>NC_000001.11:107053835-109553835 GCF_000001405.40 Homo sapiens
TATCTCAGAGTTTACCAAGTCACATTGTCACATTGAACTAATGAAGCAAAACTCTCTACATCCACAATAGACTTTGTTCAAGACTATTTATTGAGCACTTTCTATGTGCCAGCTTCTGTTGTAGTGCTAAGGACTGCAATAGTGGGAATACAAAAGTCCAAGTCTCCTGGAGTTGATATTGTATAGAAAACAAATAAATTAATTAAATACATACAGATAATAATGAATGCTGGGAGGGAACAAAATAGTGTCTTGGGTTTGAAAATATTATTTAAGGAAGCCAGGAAAGGCCTTTTTCATGAGGTAACATTTAAGTTGAGACATGAAGGATGAGAAGCCACTAAAGTGAAGTGCTAAGGAGAAAAACAATTTTCTCAGCACCAGAAGAGTATGCATGACGACCTGACACAGGAAAGAAATGTGTTATTAGAAACCAGTATATCTTGAGCCCAATGAAGAGTTGGGAAAAATGGTATGAGATGAGATGGGAAGTTACCTGAAGTTACTGAATTGTTCCATTAACTAACACGGGAAGTTACTGAAGAATGACATGGCCCAATGGGTTTTATAAAAGCTTATTCTTTCAGCTATGTAGAGAAGGGATTAGATAGGGTTGAGATTAGAAGCTGAGCGATCCCTTAGGAGACTAATTTTCAGGCAAGTCAATATGGAAGATTAGACTAGGGTGTTGACAATAGAAATGGAGAAAAGCAGATGGATTCAAGATATATTTTGGAGGTAGAACCAGTGAAACTTATATTCAGAATTTTCTTAAAAGAGACCATAAGGAAGTGAATTGAAAATTGGGTGAAGGAATGAATGTATTTAAAAGGAAAAGGTGACATTTTGAGGAAAGAAAGAATGGCAAAAGTATACACTAAGTAACAACCTATTAATAAAAGTAACATATTAAAGTGGTCACATTTACAACTCTAATCTGATGTCCTACACTGGGCCTCAATTATCTTAAAATAAGATATTAAACCAAGGCAGAAAAAGAGAAGAAATACTTCAAGGTTTTTAGCCTTAAATGGTTGAGCCCAGGCCACTGAAAAAAATACAATTTACCCAATTAAAATAACGAAGCAAGATTTAACTAAGATCATTTTAGTGAGAAACAGTTGTTCTCACCCTGGCTGCCCATTAGAATTCCCTGGGGAGCTTTTAAAAACTAGAAGCCCAGGTTCCACTGGAGTGATTCCGATTTAATTGGTCTGAGGTAGACCCAGGCATCGGTATTTTTTAAAAAGCTCCTTAGAGAATTCTAATAAGCAGCCAGGATGGAGAGTCTTGAGTTAGAAGTAGAGTACAGCTAAGGATGCCATATCAATAAACCTATTCTGCTAATGAAAGATTAATAGAGAAAATAGGATGAAAGAACTTTGATCCCAGACAAGGAATACAGGCCTATTGGTTACAAGGACATAATTCAAGACCACAAGAAAATAAAAATCCATTTTACTCTGAGTGACTTTTTTTTCAAGCTGGCAGAAAATGGCATTATGCCCACCTTGTTAATAACACGGACACCCATACAGATGCCACACATATTTAAAAACATATTTTATTTCCATTATGGACAACAAAAAGAGAGTAACAGCTGATGGTTGACTACAAGAAAAATATAAGAGAAAGAGGAGAGTGTCAATATTGCCCGGACAAGAAAACACAGGAAAAAATGAATTGCATTGAGAAAGTGATTAAAAGAAATTGATTCCGTTATTTCTGAGAGAAAAAAACGCATATATATATAGAATACACCTAGCAACGAGTTTGCTTGTATCACATGGCTCTTGAGTCTGCACTTTTCAGGATTTAACTCTTAAGAGAGCCACAGAATTATCAGAGCAGAGCCGAAAGCCAAGTAACTATTCTTCTAAGTAGAACCAGAAACCTAGTTCTTCCCCAACTGCAATGAAGATTCGCTGGTGGGTGAATGGGCAACTAAAGGCCAGAGAAGTTCTATTATTTGCCCTAAATCACTCAACTAATTAGTGGTCATACTGGAATCAGAACCAAGATTTTGCATTGTTAGGTTTTAATTTTGTTACATTTGCACTCTAACTGCACTGAAAACAGAAAAAAGAAATGCGTAGTGCAGTTTCTAAATTGCCACAGCTGGAGCACTTTAAGAGCTACAATTGTCCAGTTAAGGCGGTAGTGGGTGGATGGTGCTGCCATGTTAATTCGGTGGAATAAAACCAGAGGTGAGTTAGGCCGGGCGCGGTGGCTCACGCTTGTAATCCCAGCACTTTGGGAGGCCGAGGTGGGCGGATCACCTGAGGTCGCGAGTTTGAGACCAGCCTGACCAACAGGGAGAAACCCCGTCTACCAAAAATACAAAATTAGCCGGCCCTGGTGGCATGCGCCCGTAATCCCAGCAACTCGGGAGGCTGAGGCAGGAGAATCGCTTGAACCCAGGAGGCGGAGGTTGCGGTGAGCGGAGATCGCGCCATTGCACTCCAGCCTGGGAAACAAGAGCGAAACTCCCTCTCAAAAAAAACAAAAAACAGAAAAACAAACAAAAAAAACAGAGGTGAGTTCAGCAGAAGAAACAAAGGTGGATTATTAGTCTTAAGTGTGCGTGCCTACTTCAGGAAGGGAGTGAAAGCAAAAAACTGAGGAGCTAAGGGTGGGAGGGGGAATGAAAGGATCTCAGAATGTGGGCGTCGTGGGTGGGAAAAGGGATGCCAGGACACCAGAAGAGCAATACAAAACAGCTCCCGTGAGCAGGCACAGGAGACCTTCCGCGCCGCCGGCCGGGCGACCCCGCAGGAAGTAGGAAGGACGAGCGCGCACTACAAGTCCCAGAAGCCCCCGTTTCCTGGAGCCCGCGCCGTGCCGCGCTACGCCCGCCGGGAGCCGGGCAGAGCGGCCAAGATGTCGCAGCCCAAGAAAAGAAAGCTTGAGTCGGGGGGCGGCGGCGAAGGAGGGGAGGGAACTGAAGAGGAAGATGGCGCGGAGCGGGAGGCGGCCCTGGAGCGACCCCGGAGGACTAAGCGGGAACGGGACCAGCTGTACTACGAGTGCTACTCGGACGTTTCGGTCCACGAGGAGATGATCGCGGACCGCGTCCGCACCGATGCCTACCGCCTGGGTATCCTTCGGAACTGGGCAGCACTGCGAGGCAAGACGGTACTGGACGTGGGCGCGGGCACCGGCATTCTGAGCATCTTCTGTGCCCAGGCCGGGGCCCGGCGCGTGTACGCGGTAGAGGCCAGCGCCATCTGGCAACAGGCCCGGGAGGTGGTGCGGTTCAACGGGCTGGAGGACCGGGTGCACGTCCTGCCGGGACCAGTGGAGACTGTAGAGTTGCCGGAACAGGTGGATGCCATCGTGAGCGAGTGGATGGGCTACGGACTCCTGCACGAGTCCATGCTGAGCTCCGTCCTCCACGCGCGAACCAAGTGGCTGAAGGAGGGCGGTCTTCTCCTGCCGGCCTCCGCCGAGCTCTTCATAGCCCCCATCAGCGACCAGATGCTGGAATGGCGCCTGGGCTTCTGGAGCCAGGTGAAGCAGCACTATGGTGTGGACATGAGCTGCCTGGAGGGCTTCGCCACGCGCTGTCTCATGGGCCACTCGGAGATCGTTGTGCAGGGATTGTCCGGCGAGGACGTGCTGGCCCGGCCGCAGCGCTTTGCTCAGCTAGAGCTCTCCCGCGCCGGCTTGGAGCAGGAGCTGGAGGCCGGAGTGGGCGGGCGCTTCCGCTGCAGCTGCTATGGCTCGGCGCCCATGCATGGCTTTGCCATCTGGTTCCAGGTGACCTTCCCTGGAGGGGAGTCGGAGAAACCCCTGGTGCTGTCCACCTCGCCTTTTCACCCGGCCACTCACTGGAAACAGGCGCTCCTCTACCTGAACGAGCCGGTGCAAGTGGAGCAAGACACGGACGTTTCAGGAGAGATCACGCTGCTGCCCTCCCGGGACAACCCCCGTCGCCTGCGCGTGCTGCTGCGCTACAAAGTGGGAGACCAGGAGGAGAAGACCAAAGACTTTGCCATGGAGGACTGAGCGTTGCCTTTTCTCCCAGCTACCTCCCAAAGCAGCCTGACCTGCGTGGGAGAGGCGTAGCGAGGTCGGAGGGGAAAGGGAGATCCCACGTGCAAGTAGGGGGAATATCTCCCCCTTTTCCCTCATAGCCTCTAGGGAGGGAGAGTGACTTCATTCTCCATTTGAAGAGATTCTTCTGGTGATGTTTACTTAAAAAGTGATCCCCCTCAACAACGGATACAGCGTGCTTATTATTGGGCATTTAGCCTCAAAAGCATGTAGTACCAAGCACTTGTATTTCCGTATATTTTGTTTCGCGGGGGAGTGAGGGGGAAGAACACGGATGAAAATGTCAGTTTTTGAAGGGTCCATGCACATCCCTGACACCTCACACCTTATCTAAGTCTGAAGCTGGGGAGAAAGGGGTTCATTTAGACTTCATACATTTCCAGTACGACTTTAGTATCTCTCCAGAGCCATATTTTCTCAGTCCGAATTAATTCCCCCTCCCTAGGTGCCTGTAGGCTATGGTACTTCTTCCTCATTGTTTTCTAGGTAAACTTCACTACTGGTAATTAAGGGGAAGGATATGAGGAAGCAGTTTAAATAGCCCTGTTCTCATTACTCTGACCACATACATCATAGGGTGCTAAAGTTGATGAACACATTAATCCGTTAAGTAAAATGGACTTTGTAATTGTACAGCATACCTAAGAAACTCAGAAGGTGCATTTAAGAGAGAGACCTGAAAGAAATAGTATGGATTTTTAAAAATTCTTGTCTCTACTATTATAACCAAAAAATATTTCTTGTATGTCCCATAAAAATATTTGTGTAATTCTTATGAAACAGGCTGGTAGAGGAGGTTTCTGAGCCTAGCCCAAGGGCTTATTCATCACCATGGGTAAATTATTTAAACTCACTTAATTAAGGAAAATATTTTCCCAGCTAGAAAAGTATACTCATTCTCATTTAAACTCTCTCATTTGGAGGGATCATGTGAGTTGGCCTACTTACAAGTAGTGAAAGTTCCCTTTTCAGTTTTGTTTTGTTTTGTTTTGTTTTTCTCTTTCACTCAGCCAAATGTGAAAGTTGTGAATTTAGGAAAATCACTTGTAATGAAGTGTGAATCTTGTTATCAAATTTATTTCTCTGATGTTTCCTTCCTTATCCTTGTAGCCAATAAAACATTGACATTCTCACGTTTTATAGATGAGGTAAAAAGTCTTGTGTGCTGTGAGTTATAATGCTTTTGCCTTTTTAATATTATTAGTTCTTAAGTGTTACAGCCCCTTCAGAATATAACTTCAGGACAATTCAAACTATGCTTAATGTATGATTTTCGAGCTTCTGTATGCTAAGAAAATAGGTGTGAAAAACTGGTGTTCTGAAATAGCCTAACATTTATTGTAATTCTGAATTTTCTGCCCTTTTATTCATTGCATATTAAAGTATTAGAGTATAAAAACTAATTTGCTAAACTTTGGTTGTATATAACACAGATCTTCCATCATGGAGAGATATACATGTACAAAATTATCAATTTACAAGATAATTGAGTAGCAAGCAGTACAGTTGTAACCGTCACCATTTTGATGCTAAGATAGTGATCATCTCATGTAAATGCTACAGTCACAGCAAGCTAGACTTAAGCTAGAGGGAAAATAGAGCTCCTTATAAGGTGTTCTATGTTTTAAATCAAATATTTATTTAGAGTTTGAGTGTGTGATTTTGAGTAGGTTTCTGGTGGTTTGGTTTGTTTTTTAAAAAAAACTTGATTTAACAATTCCTTTACTAAGTGATAAATGAGAATATTCTTCCAAATTCTATTTTTTATATATTTGATAAATACTATAGAGTTATCATTATCAGTATAAGCACATAAAGGGAACCTCAGTTAAAACTTGGAGGAACTATAGAAGTAAAGGGTATGTATTCCATAGTTAAAGTAAGCTTCAGGATTTTTATTACTCCTTCCCAGAAGAAAAATGAATTATAAAAATACAGCGACTGAAGCAATTAGTCAAGAGTTAGCATAACATAATGGCTACAAAATTGGACTCTGGAGCCAGACAGCCCATAGTAGAACCTAGGCTCCACCACTCTTTGTGACCTTGGGCAAAATATTAAACACCTTTTTTTCCTTCAAAATGGAGGAAATTCCTCTCGTATGCAAAATGGAGATAACAATAGTACCTATGTCATAGATGTGAGAATAGAATGAGTTAATACATGTGACTACATAATGTCTGGTATGTAATAAGATCTCAATAAAGCCTCAGTGTGGTAGTTAGGGAAAAGTCAAACCTGGAGCACTTGGATGCATGCAAAATGTGTGACAGAATAAATATTCAACATTTTGATTTTTTTTACAGGTATTCAACAGTATGTGGTTGTACGTGAGGAGCAATGTATGACACTGTACACCAAATGATCCAAAGGGAATTCAAGACCTCTGGAGTGAGGACACCTCCAGAAGGATGAAGGTGTAAGATGTATCAACATCCAGGCACTGTCCAATCTGTCTGTATGGACTGGTACTGACTGCTTGGTGCCATTGGACCACAGGCAGGAACTACCAGGCCCAAAGGAGAGGAAAACATGGTAAAGTTCAACCTGCTTCCCTCAAACAACTTACATTTATTTTGCGCTGTGAAAGTTTACAAATATTTTCATTAATTCATTGGACCAATGGACATTTTATTGAGTATACAATGCAACAGTCATTGTGATAAGCATTTAGGATACAAACCAACAAAACACAGTTTCTTCCTTCAAATGATATGTTCATAAGATAAAATGGTAAGTACAATAAATGATAATGGGCTAAAGACTGGGATGGTCTTGGTGTTAGAAAGGGCAAGTAATTAACTCAATTTACATACCAGGAACAAGAGTTATACAGATATTGAAGGACTTGGCCTAAGTTTACATAGCTAATTCTTGGCTTTTAATTCCTAACTCCAAACAAAAATTCACATGTTTATTATATTAATCTTGCCTGCTTCAATTAAAAACAGAAGTGGGCACGGTGGCTCACGCCTGTAATCCCAGCACTTTGGGAGGCCGAGGCGGGCGGATCACCAGGTCAGGAGATCAAGACCATCCTGGCTAACACGGTGAAACCCCGTCTCTACTAAAAATACAAAAAATTAGCCGGGCATGGTGGCGGGTGCCTGTAGTCCCAGCAACTCGGGAGGCTGAGGCAGGAGAATGGCGTGAACCTGGGAGGCCGAGCTTGCAGTGAGCCAAGATAGTGCCATTGCACTCTAGCCTGGGTGACAGAGCAAGACTCTGTCTCAAAAAAATAAAAAAAAATAAAACACAGAAGTACGTACCTCCTGAATGAGTGACAACAGTTTTTATTGTTTGATGAATGAAGGAATGGGAAACATCCTTAGCTTAAGGAAGTCTCTATTAAAGATGTATCTCATAGGCCTCAAAGAACCACTTTCAGTGTATAGGATCTCACACTTGACAACTACTAGGCACTCATTGACATAAATACCCCCATACCAATTTTCCCAACAGTTAGTCAATTGCGGCACTCTCTGAGGCCCCCAGAAAACTGACTCCTCAAAATAGTAGCAAAGGTAGATGAACTCACAGGTGCTTGGTGCTGAGGAGCAGAGGCATCTGATGAGGCTAAAAGTGGGCAGGAGTGAAAAAAAGGTGAGTATGAAAGACACCTCCAGCAAACAAAACTGGCTAACGTTTTGCTTATAGCCATCCTTGTTAGCATCTTCACACTTTATACCACCCAATGCTGAGGAGAGATGAATCAGTCAAGGAGGCCCCCCTCCTCCCATATGTACATGTTTTTACCCATTCATTTCATGATTTAGTAAACACCAACTATAAAACATTCAAGTTCTATCATAAGCAAATCCTACCCTCTAAAAACTAGTATACAGTATGGGAAATAAAATTACCTATATCAGTTCAGTAATTTGCATCCTTAGCCTGGAAAGACTGTCAGGGCCAAGGGAAAAGTTCTCTGTGGCCCTCCGAAGTTTCTCTGAGAAGTCAACTCACAAATGCAAATTAATTGGAGAAAAGGCATACAAATTTATATAATCTGTACACACGGGAGCCCTCAGAATGAAGACCCAAAGATACAGGAGAAAGTGTCCATTTTTATGCTGAGGTTCAATAAAATACGGATAACTATTTAGAAATATGATTGCACAAAAAGAGTATGATCTCATGCTAACAGACTGAGCAGGGGATCCCAGCAGGGCCTGTCTGTCTAGATTCTTGGCCTCTCTGAGCATGCATTCCCTCCTTCTTGGTGTGAGGCAACACCATCTCTGGAATGAGGGTCTTATAACCCATAGTCAAAGAAGGTAGGTCACATAATTTCTTTATGAGTAGTTTTTATATAGAAAGGCAGAGGGAATGTGAGTAATGATTTTAGGTCTTATGACTGGCTTTGGGGAAAGGGGGTTCTGGTGTCTACGACCTGCCTTGGGGAAAAGCGATTCTAGTTTCTATGGCTAGCCTAAGGGGAGAATTGGACTGAGAAACAGGAGGGCAAGAGAAGATCAGAGAAACACTTTTGCTTCCAAGGTCTTCATTTTGGGGTATTTGCTGAGTCCCAACATCATTCCGACTAAATCTGTTGAAGCAAGGTTGAGAAGAGCCAGCCCACTTATCCTTAGTGCAAAAAACTCCCAAGTGCAAAAATATTACTTATCACATAGATCACGAAATCCTCAGAGAAAAAGTCTTCTCTGTTATTAGTTCCAAAAGTAAGTCTATGTCCTCTAAATAACTGGTTTGTTTCAGCTAATGAACACAGTATATTGCATAGACGACCCTTCTCACATAGGCTACTAGAGAGCTGAGCCAAATTTATGCTTTGCTGTGCTTTTTTTTACTTTACATCTGGCTCCACTTCTATACTCCAATTTTTTTTCTTGATTTATCTTCTGTCATTTATAATAAATATTACGTGTTTTGTTGGAACGTGTGTAACCTTATTCTCTTCTAAATTTTTTGGCATGAAAATATCTTCCTACCTTTTGGAATACCCGCAGAAGCTCTGAGGATAAGGAGGCCAGAAGACTCTGAGATATGTCCCCATTATTTCCTACAAAAGGTGGTGTCTCATCACATTGTTCATATCGATGGGTAACTGATGTGATCTCATCCTTTTAGCCAAATGTATAGCATTTTACATTTTATAGAATCAAGAGACTATGTGAAAAATCTGAGACATGAAGACAATTTGTGGAAACTAAATGTTCTGCAGGACTTTCTAAGCCTAGAACAGGCCCTGATTAAAATCTTAAACACAACAGTAAGGAGAGTTACAGACTTCCAAACCTCTTCCATAATGTGTCAAAACAATTTAAGTGATAGGGAAGAAGATGATACAAGGAGACTATTTCTCAAAATATTATACATGCTCATAGAAAAAGACATTTGAAACAAAGAATCTTGGACCTGATTAAAATTAAGAGAATTTTAGTAAAATTTAAGACATGACCAGTGACATCGGAATTGTACTCATTTGGAACCTTTGGTAATTAAGTTTATCATTATTGATAATAACTGTAGGGGAAGGCACATGATTTTAGTTGACTGAGTAAACCCTTATAACAGACACTTAAAATGCAGGGAGCTGAGAGAAAGAAAAAAAGTTCCTTTGTCTCTCTCTCTAGGCTGCCTCCTGCAAGAAAGGAAGGACAAAAAGAAGAGGTAGGATGGAAGGATATTTTCCCCACACTTTTTGAAATACTTTACAAACACTCCTATAATCATGTGATATATGTTCCTGAAAAACCCCCAAAATTCTGCAAAATTATTCAATAAAAATAACAAGCTTAAGGGAAAAATGGGTTTGGTGAACCATCAAAACATATGTAACTTTGTAACCAAGAGTCTAACAAGTGGGCGGTGTGGATCAGGCCTGAAATCTCAGCACTTTGGGAGGTCGAGACTGGAGGATTGCTTGAGCCCAGGATTGCAAGACCAGCCTGGGCAACACAGAGACACCCCATTTCTACAAAAAATAAAATATAAAATTAGCTAGACATGGTGGTGCATGCCTGTGGTCCCAGCTACTTGGGAGGCTGAGATGGAAGGATAGCTTGGGACCAGGAGGTTGAGGTTGCTGCGACCCTTGATCGGGCCAATGTATTCCAGTCTGGGCGACAGAGCAAGACCCTGTCTCAAAAAAGTACTAACAAAATAATAGCAATTTTAATAAAACTTGTTAAGAAATATAAATTTTTAATAAAGAAACACTGCAGTAAATATAAATAAAAATAGCCTGATGGAAGGAAATAAGGAAGACTTATACAAAGTAAAATTCACAAAGACAGAGAGAAGGCTTAATAAACATCTCTAAGACAGAATGAGCCAATAGGAAGAAGTAGGGTGCTGCATTCAATTGCATCAATATATTTTGTGTTCAGCGACTGTTACCTGGTGGTGCTAACACTACATTCTATAGTGATGTCATTCCACTTGCCAATTGACTTCATTATTTTTACGGAAACACGCATTGTAACGAAACATTCTGTTCTTTGTGAAATTTCTAGAAACTAAATAATTCAGAATTCCATTTGGGTTTAAAAATCTTTTTTAAAATTTTCTGGAAGGGAAGGGAAGGTTATAACCACACTTTAGTATGCATTAATTTTGTTATTTTAGTCAACAGGAAAGTTAATAGGAAGGGAGAATACAAATTCTGACCTGTGTAGAGTGAAAGGAAAATAGTTAAGTACAGTTACCTGCATTCAAAAGGTAGTTTGATAGAGGGCATTGGGGACAATAGCTGTTTTTCCACAGTCGCAGGGTGACATAAAAACATCTTGGGGCCAAAAAAAAGCCTAAAGTGAGTGAGAGAAGCATATAAATGATGAGTAGGATCCCTATGCATACTTTCTGCCTACGTCACAATTTCCTCAGGTAATTTTCTTCTTCCTTAAATCATGGGCTTATAACAGTATTTTGATTGACATAACTGTTGCGTATTTTGATATTTGACATTGTCCTTAACCTCACTTTTCAGCTTAATTTCTAAATCTATACAAGGACTTTACTATGTAAGAACTACTTAATCCTCTCAAATTTGTGAAGAAAACTTTCCACTCCCCATTATTGCAAGCTGTGTGCAGTTTAGTATGTGGTGTGGAGTGGTGTGACTATTAGGCTTTCTTTTTAACACTTGCAACTTTGCTTTTGGTAAAATTATTATGTTATATATTATATATTAATTACATATATTAATATATTAAAGGTAATATGTTTATTATAAAATTTTTCTAAGAGCAAACTATAGAGTTTTGACTTTAAGTTTTATAGGATGGTGAAAGGATTCCAGTCCACAAATGGTTAAAACATTTATTTTATGCACTCATTGGCATCAAACTTTTTACCAGAAATCTTTATTAAAAGGGCAAACTGCTTATTTTAATATGAACTTCTCACTCTACCATCATTTATCATCTGGTGAAATTATAAAAATAAAAAACATTTAAATGCTTTAGAATGAACAGTAAAAGAATTAAAAAGAGAGTATTTGGAAAATCTGCAGATTAAATATCCAGTCACTGAATAATTAAGAATTTACTCTAGGCAAAATAATTAGAGGAAAGCAAGGAGAGAATGACAACAATTACAAGAGGATTTTAATATAAAATGAAAATATAAATCACTGGGAAATGTGTTTTTTGTAAAAATAAAATTAAATATTAGTTAGCTTTGCTTTAAACCCCAACCAAAGATACTTCATAGAGCCCAGGCATTATTATAAGATAGGTTTACATATAAATTAATACCTTGGCACTGGGTCAAAGAAAAATATTATAGTAAAGTTTCAGAATGGTAAATCCATATACAGATAGGAGATAAAATGATTGAGTTACTATAAACAAAGTTCTAAAAATTAAAACCAGACATAGAGGATGTGGTCATTGCACTATCCCCATAAACAGTAATGTTATTTAAAACATTAAAATGATATATTATTCAGTGATAACATATGTGATATGTCTGTTAATGGATTATAATTTTTCATTTTTTTATTCACTATATCTGATTTATTTTATACCAAATAATAGTGCATTCGCTGGGATAGGTTGTGAAAAAAGAATATGGTGAAACTTTATACCAAACAATATTCTAATGCAGCCACTACTACTCAGCATGTAGAATATTTTTATGCAATAATGGTATATTAATCAAGCCATGCAAAGTTCCATTAAAATCAATAGTATATTAACTTTATTTACTTCACATGAGTTATACATAATAAAATAATGTTCTATAAAGAGTGATTTTCATTCTAAAGAAGACTCCAAATCTATTATAAATTTCCATTTAAAGGAAATGCCTCCTTTTGTCAGACAGGCCTCAACCTACCTAGAGAGAAGCAGTCATGATACTTGTATAAAGCATCTTTGTTAATTTTTTAAATCATTATTGAGTGCCTAATGTGTTAGATAAATTTTAAGCACATTATCTTATTTACTCTTCGAAATAGCTCCATGAAGTAGTTCTATTATCAATCCTATCTTACAGATGAGAAAACAAAGGATGAAGGAATTTGGTGACTTGTCCAAGGCCGTGGTGTAAGTAAATGACCTAACCATGATACCTGGGCTCTCAAGAGTTAAAGTGACATCTGTAGGCATTTAAAGCCGACTGATCATTGTCTTAGGTCAGAATCTCCAGGAGCCAACCTTGAGATAAGGATACATGTAAAAGTGTTATCAAAAAGTGTTCCAAAAAAATGGCAGAAGGGTAGTTGGCAAATGAGACTAGGAATGGTAAGCCAGGCTAGAGTGTGATATCGAGCAAATTCCCAAGAAATGTTCAGTCTCACAGAGATACTCTGGCTACAGGATGGATCACGCCTCAGAATGTATCAGTGAAGAAGCAAAAAATCTGGAACATTCCTACCTTCTCACCTGCCAGTCATTCGTTAATGACTGCCCCAGGGGAGACATAAGTTTCCTGGCTCTCTACATGAATGTGCATCGCAGCTTCCACAGGCTAAGGACAGTCACCCAACAAAGGGTTGCCAGTGCAGTGCTGAGGGTTGAGGTGAAAGCACTGGGGGAGCAGATATGGGAAAAAGAAGAAAGAAAAAAGCAAAGGATATAAAGCAATGTAATTGGAACACTGATAGGATATGGCTATAGTGGTAAATGTCCTTTTTAAGATTCCTTTACATTCTAAAATAGTTGCAGACACATTTGTTTTATGTCCCTCTTTCATTAGGTTTTTGAAGCTGCATTAATAAAGTGCGAATGAAACAAATTGTTTGGAAGTAAAAAGTTAATAATTCCCTATTTCCACAGTCCAGTATATCTTTCCACTACATAAACTTACATACAAATATTTATATAATTTTTTACAAATATGGAAACGTATAATTCATGTTACTCTGGAAGTTGTTTTTTTTTCAGTTTAACTCTGCACATACTAAGTATCCCAAGAACTCAATACATGTACAAATAACTTGTTATTGATAATAGCAATATGAAAGTTTATGGTATGAAAATTTATTGTTTTGTGTACTGATATTTCTGTATCTTTAGGCTAGACTCCCTTAAGTATTTGCTTATTTTTAATTTTAGTAAATCCTGGCAGATTGTTTTCCGAAAGGGTCATATAATTCACATTCCTAACAAGGATATAAGAGAAAGCCTGTTTTGTGATACACCCACTCACCTGGATTTTATTAATCTTATTTATGTTAATCTTATGGGCAAAAAAATACTAGCTTCTTGTTTTAGTTTTTATTACCCTAACTCCTGGTGGGTTGAGCATCTTTCTTTATATTCATTATCCATTTATATTTCCTTTTCTGTGAATATATTACTTGCTTTACCCATTTTTCTATTGGATTTTATGGCTATTGGGGGCTCTTTGTTTATTAGGCATAGTCTATCACGTGCTATCGTGCTTTCATTTGATTTTTTTTTACTTCATTAATATTTGGTCATTCAGAACTTTTTTATTTTTATTACTCTAATCTATTAATCTTGTTTGTTATTGCTTATCAGTTTCTTTTCTAATTAAAAAGCCTTCTCCTAATCCAAAGGTGAGGGACATATTCCCAAATTGTCATCCATTTTCATTATTTAATTTTAATTCAGATACTTAATCCCTATGAAATTTATGAGTTTTTTTAAACAACTTGAGGTAAAGATTCTTTTCAATGCAAGACCATAAAATCCATGTATTAAATACTACTAGATTTCACTTTTAGCATAAGTTGAATCAATGATTTTCACACATACCTCAGCATTTCAGAAATATAAGAAAGTATAATTTTAATAATAGGTAAGATGGGAGAAAGAGAGAAAGCTACATATAAGAAAATATATGGAAAACAGCAATAGGTAGATTTTCATGGTAAAAGAAAGAGAAATAAAAAAGGCCTAAGTTAGAAAAGAAAATGCAAGAGGAGTAGAGAATGTTGGAGAGGATCGAAACAACAGTGGCAGACTACAGCATAAGTAATGTTCTCACTAAATTTTAGGAGTTTGGAAACTCAACAGATGTTCAGAAGATAGATACAGGAGATGAGATAAAATGTCTGAGCTAAAGCAGAACAAACAAAATTTATCATTAATGCTTGCAATTCAAAAAACATATTTATTTTAAAATTATTTTTAAATTATTTTGGAAAGGTGGTCTACTACATTGCCCAGGCTGGTCTCAAATTCTTGGGCTCAAGCAATCCTCCTGCCTCAGTGTCCCAAAGTGTTTGGCACCCAACCAGAAAAAGCATTGTTTCAAACTGTTTTCTGCCCAAGCCAACTTTGATGCAATCTTTGTAATGATGAATAAATATTATTTCTAACATAGTCTGACATTTTCTCTTCTCTTAAAGGATTGATTTTTTCTTAATAAATATTTTTTTATTCTTTATTATTAATATTAATAAATATTTATTTTAAAGCTTACAGCCTGGGCACAGTGGCTCACACCTGTAATCCCAGCACAGTGGGAGGCCAAGGTGGGCGCATCATTTGATGCCAGGAGTTCGAACCAGCCTGGCCATCATGGTGAAACCCTGTCTCTATTAAAAATACAAAAATTGGCCGGGTGCGATGGCTCACGTTTGTAATCCCAGCACTTTGGGAGGCCAAGGCGGGCCGATCACAAGGGCAAGAGATCGAGACCATCCTGGCCAACATGGTGAAAACCTGTCTCTACCAAAAATACAAAAATTAGCTGGGCCTGATGGCGCTCACCTGTAGTCCCAGCTACTTGGTAAGCCGAGGCAGGAGAATCACTTGAACCCAGGAGGCGGAGGTTGCAGTGAGCCGAGATCGCGCCACTGCACTCCAGCCTGGCGACAGAGCGAGACTCTGTCTCGAAAAGTAAGTAAGTAAGTAAATAAATAAATAAATAAATAAATAAATAAATAAATAAATAAAACAGTTGTGTATGGTGGTATGCGCCTGTAATCCCAGCTACTCAGGAGGATGAAGTATGAGAATTGCTTGAACCCGGAAGGCAGATGTTGTAGTGAGACGGGATTGCGCCACTCCAGCCTGGGCGACAGAGCGAGATTCTTCTCAAAATAATAATAATAAAATAATAATAATAATAATAATAAAGAAGGAGGAGGGCAGGAGGAGGGAAAGAGGAGTGGGAGGATGAGGAGGGGGGAGGAGGGGGAGGAAAGGAGAAAGGAGGAAGGAGGAAGGAAGAAACCTACCCAATAGAGTTCGTTTCACATTCAACTAATGTACCCTGTTAGTCAAATATACACATAAGGCCGGGTGCAGTGGCTCATGCCTGTAATCCCAGTACTTTGGGAGCCCGAGGCAGGCGGATCACGAGGTCATGAGATCGAGACCATCCTGGCTAACACAGTGAAACTCCGTCTCTACTAAAACTACAAAAAAATTAGCTGGGCGTGGTGGCGGGCGCCTGTAGTCCCAACTACTCGGGAGGGTGAGGCAGGAGAATGGCGTGAACCCAGGAGGGGAAGCTTGCAGTGAGCTGAGATTGCGCCACTGCACTCCAGCCTGGGCAACAGAGCGAGACTCCGTCTCAAAAAAAAAAAAAAAATATATATATATATATATATATACACACACACACACACACACAAACACACACACACACTTTGTAGAAATTCTGGAAACGAACCCATAAAGCAACATCTATTGGGCAAATGTGGCTCAATTCCTGAAAAAATATAGTGCTATCATCTCAAAAATTGTCATGCAATTCCCTGGCTCCTTTCCTTTGCTCATGCTGCCATGCCTATCTAGAGCGCTCATCTGCTCCCTTTCTCTTTCCATATTCGACCTTCAAGATCCTGCTTAAATGCCACCTCCCATACTTAGTATTTCCTCATCTCTCCATCGAAAGCAATCTGCTCTACTCTTTTGGGTCTTGCCTGTGTCTGCTGTGGTTTTGTTTTATTGTCCTTTAAGGGCAGGGCACATTTCTTATTCATCTTTGCATCCCCCATTTTGCCTAGGATTTAGTACTTAATTGTTTCCATTATATAACATTTTCTTGGTTTCTTCAGGTTCCTCATGAGGGAAAGTGTTTTTATACTTTAAGGCCGATTTCCTGGCCTAACCAATTTTACAAAAGGTCTTAGGTGAACTTAAATTAGGTGAAAATCCATTTAATAAATTCCATTACTAACAGGAAATCAGAATATTGTATCCCAAGCTGAAGATGGCTTATTTTTAATTGAATACTAACTTTGACAGCCTGGGCAACAAAGCACGACCCCACCTCTACAAAGATTTTTTCTTTTAATTAGCCGGGTGTGGTGGTATGCACCTGTGGTCACAGCTGCTTAGGAGACTGAGATGGGAGGATTGCTTAAGCCCAGGAGGTCAAGGCTGCAGTGAGCTGTGATTTTGCCACTGAATTCCGGCCTGGGCGACAGACGAAGACCCTGTCTCAAACAAAATAAAATAAAATAACTTTGAGACTAAGTTCTGCTTGGCACAATAATAAAAATATCTATTTATAAAACAAAATTGAACAAGTTATTGTTCCTCAGAAGAACCTTAACCAATTTACAGCAAGTTTTATCAGGAAGAAATTCATCCCAAACTGCAATACATATGCCAACTTCTGGCATAATGTGTTAGAATTGCTTCAATGTAATGTTTGTGTTCCACCATATCTAATCTATACATATGAAATATAGCAGTATTATAGAGTGTATTTTTTCCAAAAGCTTTAAAGTAAAAAGTGCTTTTAATTAAACATTTATCTTAATATATTACCAAAAGTCACTTTATTTCAGAACAATTCGGCAATATTTTAAGTAGATCTTGACAAAAATGCACTAAATCTATTTTTTAAAATGTTTTATTACTTGCAAGTTTCAGCCTGATGTGATTTTAAAATAGCCAAGTTATAAGTCCCTGAAAATTGGAGTTTATAATGGAAATACTGACAGACCCTTAACTTTTAGGAGAGCGAGTGTGCTGTCATAATAACATTTGCTGTTGCTGCCTCAGTCAGTGTAGAAATATGACTAGGGTGCTAGATATGGTATTTCAAATATGAAGCTGGTTGAAAACTTGCTGAAATACTTTTCTATGTTTCTGAATTTTTAGAAAACTTGAATCTTGTTTTGGAAACTCCTTTTCTCTCCAGTTATTGCAATGAACAAGTATGAAGCCCTTTTCTTCTTTCTACAATATCTCAGTTGTCTCCTCTCAGTTGTCTCTTCCTCCTCCATGGCTGGTTTTCCCACAAAGCTTTTTTATCTCAATATACAGCACCCTGACACCTACCTCTTTGTTCAAGCCAGAAAACTAGATGTCAGTCTTAATTCCTAACATTACTTCTTCCCCCACATCTAATCTGTTGTAAACACTGAGGGGTTTACTGCCAAAATATATTTTGAAACCAGTTAATCTTCTTTGTCATCACTACCATCACCTTCGTCTGTGTCACCATATCCTCTGATCAAGCCAATCACAATAGCTTCCTAGACTCCTTACTATCTTCCCAATGGACCTAAAATAAAATCCAGACTTCATATCATGAATCTACAAGATCTTACCCTCTCGGGCCTCATCTGCATTTCACCTCCCCCAAAATCTCATCCACTTCTCTGCCCTGCATAGGGCACTGAAGTCACACTGGCTTTCTGGTAGTGCCCAGAATATGCCAAGCTCTCTGGGCTCTGTATGTTCTTCATTTAGAACACTTTTACCATATTAATCTTCGTCATTCTTTATGCCTAAGTTTAAATGTCATTTCCACAGAGATATAGCCCTAATCACTCAAGTGTACATGCCCCCTCCATGATTATGTTTTATCAAAATAGCCTCTTTAATTCATGTCATTTTACATAATGTGTAATTATTTCATTTGTTTTTTTCTTTCCTTCAAAAATTTAAGCTTCATAAGACAGAAGCCATATTTTCTTTTTTTCTTTGCCATGTATTTCTTTTGTTTAGCAAAGTATTAAAAATATTGGCTGATTATAAGGATAATTGGATGAAACAATGAATAATAGCTAATATTTATTGAGCATTTTCTATGTGCCAAAAACCATCGTATGTGCTTTAGAGTGCACATATAGTGCATATTTAATCTTTGTAATAATCTAGAGATAGATAGTATGTAAAAATAATAGACTCCCCTCTTTAGCCCTAGGTAAGCATTTTCCCCTAAGAACTGACATCACTTAACACCCTAGGGTCCCCAAAAGTAGCTGCTTTGCTCCAGCCAGAACAATTTTTATTTTCATTTTTCCCATCCTATCCCAAACCATAAGCAGATGATATCCCAATATCTGAAAGCTCAGAACTGCCTAGCCTCAAATTCATCTCTGCCAGAACAAACAAGACAAACAATATCTGGTCCTGGGCTGAGATTCTCCACCACCATCTTGAGGGTTTAGGACTTGGGGTTGTGTGCCAGTAATGAAGAGTTCATGTGCTTTAATTCTGTTTTGCGCATTGTAAACCTGTAGGAGTATCTTTCAATTCTGGTGCCCAAAGAAGAGAACCATAGTATTATCATGAAAAGGACATATGTCTCAATCTATTCCTTTTGGATGGAGTGAGAAGCATGAAATAGTTAACTTAGGAAAAAAATAATTTTACTGGGAAAGCATAATATGATTGTTAACATACAATCAATTAGGTTGCAGTTTTTCAGAAAACATTTTGATTATTTCGATTAGATTCACAGAAGTAAACTGTGGCTTGATTTAATCGAGGATATAACTTGATCCATGATTATTAGTAAAGTATCCCCTAAAGAATAGGAAGAATAATTTCTAGAAGTGGCTAATATCAACTACAGGTTGATTTTCTACTAATTTTGTTTTAATAGCCTAACATCTGATTGCATCTCTAAATTCTCAATTTTCTCTACTATGATTGCCTGTGCCCCATTAATAACAACATTAATATTTTGCTTCTGAATAATGCAAAGCTCTTTCACAGATTAAAAAAAATTATTCTTACAACTTTTCCTTTAGAGGAGACAAAGTTTACTAGTATTCCTGTTTTCCTGAAAAAGGGATTAAAACACAGACATTAAAAACACTGTCCCTAAATCTATCAGATTTATTTGACTTACAGTTTAATTCTTATACTATAAAATTTGTATGTGTAAACATGAATATGTAAACTAAATGGGACACTTAGGAGAGTATTAATAGGAGGTTCCAATTCCTGCTTTGTCTCCTGAACTTACTTCCTGTAAGACTCATTTCAAGTTAATCATCATGAATTAAAGATCTGTTATGTTTAAGGCATCTAGAATTTTGCACAAAGGCAAAAATATCAATTCATAATCATTTGAAATGAGACTTAACCCCAAAGTGTATTACGTTCATTCAGCAGGTCACCGTTTTTTACAATTAAAAATGACAGGTTGATGTCATTTTTAATGACATCATTTTTACAATTAAAAATGACATGTTGATGCCATTAGACTTAGCTTTTGCTGCTTTTGCTGTTGTTGCGGTTTTGCTAGTAATAACTGAACTTCTAATTCACTGATTTCAGGGCAACAAATGGAATTGTTCAAATTTTTTGTTCAATTCAAGCAAAACAAACAATTCAACTACGTGTTTCATATTTGACCCTAAACTGGGTAATCAGCAATCTTTACCATCCCAGTTGGGGACCCCCTTCTATACCACTTGATATTACTAGTTATATTTGGGTAGTTCAACTACATGGCAGTTAATTCAAGATTGATGTTTACTATTATTTGGGTATGTTTCTACTTACTTAACACATTTATTAGATGTACTAGGTACTCAATAAATATTGATTAATCTTATATTATTTAATTCTGACACTTTTCAATCACATCAGAATTGTTTGAAGGAAGAGTTTGGGTGTTCAAGCAGGCAATTAAGCTATTTAAGAATCTAACAAAGGTTGGAAGAGACGTTTCTGAACTAGAGAATTGAAAGAAAAAAAGAAAGAAACTTGTAAGAATGGCCATAACATAAAAATAAAAAATTAATAGATGTTGGCATGGATGCAGTGAAAAGGGAACACTTTTCCACTGTTGGTGGAAATGTAAACTAGTACAACCACTATGGAAAACAGTGCGGAGATTCCTTAAAGACCTAAAAGTAGATATGCAGTTCGATCCAGCAATCCCATTACTAAGTATCTACCCAGAGGAAAAGAAGTCATTATACAAAAAAGATACTTGCACATGCATATTTATGGCAGCACAATTTGCAATTGCAAAAATGTGGAACCAGCCCAAATGTCCATCAATCAACAAGTGGATAAAAAAAATGTGATACACACGCACACCATGGAATACTACTCAGCCATTAAAAGGAATGAAATAATGGCATTCACAGCAACCTGGATGGAATTGGAGAGCATTATTCTAAGTGAAGTAACTCAGGAATGGAAAATGAAACATCATATGTTCTCACTCACATGTGGAAACTAACCTATGAGGACACAAAGGCATAAGAATGATACATTGGACTTTGGGGGCTCAGGAAAGGGTGGGAGCTGGCGAGGGATAACAGACTACACATTGGGTACAGTGTACACTGCTCGGGTGATGGGTGCACCAAAATCCCAGAAATCACCACTAAAGAATTTATTTATGTAACCAAATACCACCTGTTACCCCAAAACCTATTGAAATAAAAAAAAATTTAAAAAGAAAGAAAGAAACTCGTGGCTTTGAGAGAAAGTAGTTGAATTATAACACTTCTTGCAGTATCAGACAGGGTTGTGTATTTGGTGAAAAATAGGCCTACAAGGCAACCTCTGCTGCCAAAAGTGGTGCTTCCAGAAGTCTAAAGTGTCAAGATTATTGGTTTAGTAACCAGGACAATGAAGCTAGTAACATTGGAGAGGAAAGATGACAATCCAAAGGGGACAGACCAGACAGCCACTCTCTTGGTCACACCAGTGATTCAGTGCATTCAGTAGATTCCCAGGAAAGATCTGAGACTCAGCCAAGGCACAAATACAGCCCAAGGAGAAAATAATATAGTATCAAAGTATAGGTTTTGCATGCCAAGGTTGTCCAGGTATTCTGAATCTACATAATAATGAATGAATAATTTTTAATGGAAATATCTTGATTATTTTTAGTTATTTATGTACCAAGCATAAAGCTGCATGCTTAGGGATAAAAATAAAACTGAATAAAACAGTCTCTGCCTTGCTGGACAACAAGTACTTCTTTGAAAAGGGATCTGTGGGAGCACATCTCTGGGTCTTCCACAAATCCTGTGTCTTGATGTCACTTCATTAGAAAGATCTTCCCAGACTACTTTATTAAAATAACTCCTTACCCTTTCACCTGATAGCATATTGTGTATAATAGGTGCCACAATAGAACATGAGCACCATGACACCAAGGACTTTGGTTTACCAAAAATGCCTATATATAAAAATAAATATTTGTTGAATGAATGCATGAAAGAATAAAGAATTAATCTTGTTATTGTTTTTGAGCTATTGCAATCAACTTTGGAAGGAAGATTCTTATATTTATTTTTGTCTATTTGCCTAATTTTCTTAAGACAAATTCTTAGAAATTGAATTGTTAGGTATGTATATTTTTAAGGAATTTTGATAGACTGCCCAGTTATTATTCTGAAAGGAAATTCAAATTCACATTCTTCTACTGTGGGAGAGCACTTTTTTTCTGTAATTTTCCAAAAAAGGACATTATCATCAATTTTTAAATTTGTACTATTAAATAGTTTTATGGGTGGTACAAAATATTGCAGTGGTGTTTTATTTTGAGTTTGTTTGATTACTAAATGGATTATAGTTAGGTTATTTTCATACTAATTATTGATAGTTCTTTTGTGAATTGTTACTACAGTTGACTTATCTTATTCTAATTAGTTTTTACTTTCTTTCATTGACTTCTAAAAGCTATTTGTATATTAGAAATATTAATCCTTAGCAAAGTCATGGAATATTCGAACGTAAGTGTCCATCAGTGGATGATTGGATAAAAACAATATGGTACGTGTATACCATCGAATACTACTTAGCCATAAAAACAAATGAAATCATGTATTTTGCAGCAACCTGGAAGGAATTGGAGACCATTATTCTGAGTGAAATGACTCGAAAACAGAAGGTCAAAACCCATATGTTCTCATTTGTAAGTGGGAGCTAAACAATGAGTACACTTGAACATACAAAGTAGAATAATAGACATTGGAGACTACAAAAGGTGGAAGGGTGAGGCGGGGGTGAGGGTCGAAAAATTACCTATTGGGTACAATGTTCACTATTTGGTTTGATGGGTACACCAAAAGCCCAGACTTCACCACTACATGATGTTTCCATGTAAAGAAACTGCACTTGTACCCTTAAATCTATAAAAACAAAACATAAATAAAATTTAGAAATAGAAATATCAGTCCTTAGTCACATATGTTGAGAAATATTTTTAACCACTTTTGTTATTTGTTGTTCAGCCTTTTTCATTATGGGAGTTTGGCAGTAAAACTTCAAACTTTTGTGTCATCAAAACAACAAAATTGTCCTTGGAGGTTTGTTCCTGTGGTGGATTAAAAATTGCCAAGAATCCTTTGCAGCTTATTTCATGGAGAGACAGAGTTTACTTTCCCACTTACTGTAACTGGCAAACACGGTGACTGGCTATGAATGAGGCAGAAGTGACTTTGCGTAACTTTTGAGCTAGGCCTCAAATTCCTTGCAGTTTCTGCTTTTGCCTCTTTGAAACTCTGGGGTGACTAGCCTCTGAGGAAGCCCAGGTTAACCTCGTTAAAGATGAAAAACCAGGCATTCCATTTGCCCTAGCTGAGCCCAGCCACCTTCTGACCTGATTGCAGCCACATGAGTCAACCCAGTCAAAAGAACCAAAAAGTAATTAGAAAAAATGAATCATTGTTTAATCCACTAAGAATGGTTTGTCGTGCAGCAATAGATATTTAATACGATGACTTTGGTTTACACTCAGATACTTCTTTCTCAACTTATCATTATAGAAATGTATACCTAAATTTTATTTTGGTATATGTATATTTTTAAAAATTTATATCTTAAGTGGTCATTATTTTTGTTGTGATATGTGAGGTAGGATTTCAACATAATTTTATTTTCCAAATGGCCATACAATGTCCCCAAATCATACTGAAAAACGTATATTTATTTTACTCACTGTAATTCTATCTCTATCACACCAAGATTCCCATAATTGGGACTTTTTTTTTTGGTAACACTTAAAACTTTCCCATTCTTTTATTTATTCCTGATCAAGCATCACACTTTTAATAAATGCAGCTTTGTAATATGTTTTAACAAATTAGATAGTTGTTAGAGTTCGTTGAGACTAATTGTAAGGCCTTTGTTTCCTTTTTATTCTACTACAGAGTTTTCAGATTAATGCTCCCTATACTTTATTTGGCTCAACCATGGCAGTTCTTAAATACTTTCTATTAAAATTCAAATAGTTTTAAATTCAAAATTTAAGAATCAGAAGATTTTATTTAAAAATAGAGAATATTTACTTCTCTTAAAAGTTTGGATGATCTGGCAATACTGCCCTAGAATTCCTCATGACGGCAATTGGGTACAACTGACTAGCAGGCATTTCTATCTCCAGAACAAATGTCTTTTATAAACCATAGACCATATTTCCAACTGTTTACTGACATTTCCTTGTCCATAGAAATAACTTTTCTGGTTTTTGCTGTTGCTAAGGAAAAGTCTGAGAACAATCTATTTTTTCACTCTTCTTCAAGTAACCTGCTTCATTTCCTTGAATTTTTGGAGGAATTTTTCTTTATAGCACATACACATTGAACATTAAATTCCATGACAGTCAACTCTTTATGAAAAGATTTCTTCAACATTCTCTAATTCAGTCTCTACCTCCGTATCTGTTTCCAAAATGGGAAATGTTACTGGAGACTTTCCAGACTTACACCACTTGTTCCCTAAATCACTGAATCACTGCTTTTAGAAAGATTATTTAATGTCAAATTATAGTGTTGACTTTCAATTTTTTTTTCAGTTTATACTGTTCCTAAAAGATACTCCATAAAGTTTGTGGTATAAGTTTGAAAGTACTTTCTAGTTTCAATTTTCTTGCCTATTTTGTTTATTTTGGTACATTTTTAGTGAGGGCTAGGTTATAAGTCTTCTCTTATTCCTACATCTTTCCTGGAAATGGCCTCAATGTTTGATGTGCATGTTAGATAATATGTGTGGTTCATTAAGCTTCTTAATATAACTTCATTATAAAAGAGCTTGCTTTTCTTCTTTCAGATATTTTCTTTTCAAAGATAGGATATACACTAGCTGTCAGCATTCAATAAATCTAATTACATAGGGAAATTTATGAACAGTTTATTGATGGAGTTGCTACGTGAATACTTGGCTGGTGTTCATGGTTATTAGGCTTAGATATGTTGTCACTTTCCTTCTCGCTTAACCTACAGGTCAGGAAATAAGGTACTTTTAATCTTGTATTTACTCTGAACATTCTAAGAACTCTCACTTAAAAGAATGTTTTAGACTGAGCATAATGGCTCACACCTGTAATCCCAGCAATTTGGGAGACCAAGGAGGGAGGATTGCTTGAGGCCAGGAGTTCGAGAACAGCTGGGGCAACATAGCAAGATCCTGTCTCTACAAAAAAATTTAAAAATAGCCTGGCATGATGGCACATGTAGTCCCAGATACTCAGAAGGCTGAGGCAGGAGGACCGCTTGAGTCCAGGAAGTTGAGGCTGCAGTGAGGTGTGATCACACCACAGCACTCCAGCCTGGGTGTCAGAGTGAGAACTTGTCTCTAAAAAAAAAAAAATTTATTTTTTATATAGGTCGAATGGCTTTTCTAAGGTAATTGTAAGGTAATTTTTCAAAGTAATCATATTTATAAACGTATGTTTTTGGCATATTTATGTTATTAGAAAAGAAGATCCATCCTCTGGTGAGCCGTCTGTTTGTTTACCCTTAATGTGAACTGACTGGAACCATAGCTATTTTAAACCAGCATTATCATAACACATTACAGGAACTGCATATGCTGAAAAAAAAACTGGCCAGTAAGACATATTGATGAATAGTTATTGACAGCTTTTCTTCAGGCATGCATTTGCAGAAACATTGAGTTCATATTTTTGCAACAAGCATCTTATCACAAGTCTGCATAGATCAGAATATGCATATAGTCTAAGCTCAGAAACAGACATGAACTGAATATTCAAGTGTTGCTCTAGTGTTCACAGATGCATCTGAAAAGTTAGATCCGTTTTTTTTCTTTTCTTTTTTTTTTTTTTTTTGAGACAGGGCCCCACTCTGTCAGACAGGATAAAGTACAGTGGGGCACCATCACAGCTCACAGCAGCCTCAATATCCTAGGCTTGAATGATCTTCCCACCTCAGCAGCTGGGACTACAGGGGCATGTCACCATGCCCAGGTAATTTTTTTTATTTTTTGTAGAGATACGATTTTACCATGTTGCCCAGGCTGCTTTCAAACTCCTGGGCTCAAGTGATCCTCCTGCCTCAGCCTCCCGAAGTGCTGGGATTACAAGCATGAGCTACCACTCCCAGCTAGATCCAGCTAGATCCATACTTTGATACAAATACATAGAAAGAGGGGAATGCATAATTGTGTGGAAAGCCTTTGCTTGGTGTACTGTAATATTATTCATTGAAATGCATATTTTACATAACAGTTTTTTAATTGAGAAATTAACAATTCTTTTCTCTTGGAAATATTTAGTACATATTCCCTTTTTTTAGGTCTTTATTTTTTTTCAGTCTGGGGAGTGAATAATTTTACAGATATAGAATGTTTGCTAACCACATAACACTTTGCACTTAACAGAAATGCCGTGAAATGTCCTGAATTTATTTCATCGTTCTGCACTCAGGGTTACCCCATGCCAAAACTTGGCACTGCAGGATTTTAATCGTTAACTTGTCCTTTACATAATATAACTATCCCCTAGTTGACTAAAATAATCTTCTAGTTGCTACCAATAAAATCACTACTGGTTCAGGTTTACTCGCCATTTTTTTTCCAAAATAACCACCATTTAAAAGAAATTCCTGTTTGTGCTTATGCCACTCTTTATTCTGGAAAAGTGTTCATTCCTCTTTCAAGCTTTACTTTAAAATATTCCTCTTTCCAAAAAAAAATCCTGAAATGATTCTGTGTAAAATGGTTCCAACTGAGGACCTCTTTCTCTGGGCTGCAGGTGTTCTGTGGCATTGTGTATGTGTGTAATGGTGTGCACAGAGGGTAGCAGGACAAAACAGAGATTTGTATCATGAATGACCATTACTCTTGCTGGGCATTCAGAGTGAAAGTAGATGTGGATATGTCATAAAAGAAATATTTTCTTTAGGACTTCAGGAGATTCAACAAAAACAGTTCTTGAGTCTTAGCCATGATGATCTTGCTTGATTGAAAGCAACACCCAGCCCCTGGGAGGTACTTCTGTGTCTTATCTATTGGTTTTTCATTGTGTCCACTCATTAAGTTATTCCTTCTCTTCTCACTTGAAAATTTTACTGGAATCAGTTAATAAACATTAGGAACCTCATTGGCTGACTACTCCATCTCCAAAAACACAAATTTTTTGTCATCTCCAAAGTTCTTCCTACAATTTGTGCCCCACGTATACTGCACCCATCACCAGAGTCACTACTCAAAAAATGTAATCTCTTCTCTTTAATAAGATACATTAATGGGCCACTAAAACAAGACCTTAAATAATCAGAAATAGAAATACAGGCTTATCTGAAATAGTCCCAGGATAGCAAAGAAAAGGAGGAAAAAAAAAAGTGTTAACTTTCCAAGCTAAAAGTTTGAATGTTTATACTCTGCTACAATGTCTGTGTGGGGAAATCAAGAGATTTAATAAATGACATTTTCTCTGGAAGGCTCACAAACAAACCTTTCTTCTCAAATGGTTTCACAGGATGCTCCCTGCATTACTTTGCTTTTATCTGCTTTCTCTGTGTCCTCTCTAGTAGAAGCAGCTTATCTTCCCATCTCCATCTATGATGTGGCCAGAATGTGAGATTCTGACAGGGCTGCCTGTTGTAAGCTTTGCATGAGACAGTTTCTTTGAGTTTGGGACGGAGGAAAAGGATAGCATCTCTGTGTACAGTGATGAAGGAGAGAGGTGCAGTTTGTTTGCAATGCCTCCTGGGCTTATCTGGCATTACAAAAGAAAGAGAGATAGACGGAGAGAAAAAAGGAATGAAGAAGAATGGAAAGGAAGGAAGGAAAGAAGGAAGGAAGGAAGGAAAGAAGGGAGGAAGGGAGGGAACAAAAGAAAGAAAAAAATGCTATGTATTTCAGGTCGAAGCATTCCATTCCTTTTATAATATAGCGGGAGATCTTTATGCAATCCTACAACTTCAACCACCGCCACTACTTTGATCCTTCCCAAATCTCCATTTCCAGCCTTTCGATAACTGTATGAGATATTACCATGCTTGCAGTCTAACAGGTTAGATTGCCACATGTTCATGGATGCTGGCAGAAGACTCAAGGCACTTGGGTCAGAGACAAAGACCTTTCTTACTCATAGCACAGCAAACTGAGTAAGCCTCACATTCACGCCAGTTATCTTTTTCCATACAGGCCCATGAGGGTACTGTAGATGTAGAGAGGCCAGTTTGATGCAGTGGGTTTGCACCGAAACTGAGAAAATCTGAGCTTAGGATACCCCCAAATTTTAAAATGGACTGCAAGAAAACCTGTCCAACCTGTGCTCCAGAGGAAGACATTATCTCCTAGCCCCAAATTTAGTGGCAAAATGCCTGTAATGAAAATGTATAATCTCAACCATTTTTAAGTGCACAGTTCTGTAGAATTCAATACATTCATAAAGTTGTTTAATTAACACCAGTATCCATCTCCATAACTCTTTCATCTTGCAAAAATGGAAACTCAATGCTCATCAAGCAATAATTTCTCATTCTCCTGTACTCCCAGCCCCTGGCAACCACCATTCTATTTTCAGTCTTTATGATTTTGAGGTACTCTTAATATCTCCTATAAGTGGGACTCTACAGTATTTATCGTTTTTTACTGGATTATTTCACTTAGCATAATGTCCTCAAAGTTCATCCATATTGTAGCATACATCAGAATTTCCTTCCTTTTTAAGGAGAATAATATTACATTTTACGTATATATCACATTTTGCTTATCCATTCATTCATTAATGGGCACTCATTTTGCTTCCATGTTTTAGGTATTGTGAATAGTGCTGCTACCAATGTGGGTGTACAAATATGGCTTTAAGCTCCTGCTTTCAACTCTTTTGGGTCTATATCTAGAATTGGAATTACTTGATCATATGGTGTCTGTTTTTATTTTTTTTTAGAAGCCTCCATACGGTTTTCCACAAGGGCTGTTTCATTGTATATTTCCATTAACAGGGTGCAAGGGTTCCAATCTCTCCATGTCCTCATCAACACTTGCTATTTTCTGTATTTGTTGTTTGTTTATTGTGTTTATTTTTTTAGTAAGTGCTGTCCTAATGGGTATGAGATGCTATCACATTATAGTTTTGATTTGTGTTTCTCTAATGATTTGCAATGTGGAGCATCTTTTCATGTGTTTATTGGTAAATTGTACATCTTCTTTGGAGAAATGTCTACTCCAGTCTTTTGTGCATGTGAATCAGGTTATTTGGTTTTTAGTTGTTGAGTATTAGGAGTTCTCTATGATCTGGATACTAGTCCCTTATCAGGTATATACTTTGCAAATATTTTTTCCCATTCTGTGGGTGGCCTTTTACTTTGTTGGATATTATCATTTGATGCACAAAATGTTTTAATTTCTATGAAGTCCAATTTGCCTATGTTTTCTTTTGTTGTCTGTGCCTTTGGTGCAATATCTAAGAAATTATTGTCAAATCTAATATGTGGAGCTTTTGGTAAGTTTTCTCCTAAGATTTTAAGTTTGAGTTCTTACATGTAAATATCTTATATATTTTGAGCTAATTTTTTATATCATTTTAGGTAAGTGTCTGATATCATTCTTTTGTAAGAGTTGTCCAGTTTTCCCAGCACCATTTGTTGAAAAGACTGTTCTTTCCCCCATTGAATGTTCTCGGCACCCTTGCCAGAAATTATGTGACTATATAGGCAATGGTATATTTCTGGGCTCTCTGTTCTTTTAGATTGGTCTATATGTTACTGGGTTGTTGTTTTTTTATGCCACTATCACATTGTTTTGATTACTGTGGCTTTGTGGTAAGTTTTGACATCAGGAAATATTAGTACTCCAGTCTTGTTCTTCTCTTTCAAAATTATTTTAGTTAATCAGGGTCCCATAACACTCCACATAAATTTTAGGGTGGGTTTTCTAGTTCTACAAAAAAGTGTCCTTGAGGTTTTGATGGAAATTGCATTTGTAATTCTCTTTTGGTAGTACTGACATCTTAAAAATATTAAGTTTTTCAATCTATAAACATGGGATATCCTTCCATTTATGTCTTCTTTATTTCAGCAATGCTAGCTTTCATTGTACACATCTTTTACATCTTTGGTTAAATTAATTCCTAGGTATTTTATTCATTTTGCCTCTATTGTAAATGGAATTGTTTTAATAATTCCCTTTTCAGATTACTTATGTTAGTATATTTAAATGCAATTAACTTTTGTGGGTTGACGTTCTATCCTGCTACTTTGCTGAATTCATTTATTAATCCTAGCAGTATTTTGTGGGTGTATGTATGGAATCTTTAGGGTTTTCCACATATAATATCATATCACTGTAAGAACAGAGAAAATTTTACTTTTTTCTTTCCAATTTGAATGCCTTTTATTTCTTTTTCTTGCCTACTTGCTCTGGCTAGTACTCTATTTAATAGAAAGGACAAAAGTGGGCATCTTTGATCCTGAACTTAGAGGAAATGCATTCAGCCTTTCACCATTGAGTTTATAATGTCCACCGTGAGTTTTTCATATATGGCTTTTATTATGTTAAGGTAGTTTCCTTCTAGTCCTTATCTGTTGAGTGTGTTCACTGAGAGTGTTGAATTTTTTCAAATGCTTTTTTCTGTATCAATTGAGGTGATTATGTGTTGTTTTTTCTTCAATATGTTAACGTGGTGTAATACATTGACTTTTGCATGTGGAACCATCCTTGCATTGTAGGAATAAACCCCACTTTGTTGTGATGTACTATCATTTTAATATGCTGTTGAATTAAGTTTGCTAATATTTCATTGAGTGTTTTTGCATCAGTGCTCATAAGGAATATTGGTCTATAGTTTTATTTTTTTGTAGTGTCTTTGGTGTTGGAATCAAGATAATGCTGGCATCATAGAATGAGTTAGGAAGTATTCCTCTTCAACTTGTTTGAAAAGTTTGGGAATAATCGGTATTAGTTATTCTCTAAATGTTTGGCAGAATTCACCAGTGAAGCCATCAGGTCCAGGGATTTTCTTGTTGGGGAAATTTTTGATGACTAATTCAATATCCTTACTATTTATAGGTCTATTCAGATACTCTGTTTCTTTGTGATTTCATCTTTGTAGGTTTTCCATTTCTAAGTATCTGTCCATTTCATCTAGCTTATCTTATTTGTTGGTGTATAATTGTTCTTAGTAATCTATTATAATTCCTTTTTTATAGAATTGATAGTAATGTATCTGCTTTCATTACTGATTTTAATAATTTGAGTCTTCTCTCTTTCTTTCTTAGTCCATTTAGCTAGAGGCTGCTCAATTTTGTTGATTTTTTCCAGAGAACAACCTTTTGGTTTTATTGACTTTCTATATTGTTTTTCTATTATCTATTTCATTTCTCTCTGCTCTGTTCTTTATTATTTTCTTCTTTCTACTAGCTTTGGGTTTCATTTGTTCTTATTTTTCTAGTTTCTTAGGTTGTAAAGTGAGATTGCTAACTTGAGATCTTTCTTATTTTTTAATGTAAGCACTATACATATAAATTTCTCTCTTTACACTACTTTCTTTGTGTCCTATAAGTTTTGATGTGCTGTGTTTTCATTTTTATTCATCTCTAAGTATTTTCTGTTCCTTAGAATTTCTTCTATGTTCCATTGGCTGTTTAAGAGTGTGTTGCTTAATTTCTACAAATTTGTGAGTTTTCCAGCTTTACTTATTTTATTGGTTTCTAACTTCATTCCATTGTAGTTAAAAAAAATTTGCTTGATATCTATCATTCATTTTTTAAATATTTTGTGACTTAATATATAGTCTACGCTAGAAAATGTCCTATGTGCACTGGAGAAGAATGTATATGCTATTGTTGTAGGGTAGAGTGTTCCATATATATCTGTTAGATCCAATTGGTTTATTGCTGATTCTTTCTTCCAAATCAAATCTGCCTTTGAATCTCTCTGGAGAGTTTTCACTTCAATTATTGTATTTTTCAGCTCCAGAATTTCTTTTTGGTTTCTTTTTATATTTTATAAATATTTTATTAATATTTTGTTCATAAATCATTTTCCTGACTTTCTTCACACCTTTCTTTAGTTCTTTGAGCATCTTTAAGATAGTTGTTTTAAGGTCTTTGTCTAGCAGATGTGCCATTAGTTATTTTTCAGAGACAGTTTCTGTTGGTTTTTTTCCCCCTTTGAATTGACCATACTTTCCTATTTCTTTGCACACCTTGTGATTTCTTTGTTGTGGAAACCTGGGCATTTGAATCTAATAATATGGTAACTCTGGATATCAGATTCTCCCCTTCCACAGGCTTTGCTGTTTTCTGCTACCTTGCTTGTTTTGTGATTGTTGCAGGCTGTCTCTGTGCCAAATATCAGACTGAAGTGTAAATTTAAGGGCTTATCAGGCCTTTTTTGAGTTTCAGCTTTCCCTGCGCTTGTACAGTCACTTTCTATTTTTCCCCACATATGTAGTTGCTTTTGAATTTCCTAGTCCTTAATGTGTGGCTCCATAAAAGGAAAAAAAGAAAAAAATGAGGGTGGGGAAAAGAATTAGTGCTGGTAGCCCTTTAATTTCTTTGGAAAGAAAGCTCAAAGAGGAAGAGTTTACACCAATAGAGAAAGGTGCAACAACAATGTTTACTCAACTTTTTCCCTGCACCTCTGTGATCAGAAGGAGAAATAAGCAATTACAGCATAGATTCCTGATATTTGGATGACAGGGTCCTTTTTGCCCACCCCGGCCCCCACAATCTGTGTGCAAGCTGCTCCAGGAACATGTGCACAGCTGACTGCCAAAAGGCTGAGGGTAGGAGATAGGTAGCTGCTCTGTGTTGAAGCTGAAATTGACCATAATTAACTGAAAGTATTCTCCAAACTTTTCCCTGGAAGTTTCAAGCCTTCAATAGGCTCCAGAGTCCCAAAATACTTACATCAGACAGATTCTTCCAGTCCAATTGTTATCTAGATGGGGAGACAAAGTCCTGGTGATTCCTACTTCATCATATTCCCACAATCCTCCTCTGACATACTATCTGTATTATACTTTAAAGCAAACAAACCTGCTCTGTCTTTCAGAGTGAGCCACTATCACTATCTTCAAGCCTTGAACATCCCTATATAACCATCCTTGAAAAGATGGTACAGAACCAAAATCTGTCAACATTTCTGCCTGAAAGACATACCAAGATGTTACAGATCCCTGCAGAATTGTCTCTTATCATAGTCCAACTCTCTTCTATTAATTCCAGACCCACATATACAGTTTTCTACTTGATACACCACCAGGATATCATAAAGGCATTTCAAACTTAGATTGCCACAGTGAACTCAGAAGATTATTTCATAATTCACTTTTCCTTTGATTTTCTATCTTGGTAAATAACTACTTATCTAACCCACTGTCTTAGTCTGTTTTGCACTGCCACAACAAAATATCTGAGACGGGGTAGTTTATACGCAATAGAAATTTATTTCTTGAAGTTCTTGAGTCTAGGAAGATCTAGAGCAGTGCACTAGCAGGTTAAGTTGTCTGGTAAGGGCTGTTCTGTGCTTCCAAGACAGTGCCTTGTTAATGCACCCTACATATGGCAGGGATGCTGTGTCTCACATGAAAAAAATGCAACAGGGCAAGAGAGCCAAATGCTTCATGAAGCCTCCTTTATAAAGGCCTTAATCCCATTCACAAGAGGAGGATCCCTTGTGACCTAATCACCTTTTAAAGTCTGTACCTCTTAATACCATCACGTTGGCCATTAAGTTTCAAAAACTGAATTTTGGAGGGGATATATTCAAATCATAGCAATCATCTTGATACGTGGGGGTCATCTACATGTCTGTTCTCTCTCATGCCATCTCCCAGTCCCACTCCTAGCTAATCAGTCACCAAACTCACTCAATTTAATCTCATTTGTAGCTTTTATACCTGCCTACTCTTCTCCATAATTATGCTGCTCTCTTAATTAAGGTCCTTAACACCTCTTTCCTGGATTTTAAAATCCTATTGGTAGGTATCACTCCAGGCCATTCTTCCCACTTCTACCAGATAGTTCTTAATGCTGTTGTCTATAAAATAAAATTCAAACCTCTGTGTCACATAATGCTATTTGCCTTCTGGCCCTACCTTCCTTTCTCAGCCTTTTCTCTCCTCTAATTGTATACATTTGTTTAGCTGTCAGCCTCCTCGTGGTAGAATATGAATTCCTCAATCTCAGGGACCTATTTATTTGACTTTGATTCTGCTAAGAACACAGTGGACGTTGAATACATTTGTACTAGATAAATGTTTATTGAGAACCTATTGTGTACAAAGTTGTTTATACTTTGCTTTGTATTTCTTGGATTTGTGTTTTGCTTACATTTATAGGCTAAATTTTAGAAATAATAAGAAAACCAAATTTTAGACCAGCTGTCTTATTGAAACTTTAATATTTTCATTTTTGTCATATTTATAGACTTTAATTTTTTATTATACTTTAAGTTCTGGGATACATGTACAGAACATGCAGGTTTGTTAGAGAGGTATACATGTGCCATGCTGGTTTGCTGCACCCATCAACCTGTCATCTGCATTAGGTATTTCTCCTAATGCTATCCCTCCCCTAGCCCCCCACCCCCAACAAGCCCCGGTGTGTGATGTTCCCCTCCCTGTGTCCATGTGTTCTCATTGTCCACCTCCCACTTATGAGTGAGAACATGTGGTGTTTGGTTTTCTGTTCCTGTGTTAGTTTGCTAAGAATGATGGTTTCCAGCTTCATTCATGTCCCTGCAAAGGACGTGAACTCATCCTTTTTAATGGCTGCACAGTATTCCATGGTACATATGTGCCACATTTTCAAAGAAAGAAGCTACTTATTTTTCAATGTTTCCATTTGCCAAAGGGGACATCCTGTAAATAAGAGTTACTAGCCAACCAGCTATTTTTACCCAAAAACTAACTATATATATATATAACTGACTATATATATATAAAACTATATATATATAACTAACTATAATATGTATATATAACTATATATAACTAACTATAGTTATATAGTTATAACTAACTATATAACTAGTTATAAAAAAATAACTATATATTTATAGTTATATAACTATAGTTTTATATACATATAGTTAGTTATATATACATAGTTATATATATAGTTATATATATAGTCAGTTATATATATAGTTAGTTATATATATATATGGTTAGTTATATATAGTTATTTTTACCCAAAACTCACTAAATACATATATATTTAGTTAGTTTTTATACTATAGTTATATATATTTTGTACTATAGTTATATATAGTTATATATAGTTGGTTATATATAGTTTCTTAACCCAAAAACTAACTCTCTCTCTCTATATATAACTATATATGCATATATTATACATAGAGAGAGTTAGTTTTTGGGTAAAAATAGCTAACTAACTATATATGTATAACTATATATATAGTTATATATATATTTAGTTAGTTTTTGGGTAAAAATAAATATATGTAACTAACTATATATAACTATAGTATATATATATATAGTTATATATATTAGTTATAGCAAAACATATATATATATATGTTTTGCTATTGTTGTTTAATTTATAACAAGATTTCTCAATCTTGGCACTATCCACATGTCCTTGGCAGATAATTCTTTTCTGTGAGGGCGTCTTGTGCATTGTAAGATGCTAGCAGCATTGCTCCTTTCTATCCATTCAACCCCAGTGGCACCCCCAATCTAGTTTTGACAACCAAAATTATCTCTGGGCATTGCCAAATATCCCAGGAGGATTGCAAGAGTGGGATAAATTGCACGCTGTTTGAGAATCAGTGATTTAGAGCCACTCTCTGGCACTTTCTAGCTCTCTACAGAGTATTCAAACAGAGTAAAGATTCTGTACAAGTTTCTGTAACTGATATTTATGAATTAGTAGAAATATACATCCCAGCCAGAAGATAGTGCACTATAGTACCAATGTTTTAAGCTGTTTCACAGAATATACATACATATTAATGAATGGGATATTTACTGTGTAGAACAAAAGCAGTGAAGGATATGATGCTCCAAAAGCTGCGGTGGTAAACCACATGGACCATATTAACCATATGACGGTCTTTCTCGAATCATAAAAGAGATTTATACTTTCTCTGCTTTTATAGAATCATCTAGCTGTATACAGAGGGTTATTTTAAATTGTTTAGAAGATTTTCCTGGCTATTACAATTCTTATGGCACTTTTATTGCCACAGTCAACATTAATTTATGGTAATACTAATAAATGTTTGTAAGTGTGGTTGATATTTTCCAGGAGGATATTTTCAGAATGATTTTTAACAGCTGAAGTTTGCAAAGGGATTGCCATCATATTGTCCAATTCTTCTTGGTATTTTGAATAGAAGTGTTAAAAACTGCTGAGATATTATGCCCTAGAAAATGGACTTGAGTGTTGTACAATAACAGCTTTTCATTTGGGTTATGAGTCTTAACATTCACTTAGAGCATCAACTCCAGTAGTTTCAAATATGCTTATGAGCCATTTGGAATTTTAAAAGCATTCATAAATGAATGCAAACCAGAACAGTTCCAACTGGTTGGATAAATAATGTACATTTTTAAAATTAAAGTAAAATAATATCAAAATGCATACAGACATTGGTTAAATAGAATAAGTGTCTTTTGAGCCATTCAAATAGATTCTTTATCACATTGAGTGGGCCTTTCAGAAATGTTGTTTTTACATTTTATAACAAGTAGCAAAGAGTACACTAGAACTAGCAAATGTCAGGAAGAGTAGTCAAGATTTCAAATAAGAAGAGGATATTACTATATGATTTTTATGAAGAGTGAAAATCAGAAATCTGTTGCCATTTCATTTTTAAGAAACCTTATTTATTAAGAACATTAAAGCAAAGATACACAAATGAATGAGAAGCCTTATATTACTTGTGTTCATCAGGCATAGTATTTGGAAAGAATCAAATTATATCACACAGACTGAAAGTTAATTAATAGCTGCTTTTTAAACTTTCTTATATTTCAGACTTTATAACTAAAAATATCAAATACTCTTATTTTTCAAAATCAAAATTGTCCTATTCACCTCCCGTCCTGCCACAATTCAAGAATCCTAAGGTCTGTGAGAACCACTCTGCCACTTCTCACCAAGGTCTTCATGGTCCTTTCAGCACATTTGTGTGCTTTACTTCTATGCCAGGTATGAATGAACACGGGAATCTTTTTTTTTTTTTTTTTTGAGATGGAGTCATGCCCTGTTGCCCAAGCTGGAGCGCAGTGACATGATCTCGGCTCACTGCAACCTCCACCTCCCAGGTTCAAGCAATTCTCTGCCTCAGCCTCCTGAGTAGCTGGAATTACAGGTGGCCGCCACCATGCCCGGCTAATTTTTTGTATTTTTTTTAGTAGAGACGGGGTTTCACCATCTTGGCCAGTCTGGTCTTGAACTCCTGATCTCATGATCCAGCCACCTCGGCCTCCCAAAGTTCTGGGATTACAGGCCTGAGCCACCGCTCCCAGCCAGAATCTTTATCAAGAATCCTGACCTCCCTGGGCACATGAGCAGCCTTCACTCTTTGAAGTCATACCTGGCCCTAGCATGATGGTATAAATAGGAAACACAGCCCCTTTACTGATCCCATAATACCTGTGTCCTTCGAGGCTCAGGGTCTGGCCACCTTCATCATCTTCTCAGATGCCTATTCCCATTTTCTCCTCTTCCTTAGCAGTCCTATGTGATTCTCTAACATGTTAGATAGAAATTTAAAGTTGTTCTTAATTACTACTGGAGCAAGAGAAGCAAGAACCAGGTTGTTTAGTTGTTCTTCCATTCTTTCTATTTTCCCAAAATGGTGAGAATAAATTGATAATTTTAGTAGGCTTATAAATTGTCTATTGCCTCTCCACATATTTCTCTACTCCTCACAAAACTTGTGCAACACATGTTACCATTTTGCAGCCCCGGAATGACACTGGGATCAATCATCTAGCTCTTTGCCCAAGGTTATAAAAGTAGAGGAGGCAGATCTGGGACTGCAACCCAACTCCATGTGAATCAAGCCCCTCAAACTTTGTAAATGTTTCAAATGAGATTAATGAGTCAATGATGACAATGTCCTATTATTAAATTTAACCTTAGATAACTATACAATAGTAATTTCAATCCCAGTTTTTGGTGTCTATGATAGGAAAAGTAATGGTCCCACAGGACGACCACACCTTAATGCCCTGGACCTGTGAATATGTCAGGTTACAGGGCCAATGGGAATTTAGGTGGCAGATAGAATTAGGGTTTTTCATCGGCTGACCTTGAGAGGCCTAGTTTGTCCTGGATTATTTGGGCAGTCCCAGTTTAATCACAAGAGTCCTTAAATGTAGAAGACGGCGGCAGAAGAGTATTAGAGTGGTGTGAGAGGGACTCAACTGACCATTGCTGGTTGTAAAGACGGAAAAGGGACCACAAACCAAGGAACACAAGCAGCCTCTGGAATCTGGGAAAGGCAAGAAAACAGAAGTTCCCCCTAGATATCTAGAAAGAGTGCAGCCCTGATAACACCTTTATTTTGGCCCAGTGAGTCCCATTCTGCACTTCAGAACTAGAGAACTGTAAGATTATAGTTTTAACCACTTCATCTGTGGTAACTTGTTACAGAAGCTATGCAAAATTGATACAGTGTCTATATCAATTTTATGTTTTCAAAACATTCTAAACACAATTAACATTTGCTAATAAACCAGAACAAAACCAAAGAAGTTAATATTCCATTATCTTTAAGAAATTTTTTTGTCCAAGGCTGTCCTAAAACCACAAATCCAAAGTTTCCAGTTTTGGTGTTTTTTTTTTTTTTTGAGACAGAGTGTCGCTCTTTCACCCAGGCTGGAGTGCAGTGGCGGGATCTCGGCTCACTGCAAGCTCTGCCTCCCGGGTTCACGCCATTCTCCTGCCTCAGCCTCCGAGTAGCTGGGACTACAGGCGCCCGCCACCGCGCCTGGCTAATTTTTTGTATTTTTGGTAGAGACAGGGTTTCACCGTGTTAGCCAGGATGGTCTCGATCTCCTGACCTCGTGATCCGCCCGCCTCGGCCTCCCAAAGTGCTGGGATTACAGGAGTGAGCCACCGCGCCCGGCCCAAAGTTTCCAGTTTTTCTTTCTTTCTATTTATTCAAGTATATAGTTATTCAATCAACAATTATTTATTAAGCACCTATTATTAACTTGGTGTTGAGGAGATGGTGGGAAGCAGACAAAGTTTCTGGCCGTCATACATTCAAAAGTCAATTCATTCAGTGCTCTCTGAGCACTCACCTCATATCCTATTGGTGGCTTGAAATCAGCCATTACAGAAGCATATACACCAGAGAAAACAGTAAGTGACCCCCAGGCACTGTCAAACATTTCCCAGTACACCCATGCCTGTATACCAAGTACTTGGGGTAAGATGGTGCCTGATCCATAGTTAGCACATAATAAATAATTGTCAAATGAATAACTGAAAAAGTGAATATAAAATATTTCATAACAACTAATATCACAGGAATAATATCTTAATAGAAAATGCTTTGGGGACTGTTTTGTTGAAGGAAGAGCCACCTAAGGAAATGCCTTTAAGGAAGTTTTGCCAATAAAATAAATTTCATTGAATGACCTCATTTCCTGTTCTGTCACTGTAGAACCAATGAGTTGAATGGTGATTTTTAAAAAGTCTTCCCCCTTTATTTTCACCTTTGTCTCAACTGCAAGTAATTAATTTCTAAAATATCAAGAAACCAAATTATGCTGTCTAATAGACCAACCCAGTGATATAGTTTGGCTGTGTGCCCACCCACATCTCATCTTGAATTGTAACTCCCACAATTCCCACATGTTGTGGGAGGGACCCAGTAGGAGGTCATTGAATCATGGGGGCGGGTCTTTCCTGTGCCATTCTCATGATAGTGAATAAGTCTTATGAGATGTGATGGTTTTATAAAGGGGAGTTTCCCTGCACAAGCTGTCTTCTCTTGACTGCCACCACACCATGTGAGATGTGCCTTTCATCTTCCACCATGATTGTGAGGCCTCTCCAGTCACATGGAATTGTGAGTCCATTAAACCTCTTTCTTTTGTAAATTGCCCAGTCTGTCTTTATGAGCAGCATGAAAACGGACTAATACACCCAGTATGTAATACCTAGTATTTCAGTTGTTTACACTTATCTCCCAATGGTGGTGTTAAAGAGGTTGAGAATGTGTATTCTAATGTTAAGTCTTTAAGTGAGAATGATGGAGAAATAGACTCTATTTTGTCTCTATTAAAAATAGTCTCTATTTAGAATAGTCTCTATTATTTAGTCAGCCAGTAATGTATATTGGTTGACTAAAAGTAAAATCAAACATAATACTGTTGCCCCTTGAATAACATGGCTTTGAACTGTTTTGGTCCACTTACATGCAGATTTTCTTCCACCTCTGCTACCACTGAGACCACAAGACTAATGTCTCCTCTCCTCCCTTCCCCTCAGCCTACTCAACGTGAAGACCATGAGGAAGAAGACCTTCATGATGATCCACTTCCATAGTAAATATATTCTTTCTTCCTTATGATTTTCTTAATAATATTTTCTTTTCTCTAGTTTACTACTTTTCTCTAGTTTATCATAAGAATACAGTATATAATACATATAACATACAAAATATGTGTTAGTTCACGACTTAGGTTACAGGTAAGGCTTCTGGTCAACAGTAGGCAATTAGTAGGTAGTTAAGTTTTGGGGAAGTCAAAAGTTATACACAGATTTTTTTTACTGCTTGGGGGTCGGCACCCCAACTTCTCACATTGTTCAAGGGTTAACTACAAGAGTAAAATAAATCCTTATTCTTCCTGTATATCTTAAGACTTCTTTCCCTTAAATTATTACCTTCTCCAAGAAGATTTCTATAACCCTCTAGGAGAAAAAAATGGGTGTTCCTCTCCCCCAGGCTTCTATGGCATAATGTATATGCTCCTATGTGCATGATGTGTATTTATCATATACAGAACAATATAATTGCATGTAAGTATCTGTCTCCTCAATGTGAGTAAATAAAATGTAATGACTTTCTTTGTTTTTATTAATAATTATACACTCAGAGTATAAGGAGTTCAGTAATGTTTGAATTTGTGGTCAAACTAGTACATTAATGGATTAATTAATAGTCCTTTATGTCTTAAAGGTAAACCCAAGACTTTTATAGAAGTAAACAACTAAGAAAAAAAAATAGAAGAACACAGATTTTTTTGAGGCCAAACCAATGCCAATTGTTCTTCAGATTTAATGAAGAGTTGTCCAATGAACACAGGGTGTTTGGTATTTGTTCCAAGGCATGAGGGAGAACAGGGATACTATGTTAACTCTTGTTGAAAGTTCAATGACAAATGAGTAGAAACAGGATTTCTCCAACATGTATTGAATAGCCAACACTTCTAGTAAACAAGCATCTGGTTGAGATGTTTTAGAATCTCTATGGAAAGGTTATGTCCACTTAAATTCCAGGACTCAGTAATGTTTCAGCACATTTTACTTAGGAACTACTTATACCCATGTTTATTGTTTGAATATATGTCATTCAGGAATTGTTTGACTCATTTATATTTAAGCACAATTAGATACAATCAGTAGAAAGATCAAACGTACATTTTCACCAATATTTAGTGTAAATAACAAATGCGGTACGGGCGTGGTGGCTCACGCCTGTAATCCCAGCACTTTGGGAGGCCAAGGTGGGCGGATTACCTGAGGTCAGGAGTTCGAGACCAGCCTGGCCCGTCTCTACTAAAAATACAAAACCATTAGCCAGACGTGGTGGTGGGCACCTGTAATCCTAGCTACTCGGGAGGTTGAGGCAGGGGAATTGTTTCAACCCAGGAGGTGGAGGATGCAGTGAGCTGAGATCGCGCCATTGCACTCCAGCCTGGGCAACAACAGTGAAACTCCGTCAAAAAAAAAAAAGACCCCACAAAATGCAGAGAATAAACAGCTGAACTGGTTTACTGCCCTCTGCATTTTCTTGAGTAGATGTTACAGATGCATCATTTGCTGTGTCCTTTGGTTTCTTCCAAATCACAGCAGCCAATCAATGCATATTCCTCCTCTCAGTCCCTTTGGTGCTATTGAACAGAAATAAGTGCAACTCTCCACTTCAGTGAGCTGGGCTGGGGTCCAGGAGAAAGGAAAATCTTGAATTTAGAATTTTGGCTTATCCACTGCTCAGCAAGACATTCCAAAATTTAAAGAAGATGTAACTAACCAACATATGTGAATAATATAACTGGGGCCTGTTTTCACTGGTCATGAGACACCATACTCAATTGGGGAAATAATCATTTCTGTCTTGTTAGATTTCAGACTGTTTTGCCATTACTTGGACATATCTTTTTATTATGTACTATGTATCTTTAAATAAGTATTCCCCATTTTGGTAGTTGTTATTTTAAAACATTTAAATACTAGATTCAATAATATTTTGTATAATAACTATGAATTTGGAAAATATGATATTCTATTTGGTAGGGTAATTATTAGTTTTATGCCCATCAGGAAGTAAAGGCTAAATCTCACCTGGGCACATGGGCAGGGGAATTCCATGACTGGACACAAGACTTCCTGTTCTAAAGATTCTTTTTAACATCAGCAATTTAACATCAACAATTTGATTAGAGACTTTTATATCAATTGATTTTTTTGTTTTCATTCATTTAAAAAAATAATTTTGGACTTGTGAAACATTTTGTGATACCATTTTAACTGACTATTATCTTAAAAATTATAGTTTGTATTTATAAAGACATAATTAAATAGTAAATGCTTTTTCATAAAACTTTCTATAATTTTCTGTATAAAAGAAAACTATATCTTTTTGTGTTAAAATAGTAAGATAACTGATACAAAACTTAATTAAATTTTAAAACATGGAGGGTGTGTTTGTCTGTGTGTGTGTGGTGAACACTGGGTGTAAGTTTTCAGGGGCAAACTCCGTTTCATTTCCAATTTCAAGATTTATTTTAGAGGAGAAAAAAAATAAGGAAAAGTAGAGCCTGTTTCTTTAGTTTCACACAGACCCAAACTGTGATTGCCTTTGATTCTCAGCAGCTATCAAGGGCATGGTTAAAATATCCTAAAAAACAAGGATTGTGATCTACTTTCATTTTCTTCCCCCACAATCTCTCATTCACCCATTCTCCAAATAGTGATTGATTGCCTGACACTCTGCTAAACACTGATAACACTGTAGTGGAGACTGTGTGTTCCGAAAATGACAAGAGTATTGTCTATTCTACATGCTCTTTTATGATATGACCAGGCCAGGGCTTCCTCGAGAATTCCCTTCCTTCCTGTTCATTGGTCTAGCCTTAGAATTTGCTTCTAACAAATTGAATGTAGCAGAAATGAAAATGCAAGTTTTTTTTTAATTTCACTTTTATTTTAGATATAGGTACATGTGCAGGTTGTGTTATGAGCATAGTACCGAATAGGTAGTTTTTAAATCCACACCCTGCTCCCTCCCCCAACCCTCTAGTGGTCCACAGTGCCTATTGTTCCCATGTTTATGTTCATGTGTGCTCAGTGATTATCTCCCACTTATAAATGAGAACATGTAGTATTTGGTTTTTTGTTCCTGTGTTAATTTGCTTAGGATGCTGGCCTCCAGATCTACCCATGTTGCTTCAAAGGACTTGATTTTATTATTTTTTATGGCTGTGTAGTATTCAATGGTGTATATATACCACATTTTCTTTATCCAATCCACCATTGATGAGTGCCTAGGTCAATTCCATGTCTTTGCTATTGTGGATAGTGTGGTGATGAACACATGAGTCTGTGTGTCTTTCTGGTATAATATTTACCTTTGGGTATATACCCAGTTATGGATTGCTGGGTCAAATGGTAGCTTTGTTATAAGTTCTTTGAGAACTTTCCAACCTGCTTTCCAGAGTGGCTGAACAAATTTACATTCCCACCAACAGTATATAAGTGTTCCCTTTTCTCTTCAGCCTCACCAGCATCATTAAAGATTTTAATATAAGACCTCAAACTATAAAAATCTTAGAAGAAAACCTAGGAAATACCTCTCTTGATATTGGCCTCAGCAAATAGTTTTTGACTAGTTCCCCAAAAGCAGTTGCAACAAAAACAAAAATTGACAAATGAGATCTAACTAAACTAAAGAGCTTCTATATAGCAAAAGGAACTATCAGTAGAGTAAACAGACAGCCTACAGGATGGGAGAAAATATTTGCAAGCTATGCATCTGACAAAGGTCTAATATCCGCAATCTATAAGGAACTTACATCAACAAACAGAAAATATTTAACCCCACTAAAAATGGACAAAGGACATGAACAGACACTTTTCAAAAGAAAACATGTAAGAAACCAACAAACATAAAGAAATGCTCATCACCATCATCCCATCATCACTATTCAGAGAAATGCAGATCAAAACCACAGTGAGATACCATTTCATACTGGTCAGAATGGCTATCATTAAGAAGCCAAAAATCCAGGTTTTTTGAGGCCCGGTCAGAAAATATCCTTGCTATGGTTTGAATGTTCCCTCCAAAATTCATTGAAATTAAATCTCCAATGCAGCAGTAATGAAAGGTAAGACCTTTAAGAGGTTATTGGGTCATGAGAGTCTTGAATCCATTCATGAATTAATGGATAAATGTGTTAATGGATTGATGATTATTACGGGAGTGGGACTGGCAGCTTTAAAAGAAAAGCAAGAGGCCAGGTGTGGTGGCTCATGCCTGTAATCCCAGCACTTTGGGAAGCCATAGTGGGTGGATCACCCGAGGGGTCAGGAGTTCCAGACCAGCCTGGCCAACATGGTGAAACCTCATCTCTACTAAAAATACAAAAATTAGCTGGGTGTGGTGGCGGGTGCCTGTAATCCCAACTACTTGGGAGGCTGAGGCAGGAGAATGGCTCCAACTCGGGAGGCAGAGGTTGCAGTGAGCTGAGATTGGGCCCACTGCACTCCAGCCTGGGCGACAGAGCAAGACTTCATCCCAAAAAAAAAAAAAAAAAAAGAAAGCAAGAGTGACCTGAGCAGGTTAGCATGCTCAGACCCCATGCCATGTGATACCCTGCACTGCCTGGTGACCCTGCACAGAGACTTCACCAGCAACAAGACTCTTACCAGATGCAGCCTGGGCCTTGGACTTCTCAGACTCCATAACTATAAGAAATACATTTATTTTCTTCATAAATTATGCAATTTCAGGAACTGTTATAAACAACAGAAAGTAAACAAATACAGTTATGCGTCTTCTGCCTGGTTTTCTTGAAAGTCTTGCCCTAGGGGAAGTGAGCCACCATGTAAGAAGTTTGACTTATCTGAAACTATCTGATGAAGAGACCATGTGTAGGCACTTTGATCAGCCATTTAGCTGAGATCAGGCTTTGCAGAATGATCACATATCAGATGTGAATGACTCTGTCTTGAATCTTCCAGCTGCTCCCAGTCAGCGGTACAAGGAATAGGAAATTGTCCAGAAAAACTCAGCTTGGATTTCTGACCTACAAAATTGTGAAACATAGTAAAATGGTTGTTCGTGTAAGCCACAAGATTTTAGGATAATTTATTGTACGACCATAGATACCCATAACAATTACTATTAATAAAAGCTAGCATCCACTGAGCTCTTTTTTATCTCTTAGGCACTTATTTAATCGTTAGGTAAATACTAACATTATCTCCATTTTCTAGTGGGGAGCAAAAAAAACTGACGCAAGAACACACAGTTTGGAAGAGATGAAGTCAGGATTTAAATGCAAGACCTGCATTTTAACTGCTATGGTCTACAAAGTCCCTGCCCTCAAGGAGCTCACAACCAGTAGAGAAATAAGCTCGTAAGTGATTATAATAAAATGTGACAAGATGCTATGGGCTTATGCAAGATGCCATGAGAATTTAAAAGAGAGGTAATATAATTTTTTTGGAGTGAGTAGAGAATAGGAAAAAAGTAAAACAAAAATTGAAAACATAGTGTGATTATGTGAAGATCAGGTGCTTCAGAGAAGAATACTGGCCATCATTTTCTTTTTCTTTCTTTTTTTTTTCTTTTTTAGTCGGAGACAAATATAGCTGAAGCAAAAGAAAGTGACAAGATGGAACAAAAAATTTGAGGTGGTAATATAGGAAAGGTTAGCATGGACCATCTCATTCCATGCTGAAGCTTTTGTAATTTTTTATATAAGTGATAAGAAATCATTGAAAAAAATTGATTAGAGAAGCAGCAAAAGAGAGCTTGCAGTTTTACAGTATAATTCTGGTTGAAGTGTGGAAGACGAACTGAATTGAATTTAGAAATAGGTACTCAAATACATATTTTATATAAAAAAAGATGGATTAATTTAAGCTGTAATTTCATTTCTCTTTGTCCTTCTCTACTGCCTTAGGCAATTTGTCTTATCATTTACAGAAAAACAATATAGAATATACAAAACAGTACATACACACAGCGATAATAAGAAACAACATTTATTGAACACTTACTATGTGTGCTGTCCTTTAATCCTAACAATAAATCACATTGTAAAACTTAATATCTTTTTTATAGGGGGGGAACTGAGGTATAGTTTATTAAAGATTAGTTATTTGGTCGCAGAGCTGGAATTTCAGCCAAATTTCAGTTCCAAGTTCTGAGACAGAGTTCAGTAGTGGCAAACCCTGAAGCAGATATTTTTAATTTAACTTAGTAAAATTTATCATAGAAACATGGATACAGTGCTAGGAATATAAAGGAAAGGGGCCCTTAGCCAAAGTGAAAAGTTTGGGAAAGCCTTTCTCAAGTGCATGAGGGAATCCCAAAGGATGAATTTCTTCCTTCAAGTATTCATTCTTTCATTCATAAAATATTTTAGAGTGCCTATGATCCCAGGCACCATGCCAAGGGAATAAGAGAGTTGTGGGTTTTGCATACTTGAAGGATAGTTTGTAGAATGTAGCATTAATAAAAAAAATTACAAGATTAAATAACATTATGAAAAGAAAAGTACATGGTTCTATGTAAGCTCCTCAAAAAGGAATCCTCATCTAACCTGGGGAGGTAAGGTTTAAGCCAAGTGTTAAAGGGTGAGTAAGAGTTATTCTGGTGAGGCGGGGGAATGTGATGTAGGAAGAGCATTTCAGGCACAGGGAAAATCATAATGCAGGCAGACAGATGGATGAGCACATGAACGGAAAGATATTAAACGTGATGACAACAGAGAGTAAAAAGCAGAATTATTAGTGTAATAGGCAGGCCTAATCCATGAGGAGTTTAATGGCATCCTATGGACTATGAGTACCATTTGAAGGCATTTAAAAATTTGATTTAGGGTTTATTAAGTTCACTCTGGCTGCTGTGTGCAGAATGAGTTGACAAAGCACCAGGATGGGAGTGTGGGTACATGGATAAATTGTAAACATATTTTTGAAATATAACTGATAAGATTTGGTGATTGATTATATATCAGGATTGAAAAAGGAAAGAGCAATGTAAAGGATACTTTGTCCATTTATAGATTGCATGACTGCATAGATGGTTGTACATGGAGAACTGCAGGAACAGGAAGAGGACTAATGGGGTAGGGGAGGGGAAGAGAAAATGGGGATGGGAAGGAGCTAGTCCAAGCTTAGTATGAGCTCTGAGCTACTCAAGGTAAGAGCTAATTAATAGTTGGATATTTGGAGTTAGGAATGATATCTGTAGTGAAGATATAGATTTTTAAATCCCTGCAAATAGATATATGGTACATGAAGTCATGTAATTACTTAGGAGGGGAAAATAGAGTGACAAGATAAGGCTGCCATGGGCAGAGGGATGAAGAACATTTCAGGGTTGGATGTGTTAGGAGACAAAGGAGACAGTAGAATATCTTAGAGAGTTAGGAGTTAAACCTGAGCAAGACCATGTAATAGAGAGTTTCAAGGTGGAGGAAGTAGTTTACGTGTCATTTGCTGCCAATAGAAAATGTGGAGCTGAAAATGAAAGTGTTTAATTGTGCCCTTTAGGATAACATTTGTTTCAGTGGGGTGTTAAGGGCAGGTTGCAGTGTGAAGGGGGGAAGTCTCTTGAAAGAAATTTGACTGTGAAGGATATAAAACAGCACCTGGGTGAGATTCAGGATCAAGGAAGGCATTTTATTGTTTATTGGAGGTTTCTTTTTCTGTTTTTATTTATTTATTTATTTATTTATTTATTTATTTATTCTTAGTTTTAGAGTGGAAGATTCTAGGTAGTATTTGAATGTTCTTGTCAGAGTTCACCAGGCAGAGAAAGGTAAGTATTTGTATGTCAAGTCTTGCTCATCCCACCAAGGGAACGGAGTTATTTCAAAGAATGAGATCAAAGAGAAAAAAGAGATCACAAAGATCAAAATTTGCTTGGAAGGTGAGAACATGACCAGAAAATATATTACTACAATAATTTTAAGAAATCTTTTCCAGAGTCTTTTTTTTCTTATCACTTCAAATAAATCTGTGGTCATTTGTATAGCCATTAATTCTGCCTTGTGAGATTTGTGGTTCTTTCAATGCAGTTAATAACCCTGATGTTTATTTAGAGTAGATATCATTTCAACATTCTGCATGTCAGATGTGCCCAATGAAAGCATATTTTCATGTCTGTATTTCTCAAATACCTAAGCTCATCTTCATATTATAAACAAGAATTTGTTTTCTAAAAGTAATTCTAGATTCTCGGTTCCTGAAAACACAAAGACTTAACACAGGTTGCTAGCCACCTTTATTGAAATCCAACACCTGATGTGACATAGAAGTGAGATAAAATTTCTCACTCTGAAAAATTAATGATGACAACAGCAACAGCAAAAAAAGAATCCCTGAGGAGAACATTGTTGGCCCCTTCCTCACTGTAAAATACAAAAAAGCAGCTCTAGTCAGCACCATGGATGGTATAAGCAAAACAGAGAGGCATTCAAACCCATATTGCTATGAAGGACATGAAAACAGGCGCTGGCTGATCATGTAGCTCCTGGGTACTTCTACTCACAGTTCTCGCCTACCCTGACTCCAACATTGGAGCCTCAGTCATAGCATGGTTAATGTAGACATGAAGCAAACTGGCTGTCCATTACTGGGAGAACAGAAAATTAAATATGGTGGACACATACTATGAAATACTATGCAACAGTTGGAAGCAATGAATTAGGTATGCATTCAAAATCATGGATAAATGTTAATATATTTTGGGGGTTTAAAAAAGTGTAAGAAATAGAAAGATAACTATAATTTATACTATAATACCATTTACTTAATTTTTTAAAGATTCAAAACAATACTTAACAAGGATAGAACATACAAATGGACATATCTTAAACAAAATAGTGTGAGTCCCTGCTGAGAGAGGGGGTCGGAAAAGAATGGAACTAGTGACCATTGATGAAAAGGATAATTAGTAGAAATAAAATGAAATGAGAACTAATAATGATGATGTGCCATGAACCTAGACTTATGATTAAAACATGTCTCTGTATCACCATCCAAAAAAGATAAAAGAAATTATAACAAAACCAGCTGTAAAAAATTGCACAATGAAATATGCAAATAGGTTTATAGTTAATGTAATTTTCAGATTGCAAACTGCCCAAATGTAAATTTAGAAGGGGATAAGCTTTCTGCTACTGAGCCATTTCAGATGAACAAACAATTCAGCAGCCATTCCTACAGGCTATTATTGATTCATCAAACTCTCCCTAGTAGTTTCAAAAGGCACATAGTGAAAAGGGTCATAGAGGGTACAAAATAAGATTTTCAATGAAGTGACCCTTTGATGAAAGAACAGGAAATTTGGAGAAGGGTTAAATAATCTCAGTAGGCTAGTAAAAACCTCAAAAGATTGATCAATTTTGTCAAGCTCATTTTGAAACTGCTTTCATATATCATAAAATATTTTTGAGAGACAAAGATATAAGGCATTACCAATTAATAAATAACAGAAAATCTATATACTGGACAATTTTATTAAATTAATATTTTATACTTGTGTTGAATGTCAGTCTTGACCTAAACAATGCCATGACTTTGAGTAGAACAAAAGAAGGTTGAAAACGTCCTTCACATGAAAGTTTTATATTCTGACAGTACAAAGGAATGAAATACTTTCTCATCTGAAATAGCAGTTGTCTGGGAGGTTCTTTTATTCTTTCATTGGCACATAGTAAATTGAGTCTTTTCAACAGTAATGCAATTGGGAACTTTAAAGATAATTAAGAAACATAAAATATGTCAGTCTCCTCAAACATAGTTGGAATATGAGTTTTAATCTCTCTCCTTGAAGAACAGTGGTATAAGTTTAGGTCTCATCATTTTTAAAATAATATTATTTAAATACATACCAAGAAAAATGTCTAATAACTGTGTACAGAAAAATAAAATTTCTGTGTTCTATAAATATTTAAGAGCTGTACTTGAAATATATTGCTAATATGAGCAAAAATATTTTAATATTTTGATACAATGTAGCAACAAATATTAAAAAAGAGAAAGGAAATCCTGTAATAAAAATTAGGTTTGATGACTTGCTCTGGTATAAATGTCGGGAATCAGTTCTCTCCTGACTATCTTGGAGGTCACAGACAACACAGAGGGACAAGCAAATATCTATCTGTCCCAACCTCTGCAGCTAAATTGATTGCAGCACAGCTTCACTGGTTGCAGAACCAACACCAACTCCCTATAGTATCTGTAGTCTCCATGAGGTTTCTAACCATCCCATCTAGTTTATAGAATTTAAGATGGAACCTTGTGATTCACACCAGCAACATTAGCATAGGTGATTTGTGCCTCAACTCCCATTCAAAAGAGTAAATTTTCATGAAATTTCATATAGGTGAAACCCTTCCAAACATTGTCATCTTATTCATAATCCACTCTCAAATTACTCTTTTCCCATTTCCTCTGTGATCTGCCTCCACATTCTACAATAACTCAGTCTATGATCAAGAGAGATATTACTCCCAATTCAGAGTTGCTCCTGAGAAGCACATTTTAGTTCCCCCTTAAAGGCTCTCGATACATTGAGTACATAAATCTCTGAGCAATTAACATTGACAGTCCCCACCTGGTCCAAGATATGACTGACCTCTTGTTATCAGCGCTCCTACTCAGTTCCAGTGGTGTTTTCCTCAGGATCCATCATCATTACAAAAGTTGAACACCAACATTGCATAGGTCCTATATAGCACATGTGGAAATAAAACAGAATCCTAGCTATAGTTCTGCCTAATTAAAAAGAAAATTTTGCTGTGCTCTAAAATAAAATACAGAGTCTCACCAAGAAGTCTCCTCAAAGAGACGTAAGACTGCCATTAAAGTATCTAACTTTTAAACATCTCAGACCCAGGGAAGTTTTCTGTATGCTAATTTAAATATTTCTAACATAAAATAGAGAGCTTGTCATTAGATGACACATGCACAGAATAACATTCAACCTTCAGAGTTACAAGGCCAAAGCAGTTCTCATTAAACAAGACATCGACAAAAAGAATGGTTCTCCGTTCTGTACATCTTTATGGAGAATGAAGGAGGCCACCTTTCTTGGGCTCATGAATTCTCTTTTCTCCTCTCAGAGCAGGAATTCATCACACAAGGTTTAATTTGAGAAAACATCTCCTTGGAGTTACAACTTAGCATAGCCGAATGCAGATCTACGTTTTAATTCCAATTTTGCTACTAATAAGTTATGTGAGTTTGGGGGAGAAAGCAAACACTTCAACTCTATAGGCCTCAGTATACAAATGTATGCACTAAGAAGTTTATATTAGATGATTTCAAAGGTTCTTTTTACCTCTCATTTTTATGTTTCTTTATTCTAAACTGAATTTCATGGTTGTTTAATTTGTTTGATAATTGCATCATATATATCTAGGGAATGCTAGGTGTGTGCTAAATATTGAAATACAAAGCCAAAAAGCCACAGCATACATTTTATGTATCTATAAAAACATCAATATTACATAATATATATTATACGAACATTATACGAAAGATATTCTCAAGATGAGAAAAAGAAGTGATGAATTCTTTCTGGGATATAGAAACAGTTATCTCAATGGAAGCGTTATTTGATTCAGACCTTGAAGGATGACTTATTTCCTGCAGAGTGGGGTGGACAGAGATGCCATTTCCAAGTCCCTTCAAATTCTGTGATTCCAAAAAATAATTTACTGATATTTTGACCAAGTATTATACAAATAAATATCACCATTACTAGAAATAATAAATATTTGAATGTGTACCTCAATGTTAAAAGTTATAAAATTGAAACTAAAGCCACTGGATCACCTCACAGTCACTACTGTATCAAAGACTAGACTATTAACATTTAACTTCCTTTTTCCATTTGTATTCTTTCAGGGCTTTTGGTGGCAAATGACAAAACCCAACTTGAACTACATAATGGAAAAGCAGAAATGCTGCTAGACCTCAGGGACAGTGGAAATTCAGAACAACGGAAACTGCCTACACTCGAAATTGCCAACTTGACTTCATTCTCTTAGTTTAGCTTCTTCTATTTGATGAAAAACACAGCTGCTAGCAGCATCTGAAACTCTAAACTTACAACTTCTGCTCTTCCCGCTCCACCTCCTGCTTCTACTGGTTCTTCTTCCTCAACTCCAATTTGGAAAAGAAAATTACTAGTTTGGGTCTTGTGCTCCCCATCAGATGAGTCAATTGAGGTTTTCGCGACAAGTAATATCATCGGACCCATTTGATTCTGGTAACCAGCATAGAATCAGCACTGTCACTAGGAAGCGAAGGTAATATAAGTACATGTTCAGGCCCCACCATTTACTGGCTGTGTGATATTGGAAAAGCTACTTGATTTTTCTAGGTCTCCTTTTCCTCATCTGTAACATGGAAGAAATACTAATTCCCAACTTAGAGCAATATTGTGAATATTAAATGAATTAATGTACATGAAGTGATTAGCATAAGATCAGGTACATATGAAATGCACAATTAAATAGTGAATAGTATTTTTAAATTATTATGTTCATCATCATCATGGAAGCTCTCGTTAGAATCACATTTTTGGAAGAGGGATAGGTGAGTTCCCCAGAAAAATAGTGGAAAGTATTGGACAAGTAAAATAGATGTTTTATTTACACCGCTGCTAGAACAACTTATTTTGAAAATTATTTTTGAGCAAGAATATAAAAAACGGTTAAATAAAAAAATGAAAAGATGAATCATTCATCTAATGGAGAAGAAAAACAAGGATAATTAGAATAAATTTACAGATAACTAAAAAGAAAGCAAAAGTCTTTTTTATGGTGTAGCAGCTAATATATCCTATTTTTCCTTTGATCATATAAATGCATTAGAGTCACAAATTTTACTCACAGTGCGATTCAGATGTCTTCCTCTGGGGCCACACCCACTGGTAAAGAGGAGGGGAGACATGAAAGAAAATAAATGAAATATTAATTATAGACTTTATACATAATTTATATATTATAAATTATATGATTTAGTATAATACAACTTTCAGGTAGGGTCCAGCTTTCCTTGGCAAAAATATTCAGTGGTTTATTTAGATTCCTTTCCTTGCTTCTTTCTCTGAAATGTTGTCTGGATAAGTGATTGTAGTTGGAGGAAGGAGAGGAGTTTTGCAGCTTTTATGTCCTTGAGGATTGCCAGGGGTGATAAGGCTTACTAGCTGCATGCAGGTCCCAAGTGGGACACACTGGACTTAGGGATACTGGCCCTGCTGACATCTTGTGAATCAAGTTTCTGATTGCACTGTTTATGATTTGGTCTCTCTTGCTTGGTCAGGGCCTGGTAGTTCTCCTTGACTATCTCCATCTCAGTGTGGCTACCGCTGACTGGAGATACTTTGGTGAACACCAGCCTTTTCATCCAGCCTAGACTGGTTCTTCTGCAGCCTCTGCCTCTGCTGGAGGTGTATCTGCCCCTGACATGGTGAGTCTCATGACAAGCCTGCTGGCACTCAAGGCAGCATTAGCATCACCCGGGAATGCCACTCTTTCAGATATCCACTTGGTGTACTGCCTCATCTCCTTCAGGATTTTACTCAAGGATCACTTTTCAGTGAGGCCTAAATAAAAGTGTATCTCCCACAGCACTTCCTATTCCCCTTCTTGCTTAGCTGGTAATGCCATCTAACTTTTAACATATTTTATTTATTTATTTTTTAATGTGTGTCTTTCTTTCACTAGAATGTAAGCTCCATGAGGGTAGAGACTTTCATCTCTGTTTAATACAGCATATCCCATGTTTAGAACATAGCCTGGAACAAAGCAAGCAGTGAATACGTATTTGTTGAATACATGAATAAACAAATAGAAACCAGGAAATGCTGCAGAGTCCAAATACATTCTCTCTCTCTGTGTGAATATACGGTTTAATTCTCCTAACTAGTGTGGCTCCTGGCACACCGTAGGTGAATGAATAAAAGGGTCTACCTTCAATTTGTCCCTTACTCCTTGGTATGGCTCAGCCAATGTGGTCCTTGAGCTAGCCATCTGGCCCCTTTCCAGTGTTTGCTTTCATTCCTCAACTGTTACTTGATGACTCTCCTTCCAGGGTTTTCAATTCTGATTTAATTATATGTAAACCACTGTAGCATCCCTCCTTGTGATATGCCCTTGAAGATTCTGTATCTGTCTTTTACCCGTGCTTTATTCTAGCCCCTGTAACTCCTGGCCTGCTAAAAAGAGGAATTCCTGTGTAGACAGATCTCCACTATCCTTACTCGGTTTCAGGCTGTTAGATTGACTACTCATTATCTCTCTCTTTTTTTTTTTTTTTTTTTTTGAGATGGAGTCTGGCTCCGTCGCCCAGGCTGGAGTGCAGTGGCTCAATCTCAACTCACTGTAACCTCCACCTCCCTGGTTCAAGCAATTCCCCTGCCTCAGCCTCCTGAGTAGCTGGACTTATAGGTGCACACCACCATGCCTGGCTAATTTTTTTGTATTTTTAGTAGAGACAGGGTTTCACCATGTTGGCCAGACTGGTCGCAAACTCCTGACCTCAGGCAATCCGCCCGCCTTGGCCTCCCAAAGTGTTGGCATTACAGGCGTGAGCCACCATGCCCGGCCTGCTTATTATCTTTATGGTTACTTCCGGAATGCCTTGTTCATCTCATTTGGACCTCATTGAACAACACACTCAAGTTACCCTGTGTGAAGTTTCTTTATATAGTCGTACTGCACCTTGCTCCATTTAAAGACCAATGTATTAAGGATCTAAATTCTATAAGCATACTATGAATATTGCAAGTTTATGTACAAGCTTGCAGCTTTAAAAATAGCAAACATTTATTGAGCTTTTATTATGTGCCAGACACTATGCTGTGCATTTTTTATGTATTGCCTTATTTAATTTGCATGTAACTTTATGAATAGAGGTTGTGGTTTTAGCCCATTTGCTAGATAAATAAACTAAGATTTAGAGAAACTAAGAAATGTGCCCCAAATCACTCAGTAAGCAGCAGAATTGAGGTTCATGGTTAGTTGTGTCTGTCATCAAGGCTTATGTTCTGAAGGACCACACTCAACAGCTTCTATTATTTACGGCCACAAAAGAGGAATTTTACCTTTCCACAATTCATTTATTAAATAAGTGAACTGTGTCAATTCAGAGCCAAGAATTCTTTTAATTTATAATAGAGCAAAAAAGAACATTTTTGTCCATCAGAAATATCTTATGATTTGGTAAATTCCCAGAAGAACACTGAGATCACAAATAAACAAATGGATTTCAATAAGACAGAAATATCTTTTTTCTTTTACACCAATATCATCTTTTCTTTACTCATTTGTCATGCTATATTGCATTCATATTCCATTGTTTAGAAAAGACAACACAAAACTATTTCTCTAATACCCCCTCTTATCTCTTTTTACATGTTGATTTTGTCTATTAAGCCACCAAAGTATATACATTTTATTTGGCAATAGTTGCAATTCCAATTAATAGCTTAAATAAATGCAGCAGCAGCTGGCTGATCAATAATGTGCTAGACCACATTAGAGCATGCAACTCACTCTCAAGGTATTTACTGGTCCTCATGATATTTTAATTACCAATACAGTCAGGGACAAAGCACATTTTGTTGTATTTTCTCTCTCTTTTTACATGACTCAGCATGGATAAGCTGTGAAATGTATTAGAAAACAATGTTTCTAATGATTTTATTTTAAAATATGTTACAGATTCTTCATGCTGAGAAAGTTACCCTCTGAATCCTTAAACTGCCAGGATGAACCAAATGCTTAGAATTCTCCTATAATCATTTCTGAAATCTCTAAAACGAGGGAAATCTTCAGAACAGGAATCACTTTATGAACCATGACCGTCTCCCACTTTGTGTTCACATGGGGCTGAATTTCTGTGGCCTCATAAGTGAATGTTTAAATCCTAAAATAGAAATAGGGATAGAAGATGGTCCACAGAAGATAAAAATTAGATCAATAGATTATAACTGCCCCGGGGACCACAGCCATAGCAATTTAGAGCTAAATTTCCTCCATATCAAATCACTCAAGCATCATTGCTAAGTCTATACACACACTTGCTTTCTCTTTCAGCAAATAGGGTCTTTCATGCCTCTTTCAGAGCAGCAACTACTTTTGTCAACAACAAAAGCAGCACACTGCTGTGAAAATAACTTGGAGTAAAAACCAACCAACCAAATAAAAAATATATTTGTTCCTCAAAATCGAAGTGGAAAGGAAAATACCTGGGGATATTATATTCAAAGAAATATGGTAAGGAAGTTTGCAAAATAATGCTGTAAGCCTTGTGGGATACACAGCTCTAGAGTTTGAAATTCCTCCAGGAAAGAGGCCATTCTGGCATCCTTTAACAATGAATACTTGTTAAATGAATCTTTCACATGCTGTTGTGCATTGACAATTTGGTTGAATCAAGAAGCGAGTGAGGAAAACGGGGTTAAATGTATTTATTTTATTTTGTGATTCTAAGGTTCAATGTTACTGAATCTACACGTTTCCTGGAGCTCTGACACATAACTGGAGATTCATTAAGTGATTTTAATCATACTTAGACTGTGATTGAGTGAAATGATTAAAAGAGCCTACTATTGAAAAGAGATGCAGAACTTAGCTCATGGAACTCAGCTCCTGGCTTGAGAACAGAAATGCCCTAGAAACCCATAATATGAGATATCTGAAATTTGAACATTAATACGTTAAATAACAAAAATAAGTTGTTTTCATGAATTCTGGGATAAAATCAGGGCATTTGTGAAGTGACAGTGAAGCTGAGATAAAGTTAGGTGTCCTCATTTATTCACCGTGATCAGATACAGTCCTGAAACAGGGACCATAAGGCATGTTAAACATCCACTATACAAGGTACAGTCACATGACCTTTGCTAGGATAACTCATTATTTACTGACACTGAAAAATCTGGGTAAGTACTCGTTACATTAGAAAGATTTTGAGAAGTACCATATACCTTATCCCAGTAATTACATGATATCACAAAATAGGTCACACCCTTATTGTTGTTTACAATTCCAAAAATTTGGTCTACTGCCTCTTAAACAACTTTTCCTAGTCCAAGGTACAGTACAAAACGTATTCACAGAGAGAAACATTCCCAAGAAAATTTCATTTAGATTTCAACCCTTCTGTTGGATGGTCACCTTTTCTGGTTATTTTGATAAATTACTTCACATGGGCAATCCTCAGTATAAAATACTCTCCTAGAGATCCTATTGCAGCCATTTGTTTGAGACACAGGAAATATTTTCCTAAGACTTGATGCTATTAGGCTAATTAGAGTCACCCAAGCTACACTGCCTATTTAACAAATAAAATCGCAGGTCTGTTTAGGTTAATGTACATTGTGTCATCGGAAAACATATGCTAGAATCCTCGTGGGAAACATCTTTTCTGATCCTAGCGGTAATGTGACCTTAGTTGTAGTTTGTCCAAAAGCCTTCTTCCAAAATCACTTCTCACCTTGTCCAGTGGCTTAAGGATTTGATCTTCATTAGAAAGTACAACTTTAATTTCTTTGTAGTCATTTACATTTACACTCTTTTATTTATTTTATTTATTTATTTATTTATTTTTTGAGACAGAATCTCGCTCTGTCACCCAGGCTGGAGTACAATGGCACCATCTTGGCTCACTGCAACCTCCATCTGCTGGGTTCAAGTGATCAAGCAATTCTTCTGTCTCAGCCTCCTAAGTAGCTGAGATTAAAAGTGCCCATCACCACACCTGGCTAATTTTTGTATTTTTGGTAGAGACAGGGTTCCACCATGTTAGCCAGGCTGGTCTCAAGCTCCTGACCTCAAGTGATGCTCCCACCTTGGCCTCCCAAAGTGCTGGGATTACAGGCATGAGCCACCAGGCTTGGCCTACATTTATACTCTCTATCAGTTAGCATCCAATCAGAGAAGCATGACCATGATGTGATGATAGATGATAGATGATAGATAGATAGATAGATAGATAGATAGATAGATAGATAGATAGATAGATGATAGGTAGATAGATAGAGAGTTTTGTTACAGGGATTTGACCTTGCAAGATTTGGAAGCTCGAGTTGCTTACACAGTCTCACTAAGGCTGTTTTCTTTGCATCTCACTCTAGACTATTGTGTAGTAGCAATCTATTTCCCCTTCATAGTCAGGATCAAACACATCAGCCAATAGAATAATACTTTGCATTGTCTGTTGATTCAGTGGCATAAGGAAACCAAAGTATCCAGGCAGCAGTTTTAACTACCAGTTGATTGGAATAATTGTTGTGTCCCCAGCAGAGTGTAATGTCATGGAAATGAGAAACAGAAATGTTGCTAGTAGATCACTTAAGGTATTAGTAAAATGAGTCACTCTCCTTTCTATCCACGAATCCTGGCTATAGGAGGCCAGCAGCATTGGATGCTGATTTCAGGTATATACCACATCTGAGAGGATACTACACTACTTCTTTACGTGTTGCCAGTGGCCTAGCACCAGTCTTTACTTAAACCAGCTGCTCCAAGATGATGAGGACATGTTAAGACCAGTGAATTTCATGACCATGGGCCCAATGTCACACTTGATTCACTGTGAAATGAATTCCTTGGTCAGAAGTGATGCTGTATGAAATACCATTAGGATAGATAAGGCACTTTGAAGTCCATGGTTGATAGTTTTGGCAGTAGCATTAGGGGAGGCAAATTCATCTCTAGAGTAAGTGTTTATTTTGTGAGAAATAAGTGTTGCCTCTTTCACGATGGAAGTTGCCTACCGTAAATAACTCAACATGAAGTAGCTGGTTGGTCTCCCATGAGAATAGTGCCATATCAGGAGCTCCACTAGCTCCATGTTGTTCTCTGCAGCTGTTGTCTGCTATAATTGAGTACTCAACAGTGAGTATAGTCAGATAAGCCTGGTGAGAGGAAGTTCATAATGCTGGGTCTACATATAACCTCTATCTCTGTTATCATAGTCATTAGTTCATGAGCCCACCAAGCAATGACAGCAGTGACTGAAAAAGGAGGCTAACTTTGTCCACAGAATGGGTTCTACTATCCATCTGGTTATAAAGATCCTTCTCTGCTGAGGTCATCCTTTGATGCACACTCACAGGGAACATAAATCTTCAACCTCTCTGCCTGTTTGGAAAGGTCTCCTAACAAGCAATTTTCCAATGGTGTTCCTTTGAAGTCCCTGACAAACCAGTCAAACCATTAGCCACAGCTTATAAATTAGTATAGACTTGGCTGAGCACAGTGGCTCACACCTGTAGTCCCGACACTTTTGGAAGCCCAGGCAGGTGGATTGCATGAGCCGAGGAGTTTGAGACCAGCCTGAGCAATATGGTGAAACCCCATGTCTACAAAAAATACAAAAATTAGCCAGATGTGGTGTCATGCATGTGTAGTCCCAGTTACTTGGGAGGCTAAGGTGGGAGGATTGCTTGAGCACAGCAAGTCAGAGCTGCAATGAGCCATGACCATGCCACTGCACTCCAGCCTGGGCAACAAGGTGAGACCATTCTCAAAAAAAAAAAAAAAATGGTATATACTCATGTATCATGCCAATCCTTCATTGAGGCAGAATGAAAACCAGAGGCACTGCTTGAAGTTTTACCCACTGGGAGGATTCCTTCCACTCCAGTTCTTCAGCATTATCCCAGAGTGGAACTGCGGTGCTATAACCGTCCTCTTTTGGTTAGTGCCGACACATCATGCAGAATCATCTGTAAAACAAGCACAAGACTTTTCTTCCTAAGTCAACTAGTCATGCACAACTCCCTATGAGTCCATAGTTATATGTTGAGAAACAGAAGGTAATGCAACAGAAATCGTAACAGTGAACATCTGGGCCACTTTCTCATGCAACTTACTTTAGCATTGTGGACTTGTTTAAACACTACACTGTATATACTATTTCCATTTGATGATGCAGTGTAGTTGTGCACATCCAGTTTTATGGTTTGGTAGGTCAGGTATCACATGCAGCCCATGATGGGCAGTTCAGACCACTTGGTAACTTGATGGTCCATAGTCAAGTGGTCAGTGTCAGTCCCCGCTGCAGATCAAAAGCTGTTACTTACTTCTTTCTCTCCCTCTCTTCTTTCTTTCTTTCTCTCCCTCTCTTCTTTCTTTCTTTTTCTTTCTTTCTTTCTTTCTTTCTTTCTTTCTTTCTTTCTTTCTTTCTTTCTTTCTCTCTTTTCCCTTAGATCAGTGAAATATGTGAACTACAGAATAGCTATCATTTCACTTTTGTCCTTCAAATGTCACAGAAAAAATCTCTCTGGGGCCCACTGTTACCAGAAACATATAGGGAAAAGGGATTCTGGGAAATGTAGTTCCCCCTAACAAATTTGACACACTACAAAGTCTCCATACACCTGAGGGGAAAACGCTGTATCAGAAATTTTCTCATAAGATTTTTGACAGTTGATAGGAAGCAAAAGAGTCGAAATGTTCCGAGTGAGTGATTAAGTGGAGAGATAGTACACAGCAACTATGTTTAATGGATAAACAGTAAAGGGGCTCCTGTGTACCAAAATAGAAACTTATCTACTCTATAATGTTATGCTATATTAGCTTCTAATTTCCCTTATTGATATCTTCACTCACAATAATCCTGTTTGCTTATTTCTCACAGATTCTGGTAAAGATTTCTTTTTCTCATGGAAAGTAGATGGAGGTGGGGTATGTGATTCCTGTGCTTAAAAATCTGGACCTTGGTTTCTGTCTCCTTAATTCTTTTGAGATATTCCTATATAACTATTTCTATTTCTTCAGTTGCAAAAAACATTAGGTTTATTTCTCTATCACAGAATTGCTGAGTTTATTAAACATGTAAGTAGTTGCAAAGTGTTATATCAATACTGAGAAGTTGAATCAATCACAAAGTATAACTAACTACAATTGAAAAGTAAATTAACCATAGTTATAGTCAGATTACTACGTTCCTTCAGTATTATTTATGGCTTTCATTTCCATGGTAGATTATAAAATTTTAATGTTATTAATATCTTTATTAATGAAATTAGGATACAAAAAGATTTGTTTAAAAAGATTAAAGTTTTCAAATCATTTGAATTTTTGGCAGGGAAAATAACTATGATGGATACTGTCTCAATTATGAACTTCCCACTTAGAAATAACCAGTTGCATGTTCCATTTCAAACCTTCTCCTAACTCACCTGAACTTTTTAAAATTTTCAGCTCCAACAGAAATAATAACTGTTATTTATTGAATACTTTTCATGTGTCAAGCATGCAGTTTACTGATTCAGCCTTCCAAAATTTGAAATGGGAACCTCTACTATGTACCTAGTGCTTTACCTGGCACTGGTGTTATGATAGTGTTTTCAAAGCCATCTCCACCTTGTGGAAGGTGGAGATTAAGGAACAAAAAAACAAAGAGGTAGTTAACTGCAGCAAAATTAAGAAAAACATAAGAAGTCAAGGCGGCACATAATAGGGACATTTAACAAGCCTTGATGAGTCAAGAAATGTTTACAGAAGTGAGACCTGAAGGATATTTTGAAGTCCGGAAAAGGTGTCATAGAAAATAAGGGAAGAGCATTCCATAAAGAGTGCATACAATATGCAAAGTCTGAAGGTAAGAAAGAAAAAGAAAAGAACTTTGAAAGAAGTACAAATAGCTAAATAGGATTACAGAGTAAATTATGCAGGCATGAGTGGTGATATGTGAGGATGGAAATGTAGCAGAGGTCTTCTAAAGGGTAGAACCAAGTTGGAATGATGACATTCTATCCTAAGGACAGTAGGGAGCCATTAAAGACTGATGAGCATGTGAATACATGATCAAGTTAATATTTTAGGAAAATCTGATGCTTTTACGGAATAAAATGGAAGAAAAGAATGGTGGCAAATAAGCCAGTTCATAGGTGAAGAATGACTGGGACCATTGTCAATGGCCTTAAAAGGAAATGGATCAAGAGATATTTAAATGATAGAGCTGTCAAGCTTTACTGCACTGATTAGATGACAGGAAGAGGTAAGACCAAGATGATTCCCAACATTCTAACTTGGGCAACTGGTTGGATAGTGGTGCCAACCACTGGGTAAAGGAACAAATAAATAGTAGCAAATTTTTCTCACAATATTCCTTACATTAGGTGTTATTATAGACACTTTAGAAATGAAGCTCAGAGAAGTTGGATAATATCCTAAGGTCAAAGATCTAGTAAGTGGTGGAATCTACAGGATTATGCCTCTTACAGACTCTAGAGTCCATGCTAGCAGTAGATGTTGTGGTCTGCTTCCCAGATCTCCTCTCAGGATTTATCACCTTGTTCTCCCCAGCTGTTGGGAGTGCTGCCAGCTGACAGGCCCCCTTCCAGGAAATGGACTATACCAGTGATTCCCCAAATACAATCCCTGGACCAGAAGTAGCAGCATCACTTGGGAACTTGTTAGAAATGCAAGTTCTCTGGCCTCCTTCCAGACCTCATTAGAAACTCTGGCAGTAGGACCCAACAATCTGTTTTATTAAGCCCTCCTGGGTTCTGATTCTGATATATGCTAAAGTTTGAGAGTCACTCACCTAGACTGATGAGAACTACCTTGGCAAAAGTCCCTGACAAAAGTCTTTCCTGACATTTTTTGTTTCAACTTAGAAAAATCCTGTGGCAAAAGGAAAAGCAAACATTATCAGGCAGAGGGAGAAATTGGTCTGCAATGCAGTCTTAAGGGAGGCCTCAAAGGATCCACTGGAAGTATGGAAACTGAGATAGCCACAGGTATTTCTCCTGCATGCTAATCTCCGCCTCAGATTTTGCCTCCTCAGTAATCCAACCAGCAATTGTTGATACCAGGAGTGGCCAGGGAATACAAACACTAAAACGGAGCTTGAACACCTGCCATTATCCTGGCAATGAGGACCCTATCGCTGGAGGTAGATGGAGCTCCTGGCAAAGGTAGCAGTGACATTGTTAAAATGCTTACTGGTGGCGAGTGGGGTTGGTATAATAATGGAAGGAAATGCACTAGTGGTTGCAATGTATCAGTTGTTTGAGAAACACAAGGTCATTGTAAGGATAGTGAAATTATCTGGTTATTGATGGGAACAACTGATGCTTTAGAAAAAGTAATAGAAGACTGAGAATAGAAAATCAACAATTAAGGGGTTGGCATGAAAGACTGAAATCTTAGCAGCATATGAAGAGACTTTGATCTCTTGGAGCTGGATGGCAAAAAAAATGCTGAGAACCAGGCCCCAAATTAATTTTTTATGAAAAGTATCAGAACTCCAAAAATGGTTGAATTATCAACTTAAGCAAATCTGCTGTCAAGACCAGGACCTTAATTGGGAAAGAATGGGATCCTCTGATAAAAGATGCTCTTGAACATCTTAAATCACCAGTTTTAAGTAGACCTACTTAAAACTGCAGATGCAGACACTGTCCAGTCCTTCAGAGCAATAATTAGGGTTAAAATCACAACATAACCTGGCTGGAGAAGTGTTAGACCTGACAAGGGGGATAAAGGACACCAAAGGAGGTGTAGGATCTAGTCAACATGGACCAGAAAAAACTAGGAGTCGTAGTAGATTCTAGGGGTGCTGGATCAAAAGGGACAGAACATAAAGTTGAATGAGGAAAAATATGTTGATGTGGGATCATTGTCCTGGAATACAGAATGTAATATCCTGTCAAGGACCCTTGGGAAAAGTGTTAGTGTGCTTGGAGGAAGCAACAGCCTACCATAAATGAAGTAGAAACGTCAAAATTGCTATGGTAGCAGAAGGAAACAAGGGCTCGGAGAAGCAGCATGCAGGAGTGGGTATATTTTGTAAAGCCTAACAACTCACCTAATGCCAATGTTCTGAGATATTCCATTTACCAAAGCAGTAAAGAATACATGAGTGACAAAAGACCATTCATATCATGAAGAGTGCATTGGGGGCTCTCCCTTACAAACTATGGCTAGAGATGTCACAGAACTAGGCTCTCAAATGGCAATGCAAAGATAGGATCATAAAATGATAAATGCAAAGTGGTGTGTTTCTTTGGCTGCCTATTACCAACTGATCTCACACTGAGATCAGGACTTCCATAAGCCAGTATGTACCTGTAAGGACATTCAGTGAGTTACAATGTTTAAATATTTCTGCACTAGTCAGTAAATAGCCATTGTCGTAAGCACTGTGCACCTCCCAACTTCTAGTGTCCCATCTCCCCATAACCAAAGGTTTAATTCCTGGCACAGCATTAAACAGGCTCCTATGGTAGCTCTGTCTGGTAGGGCCCTGTGCCATACAAATTGTTTACCACTGCAATATTTTGAAGTCTTATTTATTAAGTACATTATGGAGATTTGAAGAAAACATTAACTATTACTTGTTGTAACATATATAATGCATATTTATACAGTAGTCCTCCTTATCCACTGTTTCACTTTCTGCAGCTTCAGTTACCCACAGTCAACCGTGATCTAAAAATATTAAATGGAAAATTCCAGAAAAAAAAACACAATTCGTAAGTTGTAAATTGTACACCATGCTGAGTGAGATGCTGATGCATGATGTTGGACATCATCTCTTTGTCCAGCATGTCCACACTGTCTATACAACCCACCCATTAGTCACTTAGTAGCCTGCATAGTTGCAGGATCGACCATCCTGGTATTTCAGTGCTTGTGTTCAAGTAACCCTTATTTTACTTAATAATGGCCCCAAAGCACAAAAATAGTGATGCTGTCATATTTTTATAGTTGTTTCATTTTATTATTAGTTGTTGTTATTAATCTCTTACTCTGTCTAATTTATAAATTAAACTTTATGATAGGTATGTAGGTATAGGAAAAAAACGTAGTGTATATGGGGGTTTGGTACTATCCTCAGTTTCAGGTATCCACTAGGGTGCTTGCAATGTATCTCCCATGGATAAGGGGCAGGGGGCTACTCTATGTATTAACTATATATTAAAAACCATATAACATCTTCTTTTGTATTATATTAACAACACTTATTTAAATGGAAGTACATCAGGATAGTATGGAGGCCATGGTATTGGGGAAAAAGTAGCATAGAGGATGGAATGAAAAAATAGATAACATGTTTTCTGGTTACAATCTACAATAAGAATATCAAATATATAAGCAAGATTTAATTATCCTCCACCTTGCTTAAATTTTCACAACTAAGAAATTACTACTTTTGCAAAACCTTACAGTTTTATATTACAGCATCCCTTTGAATCTAAAATATTTTTAAGCTTTCAATAAAACATGTATTTAAATCCCTTCGTTTGCTGACCTATTATTGAAAATTGTTATAGGCAATAAAAACACTTTTAAATAATTCTCCCAAATTAAACATATTCTAGCCAAATATTCCCCAATGTGTGAAACAACAAAGGCAATAGATGAAAATGAATGAGTGATGCTGTCTGGAATTTTAGTTTAATTTTTTTGCAATTGCTCAAATATTAATAACCTGAGATCTGATCTTTTTATACATGCAGAATCTGCTTAAGCCTTTAAAAAATAAAAAAGCTAAACAGAGATGTAACACCACACTGTAGGGAGCAATCCCAATCTGGTGGAAGAAAAAATTAGGCAATTCAAGATGGTTTAGGGTTGTTATTTCTATGCATTCCTACAGACTGTGTCTTAAATGGGGTTACCATGAGGAAATTGACTCTGCATTCCATAAGTACTAGACTACACCTGTGCTGTTTTGTCACCTATTCAGACATTAACAGAAATTTTTGAATGAGTGGATCAAGATGGTGGGTTTTGAACTGCAGGTCTGAACAGACAGAAACAACGTGCAAATCACTAAAAGCAGGAACTGTTTTGTTGTCATAGTTATGGGAAATTTTTCAAAGGCTGAGAAATAAGTATTGAATCCTTAATTAGAAAAATTTTATATTTTATAGATTTTACTTTTAAAAGTATGAAATAAAGAGCAAAAATATCTTGATTGCTGAACTATCATGGGTTCCTGAAATTTAAGCTGCTATTCTATTAATGTTAGAATTAAGAATAGGAGGCATATGAACATGAATTTTCTCCTAAAAGCTATGATTGTAGTTTACTTCCACTTGATTTTTTTTTTCTTTGTTGGGATCCGTATGCCTCATTTTCTTTATCTGTACAATAGGGATTATGATAGTAATTACTTCATAAAGTTTGGGGTAGCTAATATACATCAAATGCTGAAAATATCACCTGGTATTTAGTAAGTGCTAAATAAATATTAGCTATTGTTATTTTGTCAAATATTGGTATTTTGTCAAATGGGAAGCCACAGCATTTTCAGTAGAGAGTTTTGCTACCTTGTAGGCAAAATGGGCTTTTATGGCCTTGAAACTTAACTGGTTTTAATAACACAGGATCTATAGGAAAACGCATTCTCTAGTCTAAGCTACCAATTTACATTTCTATAAAACGTGCATGTATGGTCCCTAAGGAATCATTTGTCTAATGTTTTCTTAGGTCTTAGGTCACTCTTATAACAGGATAGTTTTAAAGTCCAGTCTTCAACTATTTGACCATGGTTTTAAAGAGGAAGGGCAATGAGGCATCAATTTATGTGGTAGGAATTTTCCTCTAAGGTCCCTAAGGTCCCTAAGGAATCATTTGTCTAATGTTTTCTATACTAGGCTTATCTTTGGAAAGTGGTTCAGGTGACAAGATGCCCACATTTCTTACCTTTCTTAACTTATTAAGGAGAGCAAGGGGCAAAGTCTTGTGAGATCAGCCTGACTAGGTAGGCAGGTGCTAGAGCACATCTTTCCTTACAGGCCTTGCTAATGATTTTGTTTTCATCCTCAGAACAATGGAGAGACACCAAATGTGTTAAGCAGAATGTGATACAAGCTTAGATATGTTTATAAGAAGATCACTGGCTGCCATGTAGAGAATGGATTGGTGGGAGGTTAGTTGTTTGAGAACATGTTAATGTAACAGAGAACAGTCTATGACTAATGCAGTGGGCTGATGAAAAACAATATTTTGGACTGACTGTGGTTGTAGCGGAAATGAAGAGCAGGAGAAAGTACATGAGAATTTCTTTGAGAAAGTTGAATTTAAAGCCAGGCAATTTTCCAACATCTCTGACTGTTTCCACATTTGTAAGGTGGAGACATTGTAGTTGCTATACACGGTAGCCGTAAAGATTAAAGGGAATGTAGGCACAGGGATCAGCAAGGCCATATAGCTAGAAAGTGATGATGCCAAGATTTAAACCCAAGATGTCTCACCCTTAAAGCTTCTCTTTGTGTGGGCTGCCATGAGAATTAAACGAGGTGTTACCAATTGTTGTGGCTGTTAAATTTTTTTTAATTGCATATTTTAAAGTACCATGATAGCCAAGTTATAATGCTATCCATTTAACAGAGACTGGGTGTCAGTCACTCTTATAACAGGATAGTTTTAAAGTCCAGGCTTCTACTATTTGACCATGGTTTTAAAGAGGAAGGGCAATGAGGCATCAGTTTATGTGGTAGGAATTTTCCTCTGCAGATGATTGTTATGTGTTCCTCCTTGCTGGTTGCTGTGGTGGTTTTGAGAGGGGATGCCAAGAAGAATGAAGCTGGGTCTCAATGCCCTTATCTGAACAAACAAGATGTGGTCTGCAGCAGCCCCACCCCACCCCAATTGGGATTTATCCTTGTAGTGAAGTCCTCCATACTTGCCTCACTGGCATATACTTGTTCATCCAATGAGAAGGAAAATGGATCCCAAAAATGTTAGCTTACTACTTGGCAATATTCTTATCAAGGGGTTAGCCTAAATGTCAACAGAACTCATGCAGCTCAGAAGAGAGATCTAGTCAGGTTTAGGGCTGCTGAGGAGCACACTTAACTGGCTCAGACCATACTTTGAGACTCAGCTGAACCTTATTTGACTTTACCTTAAAAACAATAAGCAAAGCAAATGAATTTGATAGCCCAGCACCACTGTCAGATCTGAAAGAGATTATTGACATCACATGCCTTTCTCTTTGTATCCATCTGAACATGTCTGAATGCCTGGGCCCAAAGAACCTTCCATGCTAGAAGCAGGAATGACAGATTAGGGAGAGAAGGCAGCAGTGCCTTTTCTATCCTTTCCTTTTTGTTTCCACACTGTTTAAATGAACTTTCTCCTTTTCTAAGCACCAAGTATTAATAAGTGCTTAATTAGGTCAAAGCTTGGGTGTAAGCTAGGGAGAACTGAAGTAGGCTGCCAATGAATCAAGTTAGCCCAGAAGTCATGCTGTAGTATTTGTGCCCTTGCGCAAAGTACACACCCAAAACATATGTGTGGGGCTGATTAATTGCAAAATTTGGAAGAGATGTAAGGGGCCCTGCAATTCCAGCTCCATGGGAGAGTTGAGTCATTTGTCCTTGCCAGAAGTTCACAATGTGCACGACACCGGTGGAAGCCTCATGTGCATAAAAATCATGCATTGTGCCATGGAGGTTCAGGTGGTAATAAAACCTGGAATCAAAATGGTGAATTTTACATTTGCAAAATGTGGTCCATAAAGTGAGTCAACTAGAGTACATCATAAATAGTACTGTTAAAGAAAGGGCAGTGAAATGGACCAGGTTACATTTTCACAGAACATCTGCCTCAGACGCTGTAACCTCTGCACCTCTGTCACTTTACTTAAATGTCCATTCCATCATGAATCTGCATCTACGGCTTATTGAGTAGTTGAAAATATGTTCTCTGCATCTCTTTTAAATACCTTTAATTTTCAGTAGCTTCCAATAGCACTATATTATAAACTAAAGGAAAATACAAATTCTAATGTGTTTCACAAAAGCACAAACTTACTGACAATAAAAAGAAAAAAGTAGCCTCTTCCTTTTCTTCAAATAGATATACAAAGAGCAATGAATAGAGATAATAAACCCCAACCAAATGCAACATTTCTTGGTGACCGAGATGGAGACTTACCGATTATAACTAAGGCAGATGTATCCATAAATATAAAATTGAATTTGCAACTTGAAAGGTATTACAGTTGAGCTTCTGCACAGACCTGCCAAGTCTCTCCAGAACTGGCCTTGCTATTCAAGAGAGAAAAAAATGAAAGCATTATAGTACCAAAAAAGGCAAATAATAATTATTTATGTTTTTCAAATCAGTATGAGACTCACATCTTTGAACTTAAAATGTGTGTGACAAATGAAGGAAGCTAGGTGTTAGATATTGCTGTGTTGACTGTTTAGCTAACTCAGGAATACTAAAATGGAATTAAGTTGATGATCTTTTGTACTCCTGGCTCCTTCAGCTGTAACATGTCTATAACTGTGCCTCCTGTTGGGCTCAATTATACTTGTTGAATCCCTTTCTTCTTTCAACACAGCATGGATTGTGAATTGTTTCATTTGTGTTCTGTTGTGTAATCAGAAGTTTAACAAATAAAGAAATAAAAGAATTTAGATTTTAAACAGGATCTTTCTGAAAAAATGATGCCTACAGAAAACAGGTACCTAATCCCTTGCTCCCAGTGGCCAATTATACATATTCACTCGTTTTATATCTTTTACATATAAAAGTATCTACTATACTGAGCCAAACATAGTGTGAACATTTATTGGAGTAAGACTTATTAAGTCTTTAAAAAGCTTAGTAAGTTTTACAATCCTGCATTTAGAATAAAGAGGATGGAATTACAGGATGTGAGAGTATAAAGGACCTTACAGAACATCCATCCCATAGCATTTTGCAGGGGAAACATAGGTCCAATTAGGTCAAAGAGGCAGCATTCTATTATACACGGCAAAAGGGACAGGGCTTTGAAATCAGTCAGTGCTGGGTTCAATTTATGATGCAATAATTTCAGAGCAGGTTACTTAGTGCAAGGAAACCTTGGTTTCTTCACCTGAAAAGGGTGTAAGAATGCTTATATCACAGGCCTTTGGGGAAGATTAAATTAAATAAAGATACCAACTGTCTAACACATGACAAGGTACATAGTAAGCATTCAAAACATATTCTTTGCCAATCTTTCCTTACCCAGGTTTCCACCCCCATTCAGTGGCAGGATGGAAATGGGTACTATAGGTCTCCTGAAGCCCACTTATATAACATCAAAGTGGGCTGAGTTGTGGTTGATCTTCTCAAAGACAGCCTTGTCACAGAAGCCCAAGCAGCCAGGGAAATTTGTTCCAAACTCTTCAAAAGATAACAAGGTGAGGTGGAGAAGATGGGGAGGAGCTAAGACGTTAACTGCTTAAGATATAGCACATCTGAGAGTGTCCAGTTGCTCCTTTTCGATTCCTCATGGATTTCATTATAATTAAAAAGGTGGTGGGTGCTCCAACTTCTGTGAGCAAGGCTAGTAATATCCTTCAATATAGACCATAAGTAAATACACTGACTAAGTCCCCAGAAACAGGGGTCAAATTTTTCATGCTCACCTGTGGACATTATGTCAGAAACACTCTTGTAGGGGCCAAGAGGTTAACATTTATTGAGCAACTACAAGGAATGAAGCACTCTTTTCAACTACGCTGTGAATTATGAATAGATGTTATTACCTTCATTTACAGACATAGGCTAAGAGGAGTCAAGGATATAACCCAAGGGAAATAGGGCAGTTAAGTGTCAATGCCAGGATTTAAATCCAGACACATCTGAATTCAAAGCCCACACTAGTTTCACTGCACTCCCGGCCTCCTGGAATTGTTCACTTTAATACACACTGGCTAAGGCTGTTCAGATGAAGCTGTATGAGTAGCTGAGACAGTAATAATCTGATTATAAATCATTGACAGGGGCCACTGTGGTTAAAGACATGCTGTGCAAACTGTATTTTACGACCCATCACATGGGTACAGTACTACCCAGAAGACTACTTTAACTAGGGAAGGACAGAATAGCAAGTCAAAGAGCAAGACTATATAGTAGGAAGTATTTCATTATTATCTTTCATAGGAAAATATGTTTTCTAATCAATTTTCACTGGTCAGAGAGTCTAGAATATATTCACTATGAAAAGATATAATGTTAGTTTTCCTTTATGTCTTTATCATATGAGGCTAAAAAGTAACTTTTTTAAAAGTGAGGAACTCAGTATAGAAAAGTTTTTTTTTTTTTTAATTTTAAAAGACTTGGAAGGAAAAAAGAGCAAATTAAGTTACCATGCATGTTAGAAGGTCCAAATGATAGAATTATTATTTTAAAATAATTTCACTATAATACTTAAGAAGTGATTTGTTATAGTTCTGGTAAGTAGTGATTGTTCTGCTTGGCTGTGATGTATCTGGATTCTGTGCTTAAGTCGTAGAAACTGTACTCACTAAGGTGCAGTTTGGCCACTTCAACAAGACCCAAAAAATCTCACATAACCATCCAAGCAGAATAGTCCAGGGCTAATATGGTGGTCTGTTACATCATGAAGACAGGATTCTTTCTCATTTGTTCTGCAGCCCTCAAAGTATGGTTTCCATGTCATGGTTCAAGACAGTTGTTCTAGCTCCCACTTTCCCATCAACATTTCAAAAGGAAGGAGAAAAAAGGAAGGTAGGACTCCTATCCTTTAAAGAGATTTCCTGGAAGTTTTACATACTATTTAAGCAAGGCTGGGAAATGTCCTCAGCTAAAATTCTATTACTAGGACAGAAAGAAAGACCAGGTAATGGGATAACTACTACAGAGCTGCAACCTACTATCCACGATGTGGATCTTAATGGGGCAGTTTGAAAATTACTCTGTCAGAAGCTATTTCACATTGAAAAAATTTCACAAATTTTATAAGACATACTAATTTGCTACTGAGCAGGACATAGTCCAGAAGTGCATACTGAAAGAGGAATGTGATAAGGCAAGGCAGGGCTAGAGAAGGTAGATGACCCTGTTGGGTCCTTGCAAAAGAGCTGTGGCACTAACCCCTTCCTTTGTTTCTCTGGAAGCAGTACAACCAATAAAGTGCAAAGATCAGCAAAGATTTCCCAGTAAATGAAATTGTCACTTTTTTTTAAAAAATTATTATATAAGCTTGATAAAAAAAGAAAATGATTATGCATCACAATTTTTATTTTGATATGATAATTTATAAGTAAATGCAATAATTATGTTCATATTACTAAATAAGGTTTGTATAGTATCTTATTTGCTCCATATTTTGTTACACAATCCAAAAATGACAAAAGTTATAGAATGATTCTCTAATTGATTTGCCTGGCATATTTATGTTAAATAACATTCTTATGGGCACAGGCCATTTAACTTAACCTTCTAGTAATTGTAAGAGTCATATAGTATCCCCATTCTACACGTCAAAAACAGGTTCAGAGGGAATGAAGTCACTTGTCGAGATCACATCGATCTTAAGTAGATGAGTTGGAGATCACATCAGGGCAGTCAGTCACCAAAGGCATATGTCTGCTATAAGAAAGCCCAAAATCTACACATATTTCCTAATGGCTATTCTAGAATATTTTAAGGCCATTAAAAGTCCTTACATCAGCTGGGTGCCATGGCTAACACCTGTAATCCCAGTACTGTGGGAAGCTGAGGTAGGAGAATCACTTGAGGCAGGAGTTTAAGGCCAGCCTGGACAACATAGACAGACACCCCACCTTCCTCCACCCATATCTACAAAACAATTTTAAGAAGTGAAAAAAAGGGTGGGGGGACAAACAAAAAGTTCTTGCGTCATACTTATAACCCAGCAGTGAAAGATAATTAAAGTGAGGTGTGGCTCCAAGCCCGGGGCTGTCACCTCCTTCCTCCCTCTGACTTATTTTAATCACTTAGGATAAACATCTTCCCTACCCCAATTTTTAGCATACTGTAGTAAGAAATTAATTTAATCAGAAAGCTCTGGCAAAGTGTAAAATATGTTACAAGGAGTTTTCCCCTTTTCTTGTATACATTATTAGTCTATGGCAAAAGAATTTGAGTTCAAGTCATGAACTGAAATGATATCTGAAAAAGAATTTATTTGGTTTACAATTGTATCAGTTGAAGTTCCAATGAATGTAATTAGTCTTTTATTTTTAATTTCAGATTAATAAAGCCTTAGGATGCTTATGCATTCAATGCTATATTTTGGATGGCAAAATTTAGATGGTCTGAAAATATTTAATTTGTTATGTTTTCCCAAAATAGCCACGGAAAAATCTTTAGTTTCTTCTTGTCTCTCTATAAGTTCTGTAAGGACCAACTGATTCTGAGAGGACAAATGGTCAAGTTAATCGTGAATTTTTGTGCATGTTAGGTGATATTAAAGTTAGCCTATCACGTGCTGCAGCAGAATCGCTTGAACCCGGGAAGCGGAGGTTGCAGTGAGCCAAGATTGCACCACTGCACTCCAGCCTAGGTGACAGAGGGAGACTCTGCCTCAAATAAATAAATAAATAAATAAATAAATAAATAAATAAATAAAAGTTAGCCTGTCAACACTGTTGATAATTTGCAGCAAATACCTTTATGTTGAACAAAGTCAAACATTTTTCTTTACAACTTGAAATAACAATTAGGCTTTATTTGTTCAGTGTTAGAAAACTGCTGGCTGGTGCTGCCCTTTACTGGTTTGCAGTGGTACCACAAATCACTGCTCATGGTTAGCTGTCAAAGGTGTGAAGATCTCTACTTGCTATGCATCATTCCAAGTAATGGGTATTTGTGAAGATCAGCCAGGCAGCCAACTGAAATCACTCTTCTTCACCCACAGGCTCACAGAGGCTGTGTGCTATTTATTATGTGTCACTGTTTCCCCACTGGAAATCAGGTTCATCAGAATTTCCTATTTATTTTTTCACTATTATCTTATCCACCTAATTGGTCATCTGTGTCCTTATGACAAACAAAACTCATATGGTCAGTGAGTAGACATTTTCACTGATTTTCATGTAAATCTAACACATGAAATGTAATTAAGAGATGAGCATGAGATAAATATTACACATAATGATAAATATATAATGGGTACCAAACCAAATGCATACCATAAATCCACTGAAAAAATTTCTTTACTCTCAAAACAACTTTTAAGAGTATCATCAGTAAGTGGAGATTCTTAAATTGTGATTTTTTAATCATAATGCTGCCTTGCAGCAGCTCTACAGCTACTGATTTTATGTTCTGATTATTCTAAATTAGATTATGTTCTAATTATATGTGATTATTATATATATTCTAAAATATTAATGTGCTGTTTCTCCTGGCCACATACACAATGGGCATTAAGTGTTTCCCATGACAGTAAATTTAACAAGTTTGGTAAAAACTGGAGTAGAAGAAAAGCCTTTCAATTTAACCTTGGTCATGATGCTATGGCTCCTGTGCTCTTTTTTTTTTTTTGAGATGGAGTCTAACTCTATCGCCCAGGCTGCAGTGCAGTGGCATGATCTTGGCTCCCTGAAACCCCCACCTCCTGGGTTTAAGCGATTCTTCTGCCTCTGCCTCCCAAGTAGCTGGGACTACAGGTGCATGCCACAATGCCCAGCTAATTTTCATATTTTTAGTAGAGACGGGATTTCACCATATTGGCCAGGATGGTCTTGAACTCCTGACCTCGCTATCTGCCCACCTCCCAAAGTGCTGAGATTACAGGCGTGAGCCAACGCGCCCGGTCCCAGTCTCCCATTCTTAAGCATTCTTATCAAGATATGTAACAAAACTGGCAATTCCATCCAAATTTCCCTGGTTTGAATTCAGGATCTTAATATGGAACAAGGGACAGACATGTAATTTGCAGAGTTTGTAAACATGTGGTTATGTGACATCCTAAGTGAGAAAATGAGATTCTTTTCTGCTACAAGTATAATTTCACGTGTATTCCATGCTTTTCCCAGAGGTGCTTGAGATAATCAAATGAGGTCTTGAATTAAACTGCCTCTCCCATGAAACATTTTTCTCTATATTCATATCTATGACAAAGTTGTTTAAAATATTATTTCATCACATCATATTCTTTTTTTTGAGAATCTTCAGGAAAAATGTATGTATGGTCTTATTACAAAAAATATAGAAAATACTTTTTCTATATACATAGGTTTTTTAAAATATCATATATGTTATCAATTGAGTTATAAGATTTTTCCTTTTGATTATCCACTAGCAAGCTTAGGGGAAAGTTAGTGGTATGTGGATATTATGAAGTGCCTTTTAAGCCTTTTTCTCACTTCACTTTGTTTTTGCTCTTTTTTGGGGGGATATCACCTAGCTATGCTTGTAAGTGGCCTAAAATCCTTTCTAGACTAATTAGTAATCCTTTCTGCATGAAGCACAAAATTGAAAAGGAATGAATAAAAAAAAACCCTAAAACAGAAAACTATGGAAATAAAATATTCATATAAAATCAATAATATTAATTAAAATAATAATAATGCTAGCTGACATCAAATGTGTAAAGCACACTTTTCTCCGTGCTGTTCTTCACTGTACATATTTATATACATACATATGTATATTAGAAAGGCTCACAATTGCCTCATAGAGGCCTGTGTGACACATAAAAATAGTACAAATATGGTTAAACCTCAAAGAGTTGTGTAAGCACAAATTTGAAAAGTGATTTGCTGTAAGTTTTTGTCAGACTGTAAAAATAAATTCCTGGCCAGGCTTGGTGGCTCACACCTGTAATTGCAGCACTTTGGGAGGCCAATGAGGGTGGATCACTTGAGGTCAAAAGTTCTAGACCAGCCTGGTCAACATAGTGAAATCCCATCTCTGCTAAAAATACAAAAATAAGCCAGGCATGGTGGTGGGTGCCTGTAATCCCAGCTACTTGGGAGGGTGAGGCAGGAGAATCGCTCGAATCTGGGAGGCGAAGGTTGTAGTGAACCGAAATCATGTCCACTGCACTCCAACCTGAGCAACAGAGCAAGACTCCGTCTCAAAAATAAATAAATAAATAAATAAATAATAAATTAAAAAATTAAAAATAAAACAAATTCTTAAATCTCTAGCCACACTGGGCTCTTCCAACATGCTAGGGAGTCTCAACTCTTGAGCTATTTGTTTCCTCTGCCTGTAACATTCTTCCCCCAAATGTCTGTGAGACTAGCTTGCTTTCCTCCTTAAGACTTTGCTGAATATCACCTTCTCTGCAAGGGCTCCACTGACCACTCTATTTACACTGGAATCTTCCTCAATGTATCACTCCAAATCCCTCATATCCTGTTCTACTTTTTCTTATTTACATATATTTTTCTCTTTCAATAATAATAATTACTTATTATGTTTAACATTTCTATCCTTTGTCCCCCAAGTAGAACATGAGGTTCATGAGTTCAATCTTTGTTTAGTTCATCATTGAATCGCAAACTCCTACAACAATGCATATGATGCCTTCAATAAATATTTGGTTGAATAAAGGAAAGATATGTGCAGTTTGAACATTTGAATGAAAATGAAAATGTAAGCGCTTTAGAGGACTGTTTTTATTCTCATATAATTTAAAAGAATTGTTTAGCTGAAATTATTTTTGTAAATAAATTCTATCAGAAATCTCACTGTTGCCTCACATATTCATATATTCTTTTTTTCTATTTTAACAACTACTATTTTGGCATAAATCATCATCTCTCTGGCTTCATATAGTAGACTCCTGATTGCTCTCCCTGATTCTAATACTATCTCCCTAGTCCAATTCATTATGAACAATATTTCCAGGTAAATTTGTTTAAAAACACCACATTATTCATGAGTCTTTCCTGCTCAGAACTTTAATTGCTCCGTGTTATCTCCTGCATAAATTTCAGACTCTTCACTGGGGAATTCAAGAAGCAATGAACTCTGGGCTTGTTGAATTTTCTAAAAGTATGTCCACCATTCTCTAACATGGTACCTTAATTCCAACGATGCTGCTGCTCCCCGATCTCTTGAAAATGGCTTGACCTTTCTGCCTTTCCTGAGTTTGCCCTTGTGCAGTCTCCTTCTTGCTGAGTTTCCTTCCATTATTTGCCTATCAAACCCTAAAAGGTCTAGCTCAGTACCTCACCTGCTTCAATGAAATACTCCTTGATCTTAGAAGGTCAATTGCTAGCCAGCTTAAAACATTTGTATTTCAGAGTTTTTAACCTTACACTTTGTGATACTGTTATAAAACCTCAAGTAAAATTTAAGTTTCTTAAATGTAGAAATTACAGCTTATATTTTTTCTGGATTTATTTTCCAGAGCACTTGGTACAGTGTTGTTAGCATAATAGATTGTCAAAAATGATTGTTTACTAAATAAGTAAGTAATTAAATAAATAAATGTGAGAACTTATGCTATTTATAATGGAAGCTTCAATACTATAATATAGAAAGTAAATAATATCTAATATTTGCAAACATTTTTTGTTATATCAAAGAGCACATTTATTCTTCATAGCAATCCTATGAGATACTCAGCAATAGTCCTATTATTCCCATTTTGTAGCTAAGGAAATACAGGCTCAGAAAGATTAAGCCAGTTATCTAAGGCCATGCAACTGTTTAGCAATATATCAAGGACTTTACCTTTGGTCTTTAAAGACTTGCCAATACATTAGAATACATTTCACAATAATTAAATACGCAGAAAATGCAGGCAAATATACAATACATATATACATATATATTGTTTAATTGAGAAGTTTTTACTCTGAAATGTTTTGAAAGTTCTAACCTTCGTGGAAATCTGATTGTAATAATTTACAAGGACATTTTATAAAGATATATAAGCTAGTGCTGGTAAAGAAAGTCCAATAATCCCTGACTAATTTTAAAGAAACTCAACTGGAAAAAAAAGTTCAAAAGCTTTTAAAACCTCATGACTGCATCTCATGGTAGTTTTCAGAGAACTAGTTTTTACAAGTTGAGTAATAGACTTCTAGGAGAGATTATGGCAGCTTATAGCTAATACATGTGTTCCAGAAATTGGACATCAGTGAGCATGGTTTTGATTTTTTGTGTGTGTGTTAAAAATATTATTTCAAAGTCCTTGGCCTTTATTCTACCTAATCTTTCAGGGAATCAAACATATATCCCACTTAATTCCAATATATAGAAAGTTATATACAACTTTTAGAAATCATAGCTCCTATTCTATCATCCAGAAACATGAAGGGTAGATTTATTTTTGTCTTAGCTTTCATTTAAATTAATTCCAACCTAAAAGCAAGACTCAAAATGCAAAATCTGGAGCAAACCTTAGGCTAGTGATGTTCAAACTCTAATGTGCTTAAATAAGAACCACCTGGGGAGTTGCTAATTCAGGCAATGTGGGAGAGGATGGACTCTTCTACCTGCTTTTTAGCAAGCCTCTAACATTATTCTGAGGTAGGAGGTTTATGAAACCTATTTTAAGAATAACCGCCTTAGAATCATCAGATTCAACTTCCTCATTTTACAGATGAGGTAGTTAAGGCCCAGAGAAGTAAAATGATGTAGGAAAATTCACACAGCAGAAAAGTGTTTTAACAAGGGCTTAGTTTCTTGGTTCCTAGTTTAGTGATTATTTACACTATATCTCACTGGATTTTCTGAAAATTCATTTGCAGTATCTCAACATATGAATTTTAAGCTAATCTTGCATTTAGATCAGTCTCAATTTTCTACTACTGAAGTCCTAGGTTATACTTGTGAAGGCTTTAGTGTGCTGTGAGCATCTGGCTCTCCTTGCCTATCAGTCAATTCTTAATATAAGAATAATTGGGCCAGGTTCACACCTGTCACCCCAGGACTTTGGGAGGTGAAGGCAGGAAGATTTCTTGAGTCCAGGTGTTCAAGTCTGCAGTGAACTATGTTTGTGCCACTGCACTCCAGCCTGGGCAACAGAGCAAGACCCTGTCCCTTAAAAAAATGATTACAACATCTATACAGTGATATATATACCATGATATACGGTAACTGACAGTCTACCTCTCTTTCATTATTGTGAACTCAGCTCTCAGGCTAGTGGGGGCAGATAGAGTTTCAGGGCAGTGGCTGAGGTGATTTCCAGCATCTCATTTTACATAGATATCTGAAAAACAGGTTTAAAAATGCAGAAGGCAGTGGGAGTATGTGGGGAAAGCAGGTAAAAAATAAGAAAGATGATTCATTTTTTTCTTCATCACCAATGTATCTCCTGACCTTTTGGTCATAAACCACTTAAGAACTTGATTAACCAAATTCACCAAAAAAGGTAAAGAGAAAACCTGAATTTCACTTTGCCTTAGAGAAGTACTTGGTTACTGTAATCATCGATTTGTTGCTGTTTCCTTGTATCATGTATAACGATTTCTAAATTTCTTGATTTTTAGCATTATTTCCTATATTATATTATTTTCTTCTTTATTATTGACAAATAATAAAGAAGTTTTTCTCCAACTGGAGTTGGAATGAAACAGTGATTTAGGAAGGCAAAAATGCAAACCATGGTAGAATGATTGAGGACTGGTTCTTTATGTCTAAGGCTTAATTGGTATCTATAATTACTAATTACTAAACTTTTCATTATTCATGTGTGGCGTATGCCTGGTTAAATGCTTGAACCTTGGGTTTCTCGGTCACCCACAGTCTGCTCTGCAGGCACGTTCTCATGCTCAATGCCTACTCAGGGAAATCCAGCTAATTTTAATACCAATCTAAGCACAAAATCTCATTAGGAAGGTATATCTCCTGCCAAAAGAAGGAATATAAGGTATTCCAAAAGCAAATATAGAAGTTTAAAAATTATTTGCTGTTTTATTCTCTTCTCTTAAAACAGGTTACTAAGAACTAAATTGGAAGTACTGGATGCTAATAGGTTGAGACATATGAAATTGCCATTTTTGTAGGTCAATAATGATAAATTATTGACATGTTAATATATCTCAACCTAAATAATATAAAATACTTTCTTATTCTTGATTTTTCTCCGAATGCCCTCAATTTTTGTTATTTTTGGTATCAAAATGCTTGTAAATGTGCACTACAAAGGCCATCCATATAGTGCTGTGAGCTGTGCAGTTGTATCAGATGACTTGGAAGTGTCAAAATATGCTCTACTGTCTTCTACTTCCTGACTTTGTACCACCTGCTTTCTGGTCACAATGTCTTTTGTGTCTTTGTCTGCTGGATGAACGGCTACTCATATTTTGAGGTGTTGCTCACATATCATCTCATCTATCTAGCTTTTCTCAGAATCCCAAAGGAGAATTATACATCTTTTCCTTTGGGGCTAACCTGCTCCCTGTGGGTGTCTATCTCAGTTCCTACGGTAGTATTACATTGTTTGTTTACAAGTTTATCTTCTCCAACAGACAGTAAGTTATAGAAGGGACTGTGTTATTTATCTTGTTATTTCTAATTCAGTCCCTAGCACATAGGAGCTAAATTCATGTCTGAGGCAGAGGAAATAGAAAGGCAGCAAGGAAAAAGAATTTCTATAAGATCATAGAAATCTATTGTAATATCTTACTATTGTGTCATTTTCTATGGGACTTCAAAGTTTGGAGAACTGACAATCAAGTTTCTTCCTGACTTACTGAAGTAAGAAGAGAATTCATAATACTTCTGACTTTATTCCTCTCCCTTACAAATCGAGGCAGGATTTAAGAGAATTAGTCATTTTCTGTATGAGAGGGAGAATTCTTGGCAGCCCACTGGGAAGTAAAGGCCACTTGGCATGACTCCAGTTTACTTACTAGAAGCCAATATCCAGCTTATATCCATTGCTTCCATTCAACATGGAAGCTAAAGGATGGCAGCCATAGAGCTGCTAAAAACAGTAGTAAAAATAATAATTTTAGAACAGTAAACCTCAAACTAAACCCGGGACCAAGAAGTCAAGAAAAGCAGAAAGATACATCTGGACAGAGTACACCCCAAACCAAATAGCACCCTGTGACCTATGTTTCTCTTCTGTGCCTGTTTTTCTCTCTCTCTTTCTTTCTCTCTTCTTTCTTTCTCTTTCTTTTTTTCTTTCTTTCCTCCTCTCCTCTCCTCTCTTTTCTTTTTCTTTTCTTTTCTTTTTTCTTTTTTTCTTTTCTTTTGAGACAGGGTCTCAGTCTGTTGTCCAGGCTGGAATGCAGTAGCGTGATCTCGGCTCACTGCAACCTCCGCCTCCTGGGTTCAAGTGATTCTCCTGCCTCAGCCTCCAGAGTAGCTGGGACTACAGGTGTGCACCACCACCCTTGGCTAATTTTTGTATTTTCAGTAGAGATGGAGTTTCACCATATTGGCCAGGCTGGTCTTGAATTCCTGGCTTCAAGTGATTCCCTGACCTTGGCCTCTCAAAGTGCTGAGATTACGGGCATAAGCCACTGCACCTGGCCTGTGTCTGCTATTTTTCTATCCTTGAACCATTTTTGCCCCATATTTATATGACAGTACAAGGATTGCCCACAGAGGCTACTAAACCAGAGAGGTTGCACTCTATTTTCCTTTGGGTCAATGGCATGATACAGATCTTTGTGGACATTTAAGAGTGCACAAAAGGAGTCCCTAGACTTGACCTTTACAGCTGCCTTTCCCTTAAGCTATCTCTAATATAATACTAAAGATGCACATTACAGTTAGTTATTCAGTTCTCTCTAACATGATTGTTACCACCTACCTAGACTCGAGAGCTTTGCATTTCCTCCAGCACCAAGGACAGTTCCCAGCAGGCCACAGGCGTTCCACCAATGTTCACTAATTTGAGGAGAACTATTGGTATGCAATTGATGGAAAGTTCTCTAAATGAGGCAAAGGGCATTACTCAATCTTCTCCACGTATTTTCCTTCTCATTTTGAAAAGGCTGCTAATTTTGTTGTTGTAGAGAAATTGAAATTATGAAAATTACATTTGAGGAAATCCACACAGCTGTTGATTTTTGGGGCTGAACTTTTTCAGCCAACACACTAGATTAATTGTGGAATCTCCTGTTTTCAAAAAATAAGTTGAGGATCTTGGGCTGACAAATGAAGCTCAATAAAACATAAGCACATGGGAGCTTATTGAGTTTGTTCAGACCATAGAATTATCCAAACCTGCTGGTGGGATGCCTTTATTTTAAATAGACTTAGAAGAAAGATAAACTGTTAAACAAATATTGACTACGTGTTCTGTCTGATTCTCAAAGAAAATGGGTAATAGAAGCTCAGGGTGTCATGATTTTAAGAGATTCACCAGTTGGATAAAAACATCTAGTATCACATACTCAGAGCATAAAAATTAAAAAGTGATTTCTCTTGATTATTTTATGGATAAGAAGGGGTAAACAAAAAAAAGAAAACTTTATTTTCCATTAAACATTTCTAGGGCCCTAGGATTGGAATAGAAAGGAGACATAAAATATTTGACTAAAGTTAGTCATCTTTTAAGTTAGCATGCTTTCTCTTCAAAAATCCATATTTTGCTCATTTAAAAAATATATTATTTAACCAAGCAGCTAATTTTATTATTTCCAAACTACTTTACACGGTGCCATATACTAGAAAGTACATGGGTGCTAGAAAACATGTTCCCTGCATTGGTCACTAACTGGCAATATCTTATACCATTTGCTAATTTTTGTGCTCCAGTATCATTAACTCAGTAAATATGTATATTTTATTACATTAAACAATACGTCCTTTGGTCTGCTGTTAGCCTTGAGAGGAACTAAATGAGACTGTTGGTATACATATGTTGAGCATGATCAGTTACTTGAATTGTTTGGGCTTGCGAATTTAAAGCTTTAAGAGAAGTACCTTGGTATTCTTACAACAGAAGGAACTGACAGTATAGTCTAGTTTATAGAGCCCAGACCAATGCTTAGGGCTTGCTGGAGGTTTAAATGTCAAAATATTTGAGCATTAAAAAAGCCTGTCAGGTAAGAAACTTCAAAACTTGTCAAAACTATACAGCTAATGGCTTTGTAGTAAAACATGTCCCTGAGCACAAAGTGAAGGCAAGAAAGAGCTGAAGGATGTTTCTATTAGGACACAAGCAGCAGTTATAAACAGCATCTACCACATAGTATACAATTGGTCAAATAGAACTTGGTCCTTGTTATGAAATAAATGTTTTTTTCCATACCCACTAAATTCATAAGTTGAAATCCTAATCCCTGATGTGATGGTATTAGGAGGTAGGGCCTTTGGGAGATAACTAAGTTAAGAAGAAGATGGAGCCCTCATGAGTAGGATTACTGCCCTTATAAAAGGGACCCTAGAGAGCTCCTTAGCTCTCCTTCCACCATGTGAGAATACAAGGAGTCAGTCTATTGCCTGCAACCCAGTAGGGGGTTCTCACCAGAACCTGACCATGTTGGCCCTCTGATCTCAGATTTCCAGTCTCTAGAGCTGTGAGAAATAAATTTCTATTGTTTTAAAGCCACTCAATCTATGGTCTTTGTTACAGCACCCCAGAATGTCTAATGCACCCATGATTTGGATATTTTAGACATCTACATATTAATTTAATATGGTGAGAGTTAGCTCCTGTTACCAAAGAGGCCATGAATCTTGAGAATAAGCTAAAGCTATTCACACCTGCACTGAACATTTATCTTACACCTACTTTATGTCAAGTATTTTACAGTATTTATAAAAAAGACACATTTCTTTTTGGACCAGATATATTGCAAATATGCCATCACTACCACTTCGGCATATTGAAGTTACAAATATTGAAACAACCCTGCCAAATCTCTAAAGAGAAGATTTTTAGGCAGCTAAGAACCTAGAAAAATGAACAACAGTTAGAGACCTAACAAGATTACAAATAAATGGATATCTAAGTTGAAGAAGAATGAGGAATGTGTAGAAACCAGCCAAAGATCTAAAGCCAGAGAACTGAAAGATCAAACCATTCTTCTCCAAAAGGAAAAAGAAAAAAAAAAAAAGTAGAGTTGAAAGGTTAAATAAAAACGGAAAAATAGTTTTTTCCAAAGAAAGTTAAATATATATATGGCTAGAAAAAGCAAAGAATGATAAGAAAAGGTAGGTATCCCCTAAATGATTTATCTTGGAGGCAATGAAAACTCTAAAGTCAATTTCTGATCAGTGTATATCATATAAACAAATATGCAAAGGTATATTGAGGAAAGCTGGTTTAATATATGCACGTTAGTTTGGGGAAGTATATCAAATCCACTTAAACTGCTTTTTTGGAGAAAAAGTCCTTACCACCTGATTGCTGCTGGAGGAGAGAACAAGATCTGGAAGGGAAGGGGTTTTAATGTTGAAAAGTCTCTGATGATTCTGATTTACTTCCTTGAGTTTAGATCCACATGTTTAGTTGGTGATTCACTGAGCTTCTGCAAAGGTCAGAGCACATGTTCCACAGAAAAACTCACCTCTGAAAGACTCTCCCACTCCTGTAGTGGGAGGTGTTACCTAACTGGAGAGGTTCCCATTTACATATCACACTTACTTGGGATTGCCTCATAGTCAAAGGAATCCTGGGAATGAGGGATGATACAGGAAGAGAGGAAGGGAGGTCAGTTCCAAGATTTTGACAGATGAAAACAAGTATTTTTCCAGGTTGGGAGCCAAAATCACAAAGATCTTGGTATATTCCAGAAGAGAGTTCTCTAATCTCTGCATAGATTTATTTTATTTTTACTACAGAAGGGCCTTAAATGACCAGATAAAGCAGAGGATGAGAGTTCAGAAAGGCTTTCTTGGCTTGAGAGAGAAGGGCAAGAGAGAGGAAAGGCTGAGAACTGTCTGTATTTCAGGATCTAGGCCAAGGGGCCAACGAGAAATAAGAAGGCCACTCTTGGTATTGTTTATTATATCCTATTGCAAAGGGCTCCCATAGAAAGAACTGGGATCTAAGGGCCTGTGAAGGAGGATTAGGTGGTGAGTAACATCTCCATATAGTCAGTATGTTTTAAACCTGGAGGAGCATGGCTAGAGACAGGGGGAAGAGCCAGACTTGGCCACTGTCTAAGAACCCTTGGTAGGAGTTTCAGCCCTGCAGGTAACTCTTTTTTGCAATGTCAGCACTACAGGACAAAGGTGGGAAAGAGGAAAGCACATGAATCCCAGATTCCTGCACTCAGAGATTCCGAAGGCGACTTATTGTGGCCTCTTAGGTGTTAGAGGGAAGGCTGGGGGTGCCTGAAATCCCTGCCCACTTCCTGGCTGCCCAGGGCCAAGGAGGGCCTGGTTATAGGCCCAACTCAACAAACTTCTCCCCCATCCATCCTTTTACCACACCACCCCCAGTCATCACAGAAAAATGACCCAATTACTCAGCCTCCTGCCTTAATTGTGGGACACATAGTGACTAAGTGTTCACAATTGCCCATTTCTTCCACCCCCCCCCCACCCGCCACTTTGCCTTGACCAAACATGAGTCAGGCTTCTCTCCAGCAGGTCCCTGGAATTTAGCTTGCCCCCCAAATCTGAGCAAGAACTAAAATGTGAAACATTCACCATTGTTAGCTTATCTTCCAAATTCTTGGACCACAGAGACACATTTCTTGTTCAACCAAGAGGGTCTTGAAGTGAGTTGTTTCCCCCATCCACTTGGCTTTGCCTATTGCTTGCTCCCCCTTATATATATAGAAAAAAAAGGCCGATTTCTGTTTGGTTTTGAGAGGTTTGCAGATTTCTGAGATCAGAGCGTTTTCCCTGTTGCAATAGTCTTTCTTTCTAATGGAAGTCTCCCTATCTTATCTAAATTCGGATTTGTTTCTGTTTGACGTTAATGTGTAGCTAAGAGTGATCCCAGGTGAGTCTGAGCCCGCCTTGGTGGGGAATGAAGCCTGGAGCATCGGAGCATTTGTCTTTCTCTTAGAAAAGGCAAGGAAGCCTGAAATGCGCAGCTCTCCCTTGAACTTCAACTTTTTAAAGGGGAATGAATTTCTAAAGGAGGAGTTTCCAGTCTAGGGCTGTAGGGGCCTCCGGGCAAAGGAAGTGCTTGTTGAAAAACAACATTGTGATCACTTCCAGCGGCGAAGGGTGTGCTTGGGAACGGTTTGGGGAGGGGACAGAAGAGAGAGGGGTGGGATGGACGGCGGCAGAAGTGGGAGGTACACGAGGAGTTACTGGAAACGGCGCTTCTGTGGAGGAGCCGGGGGGGATGGGGAGTAGAGGGAGGGGGCCCTGTTGCCTCAGCGCCCCGAGGTCGTGGAGCGGCAGCAGCTGCAGCCGGAGCAGCACCAGCAACAGCAACAGCGAGCGGGACGGAGTTAGGACCGCTCGGAGCGCACAGGTCTCGAGGTAGTATAAGGTTTGCTATCCTTCCACTTGCTGGCAGTTGCAGAAGAAGATCTGCTTTTTAAGTGAAACGTACATGCCACCCCTCCGAGGGCTGCGGCTTCCCCGGGCTTGCTTCTTTGCCGCTCCTCTTTCCGGCTCTCGCGCTCACTCTTTAATTGGCACTGGCCCCTAAGTTTGCCAGGAGCTCGCTGCCCGCTCGGAGCAGGGTCCCGGCCGGGAGCCGCTGGTGGGGGCGGGGAGTCCGGGAGCCGCAATCCAGAAGCGTCGTGGGCCATGTATATTTCATCAAACGGACTTTGGGTGCGTCGCGTCTCACTGCCATCAGTGCTATGTGCAGTGACATTTCTGACTTGAGTGGAGGAATGCGCGAAGGAAACCCGGGCGAAATTGGTATTAGAGGATCTTCTTGGCGCCAATGCTAATTGTCCTGATTTATGCCCCTTCTGACTAAGCTCAACGTCTTCATCTGAAATAAAATGAAAGCGGTGCCAAGCGGCATAGAACCGCCTGGCCGCTGGTTCTGATCCCCGGGAACCAGAAAATCGTCCTGCGGCTTGAAAAAAAAAAAAAGAGGAAAAAAAAAAGAAATAGAAATAGAAAAAAGAAAAAATATCCCTCAGTAAAAGTTTAAGGCGAGAAGTGTCAGAGGCAGCGGAGCGAGGAGGCGCGGAGGAGAGCCGGCGAGCAGGGGACTGGGCTGGCACGACCTCCGAAGGCTGAGATCTCATTATTAATATCACTATATTTTTGGAGGGAGAGGCACCTTTCTCATCCTCTCTTCCTCTCCGCCCACCCTTACTCCCTCCCCCTCATCTACCTGTCAAAGTCACTGATCTTTTGCATTTCGGAAGAGGACGTCAACGGGAAGGAATTCCCCCTCTGGGTGCGGGCTCCGAGAGGGGGCGACTTGCAGGAGGCTCCCCCCGGGGGCGGAGGCGAAGGTAATTAAGCGGCGGGGAGTGGCGGGCCGGCGCTGGGTTCTCGGTCCTCGGGGTCCTCTCCCGCCGGCGGCCGGGCGCGATCGGAATCCCCGGGCTGCGGCGGTGGCGGCGGCTCGGGTCCTCACGCCCACCCCTCCCGCTCCGCCCGCTCCCGCCTGGGGAGGAGGCTCCGCGGGAGCTGCCGCCCTCCGCCCGTACGCCGCCCGCGGGCTCCGCTGCTGCGGCCGCCGCCCGAGGCGGACCAGGCTGGCTGCGCAGGGCCGCCGCCCCGCGCCGTCGGCTCGGCTCCCGCCCGGCGCAAGGGCAAACGAGCCACACGGTAAGTGCCTGCGGCTCGCCTCTCCTACTGCGACCCGAGCCTCTCGCCCGTGCCCCTCTCCCCCGGGTTTCCCCACCCCCCGCCGCCCCCCGCCCCACCCGCTGCGATGCACAGGCGGGAGGGAAGGCTCCGGGTGGGCGAGGAACTTTGTAAAGCGCCCCGAGGAGGCAGCGCGCGGAGCCCTACGCGCACACACAGCGGCACACGCTCACACCCACACACAAGTCTTCCCGGGGGTGCGCCCCGGGCCGGTGATGCGTCCTCTTGTTGTGTCCGGAGCCCAGGCGTGGGGTCTGAGCCTCCATCCGCCGACTGACAGGGGCCCCGCGCTCTCCCTCTCTCACGCACACCTGGCCACACACATCGCTCAGGCGGCTTGTCGTTATTTTTTCTTTCTTTCGCCAATTATATTTGTTTGGGGAAAAGCAAACAAAAAAAACAAAAAAACACTTGCCCTATTGCCGGCCTTGGGGATCTGGTGGCCACATCGAGAGCTTTTGAAGTCCCTTCTTTTAATCGCCTTTATTGGTGCTAGATTAAAACATTACTATCCCATGTTGTGCAGCTGGGGAGAAAGGGAAATTGAAAGAGGAAGACTTGGTGTAGGGATGCTGTTTGGAATATTCTCTCATATTCTTTACTGGCATCATATTAATCGGTTGATGGATTCGGCTAGGGACACTGAATTGCACTCCTGTATGGATCTGTGGATATCTATATATAATACAAATAATACTGAATATTATTGGGCCTAAAATAACCAATTAAGTGATTCATACAAGGAAAAACTTAGATATAAAAAGAAACTGCGCCCTCTGCTGTTAATTTTAGTACCCTCACCCGGGGACTTTTTTTTTTTTTCCTTCAGAAATCCACTTAAGAGTAGGCTGTCATCTTACAGGGCAAGGGAAGAAAATTCCTAGCGGGGATTTTAAAGCAACTTTACTTGGAAAAGTCGCAGGTTGAGCTCCTATAGTTGCATCAGGTACAGATTTCCAGTGAGTAGACGGTCCTCCTCTCTCACCCATTCTTCTCTTTATACAGGGAATAATGGAGCCACTCCTCATAACAAATTGTCAATCTTTGGAATGGAAAATTCTGAGTAAGATTCAGAACTCCACTAAACATATGGTGAATCTGGCAGTAGAATTGCTCTAGAAATAAGGCCCTGTTTTATGACTGAAAATACTAAAAGTTGTTTTATCTTACAGAAATGAAAAAAAAAAAAACCCAGGAAGATCTTCCATTAAAATCACTTATTCAGATATGCTTAGTAGTTAAGCTTGTTGGAAAGTTTTCCAAAAAATAATTTTTTTTTTTTTCAGGGGAGGCTTTTCTGTTTTGTTTGTCCCTTGAGGAGGATCTCTAGTGAGGGAATTAGCAATTCCACATTTCATTAAGTATTTTGAACTGTGTCACTTTGAATGCCTTACCCGCCTCCCTTTCTCTTTGGCAAAGGAAAAGCAGCTCAGTAACTGTCCAAGATTCTTTTTGAAGATAAGCAACTTTCGATTTTTCATTAAGATAAAATTTGGATCTCTGCATGTGGATCAACATGCAAGGAAAAATGTGCATCAAGTATTTCACATGTAATGTTGTTCCAGGGATATATTTTCTTTTCTGGATGCCGTGAAATGAGATATATTTCACCCACTGAAGACCACCATGAAGGCATTCAGGATTCTATATACTGCACTACTAATTTGGTGGTATTTCCTTACTGTGGAATTTAAGACGGATAATCTTAAAACTTTTGCATGGAAACAGTTTATTTGAACATAAAGCTGGTTTCCTGTTAATATTTTTGTTTTGTCAGTTTTCAATGGGTATATGTGTTAAAATGATTCAGGTTAGCCTTTTTAGGAGGAGGCAAATGTATTTTGCAGTTTCCTTTTGTATATTTGCAAGTGGTGCAAATACCTATTTTTGCTTCCATTATTATTCTGAAAAATATTCAGGTAATTTGTTTAAAAAGTTAAACCATTACACATTTATTTGATAGGATTTCTAAGTGTCATAAAAATTTGGAGAGTTTTAGTTACAAAGGCATCAAGTCACTTGGAAAAAAGAAAATTGGATTCAACTTTGAAAACCAATTATATGTTAACATTGAAATATATGTGTGTGAATTATATTGTATAGGAGATTATATTAGTAAAGTCTTAGGTTAGTATGAGATTTAGCATACTTTAAAAAATAATTTTATTTGCAGAATCCAAAGTTCTGTTTCAAAACTTCAGGTAGGTGTAGATTTTCTCATATATGCGTTTGAGACCTTAGATCTCTGAACTTCCCTGCATGAGAATTAAATATTTGTTTTTCATGTGGTAATTAAATTCCAGATTTCTTCTAGGCTTAACTGATTCTGAAATAGTTTTGGGTATTATCCCATCCTCAATCATCCTGCAAAACATGTGCTATCTAATTTCTTGAATCAGTCTTCTCTCAATGAAAATAGAGATCTTTCAATTACCACGGTGTGTTATTTGGGTTTATTAAGAATCTCATGATAGACAGTTGCTCATAATACCCAATCAAGTGTGAGTAAGCTATGCCAATGATGTTGCAGTACATATTAAATTCCTTATATTTTGAGAGACAGTTAACAAAAGGATAGAAGCATATGTTTTCCATTAAGTTGACTAGAAAATGCTTTCTTCAGAACAAATAGCTGCAAAGAGCATTGAATACATGTTAAAATATCTTATGTAATAAATTTCATTATGACTGTTGGAAGCTGCTAATTTTGATAGGTTATAATTTTGTATATCTTTATCTTTTTATATTTTCACTCAATGATCTATATAGTCAATTTTCCTTTTGTTCCTTCCCATTCAGAAACATGCATATTTATAAAATTCTTAATGTGAATGAGGAATGAGTCAATAGTTGTGTATTTCAGGTACCCCTGAAAAGCTGAATATTTATGAAAAAAATAGCTTACTACCACCATTCCCACCTGCTAGTGAGATTATATAATAAAATGAATGCTGAAAACCAGCTAGATTAGGAGATTTACTGATAATGTCTTCCTCTCAGTTGATGAAACTGGCAATTGCTTTTGGAATATAATTGCCTGTAATATTAACCATTATTACTTCCATGTAATATTTTGGGAGGCTTTTTTTTTCTGGTGAAAGAAAGGGCCTGTGAAAATGGCTTCTGCAAAATTAATCCAAGGTGGAAGGGAATTAGCTGCAGAATCCTGGACAAATACATGTTTTGTGTGTGCAAAGGCATTTTATAGCCCATTTTAGTCCTGATCAATAATCTCTATCAACTTGAGGGCCATGACTTAATTTTACCTTTTATTATTGGTTCTGCAAATTTATACACCGGAGGTCTATGGGGTACTCACAACCTATTAATGGGTATTTTTATCAAAGGAGACTTCTCAGTACTTTAGTTCCCAAGTAGAGGTGGTAGCATTTTTGATTACAGTGAGTTCCCAAGGTCTGCAAAGTGAAGAGGTAGAACTGGAGCTGCCCAGAGCTCTTATGAATCTGTTCTTATTTAGGTGATACGGACACCTGAGACAAATTTAAAGGCCACGTCACTTCACAATTAGTTCAGTTATGGGCCAGAAGGGATAGGTTTAGTATATTAAGTCCCCAAATATGTTATTCACTGTCCTTCTCATAATTGGTTTCCCTAGCTATTTGCTGTGATGACCTAGCTTTTAAGAAGCTATTGATAATTTTAACCTGTTTGAAAGCACAGCAGATAGACACAGTGCCATTAAATAGTGGAGGTTAAGTTGTAAATAATATTCTATTTTTACATCATTGTATTTTCTTTGAAAACTCTGTAATTATACTTTAATAACAAATTCCTGATTTTCAGAGGCTGCTTTTCCATTGTGTGTCATGGAAGTTCATAGATTTAATTTCTTACTAATTTGAAGTTAAGAGGATTTCCTTTGAAGTATATGTGACACTGAAAAGTAAGAAGACCCTGAAATGCAGGATACATAACAATAGTACAAATATAAAAATTAGAATGAAATCAAATAATTATGTTAAATAACAGCTTAGTGTCCCTCTGCTCCTGATCTGTAATACGCCGTGGTCAATATCTTTTTCTGTGTCAATGGGAGCTCATTAAATGTAAACTCTGCAGACTAACTGAGCCATGCCATATTAGTGCTTGCCAAAGCTTGACATTTTTAATACATTAATAATATGTCTGTAATGTAATGGAAAACTATTAATCACAACTGGTTATGTGCCAGAAATTTAAGCTATAATTGGCTGCCTCTTGTCAAGAATGTCTGTTGCACAGTCCTGCAACTGCCTAATATTCAAATATCTTGCACTCTTCTGCATTTTTCCTTGTCAGTTCTCTAAATTCGATCAATGGTGTAGTCCATAATTCTGTGTAATGACCATCATTATAATCCTGGTATACTTTAATGAGAATTCGTTATATTGGGATTGCTGTTGTGTCAGGAGATAGCAAAGGGTTCACATATATTTCCTTAGTGTTCAAATTTTTCCTGTACAAATGTATGGTCACCCTTTATTTTGTGGTTGCAGTAATGCAAAATGTGGTTGAGGACAGAGTAACCGAGAATAAATGGATGAGGAGAATATCATTTGTTGGTTAAAAAAGAAAGTGAAGACTAATCTCAGGAAGCACTCAAATATATTTAAAGTGGTATTTTCAAACTAATATTAAAAATAAACACACAATGCTCACTCCATTCAAACTCAAAACAGTCAATTCCGGGTCTTCAAGATTATATCATTCTTGATAAATAAATTACTGTGTATTTGAAACTAAGAATTAAAGTTAATAATTTCTGACCTAATAGATTTTACACTGCTTCAGTTATAATGCCTCCATCCCCCGGCCCTTTGGAAAGTATTTGTTTCCTCTTATAAAAACTAGTAAACACAGTTGAAAAATTCATCTCAAAAATGTAAATTTGTATCATTTTAACACCTCAGATTATTAATTGTCAAATTGTTGGATGTGTCTGAAAATATCAACTTAAAATTACTAATGAATCTGAAAAAAAGCAGAAGGCTATAGTAGCCACAACACATGCTTCTCTGATTTTTTTCTTTTTAGCTTAAGATTTCAAAATGGGCTTTACCCAGTATAGTTTTTAGGTTACAAGGAAGAGGCTGATTCAAATCTGTAGTTTATACATATTTAGACAAACTACTAATTATTGCTTCATAGGAACTCAAATATTCAACACTTTTTCTATTAGAAAATATCACAAATTGCAGCTGTATGATAACATTTTATGAATTGAATATAATGAAAATTGCACTTGCATCCATAAAGCAATTATTATAAATTACTTTGCTATGGAAACACAATTCAACCATCTGTTGGCATTTCATAGTCTCTGTGGCTTAGTTCATTTTAAGATGGTACATTATTTAAATATAATGAATTCCCTTTATAAGATTGTTTGAAGATAGTGAACTTCCATATTTCAACTGTTTAATGTGAATTGAAGGGTCTATAATAGAATTTTCTAAAATTGTAGGCTTTTTTGTCCTTTTTGCATTGCTTAAAAATCAGTTAACTTTTAGACTATAAATATAAGCAATCTAATTAAGAAATTATACTTTTTAATACCTGGTTTCCAAATGTTAGCATTTGTTCAGATTTGGATAGTGATCTCTAAACAGAAAAGTGGCCAGTTAAACTCACCAATGACTTGTAGCCATAGTTATGTAGGATGCATTATCAGTTAATCAAAAGTACTTTTACACAGTAATTTTTATTTTCTCTTAGAATTAGTGCCATATTATTCTGCTTCATGGCCTGTTAACTCACCCTCGGCTATTTTTATGTGTGCATTTTAAATTGTGCGTTTTACTACAGAGCTTTTAGTTTTAAAGCAGCTTATAATATTCGCCTTTGGGACAAATTCTCTTCTGTTACAAAAAGTAACGGCAAATGCAGATGTAATGGCTATAAAAAGATGTAAAAATATAGAAAATTCTTATGAAAGGAAATTTTGCTCCTTTGGTTTTATTTTTGATTTTTTTTTTTCAGAGAGCCAACTTATCTTTATTACTAAATGCAACTAAACAAAAGATGCTAAATTCTTCCAATGTAATGAGCAAATCCACAGGGACAGGCTTATGCCAACAATGCGGATTTTCACTCCAGCAAAGAAAAGCTAAGAAAAGTACAAGGAATTTGGAGATTTTTAGGGTCTCTTTGCCAAGAGACAAAAGGGATATAAGTAGTTGTCATTTCTTTGTCATCATTATAAAAGTGCTCATTTACCCCATTGTTCTCTTGGAAGATTTTCTAGCACTGCAATGTATGAGAAATGTTCAAATCTAGCTGCTTGCTCTCAGTTTTGTCAAGATGGAAATATAATTTTTGAAGTGAAAACCTGTAACTCACGCACACGTGTCTGTCTTTGTTATGGAAGAGTTAAATCCTTCATATTAAAATTCTCCCCAATGTGAATGATTTCCATGGTTTGCTCATTCTAGCAAAGCAGCTGAGTAAAGGTTATCTGTATTACACCAATTTGCTTTATATTGCATCAGACCTCCAAAATGTCAACATATTGTACATTTCGTAATATATTGATTCTGGGACAATAACACTTACTCTTATTGTTTCTAAAAGGGTGTTGGTGCCAGAAGAAAAGAATGATTGATGGGAAACAGACACCGGGCTATAGACACTCATCCTTTTGCTTCAGATACTGATATCTCAGCCTGCTTGAGCATCCCTTGTGAGCTGTGAACATTGAGGATCACTCAGGGTTATCGGATGTACAACGGGAGAGCCATCGCTTTGCTAAATTATTATCTGCAATTGGACATCTTTTACAAAAACCAAACTAGACCTGAGTCTAATAGATATGTTCTAAGACAAAGAAAAAGCTGCAAGTTGTTAACGCCTAACACACAAGTATGTTAGGCTTCCACCAAAGTCCTCAATATACCTGAATACGCACAATATCTTAACTCTTCATATTTGGTTTTGGGATCTGCTTTGAGGTCCCATCTTCATTTAAAAAAAAATACAGAGACCTACCTACCCGTACGCATACATACATATGTGTATATATATGTAAACTAGACAAAGATCGCAGATCATAAAGCAAGCTCTGCTTTAGTTTCCAAGAAGATTACAAAGAATTTAGAGATGTATTTGTCAAGATTCCTGTCGATTCATGCCCTTTGGGTTACGGTGTCCTCAGTGATGCAGCCCTACCCTTTGGTTTGGGGACATTATGATTTGTGTAAGACTCAGATTTACACGGAAGAAGGGAAAGTTTGGGATTACATGGCCTGCCAGCCGGAATCCACGGACATGACAAAATATCTGAAAGTGAAACTCGATCCTCCGGATATTACCTGTGGAGACCCTCCTGAGACGTTCTGTGCAATGGTGAGGTAACCCTTTTGCATAAAATATTTCATATAAATAGGGTCTAATCGCATATGCATACAGATGTGGTGAGTGTGAAGACAATTCATGCAATAAGTTGAATCTGCAGGTGGCAGATTTGTGTTAACAGGCTAGTTTCTTTCTCAGTGGAGGCTTACACTGCCTGGAGTTACAATTTGTGCAGGGTGATTGATGCCCTGGAAGGAACTTACTTTCCGCTTCCCTGAAAACCTATAGTTTCACTGAGGCAGGTACACTATAGCATATATTATAAAAGAAAAAGTTCGATTGAAAGTTAAATTTTAGATTGGAGGTTGGAAATATGATTAGGTCATATCTGTCATGTTAAGGATAAAATGCATTGGCAAACCAACTTTAAAAACACAAATGTTTCTTCACATATGTGTATAAAGCCAGTCCTAAATTCTGTAGTTCAAGGAGAGACTAGATCTCATAATTATGTTCATCAGGAAGCTGCTATGATTTGGGAGTCCTTGGTTAGGAGATCAGCAAGAAAAAAAGTAGAGGAGAGAGGAACTAAAGCCTTGTGAGAAGTTTTTCCAGAAAAATCTTATTTGCCAACTCCCCTTATTGTCAAGGTCATAGTTTTCTATGTATATTTTAAAGATGACTTTTGGAATATAGAAAACTTATTTGCTGAAAAGCAAGGACTCAGCATATACAAATTCAGATACTTTTTTTTGATGAGCAAAGTTACAGAATTCATTGTTCTGAAGGCTTATATAAGTCCTTTTTTTTCTGCATAGAAAGTTAAATACCATGTGAAAAGGTAATATTGGAGTAACACATTGAATTTTTAAGAAAGACATGGCTGACAATATTTCTATAAGTATTAGTAAAGAGGCTGGTGATTAAAATAGTATACATTAATGTGCTAAAGAGTTCAGATGGTGAGTTCATTTGGTTTTTTTTTTAATTATAGGTGGTTTTTATTTGATAGAAGAACTGCGATCCTGTTTTTCTCCACATAACAGATATAATTGTATGGCAGATTTTAATAATAATCTTACCTGACTATATTATCTTGAACCTGGCCTGGCATTTTCAGGATAGTGAAACTATTAATCAAAGTAGCATCTGTTCACAGTCCCCAGTGAGTTAAATTAGCATAAGATCATCTTAGACCTAGCACCATAAAAAAGGTTTTGTAACAGGAAACAATTTTGAGCAATAAAGAGTGTTTTCACCTTAAAGCTAAGGGCTTGCCATTTTTCAGAAGTGCCTTTGGGGACTGGTTTGAATTATAGTCTAAACCTGATTTTGTGGAGAGTGAGAAAAAGCACTTGGCTATTAGGTGTCACTGTTACTAAAGTGCCCTGAAAGACTAAATATTTCAAAGAGAGGACCCGTCTCTATGGGAACAGGTATGTGCTTTGCAAAGAAGTTGCATTTTGGAAAGCAGAGAGTTCCAGAGAAGGAGTTTATTCAAACACATTAGCAAAATCATAATAAATCAGTACAGGAGCAGAGACATTTGTGGTGGCTTTATGTGAGGTCTTTAATAATTTCTCATGAAAGGTCAACTATAAGAGCTCATTACAAATCTGGGTTGAAATTGCTGTTTGGGTGATAGGTTGTATAGTCTTCTACGCCTTATAGCAGAGGATGAGTTCCAGGCCAAGTCTGCATATTGTTAAGAACTCTCTAGCTCTGTATATTGGTTTACATGACACTTGTAACAACATGTCCCTTCTGGAATTGTTTAATAATTTACAGATCTAAGTAAAATAGCAAATTTCCTTTCTCAGGGTGCTGTTTTCCCTCTCATAAGCCCTGTGTGATGTTTTCAAGGTGTGATTTGTGGGTGCAGCTTCCCTGATCTCAGTCTCTGGCCAGAGAATGCTTGCTTAGCACTGCTCCTGTCTGTCATGTTGAAGGGTTTACTTGGTGTCTTCAGCATGCCTCTTCCTCCCATCATGAGTGCAAAGGGCATGTTACGGATCTTCCCATGCCTGCCTTTCAAAGGGACATGGTCTAAGGTATTTAAACAAGTCCATTCCTCTCAGTCCATTGGCTAAGTGATGTTAGAGACCAAATGGGAAAAAAGAATTAAAATGATATCCCTCAGCTTTCTCAAGTGCAGTAATGTGTATACTATGTATGTTCACATGAAACTCCGTAGGACAGTCTTTAAAAGGCTGCATCTTAGTGTGATGCGGATATTTGGAAGCCCTGGTGGATGTAAACTTGTCATTGGACAGAATGGTTTTCCAAGGGAGAATGTAAGATTTGTGAAATATTACCTATCAATGCTTAATTTGTATTCCTTAATATGCATATGATAGGCATAACAAATTTAATAATCTATCCTTTAAATATATACCTTGTGACTATTTGTATGCATATTATATACCACGTCAATGGTAATGGCCTAATACAGCAACACATTCACTCTGCAGTTTTGGATGTTCCATAAAACTCTTTAGCATAAGGATTCCTGACAGAAGGTTGGGAAACTGTCTCAGGATGCTGTCATATCAAACCTGTTTAGGTACTCCTTAGCCCAGGGTGTAATGGGGATTCATAAAGTCATTTGTGTTATGACTTATGCGTTCTCCCCTCCTTGACGCTTGCATCCATACCTGCTCCCTCAGAGTCATTATGGCCTATTACATCAGGGGAGCTGCCACATGAGTACAGCCACTGCTTAGCCCCTATATGTAAATGTTTGCTGCAAAATTGTTTCAGTAATCACTTGTTCAGCTAGTGACACTCCTATTAGCTGTGGCTATAGCTGTTCTGAGCATCGAGGGAACATGTGCTGAGAGAAATACCTATAATTCCCAGGGCCAATTTCTTTAATATAAAGTTGAAGTTCATTGGCATTGCATTAAGAGTCCGTGTTGCTGCTTTTTTCATTGACTTCATCATTATAGGCCAGTGACTATCCATGAATGTTGCATTTATTTTAATATAGAGTAAAATTTCAGGAAAAGAAGGAGCATATGGATTCCATTTAACAATAGATCTCTGCTTATTAACCTGGATGGCATACTTAATAAATCTTCAATGTGAAGTACTTTAAAATTGTTCTATATTAATTGTACCAGTATTTATAAACATTAGTTTTTCAGGAGCACACTGCCATTTCTATTAATCATAGTGGATAAGGAAGAGGAATATATATATATGCACACACATATATATATACACACACATACATATATATATACATACATATATACATACATATATACACATATATACATACATATATACATGTATATACACATACATATATATAAATTGCATATATTGAAAACCATATATTTTCTTTTTAATTTGATATATTCCTTTTGAGTTGATGATGGCTAAAGAAAATCTCTGTTTTTGTCAATGGGGAAGAATCTGAAGGGAAGGTGGGGGTTAACCCTTTTTTTAGGCTGGGAAAACACATTTGAATAGATCCTATCTTTTCAGCCACATTGAAAGCTTCAGGTGGCAGAGCTTTGTCAGGAAACACAGATCATCTAGTGACTACAATTTGTTTCAATTTGCATAAAGAGCAGAGAGGATGATCTGAACCTGTGTGTAAAGCTGAAGTGACAACACAAAGCTATGACTTTTTCTTTGTGTTTAGACAAACTTAGCTGTCATATCTTCCCGCACACCCCAGTGGCTTAAAAATGGCAAAATTATCTGCAGTTATCTCTAGCCTGCAGCTAATTTTCTGGATAAGTTAAACAGACGCTTTGAAAAGGAGCCTACAGACGGAAGAACTCATGTGTGTTTATACAATTTATGGCTCAGAAGTGCTGATCACTGTAGAAATGGAAGCCCTTGAGTGCTGCTATGGATTTCAGAGCCAATCAAAACTAAATTAGGAAACAAAGATTATTAAAAAGTCTTCTGTGCATGTAATTTTGGCATAATATTATGAGGTGGACATTAAATGTTTCCCTTGGAGACGTTCAGCATCATTAATGCAGCATGCCTTTAATTACAAGTAGACTCATATTACTAAAAAATTGGAGAAAATAAAGTACTCTGAGGTACAGTTAGCAATAACCTCATTATGTTTACTGAAATAATTAAAAGAAAAGGTATAATTTTTCTAAATAAAATGTCAGAATGTGAAATGAAAATGGATTTTACTTAGGAAATTTACTAATGTGTGCCTGTGCTCTCGATAGGCATTTATTCAAGTACCTTAACAGATCTATTAATGATCACTCCATATTGTGCTATTTCTAGATAGACTTCTATTATGAAAGAAACTTTAATTATTGTAAGCATTGTGGATAGAGCATATTTCATTATGTTCAAATGGAATTTACGGAAGTGGTACAAAGCCTTTGTGTTTTGTGGTTTCAAAGGAACGCTGAGAGATGAGTGACTGGTAACTCATAATCTCAGGGCTATCTATAATTTCAAGTTCTGATTTACCTTTGGCTCAGGTTGCCATCTGGTGGCTGTCAGGTGACCCTTGAGAAAAGAACTTGATAAATTCAGTTACATTTTCCATGACATGGAATTACTATCAATTTTCCAAAAACTGGAAATGACATTGATTTATATAATAATCAAATAATCTTAAAAATACACTCTGTTCACATGAAACATAATTCAGTAAATGAATGAAGTTTTAGTAACAGTGACACCTTTCATTTGAACTGATTTATCCCTTAATTATGCCAAAATGGAATTTTTAAAAACCTTCAGTTCTTTCATTATTAACACTTCATTGTTATTAGTTCATTATTTAGACTTATTTCTTAGAAAAGTTTAACTCATGTTTGGAATGAATTAAGTTCCAAGGAAGTCTTTCTCATATACCACTATATCAAGTATTTCCTTTTTGAGGAGCCTACAATAGCTCCTTACTATCTATTGCATCATGTCTAAATTACTCTACCTGTTTTTTGAATTTGGGTGCATACAGCCTATCGTCCACTACTTCTCATCAGGACTCTATAGCATCTCCAGGGGACTATGGCTGGCAATCTGATTGGAAGGGGACAACTGGATTTGAGTTGAAACTGCCTTGGCATAGCATGCATGGCTTGTTGGAGAGGTCTTAGGAAGGAGCTGATGAAGATTATGGCAAATGTAACAAAACCTAAAACCACCTCATGTCATTTATTGTCCCAGATAGTGTGCGTAAGTGCTCTTTGTTGAGCTAATGCCTCACAAACATTACTGCAAACCATTGTTTGCAGAGTGAAGTGAACAGAGCATTCAGCACATGCAAAACCTAGTGGTGGTGGAGATAACTAATGTCGAATAATATATGGTCATTGCGGCCAACAGAAGTAGAGTCCTGAGCAAACTTAATACAAAGTAGTGTGTATACAGAGGGTAGAAGAATAGAGAAATAAGACCAGCACTCAGAATTTAAAGGTGAAATATTATTTTGCAACATGTCAAAGGCCACTTGGAAAATACTATCTGGTAGCCAAATGCCAGAAAAGGAGAGAAAATATTAAACAGTGCCAGAAAGGGAGAGAAAATAAGGCTGGGTTGGCCAAGTACAGTGGCTGATACCTGTAATCCCAGCACTTTGAGAGGCTGAAATGGGTGGATCTCTTGAGCCTAGGAGTTCAAGACCAGCCTGGGCAACAGAAAGAAACCCCATCTCTATAAAAATTAGCCAGACAAGGTGACATGCGCCTGTAGTCCCAGCTACTTGGGAGGCTGAGGTGGGAGGATCTGTTGAGCCCAGGAGGTCAAGGCTGCAGTGAGCCAAGATCATGCCACTGCACAACAGCCTAGGCAACAAAGCAAGACCCTGTCTCAAAAAAAAAAAAAAAAAAAAAAAAAAAAACTGGGTGGAGCAGATGGTGGCACAGTGTTTTAATGACTGCCTGGTGTCCTGGTTAATGGTAGACTTCTTCTTCTATCTGGCAGATATAGCCAGGATGGAAGAGGAACAAAATAATAAAGAACCTGATATATATATATATATCAGGTTGGAATATATATATGTATATATATTTCAAATATGCATATATAGTTATTAATTTAAGAGATACCAGACTATGTTGAGTAAAACAAATGTGGCTTATCTACCTGGAACTCCAATTTCACGTTAAGATTAGGGGAAAGATTTAACCGAATGCAGAGATGCAACATTTTTAAAGGTGAAACATGAGACCTCAAAATAATGAATGCTTTGCAGTGGAATACTGAAGTTACCTCCTTCAGTCCCCCTGGAGATAACCTTGTCTGCTTTTAATCTAGAGGATCATCACTTGCAAAGTGTGAGAAGCATTGCCCTAAAGCATCAGTCTCTCTGGACTGTTTTGAACTATAATGAGCATATTCTCCAGAATTTTGGAAGGCTTGCTCTGCTTTTCTTTGATTTTTGTTTTGTTTTGTTTTGTGTTTAACATGGGCTTTAGGATGGTCTCTTGATCCTCTGATTTTGAGGACTAGTGTTATCACCATGAAGCCCTCGTGTCATCTCTTGTCTCTAGGAGGACAAGCAGAAGACATTTCTTCTGTTTGGCATAGTCCGTGCTCTTCTCCACTTACTCTGATGCCACCTATCTTTCAATGTCTAGCTCAAGTTAATTTCAGGTCATATCATTCTCTTGACTTTTTAACTCATGTTAAATCTCTCTCTCTCTCTATCTCTATCTCTCTATCTAATATGTATAGATCTCTATATCTAGATAGACATATATAGTAGCCAGCACTGCCTGTGTACTCAACTGTACTCCACCATTTAGCACCTCATTAGATCTTATTGATTTATATACCCACATACACATTCGCTTCATGTTTACTGTATTCTGACTCTTTAAGTGGGTCACTACTCTTTAAGTGGGATGATATGTGAGAGAGCCACCACACTTGCTAATGTATAGTAGGAATTCACTAAAGACTATATATTATATTGTTTTTTATTCCTTGAACATACTCCAAGGCAGCAAATAAATGATAACATGGTTCTAGCTAATTAATTGATTTGAATATTTTAAAGTCATGCACTACATAATGATGTTTTGGTAAATGAGGGACTATTTATACTACAGAGGTCTCATGAGATTAAAATGCTGTATTTTTACGTACTTTTTCTATGTTTAGATAGATTTAGGTTCACAAATACTTAACATCATGTTATAGTTTCCTATAGTATTCAGTATAGTGACATGCTATACAGGCTTGTAGCCTAGGAGCAATAGACTATACCATACAGCCTAGGTATGTGTAGCAGGGTATACCATCTAGATGTGTGTAAGTACACTCTATGATGTTCACATAACAACAAGATCACCTAATGACACATTTCTCAAAATGTATCCCTGTCGTAAAGTGACACGTGACTGTATTTGATTACCGTAATGTTTTCTATTTCTTGAGCACATTTATCATAAATCTAATGTTTTCCTCTGTAAATTAAGAGACAACTAGCAAAATTTAGCTACTGTACTTGGGCAGCTTATGCTGCTCTCAGAAAAGAAATTGTAGAGGCAAAATCTACTCTGAACTCAGATACTGAAATCTCTCTCTTTTTCTGTAGACTATATATGAGAATTTTTTTCTATTTCTAATTAAATATAGGAGGTTTGGTATGTGAGGAAATAAGAATCTGTTTAGATAAAAAAGGCTATCCTGATATATGTTCAACACAGCATTATAACCAACGGAAAAAAGAATGAAAATATCATCAAGATATCCAAGTGGAAGGCAATTAAATAAAATATTGTATAGCCACATAATAGAATATGTATAGCTATTAAAGTAATATTTCTGAAGAATATATAATGAGAAAAATAAACATGGAAAACATAGTAGTAAATTTGTTTAAAGAATGATATGGCAAAATGATTTCAATGTTGTGTATGTTTTTAGGATGTTGAGCTCATTGTATTGTATTTAATTGAGGCTAAAAATTTAGGGCTGCATTCCTGTGTGGTCCAGGGACAGAACTGCCATTGAATGTATACTCCGTGTCAGTCATGGGGAAAGAGGTGTCAGGGAACTTAGGCAGGTCCCACTCTCTGGTCATTGCTCTCTTTTGTCTGTGCTTCTGGAGGAAGAAGGAAGGTAGCCTTGACCACATGGTATTAAGCGAAGTCAGGCCATCTCTTTGGAAGCAATAAGCTGAAGATGAGTAAATTACACCTTGTAAACTATACCTGTGGCTTTAAAATTTGCTTTAAATCGATCCACAGTGAGAAATAGATTTTATGTTGGAACACAGTAAACACACACTTATCCCCACACACGGCCAAAACAAAAGCTTCACAAAACAGAGCTTACACTTTCTATGTGTTATGGCCTCTGATATTTTTTCTTCCATTATATTCTTTTCTCTTATTTAACAACTAATTGGAAAGTATATACTGATTATGATCCACAAATTATATGTAGCATTGTTTTTGAAACTCGAATAAGTGGAAAAATACTGTACCAAACATTGCATAATGTCCTTTTTTAAATTGAACATGAAGTTTTTGAGATAAACTGTTGTATAGTATTCTAGCATATGAATATCTCTTCAGCCAGCCTTCTATTCCTAGGCATTTCAGTTTTTTGGATTTTACACTCTAAGGTTCTTGATTGGTGTTGTCAAATTGTCCACCAGAAAGATAGAGAAAGATAGTTAACAATTTGTACTTCTACCAGCATGTTATGCAAATATGCTAGTCATTATCCTCATCAATACTGCACATTATATTCTCACATTTTCTTACACTAAAAGGCCTTAGCAAATAAATGAGGATATGGAGTTTAACCAAAAGAATAATGACAAAATTATCTTATTCCCACCATCTGTTTTCCTAAGGTTATAATGTTTTAAATTTGAGATTGATATAGGGACATATTTGAAGGTAAAAATGGCATTTCATTTTTTTTAAAGATGCATTTATTGAGAGGGTTGATTTTTAATATGTTTCTTGGCTATTTAAATTTCTTTATTTCTAACTGTAAGAGTTTTAACTCCTTTGTACTTTTTGCCTCTTGGATTCTAACTTTTTACTAAAGCCAAAAATTAATACTTATTTATATATATGTAATATTTGGACCTTTTACAAAAACTCCATTTTCTGTCAGCATAATCCATTCAAAATATGAATATCTTTTTGCCATAGAACAGATATCATTTCAGAGACTTTTCCACACTCCTCATTTTGTGGAAATGTTATGGATTTCTGCACTGGATTTTGGTGGTAGAGACATAATCTTAGGGCTGGGAAAGATTCATCTGAGTGCCTGCTTCTGTCTTTTGTTCCTATTATAAGAACTTGGCTAAGTTGTCATTTACTCTCAGGCAAAGCATCCTTTCCCCTTAGAATCAGTCCCTTTGAAAAAAGTTGAATCCTAAAACATAATTCCTTGTATAAAACTGCTGGTATGAAATCTGCTCTGGTTTTAATTCACCAGTCTAATTGGCAGGCTGGTTTTTTGTGTGCCATTTAAAAATTTCAGAGTTTCTTTTCTTACAAAAGGGGAAAATGATGAAATTTGTTTCATAAGCATAAGATTGGAAAAAACTTACTGAGATCGGCAGGTTGTAAATTTCTTTTCACCTTGCTAGGAATAGATAGATTCATATAGTATCTATTCCATGAAAATTAAAGATGTGAGCTGAGGAAAAAACAGAATTGGTTTCTCTTTGACCTGCTTTGAAGCTGACTTCTAAAATATTAAATGAAGAATTGAACTAAGTGTTGCTCCAGTACAAAGAAATAGCCCTTTTGTTTCAGAGAGTTGATGTCCATTGAGAAGTCCAGCTGCCGACATTATCATGAGGCCATATCTGCACAGTGATTTTTCACCGTCATATGTGGCATTTTGTTGCTTTCCTGTTGCTCCCTTTCCTTCTTGGAAATTGTAAAATGAAGAAATCAAGTACACTTCCAGACAATTTCTAAGCGTGGTCTGGAAACTTGTCTTGTGTTTCAGCAATGTTGTCATGGTTCCTCTATAGTGATTCGTATGAAGGAAAAAATTATAAACTGGTAGAAAAGATTAGACAAGTGTAAGGAATATGAAGCCTGCCGAGAAGTTAAAAGACTGTTCTAGAAAAAGAATTCTATATTTCAAAGAAAGATATTTTAGTGTGTGCATAGGTGCCAGAAGACATGAATGTGGGATGTGTAAAACTATAAATTGTCTGCCAGATATGGAGAGCTGAGATTTGTAGGTCATATGAAGGTTATACTAAAGGGCCTCAATCTTTTTGAAAATGACATTCAAAATTTTTGGATTCCTTTGTGGGTCAGAGTAGACTGAGGTCATTCATATTGTGGACCGTCTGCATGCTCTCTCAAGAGAGAACAGAATCCAATGTGTGTGGTCTGCATAACTTACAGAAGAAGATGTGTGCATGACATAGAGAAAATGAGTTGGTGGCCAATATGCTAATCTGAGGTTGGTTGTTGATGCCTGGGCCACTCCATATGGGTTTTTATTTCAAAGTTTAGAAAGACTAATCTTATATGAGGTGTTAGGGAGCATACTCATCAATGTGGCTACTATCTGGCTCAGAATCATGTTCTATTTAGCCATCACGGGAGACAGTGCTTTTATAGTGCCGAGCATGGTGTGATGCATATAGGAGTAGTTACATGCTTGTTGAATTGAACTTTGTGCTATATTTTTACAGATAATACTTGTAGCTGATATTTATGAAGAACTTACATGGTGTCATGCACTGTACTGAAAGCTTGGACTGTGTTGGTTCTTATAATCCTCAGTCCTATCTTATCCTTACTCACCAGAGTAATTGGAGCCTGAGGTTAAATAATTATTCTAAGTAAGTAGTGCAAACAGGATATAAACCCACTCTGACATCTACGTTCCACTCTTAAACTATTCTATTCCTCCCCTAATTTTATTTGCAGCATATGGAATAAGACCATAGTGAAAACCTTTTTTAAAAAATCAAATTTTTGATTTGGGCTGTGAGCTACAATACTATCATTTTGTTATTTAAAAAGCCTTTCATCTGAAATAACCTCAGAAAATTGGATTGTGTAAACAGAGTGTATGGAAGGTTGAAAATACATATTACGTGATGAGTGTCTTCATTCAGGGATAAGAGAACTGATCAACAGTGTTTGTTTCCATTCTTGCTTTCTTTTCCATTAACGTGTTCATATAAATGGAAATAAGCTGTTAGAAATCATAGAGAGCGGAGTACATATTGTATTCATCATGTAAAAAACAGAATAATAAGTCAGCAACTGTTGGCTAGTTAACAAAATCATATTCTTGTGGGTGAGGTGTTGAGAAAAGTAGTTAGTGTGATGCTTTTGTTTTGTTTTTGGTTTTTTACAGTATCAATAACAACTGTTATCATATAGCCAACTGCCTACATGCTGTCTCTACTTGGATGTCTAGTAGGCAGTTTAAACTTAATGTGTTTATTATAGAACTCTTGATTTCTTCTTCCTAAATCTATTCTGCCTCTAGTATTTCCCATATCTGTAAATGGCAACTTATATTCATCTAGCTGCTGAAGATGAAAAATCTAAGAATCCTCCTTAACTCCTTTATATCCCTCACAACATATATTAGCAAGTGCTGTTAGCAAAATCGTCAAGATATATTGCAAATCCAACCACTTTTTACCTTCTCCACTGCCAACAGCCAGGTCTCAACCAGCTGTGTCTCTAGGCTAGACTCCCGCAGTATCTCCTAATTGGTCTCCCTGCTTCCTACTTTTGTCCTACTATCAACATCATTTATATACTATATAATATAAGCTATTATAAAATAGAGACGTACGTAACATAATAATGTATGTGTGTGTATAATTTAAAAAAATCTCAGCCAGTCTGACCCTTTCCTTGTTCATTTTTTCTCGTAACTTTGTGTCCATTCAACATCATATGCTAACCCTTACTACTGCCTGGAACTTCCTATCTAATCTGGCTCCTGCATGCCTCTCTAACCTCCACTGTCATTGCTCCCACCTTGCTCAGTCCTCTCTAGCTGCACCCTTTTGCTGTTCCTTGTAACACTGTTTATTCCTGCTTCTTTGCTTGGATCTGCATTCTCAATATCTTCCTATAGTTTTTTCCTAACTTTTATTCAGGTCTCCACTTAAAAAACCTCAAAGGGGCCTACCTGACCACCCTATTGAAATGCATCCTCTGAATTTTTTATGGGGATTATAGTAAAAATATTTACAAACCGGGACAGCACAAATACTGACCAATCAGAAGAGATGACAATGGTTTTACTCCTTACAGGCCACTTTCTGACTATCAGACTATAACTGATATCTCATAGGTTATATATTTGCTCATTTATTTATATCTCTTTTCCCCTCCAGAATACAAGCTCCAAAGGGTAGGAACTGTGTTTCGTAGTGCCCATAGTAGAGCCCCATAAACATTTGTTAAATGAATGAATGAACCGTTAAACAGAGATATATTTGTTTGACCATAACCTTCATATCAAAGATTATTGCTCTGATATACACAAGGTCTTTGGGGTATTGGCTGTGCTGGAGGCCCTTAATCTCTTAAAGGTCCTTAACCTTTAGCTTTATTTTTCAATTAAAAATATTTTAAGGTACATAAGCAGTATAATAAATACACGTGCAACCACAACTTATAGGCCGGGTGTGGTGGCTCATGCCTGTAATCCCAGCACTTTGGGAGGCTGAGGCAGGAGGATTACTTGAGGTCAGGAGTTTGAGACCAACCTGGCCAACATGGCAAAACCCCATCTCTACTAAAAATACAAAAATTGGCCAGGTGTAATGGTGTGCACCTGTAATTCCAGCCACTTGGGAGGCTGAGGTACGAGAATCACTTGAACCCAAGGGGCAGTGGTTGCAGTGAGTTGAGATCGTGCCACTGCACGCCAGCCTGGGTGACAGAGTGAAACTGTGTCTCAAAAAAAAAAAAAGAAAAAAAGAAAAAACACCAAAAAAACCTCCACGACTTATGATTAACAGTGGTAATGTTATATTGTTTTTGTTAGAATTAAAAAAAAAAAGATATCACTGACAGAGTTGAAATAATCTTTGTCCCTATTTCCCTAAGAAGAAATCAGTATCTTGCATTGCTGTATTTCCTTCTAGTCCATGCTTTTATGCTTTTATACATGGATTATGTGTTCAAAAATAACACATACTTTTGATTTTGGATTTTTTTAATGTTACCATCCTGGAGAAAAAAAAAACTATTCTGTAACTTGCTTTGTCATTCAATGTTATATTTGTAAATTATCCATTTGATCTATATGATCATGTTAATACTATATATATGTACATATGTATGCATATGTATATATTTTATTGTATAAATACATAACTCATTAATGGAAATTTAGGAAGTTTCTTTTTTTATTTTTAGTTTTTGCAATTACAAGCCACTCTACAAGAAATATCCTTGCACCAAACTCTTGGTGTGTATGAGCAAGTTTTATTTTGTTTTTCCCAAGGAATGCACCCCAAAGACAATCTGTTGGACTGTAGAGTATGAACATTTTCGTCAAATGGGGATGCACTACTTTGAACTCCTATCGACAGATTTTAAGTATTCTCCTTAATAAGTTTTGTCGTGTTTATTGATATGCTTCCTCTTATTATGTAATTACTATATTAAGAAATCATGTTTCTCTTATTTTCTTAGCTGTCAGGAATAGATTTTATGATGTATCATGGTAACCACAATTAACTTAGAATTTTTGGTAAAACTCTATGTACTATGCCTCTTAATGTCTCATTTTTGTTTTAATTATTTAATAATAAATCACTTGGAAGTTGCATAAGCATCACCAATAAATATTTAGAATGGCAAAATAACAGAAAGAAGCATGAAATTTGGATAAATAAACATTGAGCTAAATTATGAGCAAATTTCTTTGACTAGAACTTTACACAGGGGGCAACAAATTTTAAGAGTGGCACCTTACATCTGGCCACCCGAATTAAAAGATATACTCTGACCTATACAATTTGTATAAAAGTCCTTCTTTTAAAATTTTTAATACTTAACCATATGTAATTTTTTTCCCAAATTTACCGTCTTCATTACTAGACTATAACAATAGCCTTATAGTGCTTTAAAACTGGAAGTCTTTTTGCTTACTTTGCAAGATGATATATAAATATTGCATCATCCATCACTGGAATAACTTGTCTCCTAGATTAAAACCTGAGGGTGATGTGTAACTGTAATAAATTTGGACAGCAAGGAAGGGTTCTATTTCCAATTAAAACCACAGCCAGGAAGTTTACATTTAGACTGACAAGGGAGGTAGATCAGTACACATTTTGTACATCTTCTTGTTTGTTCAGGGGGAATTGGAGGATCTTTTAAAAGTAGCAATGATAAGTCTTTACATTTCTTTATGACCTCATAAAAAAGAGTCAATTGTCCCTTCTTGAAAGGAAGTTTCTGGGATCAGAAGCTTTTTGGGTTTTTAGACATTTAGAGCCAAGTGTTCTGAAGTGCCATGTCTAACATGGGGAAGTGCATACCTTTATGGATATTTTATTTGGATTTAAACAGGTCTGAAGGTTCAAGATGTACCTCAGTCAAGTTATTTTACTTCTTTGTTTTGAAAAATAATAAGATGATGTACTTAGCACAGGGCCTGGCATATAGTAAATACTCAATAAATATTAATTATCTTTATCATTGTGATTATCATTTCTCTTGCTAAAATGTACAAGTCCTTCTGATGCTTATTTTCTGCTTTGAATGAATCTTCTGAAGGTTTTCCTATTAGTTTCCCTTTCTGAAATGTGTCTGGCTTTCCTGGATGTTACTAATGGCAGCTAGTAGCTAACTGCTTGTGAGGTTCAGGCTCCAAGTAAGGTATTTAAAATCAAAATAATTTCACAACTGTGATTTTAAATTAAACGAAGTGTATTCTAAATAACACAGAATTAAAATAATCACTCATGGATACAATGACATTTGCACTGAGATTATATTGGCTCGGTGTTTTAACAACTGCTTTAGAAATGTCTACGAACGATGTAATAACTATTTCTGAAAACAAAGAAAGCTAACAACATAAACAATTGTGCAAATAAATTAAAGCTCTTTTTATTAATGACATATTGGAATAGGCTCAATATGTTGGCTCTCATAAAGGCATAGCAAGTGAGAGGAATTCCTGCTGCATGGGAAATGGAAATGCTAGGTTCTAAATCAATTATTTTGGCTGCCATATTATCCATATTATCCCCTTCCTCAAAAGCATCCAATGGATTTCCGTCACACTGCTACTCAACAAAACAAAACATTATTAGATGGAAACTTAGCTCCATAATTTCTACTTACTCCAGTTGCATTTTTTACTTCACAGTGTGTTCAATTAGAGACAGCAACAAGTTGCATTATCAAGGTGACTGTGAATTAAAAAGAGGTGCTATTTCCTTCCAATACATGTAGCTTTGTACTGTGGCTTGAGGAGGGGAGAGCAGGCTGGATCTCAGCCTCCACCTCTAGCTTGGTTGGACTTCCTTGTGCTGGTCACAGCCTGGCCAACAGTGCCTGCTGGTCCCAAGCACCATGCAGGCCTCACAATTATAACTTGATTTTGTGCAGGACTCATACTACATTCTGGAAAGAGAACCATGAAGGGTGAAAAAGCTGTTGTAATCCATACAGAAACTTTATTGATGTGACCATTGGGTGATAAAAGTAACAAGTGTTAGTAATTTAACTTACTGAGTACCTGTTATGTGCAAGGTACTGAGCTAGAGGTACAAAAATGTGCAAAACAGACTTATTTCCTAACCTCTTGGAGCTCATAGCGAAAGCAGAGAGAAATACTTAAATAAGTACACCAGTAACTACTACTGTGATAAACACTTCAAAGAAGAAATTTAAGCTCCTATGAGAGTATGTAATCTTAATGCTGGTGATGTCAGGAAAGTAAAGACCATTGTTCTTGAGGAAAATATGAACGTTGTCAAATGCTAGATTTGTGCAGTAATGGTTTTGGTTTTGCATCTACATTTTTACAGCTGTTAGAAACAAAACGCTTGTTCCTCAGTGCCACAAAGAAATAGCACTCAAACATAAATTTAATTTTCTCAGCAAGGCAATTTTTACTTCTATAGAAGGGTGCAACTTGCGACTGAATAATGGCGAGAGCATACCTAGACAAGGGAGGGGAAGGGGTTCTTATTCCTGACGCTGTGTGGTTCCCCTGTTGGCTAGGGTTGGACCGCACAGTCTAAGCTAATTCCGATTGGCTATTTTAAAGAGAGCAGGGATACGAGCCAGAGTGGGGTGAGTAGTTTGGCGGGAAGGGCGGTTACAGAACAGGTGACTCAGGATGATTCAGGTCAGAGAAGGTGACCAGGAGTGACTCAGGATGGAGCAAGTGACCAGGGGTGACTCAGGTCAAAGCAGGTGACCAAGGGAACAGATGTGAACTACTGATTAGAACTAGCGGGAAAGCTGTTTACTGAAACTAGAGGCAAGGGGCGAAGAGAACCAGGAAGTTAAACTTTAAAATGGAGAATCAAAGAATAAGAGAGCTGAACATACTGACATACGGATTCTTTGAAGAGAAACTTGGAATTCACTATATCTAACAGCGTTTAAGACATGCAACTTTATTATTAAAATTCCTACATTAAAATAGCTTTGCTGTTATAAGACGAAAAATCCCTAACTCCTTTTTGTCACTGAAACTATGTTTTTAAGTTAATTAAAGAGCAAGTTTTCTTAGCAATGCAACTGCCCTCTTGTAGTAGGTAATTCTCCTTAACAATGCACTCACCATTTCATTTTGTAATTATTAGTTACTAGTCTGCCCCCCACATCAGATTGTAAGCTCCTTGCAGACAGAAATGAACCTGTGTTCTCTATTGTATCCCTGGCAATTAAGTATAGTGCCTGATACATAGTGAGCCCTTAATATCTAAGCATGGAATGAAGAATCCTTCTACCCTGTCTGCTTTCCTAAATTTCTGCTCTCCACTTTCACTCTTTCATTTTAATTATTGTCCGTCAATAATCTTTTCTGCCACATTTTTCTTATTTCCAGTGACTTTGCCATTATTTATTATGTCAAAGTAACCTCATGAAGAATCTGGCAGAAGGTGATACTTGGGGCTGTTTTGTGGGAGTATTTAGTGGTTTCTCTCCACTGTGAAGTCCCTACGTTGTGTTCCCTAAGTGTTCTCTAAACAGTTAGTTTAGTGCTGCATGTATTTATGAAATTCCTTGCTCTGTAGAGCCCTGGGCTGGGCATAATGGGAGATAACAATGACAGACTGGCCTCTGCCTTCAAGAAGCTTTATAAAGTCAATAATTATTTACAAAGAAGAAACAAATATTATGCCAGCACTACATGTAAATAGCAATGGGAACACAGAAAGAAGCAGTTCATTGCAAACTCAGAGGGATCAATGATAGCTTCATAAAACCAGAAGGCCTTTGAGCTAAGCTTTGAGAAAAAAGTAGACTACTCTAAGCTGGAAGAAGAAATAGAAGGACATTCTAGCTTAAGGAAACTGCAAAGTCTTGTATTTCGCTTTCCTTTTAAAATAAGTTTCTTTTGTAGATTTATCTCAACAGTAACAAATGTTACCATTGTGCTGTCTGTGAATTAATGTAAATCCTGCTCAGCTCTCCTTGTGTTTCCCAATACATAATATACTACCATCGTTTCTTATACTTCGCTTCATCTCTCTATAAGCAATCTTTAAATGCAATAATGTAGGTGAAGGTACTTTATAAAATGCACAGTACTAGATAAAATAGGAGGAAAGTGGTATACAAAAGTAAGTTGCCATAATTCTTATTTTGTATTTATTTGCAAGCTCAGTGATCACAAATCATAAGTACTTAACAGATAATATAAAGATCCAATTCAAAATATATTTACAAAAGCCTGATCAAGTAATTTTGGACAAGTCACTTATTCAAACTTTCTGGGTTTCAGGGAGTTTTTAATTTTTTTTTTATGAAGATTATCTGAAACAATTGACTGTGAAACCAAAAGTACAAGAAAAAGTCACTCTTAATAACATACCAGACCCTTGGATTGACCCTGGCCTTTGCCTATCAAAAACGTTCTAGAGATATGAGACTTACATAATGGAGATATACAATATCTACATAACAGTAGATGGGGAAATATCAAAGTCACTGGTGCTGTCATTAAGTACCATGGGTTTAAGTGCTTTTATTTAGAGATGGGTACAGTCAGAAGGATCACAATGACACAGAGTTCAGATACAAGCAACTTAACCTGCTCTAGGTCGTAATCTCTGACATTCAGAGGACATTCTGTAATCCCAGCCCAAACCTCAGTTTTCCCTCCAATTCTCAAATACTGATTCATGACTATATGACAGTTTCAGTGGTATATTGGACTGTTGGTTTTACCACTGTTTTCCAGTAAGAAAGATTTATAAAATTGCCTAAGTTCTATTTTATTTGATTTGCCCCTCAGTGTTACAGAACAGATCTTCATAACTTCATGAGACTGTCTACAGTTATCCTTAGAGTGGCACGAATTTATGCATGTTCACCGAGAAGAACTTTATTTTAGAAGAATCTATCTGTAATGACAGAACATCGGCATTACCTTTTCCACAGTTTATTAGTAGTGGGGATAATATATATTCTATATGATTTATTATTATCAGTGTTAAAATTTCGAAAGTGCCTAAAGTTCAAGACCCATATTTATTATACTAATAACTTGTATAATTATTAGTACAAATATAAAAATAATATGTATTTTTATATTTGTATAAAAACTTAAATATGGTTTTATGTATCTTTAGTCATGTTAATTCTAATATGTAGGTAAAAGCCTCATTTAAAAAATGAGGAAACTGAGGTGAAGAGGTTAAATGACTTGCCATAAGTCACAGTAACTAATAAAAAATAGTTGTGAGATTGCTGGATATCATTAAGGTGATAATAATTAATTTTTATTGAGTATATTTCATCAGGCACTGTCTTAAATGCCTAACATGTATTAATATAATATTTGAATGAAAGCGTGAGTAGATTTTAGAAAGATGTAAGTATATTGCCCTTAAGTTTTCCAGTTTTTGTAAAGCCATTCTTTTTTTTTCATGTGTATATTGTTTGTTAGTTAAGTAAGCATTTGGAAAACAAAACAAAACTTTACAGTCATAATTGATGCTTCTTACCTTGGGTTGTCATAAGGCTTATGAAAGGCTCTGCAGAAATAATGCTAGAACAGACTCCTCTGGGCACTACAGGATGGAAGGCATTGGGCTATTGACAAATTGATACCAGAAGAGAACTTTGAGGTCTCTGAAGGAAAAACACCCTGTAATTTCACAGTATAACTAAAGGGAGCTTTACTTTGAAACAAGATTATTCATGAAGTCTAGCCTGAAATGAACAAGACAATAAGTGTTGCTCTACTGCCCTCCCTCCCCGCATCCCCCTTATTTCCTTCCTTCCTTCTTTCTCTTTTTCTTTTTTAAGGAAGTACATCATCAGCACAGGAAATCACTGGTAAAGTCCTCATTTTCACTTTAGAATCCTGTCAAAAAATGACCTTAGCAACTAGATTGTAATAAAAATAATTTCAGGAAGCTGTAAAATTATGTCTACAATTAGTTATTAATCGATGAAGTAAGACACTACATCTAGAAGAGTATTTTTCTGATATATAAATCTTATTTGTTTTTAATATTCTGGACAGTTTAAAATATTTCTCTCTCTCAGTAGAAACTTTTCCATATCTGCTTTAACTTGACACTATGCCCCTGTCTACAACTGTTCATGAGCATCTCTGCTCCCTTGAGGAAAATAGAAGTGGAACTACTTTGTGGTGACATTTACCAAGGACAACAAAATAAACCCAATAGTAAATCTAGCTTAAAATAATCATATTTTAAATTGCATCCTGGATAAACATAGGAATAAGCACATTGTATTATATCTATAGCAATATCTGTGATTTCACTCCTATTTGGCTCAATCCTCCAAACTCAGGACAGGCCCATTAGTCTCTTAACCATAAAGGGCTGATTCATAGAACCAACATAGCAAAACAAAATCTGCAGAAACATCTCAAAATAATTGGATATATTTGTTGAGCTGATGACATTTTGAAAAATTGATCAAATTGGTCACCAATTTCAAATATACATCATGTTTTTGACAGACTGAAATTTGCTGAAGCCATTACTAAGGCTTCCATATGTAGGCTAGCCTTCTTTTTCTATTCAATCTGTACCCATATTTAATGTATAGTTAAAATAAAACTAACCATTGCAAACAGTTTAATCTGTAAATGCATTATTTGACTCCATAGTCTTTGAATCAAATTCTTTTTTCTTGAATTTATAGATTTTACAAAGAATGGCAAGAGTATTAATATTTTAGAGCATCTTGGTAGGTTCCATTCTGATAATGAAATCCTTTGGGTATACATTCCTATAATTTACAGTCTTGGCCACCTGGGAGAAGTCAAACTTGTAATTCATTAGAAATTCAAGGAAATTTGGAGAATTACTAGTTCTGAGAGGACTGGCCCTTGGCCAAGCTACACAGTAGCAATGCTTCCATTTGATGCTTACTCTTCTGCTGGTCTTTCATTATTATTAAAGATTTAGGGTATACAAGTGCAGTTTTGTTACACAGATTTTCTGCATAGTGGTGAAGTCTAGACTTGTAATGTAGCCATCGCCTAAATAGTGTACATTAGATCCACTTAGTAATTTCTCATTTGCTGGTCCTTAGAGCTCTCCTTCATATGTTCATATGAAGTGCCAAGAAGCACCTCAAGCAGGAGTAGGGAACCTCTAATGGTGAAGGCCTTCATAGGAATAGTTTATGCTGTTACCCCTTCTGGAAATCCTGAATTTTTATAAAATCTTACAAATAAGTGAGTGGCTATCCAATAATGAAATTTAAAATGGTAAGGTGTATATTTAAAGCAAGTAGTTTTTACTCTGTCTATTCTCTGACACAACCCCCAGGACGCCTTGCACTAGCCTACTATATCAGTCAGGGTTAGTCATTCATTAAGACATCGAATCTTCACTGTAACCAGAGAAGCAGAGCTAGTAGGAGATGTACATTAAGAGATGCCTCGCAAAGAATTGGTTTATGCTATTGTGGAGGCTGCCTAGGCAACTGAAAAATCTTTATGGCAGGCTGTAAGAAAGGGGAGTCTGGAACTCTTGTGCACAGACTAAAGCTGCTGTCCACAGCTGGAATTTTCTCTTCTTTAGGGAAGACTCAACTCTGCTTCTAAAACATTTCAATTGATTGAATCAGGCCCACTCAGATTATCTAGGATAATCTCCCTTACTGAAAATCAACTGATTATGGACTTAAATCACATCTATAAAATATCTTCACGGAGACACCTGGATTAATGTTTGGCAGAGTAACTGGTGACTGTAGCCTAGACGAGTTGATGCATCAAAAAGACCATCACCTCTACTTTTTAGGAATACTAAGAAAATTATTTTTAAAGTGGATTATTGATTAAGGCTTCTTACGTAAAAATAACTTAGACCTAAAGGAAGTAAAAATGAAAGGGAGTTTGAGCCTAAGGAAGATAAATAAGTTATTTCTTTTTTTCTTGGGCCACATCAATGTCATGTATGAAAATTCAAATGAGTAGCAAATTTTAGTACCCATCTATTATTTTATTTATCTTTATGATCATCCTGTGGATGATATACTAGGTTAAGGGAAGTCTGTTCAAAATTGATTAGCAGTCTTAAAAAAATGACAAATGTATTAATTACAAGCAAAAAATTTTTGTCACTGATGATACTGGTAAAAGAAAATAATTATTTAAATGGCAGATTTAGCATCATTAGTATTAATAACCAGATATAAATGGAACATAATTATTGCTGCTGATAATCTAAACCCATTGGAAGTGGATTAATTGGATAGATTATTTGGTATTTATATGTTTTGTTTTAATAGTAGCTATTGTATTGAATGTGATTTTTCTTGAGGGGGAAAAAAAAGAATAAAAAATGGAATAAAAGTAGCTATTATAAGCTAAGTTCCAAAAACACATTATAATTTATTAAGTTACCATTGCTGACTCCATAATCAAATATAGGCAGTCATTAAAGAATATATTCAAGCTTGCAATTCCCTTTTCTTTCTTTGGAACTCTTTAATCAGAATAGTAGATTCTAGTAAAGAATGCATTCTTCATATCTTAATAATGGGACCATCAATACTTATAGCATCGTACAAATATTTAGTGTCCCAATCCACATTTTAATAAGACAAAATTTTATTGTGCTGAAATCTAGCCTTTAGTATGTGGTAAAATCAGATTGACTCATCTTATTTTGTCAGGTCAAAACCAGATACAGTTTTTAGCATGACATTTTCTATATTTCAAATCAATACCATACTCTGTGCCCTTTTTAATATTTAAAAATATTAATGGCTAAGTTATTGATGTATAAAAATGCTCAGTAAATATTTTTCCTTTTCCACCTTATATTTTTTGAGTTGAGTTTCAACACATCACAATTTTTCACCCCCAAAAAAGTTTTCATTTTTTCTCATTGTATGTGTGTGTGTATATATATATTTATAATGATAACCCTTGCTCATTTTCCATGTCCATTCTATACTAGCTCTGAGTTTTGCACTTAGATTCCTTCCGTCCTTCAGCAAACAGCTTTTTCTCTTCCTCCTGGCCTTTCACTGTCTCCTCACAGCCATTGGCAGACAGCACTGGAAGGACTTTTATGACTTGAGATTCAAGTTTTTCTCTCTCAAGGAGTCTGGATGACTCAAAGACACTGGGTTCTTTTTCGGTCTCCTCAGCAGCCAGTGGTCTGCCATTGTGTGTGCCAGCAGGAGACTTAGAAGCTTCCAGACTGCCCTGTGTGTGGAACCTCCATGGGGCTCTGTACTGCAGTCGTCCTCAGTATTAGTCACTGCACACCGGCTGCATTTATCGCTCTAAAATCCATTTCTCTGCCCCTCACAGACATAACTGCCATCCACCCTCTGAAAACCTGCAGTATTTCTGGAGATTCTGCAGTGACAACTGTTCACTTTATCTAAGTCAATATGTTTGCTGAAAGCTGACCAGAGTTACCAGCGATTTCCTAGTCTCACATTCACATTGAAACATAGGATACTTTTACCAACAGCCTGGATTTTTTCCCCTTTTTTTTTGTTTTCCTTGGTTTTTTATTTTTTATTTTTATTTTTTATTTTTTTTGAGATGGCAAGTGAGAAATCTAGGAGTTTTTAGAATGAAATGTTAACTTACTTTTAGTCTGTTTTTTATTCTTTTGCCAGTTTGACAATCTAGCATATATGCTATTTATTCACTTCAGTTGCTACATGCTATTCAGATAACCACCTGACTACGTATGCCAAGCATTTTGCCCCTTGCTTATTTAATCCTCAAACAGTTGTATGACATAGGTATTATTATCCTCGAAACACTTGAGAACACTGAGACTCAGAGAGCTCAAAGGGTGTTGTCTATCACGACAAAGCTAATGAAGGACTGAGCTGAGATTCATCCCAGTTTCAAAACCTATACTCTGCCAAGGGAATTCTTGGGGACCTTAGCATAAATTATTAACAGCTAACCTCTGTCAAACATCAACTGCATATCAGGCACTATTGTAAGACTTTTATATGTGTTCATTCATAACCATCTCAATGATTAGGTACTATAATTGACCCCACTTTTCAAATGCGGAAGGTAGGACACAGAAAAATTACAAAATCCGTCCAAAGTCCCACAATTAGCAAAAATCTTGGCAGTCTGGTTTCTGACTCCTTATGTTTACCCTGCATCCCATAATGTGTGAAGTTAAGTTGCAGAGTCCAAGACTTAAAATTGTCTTTATACTGTCACTATAAAAGAAAAGAGGCCAGTGGTTTGGTTAAGACATTCTTGGGCTGTGGCGAATACTGACTATGCTTTTAAAAGTTGTCTTAAAAGGAAATGGAATTTTTATGGAATCAACCTGATTAAGAGTTTGCCTTACATTATAGACTCCTTGTCCCACGAGTCACTAGGGACTCTCATAAATAGAAATTTGCTATGTTATACCAGAAGAAAGATTTAAAAACTGGCATTTTTCGAGCAATAGGTACTTGGTAGAATCTTGTGATAGAAGAAAGTAATTTTTCTTGGCAGACTCTAAAGTAGATAATTTGGCAATGTCCTTCTGCAGTCTATGTGCTGTGAACTTGACTCTTGAGAACAGCTGCCTTTCTAGAGAAATCACCTCATTCAGAAGAGATGACTTTTCTGTTTCCAGATTAGTATGAGATTGGTTCAGGAGAGCTCAGTAATGAATTAACTGGTCCACGAGAACATCATAATGGCTCTGTAGTAGGAACTGAAATTATACTTCACTTCCAGGCCATTATATGATATTTGTCAAAGAATCATGTAGTAGTGTTTCAAGGATTTATTGAGATATATACCCAGCCAGGATTTTGTTGTGTTGCTGTTTAACGCATCTTAAAACCTCACAATTCACTATTCTAGCAGTTTTTCATTTTATGTTTTGTTCCTTTTTTCCTTTATGCTTTTTTAAAATTTCTAAACCTTAGTCTAGGATACAGAAAGACTGGTGATTCTTTAGAAATAACCATTTCAAAGCCCTGGTGGAAGAGAATTGGTGTTTCTCTCCTTCAGTAATAGACAAATTGAATAACCTGGCTTATTGTTTGCTTGAGGCAGGGAAGAAGTAAAGGATTGGGCCTAAATTTCTTTGACAACAAAGTATGATCCACAACACTTCGCTTTGCCTGAAAAACTATATGCCAAACCCGGAATCCTTCAATAATGCTCAGCACACTCAATGCCTTAGAAGTGAAGGTTTTACAGCTCTCTGGTTCTTAAGGAAGATGATACCAATCTGGTGAAAGGAGTGTGAGGTGTTTAATAAGTTCTTATTTAGAACAATGAAATACAGTGAGAAAAATTGTAGCTCTTTTTTTTTTCTTTTTTCTTTTCTTTCTTTCTTTCTTTTTTTTTTTTTGCCTGCTATTTTAAGGTAGATAAGCAATTCTAAAGAATGAAATGATTTCATGAAGAAAATACTTCAGAGTCACACTGAGAGTTTGTTTTGTCCTGGAAGGTAGATTTGATTTTTAGCATTTCCTTTTCCATATGGAATCCGAATTCCATCAGAATTTTCTGGTCTTGATTAATGAAAGTGTTACACTAGTCAACACTACCTTTGAGAGAGGAAAGTTGAGTCCTGTTTAGGATTAATGTGGCATAAAAAGTAATGTGTACTAGATCACATATTCCACAACAGAAAGATAAAACAGGATTGTTCTTATTTAATCTTGAGGTTTCAGTCTTCTAAACAAATGGAAATTATCACCTTAATCGAATCACTAAATTATTGTTTAATTTAAATAGTATCTGGGTTAGAATCCTCTAGATTTACTTAATGATGAGTGTTCATGGAATGTTTGCTTTATGCCATATTTTATTTCTGTTCTTTATAACAATCCTATAAGGTATCTATTGCCCCCAATTTAAAAATGAAGACAAAAATAAAAAGCACAGTTACTTGCTCAGGAGCATATTGTTGATGTTTGAGCTGAATCCCTTACTCCTTCCACTGTGGAATGCAGCACTTTGGCTGAATGTTTGCCCTTTAGTTTATTGTGCTAAAATGTGTGTGTGTTTTTGCCTACTTAATTCTTTATTTTCTTGTCTCCCTCCTTCTGCCCTGATCCTTTTTGAAAGTTCTTTTGTTCTTCTGTAGAAGCCATTAGGTTACTTTTATTGGTAAAACTCTCCCTGTTCATTCCTCTACCTGCTGCCCACCAAGACTTCCAAAGTGCTCCCATAACATGGGGTCTATGCCTATGACAGCAATTAACACAGTGCATAATGATTTCCCATTTGTTGTGTAGTTCACCTCTTAGAGCAAGGATCTCATTCCCAGCTCCACATTAGAACCTCCTAGGGTGTTTTTAAGAAATGCCAATATTTGAGAACTACTTTTGGAGATGAAATTTAGAGATTTTTTTTTTTTTAGTTGTCTACCTAATTTTAGTGCAAGCTGAGAGTTGAAAATTTATCTTATAAATTCAAGGGCAAGGATAATTCAGCCATATTCCCAGAACTTAGTACCATCCCTGATATATAACAGATACTTCACTAATAATGACTGGTTGAATGAATGAATGGATGAATGAATGAATGAATGAATTTTTAAATGCTGACTTACCATGGTTTTCGTAATGTAAGTATTTTATTTATTGATTTGATCATTGTATGATTCTTGAATGCCTTAATGGTGAAATATTATCAAGCATTAAGCAGCAATTATAATATCTTCAAATTCGGTTAGTGCTTTACGATTTTCACAACCAAATTGTATTTGCCTTTTGAAACCTAGCACAGTGGCTCTTCTATGATGCTTCTTAAGAATTCCAAACTCAAGAAAAATCAGCTTATTGAGATGACTGAAGTTTAACAATAGTGCAATCAGAATGTGAGGGTTCTCTGCAATTTGATTTGGGACTTGAAGGATCTTTATCTACTGGTATGTTATATCCTGATCAAACTTTGCATCAGAAAGCAAGAGGCATTTTAGAATTCAACAGCCTGCAAAAGGATCCTGGCACCAGCACACAGCAGGTAGTAACCTGCCTAGGGCAACTTCATAGGATAAATTGTTTGTTTCCCTAGGTAGCCATCAGGATATTACTAGATTTCTTAGAGCCATGAGAACATTAAGTGGGGTTTTCAGGACTATAATATATCCTTCAGCTCTCATTTCAACGGCAATCAATGTTCATAGCCCTCCTTTCAAAGCACTGGCAAACATTCTGGTATAATTAATGTCACTGAGGTATTGTTTTTCCCATTGCTTTCTGTGTGTTTTGTTTTTTTTTTTCTAAGAAAGGCAAGTTACAAGACAGATGTCTTATATGAAAAGCTATTATGCTATTATGTAATTTGAAACAAAAGGCCAGTCTCTAATAATAGTGTGGGTGTTAGAGGGCACAGAGTGAATTTTCTTGAATGAGATAATTTATGGAAATTCTCTAGGACACCATATTTCAACTTGGCATAAAAATTCCAGATTCATTTAACATATGCATGGTGAGAACAACTAAGTTTTAAGGCCAGTTTGGTAAAGATTCATAACTTTGTCAGTTGATTATGTCTCTGCATAGGATCATAAGTAGTTTTAGTGTTGACAAGTACAGATTCTTGCTGGGGGTTGTGTGAAGTTTAATTCAGCAATTCAGTACAAATCAATAGCTACTTATTGAGGGCCCACTGTTTTCACCTGGGTATTTTGAGGAGAAGGCAATTGGGTAAGACAAGGTTCCTACCTTCAGGGAACATATGGGTAGTTGAGTAAAATTTCTACTATTGGGTAGAAAAACTGCAGCTTTTGATTATAAAATAAAGTTTTGTTGCCAGTAAATTAGGTCTATAGAATAACACCATGGTAGGAGAGATTGATTTAGGGAGAGTTAAATGTTTTCCCATTTCCTATGAGTATCTTTCTTTTCTTTCAACTGCAATCAGCAACTTATTTGATAAGGGAGGTTTGGAAAATTATGTACATTGTTTATTTCTGAAATTAAAATAAAAATATGCATTTTCATAGACATGAAGAGCATACCTTTACTCTTAAGTATCTGAACACAAGATGCTTTGGAGGAATAAGTTCGCTGAATTAATCTTTATAAATAACTCAGTTGCATTCATCCTCAAGTAAGGAATTCAAGGGTTGCCTTTGCCCATCTGTTTGACAAAGTATGAATCTTAACATCACGGTTAAGTGAATTATCTGACAGGATGAACTGCATATACACTTACAGTGAGGCTTAAGGGTGCTGTGATACTTACATGAATTGGAGTATTTTGAAAATGTTCAGGTTGACTGCAATGCTATATTATGTTAGGAATTGACTAACATGGATAAACGGAATGTGATTTTTTACAATCTGTATTTTCAAAGGTTTTTGATTTTCATTTACCCATCCAGGTTGCCCCCAATACTACCAGTTTCTCCTCATCTTTCATTATTTCACTCATTCCTTTATGTTATTTGCTTAGTTTGGTGTCTTTTTATCTCTCATATAAACAAATATACGTAGTCTAAAGCAAGGTTTCTCACACTTGGCATAATTGACATTTGAGACTGGATAATTTCCTGTTATAGGTGGCTATCCTGTATAGCAGCTTACTGGCACTAGATGCCAGTAGCACACACATCCAGTTGTGGCAAACCATCATATCTTCAGATATTGCCAAATATCCTCTGAGGAGCAAAATTGCCCCAGTTGAGAACCACTGGTCCAAGTCAACTTCCTAAATCTTCTTCTTCAGTCTCAACTTCCTTCATGATAGCTGCTATTCTAATGATTCTAATGCATTATTTTACTGAGAATCACATGTCTCTCTTGTGCCACTGAACCTCCAATGACTCTTACCATAATATTCGAGGCCCTAACTGCCCTTACCCTGTTTTATTTAAGTTTCATTTGTAGCAAAATACTACATGCTCATGTTAACAAATGAGAGAGTACAGAAGAGCTATGAAAAGCAAGTCACCTGGTCTCCTTCTCCCCACTCTCATGTCTAAGAAGCAACTTTTTTTTTTTTTCCTGAGACAGAGTCTTGCTCTGTCACCCAGGCTAGAGTGCAGTGGCACGATCTCAGCTCACTGCAACCTCCGCCTCCTGGGTTCAAGCAATTCTCTTGCCTCAGCCTCTTGAGTAGCTGGAATTGCAGGCACTCACCACCATGCCCGGCTAATTTTTGTAGTTTTAGTATAGATGGGGTTTCAGCATGTTGGCCAGCCTGGTCTCAAACTCCTGACCTGGTGATCCGCCTGCCTCAGCCTCCCAAAGTGCTGGGATTACAGGCGTGAACCACCGCTCCCGGCCTTAAGAAGCAACTTTTAAAGAACTGTTGCTGATTTGCTTCTTGCATTTTTCTCCATAACTCTAGATATGTCTATACTTTTGTTTGATTTATCAACTTTAGGCAACATTGTCTCTCTGTTTTCAAGATGAAGTTTTAGATCAGTTATATAAATTGCCTTTTTTCTTCCCTTTTTTCCATTTTATGATATTTAGGTGATTGTATTCATGTATGTTGATCTTGTAAACATAATCTATTATTGGTCAATCAACTTTCAGGACCACATTGTTGTACTTTCTGGAGCTAGGAGGGACTAGAGACCCAATTGATTGTATCTCTCAACCCTCCCATTATAGTAAGTTGAGAACTTGACTGCTTTTACCTTTTCTTCACCTCTTCCATATCCTACCTGCTGTCAGCCGTATTTTTATTTACACTACTATTCACAGTGTTAAGATTTTTATTCTGCCTTGCAAATGCAACTAAGTCTTATGTCCTTTATTCTTAGGTTAACTCTTTAAGTTGAAAGTCATTAAACCAAATTTACATTATCATGACTCTGCAGACATTTTTCAATATTACATCAAGTTTAGATCTATAATTTTATTTTATTTTGCATAGGTCCAAAGTCATGATCCTTGCATCACATGGAGTATAATGATTAGTATCAGTGTCAGATAAATTCTTTTTTTCTTCAATTCTTATCAGCTGTGAAAAATCATGCCATCTTTTACAAGTAACTCCTATCTTTCTTGTGAGTTTTCATTTGCCCCGTTTCTTGCACTATTTGCCTATTTTCCTTCATTATAGCCACATGTTTATGAGGTCAGTCTTTTCTGGATCCCAACCCACCACCTGGGTTTTTTTTTTCATTGTTGTCCTAGGTAGGACCCATAGTTTCCCGTGTCTTTCTAGTTTTTGTTTTATCTTCATTTTGTTAGGACATAGGTTCAATTAACTTATAAAGAAAAAGTGTATGGGCAGTCAACTTTGCATGGGTACTTGCTTGATGAAAAATTTTTCTATTTTACTCTCACCTTAATTGATAGGTTGGCACAGAATTCTAAGTTAAAAATATTTTTGTCCACAATTCAGAAGGCACAGTTAGACCCAATGCTGCTGAAAAGACATACTGTTTTTCTTTTCTAGGTGACATATTGTTCTCTTGCATTAAGTTTCACTAAGTTAAGCCATGGCGACACACAACATAAAAATCTTAGTGGCTTGCAACATGTTAGCTTCAGATTAACTTTAGCTTGGTCCCACATGATCTAGACTGAAGAATTAGCCCCATCTGGGAATGCTCACCTCTTGGCTAGAGAAAGGAGCTGTGGTAGATCAATGTCGCTGCTTGGACATAGCATATGTTATTTCCACTCATATTTCAATATGTCCAAGCTTGACATTAATGTAATAGGAAACATTCTCTCCAAGCCTCCTCCTTTTTTAGCCCTGCCCTCCCCACAAAGAGAAGACCCAGGGAGGGGCCCTGAAAGATGGGCTCTTTAGAGGGGGACAGTGAATAACTAGGAACAATAAGACAATGTACCACACTCTTGAAAGAGTTGAGGACTTTCTTTTTATCCTGAAAATTAATAATGAGTGTCCAGCTGGTTCTTTTATTCATTTATTATTATGCTGGAACTTGGTGGATCTACCCAATCCAAAAGACTTAAACCTTTCTTGTGGGAAATATTTTATTATCTTTTAAATAACTCTTCTTCCTGTTCTTCATTTCATTCATCCTAGAAACTGAAGCATCTCAGTTGTTTTTATCTGTATCTTTTATGTTTTTATTTTTTAAAACACCTGTGTCATTGTTTTGTCTTTTTGCTCTATGACATTTTTCCAGGCATTTATTTCAATGTATTTTTTTTAAAATTGACAATACAAATTATTTTTACTGTTTTCTCTCAAAATATTTCATTTTTGTTATATGAATATAAAACATTCTTGAACTTCTCCGAGTAGATTTGTTTTTGTTTTTAACCTTTATTTGAAGTTCAAGGGTACAAGTGCAGGTTTGTTACACAGGTAAACTTGTGTCATAGGGGTTTGTTGTCTAGATTATTTCATCACCCAAGTATTAAAACTAGCACTATTAGTTATTTTTCCTGATCCTCTCCCTCCTCCTCACCCTCCACCCTCCGAAATATTAATGGAATTACTTTAATATTCTTTTCTGCTTCCTGAGTTATCTCCATTTCCCTTAGGGTGAGCTTTTCTGCTTATTTCTTTTGGCTTCCTTTTCAAGAGTTTCTGACTAGAAGCATTGTGAGGGAGTAAGTCCAGTTTTACATTAGTAAGTTGCATGTCAGGAAATGGTTGTCCAATATGCAAGATTGCAAAAGCTCCACTTTAAAACTCCGGTGTACACACAGGAGCCTTAAATTTGCCCAATTAACTCAAGGCCCTATTGAAACCCTTGCTTCCTACATACCAGAGAGTGTCTTAGATTTTTCTGTCTGAAGATAGGAACCTGGATTGATTTCCACCCCTGGCAACAATATAGGAATTGTAATAAAATCTGTGCTTCTTTTTGCAAAGCCCATTAGGAAATAAAAATGTATTCGTGTTCCTATAAAATTTTGAATTTCTCAGAGCTTATATTTTAGATACGTATGGAGGTCTTAGTCAATCCTTTTACTTAGTAAGCATAATAATCAAGTTTGTCTGGCTTATTTGTGCTCCTTCTCAGTGTCAATATGAACCTTGGATGATTTGATGAAGGGCCCTAAAGTAAAGTCTTTCAAACTTTTTAAATCTAAAATTAATGGTAATGCATTTTACATCAAGACTCAGTAAGCACATATAAACATAAATATGCATTTAAGTGAAATAAAAGTTTCACAAAAGTGCCTTACTGTGTACAAAGCAATTTTATGTTTTCTATTTCAGATTTTAAAACTGTGATCAAGATTTGCTAAACTGGTTTATGACATACTGATAATTTTATAGTGTAAAAAATAGTGCTATAGAACATGGTCCTGAGAACTAAATAAAAATGTTCTCTAGGTTTTTAAATAAATGTCACAAAATCTCTATTCTGAATATATTGCCTTTATTTTGTAACATTGCTCCTTAACTCAGAGGCTTATAATTTTTGGCAGGCTTTGTTATCCAAAATTTTCTCCAAAATTAAAGCTTAGGAGGAAACCACAAAACTAAAACATAATAATTGCCTAGATTAATAATGGATATATGTGTCCATTGTCCTAATTAGGATAATGTGTGGTTAGTATCGCCTAGATAATAGTATCTTCTGTATCTCCTAGATAATATTTCTTATAGCAGGGAATTTACAACATATTTCTCTTCATCAAAAAGATTTAACCTTTGTTGCTTGATTTTGGTCCACCTCTGTATTTAGAGATCCCCTAAGGAAAGCCAGAAACCAATGGCCAAGGACTGTGCTGCAGATTCCCCTCCTGCAAGTGGCCACTTATGCCGAACTCTTTTCTAAATATTTTGGTGAAAAATAGAGTCAATCACACTTGCACAAGATTAGCTGAGCACTCCAAGATTGATTTAAATCTGGGACTAGCAGAAAAAGGGATTCAACAACAAAAATAAGACGTGATATTTTGTTATGCAAGGAAAAGAATTTTGTATTCAGAGCTGCTTTCTTAGAAAACTAGAGACAATGACAGTGAGTTCTAAATAAAAAATACATTTCAGTGAAATAACCCATGACTGAAAAGTAACTATGAGCACACCCTTGGTTCACATCTATCAGTTATGTATTGCATAAAAGAGGGTTTGTTTTCAATTGTTATTAGAGGAATTGAGTACCTTTTAAGTGGCTAGAAAGTTGTGTAAAGTGCAATTTTAAGTGGCTTTTGTTATGCTACTGAAAAGTCTTAAGTGTTGGTTAACTTATATGAAAGAGAGTGTGAAACAATCCTTGATAACATTTTTTTCTTTCAGTAGGGTTTGTGAGGAAAAAACTGTGGCTGAGGATTCTTTTAAGTAATAGCCACACAAATAATCGCAGATTACAGTGTCATACAACTCCATTAACTCGGTGAAGGAAAATAACAACATTTTCATTTTAATGAGATGTCAGCTCCCTCCCTTGCTGTACTGCGCTTCTTAATGTCCTTGCTGTCTGCACTGACTTGGGGCTCCAAGGCTCTCTCATTACTTGGCAATTCCTTTCTCTAATTTCTTGTGACACACGGTGCTTAAATCCACAAGAAATGTGAGGTAAGGCTGAGAGAATTCCTGCAGACTGATTTACTATATGCAGAACGCTCATTTGCATTATTCATTAGATAAGAGCACTGATTTGCATCTCATTCTGGTTGCCTCCTTTAGGTGAAAAAAAATGCCAGAGTACTCTCAATATTCCCCTGTTTTTTTTATATTAATAATAATTATTAGGGGAATTAGGGTTGATTCCTCTCCTGTACCATTTGCAATTTCTCTTTAAAAGAAAACCCAGAAAACTCTAAACACTTCTAAACCCCCAAACCAATGTGCATTTTCCCTTTTGTCTTTAAAGTATTTGAAGCTTTAACATTTGATAAAAGATTTGAATGCATAAATGTATTTTATTGAAATGCAAGAGAAGACATTTATGATCCATATCTAACATTAGGAATGGGAAGGAGGAGGAAGCAGTTAAAAAAAGTATAGGCACAAGTACAGCATTTGAGTCTCCCCAAATCTCATTTTAGAGAGATTTCCTAGCAACAGAAACATGCCACATGTTTAATGATACTGCCAGTAATAAATTCTTCCCCCCTTGATGGTCAAAGCCAAGTGAAGAAATTTTGCTTTGCATTTTGTTTTATTAATTGCTTTGTCAATTAAGATTATACTTTATTGTAAACATCAGCTCATCATTATTAAAAAGTCATTGATGTCTGACTATGTGTTGAGCTCTGTGCTGGCACCTAGAGTTCCTGTGTTAGATAGATACAAGAAAAAAAATGATAAAATATCCTTCATTCCTTGCCTATACTCAATTCCCCATGGTCCTAGTAAACTTCCAATCACTCACCATTTCCTTGGCACAGACTCTGTAGGCTTTATTAAATGTCATCTAGTGATTCTCTGGGATTTTGAGATTTGAGCTGCACAGGAGACCCGATCTACAATCACACATTCAATTGGGACCACTGATGCATTCACAAAGGGAAAGCAGGGCATAGCATGGATGGCAACCTTCTTTATCCTTCATGAGAGACAAGGACAGAGGAGTCAGAGACCATTCCTCTGTCCGCTGATTCGCTGTGATTCAGTTGCCCCTTGAATAAATGATAGCATTCTGTTGAAGGTTGCAACAAACCTAGTGTCATGGATCAATCACAACATCCAAAAATGAAGGAGAATTCCAGTGATATTAAGGTCACATTGTAACCAGAAACATGGGATCTAGCAGGCTGGGATGATTTGTTTTGAGTAGAGGTTTTGTACAAATTGCACATTGTTTCATCAACACAGGTAACAGAAGACTGAACCGATTCTTTTGCTCTACTTCTTCATGTCTCCCAGAGCATTTAATTCCGTGCTGGAAGAGGTCATCACAAACATTCATTATCCTTGTTCATGGGGCACCCCCTACCTTAACTGCTGTTTATTCTTGTCTGGTTCCTGTGATTAATGCTGGAATGCAAAACAGCTACTTCTCTTCTTTATGGCTGTATCTGGCACACTGATCTGTTTAAGGTCTTTGGCATCCCCATAAGGAACACCAGTTTTGAAATAGCCCTCATTTGCATTTAGACTAAAACTAGAATCCAGTCCAGGATTTGATTTTCGGGAAGCGATCAGTTAGATAAACCTCAAATTGTGTTTTTGTTGCAAGGGTGATTATTTAAATATATTTTTTCTACTTGAAGCATTCAAATATTATCAAGTAATAAAGTTGTATTTCTCTTATTTAATGAGGGCCAAATGGTCCCCTTTCAAAGTAACAAGCACTAGTATTAAAAATGAGGGGCAGCTTATATTTGGTTGTATTAGTTTTGGATGATTATGCCACTTGGAGGACATCGAGCTTTTGTTTTTGTTAATGTCACAATGGGCTTATAGTGCCATGCTTCATAGAAATGTCACTGCTAAGCTAATTCTACTATGGAAGTCATACTGAGGTTTCAGAATCCCGAATGAGCTAAGGAGATTGCATTTGAATGTCTCATACACATTTCAAAAATAACCTGGACAAAAGACAACTGTGATTTCCTCTCCTGCACTCCTTAGCCCCCTTCCCCCAAAACTGATTATCTTAGCAAATGGGATCACCTTTCAACCAGTTGCCTAAGCCAAAAACTAGTAGTCCTATGTGATCCCCCTCCCTTTTCCTGCCACAATCTGATTACTATTGCTGTGTGACAAACTATCCCAAAACTTAGTGGCATAAAGCAGAGAAGAGCATGTGAGATAAAAGATGCTGTAGTAGCCATCTTCAGTCAGTACAATCGATCTATCTACTGCCCACAACTGTTCACAACCTTTCTACATGTAAAATACACCCAGTCCTTCCCCCAACATTCCCAAAATCTCACCTCATGACTTTGAAGTCTAGGATGTTGTCATCCAAGTCATGCCTGGTACTGATGAGGCTCTTTGGATGCAGTTCTCCTAGCATGGCTCCTCTTAATTTCTGAAGAGCTGTCAACAAAAGATTCCAATTGTCTTCTTCCCACATACCACCATGCACTGGGGGTCAGGCAAGCATTCCTGTTCAAAAAAGGGAGACATGGGAGACACACAGCAGTCACTGTCCAACAGCAGTTCAAAAGTCAATTGTTGCCAGATCCACCTTCCCAGCATCTGACACAACTTTCTGAGTTATTCTTCCTTTTCCATAGTAAATGGCCGGTTGTTGCCACTGAGTAGTTTTCTCACCCTGCTTCCTGCCGAAAGTAGTTCATGGGCCCAGAGACCTCACCCCCTTCATTTTATGGTGTATCTCTCATTTTAGTTCAAGCTGATGGAGTTCCTTTAAAAAAACTTCATGGCTTCCTGTATCAATTTATATATCCACTACATTCGACAAAAGACACACCCACAGATCTCTTTAGTGTAAGCCTTTTTCTACCATGGGCTTCCAGTGAAGCTGCCATGGACCATCACCCTTAAGATTCATGAGTGCCTGTTGTTTTAAAAAGGCAGGTTCTTAAATCCTGAAGGCTTTGTGTATGTGTGAAAAGTTTATAAGGAACCATCTTAAATCTTTCCAAAACCACTCCAAAATTTAGTGGCAGAAAATATTCATTTATTATACTTAAAGATTTCTGTAGATCAGGTATTCAGACAGGGTAAAATAAGGATGGCTTGTCTCTGCTCCACAATTTCTAGAGTTTCCACTGGGAGAACTCAACAGCTGGGGACAAGTTGACATCTGGGATTGGGATCATCTTGAGTTGAGGTGTCTCCTCACGTGTCTGGCAGTTGATGCTGGCTGTCAGTTGGAACCTCACTGAGGCTACTCACTGGAGCACCTTCATGTGGCTTCTCACATGGCCTGGGCTTCCTCACTGTGTGGTGAACTCAGAGTAGTCAATTTGTTACATAGCAGCTTTGAGCTTCAAGGTGAGTCATAGCAGACAAGGTGTATTTTAATTTCCTGGGACTGCTGTGACAAAATGCCACAAATTGGATGGCTTAAAAGCATGCATATATCTTCTCACAGTTTCAGAGGCCAGACGTCTGAAATCAAAGTGTTGGCAGGACTGCACTCCCTGTGAAGGCTCTGGGGAAGAATCCTTTGTTACAGATTCCTATAGCTTGTGGTGGTTGCTGGCGACCCCTGGCCTTCCTTGGCTTGCAGCTGCATCAGTCCAATCTCTGCCTTCCTTATCTTTACACGGCCTTCTTCACTCTGTGTGTGTCTGTGTCTGTGTGCCCTTTCTTCTTCTTAGAAGGACACAAACCATATTGGAATTAGGGTCCATCCTAATCCAATATGTCCTCATCTTACCTAATTGCATTTGCAAAAACCGTATTTCTAAAGAAGGTCACTTTCTGAGGTTTGAGTGGCTATGAATTTTTGTGGGACACTATTGAAGTCAGAACAAGGTGGAAATCACATTGTCTCTTTAGCCTTGAAAGTTACGTAGCATCGTTTGTGCTGTGCTTCAATTGGTTAAAACAGCCACAATCATACTGAGGTTTAAAGGGAGGAGACTTCCAGATGGGGGACAGCTAGGATCACATTGTGGAGCAATATGCGGCCTGTGAAGTGGCATTGTGTTCATTTTTTAAAAATGCAGTCTACCACATCCTTATCCAGTCTGCGACCAACTTCTATTTTTTTTTAAAACTTGTATACGTTTAAAGGGTAAAAGTGCAGTTTTGTTACATAATTATATTCCATAGTGGTGAAGCTTGGGCTTTTAGTGCAACCAGCACCCAAATATTGTACATTGTACCCACTAGGTAATTTTGCATCCCTCGCCCTCACGCCCACCCTCCCACTCTTCAGAGTCTCCAATATCTATTATTCCACTATGCATGTGCATTATTTAGCTTCCACTTATAAGTGAGAACATGTGGTGTTTGACCTTCTGTTTTTTAGTTATTTCACTTAGGATAATGGCCTCCAGTTCCATCTGTGTTGCTCCACAAGACATGATTTCATATGGACTTTACCTTCAAAATATATCCCAAATCTGTTCACTTGCCTCCTTTGCCACCCAGTCATGCAAAACACCGTTATCTCTCATCTGAATTATGGTATTAGACTCTTATTTGATCTTTCTGTGTCTACTCTTGCCTCTTCTAAACCACTCAGCACCAAGTGGCAATAAAAGAGATACTAAAACTATGAATGGACTTATGTCACTTCTCTGTTTAACTCCTTTAGAGACTTCTGATTACACTTAGCGTAAAATCCAGATGTGTCTCAGAGGCCTAACTGGCTCTGCATGATCCCTCCGAGCCTGTCTCTTCAACTCTATTCTATGTCAGCTTCTTCTTCCCTATGTACTATTAGGTTGGTGCAAAAGTAACTGCAGTTTTGTCATTAAAAGTAAGGCATTAAAGTAAAGTACTAACTCTCCGGCCACCCAAGCCTTCAAATTGTTCCTGGACCAAGAACTGTTTGTACCTTAAAGACTTTGCGCTTGTGTTTTCTTCTGCCTGGAAATCTCTTTATTCAGGTCTTTATGAAGCTCACATTTTGCACACTCTAAGTTTCATCTTAAATGTTATCTCTTTAGACAATAATGATAATAATAATTAAGTTAACATATTTTTGAGTTAGCTCAAAATATAGGCCATGCCCCAGAACTAGACATTCTACCTGGATTATCTCTTGCGATCCTTGTAACATCTTATGAAAGAGGTTTTATTATTATCCTTATTTTACAGATAAGGAAACTGAGGTTTAGGGATGTAAAATAATGTTCCCAAATCATACTGTTGCACACTTATGCAGTATACTGTGTATGATGAAGCACAGAGTTTAGAATTACACACTGGGCTTTCTGGCTCCAAAGGCTGCCCTCTAAACTACCAGTCTCTGTTGCCTCTAGAGAGAGGCTTGCCCCTCATTTTATTCTCAGTTATAGCATCTGTTTCTTTTCTTCGTTTTGCCTATTACTCTCTGTATTTTTTTAAAAGAGTGTATTTATTTGTTTATTGCCTATCTTTACCACTAGTATTGAAAATTTTTATTGTTATTTTTCATTGTTATACCCTAGCACCCAATGCAGTACTTGGCACATAGTAGGTACTCAATAAGTAATTGATGAATAAATTTAGTAATGTGTTGATCTAACAGCTAGCTTTGGGTATAAGGTCAGGGATGATTTATAGCTTTTTAAAATTTCCATACTCTTACCACCAACCAATTTCAAGTTGCAAACAGTTTAACAATTGGCTTACAAGATCTCTGAAAGTTAAGCTCTAGCATATCACTGAATTAATGAATAAATGAATGAATGTTGCAAAGAGCAGAGTAGCTCACCCACAGTAATTGGTTTCCTAGCAGGATAGGGGGTTGCCCTTTCTGCATAAACCCTTGTGGTTTCAGCTCCAAACAGATCACATACATTGGTGTGAGGGTTCAGAGCACAGCTGTTATCAGAGCTGCAAAAGGACAACGAAGAGTTAACTCTGTATCTGAGATACTAAATATCGCTACAACAATGTGGTGAGAAACACTGAGACCAGATACTGTCATTTCTTCATCTTTTTTCACTGCCTCAGGTGTCGGCAAGGACACATATGATGCAGAAGCAAGGGCAGAATGACTTTGTTTTACCCTTTAAAGGGAGAGGATGGCAGAGATTGGAGCAGGAAGGAGTGAAAAGAGGAAAGGGGAAAAAGCCATTAATATTTTACATTAGGCTTAAAAATTCTCAGTTACAGCTTTGGCTAGGAGGAAACATTTCCTTGAGAATGTTTGTTAGATGTTTTATGCTGCATGATCATACAAAGGACTGATTTATAATTAGTCCAGTTACTTACCTCTGTGTGTAATCGGGAATGGCATAGGCATTTTTTTTTGACAACTATGTGCCACTCAGCGTTGCTGATTACATCTTATTTGACAGTTTTTAATTACAAAAGTATCAATTGATTTTTTTTTTAAATCAACAGTTCCGTAGTCCTGATTGATGTGAAGCGACAATAGATCTGAATGAATTTGTAGAACTTGGTGGGACTGTATTTATCACATTGGGTATGAGATTCCTGACATATGTTGCCTGGCTGCAGCACCAAGGCAGTAAGACAAGGGGTGATGCTTGGATGTCTTGTCTCAGTCATGGCCAGGGTGTAATGTGTCTGTCATTTAACTGACAGGTCTATACCTTGGCCCCAGATGCTACAGCTCTTCACACTCTGCATAAGTAATATACCCCCTATTATGCACATTCGCTCTGGGATTTTGAATGAATAAATTCTGAAATGCTCTCACTGAAAGCTCCAGAATCCAGATTTTTTAAAGTGCACATGTAATTAATTTTGCTTTAGAATTTTGAATTAATGCCAAGAGAAATGCCTTGCTCTATCTCTTTATTAATTTCCAGGTATGAGCCTGAAGAAAACAGCCAGCACTTTGCTTGAAATCATATGAATAATATTAGAGTAAGAATGTCTCTGTTGGAGACAAAAACATTATATTTGGGTCTCTTGGTAATCTATCCATTGGTTAATGGACCCAGAACCCTCTAGACAGTTCACAAATCCACATAACAGGGCAGAATTTTGCATTAGGTTTCCTGACTTAGCTGAAAACTGTGACAAATCAGATGCAGCCAAAGAGTTCCCTATTGATTACAAATGTAGGGATCAAGAGTAAGTTATTCCATCTAAGGCAGCATTTATTTAAATTTAAAATGGTCCTTCCTGGTAATCTCAAATTGGATAATGGCATACAAATCAATGGAATTTTTCAGAGTATTAATTCCATCTCATTTGAGGGGCTTCCTATTCAATATTTGAAAGAATAGGTGTTGGTGTACAGTCAAATTTTGGGGGACTGTAAGAGTTTGGGTGAATATAGGCCTAGCACCGTGGCTCTCACCTGTAATCCCAGCACTTTGGGAGACCGAGGTGGGTGTATCCCTTGAGGCCAGGAGTTCAAGACTAGCCTGGCCACGTGGCGAAACTCCTTCTCTACCAAAAATACAAAAATTAGCTGGGAGTGGTAGTTCACGCCTGTAGTTCCACCTACTCCAAAGGCTGAGGCACAAGAATCTCTTGAACCCAGGAGGCAGAGGTTGCAGTGAACCGAGATCAGGCCACTGCACTAAAACCTGGGTGACAGAGACAGACCTTGTCTCAAAAAAAAAAAAAAAAGTTTGGGTGAATTTAGAAAAGAAAATGAAGTTTTGGGACAAAATGTAAGTAACTCTTAGTTTTTTTTAAAGGAAAATAAACAACCAGTGGTCTTGAAAAAAAAAAGGCGGGGGAGGGGTGTCAAAATTGCAAGCCCTGTCAAAGTACTGTTTGCTACACAAGTATCTTTCATAGTTTGCCAATATCATTGACTCAATTTCTTTCTCTAGAATTTGAGCATAGCACTAGGTTCATATAGGTAGGTTATAAAATGTTTTAATATTCTCTACCTTTAAAAAATATCCTAGCTGAATGTATAAACCATCAGTTGCCCATCATCCTATCTGGTGTATAAATTCCCTATATATCACCCTGGACGACAAATAGTTCTAGCTAAACACATCTAAAAACAGAAAGGCCTCAATGTCCTAAGACAACTGAAGCAAACAGCTATGGCCTACCAAGTCAAAAGTTAAAAAAAAAAAAAGGGGGGGGCCTTACTGGATCAGGTATTTGTGTACTAGTATTCACAGCAGCATTATTTGTAACAGCCAAAAGGTGGGAATAGCCCAAATATCCATTGACAGATGAATGGATAGACAAAATGTAGTATATACATACAATAGAATATTAGCCTTAAAAAAGAATGAAATTTTGATACATGCTACAATATGGATGAATCTTGAAGATATTTTAAGTAAAATAAGCCTATCACAAAATGGCAAATATTGTACAATTCCACTTATGTGAGCTCTCCAGAGTAGTAAAATCCTAGAGACAGAAAGTAGAATGGTGGTTTCCAGGGACTGAGAGGAGGGAGGAATGAAGAGTTATTGTTTAATGGGCACAGAGTTTCAGTTTGGGAAAATAACGTTTCGGAGAAGGATTGTGGTAATGGTTGCAAAGCAATGTTAACTCACTTAATTCCACTGAATTGCACACTTGAAAGTGGTTAAGATGGTAAGTTTTATGTTGTGTTTATTTTACCACAATTAAAAACAAAACAACAACAACAAAGAGCAAGATGTCTTAGAAGAAGCCAAGAGTTCTTGAGCATCTTTTTGTACCATCATTTTTTTAAAAATTTTATTATTATTATACTTTAAGTTTTAGGGTACATGTGCACAACGTGCAGGTTTGTTACATATGTATACATGTGCCATGTTGGTGTGCTGCACCCATTAACTCGTCATTTACATTAGGTATATCTCCTAATGCTATCCCTCTCCACTCCCCCCACCCCATAACAGGCCCCGGTGTGTGATGTTCCCCTTCCTGTGTCCAAGTGTTCTCATTGTTCAGTTCCCACCTATGAGTGAGAACATGCGGTGTTTGGCTTTTTGTCCTTGTGATAGTTTGCTGAGAATGATGGTTTCCACCTTCATCCATGTCCCTACAAGGGACATGAACTCATCCCTTTTTATGGCTGCATAGTATTCCATGGTGTATATGTGCCACATTTTCTTAATCCAGTCTATCGTTGTTGGACATTGAGGTTGGTTCCAAGTCTTTGCTATTGTGAATAGTGCCGCTATAAACATACATGTGCATGTGTCTTTATAGCAGCATGATTTATAATCCTTTGGGTATATACCCAGTAATGGGATGGCTGGGTCAAATGGTATTTCTAGTTCTAGATCCCTGAGGAGTCACCACACTGACTTCCACAATGGTTGAACTAGTTTACAGTCCCACCAACAGTGTAAAAGTGTTCCTATTTCTCCGCATCCTCTCCAGCACCTGTTGTTTCCTGACTTTTTAATGATCGCCATTCTAACCGGTGTGAGATGATATCTCATTGTGGTTTTGATTTGCATTTCTCTGATGGCCAGTGATGATGAGCATTTTTTCATGTGTCTGTTGGCTGCATAAATGTCTTCTTTTGAGAAGTGTCTGTTCATATCCTTTGCCCACTTTTTGATGGGGTTGTTTGTTTTTTTCTTGTAAATTTGTTTGAGTTCATTGTAGATTCTGGATATTAGCCCTTGGTCAGATGAGTAGGTTGCAAAAATTTTCTCCCATTCTGTAGGTTGCCTGTTCACTCTGATGGTAGTTTCTTTTGCTGTGCAGAAGCTCTTTAGTTTAATTAGATCCCATTTGTCAATTGTGGCTTTTGTTGCCATTGCTTTTGGTGTTTTAGACATGAAGTCCTTGCCCATGCCTATGTCCTCAATGGTATTGCCTAGGTTTTCTTCTAGGGTTTTTATGGTTTTAGGTCTAACATTTAAGTCTTTAATCCAGCTTGAATTAATTTTTGTATAAGGTGTAAGGAAGGGATCCAGTTTCAGCTTTCTACATATGGCTAGCCAGTTTTCCCAGCACCATTTATTAAATAGGGAATCCTTTCCCCATTGCTTGTTTTTCTCAGGTTTGTCAAAGATCAGATAGTTGTAGATATGTGGCGTTATTTCTGAGGGCTCTGTTCTGTTCCATTGGTCTATATCTCTGTTTTGGTACCAGTACCATGCTGTTTTGGTTACTGTAGCCTTGTAGTATAGTTTGAAGTCAGGTAGCATGATGCCTCCAGCTTTGTTCTTTTGGCTTAGGATTGACTTGGCGATGCGGGCTCTATTTTGGTTCCATATGAACTTTAAAGTAGTTTTCTCCAATTCTGTGAAGACAGTCATTGGTAGCTTGATGGGGATGGCATTGAATCAATAAATTACCTTGGGCAGTATGGCCATTTTCACAATATTGATTCTTCCAACCCATGAGCATGGAATGTTCTTCCATTTGTTTGTATCCTCTTTTATTTCATTGATCAGTGGTTTGTAGTTCTCCTTGAAGAGGTCCTTGACATCCCTTGTAAGTTGGATTCCTAGGTATTTTAATTCTCTTTGAAGCAATTGTGAATGGGATTTCACTCATGATTTGGCTCTCTGTTTGTCTGTTATTGGTGTATTTTTTGTACCATCTTACACTCTACTTGCTCTGTGCCCCTGTGTGTCTGACTTCTCCTTCGTGCTTTCGACCTTCTTTTTACACAACCATCCTGGATGGATAAGCCTGCCCAGCGTGTTTCCTAAGACATAAGTAGATGGATTTTGTTCAAAAGCCTTATCCCAAGGGTTGACATCAGTTCTAATGTGTCTCACTATGGTTTCTCCCAGGAGTCTTCTCAAAACCTCTTGGCCCCACAATCTCAACTGTTAGCCCCAAATGCCAGTATCTGGAGATTCTTTGCCAGGTTAACCCCTACTTTCCCCTTTCAACTCACAGGGGCCCTAGGGACACATGTATTTGCCTGAAATCTCTCTCTTTTCTTGTGTTTGCTAATTTTCTGGCATATCTTTTGCCTATCTTGATTTTTTGTATTTCCAAAATGTGTACATAGTTTAAAATTTTAGGATACAAATGCCATTCCTGGGTAACTAAAATGGTCTTTGCTACAATTATTATTCCATGTGTGAGTACCTTGTGCATGCTTGGACATTATCAGCAAAGCCATGGGATTTGATTCTAATGTTTATTTTAATTCAGCTGGTTCACATTATATAATAAAATCTGACTAATTCTGAATAATGGAAGTTAAGACTACTGTGATTTCCTGAAAAATGAGAATCATTGACTAATTTTCAACATAATTAAATTGTTTTCCTTTCAAATTCCATGTGTATCATAAACAAAGTAAATAGAAACTAATAGGTAAAATGAGATCAGTTACAGAATGATTATGAATCAAAATATAATGGCCTAATGAAATAAATGCCCTTGAACATATACTAATTGTTCAATGGTTAGACTCAGAAATTAAAAGTACCTTGATAGGTGCTCTCATTGTCTTCTCTCCTGGACAGTTGGATGATTTTCTCCCCAGGTATTCTTCTTACCTCTTTGAGAACCCCTTCCACAACTTCTTCACTCTTGTCACTTCTCAATACTCTCATATTTTTTGCTCACTGGTCTTCTTACTTCTCATAGTCTTCCGGATATAATTTCAAGTTCTGCCTACTTGCTGCTGTTTCTCCAACTTCGGTCATTTTGTGTTCTCCAAGCCTGGATTCTCATCTGCCAACTGAACACTTCCACATCTCAGAATAAATTGAAACTCTAGATACTTTGAACTGAATTCATGCTCTTTGTCCTCATAACTCATTATTCTGGTATTCTCTGTACTTCTCTGGCCAGAAACCCCCTTTCTTAATCTTTTAGTAATAGCCAGAGTAGTGTCTAATATTGTGGAACTCTTGCTATGTATTGGCCACTTTCATACGCAGCAGCCCTTGCAAGTGTACTTAATTATGTCCTCAGTTTATGGGTGAGCAGATGTAGATTGAGTGAAGTTAGGTGACTTGCCTAAGAGGTCCAAGTGAAGGTTCAGGCATTAAGACTACAAGGTTTATATTTTTAATGCCACCGTCTTAGTTCAAACCCTCATAATTTCACCTGGAATATCTATTAATTTGCCTTAAATTTCACCTTACTCAGGTCCATTCTCTTTACTGCCACCAGACCTTCCTTTCTCCTTCCTTCCCTCAATTCCTTCCTTCTTTTTTTCTTCCTTCCTTCTTCCTTTTGAGTGAGTAAAAAAGAAAAGACCTATAGTGTCTCTCTCCTCCTTAAATGTTTCAAAGTCTCCATCTTGCCATCCTAATCAAATCCAGACTCCTTAACCCTTTATGATCAGGTCCCTGAATTCTTGCCCAGGATTTTATCTCACCATTTATCTAATGATTTCCTTCTCATCACTTCCAACTCTACCAAACTGCTTGAAATCATCAACAGACCATGCATTCTGGTCTTTGTACCTTTGCATGCACTTCCACCTTTGCCTAGAACTCTCCTTGTACTGGCCAACTCTTAGCATTCTTCAGAACTCAGCCTGTCCTCCCTCTACCTCCACCATGTTCCTATATTGCTCTGGGCTCTGGGCTTTCCAAAGCTGTTTGGAACAATAACCAAATGTTTTTGGATGGTTATATCAGATGGGTACCAGTGCAGGGAAGTCTCTGGTTTTAAATCACTTCCCTATGGCATTCACAGCATTCTTCTGCCTTTTTTCCTATTATTCCTTAGTTAATTACATCTTAAATCAATACGTCCTTACAGAAACAGAAATTCACATCAGTCTCCTCTTTTCTCCTAAAATTTTTTCCAGTTATTTCAGCCACAGAGGTGAATACTTTGATTTATTCTTCTTTCTTTCTCCCTTTCTCTCATATATTTTTATCTGAGAGGAAAGAGACAGCCCCAGTTACTGGTCACATATGCAAACTGACATCTGTATCCAAGAAAAGAAAATGCAAAATGTTTAAAAGTGAGATCAGCATAGTAAACCAATAGCATCCATCTGTAATGTGTTTAGAAATTTTTAGTAGACACTGTTAAGTCTTCACAATGTTTCCATTAACTTCTGATTTATCACAATGCAATTTGCTTTACATCCTACAGCTCCATTAAAAAGCAAATAAGAATATACTTCCTATTAGTTTTGTCTTGGTTAATTATAGATATGGCAACATGCTTAGCTCCTACTATATTTTTAATTAAAAGTATCTATGGCGATCAACTAGAATATGGATTACACAGATTTTATCGTTTGACCTGGAAACTAATAACCATTTGTAAGAGTATTTCTATAGGGAAAAAAAAGGCCTTCCAAGTTTTTAATAGCTGCCTTACAGACTTTGAGGCATAACCCTTCTAGAAGCTGTGGTCTTCTTACATTTAAATTTGTTAAAGTTTCACTGCTTATTTAAAGAAAATTTAAATTGTTTTCCCTGCATGCTTAGGGAACAATGAAAATGTAATGAAAAATGCATGCATTTTCAAGTGAGGCAGATTGGTGTTTAAATTCCACTGCGACCATTTGTGTTTTCTATGTTAAGCTTCACTTAAGCTTTCTGAACCTCAGTTTCTTGATCTGTAAAATGAAGATTAAATCCACGTACATTCTGCATCTGCCCCATTAATAAATCATGTCCACTTTATTCTCAAAAGGTATTCAGAATCGTACAATTTTTTTCACCTGCATGCTGCCATCCTGCTCCTAGTCATCATCACCATTATCTGGATTGCTGCAATGGATTTCTGTTTGGTTGCCTTACTCCTGCCTTTGCCTCCCCTTCAGTCTATTTGCAACTTTGGCAGCCAGAGTATAAATATTAAAAAGTGAGTCAGTTACACCATTCCTTTGCTCAAAAGTCTGTAAGAGGTTCTCATTTCACATGGGTAAAAGCCAAAGTCCTCACTATGTCCCACAAGGCCCTACATAATTTGATTCCTATCCTTCACTATTTCTGACTTCCTAAACACACACACAGGCAGACACACACACACACACATACACACACACCTGTGCCTTAGCAGTCTCCCTTGCCCACCTTTTTCCAGCCACATTGTCCTCCTTGTTCTTAAATATTCCAAATATTTCAGGTATGTTCAGGCCCTTGCACTTGCTGATTCCTTTGCCTAGAATGCATTCTGGATATCCATATGACTTGCTCCCTTGTTTATATCAGTTCTGACTCAAATATTTTCTTCTTGGTAAATCCTTTCCTAGACACGCTTTCTAAAATGGCCAGTGACCCTCTTTCTCACCCTGTGCCCACACCTCATGTGCTCCTTTGCTTTATTTTCTCCTTAGCATTTACCAGTCTCTAAACACTGTATCTTTTATTTACCCTCATTGATCTCCCCTCCTAGAATGTAAGCCTCATGGAGGATGGGAATTTTTGTACTATTTGCTTTTGTTGTACTCCCAGCACTTAGAACCCAGGGCCTGGCACATAGTAGTAGGCACTTGATAACTTTGGTTTAATGACTTCCTACCTCTCCAATTGTTTCAAAGATTAAGTAAAATAATCCATATAAAGGATCTCCTACGTAGCAGTCACTGACTCTTAAGAAATTTGGCTTTGGTGGGAGTGGGGGCAGATGGACTTATGTTTAAACATACCTCTTTTGACTACCAGCTCTTGATCTGTGGGCAATTTACCTAGGCTCTCTGAGCCTCAGCTCCCTCCCCACAAAACCCCTTCCATGTATGAAATGGGTTATAATTAACATCTCACCTTACTATATGGAATAAATAATATAATGTATATAAACTACTTGGCACAGTGCCTGGCATATAATTAACACTCAGTAAGTCGTAACTGTTAATATGCTGATTTTTAAACATCTTATCCCATGGAAGTTGAGGAAAGTAGATCGTGGGAAGTAGTGGGATGGACTCGGAGTCCTTGGGTCCTGTCTTCTGTTTAATTCTGCTCTTTGATAGATGTGTGCCTTTGAAAAAATAACACAACCTTTCTCTGCTTCAACTTCCTGTGAGGAGTACAGTAAATGATGACAACATAACACCCAGGCAAGAACTGTTTGTCAAAGGGAAACTAGTTTCTCTATGGAAAAACTGTTATGAGTTTTATTAATAAACTAAGTATGTTGGGTAGAAAAGAAGAGTTCTACCTGCCAATATCAATATGCATTTTAAATTTTAGATAAAATAAAGATAAAAATATTTTATTCTAATTATGGATGATCTGTGTCTTTCAGGACTGTATGTGCATTCTCCCAAATATCAGCTCTAATGTCATATTTTTCTATAATAGTGTCAGACTAAGAGCCTATGAAAACCTTGTCATTCTCGGGCGGGTGTGTGTGTGTGCGCACGTGCATGCATGTTGGGGTTAGGGTTACCAAATAAAATACAGGACAACCAGTTAAGTTTGAATTCATTGTAAACAATGAATATGGTTGTTATACAAGTTTTAGCGTATAAAAGTTTAGTGTAAAACTATTTATTGTTTATGTGAAACATTTTAACTGAGCATGCAGTACTTTTAGTTGCTTAATCTGACCAACCTACAGGGGGCGCTGTATATGTCTGTATGATACCCTTAGGCTTGTGACACAGGAAATGCGGTCTGATTAGTTCTGCAGCCTTAGTTACAAGGGTCAGCTGTGCTGAAACTAGGTAGGTCTCTGCTGGCTTACTGCCACTCCCAAATGCTGCCCTCTACAACAGCCAATTACAGTGTCACCGAGCCTTCTCATTAGACACAATCTAATGAGAAATGGCAAACGTCAATACTTTGGAATTTTGTTCTTTAGAAACTGTGTGGCAGATGAAGCAATTTTTCAACATTTAGTTTCATAATGAAATGATATCTTTGAAGTTCTGCATATTATATAAGAATGGGTTGACAATATTTAGACCCATTGAGTGTTAGATATGGAAGGGTCTTCAGATGCCACCTTGGCTACTCTTTTTATGCTGATAAGGCGACACTCAGAGAGTTCAACAGATTTGTGCAGGACTACATTCTGGCTTGGATGAGATTTTGGCCCTCTGTCTTCAGGCTCCACTGGTTTTCCCTACAGTGTTTCCCCTATGGTGCTCCCTATCTAATCCCTGCCATGACATTAGAATACACATTCACGTAGTGACAGAGTAGGATCCATTTTTCTTTCTCTGTGTGGCACCTTGCCCAGGATCATTTGGATGTATGGATATAATTGATAATCTGGTGCACCATGGTGTGTAAACATTGCCATCCACCTGGCCACTGTTATTTTAAATCATAAGCTCATCTCTATTCACATAATTTTCTATGCATTAAATTGGGTCACTTAATGTGATTATACAAAAATAATGATCCTATTCCCAGGCCCTTATGATAATGCACATTTTTTTCCTATTCTTTGAGGTGCAATGTCAAAGGTAGATTCTAGTGTAACTTTCATCACTACAGCTTATTTAGATATTCTGCATTTTCAATATTTCAGTAAAATTTAAAATGTTCTTGCTTCAGAACAAATTCTAAATAATGTGACACCAACGGGACAATTGGAAATTTAAACAGTGACTTTAACGGTGTTGGAAAAGAATGATGTTTCATTCTTTAGGTGTGATAATGGTGTTGTAGTTACATTTAGAGACACATACTGATATACTTATGGATGTGCTCTTGGCTTGACTTCAAAATTATATTGTGGAAGGAGACAGGATTAAGTAGGGAATGGATCAAACAAGATTACTATTGAGATAATTACTGAAGGTGGATAGTGAGTACATGACAGTTTCATTATACTATGCTGTCTACTTTTGTATATGCTTGAAATTTTCCAGAACAGTAAAAACTGTATCCTTATCTCCAAACTCTAGTCTGCTTATACAAAGACAAAATAAAATTACATCACAGGAAATCAAAGATTTTAATGCCCATCTTTAGTGGGGAGAAATAATATTTGTCCAAAAGTTCAGTACTTGTGTGTCTGCTTCTTTTGTTCCCCTTCGTATTTTTGTGTTTTGGGGAGAGTAAACATGTAAGAGAAAGAACTTAGAACTGGGGACTCAGGGAGTCTAGATTCTAGCAAGTTTCTGCCTTTTGTTAGTTGTGTGACCTCAGGCAAGATACTTAATCTCTTTGGGTCTCAGTTTTCTCATTATGTAAAATGAGAACATTGCACTGTGTGGTTTCATAGGGCGTTTGGCTCTAAAATTGTTTGACTTGATATCACACGCAGGCTTTCCAAATCCCCTGCAAACTTGGCTCATGGAGTGTTTAGTCCTGTATTCTGTCTCTATTAATGGAGCAACGGGCTATATTCTGGGGACAACTGATTTTGACTTAAAGATATTAGGAATGAGACACCGAAATATTTTATGCTTCCCATGAATCTCCTGTGCAGCAATTTATTATTTAGTTTCTTCTGAAATTGCTATTTTTTTTTTGAAATTTTCTAGTCAACAATGAGTTACAGAAATTATTTCTCACTTTGAAAAGTTGAAATTTCTTGATATAGTGCTAAAATAAACTCAAGATTTTAAAAGTGCACCCTTCTTTTAGTAGGCCAAGGTCTTCTTAATAATACCATATATTCTATATATCATTTTATGATTTTATTACCTTCAGTTATCTCCCCAGTTTTCTTAATTCTTTTATGTATTCTCATGTAGCCAGATCTCTTCACCAATTTTATTACTTCTTTTTTTTTTCTATTCCTAATTCTGGAATTTGGCACACATTACATATGTTGTATTTAGGCCATAAAAAAAATGCTATAGTGAGACTTCTGAATATGTGAAGCACAACCTTAGCTCACTGTAGATCTATATCTTTGTAACTTCTACACGAGTATTAAATTGTATTGCAGTCCTATAATCATTGCAAAACATTTGCTTATTAAAAATATGTACTGGATACTACTTTATAGTAATACTAAGTATTATCTCAATGTCACATCAAAATTCATCCATTCAACAAATGTTTAATGAATGTCTTCTAGATGTGTTAATTCTGAAAAGCGATTTCACAGGAAAGAAGGCTTAGAAGAAATTACCAGAGGACACAGATTTCCAATTTTAAACTGATTTATTCATCAGAAAATGTTACTAAGTGACACTTACTTATTCATACACACAGTCCTCCTCTCGCGTAGATACTTCAAAATTACCATAATTAATTCAGAGACCCAACTCTGGTCCTCTTAAAGTAAAGTGACTATTTCAGTGGAAGCTATAATGGAATATCCCTAAGAAATCCATTGTCATCCTTAAAAAATACAAATCCTCTTGGCTTACTCAATGTCTTTGTGATAATCCTTTTTATCAATCAGTAACCTTCTGGACCAGGATTTGTTTGTTTAGTTTCTATGAAGCAGTGATGCTTTTATCTAGAATCTTTCAGCACCAGTTTTTGATCTTCATGGAATCATGGGGTTTTCTCTCAATTTGTTAGAAGTACTAGACATGACAAGTACTATGATTTGTTCCTTCTTTAGCCAGATATGTACTCTAGTGACAATGCCAGATTCTTGGATACTGCTTTTGTAACCATTCCTTTCTTTCACCATAATCTCTGACTGATACATTAGGGTGGGCTCTGTGGTTAGCTACTAATATTAACATTCATTCATTTAGTCATTCATAAACATTCTTTTGGTCATTCACTCTTTGTTAGGTAAGTACAAGAGTGGCAAAGATAATCCTGGCACCCTCCATTTCAAAATAACATGTTTCTTGTTATATAACATTTCTTGTTAATAACAAAATAACATATTAGTGATACTTGGTAGCATATCAACTAATCATATGGTCTGTGGTTGAACTTAAACAGTCTGTGTTCTCTTGATCACAGTGTCTTGAGTTTCTTTTTGAGTCTTTCATAATGTTTTCATGAAGATTCCCATCAGGCTGCAGGGGAACATTAGGGAACATGTGTCCAGGGGAAAGGATTAACCAAATCATTCTCCCTTCTTGGCCAACCCTTTGGAGATTTTCATTGTTGTTGTTTCACCGTCCTTTTAATACTCTTTCATGAGGAATACTTCAAAGCCTTTTTAAAATGAAAAAAATTAGGGTCACTGGTTGCCCTTTGATCATATAGTTCTCTCATTTTCACATAACTGCTTTATGTAAAAGAGGGCTTGATTTTCTATTTGAAAAATCAATTTCCTCCCTGAGCCCCTCCTATTACTCTCCATAGTGACTTTTTATTCATTCATTCAACAAATATTTACCAAATGCTTATTGTGTGTTAGCACTGCATAGATAAAAAACTCAGTAAGTATATTTTTCTTAGGAAAGCTATGACTCAGTTCTTTTCTCTGACCAGCATTATTTTTGTTATTGATATCCCTCCCTTGAATTGTGTTTGCTTCTTATACTGAACATTTACTGTGTTTGTTTCTGTTTGCCCTAGCATTCTAAGCAACACAACGCAATTTTGGGTACTGTAAATTTTTTCAATTTTTTTAAAAATTAAAACTGAAGGAAATAATTCAAATATTCTTCAAGCCATATCTATATTATCCTCAAAAACTTGTACCTTTATTTTTTTAACATTATCCTCTGAATGTATAGTATTAAACTATTCCCTAATTCTCACAGATAATGATGGAGTAAACTTTACTTCTTGGGCAACTATCACTTTTAGGCATGGAGACCAGGGAACTTTGCCTTCCTTTTGTGTATTTGTTCCCAGAATCATCTTCCTAAAGTCCCTGAATTTGTCTCCTGACCACATTTTAAATTGTCCTCAATCTTCCAATCTGAATCTCGCCCTACTCTCGTGCCAACTTGTTAAATAGCCCTTCAGTTCTCACTTGTAATCCTCATATAATTTTCCCTCATTGTGTTACAAGGATTTCTTCTTCATTTCCCTTTTGTCTTATGAATTCCTGTGTTTGGGGAGTGGGTGGTCACTTCTGTGACAAAGGAGAGAAAAGATTGCCAAAGATGTTATCTCTTGTGCCTTTTTTATTTCCTTTGCTCCACACTCTCCATTCTGTATTCTTGATCACATATTGTAGATGATTAGGTTGGGAGGAGAAAGAAAATCAGGTGCATATTTCACATGTCAATTTGCCTAGAACGTATCAAACCTCTTAACTGGTCTTCCAGGCTGTAATTTCTACCCTAGGCAGGCAATTCAGCAGACAGATAACATGTAACCTGTTAAAATGCAATTGTAGTTATTCACACACAGATATTTCTTCAGGCACATTAAATAATGCCTGTTCCCATTTCCTTAACATTCCCTTTATTTACAACTATCCTGATATTCAGTTCATTCTTTAAGGAAGAACTCAAATGCTACTTACTCCATGAAATGATCCTTCACATTTGTAAGAGAATTAATTCCTCTCTCCTCTGTTCTATAGTTTTACTGGATTATTCTGTTATAATTATATAATGTTCCTCTTTATCCCTAATAGTTCTTTTGGCTTTAAATTTTATTTTGTCTTATATTAATATTGCTATAGCTTTATTTTTTGTTTTATATTTTCTTTAGTATTTTACTAGAAGAGTTTTTAAAAAACCTTTTTATTGTTTTGCCTTTTCATGTAATTTTGCTTTAGACATGTCTCATAACTGGACTTCAAAAAAAATCCAATCTGATAGAATTTAATCCATTTATATTTATTGTTATTCTTGGCTGACTTGTACTTTTTCCTATTTTCAAATCTCAGTTTCAACCTTTACTAACTTTGTGATTTGGACTATTTGTTTAACTTATATATATCTTACTTTTGTCATCTGGAAAATGTTGGTTATAATAGTATCTACCTAATTGTAAAGAATCAGTCAGTTAATGTACGTAAAATACTTTAAATGGTGCATAGCATTTAGCTATGTGATAGCACTGTGTAATAGCACAGTGAATGCTATTACTACCACCACTGCCAGTACTACTACTACTATTTTACCTTGTTTTCTAAGACCTTATTTATTTTATTTCTTTGTTTGCTTTTTATAATTTCCTGACTCACTGTAGAAAAACTTTTCTACTCTTTTTTCCCTTTCTACTGGATTGAAACTATAAATTTTAGTCCACTGTTTTATTGGTTACAATTATTTTTGTTTATTTTTAAATTTACTTACAGTAGCATTCATCCATTTGGTGTACAATTCTATGAGTTGCAATGCATGCACAGATTCTTGTAACTATCACCACAATCAGAATTCTAAACAATTCCAAATGCACTATTTTCTCCTGCTGACCTCCGTAGTCAGACCTCCTACTACCCCTAAAATCTGGCAATCACTGATCTGTTTTCTGTCTCAAAAGTTTTCCCTTTTTCATCTAAATGTAATAATAGAGTATGTAATATTTTGAGATTGTGTTCTTTTACCTAGAAAAATGTCTTTGAGATGAATCTATATGGAGATCTATTACATTTTAATGATAAAAATTTTTACCAAAATTTAAAATTATTTAATATATCCACACTTTTTAAATGAAAAGATCTTAGCTATATGTACACACACTGACCCTCCATTCTTCTGTTTTTCTTCTTATTGTTGTCTAGAATTTTAATTCTACTTTTAAAAACATAATGTTTCTTTGTTTTTCAGGTAATTGAATGTAGCAAGAATGTTCTTTAATTCTTTCAGTCACTCATTTTTTTTTCATCTTTTGACCCCTTTGTATTTACTATTTTTCTTACTGATGCACATTCCTTAATAGTTTTTTCATCAAGGGTCTGTGAGTAGTAATTTCTCTTACTCTTTGTCTGAAAATGTCTTTTTTTTTGCTGTTTCTTCAGTGTCAAATGATAGTATACCTTGAGATAGAATTCCAGATTGACAGTTTTCTTTCCATTTTCAGAAGATATTTTCTATTGTTTCCTAGTCATATTGCTACTAATGAAAATTTATTGCCAATTTTGTCAATTTTATTTTTTGTAGATAAGCAGTTATTCTTTCTGGGAAGTTTATATATATGAATATATAGTTATATGTATAGTTATTCTTATAGAGTTATTCATATATATAGTTACTGTGTGTGTGTGTGTGTATATATATACACATATATATAGCTATTCTTCATTCAGTTTCACTAAATTCTACTGAAGTATTGTTTTATGTTTGGTTTTTCAACTTGACCTTTGTTTTATACTTTTAATCTAAGAATATCTATTTTTATTCAGACTTGGAATTTTTTATCTATTCCCTTTACTCTATACTTTGAATTTTTTTAAGTATACTTGAGAGTCTTAACTGGCATTTTATGTCTCTTAATTGCTTTTTTATGTATTTTAAAATATCTTTATCTTTTTGCATTGCATTTTAGGTGAATTTATCAATACTACATTTCAGTTCACTAATTCTTATCATTGACTCTTACTAGTTTAAAGTTTATTCCACTAACTTTATTTTAAAAAATTAAACCTTTATTTGTAATATTCAAGATTTCTAATCTACTTACTCTTCTTAGCTATTTGTATTTCATAGTATATGGTTCTATTTTTTTTCCATATTATTGCTTCTCTGTATCTTTTTGAAAATCCTTAAGGTTTTTATACTGAAGTTGTTACCAAGATGTTTCTGTTTTGTTTTGTTTTGTTTTTCCCCCTCTGGAATACATTTATTTCCCACTTGTTGATTTCTTTGATTACAACTTTTAGCATTAAATTTTCTTTACTGTTTTGGAGTTTTGGTTTGATATAGCAGATTAGTTGATGCTATTTCCGTTGAGTCACGACTGTGAATCCCTGTCTCTTCTTTAATTTGATGGAATTTCTAACTATTTTTTAACAACAGACAATGGTGGAACTGACACTGCATCAGTTTCTGGATACTTCTTATCTCTTGTATCAGTCACTTTAGAGCCTTAAACTGAGACTTGAGAAGTTTCACTACCATGTGAATGACCACATGGAAAGACCCTGAGACTTCACAGAGAGGGAGTGGGGCCTAGCTGATCCCAACCTTCCAGCCATCTCTGCCAGGGAACCAGGCATGTGAGCGAATCTGTCTCTGACCCTTCATATCACCCCAGCCACCATCTGAATACAATCAAGGATAATAATTGATACCAGGTGAAGCAGAAGAATCACTCAGCTGAAACCTGTTGAAATTCCTGATCCACAAAATTATAAGATAGAATGAAATGGTAATTGTTTTAAGCCATTAAAGTTTTAGGGTGTTTTGTTACTTAGCAACAGACAACAGAAATGGGGTTTTATCTTGAATCTGACTGTTTCCCTGCCTCCTACCCGCACCCCTGCAATCTCTGTACATACCCTTCTTGACTACTGGTTTTGGGATGCTTCACTAAATTTCCCCATTCCTCAGTCCAGAACTAAGGCTTAGAGCTCCTATTGAGAGCAGGTGATACGGGAGTTACTGCAGATTGGAGTCACTGAGCTAAAAGCATCTTGGTCCAGTTCCTCACTTACATGAAGCACCTCCACTATCATCCCTTCCCTCTGCCAGAGCCTCAGGAAATCTTTAGAGTGAGAACCTGGAAGTAAAGCACATGAAAATGTGGAGCTCCACTAGGACTTTGACCCCAGAAGTGTCTCACTCTCATTTAATTCACACTCAACCTCCAAAAATTCACACTCAACCTCCAAATTCAAGCTACTTCGAAGTTTCAACCTCCAAAAATTCAATAATCCATTTTAAATGTTTCTATGAGTCTATGGCTTCAGAGTTTATAGCTTCAGAGACTTCTGCTCCAGGTATGTAGATCTAGGCTGTGTCTCTTGGATATGCCTGTCTCCCCAAATTTCAGGGTGATGGTTTGCTATACAGCCTCAGTTCTCTGATGGGTCCAAGAAAAGTCAGTGATTTTCAACTTATCCAGCGTTTCCTTGTAAGGATGACAGTGATGACTTCCAAGTACCTTGCCTGTCCGAGCTCAAGCCAGAAATTAGTTATGGCTTTTTTATTTTAAATTTTCATAATTTTTATAAGTATATATTATTGTTAAAAGTTTGGACCAGGATGCAGAACCTCCAAGTGTGAAATCACAATTCCGCCTCTACCACAAATCCTGAATATTTTCTTTACAATTCTTTTTCAGTGTATAAAGCAGACTTTTTTTTTAAAAAAAACTATATAATCCGTCTAACATACACGCAGAAATGTGCCCCATCCTAAGTATACAGAACAATGAATTTTCACAAACTGAAAGTCACCAGTACAACTGGCACCCAGGTAAAGAATCAGAACATTACCACACTCCCAGGAACACCTCTCATGCCCTCTTCAACTGCCCTTTCAACTTTACTAATTGCCCCCACTCCCAAAAGACAACTACTATTTTGACTTCTTATAGCATATGCTAGTTTGGCTTGTTTTTGAACTTATACGTGGAATTGTACAGTATGTGCTCTTTCGTATCTGACTTGTTGGGTTTAATGTTAGGTTTTAAAATTAATCTGCATTATTGTATATAGTTCATTCTCATTGCTCACTGTGACAATTTATCTGTCCATTCTAAAGTGTATGAAGATTTTCATAGTTTCCAGGGCTGCTGAAACTTTCTAGTACATATTTTTGATGAATATATATGTGTGTTTCTATTAGGTGTATACCTTGGAGAAGTCTAATTGCTGGGTCATAATGTATGCATACTTTCAGCTTTCGTGGACACTGAAAAAAAAGTAATTTTCTGCATGGCTGTCCCTGTCCTCCTTCACTCCCTCATTTCCCTATCCCATCAACACTACCCAGAATGTATGAAATTTCTAGCTGCCCCATATCCTCATGAACATTTGATATTTTGCGTCTTTTTCTCTTTTGCTGTTTCTAAAGTGTATAGTGGTGTTTCACTGTGGTTTTAATTTTATTTTCCCTATGGGTAATAATGTTGAGCATCTTTTTACGTTTACTGGCCCTTTGAGCATGCCATCCATTATGATGGACTTTTAGTCAAGTCTATCTTTCTAGCTAGACTGGGAGGTCTTTCTAGGCAGGGTTCTTATCATTACCTTTGCATCTCTCAAAATCTGCCATGATGTTCTTCTCATGTGCCTTTCACCCAGTGTTACGGAGATGTCTGCTTAACTGAATGAACATATAAAACATATAGGGTCCACTTTTATATCCCAAGCTGCACTTAGGAGCCACCACAAGGATTATTCCTGAAAAATCAAATATGTAAGTTTTAGATTTTACAAATTTAAAAGATCTTAAGTAAATATTTATTCAGTGCCTAGTATATATTGGGTTTTGTGTGAAGCTGTGTTGGTGGAGGGCTTATGAGTGAATCAGAGACAATTCTTTTACTCATGGAGCATTTAGACCATGGGCCGGCCTAGATTAAGTGCTGGTTTTGAACGAGCCCGCCTTTAATATAAGACCTCGATGTATATTCCGCCATCTCGCTGGTGCAGTTGGATGGGAAGAAGCTGATGTATAGTACTTTAAGTATATGAACATGGAAGCTACTTTGAAATTTCATCTTGTGAGATTTCTGCCTAGTAATTTTCTAAAAGGAAAAAAAATTAAGATTTTTCACTGATACTTTTTTCAAAAGTGGTGTGAAGTGTGTTTCGGAGATGAAAACATCCAATTACTTGGTTCCTAATTTCTCAGCTATCCTAGACAGTCTCAAGTGTCACTGTGGGTTTTGTTAAAGAAATTCTCTTCCCAGTCTGACACAGCTTTGTTATCCTCTATAATAGCAGAGCTGTGACCTCCACCCTGAGGAAACACTCTTCCTGGCACTAACTATGACACCTAGAGATTTCATTTTGCCTCAAACACTTTCCTATTTTCCTCCCATAACTGTGAAAAACTCCTCTGTGGAATCAGGTACTTTATGCAGTAGGTACACACACTGAAAAAATGACTTTCAGACTGTGGACAGCCACCTCCCAAAGGAAAAATACTGTAGCTGTGAAGGTGATGGCACAAAGCCAGTTTCTCCATGGTGCTTAGTGAGAGATCCCATTGTGTACTTATTTGCTTTTTTAAAGGTATCTTCATTCTGCTTTTCTCTTCTAATCAACTTCTGCTACAGAAAGTAAAGAGAAAAATGAACCCTTCCATGGAGAAACTACATTATGTTTAGTACCTAAGGTATAAAGGGTGGCTGTTGTTTTCTTGTTTTCATCATATTCAAAATGATTCAAAACTTTTCACCTATTGAAGATGAGGTGACATATGTATCTCAACAGTTATGATGATTCACGTGCCCATTTCTTCACTCTGTGCTCTGTGAAGTGATAAGAGATACTTTCGTAGCTCATGTTTCATGGAACTTGTGCCTGTAAACTATTTTAGGATTTCTGGCCTAATGCACTTTCCCTCAATGATAGTTAAAATTCCGTGGGAAGGTTTCCACATGCCATGGACTTAAACATGTCCTAGCAGCCACAGCATGGCAGCTGAACTTTCTTCTCCTTCCACCCTGTCTCTGGTTCCAGTGACTCGCTACCAGGGACTCGTACTCACAGAAGAATGTTTTCTACAGGGAACCATTGTCCCTGTCCCCCTCCTCTTCATCATGATCGTGGAAACAGAGCTGATGCTGAAGTGCTCAAGGCGTCGAAGGCATGTGTGTTCCCTTGAGACACCAGCACATTAAGTTCATATCTGATTCATGCAGAAATGGAGGGAGGGTGGGCATGGTGGCTCATGCCTGTAATCCCAGCACTTTGAGAGGCCAAGACGGGCTGATCACCAGAGGCTGGGAGTTTGAGACCAGCCTGACCAACATGGAGAAACCCCCGTCTCTACTAAAAATACAAAATTAGCTGGGTGTGGTGGCGCAGGCCTGTAATCCCAGCTACTCAGGAGGCTGAGGCAGGAGAATCACTTGAACCTGGAAGGCGGAGGTTGCAGTGAGCCATGATCACACCACTGCACTCCAGCCTGGGCAACAAGAGCCAAACATCATCTCAAAAAAAAAAAAAAGAAAGAAAGAAAGAAAGAAAAGAAATGGAGGGAATACTTCTTTGCTTGCTTCTCTGTTAATCTTTTTCTTTATCAAATATGTCCCCAAGCAACACACCTACGCCCCATGTCTCACTGAGTTTCTAATGAAGGAACTCTTTCGTTTTCCATCTGTTGTCCCTGTCCCCAGAGGCCTGGCAGGGAGAAATATGCAAGTGACCAGCACCACACTGCACTTAGAATCATCTCCCACTTCCAGTGACCAAGGCATTGTCCTTGGGTTAGGCATGTATCCCCTACTCTCCCTTCCCTTAGCTGGAGTCCCTCCCAGAGGGTGCCTCAGTTTCTCAGGAGAGTGGTCTTTTGTGGGGGCTTACCTTCCAGTTCAGCTGACTGAAATGTCTACCTTCAACCACGCTCACAGCTTCCATATGCCTTTTTTCTGGGACTTCACCACCACTACTGCCCTCAAAGCCCTGACCACATGCCACAGTATTTATTTGTGAGATTACTTGTCTCGTTGGTAAATACAGCTAGTTAGAAAACATCCTTAGTTATCCATTATCCAAACAAATACAGCTCAAGTTTTGTATTTTGTGTTCATGAGCTTCTTTATGTGGTTTCTGAGATTCCAGATTCCTTTGATACTTTTTCAAACCTTCTGCTTGCCTTTTTTTTCTGAGCTGCATTTTCTATTTCCTTACCTCGTTTAACTGCAAATACCCCATAGCATTTGAGTCCTTGCTTTTCTACTCTGTCCTGACCTCATCTGAAACCTCCTTACCTATTGCTTTGATTACCACAATGTGGTAATTACACTATGTGGATCTCTTTTGATCAGTCACAGATTTGACTTTTTTTGGTCTATTCAAGTAATGTTTTTCCAGACACCACTATGTGCCAAGAGCTGTAGTCATGATGAAGATGCCTCAAAATATACTCTTAAGGAAGGCAGAAAAGGAAACAGATGATGAGATAGTGGCGACTTAAGACAGTCGTATGAAAAAGGGGTGAAAGGAGCACCTATGGGAGATGACAGCCTTAACAGGTAAGGTAAGAGAAGTCTTCTTGCATTGGCTACTGCTTATCCTTGGCTCAGCTCTCAGTTATTCATCACCTTCTCTCAGTAATCAGTCCCTGACATGTGACCTTGATTGAGACAATAATTGCGCCTCATCCTCCCTCCCACATTAATAGGTCCAGGGATAGACATATGACCTTAGTTGGGCCAATTGAAGGTATTCCCCTAGAATTTTCCTAAGAATTCTCTATCCTCTTTCATATAGTGGCAGTTGCCTGCAACTGTGTTTGCAAAAAGCCTGTTTGTACAAGGAAGAAGTTAAGTTATTATATTGTGGGAGTAGGGAAGGGAGGCAGGATCCACAAAGAGACCTGGCAACAGGTGTCCCTAGATCAGGCCATGCCTGAAGTCAGGTCCATCACCGTTCTTTCTGTCAATACAGACTTCTTTTTTTTTTTTTTTTCTGTTTAAGTTGCTCCAGGTTTTGTTTAAATTGGATGGTTCAGGATTTCGGTTCAGGATTGCAACTAAAAGAGATGCAATTTAAATGTTCTCTAAAGGAGGTGATGCCAGAGTTGAGTGCTGAAGAAGGAGAGGAGCATCACAGAAAGGGGATGCACTTTGAGCAAAGGCTGCAATGAGATGGAAACGTGAACAGTGAGGACATTAACGGAGGGGGAGAGGACACTGCTCAAGGATATTGGAGAATCATTTCCACTGGAGACCAAGCAGAGGAGTTTGGGGTTTTACCCTGAACACAATAATAAAATAATGAATTTTAGGAAGATAGCTTTGGTACCCCAAACTTTTTTACTCAAGTTCATTTGGAGAATGACTTGGAATGGAACAAAAACAAAGCAAGGAGAAAATTTAAACAACTCCTCTGTTACTCCAGTCAACAATGATAAAGACTTGAATTAAGGCAGTGGTCCGGAGAACAGAGTAAAATGGTGGCTTTAAAGGAGAATAAAGAGATGAAACTGCCAGGGCAGACCTTGGGCCACTCGAGGATGAAGGAGCCGTTCCACTGAGATGGGGGACATCAGAGGCAGAGAAGGTCTGGAGGGAAGTTGAGGCATTTGCCCATTGTGCCTGGCAGCTCAGGCTATCCTCAAGCTATCCAAGTCACCGCCAGATGAATTTTAATAAAATACTCTTTTCAATGTATTTCTTCATCTGTGAAAAGATTGTTGAGGGAGGATAAGTTTAGATTAGTTGATCTTTAAGATTACTTCAGGTGATTAAAAAAATTGATTATGTGTCACTGCCAAGGAATCTACACAAAGATTCAAATTCTAATCTCTCACCCTAGATTCTAAACCTTCCATTTTCATTTGGCCTCCCTGTGCCTCTTTAATCTTATTTACAGATGCTTTCCATGCCACACTCTCTTCTCTAGACAGAGCAGTTCCTTCCATGTTCCTGCAGATGCCGAGTTTATAAGACGCTCCTGTACAGAATCCTGTTTTCCATTTCTTTCTTAGCAATTGTCTTAGCTTGGCTAGTTCTCCATTCTATTGAGATGCCTTCCTTCTCCATACTCTGCTCTGTCCTGGGGCCCTTATATGTCGTCTCTGAACGTGCACTGTACTCAACTCCTATGTAATACAATCAGTCATACATATTCTCTGTAATTTAGAACTCTAATTATTTCATATGTGTTGGTTTGCTTTCTAAACCTAGTGCTTCTTAAGGGTCTTTGGTGTCTGGAACAGTGTTGGGTGAATTGTAGAAGCATCATATAAGTCAGTTATACATGTTCTTCACGTCTCCTGGAATCTTTCTCCACCTCTACTTTTTCACAAAATTCCATTCATACATCCTATAAGATGCAGTTCAAAGTTTGTCTCATCTGTGAAGCTAAGCCCCAGACTGAAATGAATTATTTACTCTTATCTTCATACATATGTAATATATAATATATATTTGAATATTTGTGCATATTTCAGTCATAATATTTTTCAAATAATATAGAGCAGCATTTCCAATAATACCTATAAGAGGCAGATTTATTTTAATATCCCTAAGCCACCACACCTAGTACAATGATTACTTGACCCTTTGAAATATTTTTGCAGGGAAGAGGATTTCATATTTGTATCCATGAAGTCCCATTAGCACATTGCAGCATGAGGACAAGGTTGAGCTCATCCAGGGAATAAGCCCATCAGCTGACAGAAAGCAGGTGATGAGATCTCTCACCAGATTAAAAAGGGAAGGGCAGCAACTCATTAGGAAACACAGAGATGTCTGCTTAATTACTTGAAAAATGTCTGAGCCAGTACATTTTATGACACCTGGAGGGTATAAACATGCCCATAAATTTAATTAATTTTCTTTGTTCTTTCATTGCACCTGTATGGCATAAAGGAAAGGAAGTCTAATGAAAGTACAATCAAGCACTTCTGCCAGACTTCCACAGTTCATTTGGGCAATATTCAGAAAATGAAATACTGAATTTCTTATCAGTTTATGGGGAGAAATGTATTTGGAAAAATGCAGCCCAGCGGTGAAGTTATTCACATGTCAAACTCTGATCAATGGCTTCTTCAGCTTTATTTCCAAAAAGAGCTTAAATCTCTTTATAGATGTATTAAAACATTTAATACTCATAAATCTCTAAGGAGAAAATCAGAACTAGATATTTTTTTCTTGGGGGAAAGCATTATATGAGAACTAGAAGGTGTAGGGGAGTTGGTCAGAACTATAGAGCAAGTAGCCCCATTTGCTCTCTGTTGTAGTAGCATCGCCCACACTTTTGTTAAAAATCTTTAAATCTATGATATTGCTATTTTTATCAAATGAAAATGTAATAGTAATGAGTATGCTTGAATATCCATTGCAATATTACATCATTTAATGAGTGCTCACTCTTTGCCAGAGACTGTACCAGTACTTTACATATCTGATCTTGAATCCTCATAACAGCACTGCAGATAGTAATAACCCATTTGAAATGACTCCCGGAAAGATTACAGGTCTTATCCAAGGCAACATAGCTAGTAAGTTTTGAAAGTAGGACTCAAATCCAGGTCCTTTTGGCTCCAAAATCTGTGCCCATTTAATTTTGTTATATGAACAGTAATGTCAAGCCATTTTTCTCCTTGTTAATTCAGTGTCACTGAACATATGAAAAGTTTATAGACACTTCTTGTTTTCTTAAAATAATTTTGACATCATTGAGCTTTGAGTAGTGAATTATTCATTGGAGCTTCTGGACATAGCCCGAACAATCTGCCCTCCCAAGAACTTACTGAAGAAAACTTCAACTGTGTATGACTTCAATCCAAAATATACTTGTCTGCCTCCAGTTTTTCCTATAGATACCAGGAAGGGGTGTCTTACTCAGTGTAGGAGAAAGGGAAGGAAACTATCGCGTATTGAGCTCCAACTTTGTGCTCAGTATATATCCAGCCTTTTGCATGTATTAACTCACTTGATATGAGTTATGTGGGGAGAAAGGTGACCATTCAGAAGCCTGTTACCAAGTAATTCTCACTGGGAACATCCCAGGGCAATGCTGCCAATTCCCTTGGCATTCTACTTTTAGAAGAGTGGTGGTGAATGCTAAGATTTATAGTCGAACATATCCTGAGGTGATTTGAAAACTGCTACTAGATAAAAGTGAAATGAAATATTTTCATTTTAGCTGTTAAATTTCTCATTTTGTCATGAAATACCATAGTTAATGCTGTTTTCAGTTGTAATCTCTTGTAAACTCATTGACTGTTAATGTTTAGTGGGCCCATAAACTAATTTGAATTGATCTGATTTTGCACAATCAAGCCCGTTACACTTGTTTCAATTTTTTGCATCACAGCTTTAACATCTGGAAGCTATGAAAAGCACAACAGCCTGTCTAAAGAGACTGTCACAAGAAATCGTGTTAAAGGACATATTATTAAGACCTGGCTAACCATTGGCACTAACGCTCCTGCCACGCTCTCTCCGCTTCTGTATCCAGCATTACAGATGGGAGTAGACAAGAGGGGTGGAGCATGCGTGGAAGGCTGCTCCGCAAGCCTTAGTTGGGAAATGCATTTCCCAAAACAGATTATTTTCTAGGTACCTACTAAGCTCCCCAACCCATTCCCCCTCCCATTGCCCTCTCTGATTGGTTTATCCCAAGCAGTGATTAGTTCCTCAGTGATACTTTGGACTTAATCAGGGCTAGCTGACATATTCCTGGGGCAGAGTCAGAAATACTTTTGTATTCAAGATTCTGAACCATTATGTGTGTATCAGTATGGCTATATGTCTTTGTTCTTTCCTAATCATTATTCTTTGAAGAAGCTAATAAACAAATAAATCTGCCTTTGAAAGTGCAACATGTTAAAAAGAGTCCGCCTGTGATTATTTTCCAGACGTAGCAAGGGAGAATTAAGGCACCAAATTCATTCACATTTTTGCATGCATTCTTAACCTTGATTTAGATTAATATATATTTGTGCCTTTTGCCGTTATATTTTATTGCTTTTTGCATTTTTATTGGTTTGTAGGTTTTAAAATATATTTTGGATACAATCCTTCATCAGACATATGTATGAAAATATCTTCTCCTAATTTTTAGTTTTTCTTTTCACTCTCCCATTGATAGTTTTAATAAATATAAGTTCTTAATTTTAATGAAGTAAAATTTATCAATCTTTTATGATCGTTGCTTTTTAAATTTTTAATGTATTTATTTTTTATTTCAAGATTTTTGGTAAACAGGTGATGTTTGGTTACATGAATAAGTTCTTTAGTGGTGATTTGTGAGATTTGGTGCACCCATCATCTGAGCAGTGAACCTGTACCCAATGTGTAATCTTTTATCCCTCACCCCTTCCCATACTTTCCCCCGAGTCCCCAAAGTCCATTGTATCATTCTTATACCTTTGTGTCCTCATAGCTTAGCTCTCACTTACGATTGAGAAGATACGATGTTTGATTTTCCATTCCTGAGTTGCTTCACTTAGAATAATGGTCTCCAATTCCATCCAGGTTGCTGCAAATGTTATTGTTTCATTCCTTTTTATGGCTGAGTAGTATTCCATGGTATGTATATAAGCCACATTTTCTTTATCCACTCATTGATTGATGGGCATTTGGGCTGGTTGCATATTTTTGCAGATGCAAATTATGCCGCTATAAATATGCACGTGCAAGTATCTTTTTCATGTAATGACTTCTTTTCCTCTGGGTGGATACCCAGGATATCTACCTTGATCCATTTGCTGGATGAAATGGTAGATCTGTTTTTAGTTCTTTAAGGAATCTTCACACTGTTTGTCATAGTGGTTGTACTAGTTTACATTCCCACCAGCAGCGTAAAAGTGTTTCCTTTTCACCACATCCATGCCATCATTTTTTTTTTTTCAATTTTCTGATTATGGCCATTCTTGCAGGAGTGAGGTGGTATCACATTGTGGTTTGATTTACATTTCTCTCATCATTAGTGATGTTGAGCATTGTTTCATATTTTTTTTGGCCATTTGTATATATTTTTTTGATAATTGTCTATTTTGTCCTTAGCCCACTTTTTGATGGGATTGTTTGTTTTTTCTTGATTTTTTGTTTGAGTTCCTTGTAGATTCTGGATATTAGTCCTTTGTCTGATGTATAAATTGTGAAGATTTTCTCCCACTCTGTGGGTTGTCTGTTTACTCTGATGATTATTTATTTTGCTGTGCAGAAGCTTTTTAGTTTAACTAATTATCATCTATATATCTTTATTTTGGTGCATTAGCTTTTAGATTCTTGGTCATGAAGTCATTGCCTGAGCCAATGTCGAGAAGTGTTTTTCCAAAGTTATCTTCTAGAATTTGTATGGTTTCAGGTCTTAGATTTATTTAAGTATTTGATCCATCTTGAGTTGATTTTTATATAAGGTGAGAGATGAGGATCCAGTTTCATTTTTCTACATGTGGCTTGCCAATTATCCCAGCACCTTTTGTTGAATAGGGTGTCCTTCCCCCACTTTGTTTTTGTTTGTCTTGTCAAAGATCAGTTGACTGTAAGTGTTTGTCTTTATTTTTGGGTTCTCTATTCTGTTACATTGGTCTATGTGCCTGTTTTTATACCAGTACCATGCTGTTTTGATGACTATGGCCTTATAGCATAGTTTGAAGTCAGGTAATGTAATGCCTCCAGATTTGTTTTTTTTGCTTAGTCTCGCTTTGGCCATGCAGGCTTTTGTTGTTGTTGTTGTTCCATATGAATTTTGAGATTTGTTTTCTAGTTCTGTGAAGAATGATGGTGATATTTTGATGAGAATTGCAAGGAATTTTAGGATTGCTTTTGGCAGTGTGGTCATTTTCACAATATTGATTGTACCCATCGATAAGCATGGAATATGTTTCTATTTGCTTGTGTCATCTATGATTTCTTTCAGCAGGGTTTTGTAGGTTTTTTTTTTGTAGAGGTCTTTTTACCTCCTTGGTTAAGTATATTCCTAATAATTTAATTTTATTGTCTTGCAGCTATTGTAAAAGGGATTGAGTTCTTGATTTGATTCTCAGCTTGGTTGCTGTTGGTGTATAGCACGGCTACTGATTTGTGTACGTTAAATATTTATACTAAGACTTTGCTGAATTCATTTCCCAGTTCTGGAAGCCTTTTGGATGAGTCTTTGGGGTTTTCAAGGTATACAATCATGTCATCAGCAAACAGAGACAGTTTGACTTCCTCTTTACCCATTTGGATGCCCCTTATTTCTTTCTCTTGTCCAGTTGCTCTGGCTAGGACTTCCAGTACTATGTTGAATAGAAGTGGTGAAAGTGGGCATCCTTGTCTTATTCCAGTTCTCAGGGGGGATGTTTTCAACTTTTCCCCATTCAAGATACTGTTGGCTATAGGTTTGTCATAGATGGCTTTTATTACCTTAAGGTATGTCCCTTGTATGCCAGTTTTGCTAAGGGTTTTAATCATAAGTGGATGCTGGATTTTGTCAAATGCTTTTTCTGAGTCTATTGAGATGATCATGTGATTTTTGTTTTTAATTCTGTTTATCTGATATACCACATTTATTGACCTGCAGATGTTAAACCATCCTTGCATCTCTGGAATGAGACCCACTTGATCATGATGGATTATCTTTTCAATATGCTTTTGGATTTGGTTAGCTAGTATTTTGTTAAGGATTTTTACATTTAGGTTCACCAGGGATATTGGTCTGTGGTTTTCTTATTTGGTTATGTCATTTCCTCGTTTTGGTATTTGGGTGATACTGACTTCATAGAATGATTTAAGGAGGATTCCCTCTTTTTTTTTTTTTTGGGAGTCTTCCTCTGTCGCCCAGCTGGAATGTAGTGGCATGATCTCGGCTCACTGCAACCTCTACCTCCTGGGTTCAAGCAGTTCTCCTGCCTCAGCCTCCCAAGTAGCTGGGACTACAGGCATGTACCACCACGACCAGCTTAATTTTTGTATTTTTAGTAGAGATGGGGTTTCACCATGTTGGCCAGGATGGTCTTGATCTCTTGACCTCATGATCCACCCTCCTCGGCAACCCAAAGTGCTGGGATTACAGGCGTGAGCCACCACACCCAGCAGATTCCCTCTTTCTCTATCTTTTGGAATAGTGCCAATAGGATTGGTACCAGTTTTTCTTTGAAAGTCCAATAGAATTCAGCAGTAAATCTGTCTGGTCCCAGACTTTTTTTGTTGGTAACTTTTTAATTACTATTTTAATCTGCTGCTTGTTATTGGTCTGTCCAGAGTTTCTATTTCTTCCTGGTTTAATCTAGGAGGGTTGTGTATTTCCAGGAATTTATCCATCTCCTCTAGGTTTTCTAGTTTATGCATGTAACTGTGTTCACAGTAGCCTTGAATGACCTTCTGTATTTCTGTGGTATTGGTTGTAATATCTTCCATTTCACTTCTAATTGAGCTTATTTGAATCTTCTCTCTTCTTTTCTTGGTTAATCTCGCTAATGGTCTATTAATTTTATTTATCTTTTCAAAGAACCAGCTTTTTGTTTCATTCATCTTTTGGATTTTTTGTTTGTTTATTTGTTTCAATTTCATTTAGTTCTGCTCTGTTCTTGGTATTTATTTTCTTTTGCTGGGTTTCGGTTTGGTTTGTTCCTGTTTCTCCAGCTCCTTGAGGTGGGACCTTAGATTGTTTATTTGTGCTCTTTCAGCTTTTTGATGTAGGCATTTAATGCTATGAACTTTCCTCTTAGCACTGACCTTGCTATATCCCAGAGGTTTTGATAGGTTATATCACTACTACTCATTTCAAAGAATCTTTTAGTTTCTATCTTGATTCCATTGTTGACCTAACAATCATTCAGGAGCGGGTTATTTAATTTCCATTTATTTCATGGTTTTGAGGGTTCCTTTGGAGTTGATTTCCAATTTTATTCCACTGTGGTCTGAGAGAGTACTTGCTATAATTTCAATTTTCTAAAACTTGTTGAGATTTGTTTTGTGGCCTATCATTTGGTCTATCTTGGACAATGTTCCATGGCTGATAAATGGAATGTATATTCTCCAGTTGTTGGGCAGAATGTTTTGTAAATATCTGTTAAGCCCATTTGTTCTAGGGTATAGTTTAATTCAATTGTTTTGTTGTTGACTTTCTGACTTGACCTGTCTAGTGCTGTCAGTGGAGCACTGAAGTCCCACACTATTATTGTGTTGCTGTCTGTCTCAGCAACACAATAATAGGTCTTGTAGTAATTGTTTTATAAATTCGGGATCCCCACTGTTAGGTGCATATTTATTTAGGACTGTGATATTTTCCTGTTGGACTAGTTCTTTTATCATTATGTAATGTTCCTGTTTGTCTTTTTTAACTACTGTTGCTTTAAAATTTGTTTTGTTTGATATAAGAATAGCTACTCCTGGTGGATTTTGGTGTCCATTTGCATGGAATATCTTTTTCCATTCTTTTACCTTAAATTTACATGAGTCTTTATGTGTCAGGTGAGTCTCTTGAAGACAGCAGATACTTGTTTGGTGAGTTCTTATCATTCTGCCATTCTGTATCTTTTAAATGGAGCATTTAGGCCATTTACATTCAACGTTAGTGTTGAGATGTGAGGTACTATTCTATTCATCATGCTATTTGTTGCCTGAAAACCTTGGTTTATTTTTCATTGCATAGTTGTTTTATAGGTCCTGTGATATTTATGCTTTAAGGAGATTCTATTTTGGTGTATTTCACACATTCATTTCAAGATTTAGAGCTCCTTTTAGAAGTTCTCATGGTGCTGGCTTGGTAGTGGCAAATTCTCTCAGCATTTGTTTGTCTGTAAAAGACTATCTTTCCTTCATTTATGAGGCTTAGTTTTGCTGAATACAAAATTCTTGGCTGATAGTTGTTTTGTTTAAGGAGGCTGAATATAGGACCCCAGTCCCTTCTAGCTTGTAGGGTTTCTGCTGAGAAATCTGCTGTTAATCAGATTCTTTCCTTTGTTGTGACTTTAGATAACCTGATGACTATGTGCCTAGGTGATGATCTTTTTGCAATGAATTTCCCAGGTGTTCTTTGAGCTTCTTGTACTTGGATGTCTGGGTCTCTAGGAAGGCCAGAGAAATTTTCCTCGATTATAGCTCCAAATATGTTTTTGGAAAAACTCTGACTTTTAGACTTATCTTCTTCCTCAGGAACACCAATTATTCCTAGGCTTGGTCATTTGACATAATCCCAAACTTCTTGGAGTTTTTGTTCATTGTTTTTAAATTTTTTTTTTTTGTCTTTAATAGATCAGGTTAATTGAAAAGCCTTGTCTTTGAGCTCTGAAGTTTCTTCCTCTACTTGTTCAATTCTATTGCTGAGACTTTTCAGGGCATTTTGCAATTCTCTAAGCATGTCCTTTATTTCCAGAAGTTGTGATTGTTTTATATTTATCCTCTCTATCTCACTGGAGATGTTTCTATTAGTATCCTGTACTATGTTTTTGATTTCTTTGAGTTGGACTTCATCCTTCTCTGGTGCCTCTTCAATTGGCTTAATAGTCAACATTCTGAATTCTTTTTCTGGCAATTCAGAGATTTCGTCGTGATTTGGATCCATTACTGGTAAACTAGTGTGATCTTTTGTGGGTGTTAAAGAATCTTGTTTTGTCATGTTACTGGAATTGTTTTTGGTCCTTCTCACTTGGGTAGATGTCAAAGGGAAGATATAGGACTTAAGGGCTGCTGTTGAGATTCTTCTGTCTCATGGGATGCTCTGTTAATGTGGTGCTCTCCCCTTTCCCCTAGGGATGGGGCTTCCTGAGAGCTGAACTAACTGTAGTGATTTAGCCACCCAGTGGAGCTACCCAGCTCTGGGCTGGTACCAGGGAATATCTGCAAAGGTCCTGTGATGTGATCTATCTTCAGGTCTCTCAGCCATGGATACCAGCACCTACTTGGTGGAGGTAGCAGGGGAGTGAAGTGGACTCTGTGAGGGTCCTTGGTAGCATTTTTGTTAAGTGCACTGGTTTTGTGTTGGTTAGCCTCCAACCAGGAGGTGGCACTTTTAAGAGCACATTAGTTGCAGTAGTATAGGGAGGATCAGGCAGTGGGTGGGGCCATAGAGCTCCCAAGAGGCTATGTCCTTTGTCTTTGGCTACCAGGGTGAGTAGAGACAGACCATCAGGTGTTAGGCATATCTGATTTCTGACTCTCCATGGACAAGGCTTGCTGCCCAAGGAGTGTGGTTTCCAGGCCAATGGAGTTATGTTCCCAGGGGGATTATGGATGCCTCTACTGTGTCACACAGGTTGCCAGGGAAGAGGAGGAAGGCCAGCAGCCACAGGCCTCACCCAGATCCCATGCAGCCCTCCTCACCCTCCGCCAACAGCACTGAGTTTATTTCCAGGCAGCTGGTGGTCAGAGCTGAGAATTTGCCCCAGGCACAGTTCCTTGGCTCTCCCATGGAGCCTGCAGTGGCAATCCACCACCTTCAAAGGGTCTGTGGATTCTCTCAGCTTTCCTGGTATGTTCTTGTGGTAGTTCTTGGAGCACAAGTTCATGATGTGGGTTTCCACATGCTTCTCTGTCTGTTCAAGTGGGAGCTGCAAGTTAGTCTTGCCTTCTATCCACCATTTTCCTACCTCTTTCACCATTTTAAATATATCCTCTACATACAGTATCAGCTTTTGCACATATGCATGGCATAGAGGTTAAGAGAATGATCTCTGAAGTCTGACTACCTGCCAGATCCTAACTCCACTACTTAGTAGTTGTGTGAATGGGGCAAAGTTTTTAACCTCTGTCAGCCTCAGTTTCCTTATTTGTCAGGACTGTGTCTCATAGGATTGTTGTGAACATTAACTGATTTAAAGGAATTAGAACAGTGTTTGACATAAGATAAATGCCTAATGGATCTTTATCATTAAGACTCTATGCATTTCCTAGTTATTTTAATAACAGTCTTATTCACAATCAGGCACTATACCCTTCCTGTGGAAAAGGGAAAAATACAGAAAATGAGTAAAAATGACATGTATTTCCCTTATCCCACCACTAAGAGGCAATTTATGTTACCATTTTGATGTGTTTCATTCCAATCATTTTTTTTTTACTTAATTAAACTTTTCCACTTATTATCAATGGATATTATTATCAATGTAACCTTGAGCAAATCATTTACCTCCTCTAAGCCTGGCAAACTTTGTATGTAAAATAAAGGTAATTTAGTACCTACATTATAGGGCTATTGTGTGGATTAATTGAGTTATACCATGTAAATTACTTAGCTGGGTACTTGGCCTATTTTTAGGTTAAACAACATGAAATTGCCAATATTCACCTTTTTTTTTTACTATGAAAAAGGCAATTTCATACAGTCCATCCTAATGAGAATATCTCAATATACTTATTAGCTTTTTTGATAAGGCTTTGCAGGGTGTGATGGTACACAGCAAATTGCCCTTGGGCTTCAGCCCACAAGGAGACCACACTCCTACAGGCAAGGAAACATTTGTTTAAAAAGAAACAAGCAAACACCTGCAAGGCAAAGCTGATCATGGCCTAACAAAGACAGGTTAAGTGTTGGAAGATTCCAAGCAAGGTAGACTACCTCCATCTGCAAGGATTCAGGGTGGCTCTATGATAAAGTTGACATCTGAGCCTGACTCAGAGCCTGAAGTCAAACTTTCCTGACATTTCCTACCAAAATGTCAGGAAAGGCTTTCTAGGTAGAGGGAACATTCAAAGCAAAGAAAGAGCAGTAGGAATGTACAGTGTATAATTTCTTTGGTTAGAACATAGGGTACATGAGAGCTGGAGGTGGAAGGCAAAGCCTGTGTATTTTAACACTCAGCACAGTACTTGGGCCGTGGCTGGCACCTGGTATGTGCTTGAACCAGTGCATACTAAGGGATGTGAGCTCTGTTCAGTAAAAAAGAGAGTGGGACATTTTTGACCAAAGGAGTACAATTGTCAGTGCCATCCTTTGGAAAGTTGAGTTGGGGAATATATGTATCCTTGAAAACTTGAAGTGAAGCTCCTAGAGGCAGAGACACTTCTGTTTGTCCAGGGTCCTGCTAAGCTATCCAGCCTCATTTCCAACCTTTCCTTCCCTCCTTTTCCCCTACCTCCATCACAACTAATGTCTAACTCTGCTTAATTTATTTTAGTTCCTTCAACTTGCTGATCAAACCCTCTTGTGTCTCAAACCTTCATACGTGTTGTTGTGTCTGCTTTGAATCTCCTTCTCTTCACCACTTGGCCAACTCCTGCTCATCTTCCATCTCGGTGGATACATCATTTCTTGTAGAAGGCTTTCTCTGACTCACTCTAGCCGGCAAATCTGGATAGCTTCTCTTCTGGGGACTCCCATAGCACCCTGTACTTCCCACATGTTATCTGTCTCTCTGTACTTGCCGCCTAACTACTGCAGACTGAAAGTTCTAAAAGGGTGAAGACTATATAACCTATTGGCTAAAAGTGGGGATTGAGAGATATGTATAAACCTAGTTCTATATCCCGATTCTGCAATTCAGTACTAGAATGACTTTGGATGAGTTACTTGATGTAGCTAACATTCATGTCTTATCTGTACAATGGAAATAATAACAGAGACTAACTTTAGGGTTGGTGTGAGGAATGAAATGTGGTAGCATAGGCAAAGTTTAGCAGAGTGCCTGTAATATAATTAAGACATCATAAGTACTTATTAAAATTTTGCTGCTAGTAGTCACAATTGGACCCCTTGGAGTGCTCCACAGCAGCACACTACTGGGAGCATACTAGGTGTGCCAAATATTGTTGGATGATTGAAACAATGCCCGTGGAAATGATGAAGATGTAGATGTGAAAAATGTTTTAGAGGTAAGAGCCAATAGAACTTAGCAGTTTACCTAATTATAGGAGGAGACAAGGTAGTGGGCAGTCTTTAACTCAGGCCTGAGCCTAGAGAAAGGGAAGACCAGTGCTGCTTTTTTTTTTTTTTTTTTTTTTGGAGCAGAAGTGGTGGGTGAGACAACATCATCAATTCAGAACTCATTTAGGGAGCATACTGAGTTATATGTTTAGTAGCAAGCTCAACCAACATTTGGTCCTGGAGCTGGGGAAAGAAATTATAGATGGGAGAAAGGCATGAATTTCATTTTAAGAAGGGGGACTTTTTTGAGCCAATGCTTCTCTAACTTTAGTGTGCTTTGGAATAACCTGAGGAGGGTTTTAAGGGGCATGCTTCTGGGTTTTATCTCTATAGATTCTGATCAATAAGGTAGGTCTGTGGTGGAATATGCATTTTGACAAATAGCTTAGATGATTTCACTGTGACTTTGAACAAACTATTTATTATGAGTTTCAGTTTCTACCCTTATTAAATGAGAATGGTATCTACCTTTTGTAGGGTGAAAAGGAGGCGAGAACACGCAGGGGTGTGTGTGTGTCTGTGTGTGCGCATGTGTGTGAAGGTTATATAAGGAAAGGAAGTAAAGAGTTTCTGGAAGAAAACATGGTATCCCATGTGGTATGACAAGTCAGTAAAGGAAGGAGCGAGTGAGAAATGAAAGAAGGTTAGTGAGTTTGACATGCAGAAGCCACAGATGAGAAAATTGTGTTCTTGGACAGAATACTAGGGCAGGAAGAGGTTAGGAAGAGGGCAATGGGTGTTCCTTACTAATAGAATATTTAATGACACAGAAAAACATTAATGACATGTTTTTAAGTAAAATATAGTATAAATCAGAATGACACTATGTTTTGTTATAGCTAAGTAGTTATATTATGGGCAGTTTTTATTTTCTCCTTTTCATCAATGGTATTTATTAATTTTTCTACAGTTAAAGTATTGGTTTCATAACAAAAAATAAACAGTCTTGAATTTTCTGAGTGGAGCTGAAAGAAAAAAGGTATCTCTAGGGATTACAGGACGGAGAGAAAGGCCTTTTCTTTTAAGGTCAGAAAACATTTTTGCTTGCTCTTTAGAGAAGGTAGAGGTGTTGTCAGGTGAGGATGAAATCCTGGAAGAACCAATCTGGAATTGTGTCAGATTGAAGGGTTATCCTTAGAATGGAGAAGGGAGACATTTTATGAAGAATTTCAGAGACAACTGATGAAAATATTAATGACAATACAAGAGCTAAAAGTACTGTCCTTTACATGGGAATTTTCAAAATGCTAGTTCAATTGTTTTAAGATATTTTAATTAGAGCACGAAGTCACAGATTTGATCCCCTAATGGACCAGTTAACTTCTTCTCATTCCTAAAGGCTAAATAACTTAAGCTAACATCAGACACCTGTTTTGTAGAAAGATGTCAAGGGTCACCAAAACAAAAACACCATGCAAGAGAGGATGAATGGATCATTGCCAATTTATTGGTATCATGCAAGGAAAAGCACATATGTATTCATTACTAAGGTGCTCCAGTATGACTTAGAACCTAACCTTACCTGAAGATCTGATTGAGGATGTAAAACCCTAAATCAAAGCTCACGTTGTAAAGTTTTCTTTCCTTGAAATGAACTGCCCGAAAATGTTTGCCCATAGAGATCTAAGAAACACATTTTCAGGAAAATTGGTGCTTATCTGGACACTCGAGGGCATTGGTCACTGATTTCTAAGGCTGATGATTTATGATATCGTCTTTCATGTAATGAGTTTCAGTTTTCCTGGATATTCAGACTGTTTCACCCTCTCTAAACCTTCCCCACTCAGGGAACTCATCAAGAGGATCATGGATCACAGTCATCTGAGAAGAAGCTATTTGAGTAGCTTCTTTTGTGGTCAGACATTTGTTGGTCCCTAGAGCGTTTACTAAATGGGACTCGATTCCATTTACCTGCCTGGAATGCTGCAGTTTTAAGTACTCCCTACTGGATTCCTGTCTGTAATGTCTTCTGAAATGTTGCCTGGTAGTATAACAGAAGCTGCAGGGTTGCAGTGCATTCATTTAATTATGCAGGAATAATGAGAAATTAAATAGCATTCTGATTCACAACTGAGGCTGAATCTGTAGCTGTTAGAAATATGGATATTGGTGTCAGACAGAATCTGGTCTGAGACCCCCCTCTGCAAATCATTAGCTCTAAATCTCTAAGGCTCAGTTTCTCAACTGTTGTATAAAAGTCACTTCCTTTATAAGGTTATAGTGAGTAGTGAATAAGATAATGCATGTTTATTAATTGTATAGTACCTAGCATATGTTAATAGTAAATGCTTACTAAATATTAGTGGTTACTACTTCTCCTGTTACTGTTACTTGTCCATATACCCAGAGAGTATCTCCAGAAACATAAAACAAGTGTGTTCCAAGGAAAGATATTAATTTGCCACATAGCCAGAACATAAGATTTATATAGGAATGAAATTAGAAGAATTAGCAATTTTCCTTTCACAGTTAAGGACTTTGGATAAGAACATGATTTTGGATAGGTGCTCTCTGGGGGCAGTTTTGGGATTAGCAGACATCAAAATCCAAGACATTATATCCATCTCCTAGGTCAAGGCAGTTGAGAAGCACCTGTTGATGGGACAAAGGAAAATAAAGTGTGAATTCAAAAAAAAAAATCTTGCTTATCTTCAATGCTAGATTTTGTGTGAAAATATGTAAATAGGTCTGTGCAAGTTTTGTGTATAGTTCAGACAACATGGATTGGGGGTTCAGACATTGCTTTGGATTTAGACAGATCTGTGTTTGAGTGCCTGATGAATCACTTTACTATCTGTGAGCTCCTGAGCAAGATACATAACCTCTATAAACCATATCCTCCTCCCTCTGTGGAAACTAATATAGATGCTGAACACCTGTTAGCAGAGAGCATGGCATGAGATAAATAATCAGTACATGTTAGTTATATTTTTCTATGTGCGAATGTGGCGTCAATATGTATTCAGGCAGACAACAACATTTTATCCCTAGGAAGTTCTCATGTGTGTCCAGATAAAATCAAGAATTTGTTTTTCAAGCCTGTTACTGTATTGATATAGAAATGAATAACCCAGAGATTCTTTTTTCATAGAACCCTTTCCGGGCAATTAACATATGAATTGCTCAGATAGCCACTGGGGACAATCACACAGCCTAAGGAAGTACAGGGGGAAGGGCTATGGAGGCACAGGTTCTATGTGCCCAGTACTGTTCCAAGCACCTGCCAAGTAATCTCTTTTGCAAACCTCACATTAATGCTATGAGATAGGCAAATCTCATCTGTATTTATAGACAAATAAAATAAGACTCAAAAAGATTAAGTATCTTGCCCAAAGTTATATAGCTTGTGAGAGAAGGCAGGACTTAAACCCTGGCCTGTTGTCTTTAAAGGCACTTTTAAGCTAGTGTCAATTGTGTAGCAAAAACAAATGTAATATTGTTATGACTATATTGTGGAACAACAACAGAACCCCCATGATGTCCCGGTGTACTCTTGTGAGTCTTAGTTTGACTGAATTGATCCCAGATGTTAAACGCTAAATGCAATGCACTATTTTAGGTTTTTTTCTTCCTCCCTGCTATTCAGATGCAACCATTAACACAGTCAGGAAGTAAAATGTTACATCTGAGATAAATGCCATGTTCATGTTCCTTTTTTCCCTCTCTCATTGTGTAAGATAAGAATTTTGTTATTATGCGACAATAGTTTTATTAGGAATAAAACACATGTAGGTTCATATGCCTCCAGGGCAATCGCATGCAGACAAGGAGCTCAGCACCCAGCAGGCATGCATATGGGAGTTTCTTACCCAACTATGTTTCTACTAACCTTACTTTCCTTAGCACCTACAGTGGTTTCCCCAGGCCACATCAGCCCAGGGGTGAAATTCAGTGGTGGAATACCATTAACAAACAATATCTCTTTGACTGTCTATACTTTCATTATTGTGTGACCCCATCCCTACAGAAGGATTCCCTCAGTTATTACACAGAGAGTTGCTCATGTACAGAGTCTCACCAGATACCAAAGACTATCAGCTGGTTTCTTCCTCGCATGTTCTGACTTCCTGAAATGATGGTGCTGTGCAGGCTTGTGTGAAGTAACTGGCTCAGTCTCCAAAATATGCTGTTTTGGGGCCTCCAAAACAGCATTTGGAATCTTAAGGATACTGCTTGGTGCAGCAACTGAGCAGCACCAAGGGCTTGCTGTGTTCTCTGGAATTCCTGAATCCACATCTACTTCTGTATGCTTCAGTAATGGGCGAATACCCAGCTCTCCCATTTGAGTGCTTTACTCTATAAACCATAGTGGATCGGAGTAGGGGTGGAGAATCATACTCCCTCCTCCTGGGGTCTGAGTTTCAGCTCTTCTGTCTGGTGGCAGTGTGACTATGGGCAATTATTTAATCTCTGTTTGCCTACGTTTCCTCATCTGTAAAGTGGGGTTAACAATAAGAGTACTTACCTCACAGGGTTGTACCTAGTCCAGAGTGAGGGCTCAGCAAATGTTGGCCACTGTTAATATTGTATGAGTCCTCAAATCTAACTGGCTCTGGCACCCAGGATACAGTGCAGAGATTTTTATCTTTTCCTCTTTCACTTTATACTTGCAGCTCCTCTCCCTAGGACTCAACCTTGAGCTGGAGGATGCTGTGAGTAGTAAGCACTTGGGTTTATTCAGGAATGCCCTGCTTTCCAACTCTGTGGCACTAACCTTCATTACATTTGTGTGCCTTTATTATTCCTTCCTTAGGTTTGACTAGCTGGCTCCTCGGTTGGTCCCTTGAGCAAATCAATTCTGTTGGTACTAGGTTCGCAGGCATCCAAATGGGCTAAGATATGTCTGATGTTTGAATCCTAGCTGAATTTCCTTTTGGCTCAAGCTGGAAACAAGGATTCATATTCTCAATCTGTCTCTCTCGCTCTCTCTCTCTCTCTCTCTCTCACACACACACATACACACACACACACACAGATAGACAGACACATGGAGTTATATTTTTTCAGCCCTGAAACCTTCCATTACCATTTGGTTATATACTTGACTTCTTAGATATACTTGAATTCTTGTTAAATCTCATTCAAAGATACTTTTTCACTGAAATTTCAACAGAACGTCATTGTGAAATGATGTTTTATATGAAACCTCCCAAGTAATCTTTCAGTGATACTAATTAGTTCTTCAGTTACCTGAAACCAGAATTAAAGAATTGTTCACTAATGAAAACATTCACTTTAGCAGTTTGTTCAAGAATACCTATTTGTATGACTTCTAGATAATAAATTATCTATTCTTCTTTTGTTCTTATTCAAGTACTATGTAAGTATCAGGTAATCCACATCTGCTATTCTTGCATCAACTTTAAAACATTTAATTCTTTTTTCCTCGTTGAGATTTGAATCACAAGGATTCTTTTCTAAAGGCAAAGTTGAAACAATGCTTCCAAGACAAAAATAGCATTATCCCTTATGCCAGTAATATTTGAACTTAGGTATTCATCTACTCTCACTTTCCTGCTCTTTCTTAGTATTAATACACTATTCAGTGTTTGCTTGTTACATGCCAGGACATTTTACATCCATGAGGTCAGACTCAACTGTTATTTTGTGAACTATGAAGTGTATATATATAATAGTTTTTCATTCAACACATCAGCAAAGATTCCAATTTAGGTTTTAGTAAACTACTTGCATGTTTACAGAAAAGTCAAATGCTCACTCCTGTTAAAGTATGGCAATCATTTCCATGTTAAAGTTTATTCCAGAGTCTTGAAGTCAGCACATTTCCAAGTAGCTGAAAAACAACTGCAATAATAATAATAATTAATATTGACTGTATGACTACTACATGCCACCCTATGGGTGAGATAGTTTACAATAACTTTACAATAAATTCATTGTGCAGGTCCTGTTATTATTCCAGTTGTATAAATAAGGAAAATGAGGTTCAGGGAAGTTGAATATGCCACTGATATGGATTCAGATTCATACAATAATAGTGTTTCCTAATTCTGATGAGGCTGTAAGAAAGACCTGAGTCACCAAAACCATCCCCACCAGCCAATGGGGAGTCTCAGCTGGCATAACATATGAACCAGGTAAGTGAACATAAATGGCAAGACAAGCCATGTGCTGTGGTCAGCCTTCCAGGGCTGGCAGCATTGCTCCCCGCAGTGCATTTCTATTGAACTAATCATGGTTAATGTCATCAGAATAACTTCTCAGTGAAGCAAGAATCTCCTCACCAGCAGGAAACTGATAAAGATGGCTTGAGGATGCATGAAACATAGCCTTGGACTGGCTTCATGCTAGATGCCTTTCAAAGATGTGTAGCTGCATGCGTAACCTAGCAAGTTGCTAGACTGATTGGAACTGCTCATATTGAGCAAAGGGCTGGCTGCAAGTCTAGGAAAGTGGAAATGTCATAAATGAAGAAGGGCTCTTCGGATGGCAGCCCCACTTAATAACTGATTGCAGGGCAATCAATCTTTGCTCAATATGTACATGTCCCTCAGTTGATCCAGCATTGGCCTTCTCAGCCTCATCTGTATACACTTGATGTCATTTTCTCATCAAGTATGCCGTCTCTAAAAATAAAAGACAGCAAGCATTACTAAAGCTGGAATGATTGCTTCTAGGCCTTTTGGCTAAGATCAAGTGCAAAAGCTGGAATGAGAATATTCCTTTGCTGCCCTCTCAGGCTCTTAATCCTGTCTTTCCAGAGCAGCTTATTTATACTACAGAATTTGTGATGTGTTTAATATATTTCAAAGTTTTTTCATTTGTTTTTAAATGAGAATTTATGGAAAGGGTTCTGCTCTGAAAAGAGAAGCAATTGGAAAAATGCTTAGAGATGGAGGTACCAGTGTGTTGGGCTGCTCTGTGGGGAGTTGGGAAGCTGATTCCTGTAATATCTTATCTTCCCTTCTCTCACTTCTAAAGATTGCTATGCCATGACAGTTTGCAAAAACTTTTGGGCACTTTTTTTTTTATTTAAAAATATTATTTTTAGCGTCTCAAGTGATTCCTTCACTTAAGTCATAGTGCTTAGTATTTCTGCATTTACTGTGAATTCTGTTGGAAATAGCGATGATCCTCTGAGAGACAGCTGGAAGAAAATGCAGTGGTTCCTCTCTTGGAGGAAGGAAATGTATTTCCTGAGCAGAGTTGCTCTGCTTTGTAATCTCATGGGAATATGCTAATGACCCTGAAAACTGAATTTATTTTTTTAGAAACACTGTTCTGTGGTTTCTGGGATTTTGGCTTATTTGTAAAGATGGCAAAGACTGGTTCTAGAATTCTTCACTGAGGCAAAATATGGAAGATAAATTGAGGAAACTAAGTATTAAATATATAAATGATAATATTGGGACCTACTCAAAAATGTGTAGTTTCTTATAATTTGCTGGATTATTGTGGCTGTTTGTTACACTAGTTTTATAATCACTTATAATAATTATGAAAGCTAAAGAAATAGTGATATCACAAGAAATTTTTACTTCTGGACATCCCTCGGTGTAAGAGTGATGTAAGGTCCCCACCTGTATGCGGGTGGGGGAAAAGACAGCCCTTATGCCCTTTCCTGCAGGTTCCAGTCAGTCCATTGATGGGCAGTCTGTATCAGACAGATCTCTAGAAAGTCTGCAGTTTCTGCAGGATTTGTTCCAGATAAGAACAGATAAGAAGATAAGAGAGCTCTATGGGAATAAAGAGGCTAAGAGTGGGTACAGTGCAGCTGGAAGCTGGACCCAAAGAAGCATTTTTAGGACTCTGGAAAGACTGAGTCAATAGAATAGGATTTGAATACTGTTTCTTTACATAGCAGCCAAACAAATTATCTAAACCTTGTTTTCTTCACCTTGTTTTCCTTTTGATTCTTGACCTTAGGTATGGTTTTCTATATTTAAGATGGGAATATTAATAACAAAATTTACCTTGTGATTTTCAAACATGCATTATTTAGGAATGTGCTTTTTAAGCTATAACAGAAAAACAAGTTATTCTTAGGTCTGCCAAAACTTTGAACACATATTTAATGCTGAGAGCCTAGAAATGTAGAGTAGTTGACATTTGACCCACTAGTTGGCCTTGGTAGATAATACAGCAATAAGATGCAGTACTAACGAATTTCAAAGATGAGTGAATTTTTTTCTTTGTACCACGTGAAGTACTTCCTAGAATGAGTAGCTTCTAATGTGTTATCCATATATTGAATTACAATGAATAAAGGAAGTATTGTGATAGAATGGGAGAGAGCTTGGACTTTGGAATTAGGTAAAGATGGGTTTGGAGCCAGTTTCTGATAATAACCAAATGTATGATGAAGTACTTGACTGAGAGTCTCTGTTTCCTTGCCTGTAGAACAAACATAAATATCCCTGCCTTGCAGATTTTACGCAGAGATGATTCATGTAAACTACCTGTACAATAAAAGATCAATACAATGCCATGATGGCCATGATGATCATCATAAAAATCAATTCTAATTAATAAGCTCAATTGCTGGCATAAACAAGCAGAGGTGCCCACCACTGCACCCACTCAGTACTGGATCGCTTCTCAGTACTGGATGTAGCCTCTGCACTGTCTTGAGTTACAGAGGACAAGTGAGCAGGCTGTGGAGCTAAGTAGCCTGACTTCAACTCCTGAATGCCATTTACTGCGGTAAATGGTGGTTAATTCAGATAAGAGATTTATGCTAAATACAATTCCATGTGTCTTCTCAACAGATTGTATACTTTTTCTAGGACTATTTGTGGTATTTTGGGGCTAATTCATCTCAGATGGCTAGTCATTTGCTCCTTATGATATGAGTAGGTTAGATTATCATACATTGCCAAATTAATTACAATTCTGAGAACTTCACCACTTGTTAAATTACATTGCCTCTCACAGAAGGGAAGATAACCAAACAGATGAACTCCTGGATGATAACCATCAAGTTCAGGCCAGTGAGGTGTGCAGATTGAAGGAGGGCCAGTTCCCAGTATCTGTAAGCTGGTCCTCGGTGGCCTCTGTCTACTTTAGCATCTTGGATACTGCCAGGCCATGGAAGGAAGGCAAATTGTTGCCAACGAGAATGAAATGAAATTAACATATGGCTACAATAGAAGAAATAGATTTAGTCCATGGATTGACCCCTCCATTTAGAAAGTCTCAAGTGAAATCAGTCTGGAAACTTACCAGGCTTTTTCCATATATCTGTGAGTATTTTATACTTTGGATGGTCTTCCTATACACAGAAAGAATAATGAAGGCCTCTTGATTCAGAAACTCTGAATAGCAGCTTGGTACTATGTGGATATTTAACAGATCAAATTCTAAGGTTAGCCTCATTTGGTCCTTATTGTCTTAAGTCAAGGTGAATAGAATGAAGGGACACAATGTGTAACCTTCTTTATTTTCTACTTACTAAAACATTTCAAGATCAGATCCTTTCTACTATAATAGTATCTTTTCAAATGAAGGCAAGTACAGATCCAGAATAATAACATGTAAAGGACACTTAATGCACAGTGGAGTTTTTATAGGTGAAATATTCCAACAAAGTATTGGTTATACCCCACCGCTAAAGAAACCACAAAATGACTGCTTAAACCAATTCTTCTCTATATACCTTTCCCTTCTTCCATGGAAACCAGAAACTCTGGGTCTTGTGCCTTCCATGGTTTCTCCCTTTTAACAAATATGCCTTGTGTTCTTTCACTTACTAATTGGTGTCACCATGTGCTTATATTGCTAACAATTTAAATAGAGCAGTTCCTTTGAAAATATAATCTCCTTTTAAATGCATCATCATTTTGAAGTGGTCTCATAAATTTTGTTGCTGGTTTGGGACCTTAAACGGTATATTTATTTATATTAAAGTCTGCCTGCTGTTCGTCTTGAGATATTATATTTGTATAGTTAAGAGAAGTGATGAGCCAAATTTAATTTTCTTTCTACTCTGGAATGCCTTGCATCTTGTAATCACCATTGATTGCCTACTTACTAGTCAGAATCAATAAAAGGAATAGAGGTAAAATTGTCCAATCTCATGTTTTGTAATATAATAGTCTAGTCAAAATGGAGGGTACTAATAGCATTCAGCTGCATAGACATTATCTGATAATGATAGTGTGTATAGCTCAGACTACAGAGAAACAAATTAAAGCTGGAAGCTCAAATATTGGACTTTATTTTATTTAGGATAAGGTTTATGCACAAATCTCATCAGAATATGCTTTTTCCATTTTATGGATAATAATGTAATTTTTATTAGCTTTTTATCATTTTAATTGCATTTCCTTTCAGAGACCACTAACATGTTCTACTTTTGTTTCAAGGTTGTCTCTAATATGACTGATACATTTGCCTAAAGTCCATCAATATGAGATTATGGAAACATTAAACCATATAGACCTGTCTGAGAATAACAGCTTTCAATTTCAGGTCTATATAAATAAGCAAAATCTTGGAGATAGAAGATAAGAAATACTACTAAGCAGTCAGAGACTTGGTCTGCTATTTTTAAGCATTCACATTTCTCTACTTATTGTGCTTTGTAGATTTCAGAAAATACTTTTATTGAGCTTAAATATTTCTAACAGGATTGTTGTTTATATGAAGTCTCTTGAACTCTAGCATTCCACTGGGAGTAGACTTTAGATCACTCAATGATATTCAAACTTTTAGGTCTTTCAGTAAACAACCTTGATTTTAAAAAGAAATGCAATGTGTACAATTTCAAAGCCCATCCTTAAATGAGCTTTACTGAGGAAATCAATCTTAGCAATTGATAAATTACGTCTTTTATTGGAAGAGAAATTGTGCTCATGGCATTTTGGAAAACATTCAGCATGGTGGTCAAGTTCTTTTAGTGAGTTCCCCGCCGATCATGGTCTTTCACTGTTCCCCACATCTAGAAGCCAGAACCCTTCCCCAGATAGCTTTCAAATACAATGATTAGAGAGTGTACATGGAATAGAAATCTTACTTGTAGATTTTGATTAGGGATTAATTACTTAATTTTCTGTTGCCTGTTCAGGATGGTTAATGACCATATGGCTTTGACATTTTTTTGCTCCTTTTTATATTAAGTTTTTCTTACTGGAAACCATGTAATTAGAACCACCTTTCCTATCTCATGTTCCTGTCTTCATTGGCATCTACTCTAAAGCCATACAGGATTTTTGTTTCAGAATAAGAGTTGCATTAGATCGAGGGGCGGATAATTAGCTGAACTAATTTTGCCTGTATTGTTCTGTCACTTTATACCCCGGAGCCCTGGAGATAGGCTTTTTAGTTATCGATTTTTACCTTTATATGGGATAAAATTTTGTAATAGAGAGGGAATAACTTATACATCTAATAGCATAATGACGTAATGGGCTAGGGCTGTTAAGAGAGGGGGATTTGAGATGGAGTCTCACTCTGTTGCCCAGGCTGCAGAGCAGTGGCATGATCTTGGCTCACTGCAACGTCTGTCTCCTGGGTTCAAGCGATTTTCCTGCCTCAGTCTCCCGAGTAGCTGGGATTACAGATACCTGACACCAGGCCCGGCTAATTTTTATATTTTTAGTAGACATGTGTTTCCCCCATATTGGCCAAGCTGGTCTTTAACTCCTGACCTCAAGTAATCTGCCCACCTCAGCCTCCCAAAGTGCTGGGATTACAGGCATGAGCCACCAAACCCAGCCCCTTTTCAGTTTTTTTTTCGGAAATGTATGTTCAGTGATAGTCATTTTTCATGCTTATTGAGTGCTTACTCTGTGGCAAGCACTGTTCTAAATACTACATATGTTTCCTCTTTTGATCCACGCAGCCATTTCATGAGGTAGCTATTATTCCCCTCTATTGTATGGATAAGAAAACTGTTGCACAGAGAGGGTAAGTAACATGCCTAAGATGATACAGCCAAAAAATTACAGAAGCAATATTTGAATTTCTCTTCTTCCCACTCTTAACAACATATTCTAATCACATATAAGCCCAAAGTCAACTGGTCCCCATGGAGAAAGCATTGATAGTCGGGAATCTTTTATTAGATAAAAGCCAGTGATTAAAATGAAGTGTGGGGATGTGCTGCTATTGAACCCACAGCTTCTAAATTTATCAACACTGGAACTGCTCATGCAGTATCAAGCCTCATGCATGGAACAAGGGGACAGGATACAGAAAGATGGGGCAAGACCTCCAGCAGAGTATCATGCATAAGCACAAATGAAAATGGCCCTTGGGAAATAATAGAAGCTAACTTTTATTGGGTGCTTTCCATGTGCTAGACCCAATGTAATGCAATGTCTTATTTAATACAGGCTTCCTATAATTATTCCAACTTTATCAGTGCAGCAATTGGGGTTTTAAAAGGTTAGGTAATTTTCCCAGGGTTACATAGCTGATAAATGACAATAGGGGAGCTCAACTCCCTTTGTCTGATTTCAAAGGGCATGCTCTAGGACTTGAGATTTCAGTTCTGACACGGAAAGAGCTTAGAAGCCATCACTATTGTTTTAAAACCAAGAAAAACATGGACATTGAAAGTCAGTGACTTCCATGGACCCACTGGACTTTTTGGATCCATCAGAAACGTGGTTACTGGGCAAATCAACATCGCAAATTCCGGAGAGACAGGCACATTAAAAGAGAAATGACCTACATCTTCATACCTAGCAACCAAGCCGCTGGAGCCACATACTGGTAGGAACATGTCAATGATGATTTTGATGAATTGCTAAACACTGAGTATAGACTGTTATGGATGTGAAAAATGCCAGGGAACCTCAGCCTCTGGTCCCCACACTTTCATGGGCTTTACCTTCAGGAGCTCCATCAAGTTCTCATGGTGAAGCTTCCATCATTGCTGTGGTTGGAAGGAATTATTGCAGTATATACCCAGAGCCTTCTCCATAACAAAGGCTTTAACTCCACAGTAATAGACTTTATCCTCAGTTAAGGAAAGTATACTCCTTCCACTTTTGATCCCTTTAGCCTGCCAATCTCATCTAATAGAGAAAGAAATAGGACATAGGGGTCAGATCTTCAAGGAAATATATTGGGAATGCTGCAGCCAGGGAAGGATATTGGGAGATGGTGGGAGGGAGATTAGCTATGCCCCTGGAGTAACTTTGGGAAGACTACATCCCACTGTCCAGGGCTCACTAAGATACTGAAATTTAATCAGAAGATTATAGAATGCTCCCCTCTCTCACACTCTGCCCCCACACCAACAGAGTCCCAGTGTAATAACAGTGGATTACAGCTGAAAAAGCTGTAAGACACAGAATCTCAAAGTCAAGAAGGAATACAACATCAAGGATGCCTACATGCATTTTACACATGTGTGCACACACACACAGACACACAACAAATCTAGTCATATCATGTTCAATCTGCAGAAAATAAAAAACAGAGAAAATCTTGAAATTAGCCTGAGGAAGGAAAACACCTTACTTTTAGAGGAACAAGTGAAATAATTACAGTGGACTTCTGGTCAGAAATTATTCAAGCAGGAAGAGCAGGGAGTGAAATACTTAAAGTGTTGAATGCAAAGAATGCCAACATAGAATTCTACATCCATCAAAGTTATCCTTCAAAAGTGAAGATTTAAGTTTTTCAGGCAGAAGGAAGAGGTTATAAGTCAGAAAACAGGCAGGCAGACAGACCTAAGGCATATGTGTTATTAAAGGTATGGGCAGAGAGTCAGAAGATAGGAGCACTGAAGGAAGACAGAGGCAAAGTGAAGTATACAGATGATGATCCAGATAGCCAGGGTTTGAGGAGCTCAGAGTGTGGTCAGAATAGAAAAGATTGCTTAAAGCCCCTGCATGCCATCTAGGCTGAAAAATGGTTTATAATGTCATATGATTTGGCTATGTCCCCACCCAGATCTCATCTTCAATTCCCATGTGTTGTGGGAAGGACTCAGTGGGAGGTAATTGACTCATGTGGGCAGGTCTTTCCTGCACTCTTCTCATGATAGTGAATGAGTCTCATGAGATCTGATGGTTTTAAAAATGGGAGTTTCCCTGCCCAATATTTTTTTTTGCCTGCTGCCATCCCCGTAAGATGTGACTTGCTCCTCCTTGCCTTCTGCCGTAATTGTGAGGCCTCCCCAGCCATGTGAAACTGTGAGTCCAATTAAACCTCTTTCTTTTGTAAATTGCCCAGTCTCAGGTATGTCTTTATCAGCAATGTGAAAATGGACTAATACAGTAAATTGGTACCAGAAGTGGGGTGTTGCTGAAAAGATACCCCAAATTGTGGAAGCAACTTTGGAACTAGGTAACAGGCAGAGATTGGAACAGTTTGGAGGGCTCAGAAGAAGACAGGAAAATGTGGGAAGCTTGGAACTTCCTAGAGACCTGTTGAATGTCTTTGACCAAAATGCTGATAGCGATATGGACAATAAGGTCCCAGCAGAGGTGGTCTTAGATGGAGATGAGGAACTTGTTGGGAACTGGAGCAAAGGTGACTCTTGTTATGTTTTAGCAAAGAGACTGGTGGCATTTTGCCCCTGCCCTAGAGATTTGTGGAATTTTGAACTTGAGAGTGATGATTTAGGGTATATAGTGGAAGAAATTTCTAAGCAGCAAAGCATTCAAGAGATGACCTGGGTGTTGTTAAAGGCATTCGTTTTTATAAAGAAAGCAGAGCATAAAAGTTTGGAAAATATGCAGCCTGACAATGCAATAGAAAAGAAAATCTCATTTTCTGAGAAGAAATCCAAGCCAGCTGCAGAAATTCACATAAGTAATGAGGATCCAAATGTTAATCCCCAAGACAATGAAGAAAATGTCTCCAGGGCACATCAGAGGTCTTCATGGCAGTCCTTCCCATCACAGGTCTGAAGGCCTGGGAGAAAAAAAGTGGTTTTGTGGGCTGGGCCCAGGGTCCCTGTGCTATGTGCAGCCTAGGGACTTGGTGCCCTGTGTTCCAGCTACCCCAGCTGTGGCTGAAAGGGGCCACTGTAGAGCTCAAGCAGACCATGGCTTGAGAGGGTTCAAACCCCAAGTCTTGGCAGCTTCCAAGTGGTGTTGAGCCTGCAAATGCACAGAAGTCAAGAATTGAGGTTTGGAAATCTCTGCCTAGATTTCAGAAGATGTATGGAAACACCTGAATGCCCAGCCAAAAGTTTGCTGCAGGGATGGGACCCTCATGGAGAACCTCTGCTAGGTCAGTGTGGAAGGGAAATATGGGTTCGGATCCCCCACAGAGAGTGCCTACTGGGGCACCACCTAGTGGAGCTGTGAGAAGAGGGCCACCGTCCTCCAGATCCCAGAATGGTAGACCCACTGACAGCTTGCACCGTGAGTGTGGAAAAGCTGCAGACGCTCAACACCAGCCCTTGAAAGCAGCCAGGAGGGATACTATACCCTGCAAAGCCACAGGAGTGGAGCTGCCCAAGACCATGGGAACCCACCTCTTTCATCATCGTGACCTGGATATGAGACATGAATCAAAGGAGAGCATTTTGGGGCTTTAAGATTTGACTGCCCCACTGGATTTCAGACTTGCATGGGGTCTATAGCCCCTTTGTTTTGGCCAATTTCCCCTATGTGGAATGGCTGTGTTTATCCAATGCTTATTACCCCCATTGTATCTAGGAAGTAACTAACTTGCTTTTGATTTTACAGACTCATACTTGCCTTGTCTTGGATGAGACTTTGGACTGTGGACTTTTGAGTTAATGCTGAAATGAGTTAAGACTTTTGGGGACTGTTGGGAAGGCATGATTGGTTTTGAAATGTGAGGACATAAGAATTGGGAGGAGCCAGGGGTAGAATGATATGGTTTGGCTGTGTCCCCACCCAAATCTCATTTTGATTTCCCACATGTTGTGGGAGAGACACAGTGGGAGGTAAATGAATCATTGGGGCAAGTCTCTCCTGCGCTGTATCTGTGAGCGTGAATGAGTCTCATGAAATCTGATGGCTTTAAAAATGAGAGTTTTCCTGTACAAGCTTTTTTTGCCTGCTGCCATCCACGTAAGATGTGACTTGCTCCTACTTGCCTTTCACCCTGACTGTGAGGTCTCCCCAGCCATGTGGAACTGTGAGTCCAATTAAACACTTTTTTTTTTTTGTAAATTGCCCACTCTCGGGTATGTCTTTATCAGCAGCATGAAAATGGACTAATACATAATGCTTTCCATATTCCTGGCATTGTCTTGTATTAAGGTAAAAAAAAAAATGAATACGATGTGGCCCATACACCTAGGAAGCTATGCTCCAGAAAGAGGCGAAGACAAACTGTTATCACCCAGTTCATTGATTTGTTCAACACAGGATTTTTTGAGTGCTGACTTTATACCAAACAAGGTAGTAACTGCCAAAATGAAGAAGTCTAGAAAGTGCTATGAAATCACAAGTCGGGGAGCAAATATAATGCCTAGGATTGTGAAGGAAAAGTATACATGGATAACAGGAGAGTTAGGCCTAGAAGGAGTAGAAAGTAACAGATAAGAAGCTGAGCAAGCAACATAGGCTGCCAGAATGTAAACAATTTGAATGGCAGACATGGAGCACTAGAAATATCTGATTTAGAAAATTTAATGAATATTTTATACTTTGTCTCAAATCAGTCTTCATGGATTATATAGCAAGACCCAGATCAAAGACAAACAGTAGATTGGAATGGAAATGAATGGGTGGGACAGGTTTGACATCTCATTTTGAGTTTAAATATCAGATCTGAAGTACTCCACATTGTTCTACCATTTTTTGGAATTAACACCTGAGATTAAGCCTACTGGACATTCTTTATCCAAGCAAGAGTAAGAAGGCTGTTTTCTGGAGGATTGCTGTCTCTTGGCCAGAGATTAAATCCTATCATTCTGAAAACCACAGCAATGATAGATAAATAATTCGACCAAAATCCAAACATTGAGAGCTCACAATTTGTTATTAAGTCTATCAGACCCCTGACTGGTATAGGCCACTGGAGCCATGATGTTTAGTTATACTAAAGAGAGAACAAGAAGCCATCACTGACTTCTGGTCAGGTTGGCTTAGAGTTGGGGTGTGGGGCAGAATAGATTAGGACAATAGCTTGGGACAGGTGGTTAAATAAAAAAAAAATGTCCTTGATAGTGGAGGTGGATCTCAATATGAAATGAATCATGAAATAAATTGAAGATAATACTAGGATCTCTATAACTGTTCTGTTCAACAACAAGGTCACTAGCCATTTAAATATAAATTTGAGGTAATTAAAATTACATAAACACACAGATCATCAGTTACACTAGTCACACTTCAAGGGTTCAGTAATCACATATACCTGTTGGCTACCATGTTGGACATCACAGACATAGAACATTTCTATCAATGCAGAAGGTTCCATTACACAGTAATGTTTTGATGTATGTGAGGTATGATGATACAATAGAGAAATGCAATTAATGTCTTTCAGAAACAACTACAAAATTGCTTTTTTTTAAAAAAATGTTTATATTTTGGAAGTGAATATAGTAAAGGTCTTGCAGCATAATGCCGTACTTTGCCAACAAACAGTTTTAGGGATGTTTATCCCTTTTGAGTGGAATATCCTTATTTTTTTTTTTTTTTTTTTACACATTACGATATTTAGTTTTAGTGAAGTCAGGTCACTTCACACTAGCAGTAAATGGTGACGGTCAGTAGTTGAAGTCACGCTGCTTAACTCCAAAGCCAGTGTACCTGACCTTTGCACTCCAGAAGAGCCCAGAAGCCACCTTTGGGACTGAGGGGCCACCTGTGGTGTAGTAGAGGGCAGACATCTCTGCCTGTTTATGCCAGAACTGAACTTAGTAGTGAAGGTGTCCATTCTGCTTGTGCAGTGCCCTGCTGCAGCAGTCATTTGATGTTGTAATATCAGTTTTGCCAAAAAATGTGCACATTCCTCTGCAAATCCTTCTTGTTCTCTGAAAAGCATTGCATGTATTAAGTGCTCTTCATTAATACCTGGCTATCTGTTGGGTGTTCATGAGTCCAGTTTGATTTTCATTGTTCAGTTAGTGAAAAAAGGTGAACAAACTATATGCAATATGAACACACTAGGTTTTTCTGTAGTGAAGATTGATGTAAATTTAACCAATTAAAATATTTTAACAAATAATTTTGCTGCCATATGCTGGAAAAATTGCTGAATTTCTCAGTTAATCAGAAATTATGTGAATTTCCTTCATTTAACCTAGGCTCTGTACTCTTAGTTTCTTAGTTTCTTTTTTTGGGAGATGACAGATCTAAAACGAATTTCTTTAAAATCACTTCGGATTTTTTTTTGAAGTACTAATTACATGATTCCCTTACTTTTTGGAAGTAACTATTGAGATTTCTTCATTTAAAAATATTTTTAATAGTAATAAAGCAGATCCTTACTAAATATTTTGGGACTGAGGAATTTCAGATAAAATGCAGTTTTCAGGCTGTGACATGGACCTTCTACTCTTTTGGAAAGCTTTGGATCATTTGTGATTGACAGTTCAAAAATACAGTGATATGTTTTGTCTAGCCCATGTCATGCTGGAGAATACTAAATCAATAGTAATGTTATCAAAACCAGAAATCAAATGCAAAATAGTTCCCTTAGTTTCCTGCATAATGACATTTGCTCTTTTGATAAATTACTAATGGGTTCTTGGACAGGAGACCTCCTGGAACAGCCAAGCCTGGGTATAAATGGAAAGGAGGAAGCGGTAATATTTACTATACAGAAAAAAATTGCCTTCAGTTAATGTTCTGTATAATGTCCAAATATAACTGAATTCCGCATTGTGATAGGATATTAGTAAAGAGGCCAAGAACAAGCTAACCATAAACCACAGTGTTTTAACCCTACTAAAAGTAGTTTAGAGCGTCCTGCACTAAATCATGCATCCTACAACCAGAACAACTCAAACAGGACAAAGCATCAGTGACCAAAGCAACAGAATGCCAATAGTTGTGCCACAGTTCTACCTGAAATACCCTGTTCCCTCAAGAAAATGCAGTCATTGGCACAAGGGCATCACTACTATACCATGTTTTAAAAAATTTGATTGCTTAATTCAATTTGGGGGATAACTTGATGCCAGGAACATATTTTAGGGCAAAAAAAGTCGGGAGGGAGTCATATAATTGTCTTTAAAATCTTGAACCATCAGTTTTACTTTAACTTCTCGAGAAAAAAAATCTTGAACTGACTTAAAAGAGTTGTGACCTCCTGCATCACCGTGCTCACAGACGTTTTAGTTAAAGTTTTGATTATGAAATGTATCATACATATATTAGAGTATGTTTGATCTTTAGGCCGGGCATGGTGGCTCATACCTGTAATCCCAGCACTTTGGAAGGCCAAGTCAGGCAGATCGCTCAATGAGCCCAGGAGTTCGACACCACCTGGACGTCATAGCAAAACCCTGTCTTTACAAAAATACAAGCATTATCTGAGCGTGGTGTTGCGTGCCTGTAGTCCCAGCTACTTGGAGGAGGGGGGGTGAGGGGATGGGGTCAGAGGAGTGGTTGGGGAGGCTTGAGGTGAGAGAATCCTTTGAGCCCAGGAGGCAAAGTTTGCCGTGAGGCAAGATTACACTACTACACTCCAGCTTGGGTGACAGAGTGAAAAAAAAGAATATGTTTGATCTCGCTCTCTCTCTCTTTATCTCTCTCTCTCACTCTCTCTTTCTATATATGCATATATTACCTAAAAATTTTTATGAAGTATATCCAAACACCGTCTAACTCAAAGGCTTTAGGAATCTGTGGTAAGAGAAAGTCTTCCAACCACATAGTTGTATTAAATAGTATAACAATTGCAGATTAGCCTCTGAGCTTTACTGAACACCAGATAATACCATGTAAGATGTGTTAGGTAAAACAGCAAACCAGTCTGTTTCCTACACTTGTGGTCTACAAAATGAACATACCTAAAGCTTTGGATTCACTGTCATCCTAACCTTGTGCTGTACTTATAAGGTAGTTGCTGTATTTTTATATAGAAAATGAATAGGAAGACTTGCTTTGCTGCAGTAAACAAAAGATCTCTTCCCTCTCTCCACTCGACCACCTCCTCTCCCTAATGTTGTGGCTGGAGCTCACTGAGCTGCCGAAGTGGGAACATTTGTGCTTTGAAATACCTTTGTTTTGTTGGATTTATAATTTAAAGGGGAAAAATTTTTATACTGAAGAGTTGAATGCAACCAGAGAACAAAATAATAAAAAGCCTTATTTGAGAAGAAATAATTCTTTGGAGTAAGAGGTTAGCACATGTCAATATGTCATATACAGGGAAAGTGAGCTTTTGATTACTTAGAGGTAAGGTTGCCAGAGGGTTTTTGATTTAAATTTCTAAGGCTTGATCAGAGCATCAAGGGGTTTGTTGAAAATCCTCGTAACTTGTGAACTTGACTTTTATTCCTTTGAAAAATTATACAAAATATTTTTTGCCCACATTTATATTCCATGTGGCATGTTTCTCCTTGTAGCTTTGCAGCTATTCCTGTGCAGGCTTTATACTTGTTATAACATCAGTGGTTGAATTGAATTTGAACATTGCTAGAAAAAAAGCAGAAAGTTTTGAAAGAGGAAAAGTGACCCAAAAGTTGGCTCTAAAAATGTTTCAAGCTTGCAGAATTCCAAGGAATAACCTAAATGAACACGAATAGGGACTATTTAAATAAGTCATGGCACAACCTTAAAATGGAATCCTATTTGCCGGCTTAAAAGATCAGATCCAAGCTATATTGAATGAAAAAGAAAAGTCCCACCACTGTTAAATGCCTTGGTTTGTTCATTCAATATTTTGATGTACCTACACATAGAATATATTTCAATGACAGAATTGTATAAGTTGGTTGTGCTGGGGTTTTTTTTGTTTTTGTGTTTCGTTTTTTGAGATGGGCTTTCACTGTATTGCCCTGGCTAGAGCGCACCAGCTGTTCACAGGCACGGTCGTAGTGTGCACTGCAGCCTTGAAGCTGTCCTGCCTCAGCCTTCCAGTAGCTGGGACTACAGGTGTGTGCCACCACAGCTGGCTTCTTATGCTGCTCTAGAGAGAGGGAAAGGAGCTATGTCTCAACAGACTGAGAGTTTTCGTTTTTTTTTTCAATATATGACTCTGCACTCGAATCATTTTAATGTAAGGATAGATATACCGATAGAAGAAAACTATTCAGTTCCTTATGCCCTCACTCTTTAAATATATTATTTTTCAAATTTTGTTAAAACTAGGCATTTTGTCCAGTGAAGTAAAGTGGCTACAGAAAATGTTAGGAGATTTTGTTTTATTTTGACATGAAAAATGAAATTACAAACAAACTTGGAGGCAAATTAACCACTTAGCAATAGAGCATCTTTCAATCCATGGCAATAATTGCTGGAAGCTAAAAACATGCTAGTATAATAAATACATTTGAAAAATACACCTATCATTGCCGCTAATGTGTAGGTTACTAACTTTATATATAATGTTGCCTGTTGTTTAGTTTTATATATTTGCTTTATATACATAGAAACCAATAAACAAGAGTATGAGTGTTACCTACATTTGCTTATCCTGTGGAGACAAAGTACTAATAAAATAGATACAACTTAAAAGTTTGAATGATTTATTTTTCTCTTATGCTGCCTGTAACTTCTAAAACTCATGATTCTGAAAAAGTAAAAAGTGTTGACAATTTTGTTTCCCCTCCAAATCCCCATCATTTTAACTTGTTCTGAAATGTGCCACGTGAGGTATCCTGTATTATGTGCCCGCATCTGCTGCTCCATACAAACCGATGCTGCTGTCTTAGAAATAATAGGCCCCCTTTTATTCCCTAATAGACACTGCCATTATGTGAGATCATGTTCAAGCTTTAAATTTTTCCACTCTGTATTTCTGTTTTCAGTTTATCTTATGGAATAAATGGTCCATTATTTCAGTAATTTTGTATATTGTTATATTTTTGAGTTTCCTTTCTCTGTGTCTCCCTCTTCCTTCCTCCTTCTCCTGCCAGCTCAAGGTGTTCTCTCCCTTCTTCTCTGTCTGTCTGTCTGTCTGCCAATCTAGCTCTCTCTCTTACACATGCCTTACACAGATCTTCTGAATGAGGTGAAGAGTGTGGCGCGAACAGCAGGACCTTGACTGTGGCACGGTCTGGACTGTGCATCTTGCACTGGAGAATTTAGCTGTCACTTTGGAGCCTGATAGAACTAGTGTGCAATTCACATGCCCCAAGTCCTGAAAGGGAAACTGCATCTGGTGTCAGCGCAGTTCACTGATAAGATTTTATCTTTTCTCCTGCTGATACTGATAGAGCCATAGCCAGGTGAGCAGTAAATAAAGAAGATTTATTGTGGGCTGGATTTGTTAGCTAACAGAACTTTCTCGGAACTGTATCAAAAAAAGACCCATAAGTGTTCATCTTTCACATCTATAGAGCTCAATAATGAATGATGTGGTGGGGGAGGGACAGCGGCAGGAATTTATCCAGGCAAATTCCTTTTAAACAATAAACACTTCATACACTATCAGGCTAATCTGAATAGATGACTAAAAATCCAGTGGTTGATAAATTATCAGCATGGCACCTGCATCTTATGCTTGAAAAACCTTGAGCAAACCCAGGGCTATACTTGTGGATTAATTGAGCATGCATAATTTACCACTGCAGTTTACGTAAGTGTAAGTATTTTTCTCATTCTGGTAAATAGGCATTTCCAGCTTCAGGAGAAAAATCAGAATGTTGCTGTACAAAGAAATGAGCCATCAGCCTATTTGGCTATTATAAGAAAAAAGAATCTCTGCTCTTGCCACCACTGCTTAGTTTTTAAATTGAAATGATTTTTCAAGTTTAATTTGCTTTTCTCCATTTATGTATATTTCTTTTTATTCATATTTATTGTCTTGCTTTTACTATTGTTTGTAATCAATACTGTTTTCTTAGTCTAATTTGATGCTACTTATTTGAATGATTTACAGAACGTTAATCTAGGAAAATACTTTCATTGCAGTTGTTTTATGTAGCCAAGGGTGAAAAGCAAATGCGTAGGGATTAAGAGTCACAGAAACACATCAAGGTTTGAATGGCTTGCTGCGTATTATCACCCATGCGCTTTTTAATTAGGTGTTAATACTAAGTCACTATTTTCTCATCTATTAAATGGAAGTAATACCTATCCCAAAAATTGTTCTATTACATGTTATAATGAATAAACAGCCTCATTTAAAGCCAGAAACATACTAGGTGGTCAATAAATGATATGTATCCTTGTAATTCTCTTATTAAAACAAAATTTATTTCATATATATCAGCTGTAAATTTTACATCCCTAGATTAGTAGTTTAAAAACATTTGTTGCTATAGGAGATTTTATTTAATTATTATTTTTGTTTTGTTTTGTTTTGGAGACAGAGTCTTGCTCTGTTGCCCAGGCTGGAGTACAGTGGTGTGATCTCCGCTCACTGCAAGCTCCGCCTCCTGGGTTCATGCCATTCTCCTGCCTCAGCCTCCTGAGTAGCTGGGACTACAGGCACCTGCCACCACGCCTGGCTAATTATTTTTGTATTTTTAATAGAGACGGGGTTTCACCGTGTTAGCCAGAATAGTCTCGATCTCCTGACCTTATGATGTGCCCACCTCGGCCTCCAAAAGTGCTGGGATTACAGGCTTGAGTTTATTTAATTATTAGTAGTAGGCTATACAATATAAAGTCAATATGAGAGTTTTATTCTCCTTGTTTAAGCAAAAAAAAAAAAAAAATGTCCTTGTGGGAAAGGAAAGCTTAAATGCAACTGTTTTTAAATGATACTATTATAAATATATTAATCCCTGTTTTACAATGGGGAAATACCTTTAAACCTCAATTGATGTAGTAGTCATAATCGTGAGTGGCTGGGTTTCCATTTGATTTTTCTCATCTACTCCTATTTCCTGTAATATAATATATACATTATAATTTTAAAAATGTGTTTTACCTATGCTTAATTTTTTATTGCGGTAGCTACTAATGCTGAAATCTTAAATTTTGCAATCTCAGAGCCCCTGTATAGTAAGTTATAAAAAATGTAAATATAATAGGAAAACTGACTACTTAAAGGAGCTTTTCAGTGAATCACACATAAAATCCAAGATCCTGTTTATAACAGAGGTTAAATTTATTTATATAGTAAATCTAATTTTTCATGATATACAACACCCATATGTAAATTGTAATAGCCATCGTACGCTTCCTTTCTTGGTGAGAACTACAGCTATCAGCCAGGCATCGGGTTATTCCTATAAAGACATGTCACATTATCTGCCACTTCTCTGTGGCTTTATTGATGTGGCTGTCACCCTAGAAACCCAGCGGATTCGGAGATGAGGCTGTCTTCCTACTTGATTTTTCACTAAAGTACATTTGAGGAGACCACTGTGAGGCTCTGGTGGAAGAAGCCGAAAGGGTAATTCTCCATAAGAATAGTTGTAACCTTCTGAGACTTTGTGTCTGCACTCATGCAATTGGTCATTTCCTGAATACTAAGTGGGACTTGTCGCACCATTAATCATGCCACAACAGCACCCTCAATCTTGCTTAGAAATAATCATTACTTAATTAGCTGGTCTTTTCTTTGTGTTTCTATCTCTTTCAGTCGTAAGTTTAAAATGAGGCTACAGAGTGATGAAAAGGAGAGAAACAAGCTAAGAAGATCATGTAATGGCTAGCACAGAGCTTGGAGTTAGATAGGCCAAGTTTCTCTACTACTGATGAGCTGTATCATGCAAAGTCATACAAGTTACTTAAAATACTTAAGACTCTGATTCTTCTTCTGTAAAGTGAGTATAATAACGTCTTTCAGTGTGTGTTAGTGAATTCTTGACAGACCTATGCTCGAAAACATGGACCTTCTCTTCAATTTTTGCCTTAATACTGTGAGTTTGGGTCCCAATCTTAGAACTTGACCTTTTCCCTCCCCTCCAGATAACATGATCAGCTTTTCTTTGTCGGGTTCCTGAATGTCAAACTTGTAATGCCAACCATTTGCCACATAAAGGAGAAGATCTCATTTACTCCTAACAAATGAGTTATCTTATAAAAAACAAAAACAAAAAACCAATATCAATGTCAAGTGAAGCAAATCTCAGCTGTGGGCTCCATCAGCTATCCAGACCTTGAGAAGCTTTGTGGTTCTCTGCTCAGTTAATATGTGTCTGACACCCACCTTTTCAAGTGAAGCCAGTGCAGTGAAGTCAGTCTGGTGCTGCACAGATGAGGTGAAAAGTGGATGGAGAGGCTCAGACTCACCAACTACAGTTGTTCCTTCATTTAGATAGTTGTAGAGTTCCCATAGAACTAGGAGTGGTCATTCAAAATGATCCCTTGCCACGGTAGTAGACTTTTTTCTTTTTTTCTTTTATTTTTTAGCAATCCTACTGCCAACATGCCATTCTATTTAAATGGAAAATGCCACTGTGTATACTATTATTGTAATAAGGTACCTTGTCTCCAAGTCAGAAGTTAAGAAAGAGAAATGAAAGTTTTCAGGCCTCTTGGCAGCTGGGGCTCAGTCCTGTGACCTTGCCTTTGTTAACCAGATCATTCTGTTTGGGGTCTTGACTCCTGAATGAGAATGGTGAGGATTCATTCATGATCACTTCGATGATGGCAGTGGCAGCATCATGTCACAATGCTATTGGGTTCACCTATGTAATACGATGTCTTCTCCAATTTCTAGAGGGAGTAGCAGGTGGTGAAGCCAGTTTTTGGTTTAGGAAAGTCTGGGATTTGTAGCTGCCTTTACAAATTTGGTGCTCAACAGACATGAGAGGTAACAAGGAGTTAATCTTACTAAGGAACTAAGATTACCTAGCGTACTTTCACTACCCACTTGTCCTCAGGTCTTCTGTGATTTAAGACAAGCATTTTTCATTGCTTTTGGCCACCAAGTAGAGTTCACTGAATCTATAATGACGATCACAATATAAGCGATTTTATTAACCTGTCGGTTACTATACAACTTTCTTATTCTGGTCACATCCCAAATCCAGGAGGGTGGTGAAAATGCAAGACTGTTCTTTATTCCCAAAGTACTGAATTTCACATCATTCTTTCATGAATGGGCACAGGTATACTTGTATGTATATCTGGCTTATAAATCCTTAAGAATGTTGGTGGTTTACTTCATCAGAGGTTTATTATTATTGATTGAAATGTAAAAGTTAGGCCGGGGGTGGTGGCTCATGCCTATAATCCCAGAACTTTTGGAGGCCAAGACAGGCGGATCATCTGAGGTCAGGAGTTCAAGACCAGCCCAGCCAACATGGTGAAACTCTGTCTCTACTAAAAGTACAAAAAAAAAAAAAAAATTAGCTGGGCATGGTGCAGGCGCCTGTAATCTCAGCTTCTTGGGAGGCTGAGGCAGGAGAATCACTTGAACCCGGGAGGTGGGGGTTGCAGTAAGCCGAGATCACACCACTGCACTCTAACCTGGGTGACAAGAGTGAGACTCTATCTCAATAATAATAATAATAATAATAATTTAAAAGTTAGTTTGGGTAAGGCCGGGCACGGTGGCTCACACCTGTAATCCCAGCACTTTGGGAGGCTCAGATGGGCGGATCACCTGAGGTCATGAGTTCGAGACCAGCCTCAACATGGAGAAACCCCATCTCTACTAAAAATGCAAAATTAGCTGGGCGTAGTGGCGCATGCCTGTAATCCCAGCTACTCTGGAGGCTGAGGCAGGAGAATTGCTTGAACCTGGGGTGCGGAGGTTGCTGTGAGCCGAGATGGCGCCATTGCACTCCAGCCTGGGCAACAAGAGTGAAACTCCGTCTCAAAAAAAAAAAAAAAAAAAGTTAGTTTGGGTAACTATATGTGTATTTGGACATTATGTCTAAGACACTATTATTTGCATTGTTTCCTAGAAGTTCCCCAAATGTGTTATTGTGATGAGACTACCCTAAAAATGGGTTCTGTGTTCATATGAGTTTTCAGAGAACTACATAAAATCTCTTTCTCTTAATAATCCACACTGTATATTAGCATGTTAAGGACTTCACAATTCCTGAGAAAATGAGCTTACTTCACATCGTTTGACTCAGAGTTTTACAAATTTGCATGACTACAAAGACCCTTCCTGTAAAATAAAAACTATGGGACTAACACTTTATGAGATATATTTTGGGAAATGTTACCATAATATGCATTTTTCTATTGTATTTTTCTGCATCACATGTTTTCACCAACAGATGCACTGGGCTTACATGGGAGAAGAGCAGGTACTAACAGAGATATTCATTTGTAAGTCAATTCATTCCAGTGGTCCTTCCCCATGGTGACAGTCTCCCATGCAGTGTAGGGGCAGGGAGAAGTGCTTTTCTTGTTATATAAAAGGATCAGAAACTTATTTATTTACCTACATTTACCTACAGTCTTTGATGAAGCCTTCCTTGGCACAAATTTATACCTTTAGACATAGGTCCAGATTGTTACTGTCTTCATAGATTTAATTCACTGATTATTTTAACCAAAGAGGTCTCCAAAGTGATAAGATAATGAGATGGCTTCACAAAGAATGTAGAAAACTGAAACCTCTTCTGGTAAAAATACAAAGAACTGTATGAAAATGATACACACCAAATTCAGGATGGTGGTTACTGCTGCCAGGATGTGGGAGGTGGTCAGGAAGTGATACACAAAGGAAGGCATGGCAGGTGTGCTCCTGGGAAACACTATGAAACCCTGAGGGTTGAGCCCAGGGCAGCCTTCAGGAATGCTCTCAAGAAAGACAGCTGTGAAAACATGTGGTGTTTGGTTTTCTGTTCCTGTGTTAGTGTGCTGACCATGGCACATGTATACCTATGTAACAAACCTGCACGTTCTGCACATGTATCCCAGAACTGAAAGTATAATAATTAAAAAATAAAAAAAATAAAAAAAATAAAAGAAAGACAACTGTGAAAGAAAAAGGGAAGAAGAGAGAGGGAGAAGCTGAGCTGTAATACCTTTGCAAAACTGCCTTCAACCTAACTCTCGGTCCTTCAGAGATGTGTCCAGAATCCAGGCAAGAGGGTCGGCCCTGCGTCAACCAGTCATTGGAAGTGAGCTGCTCCTGGAGAGGAAGAGAGATAGGGTGACCTTGGTCAAGGCAGCTTCAGCTGAAAGCAGCCAACCCGCCAGGCAACTGGTGGAGTGGGTGTCTTGGTTCTGAAGTGGGAATCTGGTAGCATCACTCTATGCCCTTCAGAGGATTTACCACCACTGGCAAATTTGTATTTGTTTAAATACAACATCTATATTTTATTAATAAAATTTATTTTCATGCATGGTTATTCTTACCTTATTCTTTATATCTTGTTATTGTCTTCAATCATGCAAAATAAATTTTAAGAACAAAATGTTGAAAGAATACATTTATCATGAAGAAATTTCATGCAGTAATGCTTCAAATCATTCCAAATCACTGGGAAAAGAATACGTTCTGCATGACTGACTCTTCTAGTTGAAAGATTTACCTAAATGCCAAAACTTTTAAACACTATTTTTAAAGGAAATCTTACTAAAATCTTGCTCATATATCCATATCTTAATGAAAAGGCTGAAATGTGCATAATAGAATCTTTCCTTGATGAGTAAATGTTTTTATTAGTTTGGGTCCTCAAATATACTTTGTAGAAACTCGTCTTATCTCCCCCTCACATACAATTAATCTTTGTTTCTCTACTTGTATTCCAGCCAAACCATTCCCCTTTTTGGCTTTTAAACTTTTTTTTAAATTGGAATCACCATTCTCAAATTCCCTTAGGTTTGTAATCCAGAATCAGCTTTACCTCTCAGCCACTCCTTCACTTTTGCATCTAGTTAACAAATTGGTCAACAAATCCCACAAGTTCTGCATCTTCACTACTTCTAGCATCTGCTCTCTCTTTCTATTCCCTGGCCATAAAACCTCTAACTGGACTAGTACATTGGCATCTAAATTAATGTCTCCAGTTGAAACTATCAGACCAGTCTCCTACAACTCAACTCTGATCATGTCACTTCACTACTTAGAATTCTCAGTGGCCAGAAGCTAGACAGTAAGGGCCCTTCCTGTCCACTGTTGTCTTACTTTGTCTCACTGTTGTCTTACTGTTGCCACTGACCTCTCCAGTTTCTCCTCCCACTATTTGTCCCTAAGCACATTAGTTTCATCCATAAGTGCATAGTTTATGCTTTTTCAGTCTTTGCTGTTCCTATAATCTGTGGGCTCCTAAAGGCAGAGGAAAGCCTACATACCAAAATACTGAGAACGGAAGGGTATTTAGTTTAAGAGAGTAGGCTCTGGAACCAGCCTCCATGGTTTACTTCTATCCACTTACTAATTGTATGACTTTGAGTATGTTACTCAATTTCTTTCTGCCTAAGTTCCTCATTTGTAAAATGAGGACAGTAGCATCTGCATCAGACGTTGTGAACTAAATGGTTCATAGATGGAATTGCTTAGAAGACTGCCTGGCTTATAATAAGCATTCTATACATTTTGTCTATTATTATTGCTTTTGTTCAGGCCAAATTAAAGTCTTCACTGGCACCTACTTTTATATAGGATCTTTTACTGTAGCCCCATGATGCATTGTCCTTTTAAAGCCATTTGCTGATTTGCTACTTGCTAATTGTATGTCTGGTCCCAGATTTTTTAATTTGGTGATTCCTTCCTTTCCTAATTCAGGAAATGTATTTTATCGAAAGTCACGGAAACCAGTGCATGCAAGCTTAATGTTTACTGAATGGCTCCAACAGGTAATCATGCCAATATCTAAGAACAGGAAATTGCAGACAGCTAGGCCACATGGGATTAGGCTGAAACTTCTGTCTGTTCTAGGCCATTTCACACTGTTTTAGTCTGCTTCTGGGTTCTTTCCCTAGTTCTCTTAGCAGACTGACTTTCTCTGCTCAGTTTTGCTGTTTCCCCCTATTCTTCTTGCACATGAGTGGATTGAGTTTGCTAAGACACTGATTACTGCTTGGATATCACTTGGCTTTGCATCTGGGCTCCCTACAACTAACAAACACAGTCTTTTGGTATCTGAATTCCAAATTCTTAGGAAGTAGTATTTTACTGGCTCAGGTGGAATATGGTTTGGTTCCCTAGATTAAGTGCCCCCTTCTATTTCAGTTGCTGTAGTCAAAGCTATAGCTTTATCTGATTCAAAGATAATAACTTAGAATATCCCTCCTATAGCGGCAGTGGGTGGGGAATATTACCATTACCAAAGATGGGCATAGGCACAGTGCAGATGCCACAAAATAGGCATGGATCCTGTCACCGTCTTTACTGGAGTAAGATATATCTTAGTGTATTCTTGCAGAATGCCTGCTTTCTTTACTCTCTTTTGCCACTCCAGAAGCACTAAAGAATACCAGGGAAAACCTATTGGTACCAAGTATTTTGAAATCCACTCTTAATTTCATGGATGTTTTCCAGAACAGACCTACAAGTCTTAAGGTGGTTTCACTCAGCTTTCATGGGTTAAAACAGTCTTGAGAAAGCTCCTGGTACTCAGTAGAGTCTGACTTAAATTGAGGCTTAATGCCACTGTACATTACATTCCTGAGCCACATGTTTGTTATAAATGCAGTCTGGTGACTTTTTACTCTTGAGGGCAGCCACACTCCAATAAAGGTTTGGTCTTCATGACATAAGGTGAAGTTCAATGATAAGAGTTAGCTGATAACATTTGAAATTATTGAATTTGGAATCCAAGTAAAGAAACAGCTAATAAGGAATATATCTTTATCCTTTTATTCTAAATTCTCAGAATTAGCTTCCATGTCACCCATTTTCCCCAGAAAATCAGCCAACTCTTGTAACCAATTTGTGTGTCACAGGTGTTAGAGAAGGGTACTCTTTTGGCTCTATTTCTCATTTCATTTCATTTTCATTTGTTGGGGCATGTATAATTAAGTTTACCTGCTCTTCCCCAGAAGGCAATTATTGGTTTAGATTGCCTTATAATTGTCTCAGGTCTTTAATGGCTTCGCTGATATTTAGCAGTGTTGCTCCTGTTTCCTCTTTTATTTTAAACCATTTGTCCTTTTTGTTTTACCCTGACATTGATCTGTGTTGTTCCTCTCTGCAAACAAAAGAACCAACATCCCACATTGCATAAACATTTGTGTCACACTTTCCTCTCGAAATTAGTATTCTTTTAAACTGGTTAACACATTTGTACTGTCTCTGACACCTTTAACTATGACAACTATGAAACAAAATAGTGAACAGTGAACAAACACATCACTGAAAACCGATTAGATTAATTACTATTCGGGACAGTGCTTAGATTAATTATTTTGTTTGTGTAGTATGTTCGTTAAGTGGTTGCCTGATTGCTGCTTAGAAGATTGATTGCTTCTTACATTTACCTTGTGGATTCTGTGGGGAAAATATCTTTTAGGATTCATCACTTCTCAAAGCCCAGGGGGCTTTGTTGACATGAGAATGCTCCAGTAAAGCTGTAAAATGGAGAACCAACTGAGGAAAATGTGTTCTTTAAATAAACACCTACAGTGGTGGCTAGAGTAGCCATCAGATCTGTTTAACATCAGGAGAAACAACTGATGATAAAATTGAGTTAATACGAACTATACAATCTGAAAACCCAGCACACCAGCTGGATTGTAAAATTGAGGTGAATAAGCACTTACCAAGATTTTCTCTGTATCCAGTAAGCTAAAATAACAAAGTCTTGGTGACTTTATGCTCATTTTACCTCTTGACTGTCATGTACCTCACTTCCCAGTAGCAGCCGCATGAGGACTGCTGCTGCTACTGCTGTTTGAGTCTGCCCTGGCAATGGGGCTCAAGAGCTCCCCGGGCTCCTTCTGAAGAATCCACACCACTGCCCTTTGAGGCGCTTGCCTCGCTGTAGGAAACTTCATGGGGTTATGTGATGCATAAGAGCATGCATTATCTACTGTGTTCAAGGGGTGACTGCCTGCACTAGGAAAGGATTTATGATAATAGGATTTTGTGCAATGGGGAATCGTAACAAATTTAAATAGAAGAGTACTTTTGAAAGAAAAAAAATGAGTTGAGGATTAAAAATAGAACAGACTTTTGTTTAGTGAAAGACTGAGCTAATCTCTCCATTTGGGGACACAAAAATACATTGCTTGCCCATGATTGTGTATTATACCTATCTGTGACTTTGAATGCTTATGGCGGTATTAGACACACAGCTTTAGTATTCAAAGAGGCTTCATACATCCCTGCCAAAAATACTGTACCTTTGTCCAGAAGAGAAAGACTAAAGAATCTTTCTATGCTTCTAGTCTTTTGACCTTAATATTTGCATCTATTAATTATATTCATAAACAACTACAACACAATTACACAAAATACTTAGATGTAGGGCACTGAAAATACCTAGGACTTTTAATACTATAGATTAAAACTAAGGAAGCATTATAACTAATATGCATCCCAGCAAATGAGAAGGAAATAACCAAAATAGTAAAATAATTAAAATAAAAGTTGCCTCATGTTTTAATCAGTCTTCCCTCTGTAGCTTGAGATTTCAGAAGGTAAGCTATTTACAAACATAAAATGTTTTTAGCATTTAAAATCATTTTGAACTTAAGATTATTAAACATCGTAACCATCATGTCATTATGGCAAAGATAGTTTTCCTCCATAAAGACACAGTCATTGCCCAAAGGAGAAGCAGCCAAGAGCATAGGTATTAGGACAGTGATAAATGAGAGGATGAGAGATGGAGTGGTTGTTTGTGATTTGGTTGGCTTTCTACAATGGTGCAAAGACTGAAATAAAAGGAAATGCATTAGCCCAGATGAAAATATATTTAAGGCCTTTTTGATTAAGTTCTTCTTTTCCTGTGTGACTTGAAAGCTGAAACTCGATGAGAATTAATTTTTTAAACATCTTTCTTTCTCATTAACTGCCCTTTTGTCTCTTTGAAGATACCTGTCTATGTTCCAGTCGAATACGAAATTCTAGTAATTCAAGTTTTTCAACTTACCACCCACATTCCTGGATTCTGACAGACAGTGGGGCTGAGACTATTGTGGGGATAAAGTTGCCTATATAACAAGTTTTCTCTGGTTTGAAAACTTAAGTTCAGCACATTTAGAAATAGCCTGGAATCTTGAAAAATGAGCCCTGTTTTTCATAGCATCCCTGATACCTTCCTTTCTTAGCCTATTCACACATAATTGTATCTTTTACAACTAAAACCTATTCTATTAAAATGAATTGCTTATAGTTATTATTATACTTAAAACATAACTGTTTTGAGAAAGTTGAAAATATGTGTTTGGAACCTCACTGGGCTGTTCATAAGCTATTGTCTTAATTGTAAAAGCAACAAATTCAGTGCATCTGTAAGAATGTGATTTTAAGTTAATGAAACTAGTTTTCATGTGTTGTTTATTAAAGTTATTACATTATGGTCACATCTCAAACATTCTCTGTAATTATTTGATGGCTAAATGTGGCTGTCCTTTTAAGAGGAAAATGACATTATTGATCCATTGTTACTCCCCACCCACAATTTACTTTAATTGTCTTTTCCTCTTATGGGCCATGAGCTTCCCACTGGCCTCTCAATTTCCTCATGTAACCAAAGATATCTCTCAGAAGCTGGTAACCAGGGTGGTGAGTACTTGGTGTTTTCTGGAGCTATGAACTGCTAACTGGACTCATTCATTCAGTCAGTCCATCAATGAGTAAATGTATTTATGCACTATTGAACACTTACACAGATTCTACACCACATAATTTTATTTTCTGTATGAATAGATGGCATAACTCCTGTTTTCAGAGAGCTCAAAATTTTGTGAGAGGACCTGCAAAGGAGCAAGCAATTAACATAAAGAGTATTCGAAGTTAGCGTAACAGAGCCCAGAGAGGTAACAGAAGGTGTCCCAAGGGAAGACAGAATAAGAGCTCTCAGAAAGGAAGAGCTAAGGGGAGGATGTTCAGGCAGATAATGCCGCATTTGCAGGCAGTTGCAGAGAGAACCTTGCTCCAGTAGTTCCATGAGCCTGGACGGGAGGAGAGGAGAGAGCGGGAGAGGAAGACAGGGCAAGGAAGCCGTTGGGGAAGGCTTTGGAAGCCATTCATTTGGCATTTACCCTGCAGAAACTAGAGAGCAAATGAAGGATTTAATCAAGAGAATGACTTCTGTCCAATTAGTATCAAATTCTAACTGAATTAATCAGCCATACTTTATGCCCTTCCTATACCTGTCAAAATGTCCAAATTGTTATTTTTTTTTATTGTCCAAACTGAGTTGGCTTCCATTTCTGACAGATTTGACTTTGAAATGTTTTTGCTTATCTGACAATATGGAGATTTTTCTTTCTGGTCTGAATCTCTGACTGCTATTTTCCTTCCTCAACTACCTGCTGGAAATCTTTTATCATGCTAAATTAGAAAGGTAAATATGCTCCAAAAAATAATGGTAAACAATATTAAAAAAGAGATTATGTGCTATTTATATGATATTAACTACCTGCCTTTATCGTCATTTGGACTGAATGAACCAGTTTAGAAACCAGTTTAAATCATAATTCATAACATTCAAAATAGAAAAAAATCTTAGGAGGTCCTCGTGGAAACATCACTGAAATATATTTTTGTTAAAAGTATCCCAAGACTGTAGAACAGCTAGATCTAGAGAAATATTTGAGAAAAGTAGGCCTTTTGATATGTGTCCTTCCAAATATTTATTTTGTATTTTAAGTATAGACTGGAAAATAAAAAGAATGCCTTTCATCTCTTTAATATTTTGCCTCAACTTCGCAGTCAGCTCTTTGGAACTAGAGGATTTACTTCTTTTTTCTTTAAGATAATGAAAAGACCAAAACCTATCAATATGGTCATTTTGTATATCTTAATGAATAAACTGAAATGCTACACAGCGGCTCCAGTCACCTGATTTGGAATTGATTGTGAATATATCCAAAAATACGCAGCCAATTTGATCCCTGCATGTAGATGGGGGTCTATGGATGGGCACTGTGTGGGGGGATTAGAACCCTCTTTGCATGGACTCCAGCTGAGAGAACCCTTCCACATGTTAGCCAGAGACCCAGAGTAGGGGTAAGCAAATGTCCTGCAGAGGCATGGCAGAGAGCAAAATCACAGATGCAGCTTGCTAGAATTTCCCACAATCAAAATATCTTATTCTTCCAATGACCTCAGCAATGAAAAAGTATCCTACATTTCCACATTAATAATCCAGTTTTCCTTTTCATGTTTCTCCTTTGTTTCAGGAGCCTCAGGCCTAGGGTAACCCAGAAAGCCTTCTTTCCTCCAAGGTTATTTTATTATTTAGGACATCATCGGTGATAATAGGAGCTCCTTTCCCATTTTAAAATTTTGGACATGTAGGATTAAAACATTATATGAAAGACACTCTAGGGTTAATCACTAAACCTACAAATGGCATTGGCAGTCTTGCCCTGTGTAGATAGGATCATCTATGTTTGGGTTTATGGGATGAATATCATTAAACTGAATGCTCTTACTCGGATTATTTTTTTTTATTTAATGTTTTGCCCAAGGAAAGTCTTATTAAGTGTTGTAATGGCTCTAAGAGTTGTTGGTTTTTTTTTTTCATTTTATTAGTGGTTGAGGAAAAAAAAAAACCCATGATATTAGTAAAACTAATTGTTACTACATTAAAATAATGCAGGTTTATCTCTGAATTAAAGCGTGTTACTTTATCTACTCAGACAAGTGACCCCAAAAAACCCACCTCTATAATAGACTCCTTAAATTGCATTTTATTAAAAAAAATAAAAGAAGTTGGAGTATAAACTTAGATCCTTTTTAGTGGCATGCATAAGCATAGTTTATAATAACAGCAAACACTCATGGCAATTTGAACATGCCAGCATTCTTCCATGTATTAATTTCCTCACAAGATACCTGTTTTAAGGTGGCTTCTATTATATCCTGATTTTCCAAATGAGAAAACTGAGGCATGGGAATTAAATAACTCACTTGAGTTCATAAACAAGGAAGTGGCAGAGCAGGATTTGAACTCAGGGTCCATCTCCACAGGGTACAATTGGCCACTTCACTGAATGCCTTTGACAAGGGAGAGAGTTCAGATTCCACGCAGTCAGCCCACTTTGGCAGGCGCAATCTTGAGGAACAGACTTTGGTCTGACAGTGTAGCCATCTTCATACAAAGAGAATAAAGTCTTTTTGTTGTTGTTGCTGTTGTTGTTATTATTTGTTTTAATCCTTGGAGAAAGGAAAAAAAAGTAAGATTAGAGAGAATGCATGTGTTACCTGAAAAATCCAAAGGGAAAATGGAAAATAAAGTAAGGCAATAATTTAAAGGAGTCCTAAAAATTAATCAGCTCTCTAATGGGGATGACCAAAATTTGATTGATAATAGAGGCAGGAAAGTAAATTATTAGAAAATGCTGGCTTAAGAAATACACTGTAAAAATGGTTGGGTTTAAAAATCATAAAACCATTATGATTGTAAGTACTTTATTATTCCAATTTTCTTTTCTATTTTTGTGCTATGTTTTTTTCCAGTATATTTTTATTCAATCAAAGCTCCAAAGCAGTTTGTAATGTAAAACTTCAAACTGTTTCCATCTGCATTACTGGCTCTTTCACACTAAAGTGCCCACTAGATCAAGGTAGCAAGTGTGTTCATTGGAAAAAGCTCGGTGCTATAAATAACAGGAATAAATTGACAAGGTTTCCTGAAAGGATCACCAGTGTTAGGAAGCATGTGTAAGGCATGAAATGTAACACAGCTTAAATTTACTAGCCCATATAATCATCAAAATTAGACTTAGGAAATATCTTTAAAATCATTTAGTTTAACTCTGAACTTATTATTTTGGATAATTTTCATTGATATAAATCCAGAACCTATTAGAACTCATTTTTTAGGTTGTTTCCCTCAAGCTCTTCTCTTTAATTTTCCTTCCTAAAATATTATTCTGCTGGGAATGAATAATTTACATTTGCTACTTCTGTTTTACCCTCATTATATGTTCCTCCCCCGCAAGATAAAATCTCCATCTTACTATTTGCTTTGTTCAAATACCAGTCAACTATTTCTCTCTAGTATGTGAGATGTGTGTGACGCAGATGACATATATCTTTCGCAGACTGATTTCTTTTGATTAGGTCTCTACTTTTCTTCTTTAAATAATTATTAAAAATCTTTATAGTTTTCTGTATATCTTGGGTCATAAATAGATTTCAGCATTCTGTTATTTTAATTATAATCCTACTGATTCAGAGTCCAGAATAAGTCAGAAACTTGCTAAAAATACTGAGCTAGGTGAGAGGGACACCATAGAGCCGAGATAGTAAAAATGGTTCATTCTCTTCATTTGAATGCAAATTATAGGTTATCTAAAATATGACTCTGGAATGCACAAGAAGACACACACTGAAAATTAAAATTTTGGCCATGTCTCTTCATGATAGTAAACAGTGATTGAAAAGTGAAAATACTCATTTGATCCTCTCACGATACTAGTGTTCTGTGATAACATCATATAAAGATGAATGAGCTTTTTGATCATCCAGCTTTCCAGATATCCTACTTGAACTGACCTTGAGAAGAGTGATTTTTGCCAATACAAACTCTAAAGAGGCTTTGGCGAATGGAGAAAAGATGATCCTCTTCTCGCTGGCTACTTTCTGGGGCTGCTTTGGGACTTCTTTTCACACTCACCACAGAAACAAAATGTAGGGACAATGGGATCCCCATTTCACTCTGATGTTCTACAGCAGGCAGAGGGTCTACCCTGCCACCAACAATAGCTGTAGTCATCACAACAGCCTTCATAGAATGATATTCAGTTGTAGCATCAGCAATAAGACAAAAGAAAGTCCTGGAGTCACGTGCCCGTAGAAGCACCTGTCTCTGGCTTTTGGTCAGGGTCTTCCACAGCAGTCACTACCATCATTACAAACCATGTGTTTCAAGAACACATTACTTTTGAGAATGCCAGGGCTGAGTTACTCCTGTTTGACATTCTCCCATCTAGCTTCTCTAGGCTCCAGAATAAGAGCATCCCCACCATTATTACCAAATAATACTATTGTCAAGATGATGATGTTTAGAGATCCCAAGAAATCAGTCAGGTGAGTACTCCCCTTCTACACCACACACGTACCGCTCTGGTTTCTTCTGTTGGCATTTTCTGCTGCTTCTGTTGCCTGACAAACCTGATAAATGAAAGCCACTGATTCAAAGCCAATATTTTACACAGAGAAAGGAGATTCCAGCTGGGACTACTCACCAAGGTTAGTTCATAGGCAAGAGAAAAAAGCAAGGAAAAGGATCTAGAGATCTTGGTGAACTAAAGCTGCAGCCCAGGTAAGTACATCTGAAGAGTTGTACAGTTATGATGGATCAGAGCCCAGAGAAGTAGGAGTGCTGTTGATATTACTCGTTCTTTAATTCATTCATTTTTAAAAATTATTTGTTCTTTAATTCATTGATCCAGCAAATGTTTACCAGGTCCTGGGTCCTGTGCCAGGTACTATACTAAGTACTGGAGATATGAAAATGAACAAGGTAGACATAATCCCTGCCTTCATGTAATGGATAGTCTAGTAGGGAATAAAGATGTTACACAAACATAAAAATGATTATTTAGTCACAACTATGATAAATGCTTTGTAAGCATCTAAGATTTTCTTAAAATACCAGACAACTTCCAGTAGCCAATTTGATAACAATAAGGGAATTTGTTAACATCAGGTGGAAAATGCTGGCAGTTAAAACTTTTTGTCTGCATGTTTCACAGGATTTAAAAAAAAAAAGCTCTTCAGAAGATTTTAAACATTATAATTAATATTTTACTTTCAAGCCTGTTGTTGATTTTAGAAGATAAATTTGCTATTTAAAAAGATAACTAGGGCCAGGAGCGGTGGCTCACGCCTGTAATCCCAGCACTTTGGGAGGCCGAGGCGGGCAGATCACGAGGCCAGGAGATCGAGACCATCCTGGCTAACACAGTGAAACCCCGTCTCTACTAAAAATACAAAAAATTAGCCGGGCGTGGTGGCGGGTGCCTGTAGTCCCAGCTACTCGGGAGGCTGAGGCGGGAGAATGGCGTGAACCCGGGAGGCGGAGCTTGCAGTGAGCTGAGATCGCACCACTGCACTCCAGCCTGGGCGACAGAGTGAGACTCCGTCTCAAAAAACAAAACAAAACAAAAAAAACGATAACAACTATATTATAAGACATCATTTGTGAATTCCACATTCTCATATGTAAGGTAAACACAAAGTTTGTATGAGGTTCTCTGTCCGGGCAATGTTAACTATTGAAAAATTACATTCTAGGAGTTTACTCTGATTGAGGAAAATAAGATACACCTTAAAATAACCACAAAACAAGAATATGAGCTAAGGCCCTTGGCAGTTAATGTACCTAAGTGCTGTTTACATATTTTGAAGCTAAACGTTACAAAGACTTTTTCTGATTTATATATTTACATTAAAAGTCTTTTACATTAAAAGTCTTATAAAGGTATTTTTCAAAGCCGTTACACATGTAGTAACACAATTAGTAAATCACATGAAATCTGAATGACTTTAGAAAGACAGGGACACATGAGTGGAGACTGGGAGGACGACTAGGTTCACTACTTAGGGAGGCCAGAATGGAGTCTTTTGTGGGTAATGAGGGCAGTTCAGGGAGAAGAGGGCAGTAGAAAAGGTATTTTGTCACAAAAGATTAAAATGTGTCAGGGAGACAAGCATAGAGATTTATTTTATTGTTATAAAACAGAATATAAAAGTAGGTTGGGGTCTAACTATTGTGGACTTCGAGTGATCAACGAAGGAGTTTATATTTTTTCTGATATTTTATGCCATTGAAGGTTTTAGGGCAAGGGATTGCCATGATCAAAGTAGAAGAATCAGTCTGGCTGCAGCCCACATAATCATGGTGACATAATAAATTGTAATGACTCAAAGCAGTAGCTGGAAATTGAGAAAGAAATACATGAATTAGAAGGTGTTGAAAATCGCTTATGTTGACTTGAGACAATGGTATTCATCTTTTCTGTGAGTGTATTTGTCTTCTGTTTAGAAAAAGACAAAGCAAATGAAAAACAATCTCTTCATTCACCTCCAGAAAGGGGTTGGGAAAGACAAATAAAGGGTTATTCATAATCTGTTGGTTACCCTCTGTTGGTAGTGGACAGAGATGAAACACTTTTTCGCTGGTGCACAACTTTATTCTTAGCCGTGAACATCTGTAATTAGATGAACCACCATAGTGATGACTGAATTGAGAAATCAGCCCATTAGAGGATCTGGTGGTAAAGGAATGGAAATCATTATCTAGCACAAATAATGCAAAGTTGGTCACTTACTCATGTGTGAGTTACTGTGCAAACAATTCTGATAAAAGAGGGGGGAATGCTATGGAATCAATATTGTCTTTATTGTGAAGAGGAATGAGAATGAACAAAACCCTGAAGCTTTGAAATGTGGTAAATCTCAATACATTTACTCTGAGAATGTGACTGCATCCCCACAGTTCTTCAGAGAAAGGATGTGTGGGTGTGAGAGTGAGTGGGTGTGTGGGAAAAGCTAATAACAGTTCTAGGTTAGCTTGCTTCCTTCCTTCCTTCCTTCCTTCCTTCCTTCCTTCCTTCCTTCCTTCCTTCTTTCCTTCCTTCCTTTTTTTCTTTTTTTTTCCTTTACAAAGCCTTTACAATAGCAGTTTTACACCTTTGAGGCCTTTGCTAATTTTTGAGACATTTTATACTCTTTCTATTTAGGCATTAATCAGGAAATTGGTCTTTTCAAAGTGTGAATCATGAATAGTGAATATGAAACATTTTAAGAATGTAGTAGGAAAGATATTAGCACTTTGGGGAGGTTGCTTAGTGGAGTGAGGGAGCTAATGAATACTCTGAGTTATCTAGCTCTTTTCATCTATGCTAATTAGCCTTAACAAGGCAAGTTAAAATAATTTCTTTCCTAGGCTTGTACAGTGTAACTTCCCACTTAGCATTTCTTGTCTCCTTACAAGCCTTATAACCTGAGGCAATCCCAGATATTCCCTTTGGGAAAGAAGTATTTGAGAGTTATGCTCACGGCACTTGCCTTTATTAATTTTATGAAAAAAATCCATTTTAACATTCATTTTCATATTTGAGTACCCAAGAATTTGAGGTTTGTATGTAACCATTGTTGGGATTTTGTTAAAAGAAATGTTATAGTACAATCCATCATGACCCAAACACATCTTGATGAAATGTTCTGAAGTTTCCTATCTTTAAAAAAAATGTATTATGCTATTTCTCTTATGGTTCTTATCATAGTTTGTTGAAACATTCCAAGGAATTATAGTTCTAAGCTACCTTGTATTTGACAGATGTCAGTAGATGACAGGAGATTAATCTATAGTCCTCTCTCTCTCTTGTTATTTGATTAAACAGATCCATGCCACCATCTTTCCTTCTTGCCTGTAGAATACACACACACACGCCCACAAACACACACACGCCCTTCTATTTTTCAGAATTCTTAGCCACACCCCCTCCCCTCACCACCACCGTTTTTCCACCCTGGTGCACATTTTTGTAGCCATTGCTCTTTAAGGTGACAGTGAGAGAGACTTCTTATCGATCATCTGACCTCCCACACAATTTGTTGGAGGTTGACACACTCCCTGCCATTTTTGCTTTGTGGAGGCTGAAAGGCCCATTCATTACAGGGATGGCTTTATTAAAGAAGCAACCCCCAAATTCAAGTGGATTAAGCCATCTGGCTACAGAGTGAAATCCTTCACAATCTTATGACAATCTATGTCCCCCATCCTTCCCTATGAAGTTAAAAGACTATATATAGATTTTCCTTTCATTTTTTATAAATGCTCCTTGGATTTTTCTATCATACTGCCCTCTATTCTCTGAGGATAATTCTTAGCCATAGCTCCTTGTGCTTATTTCTTTATAAATTGGCAGTTTTTAAAATGAAAATCATTTTGCATCTATTTAGATGATCTCAACATTTTCTCTGTTTACATTAGTTTAGGGCACCTTTGAGTCATTTCCTTTTCATTTCTTTTCCATTTAGCCTGGATGTTTGGCCCCATCTGTGGTTAGTGAGAACTGAGGCAGAAGCTGAGTCCACCCTTCAGTCACTCTGTACAGCTGTCCTTGGAAATTCCAGCCTTGAGGAAACATACATTCACACATAGCTTGTTTCCCCCGAAATAAAGGTTTTGATCAAATATGCAGGAAGGATGTTTTCTGTGACTTGGGTACAGTGGGAAGTTTTGCATATTGGCCTCTCTCACCTGCTGTTGAGCACCTTGGCTGTGTCTTTGTTCACCTCCCCCCGTCAGTGTTTTGCACAGCAGACACTAACAAGTATTTATTGAATGAATGAATGTGCAGATGAATGAAAGTAGCATGAAGGACTAATGCTGGTGTGGTGATTGTGTCTTGTTTTCTCATTGTTCCAATATTCTATCTCAGTTTCCTCTCTCAGGAGAATGCCTCTTTGAAGTCCCTGAAGAATTACAGAATAGTAGATGCTGATAAAAATTTATACCAAATCAGTAGGAGGATAAGGAAAGGAATGTAGAAGTATCTACAACTATACTTTGGTAAACTGTTACAAATTCACCCCTCCAGGCTCTATAAATTACTTTGCCAGAAAAAAAAAAAGGATTTTCTTTCATGACAATTCAAATACAGCACTTCTCCTTCCCTGATTTTAAGAGTTTGACAATGAATTAAAATGAGAGTCTGGAGGTAAGAGAACTTGCTGAAAGGGAGTCAACTAATAGTCAACTAACTATGATTAACAGAATATAAGCACTGAAAATTCTCCATTGTGAGTTAAGATTTGCAGGCCTGCAAGCCTAGTGACATAAATGTCATATGCAGATTCTAAAAAGCAATGAGTTCTATCTGTTAGGTGATTTAATTATGTTGACCCTTAGTTATTTTGAAATCACTTGTTTACAACTGGCTCTAAATCAGCTTTCTGTTAAATTTTCAGTATAAGAAATTGAAATTATAAGAATTATGGGTTTATACATGTAAGTTGTTTTAACATATTCAGTCATGTTCCTCTTTGGTGAGAAGTAGAAGAAATTATTTGTTTAAGAAATATATAGGAAAATAAAGCAGAGCTATGAATGCATAGCAAAGATGGGAGTACTCTCTCTGGTGGTCTGGTTGGCCTCCTACCAGGAGGTGAGTCTCTTTAATTCAATATCCAGTAATAATCAATGTATTTGAAAAGCACATCTGTACATAATGGACAAATTGAAAATGCTTCCATCTTCCTGCTCCTTGTCTCAGAAAAAAAGTCATCTTTTCAATCTTTGTGCTTTCTTTGCATTTTTTGGGCACAATTCTAATTGCACGCTAGTCACATTTTGGAGTCATTTTTAATTGCTTATCTTCTTCTTTTTCCTGGAATGTGAAATCCTATGTCTCATTCATCTGTTTTCTCCTATCAATGTCTAATATGTGGTAATATGAAATTGGGACCACTAAGAAGTATCACTTGAATAGTGAATATGGGAGGGGAAATGCTTATATGAGGAAAATGTGCTGGACACCCGTATTAGTCCATTCTTGCAGGGCTATAAAGAAATACCTGAAACTGGGTAATTTATAAAGAAAATAGATTTAATTGGCTCATGGTTCTGCGGGCTGTACAGGAAGCAAGGCTGGGGAGGCCTAAGGAAACTTTTAACCATGGCAGAAAGTGATTCAGGCATGTCTTACATGGATGAGGCAGGAGGAAGACAGTGAAGGGGAAGGTGCTACATTCTGTTTAGCAACCAGATGTCATGAGAAGTCACCATCATGAAAGCAGCAAGGGGGAAATAGGTCCCCATGATCTAACTACCTCTCACCTCCTCTAACATTGGGGATTACAATTTGACATGAGATTTGGGTAGGGACACAAATCCAAACCTTAGCAACATTGTTTTTTTTTTTTTTTAAGTTTAGACCTGGTGTTACAACTACATAACCTGGATCAAGTCATTTAACTCTCTAAGGTGAGAGTTTCCTATTCATAGGAAGAGGAGAATAGCCACCAAGAAGAAGCAAAAGAAAGATTATGTGTGGACTGCTTTCAGACCTGTAAAGAGCTGTTCAGTTTATGTTATTATGTTAGCATTTCAGCCAGTGGGAGTGCTCTTTGGGTCTCTCTCCACTCCCTGAACATGTTCAGTGAAAACTATTGGTTTATCTAAAGTTTTAAGCTGTGGGTCTCATGTACAGATTTCTTTCACTTCATGTCAACATTGATTTCCTTCCCTCATAAATTCAAAGCACTAAAGGGTCAGAGTTAAAGGTGTATGATTGCATCTTGGAAACTACAGTCTCACTATAGTCACAACACATTGTACTACAATGTACAAAAAATGTCAAGAATATAATTCAGAAACTGTTCCTCAGCTACTTTAATTCTTCAGTTGTGCATTGGGAGACGTGTTAAAATGTCCATACTGAGCCTTCACCTTTGTCATTTGTAAAAAGGGATGGCAAGACCCACCTATATGGTTGTTATACAGATAAATGAGATAATACATCTTAAACACCTTGTACAATGCCTGGTCATCATAAGACTTGTAATGAATAGTAGCAATGTTGACCATTATTCAAGGAAGAGAGAGTTTAGTATGGACTGGAAGAATACTGGGGAGCTAATGTGTGTGTTAGATTTGAGTGCAGGAGATGAATTTGCATAGAGGTAAATCATGAAGAAAGGCTCTGAGGTGACTGAGCTAATGCAAGAATCAATATCAACCCAGTTGTTCAAACTGAAACCTGGGTATCAACTGTAGCTTGTCCCGTACCCTCATGCTCATTCCTAAAATATTCAATTCACTACCAACGTCTATCAATTCTAACTTCTTTCAGATCTACCTAATCCTCTCAAATTCCACTGCACTTTTCCATTCCCAGTACCTCTCTCCAGCCAGGATCCCTCCCACTACTGTCAGTCCCCAGGGTGTCCACCATACTCTTGCCCTCAGGTCTTTGAACGTGCTGCTTTCTTAACATAGAGCAATTAGCCCCTGGCTGCCTTTCCTTCCCCAGTTGAGCACACAGCAAGCACACATACATTAACTCCTAGACTCCTTTCCTCCAGTAGGTCTTTATCATAACATTGCATTTCCTGTTTATTTCTCTCTGTCCTTCACTAGAATGAAAAAACAAAAAGCACTCTGCTAACCATCAAATAAGAGCCCACTTTCCACAAATTCTCAGCACACACCAGACAGTCTTCTTGCATTCAAACTCTGCCCTTCTTTCCCATACTGTGGATAAATTGTCCCCATTCCAAGACCAACCTTCCTTCACATACTCAATCCCATCTCTCTTACCAAAGTGAGGACATTACTGCAGATATTCTTCTCCTTTTCTCCTACATTATCATTTCTCTTTTATAACATCATTTCTGCAGATATGTAAAAATACATCCCATCTTCAAAAAGAAAAACAAAAATCTGACTGTACTTCATATCCCCTTCTAGACATTGCCACATTTCTCTACTTCTGTTTACAACAAAACTCCTGGAAAGATTTGTCTATACTGGCTTTCTCTACTTCTTTTACTTCCATTCCTTTCCTAACCACTCTAAACATGCTTGGGTCCCCACCACTGTAACAAATATAATTTGTGTCCAATAACCAGTGATCTCTGTATCACCGGTTCCAAGGGTGAGATCTCAGACTTCACCTTTCTGGATTGATTGACACATTGGACTCAGTTGGTTACTCCTCACTTCTTGAAACTGTCTTCACTGGGCTTTTTGGACTCCTGATCTTGGCTGTCTCTCATCATATTTTTTTTTTTTTTTGGCTTTTCTTTACTGGTTTCCCCTTATCCCCCAACCTCTTAAGGTACACTGTGTTTCCTCTTCTCTATCTGTACTTTCTAACAAACCAGTCTCATGGCTTTAAGTGTGAACTATATGTTGATAAGCCCCAGATAACTTAATCTCAGACCTCACTACTGAACTCCAGAGTTACTACCTATTTCACATCACCAAGTTCCTATTGAGCATTTCATGGTGAACTTATCTAAGATGAAATGTCCAATTCCCACCTCCTTCCCAAAACCATTCTAGACAACTCCAGTTCAATGCAACTCCATTCTGCCAATTGCTTAGGCCTAAAATCTTGTAGTTGTCTATCAGTAGTCTTCATCACATGAAAAACCTTGGCTTCTTTTCTTTATCACATCCAATTTATCAACAGATATATCTAGGAGCCAACCCTCCAAGCCATTGTCATCTCCCATGTGGATAACTGACGTAATCTATCTGGTCTGTTTCCACCCTTACTCCCTGTAATCTTTTATCAAGATGGCATTCAGTACAAATTTTTTTTAATGTAAGGCATGCCATGTCACTCCTCTGTTAAAACACTTTCCAGTGACTCAATATCTCTAGTAAATAAAAGTCAATCTATTTTTAGTGACCCAGCTACCTCCCTGACTTCATGTCCTACGAATCTCCTCCTTGTTAGTTTACAAATCCTGTAGGACTCTCTTTTGGCTTCTACTACATCTTCAAGGATGCCTTCACTGAAGGGCCTTTGCACTTGCTATTCTCTCTGGCTGGAATTTTCTTACTTCCCAAATCTACATGACTCACTCCCATTCTCTCATTTTCCTCAATTCTCTGCTCATTTGGCACCTTTTCAGTGAAATCTTACTTTATCACCTAATTAAAATAGTATCCTCATTTCTACCCTTGGCATTTCCAGTTATTTACCCTGCTTTATTGTTTTTCCCCGTAACAGTTACTGCTTTCCGATATACAATGTTAGTTTGTTTGTTTGTTGGCTATTATTATCCACATGAAGGCAGCTTTGTGATAACAGGGATTCTATAGGTTCCCCCTTCCCATCATTTGTCTTTATCCCCAATACCTAGAATAACATCTGATACATGGAATGTGCTTAAGAAAACATTTGTTAATTGAATAAATGAATGAATGTTCCTCTTAATTGATTATGGGAGACTAGGATATCAGTCATTTCTTCTAGCTCTGCAGCTAAATATACTAGTGTAGAGTAAGATTCTTATGGTTGTAAACTTGGCATGTTACATTTTATATCTTTAGACTACTTAGCAGATTCCATGGTTGAGTTACTTTTAGAGATTTTCTTTCTTTTCACGTTCAGACTTCTGCCTTTAAATATCATAAACTTAAATGAACACATAGACATCAGCAGCTTTAAACAGTTCTGTACGGATGCCCTCACAATAGTGGTCTAAGCAATTGTTTTGCTTTTAGCATAGCTGGCTCAGTAATTTCTATTTATGTTCCAAATGCCATTGAAAAGCCACTGAATATTACTCAAAGTATGCCAATATGAAAAATATCATCAACTGCCATTTTATTTCAAGCTGGGCTTCTGCACAGCAAACTGTTCCAAAGTTGGTGAAAACCAAAAATCCAAGTCACCTTAAACAGAAAGACAGATGTAAAACAGTGAGTAACTTTTTAAAACAGAAAACAAACTTAATGTGCTGTATATTCTTTTATTATTTTCTTAGCATTTTTTTGACCTGTTATTTGTATTGAGTTTTTTCTGTTATAGTGAAAACTGTTTTATTATTTCCACAGATAGTTTAGTAAGATATGAAAATCTCATTGTAGACTGCCATGGTTGGCTTATTTCTTCACTTATTCTCATGATGTCAAAGTTCAGGCTTTGGAATCAGGCTTGTTCATTTGGAATCTAAGCTCTTTGAATTTTCATCTCAGTAACATCAGACAAATTGCTCAACATCTCTAAGACACAGTTTTCTCATGTTTGAAATGGGAATAATAAGGTTGTCATGATGATAGAAATAAACAATTCCTATATAACACTCAATACATATTTACCAGTATTTCTGATGTTATTAATGGGTTCTCTTATGCTGTAGGAAGAGCTGTTTACCAGTAGTTCATAATTTGGAGCTGGATATATTATCTCCAAGATATAAACTTTTTGTTCACTTTCTAAACAAAACCCATTAATCTGAATATATGGATTCCCGCCCCCGCCCCCGCCCCCGCCCCCCCACCCCCAACCCGCCAAAGTGCAGTGCTTGCTCCTTTCTCTGAGTCATGGTCTGACATATTTCTTTGAACTTAAAAATTAAGTTTTTCATTTATATTACATTTGCTGGAAAGTTTGTTTTGTTTGCATAATATAATATTTATTTTAAGAGAAGACACTTATATTGTGAAAGCACTCTCTCCAGAACAATACACAACATATAGGATGATTCTGATGATAAAGGAATTAGACTACACATCAAGTAAGTTCATTTAAAATAATGAAGAAATTATAAGCAACAGAAAGTGTTCTACATATTCAACCAAAAGGATTTAAAAAGCAGATTGCTTACCACAAAAAGTAGAAAACAATAGACACAAATCTAAAATTAAGATAATTTAAATAGTTACAATAACTTTGTCTATAAAGATACAGATTGTAATTTTGTACTCCAGGTAGCATAAATCAATCCAAACTATATTTTAATTGATATTGTAAGAATTTTTTTTTATTATTATACTCTAAGTTTTAGGGTACATGTGCACAATGTGCAGGTTAGTTACATACGTATACATGTGCCATGCTGCTGTGCTGCACCCATTAACTCGTCATTTAGGATATTGTAAGAATTATAATCACACAAACCAGTTAGAAATCAAGTCTAACCTAAGCAAATTTAACCTCTTCAGGCCTTTATTACTATTGTTTGTAACCTCCATGTTTTCCTTTACCATTTTCTTCCATATTCAGCTTATAAATAATTAATTCCCTATACTCAGAAGTTGTATTTAAAACAAAACAACAAAAACACATTAATAACTAGCAGACATCAAAGATTTTAATAACCCAGACCAGCGAAGAATAAGAATCCAAAATAGCTTCGTTACAATAACAAACTGATATATTCTATTGTAACCTTTAGTTTGCTGTAGATGGATACTTCATTAAAAATAGATATTAGAGGTAAAGTTATGTATACAACACAGAGAAATGTAGTTGACTTTTCCAAATCTGGTAAAATGGATGTTTCCCCATCTTTAGGTGAAAAAAAAATTCTACTAATCAGAGACAAGAATATAAGATATAGAGCTTTGCAGAATAACACTCCAATCATGTTTGCTTCATGAATATATATTAGTGACTTCAAAATCTAGGGCATACACTGTCTTTTAAATGCATTTTAAAAAATGACATTAATGAAAAGAAGGAATTATGGGGAGGTAAGACCTTGTTCTGTCAAGTTTAGTACCTGTTCTAAAAACAATGATTCAGAGTTTTAAGCTAAAACTGTCTCTTCTAGTTAAAATACCCTTCTGACCAAATAGTGATGCAGAAAACTTTTAAAAGTCAAATGGAAATCAGCTTGGTAAAACATTCTTGGTGTTCTTAAGTGACTCTCCAACAAATATTTATCGAGCACCTCGTTGTGTCAATACCATGCTTTTGCAAATGGCTCAGTTAGTTATCATCAATAATAGTATTGTCTAGATTTTGAATAATAATAATATTACTAATAATACTACTAATAATATTCTTAAAGGGTCTAAAAGAACTTTCCTCAGTCTCTTTCTCGAATAATGTTTTTTCCATGTGGCAAAATGTTTCCTTCCCTGAGCTTTTTTTCGGGAACACAGATAATCATCATTGTTCCTTCCTTGAGTTTATAAACTAATGATTCTCTCCATTTGCTCCACCACTATTTAGCTCTCTGCTGGGCTAATCTAAGCATCAGAATCCTTGGTGGTTAATAAATGAGCATCTTAGAAAGAATTCCACTGGGAACATGGTATTCAAATCAGCCCTCCAGGGCATTTTGTTGCAGTGAATTCCCACAGGTACGTGGCGCAAGATGGGAACTTCTCTTGGGAAGGTTATTTATGTGCTCAGCCTGTCTATACAGAATTCAGGTATAGAATACCTGAAAACACTCAGAAGCAGCCGTCAACCCCCAGAAGGAACCATTTCCCCATGTATACAGTTGAGCAAGTGAAAGCCATTCTGTATGTAAGAAAAGTTGTCAAGGGGCAATATTGAGGTTTAATAGTGCTCTCTAAGTCACTTGAAAACCAAATCTTAAAAATGATGTAATGTATACATTTGGCCTTCATTAGTGTTGTATTAAGCAGGTAGGCATTATCTTGGTCTAACCATTAAGTACAAATGCTTAAGCAGCTTAAAGCCCTGAAGTCGGAAGCACTTAGAAGCTCTGGTAAAATTGTCCATAATACAAACTAATCTAAAGCATCATAAATACTTAAAGATTGCTTAGCATATCTTTACTGTCATTGTTTTGCAAGCAGCTTACTTTCTCTAGGATAATAAAGATGCAAAGATCAATAATATACTATTTCTTAGTAAAGGAATCAAATGCATATCTATTTTTTCCTCTCTATGAAGGCTGTCGATTTTTTCTTCTTGTTTTTGAACAGTATCAGGCCTTGCTAGATGGCATGAATTACTCAGAAGCTTACAGACATCAAGGTAGGGGGGTCCTGAAAGGTGTGGCAGGGGTCGCTGAGCAGTGAGAATAGCCGGGAAGTGAGTGCTGAGTGATGCAGTGGAGAATGTATAGAACTGGAAGGGAGAGCCTGGAATCAGACGTTAGGTTGTTTGAATCCTGATAGAAGAATGTATTGGCTTGTGAATTAAGGCAAATTATTATAAACTACTGAAGTTATTTAAATCTCCCCTCTGAGAATTCTTAAGGGAATAGCATGAGATAGGCCTTTGAAAGTGCAAAATGTAAAGCAACATAGTTATTGTTGTTGTCGTTGTTATTTGTAGGGAAGGGGTTAGTTTGGTTTGGTTTTTTAAATAGAAGGAACAGGGATCTGAAACAGCAGCCATGCTTGCTGTCTTTCCCAGCTTCTTTTCCAGTCTGCCACAGAATGCCTCATGCGGTGACTTATACCTAGTAGGTGCTGTCTGAATATTTAAGGAATGAATGAAGCTTTTTTCTCACAGTTCTGAACTTTGCAATGTGAATTATGTACTTCCTTATAATGATGTTATTTTTATATACGTCATCTCACCTGTTAATTCATGGGCCTCTTGTCGAGTACATATCAGTCACAGTCATGTACCCATAGTACCCCAGTTGGTGATCCCTGAATATGCATTAAATGAACTAAATGCATGAGATATAAACCCATCAAGCTTAATAGTTTCACTTTCACTTTTTAATTACTTTTTCTTTCTGACAATATCTTCTTCTCTTCTGAATTACTGAAGTGATTTATCATGATTATCCAGTAACTTGACTAATTTGAGAATTAAAGCAAAGTTCTGTGTCTTTGGAACTTACCATTTACTAACATCAAACATGTAGTAGCTCTTACCATGTGCCAGTCACCCTATTAAGGAGTATATTTGCCACTGAGTTTGTATAATAACCCATTAAAGTGGGTATTATTATTATTCACTATTTCCAAATGAAGGAATTGGGAATTAGGGAGTAACTTTCACAAGTCCCCAAGGGGGTAGCACTGGGATTCTAACCCAGGTAGGCTGTTTCCAGGGCCCATTCTGGGAAAAAAAGTAACATGATGACAAGGTATTATGTGCTAAGTGTTCATGGAGAATTTTTAAAGTGCCATCAGATTTCAGGGAAATGAAATCGCTAGGAATTTGCTATTTGAAAAGATTTGGTGGAGTCAGTAGAACTTGAGTTTGAACTGCCTAAGAGCAGTAATAACAACTGGAAACACTTGTATTGTACTTGACATGTGCTAAGGACCTTTGGTTAATAATTAGGTCATTTATGCCTCACTACAATCCTATGAATTAGGTACTATTATCATCCCTTCCTTTTACCAATGACCAAACTGAAACACAAGCCTTAAATAACTTGCTCCAAGTCACCCAGCCAGTATAAGGGATTTGGGGAACAGCAGAGAGAGAACAGGTTGTCCAGATGAAGAGAATGTGTAACCATGTAGGCTTTGGAGAGACTCGAACATATTCTGCTACCTGTGGATTTTCTCTGGGCAATGAGCAGGAAAGCACTGGAGACAAGTTAGCTCCCACTACAGACAGATTGTAGAGGGTTTTAGATGTGTTGGCTGAAGAATTTATATTTGATTCTATGCGGGCATTGGAATACTGTTAAAATTATTTATCAGCATTTATTGTTTAGCTTTAGATTATCTATAATGGTTGCAGCACTGTGTCAGCTTAGACACTTTTGTCTGGGAAGCCTCCTGACCACCCTTTCACCACTTTCTCCAATTCTGGAATAGATGCTTTTCTGTGTTCCCTGAGGACCCAGAAATCTTTGTTCTTGTAGCTCTTACCATATCTTTGTGCTTCCCTTTTGCATTAGTCAGGCTTCTCCAGGGAAACAGAACTAACAGGGCATGTGTACGTGTGTGTATAATATAACATAAAGAGATTAATTGGCCGGGCATGGTGGCTCACACCAGTAATCCCAGCACTTTGGGAGGCTAAGGCAGGTGGATCACCTGAGGTCAGGAGTTCAACACCAGCCTGGCCAATATGGTGAAACCCTGTCTCTACTAAAAATACAAAAATTAGCCAGGCGTGGTGGCAGATGCCTATAACCTCAGCTACTCGGGAGGCTGAGGCAGGAGAATGGCGTGAATCCGGGAGGTGGAGGTTGTAGTGAGCCAAGATCGCACCACTGCACTCCAGCCTAGGTGACAGCGAGACTCCGTCTCAAAAAAAATAAATAAATAAAAATAAATAAATAAATATAGAGATTTATTATGAGGAATTGGCTCATACAATTACAGAGGCTGACAAGTCCCAAGATCTGCAGTTGGCAAGCTGTAGACCCAGGAGAGGCAATGTGTAGCTCCAGTCTGAGTCCAAAGAGCTGAGAACCAGGAGAGCTGATGGTGTAGTTCCAGTCCAAAGACCAGCAGGCTCAAGATCCAAGAAACAATGATGTTTCAATTAGAGTCCAAAGGCAGGGAAAAAAACCCATGTCCCAGCTTAAAGGCAGCCAGACAGGATGAGTTCTTTACTCAAGGAAGGGTCAGCCTTTATGTTCTATTCACTAACTGGATGGAGCCCACCCACATTAGGGAGAGAAATCTGCTTTACTCAGTTTACCAATTCAAATGGTAATCTTACAAAAATACCCTCACAGACACACTCAGATTAATGTTTGAGCAAATGTCTCTGCACTCTGCATCCCATTCAAGGTGACATATAAAATTAACCATCACACCTTCATCATTCCACCCAAAACCAATGGGCTCTAGTAAAAGAGAAGAAGGGCTTCTCTCTTATTTTCCTGAGAATGCCACAACACTTAGTACAGAGCTGGAATGCAGAAGGTGCTAAACTTAAATGTGTTAGCCTCCTGAATATGTTCTGGACAAAATATGCTATAAATCAATTTTATCTAGTTTTGTTTTATTCTTTGATATCTTGAGTATATATATTTGATGCTTCCTATGTACATCACAGGTAGGGATCAGACCTTTTTGCCTTACAGCTTCTGTTCTGAATCTGATTCCTTACTAAGGAGACTCTATTAAATACTTGTTGATTACAGTCTTTTTTGTGTGAGGAGGAAAATAGTACATGCAGACATTTATTTACTAGACTTCAGTATTAGCAGTCAATCATTATCTCTTCATAGCAACATTGTCTCACTTTTCAGGTCTACCATGCTCCCAAAAGTCACTGTCAGCTCTGACCATACCTGCTGTTCACCACTGCTCACATATCCCACATACTTGCCTCCCCTCCTGCCTTTGCTTATGCCATACCTTCTGATTGGAAGCTTTTCTTCCTGCATTCTTAACATGGAGAATGCCTACTCGAATTTCAAGGCTCACATCACTGAATCTTCACCTTCAGCCTTTCTCATGTGGAAGAATCCATTGTGTCTTCAAGCAAGTTCCCATAACACTGGGTATCTACTTCTGCTAGAGTTTATTCAAGGAGTATTGCCTTCCTTGCCAGTCAGTGAAATTATAGGGGTCAAAGACGAGGTCATATTCAATCTCTGTATCTTAAGCACCTAGTACTCTACCTGACACACAGTAAGTCGTCACTAATTGTTCGATGAATAAACTAATGTGTACAATAAGATTATTAACAATGATATTCATGCCTAGTATTCCCTGGCCTCCTTCCAGGCCATTTAAATTTTCTTCTTTTTTTTTTTTGTCTTATTGAAGAGATGGGATAAACAGTCATTCTTAAAATTTTATCTTTGATGGTGAATAGAGGTCCTCCAAGAAACAGCTACTGTAACAGGATTAGATATGAAAGAGATTTATTGGGGAGAACTGCTGTGAGGAAAAAAGAAGAGGAAGCTGGGGGAGGCTGGGAAATTTGTCAGATCACCATGCAGGTTTAATCCTTGTGAAGGAGAGAGGGAAGGAATGAAGGTTAGATATGAAAAAGTGTTACACTGTGGTGCAGTTTTAAGAATGTTTCAAACAGCCAATCGGGAATCTTCCAAAGATCGCCCACCAGAGGGAGCTTTGTATCTCTCAGGAAGTGGCTGCGTTAATATCCTTGCTGAACTCAGTTGTTCGCTGGGAGCAACCCTTAGCAGTATGGACTTCCTAGTCAAACTCAGAGATGGATTTCAGAGCCCAGAAGCCAGGGCCCTTGGTCAGTTACAATCCTTGCAGTTAGATTTCAGAGCCCACATTTTCATGGTGACCACAGTGGCTTGAAACCCTTGAGGCAGTAGGGAATGTCCTTTATTCCCTCTACAGTCTTGCATCTAAACATATTTTAAATACAAAAAGCTCTCTTTAAATAATGAAACTATAGAAAGTGCATGGAAACCTTAAAACCATTTGAAATTATTTAGAATCCTAGGTAAGCTTCAATTGTTAGCTAATTCTGACATGATAGAGAAAAATAAAATACTTAAGTGAACAAAATTAAAACACTACAGGAAACTGTGGGCACAAATATGTTTCAAAGAAAAATCAAAGGTATCTTTTTGGCTTGGAAGTTTCTAATGAGTAGATGTTCTACTAAGGTCATAGTTTTTTGGATCTTACAGTTTAAATTCGAATGGCTTCCTCAGAAGAATCACATTTGACAAATTGTTGATGCTGCATATCTTGTGAGAAAGAACATGTAAGTCTGTTGTATAGAATAGAGCATATCTAATTTATAGGAGTTTTAAATGACAAGCCTTTTCTAAATTCCAAAAGGCTTTAAAAATTTGCATTCCTATAAATAAACCAGTCTTTCTTAGAAGCAACCTTAACTCTAATAAATAAATAAAACCCAATCGTTATTTCATATAACATTTTTCATGCCAGAAAGAAATGATTCAAGATAATATATGGCATAACTTATAGAAGGCAGTGCTATTAAAAACACGTGATTGGTTTCCCTGCTCAATCCCACTCTAGTTCCCAGCCCCTGCATTTGTCCATGAGCTCACTACTTCTCTCTGGATATTTTCTCATGGGCTTCATCTTGTTGAAAAAGGCCTTTGCATTTCCTCCCCACCCATAGTAATCCATTACTTCCTTGAAGATACCTTGAATTGGGAAGGACTACTCTTTTCCAAGAAGTATTTCCTAAAGAACTATTCTCTCAATTATCTCTTAGAGACTACAAAAGTAATATGAAGTATTGTCATTAAGTATTTGCATTCCTTTAGCACCTATATAAGTATACTCTACACTCTACTAGGTACTCTCTTACATGTTGTCTTTTCCTTAAGATCTTGTCTCACGTATTAAATAGAAAAGACTTCAGGGAAATAGATGATTCTTTTATTCCTTTAGTATTCATAAGCATGTAGTAGATCCAAAACAGAGGCTTTTATTTTGTGTTTATTACTTTTTAAAAATCAGACTAAGTGCTTATGATAAGAAAACCCAGGAATTGAAGGTCTTTTATTCATTGAATTTCACTGCCTAGAGGCAGTCTCTTTTAGGCTTTTCTGTTTTTGTTCTTATGGTGAATTTATCTCCATAACCTCTCTTTCAATGAGGAAGTTTTAGACAATATGTACTGATTCCCCACTATGAAATATGAGGATCTAATAATGGGTGCAGCATTATTTTCACCAGTTTATCTCCTTTTTTCATTGTTTGATGATTGTTGTATTAATTTGTCTTCTGTTGATTATTTTCGTAACTTAAAAAAAAGATTTTCTTGATGTCTTGTTCCATCAACATCAGTGAGCACTTAAATTCTCAACATGAGAATTTTAATGACCCTAAACTTTCTTCTACTTTCCCTTCTCCCATTCCACTGATCATCTCAGTTATTCTTATTTTTATGTTGTTAGGATTCTTAATAGTTACATTTTGTGCTATAACCATAACCAGGGTTTCATGTTTGATCCATAGGTTGATTCTAAAAGTTAAAATTCAAGTAGACTGGGGTTACTATGACTACATTGATGTTGGTCATGGATGAAATGAGTAATAGGATTACATTTCCTTCTCTATAGAACTATGGTCTTGACCCTTCAGTCACTCAGAGAGTATTTCCAGCACCAAAATTAAGTAGATTATTTAAAATGACCTCAAATTGCTTAAAATAATGTCACATTATTTTTTGGCTCATATCTACCTCATATTAATCTCTATACTTTTTTGTACAGTTTTTTCTTTTCCTCCTTGTTTTGTTATTGACAATGGAATGTATGTTTATCATAGTCTAAAGTTCTTCATCTTCTCAATTACAAAATTGGTTGTATATTGTCACCATTTTTCCTGTTTTCTTCCCTCTTGAATTCATGTTGGAGCAAAATTATTTAACAACTAGCGTGACATCATCACTGACCAATCAAGGCAGAAGTCATTTTTAAACAGCCAACTGGGCATTCCTGTGTGTACACACTAACAGCTCTGCCTAAGCCAGCAGCACAGATGCCACACTAGGTTTCTACCTTTCTGTTCCTGTAGAATGGCCTAATTATTTCTTGACTCTCCTTACTTCTGTTTTCTCCTTCATCTTTCTAGAATACATCTTTAGCTTCCTCCAAAGAAAAATGTGGAAAATTAACTTTAAAAGAGTGAAAAGTCTTTTACCTTCATTCTGCATTGATGACTTGGCTTGGAATATAATTCTGGGTAGAAAACAGTATTTCCTTGGCATTTTTAAAGCATTACTCCATTGGCTTTTATTTTTCATTTTTAATATTTTTAAAGGTGGGGTCTCTCTCTGTTGCCCAGGCTCGAGTGCAGGGGTGTGAACATAACACATTGCAGCCTCAAACTCTTAGCCTCAAGCAGTCCTCCCACCATGGGTTGCAGTCCTACCTGTAGCTGGGACTAGAGGTGCACACCACCATGTTTGGCTTTCAATGGCTTTTGGCCTCCAGTGTTGCTGATGGAAAAGTCTGATGACTTCTGAATTCCTGTTCCTTTGTTGGTGTGTGTGTGTGTGTGTGTGTGTGTGTGTGTGTTTTACTCTAAACCTTCTTGGATCATTTTTTTGGATTTAACTTTTTAATTTATATCTCCTAAAGATGTATGATGTGTTTCGGTGCTAACCTTTTTTTTTTTTTTTTCCCTCACTGTTTTGGTTATTCTATAGGGCCTCTCAATCTGAAGGTTAATTTACTTCTTTAGCTGTGGAAATTTTTCTTTTTTATTTCTGACAATCGCTTATTCTGTGTGTTCTCTGCTCTCTTCTTTGCAACTCTACTAGATGTTCTTTGGATGTCATGGGTTGAATCTCTGTATTATTAACCTCTTCTCTCATAAGTGTGTATGTGTGTTTGCATGTCTATCTTTCTTTGAGTTTCTCCTGTATTATTAATTAATTATAATTTTAATACCATTCTCTGTTTCCAGAATTATTTCTGTTTCCTTCAAGATCAGTTTTCTTTTTGTTTGTCTTGACTTTTCTGAGGCATGCTGTAACTCTTCCTCCAATATCTCATGATTTTTGGTTATCCATTCTTATATAAGAGTCAAGGTTTGGGAAGTTGGCATGGCTTTTTTTTTTTTTTTGGCCACTATATAAACACATCATCCTATAACTCTCCTTTTTGAATGAGAAGCCTAATTCAGAGCTCGTTACTGGGCAGGTATTCCCACCTGGCAGGGAAACCTGCCAAAGATCAAACTGCAGGCTGCAAGCCTCAGGACCACAAATGCCAAAATAAGGAGGTGCCAACACTCATAACAGAAACTTAGGTCATCCCTAGACAGTTTATTTAATTTATTTCACAAACAGTCCTCTGACTTATTTTATTTTATTTTATTTTATTTTATTTTATTTTATTTTATTTTATTTATTTTGGCTGAGAATGAAGGCCAGACTGCCAATCACTTCGAGTAATGGAAATGGAAGGGCAATTGTTCCATATAATATGTTCTCTTTCTCTTCCTGTTTTAAGCCCCACATCTCACCCTTACTCTCATGTAACCCTCCAGCCAAGAGCCTGCAGCCTTTCAGGTTTCTAACCTTCTTACCTTCTCAACAGTCCTCTTATAGCACATTCTGGTGACTGCATTTCTGTTGACCTATCAACATTTCCATTTGTTTTCTCCCATAAATGTGTTGAAATCTTATATCTTTGTTGTTATATGTCTATTCCTCTTTGTACTTCCACACAATTATGTACATATAAAACACTGTTACTTCAGAGCCCCCAGTAGAGTGAGGACATGAATGACCAGCCTCAGTCTGCTATCTTCACCCACAAGTCCCTTAACTGCTCTTGGAATTTATATTTAGCAGGGATTTTTTTTTCAGAAAAATAATATGATTAGTCTTCTTCTAAAAAAAAAGAAAAATGAATTTGTTTGATTTTGTTTATATTTTGCAAAACTTGATGGTTATGTTCAAGAGTTTTCAAGATAATTGAGGATTTTGAATCAGTTCACAAATGTGTTAAGAGTTGTCGAATTTTCATGTTGTTGGCACAGAACTGTGAGGAAATGAACCAATCCTAAATTAAATGTCTACTTTGCCCTGCATTTTCCTCAATTAGATATTAGGCTTAACTTGTGTACTTGGTTAAATGGTTATATATACATATATATGTGTATGTGTGTGTATATACCCATAAATATATATATACACACACACACACAAATTTTATTTAAAATATGGTCTATGGGCTACTGCATATCAATATTTGCTAACTGTCCATGACAATATAAACTTTTACCAGAATGTAAATCAACTAAGTTACTAAGCATACTTTGCAGTTAACATTTTTTCCCAGCAAGACATTCCCAATGAAAGAAGGAGTATAATGACTCACATTTTGTCAAAAAAAGATACTGATCCAATCACAGACAGGTAACAGTTTTCAGATCAGCACTAGTCCTCAGTTCACATCTTGAGAACACTTGCAGACATCAGTTAGAACAGTGCCTGGCAGAGAAGGCATTGAATAAAGTGCTAGTTGAGTCTGACACGTGGACTTTTTGGAATAAGTTTGAGAACTATTATGATCATTTACAGATACGATGCTTAATTGTGTATCTCTTTCTTAAAACAATAGGGGAAGTTTCAATCATTTCTCACAGTGGAAGTTTTGTTTTCTTTCAGTTTGACAAAATCCCATAAACCACTTTGGTTTGTTTAATAGAAAGCAATCATTTAAGTTGCCAATGAGATAATATCCAAAACTGTTTCAGACCTCTACTTGTTGCCAACCCTTTCCTGTCTGTTCTTTCTCCCTACGAACCTTCATCCTGAGACTTCATGCTAGCTGATTCTAATTAACACCCTGGGATCTGCAAATCTTTATGTGTAAATTGCTAGTGAGGTGGGTAGTGAATTTACTATATCAATATTTGTCTGCTATCATGAGGCCCTCCAGAATTTAAAAATGATCTCTCCATCTCTACCTGCTGATGAAAGGTAAGACATTTCTGTAACACTACTGAGAAGGTACTACCTCCTGAATATTCACTATTGCATAATCAGGCAATGGTCAGTCCCCTTCTGTTGGCCCTCAAAATTCCTTGATTCTCTTCCCAAACACTTTTACCTGAAGAGAAGGCCTGCCCACATTATAGCTCACTGTCTGATGCTAATCCACCCTTGGTTCTAGTTAGCTTCAGATCCCAACGATTATATTATAGCACTGTCCTTCAGTCTCATTCAGACCAAATTCCTGGAATGGCCTAGTTTCTAAATGGTGCTTGTCTTAGACTGTTCAGGCTGCTATAACAAAATACCCTCAGGTAGGTAGCTTATAAACAACAGAAACTTACTTCTTACAGCTGGGGAGGCTGGCAAGTCCAAGATAAAGGTGCTGACAGATTCAGTGTTTGGTGAGGGCCCACATTCTGGTTCATAGATGATACCTTCTTACTGTCCTCACTTGACAGAGGGGGTGAGGAAGCTCTCTGACATCTGTTTTATAAGGGTATCAATGCCATTCATGATGGCTCCACCCTCATGATCTGATCACCTCTCAAAGGCCCCACTTCCTAATATCATCATTTTGGTGGTTAGGTTTCAACATATAAACTTTGCAGGGACACAAACTTTCAGACCCTAGCAAGGCTCTTACCATTTTTGCCTTTTACTCTGAGAGTAGCACCCAGTCTTTCCCAGAGATAACCTTCCCTCTGATTTCTACCACTCAGTTGATGCAACATTTAAGAGGCTATGTACTAAATTCCAACTTGATTAGAATCTCTAACCTTTTTCAGCCATGAGTGCTCTGTCTCCTTTTGAGACCTACCAGCTCTTCTTTCCTAGGATGCCATGTTGGTGGAGGGCATCACTTGGGGCAACTCCTAACAGAGCCAGCTCCAGTCCTGCTAAATTTCAACTTGCAAGCTCCACCCTGTCCAATCCTCAGATAAAGAGCACCAAACCCACATGGGTTATGTTAGTGCAAATAACCTTGTTAGTTTGTCACTTTATTCATTTTCAATTTTCCAAGTACATATAGAAACATTATTCTTTTGTATTTAATGATTACCTTGTAATGAGCAAGTCAGATTAATTGCTGTATTGCCATTTCAAATATGTTAGCCGTATTAGGCCTAGACCATTTCAATAGATCTGACCCAGAGACTTGGTATTTTTTATCTTTTCAATCCAATTTACACACTGTTGCCATGTTAGCTTCTTCAGTTTGCCACATGAATCCTCATACTTGTGCTGAAGAACCTATGGTGGATCCCTATGGCATAACAGATGGAGTTCAAGAACTGCTGCCTGATCATTAAGCCACATCATCAACTCAGCCATTGACTCCTATACCCTAAGCTGTCTTTCAGTTATTCATTTGCATGCCCTTAATTGTTGCCTCTAATTTTGGCATATTGCTATATCTTTCTTTTGCTTTCTACTGATTCAGTTTTTATGCATCTTCTACAGCTCAGTTCAAATGCTGTCTCTTCAGAATAATCTTACTTGATAATCTCAGGCAAATGTTATCTTCCCTTCTTTGGAGCATTCATTTTATTTTCTGTCATTTCTACTCATTTGTTAGTATACTTATCTCCTTTTTTGAGTATTAGCTCCTTGAGGGTAGGTGTTACCCCTTTATGCATCAGTGTACCATCATAGTGGCTAACACGATCTCTTTCATGTGGATAATACTCAATACCTAGTCACTGAATAAATTATTGATTGTTACAGAAGAGCAAATAAAGTAACTATTATAGTGGCCACTCAATCAAGGTGATTTGTGAGAATTTAAGGAGAACCAACATCAGGAGAATTTGGGCCACTCTTGATGAAGAAAACCTAATTGTGATGATACTTGAATATCCCCACTCTCAAGAAAATAATTTACCTAAAAGTATTGATTGGTTTACAGATACCTGCAGAAACCTTTGTTGTATATATGCAATAATGGTATTTGGACTAAAGAGGTAAGAAATGATGTTTTATTTGTAAATCTTCAGCAAGTCTATACTTAAGAAAATTGGCCTAATAATTGATTCACTTCATGGAAAATTAAATAGCCATTAAAAATTATACTTCACAGGTTGCAGTAACATGGAAAATGTTTACATAATGCCAAGCAAAAAAGTAGAACAAAAATTATATATATACTATAATCTGACTGTGTTTTTTAAAAAATATGCATAAGAAAAGATTGAGGGAAAGAAAGAATCACCTCCAAAATGTTAACAGGTAAGTGTGCTGGCATAACTATGGGTGCTTTTTTCTCCATTACAGTATTTTGCATATTCCAAGTTTACTTTAGTGAGTTTAGTAGACTGATATTAAAAAGTGAAGAATTACAAAGGGAAGGAAAATGCCTAACAGAATTAACGCTAACTTATTGGTAGCTGTTGATAGATTGATTAGTCCACTGACTTAGAATGATACACAGGGAGGAGTACAGGATTCTAAATTTTATTTAGATTAGTCATGGATACATCTCAGTGAATAATTTGTATCTCACTGATTGTCAATCACATGTATAAAAATATTTTTGACCTATATTAAGTTTTGTGGGACATTTGAGAATTACTAATTTTTCCCCAAAATTGGGTTATTCTACTTGATGCTGTAGGAAAATATGGATTAAACTCAGATACAACTTTGCACAACTATCCAGAATAACACGAAGTAGAGTGGATAAGTAATGTCACTCCTTTCTAGAGAATTATGCTCTATAATTTGAGAATACAAGAAAGCCTAACTTCAACCCATGCTAAGGAGGTGCATTTACTCTGTTGTGTCTAGCTTTTAAATTTGCTTTCACAGATGTTGGATTACATGGTTACTGATGATGAATCATAGGAAAAATGAACAGCTAAACAGCCTAATGTACCTTTTTATAAAAGTGAAAGGAAATTAGGTTCCACTTCTGATTGTCATTTTTATTTACATTAACTTTTTCCCTTTCAAAGGCTTGTATTCACACAAGGATTATTGAGAGCTAAGATGTGCATGAAAGAATGATCAAATACAACAGAAGTGAGTGCTGAATTTTATGGTAAGAATAAGGCAGCTTTTTAATATATGAAAATAGTGTTTCTGCATACAATCAGCAATTTTATTTGTGGTGCTTGACATTCAGTGTTAATCCACCAACTCTAAAGCTTATTAAAAATGGCAGGAGACACATTGGCAGCATAAAGCAGATCAGAAATTGTCGAAAACAATGAGAGGTTTATGATCAACCATAAAATTGCACTTATTTTAGAAATCTGACTTTTGCATGGAATCCACAGGTGTAGAATCAATAGCCCACAAATAATGCAGACAATCCCAGCAGTACATTTCAAAGATCTCAAGTTGCAGGAGGGGGAAAAGAGCCTTCATTTGTTGTTTTTCCCTTTGTTCTCTTTTTATCTTGATGTGTGACACTCGCTCCTCACCGCTATCTCTTGGAATTAGCAATAGAATTAACAATAAAAAAATAAATGTCAGTCTTTCTTTCTAAAAGAAGGAAACACATCAAAGAGACTATGAAGAGGCTGTAGGAGATCTGCAGTCGCTTTGTCATTTCTGAAGATGTTTGCTACAAATTCCCTTAAGCAGATGTAAAGGCTATGGGAGCTATTTCTATTGTAACTTCTATATCAAATTCATCTAGGAGCCACTCCTAAACTCTAATTCCGTAATTATCCAGGTGCCATGGGAAAATGAAAACTACTCAATGGTGTAGAAGTGGCTGAAGGTATGGGAGGATCATCTAATTCAGCGTGGCATTTTTGGTCTGCTACTTGCTAAATGAGTAAGATCTGAGGCCCTCTTTCATATTTCTCAGTAACAACTCTATGCTTTGTAGCATGTCTGACAGACAAGTCATTTCACTCCTGCCACCAATGATGAGCTATCCTAGTGATGCCTAAACCTTCTGCTGAAGAAATAGGAACCATGCAAGGAAAAATTAGTAAACTGAAGCTGACAGGATCTTGTAGAGAGTACCCATTAATGAACGCCGTGGAGGATTGCATGCTTACCATTCATTTTCTTTCTGCAATTTATATCCGATTTTCTACAGATTATGCAGAGGCATTATATGAATATTTGTTATAGCTACACATTTAGAGAAGCAAATAGAATTATTTAATAAATGGGTGAAAGTGAGAAAAGAGAAATAATTCAGTTCTCTTTTGCAATTCACAAAGTCACTTCCTTAGGGTGTATACTCCAACAAAGTTAAGTGCCTTTTATGCTATTTGTCTGCTGGTAGTAAGTTTATTTACATAAAAGGGCTTACAAATAAATATTAATTCCTGGTTGTTGGTGTGATTTATTACAATGTCCATAATTTCCTTTATTCCAGTTCTAAAGATTTTGCCAAGAAAAGTATAAATCTCATCATCCAAATTTCAAAAGAATTAATATATTTTTAGGCCAACAAAGATTTAGCATATTCAAATAATAACACTAAGCACTGTATCCTTCACACATCTGTACAGGGTGTTTATAGATTTATAAAAACTTTGTAAATCATGTGCAAAATTGTATAGCCATTTACAGCTGCATTTGGTTTTCTGAGGCATTTTGAAGGCTCATTTTTCTTTCATATGTAGTATACCTATTGATATAAAGGAATAATAGATGTATTTATTTATAAGAAGAAGAATAGGGTGTTCTAGCTGTGGAGGCTACAGACCAAAAAATTGTGCATAGTGTATATATGGCTTTACATAAAGCATTATAATAAATTAGTTACTGTATTTTAAAATATTTCCTCCCTCTCAACCAATAAAAAAAAAGGCGATGATAAAACAGTATTTAAATAATTGGCATAAAGTGTAACCAGTTCATCACTACTTTGTTGATTAGGTGTAACACAGAATACCGGTTACATGGCCCTTGGTTAACTACTACATATTTTTTGGAGCGTTAGCCTTCAAAGACTTTCCACTGCTTGGCATGCATGCCGGAAATGTAGTCAAACTCATTTAAAGCATAGTGCAGTGGCATGTGCCTGTAGTCCCGACTACTCAGGAGACTGAGGCGGAAGGATTTCTCGAGCCCAGGAGTTTGAGGCCAGCCTGGGCAATGTAGTGAGACCTTGGTCTCTATAAAACAAACAAAACTCTTAAATTTAGAGGGTTGATGGTAGGGGAAAAGGTTGAAGATGGACATTTGCAATACATTTTGAAGACTTTGAATGTGAAGATAGGGAGTTTGACTTTTATTCTCTAGGTGGGAAAGTAATGGTTAGGAGCAGAGATTTACAGTTCACTAAACACTTTATTTGAATTCCAACTTTGCCATTAGTTGAGCTCTATGACCTGTGGCACTCTCAGTTGTAAAATGGGTACAATACTCCTTTTTTAGATTAGGATGAGGACAAGGAGGGTATATAATATAAGGTAATATAAGATAAAGATTGCATACTGTCTGGCACTTATGAAAGCTTAACAAATGACAGCTATCACTATTGGAACCACCTGGGAGAATTTTGAGCATGCAAATACATAATCGCACCTATCATTTAGGAAGATTACTCTGACCACAGCATGAAGGACAGAGTGAGTGAAGCCTAAAGGAAGAAAGAATAGAATTATAAAGATCATTACAATTATCCAAGCAAATATTATTTAAAAGCCTGAAGTAGGGTACAGAAGGATAAATAAATGGCATCATAAAAGAATAGCATCAACAGGGTGGGATAACTGATATGCACATGAGGTAAAAGCAAGAGAAAAAATGATTTCAAAAATGTGAACATAAGGGTCTAGGAGGATGTTAACTCAAACTTGGAAACACAGTGAAATGATAAAATAGGGTTTGGAGTTTCCATGGGACATTCAGACTGGGATGTCTGGCTGGACCACTGAAAATGAGGACCTGAAGTATAATGAAAAGTCTGGCTTTGGAGCCTGTATGTTTGAGAGGCATTTGCATTGAAGTACAAACGGAAGCCAAGAAATATATAACATGAATATTGTGAAATAGTAAGGGGAAAGAGAAAAGGTCTAAAATCGCACCACTGAGAAATTGCAACATTTATGATGGAGCAGGAAGATAATCAAATAGAGGTGTTCTAAGAGTTGTTGAAAACATTTCAAGATAGCAAGAGAAAAGGGAGTAAGGAAAGGTGGTATAGTATGAAGCCAAATAATTTGCAATTAAATCATCTATATCCTTAGAAACTTCAGTTTTTATTGCAAAGGATTGACAAATGAGTGGGGGTTAAGAGGAAACAAGTATAAAATACTGCTCTGAGAAATTTGGTAGTTAATGGAAGTCAAGAAATGTTTATATTTTGAGAAGGTTTAATTTATGTATTTTGTTCAAAGGTTACATATTCAATCTCATTGGATGAAAGTTGAAGTCTTTTCAGAATCAAGGTTCAATGATTGTCTTTGTTTCCCTTCTTTCTAGTTTCTCAGTTTCATAGATAAAGGTCAAGATAAGTTTTTTATACACACAAAGTATACACACAAGAAACCTCGCCTTAATAAAGTATGACTTTCTCTAGTCAGTTGTCTCTTCCATTGACCTCATGATTATTTCAGAATCTACATATTCCTCCTAACTCCTCCTCCAGCTTCTCTTTATTCTTGTCAGTCTACTTCAGTGAGAAACACAGACCATCAGAAGTGCTGATTCTTTCAACTTTCCACCATCAAATCTAAAATTCATACGTGCTCTGAATATCCTGGTTTTTACTTCTCTCTTTTTACAACGGTCTGGGCTGATCCACTCACCTGCTATGCTGGATTTCTCTCCTCTGTCTTCATCGGGAACCTTGTGCTATTAGTTATTACCTCATCCCCATGTATATGCAGCTTCAATTTGATGTCTTCCTGTCAGTCATCAAACAAGCTCAAATCTCAACCAAATATTTATAAAGTCCTCACTTTACTACCTCTCTCCAGCTTCTTTTATAAAGAAATTGATGTTAATTTCAAAGCTTCATAAAGCTTGGCCAATCTTTAACAGACAGATACTTGCCTTGCCTCCTAGCTTTGCAAGTTTCTCTGCTTGGAATGTCATTCCCACCTCTCAACTGCCCTCCCCACCCCAGGGTTTTCTATACTTATGTTGTCATTCTCAACTTAAATATCACTTCATTATAACAGTCTTTCTTCAACCCTAGCCCAGGCACTTTTCCTTATTCTAGTCCTTCTAGTCACCTCTTGTCTTTCTTTCCTAAGAGACTGTAAATTCCACAAAGAAGAGATAACGTGTCTTGTTCATTCTTATGTGGTGTATACTGCATACAGCCTGGCATAGAGTAAGCCCTCATTAAATTTTTGTTGAGTGTTCCCTGCAGTTTCTCATTAATACATTCCCTAGCACATTTATTATAATGTAATTTACCTAAAGAATTGATTTACATTCAGTTGATTTTTATATTAATTGATTTTTATACATTGAATTTTGCAGTAAACCAAGGAATATTTTCATATGAAATCATATTTTCCCACTAAGAACAATTATATTTTCAAATATGTTTCCACTGAAAGAGTATTGACCTCAACATATGAAAAAACCATCCTTGACATTTCTGTATTTATTTCAACAAGTATTATTTCTCTGCCATATGTATTTAATTTTTCAGTTTGTGCATTTAGTTCTCCTGTACCACGAATAACTTAGTCAACCAGACACATAATGCATACATATTATGTGTCCTGTTGAATATTATGTGTCTGGTTGACTAAGCTATTTGTGTTATAGGAGATACCTATACCACTTAAGGGTATACATACTGAAATATCAAATAGAATTATCTCACAATTCATTGAGTGTTTTAACTTACTCATGGCTTGAGAGCCTCAATGACCCTGCCTTCAAGCCAAGTTTATTTTAGCAGAGCAGTACATGTAGAAGAGTGAAACGAAGTACTAGAAAAAAAGAGTATGGAGATAGAAAGGTTCCTGAAGTGACAGCTGAAAGACGTGGACCCTGACCCAAACACAGTCACTGATTAGCTGTGTGACCTTGAATAAGCCATTTTTTTTTAAATCTGCTTCATTTGCAAAATTAGTGTAAATAATTTATACCTAATTTTTAAGAGGATAAACTTGCCTTAAAAGTGTATTATATTTGTTAAGCATTGTGAGGGGTACTGGAATTCAGGCACAATCCTTATACACAAATATGTTAACTTCTTCATATGGACACAAACCAGGAAGGTCTAAAATTGAATGAAAATATGCTGTTGTATTTGAGGTGATTAAGTAGCTAATGAACAGAAGAGACCATCCGTGCTATAACATATAAAGCAAGTAAGATTTCTTGTTAAATGGTAGGACCTCTTTCCTGTTAATACAATAATAATAAGATTGAGGGAAAACAGCATATAATTACATGCTTGCATGTAAAACCCACTCATGTATATATATTGAATAAAAAAAGGAAAGACCAGATGGGTTACTCAATGAATTAGATTGTTTAAATATTGGTTACACATGTGGAGATATTTTAAAGTGCATATATATATATTATATATATATATATATATATACACACACACATACATACACACGCATATATATGCATAGATAAATATAGTTGACTCTTGAACAACACACATTTAAACTGTGTGGGTCTACTTATACACAGATTTTTTTCTACCTCTGCCACCTCTGAGACAGCAAGACCAACCCATCCTTTGCCTCCCCCTCCTCAGCCTACTCAGTGTGAAGACGACAAGGATGAAGACCTTTATGATGATCCATGTCTGCTTAATGAATAGTAAATATGTGTTCTCTTCTTTATGATTTTCTTAACATTTTCTTTTCTCTGGCTTACTTTATTGTAAGAATATAGTATATAATACATATAACATAGAAAATATGTGTAACCAATTCTTTATTTTATCAGTAAGTCTTTTGGTCAACAATAGGCTATTACTAGTTTAGTTTTGGGGAAGTCAAAAGTTAGGTGTGAGGTTCTGACTGTGCCAGGGGCTAGCACCCCTAACCCATGTGTCGTTCAAGGATCAACTGTACATGTACATATGTATATGTAAATATATGCCTAGACAAATATGTATGTGTGTACGTGTGTGTGTTTTTCATAAATGTATAAGGTTAGCATTTCACATAAAAGGAAAAATAAATAATTCAAAAAATATTGCTGATTTATCAACTGCTTGAAATATAGTAGAAATGTAGAAATTTTATATTATACCCTACCTCAAAATATGTTTCAAATGAATAAAAGATTAAATGATGCATTATATAAACTTAAAAGAAAATACAAGTGAATAGTTATATTTAGTTGGATGTGAATACATTTTCTAAATTCTATCTAAAACCAAAGCTAGGATCCAGAAAGGAAAACAGTTTTTAGACATGACCTTATTAAAATTTAAACTCTGTTACATCAAAAACATTCATAAGAAATATTCAAATGACAAACTAGAGACATTTTGCAATGTATATGACAGAGTTAATAATCTTAATAAAAGAACTCTTTCAAATTAACAATTATTAAGACAGAGACTTGTAACCAGAAGATTTTTTTTTTTAAGTAAAGGCAAAGGGCTTAAATAAGAAATTTACAAAGAGAAGCGAGGAAGGCAATGGGTTGATAAACATAAAAAAACTGTTCCACTACATTAGTTCTTAAAATGCAGATAAAAACAAGATGCTTCCTGTTGATAAGGGTGTGAAGAAATGGTCACTCACATTCCCTGCTAGTGGGAATATAAGTGTGACCTTTCTAGCAGACAGTTTAGAAATACCAGTGTTGCCAGTGGCAAATCTGTGTGGGTCTGCGGCAACCTCAATTCTCGCGTCCTCAGATGAAAATTCGACTGAGGGGCATAAGGCAGGCAGAAGGAGTGATGGAGGCAAGTTTTAGATCAGGAGTGAACATTTATTAAAAAGCTTTAGAGCAGGAAATGTTACAGTAGGTAGCTCGTCAGACATGAGCACAACAGGAGAGGGTTTCCCCCGCCCTATCCCACACACCAGCAGTGTCAGGCGATCCTCACGTGATGGTCAGGCAGTTGTTAAGCGGTCTCTCTGAAATAATAATTGGTCACTGCCAGCACCAGGAAAAGGCAGTCTCCCCCAAAATAGAAGCATCTGAAGCTGGTGATCAACACTTTCCCAATAAGATCTCGGGAGATGGGCAGATGGGCTCACACATGCTCACTAAGAGGCAAAATGGCGGAGTTTAAATGGTATATGACCTCCTAGGGTCATTAAGTTGGTAAGGGAAGAATGCCTCTGTAAACACACTGCACATGCTCACCTCTCAAGTGCTAGCAGGCCACTGTGCATACGGACAGCCCACCCCAGGGAAGAATCAAGGGAAATGGGATGCAAGACCCTGCAAGTATGCCTACATATAGAACCCCAAGTCAAAAGGTCAAACTGTGCACTTGTCTTTCAAGTTACCCCCGTGGCCTACTTCCAAGTGTAATTTCCTTCCTTTTGTTCGTGCTCTAAAACTTTTTAATAAACTTCCACTCCTGCTCTAAAACTTGCCTTCATCTCTCCTTCCGCCTTATGCCCTTCAGATGAATTCTTTCTTCTAAGGAAGCAAGAATTGAGGTTGCTGCAAACTCATACAGATTCACTGCTGATAACACTATAAGTATTAACAGCTTTTAAAATGTGTGTACCCATTGATCCAACAATTTTATCTTTAGGAATTTAAGAAATGATCAAAAATGTAACCAAAAATAAGTGTACAAATATGATCACTTAGGGGTTATTTACAATAAGGAAAAATGAGAAATGGCTACCTAAGCATTTTGGCCAAGGTAGATTTAAAAAGTATGAAGAAATTTTTATAATCTTTTGTTAAAAGCAACTCTGTAGCATTCATCAAGAATGATATTTCTTAAATATTTATACCCTTTGACATATTGATTCATATTCTAGGAATTTTTCCTAAGGAAGCAATTGGAAAAACAGATAAGCTAAATTCATGAAGGCACCCATTGCAACATTATAGCAGTCTATCATCCATTGGATTATGAGCATTGGGTAAACCAATAATACAGCCTTAAAATTGGAAAGTATGTGCCTATTAAAAATGTTGTTTATACAATGTTCCCAATGTCTTGGAAATTTACATATGTGGAACATTAGAGTAAGAAAAGAGACTGTTCCTGGGTCCAAACCAGCACTCTGTCACCATCTATTCTGCCTTCTCTAAGCTCTAATTTCTTAATATATAAAGTGGGGGTATAATTGTTCAATGCTTATAGGGATTTTGTGATGTTGTAAGGATTAAATGAGATAATGAACATAAAGTACTTACCAGAGGCACAGAGCACTCAATAAAAATTAACTATTTTTTAATGACCATATAAGAGTCTATAAAAGGATGGCTATAACTGAATATAGAGTGAAATAATTTACTGCAGCATTAAAAGTGGTTATCTTGGAATGGTGCACTTATAAGTGATTTTTTTTCTTGTGTATATTTTCCAGATTTCTTTACTTTCATGATTTTTTAAGTATATTGGTTTTGTTTTTTATTTTGTTTCCAAGTGGAAGATAGATAAAGGATTCTGAAAAGAAAGAGTAAATCAGACAGGCAGCAGCAGTAGCCAGGAGCTGGACAACCAGGGCAGAGCCTCTGTCAGCCAGCACCATCTGCCACATAGCAAGTAGGCAGCATCCTGGACGAGGAGGTGTCTCCTAGTTGGCAGAGCAGTGGTTCTTCAGTCGTGGTGTGTATCCAACCAACAATGGAGCCTGAGAACAACAGGGATGCCAGGGGCCCAAGTCCAGAGCTTTTAATTTGATAAGACTGAGGTGAGATATAAGTGCTTGAATTTTTAATAAAGACTCCACCTGTGATTCTAACTCATACCAAAATTTGAGAATCCCTAGGCTACAGCATGGTATGAATAAGGCCAAAGTTCCATGTTGCACCCCCGAGGGAGTCCCATAGTTAGCCGCTTTGTGTGCCTGCAGGCTGCATGCCTGTTCATTGCCATATGTCTAACCAAGCCTGGGCCAGTTCAGAGCATGAATAGAAAGGAGCAAATTACCTCCTTCCTTTTTTCCTTTCCACTTCCCTGCCCCTCCACTACTAAACCTATAATCCGAAACATATATCCTGTTATTAGTGAATCGGTAATAGCACCTTCACTAGACAGTAAGGGGGTATATTTTTAAAAGAAATAGACCTAGACAGCTAAATATGGTAGTTGATGAAGATCAGACAAATCAGGCAATCTAAAAAAGTGGTCAATTTGGTGAGATTCATGTTTAAGAGGGCAGAGTAGCTTTGCTTTACAGAGATTAGTGAGAGTTTGTAGTTCTTTAGTGTTCATCTGGAATCCCCTAGCATTTTCCTCATACTTTTGCTGCTATCATCTATCTGCCATCTTGTGACATTACATTAAAATATAATGAGTTCTAGGCCTGAGTTCATCTGAAGTTCAGGGTGTTGCAACATATAAAATGAGCTGACGCCATGGGAGTCAGAAGTGTTTTCATCCAATACAATATCAACCTAAATGCACTCAGTAAGTGAAATCTGCAACACTCAGACATCTGATTTTTACTTGCCCTTTTGCAAATTCCATTTATGTTTGCTTTTGAAAATAACTTTCAATTAAAATCATCCCATGGATTTTACACTGTGTTCAGTTTCTGATATCAGAAGGTGGTTGTGTAATTACATTAGGGTTGGTTGGGATGTGCAGAAGAATCACTTGTGCTCTTGCCTTTTTAAAGTGGAGCCCAGTGGAGCAAATTATATCACTTGAATATTCCTGTAGGTCTCACCCAACTTTGCTTCTTTTCTTGTGGTTCCCTTTAGATGTGATTGTTTTAAGCGTCATTACCTATACCTTTTTGCTCATTCATTGTGGATATATCCATTTTCACTTTGCTTCATATTAACAAATCCTCTTGCTTCTATGGTGGATTAAATAAGCCAGCTTCTTTCAAGGGTTGGAAACATCAAATAACCTTGCTGTTTGTCACTAGTTTCCCTGTGCCATAATGAAGCTGCATTTCATGGCTTATGCAATTGACACCCAAAGAGAACAATGGGTTTGTAGTGTAAGCATGAAGAAAACAGTTCCTAATATCTGCTGGACTTAGGTCCGGTCCCCTCTTCTTTGAATTCGAGTTATGGCAACCTGTTTTTTCATTTTTAAAATGAAGATGATAGTATGAATTTTGCAGGATTATTTATACATTAATAACAATGTACATAGAGAACCAGGGATATAGTAGGCATTTAATAAATTGTAGCTATTGTTATGAATGCATAGAAAGTATATATATATATACACATACATATATATAAATTATGCAAAGCAGAAAAAACTAGCTAAAGTAAATGATGACAGAATCAAGAATCAAAACTGTGTTTCAAGTAGTATTACACTTAACAAAAGCAGGCTGCTAACTGCCTAATTCAGTGGGTATTTTAATATCTTTGTGCACTATAATTTACTGCCATATTTGTCCCTGTTGACCACTTTCAGTCTCTTGTAACTTCATATGCCCTTGACCCATTCTTTCCTTATTTTCTTCTAACCTCTTTGGCTCATCCGTCTTTGTCTCTTTTAAATAAGTGGTTTCTGCCTCAGTTGATCCTCTTAATGATGGTATTACTCAGGTTTCATCCTCAACCTTCTGATCTTTCCATTTCATGTAGCCTTTCACGGATTTGACTAATGATTCACTGGTAAACATCAGACTCACATTTACTGACTGTTACCTATCAATCCTGCACCAATATTCCAAAAGGGAACTTACTGAATTTTCATATGCCTTCAATTAATTCTCCACCTGGATGAATGATATCAGTATTTACACAGATACACAAACCAGAAATCTAGACTTTTCAGTGGAAGGAATCATAGGTCAACATCTTACTCAGGACCTAGAGGACAAGTTTTAAGAATAGCTGCTTCAACATATGGAACATAACAACCAAGTACAATGTATGCACATTGCATGAAACCTGATTCGACAATCTAACTGGAAAAAGACAGTTTTTAATCACTAAGAGAAATTTAAATAGGATTATGCATTGTGGAATATTGGGGATTATTTTTGATTTTAATTAGATGTGATAATATCATTCCAGTTATATATACATATAATATAAATATATACTACACATAATTATAAATATATGAAATCGATGTTATTTATATGAATATATATTATTTCTATGAATATATGAAATATATATTATTTACATTTATATATAACATATATTTATACATTATATATACTAATATACTATTACATATTAATATAATTCCAGTTATATATAATATTCCAATTATATATGTATCATTCCAGTTATATATGTTATGTAATATAAAATATATATTAGACATCTATTATATATACATATAACTAAAAGATAATAACTAAGGATGATTATAAAAAGATAATCAGAGTACTTACCCTACAGGTTCCTTTTAAGACTTTACATGTCTTACTTATTTCAGTTTATTTCAGTACTTACACTGTGTTCAGTTTTTGTTATCAGAAGGTGATTGTGTAATTACATTAGGGTTGGTTGGGATGCTCAGAAGAATCATTTTGCTGTTGCCTTTTTAAAGTGGAGCCCAGTGGAGCAAGTACTATCTGGTAAGTACTCTGGTTATCTTTACAGATGAGGACACACACACACACACACACACACACACAAACACACACATATATATATATAACATCATATATATATATAACATCATATATATAACATCATATAACATCATATATATATAACATCATATATATATACCATCATATATATATATATATATATATATATATATGCGCACACACACACACACACAGCAGTTAAGGATGCATGTTGTAAATTGAAGATTGAAGAACCTGATGTATTCTAGCAACAAATAAATTGAAAAGATAAAGAAAAAACAGAGGCAGTGGTGATAGAAGACACAAAATGAGCAAAATAGTGGTAACTGTGAAAGTTGGGTCATAGGTGCATAGTAATTCACTATATGATTCTACTTTTAGGTATGTTTGAAAATTTTCTATTAGACATCTAACAAATGATATTTATGGGCACCCCACTCCAGTATCAAGATCACCAGGAGTGGATCCCTGGAATCTGCATTCTTAAACAGTTCCCCAGGTGATTCTTATGTGCTCTATGATTTAAGAACCACTGTTGAGATTTAAGATGTCAGGATCATTTCTGTAATAAATTTGTCTCTCCCCAAACAACAATTGCTGCTGTTGGAGATGTCCAAGAAAAATCTTAACTTCAGGGATGAAAATATCAACACATCAATCTCAAAGATGAAAAACACTAGCAGGAATTCTGCCACACAGCAGAGCCCAGTTACATTGTGGGGACATAAATCTGATCTATTTCATGAAATAGAAGTCACGTTTTTAGAAATTACCTACTTTTTATTCCTAATGCAATAAAAGATGACATTGTCTCTATTGAGCAAAAGCAGACCTGGATAAGAAGAGCATGCTACATAATGAAAATGACAATAACTGAAATAAAAGTCTCATTTGAAAGTAGTAAAAAGCAGACCTGACATTGCAGATAATCAAATCAGCCATACCCAGAATACTGAGAAAATGAAATCATGGATTTTAAAAATGACTCAAAATATAATTGGCATAGAACTCAGTCATGAAGATAAAACCTATAGACTCAACAAATGGATCAAAATTAATCATTAAAGTTATAACAAAATGTATTTCTGAATTCTGGGGATAAAAAGACCCCAAAATATTTGAGTTTATTATATCTCAAGTAATGCTAGTAGTCAGGGTAATGACACCAACTGTATCTTGTTATAATTTTTAAATTATTGGAGATAGTGATGATGAATTCCATGTCTCAGAGCAGGAAAGTCACTTTACTTCGACAGGAGTAAAAGTTACCTTTTTTCGAAGTTCTCATCTGCACTATCATAGACCTTAAGACAACGAAGCAACTCTAGTATTTCTGGGGTGAGGACAAGGAAATACTGAGTTGTTATTCATATAAAAAGAAATCATATGATAGGTAACATAGCAGAGAATATGCCATCCAAGAAGCTGTTTTGCCAAAGTTATTCACACATACAGTTAAAGTCACTGAAGGAGAAATCAAGAAAAGGGTCTTACATCTTTTGACTCTTATTTTATGATAATATTCTATTGCATCAATCCTAAATTTAACTTTTCCTCCCGCTTATTTTGTCATCACTGAAGTCAGGATGCAATCAATAGTGTCCTACAGTTGAACTTTGACAGGTGGCAGTTGTGACATAGTTGTCATTGCCTGCACATGCACACATCTGGCTGCAGCTCCTGTTGATGTGACTGAACAAGGGCAACCCCTTGATGCCTCAAATGAACCATTTCAGCATGATTGGAGAAAGGAATATGAATTGTGATTCTTGCCTGAAAACCTTCTACTGGCATCCTCTAGGAAGATCAAGAAAATATAAGCACCAAACTTACAAAATGGTGTTAGCAGCTTGGGAGAAAAACCCTGCAGATGGTAAAAAGCACTTTGTGAAGAATGTTGCTTTGGACTATGGGTACATATGGGTAGTGTTGCCTTGGGTTATGGGTACATTATGCTATTCTCTCTGTTATTCTTGGAAAGTTTTTGAAATTAAAAGTCTTTTTAAAAATCAGAAGAAGAAGAAAGCAGGGAGAAAGCAAAAGGAGATAATGCATTCCTAATGCTCCTGATTGTCCAGATGATATTGAATAGAAAAGCACTGAGATGGACATGTGGACAACTCAAAGTTGCAAAGAGATACAGCAAAGTCAGTCTAACCAACTAAATATATATGTTTCTTTTAATATATGAACAAGAGTGGTGTCTGATGCAAATCTGTACTTAGGTCATGTACTTAGGTCTGTACTTAAAAATCAAGTATAAAATAAAAATTGTAATAACAAAGCATTATGTCATAGTTTAATTTGAAGCGTTTTTTTTCTTCCTTCGTAGCACATACAGTGGTACTTCTCAAAATCAATGGTGTAGTGGATTTTATGAACTATAGAAATAACTATTATTTTTTAGGCACTTGCTATCTGGTCACAGTTTTAAGGACTTTACGTATCTTATTTATTTCTTAAATGGACCCTGTAGGGTAAGTACTCTGACTATCTTTACAGATGAGGAGATTGAAACACGAGAAGCTTAAGTAATGTGTCCAGTATCTCACAGCTAGTAAGCAGCAGAGCCAACATTCAAATCCAGACAGTCTGACACCAGTGTCCAAGCCTGTCACTACTATATCAGTGCCTCAGAATGACTCTAGACTGGGGGCATCATTGTGATCGCTTTATGAATGTACAGATAAGCAACTAAGGCCAGGAGAAGTTAAGCAGCCTGACAAGAAGTGTGCGGTATAGTGGATAGACTGTAATCTAATCTTGTTCTATGTATACACACATACACACACACACACAGACACACACACTTCCCATTATTGCCACCATTGGAAGCAAAATTGAAGAAAACAGATACAGTACATTTTAAAAGAGAGATTGTTGGCTGTTGGTTTATGTTATTTAATCATAACAACAGTGCTTCATGGCCGTTGCCATTTTCCTTTGTGTAACAGCTGTAGAAATGAATTCTATAGAGCACAAGAAACTTGTGGCCATTTCCAGAACTCTTCTATAGCAAAACAAGAATGCGGACCGAGGCATATTTGCCCCTAAAGCCCCATCATCTTTGATTTTTCAAAAATAATTAAACGCACGTACTGACGCTGAAAGGAAGAGTGTTGCTAAGCAGAGGTTGCACACTGGCAGCTTGCAGTTTGAATTTTGCCTATAGATGTGGTTGGCTCGTCACATGCCACGTTTTCTTTAAAAATCATGTTAATTTTTAAATACTGAGAGGTCACCTAAAATCTGGATTTTTGCAGCTTCTCTTGAAAAATGAGAGAATTTGGCAATATTACATCTGAATCCCTGCATGACAGTAACAGCTGGAGCTGAGTAGCCATTGCTTCCCTAATCTAGTTCCCCAGTTCACCTCTGCGCCAACACTCAATTATTCTTTTACACAGGTTGACTCTGCCTGCCTGGCTTTTAGTTGGTGACCTCACATCTAAATGGCTATTATAATTAAGACAGCTATTTACTTCAAAACAATACGCTTTGACAGTTGCAAGCAAGTATAAAAATTTGTAAGTTAGAAGGAGCAGTGAGATCTGTTTTGTGATATCCAGAATTATATGTGGTAGTCCTTTCACAGAGAATTCAGTTCAAGCAAGTGATTCATCTCTTCTTTTTTAAAGTTGATTGTAGTATTTATGTCTCCAGAATTTTAAAAAATTTACATTTTACTTTCACATTTTAAGATCCTGAATACAGAGTTAATGTTAACATTTTAAGACTTAGTAACTAATTACAATTGGATACTTAAATGTTAATAATATTCACGAGAATCCAGATTATATGTTTAAAATGTATGTCAGCAAACTTATTTCGAGAGAATTTTAAGGGCTGTGGAGAAAAGAGATTTATAAATTCAAATAATTGCAGTGTCTGAATAGATTCTTTCCTTTTTTCTTTTTTTCTACCTAAAAGCTTATGACTTTTTGACATCAGTACTTTATTTTACTTAAAAAATTCTATATCTGACCCTAAGTAGTTATCAATATTAGAAAAAAAAGTAATGCTGATTTCTATACAAAAGACTTATCTATGAACAAATGATTAGTATATTGCTTTAAAAAATTTAATAACAATAACAATCCTATGTAATGTTTAGATTTATTTTGATTATTAATTTGAAGGGGCATACATTTACATTATCTTTAAAAGACTTCATATGCTATTGTTCAAGTTGATACTGGTACTTACCACTAACAGTTCACAGTGGCTAAGAGTGGTACTATAGGAGGCTAAAATTATTCCTGGACAAACACAGAAAGAAACACAAACAGAGGAGGAATGTGGAACAGCCTCCAAGATAGACTAAAGTTACACTGTGATAGGGAATATCCACCTAAAACATGATCTCCTCCTCCTCCTGGCTGACTTCAAACCCATCTAATGTGTACTTCATCAGTAGAATGTAGGGAACATGCACCCTCAATATGTTTACATTTATTTATATAAAAATTCAATAAATTTTCCACTGCAGTAATGTATGTCATACATTATAAAGCATATCCTAATAAGAAATTTTAAAGGATGAGATAACAAAAGTAGAAATAGATGTTCCAGTTTTTTCCTCAACTCCCATAATGGACTACTTTGTTCCTTCTTCTTCATTGTGATCATCCCAGTTCTTTTCCAAATTCTATTCTACGCAACACAAGTTCAACGTCATTTTAATAAGAATTCCATGAGAAAGAGTTTCATTTTCAAGTAAGTTTGGGAAATATTAGGTTAAAATTAGATAGGTTTTCTTGTTGTGTGACTTCTCATCTTTAATACAGAATCCTGTTGTGAATCTTTATGAGGGAGAGCGTCTATATGGCTAATACTCCTCCAAGATCTCTGGGAAATCCTGCTGTGTTCAAGTTTTCTGAAAATCATCTTTGCTTGCTGTTTGCCAGCTCTTTCCATAGGGTCTCCACTTAATCCCAGGAAGATCCTGGTAAACATTTCCAACCTCTTTATATTACAAACCTTTCATCTCACTAAACTTTCCCTTATTTCCTAGGACCAACGTCCACCCCTTTGTACTCAGAACCTAAGATCTTTTTGGATAAGCCCTACTCAGGTCTTAGCTTTTGCCCTTCTCTTGTCCATGTACGTGGAGTACCATGGCCTTTCACAAAACTTGCTAGCATAGCTTCACTACAGTTTCTAGGATGAATCCTGGCTTTGGGTCAAAGAGAATTAAGATAGGTCTGCCCCATAATTTGGGACTCATCACAAATTCACTCTTCCTGCTTGATCTTGATCATGTACAGGAACACTTATTCTGATAACCTTCTAGTTCATAGGACCCAGTCCCCACTTTGTTCTCCATTGATAACCAGGTTACCGCTCACCTGCTTGGCACCTGTCCATTTCAAGAAAAATATTATTATTATTATAAATACTATCATTGTTTTAGACAAAAGCAAAACTTGGGCCTGTTTTACAATTCAATAAAATCAAACATTTGTGTTTGATTTGAGGGTCAAAGATGTACATTTTTTTTCAGCTTTAGTATTTTTTTAAAGTATTGCTCAGTAGTGAGTCTTAATATATGTCAGAATAGTACAGTTGAAAAATAATATTGACCCACTTTAGTATTATGAATGTGAATCCTCATAATTATCTTCTTTTGTTTTTGTTTTCTACCTTTTTTATGACATCAACATACCAGAATGAACAGAGGCAGTCTTTCTTGGAGAAATATTTCTTTTTAGAGGCAAGACCACAGATGACTTACAGACATATCCCTTACTTTTCTAAGCTAGCTTGGTATTTTGTTTTGTTTTATATTTCTTTTGCTACAATAGTAAAATATGGTTTGGCCATCAGATGCTAATAAATTATGGCACTTAAAATGTGGCAACATTTGTTTTAAAGCTTAGGCTATTCGCCACTCAATACGTAGTGTAAATATTTCCCCCTACCTTCCTACCCTGTAGGTTCATGAGCCATCAAATACTGTAGTAAAACAATACTGATCCTGCAGCAAGATATAAAAGAAGGCTAGCAATAAGGACAATGTGATTTTATACTTTAATATCTAAGATTAGATCCTAAGTCCAATATAAAATAATCTCATATTTAAAATTCAATATCTTCTGACTTCCCAGTTCTGAAATCACTTGAGTAGACCAGTGCAATGCATTCAGGACAAGCAGGTTTTTTGCTGATATGGTCCTGAACTAATACTGAGGAAAATTTGAAATTGCCTAAAATCAATCCTTATATTGGTCTCTGTTAGTGAGAGTTAACCACAGCAGATTAATGAGATTAGAAAGTGAGGAATAAAAGAGACATTTATCCAATAATCTTAGCCATAGAGCATACTGACTACTAACTAAAAAGATTTATCCGACAAGTAAGAGTTTTTTTTTAATAGGAATCTATCCTGTGTTTCAAAAATTACAATGCAGATGCTAACACCTTAGTTCTACACTTAGCCCTTGTTTCATGAATAGATTTATCTTTTCCTTTTTCACTACATTTCTTTGCACTCTGTCATCAAACATTGATAAGTCTTAAAAGTACATTACTAGATTCTCTTCTCCACTTAAACTACTATCCCATTTTCCCTGCCTTCATTTTAACACTTCTCTAATGAGTGTTTCTTTTTTTGTTTGTCCTGTGTTTGTTTTGAGATGGAGTCTTGCTCTGTCGCCAAGGTGTAATGCAGTGGAACGATCTCGGCTCACTGCAACCTCCGCCTCCCAGGTTCAAGTGATTCCCCTGCCTCAGTCTCCGGAGTAGCTGGGACTACAGGCGCACGCCACCACACCTGGCTAATTTTTTGTATGATAGTACAAACGGGGTTTCACCATGTTGGTCAGGATGGTCTTGATCTCCTGACCTCATAATCCGCCCGCCTTGGCCTCCAGAAGTGCTGGGATTACAGGCGTGAGCCACCGCGCCCGCCTCTAATGAGTGTTTTGAACCCCTGCCTCTTTTCAGAAAAAAAAAAAAATAGTAATTGCAGAATTCTCTAGTAAAATGACTTCTGCCTCAACAGCCTATTACAACAAGTATTTCCAAGGTCACTGACAACCACTTTCAAGACAAATCAAAAGATTTTTCTTACTCCTTATCTTCTTTAGAGTATCTGGCACTATTGATCACATACTTTTTTTTTTTCTTTTTCTTTCTGGCATTTTAAAATAATTTTTTTCTTTATTCTCTAGGATATGAATTGCCTTTTCATTTTTTGGAGGTCAGATTAAATTTTTATTTCTCTTCTAGTACACACATTCAACTATCTAGAGTGGCCCAAATTATATATAGTAACTCAAATTTGAGTTGTAAGCTGCCAATAAAATCAGTTGTAACTGAATTTGGTGTTTTCACATTTATGGCCAAATACATGAATTCTTCCTTTCTATAGAAGAGCTCATCAACCTCCTACATGGTAGATTCAGGAGAGGCACTTCCAGAAAAAGTAACTCCATTTTCTACCCCTTCTAAATTCTATAAAAAACATATTACTACTGGGATTGAGAAATCTCCAATTATTTTTCTGGACACACATAAATGATCCTTGTTGCAGTTTGATTCTTGGACATCCAGTTGATATTAATTTTCATGTAATTTATGACGAATTGTTTTGTCCTAGGGCTAATCTCTCTCTGTCCTTCCCAACCATGAAAAACACAAGGCTCAGAATGTTCTTTTTTTTTTTTTTAAATTATACTTTAAGTTCTGGGATACATACATGTGCAGAACATGCAGATTTGTTACATAGGTATACACATGCCATGGTCGTTTGCTGCACTCATCAACTCATCATCTACATTAGGTATTTCTTCTAATGCTATCCCTCCCCTAGCCCTGCCACCCCCTGACAGGCCCTGGTGTATGATATTCCCCTCCCTGTGTCCATGTGTTCTCATTGTTCAGCTCCCACTTATGAGTGAGAACATGTGGTGTTTGCTTTTCTGTTCCTGTGTTAGTTTGCTGAGAATGATGGTTTCCAGCTTTATCCATGTCCCTGCAAAAGACATGAATTTATCTTTTTTTATGGCTGCATAGTATTCCATGGTGTGTATGTGCCATATTTTCTTTATCCAGTCTATCATTGATGGGCATTTGGGTTGGTTCCACATCTGTGCTATTGTGAACAGTGCTGCAATAAACATCCATGTGCATGTGTCTTTATAGTAGAATGATTTATAATCCTTTGGGTATATACCCAGTAATGGGATGGCTGGGTCAAATGGTATTTCTGGTTCTAGGTCCTTGAGGAATCGCCACACTGTCTTCCACAATGGTTGAACTAATTTACACTCCCACCAACAGTGTAATAGCCTTCCTATTTCTCCACATCCTCTCCAGCATCTGTTGTTTCCTGACTTCTTAATGATTGCCATTCTAACTGGCCTGAGATGTTATCTAATTGGGGTTTTCATTTGCATTTCTCTAATGACCAGTGATGATTAGCTTTTTTTTCATATGTTTGTTGGCCGCATAAATGTCTTCTTTTGAGAAGTGTCTGTTTATATACTTCACCCACTTTTTGATGGGGTTATTTTTTTTTCTTGTAAATTTGTTTAAGTTCTTTGTAAATTCTAGATATTAGCTCTTTAATAGATGGATAGATAGATAGCAAATATTTTCTCCCATTCTGTAGGTTGCCTGTTCACTCTGATGATAGTTTCTTTTGCTGTGCAGAAGCTCTTTAGTTTAATTAGATCCCATTTGTCTATTTTGGCTTTTGTTGCCATTGCTTTTGGTGTTTAGGTCATGAAGTCTTTGCCCATGCCTATATCCAGAACTTTTTATTGTTCTGTTTTTCATCTTAGGCTTTGTTTTCATCAGCTGATTATTTTTCATGCCTCCTGTACCTATGTTGTTATTTAATATTTTATTAATTAATTTACTTAACTATTTATTTTGTGAGCAAGCTTATCCCCTTTCCTGGACTACTGCTGGAAACAAACATTCAAGCACTCATTGGTGCTAAAGGCAAAGGCCTCTTCAGTCTAGGCTGTGAGAAGTAGAAAGCACCACTATGATATTTCATTTGCCTAATTATTGTTTCTTTAATCACATCAGATTGATTACTTAAACTACTACTATCCTATAGAAATATAATGTGTCTATATAAGTAATTTTAAATTTAACAAAGGTAAAATGAAACAGGTAAAATAATTTTAATATGTTTTATTTAACCTAATATATTTAAAATATTATCATTTCAATATGCATCAGTATAAAGTTACTAGCGAGGTATTCTTACATTGTTTTCTTTTTGTACTAAGTCTTCAAAATCCAATGTGTAATTTATACTTACATCACATCTCATTTGGACTAGCTACATTTCAAGTGTTCAGTACCTTCATGTGGCTCATGGCTCCCATATGGGACAACACAGGGCTGAACTGTTAACATGACAAAAGAGTGGAAGTGGAGGCCAGGCGTGGCAGCTCATGCCTGTAATCCCAGCACTTTGGGAGGCCAAGGCAGGCAGATCACCTGAGGTCAGGAGTTCAAAACTAGCCTGGCCAAGATGGTGAAACCCTGCCTCTACTAAAAATAGAAAAATTAGCTGGGCATGGTGGCACGTGCCTGTAATCCCAGCTACTCAGGAGGCTGAGGCCGGAGAATCGCTTGAACCTGGGAGGTGGAGGTTGCAGTGAGCCGAGATCACGCCCTTGCGCTCCAGCCTGGGAGACAGAACAAGACTCCATCGCAAAAAAAAAAAAAAGTGAAAGTGTAAATGGAAAAAAATAAATCTATATTGCCAATTATATTTCAATTTCTATAAGTGACTTGGTTGTTTTCTAATGAATTAGCTACTTTAATCTATCTGGGAGTGAGACATAGTCTTCATTGTATACCTGGCCAACAGGGGCTCCGAAAGGTAGATCATTTCTCAAACTTGATTCAGCTCATAAAGTCAAAAGTGTGGATTCAGTCTTGTGTTTGGTCTTTTCTCACCTGAATTTTAATTACTCTGAATTCTGTGTTAGCTGGCAAGGCTGGGAGAATTGTGTTCTTTCTAATTTGTCCGTAGCTGCTACAACAGGTTTGATACTAAGAGATAGGTATGATAGTACAATCAGAGCCATTTGGGGGATGTTTTTATTTTGTCCACAAGAATAACTTGGGACCTTTTACAGTTACACCATAAATAGTAAAATTGCATTTTGCATTTAGATCTGTAAGAGAATGGCTTATTCTGTGTATTCTATGAAGAGATTAATTTTCATGCCTCCATTTTATTAACTGAGTGCTGACCTATTAGGTGACACACTGGACCCTACAAAGGAGGCTTTTATAAGATGGCAAGCTGGGAAGATCATACATAAGAATAGCAATGATAGTGATGATGATGATGATGCTAGTAATTTCTGACTTGTATTGAGACCTTACTATGTTCTAGGCACCATGTCAAGCTCTTTTTAAATATTAGTTCATTTAGTCCTCACAAAAACACTATGAAATGTGTAAAATTATTATTCATCTTGCATAGATGAGAAACTGAGACACAAAGAATTCACAGAGGGCTGGGATGCCAACTCTGAGAAAAGACAGTTTTGTGATCTTATTCATTATAGGAAAGACATATTTCCCAATAGAAAAATTATTTGTTCCAGTTGTCCAGACTTGAAAATGATGACTCCATCTTTGTCCAGTGCTAATGCTCCCATTCATCACTAGTTTCCATCTAACAAGGCTTATTTTTAACTTATTTCTAACTTCCTCCTATTTTTACTGGTTTCTCTCTGTCTTCTAACACTTAGCCCTGTTCTCACTTCTACGTAAGCTGTTTTCCACTTGGCATTTGTCCTTGGCCTTCTAATCTCTAGTAACTACGTTGGGGAGGGTAACATACATTGTTCCTTCCTTGGGTTGAAATTCCCAGCTTTAGCCTCTTGTCAAAAATATTGTTGGGCCCACTTAGGTCCTTCAGAATATTCACAGCTCATGTCTTTGCCCACTTTTAATAGTGTTTTTTTTTTTCTTGTAAATTCATCTAAGTTCCTTATAGATGCTGTATTAACCTTTGTCAGATGCATAGTTTGCAAATATTCTCTCCCATTCTGTATCAACTCTACTGATAGCTTCTTTGCTGTGCAGAAGCTCTTAAGTTTAATTAGATCCTGTTTGTCAATTTTTGCTTTTGTCGAGATTGTTTTTGGCATATTCATCATGAAATCTTTGCCTGTTCCTATGTCCAGAATGTTATTGCCTAGGTTGCTTCCAGGGTTTTTATAGTTTTGGGTTTTACATTTAAGTCTTTAATCCATCTTGAGTTGATTTTTGTGTATGGTGTAAGGAAGGGGTCCAGTTTCAATCTTCTGCATATGGCTAGCCAGTTATGCCAGCACAGTTTATTCAATAGGGAGTCCTTTCCCCATTGCTTGTTTTTGTCAGCTGTGGCAAAGATCAGATGGTTGTAGGTGTGTGGCCTTATTTCTGGGCTCTCTATTCTGTTCCATTGGTCTCTGTGTCTTTTTCTGCACCAGTGCCATACTGTTTTGGTTACTGTAGCCCTGTAGTATAGTGTGAAGTCAAGTAGTGTGATGCCTCCAGATTCGTTATTTTTGCTTAGGTTTGCTTTGGCTATTTAGGCTGTTCTTTTGGTTCCAAATGAATTTTAGAATGTTTTTTCTAATTCTGTGAAATAATGTCACTGGTAGTTTGATAGAAATAGCACTGCATCTGTAAATAGTCTTGGGCAATATGGCCATTTTAATAATATTGAATCTTCCTATTCATAAGTATGAATGTTTTTCCACTTCTTTGATCAATTTGTAATTCTCATTGTTGAGATCCTTCACCTCTCTGGTTAGCTGTATTTCTAGGCATTTTATTCTTTTCTTTTTGTGGAAATTGTGCATGGGATTGCGTACCTGATTGGGCTCTTTGCTTGACTGTTGTTGGCTTATCACCATCATTTTCACCGTCTTCCAGACATTACACGTTGATGTATTATTGGTTCTTTCTTTTCCTTTGTTCTCTACTTCCAGTCAAACTCTTGCTGAATCTTCCATCATCTTGCTCTTCATCAGTCCCTTGTTCTCACAACTAGATAATTAAAGCTAAATTCCTAACGGGCTTTCCTACCTCCAATCTATCCTCCTTTCATTTTATACTGCACTGCATTTATCCACTATTTCTTAGGATGTCTCAGCCTGTGTCTTAGGCTTCAGTGGAAATAGAGTCACCAACTCTAGGCCAGTTCTGGACCCTTTCTGGCTCACAATAGGGTCTCTTGATTTATAAACTCATGTTTGAGAATTAGGCAATATCTCTGTAAATAAAGAGAGAAGTCAAAGATAATGCTTCATCTTTGCTAGATATTCCAAAAGTGACTCATGCAGCAGATACAGCATTTAATTAGAAGACATACAATTGATTCTTTAATTTTTGAGCAGTTTCATATTTTGTTAAACAGAAGAATTAATTATAAAATAGTTTGTTTTACATTCACTTGTTTGCTCATCTTTTATTGACTATCTACTCTCTGCCAGGAATTTTGAAGGATACAAAAATGAATAAGATGTGTCCAGGATTCTTTGTATGCCCACTACTGGCATTCTTACCAAATCTTGCTTTTGATTCTGCTTCATCGCTTGTTTGAGATGACTTCCAACATTGGACTCAACTTGAACTTTTTGTTTTCTCTAGAAAGGATTCTGGAAAACTAATGAAGAAGGTTAACCAAGTATGAGACATCTGCTATAAAAACCATTAATGGCTTTCAGCTCTCCAATTAATCAAACCCAACATTTCTACCCAGCTTTTAATGCTCTCTAAAATCAACTTCTTGTTTTATATTTAAACCTATCTCCTACTACCTCACAGCCTTACTCCTGGCCTCCCAAATATTAGGTTTGTTTTACATCCTTACAGACAAACTCCCACCATTTCTTTTAACTAGGTTCCATGACATTTTGGACCTTAGTTTATTCATAGGTAAACCTAGGATAATACCCGACTCCTAGGGAACCATGAAAATTAAATGAAATGACAAATAGAAAGCCCCTTTTAAAATTCCTAACCATAAGGGTGTTGAATGGTCATTGATTCCTTCTCCATTTCAAAAAAGAGAATGTGGTTCACTTATGCAAATATGACACATTTTTCAAAACCAAGACTCTGCCTCCTCAACATTTTTCATAATGACTTTCTGACTTTCATCTCTCTAACAATAGATTTTTGCACATGTTGTCTTCACATTAGAATATTACTAACTGCTATTTTATTTCCATTTATCAAAGTAGCCCTCTATAATACATTTTCTTAGTTTCAAAATGATACAGCTTTCTCAATCTTGTCTTGCTAGTATATTGTAGCTAATAGGGAAGAATCAGCCTTATTTTGAACTAACCTACAACATCTAACATAGTGCTTGGCACATGACAGATGCTGAATATATTATATAATTTAATTTACTTTGGTTCATGATGGTGGATCTGATAGATCAACAGCTATTCCAGTCTTACAGATAAGTGAAGATCATATTTATTGTGGGTAACACACCAAGAGATTTATGTGTCTGCTGATCTGAATAAAATATACTTGTATTTTAATGAAACATTGGCATGTTATATATCAGGTATGAACTTGGACAAGCACAATTTTGAAAATTGGATTTAGAGAATATATATCTCAAGATTGCAAATGCTGAAAATAGAAAATCTTGGGGGGGAAAGAACAATGAAATTAATTGAAAAGAGGGAATAAGAAGATAGAGTTGTTTTAGTTCAGTGGGCCCTGAAATACACTACCCATGTCCCAAACAGTGACAAGACCAGGTTTAATGAACTTGTTGCCTCTTCAGTTCTGAGGGCCTTCTTTAAAAAAAAAATAAATCCAAGACTAGCAATACAAACCTACATAAAAGGCCTGAGAAGCAGCTTGTGTAATGGAGTGTCTCTGAGGGGTAAGTTTCATTAGCTTATAATGAATCAACCTCGGAACTCAGGTAGAATTATCAGAATCTCTGTAATTAGCCACTGAAGCTGTGGCAAATAAACAAAGAGCATATCCCTCTTCTCCAGCACAATAAAGTTTTGTTCCTTGTTCTACACCTATTTCTACCTTATATCTGACAATTTTTTCAAGACTTTTCCCGACTGAGACACCTCCATGCATGACCATTGTAAATTTACAACCGTGCCATTCAGTGCTTTTTCCATCAGTTTGTATTCAGCTCTCCATAATTGCTCAAGAACAAATACATTCTTCATGTTCAGCTCCTCCTGAGAACGCAGAAGGATGCTGTGGATTGGATAAATAAGGCAAGATAGGATTAGGGAAAGAGATGGTCAGCTCTGAAGCCACTAGGAGAAATACTTCTTTGACTGATGGAGAAAAATGAAGAAAAAATGAACAGCAAGAAAGAACTGGGACATAATTGCAGCTCATGCCATTTGTCTTTGTCCTCTAACCTCACCTGAAACCCCAGTAACTATATCAATCACACAAATAGGCACTCTGTACTTGGAGTTGGACTTTTTTTTTCTACATTGCTTATTACATTATACAAATTCCATATACAACTCATTGAAATGGTTAGTTCTTTAAGCTTGATTATGTCAATTCCCAGTGACCAACCTATGAGCAAATCCATTCCATCTTATCCCACACTTCCAAACCTACCTAATTTATCCTATCTTCTTCCTGGCTTTTTGTCTTTTCTGCTTTTCTTACTTTTCTTGAATCATTAAAAATGTTTGCACACTTGTTATGTGTCAGTTCTTCATCTCAAAGAATTATAGTAGGAGAGATACAAAAAAAATCACAATTTTATATGATGAATTGCATGATGGTGCATATATACACACTCATAGGCTGATATGACCGACTTATGAGGTGTGAACACCACAAGTGAGTGAAAAACTAAAACGTATGTTCAGAGACTTGCAGAGGCTATTCTTGAAGAATCTTACATGCTATGCTAAAGAATTTGAATGGTACGCTCGAAGGGTAGTGAGAAATCCATTCAATAGCTTTAAAAGGGAACATGATACAGTCAGATTTCGGTTGTAGAAAGATCACTTTAGCAGCTATGCAGAAAATAGGTTATAAGATGGCAATACTATATGGCGGGAGATAATTTTGAGCCTATTAATGATAATTCAGAAGAAATATATTTTTAAAAAATTAACGAAGGCAATGGCAATATGAATGAAGCTGCGGTGAAAAATTTCATCTGTAGACTTCTTTGATAAACAGATTGATGAAGAATAAGGAATATAAGATGACTCCAACCTTTCCTATTTAGGAAATGGAAGAATTTGGTATTACTCTCTGAGTCAAGAAGCACAGGTGGGGGAGTAGGTTTAATGCTAACTACTAATTATTGAGCACTGACTACACCCAAGGAGATGCTAAGCACTTAACGTGCATTATATAATTGTATCTCAAATTAGCATCATTAATTATATTGAATTTCAAGAAGTCAAGGCTCACAATGTGAAGAAGGTTGTCAAAAATTACACTGTAGCTAAGTGGTAGAGCTGGAATTCAAACTTAGGAAGATCTGACCCAGAGCCATGCCTCTTAACAAACACTATACCAGTGCGAATTGAAGTGTGGGCCAGAGGCTACTTGCATGCAGATGATCTAAGGTACTTTCTAAATACAGGTTCCTGGGTCCAACAGGAACCAGTTTATTCAAACAGAATTCCTGGTGGGTGGGGACTGGACTTACCAGGCATTTTTTATGCACCTTAATCTTTACATACCACTGCAATGCATAGTAATATACTACTGCTTGGTAGAAAGATGATAACAAATTCACTTTTTTATATGAAAATCTTTAGCATTTTTTCCAAATCTCACATTTATAGAAAAGATGCATACAATAGAAATACCTTTTTTTTTCCTGAGCCATTTGACTGTAAGTTGTCAACCTGATGCTCATAGCCTGCTAATACTTTAATACCTCCTACAAATAAAGGCATTCTCCTACATAGTTACAATTTGACAGTCAAAGTCAGGAAATTAATATGGATCCTTTAGTAGCATATAATCTTCAGACTCCTGACCAGTGTCACCAGTTGTCCCAGTAATATATTTTGTAGCAAAATGATCTACTTTGGGGGGCATTAGTTGTCAGATCCCTTTAGTCTCCATCAGTCTGAAATTGTTTCTCAAAATTTTTATGATATGGTTAGATACTACAGGGCAGTTATTTTATAGAATACCCCTCAATTGAGATTTGTCTGGTATTTCCTCATGATTAGATTCTGATTATGCATCTTTGGCAGGAATATTTCCAAGTGATACCTGCCTCGTTTGGACCCACCCAATAGCTTTAGGAGTGAATTATTCAGGAAGGAAGAGGGAGGGAAAGAGGAAAAGTTAACTTTTCAGTATGTTGAGTTTGAAATTCTTGTGGAGCAGTTAGATGATGTCTAATAAGTACTTGAATAGATGGATCTGAGGTTCACCTGAGAAATCATATCTGAAGACAGAATTTTAGAGTCATCGAAGTGTAAGTGATAGTTGAAGCTGTAAATGGGAATTAACTCAATAAAGGACTTTATGTAGAGCTAGGAGGGAAGAGGCCAAAGGGTGAGAAGACCACGGGTGCACATTGATTTTAAGAATCTAAAATAAGAAGGAAAACAGGCAAAACAAAGTGAGGAGGAGTAGATGATGGAGAGGTTAAAAAAAATAGTGAAACAGGATTAGGAAAACTAATGGAGATGAAGGTTGCAGTCCTAAATTAATCCCTCCTGTTGATGTTTTCTTCAAACTGTCCTTGCATTTACTCTTCTTTACTGCAACTGGACTTTCACTGATAATGTGGATTCTTTTATAATTCTTTTAAGTGGAATCTGCTCCTCTCATGTTATTAAATTCACTATTCCAAAAAAAATTGATATACCATTTGTTTATCTTTTATCTCTGCAAGCCCTTTGTTTCCCCACAGTAGACATGATATTCTTTCTTATCATAAATAAGTGATCTACTGAAAAGTTTATTTTCTCCCAAACCCAAATTTTAAAAAATTATTCTTTAGTAAAGTCGACGTTTTTCCTTATTTTAACCCCTCAGGTGACCTCGAATCCTCCCATTCAAATCTGCTCTTTAAAAAATGAAGGCCAGGTGTGGTGGCTCATGCCTGTAATCCCAGCACTTTGGGAGGCCGAGGCAGGCTGGTCATGAGTTCAGGAGATCGAGACCATCCTGGCCAACATAGTGAAACCCCGTCTCTACTAAAAATAGATTAGCTGGGTGTGGTGGCACATGCCTGTATTCCCAGCTACTCGGGAGGCTGAGGCAGGCGAATCGCTTGAACCCGGGAGGCAGAGGTTGCAGTGAGCCAAGATCGCACCACTGCACTCCAGCCTGGGCAAAGAGGGAGAATCCGTCTCAATAAATAAATAAATAAATAAATAAATAAATAAATAAATAAATAAATAAAAATGAGATACACACCTAGTTAACAGCTGGTTTGTCAGGTATTGGTGAATAACATCCTTGGGCCTAGTAAATGAGTGAGTATTGCCTACATATATGAGTTAACATAGGACACTGTCCTAGGTTTTTGCCCTTTTATCCCTACACTTTCTCCCCCATTATTCTTATCTATTCTCACTTTTAAATACCTCTGTAAGCTAATGTCTCATAAATATATGATCTGCAGCCTGGCCTCTCCGCTGAGGTCTAAACGCACATTTACTTGAAGATCTCAATGTATAGAAAGGTGGTATAACATAGTGGTTGAGAACATTGACTGTTAACTCATTGACTGGACTCGTGTCCTGACTTTTGAGACTTACTAGCTCAAATTTATTAAATTTAGCAAGTAATAACTTAGCAAGTTACTTAAATGATTTGTACTTCGATTGCGTTATCTGTAAACAAAGTGAATAACAATATCTCCCTCACGGTGTTGTTATGAAGAAATGAGCAAAACATTTAGAAGAGTGTTGAACACATCCTAAGCATCACATATGCTTACTTCTATTATGTCTCATAAGAATATCAAATTTAACATTTCCAGTCTTGAACTCTTGCTCGCTCCACAACTCCAAACCTGGCCTTCCAACTCAGTAAAAAGTACCACCAAACACCTACTTGGTCACTCCAGAAGCCTGCTTTTTATCACTTCTTGTTCTTCATCTTTACCTCATATCTAGACCTGTCATAAATATTAAGGAGGTATATAAAGCTCCATTGATTGTTCTTTAAAATATACCTTCCATCCATCCTCTTCTGTCCATTTCCACTCCTCGCACCCCGTATCAAGCCACCAACATGCCTCATTCAGTGACTCTAGTAAACCTCCTACGGGTTGCTCTGCTTCTGCTGCCTACCCCCTTAGGATCCACTATCCACACAGAAGGCAAAAAGAACATTGAAAATGTAAATCAAATTGTGGCAGGCCTCCCCTTACAACACATCAGTTCTTCCATCTCACATACTCTATTTCCTTCAGGCTCATGCATGATCTCCTCTGTGACTTCTTCCCCAGCCTCATCCCCTTCACTTCCCTCTAGCTCATTACATTCCAGGAACAATCACTTTGTATCAGTTCCGTGAAACCCCAAGTTCTACCTCAACTTAGGGCCTGGCATTTGTTACTCCCTTTGCCAAGAATGATCTCCCTCCCAGCCTTGAGTCCCAAGGTGTAGTCTTTCTTACTTTCTGGGTCTCAACTTATTTTTCCTTCATAGAACTCTGTGATTTCCTTTTGCAGTTTATATGTAATTATATAATTGTTTACTTTTGTAGGGGCTGCCTTTCCAACTAACCTGTAAATGAACTTAGTCTATATAGGGACTCAGCTGTTTAATTTACCACACTATACCCAGTATACAGCACAGTGTCTGTCATATCCAATAACTATTTATTGAATGAATGAATCAGTGAGTAAGTAAATAAAAGATAGGAATATAGATAAAGTACTCTTTCAGGTTCTGGAGAGCTTTCTTGGAAGCTGGAGATCAACAAAAGTTCACTTCTTTTTTCAGGAAAGCCATGAAAATTAAGATGTCATTAATAAAGAGGTGTTTCCCTAACGCCTAAGTTGTGAGTGCTTGCTTTAAAAATACCAGTTCCTGTGCCTGTACTCAGAACCAAAAATTTAGAATTTCTGAAGCTGGAGCCTAGGAAGTAACATTGCCCTTATGCCCTAGGTGATTCCAATGCACACCAGATGCTGTTATCATGAGAATAAAATATATTTCTAAACAAAGCAATCGGTGTTCCAGGTGCTATCTTCTACCTAGAAGTGCTGAATATGGAGACACCACCCAGATGGCCATAGGGTGGAGTGAAGCAAATATTTTCCACTAGGAATTTTATGTCAGGATGGTGAAACTCACAATTCTGAGACTTAAAATGACTAGTTTTTCTTCAGCCACCCTGTGTTGGTTTGGATGAAGTAGAAAATTCAAGATGGTGGTGGGATACAGTAAATTATTCCCAAGCCTCCTAGACTTCTCTTTCCTTCTTCATACTCTCCTTTGGTGGGTTTGAGCACATACCTCCAAATCTGCCCCATGCATGAAATGTCTTTGTGGCTTTGTTTCCCTACAAATGCTTGCAAATTGTTTTTGCATTTTACCCCATAAAATATCTGTTTTTTATATAAAATTACATTGAATTATGTACCAAGAGATGAAACTGATGCTCCAGGAAATGGCATTGTGTTGTTGATGACTCAGTTTACCCTCAAGGACACCTAATCCTCTCTTTAGGCGCATGAGCAACCCATTTGAGAAACAGGTGATTGTTGCCTGTATATATCTTATCTCCACACTAAACTGCAAATACCTTCTTGTATTATGTTATGTTCTTCACAATGTTTTCAACACAGTAGATATCCAATAAATAGCTAACGAATTTGGAACACAAGAGTTTGAAAGAAATAAGGAATCTGAGAAAGCAGGATAGACCTGCAAGAAGCCAGATGCTATTGGAAGTGCCACCGTAGGAAGGTCCTGCCTGCCTCTCAAGATCAAGCGATCACTTCAGCAGAGAATGCTTTTGGTCTTAACATAGTCTCTCCAAACTCATGGCCTTCAGTAAATGGACTTCAAAGAGGTCTTGGACTTGCATACTCATGCGGAGAAGAAAAAAACTTTTCGAACATCAAATTAGAGCTTTCAGGATCAAAATGCTCAAACTATCTCTCATGATACCTGATGGAATCAGGACTCAGAACATTCCCACCTCCATGATATTTTAACTCCCCTTGTTTTTCTCAAGTTGCATTAACTTAAATGCTAACAGCCTACTTTAGCTTTTTTGTAATTAACGTTTTTAAAATCTGTGCTCTGATCTAATTCAAGACCATCTATAAGGTGAAATACTCTATGAAACCCTTATTAGTGATTTTTTAAAGAAAATATTTTTTAAAAAGCAACCTCCCTACCACTTACAATAATGTTACCTCAGTACACAGCTTTTCTGCAGACATTCATATTCAACCCCACTTGATTCTGTTAGTATTTATTTCTTGTCCAGTACATGCAAAGTAATAATTGACATTGCTATATAGGAATCTGTTTTTGTGGCTTATGGCTTGGGAATTTATTTGGCTCCTTCTTAAAAACTTGGTCTTCTTGACCCCTCAGCCTTCACCAGTTTGAAAATTCCAACCATAATCCTCTGTGGGGATTTACACAGGTGTCTATTATTGCCCATAATCTGTGATAGGGCTTCCAGTATCCTTGTTGCAGAAAGGTTAAGCCCTCCCGTCTTTATTCCTGAGTAAAAAAGTCCACAGGGTTTTAGTATTGTCAGGGAGCAGATTGAAACAAGCTGCAACTTCAATCAGGCCCTAAGCTGGTGTCTATGCCAGCGGGGAATCTCTGTGATGAACAAAGGATTCCATTAGAAAACGGAGCAGTTAGTTTTTAACTCCAGAGTTATACAAAAACAAAACTCTTTATCCTCTACTATTCTTAGGGTGGCCATATTTTCCAAACCAAAATTTGAGACTCATGTTCTGACAGATGCATAGGTGCTTTTGTCACAACAGTTTCAGACTATCTAATGTTGGGACAGTCCCATAGTATTTAGGATGTAGTAGTCCCACTTTATCCACAGTTTTAATTCCCATAATTTCAGTTATCCCACAGTCTGAAAATATTTAATGGAAAATTCCAGAGATAAAATAATTCACAAGTTTTAAATTGTGTGCCTCTATAAGTAGTTTGATAAAATCTCACACCACTTAGACCTGTCCCGCCTGGGACATGACCCATCTTTTTGTCCAGAAGCTCCACACTCTGGATGTTACCCACCCACTAGTCAGTAGCCATCTCGGTTATCAGGTCCATTGTCATAGTATCACACTGCTTGTATTCAAAGAACCCTTATTTTATTGAATAATGGCCCTAAAGCACAGAGGTAGTGTTGCTGGCAATTTGGATATGCCAAAGAGAAGCTGTAAAGTGTTTCCTTTGAAAAGGAAAAAGTTCTCAACAAGGAAAGAAAAAAAATCATATTGAGGTTGCTAACAGCTATGGTAAGAACAAATCTATCTGTGAAATTGCAAAAAAAAAAAAGACAAAGAAATTTGTGCCGGTTTTGCTGTCACACCTCAAACTGCAAAAGTTATGGCCACAGTGTGTGATAAGTGCTTAGTTAAGAGGGAAGAGGCATTACATTTGTGAGTGGAAAACATGAACAGAAACGTTTCGACTGACAGCGATCAGATTTCATACTATCCTCACTTTCATGCATCCAATGGGGGGTCTTGGAACATTTCCCCAGAGAATAAAGGGGGACTGCTCTGTACTGTTGCTGTATGCATACCACATGTTGGTACCCAGCATACCAGTTAACAAGGAAGCTTACAAAATGAGATTGCACTACATGGCCATTAGTAGAGATCACTGCCCTTTTTGTCCTGAGGGCCAGTGGGCAACTGGAAACATATGGCCTTGTGGACCTTCCTGTCTGAAGATATACAGTTTGTCTCTAGAATTGTGGTCATCAGGGCTTGTTAGTATGTTTGTGGTGCTGATCTTTATCTTTCAGTCTTCTGAATCTGAAAGACATGTCCACTATCTTAGATTGTTCTTACCTCTGGTACTGACTTGTCTCTGCCTCTCCCCAATGCCAGTAACTAAGCTATAAGACCTGAAGGGGGCACCTCAGCGTGACCTGTGAACATCAGCTCCCAGACTCAGAATAGTCTAAGTGTCTTCAGAAAAGTCACAAAGAAGGGGCCTTCCCATGCTATAGCCAAGCAAGAATTTGGGAGCAGAAGGACTTGAGGCAAGGAGGAGTGGCCGGGAAGTGGCAAAAAGGAACTGGGATGGGGAGTCCCTCCACCAAAAATTATACCTCTGATATAAAGGAGTCAGTCACTAGCCTCCCAGAAGCTTTCTAGACGATGCCCCAAACTTGCAGTTAAAGCATGGTTCTCATGGTTTCAATCTCTGAGAAACGAATAGTAGGCTCTGCAACCAATTTCTACACCCTTTAAAGGCCTTGCGTTGGAAACACCCTAATGGTATCTATCTCAGTCACAGCAGGAACAGGTTGGGAGTGCCATTCCAGAATGCTGCTTCTTGCCTTTGTGTCTTTTTTGACTGTCACCAATAAAACAAGCAAGGATAAGCCAGATGCAAATGGGTGCAGGACATCTCTGTGTCATTCTTTTTTCATGATTCGTTTAAGTGTTAACCCAAACGCGTCTCACATTCACTTGTGTACATGTCTGCTTGGCATGTAGCTTACAGTTCAGTGGCAAATCTCGCGTAAGAATTCTCTTCATTTTCAACTGTTGTTTCCAATAGTTTGCCCATAGGTAAAGCTTGGAAAGGCAAAGTCAAAATGATAGCAACCGGAAGTGTTACATTAATATCGCTTACCTGAGGTTTATATATATATATATATATAAAACTCTGAAGGGCTTAGCAGATCTTAGGTGAAAGGATGTTCTTTTCAAAGTGTCACTTTGCCAGAAGAAAGGAAGAAAGACACCTTCCATCAATAGAAACAGTAAAAGCATGCCTCAAATTGTATTTATCTCTCTAAATTCTGAAAGCGTATTAAGGAAGAATAGCAATATTCCACTTTGGCTACAAATTGCTAATTAATAACTACAATTCTCCCAGAGGTAAAATATTAACATTTTAAAAATGAAATTAAACATCACAATCTTCTTCTAATTGTTACAAAAATATTTAGCAGCAATAGCTGTTTAATTATTTAGGCATTTGTTAGTGGTGTAAATATTATCAGCACAGTCATAAATATTTTCTGCTTTGTCCACAATCAGCTAAGGATATGTTGCTTGTGGGACTTAAATTAAGATCTATTTAAGGCTGCCTGCTGGCCACAAAATAATTACTTACACTTCCTGATGCCTGAATCTGTTAGATATAGCAGCAAGAAGTGTACTTTGTTTTTGTAAGTCAGAAAAAGTTGCATTTTCTTATATAAATTTCATTGTTGATGTTATTAAAGAGGATTAGGGTGGGGTTGAAGTAGCTGAAAATTTAATTAATCTAATCCCTTTAACAGGAATTATTTTCATATTGATAATTCTCTGTAATAACAGTATTACAGATCACGCCCTGTGAAATATTTACACTAAATATTGTAGCCTGTAATCTCTCCTCCAGCTTTTTCTTTGGGGAAGGATAAGATTTACGGCTTCTTCACCTTTCATCTTTTTTTTTTTTTTTTCCTTTCTCTCACCTGAAGTGCAGGGGACCAAAATGAAATCTTTTTTTTTTCCTGCTTCCTCTTTTAATTTTCTGTCAATGTCATCATATCTCAGTAAGTTATGTTAATAGCCATCAAATCACTAATCTCCTAAAAGAGCACGAGTGTTATGAAATAAGGAGAACAATTGATTTTTTCCCCTCTTTGGTATCTACAGTCATTTGGTGTAGATTCTCATTTGAAATGATTTGTTTACCCATTGATTTCAATAAATTGTTATGCTGCTGAAAATATCACTAAGAGTAGAGTCAAATGAAGGACGAAACTGTCATTCTGATCAACTTCCTCTGATCATCTCCGGTGTAAATTGGGAATTGTTCTCAATCAGCTCAAATGTCATGTTATCAGGGAGACCTTCTCTGACTTCCCAAAATAAAATTACAATCACCATTGCTTCCTTTAATTGGCTTTATTTTCTCCATACAAGTTGTCATCGTGTAACATTATAACACATTATGCTTGTTTGTTTAGTGCCTGTCCCCCAACTAGGATGGAAGTGCCACAGGAAGCAAGGACTTGGATTTGTTTATTGCTGTATCTTGAGAGCCAAGCTGAGTGCCTTAAATATGGCAATCAATAACACATTGTTGCATGTATGAATCTTTACTCTCATTTTTTTAGGTGCCTGAAGCACCAGATCTGTGCCAAGCAATGAAGAACTTGATACAAATGTAGACATTTGCCCTGAGCTGGCTGATCCACTCAGCCTCAATGGAAGGGTGCCCACTGAGAACAGACCTGGTGCTTTCTGTAGCTATGCCTTCATTAAAGAACTAAAACTGGGTTGTATAGTGCTGTTTGGCCTCCTCATGTTTACAATATCCAGTGATACAAAGCAGAGAATCTTTAAGGATGCCCTCCAGGATACGACTTCTGTAGAATATGAACAGGAGTTACTAAACTAGAAAGAGACTCCGTGGTCACATAAACCTATGTAACTAGGTATTATGTGAAGCTAAACAAGGTTCTTAATTTCAAGGTATATCAGATTATGATAACATTCATTAGGACTCTCCAAGACAAGAAGATTAGGCTGTGTTTCCTGAACTTATTTGGTCTTAGACATTTCCTCTCTACCAGCCAATCCTGTTTCTACAACAGGGCTACAACAGAGGGAACTCCAGTGACTTGGGAATTCAGCAAGCCAGGGAAGGGGTAAGAGGCACCAGTCTCATCACTGCCTCTTACTGACTTTATTATGTGACCTTGGACAAATTACTTAACACCTCTGTGCCTCAATTTCCTCTTCTGTAAGGTAGGGATGAAAAGGATTACCCAGGAAAATGTACGTAGTGTCCAGCACGCAAGTGCTAACTAAATGGTGGTTATTGCCAAGACTTTATATTAAGTATAGGCATGAGAGCCTTTTACATAGATTTCTTCAACCATATTTTTTAAAATAGGTTTGTTAGTATTGACCAATTTCCAGAAGCAGCCTAATGTGTCATCTCATGTGGCCCCAGTGCCCTATCCCTATCTGAGAAGCTCTGCACACCTGTGCTGAAGGCAAACAAATGTTATCTTTCAACACAACTTACTACAAACATCTGATAACTCACTTTGGTGGATCCCACAGCGCCTTTCCCCTTGTTTCCATACCCCTGACCTCAGATGAAGACACTTTTTTCAGGAGGAAGATGGCAGCATCCAAGTTAATGATAGTGCAGATGGCTACATGCTGACAGATTTTGAAGTGACCATATTTTTTCAGTAAATTTCAAATGAAGGTGTGATTTGTGTAAATCTGACCTCTTCCTGTAAAATGTGCATTTACATATATTTAGAATTTATAAATCCTGACAGATTCCACAATATTTATAGCCCTCCATAAAAAGCCTTTGCCAGTCTGTAGAGCTTTGCATTTGGCTCTCTGGCATGCTTAAGAGAATTTAAATAATAATAAATTTGGTGATTTATTCCACCTGGAACAGAAACTTATTTCCCCCCTCCCCTGGCTCATTTTGAAGGGGATACTATAAATAGTGCCACAGACGCTGGGATCAGGACTAGGGAATTGAAATTTGAGAGAGAAGTACAGAAACATTTTCATTATCACTGATTCCTTGAGTGTATTTTTAAAACAGTTCTGTTCCTCAAATAATGTACCTTCTCTTCTTTCTCCTGCCCTATCACAATTATACTTGAATCTCCAAAACCTGTTGCCAACTTTAGGATTCGGTTACATTAATGGGAAAGAGAGAGTGAGAGTATTAGCTGACTAGGTAGGAGAAAGTTGCCTCTAGGGAGACCAAAGCAATTCTCCCATGTTCATCTTATATTTCATAGGAGTCAGCTAGTAACTGAGTGTCAGTGTCTAAAGTGTAAATTCATTATCTGAGACCTCGCTCCTGTATCCTACAGGTATGATGAAAAGCTCACAGTATATGGAAAAAAAAAAAAAGGAAAGAAAGAAAGAAACCTAATTGTAATTACAAAAGGAAGCCCAAGGACAATGTCCGAGGATCAATTCTTTTCACCCAGCCATGCTCATAATAACTGAGTACAGAATAAGAAACACCTGAATAGTCAAGTCCTAATGATACTACTTGTTTTCTTAAAAACAAAATCAACAAAAATCTGGTAACTTGTCATTTGCCATGGAATCTACTGATGAAAGCTGAGAGTAGCCATTTAGTGTAGCATAAGCAGTGTTGTAACTTGTAATATAACTAGGAGATTTATTTCTAGCTTCTTGTTTGAATGTCTGTAAAGGAAGTAGCATTTGTTAAAGGTAGAATAATAATAACTAACATCCATGAAGAACTGCCTGTGGGCAGGCACAGAGTAACAAACACATCAAGTGGCTGTGGTTTGATGTGCAACAGCCTCCTAACTGAGTAGTACGTTTTCTTGTCCTGATAACTTGGAGCACACTCCCAGCCCCAAGACTTTCCTGAACAATCCTTTTATCTCTACCTAATAGGCTGGCAGGTATTTGGACCAAGCCCCAGAGCCTTTAGGGTACCACATTTTAATAATTGGTGGTGAACAAAGTAAACGTTGTAAAACCAGACATTATGAAGCAAGGACCCAGTTAAGTATGACGGATTTCAGGGAAAGCCAAAAAAAAAGGCTGAATGTTGTATGGGGGTATTGTCTCCCCTACAGAACACAGGTATCTATGGTTCATGGCTCATTCTAAAGCTTTGCTTGAAAAATGACTTTTTAAAGAAGTGTACTCTTAAAGAATGTCCTTCAGGCAGGGAGGAATTTCCCTTGCTTTTCTATAGCATCTTTGTAAGAGGAAGCGGAGGTATTGAGCTGTTAGACAGTTGCTCGGTGCCTTCGTGCTTCTGTGACCACATTATGGGTCTAACACATATGGGATAAATAAACTGTTTTCATTTCTTAAAGCACATGGAAGGAAACAAGACAAGAAAATTACCATATTGCTTTTTTTTTTTAAAAGCTATTAAAGAGGAGAATCCAGTTAGGGCAAATAAAAATGATTACTGAAAACAGATTTTTTTTTTCCTTTTCTAGCCTCTTACTGAGCAACAGCAATATGGCAAGACTTGTGGCAAACCAGTGTTTTGATGCACGCTCTTTTGTTCTTCTTCCATAGGGCAATCCCTACATGTGCAATAATGAGTGTGATGCGAGTACCCCTGAGCTGGCACACCCCCCTGAGCTGATGTTTGATTTTGAAGGAAGACATCCCTCCACATTTTGGCAGTCTGCCACTTGGAAGGAGTATCCCAAGCCTCTCCAGGTTAACATCACTCTGTCTTGGAGCAAAACCATTGAGCTAACAGACAACATAGTTATTACCTTTGAATCTGGGCGTCCAGACCAAATGATCCTGGAGAAGTCTCTCGATTATGGACGAACATGGCAGCCCTATCAGTATTATGCCACAGACTGCTTAGATGCTTTTCACATGGATCCTAAATCCGTGAAGGATTTATCACAGCATACGGTCTTAGAAATCATTTGCACAGAAGAGTACTCAACAGGGTATACAACAAATAGCAAAATAATCCACTTTGAAATCAAAGACAGGTTCGCGTTTTTTGCTGGACCTCGCCTACGCAATATGGCTTCCCTCTACGGACAGCTGGATACAACCAAGAAACTCAGAGATTTCTTTACAGTCACAGACCTGAGGATAAGGCTGTTAAGACCAGCCGTTGGGGAAATATTTGTAGATGAGCTACACTTGGCACGCTACTTTTACGCGATCTCAGACATAAAGGTGCGAGGAAGGTAAGAGAAAATCTGTCTGCCTTCAATGGGAACGGGTGTGTCCAAAGAAAATGCCAGAGTGTCTCACAGCTGTAAAGTGACATTTGTCAATTTCTACTGCAACGTTTTCTTCAGGAACTCCACTGTAGAAGTAGGTTCTGAAGGCATTCTGAGATCCCTCATCCTCAGCAGTAATTTGTAATCCCAAACTTGCTGTCCCTGAACCTGGCATGATTCTTCAGAATTTAAATAAAAGTGAATTTTAAAAAGTAACTCCCTGAGTCGGGAGGTCCTTTAGGTCTTTAAGGCAATGAAGCCAGGGGAAGCAAAACCATTTGCCCTATAACGAACTGAAAAACTAGAAATACAACATACCATTGTTTACAAATGCAAAGCAGGGATTCAACATGGTACAGCAGTCAATTTATGTTTTGTGTAATATTGCACAAAAAAATCTGGAAACTAGAGTTATGTTTCTTTAAATTTATTAAATCAGAATCAATAGCATGTAGGAAACATTTGTTAAATTGGGACACGCTCTACTTTTCATGTTTTTGGATGTTATTATATCAAAAATATATACTAGCATTTAAAATATAGACCTGAGTTGGGCTCCCTTCATCTTGTAGATTAATCACAAATGGACAGAGTTTAAACACATTAATTAAACACAGTCAGGGATAGCTTTGGTTTTGATAATATACTAGAGACAGAATTGAGCAAATTTCCAAGAATTTTGAAGATGTTTAAATGAAAAACTTCAATAATGAGAACCAGAACCACCACATAGGGATTTTCAACCAGCTTTTTAAGTGTGGTATATTATCAAAACGACCACCTGATGGGAGTGGAAGCATGAGATAATGAGTGGGAAAAGTAAAGGTAAGAGCAGAGTATCTAGCAAAGGGAAAGGCAAGCAAAGAAATAACACCCCAGTAAAAAGGCCAAGATATCTTTAAATTGAAACATATGAGGATAAGCATATAAATAGTATATATCATGTAGGTTTCATTATTTAATGATAAAATTCAAACAGATAAGGCAGGATTGATTCAATTTATTGGCTGCCAACATCCTTTAGGCAGCCCAGTTCTCAGAAACTGGAGAAGTGTTGAAACTTTCTGGTCTGTTAGAGATTTGCCTTACCTATGTGTGCTGGGAGAAAGGTCACTGCTGTTAAGGTAAAGACCATAGTGGGAACGCAGAATGGAGTGGTGGGCTTGATCATAGTGTGGTGTCAAAGGTTTCAGAGTCTTAGCTGTGGAAAAGCAGTAGAAACTGGTGGCCATCTACTCTCAGCTTTTTCTAGCTTCATGTTCCTCATGGAAGAATCAAAAGCCTTTATCTGCGAAGCTTTTCCTAAAATTTTGACCAAGATCTTGGTGGTATATAACGAATATATCTTTAAAGCAGTATGATGTTGAACTTGTGAGTTCTAAGCTGTAGAGGATAATTCATGTATTATTAGCAGAGTACATGACAGGGCAATACAGGAGCTGTTGTCTTAAACATAAGTTTGCTATTTATAGTAATACACAGCCATTATACTTATGAACATTTTAGCAAAAGACTATTAGTTTCCAGGATCTTATTCTTGGGGAAGTATGATATATGAAAATAGTTGATATTGTTATTATTAATGATAGCTTGCCACAATGAAGTAGCAAATATTCAATTCATCTACATGAATAATGGTAAAAAATTAACAAACTAAGATGTGGATTTTAATCCTAGTGTAATCTACATTGCTCGGTAGATTCATCTAGGTCAATTTCCTTGCAGTTTAAAAAATACTTAATCTGAGCCCAAATTCCTATTGCTCCACCTCCCCATATACCTTTATTTGCCACTTGTAAATAAGGCAATCTTCTGAAGCATTTTGGTTGGGAAAAACCTATTGCTGATGCTTATTTTTGTTATTAGTATTCATTTTGTTTCCTCTAATAATTTAAAAGAAAGTGTAAAATAAACTTGAAAGCTAAAGGCATTTTTCTGCATTCTCCACTGATGTCAAGCATGCCATCTCCTAAAGGTGGTGTGTTGGAAATGTAGATTCCTTCATATCTATCACATTTCTCCCATCTCCCAGACTAGTCATTTCCTCCAACTGCATTTCAGTGGTTCTGAGGAGTTTGGAGGGCTCCTCCCTCCTTCTCTGGACTCAGCTCCACTGTCTTTTCCTGTTCACTAGTCAACTGTAAGCTGAAGAGAAGCAGCTGGGCAAATGAGAAAGGTCCAGTAGAGGTGAGCCCCTTCCATAAGGTCTTCTTCTGTCACCTCCAGACTTTGTCCAAATCCTCAGGGCAGAACTGATGCTGGCATGTACTGCACTAGGCACCAGATGGCTGGAGTATTTTTAGTCTTAGGGGAGGGACTAAAGAAGCAAGGTCTGATGGCTCGGGCGTGTCTCCAGCTTTTAAGTTATATAATGAAGATCTGCTGATGATGGAGCCAGTGAAAGGAAATGTTGAGCTATAGTCTGGTTCAGGGGCCTTTCAGCATAGAAGCTGATCTAATTATTTTACTCTTGAAAGTTTCAGTAAGATTAATGGTCTAGATTGTCTTTCTGTTATATAACAAATCATCTATAGAAGGATTAAATATTAATTGATAATCTCTAAAAGAAAGTTCTAAAGTTTCCCTTTCAAGGCTCTCATAAATGTACACTTTTCAAAATACAACTGAAGTTCTTGTTCCTTGCACCCGCCCCCACCATCCCATGAAATGATTGCAACATTTAACATGCCTTTACATGTCTATATCTGATCATGATAATGATATTTTTCTACTTGTTACTTCTATCCCCACCCCACCATAATGTGGAAATTGACATAAGTTATTTTGGAAAAGTAGAATGGAGACCAGATGTAAACATCTATAGTATAGTGGACAGAGAATTCAAAATTTTTTTACCTTGAAATCTTAAACTGTGAGACAGTTGATCTTTGCTTAAGATGACTGAGCTTGTGAGATCCAATTCTCCGTTTCTTTGTGCATATGTTTGTTTTATACTGGCTAGTGTTTTTTAATGGAAAAATAGTGTTTTGATTGACATTAGACTAATGTAGCATTTATGTTCTTTTTGGAATGTGATACATCTGATACCTATTTTACTAGTAAGAAAAAAGTGTAATCTCATCATAAAAAATTTATTCTTCTTTTGCCACATACTTATTTTGCTTCCATTTACTCCCTCTCATTGCGTATTTATTAAGATAATGAAGGAAAAAGAGGAAACATGGCTGTTGGCAATTTCAGCAGCTCCGTAGTACTTACATTGTTCAATAAACTTAATAATCTACATGGACTAATTCTGACTTATGGATGTCCTGCTTCAGTAAATCACGGTGATTTTCTCCAGTGAATAACAGACGAGTGCAGTGTGCCAGTACCTTAATTAAAGAGCGGCTCTCTTAGTCTTGATCTCATTTTAATTTACAGGGTAATACTACAATAATATCACTAATGGAAGGTACATTAAAGGGCATCAAGTAGCATTAACTGTATTAAATTATGGTACTTATGTTAATTAACTGCTGAAGCAAGATGGTTCTAATGGCCAAAAAGGTCATCTAATGCATAAATAAAATCTACTCAGATGAGGGGCAAGAGGAGAAATTAGAAGTAAATGTTTGTTCTGAACATCTTTTTATACAGACAGGGGGTTAAACTCAAAAGCTGTTAAATATAGATAATGTCCAAAATGTTTTCTTATTTACACCATTGGAAGCTTTGATTTTTAAGTATTTTGTTTCTTTGCAAGCTTTCCACAATTAAAATAATTGAAAAAGCGAGCACTGTATTTGTCAGCTGCATAGATTTTATGAAATATAAACTAAAAATTATTTATTATTTCTTTGAGGTAAACAATTTCAAAGAAATAATGTGATTTAATGTAATAATTTATAAATCTGAAAGACAAATGAATCTTTAGTAATCTACTCATTTATTTTTAAGATATGCTATCAGCCATATATCAAGGTACTGATTTTAGCCATAAGACAATGGAAATTCTATTTTAACAGTAAGAACTTGAAGAAAGTGGACTGGAAAACTCCCATCAACATCTTCAGTATTTACCCTTTAACAAAATATTCCTGAAGGTAATTATCGGTCATTTTTTCTCAATGGTCATTACACATTTCTTATCCCTTGCAGTGCCTACTCAGGCTCCATTATAGGTAGTTGACTGCCATAATAGTGAACAGTATTTTTTCCTTTTTCTACCTCCATTGTTTACCTCCAAGAAAGAAGCCTTGGAATATTAGCACAGAAGTTTCACTTCGACAAAACTTTTTGGTGCCATCTTCACTTCATGGCTGCCCCTGCTCAGAATCACACTCTCCCTGCCTAATCCCAGGACCTGCAAAGGGCCAGGACCAGAGCCACTATGACTAGGTGCCAGGAGTGAGGCAGGCCCCCTACGTCACTCTCAGGAGTCCAGCTTCTATGTGTAAACCTTATTCTTTGAATGTCACTGCCTTTATATTTGCTGTAATTAGAACAAGGTGGAGCTGACATCGTGTTCTTGAAGCACAACTTCCACATGGTTAGTGCGAAAGATGTGATGTCAGGCAAGCAAGAACACTTGGGGAAATTCAAAAGTATAAAAGCAGTAGAGCACTTTTTAAATTTCTGGAAAAATCAGTTATTCTGAAGGTTCCCTAAGTCTTTTTCCTAGCCACAACTGAAATAAATCTGAAATATTTACTTTTTACCTCTTTTGTAAGAGACATCCCACAAAAATGCTTTTAAAGCATTGAGCCTGGCCTTTATCTATTCTTTTCCAATTAGTCTCAATTATTGAGGTTGGGCTTTACTGCCACTTAACAGATTCTGCTTTTTATAACACCTTCTTCCTTTCTGTCATCCATAAATACTTATCCTCTACTCTGGGACAGATGCTGGCTTTGATGGTAGACAGACGAAGATGCACCAAGCATAGTCTCTGCTCTTAAGGAGCTGATATCCAGAAGGGACACAGACTTTATAAACAACAACGACAAAAAAAAAATGATGATAATGTGGGTTAAGTGATTTTACTGTGTGAATATTCAAAGTGCTGTGGTAGCAGAGAAGCTACTAATGTAATCTGGAAAGATTAGTAAAACCTTTGATAAAGATGTGACATGTATGATGTCTTGAAATATGGGTTTTATTGTGCCAAGCAGCCAGGAAAGAATGGATATCCTAGGCAGACAAATTATACCTAAAAACAGCACAGCATGTTAAGGAACTCCAAGCAGTAAAGAATTGATGGAGTTAAGAGTCCTGAAGATGTTCTACCATCTTCCCTTTATGGGTCTTCAGCATGTTCAGGAAGCTCTGAAGGATTCCTACCTCTTTCTCTCTGATTCTCCCATGCCATAAGAAACCCAAAATCTTATGGAGTCTCCGTATTAATTGACTACAAGTGAGGAACAGTTTTTAAGGCAATTGTAGTAAAGGCTATTCTGGTGTAACTGTGCAGACTGGAAAGCTATAACATTGCTTAATTGTGGAGCAACTATAGCTCCAAGCCCTGATGCTCAAGTGGAGAATCCAGAAAAGCTCTCCATATTCCACAGGAGCCATCATATGGCAGTGGTCTCAGATTTGCTTACAAAGTCAGTAGGACTTGTTGACCAGTCAGATTTTGGGGAAGACTTCCTAGTGAATTGGATGGTGGGGCCAAAACTAAAATGGGGAATAAATACTGAAACAGGCTTTTAGTTAATTCATGATTTAGCTAGTTATTTTGTTGTGCCATTTCAAGTAGTAGAAATTCAAGTAGAGATTCTAGTTAGGGATTTGAAAATACTTGTCTAGTGTTGTAGAGAGAGATTTGAGCTCAAATATAGGTTTGAGAATTATTACCTTATGTGTTATGGTGGACTCTTTGAGAATCGATGACATTGAGGATTTTTTTGTTCATAGGTATAAATGACCATTATAGAACATTTACAGAATCCTGTGGAATACTACTATGTAAAAGGTAATTTCTGAAGGAAATTGAGAAATAATCTGAGAAAATTCAAAGAGAAGGGAATGAGTTAATGTCATTCTAATAGTCCCCACTCATATTTAAGTAATAATCCTTTAAATTTGTATAGCATTCAGTTTACAAAATTCTTGTCAGGTACCTTATTTCCTTTAGTACTTACAGGACACTTGTGAGGCAGGTGTTGGTTAACCCCATTTTACAGAGGAGAAAACTGAGGACCAGAGGAGTGCCGTGACTTTTTCTTTAACGTCACACATAACAAAGTGGTAAAATCAGGTTTTTCACGGCAAACCTTAGGCTTTTTCCAAGCATTATGCTCTTACAGTCACACCAGCCAGAGATCAGCTCAGTATATATAGAAGACCCCAAAAATTCCCAGAGAAGCCATCTTTAAATAGCAACAATGAATCAATACATCTTATGACTCTGCCCCTCTTAGAATGTTCTGGGAGTCACACTCTCCATGGCTTTTGGCTCAGTATTTTATTACACCAGGCTGCTCTGTGTTTATCTGAACTCTAACTTCTTACTTCATTTTTATCAACTTTCAAATGTGTGATTGGGCTCATTTGTCACATTGTGTTAAGTCTAGGTGTTTTACTACTAAAATCAAATTGTGATGATAGCTTCTTATTTTTCCATGGGGAGACAAAAATAAATAAATAAGCTGTATTTTCTCAATGTTAATTTTTCTCCCATATTTCTTCATAAACTTTTATTATGTACACCTGCTTTCAACTAATGGGCATCATCAAACACTAAAACAAGTCATATATCTTAATGGATAAACTTGGAAATAGCCAACTACCTTCGCTTATTTTAAGCAAGTTCATACTTCAAGTGAGGGCAATATGTTTTTCCTTTAACTTCCACATATAAGTCCACATTCTCTCTTCTGAAACTATTTTGAATAAGTGTGCTGCCTCTTTCATATAATAAAATTTCATAAATTTTTAATCAATGATTCTCTCCACCAGGTCTTTTTTTCAAGCTAAATGGATATTAAACCATTCCACTAAAATTTAATTTACTCTCCTTTTAAAAGGCAGAATGAAGTCCAGTAAATAAGAGTATTCAAATGAAAAGCATGGTAATCATAATTAAAAATTAAAAACCAACATAAAACATTGCTACTTAACTCCAGTGGAAACATTTAGAATAAAGACTTTATCGTATGCACCCATTGTAAGTGGACAACTGAGGGACATTCTGATTTGGAGCATATTTTTAAAATCTATTAGAAAATCTTGAATTATAAAGAGAATATATGCATAAGCAGCTCATTTTCCTCTGAGGTTTGTACTATTATAAGGAGAGAATGTATCTAATAATTCCTCCATTTAAATTATGAAATTCATTAGCATGCAGAAAAACAATCCGGTTTAGGAGCTTGTCTCTTTATCCTTAATTCCCTAGTGCCATAGATTTTTTAAGCTAGTGGGTCGTTAAAGGGAAGATGTCTCTTTTTTAAGAAACATAAGGATATTTAAGCAAAATACCACAAAATGGATAAATAAAATAATTTCTTCCCTCATTTAACTTAGCATTTGTAAGGGAAGCTACATTCTAGCTACATCTGCATGCCCAAACAATGGGAGGCAGCAGTACACCAGCTTCTGCAGCCCTGTTTTTTATCCTAAATCTGTGGTCTGCATCTTTGGAATGTCTTGCTGTCTTTCTGTACCTAGGATCAGAGTTTTTTCTTAACACGTTAGGAGATGTTGGCCATTGTTTGATACTTAGTGCAAGAGTTTTTTGAGACCTATGTGATCAATGGTTCAGTAAAGAGACTATTTCCATTCATTCTCCAAATAAATACAAGAACAAATGAATTTTATCACAGTAATTTGATTGTGTGGATTGATATATTGATTCTGTTGCAATATGGGTCTATATTTTCAATTCAATAAGCCACTTTTAGAACTAAGTATATTAGTTTAACCAGAAATGACTGCACTGCATAAAAACTCATGGTTACTATTTCTACCTCCCTTTTATAGGTAGGAAAACTACATCTAAACAAGGTTAATCAATAGCAAAGGGGAAAGGAAAATTTAAAAATTACTTATGTTGGTGTATAAATTTGTTTCTCAACTCCCCTTGAAAAACATTGAAAAAAATGGATGGAAAGGCTTTGAATATGTGAAACAGGAGCCTCACAAACCCTACTGGTCCAGAAGATTATAAAAGTAGGGTAGTTACTACACTGGCTCTCTCTTGCATTGTGACTGGTACCTAAGACAACTGATATTGTGCTATAAATATATTGAGAGGATAGAGGACAAGTCATTAGGATTTTAAAATCATTATCTACCTTATTTTAGAAGGAAACATTGGCTAAGAGTCAAGAGAAATAGATTCTCACTCTGGTTGTGCTAATAATTCTTTGTCAGCTCAGAATAGGTCACAGTTACCATAATCAGAGTCTCCTCATCTACAAAATGAGATTTTTATACTATTTTACTGTTTCTCAGGATGTACTCTTCAAATAAAGTCCATGATGGTCAAAAACATTTTGGAAGTGTTCACAATACTTCCTTCTATGAGAATCACAATGTATATTCATATATTAAAGACCCTGAGGTGTCCTACAGTAAAGAAACATTTCTATTTTATTGAAGACAGAGCCTCTAGAACTTACTTAGTCAAAAAACATATATTAGTACCCATAAACGACTAGTATTCGCAGAACTCTTTAAGCTCCAACATTGTTGGACTCTTTGTAAGATTGAAGGAAATACATGAAAACATCGTGTGTGTGTGCATGTGTGTGTTTGTGTGTGTGTGTGTGTTTAAACTATTTGCAGTGCTAAAAACAGATTGATTTTTCAAAGCAAGTTCCAACTTTAGTTATCATCCTTCCTATATTACTGCTACTTTGGGTGAAAAAGTGAGACTGTCGTAGAGAAAGACTAACCTCAATGAAGAGTATCTCTTTTTTTTTTTTTTTTTAACTGTCGCTCTTATTTTTTGAACCTTGGAGTACTATGCATCCTTCTTTAAGAATTATAGGAAATTAAGTACTGTATTGGAATAAATAGGGATTTTTTTGTTTTGTTTTTAGGCTAGTGAAATTGTGATGGAAGAGTCAGCAAAGATGTGAAAAATGAAATGCCAAGTGGTACAATCTGGTGTATTTTGTAGATAAATAGAGATGCTAAAGGATTTTTATTCCTCCCATATGTAAGTGCCTCAAACTCTAATTACAGCAATGAGCTAAAATCATGTATTGAAAGAAAAATTAGATTAACCAGTATTTAATATATTCTTTTTTTTTCATTTGCTTTGGAGGATATTCTTGAAACCACAAGCTAATTTTAGTTAAATGAATCTTGCCTTTCTTTTGCTAATTAGGACTGTTAATGAATAACAAATCAGAGCCCAGTAAAACTGAACATTGTATATAGCTAAGGATATCACCTTGTCTAGGAATTGTGTTTTTGTCCTGGCCGCTTTTACTCATTTGGTGCTAACAGAATATCAGGGAAGCAAAGCTGTTATAACATATTGATGACATCCATGTGTAATTATAGATACTCCAGTGCTGCTGGGAACAGGGAACAGATGGGGGAAGGGTGGGCCAAGAGATGATGGGTGGGGGAAGTCTAAGAGGTCAGAGATTTGGCAGGTTGGAAGGAGACAGCATCATTAACTCCAGTATTGGATTTGTATAGACAGGGTGTACGCCACATAGAGTCATAGCATTGCAAAATCATTTCTTTTAGAACTGAAAAAAAAAACATAAAAATAATTTAATCTAACTCCTTTTTCAGATGTGAAACAGAATGGTTAAATGAATTAGTCAAGGATGACACTGTTGCATAACTAGAATTTAGACTCAGAGGGAACTTTCAGTTTACTCACTGATCTGCGTCCCGTGCCTACAACTAGGCCTGGCGCATATTAAAAGTTCAATAAATATTTATTGATGGAATGAGAGAATGATTGCAGAATATCCTTCTAAGCATCACGTAGAGGACCATTCTGAGGACGGTTTTCCCATTAGGTATGCTATGGCCACCTCTAAATATTCCCCACACAAGACTGCAAGAGAATTGGAGCTTAGCCCATTGTTTTTGGCTATGTCACTTCATCCAATCAACCAGATCGCAAAGCTTCAGGCTTTAACCAATAGTCCAAACTTAAAGAATAAAATATATCTACTTCAGATAACAGAGTAAGCTATGTACTTGGGTTAAATGAATACCACTCCACTCAAATACACACAATTTCTTTTATTATTTGTTTGATTGGTCCTTTTAAGATCAGAAATTGTGATCCTTAATCCCTTTCCTGGATGAAGAGAAGTCCATGAAAAGGAATGAACTGCTCTCATTCTCAAGCAATATTTAGTAAAATCGCAATATCACTATACATCCACGTCCCAAAGTTGTCTTCAAATGATGTTTGCTTCTTGAGTTTACCAACCAAAGGGACTTAAAATGCTATTTAAAAACCTTACAACTTGTAAATGATGCCTTTACATATTGATAGGTTCAAAGCTGGGGTTTCAAAGAGTTTGAGCTGAGGAGACATGGAAACAGGCAGTGGCCAAACTCAACTATATACATGTATCTGCTGAAACTTTTATGAACATATGTCTTTATGAAAATAATTGAAGTTCATTATATACTCTTAAGTGGCAAAATAGGATTAAAAATATTAATAGCGTGAGGCTAATTATGAGAAGGAGGAAAAAAGAGAGAATGAGACAACACAAATATAGTTGGCTAATAGTGGTGGAATTGTGAGTAATTTTTATCTAATTAGTTATGATTTTCTATTTTTTTTCATTTTACTCATTGTATCGTCAGAAAAAAATAGTTTTTAAAATTAAGTTAAAATTCAGCAAAGTTGCAGGATACAAAAGCAACACACAAACATCAGCAGTGCTTCTATACACTAACAATGAAGGTCCAACAGGAAATTAAGAAAACAATTCCATTTACAATAGCGTAAAAATAATAAAATGGTTAAGAATAAACTTAACCAAGATCCAAAAGCCTTGTACACTAAAAACTGCAAAACAGTGCTGAAACTAATTAAAGAAGACACAAATAAATGGGAAGACATCCTATGTTCATGGATTGGAAGTCAATGTTGCTAAGATGTTAATACTACCCAAAGCTATGTACAGATTTAATAGAATCTCTATCAAAATCCCATTGACGATATTTTCCGAAATAGAAAACTTCATGCTAAAATTCATATAGAATTTTAAGGGACCTGGAAATAGCCAAAATAACATTGAAAAAGAAGAATAAAGTTAGTGGCGTCACTGGGGTTTTTATGTTGTTGTTCTTTTTTTTTTTTTAATTTCAAAACTTACTACAAAGTCACAGTAGTCAAAACTGTGTGGTACTGACATAAAGATAGACATACGAACCAAAGAAATAGAATAGACAGTCCCAAAATAAACCCTCACATGTATGGTCAAATAATTTTCAACAACGTTGCCAAGACCATCGAGTGAGGAAAAGACAGTCTTTTCAACAAATGATGTTGGGAAAACTGAACAGTCACATGCAAGAAAAACAAACCAAAAAAGGAAGTTGGACCCTTACCTTACACCATATACAAAAACTAATTCAAAATGCATTAAAGACCTAAATGTAAGAGCTAAAACTATGAAATGTTTAGAAAAAAACAAAGGAAGAAAACTTCATGACATTAAATCTGGCAATAATTTCTTGGATATAACATCAAAAGCACAGTCAACAAAAGCAAAAATGGGTAAGTTGAACGTCATCAAAATTAACAACTTTTGTGCATCAAAGGACACTGTCAACAAAGTGAAAAAGCAACCCACAGAATGGGTGGGAATATTTGTAAATCATATATTTGATAAGGGACTTTTATCCAGAATGTATAAATTACTCTTACAATTCAACAACAAAATAATCCTAATTAAAAAATGAGCAAAGGACTTAAATAAACATTTCTCCAAAGAAGATATATAAAAATGGTCAATAAACATAGGCAAAGATGCTCAAGATCATTAGTCATTAGGGACATGCAAGTCAAAACCACAATGAAATACCACTTCACACCCGTCAGAATGATTACTATTCAAAAACATAAAATAACATGGTTGGAAAGGACATGAAAAAATTGGAGGGTTTTTGCTATACTAATGAAATGGTACAGACACTGTGGAAAACAGTGTGGCGATTACTCAAAAAACTAAACATAAAATTGCCATATGATCCAGGAATTCCATTCTGGGTATATATCCAAAAGAAGTTAAAGCGGAAGCTTGAACAGATATTTGTACATCCTGTTCATAGCAGCATGGTTTGCAACAGCCAAAGGTGGAAGCCACCCAAGTATCCATCGATGGATCAGCGGAAAACCAAAATGTGGCATATACATACAGTGGAATTTTATTTAGCCACAAAAAGGAAAGAAATTTTGACACATGCTACAACATGGATGAAACTTAAAGACATTATGCTAAGTGAAATAAGCCAGTCACAAAAGGACAAATGTTACATGATATGCAACTTATATGAGTGTCCTAGAGTAAGCAAATTCATAGAAATAAAGTATAATGGTGACTGCCAGGGGCTGGGGGCAGATGAAAAAGAAGATTCATTTGTAATGAGCACAAAGTTTCAGTTAGGGAAGATAAAAAAGTTCCAGAGATGAATGATGATGATGGTTGCACAACAATGTGAAAATATTTAATGCCACAAAACTGTACATTAATAATTAAAATAGTAAATTATGTGTTATGTGTATTTTAACAACAACAACAAAAATAACTGCACAAACAATACTCCTTGACTCAGCAAAGTAAAACACAGAAATTCTGACATATATCCATGTGTCTTTCTTCTCTGTCCTTATGAAATCTTCTAGTCTTTTCCCACTTTTAATGTTATTCTTGGTTTTGAGATGGAGGAAGATGTTCAACAGGTTTCGAAGTTTGTACGGGGCTTCACAATGAGGAGTCTAGTTGGAGGAAATAGGATGTGAAGCAACAGAAAATAAGTTTTAGAGAAAGAATTTGGCCAGAACTTAACTAATCAAAGAACATTTTCTGTGTAGAGGAGCGGTGAAGCACAGAGAGCAAGGGAGCTTAAGGGGCAGATATAATAATAGTAGTGGAGGATATTTAATATCAGACTGAGTTTTTATTTCATACTGTAGGTAAGCAATTGGAACCACTATAGGCCCTTGTAAAGTGGCCTATGTTGGGGATGATGCCACTGTTAGAAAAAGACTTAAAAGAGTGTGTTACCATCTGTGCATAAAATGGTTTGGAAGAGGGATGTAATTGACTGTTGAAATAACTTTCATGAAACATGAGGGTTGTGGATAGAGAAAGGAAGAAGTAAATGTGAAAAGTAGGTTTTAATAATACAGAAAGTAGGTTTGCCCCTAACATTTGCAAGGTTGGGGAAAAAATAAAAATACAAGCCCACATACCATATGCCTAAATATGTATAAAACATAAGCTGAACTACACCACTGTTTGACTCATGTTTCCATCCTGAGTCCCATAGCTCACTCCCCATAGTGTGACAAAAGGGGCCATCATCTCTCCCCAGCTAGGTCTGCTGCTGCAAGCCTGAGCTAGAGGAAGGTAGAAGCTATGTCCTTGACCCAAGACTCTTAAGTAGTAACTGGATCTACATGAACTTGGGATGGAAACTTACCCAGGCAAGCACCTAGGAGGCCAAGCCAGGAAATTTATCCTCTTCCATGATTCACTTCTTCATTTCAGGATTTCCAGGTAGTTCTAAGCACCTCCCAAAATTACACCAAGAGTTCTTCTTCTGGTAGTAGCCAAGCATGTCTTATCATGCTGACTCTCCGGTTCACAACAACTACAAACTCTGAACTAAATATCAAAACAATTATTTGAAGGCCCTGGAGAATGACCACAGAGAATAGGGTTCTGTACTTAGAGGCAGCAGCCAAGGTCAAAACTTTAAAAAAATAATAATAATAAAACACAAAGATAAAACAAAGTAAGAAGCTTTAAAAAAAAAAAGGAAATAGGATTTTGGATGGAAAGTATATTACAAAAATATATTGTTTTTCTTTGGAAAAGTGTTTTTAAAAAAAGAAAAAAGTAAGTGGCATTTTTGTGGGAAATTGTAAAGCTTCAATAGAGCTCTTTAACAGCATAGTACAATATTCTACACTCCCAGGAAGAGCAAGTCAGTTGAGAAATCCCATCCACATTCACTTTAGAACCATTATTATTGCCCACCTGGCTGATTATGGATGGAGGAATATAAGGATGCAGCACATAACCCTTCCTGGTTCAAAGCTAGGCCTCCAGCTCCACTAGGGGCTCTCAAATTCTCTTTGGTTCTCTCAGATCTTCCCACTTCTCCAGCCGTTGTTAATTTGGGAAGTCAACAGGTTACAATCTATCAGACAGGGCTTCTTCTGTGTTCCAGGGTGACCCATTTAAAGGAAGCAATGAAGTGTTCTGGAAATGTATAGTGTTAATATCAAAGGAGACCCTGGCAACTGCCTTCTTAACCTCTGCACTAAATAGAATTTAAAATATAAAGATCCTATAATGTATAACATACACTTAAATGAAAAATAGCCCAAAGAAAGTGAGAAATATACTATAATTTAAAAAGGAAAGGGTTTCATTTGGCAAATAGCTGTAACCATTTGATTAAATCTGTTAATACCATGCAGACATTTTGCTACTTTAGTAGCAATTTATGTTTGTGGACTAAGAAAGAAAAGAATAATCAGTTCTGTTTAGTAAACTAGAAATGACTTTGTTAGCTTTGTGAGAACATGACAATTGGTAGGAATATAAAGGAGTAAAACATTATTTAGCTGGGAATCAGATCACGTGAATTCTTATCCCAGAACTGTAACATGGAAAATAATATCTACCTACTTCTCTTTCACGAATGTAGAATATAATACAAATAAATGTAAACTCTTAAGTATTTTGTGCTTAGTATAATAGTTCCTGGCAGGGTTCCAGTTGCTAGAGATACAAAGATGAAAAGCCACAGTCCCTGTCCTCAAGTTGCTACCATCTGGATGAGCTGACAGCTACTTCAAGAGAAAAATTATGAAGCATCATGGTTTGTGCAATGATAAGGATGTGCATAAGGGTACTGTGGCAACAGCAGGGAGGAGGAAGAGCAGCAGCCCAGACCTCTGGGAGGACAGACGCTTTCTGGATGACGTTCTGATAGTCTCAATTTCGTCAAGGTTATTTCTAAACAATTATCTCCATATGTTATCTTAAACTAAATGAAATTCTCCTTATTAATCATTTTAAATGGTTGATTATCTAATGGTTGAAAATATCTTATGCCTTATTTTAGTACCAGATCTGTATATATGCTTAGAAAGACATGCTTTATTTCTCCTTTCCCTAAGATAGGCATATCCAGAAAATTGATAGGCATAACCAGTGGAGGTGGTTTCAGACACACAGAAATACTGAGTAAAATGTGGACTTGCAAGACCACATGTTGTTTAATCAGACTGAATGAAAGGCTCAATTTTCAATGCTAAGTTAATCCTGTTTTCATTAAATATAAATGTTATTTATGGAAAACAGGAGCCCTGCAGAAGCAAAAGAATATCTCTCAGGGTTACACATTTTATATTTGTTTAGCACTGATGAGTTTAAACCAAGAGGCTTCTTTGCAATTTGATTATTTGCTGCTTTCCTTGATATTGATTATTCTATCAGATTTTTCTACCAACAAAAACATATGTAAAGATTCCAATGTTATTTTACTATCAAAATGAGATGCCAGAGGAAATTACACACCACAGGTAAGTTTTTAATACAAACTAAAATCAGAAAAATCAAGTGTGGTTTGTTAATGAACTCTGGTTTACATAGAGAGGCAACAGAGAGTGGCTTTAAGGCTGACAGACCTGGGTTCAAATCACAGCTCCTCCATTTGTTTACTTGATAGACTTTAGAAAAATCACATAATTTAAACATCTCAGAGTCTCAGTCCCCATCCATAAAATATACAAATGCTACCCACATTTGCAAGTTATTTTCAAGTTTATTAATGTGTATAAAATGCAAGTACATATTAAACTAAGTAGTGGTTATTACCATGAGGCTCACGAAATGGTAGCTACAATGAATATTGTGACTTTGAAAGTAGCTTTGGGCCAGGTGCAGTGACTGTAATTCCAGTGCTTTGAGAGGCCAAAGTGAAAAGATTTCTTGAGGCCAGGAGTTTGAGACCACACTGGACAACATAGCAAGACCCCATCTCTTATAAAAAAGAAAGAAGTAAGTTTTGTTTTATTTTTAATTATTTTTTATATTAGTTTCACAACAATATATTGGCCCTGTCAAACTTAACCACTAGTATTTTGTCTTCCTCTACTAACTCTTTCCACTTTCTTATATTGATGGACCGAGTTTATATTAATTCTACTATATAATTCATATCCTATTGTACTGCCATTAATGTGCACTTATCTGTCTTAATTGTTTCCTTCCTCTTTAAAGACCTCAGCAGCTTAAATTTATCATTACCATATTCCTAGAGTTCTCTATTGGTAGAGATTCCCATGAAAATTAAAACTGGGAATTACAAAGGGGGAAGAGCAAGCTTAGTTTTCTAAGATTGGCTTCTTGAGCCCTGGGTAATGAAGTTATATTATACCCCATTTCCTCTGGGTTGCAGATGCTCATTTATCCTCACCGATGATGGATGGCCTACTTTGACATTTTGCATGGATGGCTCTTGAGAATGAAAATCATGCTTATAAAAGATTCATTGGCTCATCCTACAGTCCTAACATTGTCACCTTGACACACAGTGACAGCATTGTAATATCCATTGACCCTGTTGGTCAGCACAAAAAAGGAGAATATGTTTCAGGATCATCTATGAGAGAAAAAGAGTTTGGGATTTCTTTTTCATAGAATGCAATAACTAATGAATTTTTAGTTCTATTTCTCTTCTGGCTTCAGGAAAGCTGGTTTTGAAAGACAGCAAAACCCTTGTGTCCTGGGAGGTTAAGAGGTCACCAACTTAAGAATCACATCCAGTTTAGAGGTGTATCTATGAGTTGTGAGGAAATTGGAACAGGGGTTCCGCAGGAAAAGGAAAAAAATATGTGAGTGCATTAGAGTGGACAATTTACTAAAGAAGATAGGATAAAAACAAATTATGTATTAATAAATGACATCAAAAACCCATTTAAAATTAGTCACTATAAGTCACTTTTTGTTTAGTAGTCGTATTTTATATACATTTTATATTGAGTATATCCTATTTTAAAAGCAAAGTAGACTTATGAAAATAAGCATTTTGGTGGGTTTAGGAATAACTTATAATCACTTTAACCACTTAAAAATAAAATGTGACTGACTTCAGTTTCCAGGGAAATTCTGACATAAAAATATGTTAGCCCCCTGAATTAAAGAAAAAGTATGACTGAAGCATTAATAGAATGATAATTACAGAGGCATTACCATAATCATAAGAGGAATGCCATGGTTCAGATTTAACTGCTTTGCACAAATAAAACAGTAAACTATAAAAAATGTAAAATATAAAGGAGGGCTCTGTACATTGAAATATGTGTCTTTGCACTCAACTAATTAGTTGCTACTGAATGTTTTTGCTTTGCTCAGTGGCATGTGGTACATAAATCATTGCAATATGTTAAATGCAAATGGTTGTTAATAGAGAAACCATCTGCTCCATGCTGGAGAGTTTGTTAAAAAGAATGTGGTGAACCTACTTTGGATAATGTTGAAAAACTCAAATGCCAAATTTCTAAAATGAGCTGCCTCTGTTAACCCCAACATTACTAATACTCCCCTGGCCTTTTAAATTCTCCAAGTTCATCACTAAAACACTCGTAACACAGTCTGTGCTGTTTTAAACAACCCCATTGGCTACTTCTAAAGGCAGAATTATCCTATAGAGGTGTCATACCACAGAGACCTACAGTGTTCTAAAATTGTGTTCAGGGATTTAGAACGACCAATAAATAATCAAACGATCCTCTCCAGAATATCTTTGCTAACATGGATAAGACACACTCCCTATCCCTGTGCCTCCTAAAAGCTATTCCTTTGCAGCTATAGATCACTGGTAAGTTGCTGGCTGATGATGAAATATCATGGGTATCATCAGTGTTTGCAACCTCCACCTCCTGTAATCTACAATACTGTATTTCTTCAAAAGATCATCAGTGCAGAGGGGAGCCATGATTTCTCTCCCAACATACTTTATTAGATGTTGTCACATAGCTTCCTAATAATGTCTGCCAGACTCACTGGTGACAGTATAAAACATGGGAAAATTAGTAATAGGAATCAGAGCCTTCATAATTTCCAATGTCACGCTCCACTTTTTGGCAAAGAAGGGAATGTTCCTTAATCCTGCCCTTTCTAATCAGCTCCTGGTCAAGGTTGTTGTCAATATATTTAAGAGCAAGCCGCCATGATGATCTACTATATTAACATCCATTGGAAGTGTGTTCACATGATGCAATACCCAAAACAGAACCTTGGCCGTGAAAGAACAACCATAGAAATTAACTATGGATGAAGATCTTCAAGCCCACAATTTCTTTGAAGCCAAATGCAAGGTATGATTATTGGCCTACTGCTATCTTGGCTTTCTTGACCCTACTTTTTTTTTTTTCCTTTCATTTCCCCCTTCTACTTTTGGCTTTTACAGTACCTGATTTCAGATTGTGCTTTTGGGGATTCGCCTGCAGAAGAAAAGGCTGCAGGAGAGCTCATTAGCCCAGCAGACGCTCTATCCCTGAACGAATTATACAATGAAAAGCTGCTTCTGAGGGCCACCAAAAAGAGCCAGGGCTTTGTGGAGATGGGCAGCCCTGCAGTGCAATAGAGGCTTTTTATTTGTTAAAAAGGAATTTTGTACTAAAAACATTTCTCTTTGTTTGTTCTCGTGAAAAAAGGAGCCTCCTGAAGGCTGCGTGCATTTGATGACTCCATTTTAAAATGAACACTTGTCAGTTTCCAAAGGGGGCTGCTGCACTTGGAAGTTACACAAAACCATTCTGAGATGGAGAGAGACTGGCACAATAATCAGACAAGCGATACCTGAAAGGCAGAGTTCTGCCTGTGAATTTGAGAAGCTGGAATACTGAATTGGATTCCAACAATGATCCTGAGTCCTTACAAAGCCCATGTTTTAAACTTGGAGTCTAGAAAAAAAAAAATCTTACATTATCTAATTACATTAGTTTATTGAGCTATGGTATCACTTTGGTTCCCAGAACGCCACTTTAATTTAATTTAGATTTTGTTACTTCTTCCCCTCCAAAAGGAAAACTTTACCATAGAGGCATATTTATTGTTTTTAATGCTTATGTTTGGAAACATTTACTAATTTATTTTCCCACTTAATTACAGGGAACAGGAGGATTGATATTTACCAAAGTTTTTATGGAAAAAGAAATGAAAAGTTTCTTTGATCTAAAATTATGATCTGACTTTTTTTGTTTGTTGTTTTGTTTTGTTTTTATTTTAGGAGAGGACAGGGCTCCTAGGGAGACACGAAGAGCCAACAAAAGCCAGCTGCATTCATCAACCTTGAGTCTTTTGTGTAGGGAAGTGCATTTGGGTCATTGCTGCCTTCTCAGCAGAATCCTATGGGGCCTCCCCAGTATACTTGCTGATATTTAGTGACACACACACCAGCAGGGAGGGGATTCAAACACATTCCATCTGTTGGTGTTTTAATTTTTTTCAAGTCTACTTGATGAAGTGTTTGTCAGCAAACTTGTCATTCTGTTGTATTTGTGAGGTTTGGGCCCTCTTCTTGGGCCCAAAGATATCTCTGAGATACAAAACAGAATTTCATAACCCTCCCTTAATACCTTTTTTATACTGTCAGTGTCCTCAATTCTAAAACATTTTTCTCACTTTTATTCTGAAACTCTTTTGGGTCATAAAGTTCAAGTTGTCTAGTTGGCTGACAACAGTGTTTATTTATCCTCAAAGATAAGGTTAATTTTTTAAACCTTGCCTTCTCCTTTACAGTGTAGCAATCTGCTTTAAAACAGCAGGAAAAAAAGTTGATTTGTGAATAAAACATCTAGTTTTCTTTAAAACAGATGAAAACTATGTAGTTTATTTTTACTATCAGGAAAAGCATAGCATTCAAACACTGATATCCCTGGAGTAGTTCCAAAATGTTGCTTGTAATATTTTTGTCTTTCTAAGAAGGATAAGACCCAATAATTCCAAGAGAGACTAGGGATCACGTCGTCTTGTAGGTCTGACCATGAAAATCTCTCCAAATGTTTTGAGTTTGTCTCATTTATTTACCTGGGAATTTAAATGCAGAGTTCCAGAGCTATACGGAAAATCTGGGTAAAATCAGATAACTGATCTCTACCCTGCTTGATGACAGAATTAGTTATCAAAATAGAGAAGAGCTAACATTCGAAACATTATAAGCCGGAACTACTTACTGTTAGCTAATACTCAGAATAACTGACCCTTATTATTCTTTGTGTGAATCCAAAGAGCCCAAAGGGTTATTTTCAAAGTTCTGTGGATTATGCTGGAAGGCAATGTGCTCAGCAGGTCACTAGACAGGTGTGAGCCGCTGTGGCACAGAAGTTACAAACATAGCAGCAAGGGAGAGCGGATTACTTTGGCTTTCTCCTTTGAAATGGCATTTTTCTGGGATAGGAACTTCAGATGGCATTTCATATTATTCATGACGGCAACCTTCAGTCCAGCACCATTGTTCTAAAAAACCCACCTGCAGGCTGATAACTGGCCCTCATCTCAAACAGTCTGAATGTCACCCACTGTATTTTACGTGCAGCCTTTGCAGTACCTTAGAAATTCTTTTACCTCAACTAATCCCCATAAGAAAAGTGTACTGCCTGCCCTAGATTTTCACTGTTTTCTCTTTTTCTTTAAAAACTTTCTGATTGGAAAGATTTTCATTCCTAGGTTATGTATGTGACATGGTGAGCAATACCCTCTTCTCATTTCCAGACTGAGGGTATATATAGTCTTCTCAGAATTGAAAGTGTTCATTAGTTCACTTGGCATAGATTGTATAACTTGTGAATCTATTTTCTGAGAAGGGATTTCCTTCAGGCCCTAATGTATCAGAAAAGGTACAGTTACATCAACCAGCAACACACAAAAAAGGCACACCTGATAAGCCTCGATTTGAGTTGGGGTCTGGTGTCTCCCTGCCTATGTGGCTGATGTGTTGCAGTCTGATTTGCCCAGGCATTGCAATTTCTATAGATTTCAAAAAAGGAAAAATGTAGGAGACTAAGAAATACTGAACTACAGCCAACAAGAAATGACTGAAGTTTTTCTCCATCAGTAATACAGCTCTGGAAGAAGATTGATCCCTGATCAATTTGGCACTATGAGGAAACTGCATTTCTTTGGCTCTGGGTATAGATTTACTACAGTCAGCTGGCCAGAGGCAAAGTGGTGTTTGAGTGAGCCATTCTGATACCCTTTAAGACTGCAGGCTGGAGAAAAAGACCATTCATTTGATGGCAACCCAGATGCAGAGTGGGAACTTACCAGATAACTGGATTTCAGGTAGTGGCATGGACATGACCCATGCCCCTTTCTAGGATGGCAGCTTAACTACATAGGTTCTGATGGCTGTTCTGGATTTAAAATACTTTTCTCTCAAGGTGCACACACAAATCTGCTATATATTTAGATTTTTTTGGCAAGTTTTAAAAAACTCCTCAGAGATGTCAAAACAAGTGAAAAATTTATATCCAAGATAAAATGTTCAGTAGCTAGTTTAAAAAGGAACTTTGATCAAACTGAGGGGACCAGAATAGCATTTGGAGGTTTATTGCAAGGCACCCCCTACTTAACACATTCTTTCAAGATTGCTTAAAGATGGCTAATCTTGCCCCTATAACAGCCAGGACTTTCTTATTTTGTATATGCATTTGTGAAGAATGTGAACATAGTAGGAATTCAAAAAACAGCAGCTGCACCTTAGTTCTTTCACCTCTGCCATGATCTCTTTTCTATCCTAAAAAAAAAAAAAAAAAAAAAAAAATGAAAAATCCTTTTTGTGGGGACATGTGCTGACCCAGGAAAACAGTGGTGGCAGAAGCAGCTACAGCATGTTTTAGGGGTGGAAGGAAGAGGAAGAGGTAGGGAATAAAGAACAAGGCAAAGCAAGCAGGAGGAGCAGACTTCTAGAGTGAGACAAAAATGGTCACAGTAAGGCTTCCTATCACTTGATGGGCATCTTTGTCGTCACACAGACTGGATTCAAATCCATCTCTCCATCATTTACCATCTCTGTAACTTGGGTGATGACTTCTCTCTGAGCAATAGTTTCCACGTCAGTAAAGTGAGAATAATGACTGGCCTCAGGCTGGGCATGGTGGCTCACACCTGTAATCCTAGCACTTTGGAAGATCAAGGTGGGAGGACTGTTTGAGGCCAGAAGTTCAAGATCAGATAGGCAATATAATGAGACCCCCGTATCTAGAAAACATTAGAAAAATTAGCTGGGCATGGTGGTGGGTGCCTGTAGCACCAGCTACTTGGGAGGCTGAGGCAGGACGATCTTTTGAGTCTAGGTGATTGAGGCCGCAGTGAGCCGAGATTGCTCCACTGCATTCCAATTTGGTCAACAGAGCGAGATCCTATCTCTTAAAAACAAACAACAAAACAAAACAAAACTGGCCTCATGAGATTGTTGAGAGAATTAGCATATAGTGTGCTGCACTTGGTGTCTAGTACATACATGGTAAGAATTGTTATTTGTCATGATTTATCTGTGTTAGTCCATTCTCACACTGCTATGAAGAAATACCCGAGACTGGGTAATTTATAAAGGAAAGAGATTTAATCGACTCACAGTTCTGCATTGCTGGGGAGGCCTCAGGACACTTACAATCATGGCAGAAAGCAAAGGAGAAGCAGGCACCTTCTTCACAGGGTGGCAGGACGGAGTGAGTGCCAGCAGGGGAAATGCCAGATACTTATAAAATCATCAGATCTCGTGAGAACTCCCTCACTATCATGAAAACAGAATGGGGAAAATTAGCCCCATGATCCAATTACTTCCACTTGGTCCCACCCTTGACACGTGGTGATCATGAGGATTACAATTTGAGGTGAGATTTGGGTGGGGACACAGAGCCAAACCATATCATATCTGTGGTTCTGACATCCTTGCCTTCTGACTGCCTATCTTCTCTGTCCCCATATTGGTACCCAGTTTTTTTGTTTGCTTTTTTTGTTTGCTTTTATTATTATTATTATTATTATTATTATTTGAGATAGAGTCTCACTCTGTTGTCCAGGCTGGAGTGCAGTGGCATGGTCTTGGCTCACTGTGAACTCCACCTCCTGGGTTCAAGCAATTATTCTGCCTCAACCTCCTGAGTAGCTGGGACAACAGGTGTGCACCACGACACCTGGCTGATTTTTGTATTTTTAGAAGAGACGGCGTTTTGCCATGTTGGCCAGGATGGTCTCGAACTCCTGACTTCAAGTGATATGCTCACCTCGGCCTCCCTAAATGCTAGGATTACAGGCTTGAGCCACTGTGCCTGTCCCTGGTACTCTTCTTAATCACTATGTTAATACCTCTATTTTACCAGCTTCCATATTAAGCCATTTTCCTTAAATTATTTCATTTTTATCAAGGGCTGTCCACTGTTGTGCCTCAGCCACTGTCAGATGCACCAGCCTCAGCTCTCAGACCTCCCTCCCACCTCCAAACATTGTCTTGTTCTGAATTTCATTGTCCCCCTGATGACAATGGGTAATGAACATTTTAGTAAATTAATTCAAATAAACTGATTTCTGCTATGGTGTCTAGGATAAAATAGAAAATTTCATATCCAAGTTGAACCCTGCCTCTCCAAGAGACTTAGGATAATGCTGATAATGCTGTGTGCCTTGCACCTAGTAAGTGCACAATAAATCTTGGCTTCTTTTATTACCATAATTATTGTTGATAGGAATATTATTATACTGTTCTCTGTGCTTTTACTTATGCCTCTCTCAACTCTATTTTCCACTCTACAGTCAAAGTTCTCTTTTCCAAACTTAAATCTACTACTTTTGTGCTTAATATCCTCCCATGGCTTTTAAATGCATTTCAGATAACATCCAAACTCTACCTCCTGATTCTAGTGCCCTCCATAGTGAGCCCTTGCCTCTCTCTGACTTCCTCTGGGATTACTACTCCATTGGTCCCTCAGCTCTAGCCACAGAGCCTTCTTCTGTTCCTCAGTTGCCAAGCTTGTTCCTGCTTCAGGACCTCTTCATGAGCTTCTAATTTCTCTACCTGGAATGCTGTTTGCCTGACATTTCATGGATTCCTTCGCATTAATCAGATATCATACCAAAAGCCACTTCTGAGAATCATTTTCTCTCCAACAGCAACCCCACCCTGATTATATTACCCTGTTGTTGTTGTTCGTAGCACTGAGCTCTGTATAAAATAATAATCTATTTTTTAATTTATTTTAAATTTTTTTTCTATGCATATATGTAATTTAAGTTATATGCATAAAATCCTTTTTAATGAAACATACAAAGAATGTATGTAGAATAGATCTAGGTTAGGGAGCTGAATAACAAAATTACCCACCTGTGAACCCACCACAGAATTTGAGAAATAGAATATTAGCAATATTGTTTAAATCCCTTATGTATTTCTCCCAAGTGACAATACCATGCTGCTACATGTCCCTGACTTTTTGACCATCCACACTCACATCTAGGATAACCATTATCTTGCATTATTTTTTCTCATTCTTTTGCTTTGCTCTGTAGTTTTAGCACATGGATACTTATCCCTAAACAATATATTGTTTAGGTTAGTTTTAAGTGTCGTAGTGTATGCCTTCTTCTGAGACTTGCTTTTCTAGCCTAATATTATGCTTCTGAGAATCATAAATATTGATGAAATAGTATTCCATTGTGTGACTATACCACAGTTTATCTATACTCCTGTCGATGGATATTTGGGTTGTTTTAAACTGCTGCTCTTATAGATATCCTTGTTAAGAAATTTTTGGTACATGTGTGCAAAAAGTATCTAGGGAAATAAATACCTTGGAAGGGATAGGTAAGAAGCACATATTCAGCATTATAAAATAACCCCTACTTTTCTTCCAAAGTGTTGTACTAATTTATATTTTCAACAGCAGGTCTAAAAATTGTACTTTCTCTCTACGAGTTGGTATTTTCAAACTTATTAATTTTTTTCAGCCTCATGAATGTAATATAATAAGTTGTGGTTCTGATTAATAATCTCATTACTGATGAAGATAGAAGCTCTAAATGTCTATCATTCTTGTTTCTTATATTGGGAAATATCTTTCCCTGTATTTTGCCCATTTTTAATGAGAGAATTTATCTTTCATTTTAATTGATCCATAGAAATATATAATCAGGATTCTAATTCTTCATCAGTTTTATCTTCCTTTCTCCAATTCATGGCTTGAATTTTCATTCTCTTTATGGTGACTTTTGATGAATAGATGTTCATAATTTGTAATTAATCAAATTTATCCATAGTTGTCTTTATGATGATTATGTTTTTGTGTTTTACTTAAGAAATTAAATCTTTATTCAACTACCATATGATCCAGCAATCCTACTTCTGTGTATATATCAAAAGGAATTAAAATCAGTGTCTCAAAGAGATATCTGCACTCCCTTGTTCACTGCAGCATTACTCACAATTGCAAAGATGTGGAATCACCCTAAATGTTCATTGACAGATGAATGGATAAGGAAAGTGTAATGCATATATACAATGTGATGTTATTCAGCCTTAAAAAAAGAAGAAAATTCTGTCATTTGTGACAACATTGATGAGCCTGGAGAACATTATGCTAAGAAATATAAGCCAGGCACAGAAAGACAATGCTGCAGGATCTCACTTATATGTGGAATCTAAAGAAGTCTAACAAATTGAAGCAGAGAGTAGAATGATGGTTGCCAGGGGATGGGAGGTGGAGAAAGTGGGAAAATTCTTGTCAAAAAGTGCAAAGTTTCAGTTATGCAGGTTGAATAAGTTTTGGAGAGCTAATGTACAGCATGGTGACTATAGTTAGTAATATTGTAGACCTAAAATTTGCTAAGAATATAGATCTTAAATGTTCTCCCCACACACACAGAGGTAACTATGTGAGGTTATGGTTGTGTTAATCAGCTTGATTGTGAAACACTTCACAGTGTTTATACATGTCAAATTATCACTTAGTAGTATTTAAATATACACAATTTTTGTCTGTTAATTATACCTTAATAAATCTATAAAAATGCAATCTTTGTCTTCCCCAAATCACAGAGCTACTCTTTCTTAGCTTCTTCAAAATGTTTTAGGATTTTGCCACTCACAATAAAGTCCATGACCCACCTGGAGATCAATTTTATATATGGCTGTTTTAGTCAGTTTGCTCACTGCTATAAAGAAATACCTGAAACTGGATAATTTATAAAGAAAAGATGTTCAATTGACTCACAGTTCTGCAGGCTATACAGGAAGCATGGCAGCAGCTGCTTCTGGGGAGGCCTCAGAGAGCTTTTACTCATGGTGGAAGGTAAAGCAGGAACAGTCATCTTATCTGGCAGGAGCAAGACCAAGAAAGATGGGGGCAGTGCTACATACTTTTAAAGAATCAGATCTCATAAGAACTCACCTGTACCAAGGGGATAATCTGCCCCCATGATCCAATCACTTCCCACCAGGCCCCACCTCCAGCATTGGTTATTACAATTCAACATGAGATTTGGGCAGGGACACAGACCCAAAACAATATCATTCTGCCCCTGGCCCTTCCCAAATCTCATGTCCTTCTCACATTGCAGTATATAATCATGCCTTCCCAGCAGTCCCCCAAAGTCTTAACTCATTCCAGCATTAACTCAAAAGTCTGAAGTCCAAAGTCTCATCTGAGATAAGGCAAGTTCCTTCCACCTATCAGTCTGTAAAATCAAAAACAAGTTAGTTACCTCCAAGGTACAATTAGGATACAAGCATTGGGTAAACATTCTCCTTCCAAAAGGGAGAAACCAGCCAAAAGAAAGGGGCTACAGGCCCCGTGCAAGTCCAAAACCCAACATGGTAGTCATTAAACCTTAAAGCTTCAAAATAATCTCCTTTGACTCCATGTTTCACATCCAGGGCACAGTGGTGCAAGGGGTGGGCTCCCAAAGCCATGGGCAGCTCCATCTTTGTGGCTTTGCAGGGTTCAGCCCCTGTGGCTGCTTTCATGGGTTGGCGTTGAGTGCTTGTGGCTTTTCCTGTTGATGGGAGCAAGCTGTTGGTGTATCTACAGTTATGGGCTCTGGAGTACAGTGGCCCTCTTCTCACAGACCCACTAGGCAGTGCTCCAATGGGGACTCTGTGTGTGGGCTCCAGCCCCACATTTCCCCTCTGCACTACCTTAGTAGAGGTTCTTCATGAGGGCTTTGCTTCTGCAGCAGGCTTCTGCCTGGACATTCAGGCTTTTCCATATATCCTCTGAAATCTAGGCTTTTCCTGGTGACAGGTGCAAGCTGTTGGTGTATCTACAATTATGGTCTCTGGAAGACAATGGCCCTCTTCTGACAGACCCACTAGACAATGCTCAAATGGGGACTCTGAGTGGAGGCTCCAGCCCCACATTTCCCCTCTGTGATAAGGCAAGTCCCTTCCACCTATGAGTCTGTAAAATCAAAAACAAGTTAGTTACCTCCAAGGTACAATTGGGTAAACATTCTCCTTCCAAAAGGGAGAAATCAGCCAAAAGAAAGGGGCTACAGGCCCCCTGCAAGTCCAAAACCCAACATAGTAGTCATTAAATCTTAAAGCTTCAAAATAAGCTTTAAGGTGTGGATCAGCTTAAAGGCGGGCAGCTCACGAGGTCAGGAGTTCTTACACACTCTCTTTGTAATATGCCTGTTCCTGCTCTGCATTTTTAAATAAGTTCTGTGCACCTGCAGGCTTAACACCACATGGAAACCACCAAGGCTTATGGTTTGCACCCTCTGGAGCAGTGGTCCTAGCTGTAGGTGGGCCCCTTTGAGCCACAACTGGAGCTGGAGCAGCCAGCATGTGAGGAACAGTGGGCCAAGGCTGTGCAAGGTGGTGGGGCACTGGGCCTGGCCCAGGAAACCATTTTTTCCTCCTAGGTTTTTGGGCCTCAGATGAGGGGGCCTGCCATGAAAGTCTCTGAAATGCCTTCAAGGCTGTTCCCCCATTGTCTTGGATATTAACATTTGCATAAGTAAATTAACATTTTTCTTATGCAAATTTCTGTAGCCTGCTTGATCCTCTCCTAAAAATGGGCTTTTCTTTTCTACCACATGGCCAGGCTGCAAAGTTTCCATACTTTTACACTCTGCTTCCCTTTCAAATATGTGTTCCAGTTTCAAGCCATTTCTTTGCCCACACATATCAGCCAAAACTGTTAGAAACAGCCATGTCAAATTTTGAATGCTTTGCTGCTTAGAAATTTATTTTGCCAGATACCCTAAATCTTCATTCTCAAGTTCAAAGTTCCACAGATCCCTAGGGCAGGGCACAACGCAGTCAACATTTTTGCTAACACATAACAAAGGTGACCTTTACTCCTGTTCCCAATGACTTCCTAATTTCCATCCGAGACCTCCTCAGCCTAGACTTCATTGTCCATATCACTATTCACATTTTTGTCACAACAGCTTAGCAAATCTAGAAAGTTTGGAAGTTCCAAACTTTCCCTCATCTTCCTGTCTTCTTCTGAGCACTCCACACTCCTCCAGCCTCTGCCAGTTACCCAATTCCAAAGCTGCTTCCACATTTTCAGATATTTTTATGGCAATGCCCCACTCCTGAATACCAATTTTTGTGTTAGTTTATTCTTGCACTGCTACAAAGAAATACCTGAAACTGGGTACTTCATAAAGAAAAGAGATTTAACTGGCTTATGTTTCCACAGGCTGTACAGGAAGCATGGTAGCATCTGCTTCTGGGGAGGCCTCAGGTTGCTTTTACTCATGGCAGAAGGCAAAACAGAGCAGATGTCTTACATGGAAAGAGCAGTACCAATGGGTAGAGAGGTGCCATGCACTTTTAAACAACCAGATCTTATGAGAAGTCACTCACTATCATGAAACCAACACCAAGGGGAAATCAACCCCAATGATCCAATCACCTCCCACAAGGCACCACCTCCAACACTGGGGATTACAATTTGACATGAGATTTTGGTGGAGACACAGACCCAAACCATGTCAATGACCCTGAAGTGAGATCCAGTTTATTTTTTTCTACTTGGATAACTGATTGTTCCAGCACCATTTATTGAATAGTTGTAGAGATATAGAATTAAATTGGCCAGGCATGGTGGCTCATGCCTGTAATCCCAGCACTTTGGGAGGCTGAAGCGGGCAGATCATGAGGTCAAGAGTTCAAGACCAGCCTGGCCAATATGGTGACACCCTGTCTCTACTAAAAATACAAAAATTAGCCGAGCGTGGTGGCAGGCACCTGTAGTCCTAGCTACTCAGGAGGCAGAGGCAGAAGAATCGCTTGAACCCGGGAGGTGGAGCCTGCAGTGAGCCACGATTGTGCCACTGCACTCCAGCCTGGACGACAAACTGAGACTCCATCTCAAAAAAAAAAAAAAAAAAAAAAAAGAATTAAATCACCCCAAGTATTATGATATTAATTAAACCATTAAACACCAGTCAGTATGGGTGGAAACCTGTAGCGCTCAGCTGCATCCATGGGTAAAACCCTATGCTCAGCTACATGGGGATCATCAAAATGCCACTTGCATTCATTTCTGCTGAAGCTCAATAAGTTGCATGACAGGGACCCTCTCCCATCCCCTTTTGGTCCTCACCAATACAGTCTTTCAAAACTTAGTCTACCCCTAGCATCACTGAAAATTCCCACTTGTGGCCTGCACGCTTCCTCATCCGCTTCCACTGGACACTCTCAGAGAGCCCTTTTGTGGGTGTGCTCTGTCTCTCATCCAGGGAATGCCTATTGCCTGAGTGAGTAATAAACACTTCAGTTTTTTATGATAGCAAACTTTAGTGTGATGGGTTTGACATTATATACCTTAAAAGACAAGGGAGCAGTGTGCCCAGCTGTTAGTATCCTAAAAATAATTCACCCTTTCCTGTTGATAAGCAATGCTACTTCTGTCTTATATTGAGTTTCTCTCTACATGAAACTCTTATCATTGAATTTTTCATTTTAGTGAACAGATATTTTATTTCTAGAATTGTGTTTGGTTAGTTTTCTTTTTTTCTTTTAAACCTTCCTGATCATTTTTGATAGTCTCTGATTCCTCACTTGTGCTTTTAATTTTCTCTTTATTTCTTAAGGCTATCAAACATGGTTATTTTGATCTGATTGTTCAACTTTTCAAAGTCTTTACAGGTCTAGTCTTTTTTTTTTTAACTTTTTTATTGTTTTTTTTAATTGACATCATTCTTTTTACTTTTTCCACTGATTCTCACATAAGGCAGTAGTTTTCTGCTAGCTTTGTGAGTTTTTTTAATTCTTAGCTTATAATTGATGGTAATTTATCTTTCCCAATTCTTTAAATAATAAAGCAAATTTATGTTTTCTTCTTTACGTTACTTAGGGGTAATGGGGACTGGATCTATTTAAAGTTATAATTCACAGATTGCAGTCTTAAGGAACATACCAATAGAGTATATTCAAACTTCAGAGCACATAGTGTAGTAATCAGAAACCGAGATATTTGTTCATTTTTAACCACTACTTAGAGCCAAGCCCAAACAAATAAGTTTCCTTGCCAATTGTCTCAACAACATTTACAGGAAGTGTGGATGTCTCTATGAAATGTGCATATATAAACAGACACACACTAATTTGCCCTTTCTCATGAGGCCTTAACCTTTCTTGGGTTTCCTTCTTTATTTAGGGTTATCTTTGATGCAATGGCATCAGGTCTTTTCACAATACAAGTCCAACCACCGCCACCCTCAAACTCTAGGCCACAGAGATTCGGTAATCCATGGCTTCAGTAATGCTCTGGTTTTATTGTTTATTTCTGACCTCAGTGGATTTTTCTACATTGTTTTACACAGTCTCAAAAGTGTTCATAAATTATTGTGTCCTAAAAAGATTTTTGTGTATTCCAGACCACCGTCGTGGCAGAAACAAAAGTCTTCATATTTTGGGCTGTTTTACCTTCATGAAAATGTATTCACTATGAAAGGGATTTAGTCTGTTCTTCTCACCTTTGTCACCTCAGTGCCTGGAAAGTGTCTCCATCCTGGTTATACTTAGGGTTGTATCCAGTGATTATGCACATCTGGCATAAGGCCTCACATAGACATATTTTAAAAGCTCTTTAAGAAATTTTAATCCGATGCTAAGATTAAAATGATATTGACCTAGAACATACCTGGTAGAAAGTATATTCTCAAAAATATTTATTGAATGAATGAATAAATTTATTTATTTGTTTATTTAGAGACAGAGTCTTGCTCTGTCACCCAGCCTGGAGTGCAGTGGCACAATCTCAGCTGACTGCAACCTCCACCTCCCAGGTTCAAGTGATTGTTGTGCCTCAGCCTCCCGAGTAGCTGCAATTACAGGCGCCCACCACCACACCTGGCTAATTTTTGTATTCTTAGTAGAGACAGGGTTTTTCCACATTGGCCAGGCTGGTGTCGAACTCCTGGCCTCAAGTGATCTGCTTGCTTCGGCCTCCCAAAGTGCTGGGATTACAGGTGTGAGCCACCATGCCAGCCAGTCCTGTTGAATGAATTAACCAATTTATAAGAATGATTTTTTTTTAAGGAAGAATTTGGCTATTTTCTGAAGGGAGTCAAGTCATTAGAAGAAACGTATTGTATCCTTTGGGTATAGGAATTAAAGACCAATCTGGTGGTGGCTCATGCCTGTAATCCCAACACTTTGGGAGGCCAAGGCTGGTAGATCACTTGAGTTCAGGAGTTTGAGACCAACCTGGACAACATGGCAAAACACTGTCTCTAAAAAATATATAAAAGTTAGCCGGGCATGTTGGCGCATACCTGTAATCCTAGCTACTCGGGAGGTTGAGGCATGAGGATCTCCTGAACCCAGGAGGTGGAGGTTGCAGCAAGTGGGGATCATGCCACTGCACTCCAGCCTGGGCAACAAGGTGAGACTCTGTCTCAAAAATAAAAGACCAATCTGATGATGGGGAGAATTTTAACAAGTCTGTCTCCATCTGGGCCTAATCAGCAGTGCCTAACCAGACAACACAAATCACCAAATATAATTTTTAAATGCATTCACTGCTAGGCCCCACCCCAGTCAGAATTGGCCCTGACAATTGTGTCCATGGATTCTTTCCCTAGGTTACAGAGGACTAACTTATGCCCTATAGTATATGAGAGTACTATTTGAAAGAAATTATTTTCTGCTGACCTGATCCTCATTGAGCCATGATCTCAATTAAAAAAAATTCCTAAATTTATACTTAACTGGGCCAGAAAAGATGAGCAGGCATGCAGTGAGCATGAGAAAGGGAAGAAAAGCTAAACATGATTCATTCAGGATTATAACATATTTTCTAGATACTTTGATTGTAATACCTCCTTGTCAAAGTCTTGGACCCCAAAATCTCCATAAACATATGAGAGCTCAGCTTTTAATTTTAACTACTTCATTTCTTCCACAGACATTTCATAGTTCCTTAAAAACTTTAGCTAATTTCATTCTTTACTTGGCTGATCTGATAGAAATAGTTGAGAAATGGCCAGAAATCCTGAATCACCAAGTTAACATTGGAAGAAAGAGGACAGCTTGATTTTAAAAGCTAACAAAGAACAAAGGGAACTGGAAAAAAATTATTTTTTGACATAAAATTGTAAATATTTTTTTTTCAGTGATATTTAACAATTCGTTTTTCACAATGACAGCTGTAAATTATTCATAACAGGCTATCTGGTCCTTAACTTTCCAGTTATCTGTGATTATAATGGTGAGTTGATCTGAAATGAAGGAAAATATTGATTAGAAACATTTGAAATATAGATGAAGTTCTTTAGTTAGAATATTAAAGTTGCACTTGGTTTCATATATCTAAGGAACATTTGAAACTGTAACAGTGGAATTTATAGCATTATATACTACTCTTCTATGTAAGTCAAATCGTTTCTTTTAAATTTCTGACCACTCAAATAATAGATCATTCCATTCGAATACATGGTTAAAATTTTGAAAGATATCAAATTAAAAATGAGCTTTTATTGTGACTCTAAACACTGTGAGAAAGTGTTTACATGTCCTAAGAATGCATATATAACAATATGCACAACCTGAAAGTAAATACCTAAGGTATGAATTTTTTTAATCTTTGTGGGGAAAAATGCAATTGAGAGAAAATATTACACTCTGGACTAAGAAATATTAAGTGCTACCTCTACTTGAGTTATTTTAAAAATTTAGTTCTTCAAGCCTTATTGAAGAAGATGATACTCTCAAGTTGAGCACTGGAAAATAGATGGGCATGAGGAGATAGTACTTAATTTTTTTTTTTTTTTGACATCTATGACTAGAATTAATCAACAGCAAATGGCCACTTGCACATAGATTTGGTCACGAGTGGGGGTTTCCTGTTCTGGATGAGTCTGTCTAATGTAAACTTTTTCTTTACAATCAATTCATTTGTTGCATTCTAGTGTTGATCTAGCCCACTGAAAATCTGGTCATCTTTTTCCAAACTAATACAGAGCACTGACCTATGGGGGAGAAAAGCCTAAATTTTAGTGTATCTGTTTTGAAAGTAAGGAATTCTAAAGAGGACCTTACGATGATAATCAAATCATTCCAGGAAAAAAAAAAAGGCAGAGAGTTTAACAACATCTACAAGCTGCTGTTGCTTAAAAACACAGTATTTGAACTGCAATTTGAGCATATTTTTACCCTTCAGACATTACAAACATGCCATAACACCCTGCTGTGAGGACAGCTTTGGTGCCCCAGAAGTAAAAGAGTTTAGCTGTGATTAAAGGATTGAAGTCTGTGCCTTGAACTGACAGATTAGTTTATGCTAGGTTTTCTCTGTTAATTCTAGACTTGACAGCTCCACTGTAAATTAATCTAAATTATGGCCAACTGCTACAAGGCTGATCATTGTCTCACAAAAAAATATAAAGTTCTATTGAAAATGCGGACGTCTCTATCACCAAATGTTACTCCAATTTGCTAGAAATCTGAACAAGGCAACTTAAAACACACACACAGGAAATTGCAGCTCCTAGATGCCAGTAGAGCTATAGAGATTTGGACACACAAACTGAGCTGTTGGGGAGAACGGGTCTGACTTCTGTGGTCACTGATGTGTGAGCCTCAGTGTTTGTCTTTAGCAGCTCATGACAATGTAATTACATCCTGCGTGCCCAATTTTTCTCATAAATGAAGTTGATAAATATAAACTACAGTTTATGATTGTGAATCACAGCCTGAAGCAATACAGCATGGTCATTGATTGCAGAGAAATATAAATAGGAGATGATAATAGATTGACTGAATCTGAACCCTATCACAGACCAGTTAAGATATCAGAGAATCAGAGAATGGCTTAAGAGAAGCCTTAGTTTCCCAGGAAGAGAAGAGAAAACAGGTCTGGTGGGCAAACAAAGGCTTTATAGCTTCATTAACCTATTCATACCTATAGGATGATCATTTCTCTGGAAATTGCCCCTATCTGAGACTTGATTGAGAGTAGGCATCAGAAGTGAAGGGTGACTTTTTCTATTTTCTGTCTGTCCTTGGCAAGCTCCCCCACCCCCAACACATTTGCATCACTGATTCTATGTTCTTAAATTTGGAGCTTCCTGTTTCTGTGATTAGAAAACCTACAGATAGGTTTACATTTGCATTCACTGTTCATATCATTAGGGAGCTGAACAGACAGTATTGAGTGCATACACCGTGCTAATTCACCTTTACATCTGAAGGAAAAAATACTAAGTGTGATAAGATGAAAAAAAAGGAAAAGAGAGAAGTGGAAATACATATTTATAGAAAACAGTATTTTCTCCAAAACTATCACGAGATAGTCACTGCTATTTATTGTGTAACTTATGTAAACCCAAAACAGTTGGGCCCAATCTGGTCCCCAGATATATCTTATTTGGTCGACACAACATTTTACTTATTTTTTATTTGCATACCTCTTAATCAAGCCTAAACTGTTCACACATGGTTGCTGCTCCCGCCACACCCTGTTGTCTTATACAGGGTCTGCTTACCTGCCTGACAACCGACCAACCCTTTGGTCTATAGCACTCAAACATATTGATTAGAAAAATTGATTTTTTTTAGGAAAATGTTTAGTGGGCATTATATACCAGGTACTGAACTTGACACACCAAAACAATAAATATAATTTCAGGCAGTGATATATACCATGAAGAAAAATGAATCAGGGTAAGGGAAAGAGAATAAGAAGACAGCCACTTTAGGAAGAGGTGATCTGAGAGGTCAGAATATCAGAACAAAAGTTAAAGGATGTGAAAGAGTGGGCCACGGAAATATCTGTGGAAGAACATTCCAAAAAGAGAAACAGTGAGTGTAAAGACCCTGAAGAGAAATAGAAAGTACAGTATGGAATACTCAAGGTGGAAAGTGATAGAAATTAAGGTAGGAGAGATGAGCAAATGCCAAATTGTTTAGGTCCTATAGGCAACAGGAAGCCACTGGAAGATTTTCAGCAAGGAAATCAAGTAATATAATTTATATGATAATGAATGGATAGTCTCTAATTCATGGGTAGTACATAAATAATTTATTTGAATTCTGAAAAGTATTTGCAAAGTCAAGTAATGCCTGTGAAATTTTATCTGCATTATCAGTCTGCTTAGCAAATCAATATATTAGAAAGCATTTAAGTAGCAACTAATATGTGCACATCCTATGCTAAGCCCTGTTTAGGATGTAAAGATCACTTAATATATGGTCCTTGACTCATAGCCGAGAGGCTACTTTCTAACATCTAGTCACCAGTCACTGAGTATCTCTCGTCCATGCCTCCAGAATACATGTTACATATTTCTTCCCATGATTACTAGAAAGACTTAAGAAACTTAGTTTTGTTATTGATTTGTATACATGACACATAAATCTGCTTCTCGTGTAACTGCTATCTCACTTCTTTAACTCTATAAATTTCATTGTTTTAAAGAAGAATCAGTTCTTATATTGCAATATGGAAGTACATAGCTCCAAAAAAAAGGCAAAAGATCTTTGAAATGGGTTTGAAAAAATATATATAATATATATAGTATTATATATTTCTTATATTATATATTATATATTTCTTATATAAAATATAATATATATTATATTATATATAATTATGTATAAAATAAATATATATAAATTATATATAAAATAAACATATAAATTATTATATAAAATATATGTTATGTAAGAACTATATAATATATAATTTTTATATAAAAATATATAACATAATATATAACATATATAATCATTATATAATGAATATATACATTATATAACATATATATATATACATATATATATATATATATTTTTTTTTTTTTTTGAGACACAGTTTCGCTCTTGTTGCCCAGGCTGGAGTGCAATGGCGTGATCTCAGCTCACTGCAACCTCTGCCTCCTGGGTCAAGCAATTCTCCTGCCTCAGCCTCCAGAGTAGCTGGGATTGCAGGCATGCACCACTATGCCCAGCTAATTTTGTATTTTTAGTAGACATGAGGTTTCAGCACGTTGGTCAGGCTGGTCTCAAACTCCTGATCTCAAGTGATCCACCCGCCTCGGCCTCCCAAAGTGCTGGGATTACAGGTGTGAGCCACTGCACCCAGCCAGAAAAAAGCAAATATTTTAATCACTGCCAGTACCTCCTCATCCTGTTGAAAGCTGATGTCATTTTTGACACTCGGGAAATGACTTCTTTATGGAAGAAATGATAAACTAGTCTGCATCCTGCTGCAATAATCTGAAGAAAGAGTGTTTGCTATTTCAATTCTGAGGATCACTTCATAATTGTAACATCAAATTAGCATCTTGGCTTATGCTACACTATTTTGTAGAATCTTAGAGCGTGGCTGACAGGGTCCATGGAGTACTCAGCTGGAACAGACTGATTTAAATATGGCAGAGACAACAACAGGGGAAGGGAGAGCCCTGAACAACATTGCAGAAAGCGTGAAGCTCATCCCATATCCAGCACTCCCTCGTCTCATGCTCTTGTACCACCATCACAATCTCCTTGGGCATCCAAAGAGCACCCATCCCTGAAACCATCCATCAGAATTACCCCAACCTCTACCCATTTTCCTCAGAACTCTCTCTCTGATCAATTTTCTTAAGTCTGTGTGCCATGATATTTTCACCTCAATAAAATAATTGCTATTTAAAAGAGACGGTTACACCTTGCCCAAAGGAATAACTAAAATGGTGGAAATTCTGGATGCACTAGCTGGCAGCTTAGGAGAGTTATGGAGAAGAGGCTTTTTATTTCCTTTGTAATACTACCACTTGATGTCTAATGTGAGGTATGCTAGATACCTGTGGTTGTTGGTTACATGTTATCCTACTGCTTTAATTACTGGAAAGCTAAGTGTTCACTAGTTAATTTTCACTGTGGCCTCCACTATGGGGTTGCCGGATCTAAGTAGGAACATGAATTAGTCTGTGCATTATTCCAGCACAAATGAAGCCAAAGCTGAACAGGTGCATGATGTAGTGCAGTGAAAACACCATGAGCTTTGGAGTCTGAAGACCTAGATGTGTGCTCAGTGTCCACTGCTTGATGAAGCAGAGGTGTGGGCAGGTCCCTAAACCTCTGAGACTCTTGCATCAGCTGTAAAATCCAGAGTTGCTGTGAAACTGAAACACGGCATATATGTTAAAACACTTTGTAAACTGTAAAGCACAAGGCAAATGATGCTATTTTCAATTTAAGCAAAAATAGAATAAGGGCAGATGAAGATTTCAAGACCTTTCAGATTTTTTTAAAAGTTTCCCTACCCTTCTTAACAATCTGTTTTTATTTTGGCTGATTACTTGAGGATGAGCTCAGGAGAATATTCTGAGCAAATGTTTGAGTTTGGTCTTAGTGCCTCGCCCTTTCCCTCCCTTCTGTTTCATGGCTTTTCCATGGCTGGCTTTTATCATACAGAAGGCTGGCTGACTGAATTTCTTAGGAACATTTTTATATCTTGTCTAATGGATGGTCAGGGTTTCATATTGCTGCTTCTTTTTAAAAGTTAATCAAAGAATTACAGGCAGGTTTTTTCCTTGTGTTGTAAATATGAATTAGTCTAATTATAGTTTTCAAAAGAAAGCATTTTCACACCTGAATTTCATGAACATATGATGGAGAAATGACAGGGCTTATTCATTGGATGGTTTTCTGAAGGAAAAAAGCCCCACTGCAAATACAAATAAAACAGTGTCTTGCTGTATTCCTAGGGAGGGAGTATAGAATTGTGTAGTCTCTGTGCCAGAAAGCCACATGGAGTATATCATTGCAAAGTCTCATAGTCATGAGGAAACTGGGGGGTCATCCAGTCCAATTCAGTCATCATTTAGAATACACAGGAAACATGATTTAATCTGCAATATAACTGCGTTCAACATCATGCCTAATTTCATCTCCTTATCTGAACCATAGTTTGCACTTAATAAATGTTAGTTAAGTAAAATTAATAATTATCCCACTATTATTTCCCCCAATAAAAAAACCTGCTAATAATATCAGTCTCTTTTCTGGTTAATTCTATTCACTTCATGCTTTTATTTGCTTTTTCCCTTTGTGGAATGTGGATCCTCTCTTGCCAGTTATATAAAGATTGCTTCTCCTTCAGACGTTAGCTCAAGGCTCATCTCCACCAACAGGCACCATTTCATATTGATCACTTGCTTTCATCTTATCTGAACTCAATTCAATTTAACATTTAATCGTTTCAACATGCACATGTATATTTCCTCAAATATTATATACAATACTTTCATTATTAAATAAGATGTAGTATGACATAATTGCTACCTATCTTACATTGTTCACTATTGTTTTGATCAGTTATTTTGTGTTGTTGGTCTAGGTAACATTTGGGGGAAAAAGAACTGTCTCTTTTTATTTTCTGATGCTGCACAGTGCCCAGTGGAGAGAGGAGCATAGGATAGATGTGAAATATTTTGCTTGACTGACTAAGAAGAATGTATAAGTATTTCTTGGGTAAACTGCTTACACTTATTTTATTGAAAATATGTCATAATGATATTAATAATTTAAGTCACTTTACCCTAATACAATTATTTCTATTTTTGCAAATTATCTTCCAAACCTTTTTCACACCATACGTATTTTATATAATTGTTTTCAGAATATACTTACTATTTTGTATTCGGAATTTTAATTTGTATTTACCATAATCATTTCAGTAATTTTACATAATTCTCGTGGCTATCATTGTTAACTGCATAATGAGGTACAGCACAATATTCCCTTGTTTATTAAGCTATTCACTTATTATTAAACTTTTAGCTTTTCCCCATTTATTTCTTTCATAGGTTACACTGCAGTGAAGACCTTCATAATAAAGGTTTTTTGTTGTTGTTTTACTTGAATTATTTCATTCAGACATATTCTAGGAGTGAACTGACTTGGTTAAAAGACTCATTGAATTTTCTCACTACATTTTACATATAGTTTCACAAAGTGCTTCTGCAACCATTTACGACGTGCTCAGAAGGGCCTGGGGTACTCTCACATGAGCTCTTAGTGACCTGATCAAAACTGCACCCCTTGGTTTCACACATAAGAAAGCATCTCCATCATTTTTTTCCTCCTAACATGTATTGAGCAATTGTTCTGTGCCAGGCAACATACTAAGTGCTTTGAATGCTTATCTACTCTGAATCAATTATTCTACCTTTACAGATAAGAGTAGTTCCAAGTGCGAAATTACCTGCTTAAAGTCAATTGTGTAGTAAAATACAGAACCAAGAGTCCCAATCCGTGTCTATCTCATATGCACATAATTGTTGATCTACCTTTTGTCTCCCAGTCCTCATTCATTATGTAAAAAAGTACTTCCCAAAGTATAGCACTTGTAACACTGATGGGAAACAAAATAATTTATATGATGCACAGTCATGTATTCATTTTAATGAGTATATTGAAACAATAACATTTTGGATACATTAAATTAAATACCTTGTTAAAATTAATTTCACCTGTTACTTTTTTTGATGTGGCTAGTTAGAAAATTTAAACTTACATATGGGGCCTTGTATCCAAAGCTCACATTACAGCTATATTACAAAGTGTTGACTTAAAAGACAGTTGAGATCCAATATATGGTTTTGGACTATGGAGCAGATTTCTTTCCTAGAAGACTTCATTCAAAATGGTCAAAATCAACTCTGAGATATTGTCTTTTTTCACACCATAACTCCATAACTCCAGCCTGTATTAGGAACTGTCCAAAAAAGTATTGATGTTCCCTACCAAAAAAAGATAACCAAAGGGTCACCAATGTGGTGAATGATTTACTGATGGTACGCATTAATCTTTCTTGGCACTCCAGGGCCCATAAGAAACAACTGGATTCCAGCCCCATTTTTAAGAAGTTAAAGGATAATAAAAAAAATTGTACACATGAATATATATATTCATTTGCATATAGGTAAGCCAATATAATTTTTATATATGCAATTTTACAGTCGCTTACCATATGTGATGTAATGATGTCTATAAATATAAAAATTCAAATTCAGCCATAATACAGAATAGACAGTATCTTCAATGAAACATAATCATATTTTTGCATATTTTTTCTATATGCCACTTGGCATGAGATATGATTTGTAACAACTACTTAACATAATCCCTCAGGATCTGAATTCATAAGAATTTAAAATCTGCTTTAAAGGTCTGAAACTACATTGAGTTTGTTTTGCTTGGGGGAGGGCAGATTTTAAGCATACCACTGTTATGCTCAAGCATTATTTTATTTTATGTTCATTCAAAGCTATATTAAACAGTATGGAATTAACCTCTTTTGTTTCTCCAGCAGCAGTAAACAATTCCACAGAAACTCAATTTTCTTTCAGTTCATAAATGTACTATATTCCCCACTGTGTCAAATTACCTTCTCTTCCTTTCCAGTAAGCTGATGACAGATAAAGATTCTGCTACCCATGTCTGTTTCATGCAACAATAGCAGTTGACGCAGATCTGTAACAGCTCACCTGGGCAGTTCTGTTAGTGTGTGTGTGTGGTGGGGGAACATAGCAGAGAGTTAAGTAATATTTTTAATGGTATTGTAACCATGTCCACTCAGAAGGTAATTTAATCTCCACAATGTTAGACCTCCCACACAACAAATTGTTCCCTTTCAGTGTGGCACAGTAGAGAGAAAAGAGCACGACACCAGCTGGCAGTTGCTGCTATGGAATACTACCTACAAATATAGATCGGAAGTTGTGGGTCATCACTCATATCTCAGAAGGACTTTTTTAGGATGGCTACTGAACAGATGTAAGGGCACTTTTAATTAAATATAGACCCAAAAAATCTGTCTCAAAATAAAGTTTGTTGTGACACATTCTCTCCAGAGACCTGGAAATTCGTAGCTAAAATTAACTTTAGAACAAAAGGGTTTAGAGTCAAGGATGATGTTCCAAAGGGCTACAGAATGCCAGCATGTTGGGTTATAGCTCTGTAGACAAAAACTATTTCTGTAAAGCTCTCTGTATATGTGTTTATATTTAAAGGTACTCGAAAGGAGAAAGTCAGACTTCAAATTCTTCCCAAGTTATTAGCATATAAGCTACTAGGACAAAATGAAATCTTCCACATTTTATTTCTAGACTGAAATGATGCAGAATTAACTCATCTATTAGGGATGTAGGATGTTCTCTGCTTTTTATGTTTTCTTCTGAAAAATGTATAAGAAATTATATGAAATACTTCTAAAATATCCATTTCAAGATGTTTCAGTTCATTTCGTTCACAAAAGCTGCAGACCTTTAAATTTCTGGTCATTTAAAATCCTATTTTAGTATTCCAAGAAGCCTGGGTTTCTCAGTCAGAGTTACTGTACAAAATCTTGATTAAATATTTATAAATTTCTTAAAATGTATATTACTTGCTTGATCTATTGAATAAGCATATATTCATTAGTCATTTTGTACAAAGTGCTGCTACAAAGGAACAATGTCTTTTATCTGTTCGTGTGTGTGTGTGTGTGTGTGTGTGTGTGTTTCTCTAGCACACTATGGGTGCATAATAAATGTTTAATGACATCAAGCCATGTGATAAATCAGTACTGTCCTACAGATATAACAGGCAAAGGGGCTGAATCCTGGACTTAGGCTTGGCCATTTTAAACCCATGCCTGCCCCAAAGAAGAAGTACAGATCTTAATGTTTGCCTGAAATTGATTTTTTTTTAAATACAAGACCCTGAGAAATATAGATAGGAATTAGAAACATGCAGATTTGAAACTCCTCGATGAAGGGCACTGAATCTTCTGAATGTCTGACACCAGCATGCTTGGTTCATGTCAAATAAGTAGTAAATAATTCTGGAGTGAATTATTATCATTATGGCCTAAAAAACTTCATTTGTAACTAAGATCAGATTTACCCTCAGGAGAAAGTTTTCCTGTGTGACTCTTAAATCCTGGAATACCTTTATGCCTGTGGATCCCTGTTGCATCTTGGCAAGCCTGGAATGTCACAACAATTTTTCTCATTTGTAAACAGGCAATTTTACCACAAAATAAATAAATAAATAAATACATGGCAAATACGTGAGCCATCCAAATTTCCCCTAGTCCTTAGTCTACTGTAGTTACTCTGTGCTAAAATCTTTATTTTTTATTTTTTCTGTCTGTTTGTTTGGTTTTGTTTCTGTTTTTTTGTTTTTTGGGGGTATTTTTTTGTTGACATGGAGTCTCACTCTGTTGCCAGGCTGGAGTGCAGTGGTGCGATCTCAGCTCACTGCAGCCTCCGCCTCCCTGGTTCAAGCGATTCTCCCACCTCAGCCTCCTGAGTAGCTGTGACTACATGCACACACCACTATGCCCAGCTAATTTTTGTAATTTTTAGTAGAGACGGGGTTTCACCATGCTGGCCAGGGGATCAGGATGGTCTGACCTCAACCCGCCTGCCTCGGCCTCCCAAAGTGCTGGGATTACAGTCATGAGCCACCGTGCCCGGCCTAAAAACTTTAAACAAGGATGGCTGAAACATCGATCCAACACATAATAGGAACCCCTTTCTTCTATCTTCATGTCCCCATTATCTCCAGGATTCTTAGAGGATTTTCTTACATCCTTATTACCTCTGGTTCCAATGTCTTAGGTCTCCTGTCTTCCTTCTGTTTCTCCCCTCTTCCTTCTTTTCCTTCTCCCCCAACATGAATCTAAATGTGTGCAATAAAGATGATTCTCAGGTGTGCAAAAATACCACATTTGTTTATTTTCTTTACCTAAAAAAAAAAAACATTGGTGGCAGAATTATTTAGTACAAGTTTCTCATTTCACCTTGCATAATGATCTTGTGTGGTAAGCACTGTTGCTTTCCTCATTTTACAGATAGGGAAACTGAGAAGGAGAGAAGTTGACTAACTTATGTAAAGTTTCACAGCCAGTACCTAAAGTGCTAGAAGTTGAACTTGACTTCTAAGTTGACTGTGATTCACTGCCTCCTTCATTAGAGCCACCATGAAGTAACATACTAACAGTGAGCACTCACTGAGTACTGCCTATGTAACAGCATTCTTCTGAGTCCTTTAAGTGCATTATTTCACTTACTCTTCATATCAGGAACATGAGACTTGCACTGTTGTTATCCCAATGTGACAGATAAAGAAACTGAGTCTCAAGGGGACTCAGTTGTTTATAATCAGACACCTAGTAAATAATGGAGTCAGGATTCCATTCCAGGCAGTCCAACACTAAGACCTTGTCTTTATTTTGTAAACAGTTTTATTGAAATGTAATTGACATACAATAAACTGCACATATTTGAAATGTACAATTTGATATGTTTTGACTTATGTATACATCCGTGAAGCCATCACCACAAGCTAAGTAGTGAACATATCCATTATGCCCAGAAGTTTCTTCGTGCCCCAGATCAACTTTGGTTTTACAGATTAGTTTGCATATTCTAGAGTTTTATATAAATGGAATTATATAATATGACTCTTTTATCACTTCTTTTATTCAACATAATTATTTTGAGATTCATTCATGTCATATTTCATTCCACTTTATTGATGTGTATTATTCCATTATTTATCTATTCACCTATTGATGGACACTTGGGTTGTGACCAGTTTTTGGCTATTACAAGTAATGCTGTTATGAACATTCATGTACAAATGTTTTATGGGCATATATTTTCTTTGAGGTAAATACCCAGTAGTAGAATGGCCGAATCATATGGTAAACATAAGTTTAACTCTTTAAGAAACTGTCAAACTGTTATCTGACTTAGTTATAATACGTTACATTCGCACTCACAGTGTATGAGAGTTCCAGTTCCTCCACATCCTTCACCAAATTTGGTGAGGGTCAGTCTTTTTAATTTTAGACACTTTAGTAGGTGTGTAATGGTATCTCATTGGGATTTTAATTGGCACTTTACTAATAACTAATTGCATTGAACATCTTTCATTTGCTTATTTGCCATATATCTTTCTTGGTGAAGTGTCAGTTCAAAACTTTTGCTCATTTTAAAAATTGGGCTGATTATTTTCCTATTATTGAGTTCAGAAAGGTCTTTATGTATTCTGGATGCATATTCTTTGTCACATGTATGCTTTGCAAATATTTTATTTCAATATGTGGATCTCCCAATTTATCTTTTCCTTCTCTTAACATTGTCTTTTGAAGAGTAGAAGTTGATCTAGGTGTGTTCTTTATGGATCATCCTGTTGGTGCCACATCTAAGAAACCTTTTCCTAATCTAAGGTCACCAAGACTTTCTGCTATGTTTTCTTGTAAAAATGTACAGTTTTAGGTTTCATATTTAAGCCTATGATCAGTTTTGAATTAATTTTTGTAAGCGATGAAGGTATGAATAGTTCAGTTATTATATGAATATCTAATTGTTTTAACAGCATTTATGGAAAAGACTATCATTTTTCCACTGAAGTGTCTTTGCATTTTTGTCAAAAATCAGTTGTGTATATATGCGTGGCCTATTTCTGGATGCTATATTCCGTTCTCCAATCTATCTTTATACCAGTATCACACTGTTTTAATTACTGTAGCTTTATAAGTCTTGAAATCAGGTAGTGTTAATCTTTCAGCTTTGTTCTTTGTAAAAATTGTTCTGGCTATTCTAAGCCCTTTACATTTCCATGTAAATTTTAGAATGAGCTTGTCAATTTCTTAAAAAAAAAAAAAAAAAAGCTGCTGAGCTTTTCTCCAAAGGAGAGGATTACTTGAGAGTGCGTTGAATCCATTGATAAGTTTAGGGAGAATTGTCATTTTTTTTTGAAAATTTTTTTCAATTTTTGTCTCCATAGGTTTTAGGGGAACAGGTGGTACTTGGTTACATGAGTAAGTTCTTTAGTGGTGATTTGTGAGATTTTGGTGCACCCCTCACCCAAGCAGTATATATACACTGAACCCAATTTGTAGTCTTTTATCCCTCACCCCCCTTTCATACTTTCCACCGAGTCCCCAAAGTCCATTGTATCATTCTTAGGCCTTTCCATCCTCTAGCTTAGCTCCCACTTATGACTGAGAACACAAAATATTTGGTTTTCCATTCCTGAGTCACTTCACTTAGAATAATAGTCTCCAATCCCATCCAGTTTGCTGCTAATGCCATTAATTCATTCCTTTTTACAATATTGAGTCTTCTGGCCCATGGACAAGGTATATTTCTTCAATTATTTAGATTTTCTTTAATTTGCCTCAGCAATTTTATTTATTTCTGTATAGGTTTTGCACATATTTTGTCAAATTTAATCGTAAGTATTTTATTTTTATGCTAGTATAAATGCTATTGGCTTTTATTATAATTTTCAACAGTTTGTTACCACTATTTAGAAATACAATTGATTTTTGTATATTGATCTTATATACTGCAACCTTGCTAAATTGACTTATTATTTCTAATAGCTTATTTTAAATTCTTTCAGTTTTTTACACAGACAGTCAGAAGTGGTGAGAATGAGCATCTTTTCTTGCTCCTTACATTAAAAAGAAAGCATTCTGTCTTTGACCATTAAGTGAAATGTTAAATATAGGTGTTCGTTTATCATTCTGAGGAAGTTTCCTTCCATGCCTAGTTTCCTGAGAGTTGTTATCAGAAATGGATGTTGAGTTTTGCTAAATGTTTTTTGTGTGTCTTTTGAGCTGATCTTGTGGTTTTTCTTTCTTAGTTTGTTAATATGGTGAATTACATTAATTCATTGTTGAATGTTAAAACAACCCTGCATTTCTGGAATATACACACTTTACTTAGTCATCATGTATTATCCTTTTTATATATTGTTGAATTCATTTTGCTAAATTTTTGTTTAGAATTTTTACATCTATGTTTATAAGGGTTATTGGCCTATACATGATAGATTCTATAGCTAGTAAAAGGAAAATTAGGAAATATTGTGAACAATTTTATGCCTTTAAACTTGACAACTTAGATAAAATAGACAAGATTTTTTGAAAGATACAAACTACCAAATCTTACTCAAAAAGAAACAGACAACTCAAAAAGCCTCATATTTATTAAATAAATTGAACTTGTAGTTAGACATCTTCCCACAGAGAAAAGTCCCAAGGCCAAATTCACTAGAATCAGTAGTGAATTCTACGAAACATTTAAGAAAGAAATACCAATGCTACACAAACTCAGCCAGAAAACTGAAGAGGAGGGAATACTTTCTAAATCATTGTCTGATGCAAGTAACAGGCTGGTACCAAAACAAGACAAGATCTTTACAAGACAAGCTGAGTATTACTTATCCAAAAAGCTTAGGACCAGAAGAGTTTCAGATTTTGGATTTTTTTTATTTTGAAATATTTGCATTATATACTTAATGGTTCAGCATCCCTAATATGAAATCCAAAATACTCCAATGAGTATTTCCTATGAGTGTCCTGTCAGCCCTCAAAAACATTTTAGACTTTGAAGCATTTCAGATTTGAGGTGCTCAACTTGTAGTGTATCACCTCTCTCATTCCTTATGTAGATAATTTGTGTCTTCTTTTTTCTCAGATCAGTTTAGCTAGAGATTCAACTTAATTTATCTTCTCTAAAAACTATCTTTTGGTTTCATTGATTTTTTTATTATGTTTATTTTTTCTATTTCATTGGTTTCTGCTTTGGTATTCATTAAGCATACTTTGGGCTTAATTTGCTCTTCTTAATATGCTTTTCGTTTTCTAGTTTCTTAAGATGGAAGGTGAGGAAATTGATTTGAGGCTTTCTTCTTCTGTAATAATATTGGAATTTAGTGCTATAAATTTCCTCCCTAAGTACTGTTTTAGTACTGTTTCAAAAATTTTGATTTATTTTGTCAGTTCAAAAATCTCAAAAGGGAAACTTTTTGAGATTTAATTTGACCTGTGGTTTATTTAGATGTATATATTTATTTACCTAATATTTGGGGATGTTTCAGACATTTTTCTGTTATGAATTTTCAGTGTAGTTTCATTATAATCAGAGAACATACATTGTATAACTTCATTTTAAATTTATTTCAACTTATTTTATGGCTTAGTAAATGCTCTGTATATACATGAAAAGAATGCATAATCTGATGTTTTGGGGTGGAATGTTTTAAAAATGCCAATAAGATCAAGTTGGTGGATAGTGTTGTCAAGTCTACTATAAACTTGCAAATTTTCTATCTACTTGTTCTATCAATTACTGAGAAAGGACTATGGAAACACCTCGCCATCATTTTTTTTTATTTGTCCTTCAATCAATTTTGCTTAATTCAATTTAAAGTTCTGCTTCAGGAAGAATAAACGATTAGAATTATTTTGTTCTTTTCATCAGTTAAATCCTTATTATAATTAAATAACCTACATTAACTCTGGCAATAGTCTTTGCTCTGAACCCTGCTTAGTCTGATATTGATATATCATTCCAGCTTCCTTCGGGTTAGTGTTAGCATGATCTATTTTTCTGCACCCTTTTCGTGGGCAGCATATAACTCGTCTTGTTTTTGTTTAAATATCTATCCTAATTATAGTGTTTAGATTATTTATACTTAATGTAATTATTGATATCTTTAGACTTAAAGGTAATATCTTGCTATTTATTTTCTACTTGTCCCATTCTTATTGTTCCCTTTTCCTCTTTTTCTGCATTTGTTGGGATTAATGGAATTTTTTAAATGATTCCTTTATATCTCCTTTGTTGGCTTACTAGTCATTTTTCATTTTTTTAACTTAGAATTGCTTTAGAGTATATAATATATAACTATAATTTAACACAGTCTAAATTCAGGTGATATCATACCAGTTCAGATGAAATATAACAACCTTACAATAGTACTTCCATTTCTCCCCTCTCAGACTTTATGATTTTGTTTTCACATGTTTTACAGATATATATATATCTAATATACCTCACAATATATCATTTTTGTTTTAACAATTATCTTTCAAATAACAGATAAAAACTTACATATTTACTCACATAGCTACCATTTCTTGTTCTCTTCATTCCTTTGTGTCTAAATGCAGAATTCCGTATGTTATCCTTTTTTTTTTTTTTTTCCTAAAGGACTTCCTTTAACATTTCTTGCAGCACATGTCTGCTGGAAATGAATTCTTTCAGCTTTTGTATGTCTGAAAATGTCTTTATTCAGCCTTCTTTTTTATTTTTTATTTATTTATTTTTTTTCAAGAGACAGGGTCTCACTCTGTCACCCAGGCTGGAGTGCAGTGGCACAATCATAGCTCACTACAGCCTCAACATCCTGGGTTCAAGCAATCCTCATGACTCAGCCTCTCAAGTAGCCGAGACTCCAGGCGTGTGCCACAACATCTGGCTATTTTTTAAATTATTTTTTGTAAAGACAGGGTCTTGCTTTTTTGCTCAGGCAGGTCTCAAACACCTGGCTTCAAGAAATCCTCCTGCCTCGGCCTCTGAGAGTATTGGGATTACATGCATGAGCCACTACACTCAGCCACAGACTTCTATTTTGAAAGATATTTTACTGGGTAGAGAGTCCTAGATTGACGTGTTTTCTGTTTTTCTTTTATTACTTGGAAGATTTTACTCTACTGTCTTCTCACTTGGATTGTTTTCAAAAAGAAATCTGTGTGTAACATGTCCTTTATTCTTCTGTTGCTTTCAAGATAGTCTGTATTGCTCGTTTGGGGCATGTTTGTTTAAGATGTGCTTGGTGTAATTTTATTTATTTATTTTTATTCTTGAGGTTCATGACACTCCTTGGATTTGGTAAAGTCAGAAAAGTTTTGGTAATTATTTATTCAAATATTTATTTGGCCCACCCATCTCTCTCTCTTCTCCTTTGACTATTCCAGTTACACATGTCTTAGGTGACTTTACATTGGCATGCAATTCACTGAAGCTTTTTGCATTTTTAAAAATTTTTTTTATCTTCTCTATGTTTCATTTTAAACCATTTCTATTGCTGTGTCTTTCACTTCACTAATCATTTCTTCTAATTTCATTCAGTGTATCTTTTTTTACAGAAATGTACTTTTTGGCTCTAGAAGTTCAATTTGGGTCTTTTAAAAATATATATCTATATATTCTATTACTTTAGTTAATGTTTGAACATATAGAATACAATTATAATAATTGTATATAACTGTTTTAATGTCCTGTCTGCTAATTCCAATATATGTGTCAGTTTGGAGTTGATTTCAGTTGATTATTTGTGTCATTTTTCTGCTCCTTTGCATGACTGGCAATCTTTGATTCTATAATAGGTATTGTGAATTTTATCTGGTTGAGTGTTGAGCCTTTTTGTATTTTTATGAATATTCTTTAGGGTTTTTTTTTCTGTGATTTATTAAGTTATTTGGAAACTGTTAGTCCTTTCGGATCTTGCTTTTCTGACTCGTTCACAGTAGTCTAGGGTTAATTATTCCTCATTATTGAAGCAAGACTTTCCTGATTATCTACTCAATGCCCTGTGAATTAGAGATTTTCTAGTCTGACTAGTGAGCACCGGCACTATTCCTAGCCTTGTGTGAATACTGGGTGCTTTTCTCTAATACTTTTGGAGGTTTTTTCCCTGCCTTCATGTAGTTTCTTCATACACATACACTAACAAGTACTCTGCTAAATCGTTCAGGGGGACCATGTACAGATCTTCAGTGTTCTTTGTGCAATTCTTTTCTCTCCAGTACTTAGCCTTGACTCTAGCATCCTCAGTCCCCTGAACTCACCTCAACTCCTTTGATCCGGGAGTCTAGTAGCTCAGCCTGCGTTCCTCCTTTCTACACTCTGGCAAGCTAAGGCAGTCATTGGACTCATCTCATTTGTTTTCTGCCTCTCAGAGGCAATTGTCCCTCCTTACCTGATGTCTTAAAAACGTTTCGTATATTTTGTTTTGACTTGTTGTTGCTGTTGTTTCAGGTGGGAGGTTAAATACAGGTCTTGTTACTCCAACTTGGTTGTAAGTAGAAGTTCTTCTGGAATCCTTCTTCTTAATTAATATTTTTTCCAGTGATTACTGACATGATCTACAGGGTACTATTGATCAGCTATTTTTAAATGGCAGATTCATTGGCTAAAGTGCCCTTATTGGATATGAAAGTTATATATTATTATGTTTTAGTCAAGAATGTTGACTTATCTTTTGATTCTGACCCAAAAAGGGATTACAACCCACAATGAAACCCACTTTAGTGCCTCCACCTTCAGGTCATAGATTGATCATTTGACTGATAATTGATAATAAGCAGGATTTTTAGCTACCCCAAGAGGAAGTAAATATGAAGTTCACCATGTCAGACATCAGACCAGCTCAGAATCATAGTCTTCTTGGTATTCACACTTTTTTGCTCTTTTAACTGTTTTTCCTGTGCTTTAAATTCTTGTGCCTAACCACCTCATTCTTTCTGTTTACCTCTTCCTCATTTTGGAGAAAGACAGAGAGTAGGTGACTAGTCAGGACATTTAATTATTAATCAGTTGCTTCTAGCTCATATCTGCCTAGAAAACAATAATAGTAATGATAGTAATTTGCCAACATTTATTGAGCACTTATATTGTGTTAGGAACTCCTATAAGCACTTTACTCTTATTGACTTATTTAATCATCAAAACATATAATAATATTGCTATTGTAGGCTGGGCGCGGTGGCTCACGCCTGTAATCCCAGCACTTTGGGAGGCAGAGGTGGGCGGATCATGAGGTCAGGAGATCGAGACCACAGTGAAACCCCGTCTCTACTAAAAATACAAGAAATTAGCTGGGCGCGGTGGCGGGCGCCTGTAGTCCCAGCTACTCGGGAGGCTGAGGCATGGGAATGGCGTGAACCCGGGAGGCGGAGCTTACAGTGAGCCGAGGTCGCGCCACTGCACTCCAGCCTGGGTGACAGAGTGAGACTCCGTCTCAAAACAAAACAAAAAAAAAAACAAAAAAAAAAAATTTGCTATTGTATTTCCATTTTACAGATTGAGAAGCAGAGGCATTAAGAAAATTGTCCAGTGTTGTATACCCAGTTAAAAAGGCAAAGGATCCCAATCAGGAAACCCTGTGAGGAGCCTGAGATCCTACCCACTCTGCCGTGCCACCTTATGCCCAGGCTCCCTCAACTTTAGAATTTACACTGGCCCTGAATTTTGTTTTGTTTCTGTTTTTTTGTTTTCCTTGAGTTTCTTACATGCTTTTCTCTGACTTTTAATTTGTATGACATGGAAATTTTTAACCTAATTGCTGACATAGTATCTCGAGTGAACCTTACTGGATAATTTCTTGGCTTTCTTGGTCCCAGCTTCCAGTCTTCTTTTGCTGCCCCCCCAGCCACCAGCCCCAGCACATGCAAGTGTCCCGTCTTCCCCTACTGTTTATGTTCACAGCTCTGTTCCTTTGTAACTATCTGAATAACGCCTCTTCTCAAATGAAGATCACTGCCTCTGCCTACTTATTCATTGACTCAGCAGCAGAGCTTCATTTAGAGTAACATAGGAAAAGCAGGGAGTTGCAGGTCTGCAAAGGGGGAGATTAAAGTGCCCTGAGCCTGATATGTGTGGCTTCAGGGTCCCCCTGACTCCTCTTCCTGGCTTACATGGGGCCAGTTGAGCTGCTTGTCACATATCTGTTTCCCCCAGTTTTGGACACATACTTCCTTAAAACAAGGTTGTTGAATTTAACAACACTTGATGGAAGCTTTGGGGAGCACTGAATACTAAACTGAGAGTAAGTGACTAGTTTTAAGGCCTCACATTGAACCTCCCAGGAGGCATCATGCAGTAGTGATGTGGCCAGGAACGGAGGATTATCTCAGTCACCACCACACCTCCAAGCTCCCCACTGCCTGGCTCCAGAGAAAGAGAAGAGAACTCCTTTATCCCTCTAAAGCCCACCTAATTTCCTGCCTGAGGATAATTGTCTGAGAAGATTCTATTTCTTTAAGGGAAATTCTCACATCTACCCAGAGAATGCAGCCAGACCTCCTGGCCCAGGAGAAAAACAATGGCTCTGTTCAACCAGTACATTTAAGTCTGTCGAATCCACCATAACTTCACCTTTGAGACAGCAAAATTCAGTCCTGGTTGTGTGCACAAGCTCAGTCTGGTTCCTCTTCACAGCATTTTCTCCAGTGAGAGGATAAGAGATCAGAGCACCACACTCCTCCTTGTGCCCTGCACTCTTCTTATTTCCTATGAGCAAGTGCTTGGGCAAAAAGATGCATGTATCTACCAAGGACAAGTCAGCATTTTCAGGAATAAGGCAGCATACATTGCAATTTACTGGGGAATCTCCCTAGACGTGTGGATGTGCAAACGAGGCATCAGACTTACGTCACTAACCAGAAAGCTTACCATCTCAAGCTGAAGTCCCTGCACTTGGCTATTTCACAGGATCAGGGCATTCCCAACAAGAGTGGATAGGTACTTGCATTATATATTGCATAAAGGAAAAGTTCACCAAAGTGATTTTCAGAACTAAGGTAGACTTTGCCACACAGATCTAATCCAATGGTGATGTTGCTGGCAGAACTGCCAATCGGTTTCATTAACACTAAAGTACATTTTTACCAAATAAATGTCCCTATTTAATGTAAGTGCTTATATTTAGAAAAGAAATGAGAAGTGGAATTATTTTACGTGCTTGCAATGTAGAAACCGAAGCTCAGAGAAATTAGACAATAGGTCTAAACCAACCCTGTGCTTCCCCAAGTGAAATAACACCAGGTTCATGAGGAACTCCTGGGTCAGCAGCAGAAGCACTCCTTCTCCCAGCCTCAGCACATTGCCTATGACCCTTGAGGATGTTTCTGATGAGGTGAAAGACTGATCGCATAGCCAGGGAAGAAGATATATCCAGAGACCTGGCCAGGTGATTGCTTTCGGCAGGGAAAGAGCCCTTTCTAAACAAGTGACCGGAATGTAAAAATCAGGGTCAGACACTTCAAATCAAATCATCCACAAATGCAGAAACCAAGGATGGATACACATTGGTCTTGGTTAAAAGTAGAGACTCAAATCTGGGGTACTTGGGGATGGGGGAACAGCCTTGGAATGCAGAGTCACAGCCACGGGAGCTGGGAATGAGTTTGTTAAACCTGACTCACCAATGATGGAGGGCAGAGCTGGGTATGGAGCCAATGTCAGGCTCAGGAGAAGAATGTCGAGGAAGGAGAAAAGCCCAAGGTACAGGTTCACAGGTCAGGACAGACTACAGACAGAGAGGCTGGTCTGGCATAGCTGAGAGTGTCTTGACGGACTTAAATCCCTAGAGCCACCCTTGGAAGCACCTGTTCCTCCTGGCTCAGTCTGGCGGGTTGTGGGGCCAGTCTGCCTGCTTCCTGGCAGGGTCCTGACACCAATCAATGGTGACTGCACAGTCCCCCCACACATGAAACAGAGGGCACTCTGTTAGGCAGATTCACTGTCAACCTTGTATCTTACTCTTTGTCATAAAGCTCTTGTGTTTACCACTGCATTAAATATAACCCTGCAATAGAAAAATCCTCATTTTCATGCTTGAAATACATTATCTAATGGCATATCTATTTGACTTTTACTACATGCCTTTCATTCCTCTGAGGTAATTGACCTTTACTTTGCTACCCTGTGGATTAAAAGGCTACCACACACTCTGCATTTGATATTTCCAGTCCTGCAGGAGAGGCAATTTCCATTTGCTTTTGTTGCAAGGCTGCTCTTCAGGCGGGTCCTCAAATGAAGGGAAACCTCAAGGTCTGGAACTGCATCGTGGCAGTTATTGTCAGCATCATGTGGTTTTTATTTTAAAAAGCACATGTCGCTTCATTTCTATGGTCATCTCTACGGAATTGTAAAGACCTATAAGACTTCCAGAACCTTCCACCTTCGTTTCAGATGCTATATCCTCACTCTCTGAGGATCAGGGATCAACAGTGGCCTTCAGATTTGATTCAAGCACCTGAAAGTTTAAAATTGTGTCCAAACTACACAATTCATGAGAGATAAAAACATGAATGGTATTAGTCATATCCTAAGCTGCCAGCCATATAGATCCAGAAACCTTTCATGTGATAATTTAGCAATACTGTTACAAAGAACTCTGCAAGTCAGGAATTTGGAGATCTTGGCTTTCTCTAGTGCCCTATCAGCCCTCCTTCCCACAACCAAAATAATAACAAGAATAATGAAGGTGGTAATAATGATAGCAAGCACTATGTGTCAGGTACTATTTTTTAAATACTTCAAAGATAATAATTTGTTATTCTTAACAACCTAATAATGTAGGTACTGTTAAAATCCAGTTTTACAGATGAGGAAATTAAGATACATAAAAGTTAAGCAACCTGCTAGCAGGTGGTAAAGCAAGTGGAATTCAAATTGGAGCATTTTGGACTTGAGATAGAAGACCAGGATACAAGAGAAGGAAAGAACATCAATAAAGATGCTATTCTCAGAACTATCTCCCTGGGGTGGGAAAAAATACTGGAGTATTTATCCTCAAACATCTGTTTCTTTGAGAGTTGCTCCTGGGAAGTTAAATCACCTCTGGCCTGTTCAACTTGACTGGCCAAGCATCAAGCATGTTAAGGCAAAAGGCAGAGACTATGAAGCTGACTGTTGGGAGAACTGTCTGCAGTGACCTTCAGGGGAGGCCACAGGAAAATTTGAAAGGCAATGATGCTACCCACTTTTTATTTTTTCAAGCACAAAACCCTAATTAATCTCTCTTTTTTTTCCATCAAATGATTTTTGATAACCTGTTAAAGCCATAGCAGAAATTTTTGGCAAATAAAGCAAGGCAAAGTGATCTCCATTTTCAAACACTTAAAAGATGAAAGTTGCCTTACTTTGTTTAAAGTATTGCTAATAGGACTTGGGGGAGATGGGAGAAGGAGGTGTGTGGAGAAGAGCTAAGTCATTATGTTATCACTTTAAAACCAGTTTGGCTTTATATTCTGTTACACATATACTCCCTAGGGATGATTTTTTTCTTTATCTGTAAAATAGGGATAGTGATACTTTCTTGTATCTCTCTCATAAAGCTGCTGTATAAATGAAGTAAAACACCATTACACTGTTAGGAAAATGTATTCTTATGAAGGCATGTTTAAACATGAAGTAGTTCAATAGTGCTAGCTAATTTACTATTGTTATTATTATTTCTCTGATCCTGGTTTTCATATTTCCACAGCGAGGAGATAGAATTAGATAATTTTTTCCAGCAAGTGTTTATTAAGAGCTTACTGCACACCAGGCGCCATGGAAGGCCTTGCTCAGGACCTGGGGATTCAGCCCTGCCTGTCCCCTGACCATACCCTGACCATCCCCTGCTGGTCCCTTACCCTCAAGAAGCTCATAGTCCTGGTTCCTTTCCTCCACACTACTGTTAAATATAAAACAAAACACTTCTGTTAAATATAAAACAAAAATATTTAACACTTCTGTTAAATATAAAACAAAAATGAGAAAATCTGATGACCCTGGAGTATGAGTTGAAACATCAGGTCCCTTTCATCTGTTTGTTTTGCTTGTTCATCAATGGTTCAATGCTCAGAAATAGTAAAAACTTAACCACAGGGTCCTCTATATTGTGAGTATTAAACAACTATTTTATAAATGATTGATTATGACATCAGATAGGACCTAAAACTTATCAAGTACCTACTCATGTGGTGTTGATGGTGGCACTTGACATGTTATGTCATTCAAAAGTCACAATAAAACCAAATGAAGAGCTTATTGTCATCTCTATTTTACAGATAAGGAGCTAGACCTAGAGAAGCAAAGTCACTAGCCTAAGGTCAAACAGCTTTTAAAGTGATAAAGGGCAGAGTCAAATCCAGTTTTCTCTAACTCCAAAATATAGCACCTTTCTCTTTAACTAAAAAAAAAAAAAAAAAAAAAAAAAAAAGTCACTTTATTTTAACTAATTTGTTTCGTAAGCATTGCATAAGATTAGAACTAGAATGGGCTTTGAAATTAGCATATTCTAATGCCTGCCTCCTAGTGATATCATTTCTCCATTTTCCAAAGCTAAATGCTAGGTAGAAAACTCTGGTTGATCCAGATCATGTTTTCAGGCCAGGCCATAAGTTGCAGATTGCTGCTCAATCCATTGTTTTGCATCCAGTCTAGCTCATTCAGGTTGGGAGGTGAAGTAACGTGATGTACTCTGTGCTGTAGTCAGGTATGTTAGTTAGCATCTTTGGGTTGCAAGTGTTAGAAAAATAATCCAAACCAGTTTAAACCAAATAGAGATTATTTGGCTTACATAACTAGGAATCCAGGACACAGCTAGATTCAGACAGGCTGGATCATGGGCTACATAAAGTCATCAGGACATTGACCCTGGCTCTTGCTTCTGCTCTCTTCTGTCTTGGCTTTATTCTAAGCCGGGATTCTCCATGTCATGGCCAAAATGATGACCAGTTCCAAGTTTACCTTCTATCAGGTTGGCAGTATTGTAATTAAAAGGACTTGTCTCTCCCATGATCTCAGCAAAGGCCCCAGGGCCAATTTTCATAGTTGGTTTCAAAATTGAACCAATCACAATGGTTGGTTCAATTTTCCTTGAACCAACCATTGTGTCAGGAAGATAGAATGGATTGATGGGCTGAACCTGGCTTCTCTGTTCTCCTTGCTGGAAGTTGGGAATTGCTTAACCTGAGAATGAGGAAGAGTGGTCCCAAAGGGTTGTTATCAAAGAAGGAAGAAGGTATTGGGGTGTGCAAAAGCTACAGCATGCAACCTCACTACAACTTAGATATTGCCAGAAGGTGGGGACAGTCAAGGAGCCAATGTGAGACATTTTTCAACATAGATCAAACCCTTTAAATTTCAAAGAAATTAGCCCCAGAAAGCCAGCCCAGCCCAACTAGTGAATCAGCTAGTTAGTGTCTCTTGATCGTATATCATTTGACTCTAAAAATGTGACATTGATCCATGTTAAATTATTTTAAATTTCACTTTTCATTAAAACATTTGTACACACTTTGTGCAGACTCCATTTTGGAATATTTAACCAGATAGACAGAAAGATTGCAGGCATTGACTATAATTATGACAGTGTCAAGAAGTCCAGTAGTCACTATCTGGTTATTTTTTTCTTGGCCATGTCCTATCTGTTGTATCATTTCAGACATCATTGCTGTTCTTCATTTCTCTTTTCAGGGTTCTTTGTGTCTTTGCTTTAAAACCTTTGTTTCTATTCTTAAGTGGCACAGTTTGGGTCATTGGTCTTGACAAATAAGATCAGATTCCTTTGGTGGGCTTGGGTTTTTGGTTTTGTTTTCCCTTTTCCTCTCTCTCTCTCTCTCTCTTTATTTTTTGTTTTGTTTTTGGTCTTTAAAACTTCAACTTTTCCAAGGCTTATTAACAAAAGTAGGCCACCAAATAAGAGGAAAAAAAAAAAGAGCTTTGCTAGGTGCACTCTTCTCTATTGGAAATTATTTTATTTCTCAGAAAAGGGAGAATTAGAAGAAAGCTATTTTCCCCAATTTTCCATACCACCCATGGGAATCCAATTCAATTTCCTCTCGAATTTTGTAGTAAAAACTAAAAGTATGGAATAAAGTTGCTGGAGTGTAGTATTCTTTTACACAGATTTGATGTTTTAAAATTCTTAGTCATAGAGCTATTTACTCAGCCTGATCCATTTCTAATCAGAGTGTAATATAACCATTTGATGAAATAATCTTTTTTTAAGTAGACAAGTATACATATTTAAGAGATATCAAAACCTTACCTGATAATCTAGCCTGATAGAAGAGGGCTATGGAGTCAGATGGCTCACAGCTCTCTAGCCAGAGCCTGCCTGAACTCTGTGGCTTTGCAAAACCCAAGAGAGCATTAGGTTTATTCTTGCTCTATTTTTCTTTTCTCACAGTTTCCCCTATAAAAAATTATATTGTTTAATCCAAGGAAGTATATAAGAAATTATCATGGTATAGTTCACATCAAATCGGAAATAAAAACCTAAATGAAAGAAATATTTCACTTATGTGGTTCTATAAAGAGAAAAAAAGAAAGAGATCTAATATAGAAGTTGGTTACCATAAACCACAGAATGGATGAATATGTGTGAAAATAGCTTGAATACATCACAAATCTTTATAAGCTCTAGGACTATTTTATTTATCTTCATAGCAGTCCTACATTATAGCTAATAATAATAGTCTTGAGTTACACAGAAGGAAGCTGAGACTCAGTTGGATGCACCCAGCAGGTTAATGAGAGAGCCAGGACTTGAACTCAGCCCCTTTTGTCACCAGAGTCCAAGCTCTTAACACTATGTTACCCTATTCCTCTTATAGACTCTGGTTACTTGAACGTTGTTCATTTGTATTTCTGGGGCTGGAATACCCTAAACTTTCTGTTTCCTCAAAAGGACGTAGAATATAAAAGTTTGCCACACCTGTGCATATATTAAGCACCTAGTTTTGTTAATGCTGTTAATTGCTTATTGGCCTTGGGTTCACTTAGTTTTAATTTAACAAGCCTTTTGCCTACCAGTCTTCGGATAGATTGGTTTTGTGGAGAACGGTTGCAATCTGGATTGTAGTAATTATCTTGTTATGTCTTTTATCCTTCAGCACTCCTTATCTAACCAGATTCCTCATGAGTTTAGCAAATGGTCACGGAGCACCATCATATTCCTGCACCAATCTTGAGCAGTTCATTATCTCAAACTTATAAGCTCCTATCTTCATTTTATAGTCATGGTACTCTAGCCTCCCTTGCAAGCTTAGAAATAGAATAGGGCAACTTTTACTATTATCTAATAGAACCAGCAGTTTACTGAATCATGTAATCTGATGCTTCACTATACTCAAGTTTAGAGGCTCAAGTAAGGTTTAAATGGAATTTTAGATAATTTTTTTAAATGCCAAGATGTCTAACTCATTTATTGCCTAAATGTACAAGAAGACTTTCTGGTCCTTGTTCCATCAACTTCTGGGGCAAGCCAATTGCTCTCTCTCTCTCTATATATATGACCACAGCATCCCACTGTCCATGAAGAAATGATCAAAATCTCAGTTTTTAGTTTACATTCCCAGAGGAAACTGCATAGCAGTCTATTTCTCTGTTTATTTGTTTTTTCTTTATAGTCTATACCAGTCAGTTTCCAAAGATAATTTTCTCAAGAACAGAGCCCAAGACAAGAAAATCCCATCAACCAGGAGCTATATTAGGTACTCATTATACTTGTGAAAGAATGAGCTCAAGAACTCTATGGAAACCTGGCCTCTGGGTTTGCAGAGAGGCTGCCTAGAGCCCTAATGCCCCTTCTTTCATGTATGCTTCTCCTATAATACAGGAATTCGTATGCAAATTGGCTGTTGTCCTCTTTGTTGGTCTGTTGACATGTGGCTGCTTTCAAAAAATTATAAGAAGATATCTATTTCACATTAAACTTTGGTCATTGCATATTTTGGAAAAATACATCTTCTAAAAACATTTTTGCTTAGCAGGGATAACTACTGTCAAACTCTGGGTTTTTATTAATAAAGAATGGAATCATAGAATGCTGAACAGATTGGAGTCTTCTCTTTCCTCTGGTATCAGGATCAGGCCAGGCACACTTGACATTTCATGATCTAGGCTTTTGCTGTAATATTGTACTTAATTATACAAGTGATGATAATAATAGCTTATATTTATTAAGTGATTAATATATACCAGGCCCTGTGTTCAGATATCAGTTGTGGGAAGACAGACTCACGTTAACAGTGCCCTAGGACTGGGATCGTGGCCTCTGCTCCATATACCCACTTTGACACACGTTCCCTAATTACAGTGGAAGTTGTCTGAGGGCTGGGATTCAGTCCCCTCACCGCCACGCCACTACTCTCTGGTCTCTGCCATAGTCCATGTGGTCCTGGTCTCTGCCATAGTCCATGTGGTCCTGGTCTCTGCCATAGTCCATGTGGTCCATGATGGCTCCACACTGTGTTCTTATTCCAGGAAATAAATGAGAAATTGAGGAATGAGTTTCACAGACGCCATGCCTGCTAATACCCCATCGGTCAGAACATAGTCATATGGCCACACCTAGCTAGAGAAGGTGTTGAGAGGTGTTATCTTTATACTGGTGACTGTGTACCCAGCTAAAACTGTGCTGTTGTGAGGAAAAAAAAAAAAAAGATTATATATCAGTTACCAGTCTTGGCCTCATTGTGTCATATCATTTAATGCTCCTAACAACCCCTTTTGTAGGTATCTTATTATCCTCATTTTACAGAGTAAGTAAATTGAGCTTAAGGAACTTGCCTAAAACTTCCTGCTGCACAGGGCTACATGATTCCAGGGCTGAAACTTTTATCCACTGTTTTCTATTCTATTTTGGATAAATGCCATACTTTTAAGAATTTTGTTTTTTTTTTTAATGTACAATTCAGTGGTTTTTAGTATATTCAAAATGTTGTGCAACCATCACCACTGTCTAATTCCAGAACATTTTTATCACTCAAAAAGCCCCTATCCATCAACAGTCACTCCCCATGTGCCCCTCGTGCCCCTCTCCCCATCTCCTGGCATCCACTAATCTACTTTCTGTCTCTATAGACTTGCCTATTCTGGACATTTCATATGAAGGAAACTGTATATATACATATATATACTTATATGTATGTATATATATATACACATATATATACTTATATGTATGTATATATATATATGTGTGTATATATATATATATATTTTTTTTTTTTTCTTCCTTTGAAATGGGGTTTCACTCTTGTTGCCCAGACTGGAGTTCAATGGCATGATCTCGGCTCACTGCAGCCTACACCTCTTGGATTCAAGCTATTCTTCTGTCTCAGCCCTCTGAGTAGCTGGGATTACAGGCGCCCGCCACCAGGCCCAGCTAACTTTTTTTTGTATTTTTAGTAGAGATGGGGTTTCGCCATGTTGGCCAGGCTGGTCTTGAACTCCTGACCTCAAGTGATCTGCCTGCCTCGGCCTCCCAAAGTGCTGGGATTACAGGCGTGTGCCACCACTCCTGGCAGGAAATCAGATATTACGTGGCCTTTTGTGTCTGACATTTTTCACATAGCACAATGCTTCCAAGGTTAATTCATGCTGTAGCATGTATCAGTACTTCATTCTTTTTTATGGCAGAATAATATTCCATTGTATGGATATACTGAATTTTGTTTATCTATTCATCAGTTGATGGACATTGGGTTGTGTTCACTTTTTGGCTATTATGAATAATGTTGCTTTTAATATTTGCGTACAAGTTTTTATGTGGACATATTTTCAGTTCTCTTGGATAAATACCTAGATGTAAAATTTATGGGTCATATGGTAACTGTATCTTTTTGAGGAACTGCCAGACTATTTTGCAAAATGGCTGTACCACTTTGAAAGTGTAAAAACACATTTTATACTCCCAATAGCAATCTCTGAGGATTCCAATTTCTCCACATCCTTGCAGCATTTGTTATCATCCATCTTTGTTTTATTACAGCCATCCTAGTGTGAATCGGCGTCTCATTGTCATTTTGATTTGCATCTCCCTTAATGACAAATAATGTTGAGCATTTCTTCGTGTGCTTATTGGCTATTTGTATATCGTCTTCTTAAAATATCTATTCAGATTCTTCACCCATTTTCTAATTGGGTTATTTGTCATTTTATAAATCAGTTGTTAGCATTCCTAATATGTTCTAAACATAAATACCATTTTAAACAGTAAGTGCAACCCATTTTGATATAGTTAAATTGTTCAGTTATTGTATGAATGCACCAATTAGTAGATTTGACAGAATTTCCAAACAAAATAATCAGTCCAGTTTGTGAGTACAGCTAGAACCTTAGTGCTAGTCCAGTTTGGGCCAAAAATTTTATTCTGGTAGAAGGGAGAGGGCTTGCATAAGCCTCAGCCATATTTTAGTTTTTCTGTTCATCAGAACTCTGACATACTGGTGAGCTCTACAGTGTTTCTCAAAGCTTACTGTGCATCTAAGTCATGTGAAATCTTGTTAACGTTGCAGATTCTGCTTTAGTAAGCCTAGAGGAAGCCTGGGATTTCTAACAAGCCCTCTGCTGATACAGAAGATGCTGGTCCATGGACCACACATTGATTAGCAACATTAGAGTATTAAGTGTTAATGTGGCTGTCTAGAACCTTGAGTCTAATTGTTATATGAACCAGATTGCTTAGTTCTAATCTCAGAGAGAGTAATGTCCTAGATCCAGCCTTTGGAATTGACTCTTGGCTGCCACTTACCAGCAGTGTGTTTCTTTGAGCAAGTTACTTTACTGCTCTCAGCCACACATCTGAAACTAACAGGTAATTATACCTCCTTCTCAGAGTGATAATGAGGATGAGGTGAAATAATGTACATAAAGCATCTATTACAGTTCCAGGTATATGAAGGGCCTTGGTAATTGTTGGCCCTCTTTTTTCCACTTGCCTTCCGTAATAGAGACTGTCTCCCTCTGATTGTTCAGTGCAAAGGCATCATCATCACTGGAGAGACAACTAAGTGTCCCTACCCTACTTTGTTATATTGTCATGATTAGATACAGAGAGTATTACTCTGTTTATAGTCTGTAGTTATTCTGTGTATGTTTCATCTTCTCTACTCAACAGATTCTATGTTCTTGGGGATTAGGACTATATATTGCCTTCTGTTTGAATCCCTATGCGACCTCTCATGGTGTATCCATAGACTATCCCATTAATTAATGCCCACAGAATGAATCAGACAGCCCAAGTCCATAGTAGTAGAGATAGTAACTATAGAAATAATAAAGGAAACTAACATTTGTTAAGAACTTTGTGTCAGATACTATCTTAAGGGCTTACATGCATCATCTGGTTCAAGCCCCACAACCGTCCTTTGAAACCCCTCCATTTCTTGCCCTTGTTTTACAGAAAAGGCAGCTGAATTTTAGCTGTACTCAGCAAGAGTGAATGCCCTCTGCAGTTGTAAGAGCAAAGTTCTGGAGGCAGGCTGCCCATGGTCTAAATCCCTGCTCCATTTTGTACCTGCTGGGATTCAGAACACTTTAATATTCAAATGCATGATCATCTGTAATCATTAGTGCAGGTCTCATGGGATTGTTGTGAGCTTGGTATGAAACAATATGTGAAAAATGCAAAAAGCAATGAGCACAATGCCAGGTGCTTAGAATTATTCAGACAATGGTAGCTTTGTTTAGTTGTTGATTTGTTAAGTTACTTATCCTGGCCTTACAGTAAGTAAGTGGCAAAGGAGGGATTTGAACTCAGGCTGTCTATTTCAGTGTCCCAGTGTCATAACTCATCAACTCTAAGTTATGTTGTTGCACATCTCCCATTTCAAGTAATGTGTTAAGGTGGGAACTGGAAATTCATGTGTCTATGTAAAGAAAGTCAAAAGTCAAGGTGGCTGCAGAGACAGAAAAAGAATGTGAGAGGCACTGTATAATGTATCACTCTTTTAAAAAGATATTTACAAGCTCCAATATTTGTGCTAACACGTTCTCTAAAAGCATTTGTATAGCTAGTGCCAATCCAAGGGAAGAGGCGCAAGCAGAGGATGATCCACATTTTGGAATGCCTAAAACTTACTTCCTTTGGGGATGCAGGGACCCAAGGGGCCTCATTAAGGAAAAACCCTCATTAATAAAAATAAATAAATATCTTACTTGAGTAAATTATACCAAAGCATATTACCATGTGAACATATTGCTAGGGTCGTCCTCAGAGCCCTGAAAGGGCCCCGAAGCTAAACTTCATCCACTTCATGGTGAATCCTCCTATGGCACAAAAGTAACCAAAACTCTGACTGCACAACAGGAAGCCTGGCCTGCATTCATGTTTTTCTTCACAAAGGGACATTTTTTTAATTTCTTTGTCTCAGTACCTCTATTTTGAACATTAGTAATAGGCTATATGGACCTCGAGCTCACAGGAAATTCTGGCAGATAACAGGCTTCCCAGAATAGATATATTAAGTTATAAAAAAATAAAAAAATGAGGCAGACGGTATAGGTTTTTCATACCTACTGGCAGGTGGCACAGAACTAAATGTTGGAGCATTTTTATAAGCAAGATTAAATTGACTCATGACAGCTGGTCACTAAAATACAGGAAGTGCAGATCTGGTTGAAAGCGAGAACACACTGGTGTTCGTAAAGTTTGCATCACAGACTAGAGCTCACTTTTTCTTTTAAGTCTGCCTTAGCGACACCCTTATTTGGCAATGTCTGCCATTTATCACTTGCACACAAGTAGATGTTCAAGGAACACGCAGGTCAATTAGTTCTATCTGCAGTGCTTAGGTATGAGTACTGTGGGTGTAAACAGAATCGGTGAATAGACTTGGCTCTCGAGAACATCAGACATGTGACTGCTAGCAGAGCCTTTTCGGTCTCCACTTGTCCAGTCCTCCCCTGCCTAAAGCGACAGGATAAATAGACGTGGGAGCTGGATGGCCATGGGAATGGATAATGAATCTGTCAGAGACAAGTGGGACGTCACAGAAGTCTGCCCTCTACACATCGTGAGGCCGGAGGTCACAGCACCAGGAATTGACAGCAATCTCCCAGCATTGTGAAATGTTTTTGTTTTTTTGTTTTTTTTCTGGCAAGGGCTCTAAATCACAGGTTTTCACATCTGATTGGAATGGGGCTGGTGAGGATAAACTGAGTTGTGGAAAATGAAAGGGAGTCCTCTCCAAACAAAGGAAGTGCCCTGGTGCCTCACCCTCTACTTGCAGTGTTCAGCCCCAGCACAGCAATTGTTACACTGACTAAGCAAAGACAGCCCAAAAGCTTCACCAGATGTGAAGTTACAGTTTTAGCCAACGTTCAAGCAATGCCCTTCCTCCAACTTCAGCTGGACCAGGGTGGCCATCCTTGCATGAGACATTAAAGCTAAAAGAGGCACATTTCAGAATAATTACGCTATGCAAATGCTTTGTTTTTTTCTCTCCCCTGAGCTGTGTTCTTTTCCTAGGTCTTTCAAACATTGTTTAAGAAGCTCTTGTTTTGGGTTTCAGTCATCTGATGAATCCCCTGGAGTTTAAATGAAATTAAACTGGGTTTATGATATCTCACAAATTTCATAGCGTCTCCTTTCTCCAATGTAGTGTAAGTTATGAAAACCAACAATTAGGGCATGTGGCAGTTTTCAACACACATCATGGAGTGTTTAATTTAGTACAATGTCTATTAATTTTTCATTAATTAGTCCATTGTCAAATTAGACACAGTAGAACATGCATATGACATTCCTGCTTTCAGGAAGCTTACTTTATTATCATTTGTCTTAATCGTCTAAGTTTTCAAGCACTTATTATGTGCCAAGAACAGCAACACACACTAGGGATATTACAATAAATAAAGCAGACATGACTGCTGCCTCCCAGGAACTTATCCTCTAGTGAGGATGACAGAATAAGCAATTAAAATACAGTCTACAGTCTATAGCAAAGATGCTATGGGTTTTATTATGCAACCAGCCTTGCCTTATGTCATAGGAGCACACAGAAAAGGCATCCTGGTGGACCAGAGAAACATTCCAACTATGGGCAGATATTTTTTGTATACCAGAAAGGAGCCAGCCACTGACATATACAGGTTAATATCTGAAGGGAAGAATTATCCTGATCAAAGAGGTAGGAATAGGAGAGTAGAATGCTGTAGGCAGAAGAAACAGCTTATAAGAGTACCTGAAGGCAAAGCTTGAAGAACTAAGTGTAGAGTTAGGAGTGGTACAAATGAAGCTGGAAAAGGGGCAAGAGATAAATTGCAAAATGAACTTGCAAGCCATGTAACAGAGCTTGGACTCTATCCTGAAAATAATGGGAAATCTTACAATGGTTCTATTCCAGAAGTGACCCAAAATATATTTGTGTAAAAAAATATTTGGACTATTGTGTTGAGATTGGGTAGAGAGGGGCATGCCTGGAGCACAAAATTCTGTTTAGAAGTTCTTGTAATAAACCAGATCAAAGATGATGATCACAGCTAAGAAAGTGATTGTTGCTAGAACTGTATGGATTGGAAAGAGAATCAAGGAAGAGTGCATTAGTCCATTTGCACAGCTATAAAGAAATACCTAAGACTTGGTAATTTATAAAGGAAAGAAGCTTATTTTGGCTTACAGTTCTGTAAGCTGTGTACAAGAAGCGTGATGCCTGCATCTGCTCAGTTTCTGATGAGGGCCTCAGGAAGCTTCCACTCATGGTGGAAGGCAAAGGGGAAGTTGACATGTCACATGGCAAGAGCAGGAACAAGAATGGGGGAGGGAGGTACCACACTTTTTAAACCGCCAGATCTTGCAAAAACTCATGGAGGGAGAACTCAGTCATTACCACAATGAGGGCACCAAGCCTTCATGAGAGATCTGCCCTCATGACTCCAATACCTCCCATCAGGTCCCTCCCTAGCATTGGAGATCACATTTCAACATGAGATTTGGAGGGGACAAAATATCCAAACCATATCAAAGAGGAATCTCAGGGCATGGTGAGAGACTGACTAATGCCAGATTAGATGTGGTAGGAAAAGGAGAGGGATACATCATTCTTGCCTAACTGGGTGGAAGATGGTACAATTTACTAAGAAAGCACAGAAGGAAGAATGGGTGAGGCAGGAAGCCAAAGAGTTTAGTTTGGGGACATATTGAGTTAAGTATGTCCAGGAGGCATTTTGATGAATAAGTCTGAAGCCTGGGAGAGAGATCTGAGATGGAGATACAGAGCCCAGACTTACCAGCATTTTGATTAGATATTCTTCATGTGGTGTAATGGAGGGAGGGGGCTCTATGGACCCCAGTGGGTAACAGAGAATCTTCGAATATCCTAAAGTGTTTTCACACTTTGAGCTTCCTTTAAATATATTTATTTGGGGTGGGGAAGATGATGTGAATTTGCTTTAAAAGGTTTGTAATGCGAAGGAAGTTAAGGAGTGCAGACAAAGATTGAAGGGACAACTAGATAAGAGTGCGCAAGGAGAGTGAGCTGGCTGTGCTAGGCCAGAACCCAGAGAACAGCATGTGTAGTCAACAGGCTGAAGAGGTTCCTGAAAACGAGCTTGGGTATCCAGAGGGGAGAGTGTCAGGGGAGAGGGAGTGGTCCAGAGTCCCAGCCCCTGAGGAAACAAATAAGGCATGGAAAAGTATCCATTGGATTTTCAACAAGGAGGTCGTGGGTGATTTGACAAGGGAGGCTGTGGACATTTGGAAGGACTGAGTGAGTGGGAGATGAGAGAATGGAGATGGCAAGTATAGGAAACTCAAGAAGGGAGGGGAGAGGACTTAGGAGGTAGCTAGAGAAGATGACCAAATGCACAGCAGGTATTTCCTCACCTTAAGATGGGAGAGGCTTGTGCAATGAGTGAGAAAATTTATAAGTATGAAAAGCCTTTAGTAACAACCTATCCAAGCACACGGACACATTTAAGGAAATCAGAAGAGTAGAACTCAGGGTTATGTACAGTGGTCAGGATGGATTCAGGTTATGAATTGAGTTGAGCCTTGAATGGTTAATAAGCTTTAGGACAGCTGAGAATGAGCCATTAATTGGAAGAAATCTGAGAAAAAATAAGACTAAACATTCATCTATTCTCCTTTTACCTCCTTTTATTATTCAAAGAATATCTTCTCAGCTAATATAATGTCTTTAGAATGGAAATTGCCTGTAACTCAGAGTGACTACAAGTATGAAAGTATTAACAGTTACAAGATACATAATCCAATTTACAATTACTCCTTGCATTCTTGATCTTCACGCAGGAAACCAGCATATTCTTTGGGATCACATTGTTCAATTTCCTCATTTGGAATTTTTAACACCAGATATGGTGCTAAATCAGTATAAGCTGGTGCTTCTATCACTTAGGTTTTAAACATCCTCCGTATATAGAAACACACCCATAAATAAAGGTGTTAATGTTGGAAGGAGAAAGATGCTTTAATAAGCAACCTAGCACAAGTAATTCCCTGCATATAGGAGATTATTATAGGACCTAGCTCATAATTAAACATTGCCTATTTAACTGAATTATTTTTTATCTTACCTTTTTAAGGAATATACAAATGTTCATTTTCAAAGGTGACATTTATGTGTCTAAGTTGAACAAGCTTATTATAATTCATAAGTACACAGAGAACAGATTGTAGCAAGAAGTATTAAACATTGTAATAGACCCCCGAGAAAGCTGTAGCTTGGTCTTCCCAGACAGGTTTGAGTAGATGGTGATTGCTTTAGGACTACACCTTTTAGTTAAAAGAGAGCCCAACAGCTTTCAGTAATAGTCTTAACCATTCCTTTTTTTCCTTGCCGTAAGTATGGGTCAGTGTTCCAGAAAGATTATGGAGGCACTAAAGAAAAACTTGGCCATTGCTATACAGACATTAGAGAAGCCAACATGGTTGTTAAGGAGTCTTATCTTCCTACCTAAGAAAGAGCATTCTGTTCTTTTTCCCATTCATGGCATTTGGCCCAAGAGAAAAATAAAATAAAATAAAATACTATAATATTTTTTGGTCTTTATGAAACTTGATTTTCTATATTTTTGTCCTAGTTCCTGGAAGAGGCCATGTTTCTCTCTCACACACACACACATAAACACACACACACACACACTGTCAATCTCTCTCTCTCTCTGGTTCTGATTCAGACCTATCTTGGTTCTCTACCCCTGCCCAGGCTGGATGCCCAGGTTCTCTCCTATGTGTGGACCATCTCTTCCCACATACATTATTCTGACCTCTGGTTGTGGCCATTCTGTCAATGTAGGTTTTACCTTTCCAGAGGATATGGTGTGATACAGTTTATATCCTGCTGCCTCAACAAATATCAAGTTAGCCACTGCAATTTTATAGTCAAAGACTTCGGGCATTGGGATGTATTTTTGTGGAAATTGCATATTCCATTGTTGCCTCTCATATATCATGGCTTTATTCATAGGCAGCAAAGGCCAGGCCTTGGCTAATGACTTCCAAACCCTGCCACATGAAGGATTTTTTTTTCTCCTTTAGGATTCTAGGCATTTTTAATTAGAGTCATTTGGCCTGTTTCTGAGAGCCCTTTGTGATTCTCCGATTTGCTGTGAGTGGGATGTCTGAGGATTACTGTGTCTCACCCCCCTTCGGGTCTGTTAGCAGCCTTGGTGGAAAATCTCTTCTGATCTGAGGAAATGTCATTTTAGAGTGCAGAATGAGAACACTTGATTATAATTTCTTGGGTTTCTAAGAATAAGTCTGAATAGCAAATTATTTTAATGGTTATCTTCCTTTTTAAACAAATAAGAATTGTCTTAACGATTTAAAGAAAAAAGATAACATTGTTCTTTAAACCCAAACGAAGCCCAGATGAAATTGTCATAGATCTGTTAATATCACAAAAAGACCTTTTCCTAAATGACAGTATTTTGGAACCTGTTGGGAACCCCTTGATTTTGGAGCACAGTTATCTTGCGGGAGCTTCAGGCCCCCACTGACTTGACTGCTATTCGGCTTTCTCAATGTACAGTGTAAGGACAGACTACATTGTAACAACCCTGCCCCCTGCAAACGGCTCTTTTGGGGAAGATTCTGAGGGCTGGGCCTGCAAATCTATCTCTTACTAAATGCCTCTGTGTATCACTAAAGCACTGCATGGTTTGAGGAGACAAATCAGGGAAGCCTCAGTGGTCACCAAGACCAACTTATCTGACAATGAACTCTTTGTCTCTCCTCTGCCCAGGTGCAAGTGTAATCTCCATGCCACTGTATGTGTGTATGACAACAGCAAATTGACATGCGAATGTGAGCACAACACTACAGGTCCAGACTGTGGGAAATGCAAGAAGAATTATCAGGGCCGACCTTGGAGTCCAGGCTCCTATCTCCCCATCCCCAAAGGCACTGCAAATACCTGTGAGTAACTTTGCTTGGTAACAGCATATTCTGTGCACCATGAGGTGATAGTTCCTCTCAATTTTGCTTACAATTGTGATTTTATTCCTCTTACCAGTTGTCTCATTCTTCTTTAAAGTGCAGCGAAAGTTTCAGTCCCTATCTTACCTCATGTAGACATCTTTTAGCACTCTGATCATCAGTAAAATTCAGTCATCTAACATTCACATCAAATGTGTTGGGAAATGATACTTGACATCACAGAAGGAATTTTTTATAAGTGGATGAGACAGGAGGTGATTTTTTTCCTCCCCCAAATTAATTTCCTATTAAAATATCAAAGGCCTTGTAAACTCTCAATCCTAATTTAATTTTAGCCATAAACAATTTACAGAAATTATTTGAATGTTTACAGCCCCATTTCCCCTACTGAGTATCCTGAGAGATGCTTTGTCCAGAATATTTCTCCCCACTACAGTTTTAGCTAGGACCTAACTTTGCCTTGTGAAAAGTTTGGCTGTTTCCAAACTCCAGCAATTGAAACATACCTGCTTTGGATCCTGTGTGTAGAGGCCCCCTTTGGATAAAGAGCATGACTGTAGGCCTGTGGGGACCACATTAAGAAAAAAGATTTTTCTACGCATGTGAAAGAGTGCAAGCATTATCCGCGTTTACAGAAACCATCTGTGTGCCCCCACTGAAATCCCTGATTCCCCATAGGAAAACAGGCTCTGACATGCTCACAGAGAAATGTGATTATTTGCTGAATAATTTGCCCAATTCCATGGATGGACCAATTAACTACCTGCAACAGCCCAAGGTTTGCACTCTTTAAAAAGTAGAGAAAGGGGGAGATTAGAATGTCCCCATTCAGTGAGAACTAACAGAAGCAGCCGGACAGTGAGCACAGGAGAATCAGAACTTGAGAAGCCACTGCTTCCGTAGAAGGGTAAGAATGTTATCAGGCACTTCAAAGCAGCAGCTGTGAGAAACCAAACCTAAGAACTAGTATCATAGGAACCAGGACTTTATCAAGTTAAACGTAAGAGTAATGGACCAAGTAACAAACCATGAAGTATGGGGGCATGAAATTATGATAACATTTCTATGAAGCAGAAAGAAATCCTTCAAAAGGTTTAAAAAAATCCCTCTTTGTAAGGGTATTCAGTTGCTTTCAGTGTTAAAGAAAAAAAACTTGACTTCTTGCTCCTAAAATTAATACATTAACGCTCTGTTGAGCAGAAACGTGGATGTTTCAAGGTGATTTTATTGATGGAGACTCTGTGGCCTTTCCTCAATTGTTGAGGGCCACAGACTCATGAATTTGAAAGGGATCTTGCAAGGTTATTTATTGCAATACCCTGTGGCTGGCTACCTAAGAACTCCTATGACCCCAGTTGTCAAATTTAGTTTAAAGCTTTCCTAAAGTAAAAATGGCTCAGATTTCCTCTTTAATGTCTGCTCCTTCTTTAGTAGAAAAGGCTGGAAGAGTGTGATGTTCACAAACACTTCCTGGCATTCTGGCTTGTCCTCAGGGCAGGTCAGCTTGCCAAGACCACTGGAGAGGCAGCAGGGGAAGGCTGCTGTTGAAGCCCTCAGCTTCTATTCTAACGTGACCTTGTTCTTCTACCCGTAACTGTACTTTGAAGTTTTTATTTCAAGACATTTTCACTGGAAAGACTTTCTTGTTTCATCCAAGCTTTCGCATTGAAACTGATTTCTTGTTATTCTCTTGTTATAATCATCATGGAAATGTCTCCTACCCCGAATCCTTTGCATATTGAAGATCACCAAGTCACTTTCTGACCAAAGGAATGAAACTTCTTTCAGTTTTCCTTGTAGGTCCAATTGTCCACCTATCCCTTAGTTTTACTGGTTTTCTGTATACATTTTGGACGTTTTTCCTCATTGATGTTAAAATAGGCAGGTGATGGATGGACCCAGTGTCCAAAGGGGTTCAATTCAATATTCCAATCATCAGCATGGCAGAAATTAGATGAAGGGTTTTAGAAACTATCTGCAGATCTGCAGTGGTCCAGTCTTGCAATGGGAATAACCCCTTTGACTAAATCTCTGACACATCAGACTCTGCTTTAAAGCATCTGAGGATGGAAGTAAGCAGTTTAGTAGTTTAGTGCACAGACTCCAGGCTGGAATCCCAGTTTCTCCATTTACTAGCTATGTGACCTTGAAAAAGTAAGCTAACCTCTCCAACACTGTTTCCCATCTCTAATGCGAGGATAATAACAGTTATTACCTCCTGTGGATTTTTAGATGGTTGACTAAGCTAACGCATGTCATATGTTTAGCCTAACACCTGTCACAAAATAAGCATTCAAAAAATAATTTATTTTTAGTTTTTTTCATAAGACAGTCTTGTCCATTGTTGGACAGTTTTAACTGGTATAAAAGTTACTTCTTATCAAACCTTTTTTTTTTTTCTTTTTAAGTAGTAAAGGAAGTATATCGACCCTGGCTTTATTTCTTCCCCAGATTAACCATTATCGACTCCAATTCTTATGTGCTAATGTTTTCATGTCCTTTACCTGGTTGCCTGCTCTGGAAGTCCTCTAATTCATTAGTGTAGTACTTCCAGCCAAGCACAGGACCTTCAGCAGTTTTATGATTCTCACTTCATATTGGCTTTTTCTTACACATATGCATACAGGTACACACACACACACACTCACATGACTCTAGTGGGTACGTTACAAGTCAGTTATCTATGAGGGATACTTAGGATATATCATCCCCTAACATAACACAAAAGCTACAACTTCTGGTCCCTCAAAATCAACTTTTCAGGGACCTAGAAATGCCACTCATCCTGGATAATCTCTAGATTTAGCAGAATATCAAGTAGCCAGGATATTTTTCAAATAGGATGACGAGTTAGTGGGTGCAGTGCACCAGCATGGCACATGTATACATATGTAACTAACCTGCACAATGTGCACATGTACCCTAAAACTTAAAGTATAATAAAAAAAAATAGGATGGTCAGTTTCTGTTCACCTTCACAAGTTTTAACAGAACAACTGGGAGGTCTTAAATTAAGTCAGGGAATGACAATATTCTTCCCCAAGACACTCAGCCCACCACTCAGGGATACCATAGATGGGAACTTGCTGGGAGTCATTTGGCTTTGGAGGTCCTCTATTCTGGAGCAGTTCAAGACCACTGTTGTATGAAACATGTAGAGCTAAGCAGAAGTGTCAGAAGGCCAACATTCTAAAATATAGCCACCCCAGTCTGTGAGACACACCACATTTCCCTATGCTTTTCATGACAATAAACTTGACAGAGGCAGAGTAACTTTTGTGATATTTTTATTCATCATGCTTTTATTCAAGACCCAGTGTGTTTTCTTGGACTTTTAAAGCCATGCACATGTATATCAAAATCTTTTCTTTCTTTTTCTACAAAGCTTATGTTTTATAGAAAAGACATTTTTCTTCTCCTTATTGATCTTCATTCTTTTTTGATAGAATTCTATTTTGGATGTCCTTTGAATTTTATTTCTGTCTTCCAAGTAATAGCAATTCTGTCCAACTTCATGCTTAATTATGATTCTCTTGATTCCCCATTGTCCAGCTCATGAATAAAAGTATTAAATAACTCTTTAAACTCTGATCCCTATGGAATAACACATGTTTTTCTATATATAGATGCTAAAAGCTTAATAATCACTATGTAGGAATCCTAACTTCAGCAAATATAATATTATACCTATACCTCTCCTTCTCTGGCTATGTTCTATGACCCATAAAAGCACTCCATGGCCAGCTAAGTCTGAAAAATGCTGTATACTATAGACTATTCATATTACATTACTATAATAGAAACATTTGAAAAGTCCTACAATAAAACAACCTATTTTACCCAATGTTTCTCAAACTTATTTGCTCCATGGACCATTCAATAACTTTCTATAAAACACTCTTATGGGGACATGCTGAGCTAAACAGTTTCTTGCAGCCTAGCCATAGAAATGTCATGGAGATAGACAGAAAACTGAGCAAGTTCAGCTGTATTCAATCTTTTCCTTTTCTCTTACCCACATGGTCTAATTGTCTTCAAAGAAAGAAAATCAAATTGGTCTGACTTTGACATTATTTGTTCATAAATCTAACTTGAATTGTTACACAATATCTAGGGGTCCTCTGAGTGATGGAAAGTAATTTGATGATTGTTCTATTATTTTCTCTGGTATCAAGTTTGCATTGACCAATTTATATTTTCCCAGGTGTACACATGTATGTGTCCTTATCCAGACAATTTCCTAAGTGCTTTATATACATTAGTCCATTCTAAACTCAAAATAGTCTTACAAGGCAAATACTACTATTTTAATTTTAAACACATGGAATATTGTGATTTCAGAGGAAAAAGATCTGTTTAAGGTTTGCACAGCTAGAAAGGGTTAAAGGGAGGATTTGAATCCAGGTGGGTCTTGACTCTGAGGACTGCACATTGCACTGTATTGCTGATCAAGTTAAATTTGGATGACTTTCTCTGTCCTCCACTGGGATTTAGGCTCCATTTCAATGCCTATTTGAACAAGTCAGTTTTCTCTAAACCTGCCCTCTTCCTTCATCTCTGCCTGTTATTTTTCTGCCTTCAAAGATTCCCCTTCTATTAGTCTTTTAAATCTCCATGTTCCCCACCCCGGCTGTTCTCAGTCTACAATTTTTTCTTGACATTCTAGCCTATTCTTGTGGTTTTAGATCTTAGTATTATTGATTTAGTCGTAATCAACCAATTCTAACTTCAATCTTTCTAATAAATTCAGAAAAATTTTTCAGCTGTCAGTAAAGATCTCAAAGTCAATATGCTAGATACTAAATTCATTTCTTTCCCCTAAAGCATTTTTCTCTTCACTCTATATTGAAATTCTGCTCATTTTTCAAGACTGCTCCTCAATGCCTCATTGAAGCCTACCTAGACTCTCCTATGCAAAATCAATTACTTCTGTCTCTCTCTCAAATATTGATAATGTGTGTAGATTTACAACTGGTCAACTATCTTTAGCCAAAATTATTATAATAATGATAGCTACCATTTATTAAATTTACTACAGGCTTTTACACTTCATAAAGTACTTTATGCTCTTTATTGGTTTAAATCCCCACAATATCCCCATGAGATATGTACTATTATTATCCTCATTTCACAGATAAGGAAATGCAGACACAGAAAGGTTAAGTTGTTCCAAAGTCCCATAGCTAATGTATGACAGAGCAAGATTTAAACTTAGGTCTGTCTCATTATAGGAACTAAAATGTGAGAAATTTAAGAATAGGTCCATGTTTTATTCTTGGTCTTCATCAACGTTTGTGGAATAAGTTTTTTTTTTTTTTGAGATGTAGTTTTGCTCTTGTTGCCCAGGCTGGAGTGCAATGGCATGATCTTGGCTCACTGCAACCTCTGCCTCCCGGGTTCAAGTGATTCTCCCACCTTAGCCTCCCAAGTAGCTGGGATTACAGGTGCCCACCACCACACCCAGCTAATTTTTTGTATTTTTAGTAGAGAAAGGGTTTCACCATGTTGGTCAGGCTGCTCTCGAACTTCTGACCTCAGGTGATCCACCTGCCTCAGCTTCCCAAAGTGCTGGGATTACAGGTGTGAGCCACCACGCCCAGCCCATTTGTGGAATTACTTTTGTGAGTGGATAAGTAAACCTAATAGCCCTGTAATGTGCACGTGGCTACACTGGCTTCCCATTGATATTCTTGTATCTCCTGGAATATGTGGCCTTCACAGGTCACCAGCTCCAACACAAGAGCCTTCAATCTCCTACAGGAGAGACCATCTGAGTTCTTGGAGGAACTTTAATGGGAAAAAGTCTCACTGGTGCTCATGGCCAATCGAACCATCTAGATAGCATATCGGATGGCGGATTTTCACAGGCCTCCCCGAGGGTTATTTACTGCCTGGGTGGCTTGACTACCAGCCTTTCTGGCTCAGAATCCTAATTTTGTCAGCGCAGTAAGAGAGGTTCTTCCACATATGTGTATGACCAAGCTGTAGGCCCAGTGTTGAAAACCGGAATACCAAGTTATTCAGGTACAACCACTGATCTATTGTCTGTGGTCCCTCATCTGACCAGATATGATTTGGAATTCAACATCTTTAGGATTTTACAAAGGTAATACAGTGCACATATATTACAACAATACCCACAGCAGAATATTAGGCAACACCATTTAATCAAACATTTTAATGTTTCTACAGCAAACATGATTATTCTCAGCAACTGGGATGAAGTAAGACTATAAATAATACCCTCACACAAGTTTCAGTACAGTTTTGCCACCAAGTTAATTCAGATCACAGTAGGTCATATTGCAGGTACATGTTGAAAAAAATTTTAATTTTCATAGTTTTTTTTTTTTTTAATTTGAGGGCTGAATAATAAAGTTCAGGGCCTGAAATAAATGGAAAGACAGTATAGAACGGTGGCGATGGGCCTGAATTCTGGTACCTGGACTCTGGGCTCCAGTTTCCTTCCCAACAGACTGAGATGATCTTGGGCAAGTTACTCAGCTTCTATGTGTTTGAGTTTCCTCCATCTGTAAAATCAGCCTGATTATTGACGTCATAGGATGGTCATAAAAATTAAATGAATTAGTACATGTAAGGCATTTAGACAGTGCCAGCCACGTAGTAAGCAGCAGTGCAATTACCTGCTACAGTCATTATCTTTTCCCTGAGACCCAGCACATAAGCAGCAAATTCTCCCCTTGGAGACAGCAGCTATGTAGGGAGATATATTGTGGCCAACTGCCTGTCTATTCAACCACAATATGAAATAACTGTCATGGTGTTCAGATTATTCAAGTCCTTATGGCCAGTGTATTATCTTTCCTGTAATTAAGTCTATGTGCAGAGCCAGATAATAATCAGGAGGTTGCTTGGTGAGCATGGGATCAGGAAATTTGAATGACTTGAATGTTAATAACATCGGGCTGAAACATCCTGACCCATCCATCCTGCCTCAGGGTCAGCCTTCTTCATGCCAACAGGACACTGAAGGTCTGAAAGTTTGCGGGTTACCACTCCCGCTCTTGAGACCATGCTAGGACGGTACTGTCACCATATGTGTCAGGATGCTCCTTTTGTGAGGCTTCCACCTTCTGATTAGCTAGTTCTTCCACTCTTCAGATATGCTAACATGGTAAGTCAGGTTAATGTCACCTCTGTTGAGTCTGCCACACACACTCAGGCCCCAAGCTCTGCTACTGCTATAAGATGACTGTAGCCATTTCTGCTTGGATCATTTATATGATGATTTCACAGCATACATCTTTGAAGGTGATCTTATTTCCCTCACTTTCAAGTTTCTGGGAGACAACTCACTGCATCTCCTATCAACAGCAGTTTATACTAGGGGCCAGGACTGGAAGAACATTGGAAGTAATTCCTCTGCAATACAAATGAATCTGCAGAATGTTTTCTTACTCATTATCTGCGTTTTCTTCAACTTGAAGAAGTTTTTTTGGAGTTAGAATTCCTGATGGCTGCAGTCTGGCTATAAGATCTAGTTACCCACTTGATGGGTTTTTCAAACCATCTATCACAACAGTGGTAATTTTTCCTCTCAATTTGAAGCATGCCAAATCCTTATCCCTTCTGCTTCCTTCCTGATGAAAAGCCGCTGAATCTTCCATTGATTCTCAAAAGGAGTTATGGCACTGTATTAATCAGCTTCTGAAGAGGAGGGTATTTATTTTTGAAATCATCATTTTGACTTCCTTAAGCATAACAGTGTACCCTTAAGTTATTTACTTGGTTGGGGGAGTAGTAAACTTATTTAAAAAGAAGAAAACATCACATTATTATATTGTGTAATTCTACTAGGTTCTCACCCCCCTAATTGCAGCAGAATATCTTTAAAACAAACGTAAGTGGGAGAAGGAAGGGCTGATTGAGGAAAGAATAATTGCAAGTACCTGCAAGACAAGTGCTTTCTCATTTTTTCAGCGTATGGTAGCATAATAGCCCTTTAGCTTACTCAACACGTATGTATTTCTGTGGTTGAAGTGACATTTCTGTTCTAGAAGAAGCGTTATTATTAAAATAGTACTAATTGCAGAAACTTCTGTTAAAACTCATGCACTGGGGCTGAGCGTGGTGGCTTATACCTGTAATCCCAGCACTTTGGGAGGATGAGGCAGGTGGATCACCTGAGGTCAGGAGTTCAGGACCAGCGTGGCCAGTACGGCAAAACCCCATCTCTACTAAAAATACAAAAATTAGCCAGACGTGTTGGCATGTGCCTGTAATCCTAGCTACTCGGGAGGCTGAGGCAGGAGAATCGCTTGAACCTGGGAGGTGGAGGTTGCAGTGAGCCAAGATCAAGCCACTGCACTTCAGCCTGGATGACAAGACTCTGTCAAAAAAAAAAAAAAAACCTCATGCACACCTGTGCTTCATTTCCTCTGCACAAATTTAACAATGCCTCACACAGGGACTAGAAGTTACATGCTCTGATGTTGACTATAAAGGGATGGACTTGGACAAGGCACTTGAGTCTCTTTGTGCCTCTTCTATAAAATGAAAGGGCTGAAGAAGATGATGTCTTAAATCCCTTTCAGCTTTCATTTGTTATCACTCTTTCTGAATTAACTTATCTAGTATCTTTCCTTCCTTCCGTTCTTTTTAATTTACCTGTCATCTCTTTATCTTTCCCAAGTATTTTTGAGGTTGTTCCAGAGATGGAGTTAAGCTAATGAAGCTTAAACTTCAGGATCCCTCACTGAACTCCTTCTTAATTTATATATATATATATATATGTATAATTTTATATTTTAATGTTAAGTTGTTTTTCTTAAAGAGAAGTCACAGAATTGTACACATTTTATGTCCCACAAAGTCTGCACTTGCCCCTGGGTGTGTTAGGAAAAAAGACAAATACAAATGAGAGTATCAAAAAATAGAATTTAAACAGAAGATCCGAGAAAAAGAATAGAAAGAAAATAGGCCAAACATTAAATGCTAAACAGTTTCCCCAGCTGAGCATCAAACTGAGCTCTGAGTTTCATGGAAGGCAAAGTGGTAAAAGGAATTTGTACATTGCCTAACTCTTGTTATAAGAATGTTGCATGTGTTCAAAGACAATATGTATTGTTAATATTAACAATTAATATCCATTAATCCTGAACTCTGAGAAATCTCAGTGGAACACTTTATAGGGGATAAAATCACCCTTTGACCAAAAAGTGATGTTTTCACAATGATAGTAAGTTTCATGGAAATAAGTAATAAATTTTCTGATCCAATATACATTGAGCAACTCTTATGTCATCAGACATTGTCCCAGGCAGATCCAACAGGTGCAGAAGGGAACAAGACATGGAACTTGTGCCCTCAGATCTGTCAGGCAAACACATTAAAAAAATGCAAAAACAAGTTGATAAATTGATCATGGAGGCCTGTACAAAATGCTATGGGATCACAAAGGAGAGAGTAGCTAACTCACATCAGGGATGTGGAGGAGGAAGGAAATAAATAACTTCTGAGCTCAGTTTCAAAGGTAATAATATTCTTTACATGGTAGTTGTCAATTCACAGAGAATGCTAAAAAACTGCCAACATGTGCCTAGACAGTTTTCCTAAGCACAGTCTGACTCTCATTCCTGTGGCTTTTAGACATAGTCACTGTTTGTTGTAAGATGGAATTGCATTCATTGATTCATTCCTCACAAACCCCAAAGATACCCCAGCTTTCATGAAATAAATTGTTGCACTTCATTTCTAGCCCTTTCCGTCTTATCCCCTCAAGTGTTTGAGGAATTTCTCCTGGCTTACCTGTAGCCTTTCTAGTGGATTTATGAGTTTATTCAATTCTTTATCTGTGGAGAACCACAAACAAGGTATTTGGACATTAAAATAAGAAGCATTAGAAAAAAATAATGATATTTTAAAATATAGTAGTGGACATCCCTTGGTGTTCAGATATTTTCAACTTCAAAGGTCTTTATTCAAATGAGCAGTTTAAAAATCTTTTCTAAGCAATTCCCATTTTACAGCAGAGGAATAGAAAAAATGACTCATCTGGCAGCACCTCAAAAAATTGTAAGCCACAAAATGAGGAACAGCCTGAATTTTAAGCAACCAATGTTAGGTAATAGAAAACATCTTAGTGAGAAAAACAGAATCTCCTAATAGCCTCGCTTGGTGAGGTTTGGAAACTTGGAACAAACATTGCTCCCCTGCCCTGGTACTAAAGGAATGAAAAAATTTCTGCATCTTTCCAAAGTATTCAGCTGCAGCAAATACTGCATCAAACAGTCTTGCGGCTTTGTTTTTCATTGTATGGTGCCAAACACCCTGAGATCTCTGCCTTGCATAATGCCTGGCCTTCTAGCACCTTGTAAGTTTGTAAAGACATGAAAAGTCTCTTCCTGCCATCCCAACTTCCATTCTCTTTGATGGATTACAACAGGCAAGCAGTGCGTTGCAATGGAGCAGGATTTTCAATCATGGAAAAATTTGGAACTTCTGCAATTGATACTAAAATTATGATGCTGCCATCATATCTCACTCAACAGAGGATTTGCAAAAAAAAATAAAGATTCAGTATCAAGTCACTGTCACACTGCAGCAGAGGTAGTCTACTGAAGTGTCAGGTCAGGAATTCAGCAGTCCTTTGCAGAAATCACGTTCAGCTTGAAATTCATAGGGTAGAGTTAAAACATGGACATGGAAATTTGGATTTCTAGTTTTGGTTGATCAGTAATTAAGCTGAAGCACTACAAATTCTGAGCATTTAAAATCAAGATATTTTTTGTGTTTCTAATAACTAAAATTAAGACTTCATTCTTTCCAGGGTTTAAAAGAATCAGAGTAAGTCTTAATTTCTTATTCTCTCCTACCCACTAAAAAATAGGAAAATAGTTTTAGGTTTTAAAGAATACAAAGCTAGAAATCTCCGAGCAAGCTAAAATGATTAGTTAAAATAAAACAAGGGCTGTTGTTCAAAGATAAATACTAAAATAGAACCTTAATGATTTTCACAGTTACCACCTGTTACTATACTTCAATGATGTGAAGAACAAGTCTGAACAACTCATTAACAGCTACCGTTTATTGGCCGCACACCATGTGTCAGACATTTTTATGGATTATCTCATTCGATCCTCACGGCAGCCCTATGCAGTAGATCTTATTAGCCCTTTTTCAGATGAGGAAACAGTGCAAAGAAGCTAGCAGACTTGCCTAAAATCACCCAGCAAGGCGGTATAAAGCAGAATTCTCACTGAGTTCTGTCTGCTTTCCATCGCATGCTCTCCTACCCAAATTAGTGGTGAAGATGTAAATCTCTGGCTTTTAATTAACAGCATCTATCATAATGTTGCTTGGTGAATGAGCTATAACAATAATAGTAATCATCGCAAAGATGGACCTAGTACATACTACCTGTCAAGCAATACTCTGAGTGATTTACATCTATCAGTTTATATAACTCTTGCAGCAACCCTAAGAGGTAAAAAACTGAGCTACAGAGGGCATAAGCAACTTGCCCCAAAGTCATGTGGTCAGTGAAAATTTAGGAGTTGGAGTCAAGCATCAGACTCAGAGAGCCTGGCTTCTGAGCCCAGACTATTGGCCACAGCACTATATTGCTGGGTTAGATACAGACTAAATTCATGTCCACATTTATACCAAGTCCAGCCATATTCTGAAATGGCTTCTCTACCTTAGCACAACTTGTGAATTAAAGTGAAAGCTGAAAAATCGATGAAGTCCGTGATCAATATGCACAACCTAATGTATTCTTGAATTATTCTGCTCAATTGAGTTTCTATTACAGAGTTTAATCCACACATCTGACAAGTAAAAGAATAAAAATGATGGTTATATGAAATTAATCAAATAAAATGCCACGTGATTTTCAACAGCTAACACATGCATCTCATAACACATTTTAAAAGGTCTATTGCATATGTGAATATATTTGCACGTGTCCATAGAGTGTATATTTGGTACTCTGTACCCATAACTTAAGCCTGGTTTAATATCTAGTTTGAACCACCTACAAATGTTCATTAACCTTATAGGGAAACACAAAATGTTGGATGTCAAAAGCTTACTTGGACCAGATGCCGAAATGAGTATTAACTTCCCAACTCTGATGAGCCCAGGAGTTCTAGAATGAAACAAAATGGTTTCAATTGCTGGAAATTGTGTGTGTGTGTGTGTGTATAATGTGTATATGCATATATATGTGCACCTGTATTTTGTGTGTGTGCTAATTTCTTAATAGTCTGAATATTATCAAGTGTCAAGTTTCTAAGATTTTTATATTAAGTTAAAGATGTTATGTACTAATAAATAGCTAACAGCTTTTCTTTATTGTTTTCTTTTTCTCCAGGTATCCCCAGTATTTCCAGTATTGGTAGTAAGTAAAAACAAAAACAAAAAAAACACCAAACCAAGTCTAGGCTAGCTTTGCTTTGTTGTTCACCTCCTCAGATCTATTTTCCCAGTGTCCATTTCTGATGTAATAGGGTATTTTCTTTGTGAATTGCATTTTTGTGTTGGTTTTCTGCACAGATCTGGTGAGAACACAGATAAAGTGATTATTTGTGCATAACTCCATGAACATGGCAGTGCTATGACTTTTCTGACTACTCTTAACCAGTGAGGGCTACCTAGACTCAGGTGCAATTCCTTAGATAATCATCATTCAGGAAAAATATAAGTAGTCCTATTTATCCATACTTAGCAACCAACAAACAAATTGAACTCTCTCTTAGACTGGATTTGGATGTCTGACATAATTTTAAAAAGCAGAAAATGAAAGCCAATGAATGCCTTGGGTATATGCATCAGAACCCAAGAAAAAGTCCATGATACCAAGGGAAGGGAATTTTGTTAATGCATTAAATTCTATGTTTTGTGAAGGCCTGAAACAGGCAAATTTGTGATCAGTAGTCTCTCTGGAGAGATAAAGGAAAAAGAGAATCTGTACATTCATTTCTCCTTCCTAAAATACGATGATCTATGTCTTCTTGACTACTTAGCTTTGAGTTTGATATAGAAAGAGTATAAAAAATATGTGCAGAATTTGGGAGTGAGAGTACTAGAAATTCCTTTAATAAATCTGTTAGTATGAATCCAAGCAATTGAAGAGAAACCGCTCTTCAACCATCTGTAGAACACTTCCCCAGTATCACTACAAAGAACTTTCTTCCAGCTATCATGGGAGAACCAGGTGTAGCTCCCGCTTCATGTGTAAAATAATGATGCCCTCATGCCAAGCCTGAAATTCACATTAAGAAAATGCCCAGTAACTTTACAGAGCAAAATTTTAAATTTTTTTTTATACATTGCACCCTTTATCTCTAATGGCTAAAATCTTTGAACAACTACTAAGTAACTGATTACAAATAAATTACCGAGAAAGCAAGATTACGCATGGTAAGCGGAGAGAATTTTCACTGTAGTGTCATCCCCTCACAGGCTTGTGTCATAGGTGCTGTGCCAGGCAGGGTGATCGCAGTGTAAATAGCCATTGAATGATTGCGATTCCCAGCATCCATCTAAAAAGCAATACTCTGATAATTTGGATAAAGCAACTTCCTGCTTCTTATAAATGCACAGTCAGGTGTCCCAATTTATAAATCAACCCAGTTTACTTGAGCTTGTGAATAGGCCTGGACACTGATTTGTTAAGCGCTAGATGTGGTAAATGCCATGAAAATTGGCCACTTTGTAAATAGAAGTAGTGTTCACATCCATTTAGAGATACCAGCCTAATGCTACAGCATCCTCTTTGTGATCTTGTTGAAACAGCATCAGTGTTAAAAACTTGCAAATGAAAACCTTCAGCTCTAATAGTCTAATTTTTCTGCTTTAGTATCCCCCTTGGCATTTGCCTAACTGTATATATACCCCACAATGTGCTCCTTTCAGGCCTTGACAATTGCATTTGCACGTGCATTTTAGTGCAACAGGGAAGCAAGTAGAAGCAAGCTGACACAGATTATTGAGGCTGCTATAGTGATCTGGCCTGTCAGAAGTTTCAGAAATGGATGGATGGAAAAGTAGTTCTTTGGCGTTGGGGTGTCTTTCTGTTTGGAGTGTCAGTTGTATGTTGCATGGCCCCTCTAACTGTACTGCTCACTCGACATCCCATTCGGCCGCCTCCACCACATTCCCCATATCTGAGCATCAGCAGATGTTGACCTTTTACACATCAAATCAGGAAATTTCTGTTTTGTTTTGTTTTGTTTTGTTTTGAAATCAGTGGTGACCTGAAAGGATGCTTCGTTGTGCCTTTGAAAAAAATATATTAACCTTTATTATCGAGAACCTAGGAAAATTTACTCCTAATAAAAACCCTCTGACTAAAAGTGATATTTTGGACTCTCCCTTCAATATGCCTCTGGCTGTTCCGCTTAGAATGCAATGGGTATTTTCTCAGATTTCCAGCAAACAGGATGTAAGAGCTTCCAGAGGTCACCCAACATCACACATGACTAGCTTACCTGTTTCCTGGCTTTTAAGGTAAAGAGTTACAGTAAAACCATCAAACGTGATTGTATCTTCTAGGCTGCTTTAATGGCATTCGAAAGTTCCTTCTTTGTGGGCTTATAAGTTGCTTTTTGCGTGCACTCGTGGATTCCTTTCCCCTCCAAAGGGCAAGAATTCACACGTAGACGACACTGCCTGTTCCAGAGGGCACGGGAATGGGGTTTTCAAGGTGCAAGCCAGAGAAAAGGAAGCTGTTTGGATATTTAGCTAAGTTATGGGTGTTTGCCAGTGCTTTTTGCATTACCCCAAAGAAGGAATCAATGACTATAATTCCACTAACTATATAGAAAGATACCATTATAGCAGATGTAACACCCCTGAGACCCCGATTATCACAGCATAGCTCAAGGAAAATAAATGATGTATATTATCGATGTAGATTATTGATGTATATAACCATCAGTTTACATACATATTCTGTATACACAGTGATTAAAGGTTTTGGGGCCCTAATAAATTTCAGTATAGATCTCAAAATGCCAACGCCTGTATTAAGGTTCAAATGCATGGATAGGGTGGTCATCCTTTCCGATCATCTGCTAAAAATGTTTTTGAAACAAATTTCCCATTAAGGTCATTCGTACCTGCTGTTGTCTATCTATTAACAAATAGGTTTCCCATAATCCTAAGGATACTTGACTTAGAACTCAGTCATTCTGATCTGCTTTGGCCATGGCTGAAAAAATGCTGGTGATATTGTCAGCAATTAATGAATCCCAAAATAAATCTGTAGCCTTTGAGCCTTATGATCTATGTTTTCACTTTACCTGATGTGGTAGGAATTCCTTCAGATTGCATTTTTTAATAAAGTGTATTATGCACTTATAAGTAAAATTCGTGATTTTATCCAAGTGAATATTTGTTGCTGCCGATAATCCAAAGTAATAGTTGTCTTGGTGTGGGTGTTTTTGTTCAAGTGATAAACTGATCATTACCTTCTAATATATATCATATGATCTTTGGTCCTGAAAAGCAAATGATTACACAAATTATGTTAAACATTATATTATAAAAAGCATAATTAGACCAGCAAGAATTGGCCTAATGTGCAAATACATTTGTGTGGGTGATCATCACTTCTTACAAAACTGAATGACAGATGAGTCAGAGGTTAAAGTTAAGCTATCCACAAAACAAAGATCACATCAAGGAAGACCATTTCGAACTCTTGGAGTTTTGAAATAAATAGAATTTTTTAAATAACACAAACAAAAGAAGAGAGATGTACACATTTTGTGAACCTGACTCTAGAGTATTTCCTTAAATTACTTTCAAATGACTGGCATGATGTTATATGAAGCATAGAATACTGAGGAAGGTGTTTGGCTATTCCTCTCCTGTCCCCCACCCTAACTTATTCAATTTAAAACAACAGTTCACTTAAGGGAAATAGCTAATTGTCCTGTTTTATCTTATAGTAAGCAGTGTCTTCATCACAGAGTTAAAAATTCATCTCTAATTTGATGTAATTGGCAAGACCATTAAACAAGGGAAGTGCTACCTGCAGGGATCTGTCAGCCTGTTGAGGAAGCCCAGAGATGTTTTCATACTTGAAAACATTTTATGCCAGTTGGAGACCTGGTAAAAGTTGTTTTCCATACAGCATCCAAATATTTTTGTGCAGTCTTGATTTATTGTAGAAACCTGGATAGTCAAGAAAATAACAAGGTTAATCATTTTCCCACCCAAGAGTTATTAATAATCGCATTCATGTTATACAGAGAGCTGCAGTGTTTGTTTGGGTTTTTTTTTCCCCTTTGCTTTAATACTTCTAAATCCCCCAAATAAAAGTTTCATTTGAATTGCCCTTTAACTAATTAGGTTTTATGTAATGAGGAAAAAATTATCAGGCTAGTGTAGCGATAGGCAAATTGCATGGTGTGCTACATTAATTTTGAACTGTTTGCTGATGTTCTAGAAGGAAAGCTAAGGTCCCAGGTGAAATGCCTTTGGGACTATCATGTACCCAGTATCCTCATCACAGAACCATTTCATATTTGTGTAAATGGCATTTCACATTCATGAAATCTTGTGGTTATCCTAAAATTGAATGAACATTAGGATATAGCTGCCTCTTTAATCCTGAAGAACAAATCGAATATTCCAATGGAGGAGCTGAAATAATCTCCTACTTAAATGTCTTTTTAAAATCCAATAAGTTTGCCAATCTTTATTGACAACAATTGCCCACCTTGAGCAAATTAACTTTATCATGTATTAGCATTTTCCCAGGTGACTTTACAATGTCAAGCCACTTTTTTTTTTTAAGTGTGAGCTGATATCTCTGCCTTTGCCAGTTATCTCTGTGGGGTCAGGAAATTCGTAGCTTAAGCAAAAACTTGCCAAGATCTCCAAAAGGTTTCATTTGATGAGACTTTAGACATGTTAACTATGAATTCCTGTACTGTGCCAGTTACTTCAAGGATGTGGCTATCAATTGAAGTCTTCTTGGACTATCAATGGAGAGCTGTCCAACTAACCATGCCACTGCCTAGGAAAAGTTATTGTAGGGAGGTATTCCCACATGTCTACAGAATTCTGTTTTACAAATGGTGAATCTGAGGTTTAGAGTGGCCACATAACTTGCCCAATGCAGTACAACCAGGAATGCCTATCTGGCTGCAAAGGCTACACTCATAACATTATACCAAGTGGAAGAGATTAGAAAAGAAAAATTGTAGATTAATTGCCTCCTACCCTAGATTTTTTCCAATCCATTACACTGTGCCTTAGAAGACCTGTTGATCCCTAATTGACCCATTTCTATGCAGGGAACTGTAGAGTCCTGGAGAAAAATCAGAGTTCATTTTCGGATTCCTTATTGTGTTGTCACCTGGAGAACTTACAAGCATGGTGTCTGAGGACAGGGATGGAGGACTGTGACCTCCCCCTTTCAAAATATACTATTCCTCTACCACCAAACATCTTCAATATATTGAGGAAGAGGGAAAATGTATAGATGTCAGGTATTTTATAGAACATGGAACAGTTTGTGAAATTAGCTATGCAAATTGTGAAGCATGCTTATGCCTACTCTGCGACAGTAAACCAAAAATTTTTCTTCATCAGGATAGTTGCTTATAACAAAATAAAATTCGATATGCCATCTCAAGGATAACTCTGCCAGTATCACACTAAACTCTGTTTTCCCCATCTGTTTAATGATGGTGTGTTTCTGATAGTAGGTAGTTGCTGCGAAGATGGTAAGATTACCTCCAAGGCTCTGGGGATTTCTCCTGTAGAACTTTGGAGTTTCCTGTGGATTTCTTTTCTTTTCTTTTCTTTTCTGTTTTTTGTTTTGTTTTGTTCATTTTTTTTTTCATTTTTTTTTTCTGAGATGGAGTCTCACTCTGTCACCCAGGCTGGAGTGCAGTGACGCAGTCTCAGCTTACTGCAAGCTCCACCTCCTGGGTTCACGCCATTCTCCCACCTCAGCCTCCTGAATAGCTGGGACTACAGGCTCCTGCCACCACACACGGCTAATTTTGTTTTTGGATTTTTAGTAGAGACGGGGTCTCACCCTATTAGCCAGGATGGTCCTGTGGATTTCTTTCTGGGCATCAATAATGCTATTTCCATCCCAAGTGCGGTGTGTGCTTAAAAAATTTTTTTCAATTAAAAAAAATGCTATTTCCAGATTTCCTGAGGAATGACAGCAGTGACTGTATAAACCCAAAGGGACCTTGTAATTTTATCTCCACCAGATAGTTTCCTCATATGCCAGGGAAGAAGAATGTTTAAGTAAGGTTCACTAACATCCTCACAGCAGTGGCACATCATATCATCGTGGTATCCTGTTTCTCACAGGTTGCCATATTTTAGAACCAAAAATTATGTAAGCATTAGTGTTGTTAGGAAACTTAATAAAAAAGCAACTCATCCACCTCATCATTTTCCGACCAGGCAGCCAAGTCTTAAATGAATTCCCTAAAGCATCTAAATAATGACAGAGCCAGAATTCCAGCTCAATGTCCAATTTCCAAACCAGGACTTTTTTCATTCTACCATGACATTAGAATTGACCTTCTCATTTATATAAATTAAACTAAAATATGAGATATTACATGGTAAACAATAATAGAAAAAAAATCAGAAAACTTTTTCCTTGATGGGAAAGTTACATTTTACAATGTTCTTAAAGGCCATCCACAAAATGACTTGAAAGCTGCTCAGTAAATGCCATGTGTGATAGAAGACAACTTAATATTCTAAAGCAACTCTACCTCTAAAGCTTTCTTGATGTTAATAAACTGTCTTTAGTTTTCTGTTTCAAGCTTGCTTTGCAGCTTGACTCACTGGGACGTCAGCACTAGACAGTCAGGTTTAGCAATTCTATCATAGTTTTCTTCAACTTACAATGCAGTGAGCTTTCCTTGGGTGCAGAAGAGCAAAATATTTCCTTCCAGAGTCCAATTTTTATAACCAAAATCTCCATTTTTCTCATTCATGAAAATTGATTTCAAGTGCGACCACTAAATTGTCATGTAACAGTTTGGGGGTGGGTTCTTAAAAAAATTGGAGAAACTACCTATTTGATTCATATTCTAAGCTGATGTGGTTCTAAACCAAAAGAAATTTAGGAATTACCATTTTCAGATTAAAGGTTAGAAATCAAATATTGTCCACAGTATTACAAAATAATTTGTATTGCTTTCTGAATAATAGTAATTGATAGAGGCCCTAGAATTGGATTATTCTCTAAATTAAGCTATATCTTAAGAGATCTTTTTAACTTATCAGATCACTTGGGTTAAGAACAATTAATACTGAAAAAAATAGGGGAAGACATTATTTTCCTACTTCGAGTCAGTAACTGTTTATAGTACAGCAATCTGATTTTTATTTACAACAGCAACCGCAAATAGAATGAGCTAACATTTACTGAATGCTCACTATGATGCCAAGCAAATATTAACTCATTCTGTCTTGACAACAATGAGTAGCAGACAGTGTCATTATCTATTCCATTTTGCAGATGAGAAAAGCTAGGCACAAAGCAGTTAAGGAATTGTTCAAGTGGTGGAACCGGACTTTTAACCCAGCCTGAGCTCTATTTACATGCACCATATCTTAAATAAATTTATCCTAAATAGATTATTTTCTAGGCTTCCCACAGATACAATCTGAAAATTCAGACTAATAATAGCAACTGAAAGGCATTTCAGATATTTTATTTTTTAAAGGAGGCAGTTGTGGAATAAATGATTTTGGTCTCCATACTACATATGTAGACATAGTCTTTGGAGCCTGATCAGGGAGATCCTCAAGACAAATTCAGTCAATTTTAACAAAGGTATGGAACCAGCATCCTTAAGAAGAAGTGATTTCCATAAAAAGCTATTCTTGAATGATTTGCCATTTACAAGCATATCGTGATCCTTCCCCTCACCCTTATAATAATTTCTCAATTCAGTTTGGGTTTCACCAACAGTCAAAAGGTCCATAGTCAAGGCATGTAGGGATAATTTCCTCATCACACAAGGAATTCTTAATCCACTAGATTCTCCAAATGGCATATGCCTCATACATACAGGCATCACCCTTCCATGAACTTTACTATGATGCTGCTAGGCCATGAGAAAACCACTGGAGTGATGAAATTGTCAGCTGAGAGAAACCTTAGAAATCTCTTATCTGGCATTCCTGTTTTACAGATAAGGAAAGTAAAATCCGGAGAAATTAACAGCCAGATAGCTCCTCAGTGGCGGAACGGGGATCAGACGTGTCATCTTCTGAATCCCAGTGCCCTTTGCCTTGTAACAAAACACCACTCTGAGACATTCATATTGACCCAAAGATTTTCCCTAGTTGATTTGTGAAAAAAAAATGAAATTAATACATTCCACAACAGTTCATACAAAGAAGCAATACAAATATTGTTGACGTATTATAATTCATTTCCATTGCTGAGAATTTTTCTCACTAAGAATTCTCAGAAGCTTCATGTTCTACAAAAACTTTCATTGGAATTGGATGTGATAAGATAGAATTGCTCTCAGACATACTATTAAAGTAGCCTCTAATATGCTTAATTTACTTCTGGGAATTAAATGTTAGTAATATTTGTCGAGCATTTACTACATGCTAAGGTATTAGAATAAAAAGTAAAATTACTCAGAGAGTAATTGGCTAATTTTAAGTTGTTTTCTTACTTGGCCTTGCAATTATAAAACAAAATACATTTAAAAAATTAAGATGAGATATTAACTTAAAAAGTCTCGTGATGGCCAAATGTTAAAATGTATATGTGCAGTCGGTAACACACTATAGGAGTTTAGAGGCCACAAATTTCAATATCCATTTTTACAGGATAACATTTTTCCTCCCAAGGAAGGCAGAGCACATAAAATTTTGTCCCACTGGAGATATGTATGGATTTGATCCGGATTTTCATATGATGGCTGCTGGTGGTTCTGAGTTTTAGTAGTTTAACGAAGTTAGGCATTCTACATAATGAAAATTATTTGAAAAAAAAAAGTCGAATTACATTCCTAGGCAAATACAAAGGCTTCCCCCACCCAAGAAAATATGTTAGATACACAATACAGAAGACAATTATATTCTCAGTAGGAACAGATTGTAAGTGAGGTGTCTATCTTGATAAGTCCATACAGTTCAAGAAGTCTCAGCAATTTGAAAGCAGAATGGCCTACATTAATTTTTTAAATACATATAAGAAGATCCATAAACTGGAACCTCAGCACCCTGTGGGAAAAAAATCATAAAACACTAAGAAAGGAGTTACACTAAAATACAGGCACAGACAAATATTTAAAATATTAGTATATAAAATAAAGTTTAATTTATAGGGTTATTTTTCAGAACTCATTTCTAAAATTGATTTAATATAAAATTATTATCTTTACTTAAATTTCTTGGCAAAGCTCAATAACAAAATAATAAATCATACCAGTACTTGCATTTCATCAAGACAAACAAGTCACTACTTAACATTAAGCTTGCAAACATCACCTCCACTTAAGACCTATATTTGTTTCTGCACAGAAAAAGATGGAGAAAGCTAGTTAACCGAACTAAGATTGTCTTAATCTGATACTAATAATACAAATACATTTTTATGTAAAACCACACCAATACTTTGAAAGCTTTATTAAATAAAACAATTTCTGGGAATACAGACAATATTAATTTCCTCAAAACACAAATTTATAGTTTTTCAAAGCTGATCATCACAGATCAAGTAGGCTTGTCCTATTAATTCAATATCTACCATTCAATATCTACCCATCATCAAAATGCTCAAGTGAAAAGCAACATTCAGTCAATTGACTTACATATTTTGCCTACATGTTACCAAATATGTATTTATTTAATAACACCTGAGTACAGATGTGGAAAATTATTACATTCTTTCTTCATTCATAAATTTTCATAGATATCATCAAGATTGCCTTTGCCTTTGTGGATATATGTATGAGAACACAGCGAAAGAGAGCAACATTTCTGTTGGCTCTATCAGGTCAGCTTTTCTAACAAATATTTAAAAAAGCAAAGTTATAGTGCAAGTCTCTTGTCTTGGAAGAATGCGCTATAATCTAATTATGGAGGAAACAACATGATAATACCTGTTTACAGTAGCATAGCCACTTGGTATCTATTTCTCAATTATCAGATATTTACTGAAGCCCTCTGCAAGGCTTTGCCCTTCTTCAAAGAGATCCAATCCAATTACAGAGATGAGAAATCGACCTATACAATTTTAACTGGCAATATTAAAACTCATGCCTGTCCACATATCGGTGAGAAAACAGGAACACTGGAAGTAACAGGTTACAGAAATTTAGAGCCAAGAGCCATCCTTATGGACCTGGGTGGTACCAAAGGACAACACAAGAGATGTGGTTTTGAGACTGGACTCAATAGATGGTAGGATTTTCATCATAAAATAGCTGCTTTAATAGTCATGCCCATGCACCTTCACAAAAATAGTTTAAAAACATTAAATCCTAGCCTGGCTCTTCTGCCTTCCATAACTGGAAGACACAAATAATACCAAGATATAAATAATACCAGTTCTTAAATTAATTAATGCTTTTATTTATTTCTGCATTGAAACCAATAACTCTAGGAACATATTTTGAGGTAAAGGCATCATGAAAACACATACACACCCATACAAACAAACCTTAAATACAACTGGAAGCATCTTGGACTTTTCTCCATAAGCCAAAACCACCAGTTTTCCCTCTTTCCTTTTCTGAGAAACTACACATATAAAAATAGGAAATATATCCACTCCTTTTCAGAGATAATGGCTCACACTTAAAACATACCCCGAAGAATCTATCATGAAAGACGAATGCAACCAGTTCATATCTGTAAATATAAATTGAGGAGAATGGAATCCTCAGGTGAGAAATTATTTCTTTAGTGTTATCTTCTAGTTTCAGGCACCAGCTTTACATAATGGTTTGGATTGCTGAAGTCCTTATTTGTATTTTTGTGTGTGTGTAAGAACACTCTACCTTATTTTAAAAGTAAATGTGTAGCTTTGGTAGGGAAGTAGCTATATATTTAATGTCCATTCAATGTTTTGGGAATCATCAATTGCTTGCTCTTGTTTGATGTGGGAGTCATGTTTTGTTTAAGTGCATCACAGCCAAGTTAAAGAGCAGATGTGTGGTTTGTGTCTTTATCCATATAATTTTCTGTTTAGACCAAATGACATTATAGCTGAAAATAACATACCCTGATTTTTCCTGATGCGTGCAGATCCTCCAAAGTTTAATAGGATATGGCCGAATATTTCTTCCCTTGAGGTTTCTAACCCAAAACAAGGTAGGAGCATGTAAAATTCCTACGGACATAAAATCCCACATGTTTGGGGGAAAATCCTATATGCCATTTTTAGCACAAAATAAGAGCATTATCATGAATGCTATGTCTTTGAAAGAATCATAATTCAATCTTTTTTTCTAATATGAAGAGTGTCCCAAAAATATTAGAGTGAAAGATGAAGGGGAAAATTAGATGGCATGGAAGTTAAAAAGCCCTTTACCAGATTACATTGAAGGTCAGTCAGTCCCAGGAGAAGCCTAGACTTCTGTTACCACCACAGTGTGGAGGACAAACAAGACTTAAAAATGTGTGAGTGGCACAGGCATCCTTTCAATGTCTTCCTCTTATTTTTAAGTCAACCAACTGGTACCTCAGTTGTACTGAGGGTCTGGGTAAATACATAGAGGTAGTATTGTGACACCTAACAGATCTGTTTTCGCTGACTATTGCTCCATATTGACTTGCAAAAATTTGGAGCAATCTGTCTCTTTCCCTTCCTCCTTTTTCCTGTCTTCCTCCCTCCCTTTAGCCTCTCTCACACACCCTTTCTCACTCCCTGTCTCCTCTCTCCCTCTCCCCGCTACCTCCTCCCTCCTCTCTCTCTCTCTCTCTCTGTCTTTCACATCACAGTAAATTTTCCTTGTTGGAACTTTTCCTTTTATCTTCTTTATCAATTAACATTCATGTGTTCCAGCATTTAGAGCAATCTGTTCTCTTTCTGTCCTTAGAGCAGTAATTATTTTCTGACTCCTAATGTCAAAGAAGAAAAAGAAAAAAGAAAAAAGAAAACAACACTGATAGACAGAAATGTGATTACGCAGGAAGAAAGAGAACTTTTAAAGGCTGAGCAATAAACTTCATAAGCTGCAGTGTAATGTTAAATTTATATTAACATCTAGCCTATAGATATATATAGTCATGTATAAATAGGAATTTATTTTAATATAGTATTGTATTATTTTGCCTTCTTCCTTCTTCAAAAAAAAAAAAAAGGCACATCTTTGGCTTCCACCTTCCTTAGCTATATACAGGATGTTCCTTTTAAACTCTAATGAATACAGATGGAAAAGGAAATGAGCAAAAGGAGGAACCAGGAAATAGCTGCTAAGCAAAACAAAATATATTAGTAATTTGTTGAGGAGTCAAATTGGAAGGGCTGCATTTTCAGTCCTTGATCAGAGTGATGAAATCTAGACTGTCCTAGATACATATATTACTAGCAAATAGAATTATCTTAATCATCTGCTCCAAATGAATTTTTTCAAGTTTCTGCATACATATATGAAAGAAGAAATACAGATCAAGCTTGCCCCTATTAGTATAATTCTAGGAGGATTCAGAAGAGGTTTAGTGGCTTTATTCCTTGGCAAGTTCAATGACAGCATCTTCAGTGAAATGTCACTCAGTATTTCCTATTGAATTTCATAGTTCACAAATTATACAACACAGGCTCTAAGACAACACTTCTCCACAGTGAGTTTTGAGCTGAACAAGATTATGCATTGTTCAAAACCTGAAATAGGCCCATTTAATTATTTTGCTGTGCTGTCTGTGAGAGTCACAGGACAAAACACTTTCAGAAATATCATTATGTAATACCAGTTGCACTTTCTTAGAATGTGGATAATGAGTTCAAATGAATCTATTGAGAAGCAGCACAGTTGAGCAAAGTTCTTAAATTCTGAAATTTTAGCGAAAGGTGCACTTTGTAGCAGAGGCCAGTTCTATGCAGCCATAATTTATCTTGTCAGCATCTGCAAAGAACATCAGGCTCTGTTCTGTTTTGGCTATTTTCACAAGCAACTCTTCATGAATAATTGGAAAAGAAATGGCAGGCAAACATAGAGAGAAATCTCTGCCATTAACAAGCTGATATCATCAAAAAGGTAACAAATGCTGAGAAGGCTACAACTTTTAAAGGTATATGTGTTCAAGATGACTCTGAGATAGGCCCAAATGCTGCTGAATGGCTGACTATTGGGACTGACTTATGTTCTAGGATGCCTAATTAGTTCAACAAAAATAGTCTAAATGGTGTATATGTCGAATAGTTTATCATGACACAGAATGTCATGGTGAACCCAGGCAATGATAATGTCAACTGACAAGACAACTCCTACTTTAAAAGATTGACAGTAGGGGATCCTACTATCCATATTGTTATGGTAACAATCCTTGCTTCACTGGATTCTTGATTTAAATGGTAATGATTTTTCCCTCTGAAAAGAAAACTTCTAAATTGTATTACTGACAATGTTGAACCATTTTCAGCCAAATACAAGCCTTACTTTGTGATTGAAACAAACTCCTAGAAACAACAGATACAAATAGTCTCTTAATTTAGGGCTACTTTTCAAGTGGGTTGGTGATAAGTTATTACAGTTTGAACGTTTCACTATTGTTTCTAATTTACTGTTCATTCTTTTAAACCTATCCAGTTGCTCCCAAATTAGCTTTGTCAACAGTTTCTTCTGTTCAAGTTGCAAACCACAAGAGAGGTAGGAATTCTTGGATTCATACAGTGATTTCATGGTGTTATGTGTTGTGAAACATTGCACTGTATGAATCTGGAATATCTGTGAAGTGTACCCATCAGCTTATTGGTGAGGCATGTTGACTAATATCAATCAATGCATCGAATAGTACTGAGAATCATCTGTAAGAAAAAAAAATGCTTCACTCAGAAACTTGACTGCAATTAAAAATGTTACATTTGTTTTCTGAAAGATTCATGTGTGAATAAGAATTACAATGGTTGAGGTTCCTGTTTAGAACACGAATGTTAGAGCACTATCATGGATACTCACTTGCATTGAAAATAAGGAAACCCACTTACAGTGAGTTTCAAGGATGCTTTTCATGAGACCAGAAAGGCAGGTTCCATGTATGGTGCCCATTTCACTTTGTGACAAATGAAACACCTTGGAATTTATGCTTCCAAAAAATTGTTTCGAATAACTTTGAAAAACACAAGTGAAGATCTGCACTGGATTAAGTGTTGCTTAGGATCCAAAAATAATAGTTATATTACTTTGTTTAAATGAAAGTGAGCAGCATCTCATCTGTGACTCATGAATGGCCCATTCCAGCTAGCATCTGTCATTCACAGAATGAAGATTTTTCAGGAAACATGAAGACTTCTGTTTTTATTTCACCATTTTTTCTTTAAATGTCCTGTGTAACAGGTGTGTCTTGTTTTCCACCCTTGACTGTTGGGCATATGTCACGTTTTAGTTTTGTTTTTTGTTTTTTCATAAAACACCTCTTACAAAGAAATGCATTTATTAATAAAATCTGAACTTAGTTTGACCCATTTGGTGAAAATGACCATAATGTTTTCCTATTCTTTATTGAATTTAGTCATTTCCTAGATTTTAATCAATGTTGAATTTGTCCTTCCATGGCATATAGAGAAAAAGTGGAAACTGGTCAGGAAATGGGAAAAGGGAAACCAAGAGTATTTAAACCATATGTCAAAATTTTCTCAAATGTGCTTTTAACCGTGGAACATAGAAGATGCCAATTTGGGTTGAGGGGAACCCAATTAGGTTTGAAATTTTTGGAAATAAGTCCTGTATGAGAAGAGCAGATGCAGGCTCAGAGGGTAACAAATCAATTTGGGTATGTGGTGTGTCATATAGGCAGTCACTGAAGCCATCATAGGGATGCCATATGGAAAGAAACAAAGGAGGTGAAGGAGAAAGGAAGGAAAAAGCACATGCAAAGTTCATCTCTTTTCTGTCATGTCAAGCATGCTAGATATATAAGAGGCCTCTGAACCTGGAATTTGAACCTGCATCTCTAGTTTCTTGAGGACACAGCACCAATGAGGTCCAGACACATTCCTGGGGGCAGGGAGAAGCTACCCAATGAGGTAGACTTACCAGAGACAAATTCACATCATCGTCAAATGATATGTGTGGAAGAGCTTCAACAGCTACATAAGGATGCAAGACAGGATGGTGGGTGGGGAAAAGACAAGGAAAATGCTAGAGCCTCTTAATTCCCAGAATCACTCCATTTAATGCAGTGAAGGGAAAATTCTTCTTAGAGTTCCAACTCCTTCACCTTTGAGGTCTTTTTCTCAAATTCTTTCTTTTTGAATGTCTAAAGTGAATTTTAATCAGCTCTGGATTTGAATTAGCTTTCCTCATTTGGCCAAAAAAAAATCTACCTGTTCTAATTGTGCCACATTCATTGTATTTTATGTTATATTTACAGAGACAATTTACTAATGTAATTATAGGCAACATGGGGAACAGTAAAAACGAGGATGCAAAGGAGAAATTGAATCCCCTCCTCTTAGTAACATTCTTTTTCTTTCATTCTCTGTGTCCAACCTCTTGATTTCCTGGAAATCTCATCTGCCCAGGTCTTCCCCAGCCAGTGTCAGTCAAAAGGAACCTTTTAAACCTTAGAGGGGACTTGGTCCTTTCCTTATCTAGAAAGTCAACTTTGAACCCTTCCCCTTGTAAAACACCTCTAGCCTTCATTGCTCTTAACTGTCTAGGTACTAAGTACTTTATCACAACTGCCTTCTATGTTTCAATATATCATATATATTACACATATATAGTATTTTTTCTATCTTCCCACTAGAAGAATAGTACTCAATGGGGATGTGGGTGGATTTTGCCCCCCAGGGGACATTTGGCAATGTCTGGAGAAATTTTTGTTTGTCACAGTTTGGGGGTTGCTACCACATCTAGTCATCTAGTCCGTAGAGGGCCCAGGGATGCATCTGAAAAGCCTACAATGCACAGGACAGCCCCATACAACAAAGTTATTTGGCCCAAAATGGCAATCGTGCCAAGGTTGAGAAACCCCACACTAGACTCTGAAGGCCTGGATCGCATTCCCTTTGTCTTCTGGTACATGATGGCTGTACGTGGTACAGGGTAGTTCTCAATAAATATGTGTTGCCAATGGTTGCCATGCCACATTGTGTATACATACAGCTAAAGACCCCCTTTAGCTTTGCTTATACAACAGTAATAAAAGTTGTCTGAAATGCAATTTGACATTAAAAACTATATAAAACCACAGCAATTTTCAGAAACCTGCTTTTTCTCTGCCTAAGCTGATCTGTTAATAGACATGTAGTGAACTCTCAGCTAAAATAATCACTAACTCAGCTGTAGCTTGTTCTGTGGCTACTGTTTTTCTAAACTCCTTAATATATAGGATATAGCCAGATTCTCTTCAGGAATTCAAACGATGAAGGAATGAATTTAAACATAACTTTTCTCTATCTTCCTCTGTTCCCCAAAGGAAGGGGTCTCAGGATCATCATTCATTCATTCATTTGACAATATTTTTTCAGTGCTTAGTGTATGCCAGGCAATATCTTAAGTTCTGTAGTTATAATTGTGCACAAAACAGACACAGTCTGCCCTTGAATATTTACACTCAGAGAGGGAGAAATTATTTTTGCATATACTTTTTGAATATTATAAATTCTATGAAAAAATATAAACAAGATTAGGAAATTGAGGGATTAGGGAATGTGGGTGGGGCTATTATCTCAGATTAAATGGTCAGAGAATTTTCTTTGAGAAGATATTTTAAAAAGAAATGGGGAAGCAAATAATGGAGATGTCTGGGGGTATTCCAGACCAGCAAGTGCAAAGGCCCTGGGAAGTGCTTGGTGTGTTTGAAGAGCAACATGGAGGCACTGTGCCATGAATTAGGAGGTGAGTGCTAGCAATGAGCCCCCAGGGAGGACAGGGGCCAGGTCACTAGAGAATGAATGAACTCCTCTTTTATTCTGAATAAGATGTGAAGCCATTAGAATGATGAGCAGAGGCATGTCATGACCTCACTAAAGTTTTGAAAGAGTCACTCTGTCTGCTGTGTGGAGATGACATTATCACAAGGGTTGAGGCCAGAAGAACAGTTTGGGGATGATGGCAGTAATCCAAGTAAGGGCTGATGATGCGTCTGAGGAAAAGGTGGTAGAGATGGTGAGAGGTGTAGGCTAAGCAGTTGGAGGAATGGAATAGTCATGTAGTGAGATGGAGAAGCCTGGGTGAGTAGCAAGTTTAGGAAGGCAACCCAAGAGCTCAGTTTTGAACAAGTTAAAGTTGAAATGTTTATAAAACGTCCAAGTGGAAATTCTTGGAAGGCAGTGGCACACAATGGATGACTCTGAAGGGAGTCTCACTAATTAATTGGGGAGTCAGTCCACCCTGGAAATAACTATTTTGGAATGGCCTGCATATAGACCATGGGGTTGGGTAAAAATCATCTAGAGTGAATGTAGAGAACAAAGAGGTCCAAGGATTAAACCTTGAGACATTTGAAGAGATGAGGACAAAAAGCAAAAGAGAGAAAAAAGCAATGATGGGTAAGGAAGAAGAAGAATCAAGAGACTGTGGTGGCCCAGAAGCCCCTGCTTCAGGAAGGATTACCAGGCAGATCTGGGGACCCCATTGAGGTTTATGGTCATGAACTTCAAATGAGACTTGTTTCTAAATGGCTGGAGAAAAACTAGCCACATTTAGCTACTGGGATATGAGCATGAAGAGATGAAAAGTTGAATTAAAAAAAAAAATTAGATTCAGGGGGTACATGTGCTTGTGTGTTTCATGGATATTACATGCATAATGGCCGGGGATTGGGCTTCTAGTATACTTATCACCTAAATATTGGATTTAGTAATTACCAGTAGGTAATTTTTCAACCCTCAAACATCCCCCATTTTAGAGTGCTCACAGTCTATTTTTTCCATCTTTATGTCCGTATGTACCCTTTATTTAACCCCCACTTATACATAAGAACATGCAATATTTGATTCTCTGCTTCTCTGTTAGTTCACTTAGGATAATGGCCTGCAGCTCCATCCATGTTGCTGCAAATGACATGATTTAATTCTTTCTTATGTCTGCATAGTATTTCATCATGTATATGCACATTTTCTTTATTTAATCAACCATTGGTGGACACTTAGGATGGTTTCATGACTTTGCTATCATACATAGTGCTGCAATAAACATATTACTGTAGTTGTCTTTTTTATATAATGATTTATGTTCCTTTGGGTAGATACCCAGTAGTAGAATTGCTGGGTCAAATGACAGTTCTATTTTTAGTTCTTTGAGATATCTCCATACTGTTTCCCATGGAGCTTGATCTTATTTACATTCCCACCAACAGTATATGAGTATTCCTTTTTCTCTACATCCATGCCAGCATCTCTTGCTTTTTGACTTTTTAATTACAGTCATTTTGACTGGTGTAAGATGGCACGTTAGTGTGATTTTAATTTACATTTCTCTGTTGATTAGTGATACTGAGAATTTTTTCATGTGTTTGTTGGCTACTTGTATGTCTTCTTTTGAGAAATGTCTGTTCATGCCTGTCCCAGTTTTTAATGGGGTTGTTTGTTTTATTCTTGTTGAGTTATCTGAGTTCCTTGTAGATTTTAAACATTGGTCTTTAGAGGCATAATTTCTAAATACTTCTCCCATTCTGTAGGTTGTCTGTTTATTCTGTTGATTATTTATTTTGCTATGCAGAAGCTTTTTAGTTTAAGTCCCATTTTATTATTTTTGTTTTTGTTGTATTTGTTTTTTCGGTCTTCATTATAAATTCTTTGCCTAGGCTGATGTGCAAAAGAGTTTCTCCCAGGTTTTCTTCCAGGATTTCTATGGTTTCAGGTCTTATATGTAGGTCCTTAATCCATCTTGAGTTAATATTTGTATAGGGTGAGATAGAGGTTCAGTTTCATTTTTCTGCATATTGCGAGCCAGTTTTCTCAGCACTGTTTATTGAATAGGGTGCTTTTCCCCATTGCTTAGTTTTGTCCACTTTATGGAAGGTCAGAGGTTGTAGGGTATGTGGCTTTATTGTTGGATTCTCTATTCTCTTCCATTGATCTATGTGTCTATTTTTGTACCAGTACCATGCTGTTTCAGTTACTATAGCCTTGTAGTATAATTTGAAGTCAGGAAATGTGATGCCTCTGGATTGGTTCCTTTTGCTTAGAAATGCTTTGGCTTTGGCTATTTGGGCTTTTTTTGGGGGGTGGGGTTCCATATGAACTTCAGGATTGGTTTTTCTGATTCTGTGAAAAATGACATTGGAAATTTGATAGGAATTGCACTGAATTTTAGATTGCTTTGAGTAATGGGTGATTTTAACAATATTAATTCTTTCAACCCATGAACATGGGAAATTTTTTCATTAATTTGTGTTGTCTACAATTTCTCCTATCAGTGTTTTATAATTCTCCTTGTAGAGATGTTTCATCTCTTCTGTTAGCTGTATTCCTAGGTATTTTATTTTATTTTGGGGGGCATGTAAATGGGATTGAGTTCTTAATTTGGTTTGCAGCTTGAATATTATTGGTGTATAGAAATGCTACTGATTTTTGTACATTGATTTTGTATCCTGAGACTTTGCTTAAGTCGGCAATCAGTCTAGGATTCTCCTACAGGATCTTTTGGCTTTTCTAGGTATATGATCATGTTGTCAGCAAACAGAGATAATTTGATTTCCTCTTTTCCAATTTGAATGCCTTTTATTTCTTTCTCTTGCCTGATAGCTCTGGCTAGGACCTCCTGGAGAGTTGAATTTAACCAGCATCAACTTTTAACTGGGATCAAGATTTCCTTATAATTGGAGGGTGGAAGGCCAAGGGAGTATATAAAAGGAAGTGATTATAAGGATTGGACTATGGATACTATATAAGAAGAAATGGGAGGTCATGGGAGGTCAGTGATTTGAAGAATCAAATAATTATTAAACTATTAATATCATCCCTTCAGAAACTTAGTAGGATAATGCAACTCAAGCTGTACCTTAATAGGTTCTGTGCCTGTGTGGAAAGACCAGGTATTAAAAAGTAGGAAATTAACAGAACACCAGAAAATAATATAGCAGTTTAAGAGTCATATTTGAAATACTTTGCATTTATATAGTACTCTCATGTTTTTCAAATCACTTTCAAAGATCTGTTTCTTATTTTATATTCTCAAATATATTATGGCCAGAGATGACAGCTTTATCAAAGTCTCAGAAGAGTACTAGAAGTCTTAAAAGAATCAAGTTATTATTACCCATTTTCTACATCATAAAACATTTTAATGCTGATAAAACATTTAAAGTATCCAGTTATCATTTGAAATAAATTTATACTATTGCATGTTTAGCTGAACATGATTTCTTATACAATTATTTATCATTTCCTTTCTAAATTAATAAATTAGTTTTTAAACAAGACCCATAAATTGTTAATGTCCCCACAGAAATGTGTACTATTCATTAAATTCTAATAATAGTAGTGATAATATCACATTTAACATTTTTATAGAGATTCATGGAATGGGTCTTAAACTGTTGAACTTGGGTATCTTACAGATTTGGTTTTCTTACTCAGATAAAGTTTTATCAGGTAGATTAAAGCATGTAGTTCTGGCCATTGGGCAGACTCTACAGAATCCTTTAGGTACCCACAAAGGAACCATAGTATGAAAAGTCACCAGCCTTATTCTCTACATTTCCCTAACTTCATACCTTTGCCCACTCTTTACTCTATTACTTTCACCTAAAATGCTCATTCCCTCCTATTTTGTTTTGTTTTAATAAACTCTACCTGCCCTGAGGAAGATTCAGAGTGCACATCCTGTAGGACATTTTTTCTAATTCTCCTCCTGTTAAATGAAGTTCTCCTTCTACTTAGATTGCTTTATGTCACTGTTTTTTCTCTGCACATACTATTTTTTTCTGGTTATCTGAGCATATGTTTTCTTATTTACTAAATAAGCTTCCAGGCCACAAGCTTATATGTAGCTGTAGAAAGCTCCTAGATGAATTTTTGCACATAAAAGATGCTTTTGAACAAAGCTCTATTAATTAAATTAGATGTACCAAGAACCAACCCGGGTTAGGGAACATGAAGAAGAACAGCCAATAAGAGACCTCTTCCAGAGGAGGCGACCCAGGGGCAGGGCTGTTATTGGCCCTCCTCAGGAATTCCAGGCAGTTCTCAAAAAGTCCTTGGGAAGCAATTAGGTTTGAGAATTGGGTTTCCTTCCTTCAACCACTGCTCTCAAAAGGCTCTAGTCCTGAAAGATTGTCTTTATTTCAAACTCTCAAACATAGAAGGCTCTAGAAGCTTTTCTGACTCCCTCAGAAGTCAGTAATGCCAGTATAAACAAGGCGTAACTCTGAGCGGTACAGAGGATTGGTGGGAAATGCTTGTTGTTTTACAAGAGATTTTAATTTAGTAATCTGTAACTCTATGATTATTGGTGGTAGTATTATTATTCACTTGGCATGCCTTTACTACTAAATTTATATGGATATTTCCTTACACTGTCTCCTACATTGGAGTCTCAATGCCACCTTCTCCCAGTACTCTCCCTCTCCTCCATACTCGCCTCCCCTCTGACTTCTTCCTGTCCTCACACTCACCCTTCTCTCCCTGTTCACGTACACATGGTGATACAGCTCACCTCAAATAAACGAAGTGGTTTGGCTTCAGCATCCCCCCTTTCTTCTTGCCTCTCTTTTAGCAACTGGGGTCCCGAAGTTGCTGACACTGTTTCTGGTTATCTTCTACTCTTCACCATTTGAGTATCCTCCTCTGCTTCTATCCAAATTTGATTTCATTCCATCAGGACCTTGTTATCAGCTTCCTATTGTAGTAACTAGCTCTCTAACAAATGAATATGAACTTTTCTGATGAGTGGTAGCATATTAATTTTTTTAAAAGTTTAAAAGTTAGCCACCTCTTATTATTATTTACTTGACAACACTTACTCATTTTTACTCTACTCATCAAAATATAATATTTGAAAAATTTTATATAGGCCAAAATAGTAACTCAACACCTAGCCAAGTTCCTGACACATAGGTAGACCAACTCAATAAAAATATTTATTGAATGAATGAATGAAAGAATGAATGAATGTGTTCAAATAATGACTGTGCTTGGCTTTCTAGTGGGATAAAATAAAAGCAAGACAGATATTGATGCAAGAAATATTTTTAAACAAACAAAATTTGCAGTATCCTGGCTGACCTTCCTTATAAATGTCCAACTAGGCCTACCCTCATATTCCATGAAGACAAAACAGATACCCCACCTAGTTACCACTCACACTTTTGTGATAATTATTTCTACCAACAGAGACTTTGTCATTATCATTTATTTTTAAAAGGTTGAATTGGATTTACAACTTCTTTCTCTAGTTGAGATGCAAGAAAGAAGAAATCTAGTCACCCTCCACCCTTCCCCAACTACTCTCATGCTCTTCTTCATCTCCCTGTCTAGTCATTACCACCATCACTCCTAAGCCTCAGAGACACCTCTAACATTTCAGAGAAACCAAGGAAAAGAAAGGTGGGGTTACAGTAGCTACCTAATTCTTCTTTTGTAGCAAACTATTCTTGAAACTTAAGAGAAAAGGAGGGAATCTTAAAAGCACCTTTTCGCACAAATTATCTCCCTGCTTTTTTTGTCTTCTCTCACACATATACATACAGATTTGGTCTGAAGAAAGGCTTAAGAAAGCCATCTTCTCTTAGCATTGGGGAAAAACAAAAATAAAGAATTGTTTAGTTGTCTAGAACTCTATTAAATTTGCCATGATGTATATGAAACCCCGACTGAGTTGCTGTCTTGGCATGATGTCAGAGAGCTAAAGGAGCCATGGTGATGGTACTTAGACTCTCAATGCTCACACAGTCCCCTCTCACTTTTTTTAAGGCTGAAAAGATGAAAACAAGGGAAATGGTGCAAAGACACTAAAATTCTCCATCTGCAAAAAATAAAAATAATAGACTTTTTCATCACTAGAAACTGAGGCTTCCCAAATTTTAAAAGGTGTACACCTGCAAATGCTTCTGTTCATTTTGTCTGCCAAGAATTAACAATCTTCAGTCTTGTTCCGAATGTCCGACCTTTCTATCCTGCTTGAAACAGATGCTATTTCCGTGCCAGTCACAACCACCTGTTGCCACCATGTGTTGTGTTGAATCACATATATGTAATGCCATTCCACCGTCTTTTCTCCATCCCTCATTTTACCCAAGCATGTAGTATGCTATTACTCTGCTACTGTATACACTCTGTATACATTTCTGTTCTTCCTTGCAAGATTGTGAATGCTTCGGCCACTCCAATCGATGCAGTTATATCGATCTGCTAAATACAGTCATTTGCGTGAGCTGTAAACACAACACTAGAGGGCAGCACTGTGAGTTATGCAGGCTGGGCTACTTCAGAAATGCTTCTGCACAACTGGACGATGAGAATGTGTGCATAGGTCAGTTCCATTACAATTTCAGCTATTCTTCTGTGCCTTTTGAGCTACGGGGAGATATTTAGGGTGGAGAGGCTGGCGATTTGCACCGCGGTTGAGCCAGAATGAACTTTCTCAATGTAGAAAATATCCTATGGTAGATTTCACTTGTGATTTCACTTGTATTGGTTGAAATCATAGTTGGGGGATATACTTTGAACCCTTATGTTGTTGCTTTAAATATGATGATCTCAGAAATCATGTTAAAGAAATTAAGAATTTTCTTTCTTCCCGTTTTTTGCTTTTGTATGAAATTGTAAAACCTGATGATTCTGAACTGATCTTATAGCCTTAAACTTAAGGCTATACATTCAACTTTCAAAATAGAAACTCATTATATGCGATTTAATTATAGATATGAAAAATTAGGGTACAGATTCTTGCATATAATTGGTGATCAACGAGTATTGATAGATTGAAAATGTTGCTATTTGAGATTGAAAATGACTAGCAACTGGAAATGTAAAAGTTTGTCTGACTTCTTCATCCATAGCAATGAAATTCCATTTATTGAATTTTCCTACAGCTCCCAAAAAGGAGGAGTAATTTCTCAAAAGTATTCTAGGCAACTAATTATCTTAGCCCTGGAAAACTGCGTCCACAGAGGCCCCTGAGCACTTTCCCTTCCCTCCCCACCAATGACTACTGCTCTTGGCACCTAGGGAGGACCAGGCACCTTTCCCACCCAGAAAATCTCCTACCTTTTACATAGTGAAACCTGTCTTTAAGAATATGGGGGTGCCAATGGAAAAATAAGAAACAATAAATGGAATTTCACTTCATAATTCACTCTGAAGCAATGCATATATTTGAAATGCTGAAAAATATATGTGTAGCCATTACCACACCAGTAGGTAGCTATATAGGCACCCAGTTTTAAAGGTAGACTTTTTCACATTGAGGTACGTTCAATAGGATACACAAGCTGAATAATGACAAGCAATCTTTTTATCAAGAAAAGAAATCCAATTCGTATTTCTGTGATCATTGTCCTCTGATTGGATCGTCAAGATCCAAGTGTCACAAAAAAAAGCTGTTGAGTTGTTTTTAATCAAATTGGGCCAAGTATATATAATACTGTTGGTGTCTACAGTACTTTCTGTATTTCAGAGCATCTCCTTATTTATTATTTGTCAATTAGGAGAGAAAGTACTGGACTTAGAGGCCAGAAAGCTAGGCTCAAATTTCCGTTTGCTAGCTCATGGCTGTGTGCCATAGGTAAGTCATTTGAGCCTTCTAGTCAGAAAAGGATAAATGGGATGCACAGGAAACCCTTGGTCAACTGTGAACTGGCTTGCAGATGTCTTGTTTTGTTTTTACTTAATCCTCATTAACAAAACAGTGGGGTAAGTATTACACTAATTGTTTCCCCTGTCTTGTCATTGAGAAAAGTAAGGCAGATTGACCCAAATCTTACAGCAAAGGGTTTCTGACTTCAAAGCTTAAACACTTTCAACCACTGACACAATTAGCAAAGCTAAGCTTGTCAGACTTTTACTTATGGTATGTGTTTTGGATGACAGCAGCAATTCCACTCTGAGTTTATGAACAGAAGTTCAATTGTCTTCATAACACTTGGGTTACAAAGATTTGAGGATATTAATGAAAACCAAAAGACATGTAGTTGTCTGAATTTTGAAGGCAGAGTACATTTTACTGAATGTCATTTATAAAAATATATAAATGTCATGCTATAGATAGGTAAACACCAGAAAAACTAAAATAAATAGGAACACAGGATAAAAAACCTAACCATTTTTACATAAGATTAAAATGTTTTATAATATTTAATATGATTTTAAATCAATCTAAAAAAGTCCTTAAAAGGAAATATTTTATTCCATAAAATTTCTCTTATCAGGTAACTTAACAATATCACAATATATTTTATTCAGAGTATTTTATTATTATGAAGTTTGGCCTTTTTTCCAGTTCTGAAGTAAACTGTGAACTCCACATCTGCTTCTTTCTATCCAGTTTTAAGAGGTATAGTTCAGTTGTAAATCCATATTTGATTATCCACAGACTAGAAAACAATCCATTCAGTGTCTGTCTTTTAAATCAGATAAACTACAGAAGAAATATGAAAAAGATATCAATTTTGTATTTATTTTTACTTTTAAAAATCAAGAAGAGTTTTCCTCTCCATTTCTAGAAAGTTTATTAATTAAAATTATAAACTTTTGGAAAATTCCATTTTATCGAGGTAAACCTGTTTCTATTTAGTATTTTGTACTTGAAACCAAGCGAAGTACTTGGTGAACACAAAGGAGTGCATTCCTAGGTACTATTAAAGTTAGCTACATTAGGCCAGGTGCAATGGCTAATGCCTGTAATCCCAGCACTTTAGAAGGCCCGGGCAGGTGGATCACTTAAGGTCAGGAGTTTGAGACCAGCCTGGCCAACATGGTGAAACCACATCTCTACTGAAAGAGATAAAAAATTAGCTGAGCGTGGTGGCCTGTGCCTGTAATCCCAGCTACTCAGAAGGCTGAGGCAGGAGAATCAGTTGAACTCGAGAGGTAGAGGTTGCAGTGAGCTGAGAGAATAGCGCCACTGCACTCCAGCCTGGGCTACAGAGCGAGACTCCATCTCAAAAAATAAAATAAAATAAAAAGTAATATTAGCTAGATTGTTCCCTCACCCACCATAATTTCTTAAATTATTGCCCTTTTCTAAAGAAGAAAATTGTGTTTCAAGAATGAATAGAAAAATTTAGCTAGCTGATAGGTACTAAGGTCTATCTTTTATCTGTAGTGCTTATATGCACACAATGAATTAATAACAATTTCCTTAAAAAGCTGTAGATTTCACTTACCCTGCTTGAGGCGCTGAGGACAGTGGTACTGGGGCTGCCTGTGCACTAGGCTGGAGTTTGCCCTCTCAGGGCCGTTGGAAGCCTCTGGCTCCTTTGCTAAGGTTTGCCCTATGAGACAGCATGAACCTATTTGCTATTTTCCACAATTAAGATTCCTAAAGGGCTTGCGGCAGGACTGTTAAATTCGAAAGGATACATCACAAGTAATTGAGAGTTAATCTTAATACCATTTTGTATAGAAAGCACTAATGAAAATGAAGGGATATTTACCCCATTCACTTTCACAGAATAAGGCACTAATCTTGGAAACTTTGAACTTCATCTAAGTCTCATCTACATTAAAAATAAAAAAAGAACACTTTGCCAATTCTTTAACAACTGACAATAAAATTCACCACCCTTGCTGTAAAGGAACAACTCATATCTTTGACAAAATGTAGGCTCTGTGTGATGAAATAGATGTTGTAAAATACTTGCATCATTTTATATTATGGCAAATATAAAATGCAGCAGGCTATTCCATGTTGCCACAGTGATTGCTGCTTTGTAATTACTGGTGAATTTGCCCATTTTTTCTACAAATTCCAAACACAGCCATGTCTCCAAAGATACATGTAATTACCCTGTAATGACATAGCAATTACATGAAGATGACATCCTTGCATGCTTCTGTTTCATGTAAACTTGAGCATTAAGCAGGAAGCTAGAGGATATATGGTTTGTGACCCTGAGTAATCACTGTTAATAATCCAGCTGACAAGCTTTGCATCACAATGAAACAGAGCTCAGCAGCTGCTGCTAAGCATTTCTTAAAATTATGATGTATAATTTTTAATTCCCCTTTGAAACCCATGGTTGGGTAATCAGAGGTACCTTAAATAGAATAAGGGGAACATAAGACACTTTTAATACCTGTAAATCAATTCTAGTATAACTTTTAAATGAAGCACCCCCTGCCAGGTATTTTACGTTGCTTTGTAATCTAACAGTCCTGCATGTTCTTCCTAATTTCATGGAATAAAATATGATCCTCCAAGACTCTTTGCATTACTCCAATATCCACCATTGACCATCATTCCATAAATGACACTTTTAAAAAACTGAATTATTTGTTACATAAGGTGAAGGGAAGGCCACACCCCTTCTTGTCCTTTATTTTCATGACTGCAAAACATTACACTTACCCACATTTTCCTATGACAATGACTGGGATATATTATGGTTTAAATGTTTTACTGTTTTGTTTAATTTTGTTTACATTTTTTGCCTCTAAAATCTTATATTAATTAATGGTCATGGGCTAATTGACTGGAGGAGTATGTGAATTCACGTTGGCCAGATGTAACTCTGCTTACTGGCTTACAAAACATTGGTGATTTATTGTCAACTTACACACTTTAAACAGTAAAAAAAAAAATTACAGTTTCGATATAGGTACAAATTTATAATGTGCCTATGTACAGACAAACATTAAAAGCTTTCACAAAATTAGTATTTTAAAATATTTTTAATCTGCTTCCATATACACATGCATATTAAAATAGAAAATGTTAATTTAAAATAAAACTCTAGTTGTTAAGTACAAACTAAGCCAGGCAAGGAGAGAGCATTTTAGAGTTTATTAAGTTTTATTTTTACCTACATATATAACTATTCATCATATAAATGTTTGTTTTATAAGAATGCTGAACTCGAAACCTGACTTAATTAGCATAAAATAAATCATAATTCTAAGGTACTCCACATTTATTTGAAGAATAATTAGTGTCTGTGACATAAACTTAGAATCAAACCCCTAGACCCATCTATAAGGCTAAACCCTGAATCCCCATAGCAAATCTAATATGCCAAACTTGATTATATTAAACTAAATTTTCAAGACTTCTCTTGGTTAGTTGGATGGTATAGTTTTATTTGGTTTTTCATGAGGGAACTGCTTAATGTACCCATTTTTAAATAATGGAAACTGAGAGGCACAATAACTTCCTCAAAAGTATTAGAAGAGTAATGAGGAAAGAAACTTTAGCTCACAGTACCCAAAAGCTGCCAGCTACCTGCACTATCTTTCCAGCTAATAGAAGCCTAAAGGATATCCATTTCTGGTTCAAGCTTTAAGCAAAATAGAGCTTCAGAAGTAAAAATATCCTATATAAGAATGTGTGAGGAATCAAGAAAACACTGTATTCACCTTTTATTGTGCAAAGCTGTATTGTCCTGCCAGCAGACATTATAATGAAAAATATACATCTTAAATTATAACTATGTTGAAAATTATTTGGGGTTACAAAGTTTATTTTTCTTTCATGATTGTTAAGCTGGGCTGCATAAAAGCTGCATTAATATGCCTAGCAAATACAACATCTAAAGGCTTATCACAAAATGGTATATGCATGAATAAGTTAAGATGCTGTCCCAAATCATAAAGTAAAACTACCTTTGAATGAGCAAAGTGCATTCATATTGTACTTTTAAAATGTTCAGCAGTTCTCAAATATTGAGTGCAATGGCTAAGCCCATTTGAATAATTTAAAACACATTTTACACTGATGGCATATTGATTTATCCTTGATATACAAACTTCTCATGGTGTTTATTAAACCATCTAAAAATATCCTAACAAATGGAATCTCCATTACGATCTGTTACCAGTGAAAAGCATGTCTTATTTCCTTGGAAGTTTTCAGTTGATTTCCTCCCATATCATAAAAATGATATCATGGAAGGCTAAGCGAATAAATAAATGGTTGTGAAATAGCCATATTTGCCGAAGCATTTCATTAATGGACATCTTTCTTTAAGTAAGTGATGCATTTAAGTACGTGACGCTCCTGTGTTGATAACCTGTAAGCCATGCAGACTTGTCTCCAGCCTGTGTGTTGTCTTGTTTCTACAGAGTGTTATTGTAACCCTTTGGGCTCAATCCATGATCGTTGTAATGGCTCAGGATTTTGTGAGTGTAAGACTGGAACAACAGGGCCTAAGTGTGATGAGTGTCTGCCGGGAAATTCCTGGCACTACGGCTGTCAACGTAAGTAACTCTGGGAGCTGCCCTCTGCCTGCTGCAGCATGGCTGATTTCTGCTTGGCTAGGCCGGTGCGTGCAGCTTCTCAGAGCAGAAAAAGATCCAAACCGCTGACAAGTTTTAAAAGCTACTTAATGCTGCGGCCAATGTATTGGGAGAGCAATCCATCAGCTGTCCAACTGGCTTTTTTGAAGCCCATCTTCATCCCCTCAGTTAGCTGGAGCAACTTATATTGAAATATTGTATGGAGATCCATATACCCGTCCAGACCATAAATTAAGTGACACAATAGGGACCCAGCGTGGAAATCTTCACCGCAGAATGAAGGGTGATGTGCATGTGATTAATATATTTCTTGAACTGAAAGTTACCCTAGAGCTCCAGAGTTCATAAATTAAATGATATCTACATAACTTATTACTACCCTTGCTATCATACCCATCACTGAATCTTAACCAAAAACCTAAAGGTAATAAATCTAAGGAATATTTAAACGTGGGGTAAAATAAATGGCAAAAATCGATATTGATTTTAAGCCTCTGAGGTTAGGCACTATGCGAGGAGCTGTGGACAAATGCCATTTGGTTCAGCCTCATTTCTCTTGAGATTACCAGGTCTTCAAAGCTTGTCAAGGCACGTGGCATGTCAGTGTGTACAAGGAACATGAATTATAAAATCAAGGCAGAAGGTTCCTTCCGTCTTTTATAACCTTTTCTGCTTTTGAATTCCGAACTAACTTTCCATTTCATCTATAGACAGGTATTTTGCTAGTATTAAAGCACCACAAGACATATCCTGTGTAGCAGTGTGGTCCAATAGAAAATCAAGCAAGCCACATATGTAATTTTAGATGCTTTTGCTTTCCACATTAAAAAAGTAAAAAGAAATAAGATAAATTAATTTTAATAACTATTATATTTAGCTCAAATTATATAAGATACTATTATTTCAACATATAACTAATATCAAAATTATTAAGGCTATATTTTTCGTGTTTTTTTATTGTCTTTGAAGTCAGATGTGCATTTTATACTTGCAGAAAATGTCAGTTAGGGCTGCCCATATTGTAAGGCTTAATAGCCACATGTGTCTACCATATTGGACAGCACAGCCCTAGAGTTATTTTTGCTTGCTTTTCACTTGAAACAAATGTCAGCATGCAGGAAACATCTAAAGCCAATTTCTATAGAAAACTGTATATTATTTGTATAATATAGTAGTAATAGCAACTTTTATATTCTATAAAATAAATTCTTCATGATGAATTCTATAATAATAACTGTGTAGATCCAATTTCTATACAATATTATAGAATGTTCTATCTGTTACTTATGGAATACATAGTTATCTGGCAGCCACACTTCTAAGTAATATAACTCCAAAGTGAAATGCCATGGGCAGCAATGAGCTCTGGCAATAGGTTGAAATTTTGGCATTGAGCAGGCCAAGGTTAGAATGGAATCCAAGAACTGGGAACTGAGGTCTCCAGCCTTGCTGGAGAGGAACACTGAAAGACAGTCAAATAGTCAGAAGTCAGGCCTCACACCTGTATATAAGGTCTAGATAAAGCCATGGTTTAAAAGTCTTGCATGCTGTTGTTTTCCAGAAAGTGCTAGTCCTTAGTGCCTGGGAGAGTTGGTGGATCCCAGCAACCATGTGAAGTGTCAGGGCTCAGAGTGAAGCTATCAATCATGGCACAGCTAGACCTCAAGGCCTAGAGCAGGCCAACAGTCAGGAGAAGAGGAGAATAGGCAGAGGAAAAATCAAAACCAGCACCAAGACTCAAGGCATAAAGAATAAGGAGACTTTGTAATTAAGACACACTTCTCAAAGAGAAGATCTCATATAAAGCTCCTGAGGAAGCAGGACCTAAAGAATGGGTTGCTGGAGTGTACTCAGGGTAAGACTTGGGAGAGGAAAATAAGTCAATCCTGCTTTGGGAAAATGCATCTCAAAAAGGACCTAACCCAATTTTTCTATATTCATTATTGGAGTATTATAAAAAATATGGTGTTGCCACCAACTTTTCCCTTCTGGAATCAAAAGACTGAATTTAAGCCTTACCCTGCCACATACAAATCATAAAACCCTCTGTGCCTCAGTTCCAGAACCTCACATACTTGTTAGGTGGATCACTGAGATGATGAGAGGACATGCATTTATTCTTTTGAGTATGTATTGAGTACCTACCGTGACTTAGGCACTGGGCTAATGGTAGGGCACAGAAGGATGAAAAGAGAGAGCTACTGTGGACATGTGGACATGGAGTTCACATCCGAATGAGAGGCCCAACAATTACGATAGAAGGTAATCAGAGCTCAATAAGAGGAATGTACATGTTATTTGTTAGTGAAGCCCAACATGGGGAGTAAGTCTTCCCAGAAAAGTGACATGTAGTTAAGCACTAAAGGATCAGTGGAGCTTTCCAGGATAGGAATCTTGGGTAAACGTGATTGAGCTAACACACTGTGTTCCAGAACTTGCGTGTGTGTGTGTGTGTGTGTGTGTGTGTGAGCATGCACATGTGTTGGGAGTAAGGGAAGATGTTAAACAGCATCCAGGGACTAGATTATGTGGTTTCATGAATCCCAAGCTAAGACATTTTATGTTGTCAGGGAGGAAAATCGGAATCATCATCTGGAGAAGATATGTGATCCATCATATGGTTTTAAGCAGAGACATGAAAGGAACAGATTTGTTTTTAAAAAGATTATTCTAGCTACTAAGTAAAGAAAAGAATGGAATGGGTTGAAATTAGATTTGATATATAAATTTAACATCGTCCAAACACACCTTTGGGAACATAGGAGATTTTTCTCACTCTGAAATCTTTGTTCCTTCTCTTAGACCCACCCACATAGGGCTGGTATTCTATGTTAAAATATAGAAATTCTTCTGTCAGTTAGTAAATGGCTACTTCACCAAGATCCTGAAGTGCCTTCCCCTGGGATCTCTTGGGCTGTCACCAAGGATCAGCAATAACGGGGTAACACGTGTCACAGTAGCATGCCACTAGCACCTGCTCCAGGATTATAGTTGATGTGCATTCTGATTAGTTGGTGCTGGAAGGTTGATAATTTTTTTTTTTCATTTTGCTCCTGTCCTCACACACATGAATGCACTCAAAAATGCCCCTTGAGTGCATCCTTGTCTTCCTTTCCCCTCTTCCACTGCTCACCCTGACTTCCACTTGCCCTGAGTGGAACCCATCCTTGGATTTGGCCACAGTATTAGTAGAAGAGCTATTAACCTGGCAACACAAAATCAATGCCAAGCAGAAAACCAGTGGGAGAGTAGGGCTGACAGTGGTGTTGCAGTGATGAGCTGAGAGTAAGCAGGCATTTAGGTAGGCACTGCCAGGGAGGCAGTAGGAGATATCAGGAAGAGTCCAAGGGATCCAGGCCCAAGGTTCCAGTCCTCCCAGAGGATTGTCAAAAGGAGCCATGTGGAATTGTGGTCCAAAAGGACTTGGGTTTGGGAACAGAAGATTTAAAAAAGGGATTCAGTAACTGACAGTGTTGCCTATATTCTGTGAATAGAAACAGTGAATATGCTCTTTGAGTAGACTCTGGATTCGTAGAGACCAGGGTCTGAATCCCTTCTCCACTTCTTATGACCTGCAAGACTAAGAGGAAATTACTTGGCCCGTCTAAGCCTGGTGTTTCATCTAAAATGGGGTAATAATATGACCTACCATATATAGTAATTGTGAAGGTTCAAATAAAATAATGAATGTGGACCTCGTAGTACATAGTAAGTGCTCAATTATTATTACTACTTCCAAGCACATGTTGATATGCCATAGAACTAAGCAAGAATCCATGTTCAAAAGCTTTCGTGCAATGTTACTGTAGAACTTGTTGGGCCACTATTGAGGAATCAAACTGTTGACCTGGGGGCTTCTAAAAAGCCTCCTGGTTAGAGACAAGACGGATTCAAGAAAGTGAAGCAAAGCTGACCCCAAAGCAATTATGGGGTTTGAGCTGGGGACATTTTAAAAACTCCAGGCTCATCAGCAAACTTTCTGCTTGAGAGGCCACCAATTATGTACTGTGTAAATGTAGGCAAGTCTTTCTGAATTAAAAGGTGAAACACTTCTAAACCACTAGAATGAATGGTCTTTAGACAGCATAGAACAAATAACCTAGGAAAGAAAACAGAAATAATAAGATTTCAAGCAGGCCTGGCAGAATCAAAATTAGTGTTGAGGTTACCCAATAGAAAAATGAGACATTGGAAAGAAAGAGAAAAAAAGTTTTAAATGATCCTTTTGAAACCAGAGAAGAGTCAACAGCTAGGTTCCAGAGAATAAAATTGAGCCTTCTACATAGGAAGCAGCATTCCATGCTTTATATAAAATATGAAGGGTTAACATGTATTGGGAAGTAACTAAATAGTTGTTATCAGCGCCAAAGTAACTGGACGTAAAGGAGATTTATGACTTTTCAGTTTGGGAGGTAGAAATAGCCACTTGTAGAACTAATGTGACTGGTGAGGAGATATGTTTGTCTTCCTGGAGGATGTATGTAAGACACATGGGAATATGCTGCAGGGTTTATTAAATCCACCAATTGTTAACTTGTGTGAATACTAATGGTACTTTCAGAAGAATTCATAGTCTGCTTATTTAAGTGAAAGTCAAAAGATTTGGTGATATCAGTTAAATGTTATGATTTTGGAAGATGCTAGAGCTGTAGGAAATAAAAAGCAAAGTACACATAGCAAGGGGGAGACAGATCACATCCTTTTCTGAGCGCAAGTGGGAAAGGCTTTCCATTTTTAAGGAACCATGTGAATAGATTGGGCCCACACATGTAATCTAGGATAATCTCTCCTTTTCAAGATCTTTAATTTAATCACATCTATAAAGTCTCTTTTGCCAAGTGAGGTAAGAGGCTCTGGGGATCAGGATGTAGACATCTTTGAGAACACATTATATTGTGCTTATCATAATAATAATAAAGAATGTCAAAGTTTCATGTCAGAGATAAATATGCAGGTGTTATGAAGACAGAATGCAACTCATGCTGGGGAAAAAGATATGCAATGATAAAACATATTCAAAAGAAATATTTAAAAGGATTCGAGAGGAGTAATGTATGTCAAGCAGGTATAGATGTGCATTGTGCATTACAGGGTAGAGATAGTGAAATATGTTTCAATCAAGACCACAGACTGTATAAGAAAGGTATTGTGAGAGCATATTGTAGACCACTAGACCATTTAGAGGATACATTGTTCAGAGGAAAATTGGAAAATTTAAACATTCTATCTTCCAAAATGGGGGAATTCAAATATCAGGAGTTCTGCTAAAAGATTTGTTCTGGTAAAATAGTTTACTTGCATTAATGAGAATTTCTTTACCCAAAAGAGTGGAAGAAGCAGTCTGAGGAGCTACCACTTATTGGTACCATGGAGAAGGCATTGTCACATAAGGGAGCAAACACTATTAAAAATCTAAGAGGTATTGTTCCAAACATTAAGAAAAATTCAAAATATTCCTGGGGGAAAAAGGTAGGATGTTAGACCTTTTTAAAAATGGGTGTTCACATATGCACATACACATACAATCACTTTTATTAAAAATAAAAGCATAAATTGTTCCCAATAGACTACCTATAAAAAAAAGAGAGACCTCTACATTAACCAACTTGACTATCAAACGCTCTTTCTTCTGAGGTTTTGATGAACATTATTTCAGTCCCTACACTGTGTTGCAAATTTAGGCTAAATAATTTGCAAAAATGCAGATGGTATAAGGCTGTGCTGACATAGTTCAAATGACAAAAATGTAAAGATATTAGCTTACATTAAAGCTCAATTTTAGACAGTATATTATATAAGTGGCAAAGGAACTAACAATTTCAGGCTGAACAAAGATCAAAGGAGGTTATAGTCCCACTAAAACATGTCCTGAGCAGCCCACATCAAGGGGCCAGTTCTTGGAAAGAGCATTCTAGCATTGCAGACAGTGATGTAAGAGAGTCCCTTCTTTGATGAAAGTTTTTTCATATGAAGCAGCTTGATAACATATGTTACAGATGTCAGCCAGTGTTTGGAGGGCTAACAAGTAGACATGGTTCAGGAAGATAGAACAGGGACCATGAATAATGGAGATGGGTTTCAATTTAGCATTTTCCAACAGTTACGCTTTCTAGGTGTCTGAGAATATAGTAGGTGCATTGAGTAATGACAACTTCCCCAGACTCTGGAGAAGTTCCAATAGAAGCTGAACAGGCTCCTATCAGTGACGCTTTCTGGAGAGTTTTGGCTTAAACGAGAAATTGAGTGAAAACTCTTTAGGGCCTCTTCAACTTCCCAGCTTTAACGTCAGACCACACTCATGCAGCAGAGGGGAGGCATCGTGAAGTTGCCCACCTCAGTTTATAGTAAGAACCACAGTTTGATCACTTGGCTGTCCTCTACACTCTAATCTTTCTTTACCCACAGACCTCAGACTCTCATACTTCCCACTAACCGTGTTCTCAGTCCTCACTTCTGGTTTCCAAAAGTCAGAAACTAGAGACTTAAATAACTCCTTTTATTCTAGGGATTAATTGGTTCCTATCAAACTCTTCTATTACTATAGTTCAGGAGGTTTTCTTTTTTTCTTTTTGGAGGGGATAGGGGATTAACTACTACAGTCCTGACGAATTGTGATCATGAAGGTATTAAGATGATGCTTCCAATTGCCTCTGTGAGATGAAGATTATACCTCCCTGGACAAATATCTTGCGCCTAACTTGTAATTTTTCAATGTTTCTAGTTGCTGTCTCTTCCTATTTGTCGTGTTACATTAAAATGTCCAGTTCACATTTCACCAGTTGACCTCACACTTTGAATTCATTGACAGGCAGCATGTCACTTAAACAAGGATGTGTCTGTGATGCTGCAGAGCATCTGTAGTTGCTAAACATATGATTTCCCTCATTTGGCCCTCACATGTCTATCAATCTCTATCACTACAAGTTGGTCTCATCAATAAAATGAATGGCATCACTGAATCCAAGTTTTTAATTTCCTTAGTATCATTAGTTTCCAATAGCACCTTGAACACAGCATCATTTCCCTTGCTACATACATAAGGGTGATGAAAAATAAATAGAGAGAGGCACTTGATGTTACTGTGGTACGACTCCTAAGGGTGGGAAGGAAGTGCTCTTTAAACAGAACCAGTAGGAGCCTCCCAGAGGCAATTTAAAAAGGAAAATATTAGGAAGACAGGAAATAGAAAGTGGCAATTTGTAGGCATTACAAATAAGCTGGTAGTACTCCTGGGGGCAAAAAGGATCGTTTTGTCTGCTAGATGAGCAAACCCCAGGGTTGCCCCCAGTTGTGAAGTATCTCTTGATTCAGCAGGAAGATGCCACACCACTCAGTCTTGCTAATAGCCATTGCATTCCAGATGCAGCTCTTATTTTCCCTTGATTCTTAATGTAAAAAGCCCATAGACCTCTAAAACATCAGGGACCTGATGCTACCTCTGAGCATGCAGAGTCAGGGCTTATGCTGTGGAAAGGACTTTAACTCTTCACACACTAAGGGCTCCATTCAGAGCAACCACAAAAGGGATACACTGATGGAGCTGGCTTGAAAGCAGTGAGTTGTTCTGAATGTACTCCACAGTAGCATCATATCCTAAATACATTCAAAACCCACAGCTCCTGAATTGCTGAAGCTTAGCCTAGGGCAAATGCAGACAGTGGACATACCAGACGGCAATTCCAGGCACCCACTGGCATTCTGAGGCTTGCCTACTATTTAGCCATCCTGTGCTCAGCTCAGAGAGGGGCCTCCACTTTGACCTGGATGGCAACTTTTCATATTTACTTGACAATCCATGTTAATTTCCCCCTTTATTTAAAGAGAATATTGAGAAGGACATGTATGCTCAAACTCCACAATTTCACACCGCAGAACCACTGAAGCTTAACAGTGAAAGGTGTATGAAATGCTGGTGCTCATGGAAAAATGCAGGCACAGTTTTATCTGCTAGCAGCCGAGAATCAAAGCAACAGCCTGATCCTACCTGATAATAAGATGATAAGAAGGCCAAGTGGTAATACAATATGTGAAGCTCTTTTCTTACGTAAGTACATAAGTGGAGTTTCACCTTGGGCCATTCTTTACACACTAATGAGTGTATGTGTGAGTGTGTATGTAAGAAAAAATTTCAAAATTTTCTAAAGCTACATATATAAAGATAATGTCTAAATGTGAAAATCAGCCCAATTGCAAAAGGGCCATCCTACTTGAAACTTGCAGAATAAATATTTCAGTTAAGCAAGGGCAAGTTCTCAGCCCCCAGCGGAACAGAATTCTGGGGAAGAGGAGTCACAGATAGACTATGATGAGAGGGTTCTTGAAAACTAAATTGTAGGAGTCAACACAGTGAGGTGAAAGGAAGCCTTAGATTTGGAGTCGGGGTCTTGTTCTAGGTGTAACTCCACCACCTCTCCAAAGAATGTTTGCTCAATCATCAGCCTTTGAATTTCCTTCTGTGAAATCCTAGAGAGGGCTTGGATATTCCAAGGTTCCTTCTTGGTCTGAAATTCTGTGATCCTGAAATCTTACAAATGGTCCCATCAGTTTACATATGGACTTATTTCTAGTAAAGAATTATTATTATTTTAAAATAATAAAAAGTGTTACTTACTGAGCCCTTTGTATGTGTCGGGAACATGTATGCATTATCTCATTCCACAGGAGAAGATTATTTTCCTTATTTTATAGATGACAAAACTGAGATTTAAAGAGGATAATTCCACCAACTCAAATACCTGTTAAGTAGCACACCAGTTATTAGTGAATATTTATTGTTAATCAAATGGCATTTTATAGGATTTTGTCACTTTTACTTTGCAGATGGAGACAGAAGCTTTGATAATTTATTCCAGGGGTCAGCAAATTCTTTCTGTAATGGGCCAGATGGCAACAATTTTAGGCTCTGTAGGCCATACAGTCTCTGTCACAGCTACTCAACCCTGCTATTGTACTGCCATAGACAACGCTTAAATGAAAGAGTGTAGCTGTGTTCCGGTAAAACTTTTTTTATGGATGCTGAAATTTGAATTTCATGTAATTTTCATGTGCCAAGAAATATTCTTCTTTTGATTTTGTTTCAATCATTTAAAAAAGGTAAAAACCATTCTTAGTTCATAGGCCATTGTAAACAGGAAGCAGGCTGGATTTGGCTTGCAGATCATAGTTTGATTTATTCCAAACTCAAACAGCAATTCAAGATGAAGAAACAGAGGACCAGTTAAATAAAGAATGTGAAGCAGAAGGCAGGAAAGAACATAAGAAAAACATACATTTCATTAAAATGTGTCCTCTGTCTTGACATGGGTATCACAGGGAGTTGAACTAACTGGTTCTTATTTACAAGGCCCCAACTGTTCTTAAGAAAAATGTTAGGGTTCCCAGAAACATAAGGGCTTTGACCATATCATTTCCAGGACAAGATCACAGACATAATCAGTGCCGTCTGTTTAAAGGCTTTAAGAGCCAGCTGAGCCAATTTAGCATCAATTTAGTACAATCAGCAACTAATGAAAGAGAAGTCAGGGTGGCCATAAAATGATCAGGATTGCTCATGTTGGTGTAAGGGATCATTCAGTTGTATTCTGCAGGAACAACCCGTCATCTTGAATATCAGCAAAAAGCTCTATTTAGAGACAATTACAGTAATAATATCAGGTTATAATACCATGTTCACAGGGAAAAAATACATACAGAACGTGTTCAGAATGTAGGTTTTTACCATTGCCTTTTAATATCAGAGACAATTCTTCTGAACACAGTCCATGACAGTGCTGTGAATGTGAACCCCTGCATTTCTGCCCAGCTCTCTTTTCAGTGTGATTGAGCCCATTGAACCCAAGAGATTCTGGATTACCCACAGGAATAATGTTATAACCCATCACTGTTAAAATGCATATATGTTTTTCATCCCATCTTTACAAAGTTTTCTGTTTACAGCCTTCAGTTATCCATTGCTACAAGGAGGGGAGAAAAGGCCTTCATAAATACCATAAATACAGAGTGATTGATTGTCTTGATGTAAATTCCAATATAGGCACATACTGTATGCTCATGGAAATTTAGACTTACGCACAGTTCATCTGCTCTGCCTCCGCCTTAATCTTTGACTGGTTAGCAGTCAAGATCATCCAGACACTGCTGGATGCTCATTTTTAAACAGAAACAATTGCTAAGATATATTTTTAACAATATTCTTTCCCTTATTCTGCAAAAGCATAGGATTAACATTACATATTACAGATATTTTTTTCTAAACTACAACTCTTTTGGGGAAATGGGCATATGTCTCAGAGATAAAACACTATAAAAATGATGAAATATTGATTTTATTTTTAAGACATACATTTAGGCCTCTTTTTAATTAGTATTGTTGACCCAATGGACTTAGCCTATGTGTTAACCCATATTCTTTATCATGAAAATCAATAATATGGACAACTACTATGTTCCCACAGATGTTGAATGCAAAAAGACAAAGTTAGGGAGTTTACAGAAGAGCTTGTTATCAGGATAACTTGACAATTTATTAGTGATGCAATGTCAGAGGCCACCATCACTGCATTCTCTATGGTGTTGCTGGTTCACCAGATGGAAGTTATTTGGGCGTACTAGTAAGTCTTTCCTGAAATATTACACCCTTGTTCTTTCTAATTAAATGAAAAATTAAAGTTGCTGATTTTGCAACAAGGATGCTAAACTACATACAGACATGATGTATGAATTCCATATAGTTAAATCAGGCCTCGAAATTTCTGAAGTAACAATTTTAATAAAGACTGTCCAGGGTCTAGGCATGGAGGAGTTTGTGCTTCACTTGATAGAAACATCTAATAAAACATGGTTCAATCAACTATGTTCAATACGTCCTTTCAAATACAGCAAATGAGATGAGATCATACTCTACTCTACAGAAAACTATGCCTTCGTTTCATCTTTGGTTACTGAATTTAATTTAGCCAAGGTGACAGAAGGAGCTTCTTAACAGAGCCTTGCTAAACCTTTTAAATTATCCTTCCTAGCAAACTGGCCTGGCTATCACATTGCCCAAAGCATTCACCTTTTATTCAATCACACATTCACTTATATTTTCATTCATTAATTCACAAATCATTTATTTAACAAATATTGAAGTCCCAGTATGTGCCAGACATTGTGCTAAGTTTTGGCACTAGAAGATAAATGGGATTCCTGCCATCCAAGGGCCACGGTTCAAGAGGGGTCTCCAGTCTAACAGTACCTTCCTCTTGTCAAAATCTGAGACGATTGACTTCCAGTACCACTTTTCTAGCTTGCTTTTCTGATCATAGTTATCTCTGACTTATAACCATAGAATTTGATATCTGAGCAGGAACCTTAACAATGTTCTGGTTTAGCCACTCATTTAAGTCATAAATCAGCTCTCCTTATTAATATGTAGTAGTAATGACAATGGACACTATTAATTATATGCTTGTCATGTACCAGGCACTATGCCAAGCCATTTATAGTCTTGCCAATTATAAACCCCATTGGCAGTTATCCCCATTTAACAGATGATGAATGGACTGAGGCCCAGAGAGGCTTAAGTAATCTGCACAAAGTTGTATAGATCCTTGCAACTTAAAAGTGTGATCCCTCAATGGGTATGATCAGCATCACTTGGGAATTTGTTGGAAATGCAGAATCATAGACCCACCTGCAGACTTACTGATCTGCATTTTAATAAGATCTCCAGGTGATTCATATGCACAGTGAAGTTTGAGAAGCAGAGGACTGGATAACAAATGAAGGTTTTAACTAGGATAAACTGACTCAAGCCCAAGAAGTTTTGTTGTTGCTTTTTATCACTTTGTGTTTATAAAATAATGGTGGCTGGGAAGTCAAGGGCATACATACACCTTGGAACATTTTATATAAGGGGCAGGAACTCAAATAGTATCTCACGCCATCAATTTTTATGTATTCTACGAATCCAAATCATATTAAAATAAGAAAAACCATGAAAACTTAAACAAGTAGCCTATTTGTTTTCTTTCATCCCTACAATTTAAAAGTGGTTAATATTTGATAGGTTAATAATAAATATTTTAATATAGTATATTGCATTTGGTTATGAATATATCAAAAGGAAATACAAAGTGAGCTCCAAAAGATAAACTTCTATTGGGCACATGAAAGAGAACATAAAATTTGATGGCAATTACCATTTAATCTATTCATGTTTGGAAACATATTGAAAGAGAAACTCATAACTCAGTTAATTGTTATGAATTATTAATTGCTTATTTGAAAAGAGATGAGCAGAACTGTACTTGTTGAAAAACTTTCTTTCTCAGTGGCTAACCTTTGTGTCATTGGTTTTATGAGAACAAAACGGAAAGAATGACAGCAAGATCCTAATCATCCAAAACTAGAAAGTGACAAGACAGGGGACATCTCGGTGACTATATAAAGGTTAATTGAGATTGAAATGAAATAGTAATCGCTGGCCCCACTCCAACCTTCTTAAGTGTGATTCTCTGGGGGTGGGCTCCAGGCATCTGTATTTTACAAAACTCCCTAGGTGAGGATAACATGCAGCCAGGATTGAGGACTACATATTTAGCAATTATACATTTTCGGAGAGATTTAATCCAGCCGTGAATTGACTCAGGATATTCAGAACCCCAAGTGAGATGCAAGCTGGCCTCCAGTTTGCCACTCCTAGTTAGACTTCAAGGTAACTAATGCCAAGAGCACTGCGGACTGTGGGAAGCTTTATAAAGACATGTTCCCTAGATGGTCAGTGATTTCTGATCCCAACAGGCTAAGACCAAGAATATGTCTGGATTTAAAAATACCTGACTTAAAGAGTCCTTGCTTTTTTCCTCAAAAATCAATGTTATGAGCTTCTTCTGCTGGATTAAAAAAAAAAAAACCTTCAAAAAGTGGAAGCTTTTTCTATTAACTAAATCCAGGGATTTATTGTTTAGTGTCAGCAGCGTAACTGCTTTATAATTGATTTTTCTGAAAAGAACTGAAAACTTAAGCTACCTTAATTTCCTTTATCTTGACACACATGATTAGCATTGCACTGAAATATATTTTACCAGGTTCCCAATTACCATTTTTTAAAACCAACTTCCTCATTGCATACTTGTCTTGATAAAATATTTCTAGACAGGTAGAAAGCAAGTAGGTATAAAGAAAAATGTATGACTGCTTTATTCCTACTGATAGGTTTATCCTGTTTCTTCAAGAATTCCTGTTTATGTTCAGTTATGTTTTTAAAAGTGAATAGAACTAGAAAAATATATTAACACCTGTTAATTTTTAAAGTCTTGGGATAAAGAAGCAAGAACATTTTGGACAACGACAGAATTTTAAAGATAATGAAACCAAATGTAATATTTGCAACCTAAGCTAATGTGCCTAAATTCTTATAGAATTAGAAACAGCTAGCAGTATATGTCTGTTATTGTTGCACAGACAAATATTTAGTGTTGAAAAATGCAGCCTCAGCCTCAGTTTGTGCATGTAAAATGAAGATAAGAATTGGACCCACATCACTATCCATGAGAATTAAATAACACAATGAATTAAAATGTTTAACCCAGTTTCTGTCAGAGTATGGGCACGCAGTAAGATAATAAAACTATAAATGATGGTACCCATCCTCAGAGTTTCATTGAAAATGGTGAGGAATGGATTAACAAATTTAAGAAATCAATTTACAAACAAATGACATAATAAAACGAAAGCTATGATAATCATGGCTCCTTCCCGGAAAAAAAAAGAAGGCTACAAAATTATGGGATTTAATACCTATTATGTCTTTTTCTGTGGTCGTTTCAAATACTAATTACCATCTGTAAACGTGAATTTTAAGTTAAGATTTTGTCCAAAATCAATGCCATTTAGTCTTACAGGTTCCAAATAGCAAAATAAAGCAACCTCTGATAAGTTGTATTCATTAAATTCATCCCAACCTTAGCAGCAATTCTTCATCAATTTTAGGATCATCCTAAATCCTGGAAATTACCCTGTAATGCTAAAATACCTGCCTACTGGAAGGGTCTTGAATTATGGTGACCTCTAAACAGACCAAAAACTAAGTGGGGTTCTCTACCTGGGCAGAAACCAGTTATCCAGGAGTGATTACTGGGCAGTCACAATTCATAGAGTCACCATCAGACCTACTGGATACTTAACTATTATCAGCTTGGTGACTGTTAATACCCTTAGGGGTTTGTATGTCTGAAACAAGCATTCAGTTCCTCAATTCTCAATTCCCTTTTTTCTTTCTTTCTTTCTTTTTTTTTTTTTTTTAGAACTCCTCAGGGGACTTTCCACGGGGTTATTTGGCTATTCTTAGCAAGTTCATGCTATGTGCTATTTTTCAGCAAAGTTAAGGTTTCTCTTTTTATGCTAGAAAGACTAACATTGAGACTCTAACTTTGAAGAGAATAAGGTTGTTTATTCCTGTAAAAAGATTTTTTAAAAATAGTATGATTAACAATTTCACCACATGTCACACTGCCCTTGAAAAAGTAAGGCTGAATTTTCCTAGTAAACTAAAAGGCACTGAGGAACAGAGGATGAGTTAATACTTCTGCAGCCCTAACACGGTTAACCAAAAATGTAAAAATGAGAAGGAAACATAACCTCCACAGAGTAAAGAGACTGTAAGTGTGACTGTCATCGGCAGCACACTGCATGGACTCATTGTCAGGGGTCAGCCATCTTGGTTTCGTCTGCATTTGTAAAGTGCTGTCCTCCTACACACTATATCAGTGTATTATTTTATGTTTTGACATGAATGTATTAGTCGTTGCAGCTAGATGTTGAGTGAAGAACCCCCAGGAGAGAGAGAAACAGTGTAAGAATACCACTCTGAAGGAGTATGGTAGGAAGAGAGACCTTGGTTTGAGAGGTTCATTAATCAGCAACCAAACATTTATTGACTGTTTGAATCCTGCAACATCATAGGTACCATATAAGATAGAAAACAAGTTTAACACAGCCCATGCCTTAAGGATGTTGCTAAACTTGAGATTGTAGTAAAACGTGAAATCGTAGAGTGAAACCAAAGTTTCCTGTCCAGAGTACTTAGAGAACTCCTAATGGCTCTGGTTGTGAAAGGAAACTGAAAACTCTAAGGTCTATTCCAGCTCAGTAGCTGTCTCTTATGTAGTGGTTTGAATCCTGGCTCTGCCACTTACTAAGTGTGTCTTGTTGAAAAAATTATATAACTTCTCTGACCTAAGATTTCACTTCTCTAAAAAAATATTATTACACCTCATTGGGGTTGTTATGGAATTAAATGAAATGCTTGTAAACTACTAAGCACAACATCTGCAGTAAAATAACCTCCATAAATTACAGCTATTATTGGTATTACTGTACTATAATCAAGTGGTGGTAGATAACCTTGATGAAGTGCTGGGAAGGATTTTCATCTGTCAATGAGCCACTAAACCTGTAAATGGAAATTCTGATCATAAATTTGGGTTTTTACAGAGTATTTGACAAAGCAGTAAATTATGTGTGTCTATCAAGGAAACATGGGAAGTCTTGGATGGTGGACAGTACACTTACTATGGATTCCTTAAAACTCTGAAATTCAGTGGCACTATGGTATAAATAGAGCTTGAGTTTGTCCCCACAGAAACTTGTATTGAAATTTGATCCCCACTGTGGTAGTATTGGGAAGTGGGGCCTACAGGGAGGTGTTTGGGTCATGGGGGTAGATCCCTCATGAATGGCTACTAGTGCATTCTAGTGGTAGTGAGTGAGTCCTCCTTCTGGTGAGACTGGATTAATTCTCATGGGAATGGATTAGTTCCCTTGATAATGGGTTGGTATAAAGGCAGGATGCCCCTTGGGTTTTCTTTCTTTCCAAGTGTCTGCTTCCCCTTTGACCTTCTCTGCCATGATACAATGAAGCAGGAATACCTTTTCCAGAAACCAGCATCATGCCCTTGAACTTCCCAGCCTGGAGAACCATAAGCTAAATAAAATTCTTTTCTTTATAAATCACCCAGTCTCAGGTATTCTGCTATAGCAACGCAAAATGGACTAAAACAAATGGGGAGTAGAAGTATAAAGAATTGAAAGTCCATCCTTTACTGAGGAGGTACGTGACAATCCCTGGTCTCATTCCTTGGCCCTAAGGAGGTAACTAACTTCTAGAGAGTGCCTGAGGCCCCCAGCATTGCTCAGGATTCCCTCTGAGTATGCTGAGGCAGAGTATGGATCTTCCATTCACTGTGGCTTACTTTCCTGAATGTTCAGTGACACTGAGACTGTTCGGTGTCTCAACAGTGGTCAGCATTAATCCTTTGTTTTAGTGAAAGAAAGAATTTTCTCTTGTGTCTGACTTCAAATTAGAATTTTATTTTTTTTGTAAAGCAGCACAGTAAACTTCAAGTTTGTTAATAAATGTGGAGGCAAAGGAAGTCTTATACTTCTTTTTCATCAAGAAGGCAAAGCACCACCTATTCCTAGCTCCAACTTTAACACTAGTACAGAAAATAATGTTCCTCTAGGATATGGATTTTCATCTAAAACTTCATCCAGAAACTGACAGTCAAAAAGGACACTACAAACGCATTTCATTTTAAGAGAAGACAGTAGTTCACTGGGGATCTTTTCTTTCCCTCAGCAGGTATCTAGTTTCCAGCTACAAGAGTGTGCATTACTTACTGAAGAGTGTGTTTGAAAATATGAATAGAGATCATGACCAAAGCCTCCCAGGGGGTTTCTTCGGTCCAGCATAAGCCTGGATTTCTTCTACAATGTACTTAAGATTTTCCTGCTGACTACGTCTTTCTTTTCAAACTGCCATGACTTTAATAAAGAGGAAAGTGGATGCCATGTAGGGAAGTGGGCTAGACTCTTACACATAAAAACTCTCATGTTGTAACCACTTTATAAATTAAACTAAATTTAAAATTATTTCAGTAATAAACACACTTTGTGCCATCAGTATGCTTGGACATTTCACACATGTTACTTTATTTATTCTTCCAATAACCCTGCAAAGGAGTGCTAATATACTCATTTTAGAGATGAGGAAACTGAGTCTCAGAGAACTTAATATGCTCAAAGCAAACAACTAGTAGCTGATAGAGCTATTATAAAATCAAAATACAGATTTGACTCCTTGCCCCACATGCCACACCAACTCACTGTGATAGGTCCAAAATAAACCCACCTCAAGCCCAACCCTCCTTTAGAACCAGGAGGGTAATAGGAACTTGCAGTGTTCTAATATTGGACCACAGCCCAGCTACAGGATCAGTTTGCTTTCAGTGAAATGAAAACAGCCCTCAGTACTCATTAATGGGAGTGTTGGTAAACACAAACAATACCACACAACAGAGAAAGAGACTTTAGGATAAAAGCAAGCAGTGACTGACAAGGCTTACCAATTCTCTCTCACTATCTGTTTATCATTTATCAGGAACAAATGTTTGTTCACTGCCCTCTGTGTGCAGTGAATTTATTTCTCAGAATCAACAACTATTGCACCCATGCATACTTTGCACAAGCAAGTTATACTCAGATTACCAGCTCACAAGGACAGTGTTTACTTGCATGCAGAGGAGAGACCCTGCCGTAAAGTAGACACTGCTGAGACATAGTCCCTACCCATTCTCATAGGCCTAAGATGTTAACGGAAACAACGGGCTTTCATTCCAAGGATGCAAATGATGCAATTCAAGCCAAATATCCTGTGTCTTTTTACCAAAAAAAAAAAATCACTCTGACCAATTCCTCAAACCTGTCAAAAATTTAGATAAATAAACATCAAACTGTGGCCCAATAAGCAGACCCCATGTCACTTCACTAATTAATACCCAAAGGAGGAAATAGCATGCATAAATAGCTATCATCTATTTAGTCACTGGATCATATATGAAAAAGAGGTAACCTTATTCCAACATCATCATCATGGCAGGCTCTTCGCATCATTTTATCTGATCTTTGCAATATCCCTATAATAGAAGATACCATTTTTTGCTTCTTACAGATAAGGAAACCAAGCTTACAGAGGTGAAGCACATTTGAGGTCAGGAATTTAGAAGAGAAATGAATGAGGCTCAAACCCAGCTCTCTTCCTCTCCACCCCACACCAACATACATTCATCGTTCAGGTGCTACGTGTGAGCACAGTGCTGTGCCAACTCTGTGGTAAGCCTTGTAGGGAAGCAGAGGCAAGAATGAGGAAGACTCTTGAACATTAGTCACTCACATGGTGACTATTTTTTTTTTTTTTTTCTGAGACTGAGATTTGCTTTTGTCGCCCAGGCTGGAGTGCAATGGGGCGATCTCAGCTCATTACAACCTCCACCTCCCAGGTTCAAGTGATTCTCCTGCCTCAGCCTCCCAAGTAGCTGGGATTACAGGCATGTGCCACCATGCCCGGCTAATTTTTGTATTTTTAGTGGAGACGGGGTTTCACCATGTTGGTCAGGCTGGTGTCGAACTCCTGACCTCCAGTGATCTTCCCGCCTCAGCCTCCCAAAGTGCTGGGATTACAGGCGTGAGCCACCACGCCCAGCCCATGGTGACTTTAAAAAGCAATAAAAAGTCATTATGCACAGTGTTGTCCAGTAGCCTAATGTGGTGCTCAGGATCAAGTGAACCTGAGGGTTGGATGCTGGAAGCAGGAAGGTGCCCATCTTTTCCAAAGCAGCAGGCTTGTTCTTCTTCAACAGCTGTGTTAGTGTGCGTAAAAAGTAATAAATGCCTGACTCGCTCTGAGAGCCCAATATTCTCAGACAGGCAGGGCAACCACAAAGTGACTCTACTCCACAGCTCTGTGGTGAGATGGAAGGTAACTGCTGTTGCACTGCAGCCATTTCTGTGAAATGAGGTGACAGCACTGGAGAGCATGACAAGAACAATACGCGGATGAGCCTTTTACTGTGGTAGCAACTTTCATGCTGTCGTGTCAGTGCTACATGGTCAGGCTGCCTCTGTTGCCCCGGAGACAGGAATGGTAAGAATTCTCTTCATCATCAAATCATTAGCTGCCAGTAGCAGACACCCTGTCTCAGCTCCATGTCCTGTGCCTGTCATTCCTTCTAAAATGGTGTATGAGGAAAAGTAGAGATAGCTCAATATAGTGATTGCACATCCTAAAAACAGGATCTTTGAAAACATGGAGAGGTGCCACGAAATAATCCCTGAAGAGGTTTGAAAGGATGCACCCATTTCGAGAAGGGATAGAACGATTCCCCAGGTCATAACACAGTGTCCTATGATGATGGGAGGCAGGTCATTTCATCTTAGAAACAGAAAACCATTACATGCCAAGAGGGATGAGCAATGAAAGACAAAGGCCGTGAAGGAGCAGTGAAAAGCATCCTGGAATCACTTGGGGCTTTAAATTGCATGGATGGATCTTTTTAAAGTGAGTAGTAAGATAATAAAGTGATGCATAGGAAGACTTGACACCCTTCAACCCTGGTCTGATAAGCCAAAGGCTCACTTGGCTGTGAGCTAGCTGGGTTTAACAAAATGAAGGCCCTTAGATGCTAAGAAGATGTCTACATTCCTACTTTTAATCTTTTGAAGAGAGAGTGGGATTTGTACACAGCATGAGCAAGTTCTGTCTCATGCTATCTGATTTTGGAGTCTCTTGTAGGTCCATGCCTAATCCCAGAGACTGTAGTATTGGAGGATTACTCCCACTCAGATAAATCAGCCATGCCTCTCTCAGAGCTCCCACCAGAATCAAGTAGAACCCTTGGTAGGCCTGCTCGCTTATCAATACTCCTAGCTGGATTTTAGAATAGCCTTTGATGTGGCTGCAGATACCACACTACATCTTATTTAATCCTTGACTCTGAAAGTAGGTTAAAGTATTGGGTAGCAAGTAGGGAAGTCAGAGCTAGTGTTTCCATTTGGTTTCATGTTTGTCCACAAAGACCTTTGTCTGGCTATGCAATGCAATATTGTTGCTTATGTAACGTGATGCAAGACCTCAGTCCCCAAGTTGGATGACATTTGTGCTTAGAAGGACCATTATTACCAGATACTCTGTCATAAAATCTTTCTCCATAAGGCCATACTGGAATGCCAGGTCTTAGGTCCATGGAATTATATATTTGGAGTGTTGTGTCATATAAATCAATATACTGATGAATTAATAATTCTTCTGCAGAAATGAAGCACAACACCATCCACACATGTAAGAAATGGCTTCCTTTTTATTCTATCATGATTATAACCACTAGTACAACTAGGTTATATTATCTGAAGAAAATACAAATCTCAAACCTCAGGCTTGCCTGGCCAATGCAACCTTTTCTGTGCTGCATTAGGTGTAAAAATATACAATTGTCCCAGTCTGTTCTCCTTCATTAAGAAATCACTCTTGGAGAGAAATAAAAGCCAGTAGACATCATCCAAATACAAAGTAAACACCATACACCTATCATTCAGCTTATTTTGTAGTATGAATTTCTGGCTCTTTTGGTACTAAATCCCCAATCCAATACTTCAGCTTAAAAGAGCAGTACATATTTGGAAAAGTCTAGAGGCAATGCATTAGAATTCCATTTGCACCTTTTACATTTACCCATGTGCATGGCACTGTGCTCAGTGCTATAGATATACAGATATGAGCATTCATCCAACACAGTTATGTTGATTGTGTGATTATGCTCAATTAATATGGAACTTGGGAATATTGTCTCATATCATGCTAAATTAAAACATATATGTGTCTATCCAATATTCATGTAATGCTCTAAGACAAATAGATTTTTTGGGGGTGGGATTGTTTTCCTTTTATTAATGATCTAGAAAATCTTATGCATTTTTTAATAATAATTTATTTTTTAAGTTTTTTATAACAAGAAAATTGCCACATTCTTTTATAAATATTACAGTTTGAATCATACATAAGCCACTGGAATAAATTATTTATGCCAGTAGACTTATGAGTTTGTAGTGTGGGGATGTGTTTGCCTCCTAATGTATTAGAAAATTATGAATCTAATACTTTGCCGTAACATCTAAGAAAAAGCACATAAATTTTGGGGGGCTTTTTGTGTTATGAGTACTGTAAGGAAATTTTTCTGAAGACATTTTTAATTTGTATATCCCAGCTTCCTTAGTTAGAGATATTAGAGAATGAGCCCGTCCTCAGCATGGTGTGTTTTTAGCCATCATGTTAGAGAAAAAGGCTGTTTCCCATTAAAAGTTGCTCTCATTTGCTCTAATAGCCCAAGTGCAGATATATTCAATTCCAACATGTTCGCATCTAAAAGTTTGGAAGTGTAATTCACCATATGCCTAATGTCAAATATTAAAACACACAGAACAATAAAAAGCTGATCCAAAATCCCCTTACTTTAAATCTATTAGTCAGATTAATGGGGATGACACATGAGTTCCACTGTTATACTACTCCAGTGGCAATCTTCTAAAATTAGGAACTGCCAATCCGGGGGAAGCAAAAGAACTCTATATCATTTTAAATTTAACTCCAGCCTACTCTGAAGCCATTAGAGGCGATTAAAGGAGATCTCTATCCATTAAATTTAGCCCAGTAATCTTAAAGTTCAAAAGGTAAAAAGCACTTTTCACCATAAATAAACTGAGAGGCAAAATTATTTTCAATGAAGTTTCAATTTCAGTGAAAATAAAGTAGGTAATTACATTGGCTATTACTAAGGTCACTGCCTTCATTGACCATCTGGCTTAAAATTAAAAAATAGGTATCATTTGAGACATGGACAGAAATGAGCAAAGTGTGCACTGCTTCCTTTTTAAAGTCCTGCAAATTCAGTTAATTCACAGATTAACAATATTCATGAAACAATTATTCAAAAATTAACCTGATGGCCTTTTTGAAGCTGAGCAACTCAGGAAAAGAAGAAGAAAAACATGTAATGTCTTACCATTAATTACCATTACCATAATACCATAATTACTGCTTTCCATATGATAGTTCCTTGGCATATCATTTTTGCATACAAAAATTGGTAGGCCAAATTTGTCATGCCAATTTCTGTAGATTTTCTGTATCTGGTGTCCTATTTGCTGGATGTGAACTTCATTTTCAAATTGGAAACATTGTTTTCTTGTAAGGAATATAACTTAATGTTTGCCTTGTTTCGTTCTACTTCCTACAATCTCAGAAGGGATCAAAACAGTTTAGAAAGTTGAACTTTCTAAATGCTGTTTTAAAGTCATTTTCCATATGTATTGTTTTTTATTTTATTTTATTTTTATCATTATCTTTTACCACTGAAAAATGGCATTACTGGATTTTGATATAGCTTAGGTTCACACTATCTATTATTACCTGAAGTATATCAAAGAGGAAAAAGTTAAATTAGTTCATTGCTTTTCCTCTTTTGTAACTTTGCAAAGACATATATGCATATTGTTCAAAAAGAGAGAGAGAGAAATTGCCTTTAATTTTATTTGAGTCCTAAACCTAGGATAACTTTATTCATATATCCTTTGTAAAACTCAGGTTCTGTTGTGTTTTGTTTTGCTTTCCTAACATAAAGGCCACTAGCTTCAGGTTATGCTATTCATTCAGCCTGAAAATAGAATACATACTTTCAGAAGATCCTGTTCTCTGCATTCACAGCTGTTGGAGAGTCTTTGAAAATACCCTTGCCAGTATACAGAGATGTCAGCCTAAAGAACAGAAAGAGAAGATGGGGGAGGAAAAAAAGGCAGGGGTAAAAAATAAAAAGTTGCCAAAAGAAAAAAAAATGTATTTTCAATTCAATTTGAGCTTATTTCTATTCATTCAAGTCATTTGGAATTATTTGCAGTCAAGATTAATGATTCTTTACAGGTTGGGGGAGGACTTAGCAGCATCACCACTGATTTCTCCTGACAAAATTTATTATGCATTGATGCTAGCAGGACACCAGCAGGAGAGAGTTTGTTAAAACACCTTCAGAATAGAGCACTTTAACCTAGAACGTTGCTCAAACGAGCTGTCCCAATACACGGTTTTGGAATGTTTTAACACAAGCATTCATAGCAGCATTTTAAGATGGAGCCAGCCGGGTACTCCTAGGGCAAATTATTTGCTTGTGGATTTTCCAGTGGGGAAATTTAAATCACAATTCAGTATCCCTCAACTTTCCAACTAGTCCCATGTACACTCAGGGAGAGCAAATGAACTTTTGAAGTATAAAAGTACAATTGTGGCTCTCTTTTTTTTCGCCTAATTTCTCACTTTGTTCTTTTCCTTTTCTTTAAAATATTAAGATAAGATTAGAAAATAATTTGCTTTGTCAGGAAAGGAAAACCTCTAGAAAACAGTTCTCAGTGCAACGAGCATGCAAGCTAAGGCCCGTTTCCTCAAGGGCAGAGTTTCAGAGTCACAGATGGTTAGTCTGGGTTCTCGTCGTGAGCTTCATGAAACTCAGCTCATGCCCCGGTGCAATGCCATCAAACCATGGCCTGCACAGTGCCGAACTGACAGTTCATCATGAGCGCACTCCCAGGTCTTTAGTAGCCTCATTTACCATGACATCGCTCCTCTGCTCTTACTGTCAGAAAGAGGTGAGCTCATTTCTCCTCAGCTTTCCTTCTGAGCCCTCACAGATAATATTTTACCAGGCAGGACAGATTTTACACTTTGGGAAAACTTTGGCAATTAAATCTCACAAAGAAATCCAATAGTTTTCTATTTAGGAAATGAAATTATTTCCTCTATGGCCCATGGTTTAATATTGACTTCTTACGAATATTTATATTCACAGCAACTTGGCTGCACTGCTGGGGAAAAAGGCAGCTCTATGTGAAATAATAGCTGTAATTATTCGATAGCTTCTTTTTTTTGACAGCAGTACATCCTTCAGCTTTCACTTTTATACCAAACTGGAAATTAGGAGGTAGCCTAGCTGTGAAAACTGATGCTGGAAACTGTCCATCCATCATGAGGAATGATCCTTTCTCTGAGGGGAATTTGCTGCTGGATTGCCAAGTGCATAATATTCCCCTGGAGCAAGGCTGCATAAAACAACACTGCTGTGACACATTCTGAGATATTTAACTCTAGAGGGTCTGGCAGCCCCGTGTACTGGGCTGCTAATGGTGTTCAGTAGTTGTCATCGGGTCTTAGAGCCCAGAAGGTCAGAAGAATTTCTCTAATCCTAGGGTAAGAGACCAATTAAAATCCATCCCAGCCAGGACAGTCTCCACAAAATCCATTATCCCTGGCCTATTTTTAGGCCCTTAAAGGATGGATGCTGGGTGAAACAAGACAGAGAAGGCTTTAATTTATTCAATACATGTGTAAAAAGCGTGAATTCTATACCAGCCACTGCTCTGGATATTGAGTATACTGTGTTAAGAAGACATACATAGACCCTGCTCTCAAGGAGCTCATACACTGGTGGGAGGCACATGGAAAACAGGGAAAGAAATAAACAGTGGGCAAAGACCACTGTAGACTGAATAGTCATTGAAGGTCTTTCTGAGAAGGGAGTACTTCAGCTGAGATCCAAGTATTAAGGAGACCCCACCATGGAAAGTTCTGGAGGAAGAGTGTTCCAGGCGGAGGAGACAATTCCTGCAAAAGCTGAAAGGCAGGAAGGAGCTGGGCCAGTTCAGAAAATGGAAGGAAGCAAGTATGGCTGGAGGGTGCTGATGAGGGAGAGGTGGTCTGAGATGCGAAGAGGAAGATAAACACCAGATCACCCATCCTTGAAGGCCAACACTAGAGATATGGATTCTCTTTTTTTCTTTTTTTTTTCTTTTTTTTTTCTTTTGAGACGGAGTCTTGCTCTGTCTCCAGGCTGGAGTGGCACAGTCTCGGCTCACTGCAACCTCTGCCTCCCGGGTTCAAGCGATTCCCCTGCCTCAGCCTCCTGAGTAGCTGGAACTACAGGTGTGCACCACCATGCCCAGCTAATTTATTGTATTTTAGTAAAGACAGGGTTTCACCATGTTGGCCAGGATGTTCTTGATCTCTTGACCTCGTGAACTGCCCACCTCAGCCTCCCAAAGTGCTGGGATTACAGGTGTGAGCCACCGCGCCTGGCCTAGAGACATGGATTCTATTCCAAGTTCCCTGGGCCTTGAGCAGAGGCGTGCCATGATATAGGAGTTTAAATTAAAAAATAACTCTGGCTACTGTGTGGACAATGGATTGCAAGCAGGGGCAAGAAGGAAAGGGCAAGGTTTGTAATTAGCAGGATTACAGTAGACCAGGTAAGGGGTGTTAGTGGCTTGGACCATTAGGAGCAACGCAGATAATGAAAATAGATGGATTTGGGATCTGTCGTAGTCTCTGCCTGCCTTTGCTGAAAAAGTGTTAAATCTAAATTTTCAGGTGGTCTGAAGCAAGGATGCACTTTTTCTGTTTTCTATTGCCCTTGCCACATGGATGCCTTGTAATAATGGTTCCTACCAGTTTCTGTTTCGTGGAGAAAGAAACAAGGGCAAAAGTAATAGCATTCACAGCATTCCAGCATATAGACCTCGAACAGAACATAATGATCAGGAAAAATAGCAAAGTAATTAAGCTCACAGAATTGGGTGGGTTACAGGCTCTGCTACCCACTACCTGTGTGACCTTAGAGAGACTATTTACCCTCCTCAAGTCTTGGTTTCTTCACCTGTCAAACTCTTAAAAGGTCTTTCCTTGTAAGATTGTTAAAAGGATTAACCAGTGCATGAAAAGCACTTGGAAAAATGCCTGATAGGAGACCAAGTCCTCAATAAATAGATGTTCGCTTTTGTTACTATTATTATCCTGTTTTAATTTAAACCTCACCTTCCACCACCAAATGTGATACATTTAATGGCGTATCAACATGTGCTTTTCCTTTAATTTCCCAAACAGGAAGCCAAACTATGTAGAGGCTTTTTGTTGTTGTTTTTAAATATCTCTTCTAAGGAGAAAAGGAACTAACATTTAAGAAGTTCTTACTGTTTGCCAGATGTTTCATATATATCTCATTTAGACCTCTCTATAATCAACAGAGTTACCATTTGTTGGTAAGATTTTTATTTGTTGGTACCTATTCTCATCTTCAAAACTGCCTTACAGTGAAAACATGCTGTGCCTGTTTTATAGATGCAGAAGCCAAGGCTCAGGGAGGTCACTTGATTTGCCAACGCCCCACAGCTAATGAGTTGAGGATACAAGATGGGACTCTAGATCTGTGTGACTCCACAATCCTTGCAATTTCTCCCATACAGTGGGGAAGAGACAAACTATACCAGCCTACCTCCAATGGACTCTTGGCTGCACTATCAAACAAACCAGGAAAGTAGGTTTCTCCCCTCCCTTTCCTCATGTCAGCTGAGATTTTCATTGTGCCTTGACTAACTTCCAGTTAGGAATGTTCTGTGCTAGATTCCTAGTCTAGTTAGTATGTATTGATCATGTATTTGGATGTCATTAGGCAAGTACTCATCATCAACATGAATTCGTTATGTGCTTCTTAGGAAATTAACTGATAAAGGTTGGAAATCACTGAAAATCCTTTCCTTTTTCAAGTGGTCATCCAATCTTTCCCATTATTCTCACTTTATTGCTCTTGGCAATATAGTTAAGAATCTATTGACGTTAACATTGTAAACTCAATCTGTATCATGTCGTTTATAACTTGGTCATAAAAATCCATTTATCCTGAGATTTTGGTGTAATTCTTTACTGGCTGAATTGTCAAAATTTTCATCTTATTAGTTATGTAATGCTAGAAAAAAATAAGACACAATTTCATTCCATAATAACCTTGGTTTTTTTTTTTCACTTGTTCCCAGAAAAATAAAGCAATAAATTTAAAATAGAAAATGAATAATCTATAATATTAACTAAAGCATTTTTAGCTATTTAAGCATTACATCAAAAGAAAATGTAAGAGTTTTTGTCAGCAAATTATTGAGAACCAAAATGTACTTGTGGCTTGCAAGATTTTTTTTCAGTTTACTCACCAGTCTATATAAGGCAAGAGCCCTGATTATGTCCTTAGGAGTCATTTCCATATGTTTACTAAATTATAGTCCTTATTTCTTCTTCATATCAACAGTGACCCTAAAAATCAGCATGTGTGACCCTAAAAATACAGAAAAATGCAATGTATTCACTTTTAGATACATTTTCATTTGGTGGATTTGGGGGGTTTGAGGTTATTTTGAAAATATATAATTTATTTCCTAGACTATATAAAAAGGAGGCATCTAATAATCATTTACTAAAAATTAAAAGCAATTAGTGGCAGTTAGGATGAAGGCTTCAGTATTCAAGTCTGATGTAATGACCTTGCCCTTAATTCAATATCCTTTGAGTTGTGTGTTTCTTCCCCTTTAGTTAACATAAATAGGGGCATCAGCTTTACACCCTTAAAAAAACCTTGTTGCCCATCTTGTGAATCTTTTCTTTCTTCGCAATCTGTGAATAAACTGCTTTGCTTTGTCTTGTTAAAGCCAGGCCAGCCATAGCCTTGGCCTTTAGACTACAGTATTTAAACTTTATAGGTAGATTTGACAAGCCTAAAGATGGATAATCAGTCACATCGTTAGCACAAAAGAATTGCCCGATTAAGCAGGACAGAGACCAGCCTGAAACAGATCCTGATAGGCTGAAGGGATGTTCAAAAGATTTGCCTAGTTGGGGCCCCAGGTGTAAAAAGCAAGCCCAGCATGGAAATGAGTAACTCAGACATATATGAAGGGGCTAGCGCAGCAGTGACAGGTGGCAGGAACCTACGGAACGAAGGGTGAATGGGAGCAAAGACCTTTAGATTAACCAAGAGGCTTGCACGGAACAACAAGTGAAAAACAATTAGAACCCTGGAAGATAAAACCAAATGAAGTGATCCAAGTGAGGTCAGACAGCATACCAAGCAGCAGCACATCCAGTGACAAGAAAAGTGTTTGTCCATGCAGGTCTTAGCTTCAGCCTCAGGCCAAGTTCGAATGGTAATGGGAGTGCAATAGGTGGAGAATCTGCCTTCCACCCTCCTGCACCTTTTTATGGGAAGTCCGTGAGATTCATTCATCACTCTGATACAAGAAGCTAAATCCAAGATACAGTTTTAGTTTAATACTTTGAAGGTTTTAAAGTTTAAATGTGATTCCTACCCCTAAACAAGCAGAGCTGAGATGCCCACAGGGAAGGATGGGCCCCACGTCTCTCCATAGGCTTATGTGGTGTTTCTCTCCAGGTCGGCCCAACCCCACATTCCCCCTCCTTCTCTGTCCTCTTTATCTCCCTCTACTGCCCTTCTCACCACAATACAAGAAACAGAAGCACAAAGTTTTAAAAACTGCTAACAAAGGGACTTTTTTGAAACCAGTACTTGGAGGCGTTAATGAAAACCCAGGTTATTTCCAATTACAGTCTCAGGAATTACTGAATCCTTCCATGACCTTAGAAATGCAGAAGCCACGTGAAAAATCATCATTGGAAAAGAAATCATTGAGAATCCCGTTAGGTGCCAGAAAAAAAATGGATGCTTAGGATTCAAAGATAAAATAGATATCTGAGGCTATAAAGATGAAAAAGGTGTCTACTACCTTTAAGGAATAGTGCTTATAGACGGACTGCTCTGTCATGCACCATACTGTTCTGTGTGGACAATGAGAGGAGGTGCAAGACAATGGCCTGCCCTCAGAGTGCTTGTATTTTGGTTGAGGAGACAAGAAATGCACATGGAAAAGGAGTGTTTGTTGTAGATTTTGCAGAGTCATATAAAGCTTACATTTCTATCTATGTCTATATCTTTATCTAGATCATCTGCCATAAGGCTTCAAAGGAAGGATAGTATCTGAAGGCTTAAACACTCACAGAAATAAATTTCCATGGTGGGGGTTGTCCATGAGCAAGATCTTAAAGAATGGGTGGAGAGTTTAGGGAAGGACATATCTGGAGCAGAGACACCTCTACAGGGGCAGGCATGTGGCAGTCCAGGGACCAGGGAGAACATGGACAGTGCTTTGCAAACAGAAAGACTTCAGCTCTGATCCTGCCTCTGCTGCTCAGTCGCCAGGAGGACTTATGTAAGATCCACAGGTCTCCCATACAATTGAAGTAATAATAATAACAATAATACCTATGTACCAGATTATTAGATATATTCAATTAGATAACAGATGTAAATGTTTCTGGCCTTTTAATTATAACGTGTTAATTTTAATTGTGTGTGTGTGCATATGTGTGTGGGAAGGTGGTATGTAAGTTTAAGACAGTAAGTATATGATCCAGGAGTAGACATTTCATGTTGTGGAGTAAAAGCACATGATGGGGAGATTCTGAACACACTGTTGGGAGGTCCTGACTATAGTATTTGCAGTTAGCAGTGGGGAGATTCTGAACACACTGTTGGGAGGTCCTGACTACAGTATTTGCAGTTAGCAGTGGGGAGCCATGGAAGATTGTGAGGGAGAGAATGAGTGAGAAGTATTGTGTAAACTCTTTGTGAGGAAGCCCCATCTGGCTGTAGCATGTCTGTGCAATTTAATTTAGGGGATATAAAATAGACACAGTTGAGAAGCTATTTCAGAAGTAAAGAGGAAGCAATGGATATGGAATATGTCATTTTTTCTATGAAATTCATTTATTCATTCACTCAAAATACTCATATTCATTGAGTACAGTTTGTTCTCAAGCACTGTTCTAGGCATTGCACACTCAGCAAAGAAGAAAGCAGTCAAAATTCTTATCTTCATGGAGCTTTTATTCTAGAATAACTCCCTATTCATATAAAAGTACATATCTTCAGAAAATAGAGTAAGAAATGTCGAGGAAAGTGAAATGTGTTAGGACAAGATATTTTAAAGCACGTCATGTGATTAGTCTTTAACAAGTCCACCCAAGTCTTTTTCATCACTGCTTAATCTAACCTGGGTATGTCTTAGTCTGCTTCAAAGAGAAGCTCTAACATCTTTTCCCTGTGTTTTAAATACCATGCATAGCCTCCCAGTTGTATCCAAACCAATTCATAAATTTTTTCTCTCTGCTGCTGGATCTGAAAGTCCCTGAAGGCATAGCTTCCACACATTTTTTGCCAGACTCTGATTTTGGTTTAAGTATCTTACCTCTCTCCTGAGACACAACAGCCTTGCTCTTCTTCGAAAAGCTGTAAAATACCCTTCTGCATGCCCGTAATGACTTAATTTCCCCCCTTTTCAGGTCCACTAAGCAGATCTGTTCTCACTCAAATACCTTTTTCTTAACCAATGAAGAAAGGATTCCTCTGGATATTAGGAAAGAACTCAGTACATCCTCTTTCTGCCTCATGTTTGAAGTTTGGCTTTAGTAAAAGTTATGTTGCACAGAATTACTTAATGTTACTCATGAGCTTGTCTAAAGTCACTGTCTTTACCTAAACTTTTTTTTTTAATAAGAGCTCTTGTTTATTTTTCTCATCATTAAAGAAAAATTAACAAATAGATCTTTTCAAGAGGTAAGCAGCTATTGATTCATCCAAGAAATTGTAGGAGTGAACGATGATTTTTTTCAAATTGACAAGTATTCATTAAGCTAGAAATTGCTAATGATAAAAGTGAACTAGAAGACACAGGAGTATGCACTATGTGAAACTTCATTACCTAATGAAACATAAAAAGCATGAACCTATATTAACAATTACCATTTCTGTGACTCTGACAGTCTATCTTTTATTGTAGGACTTTGAGCAGTGCCTGGCACTTACAAAGCACTTAATAACAATCATTGAGTTGAATGACCTCTCATGTTCACAACAGCCCTGTGAAGTGGCCTCTTTTACAGATGAAGAAATAGAGGCTCAGAAATCCAGATTGCAGAGCCATGCGTGGTAATGTCAGTATTGAAATCCAGACTTCTGGACACCACCACAGTAAATGATCAAGTACTAAACTTTGTGGTTCAAATTTTGAGTGTCTCAGGAATTTGTAAGTGGGAAAGACAATGTGAGTTACAATAGTCAGCATCAACTTCATTGAAAAGGTATGCTATGACTTGTCTATAATCTTAACCTCTTTGTCCTTTCTTAGCCTTGCTGATGTATTTTAAGAAATTTAAATGTTTGGTCTCCAGTGCAGTAGCAAATATACTTTTGAAAATTAGCAGTCATTTTTACTTGGAATCAGGCATCCCTAAATGGCTCCTGTCATCATTTTGCACATTCTCGTGATTCCATAATGTTGTTTTCCTCACCTTGAATTTATTGACACCAATTCATTTTGCCTTGACATTGGCATTAACAGGGAAATGGCTTTGTTTCATCCTGACATTATAAAATCACCTCCCAAGACTTGGTTTGACATTGTCAGGGGGTGGTTATGGTGACAGCAAGGCCACAGCAGACAAGAGTGAATTACAGCGATTCCCTGGAAAAAAAAATCATTAAGAAAAGTTACCGCTGTGTGATTTTAGTAGCTATTTTTCATACTTAAATATCCCTGCTGTTTAAAAATCCTAAGAGGGCTTAGACCATATTTAGAACACTCCTACCAAGTATGTATAGGAAAAATTAAGTCTCTAAGGAGACGTTTGGCTATAGCTTGACAAACAGGAACCTCAAATTATATTTTAGCTTTACAAAGTGCTCAAAGGCATTGAAATTCTGCCTTTTAAAAAAACGCGTATTTGAATTGATGACACAATTATCTCCTTTCGGCTGCAGATACTTGCATTTCTTAATGCTGGGATATCAAAGGCCTGTAGTATTTTCCTACCTCCTAGCCAGAATGTAGAATGTTTTACAAATTTGTCTTCAGCACTGTATGGGGTTGGAAAGATTGTCTTTCATAATTCCAACATCATTTCAAAGAACACCAAATCCTTTTACTTGAGTTCTTCTATGTTCCCATAATGGTTTCTCACCTCGGCTGTACTCCCACAAAGAACAGCTCCATGTGGATTTTCCTTTACCCTATGTTCCAAAGTTAACTAATCACCTTCTCAATTAAATAAAAAAAGTCACTGAGATCCTTCAGGTCTTCAGGGCCATGTTGTTTTCACCTTTGTGTTGCTAGCAATGCCCAGATTATAATAAGAGCTAATACATTTTGCTTAATGAAAAATGATAGGAAGGCCGGGTGTGGTGGCTCACGCCTGTAATCCCAGCACTTTGGGAGGCCAAGGTGGGCGGATCATGAGGTCAGGAGTTTGAGACCAGCCTGACCAACATGGTGAAACCCTGTCTCTACTAAAACTACAAAAATTAGCTAGGAGTGGTGGCGCGCGCCTATAATCCCAGCTACTCAGGAGGCTGAAGCAGGAGAATCGCTTGAATCCCGGGAGGCGGAGGTTGCAGTGAGCCATTATCATGCCACTGCACTCCAGCCTGGGTGACAGGATCAAAACTCCATTTCAAAAAAAAAAAAAAAAAACAACGAAAGGAGCGTTCCTGATCTTTTATTTCAAAGCAATCATCCTTGCTGCTTCTCCTCTCTTCCATCTTTTCCCCAAGTGTATATTGTTTCATGAAGAATGACTTAATACAAGTCACCATTCTCTTCCTGTTCATGCTTCCATTATCAAACCATGTGTATGGGAATCTTTGACAATCATGGTATCCAACCTGAGTTGGCAAGTCAAAGCTGCTCAGCAAGTTTTCCATGTGTTAGTTAGCTCCCTCTCCCATTCCCTGCCAAATAATTTTCCCTTTCAGCTAGCTAGCTACTAATAATAGACAGACATCCACCATTCGGAAACAGGCATACAACAAAATTTTATTTATTTTATTTTATCTTATTTTATTGTATTGTATTTTTTGAGTCAGAGTCTCTCTCTGTCTCCCAGGCTGGAGTGCAGTGGCACAATGTCAACTCAATGCAACCTCCGTCTCCCAGGTTCAAGCAATTCTCCTGCTTCAACCTCCCCACCATGCCCAGCTAATTTTTTGGTATTTTTAATAGAGCCTGGGTTCGACCATGTTGGCTGGTCTTGAACTCCTGAGCTCAAGTGACCCTCCTGCCTCGGCCTCTCAAAGTGCTGGGATTACAGGCGTGAGCCACCACGCCTAGCTTATTTGTTTATTATTTATTTAGCATCTATTCCATGCCAGGGACAGTGCTGAATACTAATGACAGCAACAATAAACAGGTAAAAGATGTAGTGCAGGTACGTACAAGGGCAGAAATAGTTTTTTTTTTTAATTAGTTTAAATTCAACTTTGATCCCCTCTACTAGAAAGGTGGTGAGATATTCAGCCAACTGTCACTGTGGCTCAATCTACAAATGTAAAAATGTCCACTCATTTAGCACCAGTCTCTACTAATTACCAACAAGATGGTCATCCGTTGGGTTGCAGATCCCTTTAGCTCAGGAAGCTCTGATGGTTCCATTCACATCTGAGGCTGTGGAGTCATTGGCAAGCCAAGGAATCAAGTCTAAGACCCCTTCATGGTTATGGGATTGTGTAGAAACTCATGCCTTTTCTGAGATAATTGGTAGTCCTACTAGAAATATGTATTAGTAACACAAATACTGAAATTTGATAAAATGTGATTACATAATTCATTTCTTAACTGAATTACCTTTATTATCTAAGTAAAAGACACATATTTCTAAAAAAAACCCAGCAATTTATTTTATTAACATTTTTAATATCACCAAAGGACTATATTCTAGGCAATTTGGAAAGAGTGAAAAGTATAAAGATGAAAATTAAAATTACTAAAGTTTATTGCACTCCTACCAGCTATAAATAAACACTGTTCACATTTTGGTACAATTGATTGTAGTATTTTTGCTAAGGTTTATATTACACAGGTATGTGTAGAGTTACATGTCTGTACTTATGGAGATTATGCTGGATAAACATTTTGTATCTGCCTTTCATCCTGGCACAATGCCATGTACTTTGAAACGATGATTTTTACCCTGATATGTGTTGCCATTTTGTGTGAATATGCCTCCCCATGAATTCCATCTTTCACCTTCAGCTAAGAGTAGAGGTTGCAACTCTTATTAAACTAGACAAGTGCATTTTCTGATACCTGATGAGAAAGTCTGTGACTTCTCAGCACCATTTTTATGAGAACCTTGTCTGTGTCTGTGTCTGAAGGTGTTGACCTAAATAGGATTTCAATACATCATTAATGATCACTTTGGGAGAGGTGCCCAGCCTTCAGCTTGTAGGATTCTCAGTAAATTAATTCTTTCTCGATATCAGCAAAGGCTTTTTTTCAGGTTGCAAAGGCCAAAAATTTTAGGGATGTTTGGGCAGGGCCTCCTGCTCCTGCATCAGAGTCACCTGTCACCTCTTTCATGCTAGCCAGGATACTGTGAACTGCAGAATGGTCTCCTTCTAAATGAGTGAGGCTCTTTAATGGTGTTTTAAGCAGTTTTTTCTATGGTTTGGCAAAAGAAAGTGTCACTCTCATAACAGGTGCTTTAATATTAGATGAGTAAGAATAGAATGGCTACTCCCTAGGGTCAGAACTTGCAGTCCTTGATTACCTACATGTGTCCAACCACCCAGCCAACAGCTTCCACATTGTTCCCTATAGCAACTTCAGCTCTGACCCTTGGGTTCATTATGCTGAAACCAAGTAGGTCGGATGCTGTCACACAGAGTCTCGCCACCGAAGTACCACTGTCTTCAGATGCATACAGACAAACTTGAGTGTAAATTAAAAGCAGGAAAGCAAGGGCATTTTCACATGAGTCTACCAGGTTTCAGTCTGTTGTTTGCATCCGTACCTCCCCTGGCCCCCTACACCATCAACATTGCAAAAGACAAAAGGTGGGCTATGGAGCAGTAGATGCAGGTTGAGGGTCTCCAGCTCAGCCCCTCCCTGCTACTCTGGAAACACAGCTTATTTATGTGCTCTGATTGATACAGGAGAGTGCACATTGAATGAGAATATAGAAGTCGTCTTTGAGAAAATGGGCACTGCCACCCTAAGGTGACCTTGCAAGGCTTTGTAGAATATGCAGTAGTTGAATACAAATATTTGAGAATTGCATGTTTTGACCCCATGCTTGCTCAAGTTTCATACTAGCAGAAGACATGCACAGATGCTGTCTTTGAGGAAGGACATTTGCTTCCTTTTATACTTCAAGTAGCTTGGATTGGATAAGTAGTGTTTAATTCATTATTCTGGCAGAGATAGGAATTAGCACCTCATTCTTCCATCCTGAGCTTCTAGCACTGGGTGGATTGAGGAAGAAATTGAACTTTAACAAAGTATACTTAGGTTGTGTTTTATATTTTTTTAGAGCACCTCCACATAATTCATCTTGAGGCTACCAACAACTATTAGGTGGGTAAATAGGACAAGTGTTATTATCCTGCTTGTGAAGTGAAGAAAGGCACAAAGAGGTTAAGTGATTTCCCCAAGTTCACTCAGCCCATTAACTACAGGGATGAGACTTGAATCACAGAATCTGAGCCTAATTCTCTTTATACTACCTCATGCTTTTAGTGCGTATGAGGGAAAAAACTATCCCTGTTCCATGGGGCAGCAGATAAGACTGAACCAAAACAGATCAAACAGAAACAGTCACCTAAGTCATCACCAAGGACTCTATTACACAAGACCATCCATCATCATATATTTGGTCAAGAAGGGGAGGGATTTCTAACACTTTGCCTTCAAAATGATAGGCTTTCCATTAAAAATATTCATGCAAATCATAAAACTTGAGAAAACTTTAGAAATACCGACTTCAAACCTGTAACCTGTAGCCTAACTTTACAGCTGCAACTAGAATACAAGCCCCTCATGTGCAGCTCCACTGTGGGTCTGGCTTACCAAAATATGGCCACCATCCAGAGCAGTGCCTGGGTGGATGTTGGACAAACGCATGGATGAGTGTCACTAAATAGTTGCATAGTATGTCCAAGGCCTTGTCGTAAATGGATGACTAGTGAGACCCAGATCTCAGGTTTTCCAGTTTTATGACGCTCAGCCAATGTGTTTTCCCTTTGCACCATACTACCCCTCATGGCCAGACCAGACCAGACCATAAGGTCGGGGAAGAAAAAAGGTTTTTTTTTGTTTTGTTTTGTTTTTTTGTGGGGCGGGGATGGATTGCAGTTAGTGTACCTAGAATTCCAACCACAACAACAAAAAGTGATTAGATAACAATCTATAAAGTTTCTTCCATGGCCCAGGAGCTAACCTGTAGGTTCAGTTTTCCATCTCACATATCACAACTTAGCAAAACAGCTGCAAAAGCTGTATAAATGGGTCATAATCACAGCTCTTCAACTCCCTGCCACACAGTCTCGAATGCCTAAATCAGACCTGAATGTAGCCCACATACCTTTGTTATTAGCCTGTTTGGTGGAGGTTATTCACTCTTTGATGTTTCTTTGAAAAGGACGGGAACAATTTGGAACATCTTTCTCTCAGCAATCCTGGGCTTGTTTCAGGTGGTAAAGGTAGAGGTCACTTTATTAATACAACCATCAAGAAAAGCTGTCATGGTAACGCATTACATTGATTCCTTGAAGTGCAGGAGACAAAGCCAAAAAGAGAAACTTTCAAGTCTATAAATACAGACCCAGCATTGCTCAAGCATAGCAGCTCACTGACAGCATGAACCTAAATGTATAACGTTGAACAAAACCCAGAGAAAAGAAAACTTCCCTTTGGTAGTGGAATGGATCATCATGACCTTAGGGGAACAAGTGACCCCTCAGCTCATAAAAGATAAAAGAATAGAACAAGTGGCAACACCAAGTCCTGGCTAATACCCTCTGAGCATAAGGAGTCCATCTGTGGTCAGTTTTTCCATACCTTCCAGAAAGAACTCATAGAGGGGAAAGGAATCAAGGTCTCGTAAGTCACATTTGACAGTAGATTGCAGTTTGAGAAGAGGAAATGTATGTGACAATCAAGAAACCCACCAAAAAAATGAAAGAATTAAATAATTTAGCTATATCCCTGTGTCGCTCCTCATCCAAGATGGTGCAAGAAAAATAGATAGAAGTAAGAGAGGAAGAAATGCTGCTTGATCAGTTCTTTCACTGTGGAAATTCTAAATGTTTTTGTAAACTCATGGCAATTGTGAGAGCTTGTTTATCTACCTTGTGGCTTGCTTGCTAAAGCTATGATCAGAGCTGTTACAACACCTTGCTGACTTCAGCTTTTCCACCAGGTTTCCACACTTCATCTTTTGGCCACGTAACTCTGTTTGAATCTAACATTAATACTCTAACCTTATCTGTCAAATTCCACAAATTATCTTGGTCACTCCATTTGAAATCATTCCTAATATCAAAACATCAGAGGATTATAGTATGTGATATTGGATACTCCATAAATGAATTATATTTATCAATACGAAAAGGAATCCTTTAGAATACAGTCAAGCTATTACCAAAGCAGTATTAGTTTTTCTGGTATCTAAGGATCATATTTTACTATCACAAAAAGAAATCTGTCTAGCAAATAACTATTTGCATCCAGCACTGGATCAAGTGTTGTATAAGGATTTTAAAATGAACCTTTCTGTTTACTGACATAGGACACTCTAAGACTGTCAATAACAATAAAGAGAGAGTTGGGACATGCTTAAAATGAATACACCCACAGAATAAGTTTAGAGTTTTCAGTCTGAGGTAAACCCACAGAGCAGGGCACCAAGTAAAAAGTGTGATCACTGAAAGATGCCTGTTGGGTAGAAATTTTCACTTGGATCTTTAATTTGCAACTATATGCAGGATTATGTGAGATAATGCCAGGATTGTAAATGGGTGTTTATCCTCATGCCAGTACTATCAACTCATGGTGGATGCCTGGAAACTTGTGTTGAGAAGCATTTGAAGTTCAGTGCAAGAGAGTCCCATGATTAACTAGCTGTATTTCTGACTTATTCCATTTTATGCACTATAACAGAATACCACACACTGGGTAATTTATAATGAATAGAAGTTTATCAACTCACAATTCTGGAGGCTGACAAGCCCAAGATCAAGGGGCTCACATCTTGTAATGGCCTTCTTGTTGCACCATAACATGGCAGAAGGCATCACATGATTGAAGGGCAGAGAGAGAAAGAGGAAAAGAAAGGGTCAGCCCACCCCATGATAACAAACCCTCTCCCAAAATAACAGCATTAGTCCATTCATGAAGGTGGAGCCCTTATGAGCTAAACACTTCTTAAAGGTCCCACTTCTTAATACTGTTACAGTGGCAAATAAATTTCAACATGAGTTTTAGAGAGAACACACGTTCTGTACATAGCAGTCTCCTATGTACAGGGGAAGAGGAAATGACAGTGTAAATGCAGACATATTTGCCATTTTCAGCCTAGACATTGGCATTTCTGGTTTATTTTCTGTATGAGCTGATTTGTACTTGGAGCTCTACCAAAATGTGGTAAAACCCTAGGATGAGTAACAATTGATACTATCAACAAAGACCTCTGCCTAGTCAAAGTGTGATATGAAAGCAGAGCACTTAGTCAATACAGCTGCAAATCTACTGACTATCTATAGAAGAGTTCATGTCTCCCTGGTAAGTGGGAAAGTCAGCTATGTTTTGAGGAGCATGGAATGTGGCACTGTGCAATATTATTTACCACATTTCTCCTGATTGTTCTTTTCTATGTGAAGAGCAGTAATCTATAAATTGGGAGACCTGGATTCTAGTCCCAGTTCTACTCTCAATTGCTTATCTACAGCTTCCTTATCTACAGCTCATCTAGATGGTTTCTAAAGTTTCCTGCAAGCTCTGATTTTACTGCTTCTATGCAAGCAAATTACATAGCAGGGGTGCTTTTTGTTCCTCTCACCCTTTCATTGTGAACAGTACTAAAGGGTCTGTCTTAGATCCCAGTCTCCTATATTTACTCCCTGAAGAAGATAATCCACTCTTACATTTCCAATTCAAGTACTTAGTCACCTCTAATTCCCACAGCTCAGCACCTGAAAACTTACTATCTTCCTGATCTAGAAATGACAAAGTTTCTTTATTGTACCTTCCCCAAAATATATCAGGGACAACTGCCCTTCTTCATTGCTATGACTGATGCCCTGACCCAGGCCTTATCGTTTTATCTTTTACATTAATTGAGAAGTAATTCTTTGTTGTGGGGGGTTGTTCTGTATACTGCAGGATGTTAGCAACATTCCTGGCCTCGCTATACACATCAGTGGCCAGTAGTGTGCCCTCCCTACCCACTTGTGACAACCAAAAAAAATGTCTCCAGACATTGTCAAATACCCATGGGAGCAAAATCATCCAGCGTTGAGAACCACTACTTTAGACTGACATCCAAAGACATCCATTAAATGTTAATTCTTCAAAATTTTTCAATCCTTTTTCCAATTATTCAAGAACCCCTTATGACAGAGTCAATCAAGAACATGCAATGTTTATTTTGCATATTTCATTTGTCCAACTCAAAGTGCCCTTACTGTCACACTTTTCCAGTTTGTCGATTCATAGATACAGTCATTCACATCAGGAAGACTTCTGCGGTTAATTTCATACCTTCATAGGATCACTGCATTTTTCTGACATTGTTTTCTTCTCAGCATCCTTTATGGTCTTTCTCTTCCAATGGCCTAAATGCTGATGTTCTTCAGTTTTCTATCTGTAGTCCTCATTTTTACTTGGTCTATATTCTTCTAGGATGAAGTCTTCTACTCTTTTTGATTCATCTTTTGCAACAACGACCACCACCACCCCAGCTCCAAATTTGTGTCTCCAGGATGACCTATCTCCTGTTCCATTAAATAGTTTTCCAACTAATAACAAAACAGCTGCAGAAGAACCTTGACAGTTCTAAAAGTCAATAGGTCCAAAAAACATTTCTCTCTCTCCTGACCAAACTCTTCCTCTTATCTTCTTTTCTCAATAAATTTCTTTATTATGCATCTAAATACCCCAAACAGGAAGCTTAGACTCTCTCTTATCCATTCACATAACCTGTCTCCAAATCTTTTCCCTCCTTCCCTTCACCATTGTTCTAACCTCGTCCAAGTCCATTCTATTTGAGTATGGTCTCCTTACCTCCAGTCTGCCGTTTTTCTGGTCTAGATTCACCTTCCTCTTCTCCTTTAAACACCACCCTCCTTCTAAGTCTTTGACAGCTTTCCATTCCTTATTACTAAACTCCACTGTGGCACCTTCACAACCAGGTCACATTTGCCTTTCCCTTTGTGCATCCATCATTCCAGCCATAGCAGTCCATGCATCATTCACTAATGTGTCTTTCAGTTGGGCTTCAGGCAGAAAACTGAAACCATTTCTAGGTATTTCAACAGAGAGAATTTATTAAAAGAAATGGTTTAAAAAGTATTTGAAATTTTAAAGTGAGAACAGGATACTGAAGTAATTCCTGTGTTAAGTAAGCAGGAACCATCTATCACTCTGGGACTGAGGGATTACAGGAAAGAGGATTGAGTTATCAGAAAGTAAAAGTTTGGATAAAAGGGACCCCCACAGAGCTGAAACCTGCACCTCTAAGGTGGGGTAATGGCTGGCTGCTGCAGCTGCCTCTGAAATGCTGAGTAGAGCCTCCTTGGAGCTGAGGCTTAAACCTCTAGGGAAGGAGTGCCACCAGGCTGGTGTAGGAACCTCTAACGGTGTGATGAAGCTGGTTATGAATAAAGCTCAACACTGGAACCACATGTTGCTGTTGATGTGAAGGGCCGTTGCTGGGCAGTACTGTTAGAGCACCATCAAACAGAGTCAAGGAAACAGGATCTTCCATGCCTCCTACTTTCTCTGCTCCCTCTAGTGCCCCCTGTTGGTGGGATCCAGCAGACAACTTGCAGAGTTCTGGCCTCAACATCAGAAGGGTGGATTTAGAGTTAAAAGACAATTGCTTAATAACCAATACAGTACACTTTCACATCTCCTTGTCTTTACTGATGCAGTTTCCCCATTTATAATGGCTTTTCTACAAGTATCTGCCTGATGAATGCCTTTGCTCAAATACAATCTCTTTTTTATAATCTCCCTTAATCTTCCCAAAAGTAATTATTTATACTATCATGTGAGTTTCCCCAGTAATTTGTAAATACGTTTTTTGTAGATTTTTTTTATACTATATCATAATATGTGTTTGTGTGTTTATTTTCCATTTATTTTCTGCCAAACCAGGTACTCCTTTAGGACAGTTAGTTACAACCATAAAATATAGCAGGGTGCCTGGCATACAACAGATATTGGTTAAGCTCAATGGAATTGATAAGGGCATTTTAATGACATTAATATTAGATCATTTCTTATAGATATTTTATCATCCCAGCCAGATTTAAACTTCATAAGAGCAGAAATCATCCTTTATATTTCTTTTATTTTCTTTGCGGGGTTAAGTGCAAGGTTGAGCACACTGAAGAAGAGCTCAGTGATATTTGTTAACCACCTAGCTTGTTTATTAGCTACCACAATTTTGGTTCAAAATGACATGAAGATGGAGCATGATTATGAATATCAGGTAAGATCCATAATTAGGTTAGATGTGCTTCTAGCCCATGATTCCAACAGTTAGAGGGCACTGTATGTATGGTAAAGTTCTGTATTTGTTGGAGGACTAACACAATCAAGAGACCAAATGTAATATGTTTTATAGTGAATTCTAAATAATGAAATATATTATAGGTTTTATTTTTCTCTATTGATCTCCTACAGAAAATATATCCTGCCAATCCATGAGATTACTAATTCTGGGCTATATCTGTTCCTAGTATATTTATTAAATTTCTCACAACTATTAAAATCAACTAGTAATTACTTAAATGCAGGAAAAATATTGAATTTTAACTTAATCACCAGCTTCTTGAAAAAAGAAACCTCTGTTCAACAGCTGATTTATATTCACATCCAAGAAGAAGAAAAATAGCTTTTTTTTTCTAAAGGGGAGTGATATGTAATTAACTATTGATTTCTTCTCAATTATTCAAGGCAAGCAATTATCGATATTGATGGAACAGATATTTCCCTACCTCTAGTGCCCAAATGAAAGGAAATATCCCATTCAGCATTCTGCTGCCTGGAACAAGAAATGCTGAGGATCTTCAACTTTAGCTGAAAACAGTTATCTGGATCTGTTTATTCCATGTTGCCCCAATTAAACATATTTCTTCAAGTGCAAGCAAAATAAAATCCTGAAAACCTACATATGCTTTCCAAATTAACTAAAGCCAAAAAACAAGAGCTTTTGTCAGTTTTGACCATGAGGCTAACCACCCTACATGTGGACTTTGCTTCACAGCTACAGATCTTGACATTTTTAACCATGACTCATAAAATAATGTGGTTCTAATATTATGATTTCTAAGCCACTCAATAAGAGGTAGCTTATATAATCATTAGAAACCATGGAACACTGCCTTGCATATCAATATTTGGAGCCTGAAGGATTTAGTAGGCCTTAATAGTCACTTCTGACATTTACAGATAGCAAACGTGGATACATTTGAAAATTATGCCAATACACTACGCAACCGTGTTAGAGGTCACCAAGGAAATGTTGAGGAAGGCAGTAAAACAGTGGTCTATTTAGGGCACTCTGTTATTAACCATGTGGGTATCCACCACCATCTTTCCTAAGCTCATTGACACACAAAGCACTGGCATGTTTGTGTGTAAGAAGCTTCTTTTGAAGCTGACATGACTGTTGAACATAATTAGTGGACAAGGCAACATTCTCTATTGAGTTACTACTTGGAGGGTAGAGTTGTTTTCTTTTAATACTTTGCACTTAATAGTAATATTGGGTATGTGTATATGAGTGTGTAGTGTGTTGAACTCATGTGGCATCCCTGGGGAAATTTCACCATGACATTTTTAAAAATGGAAAATGTTACAATTTATAAAAAGCTACTTTTTCTGCTCTGTTCCCCACCTCCCATTCCAGAGGGGTTCTATATATTAAATGCTTAAGCAGCATATGTTGCTTGGGAAATGTTCTTGGCTCTTTTACTCTTTGTTGTTGTTTTAATTTCCCTGGGTTCTAGTTAACATTCTGCTAAATCAGTGAAACAGTGATTATCTAAAAGAATAGGAGACATGGAATTAATGAGGTTAGTCAGAATTTTGAAGAAATAAGAAATTATTAGAGGTGAAAGTTACATGACAGGGTCTGTGAATGAATTCTAGTCTCTGAAGTTGCTTGTCTTGATTTATTCAAACTGATTCCATTAATTGATGGACATAATGAAATTTTGGTAATCAGGGTTTCACCATCGCATTTATTACTATTCCCGGAAATCAAGGTAACCTTGGGCTATACTTCCCATATTTACAAGGTGATAAAAATCCTTAATAGGCTGTCAGGGACGAATGTGACTGCTTTTCCTCACACTCCTCCCATGAAACAAGCTTTCTCTCTTCCCATCTGGCTGCCGCCTGCCTGGAGCATGCTACTTTCCCCGTGTCCCCACCCCTCCTCATCCCCATGCCTCCCGGTGGGTTCTGTCTTCATGCATGCAGCGCTGGAATCACGCACCGAGAGAATGGCCCACCCCTTAGAGGTTTTTGGTCATTTTAGCAATACCGCTTTGCATTTTAAATACCATTCATCTGGCTTCAAAGATCTGCACTCTTGCATCGGGCACTTGTCCTTTAAAAACCCAAAAGATCACAACAGGTCCCAGTTCCATGAAGAAAAGATACTGCCAAACTAGGACTATTGCATTACTTTGTATTCTATAGCCTGAAATGGACAATGATAACATCCAAGATTGCAGCAAAAATCTATATGAAAAGGACTAATATGATAAAAACAAAGGCAGAAAACTACATTTGTTTGGAAATTGGAGTCACGGGCTTCGTTTGTGGAGGGGAGGGGGGAGCACAAAGATCGATAGAGATTTTTTTTTTAGGCTGAAAACATGATGTACCAGATGAACTTCAATTGATTCTGCTTCTCCTCCCCGCGCCCACCCACCCCTACCTTCCCCCTCATTCTGCAGCGAATGTCTGCGACAACGAGCTCCTGCACTGCCAGAACGGAGGGACGTGCCACAACAACGTGCGCTGCCTGTGCCCGGCCGCATACACGGGCATCCTCTGCGAGAAGCTGCGGTGCGAGGAGGCTGGCAGCTGCGGCTCCGACTCTGGCCAGGGCGCGCCCCCGCACGGCTCCCCAGCGCTGCTGCTGCTGACCACGCTGCTGGGAACCGCCAGCCCCCTGGTGTTCTAGGTGTCACCTCCAGCCACACCGGACGGGCCTGTGCCGTGGGGAAGCAGACACAACCCAAACATTTGCTACTAACATAGGAAACACACACATACAGACACCCCCACTCAGACAGTGTACAAACTAAGAAGGCCTAACTGAACTAAGCCATATTTATCACCCGTGGACAGCACATCCGAGTCAAGACTGTTAATTTCTGACTCCAGAGGAGTTGGCAGCTGTTGATATTATCACTGCAAATCACATTGCCAGCTGCAGAGCATATTGTGGATTGGAAAGGCTGCGACAGCCCCCCAAACAGGAAAGACAAAAAACAAACAAATCAACCGACCTAAAAACATTGGCTACTCTAGCGTGGTGCGCCCTAGTACGACTCCGCCCAGTGTGTGGACCAACCAAATAGCATTCTTTGCTGTCAGGTGCATTGTGGGCATAAGGAAATCTGTTACAAGCTGCCATATTGGCCTGCTTCCGTCCCTGAATCCCTTCCAACCTGTGCTTTAGTGAACGTTGCTCTGTAACCCTTGTTGGTTGAAAGATTTCTTTGTCTGATGTTAGTGATGCACATGTGTAACAGCCCCCTCTAAAAGCGCAAGCCAGTCATACCCCTGTATATCTTAGCAGCACTGAGTCCAGTGCGAGCACACACCCACTATACAAGAGTGGCTATAGGAAAAAAGAAAGTGTATCTATCCTTTTGTATTCAAATGAAGTTATTTTTCTTGAACTACTGTAATATGTAGATTTTTTGTATTATTGCCAATTTGTGTTACCAGACAATCTGTTAATGTATCTAATTCGAATCAGCAAAGACTGACATTTTATTTTGTCCTCTTTCGTTCTGTTTTGTTTCACTGTGCAGAGATTTCTCTGTAAGGGCAACGAACGTGCTGGCATCAAAGAATATCAGTTTACATATATAACAAGTGTAATAAGATTCCACCAAAGGACATTCTAAATGTTTTCTTGTTGCTTTAACACTGGAAGATTTAAAGAATAAAAACTCCTGCATAAACGATTTCAGGAATTTGTATTGCAATTTCTTAAGATGAAAGGAACAGCCACCAAGCAGTTTCACACTCACTTTACTGATTTCTGTGTGGACTGAGTACATTCAGCTGACGAATTTAGTTCCCAGGAAGATGGATTGATGTTCACTAGCTTGGACAACTTCTGCAAAATATGAGACTATTTCCACTTGGGAAAAATTACAACAGCAAAAAAAAAAAAAAAAAAAAAAAAAAATCTAAGTGATTGCCAAGATTATGCCAAAGCCTGTTGGCAGAGTACTAAGAGACTTTTATTTTTAAGTCATGCTATTTTCACAGATTGATGGTGATCATGTGACTCTAGGGATGCTGATCTATGTATCTTTCCAAATACAGTGTTTACATGGAGTATCACAAGACGCAACCTGGGGAACCAGGAAGGGAGCAGGGAAATTGAGTGATTTGCAATTTGACTTTGAATATATTCAGACTTAAGTATTTAGAGGAAATATCAAAATATAAAGCAGCAAGTAGACATAACTGCTGTTCCTGAGAATAAAGTTTGTTTTAAGTGCTGCCCAAGGTGTAATAAATTCTTGTTTCTGCCTTTTATTAGGCCAATTACTGTGCAAGACAGCAAGGGGAGGCAGGTGGGGAAGAACCTTTGCAAAGTTTCAAAGAGGCTAAGACAGTGTGCATTTCGTTCCCAGCACACTGTTGTCCTACAGATTACAAGTGTATTAGCAGCAGCATCTCCTGGAATCAAAAACAATTATCAGCCCGAACCAGAGTCTTAAGGACAATGAAATTCTACATGACTTGGTAGAACAATAACCTATGATAGTGTAAGGTCAGAAACCTAGTTCCAGTCTGAATTCTTCACCCTGCTGCCACTCCTTGCTGAAACAGGGAAGGGGGGAGGAATGTCTCCTGATAAATAACCTGGGTAAAAACTAGATGAAGGAACAGCATGTCTTATTGGTTTTGTTCCCAGAAAAGCCAATTCGAAGAAGGCAATAAAAGGTAAACAGGTAATGCCTGTGCTGCCTGCCACCCCACGTCTAAGTCTATTGAATGTTTGTTATTCAAACCAACAGTCTCTTTTGATGTAAGAAATAAGGAAAGATGGAAATAAATTAGAGCTTAGGCTTAGTGCCAGAGTGGCCAACCAGAAATTGGAGATTTACGTTGGAAGCATAAATAGAAAATTATATTTCAGGCTCACCAAAGAAACACATGAAAATGCTGATAACATAGGGAGTTTGAGATTATTTATAATGAGGTGGATTTCTGATATTAAAATTAGAGTTTAAGTTGTCTTATAGTTTATTAGCACAAACCAAAGGCAGCCCATGTTATTTCTGGCAAAGATGCACTTTATCGTTATCTGCTCATGGCTTTGTCGCAACGCTCAGGAATCAGACACTGCACACTTCAATAGTTGGGATTCCAAAAGCTAATTCTAAAATTTAATGAAGGCCTGATTTAAACTGATTCATCTGCATTTTATCTTTATGAGGCCATAAGAATCTAAATTGATGAGGAATATCTTTCATTCCGTGTATTTAGATATAGTTTTCTGAATTTCCTGAAGCGATGTGATCTGCTTTTAATAAAAATTCACTTTTAGGTGTACAACAAATGGAAATGAAATGTTCTTTTTAAATCTGGATTCTCAAGTTCTTCTAAAGGAGCTACTCCTCTGAGGAAACCTCAACTCAGTGGACTTGATTCATCTGTTACTTTCCAGCATTCTTACAAAGCTGGTTTCATCTACAATGTTGTGCCCTAAGAACAGGACTGGGGTGAAAAGCGGGTACTCAGTTGTTCATATATTTGAGGTCCTAATTCTTGGTATTTTTTCCCTTTGATAAATCCCTTAAAGTGGCTTAATGTAGTCTTGCATATGAGTTAATCTATCAACTTTCCCACATAGAACTGATATAATTCCTTCTATCAATAATATTGATGGGCATAACATTTCAAAAAATGGGACAAAGGTTCAGCTATCTAGAAAGATTTGCTATTTATAGGAAGATAATGGACATGCCCTGCTGTGATTTGAGGGTTATTTATTTCTGACCCTGTACACAGCCTAGGGGAAGAATTTAGTCCAGCAAAGAGGGGACCTTGCTTAGAGAGACCCATTCTGACTCTCCTCCAGCTTTCTCCCAGATATCAGGAACCTAGAGTTTCCTACTCAGATAACCGCCCCCCACACGCACACTTTTAGGCCAAATGTAGGCCCCCTCTGGGGGTTTAAACTCCTGGAGGCAAGCAACATCCTGAGTGCATATACCTGGGCACAGGGAGTGGCAAAGGGTGCATCTGTGTGGATGGATTAGGCCCTGGGGCCTGGAGTGTTCACTGTGGAATTTACACACAAGCAAGGAGAAGCCACTTGCCATGAAAACAAGAGTCCAGGGCTGAAAAATAAAGGGATGAGGGGTAGGAAGGAGATAGACAAGGGCTACCACGAGGCTGGGGGCCAGTACAGAACACTGAACAGTCTAAGAATTCTAAATCTATACCTGGGCTTCCAAGGGTTATGAAAGCATCATGTGTCAAAGTGGCAGGATGGAAGATAATTTAACAGTTTGTTAGCTTTATGTATGACTTTTAAATACTTAGACATGTGGCATGGGGTCCTCCATTGGTACTTTTGCACAAGATCCTGCAGACATTTGGGGTCGATCTGCCTGAGGTGCCCTTGAGTCAGATCCCTAAGTTGGCACAAACTGCTAACCACATAACACAAAGAAAGGTCCAGGTTGGAAGAAGGCGTCTGCTCCACAGTTCAGCTGGCCCTGTAGTTAATGCTCCCCTCACCTTCTCTTGGACCTGTGGTCTGACTGGAGTATAAGAAATTTTGGATGCACTGGGGGAACAACTGTGAGGAAATCTTGACATCGAATATTTTGTTCCATCTCCTTCACCCTCTACCATCAATAATCCAGTATGATTGGGATGTAAAGACCCAGCATTCTGAAATGGGATGCTCTGTACTATATGGGAAATGGGTTGTTGTACTTTACCGGTTGTTAAACACTAAATAAAATACCTGTTTAACAGATTCTCTGCTCACAGGATTGACCAAGATATGTGGGAACTGCATTTTCTATATATTTGTAATGTGAAAACACTGTAGGTATTTTTGATCTGGTGCAACTCGGAGCTCAGCTTCCCGAATCTGAACTAGAATTCCTTACCTACCTTTCCTACTCCCGACCTTAATTGAGAAGGATGGCAAGGTGGCAGTGGCTAAGCTGTATCAGAGAACAGTACGAGCCACCAGGTAAAACTCCAAGTTTTTTATTTTGTTTTTTTGTTTGTTTGTTTTTTAAAGAAAGTCCAGTTGGAAAGTTTTAATAATATAGAGGAATGAAAATACAGGTAAGGGACACTCTCAAGGTTTTGATTTAAGTATCTGGCCATGCACAATTCTTTCTTTGCCTCAGGAAATAAGGATTAAATTCTAATCAATTTTATCTCTAAGAAACATCAAATGTTCATCTGACGTAAATATTCTGTCAGTTCTGACCATTTCCATATAGAACGATTTTATACTTTATGTTTTTACTTTCTTACACTAAAAGTAGCTTTCTCCTTTAGCTACCTAAAACAGATGCCAACAAATTCCCAGAATAAACTGCACATAAACATAATATGTCAGAAAGAATTAAGAATGCCAACTATCATGTTTTGAATTTTCACCAGTAATCTTGGGAACATAGTGAACTTTTACTCTTCTCAACACCTGGTGAGGTGTGACTCACATATTATTATCTTCATTTTGCATCTGAAATATCAAATAACTAAGAAACACACCTATCGCTTGTATAAATCATATTATTGCATTGAACTAGAAATGAGAAAATAACATCTGTGAAAAACTCATAATGATAATGAATAAAATGCAGTTACTTGAGATCTGCTATGGCAGAAAAGTTCTGTCCCTAACACATTTTTAGAGTAGGCCTTGAAACAAGTCTAGCAAGAAGACCTAAATGATGTTAGGGGGGGTTGTTTAGAGTTACCTAATTGAGCATTTATTAAGTGCTGGAATCCCCCTCTGCCTTCTCTCATCACCCAAAAGCTGTTTTTCATTGAAGGATGAATTAAAATGGAGTAGTAACATTTAAAATTATGTGCTGTTTTTATTAACCTAAAATGATAGCTGGTAAAATGGGCCATTATTCTGCAAAATCTAATTATGTTAACACTAAAGATTTAGCTTGCCTGGCTGAAGCAAACTGCAGAGGATTGGAAGTAAAAACAATCTTCATTTTCTTAACTTAGTCCCATTTTTTCAAAGGCATTACTTTTAACTATTATTAAATTAGTGAACTGTGAATTCTATGGGGAAAAATGACTGGAAAGAGAAAAAATAATTACTACCCCTCCTACATCTGTCTGAATAGATTCTGAAATTCCTGCATGGCAAGAATGTGTCAAGTTGTCTTGAAGACATAAAGTACCACAGCTGTATCCTCCAGCCGCCCTGATAGTACCACATTACAGCTTTGCTCTTACAAGGGGCAGTCATTTTAATCTAATAAAAGACAGAAAATGGCAGAAAATCACACACCTGAAGTCCTGTTAAGAATAGGTGATTCTTTTTGCCCCAGGCAGGCAAGAACATAATGTCATTTTTGTTCGTTTGTATTTGCACTCTGAAGGAGGGCTGCTCCTGTTGGGGAATGGTTTTCCCTCTGCCAGTGTGAAGCACTGCAGGAAAACATTCTCCAAGGAAATCGCATTTTGCTATTTACCAGTCATGACTACCCCATGAAGCCCTGAGTAATTGTTTTGGCTTTCATGGTGTGATAAACACCTAGAGGCAAAGAGATTAGTGTCATTACTCTCCGTCTCTTTTTCTCTCCCTTTGGAAAAAAAAAAAAAAAAGGTGGGGGGTGTCCAAATATAGTATGACAATGTTTTCAAGAATCTTTCAGTCAGTTGATGCTTAATTATAAAGACCCCAGCTAAATATTCTGTTTATTAAATTAATAGCGTGACAAGTATTGGAGAGCTTTACAACCACTTAAACTCATGTTTACATCCTGTGTAATTACAATTCATAATTGGGAAAGCAGTCAAATCTAAATGCATTCTGATCAATGGCTCTCAGGCTGCCAAGTAGACCCCACACAAGACATTAGAGTAAGTGACTTCAAAACAGGACTTCTACACCTAGAATTCAAACTAGGTTAGGGGAGGGCACTGTGGGGAGTCTATCAGTGAAGTGTTTAAAGTTATATGTAAGATTTCCTATATATATGACATTGTTTTTCTGAATAGAGAAAGAAATTCTTTTTTTAAATTTATAAAAGGCCTGAAAGTATAAGAATGACTGCTCTGAATCCTAAGATTACGATTTACCCCAACTGTGGAAAGTCTCATTACATAATAAATTGTTGTCAGGAGATGAATGATAATGACTCAGGTGAATGAAAGCACATGTTTTCCTACAATCAGTTATTTATTTATTTCATACTAATCTTATCTCTACCTGAGCTGCTAAGGAAATCTGTAGTCCCTCTTGTGTGTGTGAGTGTCTCTATATATTACCTTCTGAAAAAGTCTGATATAGTGTGAGCTCTGATTCTGTTTTCAGGGTGGTGAGAAGCAACCCACTCTGATTTTTCTTTATTGCAGACATTTTGCTAGAAAGGGCTTCAACCATTTTTTCCCACACTTCTCATAAAATTTATTAGAAAGAAAATAATATATGTGTGACACAGGAACACACTTGGATTGAATGGCACAAAGTCGTTTCCTTTTTGACTGGTTTGTTTCATTTGTATGGCTGTTCTAGCTTACAAGAATTAGATCAGGAGCAAAGGTCTTTCTAATTGTCTTTATGGCTCCCTGAGTTGTGGGCACTACTCTAATTATGTGAGGACTTACATTCCTAATCAGTCCGGTAGACCTGCACCTGCCATAGCTGCTAGCCACCTCTGGCCACTGGGCATATCAATGTTGTCAGTCCAAAGTCTTGTGAATTTAAAAGACACACCATACTTCAAAGTCTCAGTGCAAAAACAAAAGATGTGAATTATCTCTTTCATAATTTTCATATTGGTTACACATTAAAATGATAATATTTTAGATACACGGATTAAATAAAATATATTACTAGAATTTATTTTAACTATTTTTTTCCCTTTTCTAATGTGGCTATTAGAGATTTTTGAATTACATGTGTGGCTCACATTATATTTCTGTTGGACAACACTGCTCTAGACACCTAATTTTTCCATCTATTAGCCCCTAAAACGGGGCTAATAATATTCAAGTAGTAGAAGTATTCACTTCCCAGAGTTAGTATGAAAATCAAGATGAGTTACTGAATATGAAATTCCTTGGTAAATTGTAGTTTTCCATGATAGTGATAATCACGATAAAATTTTCAAGCTCCTGTTCCATATTTGCAGATTTTTTGGAAGTTTCCAGCCAGAGGTCTTGCCATAACTTTCTCTGAAAGTGCTCCAATGCAATAAATGCAACACTTTCAAAGTTTTGAATGTGACACATGACCTGAACCTGGAGCTTACATCAGCAACAATGACAACAGGAGAATACTAATGGTAATAAAAAGATTAGTAATCAACAACCTTTATCAAAAGTCTTGAGCCAGGTACCATGTTAAGTATTTCTTTTTACCATCTCTATTCTAAATAATACACTGCACCTCTATTAATGCAGTTTATGAACACATAGTTGACTTGTAGTTTGCTTTCTGAAACTTAATTGCTTCTGATAAGTTATATATGTATACAACAAGAAGATGGCTAAATGTGACTTATAGCAGCAATTAAATGGACAAAGCAAAATTTGAGTCAACCATATGTGTATATGGTTGCATAATAGAGATACAGTATGTGAAAGGTGTCCAAATTTCTATAGTTGGATTGAAGTGTTGAACCTCACATTAATTTAAATTTTATCAATTTAAAGGATAATATTCGTGAGATAGTATTTCTGTTATCACCCCATTTAACAATCTTACAGGATCAGCTTATCATTTCACACCTCAAACTCAAAATCCATCTTCACACTGGCCCCAGGACACCTGCCCAACCCATGAGCCTTGAAAATGCTCTACCCCTTCTCATCTTCTTGACTGTATTTAGATCTTTTTTAAAAACTTAGAATGCCTTTGAACACTCTTCACCCATTAAAACCCTATCCCACATCAGGTTCTGTCTTTCCAAGAAACCTTGCCAATTCATCTCACTGCTTCTATTCCTGCTTAAAGATTTGACCCAGCAGCTAGTTCTTCTTATGTGTGACTTATCTTGTGACTTGTTATCTCTCCTACTAGATTATCAGTGTTAATACTGACATGACACATACATACATACACACATGCATACACACAGAGGACCTTGCATTTAGTAAGGCTCTATATGTGCATTCACAAACATCTGTTGAGCATCTAGTAATGTACTAAGCACTGCTCTAGTTGATTGGAACAAGAGTCTAACACACATTTGAGACTGTGTGCCCCTCATTATACTTAAATTATGTAATATAAATCTATTGCTGTATTAAGTAATATAAATAAGAGCTAAAATAAAGAGAGTTCCTGAAGAGAAAATGTATATACACTCAAGATTTGCAAATTGAATCTCATTTTAAATTCATTAAGGAGTATTTCTAATTAAAACTTGTGGTTTATTCTTTTTTTAAAAAAGTGATAAATATATCCCAATTTACCTTTTCTAATGGGATCAATATATCCCAATTTACCTTTTCTAATGTCAGATTTTGATATATTTCTGCTTTTCTTAAAACAGAAACGTCTGCATTTCTCAATCTTCGTCATATATAGCCCTCGGCTGGGCGCGCTGGCTCACGCCTGTAATCCCAGCACTTTGGGAGGCTGAGGCGGGTGGATCACTTGAGCCCAAGAGTTCAGGACCAGCCTGGGCAATATGGTGAAACTCCGTCTCTACTAAAAATACAAAAAATTAGTTGGCCGTGGTGGTTTGTGCCTGTAATCCCAGCTGCTCGGGAGGCTGAGGCAGGAGAATCACTTGAACCTGGGAGGGAGAGGTTGCAGAGAGTCAAGATCGTGCCACTGCACTCCAGCCTGGATGAAAGAGCAAGACTTTGTCTCAAAAAAAGAAAAAAATATTTGGCCCTTGAGCTAACCATTTTCAACCTCGAGTGTGAATCAGAATCTCTTAGAGGGTTGTAGTAAAACAGTTTGCTGGAGCCAAGCCCCAGAGTTTCTGATTCAGTAGGTCTGAAATGGAGGTAAAGGGTGTGATCTGCAACAAGTTCCCAGGTGAGGTTGAAAACTGCTGATCCTGACATGACTTTGCGAACCATTGGCTTAAACTAATTAAAAATCTCACTGCAGTTTAACAAGAAGCTCACTGGGTTTACCCTAAACTCCGCTTCCCTGAGGTTAACTAATATTAAAATGAGCATCATTATTCCTACCCAGAAGGGTTGTGGTGAGAATTAAAGGAGATAATGTACGTGAAAGTGTCTCATCTGAAGTTCACATTTATGAACTGTGAGTTAAAACTACACATTTTCAATTTAGCCATAAAATACGGCTAAAGCATATATTTCACTAGATCCTCCCACTCAAGCAATTCCAGCTATTGGAAATTCTGGTCTCTAAATTCAACAATTTTTACTGACAAAAATGATAAAATAATAGAATCATACAGCTGGCCAAGACCTTAGAGATTTTCTGGAGCGAGCAGTTAAATGTTTTGGAGCAGGTAAATAGTCAAACCTTTTTTTGTTTACTTTCTTGATTCAATAAAGCAATCAAAGCAATTGAATGGGTTGCATGTATCATTTCTCAACTTGAATATTTGGTTTTTTCCTAACTTGAATTATTTGACGGAAACAAGCTACTTCCAGACTAAAAGAAAAATAGAAATGAGATTCTCGTTTTTCTTGTCAGCTCATGGTTGTAGCTTCCAATGGATGCTCTGAGGCCCTGTGACAGCCCACTTAATTAAAGCCTGGTTCATTCTAACTCCAGTTTGCCCACTGACACACTCTGTGGCCTCACTCTGTGATGTTTCTCTACCCACTAGAAGGGCTCAAGGGGCTGTTAATGTAAGGAATCAATGATCAAAAATTAATTTTAAAGCCTGTGGTAAGAGCGCATTAACATGAACAGTGCAGCTTGCCTAGTGGAGAGTCTGAGCAGCACAGCTGACATCTTCCGAAGAATTGGAGAACAAAATTTTGCAGATAGAATGTGTCTTGAGAATAATGATGTATGTCACTATTAACCTAGTGCTAAGTTACAAGCTTAAATTGGAGACTCTGCAGAGGAATACACAGCCTCTGTAATTTTCAGTTTGGTGTAATAATATGGAAATGGCTTTTGGTGCCGGGATTGGATCAGCCTAAATGAGCTGGAATTGATAGCTGCCTGTAATACTAGGGGCAGGAGAGAGTCATCACGTCTTTGTCCTTGCTGACTTATCTAGGGCTCTCCAGATGTGGCAGTTTTGAGGAGTGAGCCTTTAAATACGTTATGGAAACGCACTACAATATCTTGCAGCACAGAGAAGGTGCTTCTAAAATTGACTCAACAAGAATACAGAATGGGGATCCTCCTTTCCAAGGAAGAAAAAAGCTTTTGTTCCTATTAAAAGTAAAAGGAAATGCTAACTTCAGAAAAAATGTGATGGAGGTGTTCCGGGGGAACAGAGAATTTCAAGAAGTAGAGCAATCCTAGCTCTCCCCTCAGATACCCCCACTCCAAGCCCCAATCCTCTCTATCCCCTGGAAGTCATAGCATTGCAGAGGCTGACACCCACACCCTTTCTTTGGGGGCAGTAGAATGGACACTTTATTGTTACACTCAACGATTGAAATGTTAAAACAGTGAAATTGAAAGTCTGTGGTCAGTGACATAGGAAATAAAGAGCTTCTTTAGTTTCTATATTATGGATAGCATCTCAAATACTGTCCAACAATTGGTTTCATTAAGAAGTCAGCAGGGCATGAGTAAATTATCAGCAGTGGAGAAACAACAGCGAGTTTAGATTAACCTGAATGTAACCGAGCCTGATGAAGAGGCCTTTGCAAAGCATGCAAGTCTCCTTATTATCTGGTCCCTGCGTATTTTTTCAGCCTCATCTTGCTTGCCAGCCTGTGCTCCAGCTAAATGCAAGTGATTGCACTTCCCTGAAGACATCAGACTCTGATGTCCCATATGCTTTCACATGTGTTGTCCCTTTGGCCTGATATGTGCTTCCTCATTGTACCCATCTGGTGAGCTTATATCCCTTAGGACATGGTTGAGGAGCCTTCATTTTGATGCCCTGTTCCAGTTACCATTGCTGCATGACGAACCACCCCAAAACTTAGTGAGTAGCAAGAAAGGATGGTGTCTCATCTTTCCTCTGTGATATCTGGCACCTCAGTTGGGGGCAATTGACATGACTGGCAGCTGGGACTGGAGGATCCACTCTCCACATGACCTGAGTGCCTACACCTAGCCTGGCTGGTGACACAGCTGCAGAGAGGTCAGACATCTCATTTCAATGATCAAGATGCCTTTTGTGACTTAGCCTTAGAACTCAATCACTCAACACAGTCAAAAGCTAACCCAGATTCATGGGAGTGGACATAGATATTGCCTCTCGCTGGCAGAAGTGTCAACGAATTTGGAATCTTGTTCCATGTCTCACCTCTCCCAGATAGGGTGGACAGTGTCTCCTTTGACCACCCAGTACCTTGCGACCTCTATCAACGCCTTCTTCTGACTGTGCTATGTGGCTGCTTAGCCCACTGGCTTCCACATTAGACCATGATGTCCTCATGGACATTGTATATGCAGGTCTGGCAAAGCACACATATGATATTGGACACCAAGTACTTAAATTAAGTCACACTGAGCATTGCCCAAATTAAAGGTCTGTATGTTTGGAGTCCGAGCACACAGATACCCCTTCTATCAAAGAGTATCTAACCCTCACACCAAGCCCAATTTCTCTGCGCTGTGAGGAAGCACACTATTTCCGAATGGAGAACCTGGTGACCCCCAGAATGTAGATTCAGACTTCTCAGAGAGATTATCAGTAGCCACAGCAGCACACCACCTTTCCAAAGGTGAGTGATCAAAGGCAAATGCCAACCATGGTCAAGCCAAGGGCCCCAGGCAAGGAGAAGACCACCCACTGCAGGGCAGCAGGGCCAGGAATAATATGGGGCACAGGAAAGAAGACTGTTGCAGACAGGATGCCATAGAAAATCTGCTGTTAGCACGGTCAGGCCTGGGTTGAGCATGAGGGAATAGGCTCCTGTTTTTAAAAGTGCTGTTATACAAACCTCATCTAATTGCAGAGGCCGGGGTAAAAAGTCCGTCATTCTAAGGAGCAACATTTTTTCCATCTGTACAGACTGAATTGTGTTCCTCCAGATGCATATGTTGAATCCCTAACCCCCAATGGGACTGGATTTGGAGATAGGATCTTTAAAGAGGTAATTAGGTTAAATGAGGTCATATGGCAGTGGGAGGGGGACCCTTATCCTGTATGACTGTTGTCCTTACAAGAAGAGAAAGAGGCACCAGGGATGCATGTGTGCTGAGAAAAGGCCATATGAGAACACAGTGAGAAGGCAGCCTTCTGCAAGCCAAGGAGGCTGGCCTCAGGAGAAACCAACCATGCCAGCACATTGATCTTGGACTTTTAACCTAGCCCTGGTAAAGTAATACACCATCTAAAGTCCCAAGTTCAAACAAGAACAAACAAACAAAAAAAGCTCTTGCTAAGTTTGTTCATTTATTCTCCAGCTACTTATTGAGAACGTAGTATGTGCCAGGAATGATTTTGATTCTAGCACCTAGATGCAGTGGAGGACAATATGATCCTGTTCTCACGGAGCTCATATTCTGGTGGTGGGTGACTGGCAAGAGCGGAGGCACAGATGGTGATACGTGATCCAGGAATGGAGAGTAACAGTAGATTGAGGCCACCTGAGACAGAGATGAGATGAGGCGTCATGACACAGTGGCTTTTAAGCAGAAACCTAAATTAGGAAATGGGCATTACCGATATCTTAGGGAAGAACCTGGCAGGCGGAGGATAAATCAAGGGCACACATCGGGGGCAAGAGTGTGTGTGAGGAACAGCAAGAGGGAAATGTGGCTGACCAGGCCAAGCACAAAGGAGTGTGGTACAAGAAGTGAGAGAAACGGCCTGGGCTATGTCATCTTTTATGCTGATGAAGTTACACAAATATTTCAGTGAGGATTTCTGGCGCCCACAGGAAATAAAATGAGGAAAATAACCCCCTTAGAGGGCTGTGCTTTAATTAGATTTATTTCTGTGCTGCCAATTTTGCTAATAAGTAGCAAAGTATGTAGGAGGTGTTCAATAAATGCTTGTGGAATGAATGAACTCAAGAATGCATGAATTAGCCAATTCAGCAATAATGCATCCGGACATTCTAATCAGTTTCAACTTTGAGCTATTGGTGTTTATCAAACCATCGATGCCAGGTTTCGATTCAGAAAACATGGGGAATAAATGTTACAGGGTAACCAGTATTTGTTCCACAATCAAAAGAGAAACCGCAAAGCCTGGAAATTGTGTCCGAGGAATTATCTAGCCTTCATCAACTAGAACTAGAAGCACTTGCCAGGGATGTCAAAGGCATCCTTTCCCTGGAATCAGCCTTTTGTGTCCTGTGGCCTATGAGAGGCCTACCTAGGTGTCTAACAGGAGTGCTTAACAAATATGTCTAAAATACCAAACTAATATGCCCCCCTCCTCCAGCCCCTACCTGCTCTCCAACTTCCCCATGTCACGATGTGACATCTCCTTTCACTCGATTTCTTAGACCCAGAAGCCTGAAGATTCCCCTTTCAATCATACGTGCAGTCAGCAAACCCTTCCGGCTCCACATATCCAACCCGGCACCCCTCCTCGCTGGCCTACTGCGACAGCATCCTTACTGGTTTCATTTCTTCCAGCCTTACCCCTCTTCACTCCATCTCCCCTTTAAATAAGAAAATATGGTCATGCCTGCCTCTGCACAAACCCGCCAATGGCTTCTCCTCACATGTAGATTAAAGTATGAAAGGCTTACTGAGACTCACAGACCCTCCATAAACAGCCCGCAGCTACATCTCCAGCGAAATTTCTCTGAAAATTCAAACACCCCTCCCTGACTCCCCTTCGGACACATTCCTTGCCTTTCTCTCAAGCCCACTCTGTCTCGAGGCTCTGTACATGCTGTTTCCTCTGCCTGGAATCTTCTTCCCTAGATATTCTCCAAAATTCAACCAGGACTTGGCTCAGATGTCACCTCAGCAGAGAGGCCTCTCTTTCTCACCATCACCTTCTATTCCTTTATCCTGATTTCTCTTCCTACTACTTACCACCACTGACATTATATTATTTGTTTGTTCATTGTCTGTCTCCTTCCACTAGAATATCTGCTGTGTTTGCTGCTGAATTCCAAGCACCCAGAACAGTGTCTGACATTATAGAAGGCACTAAACAAATATCTGTGGAATTAATGAATGAACAAACAAATGCTTTTGATCACAGCGTCCTTGCCTGCAGAAACCAGAGGAGGCCTTAGGACCCTTCTGAGCAGTGCTCCCGATGACCATTAGCACTGGAAAAGAATTTCAGTTCAAGAAATGAAAATGACATGCCATCCCTGCATTAAACCATGGGATGCTTTTCTTTTTTGTCTTTCCAGCAAGTACTGTTTTATTTGTCTCTTTATTCCTGGAAACTAATAGCTTCTGGGCCTAACAGGCATTTGTTAAGTGTTTGCCAAACTGATGCTCAGTAGACAAGTAAAAGTAGGGAAGATGGCTTTGTGGCTCATGTGTAAAACTTAACTGGTGATATGGTAGCCCTAAAATAATTCTTCAGATATTTTATTGACCCTCAATATGCCAAGCACTGTGCCTCATAGCCTGTGTTCCTTCCCTGTATTCTCCATGGCTCAGCTGGGGGTTTGGAAGGAGAGAAGGCACAGCTCACCACTAACCAGCTGGATCCAAGAAGCGTCTGAGCCCTGTGAGCTTCTTCAGCCCAGCCTGCTCCCCCAGCCTCTCTCACTGGCATGGCCTAAAGTCACTCTGGGCTGGTGTCTCCCCCTGGATCGCAGGAAGAGAAGAAACGGTGCCACTTTAGCCTGTGTTTATCTGTAACTTTCAAGGACAGTATTGTTCACGTTTGTGACAGGAGCCCTTAATTTACATTTGACATTTTCTCTCTCCTAATGTTAACACCCAGTCACTCAGGTGACATGATCATTTGATAGGTCCCCAGAGACTGAGTTTTCTGCATTACTTTGTGCCAGAATGGCACTCTTGTGATAGGTGCTAAATAAGGACAAAGTGAGACAGGGAGTGCTGTTTTGTGTTTGCAAAACTTCTTTCAGCCAAGGCTCTCCAAGCACAGTACAAACATTAAGAGGAATTATTATCTCCACTTTACATAAAGAGGAGAAACATTTGATTTCTTTAGTAATAGCCCTCTTATAACCATTTCCAAATGTAATTACATTGGTTGGAAATGCCAACTTATGCAATGAAATTACCAGCACATTACATAAGACAAATAAAAGGAAATGATACTTCATAGAAGGCATCAAGTACAAGAATAGTCTCCTCTAGATCCTCACTCCTCCTCTAACTAGAGTTAAAACATTAACATCATCATTGTGAGGAAATATAAAGGACAATTGTAAGCATCTTTCTGGGCCATGGTTGAATGTTCTAACATTATTGCATGAAAATGCTGGATGTAAGAGTTTCTCCTGAGAGTAGGGGGAAGGCTGCCCCCTACCCCTCAGACATTCATTCTCTAAGTGGAAAATGAGCAAGTAAATTTTTACCAAACACCAGTTATGCACCTGACATTGCACTAGGTGCATTCACGTACTTGATCTCCTTCAAGCCTCATCACAATTCATCTTACAGAGGAAAGAGCTGTGGCTTAAAGACACAGGGGGAGCTGGGTCTCAGGCACCAGGCTTGATGCTCTTTCCAACCCCTACAGTTGTAATCCCAGGCCAGGGACGGGATCACCACCCTCCTTTCCAGCAACTCCAGTTCCCCACTATTCTAGCACCCATGGCGGGTAGAAGGCTGGCCCTCCTGGATTGCAGAGGGTATGCCTGAGTCACGAGGATGCTAAGCTCTGAGAAAAAGCCTGCTGGGGTTAGCCATTCTTATTCTAGTAGCCTCCTCGATGCCAAGAGGCCTCCAATACCCACCCAGATTTCAAACATCTTTCCTTGTTTGGCAGAGTAGTTTGGAGTGTGGTCTTTGAGGTCCAATCGCATGTGTTTAAAGCCCAGTTTCTCCACTTATAAGCTACGTGATCTTGAACACTGACTTAACCTTAGTGCCCCAGTTTCTTTCCTATAAATGGGTTTAGTTATGTCTATATCACCTTGATAAAGAAATTTAATGTATCATCACGTTTTAAGCGCAGAACATAACAAGCACTTACTAAATATTGGATATTACCAATATCATCTGTATTACTATTAAATTCCTTCAGTAGTATCATCTACTCTCATTGTTTTAGCCTCCACTTTTACATGGGCACTCCTCACTCTCTCCCTCTGTGTTACCCCCTTCTCAGAGTGGCCAGCACAGGTCTGATTGAAATGGGAGCCAGTAGCCAGTGCTGGCTGACCTGGCCCTATAGGAATTGGGCCAGGCAGGTGATCCTGGCATAATCTTGAGCATAAATGGCCAAAAAGTACACAACAATTTTGTCTTACAGGGTTCTGAAGGATCAAAGTTTGCCCGAACATTTTCCTTTTCAAGTTTAAATGGTTAGGAAAAGCCAATGCCAGTGAAAAAGCAAGAGACACAGGAGCTAATAATCAGAGAAATGGCAGGGGATGTGGGTAGTGGGGAGGATAGGTGAGGGGAGTGATAAAAAGAGAATTATCTGTTCCTCTCAGTCACAAAACTTGTAGTCATATTTGCTTCCTCCCTCATGTGCCCACTCAGTTTCAATCAACACGTCCTATTGATTCCATTGCCACCAGGTGTTTTGGGCTTGGCTTTCTCTCATTCATTCTCACTGCCCCCATTTCATTTCAGACCTTCTTTTCCTGCCACCTGGACCATTACAATAGCCTGTCTCCAGCTTTCCCCAGCCAGGGGATCTGTCCAAAATGCACTCTGAAAATTCCAGTTCTGCCCTTATAACAAAACTCTTAGAGATGCTCATTTATCATTTAGTAAATCCACAGGCCTTATCGTTTTCTAATGTTCACTAGCAAGTCTGGCTGCTCGCTGTCCCCAGAACACATGTGTCTTGCGTATGCATGAACCATGTATTATGTAGACTCTCTGTTTCAGTGCCATTGCACGCACTAGGGATGCAAGAATGAACAGTTGGTCCTTGAGCGCCAAGAGGTCATGGCATAGCAGGGGAGATAGGCAGGTACCAATGCGGATGTGTGTCAGAAAGAAGTCAGACTGGAAAGAATCCAATCTGACACGTCTGATCAGCAGTGCTTGCTTGGAGGTGTCTTCTCATTTAAAATGCTAACAGTATGGAGCTATATCATTAATCATTGAATCATTTTATTAAATGGACAAATCTGAAAGAGAATGGAGAACAAGTGGGTCAACAGTAGAAAGACAAATAGAACAAATAGGGGCCACAACTTAAATACCTTTAGCAGTCAGACAAGGAGTGGCTTGTGGAACCATAAGGAGTGATGGGGACTTTATGCCCTGCCTAAGTGCATTCACAGTCCATTTCCTTTCAAAACTCTGTGGCAAACCAAATAGCTCCACAGGGCAAGATCGGCCCACTGGAAGCCATCAGCAAACTGCCCCAGTTGGGTAAGAAGTGCCAAGGATCCTGAACCTTCACATCCTGGATGCTGTTCCACCACCATGAAGGAGCTGCGTGTCTTTGGACAAGTAACACAAATTATTTGAGCCTCAGTCTTCTGCTCTGAAAACCAACATAACAATTGCTACCCCATAGAGTCCTGTGGGATTCACAAATGTAGAATTGGTTCTCCATTATAGGAGTGCTATTAAATCAAGAAAAACCAAAAAGCCAAAGAAATGACCATAGAAGGGTTACTGACACCACCTTAATTTCCCAGTTATGTACAGAGTTCAACTTTCAAATAAGATGAAATCATAAGCAATGGCACCTGGACTCTTTTGGTTTCCAAGTCTTCCCCTCTTTTTATCCAGGCCACGTTCTCCTTGACAGAGCTGTCTACAGATAACACCAATTCACTTTCACTACAGGTTGGGAAATTGTTCTGAAGATAGCAATCTACTTATGCAACTGCATATACACATTTTCATTTCTTTTGGCAATAAAGCCTTTTAAAAATGTACTTTTTCAACATGTGGCCATAAAACTATTGAGTAGGACCTTATAATCTCAGGACCAAGAATTTTATTAATAGAACAAAAAGGGAATTTTAACCAATATTACAAAACTACAGCAGTCAAGAAGCTGTTTCCTGAACAACATAATAGCTAAGCCACGTGACCTTTGCTGCCATGTGAAGAGCAAGAAATTCTCTAAATTAAATCAGTCAGAATGGCAAACCTGAGAGGCACCTCCTGACTGAGACCTCCAGCAACAGGGCAGAGGGCGAATCTGGGAAATCAAGCAGAATTGAGGTTCCCCTGAGACAGCAGTTAAGAGTTGAATCGGGAGGTGTTTCTAAGTTTGCCAAGTCCTCTCTTGCTGACAGACTGTGGCTTCCCAATTGAGTATTTCACTTTTGTTTTATGTTTCTGCTTCTGTGCCATGGCCTTGTAAATACCACAGTGTAATTACGGCAGGTTTCTGTTTTCTGAACCTGTACCTAGAAGGTAAAAACTCCCAGCTATGCATATGTGTCAGAACTAAAGGCAAAATAGGCTCATTGCCTCATGATACTCAGATGTACTTCTTTTGAAATGGGGCATTTGGGCTAAGCAGGAGCTGGGCCTCAGATGTACGTGGGGAGAAGGGGAGGCCACTCCTCTCTAGCCTTGGGACTCAGCTATTGTGGAAGCTATTCATAAATAATGGTGTTAAGGGGCACCTTCTCCCACTTGGGTTGTTTAGGATTCAGATGCTACCAAGAAGTGGAGTAAGGTAATGTTCTCTCCCCTCATTCGTCCCCACAACAAGTATATATTTGCATCTCTAATTTATTAAAATGCTGACCTGGGATGGATCAAATCCAGGACCAATTACAAGAAAGGACATAAGGAGCCATAAGAGGAAGGTGACTCTGGAGTCAGTGCCACAGCCTCAGGTGCAGGGGAGAGGTTTAGATTGCAACCTAGCCATCTTTGTGGTATGAGGGTACTTTGGGGAAGTGGCTCTGAGTATGATCAGCGCTCCCACAGGAAATAATGGGACACTCAAACAAAAAAATTGGCCAGGCATGGTGGCTCAGGCCTGAGAGGCTGAGGCGGGAGGATTGTTTGAGCCCAGGGGTTTGAGGTTGCAGTCAGCTATGATCATGCCACTGGACTCCAGTCTGAGTGACAGAGCAAGACCTTTTCTTAAAAAGTTGGGGAGGGGGAGAAATTGAGGAGCATATAATGAAGAGACTATGAATAAAGCTAACGATTAAAAAATGATAAAGTATTGAGTTGGGGAAACAGATACCAGCCCCTAGGCCTAAAGTGTGAGAATGTGAGCTGTCACCAGAACCTGAAGAGACTGGCAGCTTTATGGGAGCTGTGGGCTTTGGTAGAGAAACCAGCCTATGCCAACTTGCATCCTGGCAGGAAAGAATCCTGGGAAATAAACTCCCATCCTCTGCTCTTGAGTCTCCTGCCAGAGCCTCTCATTGGCCAAACTCAACAGGGATCTGGAGGGCAAAAGAGCCTGCTCATGTAATCCATGAAGAAGCCATAAAGGATTGCTCAAGGCTCTCAGCAGGTGGAATCCTAATGGTGAATTTCCAGGGACAAATGGAAAATGCAGGGCATCATTCTCCTTACTTCTCCAAGATACTGGCCAACTGGTTCCATGAGAGAGTCTTCACCAAAGTCAACCCAAGTGACTTTATTAGGCATATCTCCAAGGGACTGTCAAGGCCTGTTCTTTATGGCTTGCAGCTCCCCATAATGTTGAGAAGTTTCTGGGTCTACCAATCGCAACTAGGATGTTTTCCAGCATGGAAGCCAGTACAGAAGAGATAGTGAAAGCTATGGCCTGAGGCCCCAAGCCCAGTTGGAGTGGATGATCCTGTTGCAGTGGCACTGCTGCAGGATGCTTGGGGGCCATCACTGTCAGAGCCTGGCCTCATTAAAGATACATGCAAACTCCCAGTTCCTCAACAAGGGACTCCTCGGAGCCAGGAGCAGGACTGATATGTAAACACTCCAGGGAAATCTCGGACATGGGAATACAGCTCAGCAAACTTTTTCTATAAAGGGCCAAGTAGTAAATATTTTAGGTTTTATGGGCTGTTTGTTCTCGGTTGCAAATACTTAATTCTGTCATTGCTGCATGAAAATAGCCAGAGACAGCAAGTCAACAAATGACTGTTGTTGTGTTCCGATAAAACTTTACAGAAACAGGTGGTAGGCTGGATTTGGCCTTCCAGCAGCAGTTGGCTGACCCCTGGTGTACAGAATTGAGGTTTAGGGTATTCATCTACTTCTGCCCTCATTTGTACCTGCAAATGGAGAGGCTGGCAACATTCGTGCTGTGTGCTGACATTCCAGATTTCTTTTAGATTGTAAGCCACATGAAAACAGAAGCCATGTCTTATTTACCTGGGCATCCTTACTACACACGATTGCATAAATGAATGAATCAATCAAACAATAAAAAAATTAGGCTAGGCACAGTGGCTCATGCCTGTAATCCTAGCACTTTGGGAGGCCGAGGTGGGTGGATCACTTGAGGTCAGGAGTTCGAAACCAGCTTGGCCAACAAGGTGAAACCCCGTCTTTACTGAAAATACAAAAAAAATTAGCCAGGCATGGTGGCAGGTGCCTGTAATCCCAGATACTCAGGAGGCTGAGGCAGGAGAATCATTTGAATCCAGGAGGTGGAGGTTGTAGTGAGCCAAGATGGCACCACTGCACTCCTGCCTGGGCAATAGAGCAAGACTCTATCTCAAAAAAAAAAAAAAAAAAAAAAAAAAAAAAAAGGAAGAAAAGAAAAGGAAAAAAAAATCCACAAGGGGAATAATATAATTTATATTTCCATTTGCAGTTCTTGTTAACCAAAATTAAACCTTATGCCTTGTTCATATATTTAAAATATTGAATGATCAGAAGATGTACAGAGAAATGTAAACCCTGTATGGGTCCTAAATTTCTTATAAAAATTAAACCAAATTTTCATGAGCTGACTGGTGCTACTTTCTAATGATGGTAGAATAGGCTAGGCTAGCTCAAACAAACAATTGTTGTGAGTAGAAAAGTAAACAGGATCCTAATCAGCGTGTTTGCTAATGAGACTCCCTGAATGGGTGTTTAACCATAACACATGAATTAGGTGTTTGTTCCTAACATATATTCAACTTATGGGGTTGGATATTTAGTGCTTTATTTATTATATGTGAGCTTCAAAAACTACAGAAAAAAAATCCTTACAACTCTGTTTTTTATGATCTTGCACACATTTTTTTTCTCTATATTCCCCCCCTGCAACCCCCAGACTGTCTATAGTACACCTGCTATTATTAGTGATATCACAGAAGATGACTTTGGAACTGCCTGTGAGACACCAGTCTAAACACCCAACCACAAATGCAATAAGGCAAAGAATTGAGGAAGAGAGTATCTAATACTACCTAAGTTGTATAAGGTTGACCATCACCTCCCTTTCCAAGTGAAAATTGCAAAGCCAGAGTTACAGGTAGCTCTGCCTTCCACATAGTCTGATTCTTCTTTATGATTCTTCTTTGTGATGAATGGAGAACAGTACATCCAAAAGTACAGTCAACTGAACAGTGCGTCTTCTTTTTCCTTAAGTAAACAGCAGTTTGAGTCATTTGACTATAAAATATTGAAGTAAGGAGTTCTTAGCTTTCCCACAGCAGAAACAAACTTTTGGGTATAGTAGAGTTTGGGGGCACAAAGACTACTAAATGTGTTTCAGCATAAGCAGCTGGAAATATCTATGATCAAGCATCAAGGAAGAGATACAACCTCCATTTCTAGGTCGCTGAATTTATTCAATAAATATTTATTGAGCATTCAGCAAGTATCCAGCAGAGACAAATCCAAATCTGGATGCTGCTAGTTCATCCACTTCCTTGTTGAGTGTACATACAAACAGGATGCTTGTATGTAGGTGTGTATTTTATACTTGCTTTATAATCATGATGGAATCAGAAGTCAAGTCTCTGGCCACTGACACTCTTCTGTATGTGTTTGTGCCACCTTTTGCCATGCCCTACCTTGACTTATCTAGTCAGGAGGATGTGCAAAAACAACAAACAGTTTTGTAGCTTATCAACAGGCAGTAGATAAAATAATATTCTTTTTGTTTTTTATTTTAATTTTAATTTTTAAGTTCTGAGGTACATGTGCAGGTTTGTTACATAGGTAAATGTATGCCATGGTGGTTTCCTGCACCTATCCACTCATTACCAAGGTATTAAGCCCAGCATGCATTAGTTCTTTTCCCTAATATTCTTCCCTACCCACACCCTCCTCCAACAGGCCCCAATTTATGTTGTTCCCATCCCTGTGTCCATGTGTTCTCATTGTTCAGTTCTTACTTATAAACGAGAACATGCAGTGTTTGGTTTTCTGTTCCTATGTTAGTTTGCTGAAAATAACGGCTTCCAGCTCCATCTATGTCCCTGCAAAGGACATGATCTCATTCCTTTTTATGGCTACATAGTATTTCAGGGTGCATATGTACCACATTTTCTTTATCCAGTCTATCTTTGATGAGCATTCGGGTTGATTCTATGTCATTGCTATTGTGAATAGTGCTGCAATGAACATAGACATCCATGTATCTTTGTAATAGAATGATTTATATTCCTTTGGGCATATACCCAGTAATGGGGTTGCTGGGTCAAATGGTATTTCTGGTTCTAGATCTTTGAGGAATCGCCACACCATCTTCCACAATGTTTAAACTAATTTACATTCCAGCCAACCATGTAAAAGCATTCCTATTTCTCCACAACCCTGTCAGCATCTGTTGTTTCTTGACTTTTTAATAATAGCTATTCTGACTGGCATGAGATGGTATCTCATTACCGTTTTCCCAGTGAAACAGAATAGAAAACTCAGAAATGAGACCACACATCTACAACTGTCTGATCTTCAATAAACCTGAAAAAAAAAAACAAGCAATGGGGAAAGGATTCCCTGCTTAATAAATTGTGCTGGGAGAACTGGCTAGCCATATGCAGAAAATTGAAACTGGACCCCTTCCTTACACCTTATACAAAAATTAACTCAAGATGGATTAAGAACTTAAACATAAAACTCAAGACTATAAAAACCTTAGAAGAAAATGTATGCGATACCATTCAAGACATGGGCATGGGCAAAGATTTCATAACAAAATCACCAAAAGCAATTGCAACAAAAGCAAACATTGACAAATGGGATCTAATTAAACTAAGGAGGTTCTGCACAGCAAAAGAAACTATCATCAGAGTGAACAGGAATCCTACAGAGTAGAAGAAAATTTTTGCAATCTGTCCATCTGGCAAAGGCCTAATTCCAGCGTCTACAAGGAACTTAAATTTCCAAGAAAAAAACAAAAACCCCATTAAAAAGTAGGCAAAGGACATGAACAGACACTTCTCGAAAGAAGACATTCATGTGCCAACAAACATATTAAGAAAAAGCTCAACATCATTGATCATTAGAGAAACAGTCTTAATTTTTGGTGAAAACAAAAAACAATATTTAGTTTATTTCAATCTATGTAAAATGTGAATTTCATCTTTCAGTTTTTAAAAGAGCAATGTCTATTTCTTCCTAAAACCTGTTGTTCTAGTATTTCTATTCTGATAAATTATAAAATATCTTTCTCTTCTGCCTTTTTCTGCAGAGACCTGTCTCTTCCCCACATCTCACCTCTGCCCTTTCAACCTCTGACATGTGTTTGTTACTCAGAGCACCAAATGGAGGTCAACAAGTTACTGGAAAACATCAGACAAGGAGAAAAAAAATCCTTACTGCTTCTCGACTTATGTTGGCCTGAAAGCACAGTGATTTATATCACATCAGAAGGACAAGTTCTTGGTATGTTGGCCTATGTATGGGCAGATGGCCTCTTCCCCAGTAAATGAATTGGATTAATAGAAATGTTAAATTCTTTAAGTGCATATATGTTTAAAATTCTATGAAAGGCAGACACTTTTTAGCTCAGGGCCTGGTGGCTAGGTTGGTTCTCTCCTTTCCAATCAGAGACCTCTGCCGCAAACATGCTCTGCCAGATCCTCGGTCAGGCCAAGAAGCATCCGAGCTTGATCCCCCTCTTTGTATTTATTGGAACTGGAGCTTCTGGAGCAACACTGTATCTCTTGCATCTGGCATTGTTCAATCCAGATGTTTGTTGGGACAGAAATAACCCAGAGCCCTGGAACAAACTGGGTCCCAATGATCAATACAAGTTCTGCTCAGTGAATGTGGATTACAGCAAGCTGAAGAAGGAATGTCCAGATTTCTAAATGAAATGTTTCACTATAACACTGCTTTAGAATGAAGGTTTTCCAGAAGCCACATCCGCACAATTTTTCACTTAACCAGGAAATATTTCTTCTCTAAATGCATGAAATCATGTTGGAGATCTCTATTGTAATCTCTATTGGAGATTACACTGATTAAATCAATAAATAACTGAAACTTGAAAAATAAAATAAAATAAAATTCTATGAAACAAAATAGCACAATACTTACACCCCCAAAACATCCTGCTAAAACTATTTCTTGCCCTATGAACAACATGACATGAGCACGGATCGTGAAAAATACTGACATTTTAGAATAAATTATTAATGGAACTGGAGTTGATAAGAGGCAGATGGTTAAATACAGAGGAAAAAACTTGAATCAACCACTTTTATGCTCTTTCTGAATTTCTCATTTGCTTTTAAAAATAATTGTTTAGTTCTATAGAAACTATAGACTTATAGTGAAAGAAGACATACTCAGCTACGGCCCTTGAACCTTCAGTGGACAGCACTATCGTCACCTTTAGCCAGTGAATTAAGAGCTCTGTTAGAAAAATGGTATATTTTCAATTCAGATTGACACTGTTCAAGATGCAGGTATAACTGACATCTCTTTAATAATACTGTATTCAAATACATCACAGGATCTGAGAAAGTGTCTGACGCTTGGAGTAAGCATGAAGTCAAACACTGGGAAAAAACACATTTCAGACTGTCACAGATGTTCTCAGCAAAAATGTGTAGGATGTTATAGCTGATGGGAAATTTAACATGTAGAGACTGTTTAATGAGTTAAATCCTGTTCTTTAAAAAAAAAAAAAAAGAGCTTCCAGCCAGGTTTCTGCGTGGTATGACTCTTTGTTTTTAATTTGCTAATAGGAGGTAAGATATAACGTCAGTCCTCATTCAGCTATTATATTATATTCCAGTGGGTCATCTTTAAGAAAGTCATGTGGGAGAGGAAGGATTTTTAGAAATGATTTTTAAACTCTCTTTGGGGGAAATAATGCAATGTCCTAAAGCTATGGATTTGACCAAAATTGTTTGGGAATAAGAAAATCTGATCGTGTGATTGCATGAGACCATTCTATTAGGTTGGTGCAAAAGTAATTGCAGGTTTTGCTATTCTGTTAGGTTGGTGCAAAAGTAATTGCAGTTTTTGCCATTACATTTAATGGCAAAACACTAAAATAGAGATCAGCATTCAAGTGATCAGCCAAGGGCAAAGACCGCACTAAAAATCTGAGAACATGGGAATATGACTCCTACTTGCCAAAGAAAATTTCAAACCACTGAATTGGAAACATTAGACCTAAAATGATTGGATTAGATCTCACCTCCAACCCTTTTACCCTAGCTCCATTATTTTTCAGATAAGGAGACCAAAGGCCTAAGAGTAAAAGTGATTTATCTGGTCATATTTTTTACTTATTCATTAATTCAATAAGCATTTAATGAACAACTCTGATGAACCCAGTGCAAGGCTAAATGGTAGCCAGGGGTGGATCTCTATTTGCAGATCCAGAATCTTATACAATTTTAAGATAAAAATGCATAAGTAGGTCAAAAGGTGAACACTTTTGTAGAATAATGGAAAACACAAAAAATGTTAAAGCCAATAATCATCACAAGCATCATAAAATCCAGAAAAATAGCATAATATTTATATGAAGTAACTGCCTGTCACACACACCTCTATACTGACATACCTAATATTACTGTGCTTTGCTTTATTGTGCTTCACAGACACTGTGTATTTTTACAAATTGAAGGTTTGTGGCAACCCTGAGTCAAGCAAGTCTATTTCCAACAGCATGTGCTCGCTTCATGTCTCTGTGTCACATTTTGGTAATTCTTGCAATATTTATTTCAAACTTTTTCATCATTATTATGTCTGTTGTGGTGATCTGTGGTCAGTGATCTTTGATGCCTCTATTGCAATTGTTTTGGAGCACTATGAAGTATGACCAAATAAGATGGCAAATCAATCCATAAATGTAGTGTGCATTCCAACTGCTCCACTGACTGGTCATTCCCTGTCTCTCTTTCTCCTCAAGCCTCCCTATTCCCTGAGACATGACAATATTAAATTTAGACCAATTAATACCTTACAATGGCCTCTAAGTGTTCAAGTGAAAGGAAGAGCCACGTGTCTCTCACTTTCTATAAAAAGCTAGAAATGATTAAGCTTAGTGAGGAAAGCATGTCAAAAGTTAGTCAAAAGCTAGCCCTCTTGCATGAAACAGTTAGCCAAGCTGTGAATGCAGAGGAAGAGTTCTTGAAGGAAATTAGAAGTGCAACTCCGGTGAACACACAAATGATAGAAAAGCTGAATAGCCTTATTGCTGATATGAAGAAAGTTTTTAGTAGTCTGGATAAAAGATCAAATCAGGCCCAACATTTCCTTAAGCCAAAGCCTAATGAAGAGCAAGGCTCTATGTCTCTTCAATTCTATGAAGGCTGAGAGAGGTAAGGAAGTTGCAGAAGAAAAGTTTGAAGCTGGCAAAAATTGGTTAATAGAGTTTAAGAGGCCATTTCTGTAACATAAAAGTGCAAGGTGAAACAGCTAGTGCTGATGTAAAAGCTGTTGCAAGTCACCCAGAAGATCTAGCTAAGATAATTGGTGAAGATGGCTATGCTACACAACAGATTTTCGATGAAGACCAAAATCTTTCCGTTGGAACAAGATGCCACCTAGGATTTCATAGCTAGAGAGGAGAAGTCAGTGCATGGCTTCAAAGCTTCAAAGGACAGGCTGACTCTCTTCCTAAGGTCTAATGCAGCTTGTAACTTAAACCAATGATCATTTACCATTCTGAAAATCCTAGGGTCCTTAAGAATGAGGCTAAATCTACTCTCCCTCTATAATCTACTCTATAAATGCAAAAACAAAGTCTGGATTACAGTACCTCTGTTTATAGCATGGTTCACTGAATATTTTAAACTCACCACTGAGACATACTGCTAAAAAAAAGATTCCTTTCAAAATACTATTGCTCATTGATAATACACCTAGTCACCCAAGAGCTCTGATGGAGATATATGAAGAGATGAATGTTGTTTTCATGCCTGCTAACACAACATCCATTCTGCAGCCTATGGATCAAGGAGTAATTTCAATGTTCAAGGCTCATTATTAAAATAAAAACATTTTTTAAGGCTATAACTGCCATAGATAATGATTCCTCTGGTGGATCTGGGAAAAGTAAATTGAAAACCTTCTGGAAAAGATTCACTATTCTACATCCCATTAAGCACATTTGTGATTCATGAGTGAAGCTCAAAATATCAACATTTACAGGAGTTTGGAAAAAGTTTATTCCAGCCCTCATGGATACATTTGAAGGATTCAAGCCTTCTGTGAAGGAGGTCATTGCACATGTGGTGGAAATGGTCAGAGAACTAGAATTAGGAGCAGAGCCTGAAGATGTGACTGGATTGTTGCAATCTCATGATAAAACTTGAATGGAGGAATAAAAAGAAATTGGGTAATGGGTACAAACATACAGTTAGATAGGACAAATAAATTCTAACTTTCCATAGCAAGGCAGGTTGACTATAGTTAACAACAATGTATTGTATATTTCAAAATAGCTAGAAGAGAGAACTTGAAATGTTACCAACACATAGTAATGATAAATACTTGAGGTGATGGACACCTCAAATATCCTGACTTAATTATTACACAGTCTATGCATGTAAGAAAATATCACATATATCCCATACATACGTACAAATATTTGTATCAATAAAAATAACTTGAATGGATAAGTTACTTCTTACGGATGAAAAAAAGTTGTTCTTGAGATGAAATCTACTCCCAGTGAAGATACTGTGAACATTGTTGAAGTGACACCAAAGGACTTAGAATATTACATAAACTTCATCGATAAAACAAAAGCAGGGTTTGAGAGGATTGATTTTAATTTTGAAAGAAGTTCTACTGTATGTAAAGTGCTATCAAATAGTATCACACACAACAGAGACATCTGTCATGAAAGATAGAGTGAATCAATTCAGCAAACTTCATTGTCATCTTATGAGATGGTTTGGCTGTGTCCCCACCCAAATCTCATCTTGAATTATAGTTCTCATAATCCCCACATGTCATGGGAGGGACCCGGTGGGAGGTAATTGAATCGTGGGGTCCGTTTCCCCCATGCTATTCTCGTGATAGTAAGTTTTCATGAGATCTGATGGTTTTATAAGGGGCTTCCCCCTTTGCTCAGCCCTCATTCTTCTCCTTGCTGCCACTATATGAAGAAGGACATGTTTGCTTCCCCTTCTGCCATGATTGTAAGTTTCCTGAGGCCTCCCTAACCCTGTGGAACTGTGAGTCAATTAGACCTCTTTCCTTTATAAATTACCTAGTCTTAGGTATTTCTTCATAGCAGCATGAGAACAGACTAATACAGTAAATCAATACCAGTAGAGTCAGATGCTGCTATAAGGATACCCAAAAATGTGGAAGCAACTTTGGAAATGGCTAACAGGCAGAGGTTGGAAGAGTTTGGAGGGGTGGGTCGGAAGAAGACAGGAAAATGTGGGAAAGTTTGGAACCTCCTAGAGACTTGGAGGGCTCAGAACACAGGAAGATGTGGGAAAGTTTGGAACTTCCTAGAGACTTTTTGAATGACTTCAACCAAAATGCCAATAGTGGTATGAACAATGAAGTCCAGGCTGAAGTGGTCTCAGGTGGAGATGAGAACTTGTTGGGACTAGAGCAAAGGTGACTCTTGTTGTGTTTTAGAAAGACACTGGCAACATTTTGCCCCTGCAAAGAGGCAAAGAGATATGTAGAACTTTGAACCTGAGAGAGATGATTTAGGATAATTGGCAGAAGAAATATCCAAGCAGCCAAGTGTTTAAGAGTAAACAGAGCTTAAAAGTTTGAAAAACTTGCAGCCTGACAATGCCATAAAAAAGAAAAAACCATTTTCTGGGGAGAAATTCAAGCCTGTTGCAGAAATTTGCATAAGTAACAAGGAGCCAAAGGCTAATCGTCAAGACAATGGGGAAAACGTCTCCAGGGCAAGTCAGAGACCTTCACAGCAGCGCCTCCCATCATAGGCCCGGAGGCCTAGGAGGGAAAAATGGTTTCATGGGCAGGGCCCAGGGCCCCCTGCTGTGTGCAGCCTAGGGACTTTGTGCCCTGTGTATCAGCTACTCCAGCCATGGCTAAAAGAAGCCAAGGCAGAGCTTGGCCACAGCTTCAGAGGGTGCAAGCCCCAAGCCTTGGCAGCTTCCACATGGTGTTGAGCCTGCAGGAGCACAGAAGTCAAGAATTGAGGTTTGGGAACCATCCGCCTTCAGATGATGTATGGAAATACCTGGATGTTCAGGCAAAAGTTTGCTGCAAGGGTGGAGCCCTCATGAAGAACCTTTATTAAGGCAGTGGGGAAGGAAAATATGGGGTTGGAGCCCCTACACAAAGTCCCCACTGGGACACTGCCTAGTGGAGCTGTGAGAAAAAGGCCACAGTCCTCCAGACCCGAGAATGGTAGATCCACCATCAGCTTGCACTGTGCACCTGGAAAAGCTGCAGGCACTCAATGCCAGCCTGTGAAAGCAGCCAGAGGGGGAACTGTAACCTGCAGAGCCACAGAGGTTGAGCTGCCCAAGGCCATGGGAGCCCATGTCTTGCATCAGCATGACCTGGATGTGAGACATGGAGTCAAAGGAGATTATTTCAGAGCTTTAAATTTTAATTACTGCCTTATTGGATTTCAGACTTGCACAGGGCCTATAGCCCCTTTGTTTTGGCCAGTTTCTCTGACTTGGAACTGGTGTATTTTCCCAATGTCTATAACTCCATTGTATCTAGGATGTAACTAACTTGCTTTTGATTTTACAGGTTCATAGGTGGAAGGGATATGCCTTGTCTCAGATGAGAGTTTGGACTTGGACTTTTGGGCCAGTGCTGGAATGAGCTAAAACTTTGGGGGACTGTTGGAAAGGCATAATTGTGTTTTGAAATGTGAGGACATGAGATTTGAGTGTGTATTTCATTCAGCTTAATGAGTGGACATGAGGAGCCATGGGCAGAATGATATGGTTAGGCTGTGTCCTCACCCAAATCTCATCTTGAATTGTAGTTCCCATAATCCCCACATGTGGTAGGAAGGACCTAGTGGGAGGTAATTTAATCATATGAGCAGTTTCCCCCATGCTATGCTTGTGATAGTGAGCAACTTCTCACAAGATATGATGGCTTTATAAGGGGCTTTATAAGGGGGCTTCCCCCTTCACTTGGGTCTCATTCTTCTTCTTGCTGCTGCCATGTGAAGAAGGACGTGTTTGCTTCCTTTTCTGCCATGAATATGTTTTCTGAGGCCTCCTAGCCCTGGGGAACTGTGAATCAATTAAGCCTCTTTCTTTTATAAATTACCTAGTCTTGGGCATTTGCCCACAGCAGGGTGAGAACAGACTAATAAACCTTATTTTAAGAAATTGCCACAGCCACCCCAACCTTTAGCACCCACCACTCTGATCAATTAGCAGCCATCAACATCAAGGCAAGACCCTCTGCCAACAAAAAGTTCACCACTTGCTGAAGATGCAGATGATCATTAGCATTTTTTAGTAATGAAGTATTTTTAAATTAAGGTATGTGCATTGTTTTTGTGACATAATGTGATTGCATACTTAACAGACTACAATATAGTGTAAACATAACTTCTATATGTACTGGAAAATAAAGAACATCATGTAACTTGCTTCATTGCAATATTCACTTTCTTGAAATGATCTGGAATGACACCTGCAATATCTCCAAGATAAGCCTATAATATCTTTTCCTGATAATTTTGGCTACATACTTCTTGATCACCTTTTCTATGACAAGGATTTGGTAATATCATTTTCTATAGACAAAAAGGAAAGTTATTTTACTCTTCAGCATCATTGATCAAAGTTTATTTCTGATAATTGGGAGTCTGAAATGGTTTTTAAAATCTTCATCACTCATTTTTGGTAATATAATATAAAATTCAGAATTGCCATCAAATTTGAGGGAACATCTATAAATGAGAGCTCTTCTCTTTTGATTTGATTCCAGCAATGCGAATCAAATCTTCTATGATTTTACGCAGCTGATGATTAGAAGAATTTTTCATAAACTAACTTCTGCCACCATATAGTTTGAACCTTGTTTCTCTGCTGCTTCCCATATACCTCCCCTGCTTGGAGCCATAGGAATGGCAGTTTCAAAGGACAGCCTCTAGTCCCCTATCATTGTATCCCAACACCAGATGAGTTGGCACAGGAGACAGTATGATTATTTCTGGAAACTGTTCTTGGACTGGATCAGCAAGCAAAGCAATAACTTAACTATACAAAGCAATGAATGTGAACCACAGAAATATGTATCATTAAACTGAAATGAAATACATACTCAATTCAATTTTCCATTAGCCAAATTCAAATAGCACCCTTGGCCACATCAACAGTTACTTAACATGAGGGAGAGTGTGACTGAGGAGAATTTAGTGGGGAAAGACCTGTAAGTCTAATTGGTTGTGGTTAAAATACTTATGCAAATTTTACCAAAAGTAAATGACTGTATGAAGCTTTGTTAAAGGTCACCCCCTTCTTCACCAAGTAAAGGGCTAGTGCAACCTAGGGACTTAAAAGCTGAGCTGCACTAGCTTCATGGTAAATGTACCTCGTGTGGCAGGGATTCAATAATGAACATTAAGTAGCTTCTACCACCAAGTGGCTTTCAGTATAAATCAATAAATCATCTATTACCATACTTCGTGTTATTTGCTGACATAGATAATAAGCATATGGACCACTTGTGAAAACATGCAGAAGACAAACCTCACCCAATATCAAGGAATAAGGGAAATTGGTTATAATTGAAAGTAGACGCCAGTTGCAGTGGCTCACGCCTGTAATCCCAGCACTTTGGGAGGCAGGCAAATTGCTCGAGCTCAGGAGTTCAAAACCAACCTGGACAACATGGTAAAACCCTGTCTCTACCCAAAATACAAAAATTAGCTGGGCATGGAAGCACATGTCTGTGGTCCCAGCTCCTTGGGAGGCTGAGGCAGGAGTATCACTTGAGCCTGGGAGGCGGAGGTTGCAGTGAGCTGAGACCATGCCACTGCACTCCAGCCTGGGTGACAGAGTGACAGAGTGAGACTCCACCTCAAAAAAAAAAAAAAAAAAAAAGAGAGAGAGAGAAGTAGAATCCAGTCCGAGTTCACTCAAGCCAGCACTTTAGGGCCACATAAAGGACCTTTCCAAAGGCTATATGCTAGTCTGAACAGCATTTTAGTTTATGGTCCACATAGTAGCTAGTAACAAGGGAGAGAGCGAGAGTAATTGGTGAAGGAATCTTTTTAGATTTTTTAAGAACTGATAAACTAGAAAGAACAGCCCCCAAATTTAATCATCTACCAAGCAAATGTTCTAAATATTACAAATTAGAGATCAGCATCTTGTTCCTAAGTCTACGTATATAGTCACTGGAACCCTGTCACCCATTTATAACCTACCTGTAACCACCATTTATTGAGCACTTACATTTACAGGTTCTAGGCAAAGAACTTTACCTAGAACTTTACCTAGATGTATTGAATTTAATTCATTTGACAGCATTCACTTTTGGAATCCTTAGTACTCTATCTAAATATGGAGACTGCTGCTTAAGAAGTATAAATGCATTGCCTAGGAGATACAGATATTAAGTAGCAAAGTAGCATTTGCAATAAAGACCTTCTGACTCCAAAGCCAGTTTTGGACTATGTACCAGGCACAATGATCACCGCAGCAGATGTAGAGGTGAAGAAAACAAAGTCTGTGTCCTCATAGAGAAAACATTGACAAGAAACAAGAACAAAATCCCAAACATGTCCTGTTTCATGGAAGGCATGTGCTGTGAGAAGCTGTATTCCTCCCAGCTCCTGGCCCATGCACTCATTTTGCTCTGTCACTCAGGCCTCGTTACTTGTTCCTTAACTACACAGAGTATTCCCATCTTGGGGCTTTTGCATTTGATGTCTTTCTGCCTTGGAACACCTTTCCCCTGGGTTTCCATGTGGTTTATTGCTCATCTCACTGAGGTTTCTGCTCAAACGTCATCTCCTTAAAGAAAACCTTGACCAAACTGCACCTCTTTCCATTGTATGTTTCCTCTGTTTTTTCTTTATATCGCTTAGCACTACTTGCATGTATGGATGTGAACAGGCATATACCCATCTAGCTCTCATCGCCTCCCTCATTAAATGTAAACAGCATGAAATCAGGGGATTCATTTTGTTGTCTGGCTTATCTCCAGTGCTCAGAACAGTAGTCACTGCATTGCAGGTGACCAGTAAGTATTTGCGAATGAATGGATGTGCCACTTGTGTGGTCTGATGTCAGGAACAGTCAATGAGATAGGCTGTGCCAGAACAGCAGAAACAAAAGAAAAAACAAGTCCCTGTACACCTGTTACTTCATTGCAGGTCTGGATCTATACCCTGACTTGTTAAGGTTTCCAGAGAAGCCTCCTTCGTCTACAAGACAGACAACTTTTTTTTCTTTGTGGAGTAAGCTCCTTTCTCCCTATGAAAGGGCCAGTTTGAGGCTGAAATTGAGATTCTGAGCAACACATTCAGTCCTCACACAGACTTTCAGTTCTTTGCCATGATCACGTGTACTTCTCCCTGTCAGCAAGCCTGAATTTTAAGATATACTTATTGTGTTTCTCTAGGAAGTTGTTTGTGATATTTAGAGCACGATCTTATCTGCCCAACTATCAGGCACATATACATATATTTGTATACATACACTTTGTAAAAATGGCTAAAGCTAGTCATATATGCTTAGCAGAAATGGGACCAAGGATTTATATGTCTAAGAGGAAGGCCTTAAAACTTTTGTTCCTTATCCTATAATGCCGTCTTCTTAGAAATATCTCTTTTAATGAAGAGGATACATTCCAATGTATCAGAGATGTAATAACTAAGTAAGTTCCATGGTGGGCTCCAGCTTTGGCCACCAGTAAGTTACTTTCATTTCCCCAAATTGTCTAAGACCACAGTGGATTCAGAGAGGTCAGTGTGTATAGAAGCATCCTCATAGCTCCATTCCCCAGTTAAGTCCTCAATCTCAGCCCCTGAAGCCATGGCTGCCACAAATTATTTGTTATTAAAAAAAAAAAGTTTACCTTTAAAACAATGATGCACTTTGTAGATACTGGGGATCCTCCTGAAATCTTTACTATTAAATTATCTTTTCTTGCTATTTGCTGTAACCCTGGACACATAGTAAGGTGGGAAAACGGATTCATATATTAAAAGCATAGATATTGACCTCGAACTTAATTTTGGAGAAGTGTTGCCATCATCCCCACACTAGTGTAGGAGCCTCTCCATGCCCTGCAGTGACTGGCCATTGTCTCCCACTCACAAGTATAGCTGGGGAGATAAGGGAAATGGGGCCCCTTCCTCCCTGGGCAGCACCCCATCTAGTGACAATGATGGAATCTGCGCATGGTGTCTTGCCTGTGCTTACCTTATTCTCACTACAAGGCCAGTGCCCCTCTAAGGACCCACCTTCTCCTCATGCAGGCCAGGACCTAAACTTGTTATTGAGATAAATTCCCTGCATCCTCAGATGCTGTCTTGGCCACCATCACCTCAAACCACAGACATCAGCTGGAATGGAATATTCAGAAAGATCTGTGAAGTCCAAGACCAGAAATTCTCTAAGCCCACTCTTAACCCTATTCAAAAGGGTTTATAAATCCTTGGTCCCATTTCTGCTAAGCATATATGACTATATATGGGGATCTGAGGGGCTGTTTAATAGCTCTTATTGATTGAGCCCGTTAATATAAGCCAGTGTGGTTGGAGCTTAGTAACCAAAGGGCAGAGAGGTATCAGGTGAGGTTAAACAGATAGATAGGGGGCAGATCAGGAAGAAACTTATTTATAAGGATTTGAGACTTCTGTGAGGTCCTCTTGCAATAGGTCACAAAAGTTGTCATTGACGTAGCTGAGACTAAAATCTAGGCCTATCTGACCCCACAGCCCAAACTGTCACAATTACAATGCCTTCCTAATTATTACTGGAACTCAACTCTCTGTAGAAATTCTAACATTTTACTTGTTTCTTATTCTTATATTTTCCAATCTAATTTTCCAATTTTTGTACATCCTTTCACTGGCAAACTTGTTGCAATATTCATCTATATCCATTACCTCCCCATTCCCAACACCTTCTTACCCTGTCTCTCAAAATCTGTTCTCTGCTCTTGAAACTTTAATTGTAATGGGATTTGTTTAGTCTTCACTCTCCTTAATGTCTTCATAACATTTAATACCCTTTCCTCCCAGAAGTCTCTTGTGTTTTAGTTTCTGTGACATGGCATTGCACTTTCTTATGCTCCTTTACTGGACACTTTTCCTTTCCTGCCCGCTAATATGTTATCCAGCTGCTGTTCTCAACCCTCTTCTCTAGGAAGTCGCTCTATTTGCTTCAGCCACCACCTAGAAGTAGGTAGATTCCTAAATCCCAAGCCCTGTCTTAAATGATATAATTCCACTTCGTTCATGGACCATATTCTTCTTTCCCTCCCAACTCCTTTCTGCTACTATGTTTTTTATTTCTATTAAGAAAAACACAACTCTTCTAGTACTCCAGGCAAAAAACTAGTCCCTTAGAAGAGTCTAAGGGAGAAGTCCTTTAGATTCCTTCCTCACCTCTCACAGCTAATCGCTCAACAAATCTCGTGGATTCAATTCTGACAATATTTCTCCTATGTATCATATATCTTCTATTCCACTGCCGCTGTTCCAATTCTTACCTCATTACTTCTTGCCTGGATTATGGAACTTTCTGCTCTTCTATTAATTGACATAAAGGTAGTATTTAAAAAATTTAAGCTCTGAGCATATATGTCACCGCCGTACTATTTTTTATAATAATACACACACACACACACACACACACACACACACATGCACAGCCCTATTAGTCCTCATTATCCCCATAATGAAATCTAGACTCTTTACCATAGCTTATGTATCAACCAGCATAGGCTTGGATTTGCTACAAAGAATCCCATCTGCATGTCTTAAAATAACACATTTATTTCTCATTCATGCAGTCTAATATAGGTTCAAATGATGTTGTGCCGAACACTATTAACCTCAGTAGAGAAGCCGCCAGGTTCAAGAGGCTGAAGATTCCCAGAGCCAACAAACAAGACATGAGGTTTTATTCAGGGCTTACATACAGGGGAGAGAGTCCAGTGGCAGCGGGCTGGGCAGGAAAATGTCTTGCAAACAGCATGCGTTTTATACATAGCATTTTCCCTTAACACCCTCCCCTTAATGACCGCCACCTGGCAACCTTCATTTAACCCAAAACTCAGGACCTCATCCCCTGTATGGTCAATGTTCCACAGGGCAAGTCAGATGGGTTCAGATGTTCCTCATGGACAAGGAATGAATCTCTATGTTGACCACTCTTGAATTCCCTAGCTTGGAACACACATTCAGGTGCATGTGCCATAGAGGGTCGTTCTAAGGCCATGCTTGTTATTGCTATCAGGTGTTTACCCTACAACTGGCTTTCAGGAAGCCATCCCCCATGTGCTGCCTCAATGTTGCACTTCCATATCAAACACATTTTCATAATCTTATGGCAGCAGGAGAACCAGATATACAGTTGAACACCAGAAATTAAATGCTTCTTCCCACACACACATTCACTGGCAAGAAAAAAAAAAAAAAAAAATCACATGACCATGCCTAATTTCAAGGCATATAAAAGTACAGTTCTCCCAGTGCCCAGAAAAAGAAGGCAAGAACTTCGGGGAACAGTAGTAAGGTTACCAATAAATCTTTTCTGAACCCCAGAAAATATATTAGAGGCCCTGGTAATGTGTTTGCATAGACTCTGCATTTACTTTATTATCATGCATTTTAAATTTTGTACTGAAATTGCTTTTTTTTTTTTTTTTGAGGTGGAGTTTCCCTCTGTCACCCAGGCTGGAGTGCAGTGGCATGGTCTCGGCTCACTGCAACCTCCACCTCACAGGTTCAAGCGATTCTCCTGTCTCAGCCCCCAGAATAGCTGGGATTACAGGCGCCCGCCACCACACCCAGCTAATTTTTTGTATTTTTAGTAGAGACGGGGTTTCACCATGTTGGTCAGGCTGATCTTGAACTCCTTACCTTAGGTGATCCACCCACCTCGGCCTCCCAAAGTGCTGGAATTACAGGAGTGAGCTACCGTGACCAGCCTGAAATTGCTTTTTGAATTGTGATATTACCCTAAAAAACTAAAGTCTCCTTGAGAAAAAGTACCATGTATTATTCAATGGGCCACCCATCTAATAGGTTGCTCAATAAAAATTGTTTCACTAAATGCATTGTCTACCACATAAAGCCCAATTTTTTTCGCTTAACCATAACCTAGCTCCCGCCATCTTTCTGGCATGATCTCCCATTACATGCCTTCATGAACCTTGTTTTAAACATACAATTGTTATTAATATAATTCTTATTTCTACTATATGCTCCACATTTTCCCATCTTTGTGCCTTTATTTACTGCTTCCTTACCTTGGAAGCCTCCCTAACACATTTTTCTCCAGTTAAGTCCTACAGATTTTTAAAAAAGATCTACAGGTATTTCAATGGGCAGTTCTAAAGACAATTCTCTTTCCAGCCTGAAATAATGTCTCCCTCCTCAGATGCCTATCAAATTTTACCCATAGCCTGTATTACCACTTTATCATTCGAAATGCTCCATAAAGGTCTGTGGGATGAATGTTGAATGTATTACATACTATTAAATCCTTTCCATTCCCTCCCCACCTCAGGGACGAGAAATGAACTTCTAAGAATCCATGAAATGTTCAACACCCTATTCTGTCCCTATCAATAAGCTGCTGGAACAATGACCCTAGAGTGTGGAAATACCTGTGTAACTTTAAATGAATTATCAACAATCAACATTTTGCCAAGGAAACCAATAGGTATGTCTTATTTGTCATTTTGTCTTATTCTTTCTTCCTGTTGGATTTATTAATGCCCATATCATCAGAGCTATAATAAGCCTTAAAATTAATGTCCAATGTCTTTTGTAGCTTAAGACTTAATTTATTCCCCAAGCCTTGGACTCCAGCACAATTGGGTTTTGATACATGGATATTTCTGCTTACTTGGGACTCAGTAGAAAAGGACTCCACATTTTGAATGGCCTCGTAAATATATATTGAATTTAATTTCCTAACATGCAAAACCCATTTTCCTGTTGTTTAGAGATTTTTCAGGCTGAGGGTAGAGCAAGTTTCCATACGTATTTTTGTTGTGTGCTATTAATTAGTTCATAAATCAATATGTCTTAGAATTGCACAGATTACCCTAAAGGCAATACACTTAGCATCTGAACATGTAACTGCATTCTTCAATCTCATCTTTGTCTCACAAAGATTTTGTTTCAAGCAGTTAAGATTGCTGGGGTCACATGGACATCAATAAAAAGTTAGTGATACTTCAACCTTTTTTACTACATTCCTTTTTAAAAAAAATGTTAATACACAGGGCGGGATAGGAAAGATGCAACATGCAAAATTGAAAAAGAGGTCAAGGAACAGTGAAAAATTGAAGTGGAGCAGAGCAAGAGACATTTAAAGGTATTCAAAAAGGTCAGTCAGACACATGGGTGTCCATAGGAAAAACAACATAAGATGATGTACTGTGGAAGGGATATATATTATAGCAAAGTATGCCATATGTCAATACTTTTTTTTAAAATTTTATTATTATTATACTTTAAGTTTTAGGGTACATGTGCACAACGTGCAGGTTTGTTACATATGTATACATGTGCCATGTTGGTGTGCTGCACCCATTAACTCGTCATTTAGCATTAGGTATATCTCCTAATGCTATCCCTCCCCCTGCCCCCACCCCACAACAGTCCCCGGTGTGTGATGTTCCCTTCCTGTGTCCATGTGTTCTCATTGTTCAATTCCCACCTATGAGTGAGAACATGCGGTGTTTGTTTGATTTTTTTCTCCTTGCGATAGTTTGCTGAGAATGATGGTTTCCAGTTTCATCCATGTCCCTACAAAGGACATGAACTCATCATTTATCATTTTTTATGGCTGCATAGTATTCCGTGGTGCATATGTGCCACATTTTCTTAATCCAGTCTATCATTGTTGGACATTTGGGTTGGTTCCAAGTCTTTGCTGTTGTGAATAGTGCCGCAATAAACATACGTGTGCATGTGTCTTTATAGCAGCATGATTTATAATCCTTTGGGTATATACTCAGTAATGGGATGGCTGGGTCAAATGGTATTTCTAGTTCTAGATCCCTGAGGAATCGCCACACTGACTTCCACAATGGTTGAACTAGTTTACAGTCCCACCAACAGTGTAAAAGTCTTCCTATTTCTCCACATCCTCTCCAGCACCTGTTGTTTCCTGACTTTTTAATGATCGCCATTCTAACTGGTGTGAGATGGTATCTCATTGTGGTTTTGATTTGCATTTCTCTCATGGCCAGTGATGATGAGCATTTTTTCATGTGTTTTTTGGCTGCATAAATGTCTTCTTTTGAGAAGTGTCTGTTCATATCCTTCACCCACTTTTTGATGGGGTTGTTTGTTTTTTTCTTGTAAATTTGTTTGAGTTGATTGTAGATTCTGGATATTAGCCCTTTGTCAGATGAGTAGGTTGCAAAAATTTTCTCCCATTCTGTATGTTGCCTGTTCACTCTGATGGTGGTTTCTTTTGCTGTGCAGAAGCTCTTTAGTTTAATTGGATACCATTTGTCAATTTTGGCTTTTGTTGCCATTGCTTTTGGTGTTTTAGACATGAAGTCCTTGCCCATGCCTATGTCCTGAATGGTAACGCCTAGGTTTTCTTCTAGGGTTTTTATGGTTTTAGGTCTAACATGTAAGTCTTTAATCCATCTTGAATTAATTTTTGTATAAGGTGTAAGGAAGGGATCCAGTTTCAGCTTTCTACATATGGCTAGCCAGTTTTCCCAGCACCATTTATTAAATAGGGACTTTTTTAAAAAGAGGAAAGAGGCCAGGCGTGGTGGCTCACGCCTTTAATCCCAGCACTTTGGGAGGCCAAGGCAGGCAGATCACGAGGTCAGCAGATCGAGACCATCCTGGCTAACATGGTGAAACCCCGTCTCTACTAAAAATACAAAAAAAAAAAAAAAAAAAAAATTAGCCAGGCGCGGTGGTGGGCGCCTGCCTGTAGTCCCAGCTACTCAGGAGGCTGAGGCAGGAGAATGGCGTGAACCCGGGAGGCGGAGCTTGCAGTGAGCCGAGATCGCGCCACTGCACTCCAGCCTGGGCGACAGAGCGAGACTCCGTCTCAAAAAAAAAAAAAAAAAAAAAAAAAAAAGAAGTGAAAAAGAGAAGTAAATAAGGAAAAATTCCCAAGCATTCTGTATACTTCTGCACATGTAAAATTGGACTTGGGTGATGCCTTTCACCTTCTTATCATGACTTTGAAAGATGAACTTTAGTGAGGGAGAAAAGCATTGGCCTTGTCTTCAGTTCAACTTGAGGGACATGCTTCAGGAAACTTTCCATGTGGCCAAGACTGTAATCAGTGGAGCAGATGCTGTCATGTCTCCTATCACTTTTTCCATATATTCAGCACCTATTTTTTGTAATTCTCACTCTTTAAGTAGAAAAATAATTTCTTAAGCCAGAGAGGCCTACATAAATGAGAAAGTTACATCAAAACAAACAGAAAGCTATGACCTGCAGAGAATAATGAACATTAGTTTATCCATCCATCTATCCAACCAACCATTCTTTATCTACCTGTTTGTTGTTAGTTTCTTCCTCCTTTACCAATTCCTATTTATTCATTATTTATTCCACAAAGGCATTATTATTAGATATAAATAGATCAATCAAATGAAGGCCTTATTGTCAAAGAATTCACTCTCTAGAATATAATCATCATTTCCAGTTTGGTAAAAATATACCGGGTCTCTACAGTTTCTTGTTTTTGCATTAATCCTGGGTTTATTTTCCCTAGGTTGGGATCCCAATCTTCAAGTCAGTTACACAAAAAAACTCTCTTCATAGTACAGCCCAATTATTTTTGTCAGTTCAAGAAAAAGAAATCTTTAATATTCAATAGGTTTTCTTCTACTAGAAAATCCTTACGAATAAACTGGACCAAGCTCCCAGCCCAGCACCAGGCATGCAGTAAGTATATGACATATGATTTCCCTTTTTCTTGCTCCTTTAAGAGCTTATCTTATATGATGGATCACATCTACCCTATGAGGTAAGCTCTGTAGGGTTTGGTCACTCCTGTTAACATGAAGGGGGAAAGTGTCCAAGATTATCCAACGTGGCAGAGTTGGCAGATCCATATGACATCTGATTCCTGATCCATTACTCTTTATACTCAACATGTTACTACCTATTTCTAGGACAAATTGAAGTGCAAAAGAAAATCCCCCTCGAAGCAGAACAGTTAGAAGCTATTGCATCACAGTGATTTTTCTGAACTTGCTTGAAGATGACTGACCGCACTCAGCTACATGCACCTTGATCTCTAAAGAACTCTGAGCCTTCTACTGTGGTAGCAGCAAGGACCTGGGCTTGCTGTCATCTCAGAAATCCTATGTCAGATGGTGAGAGAGCAGTTCCTCAGTGACAACCGCTGACAATTCCTCCTCATGCCATCTGCATAAAAGCCAAAGTTCTCATCACGGGCTTAAGACAAGGTGCGACCAGACTCTCAGTCTCCTACCACACTCCCCCACCCCAACCTGTTCTGCTCCAGCCACACAGGTCCCCCTGCTGTTCCTAAGCTGGGCCTGCCCTTACCTTAGGGCCTTTGCTCTGCCAGTTTCCTCTGCCTGGAACACAATGACAAATACCTATGCAGCTGCCTTCCTTGTGCCCTTTAGTCCTTGCTAAAATGTCACCTTTCCTATCAGGCTCACCCTGTCCGTGTTTAAAATGTCAACTATTTCTCCCCAATTCCCCTCACTTTATTTTTTTTGTTTTCGTGCCTTCATACTTATCTTTGAGACTGTGGACGTCCCTTACTTAATATGCTCATTATTTATCTTCTGCCCTCATCTCCTTTGCCTATCTCACTCAAAGACGTAGCTCAAGAGGCACATGGTAGGTACTCATTACGTTTTCATTGAATGAATGAATGAACGAATGAATGAACACATCCCTAGACAGAAGTCAGGAGCTGATGAAGATGGATGCATATGGTTCCGATGCTGAGATTTATGGGACTACCTAAGCCTTTCAAACTGTTACCAGTTTATTACTATTAGAGTTACTAAAATATCTTTTGTTTTGCTTTTTCCCTCATGGATACTTCTCAAAGAGATCCAGGGTTCCCTTAATCCTGCATTGTCTACTTGCAGGAATGATTTCCCCCACAGAGCTGCCTGTAATTGTCAAAGCAGCACTAATTGGAGCTTGTTCATGCCCCCTGCCTGAGACAGCAACCACCTTCAATTCAAAGGCTGGCTACCTGGTGAACGCCAATTCAGCACCCAGTCAAAGCCGGTTATACTTGAGTTTTCCTTGCCAGCAGCATGTTTTCCTGTTTAATCCGTGTTAACATTCCAATTCAGGTTCTCCTAACTGGCACACATTCTGTCTGACAAACGTTGTCCTTCCCCCTTCTGTCTTCTTTTCTCTTATAGAAATATTATTTATTTATAACATATTGTAGCAAACAACTATACAGCTGAGAGGGAGGCATACTTCCTCCTAACAATACCCACATATGATATAAGGGTGATTTTTTCACTTGCAAGAGACAGTTTAGGAAAGTGGTGTATATTTGACAGGAATCAGAGATGGAAGGAGTAGGGATGAGGTCCTGGGAAGTCCCTGTCCTCAGGATGTGTGTGCAAAACCCTCTCCTCTCAGAGCCTGCTCAGGGTGCTGCAACTTTTCAAAGCACTCAGCCTGCTTCCTCATGAATGTGACTCTGGTGTATATTTGGAAGTGGAAAATGCTGACCTCTCTGATCTGTTTGATTGGTCCTAGCACCACAGAAAGCATCTTGTGAGGGGAAGGAGGAAGAAGAGCCTTTAATTTTCTTTAATTTGTCATGGTTTTCATTTTCATTTGAATGGTATGTGTCAGAAGACCTGAGTGTGGTGAAATGTCTTGCCCTTGTCATCATGTCCTCTCCACAATCTGCCTCAGGCCCATGAACTGCACCCTGGAGTCGCTCTGGCAGGAAACCGTTCCTTCCTCATGTGCACAGGGACCACTTCCCAGTCCACTCTTGTTAACGTTATAACAAAAGCTTATGTGTGACCACTTTTAAGGGAGGGGACATATTCTTTCAGGACAGTGATTTGTTAGGTATGAAATAAATAATTATTGATCAACTGCTTAACCACCCAAGTAAGACATTTGTAATCTTGCCATTATGTTATGCGATGTCTGGAAAGCCACGCAATCCACTACCAGAGAGAATCCAATCTGACTCTCAGCCAATCACAAACATGCTTGAGGTCCAGAGAATGCTGCAAATAGTATATTTATTGTTCTCCTTGGGATCAGAGAGAGGCCCTGCCATTCTTCCTTCCTCTTTTTTCCTTTTCTCTGTCTCCCACAGTCATTTCCATGTAGTTGTGGCTCTTCCTAGCACAAGTCTATGGGGTGCATTCCTGGCTCTACTGAGAGAAGTGGGTGCTGAGTAGGTAATTACATTCTTTAGTATAAAACATCTGAAAGACAACAGACTCTCCTTTGTGAAGGGCTAAAATAGATAGAGCTCTATGTACCAGGAACTGTGCTAATCACTTAACAAGCATTATCTCATTTAAAGTTCATGAGACCTGTGAGTTGAGTGCTATCATTTCTCTGATGATTTCATAGAGTAGGAAGGTAAGACATTTAGAGTCACACAGGAAGTTGCGCAATGGAGTAGCAGAGAATTCAGAATCTCAACCCAAACTGCCAAATTCTTGAGCTGACATACAGTAAGGTGTAGAGTAGTGTCAAGAGGATTGAGGGAGCTAAGGCCCACAAAGCACTAAAAACACTGCCTGGCACTTGGTGAGACCCAATGCAAAGGGGAATAGAACTAACTGTGAGAAAGGAAAGAAAAGGTGAGTCTTTCCATACGCTTATTATTCAGAGAGTGTATACACAGATGGAAGTTGGGGTAAGTTGCATGGGGAAGCTCTCTTTCTCTCATCAAATATTTATAGAATGACTATTCAGGGCCAGACCCTATGCTAGGTGGACTCAACCTAATTGTTGCCTTCAAAGGAAAGAGAGGAAGAGACCTGTAAAAGGACAAATCCCTAAAGTGTTGTAGGCCTTATTGGAGCCAGACTTACAGAGAAGAGGGAGCAGTTGATTTCTACAGGGGGTGGGGCTTAGGGTCAAGAAGGGTACCATAGGAGTGCCACCAGTCAGAATAAGGACATCCAATTTATAATACCACTGCTGTAACAATGAGGGACACATAAATCAACATTTTTCTGAATTCCATCTGCCAAGCCTGGCAACACCCAAAGCCACTCACAGATGACTGAAGGATATTTCTGGTCTCATTGCCCTTCATCAGTACGATGGGAAGCAGACATTGTTCACCACCGCATCCTTAATGAAGTATAGAGATTAAATCCAAACACACAGTCATATAAAACCCCTTTAGCTTCAATGACTAAATCACCTCTTTTCTTTGTTCTAGAAAGGCCATGTTTGCTATAGATGTTAGGCAGTGAGCTCAGGTTTACATTTCAGTTTTGTTTGTTTTCACAGCCCCCAAGCCCTAATCATTTTCTACCATACCCATACTACCACATTTCTCTGTTGTCATTACACTGAGCTAAATTAATTTACCTCCCTGTCCAAATTGTAAGCCTACAGAGTTAGAATCTACCCAGGAAAATATGACCAAGTAGAGTAAATGCTGGGCCTGCAGGTGGATGACTTGACATCCAGTCTCAGCTCTGACACTCACCTGGGTCACTCTAAGGTGGATTGCTCGTCTGTAAAATGGGTTTTATTCATAGATACAGAGTGAGTTGCTACCCTGGAACTTGGAGAGAAATAAGATGGGCTTTGAAAACTTCAACTAGTCAAACAGTAGATGTGACACATATCTGTGGGAGTAAACCAAGAGATTATCTGTGCCTTATAGCTTTAGAAACACCCCAAATTCTAGTCAGGGTGATCTAGGAGCAAACCCAGGGATGGCAAACTTGAACATAATTAGGATTTAGTCAGTAGAAAAAAAATCAATAGTATTGAATCCTCTTTGGAGAAAGGTTTTGTGAACTGATAATCTAGGACTGGCATCTCAAGGGGTCAGCAAACAATGGCCTGTGGGCCAAGTCCAGCTTGCTGCCTGTTTCTGTAAATAAGGTTTCATTGGAACATTTGTTTACATATTGTCTAAGCCTGTTTCTGTGCTACAATGATGGAGTTCTGTAGCTATGACAGAATCATGTGGTCTACATTTCCTAAGTATTTACTCTCTAGCCCTTTGGAGAAAACGTTTGCTAGCCCCAGTCAGTCTTTGATCTCTCAGTGTTTGATCTCCTCTGGCTCCTCTCCAGAATAAACCATACTCCCAACAGTTTTCACATTGGGGCAGGGGGGTCTTGGTGCTTATCAGAGTCTCCATGTGTGGTGCTTAATTATAAATACCCCCTAGTATGTGGTTATACTGATGGAAATGCCGAAGTTTCCAAGTTTGGAAATTTCTTCTTAGATTTGTCTAGGACAAGATGCCTGGTAAGTCCAAACAAAGAAGTTAGTGTTCCTGACAGCCACGTTCCCACCTTGGAGATGAATGCATGAAGCTATCGAAGCTTAACACCATTTAATATTCAAATGTATAATTCCCCTTGTTCAGTTCCACACCCCTCAAGCAATCTTCTGATAATTTGACTTCCCATGTAGAGTGCCCCCCAGAGAGCAGGCCAAGTTGACATATGTCTGTCTGCCAGTAGCTTTTCTAATTACAGATGACTAAATTGGTGATCTAGCTAATATATATCAGTCTCTGTGAACTTGGTTTGTGTCCCAATCCCTGAGGGGCAAATGACAGAGACACTCTTAATGTACTGACATATTATTCTGTGTTCCGAACCCACAAGATTGTCTTGAGAATATATGAGAAGTGAACATGGACCCAACTTGTTAAACCATAAAGACCCCACTGTGCTCCCTTAATTTCTAGAATGTGCACATTTGACAAAAGCTGAGGGCAGGGGTCAAAGAAACATTTAGCCTGTTCTCTGTTGAAGAGACTTTGCTAATAATAAAAATACTGTCAGTGTGGTTCATTAACAGTTTTTAATTGAGGTGACCTGTAGAAACTTACCAGCCAGTTTAAGTTCTAGTTCTGGCTTAAATGTCTCTTAAATCTACTTTCCCCATTACCCTTGGCTCTCCTTTCCTGAGAGAAGCCTTCACCTTCTTTCACCTGGACCTAAAACGACAACAGCCTTCAGTCTAATCATTCCAAACGCTTCCTCAACCCTCAGGTGCTAGAGTGACTTACCCTCAAACACAAAGCTCAGCATGCTGGCTTCATTAAAATTTTTTTTAGCAATGTAGCATTCAAACTCCTCCACATCCTGGCCCCACCTTACCAGTCACATGAGCCATGATCCAGCTACACTCCACTGCGTGCAAGTTCCACAACAGACTATTCCCTTCCACGTGCCTCTGCTGTGGCGAGATGCTAGTTGCCCCCGTAACTTGTTTTTCCTGTTTTTTTCATGGGTACAGAACCACCTTATTACAAGCATATTTCCCTGCCCCCCTTGAGGCTAGATGTGGTCATGTCAAAGTCAATGAAATATAAAGAAGTGTGCAATTTCTGCCTTCCTTACTATAATAAAGTAACTTACCCTGGACCACTTCTCCCTATTCTTCACACGGCTGGAAATGGCAAGCCAGCTGATGCTCCAGCAGTGTGAAAAATGCCTAGAGGATGGTGGAGCAACAAGTTGGAAGGACCATGGTCCCTGAATGACCTCATGGAGTAGGGCAGCCCCACCAGACTGCCTACCTTTAGACTATTATATGAGAGGAAAATGGACATCTATCTTTTCAAGTTACTGTACTGCAGATCTCTTTCTCACAGCAGCTTAGCTTTTACTGGAACAGACTTGCCTTCACATATTCTAATTCTTCAGGCTGCCCCATCCCTGTTCACTTGATGAGTTCCAATTTACATTGTTGTGAAGTACCACAATGCCCTCAGGACCAAGCGGAATGAATCCCCCTTTGCCTGTGCGCTCCATAGGACATTTACTTGATTGCATTGCCAGTGCCATACTGCTGTAATACGATTTTTGGCTTGCCGGATCCATGAGCAAGGTAAGCACCATTTTAAAATTTGTCTCTGAATCTCCAGGCCAAAGTCTAGCACATAGTAGGAGATCAGCATGTTTTCAAAGGTAAATAAATAAAAGCTTATCCCCTCACCTAGCTTAGCAGTAAGAAGCATCTGAAGAGTTAAGAAGTAGAACACAGAAAATTAGAAGAAAGAGATAAATGAAAGGGAAGAAACAGTGAGGCATAAGCCATGCCCTCTAGGTCTGCTGCAGCCTCAGCAGCACCCAGCTCTCTGTAGGAACTCAATAACCACAGATCGATTGAGCTCAACCTTTGCTTGTCATTACTGCTTCCTTCTGCCAGACCCCAAGGAAGCTTCTATAGAAAGTCGGTCCAGAGACTAAAAGAATAGTGAGGGGTGGTGTGTCAGATCAGCTGTTAATTAACAAATCATTCAAATCATGGAGTAAACAAATCTACATTAGAAGTATGCACAAGTTTCAGTGTATGGCTTTATTTTATATATTTTGGTTTATAAAATGTCTCATGATTATAGAATAGCTGTTAACTTAAAACCCACTTCTTTATTTCATCAGATTTTCAAACTGAAACTTTTAAAAGTGATTGATTCTCTGACTGATCCCATTTCTTTCCTATAGCCATGTCTATTCATGGTACTTTGGAAACACAGCACATGTTGCTTATGGAAACACACACTAAGATGAGAGCTAGGAAACTCAGTGGCCTTTAATTATTCAGGATTTAATCGTGCAAGCATGTACAATCAATATTTGTTGATCTTAATCTGATTACCTCCTAGTCGTGTTCAGCGTCTCCATCAACAGGATAACAATATGACACATTTCATAGACTTTCCCTAGGTTCTTCCAACAAGCTTATTGGAAGGATTTTAATCAGCTAATGAACTCGTCAATGGTATTTTCAGGAGCCAAGGCACCTTCCTGCACCTATATCCCATGACCATATTTGCCTGACATCTTGTGGCCACAAGGAGCATGACAGTCTATAAACCCAACATCTGTACACAGGGCAAGCAGCGTCTTTGAATGCTAATCCCTGCATCACAGTCAGAGCGAGTATAAAACTGCTTAAGAGATGTGTGACATGTAATTATTTCATCTAATTAAAATGGAAGCTAGGCTTTTCTTTTTATATTTATGAGGCAAGTTGGAACATGTGGGTCAATTCTTCTAAGGAAAGGAATGGGGTCTCTATCTGGGCTGAACATCTGGCTTGTTATCAACTACCTTGGCCACAGAACACTTTTCCTGTGAAAGGCCCACAAAAAACAGAATATGGCTCACTGGACTGAGAGAAGTAAGAGCATCTGTGGTCAGCTCCTCTGAGAGAGAGAGAGAGAGAGGATTTCGAGCTGGGATTGTTGGAACAAAGAACGCAGAATCCTCCGAGTAAAGAGACTGAAAAAAGGTTTCATCTTCAACACCACAATGGTATATTTTGCGTCTCATAAACTTGACTTTTTAGCACTAGAAACATTTTGTTTAAAGCCAAATTTAGGGTGGCATTATATAAATATAGAATAGAACAATAAAGGTGCTTTGATTGAAGCAGGGAGTCTGAGCGCCACTGGTTTAGCTTTTCTCTCCCACCCCCGCCACCACCCCAGACACATCCTCCAAACCCACACCTTTGAGGGCACAGTCTGACAACTGTTGAAAATATGGAAATTGTATTATATGTGAAATCAGAAGTCTTAGCTTTGTATCTCAACTCTACTCTTTAGTACCTGAGCATCATATAACAAGTCATTAACCTTTCTAAACCTCAGGGTTTTCATCTCTAAAGTAGGGAGAATAATATTTACTTCACAGGGTTATTGGGAACATTAAAAGAGGCAGTAAAATGAAGATGCTTTGTAATTGCTAGACAAATGATCACATTGCCATCATCAGACAGTCATAATGGGCAGTCACGCAACCAAGAGGAACGAGCTCCAGACAATGCCCTGCACTGTCTTCCTGCCAGGTTCTCATTCCTCCACGTTCCAGAGGCATTTACTGGAAGTCTTGATTCATGACTATGTCCCTGAGCAGCTTCGGATAGCAAAGACACAATGGAATACTCTGAACACAAGCATATAGGGCCTCTAAACACACATTGGTTCACCATTATTGCCTTGTTGACGAAGCATAGTTTTCCCGTTTCTCTTTTTCCCTGAATCTGTTACCCACCACCCCCCTTCGATTATTACCAAATCAGAAGATCTAGATTCGTGTATCTTTTTTTTATTATTTTTTTACCTGTTCTTTTTATTATTATTATACTTTAAGTTCTAGGGTACATGTGTACAACGTGCAGGTTTGATACATAGGTATACATGTGCCGTGTTGGTTTGCTGCACCCATCAACTCATCATTTACATTAGGTATTTCTCCTAATGCTATCCCTCCCCCAGAGAACATCGTGTACCTTAAAAGGTGTAGCTACTGAAGCCCAGAGAGGTTGTAACTTGTCTCTGAGCCTATAGCGAGTTTGTGACTAAGCTAGACTAGAATCCACTTCTCTTGTCACTCAAATGATCACCCAGCTGCCTGGGCTGCTTGTCTTATAAAGGATGCCAATCTATGTTAATGAAGGGTGGGAGGGGGCTAGTGTTGTACTGAAGAAATCCGATGGAGATAACCAGCAAGACGACTCCAGAATCACTCTTAGAAGCTGGATGACTGCAGGATAAAACAGCAGAGAAATTGAGCATTCACTTCCCTTGGGAATTGAATGAACGGGGAATAGAACATGTTCTGTCCACCAGGAAGAGGATCAGTTTATTTCTAGGTGTTTCTGAGAGATGAGTAATTGTGACTGGGCAGCAGTAGGATACCACCCCTTCAAGCCCATGACTCTGCGCATCCCCAGGCCCATGAGTGTGTGATACCAGATGAGAAGGAGAAGCAGGAGGCCTTGCCACCATGACAGCCAGCTGGGTGTTATCAGTGAGCTAGGACGCAAACTGTCAATCACAGAAGACATGGCTTATCCCACAGCACACCTTTCATACATGAGAATAAATTCTCAAGAAAAAGTGTATCATTTCCGATGGAGAACTTTTACACATAAACTGTCTGATGCGCTCTCCTGACCCAAAAAGAGGAAACGAATAGCACCCAATATCCTACCAAATCCTCCTTCAAGGCTGAAAATTATGTGGTTCTAATGTGCCATTAAAGGTAATTTAAAAGAAAATGGCTGTTTAATTTAGAGATCATTTCTGGCAAGGCTGAGACCTGTCTTCACCAGCATTTGAAGCTATTATATAAACCACCAAAATCAGAACTACAGGCAATCTTGTCTATTCATGGGCCAGGCATGTGTGCCTTTTTCTCTCATGCTCTTTAATATTTGCTATTTCTTTTATTTGAACCCAAAGGAGAAAAATCTCAGTTGCAGAAATAGAACATGAATTCAGTAGAGTGTTTTTTTTTCTTTTCTTTTTCTTTTTTTTTTTTTAAGAGAGAGACTTCAGAGGCAAGATGATAAATGGCTAATAAGAAACAGGGGTGCCTAGGGGCTTGCAAGGAGGGGGCTGACCATGCACGTGAGAATTCAGGATTCAGTGATAGGGAGCTGCTGTTTCAGCCCTCAAAGAAGAAGCTATCGATTCATTTTTAAGGCAAACAAGTTGGATCCTGGGGACTGCTGAAGGTGAAGCAGCAGCTTCTCTGAGCCTGCCACACTGGGTGACCTTTGCATGGGGCCACAGAAAGAACAATGGCAAGGCAACACTCCTAAATTAGTCATCGGTGCTGTTTGATTTGCTCCTGTGCCAGATGTTCCCTCATTGATCACTGCCTGGCCCATATGTCCTCTCTGAACAGGGGAGCGAGTGGAGCCAGCAGCCGCCACTTCAGAAGCAGCCACCAGAGCGGGCTAATGGAGTCCTTGGCAGGAGGTTGCCATCTGATTGGTTTGCCACTGTTTCTCTTAGAGATCAAGGGCATTATACAGGCAGCACACCTGCCCACTCTCAGGGCCAGGCTCCGGGCAGTCAGGCAGCCTCAATTCCTGAAAGGCCCTGGTGAGCTTCCCAGAACCCCTCAGCAGCGTCCCTGGCCCTCTCACTCTTTTCGTCCCTGTCACAAGAAGCCCCTGTGGCATTTGTTAAACAGCCATTGCCATGTTCAAAGTGAGGCTCAACTTGGCCTGCAGTTTTTCTGTTCTTATTGCTTCTGAGCGGAGGACTGGGGGGCACTCTGCCCTTCTCCGACTTAAGGGTGGAGAGGGATCACAATTTTAAGCCAGCAGGTAGAGGAAAGAGACTGGAGAGCTGCTCATCAGGGATGTTGGCTGGCTTGTCCTTTTATATCACTAAGAACTGCCATGTGGATATAAGAGGCAAGGACACCTTTCCCAGCTTCTCATGAGGCCTGTAAGAAACATCCCTTTTATCTGCCCTCATCATCCCATTCTTCGGGAAACCCTGCTTCCAGCCATTCTTGGGTACCTTGATCAGACTGGCCAATCAGAGAACCTCTCTATAATTTCTAAACCAATGCTGGGCAGAGAGTGAGCTCCGTTCCCGGGGAGGGAGTTATGGGGTGTGAGGCCCAGGATCCATCAGTATCTTGTGGGAGAAGTCAGAGTGCTCCAGCGAGGATAGGCAGACACTAGCAAGGATCCAGCATGGACCTGAGTCAGGGGCCCCTGAGGACCAACTGCAGCTCTACCTTCCTGTTTGGCTGCCAGATCCTTCCTTCAATTACATAGGATGCTCCCATATCCTTCCTGTAATTTACTATTTGTGCCAAGGCTGTTTTGAGTTTCTGTCACTTGCGTCTAAAAGAGTCTGGACAAATAAGTGGATCAAATAAAAGGGGAACAGGACAGTACCCTGAATCACCATGATTTTGAAACCCAACTCTCTGACTAACCAATCTGCCAAAAATAGATTCCTCAAATAATCTATTTGCCAGAAGAACTCATCACAAAACAGAATGTCCCCACGCTTTTTTTTAGCCATGTCTTTTCTGAGGCTACTTTAGCATTTTGCTCATTTAGCTATGATGTCTATCAGATTCTTCTAAATTGAATGTCAATTTCTTCTAGATTTCACTTCTTCAGTGCCTAGGGCGTCCTGAGCATAGAAGTTCTGTATCAATTGGATGAGTTTCTCTTTGATACCGTTTGCTCCCTCTCTGACTCGGGAAGTGTGCCCATTTTCTGCCTACTTCTCCACTTCATCAGCTCCTAACTTGTGCCTGTCTTTGCCCTTCACCTTGCTTGCCCTTGCCCACAAAATGGCTGTGACAAGCTGTTCTATGTCCAGTTAAAATCCGTATCTGACCAACTGTAGTAATTTTAGTAATATAGCAAGCCAGCTATTGTATGAATTGGATTTGAAAAAGTGTTTCCCAGTGATTTGACCAAGATGCCAAACACTACAACCAACCAATGAGTACGTTGAAAAATAAAATCCAAAGAGAATCTGCAAAATTTAGTTTTCATCTCCCTTGCCATTGAGTGGACTAGACCATTGACCCTAGTAGTGGGTCTCCCCTGACTGACTCCCAAGACAAATTCTACCCCTGATCTGAAGGGTCTATAGCTGTTGCTGTTGGAGGGCCAGGACTCCCTCTTGGACTGGGCCATGCTGAGCTGCTGTGGTGATCACCTCACTGCCCCACTGTACCTCCCCCTACACACTGTACTTCTCCTTAATATTGTGTTGCTCACCTGTATTAATTAACTTAATTAGTTATAATTCCCTGTTCACTACATCCATCTTCACTGGACTGTAAGTTCCTAAGAGCAGGAGTATCATTTCAGCCTGTGTCATCACTGAATCCCCAGTGCCTGGCACGGGGCTGGTTGCACAGTAGGTGCTCTTCAGCTTTTGTAGGAAATCTGGAGTTAGCCAACCCTGTTAGGTAAATGGCACCATTTGGGAACCATCCGATCTTTGGCCTCCTGCACTGACTCTGCTACTGCCTCACTTAAGCCTCCTGAGTTGACCAGGCCCTGTCAGCCACACCTTCTTTAGCAGCTTTATTCCTTCTGATGACCATGTGGCTGGAGGAGTCTGGTCTTACCTGCTGGACAAGCCCTGCCCAGCCTTCCACTTTCAATTATATGACCTCAATGCCTATTTCCTCCACCTCCCATGTCCTTGCCTGTGGGTAAACCATTGTCACTTCTGTGGGCTACCCAACAGAAGAAGATGAGTCACCTGACATCCAACATATGCCATGGCAGGAGAAGGGGACCCAGCAGGATGCTAAGTAAGAAAGAGCAGGCACCTTAGAAACCAGGCAGGGCAAGGGCAGTTGCGATTGGCCAGGTTGGGGTCAATTTCAGGTTCTACCATTTATTTGCCATGTGATGTATTATAAAGAAGAGTTAATGATAATTCCTGGTTTACAGCACGCTAACTGTGAGCACAACAAGCCACTCAATAAAATACAAAATTGGGGTGAATTATAAAGGAGTGGCTCGGCCAGGCCAGGCCAGTTAGGATGACAGTTGTGTCTAACAGGAACTGGAAAGCTGCCAATAGTCCACGTCTGTCTCTCTCCTTCTGTGCCGTTTCTGCTTCTGTCTTTCACATTCACTTTCTCCCCCTGCGCACTGGCTTTCTCTGCACTATTAATGGCAAGCACTTGTTAGTGTGGCCACCTAAAATGGCAAACCAGTCTTCTGAGACCACACAACCTTCTAACTTTTTTCCCTGAAATTAAGAGGCTCAGTCGCTGCTTCCCATTCCAAAGCTTCAGGAGAGTTTCTTATTGGTCCTATTTAAATAATAAGATTTACATGGAAAATAAAGCTGTCAAGTCCAGGCTTTGGATATGTGTATGCGGGGAAGAGAAAAGAGGGAAGTAAAATAGATTTCAGTAAGGAGTGGGGTGCTAGGGAATTAATAGGGACCACTACTCCCCTTCTTCACAGTTGTTGTTATGAAAATATAGACAGTGGCCAATGGAAAATGCCTGGTTCAGAGCAGATGCTCACTAGTTCCCTCTCTTCCTCTGCCACTACTTGGTCACACTTATCAGCTAGCTAAGGAGAACTCACAATTACAGTTTCTGCCCGAAGTCACCCCTTGGCCCCTAGGACTCCCTACCCTTCTCTCGCTTTTTGCAAAAACAAAAACAAAAACAAAACAAACAAAAAACAACAACATAAAAACATCTGGCTGGACACAGAAGTGCTCCCTACAGCTTTCCCCCTGACCTGGTGAAAGTGGGCCCCCTGATTTCCCCCACTATGCAGCACCCCACAGCAAGCCCACCTCCTGAGCAGAAGCCCAGAGGGTGCCTCTGAGTTCAGCACAGCTGCTGCAACCTGCCTTATCTGACATTTGCCTCCTGAATTTAGGGTGCCCAATTTAGCAAATAAAAATACAAAACACCCAGTTAAGTTTTATATAAACAACAAGTAATTGTTTAGTGTATGTTTCAAATATTCATTGCTTGCCTGAAATTTAAATTTAACCATGTTTTCTGTATTTTGTCTGGTACCTAGTCCTGACCAGGTCTTTGCTTGTTTGTTGTCAGATGTGACTATCTAACTACACTCCCACTTTGGACATACACTCATATTTGCACTCCAAACACAAGCAGGCCCATGGTGAATGCTCAATAAACTTAATGCTCTTCCCACCCTTACCTGTCTGCTTCACTTGAAAGTCTCTAACCACAGTCCTGTTCTTACTTGTCTGACCAACTTCTAGCCTCAGTTTTATATGCCTGATAATTTACACTGGGCACCAGCCCAGCCCAACCCCATAACAAACCACGCCATTGGCTCCATACCAGCTGTTTCTGTTGCCAGAATGGGTGCCGGTTTTGCTTATGCACTAAAACATAAAGATAATAACTTAGCCCTTTCCATTTCATGTCCTCGTTTTCATTTCCCTCTAAAAGAGTGATCATCCAGCAAGCAAAGAATCACTTAATGACTTGTACTATTTCATTTCTTCCTCTTTTGCACTATTTCATTTTTGGTGTTATATTCCAGAAAACCTCTTTGGCCCTCACTTCCTGTCTCTGTTGAACTCTTTGTATTGCTTTCTTAAGGTGTTTTTGTTGTGCTGTCTGGCTTGTTTCCCTGGAACTACATTTCAGAGTGCCTCACTGAGGCAAGAATGAGGGAGGCAGACTGCATTAGAAATTCTCAAGTTTGAGAATTGATGAAGGTCTTGGATCATATCCCTGAATAATGCCAAGGTCTTGGAGTATATTCCAAACTATTTCATTTCACCTTATGACTCAGATATCAGAAGTTATATATTTATATCTGAGACTAAAAAAGAGTGACAGTTTAAATTGTCAAAGACCCCTAAAACACAAAGCAGGCCCCAGACCCAAGAACATCATGATTCTGAAGAGAAAAGTGTGAGAAAAGATCAGAAAACTCTTAAGTCAGTGAGGCCTGGCAGATGTAGGAAAGAAAGAAACACCTGCTCAGGCTACCATGGAAGACAAAACAGAACATCTCTCAAATTAGAGAAATAATAAAAAGTATTTGTCATCACAAATAAAATGTTTAGCGATTGAATGAATTTTTGCATCAAGCTCATTTTGGTGGTGGTTACGAATACAAACATCAGAAGTCTTTTTCAGGGAGCCCAAGAGAGAGCAGATGTTAGTTAGAATAAAATTGGAGCAAGGCAGACTAAATTTTGTTTTGTCCTGGTGTTGCATGTATTAGTTCATCACATCCCCTTAGTCAGCACTGCAACCTGTGCAGAAATTAATCTATGCAAATAGCTTGGTCCATAGAAGTCATTCTCAAAGTGTAGTCCTGGGCCAAAAGCATCAGCATCATCCAGCAACTTATTGGAAATACAACTGCTTGGACCTCACCCCAGACCTACTGAATCAGAGAGGCTGGCGTTGGAGCTCAGCAAGCTACACGTTAAGCCCCCAGGTGATTCTGATGTGTTTCAGCCCACAACTGGGATGTCACTCACATGCTTCTTGTGGATCACCCTAAAACACATCCAAAACCCAAGATAAATGGCCGTTCTTGTCAAAGCATTGTTTAAAAATATATCAGGACTCTAGTTTGGCCCTTTCCCTTGCTTGACATCCAAGCCCTGGTGTTAATTCCAGACCCAGAGAGTCACATGATTATTCCCCGCCACAAACCTCTTCAATAACACAAGCATTGTTTTGTTGCTCTTTACCCTCATCTAGTATCCTGAAAGAGGGGGAGCCAGGCAGACAGAGAAAGATGGAGAGACTGTCACAACCTGGCTCTGCTGCTTCTCCTGGGGCTGAAGGGGAAATAAGTCCTAACTGTCACTGGCTAGATGCTCTCCTCCCAGGTGAGGGCTTCTAAAATGAGAAAGGAAACATTCAAAAAAATTTCTCAGAGAAAAGCAAACACTTTTTTTTTTGAGACGGAGTTTCACTTTTGTCGTCCAGGATGGAGTGCAATGGCGTGATCTCGGCCCATCACAACACCTGCCACAATGCCCAGCTAATTTTTGTATTTTTAGTAGAGATGGGGCTTCGCTATATTGGCCAGGCTGGTCTCGAACCCCTGACCTCAGGTGATCTGCCCACCTCAGCCTCCCAAAGTGCTGGGATTACAGGCGTGAGCCTCTGCACCTGGCCTAATTTCTATGTTTTGAAAAATGTTCCATGGCTAGATAAGATGTTAACATTAGGGAAAGCTGAAGGAAGAGTATATGGGATCTCTCTTATTATCTTTGCAACCCTTCTGTAAATCTCAAATGTTTCAAAATAAAGATAAAAATATTATAAAGCATTTTTGGAGCATTCAAAAGCACTTAGTCATTCCTTTGCCAACTGTGAATCATATACCCAAGCAACTGTTCTATGATGGTATTGCATTCGATTCTAGAAGACGCAAAAGTTCTCAAAGCTTCAAATATTCATTTCGACCATCTCTCAAGGGACTATCACATCCTAGGAAGACAGATGGAATCGCTCCCTGCTTGGGTAAGAGAGCAGCTGGAACAGGAATTCTGTCTGCAGCAATACCCTGCCTGGCTCCATTGTTGAGCTCCCTCTCACATGACTATCCCACTGTGGCATTCATCACACCTTTCTTGTTGGCTGCCCCAGAGAAGAAAAGGAGCGTCTGAATATTCAGCCATTTTATCTCTTTCAAGAGAACCCACTCATCCAATCTGCTTAATTCTCCATTTGTCACAAACACACAACGAGGACATTTAAAATCCATTTTTGCTTGGTTTTATTTTTTCCTCCCAGAATGAAAAAGAGCTCTTTTACCTCTGAGGGTTTATGTTCCATTATTTCATTGGCATTGATTTCTTTGCCACGTAGCCCAGCTTATTTCAAAAGTGTGAAATCTGTCCTTGCTATACATTGCCATTGGAGTTCATTTTCTATACTAGTTCTCAGGCATTGCTTTTTTTGGAAAAACAAAGAATCCTGACTGTACAGTGATCTTGCTCACAAACTATTTCAGGATGACACCTGACCCAGGAGTTTTGCATTCTGGCTCAGCTGTTCCTGGTACTGTTTATTATACAAGATTTCCCAGTGAGCAAAGACTCTTGTGCCCCCTGTGGATCACAAACAGCATATAATTGGATAGACAAGAAGGGTAACAATGGCCATCCGGTATCTACCGAGCCCCTCTCCTTTGGAAATCGTTGGCATTTCATCTTCATGATCATTTGCAAATATTCAATGAGGGGCCCTTTGATGAAGGAGATGATGAAAACATTAAACAAAATGAAGAAGAACCTGTCTCAGACATCTGATCATTAATTCTTACTAGAGTCCTAAGGCAAATCAGAAATAGAGAAACAGATCAATCCTGTGTTCAGTCACCCGAGACTGGAAAGCAATTGGAAGGAAAGAAGATCTGAGGCTAACAGACTGAGTCCATGGGAGCCTAGTGGAGACTCACATGTACTCCAAGGTGCACTGACTTTTTTCTGGTGGAGAAATGAGGACATGCCCAGAAATGAGACTCTTGTGCAATTGTGGGCTGATGTGGGAGACATGATCTTGGTTGACAAAGTACCTCGAGCCATACACAATTATTGAACTCCATGTCTCCAACTGGCAAGACAGTGCCTAAGATTATCTAAGCTGGAAACTTGCTTGCTTTAAAAACAAAAACAAAAGAACAGAATCATATTTATCATGGTTGTTTAGCATATTTACTCTACAAACAACATTTTAATACATCAAAAAGTATCACCATAATTCCAACATTTAGCAAGTCAACTCTTCTAGTTTATTCAAGTGCCCTTTTATGAATTGCCCATTTGTAATCATTTTTAGAAAATTATAATCAGAGCATAGATTTCTGAATTTTGCTGTTTAGCTTTAAACCACAAACACTTTTTCTAAACCACTATAAAATATCCAAAATTATGGTTTTTAGCCTCTGTACAATATTCTGTTTTGTTGTTATACTACAATTTATTTAACTATAATTTATTTAACTACCGTTGGCCATGGACATGTTTTCTAAATTTTTGGTATTATAAACTATAACTCAATGTATCTGACTTTTTTCTTTCCCTGGATAATTTACTTGGGATAATTTCTCAAAGATTGAATTGAGAGGTTCAAGGATAGGTTCATTTTTTACAACTTATAAGTAATTTTTCATGGGCATTATTTACGTGTTTCTTTGTTTAAGTAAGTAGAGAGAACTGAAGATAAAGGGGTACTATATATGCACCCTTGTTTCTGTTGACCACCGGAGCTATATATCAAATCATTTACTGGACATTTCTGCTTGGATGTTGCATAGGTATTCTAAATGAAACATTCCTACAACTAAACTTGTCATATTTCTATCAGCTCCCCAAATCTGCCTTTACTCCACGGTCCCTTGGCTCAGTGAAGTGTCACCATCCATCCCATCACTTGAGCCAGAAGCCTGAGAATCACCCTAATTGCGTCTTTGCCCTCACCTTTCCCTTCATCTGATCAAGCATTGTGCTGTGAGTTCTATCTTCTAGGCATCTGTTGAACCTGACCATTTCTCTAAAGATTCACAGCCCCTATTCTAGTCTAAGGCACCGTCATCATCACTGTTACCCACTGCCTAGCCACCTCCCTGGACCCTGTGCCTCTGGTCTTAACACACAGAGAGATCTCTCTAAAGCGTTGCATTCTGGGCTTAAAACGCTTTGTTCTCTCATTCCCCTTTGCATAATGTTAATGTTTTCATCATGGTTTACAGGGTTATTCAGGATCTAATCCTTTTGAACTTCTCAAGTTTCATCCCATGCCTCTCCCCCTTGTTTTCTCTACACAAGCCATCCCGGTCTTATTTCAGTCCCTGAAATCTCCCCTGGGGGCTCTTGCCCTGGGGCTTACACTTATGGCTTTCCCTCGATTACCCCAGTCCACCGCCCATTCAGTTATCTGAATCCCACCCACCCTTTGTGTTCCATCTTAAATGTGTTTTCCTCAGAAAGAATCGATCACTACCACCACCACGGCCTGTCATAGTCCCCGTAATATGCTCTCAAAACACTCTGTGCTTCCCCTCTGGTAACATTTATCTCCCCCATTTATTTATTAAATGTCTGTCTTCTCCACCAGATTGTAAGCTTCATGAAGGCAAGAAGGTTTGTATTGTTTAAGACTATATTTTCAATGTCCAACATGCATTTGAGACACTATAGTTTCTCTATACATATTTGTTAAATGCATGAATAAATAATGAATGAAATAACATATTCTCAGACCCTATTTAAGATGGTTTCCATAATATTAAACAATATTCCAAAAATCCTGCTTTCAAAGACCTTGCTTATGATTCACATCTCCACGTTTTATACCAAACTCACACTAAACAGCAAGGAGACTATTTTAACAATTGACTTCCTTTTCCCACATGCACAGATTATTAATACAACAGCAGGCCGGTGACTAAAGGTAAGACTAATCCTACATATTTTCTTCTCTTCCCTGCCTCTCAGACTTGTCCTTTTGGAGAGGAGTGATAAAGCAGATGGATTTAGTTTTTATGTCAGTCATCATCAGCTGAGTAGAGGTTTTTGTGTGAAAGAAAAAGCTAGTATTAAATTGATTGATGGTTTATTTTTCCTATTTGCTGTTTGGTCATTGGAGTGACACCAGGAGGGCTGTCTAGTTAGAGGTGTGTGAGACAATAGCTATAACAAAGGCTATTCCAGACACAGAATTCATTGCTCATAAATGATCCCTGGAAATGAGCATATTGACACATAGTCACCAATAAACTCGCATGCAGAACTGTTCGGAAAAATTTATCTTGCACTTATTCAAAGGGCCATAAGGAATTAAAATTAGCATACAATCTTGAGAGGAATATTTGTAATAGATTTTCTCTTTTTTACAAATAGGAGATGACAAATAATTCATACATATATTAATAATTCCACCTTTGAGTTTTCTTCACTTCTGTTCATATAACCAGGTCCTGGAGGATACACAAATATGTGATTTCCACGTGCTGCTGTGGTTGCACGTGGCACGGGTGTTATGCCCTAGCAGACCTCATGTCTAGATACTATTGCTGTTATCATTCCTCTTATTAAAACATCCAAGGTTTTGCCCTAGAAGATGAAGCTCCAGGCAGGAAGAAATAGTTTACCAAGTGGATCCAATATTGTCTGACAGAGTTTTACCTTCCCCCTGGGACTTGCTCATATCAAATTCCTCTGCCACCAGACTGCCCCCAGAAATGGCTGCAACTCCTTGAATGCTCTGGCACAGGTGGGGACAAAACCTCTCTCCCTATTTATCTTTGGCACAGCTTAGCCTGGCTAGGCCTGTCAAAAAAAATTAAGGTACAAAAGGTGCACAAAAGCAGGATAAACCGAGAAAGTAAGAATCTTAAAACAGCCTACCTACAAAGAACACATTTCTGACCCTTCCCTAGCTACCTTGCTCTGGAAGCTCAAGGGCCCTTCCCTTCCTACAGTTTCTCTCCTGAGGATGTTATACTTTAACCTGAAAAGGGGGCAAAGCACCCTACTTCCTTGCTTCTCAGCAGAGGTGTCAGTAGCTACAAAGGAGCCTCCATCCAAAGTCTGAGTGAGTTCTCCCTTTGTTCCTCCCCTGCAGACAATATCAAAAGTGTCTCATCTTTCTCCTCCCAGTAGGAAAAGTGAGTATATGAATAAGAGCGACCATTTGTTGGATTCTTTTTCTAGGCCCAGCATTGTGATAATAGAAGGTTTCTCGGGGAACAGGTGTAGATGGAGAGATAATAGGGGAGAGGTTATTTTATGGTTCAGAGGAAAGAGCAAGTTCACAAGAAATATAACATGGATTTCATGGGAATCATTAGGAAGCAGGTCTTTTGTTTCTCTTGCTCTCCCCCTTTTCCTTTCGGTATTGCTAACGGGAGTGGAAACAGACACCAAATGTGGAATTTAGCTCATGCCTTACCTACTGGCCTGCTTATTGGAAACACACTCCAGACCAGTGCTGCCCAGTAGAAACTATCTCCAATGATGAAAATAGTTTCTGTCTAATAGCACTGCCCAATATGGTAGCCACTAACCACACGTGACCGCTGAGTACTTCAAATGAAATGTGTGACTAAGTAAGTGCATTTTAAAATTTTATTTAATTTTAATTAATGTAAAGTTAAATAGATACACATGGCTCATGGTTATGGCAGTGAACAAAATAGCTCAGGAGGGCTGGGTGTGGTGGCTCACGCCCGTAGTCTCAGCACTTTGGGAGGGCGGGGCAGGCGGATCATTTGAGATGAGGAGTTCGAGACCAGCCTGGCAAACATGGCGAAACCTTGTCTTTACTAAAAACACAAAAATTAGCTGGGTTTGTTGGCGGGCACCTGTAATTCCAGCTACTCAGGAAGCTGAGTTACTGGGGAGGCTGAGGCAGGAGAACTGCTTGAACCAGGGAGGCAGAAGTTGCAGTGAGCCAAGATCATGTCACTGCACTCCAGCCTGGGCGAGGGAGGAGACTCTGTTTCAAAAAATAAAAGAAAGGCCGGGCACAGTGGCTCACACCTGCAATCCCAGCACTTTGGGAGGCCGAGGTGGGCGGATCACGAGGTCAGGAGTTCGAGACCAGCCTGGCCAATATGGTGAAACTTCGTCTCTACTAAAAATACAAAAATTAGCCAGGCGTGGTGGCGCACGCCTGTAGTCCCAGCTACTTGGGAGGCTGAGGCAGGAGAATTGCTTTAACCTGGGAGGTGGAGGTTGCAGTGAGCTGAGATCACACCACTGCACTCCAGCCTGGGTAACAAAGGGAGACTCTGTTTCAAAAAGAAAAAGAAAGAAAGAAAAGGAAAAGGAAAAACAGCACTAAGGAGGCTAAGTATGACAGTGACCCAGTGGAAATTAGGTCCAGCATCTCAGCAACAGAGATGATGCCCCACACCCACCAGCCTGCTTGCCACAATGATCCATCTAAAGAGATGCCTCAGGACCCTCTGCTTATTTCCTGAGGTCTGCACACACCCTTCGAAATGCACTTTAATAGCACTCTGTAATTTCTCCTTTGAGGCTCTGCTCATAGCTGTCCCCTGAAGTCCTCACTTAACATTGTCAATAGATTCTTGGAAACTGTGAGTTTAAATGAAATGACAACCTACAGCAGGGCCTCCAATAACTTCTTTTCCTTCAATGTCATTTTGTTATAATGTTGATGAGGAAAAAAAGAGTTTTGTTTACATAATTTCACTTAAAGTCGCAGTTTCCAGGAACCAATTGATGATAAGTGATGACTCACTGTAATTTAGAAATTATTTGTGCCGATCATTCATTATTTCTTCTGTTTAACAGATATTTACTGAGCGATTACTCTGCATGCCCCAGGCACTGTTTCTGGCACTGGGAATGCACCGGTGAACAAAGCAGGCAAACTGCCTGTTCTCAGGATCTCATGTTCTAATCAGTGAAGCCAGAGCTACACTAGTGAAGAAATGAGTATGTAATAGAACAGGGATTGATAAGAGCTCAGTAGGAAAAAAATATAGAGCAACATATGGGTATGGAGCGTACCAGGGATGCTGTTTTTGATAGGCAAGTCAAGGAAGGCTTCTCCAAGAGCTGTTGTACACACAGAGCCCTGAATGGAAAGGAGGAATGAGGCATGAGGAAATCTGGGGGAGAAAACTCTAGGCAGAGGCCTCCGTCAGTTCGAGACGTGCTTGAGGCTGAGCAAATGTGAAGAAGGAGCGTGGCAGGAGCCAGATGCCTCCTCTCAAACTACGCCCTGGATCTACCCTCTGCTGCCGCTTTTGGAGATCCAGTCCCAGACCCCAGAAGCCCCACCATGGTGACAAGAGACATGCAGCACATCCTTGGGGGAAGGAAAGGGTCCAACACCCTACCTGGGGGCAGAAACTCATCTCAGCTGGCACATCAAGGTCAGGGGCCTTACCTCTCCTAGTATCATGAGGAGGATCTCAAAGCAGGGAAGGGAAGCCAGCTGAGGGACCCCTGAGAGGAGATCAGGGGATAAATACTTTGCAACAGAATCCCCATGGGAAACATGACAAAATTAGTAACAGGAATGGAGCCTCCCTCAGAGGATACATGAATCGTTGAGTTGAAAATAACCACAAGGTCATCAAATCCAGCTGCCACCAACTGCCTGAATATTTTCAACAAATTTTTGAACAAGCAGTCCTCCAGCCTCCTCCAGCTGCATCCAGCAGCTCAGTGCTCCACCTGACAGCCTCTTCTGATAGCGTGAAGGCTCAGAAAGCCCCTGTGGGGCCCAGCACATCCTGGGGCAGGCCTCTAGTGGGCAGAGGGCAGCATACTGGGGTCTGGATCTAACACACTCCTCCATCCAGGTGGTATATTTATAGCCCTGTGCTTTACAGAAAAGACTTCTGATGAGATCAAGACTTTAGGCTGTTTATGTGGCTTCTTTCATGAGCCAACTTTAAGACATTCCCCAGGGGAAGGGCAATCTTTTGTTGTTGGCTCTTGCTCCTGTAAAAGATCTTGGAGTCATGATTTTAGAACCAGGAGGAACTTAACAGTGATCTAGTGCAACCTCTTCATTTGACTTGTGAAAATTGAAGGCAGTTTCGAGCCTTGAGGTGAAATGCAGAGATTATTCCCAGTGTTCCCTCTGAGGCTGCAATGCCTAGAGCTCTAGGTAGTCCCTGCCTCCGGGTCCTCTCATGAAGCCGCCCTGGGACCTCTCTTCTCAGTCCCCACGTGACCTGATCCCCTGCATCCATGGTCCTTGTAGACTCTTCCCTTCGTCTTAAAATTTTCCTCCCTTGGCCTTTGCAATACTATTCCCAGTTTCTTTCCATCTCTCTGGTTTCCTTTCCATCTCCTTGGCTGGATGTTCCTCTCCATGCCCCATAAATACACTGCTCCCTATGGCATGGGCGGGCCCTGTCTCCCTACTCACTCTACATATTCCTTCCCTTGATTACAATCGCTGCCTACATATGCATAATTTAGAAATATGCATCTTCAACCCACAGCTAGATGGTTGTACTCCAGACCCATAGATCCAATGATTTACTGATGATCTCCATCTGTGTATATTATAAGCATCTTTATTCTGCATATTAAAGACTGAATTCACTATCCACTACCCCAAACCCTGTCCCATTCCTGTATTTCCTACCTCTTTGATATCTATCTTTAATTATCAAATCTCCAAACCCAGAACTTATCCTAGACTTTTCCATTTCACTCGATTTCTACTCCTAATCTGTGCCTGCCGTGAAGACATGATGGAAGGAATACAGTAAAAGATTGCATCATGGTTTGAGGAAAGCAGCTTCCCCTTCCAACCCCGAGGATGCCAAGAATAAGATACAGAACAAACCCTTCTGATAAAGTGAGCAGATTAAGCTGTGCTCTCACAGGCGGGACAGCCATGACTTCAGTCCATGGACTGTTCTACCAGCCCCCAGTCCATCCACCTTCTGTGTTTACCTCCTACCAATCCAGCTCAGATTCAGGGTCCACCTCTTCAACTACTTTCTTTCCAGTAGAGGGCAAGTCACTTATCTAATCATCACAACAGCTGGAAAATTTCAACTACCTTCCTTCTCCATGACTGCACCTGGCCTGCTGACTGCTGACGGCAGACATTTTTCAACAAGCACATTGGCTTCGCTGTGAACTCCTGGTCACCTGACTCAGCTTCATCTGCAGCACTTCCTGTTAACATTGCACTGTTTCTGTAGTAAGCTCACTCTTCTTTTCTTCACGATAACCACCGCAAAGCCCCTCCCTGCATGCTCCTTACCTCTTACTGCTACCCATACTCCAACCTTCACTTGCTACTTCACAAAGAAAGTAGACCCCATCAGCTAGGAACAGCCTCCAATAGTTGTCACAAATCTGCAAGCACCCATTCTTCTTGCTCCCATCCTGTCAAAATGGAAGAGGTGTCCCTTTCCCCATCTAAAACCAATCATTACACATTCATTCACTGGATAGTTAATTACTGAGTGTCCACTATGTGCAAGGGTGACCAATACAGCTACTGCCTTATCATTGTCTCCTTCCTAAAATGTTCAAACACAATTGACTCTCACTCACTTGTCTTAGATGCTAGAGATTCAACAAGACCAAACCATCTGCCCTCCCAGAGCTTTAATTTTGGTGGAGAAGATGACAATAAGCAAGATTAAGTCAAATATACAAAATGTTGTATAGTAACTAATTGCTACTGCATATTGAAGGTATTGAAAATTTAGATATGGTATTCAGGGAAGGCCTCACTGACAAGGTGACATTTAAGTAAAGGTCATTATAAGGTGAGGGAGAGGACCATGGGGATACTTGGGGGAAGAACATTCCAGGCAGAGGAAACTGCAGGTTCAAAGTCTTGGCAGCAAGAGCTTACCTGGCAAGCATGGCTCAAAGAAAGAAGTAAAAGGAGACGAGGTCAGAGTATGGCCAGTTGACACTAGGTTTTATGCATCAAAATGAGGACCTTGACTTTCATAGTCAGTGAGACAGAGATACTGGGGGCTTTTGGAAAGAGGTGAGACAGGAGCTGACTCATGTTATCAGGAACATTTTTTTGTGAGCTCATGTGCCACCATCTCAGGGATGGTGTGCTGCCAGTCACCCCCTCTACCTTTTCTGGGTGATGTGGCCTATTTCCTGTGTCCCATATCTTTCTAAGATGGGGTATAGAGAATCTCTGAGCACAATAAAGAACTGGAGTTAGACTAGAAGGCAGTGCAGCAGATCAGAAGGCGGCATGGACTTTGTTCTAAGGCAGGACAAGGAATGGCTGCTTTCTCTTGCCTGGGCATGCCTAACATTCATTCCAATGCATTTATATCATAAATGCCTGGCTGAAGCCATCTCATGGCTTAACGTCATATTGAAAATCTGGAGGCCATTATCTTCCATGAAGTAACTCAGGAAAAAAAACTAAATACTGCATGTTCTCACTTATAACTGGGAGCTAAGCTACGGATATGCAAGGACACACAGAGTGGTACAATGGACTATGGAGACTCAGAAGGTACCTATTAGGTACAATGTACATGACTTGGATCATGGGTACACTAAAAGCCCAGACTTCAACATTGTACAATTTATTCATCTGTATAACCAAAAACCACTTGTACTCCTAAAGCTATTGAAATAATAAATAAAATACAGACTTCTTGCCATGGCCATCAGGACATTCCATGAGCAGCCTAATTCCCCAAAGTTACCCCCATCCCTTCACCACTAAACTTTGACTACATTGGTCTTTCAGTTTCTCAAATGTGCCAAACTCACTCCCACCTTAAGCCTCAGCCATTTATCTGGCTGGAACACTTCCCCGCTGATCCTTGTATGGCTGCCAAAATGTATGCAGTCACTCTGTGACCACTGCCTCCTCCAAACATAATTAACCCACTTAAGTTCCACTTGCCTTAAAAATAATGTACTCGTCTGGACACCATTTTTTGCTCTGACATTTTCCATTTCTCCCTTTCACAGATGAATTTCGCAAAGAGTGTCTACCCTCTGCTTCCATTTCTTCACCTTCCCTTCCGCTCTCATCATTGTCTCATCGGTTTTATGCCCTCAAAGCTTCCTTGAAATTACTCTCACCAATGGCTTCCATGTTGCTAATTATAAAGTTTAACTTTAGGCCCCATCTTACTTGATCTATTGACAATATTTAGTACAATTGACAATACCTTCCTCTGTAAAATATTCCTTTCTCTTGGCTTCCTTGACACACTGTCTCCTTCTTCCATGGTGGACTTTTTTTGCCTATGCTATCAGGCCTTGAAATGTTGGAGTCAGGCAACGTCTGTCCCAGACCTCCTTCCTTGTTCATTCTAATTCACTCCTTGTAATCTTGTCCATCCTGATGACTTGGATCACCATCTATCTGCAAACTAATGACTTTATCACTCCTACTCAGACTTTCTCCCAAGCAGGATGTCATCGCAGGGATGCTGCATGTGTATATGTCACACTCGATGTACATATGTACACGACTCAGATCATGGGTACACTAAAAGCCCAGACTTCAGAAGCTGACTCATGACCTTTTTCCCGTTCTTGCTCTCATCACTCTGCATCCCAAACCTCATTTACTATAGTATGCCTCTCAGGAAATGGCATACAGCTATTGTTCAAATAAGAGCCCTGGGGTTCATCTGTGACTCTCTCACTTCCTGATTCCTCAAATCCACCCAATCCTATTCAAACAGGCTCTAAGTTTGCGTTCCTCTCTCTAATGCAGACTGCTCCCATCTGTGCTTGTCATCTCTCACTATAGCAATCACCTCCTATCACATCATCCTTGTTTCCACTCTTTACCTCTTCCCAGCCATTCTCACTTCTCACATTGCAACCAGAGGGTACTTTACAAAATGCACATGGGACAATGTCACTCACCAGCTTAAAATCCTTCAATGGCGTCCCATGATTAGGCTGACACCTCAAACATAAACAGGGCTTGATGTCTGTCTCACAATGCTATTTCTCAAATTTTACTCTCCAGCTCAATTCAACATGTTTCAGTTCCTCAAATGCTTCAACTCTTTCTTACTTCTATGTCTAATTCACTAATTGTAAAATGACCATATTCTATCCCCATTAGATTTTAAGATCCATGAGGTCATGAATCTTTTACCTGTTTTGTTCACCAGTGTGTGTCTAGCAAGTAGCACAGTGCCTGACATATATTTACAAAATATATGATTCATTTATTCAAAAAAATGTTTTTTGACTGCCTACTCTGTCGCAAGCTCTATTCCCGGTGCTGGTGATACAGAAACAATAATAATTGCTTTAAGGGACAAAACTCTCTGCCCTAAGGAGTTATATTCTAGTGAAGAGAGACAGAATATACAAAACAAATAAGAAAATATGTATATATTTATACATATATTACATATATATATACATATTTGTGTATGTGTATATACATAGTATATAGTATATTTGTATATATAGTATATTTAATATAATTTAACATAGCATATTTAATATAGTATACTTGAAGGTAATAAATGCTATAGAAAAACATCAAATGAGAAAAAGGAAGTATATGATAAGAGGTTTTGGGTTGTCAGGGAAGAACAAAGATAACATTTGATAAAGCATCCAAAGATGGAGAAGGAGGAGAAGGAGGAGGAACAGGAGGGAGAGAGAGAGAGGAGACATTAGGTGAATGTCTGGGGGAACAGTGCTCCAGCACATGGAGCAGCAAGTTCAAGGTCCTAGAAGGGTATTGTATTAGTCCATTTTCATGCTGCTGATAAAGACATACCCGAGACTGAGAAGAAAAAGAGGTTTAATCCGACTTACAGTTCCACCTGGCTAGGGAGGCCTCAGAATCATGGCAAGCGGTGAAAGGCACTTTTACATGGCAGCAGCAGGAGAAAATGAGGAAGATGCAAAAGCGGAAACCCCTGATAAAACCGTCAGCTCTTGTGAGACTTATTCATTACCACAAGAACAGTATGGGGTAAATCTCCTCCATGATTCAAATTCTCTCCCATCAGATCCCTCCCACAACACATAGGAATTATGGGAGTCCAATTCAAGATGAGATTTGGATGGGGACACAACTGAATGATACCAGGTATATACCTTGATGCCTTGTGAGTTGATGGACCAGAAAGGAGGCCAATACGGCTGGGGTAAATGATCCAGTGGGAGGTTATTGCAGAGAGAGAAGAGACACAAGGGCTTCATCATGCAGGGCCTTGTAGGCCTGTGGAACTTTCACAATGAGGGCAATAGGAGGTCACTGGAGGGTTTTCAGCAGAAGAGTGACACAGTGGCACATAGATTTTAGCACTCTCACTCAGATGGCTCTGTTGAGAATAGGCTGAGGAGGAGAAAAGACAGGAGGCAAAATGCCAGATAGGAGGCTATTGCCATAATCTGGTTGAAAGATAATAGCAATTCCAACCAGAGTGGTAGCAGAGATGTTGAATGAGGTACATATTTTGAAGGTAGAGTGGACAAGACCTACTGATGGACTAGATGTTCCATATAAAAGAGAGGAATCTAGAATTATTCCAATGGGTTTGGCCTGAGCAAACGGAAAGATGGAGTTACTATTAACTGAAATGAAAAGACTGTGGAAGGAGCAGGTTACAATATATTAATTTTAAGCAGGCTATTAGTCATCCAAGACACTTCATGCTGATCAGAATTGCATATTTTTAAATTAAAATATCACTTGTCCAAATGGCTGAAATCTTTTAGGATTAGCCCCATTCCTTTCAAGCCCAAGACTCTGGTCTTATCCCAAATTTCATAGATGTCATAAAACTGGTGTAAGGGGATATTACATTAGTTTGGTGCCATCTGTGGCACCAGATCTCCAGAACTGCTGCTGTCTAGATATTTATTCTGAGCATCTTTTAAAAAATCTAATAAGCAAAACATTCCTGGTTGTGCAGAAGGCTTGGAGCTACTCTTCACTCTAAAGCTTCCCAAACTCAGAGGTATTAGATAAGGTTTTCTTGGCCAAACCATGTGCCAGGTCCTCTGATGAACCATCTGCTAGGAATCTGTCCTTCTGTAACACTGAGCCAAGAGCTCCAGATGGGGCTATGTAAGGACTCTAGTCTGGATAGAGAAGGCAAAGGGATAACGATGGGCATGTTTTCAAATCATTGTGCCTGGGAGCCACCAAGGACATCACCAGATAATGTCCCTTCAGGCCTTCTTAGACTGGTGAAATCACTGTTGACCCAAGGATGGAATACCTAAGCCCAACAAGTCCCTAAGACAACTTCTGTGTGTAAATTGGGAACAGATGTTACCATATGAATAAAATGAAAAAAAAAATTACAAAACCTCAACCTGCTGAAAGACAAAAGTTTTAACTTTAATCTACAAAGTTAAATAGGTGAGTGCATTTTCTTTTCTTAAAATAACTTGCTTGCTAAGGGAAAAGGTGTGCAAATTTCTCAGACTCAAAAGTGCATCCAAGGAAAACAGCCAAGCTCTACAGACCGCCCATCATCCACCTGCAAGTTCTTATGACAGACCCTGGGGTGGTTAAAACTGTAATGTCTCAATTTGGAATGAGTTGTCCCCTTTTGAAGGACCCATGGGGTAAGGGTTCCAGTTGAATTCCTAGGGCAGTCTTGTACAATGCCTCACTTGCTGTTCTCATACTGTTCCATGATAGGGACAAGGAGCATCTATCAAAAACCAGCTTGGTTTCTTGGTCTGTGAACCAGCTCAGAAGACCAATCACCAAGATTTTCAAACCCTGCAGAAAAGAAAAAAAAAAAAAAAAAAAAGCAGCATTAGTGAAGTGGGAATAGAGCTCCTGAAGGGAGTACTCTGAAGACAATAACATGCATTTGAATATAAAATGCCGTAGGTTTACAGTTTAAAAATTATTTCATCTGGAGTAGATAAATAAGTAATGCACTAGGTAAATAAGAATAAATGAAGTAATTTTATTAAAACTTACTAAATAGCATATACTTTCTTATCAATCTAAACCTTGAAAAGCAATAGAAATAGGTCAAGTAAGTTCTGTTCCCCAACAATATCTAAGGCAGAGTTTCAAGTGGGGGTGCATCTACAGGGATGTGTCAGAATCTCAGAGAGGGAAGTTACTTGTAGAAACTACATTGCCCTCCCTTCACCTGGAAATTCTAGGCTGCTGTGGGTACAAGGCCTGTACTTCCATCCCCACACAGATACAGAGGGAATGAATGGTCAGTTCATTCATCATAAGATAAATTATGATTGTAGATGGCAGTTACTCTTTCCTGAGACTTACTCTGGAATTGTGCCTGCAGCACTGACATGGTAATGATGTGTTTGGAAGACCAACCAGAAATGTAGCAGAGCACGAGTTCACAGCAGAGGCTGGGGTCATTTCTGGGCCCTTGCTTGTTGTGATCTGGGGCAAGTAAAGAGAACTTTATGTTCTCTTATGTAAAGAGAACTCACTTCAACTGGTACCTTACACATAATAAGTGCTATATAGTGTTTGCCATTGTAATATTACCAGCATTACTGACATAGACATTATTGACATTGACATAGAGTGGGATCTATGCCCACCCACTCTGCCAAAGAATTGGATTAAAAAACACAAGGAAACAAGTTTCTCATAGTGTCCACGAGCCTGTGATGATTGCCACCATGAGGATGCCCAGGAAAGCAGAGCACGATGGGTTATCACAGAGCTCAGGTTGAGCACATTTTTAGGCTCCAGTGTGTCGGAGAGAATGAATGGGGAGGGCTTTCTGGCTAGAGGACAAGAGAGTATTCAGATACCTTTTTCTATTTTATAGAAATTAAAATATGACTGTATCTTTCTCTCTTCCACCATACTCCCCACCTCTGAAAAAATAAAGTAACTCAAAAGATTTTGGCATCAACATGTGAAGTCAAAGAAAAACGTGATTCCCCAATATCAATCCCCCAAATGACTATGCCCCTTCACTTAAAACTCACAGTCCTTGGCGTGACTATTATCAGTTTGTTATTTTTTTTCTAATCTGCTGATGCTCAAGACAAACACATTTAAAAATCATTGTAATTTTACTAGGTTGAGTCACATGAAATTGCCCATTTGTGGGTAAAGTAAGATAAAATATCAGCAATTTTCATACGTGTCAATTTATAATATGCCCTGGACCTTGCTATTCTGTGCAATACAATTTATTGTTTTTTTATGTTTTATACTCCAGGACAGATTTATTAAAAGGCATGATTTAAAAGATGTATATGAAATAAAGGCATTTCAGGGCTGACCTTCAGTTACATAAACATTGAGTTTGCATAAAAACTTTGAATGATTTTGTCTTACTAATATACAAAGCTGCTAAAGTTGAAAGAGCTTATTTCAAACCTTTCTTCTGATGAACTAACAGAGGTCCTGAGGGGTGAATTTATTTACCCAGGGTCAATTAGAACATATCAGAGCCAAGAACAACTCTCTGGTCCCTGAGATCCTATTCAGTTTCTCTTGTGGAAAAACCAAGTATCTATTGTCTGGAATTTTTTCAGGGTGGCCCAGGATACTTTTATAAAGAAGCCACAGGCATGGTGTGGAAAACCCAGGGTCTGAGCAGATCTTTCCTGCCCCGAATGCAGTGACCCACTTTGCTTAGGTTCTTAAACACACCCCGGATTCTGAGCATAATAAAGTCATGATCATAGTCATCTGTAACTAAGAATCCAAGAATTCTCAGACCACTCAGGTGAACGACACTGCCATTGCAATGTCTAGATAAGAAATATTGAAAAAGAGGGCATAAAGGCATCTACCATATTTCCATGCAAGGTATTCAATGTTCCCCCTGCCTTACAGATGAAGAAACAAGTTCAGGGACGCTGGCAACTGCCAGCACTCAAGTCTGTCTACATTATCATAGAAAGATGGGTCCACCCTCCTGCCAGCTTCCAAGTATCACATGACTGTATTCAACCGGGAGAACTTAATCAGAGAAACTTGGTCTCAAGGAGTCTTGAACACATTGAACACAATATTTAATTTTCTAGCTCCAGGAACCCAAAGAGGGTAGAATAGAGGTAGTGAGAAAGCCAATTCTAGTAGGAAGCCCTAGAGAGAAAGACATTGTACCTATTGGTTTTGGGCTTGTTTACCTGAACCAATGACTGTAGTGCAAAGAACAGGCTTATCCTGATTGGCTGAAGCTGATCAAAGCTTATTCCTTGAGCAGAGGGTGTGCTCCTCGACTGAAGTATATGGGTTGGGAGTGGTAGAGGAGAATACCCTAACAAAAGCTGGATACTGTTAGGAAGGGAAAGGGAGCAAATGTACAATAGTCCCTGTTTGGATGCACCATACTTTATTCAAGTTCACTACTGTTGGACATTTATGTTCTTTCGGACTTTCACGCTGATACCTTGCCCCGTGACAAACACTCTTGTGGCTTTGTCTTTGTGTACATCTAGGATAAATTTCAATGCTAAATTTCAGGGTCAAAGTATATGAATGTTTGACTGGTCTTGATAAATTTTCTTCCAGCAAGTTTGTTTCCCATAGCTAATACCCTCATATACATAATACTGGGAGTTGTGTGTGCTAATTTGATAGGCAAAACTTTGTCCTTCTCAGATAACATTCCATAGTGGTGTGCTGGTGCTGGTGTGTGTGAGGCCACAGAAAAATATGGCACATCTTCATGGAACTGCAATTTTTTTGTTTTCACAGAAAACTATTATGTTTACATTTTATGATATCATGACACAGAATACAAAATCCATAAAAATTTTATTGATGACACATGAGAAACTTAGAAGATTTCCTGTTTAAAATGGGATGCACCTGTCTTCTCTTCCTTCCCACAAATCCCAGAAGTACAAGTTCACTTTTTGCTGCAGTAGGTAAACCTTGGTAGAAATTTTGAGAACTAATTGCTCTTTACTGGGATTCACCTAATATAATAATTCATCAAATAAAGATGTGAAGATGCAAGACAACAATGATGGACCTGGTTGTAAGAATCTTATTCAGTGGCATAAAGCTGAAAAAAAGCAAATGGATAGAAGATACTAAAATCTGGCATGGAAGATACTGAAACCTGGCATGGAAGAGAGTAATCAAGTAGTTTCATCAAAGACAAATAAACTACCCCAGAGGTTTAATGATAGGGCAGTGGCCTACAATTGCCAGTGACAGAATCCAGAGATCCTTCTTTCAGCCACAGGAAATCCCAGCCTGCTACTGCCAGCAAATGGGCAAGGAGACAGGCCTGGCTGCTACATGCCCCACTGTTAGAGGGAAATCCCTGTTAGTTCCCAGCACAAGTCATTCCACATAGACTTTTTGTGATTATTGAATGTCATTTCTCTGATTAAAATGACTTATTTTGCTCCGTCAAATCATTTGGTATTTGGAATACTGTGACATTCAACAAAACCTCTAATGTTGAATGAGGATGCGGCAATATCCAATTAAATTCATTTGAGTCACTGTGAAGCCATCATCAAGGTTTTTGTGCTTCTCAATTAATTTTCCTAATGACAATAAAATTATGACTTTTTTTCTTGGTAATCTCAAATGTAAAAATCCCAAAACAGACCTGTAAGTTTTGATACATAGGTCACTGCAGCTAAATTAAAAATCTATGCCTTCATGATTCTTAAAAAAGACAAAAATACAAAAGAGACATTGAAAGATTAGAGCTGAATGATTTCCACCTGAATGAACATTTATTATCTTGCTCACTTTAATGTGCACCAGATAAAGAACTAGACTGTGTCCTCCTGAGTGAAGAGTGCCCTTTCAGGCATATTTGTGGCAGGAATGAGATCCCTAATAACATGGTTGTTGCATCTGGAGAAAGAACACAGGTTTACTCTCACATAAATCTGGATGCAACAGCCTGGTGGACATTCTCCGTTTGCCCCTACATGCGCTCTGTACCATCCCATCCCCGTGCTGCAGGCCCAAGGAGGCTGATCTTCACGGACTGTGCCAACCACAGTCCCTTGCCTTCTGACTTATGATTGAGTTTGGGCACTGGGAAGCCTTGGCAGGGATGGGAGGATGGGAGACCCTGAAGTCAAGGTATTTATTCCAGGGATCTCTCTCTTTGGGGCTGTGGGTTGGCCATGCATCATCTCAGGTCCTCTCTTACAGATTCCTCCAGCTTTCCAGGTTTCTGAAATTGCTCGGTCCCCTTGTTTATTTGGACTAGGTCCTTGTTCTTCATTGTTCCTAGCTCAGGAGGCCTTACCAAGCCTCACTGGTTTCACTTAACCCTTAACCCTGCTCTAGGCTCTGTAAACAATCTCTTCATTAAATTCTCCATTATGGATGTGCCATGTGTCTCTCATTGGGACCGTGATTAACGCAGCTCATGTAGAGTCTATCAAACAGTATGTGATATAATACCATAAAATACACAGGAAAAGCGCTCAGTTCTGAAGAAGAGGATTTCACGTATCCAAGCTCAGAAGTAGCAATGCCAATAACAAAGGTTAGTTAGGAAACTAGAGCCACTGTGACTTTGGATAAGATATTTATTATAGAATTATACCTATCTAGTTGTGGCAAATACTAGCGAAGTAATATGCAGAGGGGAGAGTTGGAGGAAAGGAGACAGAGTCACCATCCAGTCCTTCTAAAGCACTGGTGCAGGGTGGACAAGCATAGGCTTGCAGGGAAATCTAAGAGAGTTTACTGAGACAGCAAAGGGAATGTCCTTAATAGGGCTGGGGAAACTATGGCCTCTGATTAGTTCCACCTCTGGGGAACCGCCAAACTTCTGATTTTGAAACTGGTTTTGAAGCCAGGTCTAGTAGTCATAAAGAAGAACTAGACAAGGAATGCAGGAGAGAAGTGGCAAGTTTGAATCTCTTGGGCACTTCTGAATCTGTCTATTCTCCACATATTTGACTGCAAGACCTTCCAAGATTATGACTAGTGATTTACTTCCACTTTCTAAACCTTGTACAAATTCCCCCCAACTCCAATTGTGTTCAGGAGACATAAAGGGAATGGGATTCTGAGAAATGTAGTTCCACTTTAACCAAGTGATATGGCACACTTCAGCAAAATTCCAGAGGAAAAAGACTGGTCATTTATTCATTCATTCATTTAAATAAGAAGTATATTGTGCCAGTAACACTCGAGGCACTCAGCTTGCAGAGCTTCAAACAGACTTAATGGAATGTAAAACATAGCAGAACAGACATTATAAACACGTTTCAAATACTGAAGTCTATAATTATAAACATGATAGTGCTGTGAAGGAAAATTAACATGGGCCCATGAGAGAAAATGACAGAGTAGGAAGAAGTTAGACTGAGTGGTAGAGAATACTTCACTGAGAGATGACATGTAAGCTGAGACATCACAAATGAAGAGTGCAAGAAAATATTCTAGAAAAAAAAAAAAAGCAAGTAGCCCCATCTCAAAATGCCCTGAAAGGGGTTGAGTACACTTGCGACAACCTCTTCCTTACTTGCCATTTTATCTTAAACCCACTTCAAGCAGATTTTTACACTTGGGACAACCTCTTCCTTACTTGCCATTTTATCTGAAACCCACTTCAAGCAGATTTTTGTTTCTACTTCTTCACTAAAATTCAAAATGTCAGGCTGTGCTCAACTCCCTAAATGCCAAGTGCAGTGGTTAATTCACAGCCCTCATCTCACTTGACCTCCACCAGATGAACACCCTGCCTTGTTGAAATACTGTCTTCACCTGGATCCCAGCGCATCCTCGTTTGTTTCTACCTAATAGAAGGTGATATGCTCCCTGAGAGCAAGGTCTTTGGCTTGTTCACTGCTGTATCTCTAGTGCCAAGAACAATGCCTGGCGCAAAATAGGCAGTACATAATTGTTGAATGAATTAAAGGAGTCCAGGAAGAAGCAGCTAGTAAGACAGAAAAAGGAACAAGAATAAATGATGTTTTGAGAACTAAGTGAAACAATGATCTCAAGAAGGAAGAGGGTGATCAGCGATTTAAATGTTGCAGAGAGTTGACTTCTGGATTTGGCAATGTGGAAGTTTTTGGTGAAGGTTTTGTGAAGTGTTAAGGTCAAAATTCAGATCAGAGTGGGTTCAAAAGAGAATAGAAGAAGAGGAATTAACAGTAGCAACTTTGGTCAGCTGTTTTGAGGAGTGTTGCTTTCTAGGAGATCAGAAAATGAACAGTAGCTGAAGGTAAATACAAGAGGAAAGGAGCTTTCCCTTTTTGTGTATTTATTTTTTAAGAAGGATATCTGTATCCTGATGGAAGGGTCTGATAGATAAATGAAGTTTGAATTTGCATAATTGAGAGGGGATAATTGCTGAAGCGATGTATTTGAGCACAGGAAAAGAAATAAGATTCTGTGGGTAGGTGAACTGGTGGGCTTTGGAGAAGAGCACAGGCCCAGTTCACACAGCAAGAGGAGATAAGGATATTGGTGCAAGTAGACTAGTAGGTGTGGTGGGGAATGTTTGTAGATAGTCTCCTATGATTTAGCCCCATTGCTGGAGTATTCTTTTCTACCCAAACTCTAAACACTGGAGAGCCCCAAGGCTCAGGTATTAGCTTGCTGCCTCTCCTATACTCATTTGCTGAGATGATATCATTTAGTCTCATGGCTTCAAATATACTACTCATTTCCAGATGTTTTTCTCATGCTCCAACTTTTCCCCAAACTCCAGACTCAGACCCAACTGCTTACCTGATATCGGTTTAATATCTAATGAGCACCTTAAGCTTAATGTGTCTAGAACTGAATAACTGATTTCTTACCTTCCTTCCCAAATCAGCTGCTCATCCTTAACCGTGTATGTATAACACCGTGCACAGAGTTGCTTAAGCCAAAAATGTTGACACCTCACATAATGATTTTTCCTCCCATTGTCACTTTACATTCAAGCCATAAGCTAGGCCAGCAGTAACTTCAAAATACATCTGAAATCCCAATATTTCTTACACATCCCTTGATATCATGCTAATGTGAGCCACCAACATTTTTCGCCTGTGTTACCTAATAGTACTTTCATGGTCTCTCTGCTTCCACTCCTGTCTCTCTGTAGTAAAACTTCCACCAAGAATCCACAGTGTTTCTTTAATAAGGCGTATCTGATCATTTCTCTTTTCTGCTTGTTTTAGTCAATTTTGTGTTGCTAGAACAAAATACCCGAACCTGGGTAATAGATAAAGAAAAGATATTTATTTGGCTCATGATTCTGGTGGGTGGAAAGCCCAAGATTAGGCAGAGATCACATGGTGAGAAAGAAAGCAAGAGAATGAAATCAAGGAAGCCAGACTCTTTTTAATAACCTGCTCTCATGGTAACTAATCCATTTTCGAGAGAGCAAGAACTCACTCACCACCAAGGAAGGGCATTATTCTGTTCATGAGGGATCCATGAGGGATCCACTCCCATGATGAAAACATCTCCCACTAGGTTCCACCTTCTAATGCAGCCACACTGGCAATTAAACTTCAGCATGAGTCATGGCTGCAACAAACCACATCCAAACCATACCACTGCTTCAGACTCGCCACTGGTTTTTCAAAACATAAAATCTTAAGTCCTTTCCATTACCTACAAGGTAATGGAAAGATGACCTACAAGGTCATCCTGGACCAAGATGATCTGGTTGAAGATTAGCTCTCTAACTCATCTTACGCCAAGAGAGGCTTTCCTTGACTAGCATATCTAAAGCAGCACTTTGCTCATATACTCTCCTTCCTTTGCTTTGATTTTTTCATTGTATTTATCACTTCCTTATATTATGTAATGTATATTCATTTACTGTCTATCTCCCTGTTCTTTCCAATATAAAGTAGGCTCTATAAAAGCAGAGAATTGTCTGTTTTGTTAACCATGTATTTGCAGCACCTGTGCCATGGGTTAAGTACTCCACAAATTCATTAAATAAATGGGAGGTGTTGGAGAGTTCTAAAAAATGAAATGAAATTATATAATCAAAAGATTAGAGGGGGGTGGGAAGGGAAGCAGGGATGCCAGTTAGGGGCTCTTGCAATCATCCAGGTGACATGAGATTGACTGGGACTAAGGTGAAAGAAGTGGAGATATTAAGAAGAGAATGATGCAAGATTTATGCCCTTCAAAGTTGTCCACCTACTTTTGTTTGAGCCTCAGTTCTCTGTCCCATTTACAAATTTGATTCCATGAAGATGTATCATGGCCAAATATTTATTGAATGTCTTCATGCAGAATAATAGGACGTTAGAACTGGAAGTGGGCTTGATGTCTTCATTCTACAGATGAGAAAACCGAGCCTTAGAGAGGTTGGGGGTTCCACCCAGAGCCTCTTGACTCATTAGTGGAAGAATCAAGAACTAGAATCTGGTTTGCCTTATTTTCATTCCTGTGCTCTTTCCACTTCCCCAGCAGTTGTATTGCAAAATTACTTTGGAAAAACTATATGTACTTATAACGTATTAAGAACTTTGAAACTGCTAATTGTTGTAAAAATAACTTGCCATATGATTACAAAAGTTCAACTTAGGCCTCTTGCACAATTTTAATTGTATTTTGGGCTGTGCTGAGAAGTCCCAAGAGGACACAACAGATTTTCATTTGCATCTTTCCACCCAACAGCTTCAAACTGATAGTGCAGCATTCAATGTATCATTCCAGGATTATTAATTTAGGGTTTGTCCACTCCCCCTTTCCTGGATGCCCCTCCTAAATATCCACTCAATGTCATCTTTGAGGCAGGAATTTATAAATGGGATTATGTCCAGTATTTTAAGGACATTGCAAAATAAACTACGTAATGAGTGGACCAGATAGGCTGCATAAAGGTAAATAAAATAATTTTTCACACTAATGTAGATTCATTGCATCACATATTATTAATGTAAACTTTATCCTTCAAACCACCTAGCAACAATATCTCATCATTAAGTATAATAAATGCTGAGGGCATTTCCCACCTCTCTATAAAACCACAGCACATTTTTTTCTCCCTTCTTCATATTACGCAGGCCTAATTTGCACAGAATCCAGAAGTGTTTCATTAATTCACTTAAATAGGTTGCTTTTTCCTAATGAGCTTACCTACACAGAAGTACCTAGGAGCTTTCCTCTCCTGGCGGGAAGACGTGTGATTCTGACACATAGGGTGAGAAAAAAAAAGGGTAATTCACTTGGGGCTGATGGCCTAAGAAGATGACAAATACATGGGTGGAAGTGGTATTGTTTCTATCAGCATATACTTGAATTTCTAGAAAAGTTTGGCCTTTGTTTACACCCCCTGAGGTTGAGCAGGACAGAGACAGGCTGTGGACACATCTGTCCCTAAGTATAGCGTCTCTCTGGCTCACTTTCCTCTTCCCATGCTGCACCCGTTCCCTAGTAATCTCTGCTGAAGTATTTGTATCGTTCAGCATGCACTCTAATAACATGAGGATATAAGAAAGAGAGCTGTTATGGATTTAATTGTGTCCCCTTCAAATGCATATGTTGAAGTGCTAAACTCTGGTACCTCAAAATGTGACCTTATTGGGAAATGGGGTGGTTGCAGATGTAATTAGTCAAGACTAGGTCATACTGGTGTAGGGTGGGCCCCTAATTAAATATAACTGGTGTCCTTATAGAAAGGAGAATCTTAGACACAGAAACACACACAGGGAGAATGCCATGTGAAGATGACAGTTATGCTGCTGCAGCCAAGGACTACAGAGGCCAGGAGAGAGCCTTGGAACAGATCCTTCTTTAGTGCCTTCAGAGAGGGCATGGCCTGGCAGGCACCTTGATCTTGGATTTCTGACCTTAAGAACTGTGAGACAATAAATTTCTGCTATTTAAGCCACTGGGTTTGTGGTACTTTATTATGGCGTCCCTGGCAAACAAATACAGGAGCTATTATCAAAGAATGGCAGTGTGTTGATTGCACGGGTCTAGCTCTATCTCAGTCCACAGCATCCAGTGTGAGCTTTCTGAAATGTAAATGAGATCACCTCACATCCCTGCTTAAACGCTTCCAGTGGCTCCTGTCACCCTCTTTTCCCTGTCTATAAGATCTACCAGATCTGTTCCAGAAAGCTCTCTTCCTTTTCACCCTCTCCAACCACACTGGGCCCTTGTGGCTCTCCAAACACTAAGCACTCAGATATTCATATATTTTTTTCTATTCTCAAATTAGGTCTCTGCTAAAAAAAATCATTTCCCCATAAAGCCTTCTTTGATCACCATATTCAAATAACATTTTCCTTGCTTCTTCTTCTTTTTTTTCTCCCTCAATAACACTTACCAGTGCCTAACATTATGTACCTGTGTCTTGCTCATCACCATCTGCAAGCAGATAAGCTTTTCATGGGTAGGAATTGTGTCAGCTTCATTGTTGTATCCTCAAAGGCTAGAATTATAGAGTTCGTAGAAGAAGCTCAATACACATTTGTAGAAGGAATGAATGAAAGAATGAAGGAATGAATGATTGGCCACATACTCTGGGATTTTAGAGTTTTACATTTTCAACAGCTACTTCCAGGGCATGCCTGATTGCCGTTTCCACTTTTCCCTGTGATCCTGTGAGATGGAGCCTGCATCTCACATATTGGACACTTCTCCCACACTTCCTCTCTCCCCCTTTCTCTCTCCCAAAAATTTGAGCCTCAGGAAAGGCATTTCCTAAATGAGGAAAGGGGCAAAGAAAATGAGCTCCCCTGGGGACAGCTCCTTCTCTTATGCATCCTTTTATTCCCTGCAGAGGCTGGTATAGAGTGGGTTCTGTAAATACTGATTAAAGGAATCAACAGGAAATGGTTTTTTATGAAGGACTACATTTTAGATTCACCTAAGTTTCTCTGAAGTAACCCATGCCTTTCAGATAGGCCTCATCTTTGGCTCCAACGACCATTCAATGCATCCATCTGTTGTAGGCAGCCAGTAGGATGGCCCCCAATAATCCCTTTGTCCTGGTGTTCATCCTGTGTAATCCCCTCCCCTTGAGCATGAGCTGGATTTAGTAACTCAACGCTAAGGGATAGAAAAGAGCTGAGTGCTGGGCTGTCACTTCTAAGATGGTTATAAAAAGACTAGCTTTCATCTTGAGTGCTTTTGCTCTTTCCCTCTTGGATGCTTATTTTAGGAGAAGCCAGCTGCCATGTTGTGAGGCAGCCATGTGGAGAGGTCCACAGGAGTGAACTCAGGAGCAGACTCTCCCCCAGTTGGGCCTGGAGATGACTGCAGCCTGGCTGACACCTTGATAGAAGCCTCATGGGAGACCCGAAGTCAGAAATACACAGCAAATCTGCTCCCGGATTTCTTACCCACAGAAACAGTGAAATAATAGATGTTTGCTGTACCCAACTGCAAAGTTTGGGAGTACCAAATTTGTTGGGTAGCAGTAGATAACTGATAGATGGTGCTCTGGTAGAGCATTTGATTTTGGCTCCATTTGTGCATCATTTTGAAAGGATTACTAATGTGAAAAGATAGCTCAAGGCCGGGCGTGGTGGCTCATGCCTGTAATCCCAGCACTTTGGAAGGCCGAGGAGGGAGGATCACCTGAGGTCAGGAGTTTGAGACCAGCCTGGCTAACACGGTGAAACCCTGTCTCTACTAAAAATAATAATAATAATAATAATAATAATCATAATAAAAAATAGCCGGAAGTGGTGGCGGGCACCTGAGGCAGGAGAATTGCTTCAACCCAGGAGGTGGAGGTTTACAGTGAGCCGAAGTCGTGCCATTGCACTCCAGCCTAGGCGACAAGAGCGAAACTCCTTCTCAAAAAATAAATTAACTCAAGAGGTCTTCCAAAGGCTAATATATACATTTAAAGGGAGTTTTTAACATATCCGAGTTTTTAAAATTCGTAACACTTATTTTTGTATATATATTTAAAGTAGTGGCCAAAATGCAAGTTTAAACTGTCTTGTTTACTGAATGTCTACTCTCTGCCAGACAATCTTCTAAACATTTTACAGCTGTGGCTGGGAGAGGTGGCTCACGCCTGTAATCCCAGCACTTTGGGAGGCTGAGGCGGGTGGATCACCTGAGGTTGGGAGTTTGAGACCAGCCTGACCAACATGGAGATACCCATCTCTACTAAAAATACAAAATTAGCTGGGTGTGGTGGCGCATGCCTGTAATCCCAGCTACTCGGGAGGCTGAGGCAGGAGAATCATTTGAACCCGGGAGGCGGAGGTTGCCGTGAGAGGAGATTGCGCCATTGCCCTCCAGCCTAGGCAACAAGAGTGAAACTCCGTCTCAAACAAAAAAAACATTACAGCTATTATTATTATTTCATTTAATCCTCACAAAAACCTCCTGAAGTAAGGTGCTATCATAACCCATTCTAACTATGCAGAAACAGAGGAACAGGCAGTGTAAGCATCTTGCCCAAGGTCATACAACTAATAAGTGGTAGAGCCATGATAGTCTGGTTCCAAAGCCTTAACCACTAGTCTATATTGCATTTTAGACAAAAAGACAGATGATACAGATTAGTAAAACATGTCAAATAGCCTTAAAAAACAACCCTAGTGTAGAAGATTTACTAAACTAGGACAAGATTTTTCATGATTAAAAGATGGGATGTTGTTAGTCTGTAATGAATTCTCAGAAGGATTATATGAGATAAATGAGATAATATACGACAAATACCTAGCATACTGTCTGGCAGATACCAGTACAAAAAAAGAACAGCCAAAAGAGAAAAGGAGATGGACTATAAATTATCGTCGGAAAAAAAAATCACTTTCTATAGGGAGGTCATTTGGATCACAAGAAAATCCACAAGCTTCATCCTTGTCTAGGTAGCAGGTTGATAGGTGCAGCAAACCATACGTGGCACATGTAACAAACCTGCACGTTCTGCACACGTATCCCGGAACTTAAAGCAAAAAATAAATAAATAAATAGGAAAATCCACAAGCATTTACTGATCAGACTCCCGAGTCATTACTGTTCTTATTGACACGTTTCAAAGTCATCAAGACAGGTTGATAGCAAGAGGTGCAAGGATTGTGACTCAGTCATATTCTTACCTGATCTAGGATCCCAGCAGTCACCCAGAATGATTCCCAGAAGAAAGGCCTTAAGAATGGAGGAAATAATACTGGAGTCAGAGGGTCCTGAGTACTGATGTATGACAGAGGAATAGAGACAGCATTTATTTGACTTACAGCTGAGACACCCATGTTTTAGTCTTTACCTTGACAGTATTTTCTATCTGCATGACCTTGGGCAAGCCAGATCATGAATTGGACACATTGGCTCTTCTGGAGTCCACCTTCCCTCCTATTCAGGACTCTCAACGTGGATCGCAACATCCATTAGAGGACAGGGTGTGAAGTGACTTTTGTGTACACTGTGTTTCTGCACTGAGGACTCTTCCCATCTGGCCATGTGCCTGGGTCATCATTTGTAGTTGCATTGTGCCTAGAAATTCAGGGACTTTGACAGCCAGTGTCTAGAGTGCTTCAAAAGGAGTTTGTTTTCTGTCACTGTTTCCCTCGATCTGGTTTAATCAATGGCACCGAACGAGAGACAGAATTCCTTTATGATATCCTTTCTGGGACTTGTTCATTACTTAGAATAAGGTGGCTTCCAAACCACCTTATTACTTAGAATAAGGTGCCAGACCAGATGTGGGTGCGTAACATTTCTAATCAGAGTCCAACCAATCACAGCAAACTAGTTTTCAGTGAAAAATGAAGTGACTAATGGACTCAGTCTAAATGATTATGAGCTGAGTAAAAATTCCATTTTCCTAGTCAAAATAATGTAGAGCTGTTAAATTCAACTTCTGAGATTGTTTGTGGGTTTGCATATTAATCTTCCTGAACATGTATACTTTTTACTCTGTCCATAATTTAAGTGCAGAAAATTAAACTATATGTAAAAAACAAAGCATGGACTCCCAATAATATTCAAAATAACGGCAGCAAGTACATAATTTGATACCTGAGTATCTTATCTTTCATAAAGGGAGGGAAACCAATATTTCTTGCATACCTACTATGTGTGAGGCTCTGTACTAGGGACCTTTTTCATATGTTATCATTTATTCTTCACAACAGCTCTCTCAGGCACTTTTAATGATCCCTTTATTACAGAAGAGGTAGTGGATGCTCCTAAAAGTTAGTGGCAGGGTTGGGGTTTGAACCCCGGTCTGACTGATGCTAAAACCCTCCTTCTTCCTATGAACAAATAGTTTAATTCCCATCCTAGAAAGGTTAATTTCGAATCTGCAGAGTTTTTCTCCTCAATCCAATAAATGAGCCTAATTTATGCTAAAGAATTTCAAATATTAAGATGCCAACTATCCAAACTTGTCAGCAAACCCATCTGACAATCACAACAAGGATGATAATGACAAATATGGCTTTGTATATGCCAGCCACTGTTCCACTTTATGTGGATGATCTCAGTTGTGTCACACAACCGTTCTATGAAGTAGGTGTTGTGGTACTGATTGGTGGAGGTTCTGCATGGTAGGGATGAGATATAAACTGAGACAGTCAGTCTGACTTATAGGGCCATACCTTTTCACTCTTCTGTACAGCTGTCAGATTAAGTAGAACAAAGCAAGATGCCTCAAAACTAACTACCAGTGGCTGGGCATGGCGGCTCACGCCTGTAATCCCAGCACTTTGGGAGGCCGAGGTGGGTGGATCACCTGAGGTCAGGAGTTCGAGACCAGCCTGGCAAACATGGTGAAACCCCGTCTCTACTAAAAAAATACAAAAATTAGCTGGGCGTGACGGTGGGTGCCTGTAATCCCAGCTACTCAGGAGGCAGAGGCAGGAGAATTGCCTGGACCTGGGAGGTGGAGGCTGCAGTGAGCACAGATCGCACCATTGCACTCCAGCTTGGGCGACAAGAGAAAAACTCTGTCTCAAAACAAACAAACAACGAAAAACTAACTACCAGCATATTTTACTTCACTCATTTGGTGGAAGACAAAATACTTGTTACAAAGCTGTGTTCCCATGTTAACTAGCAAATAAAGGGAGCAACGGTGAGTACAATTGGCAGTGGTGAGGACGGTGATGAACTGATACAAGGTCTAACAGTCACGTAATGTTAATATGTCAAAGAGAAGTGATAAAGATACCAACGGAGTTGGCTCCTCAAATAATGGATTCAGGGCTGTATAACCCACTGTATCGTAATGAAAATAAGAGGAATTTTGTGTTTGTAGCAAGGTTGTGATGGTGAAGTCAAGCAGAAGCTACCACCATGGCCTTTCCTGGTCCTTAGAAGGAATGAAGTGATTCCACCCTCTCCCTAAGACAGACTCCATCACTGTGGATTATCAGCTGGCCTGCTCCACCAAGGGAAACTTGACTCCAAGCCTCTCTGGATTAGCAGCCATTTTCTAGTGCAAGAGTGAATCAAAGTAGAAACGAAAATTCAATCTGATACTAATCTCTCTAGGCAATATCTTTTTTGGGTTTTCTTTTAGGTGGCAGGAATAGTGGCATATTTCTGAATTCTGTGTTAACCTTTCATTGTTCAAACCACTGTTTAGTATCGTATAGTTTCTTCTCGGTTATGTAAGTTTAAAAATGTACGAAATCTCTCTCTTGCCCTACAAAGTGTGGCAGGATAGGGTAGTGGTTATACGGACTCTGGAGCCAGACCACCCAAGTCAGAATTCAGCTCTGACACTTAGCAGCTGTGTGACTTTGGGAAAGTTGCAACCTCTTGATGTACCTCAGTTTCCTCATGTGCAAATGAAAATATTATGGGGTTCTACCTTTGGGGGTTGTTGTAAGTTGGTGCAAATAAAGCACTTAGAACAGAGCATGGCACATGGTAAGCATGCCAATACATGTTATTGGCAACTATTGAGTTTACCTTGTAGTTCACTGTTCATAACTTAGGCAGCAATCCTGAGCTAAACTTAAACAAAATTAGGGCTTAATCCCCATGTTAATTATGGGGCTGGTGTATGTGTGTTATGGGACTGTGGGGCCTGTCAAGATAGTCCTTCTAAGGTAAAGGGTAAGTTGCTGCATTTGGCCCCTCCTACAACCAAGAAAGAGGCACAATGCCTAGTGGGCCTATTTGGCTTTTGGAGGCAACACATTCCTCATTTGGGTATATTAGTCCTGCCCAATTATCAAGTGACCTGAAAGGCTGCCAGTTTTGAGTGGGGTCCAGAACAGAAGGCTCTGCAACAGGTCCAGGCTGCTGTACGAGCTGCTCTGCCACTTGGGCCATATGACCCAGCAGATCCAATCGTGCTTGAGGTGTCAGTGGCAGATAGGGATGCTGTTTGGAGCCTTCGGCAGACCCCCATAGGTGAATCACAGTGGAGGCCTCCAGGATTTTGGAGCAAGACCCTGCCATCTTCTGCAGATAACTACTCTCCTTTTGAGAGACAGCTCTTGGATTGCTACTGGGCTTTGGTGGAAACTGAACATTTGACTATGGGTCATCAAGTCACCATGCCACCTGAATTGCCTATCATGAACTGGGTGCTTTCTGACCCATCTAGCCATAAAGTGGGTCATGCACAGCAGCATTCCATCATCAAATGAAAGTGGTATATACGTGATCGGGCTCGAGCAGGTCTTGAAGGCCAAGTAAGTTACATGAGGAAGTGGCTCAAACGCCCATGGTCTCTACTCCTGCCACCCTGCTTTCTCTTCCCTAGCCTGCACCAATGGCCGCATAAGGAGTTCTCTATGATGAATTGACAGAGGAGAGAAGACTAGGGCCTGGTTCACAGATGGTTCTTCATGATATGCAGGCATCACCCAAAGTGGACAGCTGCAGCACTACAGCCCCTTTCCAAGACATCCCTGAAGGACAGTGCTGAAGGGAAATATTTCCAGTGGGCAGAACTTCAATCAGTGCACCTGGTTGTGTGATTATATACTGATACGTGGGCTGTAGCCAATGGTTTGGCTGGGTGGTCAGGGACCTGGAAGAAGCATGATTGGAAAATTGGTGACAAAGAAATCTGGGGAAGAGGTATGTGGATGGGCCTGAGTGGCCAAAAACTGTGAAGATATTTGTATCCCATGTGAGTGCTCACCAATGGGTGACCTCAGCAGAGGAGGATTTTAATAATCAACTGGCTAGTATGACCCATTCTGTGGACACCACTCAGCCTCCTTCTCCAGTCACTCCTGTCATCGCTCAATGGGCCCATCAACAAAGTGGCCATGGTGGCAGGGTTGGAGGTTACACATGGGCTCAGCAACATGGACTTCCACTCACCAAGGCTGACCTGGCTACAGCCAGTGTTGAGTGCCCAATTTGCCAGCAGCAGAGACCAACACTGAGCCCTCGATATGGCACCATTCCTTGGGGTGATCAGGCAGCTAGCTACCTGGTGGCAGGTTGATTATATTGGACCTCTTCCATCATGGAAAAGGCAGAAGTTTGTCCTCACTGGAATAGACAATTACTCCAGATATGGGTTTGCCTATTTTGTATGCAATGCTTCTGCCAAGACTACCATCCGTGGACTCACAGAATGCCTTATCCACAATCATGCTATTCCACACAGCATTGCCTCTGTCCAAGGCACTCACTTTATGGCTAAAGAAGTGTAGCAGTGGGCTCATGCTCATGGAATTCACCATCATCCTGAAGCAGCTGAATTGATAGAAAGGTGGAATGGCCTTTTGAAGTCACAATTACAATGCCAACTAGGTGACAATACTTTGCAGGGATGGGACAAAATTCTTTAGAAGGCCGTGTATGCTCTGAATCAGTGTCCAATGTATGGTACTGTTTCTCCCATGGCCAGGATTCAAGGGTCCAGGAATCAGGGGGTGGAAGTGGAAGTGGCACCACTCACCATCACCCTAAGTGATCCACTAGCAAAATTTTTGCTTCCTGTTCCCGCGACATTCTGTTGTGCTGGCCTAGAGGTCTTAGTTCCAGAGGGAGGAATGCTGTGGATATGGGTACAGCCGGGCGCGAGATTTACACCCTCTCCCCCGCACTTTCAAGGGCCCTCCAGAGCTCACCAGATGCCGCTGGAAGCGCGACGCTTTCCAAGGCGCGGACCCCTCTCTCCAGGCGAACCCAATTCCAGGGCGCCCTGCCCTTCACAAGGAGAAAAGAACTCTCCCCGGGGCTTCCATTGGCTTCTCTGGGATCCTTCGCATTACTGTGCTGGACGCTTGGCAGTGTCCATCTCCGCCACTCCGGATTCGGGATCTGAACCGGACTCCCTTTCGATTGGCTGAGGGCAACAGAGGCCATCGCCTGTCCATTCAGAATGGCGCTCACCTATTTCTCAGGACCGAATGACCCATGTCCAACTGCTGTTCACATGGAACCCTTCTCCACTTCGGCCTTTGAAGTTCTCTTTAGAATATGTGCTACTACCACCAACATCTGCACCTGCGGCGGCTCTGCCCGGGCCCAGCCCTGGGCTTCAAGACTCACCGCAGCGGCCCTCCTACTAGACGCATAGCGTCCACGGGGCTGGCGGGCGGGGGGGTGGTGACCTCCACACATACACTGCTTCTGTTCACTCTGGACTGCTGGCGATGGCCTGGTACAGGCCCAACAATCCAGTGCCATCCATTTTCAGGGGAACCCTGACTAATACAGGGATCATTCAATAAAAAGACTCCAACTCTTAGAAATCAATTTAGTCACTATTTATTATATTGACATATTTACAAAATAATACAAAGTGAAATACCACTCTAATTCACCGTATTACACGAGGGCTGCATACAGGCAAGACAAAGTATATGGAAAACATTTACTTCTGTCTTTGGTATTAGAACTCTACACAAATCTGCAGCATTTAAATTTTCCAAAACAAAGTATTAAACGTGGACAAAGATGTAATTGGTAATGTCACAAAAAGGGGCTCCAATATCCTCTGCTAGGAAACCCCCAGGCCCATGAAATGCAACAGGAAGACTAAACACCATTTATAAGGAGAGGGTCTATTGACTAAAATAAACAATACATGCTACAATACCATCCACAGGAGTGTTTCTGCTTGTGTGAGGCTGCTCCCTCCATAACAAAGTTCGGCTGACGGCAACAGACAAAACATTCCCGAGACAGAGTCGCAGATAAGACTTTACAGGAAAGAATCCATTCCAAGAGTACACTTTGAGGTGTAACTTTATTGTACAGAACATTTTATAAAATACATTTTTGTGATCATTTACACATATACAAAGACTTAAATGGTTTTAGCAAATAATAATTTTTCTAAAACACAATCACAGTTTACATAATTCTGAGGTAAAGGTCTTGAATCTATCCTAGATGAAAAGTCCTAGCCCATGAGGGTCTCTAACAGGGGGATGTGTCCACTGAACCTTGAGTTCTGGCACCCAGACGGATTGATGAGAGGGCAGGCTACACCTGCTTCATTTCAGAGATGATTCAAAATTTCAGAACTTAATGCTCCTGGTTCAGTTCTACTAAGTTAATGCTTCTTTTTTTTCCCAACATGTAACTCTCTCAGTCTTGTCAGAACACAACTTCTGCTATGGAGGAAATATTTCCATCAGGAAAGGGCCAAGTTAGTGTCTTAACTTGACTGCCTTGAATGGGGACTCTGGACCCCAGGAAGAATGTATTTAGGCTCCTCACAAAAAAGAGTGATGGCTGGGCAAAACAAATGTACTGCAAGACCCATCTTCCCTCCAGTTAATACACTCCCAGGATGGGCTGCAGAGGGGGAGACTCTGAGAGAAGCTGGAGGCCCACAAAAGTCCACTGACCCTCTTTCTGTCCCAGAAATGAATAAAGGACCCAGTTGTGCTTTCCTTCCAAAATCCTCAACAAAGTTGTTTGTGCTCCAAGAAAATGTGGGAATAAAAAAATCATGTCCCAGGTCATCTTTGTGTGTGTGCGGGGGAGGTGGATGGGAGGAAAAGGCATGTATTAATAGATACTGCTGCTATAAAATGACATAAATTATAGCCCTTGATCTGTTTCTGTAAACAATGCCAGCTTCTTCAGGTTATTGGCAACTACCCTTAATATACCTAGCCCAGATCCTTTCATAAAGTCAAGTGCTATATTTCCAAAATAATCCTATGAAATCATGAAGGTTGTGAAGGTTTAATATGAAGACACCCTCTCTTTTGTGTGCTTTTTTCACCTTTTATAAAGAAGTTTGCAAATATAATCAGGACACCAAATAAGTAATTAAAACCCTTCAGGGATAGCTCACTTATGATGCAAACCTGAGCACTGGCCTCATATTTTATAATATCATGAGTAACATCTGAGGGTAAAAGTGTTTGCCGGGCAATGAGTCACCTTGTTGGACAATTTAAGACAAGTAAGGCTGGATCTTTCCAGTAAGCTGCTCAAATGGCAGAACTCCAATTTTTCGTCATGCTGGGAAAAGGAAAATTACACTTCTGCTTCTTTGTACCATCAAATAATCTGGTGAATGGCATGTGAGAATAAAGCAAAAGTGTATTAAGATTTACTGATGACTGGCATTCATGGTATCTGACCAGAAGAAGTAAAGGGAAGCACGAACCAATGTGTTTGCAGGGCTCTTCTGGGAAGAACAGCTCTTGGTTTTGCCCTGGTCCCTGACAATGACAGACTGGCAGGCTGTTTCTTGCACAGCTCTAGGCAAGCCATTAATCTGTCAGTACCAGCATCTTTAGAAATCTCAGCATTAAGACTTAGGAGGGGCTAAGGAGGGAGGATGTTGAACAGCCAGAAATGCAGCTTTTTAAACACTTCAGTTAATTCACGATGCTGTGCAGGCTTCTATTTATCCCTTCTCTGAAATTTTTGGTGCAGGGTGCAACACGGGATTTGAATTTATTCATCCTCTTCCACATATGTGGATGGAAACCAGCCCACCTAAAAAAGAAAAGCAACCAACACAGCAACATGACTTTGTATCTGACACTTCAAAGGATTCTACAAACAGAGTATTTTGTTTTCATAACACCCCAATTAAACTGGGGTTTTATGTCCATTGTAGGTGAGAAGATTGGTTTAACTGCTCTTAGAAGCCTAATAGAGTAAATGATCGAAATGGAGGAATAAAATAAACAGTGTTCTAATCCACTAGCACACAAATAAATATGTAAATTAAGTATAATACAGGGGGGCTCTGCTGCATAATGATTCCTATTTCTGCTGTAGAACAGGATGAAAAGACAGAGGTACTATGTCCCATTCTTTCCAATTTACATCAGCAGTTCTTATAGATATTTTGCAATACACATAAAGTTTAGCTCTATGGCTCAGGGTCTAAAAAGAACTGAAATGCTCCTCGACTCTTTTCCAAGCAGCAAGCTGTCCCACTTGCCCAGGTGAATTTTATTTATGTCACTATCATATTCATTTCAAATATTTTCAGCGAGTCCCTGGTATCAGCAAAACACAGCACCAGTTTCCAGAGGGCAGAGGCCTGTGGGCTGAAAGCTGTAATACAGTATAGAGGCTTCTCCCTGGTGCCACAATGGGTGCAAACAACTGCTCAGTCCCCTTCTTTCACATGCACCAGCACATCGAGAGGGCCAACTTACCCTGCCATTTACTTCTCCTCTCCACCAGCCATTTGCACTCATCTTTGTGTAAATCTTCACCACATCTCCTTTCAACAAGGACAACTCTCTCATATCTCTTGCACAGAAGTCATACCGAGCGATGGCAATGCCCAGCACTTTTGGACTTAACACTGTCAAGAAATGACAAGCAATGACAGTAGGTTTGCAGTTCGTTAACAACCATAACAACCTAATCAGATGAATGTTATTGATGCTATCAAATGCACAGTCGTGATTTCATTACAGACCAGCGATAATGGCAGAGGAGCTTGAAAGCAGCAGAATTGCTGTTTCAATTCAATCAGGTGCAAGCAAATTCGCTTCATAAGTTTAAAGAACCATTGTCCTGTTTTTCCATTCTTCATAAGAACCTCAATCAAAGTAAGGACTAGTTTTTATAAAAATGAAACAAAACAAAACAAAAAAACAAATTAAAAAAACTCGTTAATATCTAAGTATCTAAGGAGATAGATTCTAAAATAATTTCATCATACACTTCCTATTGATGGCCCAGTAATCTAACCAGCACCTCCAAGGTAAAGCTTTATGTTTTTATCCAGTAACTGCTTTAACTAACACTCAAAACAACGAAATATTTTGCTCTGATGTCAGTCTCTTGTCAAATCTATGTTATCACTTCTGGTTAAGTGGCACTTTCTTCCCTAACAAGGCTTTCTATGTTAAAACTATTTGGGGATAAATTTAGTTATTGTTTTCTATATAATTCACCTAAGTGAAGAGGTGTGAATCAGGTCTCAGAGAAGGAACACACAAATACCATCTATATTTTCTTTCTTTGAAACAAATACTGCCTTACAGAAAAACTTTACTGATGTATCTAATCAAAAATAAGATGTCAGGGTATTAAATATCCTGTGTTCAGAGTTGAGTTTCTCTGTGTGTGTGTGTGTGTGTGTGTGTGTGTGCGTGCGTGCGCGCGCGCGCGCGCACACGCGCGCGTGTTTAATATTCGATGGCAGGAGAGGAGCTAACTTTCTCCCTGGCCCTGCTGGCCCTGTTCTGAAAAGAAAACTCCATTCCAGTGGTTCATGTTTGTTAGTCTCTAGTGTTTCATGGCACGCTTTATATTAACTTCTCTACCTGTTGCTCTTTGGGGTTATAAAGTGTTTTCAATTATATGTTCAGTGATTCTGAGAATCACTCATCGGAGGTTGGTGAAACTTTATAAATCTTAAATGGTAAAGGAACTTAAGTGTAAGAAAAAGAGACAAATGGGAAACACCAACCATCTGTATTTTTAACAGTTCCCAGGGCTCAGGCAGCAGAAGTTATGACCTGTGTTACCCTGGAAGAGCCTGCCCACTTGGCCACAGGGATCTCTGACCTATTATTCATGGCTTTGTAATGACAGAAATTTTTTTAGACTCCAGGTGTCCATCACGAAATAAATGAATGGCAATACTCTAGATTTCAGAACTGTAAAGGGAGTAAAAATAGGTCATTTTGTTTTACTGTTCAGGACACAAACCACTTTAATAGCTTTCTCACTGAAAACTGTCCCATTACTGGGGCACTACTGTTAGAGTCGGTGCACATAAAAACACCCCTATGATGGAAAAACCCAATCATCAACTGTGTGGTGACCTTGCATAGGTCTCCTAACCCCTCAAGGCCACATTTTTTCTCATCTATGAAATGAAATGTTTGTACTAGATGACTTCTAAGTTTTTTCTAGTTTTAAATTCTATGATTTTTATTGGGATGTGCAGGTTAATTTTTAAAAATCGGTCAGAAAACAGACTTTATCTAATGTATACCCTAAATGTCATGTAAATAGCCATTAAACTCTCTGGGTAATGACAGAAATCAAGACCAAAATGCCCATGCACAAACCGAAGAACTGCAGAATTCATGGGCGCCAGTCATCTTTTCAAGTAATGTGTACTGAATTTTACTTTTATATTTGAAAACAAAGTTGGGATTTTATTTCTATTTATTTTCTTCATGAAAATACATAAACATTGGCTTTTTTCAACTAAACTTTCTGGTCTTCAAGAAAAATAATGATTTTATAGATTTTTCATCCCCCTTTATACTTTCAGCCCCATCCCTCTGCAAACTCTCCCCAACAGATAAATTATAGAATGTCTCATGGCATGAGCACACACACAAACACCAGAGGAGTGAAATGTCATGATGAACGGTGACTATGACAGAGAAGAGTAAAGTGCATGGTGGTAATGGAACTCGAGGGATTGTCTGTGAGGAGATGTATCCGTATGAGAAGCCATACATGGAACTCAAATATTTTATTTGCAAGCAGAAGCAAGTTGAAGAGACAAATAAAAGTAGTAAAGCAGTACCTGACCAGAAAGGAGTGGAAGAAGGGGGAACAAAGCTGTAGTCTGGAGGAGTTACAAAAGAAAAGCCACAGAACAAAGAGGGGGCTTTGAGAAAGAAAGAAAAAGAGAGAAGCAAAAGAGCATTTAGGTATTGGCAAAAATATCTCAACACAACCATTTTCACCCACTTCTTTCCTATCACCATTTCTAAATGAAGAACAAGCCAAACTTTTACATTTTGATAGACAATAGTATTTTGCAATTCAGAGCTGTCTATCCTTTTACAGGCAAACACAGAGAATACCCACTCCACATTGCCATCTTTGAACCCCATCCATCCAAGGATGGCCAACAATGGCCTCATCCTTTTGATGTGGTGCCCAATTCCCACTTTGTTACATCAGTGGAAAGGGGTAACCTGTAGATGCTTACTGTAAAGTAATCCTTCACATCAAAACTATTATAAAGAAAAGCCTGTAAGATGGTATCAATGAAACATGCAGAACCCATGGAAAATTCAAGAAAATTATTCATACAATTTGTTACAAACCACCTCCATCCTCCCAGCCAAGCATGCACATCCCAGCTTATTTTCAAAAGGAGAAAAGTGCAGTTAGAAATGAAAACCACTCTGACTCTTATAGCTGGAAAAAAGTAAATACATCCTCCACATTGTAGAGATGTACAGAAAAGTTACATGTCTATGGATGCTCTAAAACTTTCATTTTACTTTTAATATAAGAGCTAATCACATTTATCAAATGGTTTTGAAGTCTTAGGTACCATGCTGAAAGTGCCATACTCAGTATTTCACTTAATTGTCACAGCTCTAAGAGGAAGGTACTAATATTATTTCCCCTTTACATATGAGAAAAATCTGGACTCAAACCTAAGTGATGTGACTCCAGGGTACCTGCTCTTAGCGACTGCTGCACTACTGTGCAACTGCCACTCTGCTTCAGGCACCTCCGCAGGCAGCTATATAAATTGACCTGCTGATACTATGGTGCCACTGCAATGGAAAAGGAAGGTGTGGTTGTATACTTTCTCCCAGTATTTATTCTCCCCTTCTTTCATGTCTTAGATTATGCATTGGGCTATGTTTGCCTAGAGAGAAGGCTACATTTCTCAGCCTCCCTTGCAGTTCGGTATAGCCATACAACCAAGTTCTGGCCAATGGAATATAAACAAAAGTGTCATGAGACAGCTTCTGGGACCTTTCCTAACAATACAGTGGACACACGCCTTTGCCTTTCTTTTTGGCTCTTCATTCTATCCTGCTGTCTGGAATATGAAAGCTACTATCTTGGTTCATGAGGAGGAAAGCCTCCCCTTCAGGATGGTGGAGCATGAGCCTGAAAGAAACTGGATCGCTAAAGATTTCCTGGAACAGAGATGACCAGCCCTGCCCTCCAGCCCTGGAGTATTTCTAGGATTTTTTGGGAAAGAGAAATAATTATCTTCTTGAAGCCTATTTAAGGTTTTTGGGTTGCTGTTACTTGTACCATGGCCTAATCTGAACTGTGACAAAAAGTTTTCTACAGCCAAGCATGAGGTAAAAGTGAGCTAAGACAACTGGGAATGAGTTCACATCATCTTCCAATATATTCTGCCTCTGTTCAGGTAACTGCTTGACTTGACAGCCACAGAATTCTTCCAAAGTTAATACTCTTGTCATGAAAGGGTCCTAGTGATATTTGTGGATAGCAGTGACTTATTAAGGAGATTCCCAGACACCACCCAAACAGACTGGCCAAGAGAATTGGAGGGAGTTTAGTTATTCTTAGAATCAATGGCCTTGGAGCCCTCATATACACACTGATGCATTAATGACAGACTTTTCTCATGAATGGCCTCATGTTTACTTTTCACCTACCATGAAGTATACTCTTGTTGATAATCAAAGTCCTTTTCTATTCCATTGCACATTCTGCAGTACATTTTTTATTTTTAAGTATACTGATACATGCCATTACAACTAATTTTTATAATCAGCCCAAATCATTTTCAGCCATGCAGTAGAAATGGTACATTTTCATTTTCTTGAGATCATGATATAATTTTAGAGGACAGGATGCCACCTCCATTTTAATGAGCAAATGACACACATCTAACTCTATTATTGGCAGAAAATCTGGTGCTAAGATTTCTATCCTATGTCTGTGAAAACTTCAGTTAGAAGCCCTCATTCTAAACATTACTTCTGTCAGGCATTAGAATTCTCTCCTTGGACTGTTTTCTTTCTTTCTTTTTTTTGAGACGGAGTTTCGCTCTGTTGCCCAGTTTGGAGTGCAGTTACACGATCTCGGCTCACTGCAAGCTCCGCCTCCCGGGTTCACGCCATTCTCCTGCCTCAGCCTCCCGAGTAGCTGGGACTGTTTTCTAAGTGTCCATCCTTGTGTCTCTCTCTCTGGGACTATTTTATCCATAAAGAAATAAAACACTATATTTCTCCAAAATTTTCAATGAAGGTAATTTACACCAAGAGTCTGGAATATAACAAGAGATAAGTTAGCTCTAGAAGAGAGAAATGATAAGCCAGTGAAAACACAGTTAAATGCAAATTAAATAATTTCAACAATAGGTAGGTAAATTAGATAAGATAACCTATCTGTAATCTTAAAATATCTACTATTCCTGAAGGAATAAGGGTAATACTTGACCAAAGGACTTGAAACTCTGTTTCAATTACAGAATATCAGGGTGCTAGCCCTCTCTCTTATCTAACTCTAAAAGCCTTATCATCATTCGCATTCCTATCAAGTAGCTAGAATTAGAATCCTCTTAAATCTTATCTAAAATATTATAATTCCACCCAAACAGTAGTTAGCCCTCACAGTTAGGCTTTGGCCCCGCTGCTGTCTTCACTTAAACTAATGTTTTTCCCTTATGAATGCAGGAGATTCTTCGATATGGTTTGGCTTCTCACCTGAATTTCAGACTATGGCTTCAAATGTTTTCATGACACTGCTATGAAGACTAGCTTTTATGTCTGATTTAATGTGTCTGAAACCAAATTCCTCAACTTATTCCCTGTAATCTAGCTCAAAGTCCCATGTTTCCCCCCTGCAAGAACTCTCCTGTTCTCTCTGTGAACTAGCCTTGCAAAGTTAGTACACCGTTCAGCCCTCCTTGTCGCCTTTCTAAGTAAAGTGCTTTCTTTCTCTGCAATATGAAGTTAATCGTTCAGTAATTCTCAGCTGCACCATCCCAATTCAGGTATCTATATCATTCCTACTCTCAGAAAACTGCCAGCCAAATGGTCTTCTTGCTTCTGGCTTTCTTTCTCTTCTGTTCTAAATACTGCCTCACAGCAGCTCACCTTTGATGTAAAGTCTATCATGCTATTTGCTAAATTATGAAATCCAAACCCTTGGCCTGAATTCCATGACAATTCATAATCTGGCCACTCTTGTCTCTCTAATGAAATCTGCATCCATTTCCACATGTGTTCTCTTTACCCAGACCAGCTTCCTACTACCTCCTGAGGCCCTCAGCTACATTTCCAACTCCAAATATCTGCTCATTCTGGAATGCTGCTCCTTCCCCGACCTCTGCTGACCTTAACTTCCCTGTCTCAAAAGTCCAGCCCAGACCCCTCCCAGGAGCCTTCCCTGACAATCCAGACAACACTCTGGCCCCTTCTTTGACCTTTCCTAGCCCTCTGGTAGGCATTGCATCATGGCACTTCATGGCTCTGATATTTAATTACTGTACGTTCTGTGTTGTATCCCCAATTAGACAGCGATTCTGGAGGGCAGGGGCCAGTTCTAATATTGCTTCTGCATCCTCCACAGGATCAGGTCCAGTGCTAAGCAACTGAAGCTGCTGAATGGACAAGTATCTCGGCAGGGTATTTAATTCTGCAAGTTCCTTATGTCTCCTCCTTCCATTCCTTTAGCTCATCTTCTGCTCACTTAAACTGCTCCATAAGACTTCCAACAAAGGCCAGCAAAACACCAAGCAAAGAAAGCGAAATATATTCGGGTTCTATTCCGCAGGCTTCCTGAGCACCACCATCTATCAGTGATATTCCTAAAATAACTATTATTTTTTTTTTCTGAGATGCTGAACACCTATTAAATACTGTATGTCTCACGGCATTAACCATACTCTATGCCTGAGGAATCTTCTTAGGAGTAAAAGGTTAATCAGTTTCTCCTGCCACCCAGTGTATAGCTCTCAGCCAAACATTTTAAGGATTGGTAGGGATGCTTTCTACTTTTCTACACACTGTAGCGTGACTTATTGTTGCCACTCTTCCTATATATCAATGGTAAATGCCTTTGGGTCCTTAATTCCTTTGAGCTGGAAAAACAGCATTTGAATGCCTGGCACCTACTGAGACAAGAGTAAAAGATAACATGTTTCTCCAGGAAAGTATGGATTTAAACCCAGATGTAAGCAATATCAGAATAAGGTATTTGATAAAAATATTTTTAGAATGATTTAACCTGTAAAATATATTTCCATCCATACTGATAATATATCCACTTGTTTCTATATATATGGATGCATGGTTTCATCATCAAACTCCTCCTACCACACCAAGAAACTTCTAAAGTAAAAATTATTGGTAGGTACACGTCCTGGAATAGAATTAAAAAGGGCCCAGTAACAGTGACATTTAAATGGGAACGTTGAGGTGGTTATCATCTCCCGGACTCTTCATTCACTGCCTAACATTATAGACAACCTACCTGCATCATGTTGTTCTGGAAGCTTCTTGAAAGAGAACTCTTTTATGCATATTAGCATCCACTTAGATAATATTACACCAATACTGCGACCTTTTTCAATAGGTAATCATTTGCAAACTGGATGCTTCGTTTAACGGCATAACTTTCCCCCTTTTACAAACACTTTCAACTCCATATTAGCATAGGCAAGGGAGGCCACCTTGCTTAGAGAGACCATCACACTTAGGTAGGTATCTGGTTATTTTGCATGTGTATGACACCTGGCTCTCAACTGAGCTAACATACATGGGGCATTATTAGCAAATGACTCAGTGGCTCATAATTTAGTGACTTAAAGTTTCCAATTAGGAACTATTAAGAGCACAGTCAAATATTATTTATCAAGTTTTCCAAGTTAAGCAAAACCTGAAGTACTAACATTACCTAATATAAATAGAAGTTATCTGTTAAATAAATAAACTTGGAATAGAAGTTATCAGCATAGCCATAATAACTGACTGGCAAATCATTAGTGGTTATTATTCAGTTCTGAGACCTGACTGAGAAGATAACACCACAAAACACAGAAGAATGCCAATTAAAAAGAAAAAGAACACAGTGTTTATGGTAGGATAAAAAAGTACTAGTGACTGGATATTTGATGCCTATACTTTTGTTGCCAAGGCTAAGGATTGTTTTAAAGTATTATGTTCTGCCTTGATCGTGCTATTAATGTTCATGAGCAGATGAAAATTTACTCAGTTTTCAGTAATATTTGAAATTTTTACACATTGGAAACCAACCTAATCGACACTCTTCGTTCAGGTACTAGTTATCAAATCCTAAGTATTTTTGAACTAATAATTATCCTTTACATGTATCAGAGAACATTACCCTAAGTTGCTTGCTAAGTATTCTCTGGGACAGACATTCCTTAACACTCAGTTTTTAGTTGTAACAAGCACATGTGTTCTCACTCAGGTAACAAAAAGTTGTTAGTAAGAATATGAGAAGATTGGGTCAATGGTACTGTCAACACTGATCACTTGCGTTTGCTGCCCAGCAGTGGCCCTAGATGTTTTGCTGAAGAACTGTACTCCTAAGTGGGATGCTTTGATGAGCAGTCTAGGAGGTTCGTTTTGCCAAGATTGTCTACAGATGGCCTAACACCAGAGAACATGCTGAGAATTTAATGAATGCTTAATTTAAATTTGTGATCCTTACCCTGGTTTTATTTTAGAACTCAGGCATATCGTTTTAGATGCCCTGCAAAATTCATAGACAGAGTATCAACTATCTGCTCCCCAATCTCTCCCAAACAAAATGACCTAAAACCCTATTGTTTACTGCTTATTGTATATATATATTTTTTATTATTATACTTTAAGTTTTAGGGTACGTGTGCACAATGTGCAGGTTAGTTACATATGTATACATGTGCCACGCTGGTGCGCTGCACCCACTAACTCGTCATCTAGCATTAGGTATATCTCCCAATGCTATCCCTCCCCCCTCCCCCCACCCCACAACAGTCCCCAGGGTGTGATGTTCCCCTTCCTGTGTCCATGTGTTCTCATTGTTCGATTCCCACCTATGAGTGAGAATATGTGGTGTTTGGTTTTTTGTTCTCGCGATAGTTTACTGAGAATGATGATTTCCAATTTCATCCATGTCCCTACAAAGGACATGAACTCATCATTTTTTATGGCTGCATAGTATTCCATGGTGAATATCTGCCACATTTTCTTAATCCAGTCTATCATTGTTGGACATTTGGGTTGGTTCCAAGTCTTTGCTATTGTGAATAGTGATGCAATAAACATACGTGTGCATGTGTCTTTATAGCAGCATGATTTATAGTCCTTTGGGTATATACCCAGTAATGGGATGGCTGGGTCAAATGGTATTTCTAGTTCTAGATCCCTGAGGAATTGCCACACTGACTTCCACAATGGTTGAACTAGTTTACAGTCCCACCAACAGCGTAAAAGTGTTCCTATTTCTCCACATCCTCTCCAGCACCTGGTGTTTCCTGACTTTTTAATGATTCCCATTCTAACTGGTGTGAGATGGTATCTCACTGTGGTTTTGATTTGCATTTCTCTGATGGCCAGTGATGGTGAGCATTTTTTCATGTGTTTTTTGGCTGCATAAATGTCTTCTTTTGAGAAGTGTCTGTTCATGTCCTTTGCCCACTTTTTGATGGGGTTGTTTGAGTAAGAGCTATCTGTGACAAACCCACAGCCAAGATCATACTGAATGCGAAAAAACTGGAAGCATTCCCTTTGCAAACTGGCACAAGACAAGGATGCCCTCTCTCACCACTCCTATTCAACATAGTGTTGGAAGTTCTGGCCAGGGCAATTAGGCAGGAGAAGGAAATAAAGGGTATTCAGTTAGGAAAAGAGGAAGTCAAATTGTCCCTGTTTGCAGATGACATGATTGTATATCTAGAAAACCCCACTGTCTCAGCCCAAAATCTCCTTAAGCTGATAAGCAACTTCAGCAAAGTCTCAGGATACAAAATCAATGTACAAAAATCACAAGCATTCTTATATACCAATAACAGACAGAGAGCCAAATCATGAGTGAACTCCCATTCACAATTGCTTCAAAGAGAATAAAATACCTAGGAATCCAACTTACAAGGGATGTGAAGGACCTCTTCAAGGAGAACTACAAACCACTGCTCAATGAAATAAAAGAGGATACAAACAAATGGAAGAACATTCCATGTTCATGGGTAGGAAGAATCAATATCGCGAAAATGGCCATACTGCCCAAGGTAATTTATAGATTCAAATGCCATCCCCATCAAGCTACCAATGACTTTCTTCACAGAATTGGAAAAAACTACTTTAAAGTTCATATGGAACCAAAAAAGAGCCCGCATCGCCAAGTCAATCCTAAGCCAAAAGAACAAAGCTGGAGGCATCATGCTACCTGACTTCAAACTATACTACAAGGCTACAGTAACCAAAACAGCATGGTACTGGTACCAAAACAGAGATATAGATCAAAGGAACAGAACAGAGCCCTCAGAAATAACACCGCATATCTACAACTATCTGATCTTTGACAAACCTGACAAAAAACAAGCAATGGGGAAAGGATTCCCTATTTAATAAATGGTGCTGGGAAAACTGGCTAGCCATATGTAGAAAGCTGAAACTGGATCCCTTCCTTACACCTTATACAAGAATCAATTCAAGATGGATTAAAGACTTAAACATTAGACCTAAAACCATAAAAGCCCTAGAAGAAAACCTAGGCATTACCATTCAGGACATAGGCATGGGCAAGGACTTCATGTCTAAAACACCAAAGCAATGGCAACAAAAGCCAAAATTGACAAATGGGACCTAATTAAACTAAAGAGCTTCTGCACGGCAAAAGAAACTACCATCAGAGTGAACAGGCAACCCACAAAATGGGAGAAAATTTTCACAACCTACTCATCTGACAAAGGGCTAATATCCAGAATCTACAATGAACTCAAACAAATTTACAAGAAAAAAGCTTATTGTATATTTTATATATTGTCACTGAAAAAAAACTAGGAATAATTTAGATTAATTTCATTTAATTGAATGCTGACATCTGGTAAGTAGACAAATTTCTGTTAACCCAAAGTCCAAAGCTGTAACAAGGAAAACTTATGTCTAGGATTATTGTAAAAAATAAACTACTACTTAGTATTCAATGCTACAGAGTATAAACATATAAAGCCATTAACAAGAAAACAAACTAAGTATAAGGTCTTTCTTATTGCTATGGAAAACTGCCTAGGGATTTCAGATTATTTATATGCATATGGCTTATCAAGATGTTAATTCTAAATCTATATTTAAAAAATATTTGGCAGACATGTATTATATTGCTAATGTGCCAAAGACTGCTAAGATATCATAGGAGATATAATGAATAGGTACAGCCTCTGACATCACAGGAGCTTAGAAATTAGTGAAGAGATAGACACAGACAGAAATTATGTAGAGATATGGAAATGATTGATTTTGGATTGAGAATGCTATGATTAGACTTTAGGCTCTATTGGAGCCCTCAACACAAAACAAAACCTTCCAAACTCCCAGTTGCTCAGAGCAAAAACCTTAGAATTATTCTTAAGTCTTCTATTACTATTATACATCACATCTGATGTGTCATAATATCCTTTTGGATCACCCTCAAAATATAAATATAGTCACCTATATGGCTACGTGCTGTTCCAGGCCACTATCATCTCTTACCTTGATTGCTGTATGGGCCTAACTGGTCTTCCTGTGCCTACTCTGTCATCTATTTTCATGGTTTTTTTTATTATAATACAGAAACTAGAATAATCCTATTAAAACTTTAAAGACAGACCATGTTTCTCCTTTGCCCACATCCCTCCAATGGTTTCCTGTTTCTTCAAGGGTAAAAGCTAAAGTCCTTTAGGGCCTTAAGTGATCTGGCCTCACTTACCCCTTGAACCTCATCTCCAGCTACTCTTCCTCTTGGTCCTTCTGCTCTGGCCACATTGCCCAGTCAGACATACCCCTCCCTTAGCACTGACAGTTCTCTCTTTCACCTCCTTGAGAGTCTTGATTCAAATGCAACCTTCACAATGAAACCTGCTGTGATGTCCTATAAAAGTCATGGATCCACACCACTAGTGCCATGTGATGGTGACAGAAACAGAGCTTATTGTGGGAACAACACACAATCAGAGAAGTAGGTAGCGTGCATGCAATCTCCCAAACTCCCATTGTCCTACTGCTGAGGTGAGGCACAAATGCTCTACACACACTGTAGTTACAGTTTCAGCATCCTGCTCTATGTATTGACAGGATATTTATGCAAACTTATAATAGCAGAAGCTCCCTGGTCACACAAGTGGCCTGTTAGAAAGAAGTGCTTCTAGAGCCAGTGGCTGGTGTCAGCCTGCTCTACCATTGAACTAACTCAGAAGTGATGAACCAGCTTTCTGCTACGCTACCAGAAAGAGGGAAAATGAGACTATAGTTTTGTTTTTCATCACCCAACCAGCCCAGTTAAAAATTGTAAGCCATCCCTCAGCGCTCATGAGTACCACTCCCTTGGCATAGTTTTTTTTTTTTTTTTTTCCCAGAGCGCTCAGTAACGTCTAACATAATACACTTAATTATTTTTCTAAATCCATTAGCTACCTTCCCTACTAGCAAGTGGCATCTCCATTAGAGTAGGGAATTTTATCCATGCTATTCACTGCTGTATTTTAACAGTGCCTGCCCTGAAGTAGGCTCTCAATTAAGATCTGTTGAATGAATGCATTAATGAATAATGAATGAATGAATGTGGGGAACTATGGAGGAGGTTAATGGTGAAGATGCAACAACTAAACAGTAAATGAGGAAAGAAGTGCTTGGATTCGACTGAAATATGTAGAACTGTACCCTTTGAGGAGGAAGGAGAAAGGGAAGGGTGGAAATTAACTGTTGAAGAATGAGTTTTGAATAAAGAAAAATCTGAGCCAATCAGTCAGGCAATATTGAAATTTTTGTGCCCGGTCTGACAAATTGGAGTGCATCTATCAGAGGGTGGTGAAGATGGTGGGAAATTGACAACCATTTACATGATGAGGAATTGATTAATTATTTTGAAAAAGAAAAGGAAGGAATGAAGAGGTAGGAAGGAAGCATGGGGAAGGGGAAAGAACATACCAGATGAAAAGTTACCATGAGAGGGAGAGTATATAGTATATTTATTTTGAATGTACAATGCATTATTTTTATAGTATATTTGGGGTTATCTTGGTAGGAAGAATATATATTTATTTTGAACTAATCACAGTAAATAGCTATAGTACATCAAATTTCTAGATCAATAAAAGAAAAAAACTTAATTTGTTCAGAAAATAGGGTGTTTTGTGTGGTATTGAACATAAAGTCCCTTGAGTGTTCAAGCAAAGCCTGATGATGACTTCTCAGGAGTGTTACAGAACGTTTAAAAAAACTTGTATTAGGGCTAATGGGGATGGTAAGTTTGAAGTGCCTAGATACAAGAAGAGTTTCTCTGGCATTCCTACCTATTGTTTAGATGTTAAGCTGTATTGTATGTAACACTTGAGACGTGAGTATGATATAGTATTTAATGCAAGCAGAGGCTCAACAAATGTTGAATGCACGAAGCAATGAATGAAAGTATAACTTAATGAAAGGAAACCCTAGCCGAATATGTAGTCAGCTTATTAATGTTATTAAGAGCAAGAGAGCTGCAGAGTTAAAACCTGCTACCTTATGCAGATTTGGGATTCAGCAGGGAAAATCAAATATCAGTCATATATCAGGAAAAAAGAGATATCAGCATTGATCCTCATAACTAGGAGCCTGGTTAAATTTTTAGGAAGAAAAACTGGGAATTTCTCCCCATTTAGATGAATTTGTTTGTTTTTCAAGCAAGAGACTAGTAAAACCAAATTCTTGGATCAGGGCTGTTATATGAAAGCACTATGGTAAATTAACTGCATTGAGACCAGTTATGTATGTATGTTTGTATGTATGTATGTATGCATGTATCTATGTATGTAGTTATTTTTTATATTGAGTCTCCCTCTGTTGCCCATGCTGGAGTGCAGTGGCACCATCTTGGCTCACTACAACCTCCACTTCCTGGGTTCAAGCAATTCTTCTGCCTCGGCCTCCCGAGTAGCTGGGATTACAGATGCGTGCCACCACACCGGGCTAATTTTTTGTATTCTTAGTAGAGACGGGGTTTCACCACGTTGGCCAGGCAGGTTTCAAACTCCTAACCTCAAATGATCCACCTGCTTCAGCCTCTCAAAGTGCTGGGGATTACAGGCATGAGCCACTCTGCCTGGCCGAGACCAGTTTTCAATTTAGAACATGAGGTTATATGAGACACTATAAAAGTATTAATGAACAGTATAAAAGATGAGAAATTCTAAGATCATAAGTACTGCTCTGAGCCTTGAAACATTTAAAAGATAGCACTGAATGAGGTTATCTGAATCTGTAGAATTTACACCTGCAAGCCATATTCTGAAGGGATCCTGGATACTGGTTGCTAACTTTTAAAGCCATCAGGCTCAGAATAAAAATGCTTTAGAGTAGCTGGTAAAGATCCTGAAGTAACTAAATAAAAAAGGGAAGCCCAGCATCACTTACTAATGAAGATGTGCAATTGCAGTTGATCAGTTGTTCAAGAACTGTAAATTATGTGGACATCATAAATGAAGAGAGAAGAATATAAAAATGTCAGCAATATGTTATAACTAACTTAGTCCATAGAATAGTGTGTATACCGGAATAGTGTGTATCCAGGAAATAGAAGTAGGAAACCAAAGTATCAGGGAAAAGGAGAAGGACTTTATAAATATACTTAAAATTGTCAAATGAGGCTAATGTAACACTTCACACTGGGTACCAGTATTGGAAGTGGTAGCAGGAGCAGCAGTAGTAATAGCAGGAGCAAAACACATAGCACTTCCCACATGTGAGATGCTATTCTCAGTATTTCACACCTACTAACTCTTTTAAGCCTCCTAACATGAGCATTAAACACTATGAGACAGTGTTGCATGATGAAATAAACTGGGGAAAACTCTAGATAAACTGTCACTTTCCTAGAAGGGAATACATCATACTAGCAGCATTTCTTATATATCTGTTTGACAAAAGAAATCTTTTCATGGTACTTCTCACAGGGCTAGAGATTCCTGGAATACTCCATTGGAGATATTGATCTGATATTTGTAAAAGGGGTTTGAAAAGTAAGAGTGTCCTGTTAATCATCAAATTATTGAATTTCAGAATTCTTAGGTTCTCTTATTCCATATAAAATATTTAATACAATGTTTCAGACAAATGGTCATTCAAGTATTGTTTAGGAGCCTGCATTGGCTAGAAGTGCAGTCTCTCAGAAAGATAAGGCATTTCACCATGGAAAGGCAATACAATTCATTGAAAACACTTTTTTTTTGTATTAAAGTAGTGTTTTTCTTGTATAAATCTCATTCACTGACTGCCTGACTGCTGTAATAATGTAAAGTCCTCTTATAACTCCAAGTTACAAAATGACAAAAAGAAAAATTAGAATAAGGATGGAAAATTTTAGAGAAAAGTTTAAAATTAATACAGTGGAACTGCAGTGGGTCGAATGGTGGCCCTTCAAAAAGATATGCCCACCCAGGACCTGTGAACCTGTGAATGTGACTTTATTTGAAACAGGGGTCTTTGCAGATGTAATTCAGTTAAGGATCTCATAATGAGATCAAGCTGTATTTGGGTGGGCCCTAAATCCAATGACAGGTGTCCATAAGAGAAAAGAAGGGACAATGATACACACAGAAGGTGACGTGAAGACCAGCAGAGACTGGAGCGGTGCATCTATAAACCAAGCCATGCCAAGGATTGCCAGTAGAAACTGGGAGAGGGGCATGGGAGGGATTCTCCCTCAGAGCCTCCAGGAAGAATTAGCCCTGCTAACACTTTGGTTTTCAACTTCTGGCCTCCAGAAGGGTGAGAGAGTAAACTTCTGTTGTTTTAAGCCACTTGGTTCGTGATAATTTTATAGCAGTACTAGGAAACCAATATAATGAGATTAAAACAAATATTTAAATTACCAGAATAAAATTAGATCATATCAAACCCAATTGCAAAATGACCGAGGAAAAGATGACAAAAAAACTGAGGATACAATAAAATCAGAAAATAAAGGCAGGTGAATATGGGAATGCTGAATTAAAAGGGCAAGGGAGAAACTAAGTTAAGTGGATGGTTAGGAACCTGTACGAAGGAGATAATAAATATTGTCTCTATTCTATTGTAATATAACTAATAAATAGTAGTTAAGGAATTATTAGGATGTTTAAGGAATTATCAGGAATAAGAATGCTACTTTATGTTCTACTGAGTTAAATAAATACGACACAAATTATCCAAGTTTCTGTTTCTACCCAAAATACTGACTAAAAATGAAGGATAAGCATGTTGTTGGATGGTGAATAGAATAATGGGGACAGTGGGTGACAGGAAAGAGACCACACCCAGGGAGAGACAGCCTAGGCTCTGTTCTGGCTTCTACTTCTTCCTGCAAGGTCAAACTTATGGCTCCAATGACAAAAGTAGCCTTTGTCAATCTTTGAAGAATTGCTACACTATTTGTCACCACACTGAAAGGAACATGCTGATCTACACTTTGTTTTCAAACTCACCCATATTCCCATGCTTTTCCAGTTTCAACTTAGCACTCTAATATCTGCTGTGTCTCCTGTGAACCTTAGACTCTGACTTCTCTTATTTAGCCCCTTCTGAGGCTATTTCATGCAAGGCATGTGCAAAAGTACAATTGAGAATGACAAGCAAAGGGTCCTGGCTTCTAGGGCTCCAGCAAACAATGCACCAGAAGAAATTAAGCCTATATACAAATGCCTATAATTCTCACATCACTATATTCTATGTGAACTATGAAATGGAGTATTAATGATTCATAAAATTCTACCTTCAATCCAGACCACTCTCCTCAGTGCCAGCTGCATCCTGAACCATTGAATATCCGCAGGTACCTAAACACTGTGCAAAACTGAATATATTCTCTTTTCTCTTAAATCTGTTCTATCTCTTCTGTTTCCTGGATTGTTAATGGTTTTATCACTTGCCAGTTGTCCAAAGCAAATACTTATGTACCATACTTGTACTAATTTGATTTCAAATCCTTTATCCAATCAACTCAACCTCTAAGATATACGCAAACCTGCCACTATCCTTCTCTGCTGTCACTATGCAACTCATGTTCAAAGCATGCTTATCCCTCTCACGGACATCTGCAATAGCCTCCTAACTCATCTTCCCTCTGTGCATGCCTCCCTCTAGGCCACTCCTCAGGAACAGTCAGTGGTCTTTTAAGACAATGTAAATTAGTTCATGCCATTTTCTGTCTGTAAAACTTCAATACTTTCCTAGTGCAAATATCAGAATCCACTTACTATACTCACAACACATTGGTCCTTTTTCAGTTCCTTAAAAATATGAAGTTCTCTAATGCTTATGAACCTTCACACAAACGACCTCTTTGCTATGCAGGTTCCCTATTGGCCACCACCCCACACCCTGTCAGCTCTTGTAGATCCTTTAAGTTTAGCCTGACTGTCACTTCTTCAAAAAGCCCTTCTCTGACCCTGAAGGCTAAATGGCCCTGCTCCCATTTCCTTGCACTTATGCTTCAGCTTCATAAGGATTATCAAAATTTGTGATTATTGAAGGTGTTTGTTTTTGTCTGTTCTTGTTCACCAGATTGTGTATCTTATTCACTATTATAATTCAAGTATCTAGCACAAGGCCTAGCACATACTAAGTACTGAAAATATTTTCAGGATAAAGGGATGAATGAATGAATGAATGAATAAATGAATGAATGAATGAATGAAGCAAATCCAATGAGGTCACAGGTAAGGAACGGATGGCTTCAAATATGATCTGTTCAGTACATGCTAGTGTTCCACACGTCCTGAAATCAATGGACCAGACGCTTCTATGTCTGAAGCAGGCAAAAGAAGGACACTGTCACTACCTCCCAATTCTTCAGATATAGCCAGCAAATGGGATCATCTCCACAACTGAAAACTTCTATTCTGAAATATTTCAGACTTAAAGTAGCAAGGAGAGCAAAAGGAATTCCCACATATTTTTCATTCAGACTCCCCAAATGTTAACATTTTATGATGTTTGCTTTATCAATCTATGTATTTTTCCTGAGCCACTTGAGAATAAATTGCAGACATAATGCCCCTTATTGCTAAATACTCAGCACACGTTCCTGAAAAACAAAGGTATTCTCTTCTCTTATATAACCACAGTACAATTATCAAAAGCAGAAAATTGCATTGATGCGGTACTATTTTTTAATCAAGAGAATTTATTCAAAATTTGCCAATTGTATCACATCTTTTATAGCAACATATATACACACATATTTTATAACATATACAAAATATGTTACTATACACACACACATATATATACATACGTGTGTGTGTGTGTGTGTGTGTATGTATCTTCCCAACCCCTGTTCTAGGATTCAATCCAAGACCACATGTTATATGTAGTTGTCACATCTCTTGGTCTCCTTTAATCTGAAACAGTTCCTCAGACTTTTTCTTTAATGACACTGAAGGTTTTAGAGTATAGACCAATTATTTTGCAGAATGTCTTTTAGTTTGGGATTGTCTGATGTTTCCTCATGATTAGATTCCACTTATGCTTTTTGGGGACAATAATACCACCAAAGTGTTGGTTTGTCCTGCTTGGAGCATTATATTAGGAGGTACATGATATTTATTTGTCCCATTATTAGGGATGTTAACTTCAATCACTTGGTTATTACTATTACCCTTTTGTAATTAATAAGTTCTTACAGAAGATACTTGGATATTATATAAATATAGTGATAGCCATTTAAAAAAATTACCCAACTCTACTCTGTGGCCCAACTAATTCTCTACAAATAAAAACTTGGCAAAATATTTAAGGTCTGCTTATGGGTCACAAAATAGCTAAACATACAACTTTTCCTAATGCACCAATCTGTTAACATTACCTTACCTGCTTCTCTCATGCAAACAAAGGAAAAAACCTAAGATGCTATTTTTAAAAGAACATTATAAAATCTCTAATTTCATTCCTCATTCATCAGATGAGAAAGCTAAGGTCCAGACAGGCTAAGTGACTCGCCTAAGGTCAGACAGCTACTCTGGCAGACCTCAAAATAATTATGTGTTCATTGTAGAGCAAGAAATGCAAAAGTCAATTTAATGCCCTTCAAATATACAAGCCCTACAGGTAAACCTAAAGCAATCTAAGGCAGGTTTGAGATGACCATTTTGGAAAATAATGGGATTTTTACAAAGATCCATAGAACATCTTTCATGGAGTCACTGAAGTTTCTAGAGGAAGCCCAAGAGCTCCCTGCTATGCCTGAGTTCTCTCTTTGTTCTTTTTCTTTCTCTCTTTTCTTCTCCCTTAGAAATGCTCTTAAGTCATTCCAAAGACAAAGATAAAATCCCATCACTCTGGGAGAGAGGCTGAGAGACAGCCTACAATGGGCCCCTAACTTTAAAATGTTATGCTCCTTGCCCAATACTTTGGACACTTGCTTAATTCTAATCAATATCTTTTTAGATGTTACTTTGAATTTGCATAAGATAGTCCTGTCATAATCTTATCACATTGTACATACTTGAAAAAATAATTGGTAAACATTCTACGAACATTCTAACCTAGAGTAGCCCAAAAGTAAGTGGCCACTACAGTGCCCTGGGGCTTTCTTTTCCAAGGTGACTAGATTATTTAAAAATAATAACAATAATAAACAGCAGGTTTCAGGAGTTGAAGTTCTATTCTCAACCTCTACTCAGAACACAGAATGGTTCCAAGCTTTACCTTGCCTGCTCTGTATCCTCCAAGGACTTTTAGAAGTAATGGAGATGCCATTTCTGTCCAACCCAGTATCCCAAGGTAATAATGCTTGGCAAATGTTATTTTTAGATGATAGCAGCATACCTAAAGCTATGAACCAAAGGTAAGCAATATGAAGACATCTTGCACAATCTTTCTATACAAACATGCAGCATTTCCTCCTTACCACTTCCTGGGATGTATAAAATGCATAAAAATAGAAGCAGTCTTTCTTTAAGGGTGAGCTTTTATCAAGACTTGGTATAAAAATAAGCAAGTTATATTTAAAAAATCATAAAGGCAAAGATGTACATTGCTATGAGTCATAATTAGTAAATGTATTCAAGCCTTAGAAATATAGGAAAGTACTGTGTTAGAATAAGAGTTAGAAGTAGCAGCAGTAGTAGAGGAAGTAGAAGTTGTAGAGTCAGCAGTAACTTTTACTGTTTACCATGTAAGAGCACTATGCTAAGTGCTTTATATAGAACACCTCATTTAGTCCTCAGAACCATCTTAGTCTTCCTCTAACTTTATACAAAGTTAGTATAAAGTAAATAAAACACTGGAATGGTATCACAAATTTGATCTAAGATTGTAATCCTTCTTTGCAGTAACGAATGACTAATCTTGGAGTGTTAACCACTGTGCAATCATTACCAACCTACACCCCTTCTCTCCTTTTGAGTTGCTTTACGAGGGAGATCTTACCTGACCACTCTATATAAAAATATGAAACTCCTCCAAACCAGACTTGCCTGAGTTTCCCCATTGAAATGTAAACTCCATAAAGGCAGGAACTTTGTCTTCTTAATTGCTATATCCCAGAACCAGAACAGTGCCTTGTATGTGTTAGGTGTTTAATATATATCTGTTTAACGAATGAATGAATAATTGATGAACAAAACCAAACGATAACAAATATAAAATTTTCAATGAATTGTTTGCTTTCCCTTCACAATTACAAAAAAAAAGTTTTAGTGGCTTGATTCAAGTTGTCAGAATCTCTTAAAAAGACTGGATAGGGAAGTTTGAACTCATGAGTTTATTTGCTGAAAAATTTATCTGGGGCTAGCATGGATATTCAAAGACATTCTACTGGCTATGCTTTTTTTTAAGAAAAAGTCCTGTAATTCCCTTCTTAGTTGTCAAACAAGTTGAGCATTAAATACTTCATTAAACATGAGACATAATTTTAAGTTAGACAACTTCATTCATTGCCGGGCTACATTCTCTGAGTACCTCCATGTACTAAACACTAAGGAATTGGCTGGGAGTGAACCACAGAGTGAAATATGAGGGTTAGTGACCTTCCTACCTAATATGGGACATCTGTTCTCCCTGTCTGCCCCACTTCTCCCTCCTAGGCTCTCTAGAGCTAAGTGAACAACTCAAACAGGATTTTTCATCTAACTGACCTCCCTGGCAACTTTTATTATCTCTTGCTGCTGGGAAGGCAAAGAAACAGAGCTTCGAAAATTACATGTTTCATGCTGGGGGAAATGTCATAGCTTCAACAGAGTTTTAAGATATTGGTAGGAAAATTGTTTTTTTGGAGAAAACTTCCATTTTTGAATGAGCAAAAATTATGCCTATTTGAGAATCTAAAATAATCAGGTAATCTTGGGCTAAAAAATAACACCATAAAATCTAATAGGTGTTTAAAGTTTTAACATAAAGTTCGCTCTACTTTCATTGCACGAGCTTAGGCATACATCATTGATCACTGTGAGGAAAACATATATTAAGTTACTTAAATAAAAAATATGTCAGTTGATGTGACAGATTGTTTGTTTACTTGAATTGAAATGTATAAAACTTCACTGATGTTGTTGAAACCCAGAGCATTACCTGTTCCCCTTTCAGTTTCTGCTTTCAAGGAAAAATATAAAGTTATATTAAACCGACGCAAATTCTGTTTTCAAATACCTCTAGATATCCCAGTGTTGCTTAGGCTAAAGATTCTAAGAGTAATGAAATTGTATTCACTTCTTCCCCAAAACACTTATTTAAAAAAAATAAAGTGATATCAGATTAAGAAAATAAAATCACACCTTCTTGATGACATTTTTCAATTTTTTTGTTACATGCTCTATCTCCAGGAAGATTATGTAACATTAAACGATGAGAGAAAAGGTTTTCGACTTAGACTCACAGTCCAACCATAACATGCTTTTGTTTGCATGCTAATCTTTTGTGATTAGTTGTAGCACACAGCTCATTCTGAAAGAAAGTGGCCAATGTATGGTTTTAGAAATACTAGCATCCAAAAAAACACATTAGTAATGTCAAAATTCTTAAAGTAGTCATTGAAATAGACCATAAGCAGATTTGAGATACTAGGCTAACTGGAGAGCTGTGTACCAGCCCTGCTTAAATACTATTACTCAAACAGAATTATGACCTCACACATTACATGTAAGTTAAAAAGAGTTTAGTTAATATAAAAGTCAATGAAAAGTATGAAATGTAAATATTAGCATATCTTTTACGTTTCTGCTGGATTTTTGGACATAAACATAATTTTTAATTTGCCATAAAGATCTATAATTAGACATGTTCACAAGCCTGTTGGTCCATCTGACTCTGCTTAACTCCAGAAAAGAAGTCCTTGCTCATGCATTAGCGCATCCATTGGTTATATTTTAAAATTTGGAAGGAAGATGTTTAATGTTATTGTGCCCCTAATTTTTAAGTGACAGCAAATTGTATTCTCAATTACAATACTTACAGCTGTTGCCTGCTCTATTACCCCTCTGTCCAGCTGAATGTTCTGGCTCCTTGTATGGAAACTGCAGAGTTGTATCTAAGGTTCTGAACCCTTCCTTGAGAGAATGATGCTTGTAGTACTCCACAAGTTCCTTTGGAAAAAAGAATCCAACATATTTTTGATAAGGATACTTTTGTTCTCAAACACATGAACTCCTGAGCACATAAATACAATAAGGATGACCAATTTAATGCTAAATTTTCCATAGGTATATGGAAGATTAAGCAAATGATAATCTCTCCCTGCTGTCTGGATGTACATGACACCTACCTAATAGCTGTCCTTGTTACTCAGGCCATTAATAATATGAGTTACCCCCTATTGTTATTCACAGATGGAGAACATCCTGTCTTCAGTCAGATGTAGCAAATGAAAAGAAACAATACTAAACCTCAGTTTCAGAGTAGTAATTATTGTTCTTATTTATGAAATACTTGCCTTTCTAAACCAAAATAAAAGGAACAGCTGCTTGCTGAATATACAGCAATTTCTACTTTCCTGCACTTATTTTCTTTCAAAATGGCAGAAAAACAAACTTATGCTTTTTCGTGGTAAACAAAAGTTGATAAAGCACAAATGGTACTTGAGACTGTTTTTAGTTTCTGATGAAGTATAGTACCTGTCATAGCTCCGCATATCTGCTACTCACAGAGGTCAATGTAATTCTTTCCAATTTTCTCTTATAAATAATTTGTCTTAAATACATCTAAACCTAATGTAATAACCACATGCCATCCTTCAGACTATCGTTTCAGAAAATTTCGCAGGTTGGTTTCATAGATTCTGCAGAAATCTGAATCTCTCTACTGTAAACTGAAACTGAATAATAATTCACAATAAAAATGTATCTTATCATCAAATGAGTCCTGTAGATATAAAATTTCTTATAAATATCTGAAATGAAAATAAACGAAAAATCACTTTTAACTTAATTATTCAATGTTTCTATTGGAGCGCCTTTTTAAAAATAAAAAATAAAAAAAAAAAAACAGAAAAAAAAACCACTTGTTTCTTCTAAAAATCCCACTGCCATCAACTTAATATCTCTGTTCAGTGGTTATGTTCAAAGTTCCCCAGACAAATCAATGAGTCCAAAAATCAGCTGAAAGAAGAAAAAGAGAATCATCAATGATTTATTATTTATGACAAAACTTGAGTATGTTGTGGAATGCACTGTACCAGGAGCTTCAGAGGTCACAGAGATTATAAAGATAAGCCTCCTGCCATTGAGGAATTCTCATCTTGGAAGGGAAAGTTCAAAGGCAGGAGAGAGAACTTTGTTTTGTGTATCCAATGGGAAGGGTGACAGAAAGTTTTGTAATACAAGTAGCTTGGCTTAAACTGAAGAACTAGTAAAATTACAATAGCCAGGAACCAGGGAAAGATCATTTTAGGTAGAGCAGGCAGGCTGGAAACAGACATAAAGGTGATAAACAAAGACCACCTTTCATAAGCTAAAAGCAGCATAGTTTGGCTAAAGCATTGGATAAGGGAAATGGCAATTTTTCAATCTCACCTATAAAATGGGGCTAATAAACCATTTCACAGATGATAACAAAGAATATATAAAGTACCTAATACATGTGAAAAACTGTAACAGCTACCCCATTATCCCATGTGCCAGGCCCTTTACATGGCTCCTTATAACTTTCACTCAAGAACATTATGAAATGGGCCTTATTCCCATTGAAGCTCAAATATCAGTGAGGTGAGTGAACTTAGGCAAAGTCACATAGCTAGCGCCTTTATCCAAAGTTTGTGCTCTTAACTGTATCATACTATTAGCAAATAGTGCCTAGCAAATGTAAATACAAAAACAAGAGCCAGGCATGGTGGTTCATGCCTGTAATCCCAGCACTTTGAGAGGCTGAGGCAGGCGGATCACCTGAGGCCAGGAGTTTGAGACCAACGTGGCCAACATGGTGAAACCCTGTCTCTACCAAAAATACAAAAAAGTTAGCCAGGTGTGGTGGCAGGTGCCTGTGATCCCAGCTACTTGGGAGGCTGAGGCAGGACAATCACTTGAACCTGGGAGGTGGAGGTTGCAGTGAGCCGAGACTTTGCCACTGTACTCCAGCCTGGGCAACAAGAACGAAACTCTGTCTCAAAACAAAACAAAACAAAACACCAAAAAACACACACACAAAAAACAGGGAGGCAAAAGTGAAATAGTTTTTGCTATGTGTTCATGATGTACTAGGAACTTTGTTTTCTTAGACTTAAAATGTTAGGGTCTTCCAAATATTATATCTATAACTTGAAAAATATGTATTTCTTCCTTTCTTCCTTGGGCCCAGATAATGTGGGTCCTTGTTGAAGCAAGAAATTTGTAATCAGACCGACCTTTAAAAGCAAAGAGAAAAAGAAACAAAAGACCATGTAGAAGTTTGTATCTCCAAAATGGTTTCAATGATCAGAATATGCATTTGTATTTTGGTGAATTTTAACATGTTTTGCGCAGACAAGGTATAGAATTAAATTCTACTTAGTGACCAATATTGCTATTCATTTTTTTAAAATATAAAGCAAAATTTTGTGAGGTCTCTGGAATACACACACACACACACACACACGTATACATAATGTCACTGATACAAACGATACCGAAGTTTCTCCTAGTCTTATTACTTAAATTGAGTAAAATGTGTTATTTTCTTTAGCAAATGTGAAAACAAACTTGAAAGGAATTATAAGCCATAGCTTTGAACTTCAACGTAATTTTGTTATAGGTAATATGAATTTTATGATTTTTGCTATGAATTACAATTTATGTGAATTTGGCTAGAAACCATAGAATTATCATACTGAAAAATGATTTGGTGATTATTTAATACTCGCCCACCCCCAAATTTTATGGAAGAAAAAATGAGTTTTCCAAGGCCTAGGGTCATGCGGCTTACTTAGTAAGCTGCAAAACACTCTTTATCACTTCACTAAGCATGGAAGATATTTTAGTTCCATTTTTACAGTCTTACGAGGGTAAATCTTCCTACATGTTTCTAACTGGGTAGAACTAAATAGTGTCACCATGGATCTTTTCCAATTTGCCTTTATGCTTTCTGTATTTTAGTCTAATCCACCCCTGCCTTAACAGTCATTGACCTTCAGGTACAACAAGTAAATAAGAAGACTCTAAACAAAAGAAATCGCTAAGCTTTCCTTATCTCACACTGACACAGCAGTGTCAACAATTCAAGTCTCTCAAAAATAATGAGTGAGAGCCAGTCATTCCAATTACCAAGGAAACAGGCAATGGAGATGGTTTATAAACAGCATTTGGACATGGACTGTCTCGCATACATGAAAATTAGAACAAAATTAATGCCTTGTAATCTGGATACAGAAATTCATTTAGGATTTGAATTTAATGACTAAGAAAGACAAAGATTCTGATTAACCAAGCTATTGAAACTCAAGGGAAAAAGGTTAGGTCAAAACCACCTAAGGCCAATCTTCTCACTGAGAAACCAGTTAATTTAAAAGAAGCTCTGGAGTTTGCTTATGTTTTACACACTTTCCAGATTTAAATTTAATTCCAGGCCCTATTGTGTTTCACAGATAGAAGAGTAAACTAATACCAATAACAAGAGGATACTGAACTATTCTTAAGAAACAACTCAAATCCACAGATCACTCCTTACTTATAATAGACAAGTGTGTTATTTGACTCCAACATGATAAAAGGTAACTCCATGAAGTCTGTATGATCTTGATTTTGAGAAACCTTCACACCAATTAATCATCTTCTACCTCCTTCCAGAAGTTCAGGTTGCTAAAACATGAGCCATTCCTTCTGACCAAGTATCCATGTGGCATTTCCCAGCCTAGGTTCCAAGGACTGCTCTATGGTGAGGTTCTTGGTGTAGACGTATTTACTGATTCTTAAGCTTCTTTTTAGAATGGTTAAGTCCTTTTGAGTTCTCCAGAAAGTGATTTCACATTGTAAGGACTCAATATAAATTTGCTCAACAAATGAACAGAAACAAAATGGAGGGGTAGCTTCAGATTAGTTCAGCTGCCTCTTCAGCAATTTTTATAGTTATTTACTAAACTTGATAAAAGCACTTTTCTGATATTGAGATTTTTTTTCCAGCTCCTTGTTTTTCTTTTCATAATTACATCCTTTGCTAATGTTTGTTAGTTTCATTTTGCTTTGCTAAAATTCTTAGTCCCTTCCCTTTAACACGCTGTGATACGTGCTTCCTTACAAAAGATGCCCAGATATGGAGACGAAAACACATATGCACGTGTCTCTAATAGTGGCATTGCTGAGATTTTATACATAACATATAAGAAAAGCTTACTTTAGTCCTGTGACAAGTACTTTTAGTTATTTTTCCAGAGAATATCATTGTAGAAACTTTTAAGGCTCTCTGGCACAATTTTTTTTTAATGCTGGGTCTCTATTGCTTTCACTATAATCACAGCTTTTACATGCAGATAGGAACTCATGTATCTATGTCTACCAATCCAGGTCACTGTGGTATTACTGGCTTTTCACATCTAACCTTGGCTTCTGAAGAACTGCCTTGAGCTGAACCCAGGTGACACAAAGCTAAATTCATTGGCCCTTTTCAGTGACGATTCCTTTCATCTTCTTTGCTTGTCTCCTCTGATGGGAGTTACTTTTGCTACTTTCAAAGTCTGCAAGGCTGGCAGTTATCTTTGGCTCTGCAGCAGTTTTTTAAGTCCCATAGTAACTATAACACTGTGGAGCAGCCTCATTACCATCCAAGGAAGTTCTGCAGGTGAAAGCTCAAGCTGGTACGTCTTGCAGAGATGTGGAGAGCCCCTGTGCGTGCTTTTATCATGTCTCAGCTGTGTCTGTCATTCATTATTTGTGCATCCACTTGCCACCTCCCTCCAAGTTTTCATTTTATGAAGAACCTCCTCTGGTCCAATTCTCTCTGTGCTCAGCCTGCTTGTTTCAACAGAATGTAAGTTACTTCCAGCAGGGAGGATGCCTGGATCTTGGTTACAAATTTGACAGAGTTTACATTTTCCAGGACATGACCTTGCTGCCCATCCTTAGCTTTTGAACTGGGAATGATCTTTACATCCATAGAGATTTTCTTATTTTTCTTTCAACTCAAGATGCTTCAATTTCTTTAAAACACTGACACCTGCCTTGAAGCAGTTCTACATTTTTGGATAAGGCATTCAAGCTGGCCTATTTTGTAAGGCTCCCTTACACTCAGTTTAACTTTAATGTTAACATCTGCAAAGTGCTTTGAGATGTTTTCTGGAAGGATGCAGTATGTATCATTTGATTGATGGTTCATTCAATGAGTGGTCCTTCCCAATGTTACTCAAGGTACTTAGCAGTACAAATGCATCTTATGTCCTATATCCAAACTCTTCATTATCTCAGAAACTACCAAACTTGAGAAACATACTTGAGACCACTTAAGGAAATGTGAATTTAGAGTTTACTGTTAGCAACGCATACATGATGATATATACACATTGTTTAAATGACATACACAAAATATTCTTATATGCTAACAAAAGTATGAATAAGTTCTATTTTTTTTAAACTGGGAATAATCCTTATTCATTTGATGTGATTTGACAATATACTATTTCCATTTAAATATACAATTCCTATGAAATATCAACTGTTAAGTGGCAAAAATGTTACCTTGTTAATGCATAATTATCTAAGGTAATGAATGAGAACCATGGTAGAGATCACTTAAAATAGCAAAAAATACAAAAATCTTTTCAATTTGACTTTATATTGCATTTTATAAAAAATGAACCTAAATGTTAGACATATTTTACTAATTACAACTTTTTGTGTTATAATTTAAAATACTGTCCTCTGCCTGAATCAGGACATAGAGGCAAAGGAAGAAAAAAAGAGGAAAGAAAGGTATATTTAAAATCTGCTGTATCATTTAAACACAAACCAAAACTCTATCTAAACCTGCAAACAATTTACAATGAAGATTACGATTCGAGCAATATAAAACTTAGAGATTTATAAATTAGAATTTTCAGGATTTTGTTGCAAAATTAGAATATGATTATCTTTAAATAACTTTTCAGTGAGCAAAATTTCCAAGAAACTATAGAATTAAAATGACCTTTCTAACAAAAGAAAAATAAGGATCCCAGATTGAAAAGAAATAATCAATGCTTACCATTAAACTTTTAAATTTTCTATTTTCTGCAATGTGAAAAAAGCCATCTCTTGTTAAAATCTTGATGTGCTTTGCTTCATTATTGTACCTGTGGGCAATGAATAACTTATGAATATAAATGTGTTTTTAATCAGTAGAAATCAATAATTACCAGAGGGCATGCCCCAATAACATTTTAGGAATTAATTCTGCAGACAAAAATATATACCTATGCCAATACACTGGTGACAGCTAATTAACAAAATATATTTACTGGATTGGTTGAGGATACAACCAATATTTGAAGTGAGAAGGGAGGTTGGATTTGACTATTCATTATGCACAATTTATTAAGTTCAGTTTGAGAATACAGAAAAATAAGACAAAAATCTAGAAATTTATACTGTTAGTATTTACTAGAAATATACACACATCAAACCACCAAAACACAATATTATGAAAGAAATCTAATATGCCAATTAGCAACCTATAACACTTTTTACTGTTTTTCAAAGATATATTTTCAAGTATTAATGAACTGTCTGGATAGATGCATTATTTCTCCTTCAATTAGAACTTTGGTTTTCACCTTCAGTGTTATACATGTCAGATGGTCTATGCAATTATGAAAACAGGAAATCTATTTCTGTAAAAGTACTTGTCCTACTTACTTAATGCTAATTGCATATTCTCCTGACTCTTTGGTCCTGTGCCTCACAAGGTAAGTACTATTTACCCTATTAATAAGTTCGGTCTCTGCTTGCAATCTTTCCATTGCTCCAGCATACCTGTAAAAAACAATGACACAGAAAATTTGGATAATATACCTGGAAGAGAACAGAGGCTAAAAGTAAGTATCTCTCAATATTTAATTTAGTGGCAGATCTGAGCTGTTGGTAATTCTATACTAATTACATTGTTTAAGAAAAATAAATCAGAAAAAGGTCCTTTAATACGTCCAAACACAAATGCTCTACAAAACTAACAACAGCAAAATGAACAATGCCTAATACCCACTAAGCACCTAGTAAATAAATGGGACACAGAGGAGTCAGTGGGTATTGGGTAAAAAGACAGTTGTGGGGAGCTTAGGGACAGGAAGGAAAAAGACTTGTAGGGAGAAACTGCCCTGTATAAGATACACAGACACATTTATTTTAGCTTTTCTATATATACTATGAAATGAAATCTCCTTTAAGTATCTTTTTAAAGAAAATTCTAGCAATAAGTTATTTTAAATAGTTTTTTGTTATGAGATTAATTCATTCGTCCACAATTTTGATAAATTTTCTTAAGCAATTAGTAATAATGAGTAAAATTTACTTTTAAAAGGTAGATTTTTTTTTTTGCATAGAAAGAACATTTCTCATTCTCTTTATTTGCTAAATACAGGCAAGCCCAAAGCAATGCAGTCTATTTAACATGCTAGTAACTTTTTTTTTTTTTTTGAGACAGAGCTTCTCTCTCTTGCCCAGGCTGGAGTGCATGGCACCATCCCAGCTGCCTGCAACCTCCGCCTCCTGGGTTCAAGGGAGGCCTGTGCCTCAGCCTCCCAAGTAGTTGATACCACCGGTGTGGTTGATATTTTTCAAAACCAGAATTCAATCTCCCTAGACTTTGCTGGCCTTAAACATACAGAAACTCCATAATAACTGTAATAATAAAAGGCCAAAATTCAATCTTAAAATAATCTTTAATGACCCCTCAAATCATACATAGGTGTAAAATCTCCTGGCAAGTTACATCAGAGATTTTAGTCAATAGAACTTAAAAGAAAAATTCTGTTTAGATTGGTTCTCTTTCAAAGCTAGTCAATAATTAATGTATCCGAAAATCCTCTGATTCACATATAGACCCACGTAACTTTGTATAAACATCCACCTGTAATGCAAACTTAATATTCATTTAAAACGCACATGACAGGCATTCAGCAAAAGTTTGTTGATGGAGGACATGTTAGGTTTCCATCTAGTATAAAAGAGGAACTAAAGGCATTTTATGCAGATGGTACCTTGCGTTAAAAGAAAAGTTATAACAACTCATGAACTACTAGGACCTAGTATAATCTGACTCATGCCTACCTCTCTTCAACCTTATCTCTTACATCTACCTTCATCACTAGTCTCCAGCCTTCTTTCAGATCCAGGAGTTTCTCAAGCTCCTTTTGCGCTTAGGGTCTTCTCACAGACTGCACTCTTGTCTGGAAACACTCATACCCTATCAACACAATATTCCTTCTCATTGTTAAGGTTTAGAGGGGTCTTCTCTGACCATACCATCTAAAGAATGTTGTCCTGCATCTTGTACTACCTACTCCATTATTCTCATTACAGTATTCCTATTTTTGTGGCACTTATCACAATTAGTATTGAGTGTATGCATTTTTATCAAAGCTATGCATTAATATAGTTTTAAAAGTCCATTCACATTATAATAATGAAAAAGCAGCAGTATTCCATCAGACCAGCATTCTACTCCAAGTTCCCTTTCAAACACTGTACCTATTTTTTATTTCTACTTGTGTATTTCTAAACAATTATATGACAATTTCTTATCAATTTTAAACATAAGGAAGGAAAACCATCTTCTTCCTGCCACCTGTGCTCACTCCTTTATAGTGCTGTTCCTCACTCTTGTCTTTCTGTAACCTCTACAAAGCCAAGCTGTCATCTGGCCTAGTTTTGGCAGGGTGTTCATTCAAAGAATATCTGCCCTCCAAAATAAAATTGCTCATGTTTTTGTTTGTTCAAGTTCTCTGTCTCTATCACAGATTCTTTCCAAATATACCTCCCAAAAATACATTTTTCAACAACATTGCTATGGTTTGAATGTCCCCTTAAAACCCATGTTGAAATTTAAGTATTGTTATAAGAGTATTGAAAGGTAGAATCCTTAAAAAGTGATTAGGTCACGGGGGCTCTGCCCTCATGAGTGGATTAATGACCTTATCATAGGAGTGGTTAGCTATCTTTGGAGTAGGTTCCTGATAAAAAGAATGAGTTCATCCACTACTCTCTCTCTGTCTCTCCCACTGCTTCCTCGCTTTGTGATATCTCCTGCCATGTTATTATGCAATGAGAAGGCCCTCACCAGATGCAGCCCCTCGATTTTGGACTGCCCAACTTTTAGAACCATGAGACAAATAAATATATCTTCTTTATAAGTTAACCAATCTCTGTGGTATTCTACTATACACGTTGAGCATCTCTAATCTTAAAATCTGAAATTCAGAAACCTCCAAAATCTGAAACTTTCTGAGAGTCAGCATGTTTCCACTAAAATGCAGATTATAGTCAAAATGCAGTCGAAACTTTGCTTCATGCACAAAATTTAAAATATTACATAAAATTACCTTCAGGCTTTGTGTATAAGATATATATAAAACATAAATAAATTTTGTGTTTACACTTGGGTTCCATCCTGAATATATCTCATGATGTTTATGCAAATATTCCAAAATCTGAAAAAATCTGAAATTCAAAACACTTCCGGTCCCAAGCATTTTGAATAAGGGATACTCAACCTATAGCTGCATTAATTGAATTAAGACAACCACATAATCTACCTGTTAATTTTCTCTGGAGCCTTTTCTTCTGAGCCCTCCACGCTCTTCTAATTGATACTGCTTGCTCTACTAAGCCTGTTGAATTACTGTAGTCCTGGGACTTCTCTTTGCTCCCCTTTCCTGGCTTCTATATCTCCCTCTTCCTTGATTTACTAGCTCATCCTTCAGCTTTTTCTAAACATACACAGGATGTAACACTCTAAAGTCCCACATCTATGAAAATATTTTATTTTACCTAGTAATTCATAGTTTGGCTATGAATATTATTGCAATATTCATAGTTTGGTTATTGGGTAAAGAATTCTAGGTGAGAAATTATTTTGCCTCTCAAATATTAATACATTGATTCATTGTCTTCTAATTTCCATTCAATACCATTTCTAATTCTTTGTATGTTGCCTGATTTTTTTCTCCCTAGAAACCTTCAAATTCTTTCTGTATTCTCTATATACTGCAAAATTTCGTGATAATGTGTTTTTTATATTGTCCTTGCCTTTCAGAAGTATCTTCAATTTGGAGCCACATGTCCTTCGGTTCTGAGAAATTTCTGTATCATTTCTTTGATAATTGCTGCCCTTGGTTTTCTCTTTCTGGAATTCCTGCTACTTGAATGCTGTATCCCCTGGGTCAACAGTCTAGCTTCCATATAGCTTCTCTCATATTATCCATCTCTGACTTTTTGGAAGATTTGCTAAACTTTATTTCCCAAGTCTTCTATAATATTTAACTTATAAGAGCTCCTTTTTATTTTGACTGTTTTCTAAAACATTGAGCTTACTTCCAATGAACTTAAGTTTTCTCTTAATTTTGAAGATGTAAATAAAAGTTTTTTTAAGGTGTCTGCTCACTCCAATGGTTTCTTCTTTTTTTTTTTTTTTTTTTTTTTTTTAGTTCAAGGGTTTCCTCAAATGTATGGTTACTCTTTGTTGTTTGTTACTTAAGAAGGATGCATCCACAATTGACTGGAAACTCTGTGTGTGTGAGCACCAAAATAGGTCCACTGGGTAGGAGTCTGATCTTTTTTTTTTTTTTAAGATGAAATCTCACACTGTCACCCGGGCTGGTGTGCAGTGGTGTGATCTCGGCTGCCTGCAACCTCCACCTCCAGGGTTCAAGTGATTCTCCTGCCTCAGCCTCCCGAGTAGCTAGGATTACAGGCACCCACAACCACGCCCAGCTAATTTTTTGTATTTTTAGTAGAGATGGGGTTTCACTATGTTCCAGGCTGGTCTTGAACTCCTGACCTCATGATCCGCCCACTTCGGCCTCCCAAAGTGCAGGGATTACAGGCACGAGTCAACACGCCCAGCTGAGTCTGATCATTTGACAAGAACCTGAAGACTGAGCTGGGAAACACCCAAAGGTCTGGATTTTAGATTTTTAACTCTATTTCGTTTCTTTGGCCAAAAATCTTCCAAATTCCTGTCTGAATACCAAGACAGGGTAGTATGTGTATATGGGACCCAGCTGTCACAGTGCTGAAACTGAGCTACACAAGAGAACTGGAGAGCATCATCACTCAGTATACAGAGCCCTCTGTTTTCACTATGGCATCTCCCCAGTCTCTGCTAGGCTTGATCTTTCCAAATCTAGGCCCTACATGGTTCACCTTTTCCACATAATATACCTTCTAACTCCAGTGTCTCCTGCCACTGCAGGAAAGGGCAATTTGTCCGGACTACCATGGGAAAAGGCAGGGACCCTGACATCTATCTCTTGTTCTGCATACAGATTTTAGGATAGTTCCCCAGTTTGCAGTCCCAAATCTCATTCCTATCTTTTGATACCCCGAAACATAGATTATTGAAGACAATCATCTTAATTTTCTATTTTATTTCATTCTGTATGCAAGAGACAAAATTTACCTTGTGCAAACAACTTACTTTTAAATGTAGAAATAATGAGTAGATAATATAGTTGGTGATACTTAACTTCTCAGTGACTTGAGAACTACCATGCCATCAAGCAAAGTAATTTTCTCTAAATAGTTTAGTATTTCTAAAATTGAAGGTTCTATTTTCTGGGGGAGTTGATCATTTTGTTCCCTAGCAGAAGACATTTCACATCAAACTGCCTGCTTAGTTTAAATAGATTGTCCAGGTTGCTCAAGAAAAAAAGAAAAGTAATTTAAAATTCTACTACATCTTTATTTCTTCCTATTTTCAAGGCTCTCCCTTTGCCTGAACATCTTGCTTTTATAAGAATAATATTATTCTAACTGGTCATATTTTCAGTAGGATTTTACATATTGGCAAGGGTGCATTTTAAAACTAAGGGTACAAAACCTACCTTCGGGTGCCCTGAATGGTTCTTAGGTACCTAATAAGTTTATTTCATAAAATCCATGCAGTTTGAGGTATTAGCATTTTATCTCTCAAATCATTACCTTTGTAACTATAATGCCCAGTTACATGAAAAATGGTATAAGAGAAGAAACCTAATCATCACACTTTCAAGATTTTTAACAGTTCCTGATGTTTTTCAGTTTGATTATCAATGCTATCAGCTCTAGACCTCAAATTAAATTTCTTTCAGGACTATAGTTTAAAATTCCACAGACACTAATGACTTCAAATTGTCTTCAATCAGGTAAAAATGAAGCACATTCCCAGTTCTATCACAAACCTGCCACAATTTCTTCAGCAAGCTCAGTGCTGAGGCCCAGGGAGGGATATCAGGAAGGGTAGACAGTAACTACAGAAGGCAGAGTGACTGCCAGAGGAGGGAAGGTGGAGGAGGGCCCGAGGAGAGTCCCATACATTGCACAGTGGATTCCTACACTTTGAAAAGTAACTCAGCATTTTCCATGCTTTTGTTATAGAACAGAAAATAATCAGAACATGTAAAAAATATCAGATAACTCACATGGTAACATGCAAACCCAACTAGTACTATATATTCCCAGGATATTATATTTATATATGTATTCTGATATCTCATTTCTATGCATGTATTTTAATACCAATAAATTAAAAATAGATTCAGTCTTTTTAAGAGAAGTCAAACACAAAATTCAGGAAAACAAATAGAAATGAGTAATGTGTTCACATTCTGCATTTTGGGGGCAGTATAGCAATGTACAGATGGCATAACTTGGAATTCTGGCTTTACCACTCACTAGTTGCATGCTCTGTTTCTTTGTTTCTTCACCCATAAAAAATAACAACAGTCACCACCACTTTTCTTATATAAATGTTGAAGAAATAAAACAAAACATGTACAGTACAAAGCACATATAGTAAATACTCAGTATATATTAGTTATTATGACATCATGACTATACTAAATCCTAAATATATTTTTTAATAGTTGGAGATATCTAGAAAATAATAATTACTATCCATTACACTTCCTAGGTTTTGTTAATGATACTTTCAGCCTCCAAGTGGTAAGGGTGCCCCATCCTTATATTTTGTTGCTCTCATATGTTGTAAATTTTATTTTTAGAAGCTACTAGTGTCAACCAGAAGCAGTGGCTCACACCTGTAATCCCAGCACTTTGGAGGATCACTTCAGCCCAGGAGTTCAAGGCTGCAATGGGTTATGATGGCATCGCTGCACTCCATCCTGGGTGACAGAGCAAGACCCCATCTCTAAAACTATAAAAAATAAAAAAAAAAACTACTACTGTCCTTTTTGAGCTAATTTTTAGTTTTTAGACAATGAAAGCATATTTTTCTCTCTGCTTTATTAAATCTGTAAAATATAAGATACATATGCGTATGTTCCATTCCTTTCTGTGGCTGGTATAAACTTTAAATTATCAGTCTAGGGCACTGGGCACTCGCATGCACACACACCCCCCTCGCAGATAAAGATATGGAAAGGTCAGCAATACATGAATTCATTATGGTGTTTTGTTACATCTGAAAACACCTTTAGCCGAGACAAATGGAAATGGAATATGGTTTACTACCCCCACATTTAAGGCATCCTGGAGCTAAGGGTATGGTATTTCAACCTAGCTACATAAACATTTTTAATACTTACCAGGGTTGGCAAGAATAATCTACTGGTTTGGGCACCTAGGATATAAAAAAGCAAAAACAGATTAAGTTTACATAAGGGAAGCTTTTAGAAATCAATCATTAATTCAGTTCAGCTGACTCAGCTCTATAAAACCCTAAGTGGCACAGTCCTGGAACTATCCATTGGTAATTTTATACAGAGTGAATCATAGTATCTGTCAGATAAGTAGAAAATAATTCATTTCACTTTAATTCATTCTTTCATTCATTTTACTGCCACTGTAACTCTAAGAGGAGAGATAGCAGGCGAATATGAACTGGAAACTTTTAATATTTATTATCAAGGCAATTTAATCCTACCAAAGAAAACTAAAGTGAAAACGTTATTAAGAAAACCGAATAGCACTTTACTTTTCCAAGACCTTGGAAAAACATGCAAAATAAAAAATATACACTGGATGTGGGTATTTAATATTTTTAATATTTTATTATTTATTATCAAGGCAATTTAATCTTATCAAAGAAAATTAAAGTGAAAACATTATTAAGAAAACCAAATAGCTCTTTACTTTTCCAAGACATTGGGAAAACATGCAAAATAAACAATATACACTGGATATAGACTCTTATTTTGTAATAAATTCCAAATTCTGATTTAAAAATCTACCAACTAAGAACCTTTTATTCAGAAAAAAGGCATGGAAAATACTTATTTTTCCATTTGTTTCACATAGAGCTTCGCACAAGGAAAAATATTGCATTTGCTATTCAAACAAAGAAAGAAAACTTGTAGCTGCTAATGGTCAAATAGAAAATGAACAAAGACAAAGCAGGTATATTAATGTTAAAAATAAGAAATAAAGTACATTCTATAGAGAGGGTTACTTTAAAAATTCCTACGAATAGGAGTACAGATAGTTTGTCTCATGTCCAAATATCTGATATATGCATTCCATGCTATTAATGGGATTTTTATATTTGGTGATTGAAAATACTGTTCCCTCATTTGGAACAGTAAAAACTATAGTATTTCAGAGAACTAGCCAATGTGAACATGTCTCTAGCCATGCTGGTCTTCATAATGTGCTGTTACTATTTTGCCCTTCCAGGTTAAGAGTTATCTACAGGTTGAGCATCCCTTATCTGCAATCCTTGGGACTAGAGATGTTTCACATTTTGGATTTAAAAAAATTAGAATATTTGAATTACATTCCACATCCCTAATCCAAAAATCTAAAATCGTATGTGCTCCAATGAGCATTTCCTTTGAGCATCATGTCAGTGCTTAAAAAGTTTGGACTTTAGAGCATTTCAGATGTCAGATTTTCAAATGAGGAATACTCAAACTGTATCAAAAATCATCTTTCTAGTCAGAACATTTCTTTGATTATTAATATTCAAATATTTTTATCCTATGGATTACATTTTTAAAATCACAACTTTGTAAAATCCTAATAAACAGCAATTAATGTTGAAGGTAAATTATACCCATTCTAATCATTCAAATAGTTTCTTACATAACTTTGCTTTCACAAATAAACTGATCTTCAATAGTTCACCCTTTGATGACAAGATATACATGGCTTCTGAAATGTGATGCGAAAAATATTTCCTCTTTCCCTCTCCCTGTGTTCTTTAAAAGTATAATGTATATATTTATTCTTAAACCAAGCTTTCCATAGAGAACCAAAAAAAAAAAACAAACAAACAAACAAAAAAAAGGAGACAGGAAGGAGGAGAGTAAAGAATTTCAAAATATTCTGGCTGTGGACTCCTTTGGCTGTTAAAAAGGCTGGAGATCCAAAAAAGGAAACAGTGACAGAAGATTCTAAAACAGAACAGGTAACTGAGGCTGTTCCACCCTGGTGTCCCACTAGAGCTTTTCTCTCTTCAGTGGGTGCATTCTGACATGTGAAGATCCAGGACTACCTTCCCAGCCATGATCCATATTACTCAGGTGGGGTCCTATCCTTTTCCATCAGTCATAGGCCCTCTGCACTTTCTTCTGTGTACTATGGGTCCTTGTCTGGCAAGTACTTCATATTTAAGATTACAGTTAATTTCCTTTTGGGAACTTTTTCATCTTTGAGTATATGGTTACTATTTTTCTCTAATGCCATTTTCTCCCAGCACCATAGTCCATTAACACTGCAAAACTTCTGCTATGAACATGTAGTTTTTAAAAAACATTTTATTGAGAATATAGTATCCGTACAAAATTATATATATATATATACACACACACACATACATACAGAAATATTTATATTGGTCTATATATATATATATAAATAAATATATATGTGTCTATTTATGTGTGCTTCTTCCTGAAGTATACCTTATGAAGCTAGATGGCACACTTAGAAGTGAAGTTTGTGTTTGTTTGAATAAACTATCACGATTTCATCCTTTTTTTGAGAAATTTCTAAGAGGATAGTAATTTTCTCTCACAACTTTTAACATATTCTTATTGTTTCAGATATTAATTCAGACATTGTAGTTTCACACTGTACAATCTCTACTTGGTTCTTTTGTAGTTCCTATTTCTCTTTTGAGGTTTTCTGTTCATTCATTATGAACATGTTTTCCTTTGTGTCCTTGAGCACCATGATAACAGCTGCTTTTAAAATCTTTTCCTAAGTCATCAAACAGGAAATCACAGGGTTGATCTCCCTTCATTCTCTTTTCTGTTAAGTATGGTTCACATTTTCCTGCTCCTTTGCATACTGAGTAATTTTATATTGTATCTTGGACAATTTGAATGAATGATAAACTGTAGAGGCTCTGTATTTTCTTATGTTCCAAAAAAGAACCTGGCTTTCCTTAAAGTTTATACACAGAATTTGAGGTTTCCTCTCTCTGACTCTTTTTAAGACTTCCTACCTCCTTTTCCAGCTGCTGAGACTGCTTTAAACTCACTCCATAATCTGGTTCTTTAAGCCAGAAATACCATAAGGTTTCTATCTGAATTTTAGCTACCCTGCATGGTACAATCCAGTGCCTGCCTTTGAGCTAGCCATAAAACAAAGAAACTCATCCTAGTGCCATTCCTTTTTCCAAGTGTCAATCTTCTCCTGGGCAGTGCCTTCAGATAGTTTTGTTTTGATATTTTGTCCACAAGTTATAGTTATGTGTGGGAGTATTGGTCCAATAGGAGCTATTCAACAGTTACCAGAAGTGGAAACTCTTGTTGCTTCTATTATTTCTGTTGTTAGCTGGGTCTAATAATCAACCTTTTATAGATAATCTGTCTTTTCTCTCAGTTTTAATATTTGTCTTTAATGTCTTCTGGTTTCATTACAATGCATCCAGGTGTTGATTAATTTTAATATATGCTTCTTGACTCTGAAGATTAGTTTTATTATAGAATCTGGAAAGTTCTCAGGCATTGTTTATTTGAATATTGCTTTTCTACAATTATCTCTATTCTCTCCTTCTATTAAATGTATTTGTATCTCATCACTCCATTTTCTGTTTTATTTTTAACTTCTTAATCTCTCTTAACTGCTCCTTGAGCAATTTCTTCAGATTTCTCCTCAATTTCCTACACAACTGTGTCTGATATGCCATGTAATATGTCCATTAAGGCTTTTATTTCAATTACTATACCTGAATCATTTTCATATATACCCAATTAGTGTCTTCCTTTCCTCTTAGATTTTTGTTCCCTTTAATTTCTTAAACCATGTTAAGTATAAAATTTTGAATTTAGTATCTAAAATTCAAATATCTGCTATATTTGTGGATTTAATTATATATTTTATTGTTTCTGCTGATCTTGGCATAAGGTGGTTTGTTTCTGGATTGATTTAATGATTTCAAATTGTGAGTGTATGTTGCCTAGGACTTTATGTTAAAAATCCTTTGAGGAATGTGTGCAAAGAGGCTCCAATCCAGACAGCATTTGAATTTTCATTGGGAGAATAATCAATGTGGAATAATTTTTTTAATTTTTATTTTTTATTTGAGACGGAGTCTCGCTCTGTCACCCAGACTGGAGTGCAGTGGAATAATCTGGAATAATTTTAAACTACACTTCTAGCTTAGAATTATTTAGGTAGTAGAGCTGGTATGAATTCCAGCCCTTCATCTGGATGGTTTTGGATTTAAGATTAGAAATTCTCAGGGGATACTGCTTTCCTTTTTTCTTTCCAATCCTGAACCAATACCAAAGTAGGCATATCATCATCAGTGGGATGGGTTTTCTCCTAGTTCATCCACCAAGAGCTCCTGGAATCGGGGATATACCCAAGTTTGCATTGTGCTGCAGTTCCAGGCTTTGTCTCTAGTTGCCATATTGCTAGAAATGAAGTTGACCCATTTATGAACCGCCTGTGTTTTCCTCAGTTCTTGGTTTCTACCTGCCTATATCAGAATTTTTGAGGAGATGGATGTAGCAAATGCAGGAAAATAAATTTTAAGCCCAGAATAGAACATTCAGCACTACTCATGGACCCCGATAAACAATATATCCCAGAATCAAAAGCAATACCATTTTCTAAACTCCCTCAATCTATCCCCTCCTCTTCAAATTCCCCTCTATTTATCTTCACTTAACTTGCCCTATAATTAAAAAAAAAATCTATAATTTCATTAAGCAGTAAAATTTAAAGTAGCTACTAATATAAAACAACCATATTTAGTAGTCTTGCTTACAATTATAAGTTACTCTACTTCTCTGTCATCTTAAAATTTCTGAACATATTTCTCCTTCTAGCCACTTCTTGGGTCAGCAAATATCATTCAATATGATTCTACAGGCTGATTTAATTAGTATCTACCATTGCTAATGTTCTATATACAGCTAGGGACTTGCATTTGCTTTTTCACTCCTTTGTTCATTCATTCAACAGTAATTTATTAAATGCCTACTTTGTGCGAGACTATCCCTAAAACAAAACTTCAAGTGCTCATCTTTATGCCTTATTCAAGAGGATGTAAACAGAAAACAGTACATGGTACATTCAATGCTTAATATTCTTGATTTGATGTCTTTAGGTTCCCAAACTTCTTAATGTTAGAATGTATAATATCCTGCCACCTGCCTACAGATATACATCACTACTTTACAGATAGGAAGCCTGAATCTTGTTCATACAAAGTCCAAAAACTAGATAGAGAATCATTTTAGCTTATCTAATTAAATAAGAGTGGTATCAAACTTCAATAATCTTTCAAGACTGTAATGTAATATAAGACAAAAAATATGTAACATTATAGACCAATGAAACAGAATAAAGAGCCCAGAAATAATGCCACACACCTAACCATCTGATCTTTGACAAAGCTGACAAAAACAGGCAATGGGGATAAGATTCCCTGTTCAGTAAAGGGGAGAAACAAGATTATGTCCTTTGCAGCAACATGGATGGAGCTGCAGGCCATTATCATACGTGAATTAACACAGGAAAGGAAAAGCAAATAACACGTTCTCACTTGTAAGTGGCAGCTAAACATTTGATAAATGATGCTGGGATAACTGGCTAGCCATATGCAGGACTGAAGGTGAACCCCTTCCTTATATGATATACAAAAATCAGCTCGAGATGGATTGAAGACAAATGTAAATCCTAAAGCTATAAAACCCCTGAAGGATAACCTAGGAAATACCATTCTTGACATAGGACCCAGCAAAGATTTAATGACTAAGATGCCAAAAGCAACTGCAACAAAACAAAAATTGACAAATGGGACCTAATTAAACTAAAGGGCTTCTGCACAGCAAAAGAAACTATCAAGAGAGTAAACAGGCAACATAGAGAATGGGAGACAATATTTGTAAACTATGCATCTGACAAAGGTCTAATATCCAGCATCTATAAAAAATGTAAATAAATTAACAAGCCAAAAAACAACTCCATTAAAAAGTGGGCAAATAACATGAACAGACACTTTTGGAAAGAAGACATACATATAATTGGCCAAAAAAAATTTGAAAAAATGCTCAATTTTACTAATCATTAAAGAAATACAAATTGAAACCACAATGAGATACCATGTCACATCAGTAAGAATGGCTTTTATTAAAAAGTAAAAAAATAACAGATGCTGACAAGGTTGCAGAGAAAAGGGAATGCTTATACACTGCTGGTGGGAATGTAAAGTAATTCAGCCTTTGTGGAAAGCAGTGTGACAATTTCTCAAGGAACTTAAAGCAGAATTACCTTTTGAGCCAGCAATCCCATTACTGGGTATATACCCAAAGAAATATAAATTGTTCTACAAATAAAGGTATGCATGCTTATGTTCATCCCAGCAATATTCACAAACATGGAATCAATCTAAATGCCCATATGTTTCAGGATAAAGAAAATATGGTACATATACACCATGGAATACTATACAGCCATAAAAAGAAACAAGATCATGCCCTTTGCAGCAGCATGGGTGGAGCTGGAGGCCATTATCATGAGTGAACTAACACAGGAACGGAAAAGCAAGTAACAATGTTCTCATTTATAAGTGAAAGTTAAAATTGAGTATACATGGACATGAGAAGGGAACAACAGATTCCAGGGGCCTCCTTGAGGGTGGAAGGTGGGAGGAGGGTGAGGATCTAAACACTACCTATCAGGTACTATGCTTAGAAACTGAGTGACACAATAATCTGTACACCAAACCCCCATGACATGCAATTTACCCAAATAATAAACCTGCACATGTACCCCTAAACCTAAAATAAAAGTTAAACAAATGTGATATTAGATCACAAAACCAACAGAGTAACAGACGCTTTTCTATTCTCTTTGATTTTGAAAGTAATTAAGCTTGAATGAGTGGAGTAAATTATCCTATAGGGCACATTCTAGAGCCAAGGATGGCAGATTCTCATGTTTCTAACAGTAAAAAGAATGTCCAGTTTGGAAATTCAGTAACTACTGAAATATAGCAAGCACGATAGATTAAGGAGAGTTTTTCCCCTTCAGGCAATCATCTCCATCGTATTAGTAAAGAAATTTCATTTACTTTGGAGTCAATAAATTAAAAAGTTGTGTGGAAAACGTCACCCATAATACCATATTATGATACTAAAATCATGTTACCCTAAACAGAAGTTTATCAGTATCATAACACACCAGGGAGTACATTTTAGGTTACATTCACCTGTAATATTAATTGAGGAAATGTTCATTTATTCTCCTTTTATCTGTGTTTTATATTTTCAGAAAATTCCATTATGACATTATATAAAAAGTAATGTCACACTAAAGTATAGAAAATATATTTAGACATTTGATTGAAAAATTTGTGGACTTTTCATTTTCTAGCAAGCTTTCAAAGACATCAGCTGAAGTGTAATATCGCCCTGTAACCCAAGTGACTGGAGGCAGACCGTACCATTCTCAGTTCAGTGGGAAAGGGGAAACCTGTACAATGCGTCTAATTTGTAGCTGTGGTTTATTTCTTCTAAAACCTTTTAGACTACTTAGTTATATAAATTCTACTAAGTAAAATTTGCCTCTTCTATATATTTTCTTAATATTAAAAAACATATTCTGACAATAGAACTATAATGATGTTGAAAATAATGATTCTTCCAGAAAATATTAATAAAATTAATAACTGACCTGGCCAGTATCCTTTGTAGATTTTTGCACAATTAATCACAGGATCAAAAACAAAATGAAGCAAGAGAAAATTAAGATACTAATACTTACACATGGGCAAGGCTTGACTGCATCACTTGGAAAAAATCCAACCTCTCCAGATGCTAAATTTCTGCCCTAAGGAAAAAAAAAAAATGCCAGTGTTGAGAACAAATTTACCACAAATGATAACCCCATGATGCCCCATACATAGCACTGTTACTTAGGATCCTTAGAATTCCTTATGTGTTATATCCAGTCCTGAGCATTAACTTACTGTGGATCAGAAAAGGAAGCAAAAGCAGAGATAGTTTTCTTGGTTGTTCAACTTTACATGTGGTTTCAGGTCATGATCATAAAATAATTCAAGTTTATTTTTCAATCTACCCTTCAATTTTGTTAGCTTTATATCTCTCAATCCTATAGCACAGTGGACACCAACGTTTTTGGCCCCAGGGATGTGGGGTGAGGTGAGGTGGGTGCTGGGGGCGTGGCAGGTGGTTTCGGGAGGAAACTGTTCCACCTCAGGCATTAGACTCTCATAAAGGAAGTGCAACCTAGATCCCTCACATGCGCAGTTCACAGTCAAGTCTGCGCTCCTATGAGAATCTAATGCCGCCACTGATTTGACAGGAGGGGGAACTCAGGTAGTAACGCTTGCTCATTGGCAGCTCACCTCCTGCTGTGTGGCCCAGTTCCTAACAGGCCACAGTCTGGGGGTTGGGGACACCTACGATAGAGAGATAACAGCAGTTTCTATCTTTCACCTTTATATTCATTGGCATAAGCAGATCATATGAATTTTGTGAAGGCATATAATTATGAATTCCATATAAATGGATACTACCGGTCTAAGAGAAGACATGAGAATGTCTTTCTAGCAAGATGAGATTTCAAGATGTGAAAATAGAAAACAGTGAAATGTAAGTTTTGGATGATTTTCAGATTTAAGAAAAAGAAATAGGATACTTATTAACAGAAGAAGACCGTAAGATTTTGGAGAATAGGACTCTATTAGGTTGGTGCAAAAGTAATTGTGGTTTTTATCATTAAACTGCAAAAATACTAATACTTATTGAATCCTTAATATGTGCTAGACACTGCTCTGAGTGTTTTATTTAATCCTTGCTATGATCCTTTATGGTAGGTCCAATTACTATCCCCACATTACAGATGAGGAAAATGAGACACAGAGAAAGTAAATAATCTGCCCATGGTCACAGAGCTAACAAGTACAGAGCCATAAATCAAACTCAGATGTTCTAACTTCAGGGCTCTGCACTGCCTCTCTGTACAAGCATAATAGAGACTCATGAAGAAAGACAGTGGGACTTAAATATAAAAAGTAGTTAGGAAACAATTTGACAGTGATAGCTGAATTCTGTCATTGGTGATGGCATTTCTTTAAAGGTGTTGTATGTTTTAGAAGACTTAAACTTGCACCAATGTGGAATATGGCTCCTAGATGGGTCTCACTTTCGGAGTTGAGAATATCACAAGGAAACTGATCCCATGGTAAGGAAAGGAATTGGAGGGAGAGAAACACATGCTGAAGACACTATTTAACTAAGTCTGCTGAACTGGCCAGTGGATTAGATATGGGAAGAGAAGATGATCTGTTTCTGAGTTAAAGACTGGGAAAAGTATGAAGAATGGAGGTAGGAGGTGACTAGAGAATCCATCCATACAACACAGACTTAGATGACTTAGAGAGGAATCTGAAAATTGGAGCAAGGCTGCATCACTTGGAAAAAATGTAGAGAGAAGATAGAAGACAGAATTTACAGAAACTAGTGAAACAACAAGGCAGAAAGAAACGATCAGGAGAGAGAGGAATCAGAGACCTGGGAGGGATGGTAGCAGTAACTACAAGGTTGGGTGAACTGTTTGTTTCATTCAGCTGTGTTTATCAAGTGCTCTATAATGGTTTGTTTTCAGCAGGCAGTGAGATACAAGTAAATAAGTATGGTATTTGGGACTATACCACTAGCCAGACCTTTATATATAAACACACTACAATGCTACCTGAGTGCAAAATATAAAGGAGTGTGGTAGGAACCATACACTGATTAAGCTCAGAAGAGAAAAGAATAAGAATGCTTTAAAAAACAAACAAGACCTTTGAGAGTACATAAAGGAAATAAGTCTATTTTGCGAGGAAAGGCCAAAGAGAGAGCTCTGTAATGGTCTTTCCAAAGTGTATTTGAAGGTGTATCAACAAATTGGAAAATTATGGCTATTATAAATAGTAAACTGTCAACTTCCACTCTTCTTCAGAACAACAACAAAAGGCTTTAATCTATAGAATGCAGTGTACAGGAGAATAAGTGACATTTTGTGACAGTGTATGTTGGCCAATGTAATGCTATCTACTTTCTCAGAGCAAACCTGATGCAGAGCCCCTCATGTAAATTGATACCTTCATTCTGTTCCTCCTCCAAAACTCAGTTCACACATTACCTACTCTGTCATCTCTTCCCCAAGGAGCAGATCCCAGATTGAATCCCATGCACACCTTTCCATACCCTTGGTGATACATGAAGTAGTAGTGCTTTAGTAGTATTCACTCCTAGTAGTATATGTAATTATTGTTCAACATGGTCTTCTCTATTAATAGACTGTGAGTTCCTTGGCATAAGGGATAATCTCTCAGTCATTTTTGTATAACAAGATGTCAGACACAGAGTGGGCCCTTAATAAATGTTTCTAAGGGGAGATATAACTCAATCTGATAGTTCCCTGTCAATGAGGAGCATGGCCCTAAATTCCTCTTCATTAAAAAGAATAAAATAAAGCTATGTGCCACATGATGACATGTCAGTCAATGACTAACTTTATAATGATGGTGCTCCCATAAGATTATAATACCATACTTTTACTGTACTTTTTCTATGTTTAGATACACAAATGTTATAACTACCTACAATATTCAGTGCAGTAACATGCGATACAGGTTTGTAGCCTGGCAGCAAGAGGCTATACACGTAGCCTAGGTGTGTAGTAGGCTACACTATCTAGGTTTGTATAACTACACTCCATAACATTTACACAATGATGCATTTATTAGTATGTATCACTGTCATTAAGTAACTCATGACTATATGTCACTTTTTTTTTGTTCACACAGACAAGCACTGACAAGGATTAAGCTGACTGTTTCTATAGGAAAATATTCATATAGTGACATTCTTTGACCTGTCCCTGACATATTCTATAAGGACAGCGTTGGGGAGTGCAATGTCACAAAGCAGAGAAAAGAGGATGAGAACCCAAAGAATAAAAGAGTAGGAAAAAGAGATGAATTTTTTAGCTGATGAAAGTGTATGGACTGGCATAGTTGTTTCTTTCTTCCTTTGTAGAAACAGGTGTTCCACACAAAAGACATAAATGGGAACTGAAATCATACTAGAGGGGTAGAGGAAGAGACCGTGGTTGTATAAGAAATGCTCTAAAACTAGATGAACATATAATTTTCCATTCAAATCAGGACCTTTTGAGAGTAAATGGGTAGTGACTAATAACTATGCCAGAACAAATGGTATAAACTGAACTGTTCTGGGTAAACAAGTACACATGGTCATCATATCAAAACTCATTTTTTTTTTTTTACCTCTTTTAAAGGACACTCTTGGAGGTCCTTCAGGAGGGAAAAAATTTCACTAAACAGGCTGCCAATGTCATTCTGAATTGTTTTTTCCTTAATAAAATGCCCTAGCAGTTCAGGTCCCATTTCTTAAATGGTCATAGGCATTCTGTAGATGACAGAGAGGTGAGAGATAATTTAACCTATTTTAACGTATGAATAAAGTTACAATTACTTACTAATTCCTAGTCTTATCAGCTTTAGCTATATAATAACTTCTACTTATTAAAAAGATAGCTATCCTACAACATTTGGAGAATTCAAAACAAAGTAGTGTGTAGGAGGGCTTTCTTTGGTTTCTTGGTGGATGTGTGTGGGATGTACGTTGGTAATTCATTAATACTAATGGGTGGAGCAGCTGTCAATCCCCTATGCATGGATGAAATTGCAGACTGTAACTATGACATAGACCAACCTCAAATCCAATGATTTAGTGCACTTTATGTGATGATATGAGGTTTTTACTAACCTTGGTGAGAGACATGCAACTGAATTTCCTTCTTCTTTACATTACTCTGTGGGCATTTTATTCTGGGTCAGATAATCAGCTTGTCATCCCTTTTATGAGTATTACAAATGCCAAAGATAGGGAATCATCTTTTAGTTATCCTCCTGCCTCGTATTTGTTCTGTAAGTCCCTGAACATCTTCAAGGTCAACTTGAAAACATTCCTCTCTCATACTTAGGTGTCATCTGATATACCATACGGTGCTATCTTTATATGCATTTATTCTGCAGGGCATCTCTGTACTATGTGATGAGACTTTTGTAAATCTAACAGTACAGGTTGGGTCATTCTTATGAAAATACATTCTTTGGAAAGCACATGAGAAAATATCTTATGGGTACTATATGGTAAGAAAAAAATGCACCTGTATAATTTTCATTCAATTATCTGGAGCAGACATAAAGCAACATAATATTAAATTATAATTCATAAAATAACAATGCCTTTTTCCTGAAAAGCAATTTTTTTCCTGTAGAAAATGTATCAAACTAAAATTATTGACAACTTCTTCTGACATTCCCGAACATCACAAACATAAATGCATACTCTGGCACTTATTTATTTCTAACTGACCTTAGGTTTTAACTATTCTTCATTTTTCTTCAATAAGAATCCACACTGAATCATAATGAATTAAAACTACTTCAGGTTTGCTGGTAGAAATGATATTCACAATCTACCTGTACAGAGAAATACATTAAGGTATGCCAGGATGCTAGAGCTAAAACCTCATTTTTAAACCCACAGACAAGGATGGCTTAAAATGACAAAACATATCTTCTGAAAATCTTAATCATAAATTGCTTGGCTCCTAACTCTGTAAAAAGGAGAAAGAACTGCTTTGAGAAAAATACAGTGTCTCTTCCCTGTGGCTCATTTATCCCCTTAATACTACCTGGATTGGAGCCTTAATGCACTCCTGGAATAGCACTGAACAATTTGAAACAGATGTGGAAAGCTGAATGTAAAAGGGACAGATTAATGGTTATTTATGAACGATTGGAAATTCTCCCAAGTTACAATGCCCTAAACACTCTCAATGTATGCACGATGGTGCTGTGGAGATTACTAAGCAATTTATCACACATGGGTAATGGTCAGAGCGACTGTCACCCTGCCCAGTCACTTCCCGCTGTCAGAAATACACAGGTTGAGTGTTTGGGGAAAGAAGATGTACAGCATGGCCATGAATAATGGGAATATAGGTGAATACACTGTATACACAAATTAGTTTATTGATTGGATGGGCAGATGGAAGGAAGGAAGGATGGATGGAAAGATGAACACACTGTTTTTGGCATTATTCTGATGAAGTTTGTGAGGACATGCAATAAAAGAAAAAAACCAGCAAAGAGGAAGTGATCAGGAAAAGACCGAGTCAGAAACTAGCCTTTGGTAAGGAGAGATTTTTAATCACAGCTGCAGCCATATTGTAACCATCATCAGTTACATATACATAAGGGATAGTTCTTGGAAAACACACAAAGGCAGTATCATAGGATGTGTCATCAGAAGAGCTTGTTCTATTTCTAGCTCTGCTATAAAAAGATGTGCAACCTTTTGCAAGTTTCAGTGGTAAAACAGGGATGATGACAAGATCTGCCACACATCCCTCACTAGGTTGTTACAAGGATCAAAGAATTAATATGCATGAAAGTACTTTGCAAATGCTAAATACTTGTTTTATTTTATCTATAATATTGTTTCTTGATTATTGTCAATCACTTACTTCATTTCTAAGTTTTCCTTTTTTATTTGGCCCATTCATGTGTTATTAAAATAGAAATGTCTAATCCTATGTACAATCCTACCACTCTTTATATTTCAGTAAACTTGCTAAGCCGCAAGGAACATAGACTCTCATATCACTTTCACCTGAACGGGAACTATTATATTCCTGACAGTCCATTCCTTTACTCAAATGCTTTCTTGGCAGTACACATATTCTTTCATTGTTAATTGCTTCCTATATGATGAGTAAGATATGCATTTTCTATCAGTGAACACTTTGAAAACTTGCCAAGCCTACCTGCATATGGTTATATGATGGCCACTACCATTAATTCCAAAATACTCATGCACACATACAAAAGAACAAAACCATAAGCTATGCATTTTTGTTATTTCTTAGTCAAAAGGGGATATGATCCTTAACTTTTGTCCAATGTATAAACAGTGAAAGTTCATGAGGTTGTTCAAAAGACAGTACAAAATGTCCCTATCTCTGGCATAGTTCTCTTGTAAAGTGGCTGTCATTGGCTTAGAATTCTGAATAAGTCTAAGAAACTCATACCTTGGTCTAGGATCTCTGAAATTAAATTTACCTTCAATTTGTATGGGTTTATAATTGCATCGAGTCATCAAAATACATGACAAAGGCTTCAATTATAGTTGATGGTTTTTCCAATTCACACAAAATTGTGTTTATTACATCTCTGAAATTTTGGCAGATGGAAGTGTCAAAAACCCTTAAAAATTAAAAGTTGTGAAATGTATACTGAGAAAAAAAACCCACTAAAAGCCATAAGCTGTAGATTTGAGATGAATACAACACTGGAATGAGACTTCACCGAGTCTTTCTCCTGTTACTCAAAAATGTATTTGGTGAGGTCCCTGTGTTTCTGCAGCAAGAAAGGGAATCCTCTGATCATGGGTGTCTTAATGTTTTTTCTCCAAAGTCTCACTGGGTGGGATGTACATGATACAATCCTAAATTATAGTCTTATGACTGTGTGTGTGTGTGTGTGTGTGTGTGTGTGTGTGTGTGTGAAAGAAACAAGAGAATACCTTTAATGATAGAAAAAAAAAATTTGGCAACAAAAACCAGTCTACATGTAGGTAAGCCAAAACCCACGTTGTTACTCAATACAAAATCTGGAAAGAATCAGGTTCTACCATATCTTGGTGAGAAGCCATATAACCCAAAACCAATCCAGGCTTAACAAAGGTCCAAAGAAATTTGCTTTTCTAATACTGGCAGACAACAAATGAATGTTTTTCTATCCTTGGCAATTTTAATCATAACTAATTACAAAGAAAATATTCTGAGTCATAGCACCATAAACACTAAATGCTCATGGCAGCATGAGATATTTTTAAAGAATGTTACTTTTCTACTAAAAGCAAAAGTAGTGCTTTAAAGAAAAGTTTATTGACTTCCTAATATGCACAAGGCACTGTGTTACATACTAAGGAATTAAAAATGAATAGACGTGGACACAATCTTCAAGGATCTCATTCAGACAATGCCATTTCCTTAATTCACTTTTGCTTTGGTTATTTTCATAGATTTTTGTGATATTTTTGATCAGGAAAAAACCTGTGAGGTGATAATTTGATAGGATTAGGGAGTTGGGAGCCTGGGTTTTATTTTTGGCCTTCTGATCTTGAATAGGTCATTCAACCCTTCTTGGCTTCATTATCCTCACCTGTGAAACACAGAGCACGACCTAAGGATTTCCAATGTCTCGGCTACCACCAATGTTCTTTGCTTATATTATATAAGCACTTTTGCAATGCCCCCACAGTACTCCACTCAGTCATGGTTGGCCAAAAAACATTTGATCCACAAATTCTTAATTAGGGATGATGTGTGTCAGTAATTTAATCTTTTTTTTTTTTTTTTCTTTTTGGGACGGCATCTCACTCTGCTGCCCAGGCTGGAGTGCAATGGCGCGATCTCTGGATCTCTGCTCACTGCAACCTCCGCCTCCCGGGCTCAAGTAATTCTTCTGCCTCAGTCTCCCGAGTAGCTGGGATTACAGGCACATACCACCATGCCTGGCTAATCTTTGTATTTTTAGTAGAGATGGGGTTTCACCATGTTGGCCAGGCTGGTTTCAAACTCCTGACCTCAAATCATCCACTTGCCCCAGCCTCCCAAAGTGTTGGGATTACAGGCATGAGCCACTGTGCCAGGCCAGTAATTTAATCTGATAGCATTTATTTACAGAAGACAAGGACATTTCAGCTTCTTAGTGACGTTTTTAACTCAGTGTGAAGCGGTCTATTTTCCGAAGCACATAAAGGTTGATTTGTTAGAAATTGCATTCATTGATTCATTCTTCAGGAATTCAAATTATCATGAATAATTAAAATTCAATATATGCTATAATTTGATAAATTATTTGGCCACAACTCTTAAGGGCATGTGCACATGCATACTTTACTGAAACCACTTGCACCATCAAATCAATAATCACGTCAGATGGAATTCCAAATTCATGGCCCACTGAAAGTATTCTGTGATTGACACAAACTTTTAGTCATTATGGCAGAATGTAGCTTACATAGTAATAAAATAATGGAAGAAAAAGGACCACAACAGAATTTCTCAGAACTTTCTCCCATAATGTTACTCCCTTACCCTGCAGGAAAAAAAAAGAGATAATACTTCATTGTCTGAACTTCTACTTAGATGGCACTGTCCTCATCTAAGTATATTATAACCTACATTGCACTGTACCAAGTATTGGAAAAATACAAGAATTGTTAACCAAAAATGCCCATTTTGAGAATTAACAATTAGGACCTCACCCACTTTGTCAGGAGGCCTGCCAATTCCCATACTACAGTCTGTACACTTGGAAACATTCCTGCAAATTCAGTTTATGATCTATTTAATCAAAGCCAGTTGACAATCACCCAGGGAAAATGTTTCTTACAGGCCTTTACTAATGCCTATTATCTTCTATAATCATCTCTCCCAAGGCCTCCCTTGTTCTAGTGCAGTCACATACTGCCTTTTTCTCCTTTCCTGTAATTAGGGACTCTGATTTAACTCAGTATTTACAGGCAAATACCTGTCAAAATCAAGGTCTCATGATTACAGGACATACTAATGCCGACTGAGCCTCTACACTTTCACATAGCTTTTTATCCCCATGGCCACAGTTTCAATTCTGCCTTGGCTTCTACTGATTTTACTCAAGGGATGGGGTTAATAAATCAGTGGTAAGAGGCAGTTTAGAAGAAAAGCCAAGATGAACAGCGGGACACTGGGAAAACAAGCTCCAACACTGCCTTAAAAGGATCATTGCCATGATAAAATCTGAGTTTGAGACATCATGAAGAAATGCCCTTGGATAGGAATCTGAAGGGGAAAAACACTTACCAGTTCCAAGAAATGTTTACTCTCTGGTTTATAACCCAAAGCAATGAGTCTTTTGGTGTCCGGAATCAGTTTTCTTAACAAAGGAGATCTGATTCTTTCTTACATTTCTGTAATGTTCTTCTTTGACTCTGATGATGATGCAGACTAACACTTGAATTTTAGATCAGGAAGAAAAATACACAGCTTTAGAAAATTCTACTGGAGCTAATATTGTTGTGTGGTCTAGAAAGGATTAGAAGTCTCCTTTTAATCTAGGGCAAAGGAAAAGAATCCTTTGAAGTGACTGATTTCTGAAGTTTCAGGGAGAGGTGCTGGAGGGAAAGATCTACTAACTCCACTCAGCTGCACCTCCCTTCTCCAGGCTCAGAGGGTTTCTGGGTTGTGCGTTATTGCACAGATCACTTATGTTCTCAGTCACATTCCCTAGGCAGCGTTTGTTTTCTGTAAACCCCTATCTCTCTTTTTCCTTCCCCATCTCCATCACTCTCTGTGAGGTATCCTGGGTCTTCCTCAATCAAACCTGCTCTGAGAAAAGGGCTCATGATTTTTACCCTGATGATTATTTAAATCAACCAATCTCTTCAGAATTGATCATTTGCATTTTTATGTCTAATTATGAAGTAAAAGTTTAATCTCTGATTAAAGAAATTTCAAAAACTGGGTATGAGAATTGGGAAGGCAGAATAGTCTTCTATGAGACCATATGTGCCAGTGGGACTCTTCACATTAAATATTGGGAAGAGGAAACCTAAAAACAAAACCAGAAACAAAAAATACCTGATTATCATTTTTCCATTTCTGGAAAATAAAGCATGTCTTTCAAAATCATTAATCATTATACCCAAATACACTTTTTTCTCCTTTTCAATCTCTTTTCAAGTTTACTTCCTATGAGACTCACAACACTCCATGAGTCATTTAAGAATTAAAATCTCATTTTATAGAGGAGAAATTTGAGGAAACAATGTTAAGTAGTTTTAAAATTATTCTGAGAGAAAAAAGGCACATTTAAATCTGACAGATGAAAAAATACTTTAATGGTCTTTCAAATGACATCATAAAGTATAATTTAATAAACAATTCCTTTTAAAACTTGTAAATAACACCTTATGGAGATCACAACTCTAAATAGGCTTATTCATTCCAGACCTATGGACTGAATGCCTATTTTATTCTAGGAACTGAGATAAAGTAATGAAACCCATAGCTTTTATATTTCTGGAGTGCTCTAACCAGGCAGGAAGAAGGATAAAAAGACCCTTAGGACACAGTATGATGGGTGTTATGATAGAAGCCTTTTTGGTTCTGAGAAGACGTCAGAAAAGGCAACCCAGTATTGTGCCTTGATGATAAGGAAGGATTTAGCTGACAGAACGGGGGTGAAAGGGAAAACCAGGAAGAGGGTAACATATACATCAATGGTTGGAGGTTTGAGAAAACAGGTCTCCTGTGAAAAAGATCCCCCTAATCAGCCCTTCATTTTTCTATTCAGCTTAAAATGAAGAAAAAGTATCTGTAAAAAAAAGCAAGTCACCTGGACTGTTTGAAGACCAAATACAGCAGTCCTGTGGGAAGTAAAAATTATTGACAAGGTAAACTAAGACAAAGGCCAGCTTACAGAACATTCATCACCATTGTGTCTGGATGGCTGAGAGGATGGTAGCAGGGAATCCAGCACCTGGTTGCCCCTGGCCAAGTCAAGAGCCCACCAGCCCCCAGGTTCGTTGCCTCTGAAATCAGCATGACTAGAAATGCTTCCTTCCTCCTGAGAACCTCCAAGTTCTCTCTAAGCTCAACTTACTTTCTGACTTTTTATTTTCTGTGTGACTCTTCCTGTTACACAAAAAGTTATACATAAAGTGATGTTTTGTTTACTATTTTTTCTACCAAAAAATAACAAAACTGCCTTTAAAAGTGTGTTTTTCTTAGAGGTGTTAGAAAATTAAATGACTCTCCTAAAACAAAGTACAATGGTCTAATATATAGAACTAAAGTAGGGGACCACAAGTCTGAAAAGGACTCTAGTTTTAACTCTACAACTGCAATTTTATAAACAGGTCATAAATTTGGCCCTTTAAAGACACAGTTCTAAATGAAGGTAACATGATTTTCCATTTACCCTCTTTATGAAGACCTTGTGAATTAATCGGAATGTGTGTAAAAACATTTTCACTTCTTAGAATAAAGATCGTGTAGATGTATGATTAGTAAGCATGAAGTATCACAACTATTTTCTAAGTTATTTAACTTGCATTGTGGATAAAAATATATATTATTTTTGGCACTGATTACAGTTCTACTGCTTATAATTGCCTTTTGGTTCCAATTAGCTTACAAAACTCTCCCTGTGGAACATTTGGATATTCGTAAATGACAATGGAGCAAATAAAACCCCATGATATAAGACACAGAATCCTCACTGTTTCACAGTCTTTATTCTAAGAAGAAAACACATATTTCTATGTTTTCTATGCATTCTATTGTAATAGAAACCATAGATGACATGGCTTAATTTTACATTTGCCTGTTTCTCTGTCTTGCCCTCTCTTCCTTTGTGATAAGTATAGTTATCTTTTCTGGGAAAATAAAGTTTGTAATATGAACAATTTCTTCCAGCATGAAGGATATTCTCAGGAGTTACTAAGACTTTTTTATCACATATTGCAACAAAGACTTAAAAGCAACATGTTTATCATCATCAATTGGATGACACGATCAGAATTGTCCTGCATGTTGTTAGGCTTAGTAAAAACTATGCCTTACACCTGCACTAGAAAACGTGCCCCAAATGGCCAATTTCCTATTTTATATTCATTTCACTTGAAGGCAATTTTATAGAGCTTTCAAGGGAAGAGGAAGAAAAAAAGAAGAAGACAAAGAAGAAAAGAAAATGCTGCCAAAAGGAATCCTGAAATGCAAAGACTGAACAGAGTACATTTTTACAGCTCAATTGATAATTCATTGTTTGAAAGAAGTAATAATGAAAATGCAGATAGCCCATTCATTCAATAGCATCAGAAATTACTGTTGTTATAATAATAATACAGACTAAATTAATAGCTATTCAAAGAAAGAAAGTTCCTGATATATAGTAGAGGATAATTTGTATTCTCCTGACATAGAGTATGTGGAAAACATGACAGTCTACTACAAAATCTGACTTCCCACACTAATGAGTGAAGTCATCAACTTGCAAAAACAGAGAAAACAGGTCAGAAAGCATAACTTCTCAAAAATTTCCAAATAAGCCAAAGCACCTAACTAGTACAAAAGACATTTTTGAAATCAAATACAAAGCCATTGTAACATCTCGATAAGTTTTCTAGATTTTTATCTATAGGTTTAACGCTAGATATATTTGCAACAATATGATTTACAAAAACCTTAATTACAAAACTCAAAATGAAAACCAGGTGCATTACCTATCCTGAGTTCTGATCATTCCTTACATCATGGAGGCCTCCAGGTTAGAAACGGGTTCTCTAGTTTCTGGTTCTCCCAACATGAAACACAGTCAGTTACATAGTAGGCACTTTATAAGTATATGAATGGATGAATGGTAGGATAAAAAGATGGAAGAATGGATGGGAGGATGGATGGATGGATGGATGGATGGATGGATAGGAGCCACTATTTAATGGGCACTGTGCTAGAACTCCTTTGTGTATTTGCTTTATTTTGTATGCAGTGATTGTTACTTCCACTTGACAGATAAAACTGAGGCCCACTTCAGAGTAAGTAATCTATTTAAAGTCACACTGGTATAGATGGCAGAGTCAGTAACACTCAGCAAAATAAGCTATTATTTCCTAAACACATAACTTGCTTCTCCAGAGCTAAGTGTGTAGACTCTGAAGATTAGGAAGGAACCAAAAAGAGGTGCTTAAAAACTATGTTCTCAAAAACAATTAAAACACATTCCCAGTGGGGGAGTCACATATTTTAGGATTCAAGCCATAAAGTACATGTCTTCTTTGAGTATGAAAATCAGCAAATTAACATAAAAGGGGCCACTGTAAACATGCCTAAAAAAACACATGGCTTCAAAGGATCAACCAGTACATGATTCCACATTTAGACCCAATAAGGAGGAAAGGTCTTTGTTCAGAATTTTTTTAAAAACATGGCATTCCAGATTACGCCATTGAGTAAGTACAGATTCAACCCAGTTTCCTACATGTACCTTCCATATGTCCAGTCTATGAAACAAAAGCTAATTTAATCATGACAGCCTTGAAACATTGTAAGATCTTAAGTGCTTTTTTCAATTAGAGAAGACTATATCAAGTTCGGTACAAAGACTGTTTAGCAAGTGATTTTTTAAATCATACACTAATTTGTCAAAAAGGTACCCCTTATTTGGTAACTATCAAAGCCAAAGTATTGTAACACCTATTTTTTTTTGAGACATAAAATATACTGTTTTATTTACAGATATATAAAATTTATATTTATACTAAATGCATTGTTATCATAATACATTTAAATATGAGTATTACAATTTTATCACTAAACCTTTATAACTAAAATTGTAAACTTACTAAAATGCAGGCATAATACATGTTTAGCAGAGTCAGCTAACTGTTCCATGGTCCCTACACAGTACATTTGTAAGATTATATAACATTAAAACTGGTAAAAGAATAAGAAATTTGGAGACATCTAAATTTTCTCTTATTTTCTTCTTCCACTCTAGTATACTTTCTCTTTTTTAATTTTATTTTATTATTATTATACTTTTAAGTTTTAGGGTACATGTGCACAATGTACAGGTTAGTTACATATGTATACATGTGCCATGTTGGTGTGCTGCACCCATTAACTCGTCATTTAGCATTAGGTATATCTCCTAATGCTATCCCTCCCCCCTCCCCCCACCCCACAACAGGCCCCAGAGTGTGATGTTCCCCTTCCTGTGTCCATGTGTTCTCATTGTTCAATTCCCACCTATGAGTGAGAACATGCGGTGTTTGGTTTTTTGTCCTTGCGATAATTTGCTGAGAATGATTGTTTCCAGCTTCATCCTTGTCCCTACAAAGGACATGAACTCATCATTTTTTATGGCTGCATAGTATTTCATGGTGTATATCTGCCACATTTTCTTAATCCAGTCTATCATTGTTGGACATTTGGGTTGGTTCCAAGTCTTTGCTATTGTGAATAATGCCGCAATAAACATACGTGTGCATGTACCTTTATAGCAGCATGATTTATAATCTTTTGGGTATATACCCAGTAATGGGATTGCTGGGTCAAATGGTATTTCTAGTTCTAGATCCCTGAGGAATCACCACACTGACTTCCACAATGGTTGAACTAGTTTACAGTCCCACCAACAGTGTAAAAGTGTAACACCTTATTTTGTAGCTACGTTTAATAATACCAATTACCAACTGGTGAGCTGGGGATAGTGTCAAAATTACCATGGTCTCTTACCAATTAGATAATCAAATCAATGGCTCACATTAGATTCATCTGGGGTTTTATAAAATCTACTTATGCCTGGGCTCAACCAAGGCCATCTGTGTCTTAATCTCTGGAAGTGAGGCTGTGTGTTGACATTATTGCAAAGCTCCCCAGGTGATTCAGTCAGGGTGGTAAGCACTGCTCTGGTATAGCCCCACTCAGGTAATACATGAAGAAACTAAGCTACATAATGATTAAATGACTTGACCAAAGCCATATAGCTATTTGGCTACAGATACATGACTTGAATTTAGTTTTTCTCATACTGCCAGTGGTTCATTTCAATAAAACTAGCATTTGCTGGCTAAAAATTCTTTGATTGGCTTAGAAGTATCCATAACGCAATTCTGACCCAAGTTACATCTGTATGGGAAACACTAGATGAACTTTAAATATGTGTGCAAAAACTCAAACATATTACTGGCTGCTGGCAAGCAAAATGATTCTTCTAAAGACAGGAGACCTAATGTCAAACCAATGATAGGAACTGATAATTGAAGTGTTAGCAGTGTCTGAGTAGTGAACAGAGTTGGCACTCAATGCATACTTGCTATCTGAAATAAATGTGTTGTTTTTCTCTGTTCTAAACATTAGCCTTACTTGTTTCTAATCATTACATATACCCCAGACATACCCATATATATTGTCATCCATGGGTTCTCATTTCTCCTATGATTCTCCTAAGTGTCTCCAAAACCATTCTAATACTATACCAGAAAATCTTCAAGTTTATAGGCTGCTGAAAGGAAATGACAACTAATAATGTCTTTTTGTCTAGAAAGAATAGGAGGCAGTAGTATTTAGTAAAAAATGGCACTGGGCTAGTTGTCACAGAATCTCAATTATAGTTCTACTTTTAACATTATGTGGCTGTGAGGAATGAAGGAAATAATGAATCTCAAAACATGAAAATAATTGAAAGCACCATCTAAACCTGTGATAGGAAAAATTAGTGAATAAATGAAAAAAGATACTATACATAATTAAGTTTTACAAATCTAAGGTTTAAGAAAAAAAAGATGAAAAGAAACAGAGCTTGGTTAGAAAAATATGAATTCCAAAATTATCTTTCTAAAGCTAAATGCCTCTAAGCATACATTAGGCATGGTTCTAGGACTCCTGCATGACCTTCAGAGTGATCTCAAACACCACACTTTGCAAGCCACTTATACGCACCAAGATCTTCAACATTTTGTGTTTGGCTTGACTACTTCCTGTCTCTTTCTTTGTTGTGAAAAACTGATTGGCTTTCAGTGCCCTTGGAACAGCTCACAAAACCATTTTATTCTTAGGGCTGCTCATGCGGCTTCAAAATGTTTTCTGTCTGTGGCACACTGTTATTTTGGTATCCTGGTGAACCACACCTCCTGGTATTTGATTGGTATGGTCCCCTTCCTCTTGTATCTGGGCTGGCCATGTCTTGCTTTAACCAAAAAAAAGCGGCAAAAGTAATTCTGCACCAGCTCTGGTGTTTAGGCTTAAGAAGGTCCAGCAGTTTCCACTTTTACACTCTTGGGAGCCAGCTACCATATAGGAAGTCTAAGTACCCTGCGATCACCATGCTGTGAGGAAGATAAGGAACCACTGAAGAGGTCAACGTGCAGAAAGCCTCTGCTGAGTTCCTAGACAGAGGCTAACACTAACTGCCAATCCTGTGGACACGGGCATTCGAGACCTTACAGCTGCTCCCACCACCCCAACCATCAACTGAAGCAGAAGAACCACCTTATCACCCATAGCATTATGAGAAATAATAAACTGTTATATAATAATCACAAAACTGGGTAGGAAGAATCAATATTGTGAAAATGGCCATACTGCCCATGGTAATTTATAGATTCAATGCCATCCCCATCAAGCTACCAATGACTTTCTTCACAGAATTGGAAAAAACTACTTTAAAGCTCATATGGAACCAAAAAAGAGCCTGCATTGCCAAGTCAATCCTAAGCCAAAAGAACAAAGCTGGAGGCATCATGCTACCTGACTTCAAACTATACTACAAGGCTACAGTAACCAAAACAGCATGGTACTGGTACCAAAACAGTGAGATAGACCAATGGAACAGAACAGAGCCCTCAAAAATAATGCCACATATCTACAACCATCTGATCTTTGACAAACCTGACAAAAAGAAGAAATAGGGAAATGATTCCCTATTTAATAAATGGTGCTGGGAAAACTGGCTAGCCATATGTAGAAAGCTGAAACTGGATCCCTTCCTTACACCTTACACAAAAATTAATTCAAGATGGATTAAAGACTTACATGTTAGACCTAAAACCATAAAAACCCTAGAAGAAAACCTAGGCAATACCATTCAGGACATAGGTATGGGCAAGGACTTCATGTCTAAAACACCAAAAGCAATGGCAATGAAAGCCAAAATTGACAAATGGGATCTAATTAAACTAAAGAGCTTCTGCACAGCAAAAGAAACTACCATCAGAGTGAACAGGCAACCTACAACATGGGAGAAAATTTTTGCAATCTACTCATCTGACAAAGGGCTAATATCCAGAATCTACAATGAACTCAAACAAATTTACAAGAAAAAAACAAACAACCCCATGAAAAAGTGGGCAAAGGATATGAACAGACACTTCTCAAAAGACATTTATGCAGCTGAAAGACACATGAAAAAATGCTCATCATCACTTGCCATCAGAGAAATGCAAATCAAAACCACAACGAGATACCATCTCACACCAGTTAGAATGGCAATCATTAAAAAGTCAGGAAACAACAGGTGCTGGAGAGGATGTGGAGAAATAGGAACACTTTTACACTGTTGGTGGGACTGTAAACTAGTTCAACCATTGTGGAAGTCAGTGTGGCGATTCCTCAGGGATCTAGAACTAGAAATACCATTTGACCCAGCAATCCCATTACTGGGTATATACCCAAAGAATTATAAATCATGCTGCTATAAAGACACATGCACATGTATGTTTATTGCATCACTATTCACAATAGCAAAGACTTGGAACCAACCCAAATGTCCAACAATGATAGACTGGATTAAGAAAATGTAGCAGATATACACCAAGGAATACTATGCAGCCATAAAAAATGATGAGTTCATGTCCTTTGTAGGGACAAGGATGAAGCTGGAAACAATCATTCTCAGCAAATTATCGCAAGGACAAAAAACCAAACACCGCATGTTCTCACTCATAGGTGGGAATTGAACAATGAGAACACATGGACACAGGAAGGGGAACATCACACACTGGGGCCTGTTGTGGGGTGGGGGGAGGGGGGAGGGATAGCATTAGGAAATACACCTAATGTTAAATGAGAAGTTAATGGGTGCAGCACACAAACATGGCACATGTATACATATGTAACAAACCTGCACGTTGTGCACACGTACCCTAAAACTTAAAGTATAATAAAATAAATTTTTTAAAAAATCACAAAACTGAAACACTGCCACAAATTTGATGGTGACAGTGAAAGAAACTCACAAAACTAGTTTCTTTAATTAGCATAAAGACAGCCACCATCCCAATATCCCTAAGGTGCATGAAGTTTAGGAAGGCAGCATGAGCTTCATCATAAATAACATGATTGTAAAAGAAGTGCTAGAGCGTAATAGTAAAGAGATTGGACTCTTGGCCGGAATTCCTATGTCCGAATAACAGCTCTGCTAAGTTACTAGCTGTGTGTCTTTGGGCAGACTATTCAACCTCACAGTGCCTCAGTTCACTCATCTATAAATTGAGGATAATAATAGTAATTCATTTTATAGAATTTTCATTAGTATCATGGGTATTAACAAAGATATTCTTAAAACTCTACCTTGTACATAAAAATGCATAGTGAACATTAGTTGTTGGTGCTATTGTTGTCATCATTACTATAAGGAAAGAATAAATAAGAGGCAATTCTGCCTGGTTAGAAGGAAGACACTGAAAGACTTTAACAAGAAATTATGGAATTGCATTTGAATTTTGCAGTGATGTGGATTATGGCCACAATAAACCATAAGATTCTGGAGGTGAGATCAGTTAGAAGGTAATCTCAGATATCATGCAACAGCAGATTAGAATAGAAACTCCACAGTGGAGATGGGCCATAAAATAATTCTAAATATGTCTGGGCAATCCCTAAATATTTCAAAGCTAATTAATGTATTCCTAAGCAATCTATAAGAAGAAACTGAAAGAGCAATTAGAAAGTACAGATGCTCCTTGACTTATAATGGGGTTATGCCCTGATAAACCCACTGAATATTGAAAATATCATAAGTCAAAAATGCATTTAATACACCTACTGTACTGAACATCATAGCTTAGCCTAGCCTACCTTAAACATGCTCAAAATAATTATATTAGCCCACAGTTGGGCAAAATAATACAACACAAAGTTTATTTTATAATAAAATATTGAAAACTGATATAATTTATTGAATACTGTACTGAAAGTGAAAAACAGAATGGTTGCATGGGCCCTCCAAGTATAGTTTCTACTGCATGTGTATCATTTTTACACCATCATAAAATTGAAAAATCATTAAATCAAACCATCATAAGGCAAGGACCATCTGTATTTTGAACTGACTGAAAATGAAAATAAACAGCTTTGCAAAATTTTGGGAAGGCAGCAAAGTAGCACTTAGAAAGAAATTTGCAGTACTAACTAACTATACTAGCAAAAGAAAGGAAAGTACACAAATCAGTGAGCAAACACCCTACCTTAACGAACTAGCAAAAGAAGAGCAAATTAAGCCCAAAAGAATAGAAAGAAAGTAATAAAAATCAGAGCAGAAATCGATGATAGGGGAAAAAAACAATAGAACCAATAAAGCCAAAATCTGGTTCTATTAGAAGATCAATAAAATGCATACCTATCTAGTCGGGCTGACCAGGCAAAAAGAGATACATTACTGATATCGGGAATGAGATGGATAATACAACCACAGATTCTATAGACATTAAAAGGATAATGAAGAAATATTATGAATAAAAATTCATGCCATTAAATTTGACAACTTAGACAAAATGGACAAATTCCTTGAAAACCACAATCTACCAAACTCACTCGAGGAGAAGAAGCAAGTAACCTGAATAGCCATATGTTTGTTTTATAATTTTTTTTTTTTAAACTTCTAGGCCAGGCGTGCTGACTCACGCCTGTAATCCTAGCACTTTGGGAGGCTGAGGAGGGCAGATCACTTGAGGTCAGGAGTTTGAGACCAGCCTGGGCAACATGGTGAAACTTCATTTCTACTAAAAGTACAAAAATTAGCCGGGCATGGTGACGTTCACCTGTAATCCCAGCTACTCATGTGGCTGAGGCACGGTAATTGCTTGAACCTAGGAGGCAGAGGCTGCAATGAGCCGTGATCCCGCCGCTGCACTCCAGCCTCTCCAGCCTGGGCAACAGAGCGAGACTCCGTCTCAAAATAAACAAACAAACAACAAAACAAAACCTTCCACTAAGGAAACTCTAGGCCTAGATAGCTTCCCTAGTAAATTCTACGACACACTTCAGGAAGAAATAATGCTAATTCTATAAATCTCTTTTAGAAAGTTGAAGAGAAGGGACTAGATCCCAATTCATTCCTTGAACATTACATTATTATCCAAACCAGACAAAGGTATTACATGAAAATGAAACAATATATAAAAAAGATAATATATAATTGCCACTTGGGATTTAATCATAGAAAATAAATATTGATTTAACATATGAAAGTCAAATTTGCCGCATTAATAAAAACAAAAATTATATCATCATTTCAATGGATGCAGAAGAGCATTTGAGAAAAATCTGACATCTATTACTGATGAAAACTTGCAGCAAACTAGGAATAGAAGGCAATGTCCTCAACTTAATGAAGGGCATTTATGAGAAACTACAGATAATGTCATACTTAATGGTAAGAGACTTAATGTTTTTCCTCTAAGATCTGGAATAAGGCAAGGATATACTCTCTCATGACTTCTATTTGACATTTTACTGGACATTCTAGCCATTGCTACAAGTCAAGAAAAAGAAATAAAAGGCAATCAGATTGCAAAGGAAGAATAAAACATGGTGTCTATATTACAAAATCTGCTGGACTCTACAAAAGGAAAGCTACAAGAACAACTGAATTTAATAAGAGTTAAAGAATAAGAGATCAACATACAAAAATCAATTGTATTTCTATATCTCACAATGAACAACATAAATTAAAATATTAAAACTCATTTATAATAGCATCAAAATGAAATATGAAATAATTACAGATAAATATGACAAAAGATGTATATGACCTTAACTCTGAAAACTGCAAAACACTTCTGAGAATTAAAGACCTAAATAAATGAGGAGTATAGTATGTTCAGTGATTAGAAGACTCAGTCTTGTTAGGATGTCAATTTTCCTATATTGATCTACAATTCAATGAGATTCCAATCAAAATCTCAACAAGCTTTTTTATTGGTGAAGTTGACAAGGTGATCGCAAAATTCATTTGACATGCAAAGGACCAAGGAAACCCAAAACACCTATGAAAAAAGGAAAAGAACAAATTTGGACTAACATTGTCTGACTTCAGGACGTCTTATTAGCTACAGTAATCAAGACAGCATCACATTGGTACAAAGATGGACAAAGAAATCAATGTAACAAAATAACAGTCCAGAAACAGACCTACATATACATATATATGAAGATATATATACACACACATATAGATACACACACATATAAAGATACACACACACGGCATATATACACATAAAGATATATATATACACACACATATATAGTACATATAAATATATGTGCACATACACATAAAGATATATATACACACATATGTATGGACAACACATTATCTACAAACTTACAAAGGCAATCCAGTGGAGAAATAATTGCGTTTTCAACAAATGCTGCTGGAGCACCTAGATATCCACATGTAAAAAAACCTTAGTACCATATACAAAAAAAAACCTCAAAATGAATCATAAATCTAAATGTAAAACCTAAAACTATAAGCCTTCTAGAAGATAACAAAGGAGAATGTCTTTGTAACTTTGGGGTAGGCAAAGATTTGTTAGATGTAATACCTTTAGCATGATCCATATAAAGAACAAATTAACAAACTGGACTACATCAAAGGTAAAAACTTCTGTTCTATGTATAACATTATCAAGAGAATAAAAAAAAAGCCACAGATTAGGAGAAGCATATGGAAATAAAATATTTTATGAAGGACTTTTACCCAAAATATCTAGGGAGCTCTCAAAGCCAAATAATAAAAAAATGCATGGCTCATTAAAAAGCTGACAAAATATTTGAACAAGCACTTCACCAGCAAAGTTATATAGATGGTAAACAAGCACACAAAAAGATGTTCAACATTATTAATGAATTAATGATTAAAGAAATGCAAATCAAAACTGCAATGAGACACCACTATATACCTGCTAGAATAAATAAAATTTAAAAGACTGGCTCATGCTTGTAATCCTAGCTACTTGGCAGGCTGAAGTGGGAGGGATGCTTGAGGCCAGGAGTTTGAGAATAGCCTGGGCAACTTAGCTAGACACTATCTCTAAAAAATTAGCCAGGCATGGTGATACATGCCTGTTGTTCCAACTACTCAGGAGGCTGAGATGGGAAGATGGCTTGAGCCCAGGAGTTTGAGGCTACAGTGAGCTACGATTGTAGTACCACACACTCCAGCCTGGGCAACAGAGGAAGACCCTGTATTTAAAAAAAAAAAAAAAAGAATGACCACACCAAATGTTGGCAAGGATAAGAGGCACCTAAAACTCACAAATACAGTTGGGAGAAATGTAACATGGTATAGGCACTTTGAGTAACAATTTAATAATTTCTCAAAAACTTAAATGTATATCTACATATGATCTATATATTCCCCTCTTGGCATTAGTATCTAAGAAAAATAAAAGCATTATGTCCATACAAAGAATTATATTTGAATGTTCATAGAAGCTTTATTTGCAATAGCCAAAAACTAGTGGCAACCTGAAAGTCCATCAACAGGTTAACGGGTAAACAAATTGTGCTATCTCCACACATGGAACGATAATCAGCGATAAAAAGAAAGAACTATCATTACACATAACAACGTGATGGAATCTCAAGATAATCATGTTGTGTGAAATAAGCCATACAAAAAACAATATATGCTATGTGATGCACATCAAATTCTAAAAAAATACAAACTCATCTCCAGTCTGAAAGCAGAACAGTGGTTGCTGAGGGTTGTTGCGCAAGGCGGAACAAAGCAACAGGAAGGAGCATGATGGAGGGATTACCAAGGGGCACAAAAACTTTTAGGGATGATATTGGATATGTTTATTATCCTGATTATAGTGATAGTTTCACTTATATATATGTATGTACGTATGTGTGTGTTCAAACTTATCAAATTGTACACTTAAACTATGCACAGTTTACCATCCATCTCAAAGCTGTTTTTATATAAAGTTGCACTAATGATCCAAGAAGGAGTAGTTTCTGCAAGAGGCTGGCTTATGAATAGGACATGGAGTGGTAGAAAGTGAGCATAGACTACTTCCCCAACAAGCTTAGCTTTGGTTGTGGAGAGGAAGAGGGTGAAAGAGTGTCTGGCATGACCAGACAAAAGGCTGAGTTATGTGTTTAATATGGGAGGAGACTGAGCATATTTATATACTATAGAAAATGAGCCAGTGGAGAGAATGAAGTTGAAAATTTAGGAGTCAAAAGCCAGCTGATGGAATACGGGATAAAAAGTCCAAGAAGAAAGATAAGTCTTGAATGTGAGGAACCTTATGGCTACAAATGCAAGTATGTTTTCTGGTTAAGCTGACAGACACAGAAGTGGTCTGAAGAGGTGGTAGAATTCAAGTCTGTTGTTCTCTCTTTTCTTTTTCTGGGAAGGATGAAGTTTGGAAGGAGTGGGATACTTAAGAAGAATGGTGGAGCTTTGGAAAAATCACTGGCTACCACAATTGAAATGGTGGTTAGAGACAAACGTTCAATCTTTGGGCATTCTTATATAACAAGATGACAGACAATAAAATAGATGTAAGCAAATAAAATAGCTGTCCCTTCTGCATGTGCACAATTGATTATTATCCAACAGTCTTTTCTCTGATTTCTCTCTTTTTACCTCTAACCACATTTCACTCGTGATAACCTTTCTGTTGGTCCTCACTTATTTTTCCCTCAATGCACAATAGATTTTTTAACGAATTCTTTCCTCAACATCATTGGGAAATATTTCTAACATACACATGAAATTCGAGAATTTAATGAACAGCTTTACTCAATCTTAACATAATACCATATTTACCTAAGTTCAAAAAAAGTTTCAACCAAATAAAAAGGTCCACCGGCCAAGAGAGATTTCATCATGGGCAAACATCAACATGCTCACTTACTTTTCACATTTCATAGATTTTATGAATAATGCCCAGAGCACCTCTGAGAACTCCAGGTATTACTGTGGGTAGGTAAAAAGCAAATATGGTCAGAAATGGCCACAGGCAAGCTAATTAGGTAGTTCCCCTGAAGTGAACTGTTAATATATTAAAGCCATGCAAATTAGATCATACCCAGAGGTCCTCGGTTTGGAAAAAATGCTCTGGTAAAGTAGGAATTTTTAATAAAAATGATAATTATGACCCCACAGCACTGATAGTATTTTTCTCTAGTGTTCCAATTTTTGTTGCAACTTTGGCATTAGTAAATATAAAAAAGGTTAATAAAAAATATTTTCCGCATATCATGTAAAGTTTCTGAAGCTGAAAGCATGCAGTTTCTAAAGACAAGAGTCATTTTTCTTTAAGCAGTAATAAATCATGCATTAAATCTAACAAACTGTAATTCGGATAGTGTCAGAGGCGTGTGAACCAGAGCAACTCCATCTTAAATGGGAGCTGGGCAAAATGAGGCTGAAACCTACTCGACTGCATTCCCTGACAATTAAGGCATTCTAAGTCACAGTATGAGATAGGAGGTTGGCACAAGATACAGGTCATAAAGACCTTGCTGATAAAACAGGTTGCAGTAAAGAAGCCGGCTAAATCCTACCAAAACCAAGTGACCTCTGGTCGTCCTCACTACTACATTCCCATCAGCACCATGACAGTTTACAAATGCCATGGCAACGTCAGGAAGTTACCCAATATGATCTAAAAAGGGGAGACATGAATAATCCACCCCTTGTTTAATATTTCATCAAGAAATAACCATAAAAATGGGCAACCAGCAACCCTCGGGGCTGCTCTGTCTATGGAGTAGCCATTCTTTTATTCCTTTACTTTCTTAATCAACTTGCTTTTGCTTTGCACTGTGGACTCGCCCTGAATTCCTTCTTGGGCAAGATTTAAGAACCCTCTCTTGGGGTCTGCATCAGGACCCCTTTCCTGCAACAACAGTACCTGCCAAAACAGACTGTGTGCATCTCCTTTCAGAAGTTCAACGGTATCCCCGGCCTGGAGCTGTAAAGGGGGTCCTTCATGCAGAGCTGGGGGTGGTGTTCCAGAATAGTTCCTAATGACCTGCATCTTTGGTAAACCTGAAAATAAGCCAAACAAGTTTTAGAATTGAGAAAACAATGATGCATGAAGTCTACATGAACTTTACAAAAAATGTCATTATTAACATTAAAAAGTGTTAATACCACCAAGTCCAAGTAAACATTTTAAGTAACTATAATAGAATGATTTTCAACTTTCTCATTATATGAGATGGTAATAGAATAAGACACATATTTATCCCATGATCCCTGACATAGTTTTCCTCTCCCTTACCATCAATCTCTTTTTTAGTTGAAAAAATATTTCTCCTTCAGCTGATGCCTGCTTCATAAAAAACACATCACGTACAGTTTAATGGAAAAGAATCAATTTTTTCATCAACTCTATCCTTTCTGCCTATTACTTTCCTCTTGGGCACTGGCTGATTTCATCACTGAGGAGGCTCATCCTTTCTGTGTATGTATCACATTGCCCAGTATATGGATCATATCTTAAGGTTATCTTTGTAATTCAAAAGCAAAAAGGTGATGGATGTGCCACTGCAATACTTAAGACATTCATATGGAGAAACTCTTCAGGCTCAAATTTAGGCTTGCAAAACAGACCCAATAAAGGGAATATGTCTAAGCCAATAGCACCAATGATATTTGAAATACAGATCCATTCCTTCTCTTTGTATTTCTTTGAATGTGCAATGAAGGCCTCAGTTCACGATTTCATTTTTGAGAGAACAGCAGCTTCAATTGAACATGGGTCTAGGTGCAGCAATACTGGTCACAATGGACAACCTCACAGTCACTTATTCATTTACAGGTGAAACTGCTCCCAACTAAGAGAGGTCCACTCATAAACATGATATTTTTTGCACATTTAAGGACTGAAGCCTTTATTAAGCTTCAGGACTTTTTATTCTAATGATTAACCATGGTGAAGCTGTAACTGGCTGAAAATGCTGCACTAAACATGTAAAGAAGGATGAATGACTGTCATTCAGTTCTAGATGTCCAAGTTACCTAGAAAACTCTCAAAAGCTACATGAAATGCTTCAGCAAACAGTTTATTAAAGTCCTCAAAATTCTTTTGAACAACATGCCAGAGGGAGAAAAACAAGTGTGGCTATAAACTGAACAGACTAGAAAAGTTTTAGTCAACACTTGTTTATCAATCCAATCAGGAGGCAGAGGTTGAAAAACACTGTGCCCTTCACCCCAGTTTAGCTGCTGGGACTGCTGAGGCTTGTCAGGAGTTGCTACATCCTCCTTTGCTTCTGTTCTTGTGCCGCAGAACCCCCAGAGGGATGATTTTAATCTCACATTCATGGAGCATTTCCCTACCAGATGTTATAAGGTCTCACCCTAACACCAACAGCAGATTTCATTGACTTTCCCCTAAACAACACTCTATAAGAGAACTCCTCTCAGTTAAATGTTTAACAGACTTGCTCTCAATACACTGCAAATGCCTTTAGTATAGAGAGTTTATTTTACATATTCTATTAAGTTGCTACTGCTAATTTAAAATGAAACCTAAATATCCCATACACAAGTGATTAAGAACTCCAACAGGTGGAAGAGGATGTAATATAAAGTGGAATAATTTTTTAAATGGAGTCTGGTTTGCATGATAGTTAACTCCGTGTTTAAGGGAGAGAATTGCAGTTCACCTCCTTTTTATTGAGCATACCTAGGGCAAGGAAAGCATCTTGTTTGGTAGACTCCCTGGGTAATTTTGTTTTTCTGACAGTTTTAAATATAGGCGGAAGTCAAGAAAGAAGATCTTTTAAACCTCAAAGAGCTGATGTGGTCTCAAATACTGGGGCCAGTTCTGAGCCGTGGACTTCACTGCAGTTTTCTGTTGCCAAGAGCCACAGGGATAAAAAGGGAGCAGCGTCATGTGACAAATGATGGAAAGAGCTGTTTCTTTATTGCCAACATGCCCAAGTCAATCATTCTTAAGAAGAAACAACTGAAAATTCACAGAGTGTTTAGGAAAAAATTAACTTTGATGACATTTCACCACCCAAATATATATTAGGGATTAAAATACAGAAATGCCCAGGCTCCATAAGAGGCTGTAAGGTGTTAGGGATGGAGCAATGCTGCCTCATATGTCTTTCTGTAGATGGACTGGAATGCCCACCACATGCCCATAACATGTAAAATTATATTTAACATTACAAAGGGTACATACTAGTGTATACACTAGTATGTATACACTAGTATACTCTGTATACTCGAGTATACAGAGTATACACTAGTATACTCTGGTCAAGTAATAGGACTTAGCTATTCTAGCTTTTCTAGTCCCACTTATTCCTAAGTTTTTTATTTACTCTATCTTTTCTGGTATTGCTTTCTTCTTGGTTATGAGCTTCATTTAAGAAGTTCACCTAGTAGCACACTACTATAGGTATGTTGCTGACCTCTTCCCCAAAGCAAAAATGTGTAACCCTTGCCAAGAATTATGCTTAAGCCCAGGAAATAGCCACTAGGACATTGTCATTAACCTCTATTCAGCCATAATCAACTTACAAAGTATAGTGTTTCTTCAACTCATATGGTTTTTTGTGGAATGGGTTGTGAGTTTATGATATAATGGAATGTATTTTTTTTTTTTTTGGTCATTTGTTAGGGTTATCTTTGGCAATTTATTTCTTACTGTCAGCACTTCCAATTTCAGCATGATCTGTTGTCAGGGGTACAGAGATCAAAGGATAAAAGGAATGAAACAAGGGCACAGCGATATAATGAATTCTGACAACTTGCTCTTTGCTTCTGATTTTAGCATATAGTAGGTGTTCTACAATACAGGTGGGATAAATGGTTGCTATCCAAAATGCCCTTTAATATCTTTCCACTTATGAAAAAGGCACCATTACATTGCTAAGAATGTGAACACACTCACATTAACTGGAAGACAAAAAATTGCGATTAAGAGGAAATGGGTTAAACCTGACGTCAGCATTCAATCATCAATAAAATTCTTAACACAATCTACTGCCACAGAAGGCATCACACTTCACAAATGAGATCAAGAACGGAGAATAAATTAGATTTACAGATGTTCATATTTCGAACAGTCATTTAGTATTAATTTAATATAGGTTTTCTTCTCCCCTTAGAAAATATGCCTCTGATAGGTTTTTAACCTCTGTTTAAAAATGTCCAGGGCAGAACATTCACCACACATCCCCATGACAACTCAGTCATTGTTGCAGAGTTTATTAATAAGGTCTTCTTGAAACTTACTTAAAAATCTCTACGTAACTTCTCTCCATTGACCTACTGCCTTCCATCTGGAATTATGCTGAAGATGGCAAATCTCCTTTTCATAGATTAGTCTTTCAAAATTTGTTCAGGCTTAAAATCACCAGTTCCTTAAAAAACTCCATATTTTCCCTTGGCTACCATACTTCAAAGGATGCTGAGGTGCAAAGTAGCGTAAACTACAAAACTTGAACTCTAAGTTTCCTCACTGGCAGTGATTAATTGGAAACAGACAGTCATATTCCTTAAAAAATGACAAGAAATACACATTTCATTATATTATAAACTCACAACTAATCTCAGAAAGTTGCTTCTCTCTTCTTGGGAAAATACAGACCCAACAATTGTTTAGTTTCTCTCCACTCCAGAATTTATTTACAACAGATGTGTTAGCTGAGTTACAGTGTTGCTCACCCAAATATGAATATTTATATTGCAACTACCTTCAGACATTAAATGCAAAATAATCACATGTACTTTCACCATATGTATTTGGGCAATCTTAGAAGTTCCTAAAACTTTTATATAATCAATTATAATTATCCAAGAGAATATGATTAAAATACTAAGCCAAAATTAGATCTCCTGCCAGATGTTTAATTATTTTACCTTGTTTTATCCCCTACAACAAAAGCTTTGTTGTACAGCTAACTATGCCCTTAATATATAACTTGACAATTTTGCTCATTAACTTTTGCTCACATTAGTAATTGTGCTTGGTCTTACATCAGACAAAATGCCCAAGTCAAACTTATGCAGGAGGAATTAACAAACAAATTAGCAATATTAAAAGGATAGTTACACTCTACTAATAGTCGTGTGTTTCTGGTTAAATAAAACTAAAGCTACATGTAGGTATGCAGAATGCTGGAGTTTCCCAAAACAATACAGAAGTGTTTTTAAAAGGGGGACCTGAAACAAAATTTCCTTTCAAATCTGAATTTAGTACCGCTAAGAGTGACACACTCCAAATGACACATGTGCTTTTTTTAAAAGTTAATTCTAAGTAGAACCCTATTAGAAAATTTTCTAGATATAAATTGTTTCACTGATAATTTTCACATAAACTTTCAAACTTCAATGAACTGAACAGCTAATTATAGGAGCATCAACCACTGTGTCTTCCAAGCAGGGCAAGAAGAGCGATTGCTACAACATAGATTAGTATCTATTCATGATGCTGTTATCACTGCCCTAATGCAATGGGCTTCCCCGAGGCAATAACTTAGAGGAGAGTACTGCCTACTAGATAAATGGGCTGTAGGTAATATGCTAGCCTTTCACCTCTGAGGCCCAATTTAAAATCTAAACACAGCCACATTAAAAAATAATTAGTTTTACAAGATATCAGAACATGTAGATGTTTTATCCTGGGAAACTGATCACAAGCATAACATATTAATTCATTCATCAAATGTGACTTCAGCATTCCATAAGTGCTGGGCATGGCAGTTTCAGAAGAAAGCAAGGGAAAGTATCCTGCCTTCAAACAGCCTATAGTCAGTCCATGGAATAGACAGACAGGTGAACTCTGAGATAACAATACAACTGGGCATGGACCTCCATCCAGAGGGAACTTTAAAACAAATAAATGTTCATATCTATAAAAATTTTCAGAAATTTTCCTTTCATAATTCTTGGGTAGGACCCTAAAACATGTACATTATTTTTTCTATAAATTTCCTAGGTGTGACATCCAAACTCTAGCCAAGTTTGGGAATCACATTCTTGTGGGTACATGTGCAAAACACCATGACCAACACCTACCACTGCCAAATTTGCTTTTGAGAAAATTACAGTGAAATAAGTGCTGCCTGTCATCCTCCCAACTAAAAAACCCTTTATAAATTAACATCTGGACCTTTCCTGATACAAGTTCACAATCTAAGAATCAGGTCCTAAGAATCAGGTTGAGCCTGGGATGCTAGGTGCTGGGATTCCCCTGACATCACAGCTTATAGGGCTCTTTCTAAGAAAGCATGACTTTTTCATTGATCTGCTGGTCTTCAGAGAGGAGTAAAAGGAACCACGGCATAGAATTTTGGTGGAAAAATTCCATGCTACAACAGAAGCAGGCAATTTGGTGGAAAACAAACTGGTCTAAAGAACTGACTGTTCACAAAGGGAACACTCCCCATCAATAATTTTTAAAATTTTCACCAGAGAAGCCTACATTATTTTTATAAACAATGATGACTCAAATAATGGAAATAGCACTGTCACAGCTCATATAAAAACAAGGATGAGGCAGAGATGCCTTCCTTCAACTTCATAACCACTGACTAGTCACTCTTTGGCACTGTCTACTGGAGTATTAGTGAATCATGAATCAAGGATGAAAGATATGATAATGTCTTTGGAAGTTTTTTTCACCTTTATTAAAAAGGTGTTTATAGGCTACCAAATATAAAATAACTATAAAATTTCATGTGTTACTTGAAAATCCATGCAAATTTAACATTCTGTTCTGTTATACATGTACATTTTATTGGAAAAAATGTTTCCCTAAAATATTTAAGGTCAAAGCTTCAGGAGAAAATGCCATGTACTTGGCAGACCCCTGGCAAACAGCTATTCCCAGGGATGTAAGGAATCCAGTTTCAGAAGCATAGCCCTGAGCTATCTTATCATCTTCTTTAAAGATAGAAAAAGAACACAATTACACAATTTTACAGAGTATTGTCACCTAGTCTAACCACCTTATTTGTCACATTATAAAACTAAATACTAAAATAAATTGTCTAAAGTCAACAGCTAATCAGAAGCAAAAATGGAACAAAAATCCAATTTATAGACTCTTAGTTCAGGCTTCCCTACTTCAGGTTGGTCATTCTATGCAACCTACAGGGAATGAGACTGGTAGAAAAGAGGCCACTTGACATGGCTGATGTATGTTTCAGGATGATCTGAGTACCCGCCACATGTCTGGTGTTATCTTGGGAAGCAGGAAAGGAGGAGGTAGAACTTTTCTTCAAGTGGTGAACAACTGAGAGCTCACCAATACTAGGCAAATTCCAGGAGGAAGGTAATAACTCCCAGTAATATATTCTAAAAACAGCCTCAAAAGCCCTCAAAAAACAAACAAACAAAAAAAAAGCAAGCACTGTATTGGACAATCTGTAGAACTCTTAGAGCCTGACACGTCTGTATGCAGCTCTGTGGACGTGTGAGTTAGCAGCCACAGGGAGTTCTTTCTACATAAGGTTATTATCACCTAAACCACATTATTCTGCTCATCTGACTACACCCAAGTAATTCAGGGCTGGTGATTAACTTAACTCAAAGACTGCAATAAATAGGCTTAACATGTGAGACACCAGCGGCTGAAGAGGAGGCCAAGAGAGACAGTCTAAAGGAGCAGCACTCATTGAAGAATATTTGCTCTTACAGAACATGGAAGCAGGAGGCAGATATCTAAGTCAGCAAAGAACAATTTCTGACTTCTGTAAACAAAAGATGACTGAGATCACTAGTTTATAAAATGGTTGGTCCAGAAAGATTCCCTTAAAGCCTCCTGTACTCTTCCCTTCTTCTAAGGCACTGAGGTCCAGAGTGATTATTGAGATGATCCCCTTGGCTTTTTTTTTGTTGTTGTTAACCTCCTACCATAAACACCCAGCTCCCAGAGCAACTGAGCATGTTTTCTTTCTCGCAACCAAAATGAACCATTATCAGTCCACTCATAAAGGATATCTAAAGGAGAAGATAACAGCGTAAAAGTAAAAATGATTAAGGGCACTTTGCAAGAACCTAATTTTCCTTCTTTGTTCTATGGGTTCATTCACTTATTCAGCAAATATTTACAGATCATTCATGCATTGATATTGGCTTTGCACTGTGAATGCTACCATAAATAAGACTGACTACATCCCTCCCTCATAAAGCTCATATTTTAGTGGAGGAGACAAACACAAAAGCAAGTGAATCAATGTAATAATACCAGATAAAAGTATCATAAAGAACCACTTAGAAAGAGATTCTGGATTAGAGAGTGACAGGGGTGTGTGTGGAGTGGGGGATGCTTTATTTAAGGGTAGGCCATCAGGTCAGGGTTAAGACCTGAGGAGAAGACAGTAGGCATTTGGGAGGAAAAATGTAACAGGCAAACTGAGCCATATGCGTGAATGCTCTGAAACTGGAAAGAACTTGAAAGTACTTGAGGGACAGAAAAAAGGTCAGTGACACTGCATGAAAGCAATGGATAAAATTTAAACTTGATAATAGGCAGTCTTGAGGGTCTGGCCCATTTTATTACTCCTTTCCTACACTCATTCTGTGAATTACTTGAAATTTATTGAACAGGTCAAGTTCTCATTAACATACTTTACCTTCTTCCTGGCATATACTTACTGATGTCTGAATATTCAGCTCATCCACCAACCCAAGGGAAAAAATAATCTGAACTACTATTCTCACTCCTTAAAACTCATATATAATTTCTACTAATAAACCCATTGCTATAGACTAAATGTTTATGTACCCCCAAATACATATGTTGACACGTAATTCCCAACATGATGGTATTAGGAGGTGGAGCCTTTTTTTTTAAATTTTTATTTTATTATTTATTTATTTATTTATTATTATTATTATACTTTAAGTTTTAGGGCACATGTGCACAATGTGCAGGTTAGTTACATATGTATACATGTGCCATGCTGGTGTGCTGCACCCATTAACTCATCATTTAGCATTAGGTATATCTTCTAATGCTATCCCTCCCCCCCCTCCCCCCACCCCACAACAGTCCCAGAGTGTGATGTTCCCCTTCCTGTGTCCATGTGTTCTCATTGTTCAATTCCCATCTATGAGTGAGAACATGCGGTGTTTGGTTTTTTGTCCTGGCGATAGTTTACTGAGAATGATGATTTCCAATCACAATAGCAAAGACTTGGAACCAACCCAAATGTCCAACAATGATAGACTGGATTAAGAAAATGTGGCACATATACACCATGGAATACTATGCAGCCATAAAAATGATGAGTTCATGTCCTTTGTAGGGACATGAATGAAAGAGGTGGAGCCTTTGAGAGGCAATTAGGCCACAAGGGTGGAGCCCCATGTGCAGAATTCCTGCCCTTGTAAAAGAGGCCCTAGAGAGCTCCCTCACCCCATCTACCACGTGAGAACACTGAGAAGACAGCCATCTGTAATGGCCCTTGCCAGACACTGAATCTACTGGCACCTTGATTGTAGATTTCTTAGACTCCAGAACTGTCAGCTGTCATTTATAAACCACAGAGTCTATGGTATTTTGTTGGAGCAGCCTAAACAGACTAAAACACCTACCAACATTCCCTTAAGTGCATTTTAAGTGCCTTAAACATACACTCCTTTAGATACTCAATCTTCTTGCTTCAGTACCACTCAATACACCAACAGTATTTATTTAGTATAAAGTGTAGGTACCAGACTATAGCACCTTTTTTTTGTGTCTTCGTACAGAGTTTATATCTACTAGACTGTGACCAAACACCATGGTGCCATAGGTTGTGCTCTTTATCTCAATTATTTATTTATTTTTTTTCAAAAAGGAAGGAAGAAACAAAGTAAGGAAGGGAGGGAGGGAGGGAGGGAGGGACCCTTTCTCTCCCAAAGGCCACCCTTCCAAATATGCATGTGCACACACATGCACATATACTTGATTATATCTCTAAAATTTCTCTCTAATCAAACCATTTCTTGCCACCTTCATTTCTACCTCCCAGTTCAAGCACTGTCTTTCTAATTGGCTTTTCCTCATTCAATCTTATAATGTTTGACCATCCTACACACAGCAGCCTGATTAAAAAAATAATAAATTATATAATAAGTTTCCTATTAAAAACTTGCTCACTGCACTTAAAATTAAATTTGAACTCCTGGTCACTGCATACAAGACCCTATATATTTTCTGGCACCTGATAACTCTCCAGTTTCATCTTGTTCCAGCCTCACACTTGCTCACTCTTTTTAGTCATGCTTTCTTAGGGTTCCTTAAATACCTGGAGCAAGTAGGTCTGTCACAGACGAGTGAACCAGAGCAACGCCATCTTGAATAGGAGCTGGGTAAAATAAGGCTGACACCTAGTGGGCTGCACTCCCAGACGGTTAAGGCATTCTAAGTCACAGGATACGCTAGGAGGTCAGCACAAGATACAGGTCATAAAGACCTTGCTGATAAAACAGATTGCAGTAAAGAAGCCGGCTAAATCTCACCAAAACCAAGATGGCCACGGGAGTGACCTCTCCTAGTCCTCACTGCTACACTCCCACCAGTGCCATGACAGTTTACAAATGCCATGGCAATGTCAGGAAGATACCCTACATGGTTTAAAAAGGGGAGGCATGAATAATCCACCCCTTGTTTAGCAAATCATCAAGAAATAACCACAAAAATGGCCAATCAACAGTCCCTGGGGCTGCGCTGTCTATGGAGTAGCCATTATTTTATTCCTTTACTTTCTTAATAAAGTTGCTTTCACTTTACTCTATGAACTCACCTGAATTAGTTCTTGTGCAAGATCCAAGAACTCTCTCTTGGGGTCTGGATTGGGACCCCTTTCCTGTAACAGGTCCAGCCAAGGCAGTCTACATTATGAACTTGCAATTCACATAGTTATCTGTTTACTTGTTAGTATCTATCTCCTCTTGTTTTCATATATATATTTATATTGCCTAAATTTGTATGATAAACATTTATTTTCATAGCCAAATTTAGCTTTTAATGATACAAATATTCAGTTATTATTGGTATTATAGAAACAAACTGCCACTTGATCATTAGTTTTTACTTGCTTTTAAACTACTTTTATTTATTTGTGCTTCTACCCAACTATCAATATGCTAAGTGTAACTGACATTTTCCAAAAAAATAAAATTGTTTTTGACATGTAAAACTGCTAATATATTCCTTAAAGGTTCTTACTAAGGCCCTCTTAATAATTTATACTCATCCTGAATACACTTTAAATGAGATGACTTGCATCATTTATGTTAAAGAAAAACACCCAACTTTTTTATTTCCTATACACTCAATTATTTGCTTGCTTTTCTTTATTTTTCTCTGTTCTCTTGACCTCCCTCCTTCCTGTGATCTTCTGCTTGAGTAGTAGAGAGCATATTCAGATGCATTCCCAAAAGATTCAGATTCATGCAGACAGGGTTTATTGATTTATAAGCTAAAATGAAGAGCATGTGCAATTGGTATTTCTGACTGGCAAAGTTTCAGAGAATGCAAATGACTCTGCACCATCATTTCGATGTGCTGATTTTTTTTTTTAAAGAGGCTATGGAGCCCTTAGCTCAGAGAACAACTATCAACATATCTACAGAAAAATGCACATAAATTGAACAATCTCTCTACCCTTCTTACAAACATTCTTCCATAACAAACTTCTGAAATAGAACAAGGGAAATGCAGAAGAGTAGTCTTTTATTTATAAAATGGTGCTACAATTAAAATACTTACTTGGAAGAATTTCTAACCTGCTCAGTCATTGTAAACTTCTATGAGTCCACTTTCAAACTCTGAGGATCCGCAATCACCACAATATCTAACAGGTAACTCTAAGGTTTAGTCCCTCCCTTATTTTTATTTGAAGTTTTCCTCCTTAACCTTTTTCTGAAGTGAAAAAAGGAATTCAAGTCAGATAGAACCATTTAGTTACAATCCTATGGATTCAGACATGAGCAGAGTGAATATATACATTTATCAGTTTAAAATCAAGCAAATGTATAACTATTATTCAAAGCCACCAATGTTTCATAGGAGGAGGCTAACTATGTGTCTTCATTTTTTGAAAATAGATAAAATTTTTCCTTTAAATTCCCTTTCCCTGGGGCCAAGTGTCAACCACCAACATATTTACCTATGAATATACATTAACTGAAAAAATTGCTCCCTTCCCAGGAACATTCCTTCTTAACAGTGTCTATAATAAAGAGAGGGGAAAACATCTGAAACCATGCTGAGTTGTGTATTCTTTTGAAGTAGTACTGTTCTGACCACGAAAACACTACATGCTAGCACAGTGCCTGTGTCAAAGAAGGTTCTTATTTAGCCAAATATTTTCATTTACATATGAAGCAACTTAAGTCCAGTTGCATATTCTAGCTAAAAGCAAAAGTGGTGTTCTTTCCAAAAAGCACTTTGTTACCCACTAACGGTGGAATCTTTGATTGACCAAGAAAAATAAGTTTAGATTAGATTACAGAAAGGTCACAAGTACTTATTTCAGATTTCAATACTTAATGAATGCATCACTACTCTTTTCCAAGAAAGCTGGAAAAGAAATCAGACTCAAAATTTTCTAGTGAGAATGATAGCTTTTATAGACAACAGTAAATCCTTTAGATTATTGTAGGAATTTCAGAGATTTAGTCTCAAAATCTCTACAACCCTGGGATTATAATATTGGAAATATATATTGTCTCCTTCCTATAAATTAATTGGGAATACTAAAAATTTAAGGCATTATCCTATAAGCTTTTGTCATCTACAATTTTTCAATGTAAAATATTTGAAATGTAGGTGAATATTAACTTTAGGAATAGTACTGGTATTGCTTTGTCCTTTGATACTTCAATATTTTTCCCCCAACCATCAATCTGAAAACTACTAACTCTCTCCCTGACCTTCCTTCCTTTTTCCCTCACTTTATCCTTAGTCTAATTATCTCCCCAAATTTTTAGTTTCCCATCTTTTTTCTACATAAAGAGTTTCTTTAATCAACTTTAAATACCAAAATTATATTATGGTTTTCACTTATTCAAATGTAGCATAACAAGCTACTCAAACAAGTCAGCCTTTCCCTTATCCCCACAAAGCTTAGAGTCTAACAGGGAAAAGGAAAATGTTAGATATACACTGGCTTCTAATCATATGAAAATAATAATGAAATAGTACCTACATTCTAAAAGTATAATAAAAATATACAACAATAAAAATGTAAACTGTAGGCTATAAAGAAAAATAAGAATGTTAAAATAATAACAAATTGTGCCAAGAAGTTATAAATCATCTGGTAGGCAGTCCACTGGTAAAATTAAGAGTTATACATAGAAATGACACACTGAAATAAAACTTTTATTTCTGCCTCATTTCTCAACTAAAACACCAGTGACACTTAGCACAAAGTTCACATGCACAACTGTTCAATCACAGTTTATAAAAGCACCTGAACATAACACAAAGCCAAAGCAATCCTGGACAAATGGAATAAAGCTGGAGATATCACACTACCTGACTTCAAAATATAATACAAATCTATAGTAGCCAAATCAGCATGGCACTGGCATAAAAACAGACACATAGACCAATGGAACAGATAGAAACTCAGATATAAATCCATGCATTTACAGCCAAGTCATTTTTGATAAAGGCGCCAAGAACATACAATGAGGAAAGGGCAATCTCTTCAGTAAATGGTGCTGGGAAAACTGGATACCCATATGCAGAACTAAAAATCTAGACCCCTATATCTCAGCACATACAAAAATCAAAGCAAACTATATTAAAGACTTAAATCTAAGGCCTCAAACTATGAAACTACTAGAAGAAAACCTCACAGAAATGCTCCAGGACACTGGTTTGGGAAAAGGTTTTTTGTGTAAGACCTCAAAAGCAAAGGCAACAAAAGCAAAAATAGAACACGATTACATTAAACTAAAAAGCTTCTGAAGAGCAAAGGAAACAATCAACAATGTAGAGAATGGGAGAAAATATTTGTGAACATTCATCTGACAGGGAATTAATAACTAGAATACAGAAGGTGCTCAAACAACTAAGAAGAAACAAATAATCTAATTTAAAAATGAGCTAAAGATCTGAGTAGACATTTCTCAAAAAAGACATATTAGTCGTCAACAGGTATATGAAAAATTCTCAATATCAATAACCATCAGGGAAATGAAAATCAAAACCACAGTGAGATATCATCTTACCCCATTTAGAATGGCTTTTATCAAAAAGACAGAGGATAACAAACACCAGTGAGGGTGTGGAGAAAGGGGAACCCTCATATACTATTGGTGGTAATGCTAATTAGTACAGCCCCTATGGAAAATAGTATAGAGCCTCATCAAAAAACTAAAAAATACAACTACAGAATGATCCACCAATTCCACTACTGGGTATATAGCCAAAAGAAAGGAAATCAATATATTCAATTGATACCTGCACTCCCTTGCTTATTGTAACACTATTCATAATAACCGAAATATGGAAATCAACCTAAGTGTCCATCAATGGATGGGTGGATAAGAAAATGTGGCATATATACACAATGAAACATCATTCAGCCATACATGCAGCCATAAAAAGGAATGAAATCCTGTCATTTGCAGCAATATGAGTGGAACTGGAGGTTATTATGTTAAGTAAAATAAGCCAAGCATAGAAAGACAAATATTGCATGTTCTCCCTCCTATGTGAGAGCTAAGAATGTGGAATTCATGAAGATAGAGTATATTCATGGTTACCAGAGGCTGGGAAGTGGGGTAGTAGGTAGCAGATGAAGAGATTAATGGGTACAAATATATACTTAGCAGAAAGAAGATCTGATGTTCAATAGATCAGTAGGGTGACTACAGTTAACATTAATCCATTGCATATTTCAAAATAGCCAGGAAAGCACAATTCAAATGTTCCAAGCATAAAGAAAAGATAAATACATAAGGTGGTAGATATCCCAATGAACCCTGATGTGACTATATCAGTGTATCAAATTATTGCAGGTACTCCAAAAGTATGCACATCTATTATATATCAATAAAAATAAAAATATAAAAAAGGAAATTATCCTAGCTCTCTGTGCTGCCTGCAATGTCCTTTCCTCTCTGACCACCTATGACAGTCTTTCCCAAGAGTAGAAAAAGAGTAAACATTACTCCTGCATATAAGCCTAACTTCTGACCTCAGCATATACAACAACACACAACACATTTACACATTTCCCATTTTCAGTCAAGACAATCCTTTTTTTTTTTTTTTTTTTTTTTTTTCCGAGACGATGTCTCGCTCTGTCACACAGGCTGGAGTGCAGTGGCACAATCTCAGCTCACTGCAGCCTCTGTCTCCCGGGTTCAAAGCAATTGTCCTGTCTCAGCCTCCGAAGTAGCTGGGATTACGGGCATGCACCACTACACCTGGCTGATTTTTGTGTTTTTAGCAGAGATGGAGTTTCACCATGTTCGCCAGGTTGATATCAAACTCCTGACCTCAAGTGATCCGCCCGTCTCGGCCTCCCAAAGTGCTGGCATTACAGGCATGAGCCACCACGCCCGGCCTCTGTATCTTGAATAATTAAAGTAAGACTTCAGCTTATGAAACAAAACAATTTAACAGCAGTTAGGTCAATGTAGTATAAAGGGGACTTTATAAGAAAATTCCACATGTATTAAATCATGGCCTACAAATAAGAATCAGTTTTTATTTTTTAAGAATTTCAAATGTTATGGCCTATGTTCTCTTAATTTTCCCTTTCTGGCTATCTCAGGAAATAATGAGCACTATAGAAAAGGACGGCTAAGAAAGAATTGTTATACACAGGAACTTAATCCTTTTTGACGTTTTGTCCCGAGAGTTGCCTCTGGGTATATATTGTCTTAGACACCACAGTGGTTCATATCACTTTGGACGTATTACTTCTGATCTAGCATGACACTACCACAGAGGTCAACTGAAGTTCCACACAGCTACCATAGGGAGAGCAAAACACAGGATTCCATGCAAAGATTGTAGCAAAATATTCTCTGGGATTCACAGAACACATATTATGATTAAAGTTCTATTAATTATAAACATAAAACAGAACTGGATATTAAAACAGCATTTTCATACTTGTTATTCAGTTGCATTTTCAGGTGCTTCACTGGTGTTGTTAAAAATGTTATGTTCAACAACTTAATCATTAGTACAGTCATGGAAGAGAAATTGCTAACTAATTGCTATTAGTACAGCCATACGAGAGGAAATACGACTAGAAAATCTGCAATGTAGGTTTTAGTTTTTATTTTGGCATAGAATTTATATGAGGATGTAAACATTTCAATAAATGCCATTTTGCCTCAATTTACCTACTGGGCACAATACTTCAATATCTCTTTCTAATGAAAGAAAACCGTACTTCCTTTCAAATTAATGGCCTCAATAAAGTACGTTCAACGTGAAACACACAATAATACAATATATAGCTAAAGAATAACAGGCCTATGAGTGAGAACATGCGGTGTTTGGTTTTTTGTTCTTGCGATAATTTGCTGAGAATGATGGTCTCCAGCTTCATCCATGTCCCTACAAAGGACATGAACTCATCATTCCTTATGGCTGCATAGTATTCCACGGTGTATATGTGCCACATTTTCTTGATCCAGTCTATCATTGTTGGACATTTGGGTGGGTTTCAAGTCTTTGCTATTGTGAATAGTGCTGCAATAAACATACGTGTGCATGTGTCTTTATAGCAGCATGATTTATAATCCTTTGGGTATATACCCAGTAATGGGATGGCTGGGTCAAATGGTATTTCTAGTTCTAGATCCCTGAGGAATCGCCACACTGACTTCCACAATGGTTGAACTAGTTAACAGTCCCACCAACAGTGTAAAAGTCTTCCTATTTCTCCACATCCTCTCCAGCACCTGTTGTTTCCTGACTTTTTAATGACTGCCATTCTAACTGGTGTGAGATGGTATCTTATTGTGGTTTTGATTTGTATTTCTCTGATGGCCAGTGATGATGAGCATTTTTTCATGTGTTTTTTGGCTGCATAAATGTCTTCTTTTGAGAAGTGTCTGTTGATATCCTTCACCCACTTTTTGATGGGGTTGTTTGTTTTTATCTTGTAAATTTGTTTGAGTTCATTGTAGATTCTGGATATCACACCTTTGTCAGATGAGTAGGTTGCAAAAATTTTCTCCCATTCTGTAGGTTGTCTGTTCACTCTGATGGTGGTTTCTTTTGCTGTGCAGAAGCTCTTTAGTTTAATTAGATCCCATTTGTCAATTTTGGCTTTTGTTGCCATTGCTTTTGGTGTTTTAGACATGAAGTCCTTGCCCATGCCTATGTCCTGAATGGTAACGCCTAGGTTTTCTTCTAGGGTTTTTATGGTTTTAGGTCTAACATGTAAGTCTTTAATCCATCTTGAATTAATTTTTGTATAAGGTGTAAGGAAGGGATCCAGTTTCAGCTTTCTACATATGGCTAGCCAGTTTTCCCAGCACCATTTATTAAATAGGGAATCCTTTATATTTTTAAGACCTGGAGGCTAAGCATTTTTATGTTAAGATATTTTTGAAAATACCATCTTTCAGAAAAAAAAAAGTATAAAAGGCCTGACTTGTTACTTCAAAACTATACATAGGAAATGCGAATGGAGATTAGATAAATTCATCAAAGAAATTCACCTTACTAAATATATTAATGGCCACAGATGGTCCTGTTAAAAATAACTACTTACATTTCTACGAATCCTATAGACTTCAGCTCTTCACAATGTCCAAAAAAAGAACCACCTGGGATTCCAAAGTTTCTTCTTTAAAGTATGCAGAAGCACTGACAAAGTGATTGTTCTTTTTATGAGGAAGTGCTTTTATTTTTATTTAACTATATATGTAGATAAACATAAAAATATTTTGTATTTTTACATAACCTTCTTGGAATCTACAGAAATGTATCCCGATTTAGTCATATTTTTTAGGAAATGCCTACTGAGCTTCTACTATACATCAGCTATTATGTATAGTATTAAGGATATGCTGGTATTAAGGATATGCTGTTACCCGCACTTGGTTTTTGTTGAAGGCTTCTTTTTATACATGAGTTAAAACCTGCAAATAGTGTTCTGTAAAATCTATTGATTGGGTAATAAAATCTCCAATGAGAAACAAAAGGGAGAGTGGTGAGGGCTAAACTAGACCTTTTCCATCCCTCATCCGCACAATGTTAATGAATAAATCACCAGAATACTACCAAATTCTTAATGGCAAACATTTATACTTCCCTTTCCCCCACCTCAAGACACAGGAAAGCTTCAGAAATGCCATGATGTATCAGGGAAATCTCTCCTACAACTGAAATGAAAATTCCTTGGCATCTAAAAAGTATTCCCACGGATCATCTAATTCACCTTCAATTTACTCACTTCTTTCCCCACTCCATGTTTTTTTCTTTCCCAGTTTATTCTCACTTGTTCCAGTTTCAGGTCATAGCATGTTGAACCCTGCAATGCTCAGAAAGGGAGATTCCTTTCTTTGCAGACCTTTCCCACAGAGTCATTACTTTTCGAGTACCAGTGGCAACAGTGAGCACTGCTTTCAAGGTGCCAAACTTAAAGACTTCTTTTCTGCTACACAGTTATATAATTGTTATTTTCATCTTAATTATCCAAGTGAGTGGGAAGGCATTTTGAGATTTGGCTCCCTTGGCTTTGAAACAAGGTAACTAGAAAAGAAACTAACTCATGTGGCAGCTCCTATAGACATCCATCTATTTCTTCACAGAAAGAAAGACGGAAATACGCACCAGGCCAAGGCAGACCACTGGCCTTATAGCCTCCCTGTCTGACAGACTGAAGCTTTCACTTTACACCCATTTTCCCTTTTATGGAACACATCATTCACTGTGGCTGCAAAGTGAAGGAGATCCTAGGAGATAATTTGTTGGTATTTCAGCTTTCAGCTTCTGTTTGTTCATCTTTTCCTAAGGCATTCATTCATCACTATGCATATTAATTTTTTTAAAAACACACCCAATGCTTATTTTCTGCTTGGAATGTGAACAACATAATAAACAAGGCAGTTTTTCCCTTATCCTCAAAAACTTAGAGTCTAACAGGGAAAAGGAAAATTATACAGGCAAATATTACAAAGCATTATGTGTTTTACATTAGAAAAATTGCAAACGCTACGGAAGCACAAACCAAAAGGACATAATCTCATCAAGTGTTCAGGGAAGGCACAATGTTCAAACATATGGTTGAGGGAAAAAATCAAGTTACAAGCAGCAGTGTATACAAGATGACCTCATTTTTGTTTTTAAATATATCTATATACACACACACATAAAGAAGTACAGAAAAAAAATCCATAAAGACATAGGCCACAATATTAACAATGTTTCATCTGATGTGTAAAATTATGAGAACTTTTTTCCTTATATGGATTTTCTAAACTTTATGTAGTTAACTTTATAATATTATTTAACAAAAGTTTCTGCCCCAGGGTAGACACTTTCCCATGCCAGGATCTGCTAGCTGGAGCTCAGTCCCCACCAGCCTCCTTCACGGGGCAGCTCTGTGACATGTACACACAAGAGGTGCCACTCTTGCACGACCCATTATGCACCCAAAGTGCTTGCTACCATCCTCCGCGAAGTAAACCACTCACTTCCACAGTGCAAGGCTATGCTTTCGGATCATTCTAATCCCTCAAGGGCACCGCCTCTGCAATGTCTTCGCAACCCTCCCAGGCAGATACACTGAACATTCCTTTGTTCAACTGTGTTTCTGAATTTTTATTATAGTTATTTAACATAACTTGTATATTAATTTTGTTTTGCTTTCTCCCCACTTGAATATAAGCTTTACAAGGCCAGGGACCATGAAATTGTTCAATTGTTTATCCAAAGTATAGTGTTTGGTGTCCAATAATCTCTCAATAAAAGTTTGTTAAATAAATGAAAGCATATGTGCATGTTTATCATTAAAGAATATATTTTAAAATAATTTTAACAAAATTTTTCTGCATTTCTTGACTAATTTTGCTTGTACAAATATGACAATATGGGGCCATTCTGCGTGTATATGTGTTGTCAAATTCTCTATTTCAAATAAGGAATGGCTTTAGACTGTAAGTCCTTAGAACAACATCATTACAACTGTGGTTCTGTTGTATATCTAACATGTTACAGGACTTGGTGATACCGAATTTCCCTACCTACCACGGAAAATTAAGTTGGTATTACAGATTAGTTGAGGAAGGTATTTTCCTCTCCTAAATGAACAATTATTACTTAGATTTTCAAGTCACTATGTGCCTATAAGCAAAAGAATTAAGCTGCTCTGTAAGCAAACAGAATTTTAATTCATAATGTGAATAATTGTTTACATGGCATAGACCTAAAATTTGAAAACTAGAGCACTGTATTTAAAGAGGCTGTGTTATTTTTAAAAAATGAATTGCTATGATTTTTTCAGCATTAAATCCATTTTGCAAAATGAGACTGTCAACAAACTTATATCCCCACACGACATGAATACAAATGTACCTAGTCCCCTTCCTCCGAGTGATTAAAATTGCATTTTAAAATATGACAAATTGTTTTTATAAAAAAACTATAAAGTTAAAACATTAGGGAAGCTCAAAAAACATGCACAAAAGAATACTGTCTCAATTTTTACTCTGCTCAGTTTGGATTTTTTCCTGAAAGGATTTCTATAAGGGAAAAAAAAATATCTGCCTCAAGTGGAGACAATAATGTCACAGGGATATAAGTTATCTCTCTCACACACACACACAGTGCATTTCCAGAGCACAAATGCTGCTGTTTTTCAATGATCAATGTTTTTAGAGGCCCAATAGTTATCTTTTCTATTTCATTAAAAGCACTAAGAGTTGAATGGATTTTATTCAAGGCCACTGGTCTTAAAGCTTCTTATAGCCCAAATGCAACCAGATTGACAGGTTATGTGCTGACGTTTTAGCAAGAACATTTACTAACCAAATGAAAGCTCTGCGAGGTACCATACTTCCCAGAAAAACGCTAACGAAAGCACACTTTCTGTGGGCCTAATGGGTAGAAAAAGACATATTAGTCATATGAATAAGGGGCAAAGCAATGAAGCTAAAAGTTGGTAACCTTATCCAACTCCAGCAGTTGAAAGCACTTTCACAATGGGGCAGGTGTCAATCAGAAAGCAGAAATTCCCCAACACTGAAACCCTCACTATCCACAGCAATGACCTGCACATCGACTTCTCGGGCTGCTCCAGGCTGGTCTTGTCCTCCTGAAGCTTCCCTGGGTTTTCAATTACAGTTCTTTACAAGTCTAAGCATATTTTAAATATGTTGAAGAATTTATGTTTTAAGAATATATGCGGTAAATCCACATTCTTGTATAAACCAAAAAACGTATTTAAGACTGGAATATTGTGTTACTCTAGTTCATCTGGTTAGTCAGGATTAATTGGAAACATCTGAGGGTGATAATTACCTAATGCAAAGTGTATTCAGTAACTTAAAAATATACTTTCCCTTTGCAGATATTCAAATGGAATTCTAAGATACAGACTTCTACACTGTTTTACAGGCTTGTGTAAATCTGGGTCATTAAAATAACTTTATAATGAAAGAAAGATGAGAAATGTCTGTCCTAAACCAAGTATTTCTGGTCCAAATATTACTCTTAAAAAAATAAATATGCATAGTATTCTATTGGAAAGGCTTTGAAAATATCTCTGGGTCTTCTGTAACCCCCATAAACTTTCTCTAGATTTTTGAATCCTTGGTAACTTTGGATCGAAAATGAATATAATGAAAAAAAAATGGTTTGATAAGCTCTTTCACCAAACATATTATAGCTAGAAGAATGTAATAAGCAGACTTACATGCCACATGATTCAAGATAATTGCCTATAAAGTGGTCAGAGCTTCAAAGAAAAAAATGCCAATTTGCAAAATGAAGCATTTGGTAGTATTTTACCTCCGCTGAAAAATCTGATTGCCTTGACTTTCGGTACCAGCAAATTCCCCTTTATAATTTCAGCAAATAGTGTCATAGTAATACTCTACTGCAGCTACTTATGGATCTTAAATGAAACTCCTATTGTTCTAATTTGGCTCTAAGTGGTTGATATTAGAGACAAATGATTTTCACTTGAAGATTCTTGCAAAATTTATCAAAATATCACTTTATAAGACATGTCTGTGTTCTATGATGCTGTGGGTTTGAAATCTTTTATTAATTGTTCTTATGATATGAAAAAAATTAACAAAGATAGTATGGGCTCACCAATACTCAAATGTAATGCTTTTCATTATTTTTGTACATTAGTCTCAAAAATAAGCAATTAGTAAAATAGGACTGCTGGCTCATTAACAAACCATTTTCTTTTTTTCTTCTCTTTCTTAATGGTTTAATAAGCATACATTAGCTATTACATAATGTTTTCTAAATTTTTCACCTTGTTTTGTACAATCACTCTTTGCCCTCCCCTCCTATTTTATTTTTCTTCAACTTTTAAGTTCCAGAGTAAACGTGCAAGATGTGCAGGTTTGTTACATAAGTAAACATCTGCCATGGTGGTTTGCTGCACAGATCAAACCATCACCTGGGTATTAAGCTCAGCTTCCATTACCTATTATTCCTGATGCTCTCCCTCCCCAACCCCCCACAAAAGGCCCCAGTGTGTGTTGTTCCTCGCCACTGCCATGTGTCCACATGTTCTCATCGTTCAGTTCCTACTTATAAGTGAGAACTACAGTGCTTGAACAAACCATTTTCTTAATTTTCAAAGTATAAGAAGCAGCAGCATAGGTCGGCTTTTCAAAAAGGTTAAAGAATTTTCACACCACAAACCAGTGTTCCCTTTTATAAAGTTGCGCTTCCAATTCAGTTCAATATATATTTCCTGATCACCTGCTATGTTCCAGATACCATGGGTATAAATATGAAAAGATGAAGCTCCAGTTATTAAGGAGCTTATGAAAGATTGCAGAAAGTAGATGTGCACCCAGACCATTAAAAAAAATACTATAGCAATGTTGTCATGGGAGAGGGACCCACAATGCACACCAGATATGGAGTATTATAAAGTAGGATTCTTGGAAGAGGGAATACTGGAATTAAGTTTAGATGGATGAATGATAGATAAATAGGAATTAACCAGATATAGAAGTAGAGTAAATAGAGAAGTCAAGTCATTTTGTTCAGAAACAAGAGCATGACCCAAGGTATAGTGGCAAGAAAGAATTCAGTACATGTGGAAAATTACCAGATCTCTGCTATTGCAGGAGTAGTAGAAATAAGTTAGGTATGAATCAGCTCCTGGGGGCCTTTTATAGTTAATATACTGTAGACTGGTTCTGAGTATGCGCTGAAGAGTTTAAGTAGGAGAGGCCATGCTGTCTCTCCTTTAGGTAAATCATTCTTCTGATAGTCTGGAGGAGTCAATAAAAGAAGTCAGGATTGGAGGCAAGACGAACAATTGGGAGACTATTACAACAGCTGACAAATTGAATAATAATTTACTAAATACCAGTGGTGTAGAAGAAGGGTTAGATTGTGGGAAAATATGGGGGTTGAGAGTGGTTCATGTCAGGCTGGACAACAAGGGGTGCATTGTCTGGGGATAATTTAAAAACAATAATAAAACTGTCTTTTAATCAAAGCTGGTTTGGTTTTTCTTATCACATGGGCCAGCAATTCTCAGCAATGTCAGTGATAAAATATCCTTCCCCACTAGTAGGTAGACTACTCCCATTGTATCCACCCTCCTTGGTACAGCACTGCTAAACACTTTTGTGTGAAGGGTTCTGCACTAAATCTCCCTAGGAAATGTAAAGATAAAGACCAGGTGTTTGTCCTCAAAGGAGCTATCAGTCTAGCAAGGGAGATAAGGCAGATACCTCAATAATTATAGCTCACAAATACACTTTCATATGATCGGTCATATGACAAGGTCAAGGGTGGGAGCTAACTAGTTTTACATACCTGACTGCACACAGCCATCCCTGCTGAGGGCAGAGCCAGTGTCTTGCAGGCCAATACTAGAAACACTCTGTCCCAGCCTGATCCAGAGGGAGGAGGGATCTCTCCATGTCAGTATTGCTGCATACCTACTAGGTCGTCTCCTGGTTGCAAAATCACACAGCCAAAATGCATGGCAGCTCTTGCCATCTCTGCTTTATACACACACTAGTGATGCATAAAGAAACAAACGGTGAAGGATATTATCTGTAAATGCAACTGTTGAAGGAAGGTAGAATTGTGAGGAAAAAGGAAACTATTCCAGAATCAAAACAGGGAGGGGGAAGAGTATTTTCAGAAAATGCTCCCAAGGTCACTATGTTCATAAGTAACACCACGTGGCCTGAAGAATAGAGGTTTTTATGCCAGTATTTTCACCACACACATTATCTTCCTTTAGCCCTTCACCTTACCCTTCCTCTTCACTGTAGAAAGAATATTAGGATACTAAGATGTGAACAGGTATTTGAAATCATGAAATCCAACCCACCAATTGTCAAGAGTAAAATAATGTCCAGAAAAGTTAAATGAGCTACCAAAGTCACAGAACTGGCTACTGGCACTCATGAATAACGAACAATGTTCTTACTCTTAAGGGAAAAAAATATAAGAGTTAATGTCTTATTTCTCAAAAATATAGTTCTTGGAGAATGCCAGAGTGACCTGAAGCAAGGTGATATCTGCAATTTGGAAATTGGTGTGTGGGCTTTCAGGACTGTGATGGCCATTAACTATGGCAGGTAGGTGAAATCTGTGATGTCTGGACCAGGAGCCACTATTTCCAGAAGCAGCACAGAAGATCACCGTGGCTTCTGATCCCTCACTCCCTTTCATACTTCTATGGCAAGATCATTTGAGACTTTTTTTTTTTTTTTTGAGACGGAGTCTCACTCTGCCACCAGGCTGGAATGCAGTGGCACGATCTCAGCTCACTGCAACCTCTGCCTCCTGGGTTCAAGCAATTCACCTGCCTCAGCGTCCTGAGTGGCTGGGACTACAGGTGCACACCACCACACCCAGCTAATTTGTATATATATAAATTATGTGCCAGTCCCTGTTCTATGACCTTAGTATATATTAACTCGTTTAAGCCTCATGACAACCCTATGAAGTGGGTCTTATTATTTCCATTTTAAAGAAGTTAAGGTACAGAGGGTTTAAGTGACTTGAGCAAGGTCACAGAGCTGGTAAATAGTGAAGACTGCATTCAAACCTAGGCAGCCTAGCTCTGGAGTTTCTGTATCATTGATTTTCAAAAAGGCATCATAAGCCAAACATGTAAGAGCCAGCAGCTTGTACTGCTGCCTCTGCTCTAATGGATCTGGACACTTAAAATCAAAACAAGACAACAGCATGGCTATGGCCTCGAGAGTCTGGTATCCAGAAGCTGCCTCTATAGGTTTTAGCTCACCTTCTATACCTCTGCTCCAGGAATGTATAGATGGTGGCAAAAATCAGGTGATGCTAATATCTACCATTTATTAGTATGGACAAAGAGCCAGACACTGTGCTAATGTTCCACAATATAGTCTCTCAGTTAATCAATACACAGAAATTCTGGAAGGTGGATGCTAATAACACCCCCAGTAACAAAGGATGGACTAGGGTACACTGCTAAGTAGTGAGAAAAAGCACTGAGCTGTGCAATGCTAACTACAAAACTAATTTTTTAACCACTTATATTGTCTGGCCACCCACACATGCATGTAAGAGCATGCCTGTAATGGGGTAGCAATGCAGGAAATATAATCCAACAATGTCTCCATATGTGCCTAGGAAATGAGATGCAATTTTTACACAAAATAATGTAAATGAATTTATGATAAGGTTTATTGCTATCATTAGTGATGGTTTCGCTGATGATGGTTTATGTTAGGATTATTATACACACACACACACAAACAAATCACAACACAGAAAAACAATCATCCTCTATAAATTATTTAAAATAGCAACATCCTGCTTAAAACCCTGTTTTCTACACAAATCTTAATGAAGACATTAAGGGAAAAGACAGTATAAAAAACAAACAGAAGCAGCATTTATTACATTAGTTTGGGGTCATTTCCTGATATTTTGCTATGATTTTATTTTCTAATCACGTTAAAATCAAAGGCACACTAATGAAAGATCTAAAACTCTATGTGGAATGAGCTTCCTTCCTTGCTTGGAATCGTAGCATCCCAAGGTTGGCAGAGACTTGAGGGGCCATCTGCAGTGTCTGCTTGCCCTTTGCCCAACTGGGCCCTTCCGAGAAGCTCTTTCCCAGGCTCTCCAATCACCTCAGCTGGTCCTCTCTCATCCAGGACCCAGACAGTCATATGATAGCAACCCTGCCTTAAGCCTTCACATCAAGGTCATATTTCTCCTTTCATTTGATATTGACAATTAAGAGTGCTTATCCTTCTTCAATCTGACCAAGATTATTTCTCTTTAGCCTACTTCATCTCACTTCCTCCCTCCATTGAGCATCTGGCATGATCCATAATTGTAGCCAGCCTGGCTAAAAAATAAATCTTCTGATAAAGTGCACTGATTTAATGAATGCATTCCTACAAGACTGCTAAATTAGTTAAAAACATACAATGCTTCTTCTAGTTATGGAAACACATATATGGAAGTTTTATAAGGATTTGGTTTAAAGCTCAGTTTCAGCGTTTATTACTTACATGAATTTGGACACCTGTCACAACTCTCAGTGTAGCTTCCTCATCTGTAAAATGGGCATAATACCTCTCACAGCTTTGTTGTGAAATTAAAAATAAAGCATGTAAAACCTCTAGTACATCAACAAATATCACTCTAACATTCATTCCATGGCTACTTCACCAACATGCTGATTGACATATAAATCATACAAAGATGAATTTGCAGTCATGGAGTACAATGAAATGTGTAGAATAAGAGATTAGCAAACCATCAACTTTTTCCTCATTGTAGTGAGAGAAAGAAACTACAGGCGTGGTCCCAGGAACTATGTTTGGACAGTCTAGAGAGGAGGAAACTAACAATTCTAAAGAAATTTACCATTAAATGAATGTAGGTGTTTCAGTATGAATTTCTAATGTCTAACATTAACTTTAGCTTATATTTTTAGGAGAAACATACAGTTTTGATTGTCACATGTTAAATGGAATTTCACTTTATTTTAGCTTCTAGCTGGCAGTATCTTATTACAGAGGCATGCTGTAACAGTTAGTTCACAAGCTACTTATCTCAACGTGTTTATTTGAATTCTCTTCAACTCTTTCGCGATACGGGTGTGGGGTTCAGGATTTCTAAGGGAGTCAGCGCTGACTATACAGAGAAAAATCCCCAAGGGAGAAAGTCAGGAGCTGCTAAGAAGGTCAAAAAGAACACAGGGGAAAAAAAGAAAAATGAGTTATGCCGGTGTTCTTTAAAATTGAAGACAGAAAAATTCTTGGCTGCACTTTCATTCTATTTCACCTTACAAAAACCTCCTGCTATTCCACTCTGCTCAAAGTCTTCTTTCCAAAGTACTTTGAATTAAAACATGAAGTAATCCTTACTAAGTGTCCATAGGATCTCTTCTTTATCCTTCGCTGTGTAAGTGGGGACAAAAAGAGCTACCCAGTATTGTTGCTGGACACCAGCCTTGTCTGTCTCCTGTTATTTTCAGAAACCTCAAGGCTGCATTTTCACCCATGTCCTCAGAATTTCTTGTTCTTCTTTTGGCTTTTTACAATGCTTCTAGTAGCAGGGGCCATGGAAATAAAGAAATGAAGGAGACAGGGCACATCTAATAAAGACAAGAAAGAAATAAACACATTTTCAAGAATGCCTGAAAATTTCACCATGGATCCATTCCTATCTTTGATACTCGGTAGCTGATGGTTGTAAATAAAGGTAGACTAGAGCCTCCTTTTCTTGCACAACAGGTTTTTTTGTTTTTCCTATTTATGATTGTTTAAATTGGTGTTTCTGTTTTCCAGCATGAGGTTTACATTAGTTTTTTCTTTTTTTTTAGATTGTCATCCCTTTCATCTATTCGTGAGGTGCTGTATTACTCATGAATTTTAAATTGGAAGGCAGAAGAAAAGAGGTAAAGAAATAATTGCAAAGAAAAAGCTGTGTATTTTCCAGTGAATGGTAATAAAAAACTCCTTAGAGGAGAGAGTAACTACATGGCTGACACTAAAATATAATCAATACTACACACTGATCACCCAAATAATGTTACAGTTGAGAATCTGAGATACATGGCAAAATAAAGATGATTTCACAACTTTGCACTTTTCAAAATTATATGACATGATTTTGTATGCCATGGCTAGGTTCAGTTTTCTATCTTGATTAATACATTATATCATTTGTGCCAGTGTATGTGGGTAGGGTGAGTATTTTCATCTCCATTTTACAGATTAGAAAACTGAGGCTTATTAAATTGTCCAAAGATTTGCACAGCAGCTTGGACTGAAAGTCATGTTTTCAAACTTGATGCCCATACTGCTTCCTACCAGTAAGAGTAAGAATTTCCATCACTGCTGGCTCTTTGCCAGCTATTTCGTGCCAAGCAAGCACTGAGCTTGAAGTGCTTTGCCTGTGTTATGACCACACAGAGAGGAGGTAACAAAGCCAAGAATCTGGATCCAGATCTCTCTGATCCATGGGCCCAAACTCTTAACCAACACACTCTACTTCTATACCCTATGCCTGGGCATTCTCAGAGCATGTTAAATTTACATAACATTATCACAAATTAAATAACAGCCAAATTAAAACCTTTGCAAATGAAGATTAAACATATTTTTTTTTTTGCCTTTCAGAAATGTTATTGAAAAAAACTGGCAAGAGACATGAAGTATGTTTGTTCTTGTGCTTCGATGGTGATTAATGAACTCCTTTTGGGAGAGGCAAGATCTGTACTTGGCATTAATATTATAAACTTTTCTCATCCCAGTAGCTTCTCTTTAGGTGGGGAAAGCAGTTACATAAGGCAGCGATTAATGAGATGCCACAAATGTTGACTTAGTCCCAAATAGGGATTTTTTTTCCTCCCTCAAATCTGAGTGCTTCACCCAAATTAATTTTAAGTCACACTACAAATATGAGTAAAGTGCCGACTCGAGTTGAAAATACATCATATGCTCAACCTGAGTCCATATGCTTTTCCCCCAATTTCTTCCTGTTTTGCTAGAAAAAAAAATCCTTGAACAGTTTGAGGTTCCAAGAAGGTGTTGCCATTTCGTTTTCTCAAAATCATTGGCCAGATTCTGTTCTTGGATACTGCTTGAATTTAAATGGAAGATGCATAAAATATTTAAATCTGGGATCCCCAAAGCATGGCATTACAGTTTTTTGAAATGGCAAAGTTTCTTCCTCTGGGAGTGAAAAGCTATAATGTTAGGCCTATAATGGTAGGTGGAGGTAGAGAAATATATGTACACTTTCATGTTTTGTTTATCTAATCATGTTCACGTCCTCTAGACAAACTGAAAGAGTAATTCTTACTCCCAAGAAGGAAAGCTCTGTCCTGAACTGAAGACATCACACGATTTTGTTGGGGCATTTGATATAAGAGGTAGCTATGATCACAACGGTTAATATCTGGACATCCAGAAGCACGTTCTGTGAACAGATCATAAGGGGCAACATGCCAGGCAGGAATCCAAAGTCATTATTCTACCTGCTTACAACCGACTTCTCCAAGAAAGTCTATTTATTAAACACCTAATATTTTCATGATGACATATAAGACTTGCCAAATTAGAACTTGAAAGTGTAGAATCTCCACACTGTTTTTGAAATGAGAACATATCTACTGCATACTTCAAATAAAGTAGAAGTTGAAATTTTCATACTTAGATGAAGAATTACTAAAACTAAAGCTCTTTTAAAATAATAGGTCTAGTCTCACTCCCAGGAGCAGCAGAGTAAATTAAGATGAGGAGGATTTGTAAAATAAAGGGAGACACATATGTACAAAAGGAAATAAGAACAACGGGAGGAGCTACTCTGAACTCAAAAGGCAGAGCCATAGAATATTTTTCTTCCTACTTCTGAAAATCCTTGGGGAAGTTAGGCTTAGTTTGTCATATTTTACCAAAAAAAACAAAACAAAACTGACTATTTCAATATTAAGTATTTATATTTGTTTAAAACGTAATTTCCTATATATACAGAACATGTATTGTGACATGCTTTGCACAAGATAACTTACAATTTTAGCAAGCTATGTGTATAATAAAGCACAAAACAAAAAGTACACAATATAATTGTGGTTGTTATGCAATAACAAAAAAGATAAATTTAGACTGGGTGCAGTGGCTCACACCTGTAATCCCAGCACGCCGCAAGGCCAAGGCGGGAGGATTACATGAGGCCAAGAGTTTGAGACCAGCCTGGTCAACATGGTGAAACACTGCCTCTACTAAAAATACAAAAACTTAGCTAGGCATGGTGGCACACACCTGCAATCTCAGCTACTTGGGTGGCTGAGGTACAAGAATCGGTTGAACCTGGGAGGCAGAGGTTGCAGGGAGCCAAGATCTTGCCACTGCACTCCAGCCTGGGCAACAGAGCAAGACTCTGTCTCAAAAAAAAAAAAAAAAAAAAAAAGATAAATTTAAATTCTGTAAAATCTTGTAATGTAAATCCTGAAAAACATTTTAATGTACATTTGGAATTAGTCACAGAATTAAAATCTATTCCTTAAATAAAAATAAGTTAAATAAGTTATTACTTAAAAATAAGTTAAATGGCCAAATGCTACAAAAATTAAACAATAAAATTATAAGTAGGTGTTTAATAAGTCAGAGGAGGGAAAATTTTCTAAGCATAAAAGCAGTAAAACAGATCATAAATAAAATGTCTGTAACTTTGACTCCTGGTAAATTTAAAACTTTATATAGAAACAAATACACCAGAAAAAAAATATAAAAATATTTTCGATAAATGTAAGATTGATCTCTCTCACACACACACATATATTCTTACAAGTAATTTAGAAAAGCACCAAATCTTGAATAGAAAGAGGGAGTAAGCATAATAGATAATTCTCAGAAAAAAATACACATAGCCAAAAACATTAAAATAATCTATCTCACTAAAAATCAAGGAAGTTCATATTATGGTATCAACTACTATGATATGATAGTAAGATACTATTATTTTCCTATCTAATGACTTATAGTGAAAAGAACAATACAAGGTTGGTGGGCATAAAATAAGACATATTCTCATACCCCAATAATATGTGGGGACATAATTCAATGTAACATTTCTAAAAGGTAAATTTGGCAACATCTACATCCAAAATCTAGGAGTTCATATGCTTTGACCCAGATATTGTACCTCTATGACGCCATTGTTAAATAATAATCAGCCATATGGAAAAGTATGTTCATGCACAGATGTTCCTCAAAGCATTTATAAAAATAAAAATTAGAAAGACTAATGTTCAACAATAAATTATACTAAAACCCACTTCCTTTTTTCTGAAGAGTATTTAATGACTCAAGATTCAAGTGCGGCTAGGGTGATCTTTTCAACCAGTCCTAGCTGCCCATGTCACTCCTCTGGATAAAACCTTTCCAAAGGCTCAATCTGTTCATCAGAATAAAGTCCAATTCCTTGATGTGCATCAACCAAGATCCTGCCTTGGTTTTCCTTCCATTCTCTTTGTGAATGGCTCTCCTGCTCCAACCCTAACCATCCTGTGCCTTCTCCAACTCAGGGCCTTTCTTGGAGCTGTTCCCTCTGCCTGCAACCCTCTTCTCTCCATTTAGATGCTGTTGATCCCTGCTCATATCCTGGATTCCAGGTTAGACATCATTTCCTGATGCTCACATATCTAAAGTCTATGCCTCTTTTAAGTATACCCTCTGTATCTCCCTGATCTCAAATCTTCACCATTACCTTTGCTCCAGGACATAGGGAGTTGTGTGAGGGAAAACACATCTTGTTCATTCTTGTACACTTAACACCAAGTCAGTATACTTGTCAAAGAGTTGAAAGAACAAATGAATCAACAAATTCGCTCAATGAAACAAAATTAAGTGATAAAAGGAGAATACCAAACTGGAAACATAGGCATTTAATAAACATGTGGCTGCACATAAAAAATAAACATATGAGGAAAAAAGTGTGTAACAAAAGTATACAGGGTGATTAGCTGAGTGAGAGGATTATAGGTAATTTGTCCAGAGAACTTTTTCTACACTTCCTTATATTTTCCGAATATTTTAAGATAAACTTTACAAAATGCAAAACTCTAGCAAAAGAAGCTCAAGTGTCATTTTTTAAAAAGTGTATGCTGCCTCATTTTTAAATAATACTTGGACAACAAATATCTATTGTATTTCTGTCACTACTGCAGTTATCCAAAAGCCAACACTGCAAAATAATCTGAAGGTAGTTTTTCAGAACTGCATGATATTTAAAAACTATATATTGATTCAAATAGTTAACTCCTTAAAATAGCTTTTAAAAAATTCAACTGCATTCAAGTTTAATATTTAGACTGGCAGAAATTATTCTTTCCATTTCCAAACTGTTAAGCAGAGTGAGTTCTGCTGGGTGTCATACACATGGCGTGTTTCAGTGCCAGTGTCTACAGTTGTTTGTTTCAGAACCTCTAATTAGCTGCCTTATCTTCTGGTAGGGATTCTTCTGGTGCTAAGTTTTAATCACCCAAATTAATTGAAATACTGTAGCAATTTCAGATTAACATTTTCAAAATTAACAATGCATAAAATAAAATCACCCATAAATCTGCTTGGTAACAGCAGCCACTAATGAACTCTGAAAATCAGACCAGATCCCACTGCTAATTTGCACAGAACTATACAGCTAGACCACAGGAAATAAGCTTTTCTCTGTCCAAAGCTTGACATAAGTAAAATATACAGAAGATGTCGAAGGATAAGGTCTCTAAAGCCAAATATGCTGCAATTAAGTTTGGCACCCACCAAGTGCTGTGTGACCTTGGTTGAAGTACTTAACCTCTCAGAACTTTGGTTCCCTCTGCTGAAAAACCCCAATGATCCTTGCCTCCTGGTACTGACATACTTAATCCCCTTCCCTGAATGTGGGTAGCCAAAAGAATATGGCAAAGGTGATGGGATGTCACTTCTGTGATTATATTATACATTTTAATGTCCACCTTGCAAGGAAACCCTATCACCTTCTTGGTTTGCATATTCTGATGAAGCAAGCATCCATGGTGAGTAGGTCCATGTAGTAAAGAACTGAAGACAGCTTCTGGCCAAGTGTTCCAGGTCATAAGGCCCTCAGTTCACAGTCCAAAAGGAATGGAATCCCGCGAAAAGCAGTGTAAGTGAGTTTGAAAGTGAACCCATCACCAGTTGAGCCTTCGGATGAGATCCAGCCCTGGCCGATATCTTAAGTGAAGTATTGTAAGAAACCCTGAAGCACAGAACCCAACTAAGCCATGCCTAGATTTCTGATTCACAGAAACTGAGATAACACATGTGTGTCGTTTTAAGCTGCTAAATTCATGGTAAATTGTTACATAGCAATAGAAAATACAGGTATCTATATGTATCAATAACCACCACTATCATCATAATCTTCAGAGCACTTAGTATGTGCTAAACTTGGTTGATACTTCATTATCTCATTTAATCTTCATAATAATACTAGGAGATGGCTGCTACTATTACTTCCATTTTAGAGATGATAAGCAGGTTTATTTGCCTAAGACTATATAGCTAGTTAGTAGAGAGGCAGGACACAAATCCAGATCTGTGCCACTGTAGAACCCTCAGTCTATACCACCACACAGGGCTACCGTTGGAGATTAAAAGTGCTATTATGCATGAATATGTTTAATACAGATAAAATTTAAAAAGATCTCTCCTTCTCTTTCTTTCCTCATTACTCCTTTATTGCCGTGAAGCAGGTAGTGGCTTAAATTTAATGCCTTAAGAGCTGTATCATCTGGCTCTCCCACATTCTTACCCTGACCTTTCCTTTAAGGATGGCACCTTTCTTCAATTCTGTCCCCACAAAACATGCTGTGTTAGGTTCTGTTTCCTCAGTTCTCTAATCCGATAAACCAATCTATGCTAACATGTCAGTAGATAACAGTAGAAAAAAGGATGATCACTGTCTAAAAACAGTGAGGTACCATGACAGGGCTACAAGAAGATCAAATATGTGGCAAGAAAATTAGTGTTTTCTTTTACCACTGCAAACAAAAAGCTTCCAGTTGGAATAAACCTTTGTTGGGAATCTCCAGTTCCTATTTTAGGTTCACTTCTCCACATCAACCATTTTGGATACCAGAGAACTATCAAACAGAGGATCCTACAAATGGAAAAAGGACAAGGTAGGAGAGGTGGAAAACCTAGGCACAGTATGCCCAAGGATGAAAACTGTCTGAAACTTGTTGCACACAATAATAGATGTACATTTTAATCTGCTAAAACCAAGCCTCTCTTTCCTCTCTCTTATTCATTTGTAAACAGAATTATAGAAAAAAAATTCCATGTGGACAAGCTAGTTCAATCCCACTTCCCACCTGAGAAGTGAGCACAGAAGCCAGGCTGGCCAATCAACAGAGCACTCTGGCTGCAGTGATTGCTTCAGAGAAGAGCACATGGTCTAGGCTAGGCCAATTAAAGCTCTCCTTGGGATTCTGCTGGATTTACTGAGAGAAAGATGTTCTATTTTCTCTGAATTAACCAGCTGTGGGGACAATGTACATGAAGAGCTGCTAACAGACAACTTTGCCTCCACATGAGAAAAACCTCTGTGAGGTGCATGTTGACAAGAAGCCAATAGAGGAGAAAGGAGAACTAAGACACAAAGAGAAACTGAACCCTAATGATATCAGTTGGAGTCCCTGGATCCATCTCTGCCTGAAGCCAAAATGCTTTGGAATTCCAGTTACCTAAGTCAGAAAACTTTTTTTTTTCCTAAGCTAGTTTGAAATGGATTTTTGTCACTTGGTAATCAAAAGCATATTGGTTGGTATATAATTGAACTGACCCAAACCTAGGAACAGACTGATAACTTCATTTAAACATATGTAGTTCTAGTAAATTTACCTTTACTGATGTCTGTTTTAGATATTTTGTTTCCTTGTCCTGTGTCCTTCAGTTTGCAAAAAATTCTCCCTCATCTGCCTTCACAGTCAACCAGATCATTCATAACCTATACGACACACTTTGGTAGTTCATCATGTACTCTACAATATTACTTTGACAAGTTATGTTTGTATGTCTTAACTCTCCAGCAAAATTCCAAGTTCCTCAAAGGCAGAGGAACTTCCACGTTTCTAATACCTATATAGAAGAAAATGAATGAGCCTCAAAGGAAAAACGATCCATAAAAACAATTATAAGAACCAAACATAAGCTTTTATTTTCATTCAAATTAAAAATTTAGAAGTCAACTTGATTTGAATATGCTGAAAGATAACTAATTGCCAATATGAGTCATTTTGACAGAAATTCCACAAATAGCACTCCAGGGTTCTAATTAATTTGATAATAATCTTGCTATTTCTACATAGAACTGTAGTATAAATAAGATCATAAATTATATTAAGAATTACTTTATCAATGTCCTCTCCTGAAATCAATTGGATATCATTTGCATCAAATATTGTTATACAAAGTCAATATGTTTTGACCCAGTTAGTTCCTTTCATTTAAGTTACTTCAGACCTAAGTGCTGAAAGAAAATCATCTGCCTCTCAGAGGTTGCTGGCCCATAAGAAATTACTGACTTTTCTTTATCTACTTAGCATTACAATGGCATATCCTTCTTTTTCTGAAATGGAATGGTATTCAACCAGCATAACCATAGATATGGCAAAGGAAGTCCACTCCATATCTGACGTTCTAAGTAAGGAACAGTTTATTGATGATAAATGTTCGAAGTAGCTCACTAGGTTCATTACTTCTTTTTCAGGATTTTCTTCTAAATATTTAATAGATATATACTTTATCTTCTAAAACATAACTACTACAATAATAGAAATTGTTAGAAGTGCATAAATGGCCCAGAGTAGGTTCTAAATATAATTCAAACATTCTGTTATTTCAGTAGTCATATTACTGATGTATATTTTCCATCTAAAAGCACCCCCATGCACATCTCCAGATATTCACCTCACCTTTGTTCTGATTCTGAAGGTGCCTGACCAGTATAAAAGACAGGCTTGGCAAGGCATGCACAGACCTGCCAGACAACAGAAGTAGTGATCCTTTGTGAACTCGGAATGAGCCTTGAAGGGGAGAAATAAATCCTCCTCCAACCAAGAAAGATGCGAGCAAGAGGCTGTGGTGCTCATTTCAGAAATCTGTTATCACGGAAAAGGGAATCAGAAAGGTAGTCCTGAAAATGACTACAAGAAGATCAACTGTCCTAGTGCAAAACTAGTCTTATTGTCCATGGTTTCATAGAAGCTTGAAAAAAAGTCGGCTATTTTAAAAACCAGAGCATGCTCCTCAGCATTTGTTCACAGCTTGGATTTCTCATTTCTCTGCAATGAATCTTAATCACTGGGTTTACTGTCCCAGTTTTTTCAAGTTCATTTCTTTCAATGTGAAATATATTTTTACACATTTACAATTATGCTCCCAATATTTAGATTAAGATTTATATTTGATGAGAAATTAGCTTTAGAGGTGATAGAAAAGACAGAAGCAGGTTTGACTGATTAATATGGAAATATTCTAATCTATAGAAACTTTACTATTTATTATAGACAAAAGCTCATTTACTAAAACCTTCAGGAATATGCATTTGTCTCCCTCATAAAAAAGAAAAGAGATAAAATGTATTTTTAGATAAGTGCATTTGAAAACACTCTGTTGTTATTTTTCTCAATGTTTTCTATTTGGAAACAAAAATATAAAATTTCTCTATTGAACATATTGACATTACATTTAAAAGCAAATCTAAAAGAAATCAACAATTCTGTTTAGACTTGGAATAAATTTCACAATCCTTTGAAATTAAAACACTAAGAACAATAGTATTAAATTGTAATTCAATACAATAAACCAGTATAAAAATTTTTATTTATATAAATGAAAACATTTATATGTAACCCAGCTTAAAAGCAATTTGAGACATTTGTGTTTCCCAATTTGTTTTGCTTTCTTGTATGTATTGTGTAATCCTAGATCTTTTTATATGTTTATTAAACAATTCACTAATTGTTTTTAAGACACTGCTATACGTAATAAATCTGCACAAAAATAGTATATAATATTTAAAAATTTTATATGTACATTTATATACATGCATTTATGCAATCAGAACTTTGTGTCTATATCTATTCCTTTCCTAGGAAGAATATAAATTCTTTGCGGAAAGGGGCCATGTTTTATAATTAATGACAATCCTGTGCTTAATGTCAGATAAGAAATGAAATTGGTAATGAAAGAAAGATTTCTTAGATTCCTTTCTTCATACAATAACAAATGAGAATGGCGTTATATGTCAATCCTATCCACCTGAAAGAGGAAGTGACCATCTTTGAAGATGTCTCTGCTACAAAACAGTAAGACATCTCCTTGGTGAATAAGAAAAGACAGTTTTTCTAAGCCACATGCAACTCTTTGTAATCAAGAGTCTAACAATGAGCATCTGAGAAACAAGAGTTGTCAGAAAGGACTCTTATCAATTTAATCATTACCTATTCATTTATTATTCAAGGTTATCACAAAGCACAAGAATAACTTAAGATCAGAAAGAGTGTAAGCTATTTAAACATTTCCCATCTACTCCACATAATCTTTAGGCAGCACAACACAGAATGGTCGCCTGAAGTGTTTAAAAGCTAGTGACTGTAGGCTTAAATGCAGGATGCTATGAGTTCCACAAATATAAGACAATTTTGCAATAATCTAAAAACATGGACCCAGTGAAAAGAATACATGCCCTGGTATACAGATTTGCCACATGCAAACTGAAATAAATCTTGTATCTCCTACACTGAGACAGAAGGAAATTTTTAAAGCTCAGTATTAAAATTTAATTGGTAACTTTGACCTTGAGTGCCACTTTAGGTGAAAAATATTACATCAGTGCTCAGATTTTCTTGAGATTTATGATCTCATGTTCTTGAAAAAGGCCTAGCACCTCCGTGTTCCTGAAATAATTGATATGTCTGTTACAAGTGTTATTTTCCTGATACCAACATCTGTCTTAGGAAGAAAAGTACAAACTGATGAAAATTCCCTGCTATATTTAAGAAATTCAAAAGAGCTACCAGAATTTGCATCTAATACATTACTATATTTATAAAAGCAGCCAAGATTATAAGTTGATACTTTTATTAGCACACAATAGAAGACAAGAAAAAATAAAGAGCAAAGCCATTTGCAAATATTGTCTATAAAGATTAATCACAATTATTAATAGGGAGTGAATGATTTAAATGTGCTAACAAGCTACAACACAAACCTACAGTTCACTCTTTCTTGGATTTGAATAAACCCCACAATATATGTTTTCAATATTGGGAGTTTTTCTTTGCTTCTTTATTGCAATAACAAACACTAATAATTTCACCAAAAAAAAAACCTCTCAACTATCACAGTTGACTATGTTTATTGGTAAAGATAAGCAAAAGATCATGAAAGCCATTAGATTAAGGGGGAATAACAACAAATCTGAAAATGACTGTGATTATGTAGCTTCTTATTTCAACAGAAATTCAACATAAAATTCAGGGTCTATTTAATATTATTCTCCTTCACATGACAAAAAGTCCAATATTAAAGAACATGCTCTAATATAAATTAGTTGATATAGTAATTGCTATACTTAGCATTTACTATATACTGGGCACCTTTGAGAGTACTTTACTTGGGCACCTTTGAGAGTACTTTACTTGCTCTTTTGTTTCTTGAGATAAGGTCTTGCTCTGTCACCCAGGCTGGAATGTAGTGGTGCCATCACAGCTCACCACAGTCCCAAGCTCCTGGCTTCAAGTGATCCTCCCACTTGGCCTCCCAAAGTTCTAGGATTACAGGAATGAGCCAACGCGCCTGGCCTACATATATTAGCTCACGTAATGCTCACAACAACAACGTAAGGTAGGTCCTCTTATTCATTTCCTTTTACAAATGAGGAAACTATGGCACAGAGAGAGGAGGCAAACTGCCGAAGTTCAAACAGCAAGTAAACAGCTAAGGCCAGTCCCAAGCCCAGGCAACATGGCTCAGAGCCATGCTTCCCACCACTAGACTATGCTGTGTTTCATTAGCATATCAGCAGGAGGAATTTAAAAAGAAAGAATGTCAATGCATACATAAAAACTGTATCATCACTTATTAATTCATGTAGCATTTATTAAGCACCTACTACCCACTGGACTATGCATTAAGTTCCTTTCCAGTGCAAAAGGGCTATAGAGAATATATATAATATACCTTTGAACATGGCTCTGAAATTTGGACCTGGTGAAGTAGTTACACCCGGCCTCCTAAACTCTTTAATCAGTTGCTTTTATAAGCCACTTTAAGTGAGGCCCTGCAAAGTCATGTGTTGACACTTGGAGATGTTAAGTAAATTAACTGTAGGATAAAAAAAAATCAAAGGAACTTCCATGGTAGAAATACTAACAGCAAATAATGCATTGTGGAAGCAGTTTGTCTACGCAGACTCAACTTTACTGATCCCTTGTTTAAACATTTTGTCTGAAAATCTCTAAACAATAGCCACATGAGGATCAAGGCACGCTGGTCATCAAGCAAGGGTTAACTTTGAACAAAGAAGCTTTGCAACTAACCAGCAGAAAGAGGCAGAAATCCAAAAGTCAAGCAACTTTAAATACATAAGTCAAGCCTAAATCAAAAGACAGCTGTGGGAAGAAATAGGCTTACTATATCAGCAGCTTCAACAGGCAAGATCATCAAGTGTTTGGGTTTTTTATTTCCAAAAATATGGAAAAAGGAAAAATACACTCATATACATTTATTATACGTAATGGAAAACTTTTTTTTTTTTTTTTTTGAGACAGAGTCTCGCTTTGTCACCAGGCTGGAGTGCAGTGGCGCGATCTCGGCTCACTGCAAGTTCTGCCTCCCGGGCTCACGCCATTCTCCTGCCTCAGCCTCCCAAGTAGCTGGGACTACAGGCACCCGCCACCACCCCCAGCTATTTTTTTTTTGCTTGTATTTTTAGTAGAGATGGGGTTTCACCGTGTTAGCCAGGATGGTCTCCATCTCCTGACCTCGTGATCCGCCGGCCTTGACCTCCCAAAGTGCTGGGATTACAGGCGTGAGCCACTGCACCCAGCCACGTATGTTCTTACAAACATAAATACAACAGCACTTCTCTTGTAAGTTTATTCTTCATGAAGTTCTAAAGTCTTTGGACAAATAGAAAAACAAAACAAAAAAACTGTACCTATACAAAGCCATCACCTTTAGGATAAAGGAGTATAAATCTGTTTTATTGTTGTTCTACTTTGCCATATTTCTAATCTGGGAATTTACTAATCTAAATAATGTAAGGGATTCTAGAAAATTTTGGCTATAAATGGTTGAGTCAAATATGTTCCTATTGACATACTACAAATACAAAAATGCATTTCCCTGAGGGGAGAAGAAAGAAAAAATACATTAAAAAAATAACACTTATAAAGGTTAAGTAATTTTTCTGAAACAGCAATACTATAACTCACACAAAATAAGACAAAAATATTATGTTCACAGTCATATACCCCTACTGAAAATAATAGAGAAAGTCACTTCTAAATATTATTGCAGGGAGTCCTCTGCAAAGGATATTGTCTTGGGAAAGTCAGAACTATTAAAAAGTAAACCAGAACCCCTGTTTTTTTAATGGCTTCAAATTTGTTCTGTAGTTAAAAGATTTAAACTAGTCTCAGGACACAAGTGAGGCAATTTCTAGCCAGAGGCAACAAAGCTCCTATAAATCTTAAACAGCTCATAAACTGGCAATGCTACCATGGGTGTGGTTTCAGTTATAAACTATAATGCTTTGAAAACTAAACTTTACAACTAGGTGAATACCACTTATGATAGGAAAACAAAATGAAACACATAGTCCAGATTATTTTCCAGCAAAGCTACTCTATTTCTCATGTTCCCCTTGGTTTATCATCAAGTTCGTGTATTTGGAATCCTTTAACTGTGAATACCTTTTACTCACAACAAAAGGATCACATACATAAAAAATCTTTGGTAATTAAACTGTGGAAAGAAGGCATTGCATAATGGATGAAAAATAATTATACTAACATAATGACAGGGCAAATCTCACAATGCTAAATAGAAAACAACTGAACGTTTTCTGCAGACAAATAATTGGTCTCCGGAGAGGAAACTTGTCACAAAGTCCCCAAAAAACATGCTGCTATTATAAAATAGCATGGATATAGAATTAAGAAATTTTCTCTGATGGAGGGTGGGTACCAGTTGTCTGGTTTATGCTCTCCCCTACTTACTTAGAAAACAGTGATTTTTAAGTGGCAGCTAGCTGGCTGGTTTTCTTACTAGATTTACAAAGGAACACAGGGAGGGTGCTGGATATGTGAGCATTAACCAGGCACCCTGAGGCTGTTCAGTAAGCAAATAACCAGCTCAACTGCTGACTGTGGAAAGAGTGCAATGCTGGTAGTTGCTGGTAGTTACTCATGTGAATGATTTACACGTTAGACCATGACCTCCTGGTCACACATTATACACCAAATTATGAGGAACAAAGGCCAACAATATGCCTCACTTTCCACAGCAATTCCCATATCCTTTCATAAGCACTTAGCTGAAGCCATAATTATGGAAGGTTTAATCAGAAACACACCTGGATCCACCTGTTTAGGAGTTCTTCGCAGTCCATTGGTCCGTTTCTGTGCAGTAAAGTAAAACAAAGCAAAACAAATATGTGTTGGTAATTTTGCACTATTAAATTGTATTACTACTGGCACTTTGGAAAGCAAATGAATGTTGCACATTTTCCAAGTCAAAGTATGACTAAATTTGATCAGAATATGGTTTTAAAGTTTGTTTTATTTGTTTTTCTAGTAAGTCTTCCACGTGTATATCATTACACTTGATAAGTTGTTGGTACCTTATAACAGTAAGAAAAAAAATCTTTTTGGTTGCCAACTCCAAATATTGGGACTCAATTTGTTAAGTCATAGTGACGATGGAGAGAACAAAGCCCAGCAGCCATCTTGGTTAGAATATGTTCCCAGCCAAGACATATGAGCAACAACAGCCTTAAACTGATCTCATAAAACTCTAACTCAGCTATTTATGGGACCTCACAGACCAGACTGAAGAAGGTATACAACCTCAAAACAAAGATCTGAAGCTCTGATTTTAGCCAACACTTAAATGAGAATAGTGTTTTAATTATAGACCAGTTGTATCTGAACACTTTAAAAAACAAAACAGACATGCAGCTTGTGAATCATAAAAATGAATTCTTATTATAGAAAATGAATCTGTAAGAAAACAACTTTGCATTACAAAAATTACAGATGAAACACAAAACAAGAGATTTTAAATCTATGAAAATGCATGGCTACATATTTTATTTCTAAAGCATTAAACTCATTCCCACCTAACTACAGTAATCTCACTAATTAAGAAGGGCTTGATTTCACTTCTTTATTATGCAACTGGATGAAATGCTGAGTCTATGACTATCATACAATCTAGATTTTCACAAAAGCAATTTTCTTTTTATGTGTTGGGGTTTGTATCTGTGTGTGAAGACTTGGTTTCATTCAGAGCACACTTGGCTGTGCTAAGCACACATTAGCCATGGATTTCTCTCAGGGTTCTTTCTGTTGTTTTCATTCACAAGTTAAATGGATGAAATGAGGTTTTTTTCCAGCCTTCCTAAGGGCCTCAAAGTCATATCCAGCAGACTTGCAGGGTTCTCAGGTGAAAGCAAATTGGAGAAATTTTTAAAATGTAATTTTGGTTTTTACTCCAACTACTTTCAACATGGATTTGTAAAAGACTGCTAGGATCATTAAAATCAGCATTGAAGCTATGTTGAGCAAGATGGATAGCTGCACTAGAAAAGCTGTAACAAGAGTCATTGTGAATGAAAGGAAAATTTTGCTCTAGATTTGTTGGTAGCCAAGGCACAAAAATTGGAAGCATAATGAGTTACAGACTCATGTCTGATAATATGAAAGAACACTAATTTAAAGAAAAAATCTTTTCTGTCTGAAATTTTATAATTTAGAGGAACTCTATATAAACAACATCGAACAACACAATTGACAGTATTTTCAACAGGAAATTATTTAATGATGGGCAACTTGCTATTTACTTGCTACATATCCCATCATCTTCTTAATGCACAATAGAAGCTGTCTTTCTACTGATTTTATACCTGCTACTATCAAAGTACTAGGAAGGCAAAAAAAAATGAATTTAACTCTTTGGTTTGATTCCTAGAATGCCTAAATTAGTCCCATGTAGGAACTATAAACTTAAAATGTGAAAAGGGGACCCTGACTTCAAGAGCAACTCTGTGTTCTTACACCTTGAATTTAGAATTAAAATAGGCTACACATTGCAAGTATTAAGAGAATGGATTCTAGAATAATACTCCCTAAGTTCAAATTCAGTTTGAACACAAACAGTTAAATTTATATCTCTGTGCCTGTTTGTTCCTCTATAAAATGGAGATAATACTAGCACTGACTTCATAGGTTTTGCAGTGAGAATTAAATGAGTTAATTTACCTTAAATGCTTGGAACAGTTACAGCCACATGGTAAGGATTATTAAGTGATAGATTATTAGCTTTTTGTTATTTTAAATGTTTAAATTCACACAAAGTAATTCTTCTACTCTTTTGGTGCCTTACTACTTATACTTTAGGTTCTTCCTCCTGAAAATCCACTGAAAGTCAGTCACTCTGAAAACAGAAACCTTTCTACAGGAAGGGTGTGCAGTGGAATAAACTATGAACTGGTGTATTTAAAAAATAACATCGGAGGAATTTTCACGCCCCTAAACCAACTGCATTTGGAGAGGCTAAGATTTTTTTATACTTTAAAAGAACCTAAAAAGTATTTTATATTGAAAAACCTGGAGATGTTCAGCAGATCATATTTTGAACAATTTTAAAGTGCAAATTTCATTTGTCATTCTGTCATCTCTATGCGTATACTCCCCTCCCCAATCTATATTCTCAAAAGTCTAGGACGGAGCTGGACAGGCCCTTGTCCCCAGCAGGAAGAGAACGGAAAGGAGGAGAGGACACATCTAGTAGCCACCCCTGGAGCTCTCAGTTACAGCTTCACACCACCATGAGAATCAGTCTCCAGGACCTTCTCAGTCTCCTTTGATCTACCTAACAATGGTGGGCTGGTTGGGGGGGTGGGGGGGGAGGGGGGGCAGGAACCAAACTCAATTCTATAAGCACTTGGCAGTTATTTCTTGCCTCATTACCATTGCCTTATCTTTCTTTCCCTCTAAAAAAAAAGGGATTTAAAGTAGCTAAATATGTATGCAATGATAAACTTGCTTCTTGGAGCCAGAGGAACTTTCCGAAGGTCCACTCCAGAATGGGATGTGAGATGTACAGCCCAGGTATGGTTATGGACGCCCCACGGATTCTGTGGCTAGTGAAAACTGACCTACCTCGCAAATAAAGTGCAAAATTTAAAAAAAATTCACAATCATAACTATTGAAAGGGAAGCAGAGGAGGCCTATAAACTGGTACATGGAGAGAAAGAAGGTCTTCAAGAGAGGAGAAAAAATAAAAATCACAGAGCTTACAAATTACAAAAGTGTTTCACTATTTACTTATGAGAAGATTCCTGAGCAGCATACAATCATCTGCCTTGGAGAGTGAACACACCTGGTATAGGGTGAGAGCTGCTTCTTAATATTAGTTTGCTGTATTTCTCCCTTAAAACAAACTCAAGTTTCCAAATGGATTGACTAGCCTCAGAGCTTACTATAATCCTCCATCCACACAAAACAGAGATTTTTAGTACAGTCACACAGTAAATAAAAATTATACTTATATTGAAGAGTGAAACAAGTCACTAAAAAACTGATGTTATATATTTTTAAAAATCAATGTGAAAATTAATTCCTTGTATCATAGGCTTACATGTAATTTAAAAAGTATAAAAGTGCCTGTGAGAATTATTTAGTATCACATGAAAATTATTACCCACTTCTTATTGGCATATTTTCTTTCTGTAAGCACACCCACTTCACATTACTTAATTAAAATGAAACCATCTTCCTTGGAAAAAATAATATATATATCTAAAAGGATAAGTGTTAAGTAACACTGAGGTAAAGTTCAGAACTCTACAAGGTTTCTTTCTCAATAATATAATAATAGCAATGAGAAAGTGAAAGAAGGCTGCTTTGCAAGATCCTTGGCACTGCTGGAAGAATCCTGATAGCCCTAGTGAAAAATCTTACCTGTCAATGAAACACTAAAGGAACTCTTTGGTTAATTTATTTTAGCTCTAAAGAAACTCATATGGCCTATTAAAAAAATCACCTTGTTATGCATTCTTTGGTCTAGACTTTAGGTTTTAAAATATAATCAACAGATGCACTGATTAGGTGCATATGAGCCTCTTTATATCACACTCTTGATATCCTATATGTTCAAATTATGTACTTATGCAAAAAGTAGAGACAAGCACCTCTTATATTTTGCTGTACTTTTTCTTATTTTTACTAGATGTTGGATTAAAAACATACTAATATCACTTTTAAAGAGAGGTTTTAATTGTTAGATATTAATTTACAAATCATAATTTTCATCGTTACTTTGAAATTTTCAGATTACTGTACTTTTGGTTCATATAACTAATCACACATAGTTTGTATTTTATTTTTCTATGATTTCTAAAAATGTTTTGCTATGGCCATTTGTGGGGAGGGGCAGTCAGGTAAGAAATCTGTTATTTTTGGTTGAAGGTCAAGGCAATGATTGTCTGGGAACCATTAAAATCTTTTCTGTCTGAAATTTTATAATTTTGGGGAACTCTATATAAACAACATCAAACAACACCATTGACAGTATTTTCAACAGGAAAGTATTTAATGATGGGCAACTTGCTGTTTACTTCCTACATATCCCATCATCTTCTGTATTTTTTTAAATAACTTTTTTTTGGATTTTTAAAGTAACTTTATTCTGAGAGGTAACATGGATTACATACTTCTAAGCCATTAGGAGACTCTATGTTAAACCAAAAGGAAATGTTACTAGATCTTCATTTGATCAATAGGATGTGATAATCATCATCTTTCTGCTCTAATGGAAAAGTACTAGAAACATGGAACCATAATCTTAGATGAACAACGTTAGAATTTGCACTAATTCTACGGAATTTCAGTAATTCGGCAAATGTCGGGCAGTGACACAACATTTCATGACGGGGACGCATCTACCAACTTCTGGCGATAAGGGCCACCCTTCCCTCTGTACTTACAGTCCCATTTCATACACAGTCTTTGATTAAATATTCACATTTTTTCTCTACCTAAGACCTTCGGACAGTGACAGTGAACATTCCTTGGATTTAACTTTTGCATTTTGTTCACAATCACTTGGTTGTTCCCTCTGTTTCTGTTTATTTCTATTTATTTTAAAAGGCACATTTAACAGTGTAAAAGCCCAAGCCTGGTTAAGTTAGCAAACAACTTGAAATGCAAAGGTTATAAAAAATATTTAAAATGTTAATCTTACCTCTGGTAGTTTGAGTGTCCCTTGTTCTGAAAGAAATGTAAAAATTGGCATTGTCAGTGTAAAGTTATTTTGTTTGGTTAGCAACCTTAGCTTTCTCTGCAGAGTGGTAAAACACCACTGCTTTGTTTTCTTAACTGATACCTGTAATATATTTCCACGGTCCCTCAGGCTGGGCTAGTAATTATTTTGCAACCTTGGTTCTCTTACCCTATTGGCTTGTCAGGAAAGTGACTCACAGTTTTAAATGACTTCTAGGTTATGCTTAACTTTTTCCATTGTTTATTAAGCAATGTCAGTCCTACCACATAAAGCTCCTTAAAACAGGGGCTTACACTAAATTTATAGGCATAAGAGAAAGCTAAATGCAACCTTTCTTTCAACATGCCTCGTTTTAAGAATCTAAAAACACTAAGCTAACAAAGGTACTGCATTGACGATTTGTAACAATAGCAAATTATACATAGTACAACATTTCGTGTGAATTGTTTTTTGTTAAGTGGCTATAACTTTTATTTTTAATTTTGGCAGAAATACAGTTTGAGTTAAAGATGGAACTTAAAAAAAAACTGAGTCAGGATTGATTTTAATGCTAATTTTCTTTTCATATTTAGTTTACCTCCAGAAATAGGAAGAACAATTCCTTCATTACATTTCAGGCCCTGCAAATGCCTAATGGTTATAAGGGCCCTGAGATCTTCAAATGCGTACTATAGTAGAAGAGCAAAGGATCGTTCTGGGGATAAGGGCGCACACGGCACTTGGAAAACTGGTGGGCAGCATCTTTGCCTCCTTTCCCCATACCCAGGAGCACTTATACATGTTCTAACTTCTCCAGACAGACAGGAAATCCCTCATCATCATAAGCCCAGGCCTATACCTTCCCCATCCAAAATGATCCTCTAAAGAAGCATCTGAAAAGATGCCACAGAGAGACATCAGGACAGAAAGAGCAGGCCTAAGTGGGAGCTCTGCAGGATGTTTCTTTAAGAGATTCTAAGAAGCTCCCAGCCAGAGTTGAAGGGGAAAACTCCTGCCAGGCCACCTGACTAGCTGCCACAGATTGCTTTACACAAGAAGATTGCCTGGGGCATGGAACAGGAGGTTGGTTTGTTTTTTCTTTTCTCTCTAGCTTTTTTTTTTCTTTTTTTTCTTTTTTTAACGAATACTTCTGATTAATGGAAATGGAAGATCCATGGGCAGAAAGTCACCTTCAGAAGAAAAGCTAAGTCCTCATCCCTTTGTCAATTTCAAACCCCATCACCTTGGCTTTCACAAATAACTGCCTTCTATGAAGGCATCTTTGCTAGCCCTGAAATCAACCTTTACAAAGGAGTATTCCTGGACAAAAAGTTACTTCATTTCTTCTTTTCCTCCCTATTGGAAACACATAACGTTTCAGAAGAAAGATCGCCCAAGAGCGCTGGTTTGGGAAGAGGTTCTATAAAAGTGCCATTTGGCTGGCCCAGTCTTAGAACCCAGGTTAGGGGAATTTGGGTTCTTGACAGAACAGCTGTGAGACTTGCTTCACTGGTTTGCCCAGAAAGACCCATATACACCAGAATATCCCTATTCCCCTACTGGTGAGTTAGAGCCTGAACTGAGAGTCATAAACTGCAGGAAGTGCTAAACAGTGGGAGCAGTTTAAGTTTTCCATCCAAGGAGATTGAGGAAAGCTTTCTACACGAGCTCCAAAATTGGGGAAACCTCAGCTCTTTTGGGTTCAGTGTTCATAAATGAGTGTGCACCTGAATTTCAATTCAAAAATAATTATTTTTTTCTGATTCTTCCCATAGAAGTGTTTTTAGGTCCTTGCAAAGTAAGTCTTTTACAACATACTTTAAATGTATTATTCATGGCATAAAACCTATGATAACCCCATGTGTCAGTAGTTGTCACACCATGTTCCATGAGGGTTCTCTGGGTGACCCCCAGGAAGAGGAAACAATGGTATTTACGGTGGTCAAGTAGCTACGGAGACACTTGCACCTCTTCATCAGAGGAGCAGATCCAGGAACAGAAGTCCTGCATTTACAGGCTCTTCATATCTTGTGCAGGGTTTGGCTGCCAGGTGGCCAGCTCTTGGCAGAAGAGAGGATCCATCATAGAACACCAGAGGCTGTGAGACCCAGACACGGCACTGATGAGACTGGTACAACACTGGGAACAAACTAGACTTAGCTGTCTACCTTACTTAGCTATCCCTCCTTTATTTCCTCCCTTGTCATTGTCTCCTGCTTCCTTCCTCTGGTGTCTCATCAAGAGAAGCAACTTTCCTCACATTTCTGATTGGGTGCTTTAAGAAATGCTCTACACAAAGCCTTCTCTGTGTAACCCAGATAGGAAAAATTGAAAAGGGGCTTTGTGCTGGATGCAACTCCAAGGGCATGAGTCCTTTAGTAGGGCTTCCCCTTTGCCTTTCTCCTTGCTATCCCTTCCTGTCCTCATGGCCACCACATTCACCCTCTGCCAAGGAGAGGCCTGCTGCATTCATGGATACGGCATAGAGCTGTTTGCACTCTGATCTGATCATGCTGAGTGTGCCACATAAATAGCAGCTCCTAGAAGTCTGTTTTTATTTAATCATGTTTCATGGTAGGATTCTGTAAATTTTCTAAGAATAAGGCAAAACCCAAAGGAGTATCAGTAACTCTTAGAATCTGCTGAGTTCAGAAATTCTTAGCCAGGCTCCTGTATTTATGCTTTTGTGCTTGTGACAGTGACTATACCATTAAACAGACTGCCTCCTTTATAAACACAATCTAAACTGTCATACCCACACTAATGCAATAGCCTGTTCACTGACACTAAAATAATGGTAAGGAGAGAAAGGAAAACCCAACTGCAACACTGAAAATACATATATTTTTCAAAGTAAAGTTTCATTCTGGCTGAAAAAATGGAATAAGAAACCTTTTTGTATGGAGTATTCTATGGAAAAGTTGCTCTAAGTTTTGAAGCCTGCAACCCCATTTTTACTTCCTTTTGGTATCCACCTGAAACTACTATGGTGGGCACTTGGATCTCTAGAAAACTCTGTTCATGCCTTAGTTCTGCAATAGAGCTGAGATAATTAGGGCTGATTATCATCAAATCTATTTTGGCTGTACTCTGACCTAGAAGAAAGGTTGGCTGCTGGTTGAGATGGGATGAAAAAGTCTCTCTTTCTGTATCTCTCTTTTTCTCCTGGGAACTTTCTTAGGATTGTAATTCAATTCTTCAAGTTTCCAAAAGTTTTTAATCCTCAACTTATATTTACCCTGCAGCCTACTTCTCAGATTCCTATTGATCAAACTATAAAACATTCTTCCCCTTTCAAGAACCTTTCTAGATGGTGACTCATGGGCCCTCAAGGGGTTTATACCTTGCATTCTTTCATCATGTCCCAACTGGCTTAATATAATTCTGAGAAGTGGTGTTGCTGAGGTGCTTGGAGCCTTTGCAGAACTCCATCTTTAATGCCAGCACAGAGTTCAATGTGCATTATTGGTGCAAGAGAAACAATTTTCATGGAAGCTTTAAATTTCAAGTGAAAATTTAAATAATTTTTACTTGTTTAAATATAAAATTCTGTCCTATTTTGTTTTTCAATACAAGTGGCTCTCAATTCATACATTATTGCACAATTTGCTTTGTCTCTTATCTGAAGTTCTATTCAGACTAAACACATCAATGTCCAGTAAGACTGCCTATCTCAACAGGGGCCACAGAAAAGTAATTACCAGTACAGTTTTTGAAGGTACCCTATCATCGTGACTAAAGTGCTATTTCTGTGAGACATTACAACTAAAAAATGCTTGGACTGATCAAATTTTGGAGAAAGTTCACTTTCACAAATGCTATGTTCACTACTCAGATATACAGCAATGTTTTAAAAAGAAAATAAAGCAAACCATAAACTATAAATAATACTTAGAAAGAGGCTTTGATTTCAAGTCTTTTCAGGGGCTCTAATAGGAATACAACCATATAATAGATTCCAATTCACATTAATAATTATTAATGTACCATTAAACTGACCCAAATAGATGGAAGGAATAATAACTACTCAAGTATAAAATTGTCTTTATGAGTTTTAAGTAATATTATGCAGAACTAAAGTCATTTTTGGTTATGAAATCAATGGTCAATCTTCAGCTCACGTAAAAGTACTGTGATAAAATGCCTAGCAGTAGAAGGCTGAAATAAAATTGTATCCTGAAAGCTTATCTTTTATGTTAAAATGTAAAATATGATTTATAAAGGAGCCCGGTTCAGATACCAATGTGGGTGCAGGTTCTAGGTAGCAGTCTCTCAGTTTTAAACCACTAGGATACCACAGCAACGTCCTTCCAATTAGGAGTGGCTATAGCAGCAGCAGGAGCAGCAGCTGGCCTAGATAAAAGTGCAATTAAACAGATAAGCAAATGGGGATCTGCTTCAGTTAAATATTAGGGCAGCTGAGGCTTGCATTCTCACTAAAGGAAAAGATGCATTATACCAAAGTCGTTTGCTCCAACAGTATTTCCCTTCCAATGTTACTTTGTTTAAACTGAGAGGATGCAAAGCAAGCTATACTGGTCAATGTCAGAGTAAGAAGTGGAGACCAAAGGGGCTTAGTCATGTAGTGTAGTGGGGGGAAAAGCAAATGTCCATAAAGATTGCTGTCTGGGATTAGACCTTCGCGGTGGTGTACTGTGAGAAGGAAACGACACCCTAAAATTACATTAGCTTTGCAGTGACTCGTTCAGAGAAGCTTGCATAGTGGAGTTCATACCTATTCATTATTAACGTTGGAAAGTTTTGGCATGCACTTCAGAGCTCCTGTATGTGTTGATCATTGAGGTTGCCATAGTGAATGTGAAGAAGTCAACTCAAGTTCAGGGAAAAGGAGAGTGGAACTGCCTGCCCTTTATATCCATGCACATCCTCAAATGTTAAGACATAAACTAATCATCCAACATTCAAATTTGTTTCCAAGTTGCATAGTTTGTCTTATTAACAAAATAAACTTAACACATCTTTTTTTCATACTTCAAATGCACTTGAGTTAATAATCTGTCATAATCACATATTAATACAAATGAGGTGCTTCATTCAGAAATGCACTGCATTTTTGTCAAGTAATTATCATTTCCAGGGTGAATGAAGACTAGATTAATATAAGGGATATAGAGCATGAAATATAGAAGGTTTTCCAACCCAAGGAAGACAACATCCAAAAAGGGCTAACTTGAACAAAAAGAAGTGTTAAGAGATACTTCAAATGCTTAATAATATTTAGCCACATCCTATAACATCATTAAAAATTATATTCTGGTTGAAATAGTCCTATTATGGGAAAAAGCAACAACAACATGATATTAAGTGCCACTCCTCTGAACTTGGTACTAAGGGGTGGACACAAAAGATGAGAAACATATTCCGAACAGCAAAGGAGCATATAATCTAACAGGGGTAGAGACAGACACCAAATAGTCCATGTGTTTCATTACATTGCCCAGCTTCCCTTGCAGTTAGGTTGAAGCCATGTGACTAGTTTCAGCCAATGGACTTGATGAAAAATGGCACTGCTTACTTCCAGGCTATGGGTCTGTAAGTCAGCAACCCTAGAACCCATGTGTCAAGCTGGCAAAGTCACAAGATCAAACTGATCTGGGTTCCCTGATTAGAAGGGAGCTACTCTGAAGGGCCACTGAACTCACAGTAAACAGTGCATGTGTGAGAAATAAACTTTTATATCTTAAAGCCAATGGGACCTGGGGGTTTGTTAGTTACCACAGAACAGCCTAACCTTGGCAAATGCATAAAGCCTACATAGAAATAATTAGAGAACAATTTAATTCAGGCTACCATTGGATGGTCAAGGTACGGTTAATGATTGGCAAAGAGTTTGGACAGAAAGCAATGAAAGGGTGGTCCTTGGAACTGTTCGGAGAAAAGGGAGCATGTTTCAGGCAGAGGAAATAGTAAGAGCCAAGTGAGAACTCTAACAATTGGATCGACTGGATCAGGCAGTAGATTTTTTCAGAAAGGGAGGCATTTTTGTCATCAAGCATTCTGTGAATTGCTTCATTTTCTTGCTACTTATTAATCTAACCCAGGTGTCTCCTCTCAAAGGCCTAACAATCGATGCTTAGGCCATGAGCCTTTCCTTGCAAAAATACTAGAAAGGAATCTAAAAGGTCTACCTAATTTTCTACCTTTCATTCATAAAGTACCAGCCAGGGACTCAGGTAAGGTTTTTATTCCACTTTTCCACAATCTAGTCAAGCTCTAGTCTCTACGAAGGTGGAACCAAAACTGTACAATCCCCTGCACTCTCCTGTTTCTGATTCTAAGATTATAGTGATCTTCAGGGCCCAGAAGCCCTGCTACACTACAGTGGTACTCATTTGTCTGTCCATTTGTTGATCCATTCACTCACTCCATTCCTCACTACTTCCTTGAGGTCAAAACACCAATTAGGTATGGTTCCTATCATTGAGAGGGCTGCAGTCTAATTGAGGAGATGAACATAGAGTCAATTATAATAAATGTGATAAAAGTAAACATATGATGTCAGGGGAGCACAGAGGACTGACAGACTAATAAAGCCCAGGCATTAGGAGTGTCAGAAAAGGTTTTCAAAGTGGGGGCAACATCTGCATTGACTTTTTGAAAATGAACATTAAGTTTACTAAACAGAAAAGGGAAGGAAAGACAGTAAAATAGAAAAACAAAATACATGTAGATACACAGACATAAAAAAACTGGTTGGAGAACTGTGAGTAGTTAAAGAGAGTCGTGTTATAGGTTGGGGGATAGGAGGAAGTGGTAAAAAATGAGCTGTACAAATTACTTAGAGCTTTGTAGGCCATATTGGAAAGTTTGGACATTATTCTGTAAGAAATGTAAAGTACAGTATGTGAAAGAATGAAACCATCAGACGGAAGATAATTTTATAAATTATGTAAGAATAAGATTAAGAGCAGGGAATTAGGAAACTTTTGAGTTGTTCAAGCAAGAGACAATGAGATTTTCTGTGTATATCAACACCATTATCAATGCATCCTAGAGAGACTTAGGAGGAGAGCTAAGAAGAACAGGAAAGTGAATCAAGATGTGGAAGACGTTGACACCCAGGTCTATGTGAGTGTTTGGATGGTGGGCCTTTAACTAAGACAAAGCATAGGAGAGGGAAGTTTGCGGTAATGACTAATGAGGTTGATTTTAGTCATGAGACATTTGAGGTCAATGCAAGACGCATGGGAGGGGATATGTAAGGAGAAGATGGTAATTTAAAATTCATACTTCAGGAGAGAAGTTTCATGCACAGATGGACCTTTATCTACCTGGGGTGTGGGTTGTAGCTAAACCAGGAAAGTCAATCAGATTTCCAGAAGATGGCATGGGCGCATGATGGGTTGTGAAGGATAGCATCAAGGAGGATGATTAGCAGTGTTAAATGAAAGAGAAAGGTCAAGTAAGGTAAGGCCTAAATGTGATGTGCCATGGATCTGTCCATTAAAAGGTAGAGTAAAAGATTATCTACCTCTCATTGAGCCCCTGGGTTACCCTGTCATTTTGTACAACTAGTACCTCTTCTCCATTTGACTATCCCTTTCTATAAACAAGTCTGATGTTGAATAAAGATAGCATGCTCCCCCTCTTAAATTTTTTATTTTATTATCTTTAATTGACACATTCAAAGCCAGAGGTTTTAAAATGTTTTGTCCTGCTTTGTAATCAAGTACACAACAAAGTTTAGAGAATGATGCTACTTTTTAATCAATGATATCTGTATAAGCAAGCATTATCTACAATCTGCAGGGAACCAACAGTATTACACATATTTATGGGGTACAGTGTGATATTTCAATATATGTATACAAAGTGTTACAACCAAATCAAGATAATTAGCATATCTATCACCTCAAACATTTATCATTTCTTTGTGTTGGGAATATTCAAAATCTGCTCTTCCAGCTATTTGAAAATATACAATAAATTATTGTTAATTATAGTCAGCCTATAGTGCTATAGGACATTATAATTTATTCTTCCCATCTGGGTGTACTTCTGTATCCATTAACCAACCTCTGCCTACTCCCCTTTTTGGAATTGCCTTTCACGCCAACTATGCAATGTTTATAACAACTCCTACTAGTCATAGCTTTCTGGATCACAAGTGGACTCCTGATCCACACTGATCCAATCAGGATCTCTTTTTGTTGCTTGAGAGTATAGTTAGACTATGTTAAACATTATTGCTATAAAGCTCTGTAAAGTATGGGTGAATTTCAAACCACCTATGATTTAATATTAAGGGGGGGTCTGATCTATGTAAACATTTGAGTTTGTCTTAAGTCAGTAGTACTCCCTTGCTTTCAATTTGGCTGTTGAAATGATTTCCCTCAAAGTCAAGTTCTGCTGAAATCATATCACACTCTTCTCCATGCAAAAGCCCTATTCAAGTAAACTAAGTCTCCATCCCCTGGATATATCTTATCCCTTTTCCTGCCCTCCCCTACACCAGCATTTCCTCCAAATCCTAGGCCAGTCATGAAAAACTATATTACTGAACTGCAGCAAGCAATTATTCCTGGATGCCCAAAGGATCACACAAGACTTAAGTCAATGTTGAGCTTGAGAAGCTGAGAAGCAGCTCATAAAGTCTAGCTTGCCCAAGACTTCAAAATAGTACCTACTTTACCACACTCACATCAGACCTACCAAGCTCAAACTCACACTCTACCCACAGTTACCACCTATACCAGGGTGAGAAGGAATGAGGGTGAGGAGAAGATGCCATGGCTTCCAGCTTTCAGAAGGTACAGGCTACTGATGGAATGATACAGAGATTCTTCTTCCCCCTAAAGACATTGCCCCTTATAAGGGCTACCCAGCAAACCCCGATCTGAGAGTAAAAAAAGGAAGCCTCCTAGGCAGGTCCTTACCATTTCATACCGCTAATGAACTATGAGCATTCGGTGTTACCGGTCTCTCAAAATCTTGAGCAGGAAAGAACTTAAAAGAAGGAGAGAGGGAGAGAAAGGGCACCAACGTATAAAACAGAAGGGGAATGGAGGTCAATGGAAATATGCAAAACAGGGAAAAGAATCAAAAGAGCAAGAGAGTATGTTACAAACTCCAAAAAGCAAATTTAGCCAGAGGTTTTAAAAAAACATTTTCCTGCTTTGTAATGAATTACATACCAAAGTTTAGAGAATGATGCTACTTTTTAATTGAGGATATCTTAGTAAGCATTATCTACAATCTGCAGGGCACTAACAGTATTATTCTTAGTTATCTTATTTTCATATATTTATGACCTTGTTTCTTCATCTTAAAATAAGAGGCCCTAGAACTGAATGTGTCTTAAGTCCATCCGGTCTTGAGAGTTTCCATGGGAAGAAGGTAGGTATGGTCCCCAGGGATGCATGTCTTCTCGCAGCACTACAGAACATTCAAACCTAAAAACACTGGGTAGTTACTAATTTAATTAAAGTGTTCTGCCTAAAAAACCATTAGAAAATCACTCCCTTTCACTGAGAAAGGCAAGCACATGATTACTTACTAGGATTCAGTACTGGGCTTTTGACACATCTGACATATCATCATCACAGATCATTCATGTAACTGGTAGCAGAGCCCAGTGGTAAGAACAAACTTAGGGGCTGGCCTGCCTGGATTTGAATCTTGGTTGTATTGAACAAGAAACTTAGACAGATTGCATATTTCTCTGTGCCTTGGTTTCTCATCTGTAAGATGTCAATAATACCAACTTCACAGAATTTATATAGGAGTAAATGAGTTAACAATGGTAAAGTACAAATGGTCCCCAATTTTGGATGGTTCATTTATGATTTTTCCACTTTACAACGGTATGAAAGTCACATGCATTCCGTAGAAACTAGACTTTAATATTTGAATTTTGATATTTTCCCGGGCGAGCAACATGCCCAATGAGACTCACTCATGATGCTGGGCAGCAGCAGCTAGCCACAGCTACCAGTCAGCCACGAAATCACAAGGGGAAGCAAACAATACAGTGTACTGTGTTGCCAGATGATTTTTGCCCAACTGTATTTCAAGTACTGTGAGCATGTTTAAAGTATGATAAGCAAAGCTATAATGTACAATAGGTTAGGTGCATTGAATGCAGTTTTGACTTACGATAGTTTCCACTTACAATGGCTTAATGAGGACATAACCCCATCATTAATGGAGGAGCAGCTGTACTGAGAACAGTACCTGGCACTAAATAGGGGTATTTGCTTAAAAAGATTTTAAAATCTAAGTGTTATTATTGGCCCTGTTTTACAAGGTGTTAGTCCATTCTCACACTGCCAGGAAGAAATACCTGAGACTGGGTTATTCATAAAGAAAAGAGGTTTAATTGACTCCCAGTTTAACATGGATGGGGAGGCCTCAGGAAACTTACAATCATGGCAGAAGGCAAAAGAGGCAATTCTTACATGGAGGCAGGCAAGAGAGCAAGCCAGAGCAGGGAAAACTGCCTTATAAAACCATCAGATCTCCTGAGAACTTATTCACTATCATGAGAACAGCATGGGGAAAATGCCCCCATGATCCAATCACCTCCCTCCCTTGATATGTGGGGATTATGGGGATTACAATTCGAGATGAGATTTGGGTGCGGACACAGAGCCAAACCATATCATTCTGCTCCTGGCCCCTCCCAAAACTCACATCCTCATATTCAAAACACAATCATGCCTACCCAACAGTCCCCCAAAGTCTTAACTAATTTCAGCATTAACTCAAAAGTCCACAGTTCAAAGTTTCATCTGAGACAAGGCAAGTCCCTTCCAACTATGAGCCAGTAAAATAAAAAATAAGTTAGTTCCTCCCAAGATACAATAGGGGTACAGGCATTGTGTAAATACACCTGTTCCAAATGGGAGAAATTGATCAAAACAAAGGGCCTACAGGCCCCATGCAAGTCTGAAATCCAGCAGGGCAGTTACTTCTGACTCCATGTCTCATATCCAGGTCACACCGATGCAAGAGGTAGGCACCCAGGGTCTTGGGCAGCTCTGCCCCTATGGCGTTGCAGGGTACAGCCCCCCTCCTGGCTGCTCTCACAGGCTGGCAATGAGTGTCTGCGGGTTTTCCAGGCACAGTGCAAACTGTGGGTGGACCTACCATTGTGGAATCTGGAGGACCGTGGCCCTCTTCTCACAGCTCCACTAGGCAGTGGCAGTGGGGACTCTGTGTGGGAGCTCCAACCCCACATTTCCCTTCTGTACTGCCCTAGCAGAGGTTCTCCATGAGGGCCCTGACCCTGCAGCAGACCGCTGCCTGGGCATCCAGACATTTCCATATATCCTCTGAAATCTAAGCAGAGCTTCCCAAAGCTCGATTCTTTCTCTCTCTTTTTTTTTTTAAGTTGTGATAACAGATTTTATTCAGGAACAATTGCAAAGGAGAAAGAAATCCAGGTTCAATTTCAAATACAGCATGGACAAGTGGAGATTTATAGCCAAGGAGGAGGGTGAGGTCAATGGATGGAAAATTAGTGAGAGGAAACATCACATATAAGGGCGATTCCGGCTAAACTGACTTGATAGGATTCTTGGTGAAGGTGGGCCAGGATGATCACACACCAAAGGTTATGAGGCTGAGGAATTTGAAAATCCACCTTCAGTTCTTTGAAAATCTGCTGTCTATGTCACTACAATTAAATTATAAGTGCAAGTGAGTTGTTGGCAAGGCAGCATGCCAAAGCTGAGTTAAACAGCTAGGAAGACTCTAGAGATAAGAATCCTTATTTTTAAATCAAATTTTGTCAGTAAGTATTCTTAAAAAGGTAAGCTTACAAAAGCCAAAGTGATTGAACATTGTTTCATGGTCTATGCAGTCAACTTTCAACTTCCTTATGGCCTGAAGACAAGTGGCCATGAGCAATAAGCATTTTTTAAAGTTTTATTTTATTTATTTCATTTTATTTTAAGTTCCAGGGTACATGTGCAGGATGTGCAGGTTTGTTACATAGGTAAACGCGTGCCATGGTGGTTTGCTGCACCTATCAACGCATCACCTAAGAATTAAGTGCAGCATGCATTAGCTATTTTTCCTGATGCTCTCCTTTCCCCCACCCTGCTTACAGACCCCAGTGTGTGTTGTTCCCCTCCCTGTGTCCATGTGTTCTCATTGTTCAGCTCCCACTTATGAGTGAGAACATGTGGTGTTTGGTTTTCTGTTCCTGCATTAGTTTGCTGAGGATAATGGCTTCCAGCTCCGTCCATGTCCCTGTAAAGGACATGATCTCATTCCTCTTTATGTCGGCATGGTATTCTATGATATATGTACCACATTTTCTTTATCCAGTCTATCACTGATGGGCATTTGGGCTGATTCCGTGCTTTTGCCATTGTGAATAGTGCTGCAGTGAACATACGCATGCATGTATCTTTATAGTAGAATGATTTCTATTCCTCTGGGTATATGCCTAGTAATGGGATTGCTGAGTCAGTTGGTATTTCTGGTTCTAGGTCTTTGAGGGATTGCCACACTGTCTTCCACAATGGATGAACTAATTTACATTCCCACCAACAGTATAAAAGCATTCCTATTTCTCCACTGCCTCAGCAGCATCTATTGTTTCTTGACTTTTTAATAATTGCCATTCTGAATAGCGTGAGATGGTATCTTATTGTGGTTTTGATTTGCATTTCTCTAATGATCAGTCATGTTGAGCTTTTTTTTTCATATATGTGTTAGCTGCATAAATGTCTTCTTTTGAGAAGTGTCTGTTCATGTCCTTTGCCTGCTTTTTAATGGGGTTGTTTGTTTCTTTCTTGTAAATTTGTTTAAGTGCCTTGTAGACTCTGGTTATTAGATCTTTGTTAGACGGATACCTAAACTTCAACTCTTGACTTTTGTGCATCCACAGGTCCAACACCACATGGAAGCTGCAAAGGCCTGGGGCTTGCACCCTCTGAAGCAAAGGCCTGGGGCTTGCACCCTCTGAAGCAACAGCCTGAGCTGTACGTTGGCCCCTTTTCGCCATGGCTGGAGCAGCTGGGAACACAGGGCACCAAATCCTTAAGCTGCACACAGCAGTGGGGCCCTTGATCCAGTCCACAAAACCATTTCTCTCCTAGGACTCTAGGACCATGATGGAAGGGGCTGCCATGAAGACCTCTGACATGCCCTGGAGACATTTTCCCCATTGTCTTGGCAATTAACATTTAGCTCCTCATTACTTATGCAAACTTCTGCAGCAAGCTTGAAATTCTCCCCAGAAAATGGGTTTTTCTTTTCTATCGCATCATCAGGCTGCAAATTCTCCAACCTTTTATGCTCCACTTCTCTTTTAAACATAAGTTCCAATTTCAAATCATCTCTCTCAAGTTCAAAGTTCCACAGATCTCTAGGGTGGGGCACAATGCCACCAGTCTCTTTACTAAAACACAGCAAGAGTGACCTTTACTCCAATTCCCAACAAGTTCCTCATCTCCATTTGGGACCACCTCAGCCCGAACTTCATTGTCCACACCATTATCAGCACTTTGGTCAAAACCATTCAACAAGTCTCTAGGAAGTTCCAAACTTTCCCACATCTTCCTGTCTTCTTCTGAGCCCTCCAAACTGTTCCAACCTCTATCCATTACCCAGTTCCAAAGTCGCTTCCACATTTTCAAGTATCTTTATAGCAGTGCCCCCCACTCTGGGTACCAATTTACTGTATTAGTCCGTCCTCCCACTGCTATAATGTAATACCTGAGACTGGGGAATTTATACAGAAAAGAGGTTTAATTTGCTCACAGTTCCACATGGCTGGGGAGGCCTCAGGAAACTTACAATCATGGCAGAAGGTGAAGCAGGTACATCTTACATGGTGACAAGTGAGACAGAGAGCAAGAGCAAGAAATACTGCCTTATGAAACCATCAGTTCTCATGAGAACTCACTCACTATCATGAGAACAGCGTGGAGGAAATCCCATGATCCAATCCCCTCCTGCCTGGCCCCTCCCTTGACACGTGGGGATTACAATTCAGGATGAGATTTGGGTGGGCACACAGGGCCAAACCATAGCATAAGGGAAGAAACCAATACTTACAAAGGGTAAGTAAATGGAGTTCAAAATCACCCAAGGAGTAAATTGTGAAGCTAGGATTCAAACAGACCAAGACTCCAGAGCTTGTAGATTTTACTGCCATAGACAAAATGACTTATGTAAGGACAGAGTACATTGAAATAATTACCTAGGAACAGACACTGAGAATATATGACTCTTCTATTTGACTAGACTAGGAATTTTCAATGATTTCCTATTGACTTTTATAACGTAAAAGTTAAAAAATTTTATGTCCTTTTAATGCCATACTTGCGTATTATTTTAAAGTTTGGTGCTCCTTAACGTTCCCATCCACGTGTACTCCAGATCATGAAAACAATAAAAATACTAAATAAGCCCACGTCTTTCAAAAAAAAAAAAAAAACCTGATTTTTCACTATATCACCTTAGATTAAAATAGTAAGTTCTCACTTTGCTCAGGTACTGTGGTAAGAATCAACATTATCTCACTGTATCCTCATAATAATCGTCTAATTTACAAAATGAATAAACAAAAGCTCAGAATATTTAAGTAAATTCCCCAAGCTCACATAGCTAACAAATGGCGCAAAGCTAGCATTTCAACCATCTCTGCTTGACTCTAAACTATTCTCCTACACTATTTCCTTTAGAACCATGCCAACTATGGGATCATTTTACATTCTTCACAGATATCATCTCATCAAGACAGGGCCTTGGAATTTATATAAACATTAGCCTACTATGAGCAAATAAAATGTTAACTGTCTCCAAAGAGATTAAAGAATGGGGCATATAAAGATGGAACAACAAAAATTCAAGTGATAAATTCTATTGGGGTGGCAATTAAAGAATAACAACAATAATTTTTATTTCTATTATATTTTACAACTCTGTAAACTGTTTCTGACTTTCCGACAGAAGTAAGAGGTAAGTTTATTTAACAGCCCTTGAGTAAACTGCATAAGCAATCCGACCCCCATCAGTAAATGTGCAGGGCCATTCTGAAGACGGAATGAGCTCATGCAAGAAGATGCCCAGTAGAGCACCCAGGCAGGACAGGCACAGTGTAGGTGCTCAACTCATGCCAAGATCTGTCACTTTATAGCTGCTCATGCCTAGCACAGAGAATGGCACAGAGGGTCCTTTTAAAATGTCTGAGAGGAATGTGCTATGATCTCAGTCGTCTAATAGGATTCACCTTTTCTACAATTGCCTATTTTCTGAACTCAGCTCCGAAATGAGCTATTCTCTGTTTCACTCTTTTTCACATTATCCAAAATAATTCAATGTCCACCTTTTCCTTTGGGAAAATCAAAGGTTGACATGGCTACCTTTTGAACTCAAGCTGTTAAAGATCCTTTCTTGTGTTCAAAAGTTTTACTGATTTTGAAAGGTCTTATTGATAAAAACACAGAGAAACTCGGGGGAAAAGGACAAAGAGAAAAAAGAAGAAAGGGAAGAATAAAGAAGCCAGAAAATAAAGACAAGGAAGAGAGCCCAAGAGGAGCAGAAAGAGGCAATAGGCTACTGAATGCATAACTGCCAGCCATCTTAGAAACTAGCTCATGTAACAATCATGCAGCATTATTTTTAAAAACCAAGGGGAAAATATTTACATAAAACCCAAAAGATATATGCTCTTTTTTAAGTGCTGCAAAATGACAATGTATTCAATTCATTAATTCATGAATTAGTCTGTGTGATGTTTACTTCTGGAGCCATTAGCATTCCTGAGCTAAATATTTAAAAGAATAAAAAGGAAATTTAAGAACTAAAGATAGAAGAATATATTCTTTCTGTTGTTTTTGTTACTCTATTTTTTCGGCTATGTTTGTATGGTTTTAGTCATTTATTTAGGGCTTTTAAAGAAATGAGTGACATGAAACCATCCAACTCCCTCTTGAAGACCTCTGTCTCCAAGATATGTATAAAAGTCACACAAATTTTAAATAATTTAAAACAAAGTTATGCAGAAAACTCACGTAAATTTTAAGCATTTTTCTAATTGTGCTTATAAATAATAGTTTCAAAAGCAGATATGTTACAATAAACACATATTCAGAGTAAATTAGGCCTTAATTATGTTTAGCAAATTTTATGTCCTCATTAAAAACAGAATTGCAACAATAAACATGACTTACCACCAGAATTAACTCTGCCACAATTGTCTACTCTTCCCAAACATTCTTTGTGTGCTCTCGCTCCACACTTAAAACATAAATAGCCTTGATAAAATGTTCCCCTGAAAGGTGAAATAAGAAAGTGGTATATTAAACGGTGCAAAATTCTGCCCATATGAAATTACTGCAAGAAGAAGAAAAAAAGTATCAACAGTGCTCTTCAAGGTACCCCCTTGGTAGAGGGAGACGAGCTTGCCAGAGCTTCTGAAAGGACTGTCCAGGCAGAAAGCCTGGCAAAGGTTTGTGGGATCCAGACTGCTAAGGCAAATTCCCCACTTTAGAACCTATTGGCTAGAAGGTTAGAAAAGTCTGAAACACTTAGCAATTATATCAGTTCCTTTAAACTGAAAACCAGGACTGAGCAGGCTTACCTCAGGAGCATCTGGCAGACTTTGCAGGATGTGACTCGAGTGAAGGTATGCATCTTGAAGTCGTGGAAATTGGAGTCTGCATAGTCTGGTCTTATGTTAGACCTAAAAAAAGGAAAAAAATAACTTTCTATAGAAAGTTTCACAACAAAGCTGCAATTTAGTCATCTAAACCCTAAATTCATCAAAATGACATCAGGTAGAGATCTGATTCAAGCAAAATGACTACTAAATGTGCAATGTTTTCTAAGCCAAAAGTATGCTATGCATTCAAATATGTACCAGAATCTGGCTGTGTGGGAACAAGCAACCTGGAAGGACATAGCAACCTAATCCTCCTCAGAATTGAGCATTCTCAGAGAACTTTAACAAATGGCCACATAGGTCAACCTGCCTGGAAAAAAAAAAAAAAAAACCCACTGGATACTCATCTTATCTGATAGTTCCTTGTCTGTAGCCACGCCACTGAAATATAAACTAGCAGGTGAGGGTAGGAGGGAGAAGAGGGTCATCTCTAAATAGATGTGTGGACAACATAATGGTCCATAACAAGGAATACAGTAATTTTATAGAAAGTTTTAAAATAAAGCATTAGTGTGAACATTAAAAAATTCTTAACATTTCACTTTACTCACAATCTAAGTAATAATGAAACAAAATAATTTTACCATTTATTTTATATTTTATTTATATTATACATACAAAAGTTATTTTGCACACCACAAACTAATATTCTTTGTATATTTACTCTGTGCCACAGACTGTGACAACCATATGACATTCATTTCTTCATTTAATCTTCACATCAATCCTAACTGCCTGGCACGAATAATATCACTAGTTTACAAATAAGAAAACTGACACTTACTCTAAAGTAGAGCTTACCCTTAAAGAAAACAGCATGATTGGGAACTCTAACTCAGGTCTTTGCTTTTGGCCACTGAAACTATAGCTCAAGGAGGAGATTCAGCAATGTTCATATTAAAATAATCAAATTTTTGTACTTAGTAGGTATTTTGAAAACATTTAACTTTTTTTTTACATTATTCTTGGCTTAGCTATTTAGGTTGCTGCAAAAGTAATTGAGGTTTTTGCTATTATTTTTGATGGCAAAAGAGGGCAGAAAATTAGACTAGGATAAGTTAAAGATGGATACAAATCAGGGGTACACCTAGAAAGCTAAAATGATATGCTCCGAGACGTTACACGCAATTTGAGAGACTGTAGGAAAAGCTTGAGATACTGATGAGCCAGGATTTCCCCTTTTATAGAATACAGCAACTCTCAACCACACAGAATCCTGGCGAAATGAAGCATAACACAGGCAGGCGACCAGGCATCAATCTCTGAGGTACCAGGAGATGCCTTATGAAAAAACATTCGCAAAGGCAATTGGAGTAGCAGGCAGTGATGCAGAAGTGTCAGAGAGGTCAGCCTTCCAATCCATCTGCTGAATATGAGCGTGCTAAAAATGAAATCAAATATTAGTGCCATCTGGGATTTCTCTGCTCTGTGCTTCTGGTGACCTCACTTTTTCGGAAAATGTTCCACTGCACGCTGAGAATTATGGACATTTCCATGGAGGCATTTTTGTGTTACTGATTAAAAATTGCAGAGCTTTTCTACAGAAAAGGAGACACAGGAACATATAAGGATCTAGAAACAAAACTTTCTTCACATTGTTCAGAAAACATTTGATTCTTGAGTCCATAAAGCCATGCATTGAAAACTCCATCAAAACCTGTTTCCTTAGTCAGGAAGGGCTGTTGGTTCATTTGTTTCTGAGCATCAAGGTGATAGGGTCATAGATGATTTGTCAAATAAGTTTGAGTCCTGGCAACCCGAAAAATTCATCAACCTGGAGTTTTCAAACAGAAGTACATCTCCTTCAGGCAGAAACTCATGTAAATAAGTTCCAAACAGGTAAGAAGTTAATTAATTTCAAAAATCTGCCTCGGACACAGGTGGAACATCCACAGGCACACACATGAACATACCGGAGTTGTGTTTGGACCACTGGTATTTAAAACTTTCATGAACTAAGAATAAGCTGAACTTTCAGAAAATAAACAACTGAAAGGGGGAATCACAAAGCCACTAAGATGTTTTACAAAAAAATTATGATGAAAAAGGTTCTGAAAATATTGTTAACAGTAGCTGCCCTATGGGAATAAAGACTTAAAGTGGTAGGTAAAAGAGTAGAAAGAAACTATTAGAATTATTTGAAAACTAAAATGGTAAATTATTTTTAAAATCTAGAATCAAACACTAAAGAACAGATGTTAACTCTATGACCCTGAAACTGCTGCTGAGGCAGTATTGAATAAAAAGCATAGGTAAGGACAGGAATCTGAAACTAGACCACCTGGGCTTACATCCTAACTTGCAAATCAGTAGCAGCGTGATCTTAGGCAAGTTAGTGAGTATAAAACAGGAATACCAATAAAACCAAACTCATCAAGTGATATATGTAACGTGCTTAGAACACTGCCTGACCCATATTTGGTGTTCAATCAATGTTGGCTACAATTTATGAAGTGCTGATTCCAAATCCATATAATAAGGGTGTGATCATGATAGTGCTTTGTGACTGGTAAAGAGTCCCTTTTTAGGTCTGTGACCAAGTCCCCAGAGGACACCCATTCTTCTGAGAATCTCCAGCACAACGACTTATATGCTCAGTGTCCTTGGGACTAGGAATCCATATGTAATTATTGAAGTGTAAGAGGGTAACTCAAGAGATTACATGTATGAAAAACCTTGTGTATGAAACTGTGATCTCTTCAGTTCACACTGAAGTACAAACTGAGGAGATCATACATGGTCCGTGGCCTGTGGGGGTGCCGAAACCAAAGACAGTAAGCTGGCTGGATGAGAAGGGTTGGGAAAGTAGATTGCAGCAGAAGACGACAGAAATGTCAGGATTACAGATTTGGAGAAACAAAAAATTAAAATGGTCAAAAGAGGCATTTATTTCACATCTCTAATGTACCAGATACATCACTAGGCTCTTCATATACTTTTTCACATTTACTTCTCAGAACAAATCTACAAGGCAGAGTCATTCATCCATTTCATAAGTATTTATTGAGTAACTACCATATGCACAAGCCCTTGGGCAGGAACAGAAAGAAGCCTCCTTCAGCTGGAGTCAAATGAGCAAAGACATGAGATAGGTTGGCAGGGACCAAGGAAAGAAGTGAGATTTTATACAGGATTGACATCACATTTAGTTGAGGAAGAAAAAAAAAAGTTCTGCTGCTACTACATAGAGATTTCCTTTATAGTAAGACAAGCGTGGATATAGTAGGACCAATCATGGGGTTGGGTTGTCTATAGATGAGTGCTGAGTGTCAAACAGATTAGTTAACTCGCTCAGTCATGCTGATACACATAAAGAATTCCATTTTAGTAATCTGCCTTAACATATGACAATTTACTTTTGAGAATGTCAATGGAATCTTGCAGATTAATCAAATGTTCCCATTTCTTTTGCTTCACATAGAACTCATTATGAATATAACTAATCAGGCAATCAAACATTTATAGGGCAAGGAATGTTGACACTCTTAGGGCTTCATATAGCTTTACATGCTGTCCTTAGATGTTCTCTTCTCACCTGGCTCCATCACAGGCCTTAAGTTGAAGACCTCACTTTCCCCCTAGCCTGGACCTCTTTGTTCTCCAGATATGCATTCCTAACTGCTCCTCAGGCATCTCAAATGCAGCATATACAAAACTCAACTTCCATGTGTTTCCTGACATATCTGATTCATTTACTCCATCTTCCAAACTGGGAACTTCAAAATCACAATGAATTTTTCCCTCTCCCTCACACCCTCTACATGTACATTTTCTCTTAACCCTTCCTGTGATTCAATTTTTCCTTCCCTGAAATCATGACCAATTTCGGTCAATTCAAGCTTAAAAATACCTCCTCAAAAACTCAGGTTCCATACAAACACATATACACACCCGCACACCCACACACACATACCCCCCCACACACCCTATCCTATTGGTTTTGTTTCTCTAAAGAATCCTAATATAGACACACTAGAAAATAATGTTAGATAGGTTTACTGGGGCCAGTTACCAGAGGAGATGGAAGCAATGCTGAAATTCAGATACGTCAGCCTCCATAACACTTTATGTAACATCTGATGCCGAGTTAAGTAGACCTCCTAGGCTTTCAGTAACTTTGTACCGCCCTAAAAGTAGCACTAAAAGTACTTGTAAGTCCGCCTCCCCACTGACCTGTGTGGAGGGTGCATCTTCTCCTTCTTACCAGTCTCCTCTTTATAGTCATCAAACATTCTACCAGGAAAATTAATGCTAGATATTCATAGCTGATAGAAATCAGAAAAAATATGCTTTTACTGTAGTATTTTGTTTGTTTTCAAAAGCTGCCTTTTGCCACATTATCAGATAGAAAGATGGAAGAAGTAAAGGAAAGATAAGAGACATTTTTATTAAGCCAAAAAAAATTACCTCTTATGTGAAAGAACACTGAAGAAAAACATGATTCACTAAATTTCAATTAAATCTCAGAATTTATGTTTACTTACATATATCCTCTCTTTATTGTGAGAAAATATTTAAACTTTGATATGGTTTGGCTGTGTCCCCAACCCAAATTTTATCTTGTAGTTCCAATAATCCCCACGTGTCGTGAGAGGGACCAGGTGGAGATAACTGAATCGTGGGGATGGTTTCCCCCATCCTGTTCTCATGATACGGAGTTATTTCTCATGGGATCTGATGGTTTTATAAGGGGCTGCCCCCTTCACTGGGCACTCATTCTTCTCCTTCCTGCTGCCATGTGAGAAAGGACGTGTTTGTCTCCCCTTCTACCATGACTATAAGTTTCCTGAGGCCTCCCCAGCCATGCTGAACTGTGAGTCAATTAAATCTCTTTTTTAAATAAATTACCCAGTCTCAGGTATGTCTTTCTTAGCAGTGTGAGAACAGACGAATACAATATTTTTACAAAAAACTATAATCGTACTCATACATATATTTCAGTAATAAGTATGACAGTGTAGTTAGTAATACAATGTAAAATAATAATACATATGATTTTTAAAACATACATGCTTAAAATGAACATTTTTCTCTATTTTAACTGTAAATTTTAAAATCACTATGTCATTTTAGTAATATAGTTATAGAATAAAGGAAGCAAATCCTAGCAAGATGAAATCATCTGTAATGATCATGACCAATTACAGAGCAAATAAGATGAGAACCAATTTATGACATCATGCTGTCTCATGCTCTATCAGTATTAACAATCAAGTATTACCAGTATGGACATTGTGGCAATTATGTAGTATACATAAAATGGTTTATTTCATCATATTGCATTGAAAGTAAAAGTAGGAGAGCTGGAAGCAAATGTCAGTGCTTCAAAAACACCTGTCTGAATGCAACAGGCTTTTTTGTATCAAAAATACATCGATTTATAAAAATGTATTCACACACATAGCTTTGTGTGTGTTGCTAAAATACAGAAAATATATATTTTGGCCAACAGATACCAAATACAGATTACTTATTTGAGAATGTCCTTTAGAAATATGCTAAACAGTCTTATTTTTATTTATTATTATTAATACTTACAATTATTTTTCTCCATGATACAACAAGTTGGCTCTCTTCTTGCATCCTTCTATTAACCTCTATTATTTAAGTGGCAATAAATTACAATAAGCCTACTACTTAAGTTAATCTTATTTTCCATAGCAAGGTTTTAAAATCATTTAAAATAATATGGATAGTTTATCGCCAGGATAGTTAGCGATATCATGACTCTTTTTAAATAAGGCTTTTCAAATATGTGAAACAATTTATCACATTAATAAAGAAACAAAAAAATTGGGTTGTCTCAACAGGTATCAAAAAAGACTTAAAATGCATTGTGTGCTTCTAATGAAACTAAATAAACTAGACATTAAGGGATAGTTTCTTACTATGATAAAGAATATCAAACTAAAGATAATAGAAAACATATCTAATATAAAACACTATCACAATTATATTGAAAATAAAAGTTTTTGAAGTCAACTGTATTTTTCAATATTGTTCTGGAAGATCTAATCACTGTAATATGACAAGAAAAATGAATGTGAAGGATAAATATTGTAAAAAAGTACACAGAATTTTCATTTAGAGATGACAATATTGGGACTATCAGGAAAAACTAAGAGAAGATATTTAAAAGTGATAAAACTAATGAGAGATGAAGACATCAAGTGGCACCTGAAGAGATCTGTGTGTAAGTTTCTAATGCTCTCTAGCAAAGAAATGCAGTAATATGTGTAGCATCTCTGTCTGGAAAAATCTCTTGAGACCCCGAGTGCAAAGATTTTGGAGGGACTGGTCACACAGACACTCTCTGCCTACATACTCAGCCACAATATTTTTAAAAAATCCCAGAAGGAAGTATAAATCACATTTTTTTTAAGTCTAGGCAGATTGGCACAATGAAATTCAGTACCCCTGGTACACCAAATAACCTTATCACTTAGTACCACAGGGAACATTCTGAAGTCAAGTTATCAGATGACAGCCAAGGACAAGCCAACCCTGTAAGCAAATCCTTCTAAAGATAGCAAATTCGAGCTTGCTATGTTAACTAGTTTCTGCATGAAAATGTCTAAGAAAAATCCTAACATGAAAAGTTTAGGTTCTATAAAATAAAGTTTTAAATTAACTGAGAGAAATAAATGCATTCAATAAATTCGTAAGTAGTCTTTTTTTTTTGAAACAGAGTCTTGCTCTGTCGCCCAGGCTGGAGTGCAGTGGTGCAACCTCTGCCTCCCAGGTTCGAGCGATTCTCATGCCTCAGCCTCCTGAGTAGCTGGATATGGGCATGCACTAGCATGCCTGGCCAATTTTTGTATTTTTAATAGAGACGGGGTTTCACCATATTGGCCAGGCTGGTCTCAAACTCCTGACCTCAGGTGATCTGCCCACCTCAGCCTCCCAAAGTGCTGGCATTACAGGTGTGAGCCACCGTGCCCGACAACGCATTCAATAAATTAAAAGCCGCATAGCAAGCTCCTAAATAAGAAAATGGAATATTTTATTATAAATACACAACCTCTCTCCGATTTACAAATTTAAAACAAATCCTTCCTTGCAAACCAACACACAAACATACTCTCTCTCACACGCACACTTATAAATATACAATGAGATTTTTTTAACTTGACAAATGATTATAAAATACAACCAGAAGATAAATATGTGAGAATAGTTGGAAAATGTTTTAAACTGTGTGAATTAGTGTAGAGCAAGCTTGTCCAGCCCATGGTCTGCAGGCCACATGTGGCCCAACACAAATCCGTAAACTTTCTTGAAACATTATGAGATTGAGATTTTTTGTGTGTGATTTTTTTAAAGCTCATCAGCTATCGTTATTGTTAGTGTATTTTATGTGTGGCCCAATACAAATTCTTCTTCCAAAGTGGCCCAGAGAAGCCAAAAGATTGGACACACCTGTTGTAAAGAGTATATGGGAAGCCACTATAACCTAAGAAATACTAAAATGTTTTTAGAAGTATAGTTATTAAATTTGTATGGGACTGATAACAAAACAGACAGATCAATAATATAAAATGTAAAAGTCTTGAAGGGGACCGAATATGTGCAAGGACTTGGTATGTGATTTTTGTGGCAGTTTATTAGTCTATTCAAAAAATAAAATGCTCATTTAAAAAAAACTTATTAATTATCTAATATGTGCCATGCAGTGGGATATGATGATGAACAAAAATAAGTAAAGTCCCTGACTAATGTTGGCTTGTAGGGTGGAAGCGGGGAGAAGAACATTTAAATAATTCCACAAACAATCATGAAACTGCAGCTATGACAAGTGCTACAAAGAAAGATCACGTTAGGAAAACTTGAAACGTAAATTATGACCTTGTCGGTGTATTACCACAGAAGGATTTTCTACAGAAATAGGTGGAAAGCAAGAGGAAGAATTTCGGGACAGAGGAAAAACAGCAGGCTTAAATATGACTTAAAAGTACATGTCCAGCTTTCTAAAAAGGTTAAGAAAGCTAGATTTCTATTCACATTTTTATAACAATATAAAGTTTAGATAAAGACTTATACTATCTATTTGAAAAATACATATTACATGCCTATGATGTGCCATGAATACAGCCAACGATAAGGAATAAAATCGACAAAATTGCTGCCTTCATGAGGCTTATATTCTGCATTTAAATGTAAAATTTAGATAGGAACCTGATATTTATTTTAAACAAAAAACAAAAATACAAGTATTTGGAGAAAATATTGATAACTACTTATATAATCTTTAAAGGAAATGAAAGCAAACAAAAGATGGCTGGCCTCATTTTCACTTAGAAAAACAAACCCAAACTTTTATTTAAATAAAAAAAACACATAAAAAATTAGAGAAAGCAGAAAAATGTTTAGAATATGTATGGTAAAAGATTAATCTCCTTGCAATACACAAGTACCATTGAAAGTCCATAAGAAAAAAATGAACATCCCAATTGGAAAAATAGCAAGAAAATTAGCAGGGCAATTTGTTAAAAAAATAAAATAAAAACAATACATAAAACATGTACTAGCAATCAAAAGAAATGTACATTTAAATAACAAGACATCATTTCACGTGTCAGACTGGCCCCAAAAAAGGAAAAGATAAAAGAAAAAAGATACACTGAAGGGTTTTCATAAAAGGGAAATTGTGTGATATATAACCAATGTCTTCAACGACATCCTTATAAATACAACTGTGTGCCTTCCCTTTCTGTCCTTTCTTGATTTGAGCCAAGGACTTAGTACCAAAGTATTACTCAGTAAAACCAATTCTATGAGGGGCCTTTCAGGACATATTTCACTTATACATCATCACCTAAATGCTCATCATCTCCTATAAAGTCAGACATCACGTTTTGGCTAGTCAAATATCTTTTGAATTTAAGAACTAATTATTCTAAACATATGAAATTTAACGTTTGTGCCGAATGTTCAAATACTAGCTCTAGACGTATCAGGCCTTATAATTTAGGAGAAATTTCGAAAACAAAAAGCTATTATCTTAATAGATGTTCACTTATACGCATTATTTTTCCATCAAAACTAAAGATAAAACAGATAAATATGCAAATCCTGGAGACCAAAGGAGACCTGAAGCTGTCTGAACTAGAAATTGACCTTTTGAGACCAATACTATGATGGACAGGAATCACTCTCCATATAGTCCCCAGCACGCAAGACAGATAATTAAGCTAGCTGGACCATGCATCTAACTTACCAAAGTATTTCTTCTTCCCTTAGAATTACCAATTAAACATTAAAGAACATCAGAATAGTCTATCCCAGTTGTTTCTGTCAAGTCATAGGCACTCCTAAAATCTCCAGTTCTGACAAAGCAATCTTTAAGTAAAGTCTTAGCCAAAAATCTCAAAATAAAACTGATCCTTTTATACCTAAAGTTAGACTTTCCCATAAGATACAATCTTAAAGCTCTCATTAAATAGGTTTTTCTTTCTTTCATTAATATGAAAATTTCCAGGATAAAATCCAAGTATTTATTTTTAAAATATCTTATATTGTGAAATTAAATCCTCCAAGTAAGTATGAAAGATATATTCATACAATCTTTTAATCCTTGTTTATTCATAATTTGTTCCCATAACACCATAGCATACTAATTATGCTGCTGGTTATTTGAAAGGGCAAGAAAACGAAAAACAAACGGGTCCTTCAAAAACCAAGTTTAAAAAAAACAGTTCAGAAGGGACATCTTCACCTATTCCTTTCCTTATATTCCAAATCACGTACAGTCTTTTATCCAGGGAAATGAATAAATACTTTCAAAATACTGATAAAAATCAGATCATGCTTAGCTCTGAAAAATAGTATTTTCTTATCTACTATATATTACACTTCTTTATTTTATTCAAGATGGGCTTTATAGTAATTTTAAATATACATCTGTCACTGCATTTCAGTGACATTGCAAAGAAATTATTGAATGAAATGTAAAGTCAGTTAAATCTATAATAAATTTAAAGTGGAAAAGATGTCAGATTATCTGTAATTTAGGTTTATGTTTATTACAAAATTAAAGTGTGGCTTTTGGCCCATAAACTATTCTTTCTATTTTTAGTTTCCTCACCAATCAAAGAACTATACCTGCCCTTCCTACCATACAAGGCCAACATCCAGGAGTGGGAGAAGAGGGATCTCACATTTGTTTAGAACCTGTTCCACCGAGCACTCAAATTTGTTCTGAAGACAAGTGAGAACATATATGTGTGCATTTTAATAAATAAATAGTACTTACTAAATGATAAAAAGTATTACATAAATGCTAGATGCTACTTCTATTACTGTTATTGCTATCATAAGTGACAAACATTTAGTGGAAAGCTAGAGGCCTCATCAAGGTAGAGCAGTATAAATGATCATCTATGTATTACTATATCCTGAATAAATTGAGATAATGCTTTTCTTGTATTAAACATGTAATAAGCATATTAAAACTTCTCTTGGCTTATAATACACTTAGTCATGTATTCAACAAATTAATTGAGTGCCTATCATGTGACAGTCATTTTCAAACACTGAGAATACAACAGTGAATTTTTCTGGAACCAACAATCATGGTTCTCCAGTTAATTTGAACTATCTTGCTTTACTTCAATTTTTCCATTAAAATGCATTGTTCATTCTCTTATCACTGAACGGGGGTGGGGAGGTCTCAAAGTTCTGTTTTAAACAGCAACACATCTCCCACTGTGTCAGCCTTTCCATGTAAGAAATCAATTCTAGAGAATTTGGATTTTCTCATTCTCTGGTCCAATAAATCTGAACTATAATTCAAACACTGCAGATAACATGAATTAGGAATGCTGAGCTGGCACAGTGAATTTAAGTTGTATCACATTTCAAATTATGTCTGATAATATAAAGTTTGCTGTGGAATTAATGTGATCTAGAAGCATACGGAGATGGAGATGGTATTGTTACAAGGTAATATTAGGGAACAAAAGAAAGAAATCTGAAAGGTAATCTGACAAGCTTTGTTAATTTTTCCTCTTCAAATTCTAAAATGATTATGTACAAAAAAGGTGTTTAAATCAACATTCCATCCTTCAAATACAAAGTCTTGGTTTTATATAAAACTCTATGTGCAGAAGCTCAGTATAAACTGACCAGGATTTTTATAAGTTTGGCATGAATCAAGGCCACTATCAACAATCAAAACCAAAAATCACTCTTCAGAAAAAGAACTTTAAAACGTTAAATGTGTTTATTAAAGAAAAAGGCATATTCACTATAAACATTATTGTGACCAAACAGCCAGCCAGTAAAGACTTTTAAAAGTGCTTTGGTGGGCCAGGTGTGGTGGCTCACGCCTGTAATCCCAGCACTTTGGGAGGCCGAGGCAGGTGGATCACCTGAGGTTAGGAGTTTGAGAGTTTTTAGCATGAAGCGCTGTTCAATTTTGTCAAAGGCCTTTCCTACATCTATTGAGATAATCATGTGGTTTTTGTCTTTGGTTCTGTTTATGTGATGGATTACGTTTATTCATTTGCATATGTTGAACCAGCCTTGCATCCCAGGGATGAAGCCCACTTGATCATGGTGGATAAGCTTTTTGATGTGCTGCTGGATTCAGTTTGCCAGTATTTTATTGAGGATTTTCACATCGATGTTCATCAGGGATATTGGTCTAAAATTCTTTTTTTGTTGTTGTTGTGTCTCTGCCAGGCTTTGGTATCAGGATGATGCTGGCCTCATAAAATGAGTTAGGGAGGATTCCCTCTTTTTCTGTTGACTGGAATAATTTCAGAAGGAATGGTACCAGCTCTTCCTTGTACCTCTGGTAGAATCCGGCTGTGAATCCGTCTGGTCCTGGACTCTTTTTGGTTGGTAAGCTATTAATTATTGCCTCAATTTCACAGCCTGTTATTGGTATACTCAGGGATTCAACATCTTCCTAGTTTAGTCTTGGGAGGGAGTATCTGTCCAGGAATTTATCCATTTCTTCTAGATTTTCTAGTTTATTTACATAGAGGTGTTTATAGTATTCTCTGAAGGTAGTTTGTATTTCTGTGGGATCGATGGTGATATCCCCTTTATCATTTTTATTGCATCTATTTGATTCTCCTCTCTTTTCTTCTTTATTAGTCTTGCTAGCAGTCTATCTATTTTGTTGATCTTTTCAGAAAACCAGCTCCTGGACTCACTGATTTTTTGAAGGGTTTTGTGTGTCTCTATTTCCTTTAGTTCTGCTCTAATCTTAGTTATTTCTTGCCTTATGCTAGCTTTTGAATTTGTTTGCTCTTGCTTCTCTAGTTCTTTTAACTGTGATGTTAGGGTGTCAATTTTAGATCTTTCCTGCTTTCTCTTGTGAGCATTTAGTGCTATAAATTTCCCTCTATACACTGCTTTAAATGTGTCCCAGAGATTCTGGTACGTTGTGTCTTTGTTCTCATTGGTTTCAAAGAACATCTTTATTTCTGCCTTCAGTTTCTAATTTACCCAGGAGTCATTCAGGAGCAGGTTGTTCAGTTTCCATGTAGTTGTGCGGTTTTGAGTGAGTTTCTTAATCCTGAGTTCTAATTTGATTGCACTGTGGTCTGAGAGACAGTTTGTTGTGATTTCTGTTCTTTTACATTTGCTGAGGAGTGTTTTACTTCCAACAATGTGGTCAATTTTGGAATAAGTGTGATGTGGTGCTGAGAAGAAGATATATTCTGTTGATTTGTGGTGGAGAGTTCTGTAGATGTCTATTAGGTCGGCTTAGTGCATTGCTGAGTTCAAGTCCTGGATATCCTTATTAATCTTCTGTCTCGTTCATCTGTCTAATATTGACAATGGGGTGTTAAAGTTTCCCATTATTATTGTGTGGGAGTCTATGTCTCTTTGTAGGTATCTAAGGACTTGCTTTATGAATCTGGGTGCTCCTGTATTGGGTGCATATATATTTAGGATAGTTAGCTCTTCTTGTTGAATTGATCCCTTTACCATTATGTAATGGCCTTCTTTGTCTCTTTTGGTCTGTGTTGGTTGAAAGTCTGTTTCATTGATGGAACGTATCTCAAAATAATAAGAGGTATTTATGACAAACCCACAGCCAATATCATACTGAATGGGAAAAAACTGGAAGCATTCCCTTTGAAAACTGGCACAAGACAGGGATGCCCTCTCTCACCACTCCTATTCAACATACTGTTGGAAGTTCTGGCCAGGGCAATCAAGCAAGAGAAAGAAATAAAGGGTATTCAATTAGGAAAAGAGGAAATCAGTTTGTCCCTGTTCACAGATGACATGATTATATATTTAGAAAACCCCATCATCTCAGCCCAAAATCTCTTTAAGATGATAAGCAACTTCAGCAAAGTCTCAGGATACAAAATCAAGGCGCAAAAATCACAAGCATTCCTATACACCAATTACAGACAAACAGAGAGCCAAATCATGAGTGAACGCCCATTCACAATTGCTACAAAGAGAATAAAATACCTAGGAATCCAACTTACAAGGGATGTGAAGGATGTCTTCAAGGAGAACTACAAACCACTGCTCAACAAAATCAAAGAGGACACAAACAAATGGAAGAACATTCCATGCTCATGGATAGGAAGAATCAATATCATGAAAATGGCCATACTGCCCAAGGTAATTTATAGATTCAATGCCATCCCCATCCAGCTACCAATGACTTTCTTCACAGAATTGGAAAATCTACTTTAAAGTTCATATGGAACCAAAAAAGAGCCTGCATTACCAAGACAATCCTAAACAAAAAGAACAAATCTGGAGGCATCACGCTACCTGACTTCAAACTATACTACAAGACCACAGTAACCAAAACAGCATGGTACTGGTACCAAAACAGAGATATAGACCAATGGAACAGAACAGAGGCCACAGAAATAACACCACACATCTACAAACATCTGATCTTTGACAAACCTGACAAAAACAAGAAATGGTGAAAGGATTCCCTATTCAATAAATGGTGCTGGGAAAACTGGCTAGCCATATGTAGAAAGCTGAAACTGGATCCCTTCCTTACACCTTATACAAACATTAATTCAAGATGGATTAAAGACTTAAATGTTAGACCTAAAACCATAAAAACCCTAGAAGAAAACCTAGGCAATACCATTCAGGACATAGGCATGGGCAAGGACTTCATGACTAAAACACCAAAAGCAATGGTAACAGAAGCCAAAATAGACAAATGGGATCTAATTAAACTAAAGAGCTTCTGCACGGCAAAAGAAACTGCCATCAGAGTGAACAGGTAACCTACAGAATGGGAGAAAATGTTTGCAATCTACCCATCTGACAAAGGGCTAATGTCTAGAATCTACAAAGAACTTAAACAAATTTACAAGAGAAAATCAAACAACTCCATCAAAAAGTGGTCGAAGGATATAAACAGACACTTTTCAAAAGAAGACATTTATTTATGCAGCCAACAGACATATGAAAAAATGCTCCTCATCACTGGTCATCAGAGAAATGCAAATCAAAACCACAATGAGTTACCATCTCACACCAGTTAGAATGGTGATCAGTAAAAAGTCAGGAAACAAGTGCTGGAGAGTATGTGGAGAAATAGGAACACTTTTACACTGTTGGTGGAACTGTAAACTACTTCAACCATTGTGGAAGACAGTGTGGCAATTCCTCAAGGATCTAGAACTAGAAATACCATTTGACCCAGCAATCCCACTACTGGGTATATACCCAAAGGATTATAAATCATGCTACTATAAAGACACATGAACACATATGTTTATTGTGGCACTATTCACAACAGCAAAGACTTGGAACCAACCCAAATGTCCAACAATGATAGACTGGATTAAGAAAATGTGGCACATATACACCATGGAATACTATGCAGCCATTAAAAAGGATGAGTTCATGTCCTTTGTAGCAACATGGATGAAGCTGGAAACCATCATTCTGAGCAAACTATCACAAGGACAGAAAACCAAACACCGCATTTTCTCACTCATCAGTAGGAATGGAACAATGAGAACACTTGGACACAAGGCAGGGAACATCACACACCAGGCCCTGTCGTGGGGTCGGGGGAATGGGGCAGGGATAGCATTAGGAGAAATACCTAATGTAAATGATGAGTTAATAGGTGCAGCAAACCAACACAGCACATGTATACATATGTAACAAACCTGCACATTGTGCACATGTACCCTAAAACTTAAAGTATAATAAAAAAATAAAAATAAATAAAAAATTAGCCACGTATGGTGGCACATGCCTGAAGTGCCAGCTACTTGAGAGGCTGAGGTGAAAGGATCACTTGAGCCCAGGATGTTGAGGCTGCAGTGAGCTGTGATCATGCCACTGCACTCCAGCCTGGGCAACAGAGTGAGACACTGTCTCAAAAATAAATAAATAAATAAATAAATAAATAAATAAATAAATAAATAAAAGTTCCATCTGTTAATATTGCTAAAAAAAAAAAAAAAAGGAGTTTGAGACCAGCCTGACCAACATGGAGAAACCCCGTGTCTACTAAAAATACAAAATTAGCCAGGTGGGGTGGCGCATGCCTATAATCCCAGCTACTCGAGAGGCTGAGGTAGGAAAATCACTTGAACCCAGGAGGCAGAGGATGCAGTGAGCTGAGATCGCACCATTGCACTCCAGCCTGCACAACAAGAGCAAAACTCCATCTCAAGAGAAAAAGTGTAGTGCTTTAGTAACATTCTAGGCCCAGTGGGACTTACAGGTTATGAAGATACGTATCCTCTACGAGCCTGCCATAAAGTTGAAGAGACAAGGCCCACATACATCAACAATTTGTGAAGGAGGTGAGAACTTGAGCAGGACTTGGGGAGCCATGTGGCAAGCAGTCACAGAATTGCCTTTCTCAGTGGAGACCAAAATGCAAGAACTCTGATTTCTCTGTCAGAGAAGATAAGGTATGAGAGGATAATTGGCTATCCTATTCTTGGAGTACCCAGGGCAGAGCTGATACAAATAAAACTTGTATTAGAGTAGGAGAGAAGAGATCAGTGTTTACAGGTATAAGCTGAGCACAGCACAGGCTTGATATGGGTGAACAGATTTTAAGTTAATGTCCAGAGTTCTAGGGTGGACTGGAGAATCCTTTATGGTTTCATGCTTCGAGACTAAATTTAGGCATAAGAGACTGAATCAGGGCATGAGAAAACGTGAAGTTAACGGAATTCAAATAGATTTGGACAGCTATGGTGGGGGAGGAAAGTGAGGGGAGCATATGTCCATTCAGCAGAATAATTAAAGTAAGAAGACTCATCCAAAGATATTGGCTGCTACTGTATGGCTGTCTTAGTATTCCAGAACTGTTCAGAGCAGAGCAGGAGCAGACAGATGAGAATAACATGGCCAATAACCTTTATCAAGGTCTAGGACTTCTGAGACATTTTCAGCACTTGAGATGGAAGGAATGGATGAAAAGCACTGAGAAAATGAGGTATTCCCATGTTTAGAACCAAAACAGGGTAGGCATAAGGGCCACAAGGCTGGATACAGAAGAAAATGGGTGCTTGTAGAGGCAGCAGAGAAACACATCAGACACTTCGGAAGGAAAGAAACATGATGAGAGCTGTGCTTTCAACCCAACAGCAGATGGGTAGAAACAGGCCCAGAAGTTTGTTTCTCTCCACAAAGGAAATCACAACATCTAGGTATCAAGGCTACCTTACAGGAAGGGAAAACCTGAAGCTTCTAAATCCTGTTCCTGGGCCTGAAAAAAAAACGTGATGATGCTTTAACATCAAACTACACAAACTAAGTAGCAATCTCAGCCTAGCTTTCAGCTTCCTCCAGACCCAGCATGACTGAGGGCCACCATTCACTCAACCTGTTGCCTTGTGTCTTCACCTTACAATATGGGGTGACAGTAGTCCCCAAATACTTCCCTTAAGAAAATGAATCCAAACCTGAGATGGACCCATAATTGCAAATGACTTTTAAATATCTTCTTGGCAGATGAAGGCAAGTATTAATGGAGCTAACTAGTATTACAGTCCAGAAACCCTGAGATTTGGGCTGGACTTTATTCTGGTGGTTAGTATCTGGGTATCCAAAAGAACTGACAGTAAACGGGGGTTTGAGACAGACATATTTTCTGCAGAGTCAGTTGTGCTTAAGAGTTTCGGAGTATGCAGAATGGCCTGAACACAGCCTCATTCTCCACTGTGATGTATTAGATTGATCCTCTATTCCTGCCTTTCTGCTGAATGTTGGGTTTTCTTCCCCACTCAAAACTAATTACATTAGAGAAACTCAGAGTAAAATATTCTGCAGAGCACACTTTTCTCACTATCCTTGTCAATGAACTTCAATTGTCCTGTGATTTTGGGATTCTCTATTCTACAGTCTCTATCCATTTTGAAATAATGTAAACTCCCAAATGAGGCAAAAAAGCATACAGAAAGTAAAACTCCTAAGACAAAAATTGGAACAGCCTTGCTGACTTGAAACAGACACATGTGCCAGTGAGTCTCAAGAAAGAAAATACAACCACCCTCAAAAAATATTTTCAAGACATTCCAACAAATGGACTTATTTCAAAGAACATTTACTGAATGCCTACTATGCTCCAAACAATGTCCAATAAGAATACAAATGGAATTGATGACCTTGAAGGGTTGTTTTCTGAGTATAAGAGGACACGCCTGGGCCTGCAGAGCTTTCCAAGCCATGGCATGAGGTGAGGTTCTATGATGAAGAGCAGCACCGAGGCGCTGTTTCATCCTTTAAGATACCTTGGGCTTCTTTTTAAAGAGTGATGAAACAAACTAGATACCCTCGAATCTGGAAAAGTAGTGTCAGAAAGCCCTATTATCCTCTCTTTTTTTTTTTTTTTGTACGCTTACTAAGTAGTTCTAATCATTGCATTCATAGTGACCTTTCCCACTGGAGAATTCCTGTTCATTCTTGAGGACCCAGCTCAAATGTTATCTCCTCTGAGAAGCCTTTCTTAATTCTCTCAGGCAGGATTTTTAGCTTACCCCTTAGTGTTCCTGCAGTCCTTTTTGTTTGGCTCCACTATAGACTTCGTCATGTTATTGTGTAATTATTTGTAAACTTTGTTTCACTATCTGTATCCAACTTGAGGACATCCTCTTATTTGTATTTTGTATCCTCATAAATGGTACTCCACATATAATAGAATCTTAAAAACTGCTGTAGAACAAATTTATCCATGAAGAGCAAAACAACAGTAACAACAAAAAGAGAGCTACTCCTTTGGGCCTTGCCTGTCCTCCCAGCCACAAGCATTCAGCGCCCATCTGATGTCACAGCCTCCCCTGACTTGTGCTTATGCTGTGTTGCTGCCCTTCTGTGTTTTCTCTCCACACAAATTCACCTTCAGGGTTGTCTTCCCACACAAATAGGGAACATCCCATAAAAATGCTGCAGCCACCAGCTCAGCCCTCAAGTAAGTCCTCCACAGTCTGCCACCACCCTCCATTTGGACCTACCCTGTTTTTGCCAACATACACCTGGATTCTCCATCTGGGCCTGGCTGCTTGACACACTGCCAGACACAGGATTCCAGAGTAATGTTTCCAGCTTCTGAGTTGAAGCTATATTAGATCACAGGGCACAAAACAACTTCATGGATGAACCCGCAACTTAGCAGACCCAACTCTCTCTCCCTTGAACTCAAAGCTGCGCTAGTACCATTAAGTACTGCTGCCAGCCACCCTATACAGAGGAGCTGTTCCTTCCAACCTCCAAAACAATCTGAGATGATGTCTTCCATACTTCCATATTTCTCTTGGTGGTACCGTTGTTTTTCCTCTGTTGTAAATTAGAACAAAAACAATAACCTAATCAAAATGGAGCTGACATAAAGGTTACAAGACTTAATACACATAAAGTGTCCTGTACTATATCTGACATTGGATAAATAGAGAACACATCGTAAATGCTACAATACACATTTTGAGGTAGCTATTATGTCTCCATTTTTTTCATTTCTAAATTGAAGCTCAGAAAAGTCAAGCAACTTGTCCAAGGCTCGTGAAGCGACTAACAGAGTGAACTCTGATTTGACTCTTAACCCAATATTAAGGAGTATAGAAATTAATATGTGAGTCATGAAGAACAACAGCAACATTTTAATTAGGAAAATGGTATCTCCAATCATAGTATTTCATCATAAGTAAAGAAACCCATTTATTCAAAGTACTCTTTAAATGTTCACCTCCGTCTCAGCCCCAAACAGTTATTCCTAGTCATGAATAGTCTTCCTTCCCTCTACCACTCCAAATGTGATCTATCCCTGCAACATAGGTCCCCACTTTTTCTTTGAGAGCATCCTAGATTACTGTAGTGTATAATGATCTGTCCTTTCTCTGAAGTTATATGGCACTTACAATCTGAAAGTTGTCTTATACTATTATTCAGCTGCTTCAGACATTCTTTTATTCAATAAGTGTTTATTAAATGCCTGATGAGTACCAAGCATTGTACTGGGACAAAAAATACATGGCCTCTGGCCTTACAGTTCTTTCAATCTAGGATGAAGATAGAGACATGAAAAGAAGTAAACCTAATAAAGTGATTCCCAAAGGTGTAAGATATGGTGGAGAATGAAAGAGAGATTGGACAATCCTACAGTATAGGATGGGGGGTGGCACAGGAAAAGGGCATAGCTGCTTTCAATCTGAGTCTTAAAAGATAAATAGATGTTCCCTAGCACACCTCAGCAGAGAACAGATCCCGAGCCAGTAAAGAACACTATGATGAAAGGTGCAGAGGTATAAAGGAGCCTGGCATGTTCTGGAAGCTGCCAGGAAGGAATTCAGTCTGGTTGCAACACTGGATGTGGTGGGGGGAAAAAAAAAAGGCTAGAGCTGAGCACAGGCCAGATAGTAAATGCCATTTGTGCATATACTCCAGAAATCTGATCTTGTTCTGTGGCCAAGGAGTGACTACTAAAGGACTGTATGCAGATAACCAGATCATATTTGTATTTAGGAAACTCTAGCAGCCATGCTGAAGGGGTGAGGTGAGAGACAGGGAGACAGTTATAGAGATGACCATAGCAATCTAGGTAGAAGACCCTGAAGACCTAAAGCAAGACAGTGACATCAGGAGTGAATAAAGGAATCAGAAATGATAAAACCATGGAGAGGGGCATGTCGGTTTAGAGAGGTCACTCTTACAACAGTCAGTTGGGAGTCAGGTGGCTACAATGGCAGCAGGGAGACCAGGTAAGAAGCTAACAGTAGCCCAGGAGGAAATGGTAAAGACTTCCCCATATTCTTCCTCCTCATGATTGTTCTGTGTGACTGGTGTCATCACTAGCAGATCCTTAACATCATGAATGGTCCTCTGAATCAAGAAGATTGCTGATCCTGAATGGAGCTTTCCACAGAGATGGTGATAACAAGTGGAAATATGCAGCCGAAAGTAAAGAGAGTGAGAGGGACACTGTGGAACGTCTACACAATACTAAGCATTTACCGGCTTTTGACCAAACTTTTGAAGAGCTGGTTATGCTAGGCAAATTCATCATTATTATTATTTCTGAGATGGAGTCTCACTGTGTTGCCCAGTCTGGAGTGCAGTGACACAATCTTGGCTCACTGCAACCTCTGCCTCCTGGGTTCATGTGATTCTCATCCCTCAGCCTCCCGAGTAGCTGGGATCACAGACATGTGCCACCACACCAGCTAAGTTTTGTATTTTTAGTAGAGATGGGTTTCACCATGTTGGCCAGGCTACTCTCAAACTCCCGACCTCAGGTGATCTGCCTGCCTCAGCCTCCCAAAGTGTTGGGATTACAGGTGTGAGCCACCGTGCCCAGATGGCAAATTTCAGTAGCTAACCAAAGGCCTGTTTCCTGGGTCTCCTGGGCACCTATAATATCTGGCAGTCACAGTAGAATGTTTTAAGCCAATGACAATATTCCCTTTCCTGAAGGCAACAAAGTAACCATACTGTCCTGGGTAGTGGGTACTTTTAAATAACAATTCTGATAGATGAAGGAAAACAAAACTCCTTCGAATTTAGGTTATTGCTAGACCAAAAAAAAATTCTCTAATGAAAGATTTTAATATTATGCTATCAATATCCCTATCTCAGAATTAAATAATAATGTGTGACAGCCTACCTTCAGGATATTTGAAAAAAATCAATGATCTTTTAAAAATCTGAGCTCTGATATTTGCAAAGCACTTTTGGTTCAGACAAGGAAAAGCACTGAGGAATACACATACAGATAAATCAATCAACCTATAAAAAGAAAGAAAGAAATTGCTCACAGAAGATAAACAAATCACTCCAAAGTAGAATTTCATTAAACTCTGCTTAGGTTTGATCCTCACACAAGCTACAGGAATTCCGCCAGAAAGTCCTCTGTGCTCCGGCAGAGGCGCTCTGCAGATACTTTTCATGGAGAGGTGTGGACCGCCAATGGCCAGCTGGCTCATTTCAGTTTTCCCAGTCATGTCTCAGAACCATCTTTGAGAAAGTCATTGATTAAATTAATCAATCAATTATCTACATAATAACGCTCTGGCTTCTTGTGCTTGTAACATCAAAAAGCCTTCTTCACTAAAAGCTAGCAGTTATCAAGCTCTCTGGATCACACACTTTCTGTGCTTTTTGATCAAGGGTTTACAGTTAATTTCTTTGGCTTTGCAAGATACGATATGTTTTACTGAATCAGCATAGACTACCAACCTCGTTTCCTTTATTAAGATTTTGAATGCAAGCAATCCCTTCATTTATAATGAAATTGATTAAATAGATTTTGATTATTTTAGCATCATTATATTTCTACAGATGGAATAAAGCCTGCTAATTGAATTTTACTGATGGTTTACAGAGTGGGTACACAAAGTTTAAAGCATGTCATCACCTTAATCTTCCCAAAGGGACCATGCTATCATTGTCTAGTGTGTAAATCCACACAAACACATGTATACACATATACACACACACTCACACAATGAGTAATAATCATCTAACATTATTTTTGAAAATAAAAAAAGAATAAGCCCAAGAGAAAAACATCATAACAACGGTTGGGTAGAAATAAAAGAGGATTTGATTACATCATTATTTTTGTATCACAATTAAATTAACCTCCACACTTCCTCTACCTTCTTTTGCCATGCAAAACAAAAATAGATTACAAATAGTTTTCAAACCCCTCTTCAAGTATGGATGAATTAAGTTTCAGAGAAGAAGACAGGCTTGCCTGGGTCCCATGGCCAAGTCAGTGATAGGGTTTGGGTTCTTTCGTAATTTTGTTCTCCTTGACCAGCATTTTTTAAGCTCCACTAAAATGTCTTTTCCATCCAGTTTCCTATTCTGTTTTTAAGATGATGAATATGATCTCCACAATTAAATCTTGGAATCTTGAAGCCTTCATTACTTTTCATCATTAACATTATTCTCAGCTGCTTTAACTTTCCTCTAAATTATTAAAAATATTACTTAGGCATAAATTAATTATTAGGCATTTAACCTCCAAACACCTTTATGAAATCAGGTTTATTGGCAATTTTAAATAAATGTGAATTCTCATTTGCCAAATGAATTTAAAAACCAATTACAAACAGTCTACTAATGAACATTTAAAATTAATATTTGACTATTTCCCAATCAGTCAAGTATTCAGATTGTCAACCTAGCAAGTATATTCAAAATGGCCAGCTAGCCATATTTTAAATTAAATATAAGCCTATGGGATTTAGCCTTTGTGGGCTTTGCACATTTAGACTTGTGTCAATATCAAGAGTCAATACAAACCTAATACTAAAACACTCAATCCCTTACACTGAAATTTTATAAAACCAAGGATTCTCTTAAAGCATCAATACCCTTTTTAGACTCACCATCAAACCCCAAGACAAACTCAATCTAAGGGGAGTTTCATTATAATTGAATATGGAATTGCAAGCTGGACTGTGCGACACATTAAACAATTAAACAAGCAAGAAATTTAATTAAATTTCTAACTCACTTTGGATTTCACTGTATCCTGCAATTAGAAAGTTTCATGCTAGTATCAAGTATTCAGGAGTCAGGAGTGGCCTGCTGGAAATAAATCTGCAATGTCAACAGCGAGCAGTACATTAATGTCAAACAGATGGTGGAAAAACAGGTCCTATTGCTAATATCCACTGGAGGTTGGTTGAGTCTTCCTCCTCTGTCCCAAATCCACTGGCTCCTGGACAGGGAATTGGCAGATTTTCATGACAAAGATATAGAGCAAAGAGTCAGACCCCCATTTTAGGGAAAGGTACTCACTAACACAAGATCTGTTCTAAATGAAGAGGAATCACCAGGGATTAAAGGACCTGGTTCCTTTAATAGTCTCAGTTCCACTCTTTACTACTCCTGTGGCTTTGGGCAAATTACTCTGTAGAGGAAGTCTTCTGGGTCTGACTGGATACGAAGTCTGAGACCATCCAGTATAGTGGCATTTGAGGGAAAAATAATCTGTTAATTGATCTATCTATAAAATAGCAGGAGTGAGGGTGGGTGGGTGTTGCTCATGACCTCTGTGGTTCCAATCGGGGATTCTTTCTATTACACTGCCCTACAGAAAAAATCTTCATGAGGACAGTCATATGTATACGTATACGTATATGTATATGTATATGTATATGTATATGTATATGTATATGTATATGTATTGTGTAAAACCGTGTCCCCAAATCAGCTCTACAAAGGGAAAGGCTTAACACACACTACTTATAAACTTGCATGAGTCTAATGCCACAAGCAAAAAGACTGCTTAGCTAATATAATCTGATACAAAAGTGTTTGCAAGACAAGAAACAATAATGCAAGCCGAGGGCGCAACTATAGAATTATAATTGTCACCAAGTATCATTTTAATCTTGATACTCTCCTGTCTTGAAGGATTCAGAATAGTTTTAAATTCATTATTCCTAGCTCCGACAGTATGCAGAAAATCCATTAGGTTGCTCTATGGTGTTTCTTCTAGTAAATCAAAGCCCTGCAAAACAGTTTAGTTTTTTTTCTCAGTCTGAAAGATGTTTAGGTCATGATAATTGGAAAACTCTATTCAAGCCCCTACTACAATTAACCAGGCCAGGCATAGTTTTGCCTTAGCAAACTACTTATGACCTCAGGTATATTTTGTTATGTATGAAACACTATTTCGAAGCTATCTAGTTTTTAAAATGCACTGACAGCAACAGCTTTAATTTAAAATGCCAGTGTTCAATATGTCAAAGCTCAAATATTCTCCGAGAAGAAGCTTTAATGCATATATATTATTAATGTACTATCAGAGAACAGATCCCTGAGTTCATTCTGACCAACAAGTCATTAGTCAAAGACTACATAAGGCAAATTTGGTATATGATAATAGATGAGAGAATTGTGTTTCTGGTTGCTGTTGTTATCCAAGGGAAAAGAAACAAAGAAAAATGCAGAAAGTCTATAGTTTGGGGTTAGGAGATAGAAAACCTGAGTTTAAAAAAAAACATGAGTTTTATTCCTTACCAGCAATTTGGACAACAAACTCTCTAAAGAAAAGAATGGAAAAGGATGTCCTACGACATGGTGCACTGAAGGGGCATGGGTACGGAATCCCTGTTCTGTGATGAGCTGTGTGGTTCAGGCAAGTTACTTACATTTCTGGTCCTGAATTTTCTCATTTGCTAAAACAGGATAAACTGCTCCATCATAATTTTGTGATTATTTAACAAGATGAGCATCCAAAGCATAGCATTGTGCTTGGAATACAATGCTAATGTCAGAAAATATGAATTATCTCATTGGACTGATACAAGGAAAGATTGGAAAAATAATAAATACAAAAATTATTTTTTGTTGTTTACCATAACAAACGATAAAGAGTATTGTTTTTAGTCAAAAATTTTATTTTAGAGATCATTAATGTAGGGCACTGTGGCTTTTGAAATTACCTTTCTTTATTCAAAGAGCCAGCTGCTTTGTACAGATAGTGATGTTACAGATAAATAACAATATGTGGACAGGACTAAACAATCAGGGACCACCATCGACCAATGGAATAGTCTGGCTACTTTGAGGGCAAAAATTTGAACTCCCAAACTTCAGTGTTTTCTTAGAGGAACATTTTAGAAGAAAGTCTACTATTTTAATAAGTGACGGGTCAAACACATGGTTTAGATAACCACTTCAAATTTGGTTCTCCCCAGGAAGGAGAAGCTAGTCAATGGTCAGTCTAAAGTGTACCCTGAAGGAGAAGGATGACAGCATTATCATACTGTGTCCATACCTTCAGCAACTTATGTAAAAACATCCAATGTTACCAAAGTTCTGGATGGAAAGAAACACACATATTTATTTAACGATCATCTGAATCCACCCTGATAATTGGCCAGGGCTTAGCCTCAGACCATGAGGCTTTCCTTCTCAGTTCCTTTACTTCTAAAAGCAGAACTTAAACTCTGAGACTAAAATCTTATCTAAATAACTGGGAGAAGAAAACACCACAAAACCAAATAAAATCAAACCGTTGCATTAATCATATAAGGCTCAAAATCATATTAGACTGTGATAAAATAAAGTGATCAAAAAATCTTGAAATAAATTAACTTGTAAATTAAGATTTGGTTTACTTTGCTCTAAGGAAATTCTTTGAAGCAAAAATTATCCTTACAGATGGTTGTTAATAATATACACAATGTTACTTATTATTTGATTTTATAAAAATATCAAATTCTTACCCAACAGCAATCACTGAAAAATAAGTGCAAGTATTTAAACTCTAAATCATATTTTTCATCTAGTGAATGAATATGCTACACAGGAATACCTCTTGCTTATAAAACAAACTGAAAAGGAAACTTTCATCTTTAGAAAACAACAGTAGGTGTTCTTGCTACAAATGAGGCAGCATGGTATGAGAGAAAAAGCCCCAGATTGAGATGCAAGCTCAGCTTCTGTCATTTGCTAAGGAAATGAAAAAATACTTAATCTCTCTACTATTTTCTCATTTTTTAAAAGGAATAATACCTTCTTAGCTACCTCACCAGACTCTTTAAGAATCAGATTGGGCATTATCCAAAAATGCTTTGGAAACTACTTGTAAAGCACGATATAACAGCAAAGAATTATCACTACATGTCCCAGACTCTAAATACTCTTAACATTAAAGTATTAAAATCTGAAGCCATCCTTTAAATACTCAAAAGCAGAATATTAAAATGCTATGCACAATTCAATCAGAAGTCTCCAAACTGACTTCTAAACATCTCAAAAAGATAAACTGTTCTATTTACTTTTCTTTGTGAGGACAACAGCATCTAGCATTCATTGTACCCTGCCTATAATTCTGAGGTGAAATGAAACTTTCAATGTATCCACACTTTTACCTGATCCTCATTAGCACTGGTAAGCTACGTTAATGAAAGAATCTTCCTAAATTAAGTTTCTTTTCATTTATTCATAAAACAATATGTTTTAAGCCTGGACTTAGAGGGATAGCAATCTTCATATATCTGAAAGATTTCCAGGTAAGGAAGAGTTAGATAGGTTCTATTTGGGCCCAAGAAGTGATATTAGGAAATTATACTTTAACAGACAAAGAATTTAAACTCATTATAAGGAAGAATCTTCTCCAGTTATTATAAGAATCTTCTATAGTAAAATCTTCTTCATTATAAGGAAGAATCTTCTACAGTGAAAGCTAACCAAAGATAAAACAAGCAATTTCAGAGGCAGTCCGTCCCTCATCACAAGAGGCATCCAAGCACAGCATATACTTGGAAAGAAGTTGTACGAAAGACTCAAGCAGTGAATTGTTAAAATGGAGGAGCTTTAATCTCCTCTTCAGAGAATGTATGAATTTATAAAACTGTATAGTTTCTGAAGATTTTGACCATTATGAAAAGGTATTCAGAATCGATGGGAAAAAACAACTATGACAAATCAGTTTTTCTAAATTATATATTGGTGTCAAATGGCACCTTTTTCCTAATTATTTGAAGCGAAAGCATATACACTTAACTTACAACAACTTACTTCTAAGTGAAGAGAAAAAATATTTGGTTGCAAATGCCTTTCTTAGATGCCCAGGAGCCCAATAACTCTGAAAATTTGTCCATCAGCATCACATGCACAGGACTTTTCTACATTGAAATTTCTAATCCCATTCTCCACAGATCAAAACAATGTGTAGTATAATCTGTTTCATATACCTTGCAATTTATCACTGCTTTGCATCAACATTATAATGCTGACTTGAAAATATAAGTCTTGGGCAGCCGTTTCAAGATGACCGAATAGGAACAGCTCCGGTCTGCAGCTCCCAGCGTGACTGACGCAGAAGACGGGTGATTTCTGCATTTACAACTGAGGTACCTGGTTCATCTCACTGGGACTGGTTGGACAGTGGGTGCGGCCACAGAGGGCGAGCCAAAGCTGGGCAGGGCATCGCCTCACCCAAGAAGCTCAAGGGGTTGGGGGATTTCCCTTTCCTAGCCAAGGGAAGCCGTGACAGACTATACCAGGAAAATCGGGACACTCCCGCCTTAATACTACGCTTTTCCAACGGTCTTAGCAAACAGCACACCAGGAAATTATAACCCACGCCTGGCTCAGAGGGTCCCATGCCCACGGAGCCTCGTTCACTGCTAGCTCAGCAGTCCGAGATTGAGCTGCAAGGCGGCAGACTGGCTGGGGAAGGGGCATCTGCCATTGCTGAGGCCTGAGTAGGTAAACAAAGTGGCCGGGAAGCTCGACCTGGGTGGAGCCCACCTCAGCTCAACAAGCCTGTCTGCCTCTGTAGACTCCACCTCTGGGGGCAGGGCATAGCTGAATAAAAGGCAGCAGAAACGTTTGCAGACTAAAATGTCCCTGTCTGGCAGCTCTGAAGAGAGCAGTGGTTCTCCCGGCATGGTGTTTGAGCTCTGAGAATGGACAGACTGCCTCCTCAAGTGGGTCCCTGACCCCCATGTAGCCTAACTGGGAGACATCTCCTAGTAGGGGCTGACTGATACCTCATACAGCCAGATGCCCCTCTGAGATGAAGCCTACAGAGGAAGGATCAGGCATCAATATTTGCTGTTCTACAAAATTTGCTGTTCTGCAGCCTCTGCTGGTGATACCAAGGAAAACAGGGTCTGGAGTGGACCTCCAGCAAACTCCAACAGACCTGCAACTGAGAGACCTGACTGTTAGAGGGAAAACTAACAAACAGAAAGGAATAGCATCAACATCAACAAAAAGGACATCCACACCAAAACCCCATTTGTAGGTCACCATCATCAAAGACCAAAGGTAGATAAAAACCACAAAGATGAGGAGACACCAGAGCAGTAAAGCTGAAAATTCTAAAAACCAGAGGGCCTCTTCTCCTCCAAAGGATCGCAGCTCCTCGCCAGCAATGGAACAAAGCTGGATGGAGAATGACTTTGATGAGTTGACAGAAGTAGGCTTCAGAAGGTTGGTAATAACAAACTTCTCCAAGCTAAAGGAGGATGTTCGAACTCATCTCAACGAAGCTAAAAACCTTGAAAAAAGATTAGACGAATGGCTAACTAGAATAAACAGTGTAGAGAAGACCTTAAATGACCTGATGGAGCTGAAAACCATGGCATGAGAACTACGTGACTCATACACAAGCTTCGGTAGCCGATTCAATCAAGTGGAAGAAAGGGTATAAATGAGTGAAGATCAAATTAATGAAATGAAGCGAGAAGAGAAGTTTAGAGAAAAAAAAGTAAAAAGAAACAAACAAAGCCTCCAAGAAATATGGGACTATGTGAAAAGACCAAATCTAAATTTGATTGGTGTACCTGAAAGTGACAGGGAGAATGGAATCAAGCTGGAAAACACTCTTCAAGATATTAACCAGGAGGACGTCCCCAACCTAACAAGGCAGGCCAACATTCAAATTCAGGAAATACAGAGAACACCAAGAACACCAATGTCAGATTCACTAAGGTTGAAATGAAGGAAAACATGTTAAAGGCAGCCAGAGAGAAAGGTCAGGTTACCCACAAAGGAAAGCCCATCAGACTAACAGTGGATTTCTCAGCAGAAACTCTGCAAGCCAGAAGAGAGTGGGGGCCAATATTCAACATTTTTAAAGAACAGAATTTTCAACCCAGAATTTCATATCCAGCCAAACTAAGCTTCCTAAGTGAAGGAGAAATAAAATCCTTTACAAACAAGCAAATGCTGAGAGATTTTGTCACCACCAGGCCTGCCTTACAAGAGCTCCTGAAGGAAGCACTAAACACGGAAAGGAACAACCGGTAACAGCCACTGCAAAAACATGCCAAATTGTAAAGACCAGCAATGCTAGGAAGACACTCCACCAACTAACGGGCAAAATAACCAGCTAACCTCATAATGACAGATCAAATTCATACATAACAATATTAACCTTAAATGTAAATGGCCTAATCCCCCAATTAAAAGACACAGACTGTCAAATAGGATAAAGAGACAAGACCCATCAGTGTGCTGTATTCAGGAGACCCATCTCACGTGCAGAGACACACACAGGCTCAAAATAAAGGGATGGAGGAAGATCTACCAACCAGATGGAAAGCAAAAGAAAAGCAGGCCTTGCAATCCTAGTCTCTGATAAAACAGACTTTAAACCAACAAAGATCAAAGGAGACAAAGAAGGCCATTACATAATGGTAAAGGGATCAATTCAACAAGAAGAGCTAACTATCCTAAATATATATGCACCCAATACAGGAGCACCCAGATTCATAAAGCAAGTCTTTAGAGACCTACAAAGAGACTTAGACTCCCACACAACAATAGGAGACTTTAACACCCCACTGTCAATATTAGACAGATCAACGAAACAGAAGGTTAACAAGGATATCCAGGACTTGAACTCAGCAATGCACCAAGCAGACCTAATAGACATCTACAGAACTCTCCACCACAAATCAACACAATATACATTCTTCTCAGCACCACATCACACTTATTCCAAAATTGACCACATAGTTGGAAGTAAAACACTCCTCAGCAAATGTAAAAGAACAGAAATCACAACAAACTGTCTCTCAGACTACAGTGTGATCAAAGTGGAACTCAGGATTAAGAAACTCACACAGAACTGCACAACTACATGGAAACTGAACAACCTGCTCCTGAATGACTACTGGGTAAATTAAAAACTGAAGGCAGAAATAAACATGTTCTTTGAAACCAATGAGAACAAAGACACAACGTACCAGAATCTCTGGGACACATTTAAAGCAGTGTGTAGAGGGAAATTTATAGCACTAAATGCCCACAGGAGAAAGCAGGAAAGATCTAAAATCGACACCCTAACATCACAATTAAAAGAACTAGAGAAGCAAGAGCAAACACATTCAAAAGCTAGCAAAAGGTAAGAAATAACTAAGGTTAGAGCAGAACTGAAGGAGATAGAGACACAAAAAACCCTTCAAAAAATCAACGAATCCAAGAGCTGGTTTTCTGAAAAGATCACAAAATAGATAGACCGCTAGCAAGACTAATAAAGAAGAAAAGAGAGAAGAATCAAATAGACGCAATAAAAAATGATAAAGGGGATATCACCACCGATCCCACAGAAATACAAACTACCATCAGAGAATACTATAAACACCTCTACGCAAATAAACTAGAAAATCTAGAAGAAATGGATAAATTCCTAGACACATACACTCTCCCAAGACTAAACTAGGAAGACGCTGAATTCCTGAATAGACCAATAACAGGCTCTGAAATTCAGGCAATAATTAATAGCCTAACAACCAAAAAAAGTCCAAGACCAGACGGATTCACAACCGACTTCTACCAGATACAAAAAGGAGGTGGTACATTCCTTCTGAAACTATTCCAATCAATAGAAAAAGAGGGAATCCTCCCTAACTCATTTTATGAGGTCAGCATCATCCTGATACCAAAGCCTGGCAGTGACACAACAACAAAAAAAGAGAATTTTAGACCAATATCCCTGATGAACATCAATACAAAAATCCTCAATAAAATACTGGCAAACTGAATCCAGCAACACATCAAAAAGCTTATCCACCAAGATCAAGTTGGCTTCATCCCTGGGATGCAAGGCTGGTTCAACATATGCAAATGAATAAACATAATTCATCACATAAACAGAATCAAAGACAAAAATCACATGATTATCTCAATAGATGCAGAAAAGGCCTTCAACAAAATTCAACAGTCCTTCATACTGAAAACTCTCAATAAACTAGGTACTGATGGAACGTATCTCAAAATAATAAGAGGTATTTATGACAAACCCACAGCCAATATCATACTGAATGGGAAAAAACTGGAAGCATTCCCTTTGAAAACTGGCACAAGACAGGGATGCCCTCTCTCACCACTCCTATTCAACATAGTGTTGAAAGTTCTGGCAAGGGCAATCAGGCAGGAGAAAGAAATAAAGGGTATTCAATTAGGAAAAGAGGAAATCAAATTGTCCCTGTTTGCAGATGACACGATTGTATATTTAGAAAACCCCATCACCTCAGCCCAAAATCTCCTTAAGATGATAAGCAACTTCAGCAAAGTCTCAGGATACAAAATCAATGTGCAAAAATCACAAGCATTCCTATACACCAATTACAGACAGAGAGCCAAATCATGAGTGAACTCCCATTCACAATTGCTACAAAGAGAATAAAATACCTAGGAATCCAACTTACAAGGGATGTGAAGGATGTCTTCAAGGAGAACTACAAACCACTGCTCAACGAAATAAAAGAAGACACAAACAAATGGAAGAACATTCCATGCTCATGGATAGGAAGAATCAATATCGTAAAAATGGCCATACTGCCCAAGGTAATTTATAGATTCAATGCCATCCCCATCCAGCTACCAATGACTTTCTTCACAGAATTAGAAAAAACTACTTTAAAGTTCATATGGAAACAAAAAAGAGCCCGCATTGCCAAGACAATCCTAAACAAAAAGAACAAAGCTGGAGGCATCACGCTAGCTGACTTCAAGCTATCCTACAAGGCTACAGTAACCAAAACAGCATGGTACTGGTACCAAAACAGAGATATAGACCAATGGAACAGAATAGAGGCCTCAGAAATAACACCACACATCTACAAACATCTGATCTTTGACAATCCTGACAAAAAGAAGAAATGGTGGAAGGATTCCCTATTTAATAAATGGTGCTGGGAAAACTGGCTAGCCATATGTAGAAAGCTGAAACTGGATCCCTTCCTTACACCTTATACAAAAATCAATTTAAGATGGATTAAAAGCATAAATGTTAGACCTAAAACCATAAAAACCCTAGAAGAAAACCTAGGCAATACCATTCAGGACATAGGCATGGGCAAGGACTTCATGTCTAAAACACCAAAAGCAATGGCAACAAAAGCCAAAATTGACAAATGGGATCCAATTAAACTAAAGAGCTTCTGCACAGCAAAAGAAACTGCCATCAGAGTGAACAGGCAACCTACAGAATGGAAGAAAATTTTTGCAATCTACCCATCTGACAAAGGACTAATATCCAGAATCTACAAAGAACTCAAACAAATTTACAAGAAAAAATCAAACAACCCATCAAAAAGTAGGCAAAGGATATGAACAGACACTTCTCAAAAGAAGACATTTATGCAGCCAACAGACACATGAAAAAATGCTCATCATCACTGGCCGTCAGAGAAATGCAAATCAAAACCACAATGAGATACCATCTCACACCAGTTAGAATGGCGATCATTAAAAAGTCAGGAAACAACAGGTGCTGGACAGGATGTGGAGAAATAGGAACACTTTTACACTGTTGGTGGGACTGTAAACTACTTCAACCATTGTGGAAGACAGTGTGGCGATTCCTCAATGATCTAGAACTAGAAATACCATTTGACCCAGCAATCCCATTACTGGGTATATACCCAAAGGATTATAAATCATGCTACTATAAAGACACATGCCCATGTATGTTTACTGTGGCACTACTCAAAATAGCAAAGACTTGGAACTAACCCAAATGTCCAACAATGATAGACTGGATTAAGAGAATGTGGCACATATTCACCATGGAATAACTGTGCAGCCATAAAAAAGGATGAGTTCATGTCCTTTGTAGGGACATGGATGAAGCTGGAGCCATCATTCTGAGCAAACTATTGCAAGGACAGAACACCAAACACCGCATGTTCTCACTCATAGGTGGGAATTGAACAATGAGAACACTTGGACGAAGGGTGGGGAACATCACACACTGGGGCCCATCTGGGGTGAGGGAATGGGGGAGGGATAGCATTAGGAGAAAAACCTAATGTAAATCATGAATTAATGGGTGCAGCAAACCAACATGGCACATGTATACATACGTAACAAACCTGCACGTTGTGCACATGTACCCTAGAACTTAAAGCATATTAAAAAAAAGAAAAGAAAAGAAAATATATTGTCTTTTTACAATGCAAACTTCACAAGAGAAGTGAACTTGTCTATCACTCTACCCCTAGTGTGTAAAACACTTCCTGGGCATGTATTGTGAAATGCACAATACATAGTCTTATTCAAAAATTGTTTCAAGTATGACTTCCTTGCCATCTCCCCAACTAGCCTGCTATTGTCTACTGCCCCATAAAGACAAAAAACTAAGTTTCTCCCATCGTTTCCATTGCAAGGATTGCCAGTTTCCAATCGCAGCTTATTTTGTGTTGTATAGCCCAAAGTAGTAATTCTTGTGATCTAATCATTTCTTATCAAGAAGCAGCCTAAAAATAGTACATGTCACACTAACTGTTAGGTTTAGACTTATAGGTTAAAGCTTGATTATTATCATAGAATTCACTGCAGTGGAGACTTTGTCATATACTTGGAGGAAACCATATACCAAGTTGACTTAGTACAACAAACAACTCCAAAACAATCTTACTCTTTGAGCAAATCTCTACACTACTCAGACAAGCCGGAGACAGTAGCACAGTAACCACCACTGTCAGGTTAAACTCTCTGGCTGTACTATTATTGTTCATTTAAAAAGAAAAAGAAAAAAACAACAACAGATGAAAGGCTCTGTTATAAAGCCTCAGGGAAACAAACACTAATTCAGCTTACTAATTTTATTTGCATTTAGTTTTAACCAGGGTAATGCTTATTTGCTGATGGAAATTTCGATATCATCCTTTGCTCTTCCTCCTGCCTGTGACTTCTCCTTCCTCATAAGCATGTTCAAGAATGCCAAGAAGTATCAAATACATATTAAACATAACCAGAGAAAAATGAGAGAGCTTGATCCTCACTAGGCAATAACAAAACAAGAATACTATTTAATATTTACTAATCCTTTGTCATGCATGAAATACTTTCGCATGTTTCCGGATCAAACAGGCTATTGAAAGACTCCATTTCATGACAGCTGTGATTTTTCTGAGCACTGTCCCGTGTCCTACTTCCTTTTATTGCTGCCAGTATAGTTCCCTATCCTGACTTAACTGCCAATTTTGAAAGGTTATAGACAATACATTAGATTCAGGGAGAGTTGAGCTGGCTTCAACTTGGGAGATTAATGTGAATAGGTCAGCACCATGAGACTCTCAGCACAGCCCAGAGGCAACTGATGGTGCCGGCATGGATTCTGCACCCATAAACAAATTCTTCACATTAAAAACTGGTCATGCAAGCATTTTAAGGAGGAAGAATGTGAGGTTTTTAGAGAAAATAATTTCTCAACAAAAAACAATCCAAAAGGGCTGACAAATATACAGACAGTTTATAGACATATTTTGGCCATTATGCCAGTAAGGCCTCCAGTTTCCAAACAGACACTGACGGGCTTTGGACACTAAGAAAATGCCAAAGCAGGTGACAAAATGTCATCCCCACATCCAGCTCATCCAGGAAGGCTCCCCCTCTGGCCAACTCTTGATACCACCACAGGCTTCCTCTACCCCTTCTGGTTTTCCTTAGTATGCCCTCCAGGGAGGAAATTTCAGAGTAAATAACAGGCACAAATGGTATTGCTGCTGGGAAGAAAATGCATCAAGAGCACAAAGAGCATCACTGATTAAACAATGCTTCTTGGCTGGGCATGGTGGCTCACGCCTGAAATCCCACCACTTTGGGAGGCCAAGATGTGCGGATCACCTGAGGTCAGAAGTTTGAGACCAGCCTGGCCAACATGGCAAAACCCTGTCTCTACTAAAAATACAAAAATTACCTGGGTGTGGTGTTGCGTGCCTATAATCACAGCTACTCAGGAGGCTGAGGCAGGAGAATCACTTGAACCCAGGAGGTGGAGGTTGCACTGAGCTGAGATCGCGCCACTGTACTCTAGGCTGGGCGACAGAGCAAGACTCCATCTCAAAAAAAAAAAAAAATGCTTCTTGTTGATATGGCTGACTACTGAATAGAGAAAAAGTTACTACATGGCTGCTACTGGCCTGGACTCCGTGGGACCTGTCCTTTTCAATAAACCATGTGATAAAACTTAATGAAACTAGAAATTGAATAGATACAGTCTGTTCTGTGAGCAGACATTTTTAATATTCAATTAGACAGTAAAATAATAATGACAAATATAGATAATTCATCCAGGTTTATAGTTTTTTTTGGTGGAGTTAAAAAACATTTTGGAGCTAAATCATCATGATAGCCTAAGCAGGAATCACTGATACTAAAAATAAAAGAAAAAAAAAATCACACTTCTACAAAAGGCCACAGCGTGGTTTCATTATAGCTGAGATCATTTTGTGGTAACATATATTAACTAATTCTCTAGGCCTAAGTCATCTTATTTGTGCTGTAGGACAGGGGTCACTAACTACAGCCCACGGGCCAAATACAACCACTAGTGTTTTACTGGAACATACCACACTCATTCATTTATGTGAATCTATGGCTGCATTCGTAGTTAACTATGACAGAATTGAGTAGCTCTGACAGATACCATATGGCCCACAAAGCCTAAACCATTTACTCTCTGGCCCCCTACAACAAAATGTTGCTGGCCCTTGTTCTAAGAGACGAAATTTGTTGTCTCAACAGAAACTTATTTAAACATTTGAGAAGATCCAAACAAACCTCCTGATGAAGAAAATGAAAAAGAGGAGAGAGGAGGGGACAGGAAGGGAAGAGAGGACTAGCAGTACTCATAGCGGTAGTAGTTGCTGTTTCTTAGGCCTGCTTTAGAACTCCGACAGCTTCATGCAGATACTGTAGGCATCTCCATCTGGGCAAAAATATTAACAAAGTGAATCTTTTAAATTTTCACATTTGAATGTCAAATTTGTTGCCAAACCTTTAATAATAGAAACATGGGTCTTTCAAAAATTAACAACAAAGACCAATTTCTTTTGAAACACTCACTGGAGAGCTTAATTTTGAATTGCTGGGTAACATGACATGGCTTTATTCCTCTAAATCCCAGGATGGGTGTGGGAGGCACTCTGTCCGGCCTGACTAGCCGCTCCCTGAAGGGGTGGTGAGGCAAGGGGTGCTGGTCCTCTGCAGGGAGCAGTGCAGGGTGGGGAGGGTCATGCTCCAGGTGCTGCTGAGGGTGTCAAAGACCAGTGAAACAGCCGAGGGAACACATGCATGACATAAGCCCCACTGTGACGCCTGTTGGCATTACAAAAAATAGACTGTGAATGGATTTCAGGTGGAAAATGGAAAAGGCATAGATCCTTTCTCCTGGGTCTGACAGGTGGGAAAATTAAAAAAATATATACACACACACAAAAACCAAAAAAGCCACAGTGAATCAAGAACATGGACAGAGAGAGAAATATGAGAATGTAGGTGGGCCTTGAGCACCTCAGACCCTAAAACTGGAATCTGGGCTAACCTCTGTCTACATCTCCAAGGAGCAAGGAGGCCCCAAATACCATATGACTTGCATATTTTCTACAATTTTCAATATACAAATGAGTGAGATCAGTGCTACTTAAATGACAGGCTAGATAAAATGAGAATTGCCCATCCTGCTTGGTTCCAAAAATTTTATCCAAGCAAGCCAGACTACTAGAAAGAAACATCTGGAAGGGCTAGCATCAGGTTAGGTGTCTATAAAAATGCCTTAGCAAAACTGCAATTACATAGTTGAAGGCTTACATAAAAGAGAAATACTCATCTATGGCATCAACTTCAAGAATATCAAAAAATCTAATGCTGCTGGTAGAGAACATGTTTTTCAATGTCTCCTACCTAAGGATCCACACTATATAGCCTTCTTACCATACAGGAAAAACTCTCTCCTCCAAAGGGCTGTTGTAATATTTTGCCACACAATAAGAATGCCACAACTCATCAAGTCTTTTTTTTTCCCACTTGTCTTGGTTGTCAGAAAACTTACAGAGTAAAATTTCAAATTTACAACAAAAATATGATACTGTGCTATGAAAGATCACGCATGTGAACAACAGGGACAAGATCCCTGCCCTCATGCAAGAAACAGACATTAAATAGGCAAACAGATCTAATGGCAACCCCATATTCCATGGGCCCAGACAGTTCAGCCTTGGGCCACTAAAGGTACACCAAAATAAACAAAAGATAATTTCATTCTTTACTTAGCATTTCAAAGAACATAAAGGAAAGATAAATTGAGATTCCAAACACCTGCATCTCAAAAGGCCTTTTCCCCTTCTCAAATCTCTCAGATGCCATAGCTATCCCAGAGCCTTACTCACACCAAACAAACCCAATACTTTCTTTCCATTCCCAGATCCACGAGGCTTTCTTTTCCCCTTTCCCACATCTCTAACCATGAGGTTCAACTTAACTTCCCTTCCAATAAACAAAACAGAATCCTTATTCTTTAGGAGAAAAGAGAAGTAAAACTGAAACGACCTCAGATTCTAACAGGCAGAGGGATTGTTGGATGAAGAGAAGGCAGTAAACAGGATGCTTGGATAATTTTTGTCTGGCAATATAAATACAATTGTGAGAGAATATAGAAAAGGTGGTATTACTCACTTAGCATAGGGGTCAGGAGAGATCTCCCTCACAAAGTAACATTTACAGCCAAGACCTGCAGGATATAGAACCAGCTACTCAAAGAACAGGAGGAAAGACCAGGCCTGGCAGGGAAAGCTTATGTGTGAATATCTGAGGCCTGGGCATTCTCTAAGAACTGAAACACACAATCTAACTAGAAAAAAAGAAACAAGCACAGGGAAAACTGATAGGAGATGGGGCTGGAAAGATGGGTGGGATAAAACCAGTCAGGGCCTTCTTCCATCCTAGCGAAAACTCTGGTGTTATAGCAAGTACAATAAACACCCAACAGAGCTTTCTAAGAGGGGCAGATCACTCTGATGCTTGTGAAGAAGGACTGGTTGGGAAGAGGTAGGGAATAGCTAAAGAGACATGCAGAAGACGTAAACCAGGGGTGGCAAGGGAGAGTTCAGGCAGCTATTCAGATTTGATGTGCAGAGACTGGTGAGAGATTGATTACAAGTGGAGAGAGGGGGCTGTATCAAGCGTAATTCTTGGGACTCTGTATGTTGATCCTTAAGTAAATGGGGTTAAAGGAAGAGATGATTTGAATAGAAATATCAAGAGTTCAGTCCTGAAACTTAATCCATTATATATTAACAGAATATTATTATATTTAGAAATAATAATACTTAAATTCAATTGCAATGGCTCCCTCATTGTTATTTGCCCAGGGCTTCCAACAGTGTCTGGCAACAAGGCAAGTGCACGATAAATATTTGCAGAATGAATAAAATTTCCTCTGGTAATTCTCTCTCTGGTATTCAAAATATCTGAGCAATATCTTTAGATTAAAACAAATTATGTTTGATGAAATATAACTCTAGATTTGAAATGTGAGAAACATGCTTTTTGTTTTTATCATATAAACTACAGAAAGTAAACTTCAAGAAAATATTCTTGTCTAGTGGAGCCTGAGTTTGAAGATAATACTTGGAAACACTGTTCTATTTGACCTCGGATTATTTAAATTTTTCTTTTTAATTCTGCAGCATGTGTGCTTTTTATTGTGAGTGACTTCAAATTCCTTCTGGAAGTAGATGGGGAATAAATTAGAAAGAAACACTGTGCCTCAGATTAAATGTGATTTGTGGAGCTTAACGGCTACATTCTCACTCCCTGCTCCATCCCAACAGTGAAGGTCCTCTCAGGGCTCATTCTGGGAAATGCAAAGCTCAGGCAGGGGCTGCCGCTCCGGATGACCAACAGGATAGTGCATCCTGGTCCCAGAGTCCCTCCAGAGCTCTAGAATCTCCATCCCCCATTCTCATTCTCTTCGTCCCACTACCATTAGTCCTTGTGTTTAAAAGATAAACATCCTGGGCTAATATTTCAGTAGACAGGCCTGACCTCTATGCTATTTTCCCTTAGGTAAGCCATGTAGAACTGTGCCAGGCACTTATTACACAGTCGAGAAATCTTAGATATTCACAGTAGTGATGGCATATGCATCTCAAAGAGTCTTTCTTCATTCAAGGGGGTAAATGAGAATTGTTAGAATTTCAAAAACTGGGCCAAGGTCGGTCAGAAGAAATTCTAGGCAAGAGGACCTTTCATTTCCCTTCAAAAAACACTATGAAGGCTAATTCTGAATCTACCTGTTTCTACCACATGTGATGCTTATGGTATGCCTCTTATTTTACCTTTTCTTTTGCTAACTTTTCTTTTTTTAAAAAAACAAACAAACATTTTTTGCCATTAAAAGTAATGGCAAAGCCCCAATTATTTTTGCACCAACTTAAATACAATTATACTTCTTTATTTTTTACTCAGGTTTAACTTATTCCTGGGACATTTAAGAAAACTGTCTGATTGCTAGATCCTATTCACAGTGAGAAAACAAAAACAAAAAACACAAAAAACCTGGACTCCAGTTTTAGATGCCAAGATCTGAGTCCAGTTGCTTACTTTAGCACCCTTATGGATAAAGAAACTCCTGTGAACTGAGATCCTCAACTGTACTGTAAATGATACAGCATCAAACTTGTACACATTTGCTCAAATGCTCCTGTGACTGCTAGTTTCCTGAGCTACAAAACGGGTATGACAAGGTTTATTAATTTAAATCTCATAGAAAAATTCATAAAAGCACAATGGATATATTGGATTTGGGGAAAACATATCCATAGCTTCTTAACAAAATTTTGAACATTGCTATAGGCAGTTATATCCATATTTTCCAGCATGATTATGAAAACCAGTTTAACCCAATAAAACCATTTGCCGTCCTGTTTCACATATGACTAAATGGAATTGTGAGAGACAGTTAGTGACAAAAAAAAAATAAAACCCTTTTGGAATAAATAAAAGTAAGCAATGCATATCGATCAGCCTCTTAAAGATTTAAATACATTATTTACATTATGCCCCCCAGAACTACAGCCCTTGCACTCTATTTGGTCTATTTGGCTCAATAACTTTTCCAACAACCTCAAGAACATATCAGTCCTGCTACCACTTATCACAAAAAAAAAAGCGGGGGGGAATCCTCCTGCCGTATCCAAGTGGGTCACTGCTACTTTTCTCTTTGTTCAGCCTTTCCTATGGAGGTCTGTCAGGTTCTAATGTGGTTCACTGCATATTTTAAATGCTGGAAGTGGTTATGGCCAAAGAAGGTCAGAGAACATGACTGCGAGAGACAGAGGCTGAGATTTAGGTCACCTCTGGGGAGAATATTTATGTTCACCAGATACTTACTGTTCATTAGTGTTCATGCTTTTCCATGGCCTTATTTAATGTTCTAAATTAAGAGCCCTAATTTAGAGGCTTAACATAGTATTTTAAGTGCCTTAACAGTGATTTGCAATAATTTTAAATAAAAATGATCCAATCATCCTATAAACAGAATTGCCATCTTCTGTAAATAGAAATGGCAAGCATTTCAACACTCTTAAAAATATCAGCTCCCTTGATTTCCCTCCACCCTCTCACCAATGCCTCCCTTTCCTTTTCAGAATTCCTTAAAGCAATAGTCCAGAGCACTCTAGGGGAACTCAAGGGACTCGTGTTGATACTAAAGACACTGGGAAGAAGCCATCCTGTGGAGATACACAAGGCTTGCTGTTCTTCATGCATTGTCATGGATGCTGCAGGAGTTATTTTCTTTTATTCTCCATGACTTATCAAAAAGGAGTACTACAGATTTAATAATGGATAAGCAGCAAAATTTGAACCATAGGCAAAATCAAACTTCAGGATTTACCTATATTATTCTATTTTTATGAGCATCAGACAGGCAAAACCTGTCTTACAAAGCTGGAAGCAGACATTATCAGGGCTTTCCTACATGATGAACTTCAAAGAAGAAGGAAATAAAACAATGGAATATTCTGATGCCTGCTCAGATTTTATTTAACCATATATAATATAACCCTTATTTATAGAAGCCCTCAACTTCAACTCTGAGCAATTCTCCAAAAAGATACTTCTACCCTCCCAATATCTGCATAGACATTCAACGGAACTCTAAAACAACAAAAACTACTTCTACTGGTGTGTTATTTTATTGCTGAGATGCTTGGAAAACAATCAAAGATTAAGAAACCCAGGTTCTGTGCATGTGCTGCAGCCATCCTTATTGTGGTGGAACAATTTAAATCCGTACATACCCCTATATGTATAAACCTGTAAGGCGGTGGCTGCTGGTTGCCTACAACTACCCATTCCTCCCTTCTTCCATAGTAAAAGAACCTTAATTCTTAGCCAGGAAGAATCCTACCTAGAATAAAGGTTTTATTTGCCAGCCTCCCTCGGCAGGTGCGGCCACATGACTATACGTTGGTCAGTATTATGTAACAGAAGCGAGTGGTATTTCTACAAGGAATCCATAAAAGTGGGATTACTTTCTGCTACCTAGAACATAAATTTTATACCTAGAGCTCTAGCAGCTATCTCAGACTACAAGGTAACCACTCTTAAGGAGAGAAGTCAAATGCTGACAATAGTATTTATCTTGTCAAATCTCTTTTTTTTTTTTTTCAAGACGGAGTCTCAGTCTAGTACCCAGGCTGGAGTGCAGTGGCACAATCTCAGCTCACTGCAACCTCCGCCTCTCAGGTTCAAACAATTCTCCTGCTTCAGTCTTGCGAGTAGCTGGGACGACAGGCATGTGCCACCACACCCGGCTAATTTTTGTATTTCTAGTAGAGATGGGGTATCACTATGTTGGCCAGGCTGATCTCGAACTCCTGACCTCAGGTGAATTGCCCACCTCAGCCTCCCAAAGTGCTGGGATTACAGGCATGAACCATCACACCTGGCCATCAAGTCTCTCATATCCACAAATTAACTGTTTGTTTTATGGCAACTGAACAAAATAGTAACTGACATGCCTGTCATACAGTCCAAGGAACCTGCCTGCTCTAGGACATGAAATTCAATTTCCTTCTCTGCAGACATTCCTTCACTCATCTGAAGATTATATAGCCAAACGAAACCCATAAAAAAAAAAGCCTAGCATATAAGAGCAAAGGCTCGAGATCAGCTCTGTCTTTGCATATTACCACTAACCCAATCATCCTATCACTCCAATTCAAATTGTTTAACTCCAAGTGACTTCCTAAAAAGAAAAAATAGTATACTAGAATATGTTATGTAGTTTTATAAGTCTTGTAAGTATACTAGAATCCCAAATGCAATTATTATTAATAATAATAGCAATAATAATAGGTATCACCTATTGTTCAATATCACATAGCTGTAGCTGCTATTGTACTATTTGGCTAGCTCTCTGCTGATACATATTACCTAGAATTTGAAATAAATATCATTCCTATTTTACAGATGAGGAAACTGAGGCTGTGAGAGGTTAAATAACTTAGCTTTCATTATGCAGCCAGTTCATGGCAGTGATAATAGATGAACCCAGAATTGACTATAAGCTTAAATATTTTGGCTATATAATCCTGTCTTCAAAATATTAGATAAAATAATCCTGAGAATCTTTATTTTCCTAATTTCAGAACCACAATAAAACATCCTACTCCCACCTCTAGTTTACATTAACACGAGCATTTCTTAAAACAAGGAAAAAAAATTGATAGAATTTGTCAACAACTGGTAAATAATCTTTATAAGCGTAAATAGTTTGGCTATAGAATCCTGTCTCTTAAAATGTTAGATAAAATAACCTTGAGAATCTTTATTTTCCTAATTTCAGAACCACAATAAAACATCCTATTCCTACCTCTAGTTTACATTAACATGAGCATTTCTTAAAACAAAGAAAAAAAACTGACAGAATTTGTCAACAAATGGTATATAATCTTAGAACCCAAATGAAACAAATTCCAAATGTAGTTTTCCTTAATTTCCCCTTTTGCTAACAGTTTTATTTCAGGGTATCCTATATATTTCTACAAAAAGGGTCATTGTGTACCTTTCAATCCTTAAACATCAAAACTAAAAAGAAACACCTATAATGACCTGTTCTTGGTTATTACGTCTCAGAATGCCATTCCTTTTGAAACAGGGTTGATTTATTTTCTACCTCTTTGTTGAGCTTCCTCCTCAGTGGAACTAAAAGCCACTTAAAGAAATCAAGCCCTTAAAGCATTCCTTAAATACACGAAGCATTTTAGCCAAGATTCAAATAAGCGAGTTAAAACAGAATAATTCAATCTTTCTATTAAAAATAAGATATATGCATTTACATATCTGTTTGTGTATGTACACTTGGAGGCATTTCTATTTAAAGGTATATAATTTAAAAATATAGTTATTACATAAAAAGTTTATCATTAGAATAATTAATATTTTCTTGGGCTGCTGAGAGCTAAAGAACTAAAACATGCCTATAAGAAAGTCAAACAGAAGATTAGAGCTCCCTCTTTCTTCTTTTTGAAGGAATTCAACAAAACTCCTCTCCTAGGAGACCAAAGTTATCAAGCAGCCAGCAGCCTAGTAGCACTCCTGCTCACAGCAAAAACATTCCCGTCGCTGTACACATTATACATGCTACAAGCATTAGAGTACACTTATTGGTTGTTCATTATTCATAAGTGATTTAACTAGTAAAAATAAAAGCACTTTTAAAAATAGAAATACTCACAAAGCCATTTCAAACTGTTCTAGCCATTTCTTCTTTAAATCTTTTGTTTTGCAATAAAATTCTAACCCATTTTGTCCTTGGGTATGGATGAGGTAGAAGCCATAAGACCACTGTTAAAATTAATATTCCTTAGATTAATATGTATCATTAATAACATGTTTCTAAATTCACAAGAATACCACAACTATCCAAAAACTCCTCACAATATTATCAATGTACAAACTGAACAATCAAGCTTATTGTAGTCAACTTCATATCTATAACAATTTCTATGCCAAATGCGTTTTATTATCTGGATCATTAGGGCATTAGAAATGATCAGATCTGGCTGTGGCATTATCCAGTTATTTCTCACAAAGTTATGTACCTAATCAATCTCTAGAAACAAAAACATCTGGATTGATAAGCCATATCTCACATTAATGTATTATCATACTTTTCCTTAATGTTCAAGATTATAAGTAAATTACAGTTATTAGTTTCCAAAAAGTCACCTTTTTGTTTTCTTTATCGGTTGTAGGATTATTGGCTATCTTGTACTGCTGAAGATCTATTATTTCCTTCATTTCATAGTTATCACCTTTTCTCTTACATACGATCACTGCCAAATCAAATAAGAAGATATGCCTGGGAAAAAGAGATTGATTGATTGATTTTAAATGGTTTAGAAACATGGGTTATTAATTTTTTTGGGTATAAAGCAACCAAATGTTTTTTTCTTTGCATTAAAGACAACAGGTAGTATCATACACTGAAAACAACGGGGTATTTGAGGTTATAAGAACTGTGTGTGGAATTTCCCTTTACCTTGTAAATGGCCTCAGTGTGCTTTGGTTCCCTCATTTTAAAAATGGGCAAAAATCATAGTAAGAGTAAAATGCACACTGCAGAGTTGTTGAAAGGGCCAAGTGAGATAAGCCATAAAGTTTGTTCATGAGCAATTATCTTTTTTAATTTAAAAGCTAAAAACCTATAGAATAATATTAATGACATCCGTAGCAGCTTCTACTGAAGTTACTAGGAATCAGCCAGAATGCCTTGAGAAGTGTTCATCCCTTTCACAAACATGACTCAATTTAAATCCCCAAGACCACATGCTGGGAAGGTATCATTGCCATCTTCATTTTATTGAGGAGGAAACTGAGGCTTAGAGAAGTTAGATAATTTGCTCAAGATCACACTGCTAGTGAGGCATGTAACAGGATTCACAAACAGGTCTAATTTTGGAAACTGTGCTTTTACCCTCTATATTGTTCCTCATGATTTAATTGGCCACCTAAAAACCCAAACTGAATGGTATATGAGCCAAGTGTAAACTGAAAACGTTATGGTGAAATTTCCATGTTAATATTTCTTTTTTCTTATTAAGAACAACGTAACTTGGGGGAGAAAATAAACCTTATAACCACATCATCCAATACCAATACTTGTGTATTTTTATAAACTCTCAGTGATTAACACACATTTTTTTTATACACAATGATAATGACACATTCACAGGGCTGTAACACTTGCATCACTTTTAACGTCTATTTCTCCCAGAGAGGTTTAAAGGACCTATGGAGCCAGGGTTATCGAGGAAGAAGCAAGAGCTGATGCTGCCCCCTACTGGCTTTCGCTTCTCCAAAGATTCCAGAAAACAATCATTGTCAACCACAAAAACCTCTGTTTGATGATTACATATATACATAATTAAGGACTCCGGGCCAAGCTTACTAATCTTCAAGAACTACATCTGCAAATTTCCCTCAAGAAAATATTACTACGTGATTCTCACTTAATCTTCTTTCTTAGGGCATTTTTCTATTATTTTTGGTTATTTAAAAATATATTCCAAAAATTCAATTATGTTTTTATGGTAGTTATCTGTTCTTACTTTATCGCTCTTCTCATTTTAATGTATCCTAGCTGATCATCTATACTTGTTACTTCCTTCTTAATAACTTAGACAAACTAATAGATACCAGAACCCAGGTGGGAATACCTAAGATAATCTAGATTTAAAAAATTTAGAAATCATGGGTTGGTCTGTCTCCTTGTATTTCTTCCTTTTTTCCCCCTACTTCACACTGGAAAAATTGTCTTTAAGGTTTTCTCAGTTTTCTGACACTAATTACTTATTTTGAAAATAGTATTCTTCTTTTCTTACCTTTCTTGTTTGGTATGCTTGTCTAGAGTGGTTATTCGAATTTCACCATCTCCCTGAGGTCGTCCAAAAAGCAAAACTGGTTGGTTCTAAAATATAAAATGCACATGTCAGAGTTTTTCATAATCACATGAAAATAAAAACAAATATTAGTAGAGATATTTACTCAAGACAACTACCTTATTACATTAAAATGTTACCATTTTTTATACTTTTAAAGCATACTTACTCTAAAAAGCTCAGGTCTACATGACAAATAAGTCTGTCCTCTGTAATCCCAGGGGGTATGTCAAGGACATCAATTGATTTTAATTAGTATATATTCTTAAAGGGGAAATTAGCTATGAAAAGAAAGACTCAACCGGAAGGGTCCAAATTACGAGACGGTTCGGCAATTAATATTTTTTGAGCATCTACTACGTGCCAACCACCATAACAGGTGTACGGCAAAATGATACAGACACTGCCCTCATGAAGCACACTGCGCAGTGGAGGAACAAATATTCACAGAAGCATGCAATTACAAACGCACAATTGCCATGAAGGAGTACAGAAAGGGGCGGGGGGGCGCGCGCTAATTTGGTCTATAAAGTCCAGGCTGGCTTTCTTGAGCTAGGACCTCAAGGACGAAAAGCTCTGAGTTAATTATTTAAAATAATGAGCTATTTTCCCAGAGGCTGATAACTAAATTATTTTTAAGTGTTTATGAACACTTACTGTACACGCTAGAGGAAAAAAGAATTGACTGAAAATCACTAACGTTCAGAAATTCCATTTTAATAAAGGGCAGAGATGTGTGATTAACACTATAAATATAAAAATAAATGTATCTTATCAAAATCCCAGTGATGTTTTCTGCACAAATAGAAAATTCCATTCTAAAATTCTTATGGAATCTCAAGGGATTCTGAATAGTCAAAACAATCTTGAAAAGGAACAAAGCTGGAAGTCTCATACTTACTGACTTGTTTCCAAAACTTATTGCAAAGCCACAATAATCAAAATCATGCGGCACTGGCATACAAACAGGTATATAGACCAACAGAATAGTAGAGAGCCCAGAAATAAGTCCTCACATATATGGTCAAATGATTTCCAACAAGGTTAACACCATTAAATAGGGAAAGAATAGCCTTTTCAACAAATGGTGCTGGGAAAACTGGATATCCACATGTAAAAGAATAAAGGTAGACCCTTCATTACCTTACACCATAAATAAAGAATAACTAAAAATGTTTCAAATACCCAAACATAACAGTTAAAACTATAAAACTTTTACAAGAAAATGGGGAAAAACTTTATGACAATAGATTCAGCAATTATTTCTTCGAGATTGATAAATGGGACTTTGTCAAAATTAAAAACTTTTGTGCCTCACAGACAATATCAACAGAGTGAAAAGCCAACAGACACAAGAAAAGTATTTGCAAACCATATGTCTTATAAGGGATTGATATCTGGGATACAAATAAAGAGCTTCTACAACACAAAGACAAAAAACAACTTGATTCAAAAATGGGCAAAGCATTTGAATAGGCATTTTTCCAAAGAGAATATACAAATGGCCAGCAAACACACAAAGACAATATTCAACATCATTAGTCATTAAGAAAATGCAAATCAAACCCACGATGAGATATTGCTTTAAAACCATTAAGATGGCTGTTACCCAAACAAACCGAATAGTGAGTGTTGGTAAGGATGTGGAAAAACTGAAACCCTTGTGCATTGGTAGTAGGAAAGTTAAGTGGGGCAGCTGCTGTGGAAAATGGTATAGCAATTCTTCAATAAATTAACATAATGACCATACAACCCAGAATTCCACTTCCAAGTATATAACTAAAAGAAGTGAAAGCAGGCACTTGAATAGATATTGGTACACCTGTGACAATAATAATATAACAGTATTATTCACAATAGCTGAAAGAAGGAAGCAACCCAAATGTTCATCAATGAAAAACAGTGAGGTATTTATATAAAATGATGTATTATTCAGCTTTAAACAAATGGAAATCAAAAAAATAAAATGTTGACACATGACTACTACAAGGATGAACTTTGAAGACATTATGCTAAGTAAAAAAAGCCAGTCATGAAATGGCAAATATTGTATGATTTCACTTATATAAGGTGCCCAGAGTAGTTAAGCTTACAGAGATAGAAAGTAGATTGGTAGTTTCCAGGGGCCAGGGAAAGAGAAGAATGGGAAGTTCATGTTTAATGAGTACAGAGTTTCAGTTTTGCAAGATGAAGTTTTGGAGACGGTCACACAACATCATGAATGCACTTCTAATTTGAAAATAATTAGAATGGCAAATTAATGCTATATATATTTATAGCATTAATGTGTGTGTGTATGTATGTGTGTGTGTATATATATACACACATATATATACACACATATATATATATACGTATATATATATATATATATATACACACACACACTTTTTTTTTTGAGACAGAGTCAGAGTCTCGCTCTGTTGCCTAGGCTGCAGTGCAGTGGCATGATCTCGGTTCACTGCAGCCTCCGCCTCCTGGGTTCAAGCAATTCTCCTGCCTCAGCCTCCCCAGTAGCTGGGACTACAGGCACGTGCCACCATGCCTGGCTAGTTTTTGTATTTTTAGTAGACACGGGGTTTCACCATGTTGGTCAGTCTGGTCTTAAACTCCTGACCTCAGGTGATCTGCCCGCCTCGGCCTCCCAAAGTGCTGGGATTACATGTGTGAGCCACCACACCCGGCCAATGCTATATATATTTTACCACAATTTTTTAAAGGCTACACAGCTGTCCAAGAAATATGCTATGGAATTCTAAAGAGGAAAAATAATAGGAGATTAGGAAAAGGGATTTATTTTAGATGCACCTTGAATAAATTTGATAGGGAATAGGAAAAAAACATTCTAGGCTCTGAGATTACAATTGAAGGCAGAACTGTAGAAACGTATGTCAAATTGGAGACCTTGTAATACAGCAAAATATCCACAATGTAAAGTTTACGGGCAGTTATTAGCTGGAGGGGTTCAGGAAAATAGCTTAAGTCCAGATCACTGAGGACCTTAAATATCATGCCAAGGAATATTGACTGAATCTTGAAGACAACAACAAAAAAATCTTGACAAATTTGAGAAAGAGAGTAAATTGAGAAATCCACATTTTGGAAATGCAACTATATGAAGAGATGATGAGAGGCTACTGTGACTGGAAAACTGGCAGATGATGGTGTCCTGAAATGGGTATGTGGCTGCATGTGTGAAAAGAAAGAGACAGGTTCACAATGTTTCAGAGAAAGCAGCGATGAAACTGCTCTACCAAAAATGTATCTTAAATTCACTCATCTCTATTTGCACTGCCCACAGATTAATCCAGGGCTGCATCCTCTCTTGAAACCACTTCAACAGCTTGCTGGCTGGGCTGCCTGCTCACAGGGTCTTCTTGAAATGTCAATCAGTCTGTTGTAATACTCCCTGATAGAAACCTTTTAATAGCTTCCCACTGCAGTCACAATAAAATCCCAATTCAGCATATTGGCCTACAAGGCTGTGTTATGTAATTGCCCTGCCCATTCCTCATGGCTCAGAGCCCACCATCCTTCCCTTCACTCTCCATTTCCAGCCACTCTTACCTTTCAGCTTCTTGAATACACCTGGTTCTTGCCCAACTCTGAGCATTTCACCTGCTACGGCTTCTGCCTGGGTCACTTTCCCCTAGATCTTCGTGTGGCTGGCTGCTTCTTATCTGCTAGGTCTCAGTTCAAATGACTTAAAAGGACTTTTTCCAACCAACTTATCTAAACTAGGACTCCCCTTGTAATCCTCAGTTATAGCAGCCAGTTCACAGCACTAATCTCAATATGGCATTTTTAACTCTTTTTTTTTTAAACTGTCTCCTCAATCTTGAGACCATCTTGTTCACAGTTACAGTCCCAGCCCCAAGCAAAGTGTCTGGGTCATAATAGTCACACAGCAAATATATGTAAAATGAATAAATGAATAGGAATCAGCCATGAGTATGTAGGGGGATGAGGGAAAGAAAAGAAAAAAAAAGTGGACTCCTATATTTAGATTCAGACTGCTGGGAGAAGAGGCAGAGTGTGACTAAGGTAAGAGGGACAAGCCATCACAAAGTCCCTAGACACAAGCAGGTTGCAGGTGCCCTCAGACACCCACATGAACACTGCCAAACAAAGGGACTGGCAACAACCTCCAACAGTAGAAACTTGAAGGTAAACTATGTTTTCTTCAACAACAACTCCTAGAATGTCGTTGATGTGGGGGTGAGGGGAAGCTGGATGGAAAGATAATTACATACCAAATTCTCTATAGATAGCTGAAACTGTTTAATTTCACGAAGGGTCTCATTATCTCTTTTCACTTCATTCACATATTGTGCCAAGTCCTAGACAATAAAGAAAAGGGTAGAAAAAGAAGGCACACTAAGATTAGAGATGCAAACTGCTTTGAAAGAAAACACATCATTAATTCCATTAGTGGTAAAAGTAACCACTGTAACTTTTCAAAGACAGTAAAATGAATGCCCAGTCAATCAAAGCTGCATCACAGAGGCAATTTTAAAATGTCTGAAGTACAGCTGGGAAGACTGAAGAGCTGTCATTTGTCACACCACTGAGAAGAGTCAGGATGTTGTTGCCTTAAAAGACAAAACAAAATATACCACAATAGAGCAACAAAAAGAAAACTAGGTCGGAAGAATAGAAATTCCAAGCACGTTAATTACTGACCTTGAGAGCATGATATTTTTACACAGGTTAGAAGAAGGGCAATCATGAACGATTAGCATGAGAAAAGTAACCAAAAGTTAGATAATGAATCTAGCAAGACTGTTTTATTTTTGCAATCGGCTAGTCTTCTTGGTTCCTGAGAGCATTCGGTCAAGGAAACCGGTTCAATTTTAAAGAGTTAACCCGTTTATGGATTCAGGAGAAGTAAAGGAGAGGTGAGGAACTAAATAGCACAACATGCTGGAACTAAATTTAATTCATGAATTAAAGTGAACATAAAATGCTGGCCGTGTCTTTCCATGTGCCTTCACCTATTTTAAAATGTCTTTTCTCATATTTGAGGAAACATTAGCTAATCTTTCCATACTGTAACTAGCTATTTTTGTTACATGTGCTCCAGATTTTCCTGTTTTCTGAGCTCTTTTTCTTTTTTCTCTACCCTCTTAAATTCATCTGCAACAGTAGGGACAGAACTCTGCAAAAAGCAGTTCCTAACTTTGTTCTAAATGGAAGTCTGACTTTTCATAGGATAGATCCATAAACGACTTCTTTAAAATTTGGAACTTGGTTTGACTTTTTAATAATAATAATAAATAATTATGTGGTGTTTCCTGTTAGTGGTAGACAATCAGCCAAACAGCGAAGCTAACACGAATTGGTACAAGGACACAGTTAAGTAATTATGCACTGCTCTGAGCAGGGTCACCTTGCCATTTTGTTTTAAAGAACAAATATTTGCCTACGCTTTAAGTTATTGGCAAATATTATTTCGTTTCAAAGTCATTTTTATTTAACATAATGTGGAAACTGAGGTTTTACATATTCCCCAGTATGTTCAAAATGTCTGTCTTTTCTATTCATAATTTTCGTATTTTCCTGAAAACTGAACAAACTGAAATTCACTTGTATGAAGCCATAGCATCCACAAGGGTAAACCTAGCAGATATCCTCATATGAGGAAAATAAGTTACATGGGGTTCTGAAGCCACCAGCTGGCCTACGACTTACACAAGCCAACGTTTTCTATTAGTCACCATGAAAAGAATGGGAAAAAAATATGATATTAAATAATTCCCCATGGTTATGAAAGTTTTTATACTTGTATCTAAGTGATTTTAATATACTTCTTAGTTTTATGCGTTGTCTAACAATTAAATCCATGCAAGGATAACTATTCCAGTAAAAAAAAAAAAATCCAGTTTTCTCCACTAAAAACAAATGTGTATTATACATAGGCATGTCATAATATTTTATTTATGTGTATATATATATGTTTGTGTATATATATGTGTGTATATGTGTGTGTGTGTGTGTGTGTGTGTGTGTGTGTGTATGCAATTTGAATTCCATTGTCTTTAGGCAAGAATAAAAAATACAAACAAATTACTGATGAATCTGCCCTACCTTCATGGCATCAAGAGCCAGTTTCAGATTTGCCTTCTCAGTCGGATCAGTGGTATGTTTGACCAGTTCCTATTTGGAAGATATGGTTTAGTACTACTTTCATCAAATTAAAACTAAGACATACTAAAGAAAACATTTTTACAAATAAACCATTATTATTGGTTTTCTCTCTATAATGTGATAAATCTAATATGTCTGGGCTCCATTTCCATCAAAAATTTCAAACTGTAAGAAGACCAACTAGACACCAAAAAATCATGAGACACAATATGAGATATTTTCTTTTCAAAGATGAATCTGAATTCTATCCACCACCATTACACTGACATTGATCCCTATTGTTATGAAAGATTCCATAATGATTAAAATCACACTTTTTACTCATTTATTATTCTTGGCTTCAGCTTTTGATTCTTTTAACTGCATCCCTCCTTTCATTTCAGGGACATCAGGATGTTCTATTTGTTGTTGTTATTGCTGTTAAAATTGTTCATCTGTCCATCCTAAATTTCTGCCTCCTCCTCAGTCTTTCATAGTTTCTTCTTTATCTGCTTCTTAGAAAGTTATTGTTCCTTAAGTTTTCACCCTAGTCCTCTTTTTTCCCCTGATTTTACATACTCTACAAATTCTATCACAACCACTGTCATAATGTCAACTATCACCTCATGGGCCAATTACTGTGAAATGTATGTGCTCAACCCAAAATTCACACGAGTCCCGGACTCATCCGTCCAACTAAATGGTTCTACCTCATTATTTCAAAGTCCCCTCAAATCCAACATTCCCCAAACTTAATCAATCTTCACCCAGAATCCTATTCTTGGATCCTATTTCTGTTTTATTGAATGATGGCACTTCCATCAGTGTCATCACTTAAGCCAAAACCTAAAAGGTGTCCCAGACTTCTCCCTGTTCTCTCTCCCTCACTATGTCCTATTGATGTTAACTTTGATCCTGCCCCCTTGGAACCATCCTCATTGCCACTAATTAGGTTCAGATCCTCACGTTTTTCAAACAGATAATTATTTGCCAAGCATGGTGACTCACACCTGTAATCCCAGCACATTTCCAGGCTGAGATGGGAGGATCACTTGAGTCCAGGAATTTGAGATCAGCCTGGGCAACATGACAAGACCCCATCTCTACAAAAAAAAATTAAAAATTAGCTGGGCAAGGTGGCATGAGCCTGTAGTCTCAGCTACTTGGGAGGCTAAGGCAGGAAGACAGCTTGAGCCCAACTGCAGTGAGCCATGACTACACCATTGCACTCTAGCTTGGGCAACAGAGAAAGACCCTCTCTTAAAACAAAAAACAACAAAACCAGGTAATCATAATGAGCTTCTGATCGGCCTTCTGACTTGCAGTCTCTCCTCACTACAGTCCAGTCACTCTATTGTCATCAGGGGTAGGTTTCTATAATATAAATCAGATCCTGTCTCTACCCTACTCAGACTTCTGTGATGCCCCACAAAAGCTTCAGGTTGTCACCCATACCTCCTAGACTCCTCATGATCTGAATTCTGCAAACTTCTCTCAATTTCTCCCTCCACTTTCACCCAGACAACTTATATTCTATTCATACTAAATTAATTGCAATTCTTAAATTATGTTCTAATATCTAATCCCATTAGAAATATTATTTTTTCTGCTTACAAAGCTCTTCCCCTCTGATCTACTTATTGACCCCTTACTCTTCCTTTAAAGCCCAACTCAAGAGTTACTCCTCTGGGGAGTCTTCTATGACAGAGGCCTCTACTCAGGTCCCCAGCTTCCCTATACATAATTATTTAGGCCTTTAACTGTGCTGGTTCTGTACCTTACATGTACCTATCATATTGTGTTATACTTGGCAGCTTATACTTCATTTTTCCTTTCTAAATTATGAGCTTTATCCGAGTAGGGTCTGTCGTATATCACGAGTGCCTAATACTATGTTTGGCACAGAGAAGCCATACAAAAATCTTTAATGAATCCAATACTACCAGTGTTTCTGCTATAAACAAGAACTTAAAGACAGAATCTATTAAGTATAATAAATCCATAAAAATTCTATTCTTTTATTCCTTAAAAGTTACTTTTACTTCATTAAATAAAAGTCATGTTATTAAAGTTCCCAATCACCCACTATAAAATATTCTCACTTTGTGAATCTGTGGTTTCAAATCATCAAGCATTTCAAGTGATTTCGCCACTAAAGTATAGTAGTAAGTAAAAAAGTCTAAACTGATAACCACATTTGTTCAACAAATTTCTAGACAACAAATAAATTTTACTCCATAGAATTTTGAGAGGGAAAAACATTTCTAGAATTTTTACCTATGTGTAGTATCCAAATAAAACTTTCCCTATTTTAAAAAGTCATCATGGAACTAAACATACTCTTAAAATTTTAAATATAAAACAACCCAAGGGAAATTAGGGGGAACAGTTTACTAAATTTCAAAAAAGTATAGTTGTATTTTATACTTTTATAAGTCTGTGTAAAACCCTGTAAGGACCAAAATAGGTATTTTTTTAAAAAGCTGTACCTTCTAAATTCTTCAATCGATACTTGACTACACCAAAGTTACAAAATAAATTATTACCTTATTTTGGACATGTATTTAGTTCCAGGATGCCTTGGAAACTGATTGCCTGAGTCGTCCTTATTATTTTTTCATAAAATCCAATTTGACTAAGTTGCTTTGAGTTTAGGTCTCATAAATGTTTTAATGCATTTTTAAGGAATAATCAGGGTTTGAATTTTTCTGATTTCTCAGTAGAACAAAAATAGAGATGACTAATAATTTTGCAGCTACAGTTCAAGAAATTTAATATACAAGATATACAAAGCACAGCCGACGCAAAATTGTATTTCACATACAGGTAGTAGATCTTTTTAAAATGACATTTCACAAGCATCAGCAGAGTTGACAGACTAATACACTAAGACATTTCTTTGGAGCAGAACTAATGAGTCTCCTGGTATAGCTATCAAATTAAATTTATAAGACTCTCCACCCTCATTTAGAAGACTAACCGTGGAAACCATAGCTTTGTGGGCTATAACAAGAATCACTTCAAAATAAATGTAGTCTTATTATAATTTAGTATAGTAGAAAGCAATATGGAATGTCACACAATTCTCTTTGGCTTACTGTTACAAGGGAAGAGGTCTAATATGATTAATCTGCCAAAATTCAAGTGCACTGCAATATTGAGGTGCTCATAAATAAATACTGATAACTACAGAAGACTTGGTTGAAAAAATATTTTTATTTGTTTTGACTTGTTTTTAATTATTTTCTAGGCAGTCCTGTTTTAAGGACACAAAATGTGATTTATGGCAGCTACTGACCATCTCTGCTAAAAGGAAGAAAAAATGTCCAGCTGTTCTGTTATTTCCCACTTAACTATAATAATAATTCAAAATTTTAAGGGGATTGGGCCCAACACATGGAATATCTGCAATGTAGTTGATGCTTCATTAATATTTTGTTGAGTGAATAAATGGACAATAAATAAACTGTTTTAAGTTACATACCTGGAGGAGAAGGTGGTACTTTAAAACACGTTGCATAGGAACCACAAGCAAGTCTCGAAGAGTAAATTTCCCATTATTTGCTCTTTTGGAACATTCCTAATGAAATGTTTTAAAAACACTTTGTTAGGGAGTCATAAACATTAAAAGATGCAAAGGCCCTAGGCAGAACAGTTATTATACAATAAATGAGTGCGTTTGTTTCCTTAACAATCCTTCTCTGTAAATAACAGAAAGTATCTTCAATTTAAAAAAACAAATCTTGTAGTACTTTAACTCTAAACATGAATAAAAGAGAACTATTTTGTGTATGAAAATTATTTTCTTGGCCGGGCGCGGTGGCTCACGCCTGTAATCCCAGCACTTTGGGAGGCCGAGGCGGGCAGATCACAAGGTCAGGAGATCAAGACCATCCTGGCTAACATGGTGAAACCCCATCTCTACTGAAAATACAAAAACAAAATTAGCCGGTCATGGTGGCAGGTGCCTGTAGTCCCAGCTACTCAGAAGGCTGAGGCAGGAGAATGGAGTGAACCCGGGAGGCGGAGCTTGCAGTGAGCTGAGATGGTGTCACTGCACTCCAGCCTGGGTGACAGAGTGAGACTCCGTCTCAAAAAAAAAAAAAAAAAGAAAAAAGAAAAAGAAAATTATTTTCTCTAGTGCAAAATCATGGCCCCCCAGGGTCTTCTTCAGTTTATCTTTATCGCTGTACTTCCCACCAATTTCCCCCAGTGGACTTATAGAACAGGCATCAAGAACACATCCCTACTCATCAAAAGTGTCAATAGTCTTCCCACCCTCAACTATGGTTTATTCAGTTCCCTCAACTATGATGTGCTTTGTCCAGCCTCCAGCAAAATACATCTTCCTGTTTAAGAACTACAATCCTAGGCCTTTCGTAACAATTACAATCACAATTGGGTGTACTCTCTCTCTGTCTTGTGGGTCTTTTAATTATTATCATATGTAATATCTACTCCAATATGATTTGTGCTGTATGCCCCTAAGAATGTAGTATTTGCTTAATAAGTATTTACTGAACTGAATGAAATGGAATATTTGACTTTAAAACTTTGCTCAAGTATAAACCTACTACTAAACTCCAAGATTTAGAAGCCTTGGATTGTATTTAATTTCACCCTCTTCTTTCCTAAAGGTTTATTTTAAAATAGTATTGACTGGTTTGTTCTTTTGATAATAATTATGACTTTGAGTAAATTACTTTGAAGTGTCAAAGAATGAACTTAAAGCCAAGATTTGGCAACTGTTGGCGGTGTGACCTTGGACAAGTCACTTTTCTGATTTTACTGTTTCTCACGTAACTATGGTGTTCTTCAAAAAAAAAAAAAAAAAGGGCCATACAAATATTATTATTAGTGAGCAACCTCATAAGTCCAAAATCCTGACACAATTGCACATCCCAGCACAAGGACCTTTCCAGTTCATAGACGGAGTTGTGCTTAAGAAAATACACTGTTGCTCACAAGTTTGTTTCTTCTTTGCCCACACTTAGTTTTTCTGGCACATGGAATGATATATTATGAGGAGCTCCAAAAAAACACCATTAACTCTAATGATCCGTGACTTAATGAGTATGTCTGTCTACAGCTATCAGTCAAAATGAATTGGGGACACATCCTGACATGCTAGCTGTGTCATCAATTACTGCAGTTCATTAGAAGGATAACTATTTCAACCAGTTTCTTACTTCTACAGATTGTAGAGAGCTCTGGATCATGGGTCTCAAACAGAAAGTTACATTGTTAATATTACTATAATTAGTAGGTCTTATCTCCTCTGCTGCATTTTAAGGCCCTTGGAATTAAGGTTGTAGCTTATATTTCTTATGTTATGCCATCCCAACACAGTGGTAGGAACAGAAATATTATATATTTAAAATTCACTATATTATGGAAATTAGTTTCAAAATGTTGAAGAAAAAAAGTCAGTTCCTTTACATTCTAAGTTACAGGCTCAGGAAGTAAAGAAACCAACATTGCTGGAATTAGCTACACCTGGGAGATAGAGACTCAAATGTAAAATGCTTATTCGTGTTGAAAGTAAATAATGGGTAGAAAGAATCCTTCCAAAACATCCAGTCACTTGCTTAGCCTCAATTCAATTGTAATGGAAAATAAAATGAGGTAGGATGAGCCAGGCTGATAGGGCAAGATAAAGAGATTCATCGCCCTTCACCCCATGTTATCTTGGTTCCAAAGTAGAGAAGAAAAAGACAAAAAACTCAACAAGAACAAAAATAACCACAAAACAGAAGACACAAAGAAGGCAGAAAGACACCAAGAATAAGGTAGTTTTCCTTCTATCATGCTGGGGCTTGCGGCACGCAGCTCCCACTGAGTATTTGTTGAAGTGTTACACTAAGTATCCGACTTAATACTTCCAAATCAGGACTATGGTTAGAAGTGTGGGCTTTTAAGCTGAAGAAAGGACAGCAGGGGCACCTCACCCTGTGCCTTTCAAACTCAGCCTGATGTCCTCTCTTTCCCTAAGTCGAGCATTGACTGCAAAAACTACATACTTAGAGTCCCAGAGTATGGTCATTGGGCAAAACTTTGACAATAACTCTGAAAGAAGGAAGAACAACACTCAAACAAGACTGAGAATATAATGGAGGTGTGATTGACAACTTGCTGACTACTATCTGGGAGCACAATTTTATATCTTTATTTTAAGAAAAACTGCTTTAATGTTGCCCTACTAGGAAGTAGGTGTATAAGTTGTAAAATTTAATTTTATCATCATATTTTGAGTCACAGTGGCTCCCAGCTCTACACTTAGGAGGCTCTATTCTGCAAAGAGGAGCAGGAAGTCTTTGCACTAACAATGTTACAAGGATGTTATTTAGGGGTGACTCAAACTACCTCCAGTCTTAAAGTCAACATAATGAAGGAATATTAAGATATAAAGCAAAAAGATCACGTATCTAGTACAGTTACTTGGTGGCCTGTTAACGTGCAAACTGTCTAAGCAATAGTTTCCCTTTGTGGGAGTTGTGAGCTATGAAATCATGCCAGAGAGGCAAAACAGTGAAGGGCTTCTGATTTGAAAATCACCTGCCCCTTCTCCCCTGACCTCAGTGCTACACTGAACAAAGAAAAGGAAAAGGGATATTAAACAGGCAAATAAGCCACACGCTGTTAAATTTAAGAGCTGGCTATATATCTCTACCTGAAATTTAATAAAATTCAAAATACATGGATAATACAGTGACTGATACAACAAACATTGTTCAAAAGTTCTTTGAAAGCATGAAGTCCTCGAACTCCTCTTCAGGAAAAAAAAAAACAAAAAACAAAAAACAAAACAAAAAAAAAAACATGATGTACAAAAAAACACGACTTAACCTAGGTTTCTAGACTTATATACTGTTGTGATCATGCACTCTGTTTATATCGGCCTACGTGCCACCTCTCAAACTTTCCCAACTGTTCTGGTCAATACATACCAATTGTTCAGGAATGCTCTCCATAGAATCTCATCTGTCAAAGCTCATCCCATTCTTTGGTGACCTAACTCAAATGCGCCTCTTCAGATGAATCCTCTACAATCTACCCACACTGAAGTGGGTAGATTCAGTCTTACAGAGCCCTATTATACAGTGCTTATCACATGTTATTTAATCCTACCATATTTGTGTTCGTCTTCTCTTCCTTCCTGTGGGCAATATGCATGGCCTTTTAATACATCTGATTCTAAATGTCATATTTTTAGTAAACATCTTTTTTATTTTGTTTTTGATACAGGGTCTTGCTTTGCCACCCTGGCTGGAGTGCAATGGTGCAACCATAGCTCACTGCAGCTTCAAACTCTCGGGCTCAAGTGCATACTCCTTGGCCTCAACTTCTCAGGTAGCTAGAACTACAGGCATGAGCCACCCTGCCCAGCTAACTAGTAAACATTTTAAATCTACATATACATTATCTAACGTATCTCACTCGTCCTGCACTTCTTACTATCTACGCAAGTTATTCATAATCTCTCTGAACTTCAGCTTTCTCATAAGATGAGAAAATTAATTGTACCTATTTCACAGAGTCAGAAGGACCTAATGAGATAATGCATGTAAAACACAGGGCCATAAATGTTAGATTTTTAACGACTGTTACTATTACTACCATATTACTATTTTATAGAGCTGTTTAAATATTTTATAAAATTGACATGAAATTATATTTAAAATAATGGGAAATGTACTGCTTCACTGATCATAAAGAGGAACACATTGCTTTTAGGTTTATTTTGCTTTATGTCATAAACTAAAAATAAATAGGCACCTCTAATTTCAGTTTGACATCTTCTTTTGTCTTAGAAATGTAGTCTAAACTAGAGATGGCTGACTCCACTCCACTGCAGTACTGCCCGTAAATAACCAATCTGAAAGGGAAAAAAGACAAGAAATCTCTAAGACAAAAACCAAGAATGAACTGGAGGGGGAAACAAGCAGAATCTTCATCTCTTTAAAACCATTGTTAGGGATAACCAAAATAGCAGTAGAAATTATTTTTAATACATACCACATACACAGTCATAGAATAAGGGTCACTCATTTTTATAGTAATGACTAATTTGTAGTTCCAACTTTGAATGAGATTAATTCTATGTAAATTTTTATAGCAGGCAGAATTTACAAACTGGCTTGATGACTGTTAATGTTATTTGAGTAGACATAAATGCATTCCAAAAACAAAATTAAAAATTTCTGTTAAAGCTCTTACAAGAGATAAACTTTGTCTCTAAACACTCAGAAAGTTTTCTCTATTACAATTTTATGCCAATCACTACATATAACTCCTTCATTATTAAACCTCTTACTCCTTGCTACTTTTTAATTAAGGAACATAAATCATCTGAAGAGAGGAAAACGAGAGACCTGAACTGTTCTGGACAGAAGATAACTCATATCACATGGAATCTGACCCACTTCAGGGAAGGTATCTCTGTAGCACAAATATTTTGCAAAGAGGTCAGTTGGTTTATTGCTTCTCTTAACTCTCCACTGGAAAAAAGACACTACTAATAAAATGTGAATATTTATCGAAGACTTGATGCAAAGTAATTCATTAGCCACTTCTTAGTACTAGGAAATACGTTGCTTGATTTGAAAAGAGAGATAATTATATTTTAAGCAAAATTTCTTGATACTCCAATTCCTATAGGTTGTCAGGAGATTTTTTTTTAACTTAGAAAGGGAAACTGACTCTGCGAATCTAATACTCCAAAATAGAGTGTCATAAAATACCAGAATTGGAAGAAAAGTGGAAGAAGCATTAAGTACCAGCTAATCTACCTCCGGTGTTTACAGATGGGGACACAGAGGCTCAGAGAGTTAAAATGACTTACTGAAGATTACATCGCTCAGTAATGATAAAGCCTGTAAAAGAAACTTAGCCTTTTGATTTGCGATGCAAAAAAATAAGCACCATACTGGGTCCTTCCCCCTCCTCCTTCTTCTTCTTCTTTTTTTCTTTTTTAATTACATATATAGAACTCAAACTACTACTCTGAAAGTAATTGTCCCACGTTCTAATTACTGCTCAGGTAGTAATGTAATAAACAGCAGTAATAGCTATTTGTTAGCTATTTTAATACTAATCCTCACTATAATTACAAGCTAAGACCCACAAAACTTAAACTTCAAAAGTTACCTTTCCTTGTAGTTAATAAAAACTTGGTACAAGTTCTGGTCATTTTTATTTACAATGGAATCATGAATCTCTTGCATTAGGTTCCGATGAAGTTTTACAAGTTCCTAAGAAAAGAAAACAATGTGAAAGGAAAGTAGGAATAACAACCAAAAAATACACCCCAAACCCAGAATCCTTTTAGTTGCTAGACTTGCCACTCAGGATATGCTGAATGCTCTCAATATATAAAACTGCTTCCACCAATAAAGAGAGAGGGAAAAGGAGAGTGGGGAGAGAAAGGGGGAGGAAGGGGAGGAAGCAGCGGGAGAGGACAGGGTAGAAGAGGAGGAGGGAGAGCAGGGGAAGGAAAGGAGAAAAAAGAAGGAAGATAAGGGGAAGGCAGAGGAGAGGGAGGAGAAGAGAAGGAGACAGGCCATGCAGATGGGAAACAGCAATTTCAGATCTCAGTTGAAATGTCAGCATCCTGTGAAAAAAGAAATTATCTCACTAGTTATTAAAGGATAATTTATTCCTTGTGTAAAAATATGTATAGCTTATTTTTGTTTTATAATCACTGTAAATTTTTTAAATAAAACTGTCCAAGTGCCTAATGTTTTATTGACAGGATAAAATAATGACTCATGTCCTTGTGACACAAACATGTAAATTTGTACTTTGGTCAATTAGTGGTGTCCTGGTGCTAAGCTAACAATAATCAGACTAAATTACTTGAAATCAGGCAACTAATGGCATAAATAAGGAGCAAATAAATTGTATTCGACAGTTTACCAGAGCAACTCAAAATGTCAGAATTTCACATTTTTCCCGATAAGCAACTAATTTTCAGTCAGGCAGTAAATACATGTCATAGCCAGGATATGAGGCAACTTGAACTAGGTGCCAATTCTCCCATTATCTCATCCTGTGTACCTTGGAGCACACATTGACTCCACAGCATGCTCTCTCCTTAGTGGTGTAGAAAGTAAACATGAAGATGTGGGCTCTAAGTTATAAAGACCATACTTAAGTGGTTCAAGATCCTTATCTTCCCCAAATGTGCAGTTTATTTAGTGCTAAACCTTCAGCTGATATTGTGCATGTTATAAATCAACAAGAATGTCCTCATTCGGCCAAAATCAGGGACAAGGATGACATGCCATTGCTTACCAACTGCTACTCAGCAACACAGAACACAATAGAATCAAAACACAAAGAACTGTTCAGGTAATACAAGCAGGTCTGTGAATAAAAGCTTATATACATTTATCAGTGTATGTGTACATGCGTGCATGGGGGTGGGGATGTATAAACCAAAGCAAGTCCTAGAGGTCTGAGAACTTGAATCTTGCCTAGCATTACCTCACTTGGCATGACATTTAGCTTGCTTCTAGATTTCTGGGCAAATATCCTTTTAAGATTGTAAGATTCTGGTAAGGTGCCCTGAAACTTGAAATGCTTACATAAATGTAAACGAAAAATATCTCCTCAAATTTTACAATTAAAATAGTCTGGTAAATCATAAGGAAGTAGGGTATTTCATAAATGGGAGTTACATATGATACAACTGGAAGTAGAAAGCACCAAATAGTAGAAGTCAAAGATGTGGAGGAATGGAGGAAAGTAGGGGAAACTGATATGGTGAGGACATCACCTACAAGACAAGGTCTGAGGGTCTGGAAGAGCAACAGAGCTCCGCAGGGAAGTGTGGGGATGGAAGTGGATCCCCAGATTATTTGAGACTACCTCTTCATGACAAAGAGTTAAGAATAACACATGAAAGTTATTTTTCCATTTGTGTTCTTCGTACATGTTGACTGACTTTTGGTTGAAGATATGATACATCAGTTATTTCAAGAAAATAAGGATATAAAAACTGGAAAAGCAAAAAATAAATAAATAAGGCCAATATTCTTAAATAATACAAAAGAGTATTAAAATAGGGATCTGGAACCCCCTAAGGAAATGAAGATTTTATTGAAGTACACCACAATTTTAGCTAGCATATTTTTACTCACAGGAATGTTGATGAATACTGAATCAAATTCTGCTGCTGTCAGAAATCTTTTTAGTGGTGCCATGAAATACTACCAGGAAAGAAGAAGAAAATAGTAATTAAGTATAACTTGTCCTAATCTATATAATAGTTTTTCATCAACAAACAACAAATACGTTTTGAAAGTCAATTGTTGATCAGCATTATAAACACCAAAATTGTAGAAACTATTTTCTCTAACTTAAAGACTTTACACTTGAATAGATATATAAAAACATAAATACGAGCTAATATTAATACATTTAAAGTATAAAATAAAATGGTTTAGACAATAAATGCTTCCAAAAGGAAGGAAGAAAAGAACATTATTGTCTGAGTTGCCAAAAAATGGCAACATTTTGGAGATGTATATGAAGACTTACACAGTAATATCTCCCAAATGTTTTGTGGAGATTCTAGATCCCTGAGATCAATAATCTATGTATGCAATTTATGAATTATTCCTTGAGAATTTTAGTTTCTGGCCTACCATATCTCTTTCATTCTCGGCATTCTCAGTATCTGTGCAGAGGATCCTTCTAGTACTGGTCTCTCAGTTCCTTGACCACAAATAATCTTGTGCTCCACTCTAGCTCAACTCCTAAATCTTATGGCCATACTCACAGACCTTGTCATTATCAACAACTTCATATGCTTCATAGCACTAATTTCAAGGAATTGGGTCAGCCAGTCCACTAACCATCCCACCTCCATCATATCCTCATTTCCCTCCTAACCGAGTTTATACTCCATGAATCACTTCCCTGTAAATCCCCTTACCTTCTCTTCTTCCATTGTGCTTTTCTAGAAAAACAAACACCCTGATCAAGTCTAACTTGCCACATATTTTGTGACTCTATCTAAGAAGTTAAGCATGGACATTACCGATCGTCTAATTTTCAATATGACCACAAAACTCAACTGGGCCTGTAACGCTACATAGTGCTACTACAGTTCCCTAGTCAATCTACTCTTCTACTCTTCTAAATAATGCTTGCATACTTTCACTTCTTTCCCTAACCTCTAAATGTGAGAGTCTGGAGAGCTGGCCTCAAACCTCTTCCCTAACATGCATTCACTAGGGTGATCTCACTTAGTCCCAGGGCCTTAATGCCATTGTGTGATGATAATGGCCCAATCTATTTGTCAATTCAGTCTTTCCCCTTAATGCCTGATTCATATACCTAACACCTTTCTCAACAAATCCCATTCAAAGTCTAATAGGTATCACAAATTTCACTTGTTCCAACAGACTCCTGATTCCCAAGCCTGTCCTTCCCCACCCCTGTAATCTTCACCATTCATGCAGTTTCTCATGCCAAAACCTACAGTCATCCTTGACTCCTCTCTTTTTTTCACATCCTTTACTTAATTCATCATCCAATCCGGTTGGTTCTATGTTTAAAATTTACTCAGAATCTGACCACCTATACCACCATTTTTGTCATCTCGATTAACACAATTTTCTTCTAATTCTTCTCTTAGTTACCACTCTTGCCTCAGAAGAGCCAGAATGAGAGGTTAAAGACTTAAATCACATCATGTCACTTCTGCTCACAACCCTTCCCAATGTCCTTGCATGGCCTAGAAGCCCACCAGCTCTCCCACCTCATGCTCAGTCCCCTTCCCTCATTCTGCTCCAGCCACACTGGACTGCTGCTGCCCTTGAAGCACATGCTGAACACTTTCCAATCAGAGGGGCTCTCTCGGGAATGATCTTCATTGGCATATGTACACGGCTTATACCCTCAGTTCACTTAGCTGCCCACTTAATCTTGTCACAGAGGGCTTCTGCTACCACTCTTTATAAAATGCCACCAGCCCTCCCCCCCCATCACTCTCTATCTTATGCCCCTGCCTTATTTTTCTTCAGAAAACTTATGACCATCTGGCATATTTATTTGCTTACATTCTAATCCTCCCATGGGAAAAAGTGTCATGAGAATCAGAATACTGTTGTATTTATTACTATATCCTTAGTCCCTGAAACAGTGCCACTCAGGTACTAAGACATCCATAAATAGTTGTAAAATGAATAAATCTGCTTTGAGATCTTTAAGTACAAAGTTCTCCTAAAAATTATAATACACATACACACCTTCAGAAGAAACAGTGAGTCTAATATATTAACTATATTAGGCAGTATTTGGGCATCAAAAATAATACCTGATGACTTACCTTTTCTATTGACTCCAAAGTTTCTGTATATTTTTCTTCTGTCTGCTTAATTTCTGCTAGACAACAACTTCGTATATCATTTTCTGGACATTTCTGCAGTTAGAATTATCAAAATAAAATGATTTAATAAAATCATATATTAACCTATCGGGAAGTAGAGATCAAAAGCATTGCTGACTTTCTTAAACTTTCCTTTCTAATACAACACATAATTGAAAGACATCTAACTGCATTTGTGAGGCATCTTTGCTGTTTTTATAAAAATCGTGAACAATGTAATGACAAAGATTTAGATGATTAAAAAATAAGCCTCTGAATGTAGACACTCTAAAATATCTCTTACTAAAATGTTCATAAAGTTGGAAACACCATAAATGGTGTATGATTATTTCCTTAATGTACAGCACACTTAACAAATACTATAGAAATAACTGCAAAAACAATAAAAAGGTATTTGGCAAAGTAAGTAAAGACCTTCAAATATTTTTTCCAACATTAACATCTTACTGCTTGACTTTTTAACTAAGTATTTAAGATTGGAAGTCATAGAGCACAACACTAAAATCAAAGATTCTGGAATCTGATGGAATTGGGTTCAACACCAGTTTTCTTGTCAGCTTTTTTTTTTTTTTTTTGAGTCAGAGTCTCGCTCTGTCGCCCAGGCTGGACAGCAGTGGCGCGATCTCGGCTCACTGCAACCTCTGCCTCCTGGGTTCACGCCATTCTCCTGCCTCAGCTTCCCAAGTAGCTGTGACTACAGGTGCCCGCCGCCACGCCCAGCTAATTTTTTGTGTTTTTTAGTAGAGACGAGGTTTCACCGTGTTAGCCAGGATGGTCTTGATCTCCTGACCTCATGATCTGCCTGCCTCGGCCTCTCAGAGTGCTGGGATTACAAGCGCGAGCTACCGCGCCCGGCCTGTTGTTAGCTTTTCTAACTGTGAATGAATCACTAAATTTCTCTGACTCAGTTTTCTTATCTGTCAAACAGAGAGAATTACAGTACCAACCCCAAGGAATGGTAAATAAGATAAACAGTATAAAGCACTTAGCACTTTTCCAAGTGCGCAAGAAGAGTCCTACCCATCTAAATTATTATCACTGTTCACCCCATCAGCTGAGTGAGGACTGCCCTTGCGGGAGACAGTGAAGAATGCACTAGCACTCAATGCAGTTAACAATTACAGGAGGCACAGATGATATTCGGTCACCTAAAAATGTTCTGAAAATGCTGCCACAGATGGGCTGTCAGCCTATGCAATGGTTAAACCACACTTGCGTTATATTCCTCAAACACAGGCAGGTAACTTGTTTCCATTCCACAGAAGCTACTGGACAGCCCATCAGCCTTTTATTAACAGTAGGAACATAGAGAGAGCTAAGCGCATTCATCAAAGCACTGTGGAAACAAAAATTACCAAGCAGCTGGTAAAGAAAAGTCTTTAATATACAAGAAAAAGTTATTAAGAACCTAAGCAACTGACTTTTTCTGTTGTTGTTTCAAATTGTAAATGAGAAAATAATCCAAAGTAATCCTTTCTGAATGTTCTGGATATATTAATAGCAGATAAGGTTTTGAGGGCTCATATTGGCTATGACAATATCTGAAACTAAATTTATAAATGAGTAGGAAAGCCAGGAGACTTACCATGAAACAAAAGAAAAATGGTACCTCATATTAACACTTAACAAATGTGAAGAAATACTCTTTAATATATATTTTATCTTATATCAAATTTAAAGGGAAAAATTTACCTGTGTTGTAAGAAATTTACTTTTATAAGAGTATAATTTCATGATTCCCTAAAATTCTATTCTACTACCACCCTGCCATTATTTAACTGGGTGGCACTTCATTTCTCTCTCAGACTTTGTTTCCTTACTAGCGAAATGAAAAGACTAGACAAAAGATTCCCTATGGTTGTTTTGAACTCTGAAAGGTCATGCATATGTCTCCAAATGCAGTAACAAGTCATAATTATATAGTTATAAGCAAGCAAAGGTTAAAAAAAATCCCAGCAGATGTTACATAAATTATTATGTTAATTAGCCTTTCCTAATAAAATATTCAGAGTAACTTTAAAAACAAGTAAAAGTCCTACGGGCTGATGTGCTTCCTCTGCCTTCATTAAGTCCTCATAGACTTCTCCACCTTCATCTTCCCCATAAACACAGTCATAGAGATCTTCTTCATCTTCCACAAGGGTTTCACTACAACAAAGGATATCATATAAGGTCATTTTCTATTATGCAGTAAATGCAATAGCTACAAATAGCCTACTGGATTTTAGTAAAAAATCCAGAAAGGAAATAAAATGGAATTAGTGGAAAGAGTTCAAAAGGTTTACATTACAACTTTGTCCCTCTTAATAGGTACAATGACAACTACAGAATCCAATAACGAGGGCAGTGGCAGCCATCATTTACTGGGTAGTTACTATGTATAAGCACAAAAATAATTATTCTACATATATTATCTTACATAATTCATCCAACATTAATGATCAGGTGTGCATTATTATTTAATCCATTAAAGAGATGAGGAAGTTGAAAGACCAAAAGGCTATTTGACTTTACAAATAACCCAGGTAGTCACTGGCAGATCCAATATTTAAAACCAAGTCTGTCTTAACGCTGAGTGTTTTACCCACTCTATCATACTGCCTCCCACTTTTCATATTTCAAGACCTCAGTTTCATCAACTGTATTAATGGGTATAATATGGAGAAGATAGGAGAGTTAAATTGTATCTAATATGTCATAAGTGGTCTTATAAAAGCATCAGTTACTGCAGTGTTATAATCAGCATCTAATCCAGTGGTTTTCAACCCATGCTCTTTCAAGCCCATTCAGAGGAAACCCACCAGTCCCCCATCAACCAGACCCTTCCTTTATCTGTTTTATATTCAGGGCCATAACTAACATAAAGACAGATGAGGAGAGGAACAGACAGAGATAGGAGACTGGGACAACCAGACTTGGTGAACACTGAGAATAAGGGAGGGAGGAGGAAGGAAGAGGAAGGAGCTTTCTACTTTGGGACACCAGGGAGATGGTGATCCATATTGGCAGTAACATAATTTCCATACTGAGGGGTTTAGGCGGCAATCTGGCCAGAGAACATTAGGGCAGGTAAATCGGTTTGCACATTCTCTGTACCACATCAAAGGATAGGAAGGTCTGGTGAGTTCATGAAGGAGCTGAGATATAAAATGATGAAAAAACAGGTTCTGCATTGGAGGGGATCCTGTTTGGAAGCAAAATGGACTGAAATTCATTTCCCTGGCACTCCTAATCCCAGAACTCCTGCTTGTCATCCCTAACATCACCACCCCTGCAAAAAAGTCAACCTTGCTGAAGTCCTACATTTCACTATTTCCCATGACAGTAAAGGAATGAATCATATAAATTAGCACAGACTTTTCTCTATTTTTGCTGTTGTTGTTGTTTGGGGGACAGAGTCTCACTCTGTTGCCCAGGCTGGAGTACGGTGGTGCAGTCTTGGCTCACTGCAGCCTCCACCTCCTGGGTTCCAGCGATTCTTCTGCCTCAGCCTCCTGGGTAGCTGGAATTACAGGCACGCACCACCATGCCCAGTTAATTTTTGTATTTTTAGTAGAGACAGGGTTTCACCATGTTGGCCAGGCTGGTCTCAAACTCCTGACCTCAGGTGATCTGCCCACCTCAGCCTCCCAAAATGTTAGGATTACAGGCATGAGCCACCGCGCCTGGCTGACTTTTCTCTATTTTAAGACCTGTAAGAATGACATGCATGTGTGAGTGCATGCGTGCATGCAAGTGCACAAACGCAAACACACACACAAGACTGGTCTAGAACTGTTTGGCTTTTGTTATTCAATCCTTTACTAAAGCTGCTTTTCTTGCTAACAGCTTAGTCAACAATTCCTGATTTCTGAGCCAGGAAAGAAAAAAGCTGTGATATTTTTCAAATGGTCAATAAATCAAAAACAATCGACATGTAAGGCCACCTACATACGGGCATGTCTGGCGCCCTGATACTAAAAGGACACTGTACAGTGTAGCCATTACCTGCCCTCTCCACTCCATCCTGTGGCTTTCTCCCCAACTTAGGAAACAATGATTGCCTCCACAGTGGGGACCAGGCCAGTATTTATTCCAAGGGCTTCCGTTTGGGTGAATGCAGCCCCAAAATTTAGAGTTAAGTATATTTACCCATAGAAATTGTAATAAAGCTGAGAATAAAAATCAAGCTGTCACAGCAAACTCAAAACCAAGCATGTCTAGGGATAATACATTTGCTTTTTTTTTTTTTTTAAGATAACCCTACTTCACCTTTTATCCCAGAACTTTGGGAGGCCAAGGTGGGTGGATTGCTTGAGCCCAGGAGTTGGAGACCAGCCTGGGCATATTAAATAAATAATTTCTTTAATCCTGCAAATACATTCGGACCTTCGGCCACCAGGTAGAAATTTAAAGCAGACTGCCTCTCACAGAGCAAGGGCTGGCATCTCAGAGCAGCCAATTCAGGAAACCAAGGTTTTCTCCAAATTTAGCTAGGAATGCATCCTCACTGGATTTATCCTGACATCATGTCTGCCTAAATAACAGTGAAAAGAACAAAATGGGGAAGCTATAAAAATTTATAGGTGTAAGTCACCACTGGTATGGGTTAAAAAAGAATATCGACTGGGCACAGTGGTTCACACCTGTAGTCCCAGCACGTTGGGACACCAAGGCAGGTGGATCATGAGGTCAGGAGTTCGAGACCATCCTGGCTACCACAGTGAAACCCTGTCTCTACTAAAAATAAAAAATTAACTGGGCGCAGTGGCAGGCACCTGTAATCCCAGCTACTTGGGAGGCTGAGGCAGGAGAATCACTTGAACCCAGGAGGTGGAGGTTGCAGTGAGCTGAGATCGTGCCATCGCACTCTAGCCTGGGTGCCAGAGCAAGACTCAGTCACAAAAAAAAAAAAAAAAAAAAAAAAAAAGAATAGCATCACGGCACTAGAAATTAAATATTCCCCTTAAACAATCTGAGTACATTACCAATAATCTTAGTCACTTTATGAAGATTACAACCAATTCAATAAAACAACTGGCACTATCTTGCTTACTGTTGGTGAGTTCTTAGAGATTTTAAGAGATAAGAAACTACTCTTAATAGATATTTAAAATATAAGACTGAAAGATCATTCTCAAGGCCACCTACCCTGGAAAGAGCTGCTGGCCATCCATCGTGTGACTGCAGTGGGTGTGCTCACCCCCTCTACTCTTCTACTAAAAGCTCTGAGAGGGATCTGGAAGTTGGGGCTGTGACTAACAACCTCTGCTCTAGAATAAGAGGTGTCTGAGTTCAAATCCAAAGACTACAATTTACTAGCAATATTACCCTCAGCAAGTAACTAGGCTTTTCAAAATTCAGTTTTCTCACTTTTAAACTGTGAAGATATAATAACAACCTAGTAATATTGTGGTATTACATAAGATAGTGCATATAACCTGGTTAGCACACAAATGGAAACTCAGTAAGCTCTTATTATTATTGCCAGGTGTAATACCTGGCAAACAGTAGATGCTAGATGCAGTTTTGACTTATTAATTTGGAAAACAAATACTTATTGAGTACCTACTATATGCCAGACACTGTGAAGTTCTAGGAATACAGCCATGAACAAGGCAAAGTCCCACACCTCACAAAAGTGTACCTTCTAATGAGGAGACAAACAATAAATGAAGCAAACCAAGACTGTCTCAGGCATTGGCAAATGCTGTAAAAACACAGCAATGTAAGGGGGTGGTGGCAATTTTAGACAGGATAGTCAGAGAAGGCCTCTCTGTAGGGAAATCTAAGCAAAAACTTGAACGCTGAGGGATCAGTCAAACAGGCAGAAAGAATAGCAGGTGTAAAGGTCACAAGGCTAAAACAAGCCCAGTGTGTTGGGTGTATGAGGAAGGATAGATGAATGAATGGATGAAGTTCCATAGCATTTGAATCTGTCTTGGGGCATAATCTATTTCTTATTATGATTCTTTGCAAACATGCCTGATCCATGTCATCAGTTCCTTGAGGAGTAACGATCACGCATATATTTATTTGTAATCTGTACAAGTCACTCAATCAGCAGAAGATAATCGGCTGCAAGGACCTTTTGCCTCTCTTGACTATTAAATAATAGAGCCCAAAAAGATTCTCTGTTCAGAACAAACACCGCCTACTAAAACATCCCGAATAGCTCCAACCCACACTTATCTCTCCCTTCCTTGAACTTATAAGGCATGCACTATGTGTCCCACAACTCCAGCAGCAGATTCTATTTCTTTTAAATTGTTCCCTAACTCCAGTTTTATCTACTACTTCTGTTATGCCTTTGAGAAACTTTGAAATTTTACTTCATTAGAGTAAGTTTCTTTATTCTTCATGGGGACACAAAACAGGAACTAAAAACCAGTTGAAGTACATTTTCTTGTAAAGCTTTCCATCGCCAGTTTAAGGTTAATCAGTAATTAAGCCACTTTTCCTCCTTCAGATAGCTTACTTTAACATCCACAGTTAAAACCCACAATGGACACATAAATTGGCAGTGGCTAAATTTTGCTTGAAATTTTCAACATACTCTATTAAATCAGGAAGGCCTTTGTAGATGTCTTCATCATTAATGCTTTCTTCTGTTGGGAAGGGCCTAGGAAGAGGAGAAAAAACAAAAACAAAAAAACAAACCCATGAGTGAACGAGCAACAATCAGGCTGCGCACTTAACCCTCACTAAATATGTAAGTTGTCTGCTGCCAAAATGGTCAGATCAGTCACCATGTCTAACAATATCTAGGGCTTTCCCTAAAGTGCCTGCTCAGTGGCTTTGTCTGGGGTTCCCCTAGGGAGGCTGTAACACCTGCCACCTGAAATCATCTGAAGCAATTACAGCTGGTCACCACAGTCACATGTGCAGGGGGTCATAATAACGTGCTTATCTGATCTCCCACCTGCCACATACCTGCAGGGTCACCTCACCCACTGCAGCACCCCAAGTCAGACAACAAACAGCTGTGCATGTACCCTTGCCTTCAGCACCCTCTCTTTTCAGCTGTGGGATCTGATAACAAATAATTTGGTAGCAATCATCCTTCCATGGCTCCGTTCACTAGTGTAGATGAAAACTAGTAGAAGACAAAAACATTGTGCCCTTTACATATACGGTCATTGACCCTGACATTTCTGCTCAGACTTTAGGGTATTTAAGCTGTATGTTTTATTTTCGTTTATTAGACAAATGAGTCAACCAGACCTTGGGGTGAATAGAGTGTTTTCTTTGTTCCCTATTCAAGAAAATCACCTTTAATGTATCTCCTATTCCCACTGTGTGGCTTCCTTGTTTGCATCATGGTACTATGTCCTTTTTTCATAACTGCCTTAAATTTATGTCTAACAAAATCACAGTAAGCATACTGTGCCAAAAATTCTACTCTTTTCAGGCAGCCAGCATATCACATGTTTCATAAAAACCAGAGGATCCATCAAAATAATAAATAAGCTTTAAATAATTACTAGTTATATTAAAAGCAGAGTTTCACATTGACTTATGGATTAATTTAATACTGAAGACATTTGAGGAGACTAGGTTTTTCAAATAAATCAGTGTGTGAGAAATGTAGTCTCATAATCATTTTTTATAAATTAAGGCACATTTTATTATGCAAGTTCATTGTAGAAAATATAGATGAGAAAAAAAGGAGAAAAATTTTGACTTACGTTTTTTCAGAATCAATACATAAAAATTTGATCATGCTTTAAAAAAATCTTTACATATAATAACATAAAATATATATTGACATGAAAGGTATGCATGTATTGAAGAGCAAATTAGGAGTTAAACATTTATCCAGCCGACAGACCATATACATAGAAAGCTGCCAAATTCATGGCCCATTTCTGAGAAAGGTCCTGTACCAGCAGGGCATTTTTCCTGAGCTCACTGTGCTTTGTAGCCAGTGCAGAGAACCCCACTAAGTCCTGCTTGGATCCTCTCTCCCTTAGAATGTGAATGTGAGCTGGACACAGAAAAATGGCTGTGATGGCCAGAGACAGAAATATGGAGCACTGAATAAAGAAGGTAAAAAACAAATTTGATCCATTTCCATGAAACCAGGCTGAGTAGAGACTGTTTTGCTTTATTTCCTAATGTTACTTATATAATACATCTTTGCTGACTGATCTAACTTAAGTATGTAGTATCTGAAACAGAAAAGGCTCAACACAACATACACATCTATATTTTTATGCTTATCAACTGCATAATACTCTATTGCAAGGAGATGACATACTATATTTAACCAATTTACTTCCAGGTTTTTAATTTACTACTGAACCTTCAATACACATTCTTGTACACATGTTTTATACTTGTTTGATTATTTCTTAAACTCCTAAAAGCTATGAGTTATTATGATCTACTCTATAGGAAATAAACATATTACAACATCTTATAAATATTTATTTACTTAAGCATTTGTGTTTACTTTAATGAATCATATGTACAGAAATGTTGGAGGAAAGTTAAAAAAAAAAAAAAAGAAGAACCACACCAGTGACAGTCACCTGTGAATTGAGAACAATGTTTAGCCAATGTGTTATTCAACTCTATCAATAAGTTCTACCTTGCTCAATTAATTTCAAACGTGTACGGGATACTTACATACCAGGCACTCTTCATGAATGAGACATAGTACCTGTGTGCAAGATGCTTCACAAATAGTAACCATTTAATAAAGAATCATTACACTGAACTCAATGGGACACATGAACAACGAAAACAGAGCTTACCTGATTCCTGTGGCCAATGCTATAGGTGTTCGAGAAAGTCGTGATAATGTTTCTATAACCTGAGAAAAGAGGAAAATACTAATTAGATATGTAGTTCAGAAAATATAAGATTTCTTTTTCCAAAATTTTTTCAATCTAATATTAACCATAGCAGCAGAAACATAAATTTGCAGGTGTCAAAGATGTGCAGAATGAGAAGGGCTGTGATTGGGAAGTATAAACACCTGGATTATAATTTTATAATTATTACTTAAAGTAATAAATTACTTTATTACTTTAAGTAGATTACTAACCCATTTGAGTTGCAGATTCTATATCAGTATAACACAAAGTTAGCCTGGGTGGCCCCAAGCAACTTGTATCTCTACTTTTACAGAATCTGAAAGATTCTGGAAAGCTGTATTCTCCAGTATAGTACCCACTAGCCACATGAGGCTATTTAAATTAATTTAAATTTTAAAAACAAAAATCCCAGTTCTGCAGTTGCACTAGCCACATTTTAAGTGTTCAGTAGCCACACACATGTGGCCACTGTAATGAACTACACAGTTATCAAAAAATTTCCATCATCACAGAAAGTTCTATTGGACAGTCCTGCTATATAGCAAAGCAGGTGAGACTGTGGGCGGGCTCTTGGGCCAGACCACCTGAGTCTAAATCCTCAGCTTACCATTTATTGGCCAAGTACTTTTGGGCAAAATACTTAACTTCTCTGAGCTTTTGTTTCATCTTCTAGATAATGCCTATAATAATAGTTAGATTATTAACAATCATTACATTATCGTGAGGATTAAATAAGCTAGCACGTAAACTATTTAAATAGTAGCTATTCTGTATAATCACCAACTTTAAGGAAATTGCCTTAATTTAATTCTGAGTGTTTTCAGAAAAAGTTTTCTAAATTAACCTTAATTATGTTTCAAAGATTCCTTATAAAGATCTTCAGTACTTAAATCTAAATGTTAAATATACTCTGCTAGCAACTTTACCCTTCCTTCAATCTTTTGTCCTAAGATTGTCTCTTTCGAAGACTTAGTGAGAAAGCCATTTATCTAAAATGTATTTTTCTCATAAAGTCTATTCTTGTTTGTTTCTTTTTTGAGACAGAGTCTCACTCTGTTGTGCAGGCTGGAGTACAGTGGTGCGATCTTGGCTCACTACAACCTCTGCCTCCCAGGTTCAAGTGATTGTCATGCCTCAGCCTCTCAAGTAGCTGGGATTACAGGCACACACCACCATGCCTGGCTAATGTTTGTATTTTTAGTAGAGATGCAGTTTCGCTATGTCGGCCAGGCTGGTCTCGGACTCCTGGCCTCAAGTGACCCACCTGCCTTGGCCTCCCAAAGTGCTGGGATTACAGGTGTGAACCACTGTGCCCGGCCATAAAGTTTATTTTTATGATAATAGATATAATGCATCCTAACTCTCAAAATTTTAACAAACACAACTTAAAGAGGTTCTACATGAGGCTTATTCAGAATGATAGTAAAAAGCGAGAAAAGGCAAAAATCTGTTTCTAAATTAAGGTAATCTAATTCCTTACTTCAGAGACAGGAACATAAAAATGAAGTCTCTCCAGTACTCTGTAGAAGGTTCATGAGAGTACCAGCCACACATACACTTATATCTCACCCACTTCAGGAACTGGTACCATATATATATATGGTTGTAGTTAGAAACTCCTGGCTTTGGAGTAAGAATACCTGGAGCCCTGACTCACAAGTTTTCAGCTATGCTCACCTTTACTAGCCTCTGTAAAATGCAGATAATAGCTAACTGCTTCATGGAGTTACTAAAAGAATTAAATGAGATCATGCCTATCATATGCTTAACTCAGTAAATGTGAATTTTTATTATCATGTAAAATAAAGTTATTATACAAAGATAACATTTAATTGAATTACATATAGATGACGACAATGTATTACATTCTTGAAAACTGCAAAAAGGTTACATTTTAAGCGTTCTCACCACAATAAAATAAAAAAGATGTGATGCAATACATATGTTAATTAGCTCCAGTTAACCATTCCACAATGTATACATATTTCAAACCAACATGTTGCACAGATCAATACATATAATTTTTATTTGTTAATTTTTAAAAAATTAAGAAAATTTGTTACATAAACAAAAGAGAAGGGAGCAAAACTCTTTAGGATAGTTCTAAAGGGTTAGAAAGAAGCAAAGGACATGGTGACTAGATGAGCTAATTTACTGACCCCAAAATTGTATATTCTAACCGTAGCCCCCTGCTGTGAGACTAGAAAAAGAAAAGAAAATACAATTGAAACCCTTCATGCAATTTCTTCCTGGTCAACTATGTCGAACATCTAATGTCAAAACATATACAACCAATCAGATAAAACTTGATATTGATTAATTCCCCATAATAAAGATAAAACATTGTCAGTGAGTTTGTAAACTCAGAAGATCAAGAATGAACAAATACTAATAAATTTATCAAAAATAACTAATTCAAAATAAAAATAGTCACTTGCTAAAATACCAAAATTATTCACTATTAAGCGAAAAGTCTAACTTTGGGGAGGTTCTGGAATAATCAGTACAGTATCCAGACCCTTGAATTAACTACATTGCTTTACTTTAGCATGCATCTTATCCTAATATATCACTGTTAGAAAGCTATGGGGTGAAATCTGCCTCTGATTCTACTTTACACTGTGGTCCCAGCATATATCACTACTTAATAACAAGAAAAATAGCAATAGCAGTACTACGGTTATGTCTTTTATTATTGCTATTCTATTATGTATTTTATATAGCAATGCATTTTACTCCTTGAGGATATTTTCTATAATAACTATGATGTATCTACAAAATCAGAATGCATTTTCTATTCCTTTTCCCCCACCAAAAACCAGAAAAATGACAACCCCTCCCCTACACACCGCCTCTTTCAGAAAACTATAGCTTGATTTTTTTCATGAGTGTCCACCAGAGGGAGCCAGATGATAGTCTATTAGTTTAGTCCTGAATTGAATGTGTTTTATAAGGACAAACATTTCTGAAAATCAACAAGCTGAGACCAACTCCTATTTTCTGCTTAACAGGAGTTATTTATTACTATTCACTAACAGAAAAATAACAAATATACAAATGCAGCAAATGAGGAGGAATGGAAAGACAGCATGCAGTGTATCCCAAAGTGAGTGAGAACTGGCACTCAGTTTTGTGTCTATGCTATTGTACACTGAGTCCATCCGTTAACTCTAAGTTTAGCCAAAGCAAATAAAGACTGTTTAGTCAATGCGGTGTTTTTAGAACAATGTGTATTCTATAAAGGCGAAGCGTATCCGGATTTGGAATAGACAAGTATACAAACTAATGCCAGATTCTTAAATCCTCTTTGTGGGGATTCTGACCTGCCACTGGAAACATCCATTCAAGAATTTTTACAAAAGAAAACATCTCCAAGGACACTAAGAAGACTGTTTTCCTGCAATATATTAATTTCTAACTTGTTACCACAAAATAATAGGAAATTCTGAGATACATTAACTCCCAGAAACAGACATAGCTAGTAACAATACCTGCAGGTCAATAGGCCAACAATCAACTAGAGTAAATCCATGTCATGAATTTTCTTTCTTTCCCTTTGTCTATCCTTTGGTGAGTAAGAAGAGTGGCATCTGTAAAGAAATGAAAATCATCCTGGATAGCATAAATAAGAGCTACTTTGTGAGGCAGGTGGGAAAGGTAGACAAAGGGTTCTGCAAATCTGCTTTAGAAGGGTGGCTTATATTCCAGAAGCTAGGAAGGACCATTGAGAAAGTGTGGAAAGGACAATCACAGGGTCAAAACTGCCTTTTTAAAGCAAAGTGAAGGGCAGACTGGGGTAGAGGACATAGGGAACAGAGAAGGGGCCAGGAGACCAACTGAGGGGGCTGTCTCAACCACCCAAGTGAGAGGTGAGGCACTGGAACCAAGATGGCTGCAGTAGACAGGAAAGTAGTGGAAATGGGAGGAGTGTTCAGGAATAGTAGCTGATGCTCTGTGAGGGCTAAGGGAAGAAGAACCCAGGATGACCTGGGCTAGCTGTTAAGGCTCTGGAGGTGGACAGCCCCAAGGCCGCCTACCAGAAAAGCCTCCAGGATGCTTCCAAGCAAGAAGCCCTTGTTCTCTCTGTGTCTTCTACATGGTGGACATGTACCATCCTGAACCCAGTGAGGCCACCCACTCCTCCACGGAGCCTTCTCTGGCCCATGGTCTGTGTCCCCTTTGTGTCCCCATAGGACCCCGGACATAACTCCACCGTAGCATCTATCACCTCATTTAAAATGAAAATTTATTGGCTTTTAAAAATATTTCAGGCCAGGCCTGGTGGCTCACGCCTGTAATCCCAGCACTTTGGGAGGCTGAGGCGGGCAGATCACGAGATCAGGAGATCGAGACCATCCTGGCCAACACAGTGAAACCCTATCTCTACTAAAAATACAAAAAAAAAAAAAAAAAATTAGCCAGGCATGGTGGCGGGCACCTGTAGTCCCAGCTACTTGGGAGGCTGAGGCAGGAGAATGGTGTGAACCTGGGAGGTGGGGCTTGCAGTGAGCTGAGATAGTGCCACTGCACTCCAGCCTGGGTGACAGAGCAAGACCCTATCTCAAATATATATATATATATATTTCAAAAGAATACATGTTTACTTTGTCAGGCTGAAATAATACAGTAATACATAAAAGATGCCCTTCACACCTCTCCTCTCTCTTCTGCCTAAATGGGACCATAGCTAAAAATCTGGTATGACTCTGGCAGAGTTTTTCTTTTTTCCTTTGCTTTATTAAGTAATGTATTCCTATTATACAGATTTTTCTACAGCATGCTTTTGTCATTAACAATAAAGCAGAGTCATGTCATATGTATACATCTACTTTATTCATTTTAGTGCTGTGTAACATTTCAGTGTATATAAACAGCAATGATTTAGCCATTCTCTTGTCAATGAGCTTTTTCAACATTTTTCTGCAAAATCTGCAATTATTTTTCTCGCCAAAGATCTTTTCAATTATGTGCAGATTTTGCTATAGGAAAGATTTTTAAATGGGATGACTAGGACAAAAGGCATGATATTCAATATATTTGCATAAATATTGCTTCAATATGAAAAATATCTGCATAAATTTAGACACCCCTGAAGAGTATATAAAAACATAAGCCGTGCCAGTGATCTGTTCATTGGTCTTTCAATCTGACAACGGAAAATTTCTTAAGGGCAGTAGAATCAAAGTGATTCTTCACTGTTGTATTTCCATCACCTAGTTCACAGACAGGCTCACAGCAACCACTTAACACAAAAATATTTCTGGCTTAAACAAATAAAAGAGTAATACCTTGCTAAATTGTTTTAAAGATTAGGGATAATAGGTGTCCAGATATGTAAAGGGCTCAACCTGGCACAAGTGGAGAATGAATAGTTGAAGAATCCATTGTGAAAATTAAACATTAAATATGAGACAGTGTTGTCTATTTACTCAAACCTAGAGCCAACAAACATACTGACATGTTCCCCTATGAAACATTTTCAACCAATGATGATTTTTATTTTGTTTTAGCTCTTTATTTTTTTCATCCCTTAGTTAATTTAAAAACCACAAAATAAAACAGCTTTTGAAAACAGACTGGTGATATTGTACACTGATAAAACTACCCATTTTAAACTATTCTCTTCATGAGACATTCGGGCAAATGTCCACTCTTTGCTTCTCTAGCACATTAGTGCTGTTGATGTTATTTGTAATTAAAACAAGTCATCTAAGCAGGAGCAGTATGTTATGGCTACCTTTAAGGTCCTGAGTTAAGAAAGGCACAGCCACAGTAACCAGAGGAAGCCATGAGACCAACATGTAGGTCTGCCAAAAAGTTGCTAATTAATTATGGATTTATCTTCTTGAGTTCTCTATTCTGAAATCTCACCACTTAACCCATACCAGACCCAAAAGGAAAGGCCGGGTTCAGTAACAACAACCTGGGTTCAAAAGGAATTCCGAGGGAAAGGGTACTTACAGGGAGGTGGGCTCTGCAAGGGCAATCAGGCAGCTGCATGCTAGAGCCCCAAATGCAAGACGAGCTTGGGGGTTCAAGAAGGGGTCCACGGCATCACACCCCTACAACATTAGGTTGCTATCTAGCAGCAGAGGCTCAAGGCACAGATGTTGCATCCTGGTTTCTGAAGGATCAGAGCAAGTGCCCTGTGGGGTTGTGGAGAAAAACTTGGGCCCCAGAAGAGGGAACTGGGAGTGTGGGCATGAGTGCTGGGTGGAGAAATTCAGACAGAAGCATAGTCTGTAGACCAGGTCAACTGCAAGCTAGAGGCACCCCAGAGACCTGATACTATCCAGGCATCCCAGACACCAGGTTATCTGACAATTAGGTCTAATTCTAAACCAGACCAGATGGTAAATTTCAGACTAACAACATGTTTCACCTTAACTCTCCCAGGAAATCAACAGAACTCATTATCATAATTTTCTTCGAAACTCTAATTTCACACAGTAAATTACCCCCATTAGGATACACTACAGCTTAGTGTCACTTCCAGCAACACATCTTAGGGATTTCCTGAAGCACCTGCTTGTTGCTTTGATCTGTGGGATGCTGTTGAAAAATGTCCTTAGCACCTCCTCTATGGGCAAAGCAAAGCAGTACAGCCAGATAAGATCAACAAAACATTTCTATGTCAGGAAGACTGTAAACTATGGGAAATACATTTCCATTGTTCAAGAGAGTAGAGTATCTATATAGGTTAAATGGATCCAAATTATAGTTTGTGCTGTCCTTGGTAACAATCATAAATTTAAGAAGTATTCTATACTTACTATTTTTTGAATCTTCAAAAGTGAAACTACAGAGAACAAGAACTTCCTTTAAAAAAAAAGCCATATACTGGGCTGATTAGAAGTGCAGGCTCAGAAGTCAGATTTTCTGGGTTCAAAGACCAGCTCCATCTCTTACTAGCAAGGTAAGGACGGGAGTCAAGATGATCAAGGCTCTGTGCCTTAGTTCCCTTACCTACGAAATTACAATTAAAACATCACTTATCAAACAAGTTTACTTTCAGCGTTAAAGAGGTGACAGACAGACAGATATATGCACATAGAAGAATGTCCTATACTTCTGCTGCTATTTCTAACGTCATCATCACCTTTGTTGTCATTGTCATCATCCTCATCATCATCGGTAAAGTCAGATTTGGTCTTTGTAAAGTACTTCAGAAAACAAAATGTGAGTGTGACCTCACATAGAACTGAAAGAGTTCTAAGAAAGGATAGTACACAGGATGGGCTCAGAGAAGCCACACCTCTCTACTCCAAATAAACACAAAAATCTGTGTAACTAGGGTGTGTTTGTTCATAGCAATTTCCAGACAAGTCCTTTAGCTGAATGCCTATACCCAGGCCCCACAACTCTATCTTACAAATTCTAGAGATATCATGTTTTATTCAGTGGTTATTATTTTGTTATAGATCCCTTTGAGAGTATGATGAAAGCTATCACTCATTTACTCAAAAAATTAAACCCACCTATCTACACACACACATACACACATACACACACAAAAACACATATAAAGTCTGCATCTAATATCAAGAAATCCAGGGACCTCTGAAGGACCATTTATGGACTTTCCAGATTCTCACTAAATCTCTTCCTTTGCCTATCAGAATACCATGGCCCAGAAAAACTGGCTTGCTCCAGGTTAAACAACTAATAGTAGCAGGGTTAGTACCAGGTCCCTTTTCTTCTGTCCTGGTTATTGCTCTTTCCACTTCACTACCCTTTCTATAAGTTTCTTGTATTTACTGAACACTTCATTCTGTGCTAGATACACCAGACACACACTCCAAAAGCTTCAGGGAGCAAAATGAGGATACAATGCTTCCTGCTCTCAAAAAACCAACAGTCTATTAGGAAAGACCATAACAATGAAGGGTACTGAGGGAAAACACAGACTAGTATGACAAGCAACATCTGAAGCCCAGGGGAGACAGCAAGGCCAGTTGCACCCCTTCGTGGGCAGAGGGAGCTAGAGGGGTTCAAAGGCATCTTTAAAAGAGGTGATCCTAGTCTGCATCTTGATGGGCACCTGGACATTTGCCAGACTCTCTTTCTTCAGGTTGATACAGGTTTGATGGGCAAGAATGACCAGTCTCTGGCCCACCCCTCTCATCATCACATCGTACTCCAGTGAGAATACTTGTGTATTCTAAGTAGATTCACTTGCACCTTATTCTCTGAGAAGCTTTTTGTGGTTGCCATTTTCTGAATGATATATTTCTTATTTGATTAAAAGTGGATATTTTTCAGATTCTGAGAGAAAGAAGGTCATTGAGCAAATTTTTTCTAAAGCAAACAGGACTGCACTTGCCTCATTAGGCATTTCCGCACCACTATGGTCCTGCCGTCTCTGCCTTCTTGACCTCAACACTCTGCCTCTGAAGACCCCAAACAGAGCATCTTTTCCTCCTAGCCTGCTTTTCCTCCCCATTCCCAATGACCCCACAATCCCACTCCTCTCCTTCACCTGGCCAGACATTGGGGAAACTTTCTGGAAGTAAGTGCCAGGTCTAAATCCTATCAGTCAATTCATCCTTTTCAGACTCTCTCAGATCCAATCCCTTCTCTCCTCCCATGCCTCTGCTATGTCTCGGCCCTCTCTATTTCTTGCCTCAATTATTGGAATAGCTTCCAATATGTCTCCAGGCCTACAATTTCACTCCCTTCAATTTCATCCTCTACTTGGCTACCATAGAGGTTGTATGACATTTCAAAACTATTAATGTGATCATACCACCATTACCACCATGCCAGCCCCAAAATTCTTAAATGCAGAGTGCCAGTTACTTAGCAGTACACTCAGAGAAGTCCCCAGGAGCTGCTGCCCTGCCCCTTCCACCCTCACTCTGCCCACTCTCCACACACTCCCATGTTCAGCCACACCCAACTGCTTTGCCTGCTGTGCTCCAGACAGACTCCAGGCCAACACATAGAAATTCCAGCAGAGCACAAAATTCACATGACTATAATTTACAGATGCAATTTCAAAATTAACACTTTCCCACTAAAGAGCAAGCAGAAAAAAGCAAACTGGGACCAGCAATACTAATTTTCTCTCACCAAGTGAAAGACAGTAAGAAACTTTCCTCATACACTGTTTTACCATCCCCCGGTCCAAATAGCAAAGTAGATAAAACCTGGAACTCATCCATGCAGTTAGCTGCCTGAAAGCACAGTTTTCTAGATAGAAATATTCCCTGCTCTGCCTAAATTTATGCTGGTCTGTTAGAGTGTGTTAAACTTAGTACGCAAATGATAAAGAATTGTTAGTACACAACCGTAAAAGAAACACTTTCATTTTGAAAATGTAATCATATTTGCAAATCCTTCTCTGCCTTTAAGCAGATAGTAGAGAGAATAAGCTACAAAGATTACATGGCAATTTTAATATGTTCAATACCAAGAATGGGAATGTATTTACAGACTCTGTAGGTAAACACCAATTAGTCACTGAACCATTACAGTAGCAACTCCAGCAGAGTGGCTGGGGATACAGCAGACAGCATCATCACCAGCTGATTGGAAAGCCACTGTAACTTTCACATGAACTCCCTTTGAATGGACATGCCCCATGTGCTCATGTCAGGCCAGAGGAGAAACTGTTGATGTGATCTGAAATAGACTTGGAGAGTTCCATATGACCTAAAGGACTTAGAAAGTTTAACGAATGCTCAGAGCTGCCCACAATCACACAGCTGGGACAAAGTCAACACATTTTCCAAACTCAGCTCGCTGTCAAAGTCACACAACTCACTGGCAAAGATCACTGCTTCCTGAATGTTGTCCGTAGCTATTACCACTTCAAAGGATGAAATGCAGAAAGTCTCAGAAAGAAAAGGCCAGAACGATAGGATCTCGTCGTGGGGAACATGCCATGGATTTCCAGCCCAAAGATGCTCCATCTTTTGTCCCAGCCTCAGGACTGCTCAAAGAAAATCATGAAGCATCTGTAAACGTTTCAAACCATCTAACAGAAGTTATGACTGCCTACCAGACTAGGAGAATAAAATGACAGTCCTTAAAGTCTGTGTTCTCGCTGGTTTGGTAACAGTGGTCATTTCATACACTGCTTGAAAGTGTTCATTTTCATATGTGCCTGAACAAATGAAATGCAGATAAATGAATTCATGATGTAAGAAATGTAGTTTCTGGACCAGAGCTAGTCAACAGAAATGTGTAAGTCACATACATAACTTAATATTTTAAAAGCCATGTTAGAAAAATATACAACCAGGTAAAAATAATTTTAATCATATATTTTATTTAATTCAAGATACCTAGAATATTATCATTTCAACATGTAACCAATATAAAATCAAGATGTTTTAGTATTTTTTATATTAACTCTTCAAAATCCCATGTGTCTATTGCAGTTACAGCTCATGTCAATACAGACTAGCCACAACCTGAGTGCTCAGTAGCCACATGTGGTTAATAGCAACCATACTGAGTGGTACAAGTCTACACAAAACCCTTCAGAGCACCCAGAACACAATGGGAAACAAAACAGATGCACACTGGCTAGAAGACTCCACAGACGCAGGTGGTAGCATAGCGTGACATGCCATCCCAAAGCCCCCCCAGCTTGATATGGGCAAAGCAGAGAAAAGCCTACACTTCTAGAAGCCCATGGCCTCTTCAGTGGAACCAGAAGAAAGGTAAAGGGACCCTGAAAAGGTGGCCAGCCCTGGAGGGAAGAGGAAAATATCCTTCCACACAGGCCTTATGTGCTTCCCATTTCCCCACTGCCTACACACATCAACTGTTTGATTATTTTCTCAGTCAGTCAACCCAATGGTCACCCACCTGGAAATTCATCACCTACCACATGCCAGGCCCAGCCCTGTAGACATGCACTGAGAAAACTGGACAAGACCTTGCCTGCAAAGTATTCATGGCAGAGTTGGGAATCAGACAAGCAAATAGTCACAAAAATGCACATACGTGTTTACACAGGTGAGAAGGGTTACAGAGGAATGGCACACAGTGCCAGAGGAGAGGAGAAGAAGGAATATGTCTCCATCTAAGGGTTCCAGGTAAGTTCTCTGAGGGACAGGGGAATTGAGGTCTGAATGACAAATGGGGTGATTAAGCCTTCTGCTACAGCATTTTCATACAAAAGTACAAATGTTTTCCAGTGTCTTACATCACTCCTTCCTTAAATGTCTTCCTTTTTTTTTTTTTTTTTTTTTTTTTTGAGACAGAGTCTTGCTTTGTCACCAAGGCTGGAGTACAGTTGCATGATCTTGGCTCACTGCAACCTCCGCCTCCCAGGTTAAAGCGATTCTCCTGCCTCAGCCTCCTGAGTAACTTGGATTACAGGCACCTGCCACCACGCCCAGCTAATTTTTGTATTTTTACTAGAGACGGGGTTTCACCATGTTGGTCAGGCTGGTCTCAAACTCCTGACCTCATGATCTGCCCGCCTCGGACTCCCAAACTGCTGGGATTACAGGAGTGAGCCACTGCACCTGGCCCCTTCCACTTATTTCTAAGCTGTATTTCTTCTTGTTCTTTCTTCCAAACAGGGAAAGATGCTGAGTTCTATACATCGATAGTCTCACCAAAGTTTGAGGGCCAGTGTGTGGCAAAAATGGACACCAAAATATATACCTCCTAACTCTGGGCATGTTTGCTGTGATTTGGCTGCATTTATCAAACTTGACAAGTTACAGTAATGACTTCCCATGTATCTTAAGATGGTGTAGATTCAGATTGCCAATAGCCTTGTGTGCCCCATTAAACTCAGAACTTCATTCAACAGGCTACGGGTAAGGTTCTTAAGGAGGGTAGTAACACATTCTAATTTGTTTTCTAGGAGAACTGTGCTGGCAGTTCAATAGATTAACTAAAAGGAAGTTTTTTTTGGTGATATCAAAAAAAAAAAAAGACTGCTGCAATAGTTCAGGTGATAGAGTACACATGTGAACCCAAGGCACCACAATGTAAAGGAGGAAATACATTCAAGGGCATTTCAGAGCATACTCAACTAGGGCAAGATAGACAACTGCACAAACATGGTTGTCAGATGGCAGAGACCCTGGCTGAATGTTAGAAACATCTGTGGAGCTTTTGAAAAACACTAATGTCTAGACCTTACCTTCAGAGAATATGACTCAAATAGTCTGTGATGGGGCCTTAGCATGAGAATTTTTTTAAAGCTTTCCAGTGATTCTAGTATGCAGCCAGGGTTGAAAATCACAGGCTTAAATAGAATAGCTTTTTGAAACCCTGAGGTCCAAGAGAATCAGCTTGTTTTTTTCCATTCTTTAACTCAGCAAATAATTATTGAGTGCTTATGATTATCAGGCACTAGGTTAAGTGATTAGTATTATATAATCTCACAAAACCCATGATTTCTGTATTTTCATTTTGAAATGAGAACCTTCTAAGGGTCAGAGAAGTAAAGTGACTTCTAGGAGGATGGCAGGTAAATGACAACCTACATTTGAACCCAGCTTTCAATATTCAGATCTGCTAAAAGCAGGCAATGCTGCCAGCACCTTTGGATTTGAATCTTTAATTACAATTTGACTTATAGCACTCATTAATCCTTGGATATCTTGAATTCCAAGGAATGTAAGTACTTCAATAGCTAACATTCCCCATTGTTCCACTGAACCCTCTGCTGGGTCTCAGGCCCTGTGAACAACTACAGCATCTAAACTCATCTGTTACTCACTTCACCATCACACTGCTAAAGCAAGTGTTGAGTATTTTTTTTCTTACATTTTGCCAAAATAGAAACCTTAACTGTATTATTACAAGAAAACTTTTCAGTGTTAAAATACATTAAGTATTATGGAAATATAGATGCTGTCTATTCATAGCCTAAAATAATTCCTTTAAAAATACAGCTCAAATCGGTGGCACACTGCAGCCTCAAACACACGGGCTCAAGTGATCCTCCCACCTCAGGCTCCTCAGTAGCTGGGACTACAGGTGTGCACCAGAAACAGATACTACTGCAGCTACCAGCAACTATGCATATAAATTTCAACAGGTAATAAAGCCACTAGTACTGTTTACTAGAGTGGGAAGGCCCATTACATAATAGTGTTAATTACTTAAGAAAACTTTACTAGTAAGTTGAGTCTGTAGCATTTGGGTACAAATTTATGTAAAATAAAATGTCAAAAAATTACCATGATCTCAGTTAATTCTAATCTATTTCCACATTGTATTCGCTTGAAACTTAGGGACTTAGTGTTTAGCTAGGAGAAATAATTAATGTATATGTAAAATATTTTTGTACTATCAAATTGAATACGAAAGAAACAGTTAACACAACCAGACTCAGAAATGCATGGTTGCTCCTAGAGGCTACCAGCTTGTACCCTCCTTCTGGTTTGCAATTAAGTAGACTGTAAGGAAACAGTAATGTATAATTCAATCGTACATTATAATAATATACAGGACATTACAGGACTGTAATGATATTCTGGTTTAAAAGTTATCTGTTTATCAGTATAAATATTTATATTATTTAAAATTTACCTCACCCAAACAAAAATGACGATAAATAAGTGTCATTATATGTTATACATATGCATGCACACATGTACACACACATACCAGAATCTGTGCTGAGCATTCTGCAGACACTATAAAATGCTCAAGACAACCTTATGAACAGAATAATGATATTATCCTCATTTTAGAGACGGCTAAACTGAAAAAGAGAAAAGAAACTTGCCCATGGTCACTGAGGCAGTGAGTAGTAGGGTCAATACCTTCATCATGGGTGATCTGCCCCAGAGTGTGTAACTAAAACCACAAAAACCAAAACAGCCTGTCATGAACGCTACATAAATTGTAGAGCCAGGTAGGGCTATGAGAGTTGAAAGGGTGTCTGCATTCTATTCCGTCACCTTTTTATACTTGTCCTAATTTCTGACATTTGAAATATCACCTATTTATATATTGTCTCCCAGAATGAGAGCACAGGTTCCATGAGAGGAGGGAGTGTGTCGGCCTTATTCACTGCAGTATCCGCAGCACCTAGACCACCACATGGCACACAGATGCTCAGTAACTACATCTGAACAAGGGAACGGCTGAGTGGCAGACACAATGCAAGCAAACACTTGGAGGTGAGGAGCTTGGATTCAGGATGAGGGATATGAGATACAGTTGAAGTTGCAGGTTGGAGGTAGACAGTTTTAAACACCAGGCTAAGGGGTCTAGATTTTGTTATTTATATTATGATAAGCCAATAAAGATATTTTTAGCTGGAGAATGAACTGTCAAACAGGAGTATGTTAAGAACCCTAATCTAGTAGCTATATCAGAGAAAGAAGCCTAAACTGAGAAAGTTGTTTTAACAATAGCCTAAGCTCTGAATTGATTAGGGAGTAAATCTGGGAGATAGTAAAGGAAGCAGATAGGACAAGCATTATGAAAACAGGGATCCACTTGACTTGCGTACTGCTGGACACGCCAAATCCCAGAGACGCAGATCTAGCTTGAGCAAACTTTAGAAAATCTGATCTGACTCTAGTTAATTACTGCGCAGAAGGCGCTTCACAGGGAGGATTAAATCCGGGCATTATTTAGAAATTTCATTCTGTTCCAGACGGGACCAAAGATAGCTCTGGCTGACAATGGTTGAAAACTGACCCAGAACTGTCAAGAATCTCAAAGATCCATGTGAGTAGGACATGCCACATCAAGTTGGCTGCCCTGAACTGGTATCAGGCAAGATCCACAAATCTGGGCTGGCCCAGGAGTAGCCTGGTTTCCACTGAGGAATTTGACACTATTTGTGGTTTGTGTGTGCTGTACCACCCATGGGCCAGTACTAATAAAACAGGATTATGGAAATTAGCTTGATTCATCATTTTCTCCCTTCATCTTGCTTTTGCCCTTTTCAGCCTTTGCTGAGGACTATGTCTGATTATGATACATTTTTTCCTTTTGACCTAAATACATTAAATTTAATCAGCTTTAAAAAATTCTCTTGATTTTGATTTAAGAAGAAAGCTTAAGAATGACTTTTATTTTGATTAATTTCATTTTGAGATTCCCTTCTCTCTTTCATTCTAAGTCTTTGCTGTCTTAAGGAGCAACTGTAGTTGAATTACATAGCTATTTTTTGAAACTGTGATAAAATCTACTGCTTTAGGACTCTGTTACTTGTGGCCTTAAAATCCTAAAAGGAATTTCCACCTTAGGAGCCCTGGAAGACTTCTTTTTCTGGGTCTTGGGTATTTTGCAACGAACAAGGAGCATTTTTCAGTCATTAGCTCCTCTGACTGTATGTGGTTAATCCAGGATAATTTGAATTTCCCTTAGGGTCTGAGTATTTACCAAGAACTGGCACAGAGAAAATAATCCTCTCAAAGGATGTAGATAAGTAGCTCAGCCCTAATGGGCAAAATGACCCCAGTGAGTGTGGGGTGTGCCACTGATGCACTAGGTTGGGAAGAGTATTCAGCATTGTTCTCTGACGGTTTTTCATTGTTATTTCATTTCAGCTTAACCTCAGATGAAGTATTGCACCTAGAAGAATGGATATAGTTTACTTGACAAAAAGAGAGGAGGGCACTGAAGTCCCAAATTCTTTCATCAGAGGTATTTGGGGGCCACCATCCCCTTCTTTAGAAACTGCTTCTGAGATACTCTTGCCAGCCACTCTGAAGGCAGACAACAATGCTTGTTCTCATCTGCCAAGCTGATTTTCCTCCTGCCAGTCTCCAGGAATGGAACAGAAATCCTGAATGAAGAAATATTTTTAAATGGACGAAGTTACCAAGATAACTAGCATCTAAATAACTTAGTAAACTATGTCCTTTAAACCCTTGCCACAATGGCAACCTTAACATATCCTCGGTGCTATATAAAAACTCTTACAGGACTATCAAACAATGAAATTCTTTGGACAGAAAGAACCAGGGTAGATCTACCTTATATTGGCTTCTGTGCAATGGTATTTGTGATCTAATTGTAATACAATGTTTCTGTTTTGGTACTATTGTCTGTTTTCTTTTTATTATCTTCTCTCTTAACCTATCTCCCCTCCCCCCAGGAAAAAAAATGAATGCCCTGTCAAAATATGGCATATGTAAGATGTTTTGGAATCTGAATGATCTTTTAAGGTTATTTCCCCCAGAGAATACTTGATAACAACCTGAATCAAGAGGGAAAACCCCCTACAGGGGCAGCCCAGACTCAAACATTTATATCCAGTTATAAACATTTGCATAAGTCGTTAGGGCTTTAATAGTTTAGAAACAGAAATGTGAGCTGATGTGAAGAGCCCTATATAAAGAATATATGAATCCTTTTGATTTGGCCAGAGGGACATTTTGACTTTCCTGTTTCAAAACAACCATTCTGATGAGGCCAGGTCAAAAGTGCTGAGCTTATTAGAAAGTAATGGACCGAAAGATATCCCCCATCCAATTCCTGATTCCCATACTGATCTCACCTCATTGCTAACGCCCATCCCATTAAATCCTAATTCTCAGAGTTGAAGAAGATTGGGTAAAAGCTCAAGAGTGGGGTGACTGATTACTTGAATTACAGCAAAGTAAAACAGAAAAGCTTAATCTTTTTTTTTTTCAGGTCACATGAAAAAGTCCCTAGTATCAAACAGTATAACAAAGTGACTCCTTGGACAGCTGCTTTGCCAATGTGACTGCCTCAAAATGCCATGCAACCAGCATGAGACTGCACAGAGTTTCTAATCTTTGCTGCAGCCCTGACTTTCAGTGAGACAGTGGCCAGGTCACATGGTCTCTGGGCCCCAGGCTCTCATCTCTAAACTGAGTGGCATGGGTTATTTGGATCTCTAACCTCAACTCTACCCAACCAAGCTGCCCGGCTTCCAACTCCTATCAGTGAGCAAACAGCGAACCAGTCTCATTGGTTATTTTTTCCTTTTTTTAGGGATCAGTTCTCTTAGAAAAAACAAGACATGTATACTGGGGCCAATGTACTTGACTGTCCATATATATTCATATTCCAGAAGTTGATGATAGATTATAGATTCCATCCCTAATATGATGGACAGGCACTATATTTTTTCCTACTAAAATGTATAAATATTAAATTTTCTCAATATATGATGGCAACAATTTTCTGACACCTGGCTCCTTTAAAAATATATGAATCTGTTTGGGGCCTAAATAAGGATCAAATATTTGTAAGAGTACTTATTATGCTCACAGGTATAAATTCTTTTAACTCACAAAATAAATTCCTGGGAATCATGACAGAGTCAATAAGTTATGTGGTAGTCTCACAAGTGGAGTTCAAGAAATAGACATGCTGTTATTTGTAAAAAAAAAAAAAAATATATATATATATGCAAATTTACCATACAAGGACCTTTTAAAATCATAAGTGCATACTGATTAAAATGTTTGCCATCCATATATCTGAATCATTTTGTTACTTTCTCCTCAAAATATTAAATAGTTTAATTCAATCAAGTTTGTTTTGGTTCTAATGAGTAAAATAATTTTTTTAAATAAGTGAAAATACTCCTATAATAACTATATGACTTCAAAATAAGATAGCAGTCCTCAAATTACTACAATATGTAAGAAGTTACTATTTTTTATTTGATTATCAGCTACCATTTTTCAGTGTTAACTGTGTGTCAGGAATTCTACGTGAACCTGTGAGGTAGGAATTATGTCAATTTTATATAGTAAAAAGCTATATAAACTATATAGTGTCAGAGAAATTACCCAAGCAGTCTAACATACAGTCAGTATAATTCAAACTCAAGTCACTTCAGCTTTCTTATAACACTAGTTTGCCTCTTAGTAATTCTTAATCTTGGAGAAGTTATGATTTTATTTTCATTTCATCCTTCACTTAAATATTTATTGAGTATCTGCATATGCCATAAATTCTACTAGGTGTCAGGGATGAAAGGGCAAGGGAAAGATGTAATCCCTTTCCTTAGGGAGTTATCAATACCCTGGAAAAGAGAGAGGCATGTAAACAAATCACTGCAATCAAATTTGAAGAACTACAAACAGGTATTCATAGGGCTCCAAAAAGCATAAGAGTCAAGTCCAGCTGGATTTCTGGGTCAAGGGAGGTTCTCCAGTGAGTTATGCTAGAATAAAATTTTAAAGAATAGTTATTAATGGGTTATGTAGACAATGGTGGAGAATGGCATTCTAACAGCAGAGATGTAAAAAATCTCAGCTCTTAAGAAAAATCATGTTATGCCTCAGTAACATCATGACCTTTAGGTTGGGGTAAAAGTTAGTGGAGAATGAGAGAGGAGAAATACCAAGTTGATTTTATTTTTAACCTTTGGCTTTTATATAGAGCAGTGTCCTCAAACCTTATCCTGCACCAATACCACCTGGAGGATTTGTTAAAATAGATTGCTGGGCTTCACCACCACAAGATTTTCCAACTCAGTAGGGACCAAGAATTTGTACTTCTAGCAAGTTCTCAGAAGCTGTTGATGCTGCTGGTCCAGGTACCATATTTGAGAACCACTGACATAGAGCGATAAGCCATGAAGAGATTAACACAAGACCATAGTTTCAAAGTTTATTTACTTTTAGCCTTCTGCTTTCCCCTAAATATTAATCTAGATAATATCTTGACTTTAAAAAAATAAAGAGTAACTAATAATACATACAGGTTTATCAGATGTAGTCTTGTGGAATGAACACAAACCAACAAGGGAAAATTCTAACGAGGCTGAATTCATAATTCATGAATTTTTGAATATTTATTCTAATTTCAACATCCAAAAGCTAGATTGTTCAAGATGGTCTCTTGGCCTTCCCCCACTCTGTACAAAGGACGATGCCTGTGTAAAAATAGGAGGGGTGTTCTCACACCTGACCACTGCTCAAGGTGGCTCCTGCTCCCACACACCCCTTCCCAATTCCCAGGCAGGTGGCTGTTTGTGCCTCCAATAAGCAGGATGTTCAAGAAGAACATGCACCGAGGCCAGGCGTGGTGGCTCATGCCTGTAATCCTAGCACTTTGGGAGGCTGAGGTGGGCGGATCATGAGGTCAGGAGATCGAGACCATTCTGGCTAACACAGTGTAAACCTCATCTCTACTAAAAATACAAAAAATTAGCCGGGCGTGGTGGTGGGCACCTGTAGTCCCAGCTACTCAGGAGGCTGAGGCAGGAGAATGGCGTGAACCCAGGAGGCGGAGGTTGCAGTGAGCCGAGATCACGCCACTGCACTCCAGCCTGGGCAACATAGCAAGACTCCCTCTCAAAAAAAAAAAAAAAAAAAAAAAAAAGAAGAACATGCACCGAACTGTCAACAATGGTGACTATCTAGGAGGTGAAACTGCTATGAAATTGCGCTTTTCTATTGATTTTTTAACATTTCTATACTGTTAGAAATTTTACTGATAGGTATACATAAACTTTTATTCAGAAGAAGATTTTTTTAATGCAAAGATGCTTTTAGAGTTGTACAACAAGCAGAAATGATTTTCAAATTTTTTTCTTTATTCCTCTGTGGAACCAGCCTTTTGTTCAAACAAAATACTATCAGAAGTCCAAAACTTAAAAGTGATGAAAGCACAGCTTATCAGGAAAAAGTGGTAATATAGAAATGAGAGACCCAAAAATTCTTTGAGCAATCACAACCTTACTGTTTCCTATGATAATTATAGAACTTTGAAAGAGTACTTTTCATTTAGCTATGTAAATTGTGGATTTCACTTTTTAGTTACCTCATTTCATATTTGTACCTTGGGTAGTCCCCTGGCATATACTGAAAACTCAATTAATTGTAAGAAGCTTCCTAATTCAAAATCAGTTTCTTTATTTGCCTTTTCTGTTTTTAGTGTTCACCTATCAAAAAAAAAAAAAAGACACCAGGTTCTATCACGTAGAAAAAATATCTAAAACTGAAGTAACAAAAACATAACTTACGAAGTTCCCCAATTTAATTTTTTCATATCCATATTTGTAAGAATGGTAACTTAACTAAATATGAACCAAGTCAAAAAAGAAGGTGGGTGATTGTTGTCTGGCATAAATATAGAATAATATGTAAATTAATATAGTAACTTACTTTCCACCAATAATTTTTCCTTGAAAAATTTTTATTGATGTATACTAGATGTACATATTTCCAGAGTACATGCTGTAATTTGATACATTCATATACTTTGTAAATATCAAATCAGGGCAATTGGCATATACCTCAACTTAAATATTTAACTTTTCTTTATGCTGGGAATGTTCAAATTATTCTCTTCCAGCCATCTTGAAATGTACATAGAGTCATGCTAACTACAGTCACTTTAGTGATCTATCACAGGCTAAGATTTATTTTTTCTATCAAATTGTATATCTGTAGCCATTAGCCAACTTCTCTTCATCCCTCCCTCCCTCCTTCCCTTCCTGGACTCTGATAACCACCAATCTCTCTCTGTCTTCATAAGACTCACTTTTACAGCTCCCACATATGAGTGAGAACATGTAATATTTGATTTTCTGTGCTTGGCTCACTTCACTTAACATAATGATCTCCAGTCCCATCCATGTTGCAACAAATGACAGGATGTCATTCTTTATGGTTGAATAATATTCCATTGTGTACATATATCACATTTTCATTACCTATTCATCTATTGTTGGCATTTAGGTCGATTCCATATTTTGGTGTTTGTGAATAGTGCTACACTAAACATGGGAGTGCAGATAGATACCTCTTCAATATATTTATTTCCACTATTTTGGATATATAGTCAGTAATATAAGTGCTAGGTTATATAATAATTCAATATTTAATTTTTTGAGGAATCTCCAAACAGTTTTCTATATTAGTTTTACCATTTACATTCCCACCAACAGTATATGAGGGTTCCATTTTCTCCATATCCTCACCAGCATCCATTATTCCCTGCCCTTGTTATAAAAGCCATTGTAACTGGAGTGAGATGATGGTTCATTGTGGTTTTAATTTGCTTTTCTGTGATTATTAGTGATGCTGAACATTTTTTCGTATAAATATTAGCCATCTGTATGTCTTCTGAGAAATTTTTACTCAGATATTCTACCTATTTTTTGTAATTTCAACTCATATTTTAGATTCAGGAGGTATATGTGCAGATTTGTTACATGGGAATATTGCATGATGCTGAGGTTTGGGGAACAAATGATCCCACCACCCAGGTAGTGAGCATAGTACCCATTTACCTATTTTTTAAATCAGTAATTGTTCTTTTGTTGTTGAGTTCCTTATATATTCTGGTTGTTAATCTCTTGTTATATGGATAGTTTGCAAATATTTTTTCTCATTCTGTGAGTTGTCTCTTCACTTTGTTGATTGTTATCTTTGCTGTGTAGAAACATTTTGCCTTTATATAATCCTATTTGTCTATCTTTGCTTTGGCTGCCTGTGCTTTTGAGATCTTACACAAAAAATATTTGCCCAGACTTATGTTCTGGAGCATTTCCCCAGTGTTTTCTTCGAGTAGTTTCACAATTTCAAGTCTTAGATTTAAGTCTTTAATCCATTTTGCTTTTTGTATATGATGAGAGATAGGGGTTTCGTTTCATTCTTCTACATATGGTTATCCAGTTTTCCCAGTACTACTTATTAAAGAAACCACCTTTTGCCCACTGTATGTTCTTGGAGCCTATGTCTAACATGAGTTGGCTGTAAATGTGTAGGCTTATATCTGGGTGGTCTATTCTGTTCCATTGGTCTACATGTTTGTTTCCATGCCATGCTGATTTGGTTACTATATTTTTGTAGTATATTTGGAAGTCAGATACTGTGATGCCTCCAGCTTTGTAGTTGTTGCTCAGAATTGCTTTAGCTATTCAAGGTCATTTGGGGTTCCAGATAAAATTTAGAACATTTTTCTATTTCTGTGAAGAATATCACTGATATTTTGATAAGGACTGCATTGAATCTATAGATTGCTTTGAGTAGCACTGTCATTTGAACTGTTAAAGCAAACTAAGTATGGCCTGAGAAGGACTTTATACTTCTATATTTGAGTCCTTGTGGATGAACTGCAACCTGAATTAATAGGTAGATGAGATGGAAAACCTAACTTAGAAGTATGCACCTGTAACAATAGCTGAGTGTTGGCCAATCTCAGAGGCCACACTTCAACCACTCATAGACTATTGAGTGTTCAAATTGTGTTCAAATAAGGCAAACACCAACCTGTAACCAATCCAGCTGTTCTGTATCTCACTTCCAATTGCTGTATATCACTTTACTTCTCTTGTCTATAAATTTGTTCTGACCACAAGGCACCCCTGGAGTCTCTCTGAATCTGCTGTGATTCTGGGGGCTGCCAGATTCATGAATTGTTCATTGCTCAACTAAACTCATTTAAATTTAATTCACCTGAAGTTTTTCTTTTAACAGAACAATATTAATTCTTTCAATCCATGAGCATGGAATATCTTTCCTTTTTTTGGTATGTGCCTCTTCAATTTCTTTCGTCAGCATTTTTTTATGTGTTTCTTTTTTTTATTATTATACTTTAAGTTCTGGGGTACATGTGCAGAACATGGAGTTTTGTTACATAGGTATACATGTGCCATCTCTTCATCGGCATTTTAAGGTTTACATTATACAGATCTTCCACTTCTTTAAATTAATTTCTAGTTATTTTATGTTCTTTGTAGCTATTGCAAATGAGATTGCTTTCTTGATTTCTTTTTCAGATTGTTCACTGTTGGCTTACATAAATGGTACTGATTTTTGCATGTTGGTTTTGTATGCTGCAACTTTACTTATTCTTTTTTTGTTCTAACAGGGTTTTTTTTGTGGACTCTTTAGATTTTTCTAAATAAATGTTCATGTCATCTGCATATAACGATAATTTGACTTCTTCCTTTCCAATATGGATGGCCTTTATTTCTTTCTCTGACCTCACTGCTCTGGCCAGGACTTCCAGTATTATGTTGAATAAAAATGGGCATCTCTTTTTCCAGATCTTAGCAAAAAGGCCTTCAATTTTTCCCCATTCAATATGCTATTGACTATGGGTTTGTCATATATGGCCTTTATTATTTGGAATTATGTTCCTTCTATTCTTAACGTTTGTTGAGGATTTTTATCATAAAGTGATGTTAAATTTTATCAAACGTTTTTTCAGCATCTATTGAAAAGATCTTATAGTTTTGTTCTTGGTTAGGTAAAGAGGATACATTACATTTATTAATTTGCATATGTTGAACTATCATATCCTAGGATGCATCCCACTTGATCATAGTGAATGGTCTTTTTAATGTGTTGCTGAATTCAGTTTGCTAATATTGTGTTGAGGACTTTTGTATCTGTGTTTATCAGTGATATTGGCCTGTAGTCTACTTTCTGTTGTGTGCTTGTCTGGTTTTGGTATTAGGGTGATGTTAGCTTTGTGGAATAAGTTTGAAAGTATTTCTTCCTCTTCAGTTTTTTTTTTTTTTGAAGAGTTAGAGTTGAATTGGTATCAGTTCTTTAAATGTTTGGTAGAATTTAGCAGTGAAGCCATCAGGTCCTGGGCTTTTCTTTAATGAGAGACTTTTTATTACGGCTTCAATCTTGTTGCTCCTTATTGGTTTGCTGAAGTTTTCTATTTCTTCGTGGCTTAATCTTGTCAGGTTGTATGTGTCCAGGCATTTATCTGTTTCTTCTAGTTTTCCCAATTTGTTGGCCTATACTTATAATAGTTTCTAATGATTCTTTTTATTTCTGTGGTCTCAGTTGTTATGTCGCCTTTCTTGTTTCTGATTGTATTCATTTGGGCCTTCTCTCTTTTTTGGTAGTCTATTTAAAGGTTTGTCAATATTGTTTATCTTTTCAGAAAACCAACTTTTCATTTTTAAGGCTGGGTTTAGTTTGTTCTTGCTTTTCTAGTTCCTTGAGGTGCATTAGTTCATTTGAAGTCTTTATATTTTTTGATGTAGGTATTTACTGCTATAAACTTCCCTCTCAGTACTGCTGTTGCTGTATCCCACAGATTTTGGTATGTCATATTTCCACTTTAATTTGTCTCATGAATTTTAAAAATTTCTTTCTTAATTTATTCATTGACCCTTTGGTCATTTAGGAGCATGTTGTTTAATTTCCATGTGTTTGTCTCATTTCAGAGAGGTTCTTCTTGTGATTGATTTCTAGTTTTATTTCATTGTGGTAAAAAAATACATGTGATATATTGCTCTTTTAAATTTGCTGAGACTTGTTTCCTGGCCTAAGATACGGTGCATTTTGGATGAACTTCCATATGCTAATGAAAATAATGTGTATTCTACAACAGCTGGGTGACACATTCTGTAAAAGTCATTTAGGTCTATTTGGTCTAGTGTAGTAGTTTAACTCTGCTGTTTCTTTGTTGATTTTTTTATCTAGATGATTAATCCATTATTGAGAGTGGAGTGTTAAAGTCCATGACTGTTACTTTATTGCAATCTATCTCTCCCTTCAGATTTACTAATGTTGCTTTTGTGTGCTTTAGTGTTGGATGCATATTTATAATTGTTATATTTTCCTGCTGAATTGACCCCTTATATTATTAATATAGTCACCTTCTCTATTAGGCAGAGTCTAAAGTCTTTGACTAATAATCTGTTTATCTAAGTATAATTATTCCCCCCATTTTTTGGTTTTTACTTGCATAGAATATATTTTTCTATCCCATTACTTTCAGCCTACATGTGTCTTCATAGGTGAGGTGGGTTTCTTCTAGGAAGCATATAGTTAGGTCTTGTTTCTTTATGTATTCATCCAGCCTATGTCTTTTAATTGGAGAACTGCATCTGTTTATACTCAGTGCTATTACTGATGGGTAAGGACTTACTGGTGTCATTTTGTTGCTTGTTTTCTGGTTGCTTTGTAACTCCGTTCTTCCTTTTTTACTGTCTTCCTTTGTGGTTAAGTGACTTCCTCTGGTAACATGTTTTAATTCATTGCTTTTTCTAATTTTAGCATATCTATTATAGGTTTTAACATGTAGGTTACCATGAGGCTTACAAAAAAATCTTGTAGACATAACAAGTCATTTTACAGAGATGACAACTTATCACAGATCACCCCAAAAAAGAAACAAGAGAGAACTTTAATCTTTATTTTAACTCCATTCTCTCCACATTTTTGTTTTCTCAATTTACACATTTTTGTATTGACTATCTCAACAGGTTTCTGTAGCTATTATTCTTTTTGATACTTTGTGCTTTAGGATTCATACTAAAGTTATGAGTGTATTGTACATCATAATTGCAGTATTAAAGTATTCTGGGGCTGTATCCGAACTTCAGTTTTACCAGTGGGTTTTATACTTTCAAATATTTTTGGTTTTTTTTGTTTGTTTGTTTTGCACATTAATCTTTTCTTTCAGAATGAAAAACTCTCTTTAGCATTTCTTGTAAGACAAGTCTGGTGGTGGTGAATTCTCTAAACTTTTGTCTGTCTGGCAAAGATTATCTCTCTTTCATATGTGAAGGATAGCGTTGTTGAAACAATACTCTTGGATGGCAGCAGGGGTGGGGTGGGGGTTGGGTTTTTTTTTTGATTCCCCTGGCAGCACTTTGAAAATGTATGTTTTCTGTTGAGAAGTCTGTTGCCAGACCAACTGGAGTTCCTTTATATGTTATTTGCTTCTTTTCTCTTTCTGCTTTTAAAATCCTTTCTTTGTCCTTGACCTTTGAGAGTTTATTATGCTTCTTGGTAAAGCCTTATTGGGGTTGAATCTGTTTGCTGTTTCTCTGACCTTTCTGTGCCTAAATTTACCTCTTTCTCAAGTTTTGAAAAGTTGTCTACTGTTTCTTTGAATAATCTTTCTACTCCTCGCTCTTCTTCAACTCCCTCTCAAACACCAATAATTCTTATATTTCATCTTCTGAGCTAATATTCTATATCTCATACGTGACCTGTCATTCCTTTCCATTCTTTCTTTTTTCTCCTCTGTGTAATTTCAAATAGCCCATCTTCAAGCTCACTGATCCTTTCCTCTGCCTGAGCAATTGTGCTGTTGAGTCTCTCTCTGATAAATTTTGCAGCTCAGCAAATGTATTTCTCAGTTCCAAATTTGTTTGATCTTTTAAAATCATTTCAATCTCTTTGTTAAATTTCTCTGGTAAATTTATGAATTGCTTTTCTGTGTTATCTTGGAGATGACTGAGTTTCCTTAAAATTGCTATTTTGAATTCTTGTTCAGAGAGCTCACATATTGCTGTTTCATTAGGTTTGGTCACTGGTTCCCTTCTTTGTCCATTTGGGGAGGTCATGGTTCCCTGTTTACTATTGTTTCTTGTGGATGCATCTCCGTGTCTTTATTCCAGTCTTCTCTGTCTGGCTTGTTTTGTTTTTTGTTGGGTATGTTTGCTTATAGATTCTTTGTAATTTACCTGTTACATTCTTTTTTCTTTGCTAGGTTGTGGCCTCCTTTCCAGCATTAGATGGAACCTTAAACCCAGGTTTTCCTTGGCTCAAGCAAACAATTAGTGTGCTACTAGTCCCAAATGAGGGAGGTCTCAAAAGGGATACTAGCAGTGTGGGGAGGCTGGCTCAGGGTTTGTGCCCAGGATATCTGTGGAATGTACCACCTATAGCATGGTACTGAAAAGCCACTGACTTGGCATCTCCTTTGGCCAAGTTACAAAGCAGAGTTTCCAGGGCTACAGATGGTAGCCCTGCCTCTGCCTTTTGTCTCCAGTTGTCCTCAGGGATATTTCTCCCTTCAGGCCCTTGTGCTGCTTCCTATGGGTTTAGGCAGGGCAGGTCTCCTGTGAGGGAACACAAGACAATGGGGAAGATGGCTGTCCACCTCAATCTCACTTTTTCCAGTGTTAGAAACCATGAGTTGTGGAACATTTTCCATGTGCTTGCTGCTGGGCTGACTGGGGGAAAAGGCATCACAGATATGGAAGTTATAGTCTACCATCTGCTTGGAGTGTCTTTACTTCTCTGTGGCCCCAGGAACTCACTCATCCTCATACTGAGTTCTGGGATATTGTTAGTCTTGCTGCTGTACATTTGATTTTGGTTTTCTGTGGGGGCCATTGAAGCCAGCTTGCTTCTATGCCACCATTTTGAAATTTAAGTCTCCAATAATGGCTTTTACTATCTTCAACCCTTGAGGGTAAGAACATACGTTGGAATATTTGGTACAATTTTTCTTGCTGTGAAAATACCAATATTTTTATTGTAAATCCTCTATAATAAAGCACAGTGAACAATCCTAACCACCAGTTTTCTTCAAATGAGGTGTTGCTCAGTCCAACATTGTAGACCAAACCTAACATAACCACAAATGTTATAATGTACAGTGCATTTTATTTTCTAGGCTCATCACCCAAAAAAAAGAACTACAATCATTCCTCAGAATGCATGGAGGATTTGTTCCAGTACCTCCCTCAGATAACAAAATCTACAGATTCTCAAGTCCCTGATATAAAATGACATAATATTTGTATATAAGCAAGCACATACTCCCATATACTTTAAATCATCTCTAGATCCCTTATAATACCTAATACAATGTAAATGTAAATACTATGTAAATAGTTGTTATACTGAATTGTTTATGGATTAATGACAAGGAAAAAGGATGTACGTGTTCAGTACAGATGCTTTTTTCCTCATGTTTTCCATCTCTGGTTGGTTGAACCCAAGAACGCAAAACCCACAGTTCAGTACAGAAGGACGACTGTACATTAAAGCCACAGAAATTCTTGGTTTCTAGGTGTCAAAATGATCATTTCAAATCAGGGTACTTCTCTAAGAAAGGTCATTCCACTGCAAATTCTAACCCTTTCCTCGTGTTCCTTTGTCAAATATTTCATTTAAAATAGATATTTGAAAGAGTAGAGCTGGAAGCCACAGCAACTTTCTTTTCTTTGCAGTTAGGCTCAGTATTTAGAACCCAACTCTGCTGCTTCTCCCCTTATATAGTAGAAAATGTTATTACTCCCCACATTAAAAGAATCTGATTTATCCTTTGCTCTTATATTGGAAACAGGACTTTTAGAGATACTCTTAAAAGATTTGATTAGCAGCACTGATTTGATTCCACATAACACACTTGCTACTCAAGGGGAACAAGCCAGAAACAAGAGCAGGGTCGTAGTGCTCCAGGGCCACTGCACTTGGCCTTGTGCAATGTGCACATAGCAAATCCCTGTGCAGCATACCCCTAGAGTTTCACAGTTTATAACCAGCACATAGCCCAGCCCCACTCTGCTTCATACACACTCCTACCTCCTAAGTCTGACTCAGCTTTGCAAACATCTGAGACCAAAAAGATGCTAGCAATCCATATACATCTTTGACCTTTTAACTTTACCTTGAAATTCAATGTAACTTATGGCATGTTACTTTAAAAGCAATATAACATGCTTGTTAGATCTTTTTTCCTATTTTGCAGTGAAGGCAGCAATATGTTTCAGTGTACAAGTCCAGGACCAGCAGGAACAGAAACTGATCAAATGGTACTGTTTCTCTAAAGAAACTTGTACATTTACAAATAAGTAGCAAGTATTGAGATTTAACAATTTACAGAAATAAAATGCTCAGATTATCAGGCAAAACATAATAATTGCGGCTATTTTCATAAACCTGACCAATGATGATTGATTTTGGAATCCAAATTCTTGCATAGAAACGATGCTTTCTACATACATATTTAATTAAGTCTCAAAACAAAGATATTTTATACAATGTCCTGGGAAGCTTTGCTGACATATTTCTCAAGGTTTTAACACTAACATTTCCATCTTTAGTAGAAATACGGGATACATATGGGCTAAGAAATGCTAATGCTTAGAAACTGCTCATGAACATGGGCTATTATTGAACACAGAAATGACAAATATGAATGAAGTGAACATGACAGGCCTAAGAAGAAAGTTCTTTTAATGAAATGTGATTAGGAAAGATAAGGCAAAAGTAATGAATGTGCATAGAATACTAAAACTCAAAAGAGTCACACCCTTTTTCAAATTGCTTTTCAAACTCCAAACATCATTTTCTTACAACATAATATTTCTGTTGGTATATATTTTTTCAAGACTACTAGAAAAAAGGAAATTTTATAGTATAAAAACTAACAAATGATCTATTATTTTAATTAAATTGGAAGGTTACTTTTGACCCTAAATCTCAATTCATGATTCAAATACCCATCAATGATCAGCTGCCCTCACAAGTCACCTTCAATTCCAAAACACTAAAATGTAAGACAAGACACTAAATCTTCTATAATCTGAAGTGTTGCCCCAATGATTCAGAGTATATACTCTATTTTTTGCCACATAAGATGATTTTCTAGCTCCACAATATTCCATAGTATAAGAGGCTACAATGCATTTAGTCAATACCCTGTTATTGAACAAATGAAGTTTTTTTCCAACTGTTAACAATTACAATCAATGAAAATAATACTGCTGTATCAAAATATTTATCCATATGCCTAATTATTCCTGATAATAAATTCCTAGAAGTGAATAATTTTCTGGACCAAAGAGTAAGAACATTTTTGAAGTTCCTGATAAATAATGCCAATCGATGAAGGCATTTTTTATAACTTCCCTAGAAATAAGCTATTCTAAACTATTCACAAGGCTGAGCGCAACCTGCCCAAAAGGAAGGGTATTATTATATTATCAGATCATGCGTCTGCTCCTTAAGAAGTATTGTGAGATGCTCTTGTGATTTTCTCCCACCTAAAGAGATTTTTATGTTATTCTTGGCAACTGAAAAATAAGCAAAGCCTCATCATTTCTTTCTTTGGACTACTTTTTTGGTTTCCTTTGACCACTGTCAGTTCAGCAATATTTTGAGGTGGAATCAGCACTATAATTAGACACAACCTAAGAGTCTGAGAAATCAACACTAACTCCCAATGAAAAGAAGAACACAGAATGAATAAAATATTTAACATGTTCAACAAGGAAGATCACATTTCCAGAAAGAAAAGAGCATTACTGTATCAGCACCCATTTCTTTGTCCTTGGATAGTACAGTCAGCATGGCACAGGCATCATCTGGATTCTGGAAATCCTTAATATAGCTCTAACTTATAGCCAAGTCAAATTGCAAATATTTTATGAGCGTTTATAATGTGCAAAACCCTGTCATAAATATTTTTGAGAAAACTAAAATTTGTAAACCAATGAACTTATACATTAAGGGAAAGGACCAGAAAATATATTCAAAATGCACTGAAAGATGAAAGAAGATATTCAAACAACATTCCAAAACAATAGCATAAAATCACTATGCAAAGGCACTACACTGTGCAAATTACAATGCATTTTTGTAGGCAAATCCCATTTTATTCTATACCTTAGAATACCAAATTTTCACTCATACTGTAGTTCTTTCTCAAATAATCCAAACATTATGACACTGAGAATGACAGAATTTACAAAACAACTTTTTCTTTTTGTACATTATAGCAAAGAGAACTAAAAATTTTAAGGATCTCAATTTCCTAGAGAAACGTTGCCAGGAAGGTTTTAAGAATAGTTGAGCTACAGCATAACTTACTGCTACTAGAAAATGATACATTGTAAAAACAACACATTTTCAGTTATAAATGTTTCTAGAAGTTTATGTGTTTATAAAGACCATATATTTTGAAATAATTTCTTCCTTTTTTAACAAACAATTTTCAACAAAAGAAAAGACTGATTAGAATTCTGCTGATAAATTGCCACTGATTGGGTAAATCCTAGAGATACTTGGACTCGAACAGCAGCAGCCTAGACCAGGATTTTCAACCTTGCCTTTGGGGGCTGGGAAGATTCACTACAGAGGTGGGGTGTCACTCAGGCATTACTGCTCTTATGGGAGAGTTCACATCTCTCCATCAGCATTTTCTACACATTCAGAGCCACAGAAGACCACAAGGCAATGAGGACAGAAGAGACATACACAGAAAGGAGTGACAGGAGTTGTATGTTTTCTTCTTGGAACCAGAAGAAAGTGAAGTTCTTGCCCAGGGAACTGAGCAAGTCCCTTTCCAGTCATACTTTCAATTCCACATACTCTATTTATATCTATAACTAAAGAAATTATGATAATTTTTAAAATTGCTATGAGACATGGAAGTTTTACTATTTCACAAAAATTTATAAAACATCACAGTCCCATCTGAATTTTCCCTTAGTCATTATGTTCTGATGACAAGACTAAAATCTGTCTCTTATGATTTGGGATTTTTCAGTAAGGAAATCTAGGAGATAGTTTTTCCCTCAGTGTTTGAGCTGAACAATCCTATTTTTCTATACAAGCATAATCACCCAATAGGTAATCATGTTACAGCAAGGCTCCAAACACACTTTTTCCATTCATCCAGGATATCCTGAGATCATCCCACAATGAACAGTAAGAAGACAGCAGAAAAATGGGTGAAAAACAGAAACAATACGCGACAGGACCAGTTGTAAGGAAAGGAAGATGGAAAATAAGGCAAAGGCAGCATAGAGAACCACCAAGACAATGGAAGAAAATTAAAAGAAAAAGGAAAACATTAAAGGTCAAAAAGTGGTAAGAAACAAAAATAACAGACTAGAAGATACTCTCAAAACGGTCTTTACATTTTGGGGACATGTGGATAGTTCAACTTTCAGAAGTCCTTTCTCTACTCATGAAGGTGCTCTGAATTAACAGACAGTCTAATTTCCTTCTAAAACAGACACAGAAGGCACAGAGAAGATGAAAGAAATAACATTGACAGGTTTTGTTGGTTTTTAATCACTTTCCACACTCAGAAAAAAAAGTCTTATCATTCTGAAGCTGGTTAGAAGTTGAACAGGTATCTTTTAGAGAGGATCACCTCAAGTGATGCCTACAGGACTCCGATGCTTTACACTCACAGATGACCTGGGGAAAGGAAGAATGAGCTTGACCACCAGATCTGCACAGGGTAAGATACTGGGCATGACTGGCAATCTGCAAAGTGAAAGAAGCAGGCTGACATTTTATTTTAAAATAGGATGACGCTCTGGAAAAGCCTCACATAGAAAAGCAAATGAGGGAAAAATCTGGCTAGGCATTAATACAAAATAAGAGAACTGGGAGTAATGCTTACCAAAACTGGCTGAAATTATCACATTTTTAAAATTAATTATTTCCTTACCTTACACCAGAACAATTCTAGGTTATTAAAAATTTTTCAAAAGTTATAAGATTTAAAATATGGGAAGAAAACACAATAGACCACTTCGATAACTGGAATTCATAAAAAAGCAGAACTATTATATAGCACCATAATAAACAAAAGTAAACATATTAAAAACAGTTCATGCTTTTAATATCTAAATAATTCTTACAAATCAAACAACTGCAAAGCAAGAAGAAAAAGAACAAATCAAAGGTGAACACTAAGAGGTGATAAACATCCTGCAACTCAGGGCTCCTCCGAAAACTATCTTTGGACTTCTAGTAGGAATTTCTATGTAACAAGGAAAATTGACAGATTAAATAATATGGCCTGAGATTTTGGTTTTAAGGTTTTTCAAGTTGCAACAGGCAGCCATACGCTCACATCATTTTCTACAAGTGGACAAATTAAGCATGCCACACCTCACAATAAAGTCTAGTTTGGGAAAAAATGACAGCCTCTATAACAGCAAGCACTGAAGTAAACAAATCACATTTTCTTAGAAAATTTAGGCTTAAAAAAGAAATGTTTAAATAATATCATTAACAAAAGTTTAAAGGGAGACAAAGCTTTACAAGTTTTGGCTTACAGGAAACTTCCTGAAACTTAACACAGCAGCTGAATACATTAAATTACAATGCTGTCAGATACTGCTGGCAGAGTTGACACTCTTGTGCATAGATAGATTCATGCACAATGAGAATCCTGATGGAGAGATGCCACAGAAATATATAATGGAAAATCCTATAATAGACACAAGGAAAAAAATATTACGAAGAGTATCCTGCTAACTCCTATTTGTGTCACACGTGTGCCCGTTTTCATTACCTAAAAAACTCTGATAACTGCAGTTTTATTTATTATCATTTTTTAAGCTGATTTCCAAAGAATAGGAATAGTGGAGGTTAACTATGCACCTACTCAATACTAGATGGAAACAGCTGTGGTTCAAGTCATATATACAGGACTATTTTTAATGTACTCAATGGCATTCAATTCCGTATGGTGAATAATGTATAGTGCTCAGAAGCCCAAGTAACAATTGGTCTAGAACTGTTAAATCACGTTGCAAAATATAACACCTACTAGAAATCTACATCCAAGGTTTATTTCCCATTCAGTTAATCATCAACCAAGAACCTATTAGGGGTCAAGCACTAGGAATAGGATAAAAATAAGTCTATGTCATGTTTTTTTCCCTTAAGGATTTGGCATGGGGGTTGAAGCAGGAAGAGATATAAGAATACAGGAATTAAAAACTCTTGATAAGGCCGGGCACGGTGGCTCACGCCTGTAATCCCAGCACTTTGGGAGGCCAAGGCAGGCGGATCACGAGATCAGGAGATTGAGATCACCCTGGCTAGCATGGTGAAACCCCATCTCTACTAAAAATACAAAAAATTAGCCAGGTGTGGTGGCACGCACCTGTAGTCCCAGCTACTTGGGAGGCTGAGGCAGGAGAATGGCATGAACCCAGGAGGCAGAGCTGGCAGTGAGCCGAGATTGCGTGCACTCTAGCCTAAGCGACAGAGCCAGACTCCGTCTCAAAAAAAAAAAAAAACTCTTGATAAAATTAGAAAATGTCACTAAATAATAAGCTATGAAATGCATATTACAAATAATTAAGTATCAAATAGAAAAATCAGTAAGTAAGTCTGGAAAGGCATGGGGACTTCATGGAAAAGGAGAGACAAGCTACACTCAAGAAAAGGTAGAATTTGGATATCTGAAAGAACAGAGATGGCCTTCTAGACAGGAGACAGCATGAGCAAAGCAAACTTACTCCTCCATATTGCCTCTTAGCAACAAAGGGATCCAAATTGGCATACTGGCATATTAGTTATTATAGGTCACTAATTCCTGAATAAACCAATTGCTATGGTTAACCATAATAATTTTTAAATGTTTTATTGATACATAGTATTTTTACATTTTTATGTATGTGATATTTTGTTACCACCATAGAATGGATAATGATCAAACCATGGTATTTATAATAACCACCACCTCAAACATTTATAATTTCTATGTGTTGGAACATTTCAAGTCCTCTCTTCTAGCTATTTTGAAAAATGTAATGCATTATTAACTATACTCACTCTACTTTGCTATTGAACATTAGAACTTACTCCTTCTATCTAACTGTATGCTTGTGCCCATTAACCAACCTCTCTTCAACCCCCACCCCCTATACACCATTTCCAGCATCTGGTAACTATCATTCTACCCTCTACCTCCATTAGATCAACTTTTTGGTTCCCACATAATAGGGAGAACATGTGATATTTGTCTTTCTGTGCCTGAGTTATTGCACTTAACATAATGATCTCCAGAACCAACCATGTTGTTGTAAATGACAGGATTTTATTCTTTTGTATGGCTAAATAGTACTCCAGTGTGTGTGTGTGTGTGTGTGTGTGTGTGTGTGTGTGTGTGTGTGTGTATACACACCATGTTTTCTTTACCCATTTATCTGTTGACAGGTAAACATTTAGGTTGATTCCATATCTTGGCAATTGTGAATAGTGCTGCAATACACATGGGGGTGCAGGTATTCCTTTGATATACTTTTTTTCTTTCCTTTGAATAAATACCCAGTCAGTAGCGAAAACTGCTGGATCACACAATAGTTCTATTTTTGGGGAAATCTTCATACTGTTCTCCATAATGGCTATACTAATTTACATTACCACCAACAGTGTATAAGAGTTCCTGTTCTCCACATTCTCGCCAGCACCCATTAGTTTTTGTCTTTTTAGTAATAGCCACTCTAAATGGGATTAGATGATGTATCATTGTGGTTTTGATTTGCATTTCCCGATGATTAGTGATGTTGAGTATTTTTTCATGTTCCTGTTGGCCATTTGTGTCTTCCTTTGAGAAATGTTTATTCATGTTTTTACATACTTTTTAATGAGATTACTTACTGTTGAGTTCCCAGTATATTCTGGATATTAGTCCCTTGTAGAATGAATATATATTTTGCAAATATTTTCTCCCATTCAACAAGCTGTCTCTTCACTTTGTTTTCTTTGCTGTTTGGAAGCTTTTAGGTTGAATATAATCCCATTTTTCTAGTTTTGATTTGTTGCCTGTGCTTCTGATGTCTTAGCCATAAAATTTTTGCAAGATTAGTGGCCTACAGTATTTCCCCTAAACCATAATAATTTTGAGCAATGCAGAGGTATGATGAAAACAGTGCTTATGGAAGAATATTCTAGCAGCAATTTGCAGGACAGATCCAAGAGAAGAAATTCAGAGAGAACAAGGAAAGAGAGATTATTGAGAAACTCCAATTTCAACATCTTGAAAACTCAAATTGGGTTTATATCTTCAGTAATAGAGAGGAAGTGGTATACCTGAGCCTGATTTATAAGCATCAATAGAACTTGGTGACAATTGATTCCAGAAAATGTATGAGAGAGCCCCCAAAAGTTCCTAGCCCAAGGGAATGGAAAATTCCATATCAGTTTTCTTATTTTTAAAATGAGAAAACTCATGTTATTGAAATGAATTACAATCTATACATAGATGCTGCAGTATCTGTCGTTCACTTCGGCTGCTGTGTATCTGAATCACCTTCCCATGCATGAATAGTGTCTCTCTTAGGAAGAAAATCCCACATCCCACTCTAAAAATAAAAATATCCGACATTTACATTCTAGCCTCCATTGTAGCTATGACCTTGACTCAAGACCTGCTTTCTGTCAATCAGGCATACCAGCCCCAGACTAACTTGGGAGTTAGTGAGGGGAAAGGGATGTAGACACATTGTCACAGCAACTGGCAGCAGCAGCTAAATCAGAGTTCCAGAGTGGAGGCTGAAGTACAGGATAATTGCCAAGTGACACGGACAGTGCCCCTGGCCAACTCTCATCACCAAATTCAATGATGTGATTTTACGCACTGTTCCAGGCTGCCTGGTTCTAAGGCCCTTGCAGAGATTCTGTAAATTGCTCAATATGCTCTAAATTATTCCTTTCCAATTTAAATCATCCAGTGTCTGTTTCTGTGGCTTACAAATAAGAATCCTTATTGATAGAGATGCTAATGAGAATGGCTTATAAAACAGTAGTAAACTGCTTCTTTAAAGAAGATAGGATATTTGGAATGAAATTCAAGCACTATCAATAATTACGGCACTATTTGTTTAAAATATGAGGTACCTAGTAGCAATATCTCCCAACTCCCATTATCTTCTTTAGCCACATATATGCACAAATTTTTTTGCCTAACACAACAGTCTCCAACCTTTTTGGTACCAGGGACCAGTTTTGTGGAAGACAAGTTTTCCAGACCCGTGGCGGGGTGTGGAGGGGGCATGGGGGGATGGTTTCAGGATGAAACTGTTCTACGTCAGATCATCAGGCATTAGGTTCTCGTAAGGAGTACACAACCTACATCCCTTGTATGCGCAGTTGGCAATACACTTTGCACTTCTATGGGAATCCAGTGCTGCCACTGATCTGAGAGGGGGCAGAGCTCAGGCAGTAATGCTCGCTCATCCACCCCTCACCTCCTGCTGTGTGGCCTGGTTCCTAACAGGCCATGGACCTGGTACTTGTCTGTGGCCCAGGGGTTGAGGACCTCTGGCCTAACAGAAAGGCAATGTGATGTATAAACAAAAGATCATGAGCTTTAAAAGTTGATGAATCTATACTTGAATAATGACTTGAAAATTGAGTACTTGGATGACTTTGGACAAGTTACTTCACTTCTCTGAGCCTATTTTCTCATATAAAGTGATAAAATAACCATGCCAATTCCACAAAGTGATTTTTAAGATTAAATGAGATAGATAATGAAAAAGCTCTCATCTAGTGCCAAGCATATAGTGGTGATCAATTAAATCACTATTGATTTCTTAATTGATTAATACTGGCCACATGCAGTCTTATACAGTCTTGAGCAGTCCTGGCTTACACAATCTCATTTCTGACCTTGATTCTGCAAAACTCCCAGCACTGTAAAATCAGTCACTAATATATTTCACTCCAATGCTAAATAGGCCTGCCTATAGGGGTTCATTGGTATTTAGGCTTAATGCTTGTCTCTTGACTCATTTATTTTTGCTAGGAGTTATAAGAACTTTAACCTGACAGCTCAAATTTTTAAAGTAATAAATTCTCGTTGTAGATAATTTGGAAAATATAAAATGTACACAAAAGAAGGAATATATGAACCTTTTAGAGCTAAAAGAAATCTATAATAATGTTTATTCAAACCCTCTTATTTTCCAAATGAGCTAACTAAAACACAGAGAGGTTCAGGGATGGTCCCCAAATCACACAGAACACCATTTCATCATTTTATATATTAATAAGCCTTTACTGATCATTGGTAGGCAAAAGCATCATTGAACACGGCCAGAGTCTTGGCTTTAGCCTGGGTCTCTGGACTCCAGTTCAGTATACCACACACCCTCACACCAAGCACCCACAACAGTGTTCCTCCAATAACAGCTATTCAATCCTAAAAGATGCAAGAGACTCTAGAGGTGCTAAGGTATCTTTCCAAGGACATATTCATGGCTCTTGCTCTGAAGGAGTTCACTACTTACTGGGGAAAGACACATATCTGACGCATTATGATAGTAGGCAGACAAAAAATTCTAAAGATCTAAAGGAACACAACTGGGCTGGTGGTTAACTCCTAAAGATGGTACTGGGGAACCTCGCAGAGAAGGGAACATGCATGCTGGGCTTGCAGAGAGAGAGGAGGATTTCCATTATCAGAGAAGGGCATTGGGTGTACAGGTAGAGGCAAAACTAGATGCATGAGATGTGCACAGCAGGTCTGGGTAACAGGGAATCATCAACCACAGCAAGGCTGAGTGTTGGAAAAGATAAGACATGAAACTGGACAAGCTGGTTAGAGTCAGATTATAAAAAATCTTCCAGGCTATGTTAAGGAGAATGAGCCATTTTCTCTGTAGCATGAAAAGCCATCAAAAGCTCATGAGGAGCAGAGGAGAGGCAGAATCAGAGCTAAGCTTTGAAATTACTCAAATGGAAGGGAGACAAAGGGAATCAGGGAAACCAAACAAGTTAAGTGATGCCCAGCAATGGCCCAGACTGCAAGAGAAGAGGGATCCATAGGCAGGGGGGTGAGGAGGCAAGGAGGAGAGCCCTTCCCATGTGGCTGGCAGAGCATGAGAGGATGCTGACAACCAGACAGGACCACATCAGTCAGAGCTAGCATAAACCTATAGTTGTGCCAAGGCCAAAAACTCAAGACAGAAGAGAAAAAAAAGGCAAGAAACTCATAGTAGACAAGTGGTTTTCAGAGCGGAAAAAAATGCAATTTACTGCTCTGAGTTTGCTCTCTGGACTCAACTTCACAATTTCATCTGGCAACCAGAGACTTAGGAGACTAATTCCCCAAAGGCCACCTCCACAAGCTGTAGACACCATTCACACAGAGGAAATTAATTCGGAACAAACACCAGGGAGCACACTTGTCATTAAATGGCACATGGGGACTCCTAACTGGGCCAACTGCTCTGATCAGATTCCCACCTCAGCCAAGTTTCCAGAGTGAGGAGAGCAGGGCAGGTTCATCTGCACCATGTGATAGAAGCAACCTTCCCCTAGAGCTGATCTGAATGCAGTGCTAATTCAGCAGATGATGGACACACCCAGAGGCAAGACTCCCAGAGGAAAGACTATCTGCCTCCTGTTTAATCTAGCAGTCTCCACGGGCCCAATACTAATCAATCAGTATCCACATGGAGCTCTACTGTGTTCCCTCAGATATATTCTCTATACGTTTAGTGGAAATGCACCCAGTGCAGTTTTTTTTTTTTAAACCATAAAATGCTGATCATGCTTTCAGTAATGATTACCTAGGAATCACACAGACGCAAATTCCGGAAAAGAGGGAAGGAGGGGAAAGGAAACAGGAAAGGAGGGGAAAGGAAGGGAAAGGAGGGAGGAACACATATTAGAAAAACAAACTATAATATGATGGTATTATTTAGAACAGTTAAAATAAACTAAAGGTATACATACCCCCAGGGATTCATCTCCAAAAGAGATTACTCTCAAAAACATTTTTTAAAAAACAAGCTGGATTTTGTCATTTATGTAAATAATAACACATGAATGTAAAACACACAAATGGTATAAATAATGTTTAAGACTATATACATAAGTAGTAAAAATATAAACCAATATCATGTAGATGAAAGCTGACAACATTCTCATGATGCCAGGTCTCTAGATAACTGGTTATTCAGTCCCCCCACCAGGTCCAGCCCTCCCCTCTCGACATGCTACCATCATTTAGCAAATTTAAAAACATAACATTATAGGCCTCACTCAATTGCCTGACTTTCTTGAGAATCTTGATTCTCATAGTCAAAATATATAGTTTTATTCAATTCAGTTTTACGACACAAGAATTGCTGAAAAGAAAAAAGTATCAATTTGTAGAGTTTTTTGTTTGTTATCTTAAATATTAGTGATCCCTGTTTTTAACTCAAGTTTGGAAAAAAAATATAAGCTTTGAACTTTTCTGAACCTTTCATACAGGGCTCCAGATGAAACAGCAAAATAGATTGCCTCCAGGAAACCAAGTATTTTGTCTTTAACAACATTCTATCTTTTCCCCTTCCAATTATATCAATATCAACCTCTTAGAAACAGAAATTCTTTCTTCCCTTGCTATCATGCAGATTAAATACATATATATTCAGCTCTGGGGAGGGAGAGAAGAAACAATCATGGGTCAAAACCTCATATAATAACAAATGAAAGCTTCAGTTACATATGTAATATATTAATTCTTATTTCAAAAACAAGAGAAAATGATATTAGAGACAGGCACAGTGGCTTGAGGCTATAATCCCAGCTACTTGGGAGGCTGAAGGTGGGAGAATTGCCTTGGGCCAGGAGTTCAAGACCAGCCTGCACAACATAACAAGACTCTGTCTCAAAAAAAAAAAAAAATTCAAAAATGATATGACACAAATATGACAAAGTGTTAATATCTCTTAAATCTTGGTGATGAGAACAGGAATGCCTCAAATTGCACTTTTTCAAAAAAGTGAAAATATATCACTTTTTAAACCTTTAAATGGAAAAATTCGATTGGGGGAATTTATGTAGGATTTCATAATGCCTTTAAAAATATATACACCGCCAAATACTCTTCCTTCAAACTGTTTTATCATCAAGGAAGTATGATGATTGTGGGATTAAAATCTATGATAACAGTTGTTATAAATAACAACTGCTTTTTTCTTTTCTGAAGTCTGGGGTTGCCATACAAAAATAACTTACCTCTGCTCAACATCACTGATCATTAGAGAAATAAAAATCAAAACTACAGTGAAATATCATCTCTACCCCGTTAAAATGGCTTTTATCCAAAGACAGGCAGTAACAAATGCTGACGAGGATATGGAGAAAAGTGAACCCTCATACACTGTTGGTGGGAATGTAAATTAGTATAGCCAATATGGAGAATAGTAAGAGGATTCCTCAAAAAACTAAAAATATAACTACCATATGATCCAGCAATCCCACTGCTAGGTATATACCCCAAAGAAAGGAAATCAGTATATCAAAGAGATATCTGCACTCCCCTGTTTATCACAGTACTGTTCACAGTATCTATGATTTGGAAGCAACCTAAATGTCCATCAGCAGATGAATGAATAAAGAAAAATGTGCTACATATACACAATAGAGTACTATTCGTCCATAAAAAAATGATGAATTCCTGTCATTTGCAGCAACATGGATAGAACTGGAGGACATTATGCTAAGTGAAATGAGCCAGGCACAGAAAGACAAACTTCACATGTTCTCACTCATCTGTGGGAGCTAAAAATTAAAACTATTTAACTCATGGAGATGGAGAGTAGAAGAATGGTTACTGAGGCTAGGAAGGGGAGTGGGGGGGTAGGGTGTAGGGATGGATAATAGTTACAAAAATAGAGTTAGATAGAATGAATAAGATCTAGTATTTGATAACACAACAGAGTGATTACAGTTACTAAAAATTCATCGTACATTTAAAAAATAACTAAAAGTATAATTGGAATATTTATAACACAAAGAAATGATAAATATTTGAGTCGACAGATGCCCCATTTACCCTGATGTAATTATTAAGCCTTATAGGTCTGTATCAAAATATCTCATGTACCCCATAAACATATGTACCAACTATGTACTCATAAAAATTAAAAATTAGGAAAAAACTGACCTTCATTTCTCTGATCACCCATTTTTAAAAGTCTTTCCAATCCATATACTTAGAAGAAAAAATAGGAGCTTACCACTTTTTTAATGTATAATAAGGGGCAAGTTTCTTTAATACCTATATAACCAAGAGAAAAGAATGCAAACTGCCTAATGACCTAGATGACTGAAGGTATAAAAAGGCAGCTGACAGTATAAATCCACTGTCTTATGTGAGTCATATATTGAGAGGTACCTCTGACTCATGAAGCTGTCTCTGGAAAAATACAATATAAAAAAGCAAGCTCCTCACTTTAGATTTACTATAGAAGAAGATATTATAGAAACATTACTAATCTTGTTATTCAAGTTTCTTAAATAATCATTGTTGTTATCATATCCTTAGAAGACAAAATCCTGAAGACAAACTATTTTCAGACACCTAAGGAAAAACATAAATGTTATAGCATGTGTATTCACTGATTTGGCAAATAAGTGTTGATTGTTCAGAACTATGATAGACATTAAAATACAAAAAAGAGTAAGAATGTCCTTCCTCATGAAGCCAAAAATGGGAAAGACAGTAAACAAAGATATAAAACAATTATAGACAATAGTTCTGTGAAGAAATTCTTCTTGGTGCTGGGCCAATGAAGGAGGGAAAACCCAACTCAGATAGAAGAAGCCTCTCTAAAAACGTGTCATTTACACTGTGACATAAAACCTTCAAAGAGAAGGGGCCAGTCATGTGAAGATCGTGAACAATCCAGGAAGAGCACCAGCAAAGTAAATGACTCAGAGGTGGGAGAAAGTGTGTGGCGTGTTCTAGGAGCTGGTAGACAGCTGACACGTCCACAGTAAAATGGAAGACAGAGGAGGTTGGAGGGGCCAGGACATGCATGGAAAAGCCAAAGACAAGCTTCCAGCTGGGGAGTGCACAGTGTGAGATGAACTGTTAGAGGATACTTTGGCTGCTCTATGGAAATAGATTGCAGGAAGGCAAGAGCAGGAAAGGGAGACCTGATTAGTTAGTAATGTAACCGAAATGCAGGTTTCCTCACTCTCCGCTTGCAGAGTCCAATTAACAAGAGCAAGGTCTCGTATAAAGAAAGTGATTTATTCCAAAGCTATCTTAGGGGAAGAAGTACAGGTGGCCTGCCTTTAAGTGTACTGCTTTGCTTTTGGAGCAGAAAGTGGGCACTTTTAAAGAGAAATTGCATGCAGGGGAGGAAGCCGGGGATTGGGGTCCTTATGCCAGCTTCAGTGCCTTATCTACTGACTGGTTGAGCTGGTGACTGCTGGTGCCTTTGTGGGCAGGACTAGGGCAAAAACTCACCAGGTGGGAGAGAGCAGCAGGCATACTTTTTGACTGTTATCTCTTGAGGCAAAACTCCTGGTGGGTGAGAGTTCCACAGTGGGCATGCTTTGGTTTGTAAATTGTTAACTCTGGAAGAGAGATCAATCTTGGAGCCCATGGTTAGAAGAACTTGCCCTGTAGGGAATGTATGGTGAAGGGAAGGCAAAGGGTTATATTTGCATTTCCAAAGGGATAAGTGGGAAGTAAGGAACTGGAGGAATGAGAAAAAAGAGGGGAAAAAAAAATAATTAAATGGGCTGGGCGCGGTGGCTCATGCCTGTAATCTCAGCACTTTGGGAGGCCAAGGCAGGCGGATCACGAGGTCAGGAGATCGAGACCATCCTGGCTAACATGGTGAAATCCCGTCTCTATTAAAAATACAAAAAAAACAGCCGGGCAAGGTGGCGGGTGCCTGTAGTCCCAGCTACTTGGGAGGCTGAGGCAGGAGAATGGCATGAACCTGGGAGGTAGAGCTTGCAGTAAGCCGAGATCGTGCCACTGCACTCCAGCCTGGGAGACAGCGAGACTCCATCTCAAAAAAAATAAATAAATAAATAAATAAATAAATAAATAATAAAAAAATAATTAAATGATCTCTTCGAAAAAATGGGGGTACTTGGTTACTGTAATAGTCCAGGCAAAAGATGATGTTGGCATGAACTAAAATAGTAGCAAAAGAGGTTCATTCCTTCTATAATAATTATGTCTTGAACACCTACTACATACCAGGCACTTTTCTAGGTAATATGGACATGTGAAGAGTGAAGTTAACAAGACCCTTCCTTGTTCTGTTAATATTACATTCTCAAAGGAAGAGACAAAAGACAAGTAAGCAAATAAACAGGCCATAAAATTTTGGATGAGAGAATACTAGGAAGACAATAAAACAAGTTGATATAATAGGGAAGACTGTGGGAATGGATATTCAGAGTTGCTACTTAGGCTGAAGAGACAAGAAAAGTAATATTTTACCCACTATCCAATCGATGAGAAAGCGCTTCAAAGTCCAAAGGAGAAGGAGGAAGATGGAAAAATTCAAGATGACTCTTGAAGACAGAATCAGAAAAACTTGCTTACAACAGTGATGACAGACATGAGGGAATCAAGAATAGTGTCCAGGTTTATGATTTTAGAAACTGCAGATAATGATTCTTCCATTTTCTAAAATGAAGGATGGGGAAGAAGCACATATATGAATTTTGAAATTAAGTGTTCCATTTTAGACTTACTAAATTTGAGTTCAGATGAGATGTGCATTGACTGTGAGTCTGAAACTTAGGGAAGAGACCTACTGTGCAGATTAAAATCTGGGAGAACCTGTAGAGAAATGATAAGTGAAGCAATGGGAATGGCTGAGACTCCCCACGTGGGCTGGGTAGCATTAAAAAAAAATAATAAAGATTAGAATAGAGCCTGTGGAACTCCAAATTTTAGAGATCAAGCAGTGGAAGAAAAGCTGAGCAAAGAGACAGAAGAATGGCCAGTGAGGTGGTAGGAAAGTCACGAGACTGTCTGTTAATGGACCAAATGTTTGTATCTCCACAAAACTCCTATGTTGAAGCCCTAAACCCCAGTACCATTGTATTTGGAGATGGGCTTTCTAAGAAAGTAATGAAGGTTAAATGAGGTCATAAGGGTGAGGCCCTGATCTGACAGGATTAGTGTCCTTATAAGAAGAGAAGCCAGAGAGCTTGCTTGCTCCCTGTTAATGCCCATCCATTGAGGAAAGGTCATGAGAAGACATAGTGAGGAGGTGGCTATCTGCAAGCCAGGAAGACAGCTCTCCAAGAAACCAATTTGCAAACACCTTGATCATGGACTTCTAGCCTCCAGAGCTGTGAGAAAATAAATTCTTGTTGTTTAAGTCACTCTAACTGTGGTATTTTGTTACGGCAGTCCAAACAGACTCAACCAGTGTCATTGCAAAGCAGCAGAGGAAGAAGGTTTCAAGAAGCAGGGAGACGTGAACTGAGTAGAAAACTGGCAAACAGCTGATTAAGATGAGGGTAGAGAAGTGTCCCAGTATACAGAATATAAATTTCATGAGTGATGTTGATAAAAGTAATTGTAATGTGGTGATGGGAACAAATGCCAGATTGGAATAGACTGAAAAACAAAAGAGATGGGATAAAGTGAAGATGCACATAGCGTCGCTATTTCAAGAAATTTTTCTGAGAAAGGGAAATGAGAATAAGGTGATAACTAACGGGGGAATATGGAAGCAAGGAACTTCTTTGTTTGTTTGTTTGTTTTACAGTGAAGGAAACTATTAACACATGTGTATATTGATGAGGATGGCCCCATACGGAGGTTCAAATGGATAATGACATGTACATTTTCAGAACCAATGTACAAGGTATTCTGCTCAGTACTGAAAAGGATCCACAGATAAATACGGCCAGCCTTCTGAGGAAGTAAGCAGAACCCCAAACAAATAAAACAACCTACAGGTGTTCCTTAATTAAAAATACTGGAACATATACACTATCTATATCTGTACTTCCAGCAAGAGGACATTTTATGTATGCAGCATTTTCAGTTAAATAAAACATTTAACTGAATGTTAAATTCAGTTAAAATATTTCAATATATTAATTGTAAAAGGTAGTATGGCTCAACTATAAACATATATAATGTATTCCTTATAATCACTAGTAATAACTAAGTGGTTAGTCACAATGATTTACTAGGCCCCATGCAGAATCTTATTAAGAATTAGAAATAATATAAAAATATAAAAAGCAATATTAACCAAAAGAAATAGAAGAACAGGAACACTATTTTAAGAGTAAAAGAACCCACAGATGCTGAAGAAGGTAAGAAATCTAGGGTCCCATTATTCGAAATGAGGTGATCCCATATGTCTCTAAACTAAAAGTCAGTAAACTACCACAGGTGGTCCAAGTCTGTCTTAACATTTTGTAAATAAAGTTTTATTGGAACAAAGCCATGCTCACTCACTTATGTGCTGTCTATGGCTGCCTTTCTACCACAATAATAAATGTGAGTAGCTGCAGCAGATACTATATGGCCGAACAAGCCTAAAATAGTTCCTTTCTTATCTTTTACAGAGAATGTCTGCTGACCCTTGATCTAGATTATATGCAAACAGGGGCTGCCACATACAGATAGGTTGGTCTAAAATGACTGTGTAGCAAGTATCATCACACTTATGGGTCTTTATTGCATATGCTTGTACCTTTTCTACAGGTTTTAATTTGTTTAATAAAATCATGGAATGCAGAAACAAAGAGAAAAAAGATAAAAACAAAAATGAGAATCTATATGATTACCCTTTACCAAATATTTGGATTAATGTCAAAGATAGTACCCTCGCGGGAAAAAAAAAAACTGCCTAAGCCTATTCCTCCTTAACAAATTTAAGAGGAAGGAAATGTAGGCAGGCTCATGATAGAGAAAAATCTACTACTTTCTCATTCCCATATGAAGTAATGATTATAACCACTCTCCTACATAAATATTCTGTCAAACTGGTCTACTCCCCTACCTGCAAATGCTTTGACCTTTCCTACCCCAATGCCTCTGCCCAAATAAAATCCTCTGCTTTCCATCAAAATAAAATAGCCTCTCACAAAATATCTGCCTATCCAAATCTGTCACCTTTCAAAGCTCAGCTTAAAAGTCACTTCCTACTTGAATTTCTTCCTGCTTATTCAGGCCAAAGCTGACCCTCACTTTTGGATTTATCTGGACAAATCAGGTTATTATGTCTGACACTGTCAAGACACTTACCAAATACTGCCTTACAATGTTGTAAATTTATCTACACATTTACTATATTGTAAATCCCTATCTATACAGTTAGGTTATAGGCAACCTGGAGGAAAGGAATCATTTCTTATAATCCTTTATCCCCTTCAGCAACAGTAATAGATGAGAATGCACAGAGAGGCATATGTACTCTTAATGAAATGCGGAATCAACAATAACAAGGTCTCCACTTGTACAAGTTTATCTTGTTATTGTCTTAAGGTTAGTAGATTTAACTTAAGGAGCTAAATCTACTAACTTCTACTACTTACCAAATACTGCCTTGCAATGTTGTAAATTTGTCTACACATTTACTATATTGTAAATCCCTATCTACACGATTAGGTTATAATAGGCAAGCTGGAGGAAAAGAATCATTTGCTCCATTACGCTACTTGCTATGCAGATTTGAAACCTGTAAGATTGAAAATTCTTATTTAACTGTAAGTTATAACTCACATTTCTAAGGTTGAATATTTGTTTCTCTTTACCTCATTGCTTACTAGCCTTAGGGAGTCATCAACCCTTCCAAGTTGAGCTTTATATTTGTAAACAGCGATAATAAGAATATGAGCCCTCCTGCATTATAGTTCACAGTAGAGCTCAATGCAATAAAGTAAGTGTCGTTTTTGGAAAAAATGAAAATTGCCACAAAAGGTATGAGGTCATACTTTCATTACTGCTCTAGTGTACTGCAGTTCACTGGCAGACAGTTGGCAAACTGATGAACTTCCAATGTTAGCGAAAGTCAAGGGCTATTCCAGGCACTTAAGCTTCATGATACTCAACAGACAGGTCAACTGATCATTACAGCCAAAGTGCTCTCACAAAAGGCCCTGTTACAGAGGCTACGAAGGTGAAGTCTTCGAACTCCTGTCTGCAGTAATCAAATTGATTTTGCTTATAGAATCTGAAACCAGTATTAATGTAAAGAAAGAAACAAACGGAAAATAAAGGGTGTAATGTCAGCCCGAGTCTATATTTTTTAAAGCAGATAAACAGCTTAATATCTAAGCACTAAATATTATCACTTGTTTCAGTTTTTTATATTAAAAAGATAATATTTTAATAGTATCTACCATTTGCTGTATAAATCTTATAAAAATATTTAGTAAAAAAATATGAATGACCTAAAAGTTAGTATGCTGTAATAGTTTCTCATACTTTCTTTCATGTATTTTTTGTCTTCTCCACAAAATTTTAATATGCATGTATTTTTAGTTTTATCTACCTGTTTTCTACCCTGAACTACCTATGACGACATTCAGTCAAGGGTCCTCTGAGCTAAATAAAATTTTCTGTGACTAAGCCAGACAGAGGTAACATGAAAGAACTACTTACTACTATTAAGGAATGGAAAGGACAGCACTATTTGACACTTAGTTCTTCCCTTCTCTCAAATCCCTCTTCCTTCCTTATTCTCCAGGTGTGAGTTTAAAGAACAACTTACAAATGAGGTCACTGTTCCTTGTACTTCACATTTTCAAACTCTCATCACACTCATCAGGGTGTATCTCTCCCACCTAGATCCTATGAAGAAATGTGAGTGGGATATAGTTCATTTAGATGGATTTATAACTGGCTGAAATATCACACCCAAGAAACAGTGATTAACAATTGATTGATACAAGGAGAGAAAACTCTAGGAAGTAGATTAGCATTGCCCCAGCTGCCCAAGTCAGACATGATCAAAGAACTCATTTAACTCGATCAAGGACCTGGCCACAGAATCCTTTCCAATAATGTTCCAGAAAGCTATTACCAACAAATAGCATTGGCAGATGACATCAAACATATCTGAAGTTCCTGGATTAGGTTTTCTGAGGAATTATGTCCTTGCTTTTATCCAATTTGAGGTTTTTTAACCATTGATTTTATTTGAAACAGTCTTATTTCTGTGAGTGATTAAAATTTTTAATAAAGGACCTTATGAGAAGTCAGAATCAAAATTCAAATGGGAGCTAAAATATTTTATTAGTATCTTGAATTTATTTCATACTAGTTAATGGTCAATTCCTATTCTAGACCAACTAGAGGCTTGAGAATTACTTGGAAGGGCCTATCAACTATACATCCACCCACAGATGATCTGGGACATGGGAGTCAAGACCAGACTCAACACACCCCAAGACATGCAGTCACAAAATTGCTAAGCATTCTGGGCAGCATTCTGGATACTCCTGAATCAAGACAGTTTTGGTGAGTGAATTTGAAGGGCTAAATAGTACACAGCGAGATTCATTCTGGCATTTAGCTCCTCTCTGGAACATCTGGTGCTCAGACATCAGTTAAAAAGCTCTCTCTGGGTGGCTCTCTTTACCTGTTCTTGCGTTAAATATCGAGGAAGAAGAGTCAAGTTGTTTCTGCCTTTCAAGCGTACAAGATTCAGTGATATAAAGGGCACTTACCACCTGAAAAAAGACCTAGGCTGTAAGGCAGAAGGCCTGAGGTCTAGGCCTGGCTTATCCTCTAACATAGTGAGTATATTAGTTTTCTATACTGCTGTAACAAATTACCACAAATGTATGGCCTAAATCAACTCTTATTATCTTATATTTCTGTAAGTCAGAAAATCAACATGCATCTCACTTAAGCCAGTGAGACGCATGTTGAATTTTTGACTTACAAAAATCACGGGGTTGGCAGGGTAGTATCCCTTTCTGGAGATTCTATCGGATAATTCTTTTCTATGCCTGTTCCACCTTCCAGAGACTGCCCACAATCCAGATATTATGGACACATAGCCCTCTTCCTCCATCTTCAAAGCCTGCAGTGGAGCATCTCTCTCCAAGCCAGTTGGAAAAGGTTCTCTGCTTTTCAGGACCCATATGATTACATTGGGCCCACCCAGATAATCCAAGATAATCTACTCATCTCAAGGTCCTTGTCTTTATCACATCTGCAAAGTCCTTTTTGCCATGTAAGGTAACATATTCATCAGTTTCAAGGTTAAGATATGGACATCTTAGGGAGGCCATTATCCTGTCTACAAATGATCAATCTTGAAAACATCAACTTACCTCTGTGATAACACCTGCAAAATGAGAAGTCTGAACTACATCATTTGCAAAGCCCCTTTCAGCCCTATTTTATGCAGGTGAGTAAATGTCAAGAATTCTAACAAGAAGCTTCTCACATAACAAATTACGGATGCTGGAAAGCAGCATGCACACTCTGCTTTCCTTTCCAGCCATGTAAATTGGTCCATTTGCCATGATGAGCCAATTACACAGAGAGATGTTAGTAAAATAAACTAAATGATTTGTGAAAAGAATTACAATAGGACAATTACAAATCTACTGCTAGTCTCCAGAGCAAATGAAAGGGGATGATAGTGCTGCTTACTACAGCACTATTGTATTTTAAATCTGGGTTGACTCACTGTATGATATTGTTAAAGTCAAACAATTGTCCCTCAACCATCTGTTCCCCTGATTTATATAGCTTTTATGTGGGCTCCTCTCCTAGCTGCATTCTGTCAGCAAGCCATGTAAAAATACAAAGTCATTACCATGCTCTACATTAAAGTGTATTAGAATTAATTCTGAACATAAAACCTAGGAGATTAAAGTTTATTTATACCAACTCATTTTTACTTCAAGCATAAAGTACACCATTAAGTACTAACAGTATTTTAGTTTCTGTGTGGGCACTTCCTTTGCACAGACCACAGTCCTGTACAGTATTTCCTGTAAAATAACCACAGTATTTTTTTTCTCATAATGGGGGCATTTGGCAGCTGCAGTCACAAGTAGCTTAACAAAGTTGACTTTATTTACTTTAGCCTAAGACATCCACCTAGAAACTCAAATGCATATATGAGAACTAAAAAATGTGAAACTTCAATTTTTAAATCTTAAAAACAATATTTACAATGTCAGTCTAGCTTACATTGCTTTTAATTATGGAACATGTTCAATGTCAAAAGAGATCGCAGATTTGCTCCATATCATTTAATCAGAACAAACAAGGAGCCTTTCATACATCCCTTTGGAATGATTTTTCCCACAAGCAACCGAGAGATAAGATATCTGCTATTTTACTCAGTATATACAAGTTTTATTTCATTTAAAGAACTAAATTTAAGTGAAACAGTATATAGAAGCACTCCATGTTAATGAGCAAAACTACTTAAAACTCCTTAACCAAAGATTTAGATTCCCCTTTGAAGAAAAGTTCCTTTCACCTTTTAAAATTCAGCAGGCTTTAAAGGCCATTGTCAGAAAAGTCTGAGAACCAGAAAACAGGTTCTAGAAACTATGAGTTTCTCATGCACATAAGATCATGCACTATTTAGTGAATAAGACATAATTACACACTTTTTTTTTTTTTGAGACAAAGTCTTGCTCTATCACCCAGGGTGGAGGGCAGTGATGCAATCATAGCCCACTACAGCCTCCAGTTCCTGGCCTCAAGAGATCCTCGTGCCTCAGCCTCCTGAGAAGCTGGGACTACAGGCATGGACCACCAAGATCAGCCAATTTGTTTTAAAATTTTTTGTAGAGATGGGTCTCACTATTGTGGAGTCCTGATAATGTAAGTAAGCAAAAATGAGGTAGGGGTTCCAGGTGGGGGAGAACAATTGCTCTGAGAGACAACTTATCACAAACAACCCGCTGGCACAACTACCTCTCACTTCACAGGTAGCCCCAGCAGCATGACCTCATTCTGCACATAGCCCCCTCCAGCATGACCCTATAAAACATCCCTCCAGCCCCTGCCTCTTTGCAGACATCCCCTTCTCTGCTGTGCTGCCTGTCACACCCTTCCAACATATCTTTGCTCATTCTCTAATAAATCTGCCTTTCTTTACCTACGATTGTCTTGGTAAATTCTTTACCATCTGCAATGCTGGCCCCAGGCAATCACAGGGTGACAACTATGTTACCAGGCTGGCCTTGAAATCCTGGCTTCAAGCAATCCTCCTACCTTGGGAGGATCCCAAAGTACTGGGATTACAAGTGTGAGCCACCGCAGCTGGCTTATAAAAATTAAGTTTAATTTGTATATCGTGTTATATCTGTATTAGTTTAAAACTAGCTGATTATTCCAAAACTTGTGATAGTGACTTCCACTTAAAATCTTCACTCACTATAAGTAAAGCTCAGATGTGGGGAATAACCACAAATACTTCTACAGGTTGAGTATCCCTTATCTGAAATGCTTGGGACCAGAAGTGTTTTAGATTCCAGATTTTCTATTTCAGATGCTCAACCAGTAATAAGATCTTGCTAAAACAGTAGGTAAATGATAGCAAAAATTTTCGGGTTTTGTGAGTTTAAAAAAAAAAGAATATTAGGACTTTTCAGTATAGTCTTTTAAATTGTTTTTATAAACAATACATGAAAAAATATGTGGAAAATACTTTAAAATAATATATGACATATATCTCTATACAATAATACCAATTTGATATTACCAACTCAAGGTTAATGGAACTGAGTGAATTAAAACTGTTTTCGTGTCATTTCAGAAAAGAAAAGGCTATCAAAATTGACAGGGAAATGCAAAATGAGCAAAGATAAGCATAGTTTTACAGGCAAATTCAAATAAGTAGAAATTTTTCTTCCATATATATTGCAATGTTTATTCCCAATATTATTCTCTGGAATGATCTTTTCTCTCCTCACAATTCATATTTAACCTTAATAGTTCATCTCAAGCTTTACTTCATCTTTAATCTCTTAACTAGTTTTCTCTCCATTGATTTTCTGCCCTTTTGTTCATGTTGCTCATTTGAGTATTTGGATATATCCTTCCTTGCACATTTATGAGTATATTTTATCCACAATGAGAATGTACACTTGTTCAGAGCAGAGCTTATGTTTTAAACCTCTATTTTTGGGATATTCTGGCTCCCAGCATCATGCTAGTATATAATAGACTCAATATACACTTAATAGCTTTACATTCGTTTTAGACATATTCTCATGTAACCATAGTAAAAACCAGAATTTTTTTCCACAATTCAGTAGAAAGGTTCTGCTGAGATTAGGTATGTAAAATTGCACCACATTTGGAAAAGCTCCTTGAGGAATCTTGACCAGTCACTGATACAGAACCTAAACCACAGCCTTGCCTACAACATCTATTCAACCCATAAGAACTTACTGAATTGGATCACAGGATTGACTTAAAACAACAAGATGAGCATGAGCTTGGAAGCAAATGCAATCATCCAGGTGTGAAGTAAAGTCAGTCTCATCTGGCAAGTAACCATGGAAGTGGCAGTGAAGGGATGGCAAGGACTTGGCAGCCATGGGGACTGATCTGGTTATAAGAGCAACACAAACATGGCCAGGGAAACGTTGCTAATGATCTAATGGACTAATGGACCTTAGTTCTCTCCTCTTGGAAATTAGAAGATGGTAATTAAAGATGTCTCTCTCCTTCAGCTTCTAAATATAATGCCGGAGGAAGCATATAGACTCACTGTGAACAAGCAGGTGCCTGGAGAGTCAGCAAATGCATCGGCAGAGCAGTTACAATGATAAGAACAGGAAGAACCTTCGAAAATGTTTGGAATTCGTGGACCGGGTCTTTAACAGTCTGAACAATGACCTGCGAGTCTCACAGCAATCCAAAAGGCAGTCCCACTGACTGCCTTCTATTTCTTCATGGCAGCATTTTCAAAATCATCATTTTCATTTCTATCTGAGTCTTTTATAAAATAATTTAAAACACAAACTCCAAATTACTAAAGCTTATTTTTTAATTTATGAACTCTTCCAACTGTCTAATATCCAGGATGTAGTATAATAGGTGTCTTTAACACCTCGGTAGAAATGGCTCCCCTTGTGTCTACCTTGCAATTAATTTATGTTTTCCAAAGTGTTGATGCTTCAATATTCATATTTAAGCTATGGAAATTTTAAAAACAGTAACGCTGTAGAAAATGTAAGCCATTGATTACATTGTACAAAATGTAAACTGCTGAATCATAAGTTAGGAAGAGCAAATAACATACACACATTGTTAATTGAATGCATTCATGCTAGAAAAAGGTCTATGATTCAAAGAACCATACTATTCTATTTTGTGTGCTTGGAATTTTCACTATCAAAAGTTTTAAAAAGTTTGATATAACAGTGAAAATCTAATGAGAAATACATGATTTTTTTCGCAACTAGAAAATCATAGCAAAAAATCATAAAGATAAAATAATTATGAAGATCAAGCATTAACATTTACATTAAGCTTAGCGAGGAAGGCATGTCAAAAGCTGAGGCAAGTCAAAAACTAGGCCTCTTGTGCCAGTTAGACAAGTAGTGAATGTAAAGGAAAAGTTATTGAAGGAAATTAAAGCTGCTACTCCAGTAAATACACAAATGATAAGAAAGTGAAACAGCTTTATTACTGACACAGTGAAAGTTTTCGTGGTCTGGATAGATCAGATCAGCCACAACATTCCCTTAAGCCAAAACATAACTCAAGGCCCTAACTCTCTTCCATTCTGTGAAGGCTGAGAAAGGTGAGGAAACTGTAGAAGAAAAGTTTGAAGCTAACAGAGGTTGGTTCATAAGGTTTTAAGAAAGAAGTCATCTTCATAACATAATTTTAAAATGATGTTAGACCAATCCTTTTTAAAGAAAATATTATCACGTATTTGTTCAAATCTCTCTTCTATACTTTTTCACTTATAACTGAGACTAACAAAATTTTAGAAATTTTTTTTTCTAATTTTTACTTATGTATGTCTATACTTACCTACAACATTCTAGGTTTATCTTTTCCAAAAGTTCATACTCTTTTTCAAGGGATGAGTTCTGAATATTCAGGAATCAATTATACAGTGTGTTTATGACGTGTGGTCAGTGCCTATTTCACTCCCTGTAACCCCACCAAGCAATAGTGAAATGTTCTTGTTATTGTGAAGCTAGCAAAGGTCTAGGGAGTCACTTGGATGACAAGGGTGGCTTCAAAAATGGTGCTAAAATTATTACATGAATCGTAATTAATAATTCCATTCAAGTTCTTCCTTGACTACTACAAGTAATCAAGCACTAGCCATGGCAATGCTTACTCGCATGCAATTTTGTTCACAGTGTCCACTCCTTAGGTTCATTGCTCACATGAGACAGTATCAGATCTCAATAAACCATAACATACTTTTAGTTCTTTTTCAAAAGTAAAACACTTTCACTCACTTTAAGATATTTAGAAACTATAGAGAACTGTAAAGCAGAACCAGGTGTTTTAACTACAGTCAACAATTTGCTGTAAATAATTCTTGTTTTCTCATTATGCAATTTTGTGTGGCCATATATAAACCCATTTTACATTTAAAAATTGCACCCTTATGGACACACACAGAAGAAACATCTCTTAAAGGGAAATAAATGCATGATACACCCGTAAATTATTCCAAAACCACATATACCTGTTCTGAATGTCTTTAGTACCCAATGTCTCTGCTGTTGTCAAGTCATAAATTAGCCCCCTTCAGGATTAGCTCTCATAACTCTTAAACCACTGGGCCCCATGCAGTGCTCTAAGGCAGGAATTTTAAAAATGTTCCATTGCATAAAATCAGTAAGGACACAGGAAAATAACTACAGGAAATTGGAATATTCAATTGACAATCTGGAGTACTGTCAATTAGATCAAGTTATTTGATAACTCTACACAATAGCAGAATACGCATTCTGATCAAGCTCACATGGAATAGTCATCATGACAGACCACATTCCAGGCCACAAAACATACCTTAATGGGAGGAATGGGGACAAGATGGCCAACTAGATGCAGCCAGGAAGCCCCTCTCCCACCAAGAGAGACCAAAATATTGAGTAAACCAACATACTTTGAACAGATCTTTGGAGAGAAAGCAATGAGAGTCAATAGAGAGGCAATGCAAACACCAGGGCTGATGAGGAAGGAAGCTGGGAACTCTGCATGGGGTTGCTGAATGCCAGGACTAGTTCCTGGCCTTGAACAGCTCCTAAGGAAGAAGTGAGTGAAGTGACTGTGGGACAACCTACTCTCACCATGGACCTCTGGGATCCTAGCTACAGGAGATCCCATGACCCCCACAGGCTTCTGAACTGACAGGGGCATCTGTCCAGAGAGTAGAAAGAGACAGAGCTCCAGCCTGCATGGAACCCAGGGGTTTTACACATAGGGCAGCTACAGCAAAATGCTCTAATAAGCACCCATCATTCAAGGCTCTCCATCTTCCTCCAAGTAGCTGTAACCCCTGCTGACTGCTAGGCCAGGAGAGAGTAGGGCTATATTTTCTGCAGGACTGGGGCACATCTGTACTGCATGCTCCCCTGTCCACCAGCCGCTATCAAGGCCCCTGCCTGGCTGCTCCCACAAGAGCATGCACACCGCACAGGTTCCATTACCCAGCCTCAGTGCCTTGCCATGGCCCCACATGAGTGCTTTCCTGGAGGCCTAGGAGCACTATGGCTACCCTAGCACAGCTGGTGCCAAGCAGCTAAAGGACAAAGCCTCAGGCTTGTGGCAACCCCCCAGGTTAGAGCAGATGGCTCAGGAGTGACAAGCTGAGATCTATGGCTGGTCCTCAAGCAGGGAAAGAGCACCCACTCTGAACACTGAGAAGAGTGAGATGTGCGGTTTGTGGGCCAGTGTGAGAGCTGGGCATGCCTCCCTCTGCGGGGCTGGTCTGGGAACAGTGTGGTCTATCTGCTAGCTGCAGCCTCTGCCCAATGTAGCCTCATGGCCTAGAACACTTAACAGCCCAATGATCTGGGCAAAGAAAGTTTGGGAAAAAACTAGCAGGTAGGGACAGATTCTACAGTAGCCACCAGAAGGAGATCAGTCAATGGAGAGCAAGCTGGAGGTCCCCACAGCTGTCTGCAGGGCAAAAAACCCCGGCCCATAGGCACCATACCATCTGCACAGCCACAGCATCACTGCTCTGCCCAAAGATCCCCCACCCTTGACCTCTTACATCAACAGACCACCTATGGACATACTCCACAACCCATTCTGACTGTGCCAAGCACAGAGGACCAGCAGACCTCCGGAATTCTGCAGGTTTCTGGCAATCTAACCTTCAGCTCAGGCTGCCCCTAAGGGAAGGGGAAGCACAGCCCATTAGGACATTCCTTAGGGCTAGGGAAACACAGGCATGGTGCCTAAATATATATACACCTAACACTGGAGCATCCAGATTCATAAAACAAGTTTTTAGAGACCCACGAAAAGACAGGCACAAAATAATAGTGAAAGATGTCAACACTCCACTGACAGCATTAGACAGATCATCGAGGCAGAAACCTAACAAAGAAATTATGGACTTAAACTTAACACTTGACAAATTGGACCTAATAGACATTGACAGAATACTCAACCCAACAATCACAGAATATACAATCTTCTCATCTACACACAAAACATAATCTAAGATTGACCATATGTTTAGCCATAAAGCAAGTCTCAATAAATTCAAACAACTTACTCCTGAATGATTTTAAGGTAAACAACAAAATGAAGGTGGAAATCAAAAAATCTTTGAAATTAATGAAACAGAATTACAACATACCAAAATACTTGGGATATAATGAGAGTAGTTTTAAGAGGAAAGTTTATAGCACTAAATGCCTACATCAAAAAGTTTAAAAGTTCTCAAATTAACAATCTAACACTGCACCTACAGGAACTGGAAAAACAAGAACAAAACAAGCTCAAAACTAGCAGAAGAAAAGAAATAAAATCAGCGAAGAACTAAATGAAACTGAGATGCAAATACACATCTAAAAAGTCAACAAAAACAAAAGTTGGTTCTTTGAAAGAATAAATAAGATTGTTAGACCACTGTCTAGATGAACAAAAACAGAAAAGATACAGATAAGCATGATCAAAAATGGCAGATGACATTACCACTGATCCTACCAAAACATAAAAGAACCTCAGACTATTATGAATACCTCTATGCATACAAATTAGAAAAGCTAGAGGAAATATATAAACTCCTAGAATAACACAACCTCCAAGATTGAACCAGAAAGAAATTGAAAACCTGAACAGATCAGTAACACATTCTGAAATTGAATCAGTAATAAGAAACCTACCAACAAAAAAAAACAGGTGGATTCACAGCCAAATTCTTCCTGATGTACAAAGAAAAACTGGTACCAGTCCTGCTGAAGCTGTTCCCAAAAAATCAAAGAGGAAGGACTCCTCCCTAACTGACTCTACAAAGCCAGCATCATCCTAATACCAAAACCTGGCAGAGAAACAATGGGCAAAAAAAAACAAAACGAAACAAAACTTCAAGCTGATATCCCTGATGAATATAGATGCAGAAATCCTTAACAAAATACTAGCAAACCAACTCTAGAAGCACATCAAAAAGTTAGTTTACCATGATGAAGGAGGCCTTATTCCTGGGATGCAATGTTGGTTCAACATATGCAAATCAATAAATGTGATTCACCACATAAATAGAACTAAAATCAAAAACCATACGATCATCTCAATAGACACAGAAAAAAACTTTGAATAAAATCTAACATCCTTTTATGATAAAAACTCTCAATAGACTAGGCATTGAAGGAACATTTCCTGATTGGAAAAATCAGTATCATTAAAATGGCCATACTGTCCAAAGCAATTTACAGATTCAACACTACTCCTATCAAACTAGCAATGTCATTTTTCACAGAATTAGATAAAAACTACCCTGAAATTCATATGGAACCAAAAAAGAGCCCAAATAGCCAAAGCAATCTTAAGCAAAAGGAACAAAGCCAAAGGCATCACATTACCCAACTTGAAACTACACTACAAGGCTACAGTAACCAAAACAGCATGGTACTGATACAAAAAGTGACACATAGACCAATGAAACAGAATACAGAACCAATAAATAAAGCTGCACACCTACAACTATCTGATCTTTGACAAAGTCAGTGAAAATCAGAAAAGGGGGAAAGAATCCCTTTTCAATAAATGGTACTGGCATTACTGGCTAGCCATACACAGGAGAATGGAACTGGACTCCTACCTATCACCATATACAAAAATCAACTCGAGATGGATTGAAGACTTAAATGTAAGACCTCAAACTGTAAAAATCCTAGAAGAAAACCTAGGAAATACTCTTCTCAACATGGGACCTGGCAAATAATTCATGGTCAAGTTCTCAAAAGCAATTGTGACAAAAACAGAAATTGACAAATAGGACCTAATTAACCTAAAGAGCTTCTGCACAGTAGGAGAAACTATCAACAGAGTAAACAAACTACAGAATGGAAGAATATATTCGCAAACTATGCATCCGACAAAGTTCTAATAACCAGAATCTATCAGGAACTTAAATGAATCAAGAAGAATATATTCGCAAACTATGCATCCGACAAAGCTCTAATAGCCAGAAGCTATCAGGAACTTAAATAAATCAAGCACAAAACAGGAACTCCATTGAAAAGTGAGCAAAGGACATGAACAGACCCTTCTCAAAAGAGAACACACAAGTCTCCAACAAACATAAATGTTCAACATCACTAATCAGAGAAATGCACATCAAAACCAGAATGAGATACAAACTCACATCTGGTCAGGGTGGCTTTTATTAAAAAGACAAAAAATAACAAATGTTGGCAAGGCTGTGGAGAAAAGAGAACACTTTTACACTGTTGATGGAAATGCAAACTAGCCCAGCCACTGTGGAGAGCAGTTTGGAGATTTCTCAAAGAACTAAAGAGTCAAGTTGAACTACCATTCAATCCAGCAATCCAATTACTGGGTATACAACCAAAGGAAAATAAATCATTCTACCTAGAGACACATGCATCCGTACATTCATTGCAGCACTATTCACAATAGCAAAGACATGAAATCAACCCAAGTGCCCAACAACGGTAGACCAGATAAGAAATTGTACACCATGGGATACTGTGCAGCCCTAAAATAAAAAGAATAAAATCATGTCCTTTGCAGCAGCATAGATGGTGCTGGAGCGTATTAGCCTAGGTGAACTAACACAGAAACAGAAAATCAAATAATGCATGTTCTCACTTACAAGTAGGAGCTAAACATGAGGTATATGTGGACATAAAGATGGGAACAATAGGCACTGAGGACTACTAGAGCAAGGAGAGGAGAGAGGCAAGGGCTGAAAAACTACCTATTGAGTACTATGCTCACTACCTGGGTGACAGATTCCTTTGTACTCTAAATCTTGGTATCACACAATATACCTCTGTAACAAACCTGCACATGTACCCCCAAATCTAAAATAAAAGTTTGAAAGAAAAGGAAAAATTAAAAGAATACTGTAGTAGTCAAATGCATAAGTTAGCATTTCTTGCCAATTTGCTCAGCTTTATAGGGCAGAGGCTGATTTAATTCATCATGTAAACTGACTTTGTCTTCTTCAAGCTTATGACCAAATACAAAACTGATAACCTATTTTATTATAAAAATAATTACTGAATAAAACATACCTTAACAGAATAGAAATCATATAAAGTATGTTCTCAGACAATATGGAACTAAACTAGAAATCAACAACAGAAAGATAGCTAGAAAATGTCTAGATATCTGTTAATTAAAGAACACACTCAAGTAACTTATGAGTCGAAAAATTCACAAATGAACTTTGAAATATTTTAACTACATGAAAATCAAGCTACAAGTTGTCTAAATGCATGAGATGCAGCAAAAATTGGTCCTTAGAGAAAAATTTATAGCATTAAATGCATATATTAAACCAGAAAAAATATCTAAAATTAATAATCTAAAGCTTCCACCCTAGGAAACTAGAGAAAGAACAACTTAAGCTTAGAGCAGACAGAATAAAAGAAATACTAAAAATTAGAGCAGGAATCAACAAAATTGGAAACAGGTAAACAATAGGAGGAACCAATAAAACCAAAAGATGGTTCTTTGAAAAGATCAATAAAACTGATAAACTTCCAGCTAAGCAAACCAAGAAAAAAGAAAGATGACACAAATTGCTAATATCAGAAATAAAGGAGAGATCATTACTACTAATTCCATGGACACTGAAACGATAACAAGGGAATACAATGAACAACACTATGCCCACAAATTTGATAACTTAGGTGAAACAGGCCAATTCCTTGAAAGACACAAACTCACACAGGAGAAATAGATAATACCAACAGACCTGTATCAGCTAAAGAAGTCGAATTAATAATTAATAACCTTCCAAAAGAAAACATCAAGCCCAGATGGTTTCACTAGTGAATTCTACCAAACGTTCAAGGAAAATATAATCCACAATTTCTTCCAGAAAATAGAAAGAATACTTCCTAAAGTTCTCTATAGAAACTTGTAAATGTTTTGCTGTTAGCCTGTAAATGTTGTAATGTTGTAAATGTAATGTTGTAAATGTTGTAAATGTTACAGTGTTAGCAGTGTAAATCACTGCTTTAAATTCAATACATAAAAAGTTGGTGCTTCAATATGCTAGAAAGCATTTAGGTCACTTTTTACTTGCTACAAAACAACATGTATATTTTAAAGTTGTGCAAAGACCTTTCTTGATTGGCACCACTTAAAGACAAGGTAGTAAAGGAATAGGTTATCAAAGGATGTTCATTAATAAAGTGCCTTATTCTAGACAGTCCCTGCACTTTAACAGATATAAACATTTCCCTCTCAGCCACAAATGCTCCATTCCAGAGCATTTAACCATTGGCACACATGCCAAGGGTCTTGCTTTGATGACATTTCATTGTCTATTCATATTTCACAGCCTTTCTATGATCAATCCATCAGGAAGTGCTCAAAGTTAACGTTCTTAACGTGCCCTAAAGAAACGTAAAGGAAGCAACAAAAGTTAAGTCAGGGGTTCTGGTCAAGGCAGGAAAGGAAAAAAAGTGACTAGGAACAAAAAGTAGTTGATACAAAGGAAAAGAAGAGGAGAAAGCACTGAAAGCATTTTAAAAATAAAAGGCAAACTGTCTAGTTGGCAACAGACCAAGATATAAGTACAGCATATTTCAGAGACTCCTAAAAGCAAGTGTGAAGAACTATAAACCACTGGAAGGAAGTGAAAACTCTGAGCAAGGGATCAACATGTTCAGAGATGCTTTTAAAAAAAAAAAAAATTCATCTGGCAATCAAATAGCTTATACGGGAAGGCTGGAGGCAGTGAGACCACAATGAGACTACTGCCATGGTCTTAGCTAGAAGAACTGAGGTTTAAGCTGACTGACAGCAGTGTGGTAGGGCAGAGTTGGCCAGTACCAAAGGGAGACCACTCAGGGGAATGATGATGGGAGTTCCATTATATACACCAATAGTGAATGCCATATGGTCTTAAATTCATTCATTCATACACTCAGAAAATACTAAGCATCTTCTATGTGCAGTACTGTTCTAGGATATGGTAACATAGCAGTGAATACAGCACAAAGTTCTTGTCCTCAACAAAGTTCATATTCTGGTGTATTTAGGGGAAAGGGGGGGGTAGAAAAAGAAACAATTTTAAAAGTATAAATGGTATATCAGCTGTAATAAGAAATATGGGGAAAAAAACTAAAGCAATATAAAGGGCACAGAAATTGTCAGAAGGCTGAGGAGAAACAGTAGCGGTTGCTATTTTGTTTCAAATGTTCAGAAAAGGCATCTATAACAAGGATATTTAAACAGAGATCTAAAGGAGGTGAGAAAACAATCTTTCTCCACTCCATCACTGCTTGTGGGTGCCATAGATCAAGCTATAAACATGCCCCAATTTAAAATAGGTATCATTAACATACAAAAACACAAAGTAAAAGCATTAGATAGGGCACACTTTAACTGCGATGGGAAGTAGAAATAAAACACATTTTAGGATTCAAGTATTATTTTTCATTTATTATGCTAAAATGACTAAATGACTGTTCCTCTCTCTAGGTCTGAGCTGTCCATCACTTTAGACACTTGAAATGAGGCTAGTCTAAATTGCTATGTGCTGTAAGTGTAAATACAAACTGGGTTTGGAAGAATAAGGAAAAAAAACAGAAAATATCTCATTATACTTTGTGTATTGATTACATGTTTAAATGATAATTGGGGTGCGTTGGGTTAAATAAAATGTATTATTAAAATTAATTTTTCACTTTTTAAATGTAGCAACTAGAAAATTTAAAATTACATGGCTTGCATTTATGGCTCTCATATTTCTATTAGACAGCATTATTCTAGTTTCACTACCTAGTAATAAATTTTTCTATACTACCATTGCTCATGCCCCAAATTACTCAAAAACAAAAATCAATTTAATAAGAATATTAAAGAGAATACTGAAAAACAATTTCTAGCAAATGTTTACCTTCATACTTATATTGTCTACCTAGTACCTCCCTCTTCTGAGTGTGGAACCCCTCTTCTTTAAGACATTGCTTTAAACATTTAGTTCCCAAATTCTAAAATGAGTCCACTACCTTGGACATAGCTGAATGGCAAGGGAAGGGAGTTGCGAGATGAATAGCTAAAAATAAAAAGCACTCTGCACTGTTGGCCACAGTTGAGTGGCCCAGGAGTGAACAGCTGACTCAAGGTGAGGCAACTGCAGTCCTTCCCACTGATTTTTAGTACCTCTGAATCATTTTGTTTCAGGTGTGTCTCTTATAAACAGTGTATAGTTGGGCCTTTGTGAGCCAAACTGGAAATTGTTTCGGTACTTCCACCCATCTGGTGAACTTCTGTGGCAGTAGTTTCACTTTAATCTTTGGCATCTCTTTTCTCTCCCATGCAGCTTTTTAAACTGTTCTTGTTCACAGCAAAGGTTTGAGGCAAGGTATGAGAGATAGCTCAATGAGATTTCATTCTTCTTTTTTTTAAAACTTAGTTAATTTGAAGTTTGGGTGTCCTTGGTTTTCTGGTTATGCAGGGGGTGTCATTTTTACGCATTTTAATTTTTCTTCTTGTTCTCTATCATATGTAGGATATTTTGGGAGGGGGCACAGACTTAGGCAGATATCGTTATCTGTCTAGAAATTTCTCCCGATTTTTATAACCATAGCTAAGAAACAGTCTCTCCAATGAGAGAAATATTAACATAATATGGAAATTAATGATGGTTAATTTCATTAATATGGAAATATTAACATCAAGTGTTCATATTCCTATCATGAGGAACTTTATCTATGATGAGAGCAGAAGCAGACCTACTGAGAAAAAAGTAGAGAAAAAAGACAGACAGAGAGAATGCTATTTGAATTCCTGGTTCCACTTGTTCCTGAAGTCCACCTTTACTCCGCCCTTCCCAATAGTTTGGCTGTTCCAATTTATCGTGAAACCTATGAGTCAAATTCTCCACATTATGCTCAACCTAAGGCATAATGCTCCTGGGTGGGCATTATAACTGACAGCTCTGGAATCAGGCTACTTGGATTTAAATCCTGACTCTTAAACACACATCCTGAGTAAGTTTCCTATAAACCTTTGGTGCTTCAGTTTTTGTATATATAAAATAAGGATGATAAGAGTACCTACTAATAAAATTGTCATTAGAATTTGACTAGATATGTGAAGCCCTTAGCACAACACAAATATATATATATATATATATATATAGTTAATAAACATTAGTTATTATCAGTTCTAGTGGTAGCTCAAATTGGATTTCTATCACAACTCTAAATGTTCACTAATCATCTATAGACTTTTGTCTTAGAATTACACTGTTGAGATTAAAAATGTATGTGTGCGTGTGTGTGTGTGTATATATATATATTTATATATATATATATGAGGAAGGTGGTTCAATTCACTAGCCATCTGCTGAAGTATGAGCAGGCGTATTTAAACCTCCACATTACCGAGGAATATTCAGAAGGGGCTGGAACATAGAAAGCCAAACTTCATCCCACACTGTCTGCACCAAGTTTTTTCACCCTCTCCCCCCATGGGGTTATTCCAGACTGATAAAATCAGACACGGAAAAATGCATTTTTGGGGGAGTCTTTTGCCTGTTCAGTTGTGACAGATAATCCTAGGATAAAACGTACCCCTACAGAGCGGGGAGCTTTCCACTGTGGGGGTTCAAAGAAGATGATTCTTCCTGGAAAAGGGAGAAGAGAATGAACTTCATGACAAAGAAACAAAACTGGAAACTGAGAAGTATTCATGATGAAACTATCTTATATAAGACATAACTTTAACTAACCTATAAGAGACTTTAACTTTTAAAGTTTTCTTCCTGGATTCTGGGCAAGATGGCTGAATAGGAACAGTTCCAGTCTGCAGCAACCAGTGAAACCAATGCAGAAGGCGGGTGATTTCTGCATTTCTAACTGAGGTACCCAGCTCATTTCATTGGGGCTGCTTAGACAGTGGGTACAGCCCACCGAGGGCAAGCAGAAGCAGGGTGGGGCATTCCTCACCCAGGAAGTGCAAGAGGTCAGGGAACTCCCTCCCCTAGCCAAGGGAAGCCTTGAGGGACTGTGCCACGAGGGACGGTGCTATCCGGCCCAGATACTATGTTTTTCCCACTATCTTCGCAACCCAAAGAACAGGAGATTCCATCTGGTGCCTACACCACCAGGGCCCTGGGTTTCAAGCACAAAACTGGGTGGCCATTTGGGCAGACACTGAGTTAGCTGCAGAAGTTTTTTTTCCGTACCCCAGTGGTTCCTGGAACACCAGCGAGACGGAAACATTCACTCTCCTGGAAAGGGGGCTGAAGCCAGGAAGCCGAGTGGTCTTGCTCATCAGATCCCCTGCCCATGGAGCCCCATAAGCTAAGATCCACTGGCTTGAAATTCTCCTTGCCAGCACAGCAGTCTGAAGTCGACCTGGGATGCTCCAGCTTGGTGGGGGAGGGAGGCTTGAGTAGGCAGTTTTCCCCTCACAGTATAAACAAAGCCTCCAGGAAGTTCGGACTGGGTGGAGCCCACCACAGCTCAGCAAAGCCCCTGTAACCACACTTCCTCTCTAGATTCCTCCTGTCTGTGGAGGGCATCCTCTGAAAGAAAGGCAGCCCCCAAAGTCAGGGGCTTATAGATAAAACTCCCATCTCCCTGGGACAGAGCACCTGGGGGAAGGTGCAGCTGTGGACGCAGCTTCAGCAGACTTAAAGCTTCCTGCCTGCTGGCTCTGAAGAGAGTGGTAGATCTCTCAGCACAGCGTTTGAGCTCTGCTAAGGGACAGACTGCCTCCTCAAGTGGGTCCCTGACCCCTGTGCCTCCTGAGTGGGAGACACCTCCCAGCAGGGGTCGACAGACACCTCTTACTGGAGAGCTCCGGCTGGCATCTGGTGGGTGCCCCTCTGGGACGAAGCTTCCAGAGAAAGGAACAGGCAGCAATCTTTGCTCTTCTGCAGCATCCACTGGTGATACCCAGGCAAACAGAATCTGGAGTAGACCTCCAGCCAGACCTGCAGCAGAGAGGCCTGACTGTGAGAAAGAAAACTAACAAACAGAAAGGAATAGCGTCAACATCAACGAAAAGGACGTCCACACAAAAACCCCATTCAAAGATCACCAACATCAAAGATCAAAGGTAGATAAATCCACAAAGATGAGGAAAAACCAGCACAAAAAGGCTGAAAATACCAAAAACCAGAATGCCTCTCATCCTCCAAAGGATCACAACTCCTTGCCAGCAAGGGAACAAAACTGGAAAGAGAATGAGTTTGACGAATTGACAGAAGTAGGCTTCAGAAGGTGGGTAATAAAAAACTCCTGCGAACTAAAGAAGTATGTTATAACCAAATGCAAGGAAGCTAAGAAACTTTTAAAAAGTTAGAGGAATTGCTAACAAGAATAACCAGTTTTGAGAAGAACATAAACGACCTGATAAAGCTGAAAAACACAGCACGAGAACTTCATGAAGCATACACAAGTATCAACAGCCAAATAGATCAAACAGAAGAAAGGATATCAGAGATTGAAGATCAACTTAATGAAATAAAGCATGAACACAAGATTAGAGAAAAAAGAATGAAAAGGAACAAACAAAGACTCCAACAAATATGAAACTACGTGAAAAGACCAAACCTACATTTGATTGGTGTACCTGAAAGTGACAGGGAGAATGGAACCAAGTTCAAAACCACACTTCAGGATATTATCCAGGAGAACTTCCCCAAACTAGCAACACAGGCCAACATTCAAATTCAGGAAATACAGACAATACCACTAAGATACTCCACGAGAAGAGCAACCCCAAGACAAATAATTATCAGATCCCCAAGGCAGAAATGAAGGAAAAAATGTTAAGGGCAGTCAGAGAGAAAGGTCAGGTTACCCACAAAGGGAAGCCCATCAGACTAACAGTGGATCTCTCTGCAGAAACTCTAGAAACCAGAAGAGAGTGGGGGCCAATATTCAACATTCTTAAAGAAAAGAATTTTCAACCAGAATTTCATATCCAGCCAAACTAAGCTTCATAAGCAAAGGAGAAACAAAATCCTTTACAAACAAGCAAATGCTGAGAGATTTTATCACCACCAGGCCTGCCTTCCAAGAGCTCCTGAAGGAAGGACTAAATACGGAAAGGAAAAGCCAGTACCAGCCACTGCAAAAACATACCAAATTGTAAAGACCATCAACACTGTGAAGAAACTGCATAATGACAGGATCAAATTTACACATAACAATATTAACCTTAAATGCAAATGGACTAAATGCCCCAATTAAAAGACACAGACTGGCAAATTGGATAAAGAGTCAAGACCCATTGGTGTGCTGTATTCAGGAGACCCATCTCACATGCAAAGACACACATAGGCTCAAAATAAAGGGATGGAGGAATATTTACCAAACAAATGGAAACCAAAAATAAAGGAGCGGTTGCAATCCTAGTCTCTGAGTCTCTGACAAAACAGACTTTAAACCAACAAAGATCAAAAAAGACAAAAAAGGGCATTACATAATGGTAAAGGGATAAATGCAACAAGAGCTAACTACCCTAAATATATATGTACCCAATACAGGAGCACCCAGATTCATAAAGCAAGTCCTTAGAGACCTACAGAGAGACTTAGACTCCCACACAATAATAGTGGGAGACTTTAACACCCCACTGTCAATATTAGACAGATCAACGAAACAGAAAATTAACAAGGATATTCAGGACTTAAAATCAGCTCTGGACCAACTGGACCTAATAGACATCTACAGAACTCTCCACCCTATAATCAACAGAATATATAATCTTCTCAGCACCACATTGCACTTATTCTAAATTGACCACATAATTGGAAGTAAAACACTCCTCAGCAAATGTAAAATAATGGAAATCATAAAAAACAGTCTCTCAGACCACAGTGCACTCAAATCAGGACTCAGGATTAAGAAACTCACTCAAAACCACACGACTACAAGGAAACCAAACAACCTGCTCCTGAACGACTACTGGGTAAATAACGAAATTAAGGCCAAAATAAATAAGTTCTTTGAAACCAATAAGAACAAAGAAACAATGTGCCAGAATCTCTGGGACACAGCTAAAGCAGTGTTGAGAAGGAAATTTATAGCACTAAATGCCCACAGGAGAAAGTGGGAAAGATCTAAAATCGCCACCCTAATATCACGGTTAAAAGAACTAGAGAAGCAAGAGCAAAGAAATTCAAAAGCTAGCAGAAGGCAAGAAATAACTAAGATCAGAGCAGAAATGAAGGAGATAGAGATACAAAAAACCCTTCAAAAAAATCAGTGAATCCAGGAGCTGGTTTTTTGAAAAGATTAACAAAATAGACCGCTAGCCACACTAATAAAGATGAAAAGAGAGAAGAATCAAATAGACATAATAAAAAATGATAAAGGGGATATCACCACTGATTCCACAGAAATACAAACTACCATCAGAGAATACTATAAACACCTCTACGCAAATAAACTAGAAAATGAAGAAGAAATGGGTAAATTTCTGGAAACATACACCCTCCCAAGACTAAACCAGGAATAATTCAAATCCCTGCATAGACCAATAACAAGTTCTGAAACTGAGGCAGTAATTAATAGCTGACCAACTAAAAAAAGCCCAGGACCAGAGAGATTCACAGCTGAATTCTACCAGAGGTACAAAGAGGAGTTTGTACCATTCATTCTGAAGCTATTCCAAATAATAGAAAAAGAGAGACTCCTCCTAACTCATTTTGAGGCCAGTCCTGATACCAACACCTGGCAGAGACACAACAAAAAACAGAAAACTTCAGGCCAATATCTCTGATGAACATCAATGCAAAAATCCTCAATAAAATACTGGCAAACCAGCCAGGTGTGGTGTCTCACGTCTGTAATGCCAGCACTTTGGGAGGCTGAGGAGGGTGAATTGCAAGGTGAGGAGATCAAGACCATCCTGGCTAACACGGTGAAACCCTGTCTCTACTAAAAACACAAAAAATTAGTTGGGCATGGTGGCAGGTGCCTGTAGTCCCAGCTAATTGGGAGGCTTAGGCAGGAGAATGGCGTGAACCCTGGAGGCGGAGCTTGCAGTGAGCCAAGATCATGCCACTGCACTCCAACCTGGGCAACAGAGCAAGACTCCGTCTCAAAAAAAAAAAAAAAAAAATAGTGGCAAACTGAATCCAGCAGCACATGAAAAAGCTTGTCCATCACGATCAAGTCAGTTTCATCCCTGGGATGCAAGGCTGGTTCAACATATGAAAATCAATAAACATAATCCATCACATAAACAGAACCAATGACAAAACAACCAACCACATGATTATCTCAATAGATGTAGAAAAGGCCTTTGATAAAATTCAACACCTCAAAAACTCTCAATAAAGTAGGTACTGATGGAACATATCGCAAAATAATAAGAGGTATTTATGACAAACCCACAGCCAATATCATACTGAATGGGCAAAACCTGGAAGCATTCCCTTTGAAAATCAGCACAAGACAAGGATGCCCTCTCTCACCACTCCTATTCAAAGCAATATTGGAAGTCCTGGACAGGGCAATCAGGAAAGATAAAGAAATAAAGGGCATTCAAATAGGAAGAGAGGAAGTCAAATTGTCTCTGTTTGCAGATGATATGATCGTATATTTAGAAAATTCCATCGTCTCAGTCCAAAATCTCCTTAAGGTGATAAGCAACTTTAACAAAGTCTCAGGATACAAAATCAATGTGCAAAAATCATAAACATTCCTATACACCAATCAGACAAACAGAGAGACAAATCATAAGTGAACTTCCATTCACAATTGCTACAAAGAGAATAAAATACCTAGGAATCCAACTTACAAGGGATGTGAAGGACCTCTTCAAGGAGAACTACAAACCTCTGCTCAACGAAATAAAAGAGGACACAAACAAATGGAAGAACATCCCATGCTCATGGATAGAAAGAATCAATATCGTGAAAATGGCCATACCGCCCAAAGTAATTTGTAGATTCAATGCTACCCCTATTAAGCTACCATTGACTTTCTTCACAGAATTAGAAAAAACTACTTTAAATTTCATATGCAACCAAAAAAAAAAAAAAGTCTGCATAGCCAAGACAATCCTAGGCAAAAAGAACAAAGCTGGAAGCATCACACTACCTGACTTCAAACTATACTACAAGGCTACAGTAACCAAAACAGCATGGTACTGATACCAAAACAGATATATTGACCAATGGAACAGAATAGAGGCCTCAGAAATAACACCACACATCTACAGCCATCTGATCTTTGACAAACCTAACAAAAAAAAACAATGGGGAAAGGATTCCCTATTTAATAAATGGTGTTGGGAAAACTGGCTAACCATATGCAGAACACTGAAACTGGACCCCTTCCTTATACCTTATACAAAAATTAAGATGGATTAAAGACTTAAACATAAGACCTAAAACCATAAAAACCCTAGTAGAAAACCTAGGCAATACCACTCAGGACACAGGCAGAGGCAAAGACTTCATGACTATAACACCAAAAGCAATGGCAACAAAAGACAAAATTGACACATGGGATCTAATTAAAGATCTTCTACACAGCAAAAGAAACTATCAACAGAGTGAACAGGCAACCTACAGAATAGGAGAAAATTTTTGCAATCTATCCATCTGACAAAGGGCTAATATCCAGAATCTACAAGGAACTTAAACACATTTACAAGAAAAAACAAACAAACAACCCCATCAAAAAGTGTGCAAAGGATATGAACAGACACTTCTCAAAAGAAGACATTTATGTGGCCAACACACATATGAAGAAAAGCTGATCATCACTGGTCATTAGAGAAATTCAGATCAAAACCATGAGATACCATCTCATGCCAGTTAGAATGGCAATCATTAAAAAGTCAGGAAACAACAGATGCTGGAGAGGATATGGAGAAATAGGAACACTTTTACACCATTGGTGGGAGTGTAAATTAGGTTCAACTAATGTGGAAGACAGTGTGGCAATTCCTCAAGGATCTAGAACTAGAAATACCATTTGACCCAGCAATCCCATTACTGGGTATATACCCAAAGGATTATAAATCATTCTACTATAAAGACACATGCCCACGTATGTTTATTGCAGCACTATTCACAATAGCAAAGACTTCAAACCAACCTAAATGCCCATCAATGATAGACTGGATAAAGAAAATGTGGCACATATACACCATGGGATACTGTGCACCCATAAAAAAGAATGAGTTCATGTCCTTTGCAGGGACATGGTTGAAGCTGGAAACCATCATTATCAGCAAACTAACACAGGAACAGATAAACAAACATGGCATGTTCTCACTTATAAATGTGAGCTGAACAGTGAGAACAGATGGGCACAGGGAGGGGAACATCACACATCAGGGCCTGTCGAGGGGTGGGGGGCAAGGGGAGGGATTGCATTAGGAGAAGTACCTAGTGTAGATGATGGGTTGATTGGTGAAGCAAACCACCATGGCACATGTATACCTATGTAACAAACCTGCACATTCTGCACATGTATCCCAGAACTTAAAGTATAATTTTTTTAAAAAAAAGAAAGAAAAAATAAAGTTTTCTTCCTTTTAATTTGTAGAGCCAGACTGATCAACTATTTTTAAGGTTTCTCTTCCTAATTGTCATTCCTCCCTATTATCTGCAAACATCTAATAAAGGCTACCACACATATATATATATATTTCCTTTCGTATGGCTGCATAGTGGGAAACCAAGCAACAGTACAGGTAAGTGTGCCCTTGGCATTGCCCTCCACAGCAACAGAACTTGAAGGAAGAAAAGTTATCCTGAATTCTAGGTGGCAATAAGCAGAAAGAGCAGCAGGGGCCCAAGGTAAGGCTGGGAACAAGACAGAGCTGAGAAGAAGTGCAGAGAAGCAACTGCCACATGAACAAAGAAGCCGGCCCTCCGGAGCTTGCAGTGAGCCGGGATAGCGCCACTGCAGTCCAGCTTGGGAGAAAGAGTGAGACTCCGTCTCAAAAAAAAAAAAAAAAAAAGAAGCCGGCCCTCATTCCCAAAGCTAGAGGAAGGGGACTCATGAGAAGAGGGAAAGGAGAAGAGCTATCACTTGGCTTACAAGCATTTGTCATCATCTGTATCATCTGGCCTTAAACAAATGTGTTATAAAAGGGTCACTGTCATATCTATTCAGTTTTAATTTGGCTGCTAACACCCAGCATACTTGAACTAGAAAAACACTCAGAAAAAAAAAAAAAAAAAAGCAAATTTTTGTTTCAATAGTGAATTTTCATTTTATTTTCATTTTACCTTTAATCTTAAATGTTCTTGCCTATTAAGCTGGAAAGCCTTTATTCATTTTATACTGAGCCACAGAACAAGATTTTCATATTTATTTGCAAGATAAAAAAGTCACCACATACCCTACACTTGTTAAGAGCTCTTTAAATACACAGGAAGTCAAAGGGAAACAGAAGTGCTCCCACAGGATGCTGTCCCCAAAGGGAACAGGCTCTGAAAAATAATTCTTGCCAAATCAGGATGTTGCTGGAAATAAACATATAATAGAGAAGATTTTTTAAGATGCATCTAATGTCACCATTAGGCAGCATCAGCTAAATGTGTTTCAGCAAATATATGAATCTACCCACTTAGAAAAATTTGTGATCGATTCAGTATAGCGCCTTGTTTATATTTGAGAAAATACAGTAACTGATGCTATTTTACGAGTTTGCTGATTTTTTTAAAAAAGTTTTTCAAGAGTTTCAGGTTTTACTAGATACAATAAAATGGAAACATAATTCTCAATTTCAAGTACAATACAGTGAGATTGCTTTTAATCTGTAATCCTCATTGAGGCAGAACTGATTCCTGGAAAGGCTATGTTCAGAGGTACAATTAAGTTATCATACCTCCAACTAAGGATTCTGGTGCTAAGCAACTGAGGCCAGAGGAATGACTACTAGAAGTTTGAATTGTTTATTAAAATGGAACTAAGACTGTACCTATACCTTTAATAAACGTTTTCAATGGGACTATATATTTTTCCCTTATGAGGATGATGAAATTCCCTTTTTAGTTTCCCTGTTCCTCTCTATGCATAATTCTCAACCTTCCAAAAAAATAATTTGAAGACTCAGGTATGTTCCTAAAGGACTCTTCAAAGTCTTAAGTATTTTTAAAAGAAAATGAGTCTCCAATTAAGGAAGACAAAGTCATTGCATACAAAAATTTGTAAAATAGAAAAGGAATAAAAACCACCTCAAATCTAGCCACTGAAAAACAAACACAGTTAACATTTTGGCAAGCTTCCTTCCAGGCTTACATATATAATCTTAATAAAACTGGGGATCATGGTTTACATACTGTTTTATTAGATACTTTTCATTAATTGTGAGGATTTATTTCATTCCATTTTTCTTCTAAAATATTTAAATGGCTGCAGAGTTCTCCATTTTATGAAGTTCTGAAAACTCATTTAACCAACTTTCTTCTATTGAATGGTTGTTAGTTTTTATTCCAAATTATTAAATTAACATTATGTATATCAACTGGTATCTTAAGTATGTAAGACTCTCTGAATATTTATTTTTATTAATGTCTTAAAAGTATATTTACTAGGTCAAAGACCATAAACAATTTTAAGATTTTAGATAGACCATGACAAATCCTAACCAAAAATGGTTTATCAGCAACCACTCTATCTAAAAGAGTGCATTTCACCAGGCAAATGCTATTCAAAGGATAGGATCACCAACATTTCACACCACCTTTATCAATTCTCAGTATTTTCATAGGAAAGAAAAGATTTGCCTATCTAATAGACAAAAATGAAGGCTTGTAGGTTTTTTTTTTAATTTGTATTGATTTTTGCCATCATTTCCAACAGGTTTGAAAGCATGTTTACTGGTCACTCATATTAATAAGTGTATGCAAGTATGTGCACATGGATGTGGGTGAAAACTGTTTTTTGAGCATTCTTCTTTTGAGTTTTCCATTTATGTATTGATCTAGGAGAGCAGCAGTTAAGAGCTCGTGCTCTGGAATCCGACCCCATGGGTTCAAAATCCCTTCTCTACCACTTATTAGTCATGTGGCTATGGCAAGTTACCTAACCATCATCTGTGAAACCAAGATAATAACAGAATGGAGCTGGGAATATTAAATGCAATCATCTATGCTGCAACATAGGAGACAAGTGTTTTCCATTGTAATCCATTATTTACCCTTTATGGAGAATAAAACTTTCAACACTATATTTTCCATAAATAATATGTGTTTTGTCAGAGTTTGCCATATGTGCCTTTTACTTGGGGGTACTTTTTGAGATACACAAGTTTTCCATTTTCATAAATGAAAATGTATCACCTTCTGTACAAGTTCTTGTTTCTATACTCAGAAAGATCCTCCCCCATCCCTCAAGAACCAAAAAAAAAAAATTCATTTATAGTGCTGCAAGTTCTTTTAATGTCTTTAAAAAAAAAAGTTATTTTTGATGACAAAGCAGGACACAGAAAGACCATCACAGAAAGAGAAAAGCCAGAGAAACAAAAATAGATCAAAAGAGAACCCAGATCAATGAAGGTTATCCAACATTCTATTTCCTAAACACAATCCTATATTAGGGCTAATTTGACAATGTCCTTAAGTAAACCAAGAAACAGTATTTTAACTCCTTTATAAGAGGTAACTAAAGAATATTCCACAGACAACTTATTTATGAGCTAACTTTCTATGTGTTTAACAGCCACTCTTTCAGATCTGAACCCCCTGTGTATGCCGATTAGGTTGTCACAGTGTAGGGTAACTGTATTTTTTTTTTCTAAGTTGGGATATTGCTAAGAGTGAAAGGTCACTATGAATAATTATGCTAGGGGCCAGGCATGGCAGCTCACGCCTGTAATCCCACCACTTTGGGAGGCTGACACCAGCAGATAACTTGAGGCCAGGGGTTCGAGGCCAGCCTGGCCAACATGGCAAATCCCCATCTCTGCTAAAAAATACAAAAATTAGCCAGGCATGGTAGCGTGCGCCTGTAATCCCAGTTACTCTGGAGGATGGGACATGAGAATCACTTGAACCTGGGAGGCAGAGGTTGCAGTTAGCCGAGATTGTACCACTGCATTCCAACTTGGGCAACAGAGCAAGACTCTGCCTAAAAAAATAAAATAAAATAAAATTATGCTAGGTTAACAGACATAAGCCGACACCACCCTGGGCAAACAGATACATATTTACCTTATTACTACCTTGCTGAAGATCTTCACCTTAAAATCTTTTAACAAATGGCTTCAACAAAAAACAATTCCCTTGTTTTCCACAAATTTTGCAATCTTATGATTATGTTGATGGAATCTAATATATTAGATAACTTCATTCACTGACTCCATGTGTTCATCTACCATTTATTTCTCATGCTTCTGCAATCTCATCTCCTGCTACTTCCACTCTACTGAAATTGTTTAACAGTGCTCTAGATGTTGCTAAATCTAATGACATTTCTCTGCAATTTTCCTGCTCGACCACTTTTGCAGTATGTCATAATGACCTCCCTGACCTTGAGACTATCTTTCCCTGCCATAGTGAATCACGAATATGATGGGAGGGTCTCTTCTCTCAGGTATGTGAAGGTGAAAAAGGTTGAGAACTGCTGAAAAATGATGTGAAAGCATAACAGTAACTGCTGTAACAAACCCTAAAATTCTGTATTTTAACATGCTAAAGTTTAATTTCATTCACATAATAATCCCACAATGGTGTTCCTGCTTAGCAGATGACTTTCCCCTACATAGCGACCGAGCATCCATCCCTTTGTGCCTTTGCCATCTTCTAAAGCCAAAACCTCTGTACTCAGTTGGTGTTTAGAGAAAACACACAAAAACAAAAGCATGGAAGATAGCACATCGAATGTTTTTATGGGCCAGGTCTGGGAATGGTACACATTACTGCTGCACACAATCCACTGGCTAAAACTTGGTCACATGGCTAAGTCTAACTGCAAGGAGGCTTGGAAATATAATCTGCCTATGTACCCCAAAACAAGAAGAAATGGGTTTGGTGAACAGCATTCTACTGTCTGTCACAAAAAAGGCTCTTCAAGAAATCTCTGGTATTTAACTCTATTTATTTTATTTTATTTTTTTGAGACAGAGTCTTGCTCTGTCACCCAGGCTAAAGTGCAGTGGCACAATCATGGCTCACTGCGGCCTCAACTTCCTGGATTCAAGCGATCCTCCCACCTCAGCCTCCTGAGTAGCTGCAACTACAGCTGCATGCCACCATGCACAGATAATTTTTGTATTTTTTTGTAGAGATGTGGTTTTGCCATGTTGCCCAGGCTGGTCTCTAGCTCCTGAGCTCAAGGGATCAACAGGACTGGGCCTCCCAAAGTGCTAAGATTACAGGTGTGAGCCACCCCACCAGGCCTGTTAACTTCATTTATATGTTAAATTTGTTAAGAGCAGGGGCAGGAATTGTGTAACAACTGGAGCTTACCCCAAATCTATGAGTTTCAAACATGACTGATGTCCTTGTTAGGACTGGTAGGGTGACCCACAATAAATCTAATAGTATGAGGACTACAAAACCTAATGAAAAAAAATTCAGCCTAATAACAAAGCAGCCAGGGGGAATAAAAGAGGACTCAAAGGCAAGATACAGGAAGATGTCTCACAGCTCTTCCTTTGTGTCAACTCTAGAAAAATACCTGCTGAGTCCAGAGAAAGGAAAATGTGTGGAGAAAGCTGAGAGCACAGGCTCCTTCCACTTCTACCCAGAAAACAGTGCAGTGCTTGAGGTCCAAAGGCTTCACTACCATTGGTGCCCAACAGTCTTCCCTCACAGAAGCTGCAGAGGCAGCTAGGAAGCAACAGAAGCACAGCTGGGCATGTTCTGAGTAGGAGACCACCCCATGCACACTCATAAGCAAGCTCACAAATGACACTGTGACACAGGTGGAGTGGGTGAGAAGCAAGATGAGAGAAAAGCCTATGGTCAGCAGCAGGACTACTCAAAAGCCGACATGAAATCTGGGATTCCCAAATACAAGGAGAGACACTGAAGGAAGGTGATGGTACTGATGGCAGTCACAGAAATGTGATTAATTACGGTTTACATCATTCCAGTGAAATATCCCACATTGCTATGTTCCTGAAAACTGCTTACATTTATAATATTCTTAGTAGTTGGGAGCTATTGAGTAGAGGATATTGCATTATTCTGTAAATTTTTACATAGCAATTTTCTGATTTGAGCCAAAGTCAAACCAGAATATAACATTTTTTATGAGTAGATAGCTGAAATTTCTATCCAATATGCTGATTTACTGATCAAAAGACACATGAAATTTTAAATGGTACTTTTCCCCCAGGACCGAAATATTAAAAAAAAAATCAACATTACTGTTATAATAGTTAATTTAAATTGCCTATCAAAGTTATGATAACTAATTGATAGCACTTTATTTTGTTCTCAAGTTTAATTCTCTTGTTTAGTAACCAGCTTCTCGAAAATTGGCTGAAACCTATCTAATAGAGCAAATATGAGATTTTTGTTTTTTACTACAAAAATCTAATGATTCATGCAATTTCTAAGTATGAAGGAAGGCCAGGCATGGTGGCTCACACCTGTAATCCCAGCACTTTGGGAGGCGGAGGCTGGAGGATCACTTGAGCACAGGAGTTCAAGACCAACCTGAGCTACATGGTGAGACCTCATCTCTACAAAAACTTTTAAAATTAGCTGGGTGTGGTGTTGTGTGTGCCTATAGTCCTAGTTACTTGGCAGGCTGAGGCAGGAGGGTCGCTTGAGCCCAAGAGTTTGAGGTTACAGTGAGTTAGGATTGCACCATTTCACTCCACTGTGGATGACATGGTGTGATGGTTAATACTGAATATCAATGTGATTGGATTGAAGGATGCAAAGTTTTCCTCATGGGTGTGTCTGTGAGGGTGTTGCCAAAGAAGGTTAACATTTGACTCAGTGGGCTGGGAAAGGCAGACCTACCCTTAATCTGGGTGGGCACCAACTAATCAGCTGCCAGCATGGCCAGGATATAAAGCAGGCAGAAAAACACGAAAAGGCTACACTGGCTTAGCCTCTTGCCCACATCTTTCTCCCATGCTGGATGCTTCCTGCCCTCAAACATCAGACTCCAAGCTTTTCAGCTTTGGCATTCAGACTAGCTTCCTTGCTCCTCAGCTTGCAGACAGCCTATTGTGGGACCTTGTGGTGGTGTGAATTAAAACTACCTAATAAATTCTCATATATATGATATATATTCTATTCTTATTAAAAATCCTAAGTTAACTATAAATTTTGAACTTTGTTATAACTTTTTAGACTGTAGTAACATTTTCCATGACAATGAATGGTACAGGTTTAGGAACAATGGAGGATATGAAACATGGAAAAAAATTCCATTTCAACTCTTTTCAATTTCTGTTTCACTGCCGTAGACCTTCTTGCGGGTATGTTCTTTTGGACAAATCTGGGCTTTGTATTTTTTTTCTGTAACAAAACTAAAAGCTTTTGTCATAAAATATTCAGAATGAATGCAGAATGAAAGGGGGGGAAGTTATCGACTGACTGTGCCTGATTCCTGTCTCAGAAAAAGAATTGTCAACTTTACCAAAAGACTTTGCTGGGCCTCTTAAAGGTTGAATGAAGAATGCTTCCTAGATTCCTTTTAGATCAGCTGGAGTTCGAGAGAGAAAAAATGTGGAAGAAAGGTATATGGACTACATGGGAAATTTTTCATTAAAAAGAGGATACAAATGTTATATTATTTATAAGACCCAACTTTGGTGCAGATTTTATTTATGTAACAAGTAATATATAGTAACAACATAGGTAAAGAAAATGTTAATCCTGAACAAACTACAACCACTCTGGCAATAATAAATGTAATAAAGAATATGCTTATACATTTTATACTTTTTGAGTTTAGGGAATTCTTTTCACTCTTAAGTGAGTTAACCACTCTTAAAGATATACCACCACCAGAATTTAAACTAAAGGAGGAAAATCCACTTAACTACAAGAAAATTTCCTTGCTTTCTTCCCATTTCTTTGCTATTAGAGGGCTAAGATTAAAAATGTGATCTTCATTTTGAGATTAACATATTGACAGCACTGAAATTATACAAGATTTTCTAAAAACAGTTTCTTCTCTTCTAAACCTTCCTTCAAAACTATTGCTTTTGAAATTTTAACTATTATATTTCTTAGAACCAAAATCTAAGAAAAATTTAAGTCAGATACCATCTAAGAAAATTTTAAAAAGGAGTGAAACTTCTAGAACAGAGGTCCCCAACCCCCAGACCAGTACCAGTCTGGTACACAGCAGGAGGTGAGCAGTGCGTGAGTGAGCATTACTGCCTGAGCTCTGCCTAGAGTCAGATCAGCAAGGGCATTCGATTCTCATAGAAGCATGAAGCCTACTGTGAACTGTGCAAGCGAGGGAACTAGGTTGTGCACTCCTTGTAAGAATCTAATGTCTGATGATCTGAAGTGGAACGGTTTCACCCCCAAACCATTCCCCCAGTACTCGGTCCATGGAAAAATTTTCTTCCATGAAACCAGTCCCTGGTACCTAAAAGGTTGGGGACTGATGCTCTAGATGAGAGTATCCTGGAAGTGTGAGTCACAGCAAATATTTGGGTAAATGCTCCATAGAAATGAAATCCCATGGGCAAGAATATGACATCTCATTCTTCAAATGTTCTTGAAACTATACAGTTGTTTTAGGCAGGGATAAATCAGAATTCTAACATTTTTGACAAAGTGTAAATGGCTTAAATACTGTCTAAATAATTTGGGGTTTGGGTGTTTTTGTTTTCTCTTTTTTGTTGTTGTTTAGCCAGATAAAAATCTTAGCATTCAAGCAACTAAGACTCCAAAACTCTGAAAGATTCTTGAGGAGTTTTTTTTTTTTTTTCATTTTTTGGTTTTTGGAGACAGAGTCTTGTTGTGTCACTCAGGCTGGAGTAGAGTGGCACCATCACAGCTCACTGCAACCTTGACCTCCTCCCACCTCAGCCTCCTGAATAGCTGGGACTACTGGTGCACACCACCAAGCCCAGTTCATTATTTTATTTTTTGTAGAGATGAAACCTCACTATGTTACCCAGGCTGGTCTTGAACTCCTGGGGCTCCAGTGATTCTCCACCCTCTGTTTCCCAAAGTGCTAAGATTATAGACGTTGAGCCAGCACACCTAGCCCCTTGAGACATTTCTTGATTAGAAAACATGCTTTAGGATCTATTTATCTAAAAGAGTACATTCCTTGTATTTAAACTCTGCATAAAAACATGGAATAATTCTCGATGACTGATTTAGTGCTTAGCTGATAATAGTCCTAAAATACTTGTAAACTGTTTAACATTATACTACTTATTTAAATCTTAACAAAAATATTTACTGAGTCCCTTCCACACTGAATGCAAGCCAAGGCTTTTAAAAATCCCCTAAATTACAGAAAACTAAAGCTTTATTCAAACTCAAAGAGGAGCAGTATAAATTCAATATAAATACATCAAAAATGATAATCACCTTTGGTAGATCATCAGAAAATTAAATTCAAATCAAGATATTTATAAAACTGCTAAAGAAAACATTTTTCTTAGACTCATGAAGACATGACAACCAAAAGTAATGTCTGAACCTTTATTCAATCATGTCAAATTCAAAGAAACTAGCTATAAAATCCATTGTGGAGAAAACTAGTAAAATTTGATATTTTAAATATCTGGATATTAAATAATACCAGGGAAGTATTATTCACTTTGTTATATGTGATAAAGATATTATGGTTATATAGAAAAATATCCTTATTTTGACGGCTGTACCATTTGAAGTATTTAGGGGACAAATGTCATGATGCCTATCTATATTTACTTTTAAATTGTTCAGCAAAAATAGCGGTATATAAGTATTTATAATAGATAGTAGATGAATCAAATATGGTCAAATGTTAGTTTTTGTTTTTGACAGGGAGTCTCACTCTATCACCCAGGCGAGAATGCAGTGGCATGATCTCGACTCACTGCAGCCTCCACATTCTTGACTCAAGCCATCCTCCTACCTCAATCTTCCAAGTACCTGGGACTACACATGCATGGCACCACACCTGGCTAATTTTTGTATTTTTTTGTAGAGACAGAAATGATAATTTTTCAATAGTAGATATATGAGCGGTGATTGTAGTAGTTTTCTAGGTTTTATATGTTTGGTTATCTCTATAATAATTTAAGTTCTTGGGCTTTTAATTTAGCATTTTCCAAATTACCACTGGGAACAAAGGCTTTAAGCTAGTTCATGAACTCATTTCTGTATTAACCTATTGGGTTTCTTTTTTACTTGACTTCAGGGCTGCTGAGAGATCACTGTAATCCTCAAACCACTTGGTATGATGATAGTGTCCCTTTCTTTAAATGGCTTCTATTCTCTCCTTCGATTTTAAATTTCTTAACCTTTAACTGTGCTGTTTCATATGTGTTATCCTAATCAGACATTTCAAATTACCCACAGAAGTTAGAAAGAAATAATCAAAAAAGAAAGAACTGAGGAGACGACGTTTATTTCATTTTAAGAAGAGAAGCCAAGCACAGTGGCGTGCACTTGCAGTCCCGGCTACTCAGGAGGCTGAGGCACAAGGACTGCTTGTGCCCAGGACTTTGAGTCCAGCCTGGGCAACACAGTGAGACCCTATCTTTTACAAAAAAAGAAGACAACAAAGAAGAAAAGACTTACAGAAACATAACAATCTTCAAATATTTGAACGATTGTCCTACAGAAGGTGTAGAAATTAATTCTGTGCTGCTCTAAAACCAATGGAAGAAAATTTAGAAAGATAGATTATGCTTTATTATTAGTGATGAATCTCTAGATAATTCATTATCCATAACTGGATCCATAATTGGAACTGTTGCTACTTAAGAAATTTCTGTTACATCTCTAGGAATTGTTCAAATACTGCAGAAGGGATTCCAACCATGAATCCAAAACAGTATAGAAAAAAAGGAATATATGCTTTTGATTGCTTATCTTTCTACACGTCTATGTATTTGGAGAATCTTGGGTGCAGTCAACTGACCAAATTCCAAGTAAACAAAGCTAAAAATACTTCAACAATTTTTTTGTAAAAGCCAACGCTAATTAATATCATCTCCCTTTCATCATTATACTTCATAGTAACTTTGCTAAAATTCTAAATTGCTATCTCCCCAAGAAACTGTACTTTATCATCTGGCAGCCAATAAATTCTAATTTTTCTGCTGCTTCTTCCCAAAAGCCTAAGGCTATTAGGAAAAATCAGCAGTGATTTTGGTAAAGAATCCTTGTTAAACTTTATAGATATAAGGAGCAGATGCATAGCTAATTCTAACATGAATCTAGCCTTCTATGTATGTTTTTATTACTCTACCCAATCCATATCCAATGCTATCAATCATCATTAAAATTTGACCTAGACTGACCAATAAAAATAGTGTCCAGTGTCCACCCATATCCGAATATAACCATTCTAGATTGATCATCTTGTCTAAGATGAATTATAAATATGCAGCTACTTTAAAAGACAACTCAAAGAGTGTAAATGATTCAGCACACAATCTATAAGGCACCTGCTTACTCAGAAGCAGCAAGCAGCATCCTTCATTTCCTCTACACAGAAACAAAGAATGAGAGTAGCAAGGTAAAGCCTATACCTAAGGTCACCAAGCACATCTCTGTGCAAAATTAATTGTGTATACACATGCATACATACTTCAGTGGGGAGTGTTCTGAAAGATTTAAAAACCATTCATTTTTCTAACCTAATGATTTCTGACTGCTCTACGCACTGGCCTGTCCTGACACCACTGGTCCTCAGACACTATGTTGATTTAGCAGAACTTTTCATGTCCAAAGAGCATTATAATTGGCATTGAGGCAAACCAGAGAAAGGCCCATATTCAACTAATATTTCTTCAATGGAGTTCTCCAAAGACACAGGTGCTTTAAGTGGAAAACAAGTGACTCAGAAACTAAACTCTATCCAGAGGAAGCCTGCGCAGCCGGACTCCACACAGCTGCAGTGACTGCCAAGCATTGTTTCCTGTAGTTGTTTGGTGCTCATACCACTACTGGTGCACACTTCCTCTGCCTAATCCTGTGCAAATGAGAGCATTCAGCCAGTTCCACCCCCACACTACCCCTCTCACTGAGCATGGGAAGCAAACACCAGCCTCCTTTATTCCTACAGATGTGCATAAGCCATTAAAAAAAAGAAGACACAGAAAATAAACATGGAAAGTGCCATCCTCCTTTTCTAGGAGATCTTGTTGATAGGAAATACACAGGCACAACAGTCAAAGGCCAAGAGTTCTGCCTCACTGTTGTTTGTGTAGACAAGTAAATTGACTATTAATATATCACCCACTGGAATTAACCAATTCTCCTTACATATTTCTCATCCATCATATTTACAATTTATTGTAAGCAAATGAAGACTCAATGACCTCCATATGTAACTTGGATAAACTACATCTTACCCTTAAGCCAATGTGACAAGGTCAAGGATTTCTGAACACAGCTCAGATAGGATACGGCCCAACAACTAAGGCTAGGAATTAGAATACGTGCATTAGTGAGCATATATGTGCCATAGCCTTGGAAATACAGACAAATATTCCTAGAAGGTTTCCTATTACACAGAAAGAAAATATTTTCCATTTTTAATAGAAATGATAAACCCCAAATTTCTAAGTGTTCTACCAGGGACCAAGCTTCCACTAGATAATCAGTAAATACCAAAAAAACCCAACCAAGCAACCAACTGAACATCAAAAAAAGGAACAAAGGGAAAATTTAGGATGGCACAATATAGCAAAAATCATAGAAAAATAAAACATATCTACTCGGTTGTAAAATATACATAAATTAAGGGTAAATGCCATTAGAATTCTCCTACATTAATTTGAAACCCACTGTAAGTTATATTTGCTCTTGCTCCATTATTTCCCTTGCAATAAACCCTACTTTTCCCCTCGCCAGGTTTCCAAGGCTCACTATTCTCTCTTCTCATCCTCTGACCACTCACTTCAATTCTTAAACATCCCAAATCTCTCAAACTCTGGGCCTCTTTTACAGTTGCTCTAGTAAAGGTCTGCATCATTTTTTAACCAGACTGCCTCAGTTTCAAGTCTGCTCCTCCTACCACTGGCATTACAATTATCCACTACAGCCTCCCCCACTGACAGAATGCTTAGCTCAAGCACTTAGCAGGTCATCTCCTGTCTATGGTCATCTCCTGTCTATCTGTTAAAAAGTACTCACTGGCCCTTTGTCAGAATCAGTGCAGACCCTGCAAGATCTCAAGGGCCCTCATACTCTGGCCCCAATCTCTGCTGGACCTCAAGATCCAGCTTGCCCCTGTTGCATCTTACACTCAAGCTGTGAGGACTATCAGCGAAATCCAAAAATTCCATGTGGATTACCACTTCGGCACCTTCCTAAATAACTTTCCCTCTACTTACGTATATAGATACGTATATCTTGGTATGTCTGTAAACCTCTGTGTGCATATTTACATGTATATTAGGAAGGAAATAGAGTTTTTTTAAAAAACTACCCGAAAGATTCACTGTTTGATCTATAGAGGAATCCTTGAAACAGCAAAGAGAAGTTTGATTTCAGTTCTCAAACCAGATTTCCAGTTTTGGAAACATTCTCAGTAGCTATGCCAAATGCAGACGTAAAATCTAGGTGATATCTTTATCATGCTTTTAGCTCTTTATAATGCCTTTCTCTCTCCAGAAGTGTATGTACAGTCAAGTTTTCTCTCTAAAAGTTTAAAATTTTAAGGGAATGTCAATATTACCAAAAATGAAGTATACCCAGGTTTAAAAGCCTCTGCAGAAGAGCTTATATATAAACAAAAGGTATGAGAGAGCCTAAGCCTTGATGTTTTCAGAGAGGATTACACAACTAAGAATCATCAAAGCAAAACATTACTTTACAAAATGCAATGTATACATATTACATCTACCAATAAGTGGCATTTTAGAATCAGGAGAATATCAGAGTTGAACAAACTGAGGCCAAGTTGAAGGAGTAGCCCAAGGGGATCTACTGAAAGAGGTAGGATAGAATCTAGTTAAAATGTGCTTTATAACTTATATAAAACTTAATTTAAATAAGAGGGCAAGGGCCAGTCGTGGTGGCTCATGCCTATAATCCAAGCACTTTGGGAGGCTGAGGTGGGTGGATCACTTGAGCTCAAGAGTTTGAGGCCAGTCTGGGCAACATGGCAAAACCCTGTCTCTACAAAAAAATGCAAAAATTAGCTGGCTGTGGTGGCATGCACCTGTAGTCCCAGCTACTCGGGAGGCTGAGGTGGAAGGATTGCTTCAGTCAGAGAGAAGGAGGTTGCAGTGAGCCAAGACTGCACCACTGCACTCCAGCCTAGGCATGGAGGGTGAAACCCTGTCTCAAAAAATAATAAATAAATAAGTAAATGTGTGAGTACTAGCATCCCCTTCTCACTGGGCTGTCACTATTTCAAATGGGTTTCCTTCCCAGTCTGTCTAAAGTGGCTTCCTCCAGCTGCTCATCATTGTTCTCTGTTTCTTTCCTCAGTGGCACTTATCACTGGTTGTAATTATCTTGTTTGTTTATGCTTTACCAATTTGTTTCCTTAACTTGGATAGTGATGGACAGTGACAGTGCCTTGAGAGCAGGGGGTCTTGACTACCTGCTCCTCCACCCTGATAAACGAGCACATGGCATACAAATACTTCCCAATGAGTAAATGATGGGTGAATTACTCAGGAGTTACCTCTGGCTGAGCCTTACCCCCTGCCCCACACTGCACTGGTTGCTTTTCCCTCAGAATTCAATTCACACTCTTCACCACAATTCCATGCAGTAGGGATCCTCATCAGGGCCATTTTACAGATCAAAACATGAAGGCTCTGAGAGGCTGAGCAACTTTCCTGCACACAGGTGGCTGGGGGCAGGGTAGGGTGAAAGTCAGTTTTACTTGATCTCAAAGTCTCAGGATGAGCTGAAGAAAAGAGCCAATGTAATGTGTCAAGGTCCAATTTCTGTGGGGCAGAGAAGCAGGGGGAAGGTCCCAGTTGAAACTGAGGGAATGTGCAGAGACAAGTAGCAAAGCCAGGCCCAGAAGACTCAATATATCCAAGAACCAACTAAGTCCAGAGCTCTGGATAAAGCACATAATTTCAGATTTTAAGCAGTGTGTGTATGAGTGTAATGAGTGTATGTGATCTTGAATTGAGTCACCGCAGACAAGGGACTAAAGGGAATGAAAAGAAAAGGCATTCCAGGCAAAGGAAACAATATTAATCAATATTAATCTGGTGAGTCATGATGATTTATAATTTGGAAGGACTTAAGCGAGGGAGTTTATGGGAGTAGGAAAGTGAGAAATAAGGTTAGAAAGGTAGGCAGAGGCCTGATCATGAAGAATCTTGTGCGGCTTGTAAAAGAGTTTAGATGTTATTCTCTTATAAACAACAGGGATCCACTATCAAGTTTTAAACCTGTTACAGCTAGTTAGATAGGCAAGAGTGGACAGGAAAGGGTTCTCCCAGCCACTAGGACTGTCAGGTGAAGGTTTGGCAATTATCACACTGCCTCTCTAAAAGTGATAACTTGGCAGCTGATGCAAGGGAAAAGCCACTTCCTGATGGTCCACACCTGTTGCACTAAAGTGTTAACTGAATGCAGGCACCAGAGATAAGCAATTTCCTGGGAGTACACAGTAAGAGACAAAATGGCAGAGTATGAGTTTCCAGGGGCACTCCACCAGAAAAAGGGAAAAAGTCTCAGATAGGCATGCATACAACATACTAAACACACTGTGTGTGCTCACTTCCCAAGGATAAGGAGGGTACTGGGCTTGCAGGCAACCCACCCTAAAGGAAGAATCATGGGAAAGGGGCCAGCTTCTAAAGTCCTAGGATCAAGGTTAAACACTGCACTTGACCTCAGTGTCTGCTTGGGTCTCTTCCAAGCATACTTTCCTTTCTTTCCTGTTCTAAAGGCTTTTAAAATAAACTTCCACTCCTGCTCTGAAATTTGCCTCGGTCTCTTTTTCTGCCTTATGCCCCTCAGTCGAATTCTTTCTTCTGAGGAGGCAAGAATTGAGATTCCTGTAGACCTGTACAGATTCGCCACTGGTAACTCAGATACCTTCCCCTGGTGATAAACCCATGAGTAAAATGATCAGATCTACATTTTTGGAAGATTATGTTGAAGATGAGCTTGAAACGATTCAAAACTGATGGCAAGAAAACACCTAGAAGACAATTTCAATAATCCCAGTGATGAGTACCTCAACTAAAGGCAAAAGCAAGGAGGGTTAAAGAAAAGGCATTTTGGCTTGGCATGGTGTCTCATGCCTATAATCCCAGCAGTTTGGGAGGGAGAGGCGGGTGGATCACCTGAGGTCAGGAGTTCAAGCAAGACCAGCTGGGCCAACATGGCGAAACCCCATCTCTACTAAAAAATACAAAAAATTACCCAGGCATGATGGTGCACACTTGCAGCCCCAGCTACTCGGGAGGCTGAGGCAGGAGAATCACTTGAACCTGGAAGGTGGAGGCTGCATTGAGCCGAGATTGTGTCACTGTACTCCAGCCTGGGCAAAAGAGCGAGACTCCATCTCAAAAAAAAAAAAAAAAAAAAAAAAAATAGGGCATTTGTAACCATTTAGCTCCTGGCAGGGTGAACAAAACAAGAAACATTACCAAAATAGAAATGTCTCCAAAGGAAAAAAAAAAGTACTTCAGTTTTATACATAATGAGTTTGAAGCAATTGTGTGATACCTAAATAGCATGATATCTAAATACCTAATATCATGTGCAAATATGAGAAATTCTGGAGTAAACAAAAGTTTGTTTTCCTCACTGCAGGACTTTTCAGTTCCTTTACTATGCTATATCTCATAAATACAATATGCAGTGTTTACCAAACTCATTGGAACAAGAATATTTTTCTCCAGTCTTCCTATTAACATTTCTTAGGACAATGGGATTCTTTGCAAAGTTATTTGGGAAATATTATTCCAGAAGTTTTCAACAGTCTTTAGTTTACAGAAGAGTAAAGAGTTTATTGAACTGACTCAAAAATAATTAGGAGCAGACTAAAAACTGGACTTGAATAATCACTAAGGTGTAAAAAATGTGTTTGCATGGCTCGGGTACTAAAGTTCTATAAGAGGAGGTAGGAATGGAAAAATCTGCCAAGCATTAAATACCCCTACAAAAGGGAAAAAGATGAGAAGGTTGTTAAACAGGTCAACTCCATCCAAAAACAAAGGAGGGCAATAGTGCTAATGATCTGGGAATTGTGTTAACAGCCAGCCAGACACATACATTAGGGAAGGCTAGAAGCTGTTCCCTCCTCCTTTGCCTAAAAAAAGGTAGCCTTGGAACAAGCTATCTTTGTTCAGGGAGGAATCACTGCAGAGCTCCCCCTTAGTTATGTAATTACAGGCAAGCCTCCTACTGCTCAGGGGGACAAAGCAAACGCGGCCTTGGTGAGTGGAGGTTGACTCCTGACAGTACTCCTTGCCAGGCTGAGCCAGCTCTAGGCTGGAAGCTGGCTAATTTGTGGGAAAATTCCAGACCCTTGAGGGAGGAAAAATACTCAGGATCCCAAATGCCGCTCTGAGACTGGAAGTTGGTACCCTGTAAGGGCTGAATGAGGAGGATGTGACCCAGGCTTGCTGACAGAATACAAGGAGCCCCTGAAAAGAATTCATCACAAAGTTAGGGAGATATGGCCTGGCCAGGCTCAATGCAAAAGCTAAAATGCTATAGGGATGAAGGAAACTTGTGTGGGTAGTATGGGGTTGAGAAGGGCTGAAAATACAAGGGCATTGCTAGCATCAGAGCACTAAAGCTGTCCCAGGAACCACACAGAACCAGTCTTGTGCAATAGCACCACACTAGCAGACAGAGAGATCAAGCTCCTGTGGGGCTTTGAAGCAAGGCTGATTTAAGTCCCATGGATGACATAAAGCCCAAAGATTTCTGGATAATTTGAGTGGGAAATACTTCAAGAGAGAAACATCAAACGTGTTTTATGTCAAACAAGTACCTAAAAAGATTTACACCCTAAAATAATTCTTCCTGTTTACATATGTATATATGAAAAAATGTTTTCAGGTGTTGATTAACGTGTATGCACTAGATAATAAGGCTCTTTCAAGCCATGCCAAGGTGAGGTCCCTGGGGCCACCTATAGCCAAGAAAGGCTCAGAAGCCTTTGCTTGGGAGGGTTTTCTTGTGACAGGGAAAGCCAGGCAGAATTTCACAAAGATAGACAGGTAGTAGTAAACCATTGCAGGCTCTCAAGTAGGTTGTCGGGATGCCTGTGGTGACCTTCTAAACCTCAAGATCGATGATATTTCTGGAATCACTGGCAAGGAAAAGAAAGCATTGACTATGAAGCTGGGACTGTACTTCTATTTTATTATTTACATGCTGCAAAATAGGTTCTGGGACTTTGTCTTTATATCTCCTCTTGCATATACGATAGGAGATGTAGAGGCTTAACAAATGGTCTCCAAATTGCTTGGAACTTCGGTAATAAAGATTAACACATCTACAAACCTGAAATCATTTAACTGGTGAAACACAGTGAATCACTTAGATTTCTCTTACTCTTGGTTGAAAGAACTAGTGAAAACTGGCTCAAAAAAGAGAAAAGGAGGAATGTATTGGTTCATGGAAAAACCTATAGATATACATTTAGCTTTGGGCACAGCACTGATTCCCACTTCACAGGGTGTCACTAGGTTCATCTTCAACTCTATTCCCTCTGAACTGGGTCCATTTTGAAACTCCATGTGGTACCCAGATGGTTATAGCTCCTTGTGTAGACTCACATCTACACTCTTCTGTATCAGGAAGAGAGAAAAATAAAACTACCCTTGCAAATGTCTTATTGGTCCCAACTGAGTGACTAACCCCATTCCTGAACCATCACTATGTGGTCAAAGGCATGGGATATAATTGATGAAACCATCCAAACTCTGTAATTAAGAAAGAGGAAAGTGTGGTTTCTCAAAGGAGATCCAAGGCCACAGAAGGAAAGAGAAACGATGGCTGTGCAAAATAAAATAAAATAGTGCTATACAACATTAGAAAGAATGAATTTTATTTCTTATCTCACCCTTTTAATATCATTAGTTCTCTTGCACTTAATTCAAAATTCGACACCTATGTTTACCAATGAATCCCACAATCATTAAAAATAATAATAGTGATAATAACATTAACAATAAGAGTACTTACCTTGGACCTTGACACTCTGTTAAGCACTTGACATACACAATTTCATTTAATACTCACCTAAACTCAATACATGGATGAGGAAACTGAAGCTCAAAGAAGTCAAGTTACTTGCCCAAGACTGTATACTAATAGGGAGCTTAACTGGAATCCAAACCAAGATCTAACTCAGAAACCATGTATTGTTTTGTTTTTCAATTTTTTATTTACATAGGTTCTGTGGGAACAGGTGGTATTTGGTTACATGAGTAAGTTATTTAGTGGTGATCTGAGATTTTGGTGCACCAATCACCCGAGCAGTATACACTAAACCCAATTTGCAGTCTTTTATCCCTCACCTCCTTTTCACACTTTCCCCTGAGTCCCAAGTCCACTGTATCATTCTTATTCATTTGCATCCTCATAGCTTAGCTCCCACATATGAGTGAGAACACACAATGTTTGATTTTCCCTTCTTGAGTTACTTCACTTAGAATAATAGTCTCCAGTTCCATCCAGGTTGCTGCAAATGCCATTAATTCATTCCTTTGTATGGCTGAGTAGTATTCCGTCATATATACAATTTCTTTATCCACATTGATTGACGGGCATTTGGGCTGATTCCACATTTTTGCAATTGTGAATTGTGCTGCTATAAACATGGGTGTGCAAGTATCTTTTTCGTATAATAACTTATTTTCCTCTGGGTAGATACCCAGTAGTGGGACTGCTGGATCAAATGGTAGTTCTACATTTAGTTCTTTAAGGAATTTCCACACTGTTTTCTATAGTGGTTGTACTAGTTTACATTCCCACCAGCAGCGTAGAAGTGTTCCCTGATCACTGCATCCATGTCAACATTTATTATTTTTTGGTTTCTTAATTATGGCCATTCTTGCAGGAGTAAGGTGGTATTCCATTGTGGTTTTGATTTGCATTTCCCTGATCATTAGTGATATTGAACATTTTTTCATATGTTTGTTGGCCATTTGTATGTCTTCTTTTGAGAATTGTCTATTCATGTCCTTAGCCCACTTTTTGATGGGACTGTTTGTTTTATTTTTCTTGCTAATTTGAGTTCCTTGTAGATTCTTGATATTAGTCCTTTGTTTGGTGTATAGATTGTGAAGAATTTCTCCTACTCTGTGGGTTGTCTGTTTTCTCTGCTGACTGTTCATTTTGCTGTGAAGAAGCTCTTTAGTTTAATTCTTAACTAAAATACAACTCTTTCTCTCTCTCTCTCCCAATAATGTTCTTACCTGTATCCCTGACTCACCCCTAAGCTGATGCTCTGAATTCCTTTTGACGGTGCCTGTCCTGAACCTGAACATGATGAAACTATCCTATTGCAATTCAAATCAACTGGACCTACCACTGGCCAGGTATGGATACTCTTTAAGAAAACATATCACTTTACACTGTGTGTCATGGGAAGCAGGCCCTTCACACTCACCCAGAGGCAGGGTAAGGAGATGACTTTAGTCACTCATCTGGACAGTGGCAGCCTGACTTCTATTACGCTCTAGAAATTGTCTCATTAAAGAAAAAATCCCATGTGCTTCTGCACTGTCAATGTGCCAACAGACAGCTCAGTAGGAAACATTTCCAAAGAGTGAGTTAATCATAAACTGACGATTGAAACAGTTATGGAAAATTCTTTACATACAGTACGGAAACGAACAAAGTTACAGATACTGTCATGATGTCAAAAAATAATATAGTAATTTCTAATATTATGCCAGGGGAAACATTTTAATTACATTTCTTAAGCAAAGAAGTTAACTAACAAGATTTTACTTATTTTTATTATCAGAAAGCCAGAAAGAGATTCATCTTTTTTCAAAAGTAAGAAAGTAAATGGTTTTTCAAAACATAAACCCTCAACGTCCCCCATTCCCCCCCTCTCCCCCCACCAGACCTCAGCAGTCTTAGAAAAGAAATCTCCCTCTTTCAGGAGCTTTTTTCAGTATTTAACAACCCTGAAGAGTGAGAGTCATATCTAACCTGAAGGCCTCTGCTGACTCTTAAATGAGTTCAAGTTACTAAACTCACTCCTCTTTCCTGTGTGATTAAAAAAAAAAGTGTAGAAAGCGTTTCAAACTGTTCTAATTTTTGTTGATGTTGGTGGAGTTTGAAGTGAATTACTACTGAGGAAAGAGCTCAATTCTAAGAATAAAGGTAGCACTGAAAGGCAGAATTATCATAAGCCCTTCTAGAGAAGCCCAAATAGATGCTCTTCACCATCTCACAAAATACAAATTATCATTTGTGTTAACACTGTTTCCAGGATTTTCCAAAAGAAAACACATCCATATCAAGCCTAAGATTCAAAATAAATCTCCTAAACCCCAAACAGAGGGAGAGCTTGGACAAAGTTTAGTGAGCAGAAAACACCACAATGAGAAAAGGGGTAAGAGAGTATAGCTAAGAATTGACTGCATGTGTACAATCAGTGAATCACATGCCTATTTAGAGTAAACAACTTTAACCACCACTGGGCTGCAGACTCATGCAGTATCCTAAATCTTTCCTTTCTTTCTAAAGTATAAGTAGATGCCAAGTAACACATCACCTGTGTTTTTTAATTTTATAAATTCCTTTAATTTTCTTCTATAAGTTCATCCTTTTCCCTGACCATCCACAGAGCAGTGAGACCCAAAACACAGACAGTGGACAAGAAAAACAGGACTGAGAAGCCAGAGGCCTGAGCTCCAGATCTTGTTCCTCTTCCCAAGCAAGGAGACCCTAGAATCACTATCCAAGCACCTCCCCATGTCTTAGCTTCCTCATCTGAAGAATGTCTTCACAAGAGTATTATGACAATCAAATGAAGTCAGTAATATTAAGCACTCTGAAAACTTCAAAGGCTATAAAAACACTAGGTGCTGCTATCATAATTAATACATTCTTTGGCAAAAAGATGCCAAATACACATGAATTCCAGATTCACCAATGTAGGAAATGAGGCAGACAGGAGAGCACACATAGATATTATTCATTTTAAGTTAACAGAACATTTAATTAAATCCTACGGAATGGAGGAAAACAACCTATCCACATCCTGTTAAAATGTATATATTCACGACATCAGAAATTATTTTGTTTCTGAATTAACACTATTCACATTTTTTCAACTTAAAACTACAAGAATTATTTCAGTTCCATTACCCACAAGCTAGGACCTATAAATGGGAAAAATAATAGTATCCACATGTTGGGATTGATGCGCTGATTCCCTCAATATATGCAAAGTACACGTTATGTGCTATGTGAATGTTTGCACTATGGTACAGTAGTGGACAATCAGCTAGACCTGAGTTCAAACTGCTGCTTCAATCTCAAATAGATATGTGATTTGGGATGCAGAAGAGAAAAATGTAGTACCTAACCTCTTAACGTTGTTACAATTTTACAAATTATACATGAAGACTGAACAGACTGCATATTTTAAGTGTTCAACTACTGGTGGTATTGGCAGTTTTTACTTAGAGTATATAATGCTTAATACTATTAGTACTGGTAAATTATGAAGCTATATCACAAATTCTTTAACTTTCAGTGTTTTCTTTAGATCATACAGTTCTAAAGAGATAGCTACTCCAATCTTGGCAGTAGCAAAATGTAAGTGACTATAATGTAGGTTCAAGTTCTAAACCACAATCTCATGTTTAATTCTGTTTCAGATCTACCACTGCTAAAATATTTTAAGCAGTCAAAAATACATTTATCCTTGAGAAGCATACAGTTTATGCTTTCACATTCAATTTTTTGTAGTATCAACTCTCCTACAAAGCTTCCGTTGTCTAATCAATCTAGCATGCAATCTCATTCCAGTAGAACACCACCATGCATTTTAAAGTATTTATATATTTTTCCAACATTTATCAACACCATTTCTTGCAAACTTAAATGAAAAATAAATAGTTCCTTAATGAGCTTTAAAAAGTCAAGACTTTTTCATTTTTCATTTCCCCAATTCATTTTCATTTTTCATTTCCCCAAAAGAGAGGGTGAAAATAAAGAAAAATCAAGGAAGATTTTTTTAAAGGTGCAGGAGGAACAGGCGGAAGGATAAAAGAAAAATAAAACCAGAAATATCTCTGGTGTTTTTCAGGGCCAACAGCTTAGAGAAGTGTCCACCTCACCTGTGATTCATGGCCACAGACAAATGCGCTCCCATTTCCTTACTAGGGGCTTGGCTTTCAGTTCGTTGTACAAATTATCATCTTTTATCCTCCATCACTTTTTGGACCTCAAGACAGTTAAATCACAGCTTTCCAGAGATTAAAGGAATCTTAGAAACCACCTTCTTATCCCCCCTTCCTTTTGTACAGCTTTCCAAGCTGGCAGGCAGCCTGATGCCTGAGAAGGCTGGTGCCTTCTAGATCACAAAATGACCATGGGTTAAGACCGGAGAGAGAACCAGGGCCTTCCCCCACCCCAGGTAGAGTGGCTTCCCCATATGCGCTGTATTTCAGCATCAAATTTCCTATATTTCTGTCTCAAGTTTATGCTGTTTAGCAAAGAGCAATCCATTGGTTATTTTCTAATGAAAATATTATATCTCAGAGTTAAAACAATGTATACTCTCAAACAGCCTTTTGATAAGATACTAGCACCTGAATTACAAGAATAAGGACAAACTTCTCAATAGCATTAGTTTTTTCCTCCTTATTTGCTTATTTTCATAATGCAATTACATCAGCATAAGCTAAAGTCCTGTCACCTTAATTACCTGACTCTTTTATGGCTAGTTACTTGTGAGAGGTTTATGTCCACTCACTTCATAATAAATGACCATAATTTTTGAAATGATGATTTGTTTCACTTATTATACATGTGTTTAGTGTGCATACGGATAACAGTAAATATTAAAACAATTTCCATGTGAAAAATGTCCTTGAAATCCAACAAATATCTGCTGAAATTCAAGCAACAGAAATTATTCAACAATCTTGAACACTTGTGATTCATGTCTTCTCTGAGTCACCCAACCAAGTATCAAAATAGAGAAAAGGACAACAGAACATTCTCAACTTCCAAAAATTAGCAGCTTTCAGATATAGAGAAGACTGGAGGAAAAGAATACTGGTCCTCAGGCCTGAGTGCCCAGTGATCAACCTAAAGGGCAGATAATAGTAACCCTAACCTCTGAGGTGACCAGCAGAAAAAAAATTATCTCTGGAGAAAAGATTCCCTCCCTGTATACTATTTTAATTACAAAATAATTCTAATCTCATTTGGAAAGTTGATGCTAATTTTTTGGTGTTGTTGTTGTATGTGTGGGGTTTCTTTTTTGTTGTTGTTTTTTGGTTTTTGGTTTTGCTAAGCCATCTACATGTGAAATTTAACTATATAATGCAGATACATAAACCACTTAAGTCACATGCCCTACTTCAAGATTTGAAACAATTTGCTTAAATGCTTTCCAGTTAAAAAGTAGTGTTAAAAATGAAGTATAATTACCTTTCCAAAGTCACGAACATCAAACAAGTCAAATGCCTCGAAAAGTTCACTTTTCCTCATTCCAAACGTCTCACAACAGGCCGTGAGAAATGTCCTTATGTTCTTCAAACAGAGAAACTGAGGAATGGAAAAGAGCTGTTAGCATAAAGTTAATTATTCTGAATGCTATCCACCCTCTGTAACACTCAAGACTGCTCTAAAAATGACAAGAAAGCATCAAGCAGCCTTTGAAGTTGCTTTTCAATTACTCATTCAGCAGTACTGACCGAGCCTGCAGTCTCTCTCAGGCACAGGTGATACAGCTGTGACCAAGGCAATTTCTACCCTCATGAAACTTACATTCTAATATGAAAAGACAGACAAAACAGACAAAGCAACAAACACAAATAAGCAAGTATTTTTACTTTCATATGGTGGTAAGTGCAATAGAGAAAAATAAAACCTGGAGGAGGGATCAGGAGAGTTGGTGGGGCTGGGTGGGGGAACTTAAACAGGATGGTTAGAGAAGGTCTCACAGAGAAGAGGATGGTGGAGCAGAGATCTGAGGTGCAAAAGGAGCAAGCCATGGAGAACCGTAGCACACAACAGCCCAGACTAAAGAAGTGTTCCATACCAAGGCCCTGACATAGAGGCCTCTGAGCGTGTCTGAGAAAGGGGTCAGTGCAGCAAGGCAGAGTGAGTAATGGGGGGAAAAGGAGGAAAGATGGAAAGCTAGTGGGGTCAGATGATGAAGATCTTTATGGGACAGTTTTTACTCTGACTGATATGGGAGGTCATTGGAGGCCTTGGCCAAAAGGAGGACATAATCTGATGGTTTAAAAAGGTCTTTTTGGCCTGTTGTGCTGAATATAGAGTGAAAGGGGCCGGAGCTAGGGTGGAGGCAGGAAAACCAGACATAAGGCTCTTGCAATAACCCAGGTGAGAGACAACTGTGGGAAGACCAGAGTGTGGTCACTTTTTGACTGTGTTAAATCTGAGAGGCCTATTAGTCATCCAATAAGTGTGGAGTCCAGGGGATAGGTGTGTACTTCAGACAGAAATATGGGAGTCTTTAGTGTACAGAGGACTGTTAACCATGACACTGGCTGAAATGACTGTGGAATAGAGCAAAGAAGAGGAGAGTACCTGAGCCAGGAAACTTTAAAGGATCAGGAAAAGAGGAGGAGCTCACAAAGGAGTCTTAGTAAGAGTGACCAGTTAGGAAGTAGGAAAACCAGGAGATAGGGTTTTCCTGAAGCCAAGTAAAGAATGTGTTTCTAGATGAAGGGAGTGAAAAACTATATCAGATGCTGCAGACGGCCAAATAGGATTTAGACCAACGGATTGGTCAACACTGCCCATGGATTCTGGCAGTGTGAAAGTCACGGGTACCTTGACAAAAGCAGGCTCTATATGGAGGAGTGGGATGAAAGGCCTCTTGGAGTTGGTTTCAGAGACAAAGAGAGAAAAGGAAGTGAAGACAGAATATAGACTCCTGAGTTTTGCTGCAGAGGAGAACAGAGAAATGGTCAAGAGTTTTAAGAAACAGCAGAAGATGTCGAGACATGTTTCTGTTTTGATGGGAATAACCTGATAGAGAGGGGAAAGCTGGTAACAAAGCAGAGAAGGACAGTTCCCCAAATGTAGTCCTGATTAGGTGAAGTGGGGAGAGATCAAGTGTTTAAGTGCAGCAGCTGACCTTAGAGAAGAGCATGGTCAACTCATCCACACTATAACAGGGAGATAGGAGGGAAGGCAGACACTACTGACTACTTAAAAAAACAAAAGTTAAAATTTGCTTTCAGTGTCTAAAAGACTCAGATCCACCTAAGCAAAATACACACATACCCTAACTGCAGTGGCACATATTTTTTTAAAAATATACATGTGAAAACTTTAAATAGATGCATTTTATTATATGTAAGTTATACCAAAATAAAGTTTAAAAAAATGGAAAAAAACCTACTAACCATCAAAAAGTGAGCAACGTATTAGCTAATTATTGTATCTTTGCTTTTTTAAAAGTGTTGCCAATGTCTTAATTCATTGTTTTGTTTATCTTGGTTTGTTTTTTTAATTTGCAGAAAGCATATCTTTTTTTACTTCATCTATTAATACATTTGAAACATTTGGATTATTCATAGGCTTAACTTAGACACACTTTACCCTTCACGGGAATCATTCTCAGAGGCTTAAATATTTCAGGAGGGATTAAAACCACAAGGGAAGCATCATAAACCCTTTGAAACACAAAGGCAGCAGGTAATCAGCACATGCAGTTACTGCTTTCACTTTAAAAAATTCATAAGAGACCTTTAAGACACAGAATCACTCTGCATGTAGCTCTTCCACATAGAATTGCTTATTTACAGATTAAAAGCCTTGTATTCTACCAAGACAGATAATAATTACTCTCTTGGGGATTATGCAACTGCTCTCTTGCAATATCGTTTACATAATTAAGTGCCTGACTCATAGCTCACCAAGGAACAAAGCATAATTGCACACACCACGCTCTGAAGATTTCCCACCAAACTCAAACTTTCCCCACCTGTAGGGAAAGCTGCAGAAGACTTCCATAAAGTGCTTTGATCACTAATTCAGAAAAGCAAGTATTATTACTAAAAGTTAAAACAATATGAAATATTGCATGCACAGAAGATTTAAAAAGAGGCCTTCCCCTTACTTCTGGAATTCATCTTAAACTTACTTGTCCCTTAACTAGTTCAGATCTACTAAATTCCACAAATATTTACTGAATTTGAAAGTCACTTATATACTCTCACTTTTCCAGGCAATCCTCAAATTTGGTCACCCCTTTATTTATGTATTTTTCAGTTTTTGAATTCCTACAACATTACACATACTGGAAATGTTAAAAATGAACAAGACAAAGCTCTTCCTCAAGCTTCTCTGTTAAATTTATCAGGAGATTTTCCCACTGCTCCAAAATTTGACTAAATTAGTGCTGAGTCTAGTGCGAGCCTAGTGTTATTCACTAGGCTCACACTTCACTCAATGCTCACAAGTGTGTGGCTCTGTGCACATATAGGAACAGAGCTGAGGAATAGAGGAAGTGAGGCTGCCAGCCTGCCAGCAGTCCACTCCAGGACTTTTGCTTTGCTTTTACCAAACTGATTTTTTTTCCAGTTTATTTATTTTATTTTTTTGAATTTCAGAACAAAAGTTGAAAGAATACAATGAACATTCCATCTACATGCAACAATTGCAACATAGTGCCATATATGCTTTTGCACCTATACCCTTTATATATTTATAAATGTATTATGTTCAGCTATTTGAAAATGAATTACAGATAACACTTGACTCCTAAATACTCTGACTCTACCTGCAACTCCCAGGAATAAGGACATTTTTCCTACAGATCAACAATACCATTATATCTAAGAAAATTAACAATAATTTCATATTATCTAATATCCATTCCATATTCAAATTTCCTCAATTGCCCACTTTTAGTACTAGGATCCAGTCATGTTTTACCCACTGCATTTGGCAGTTTTATCTTTTAGTCAGTATCTTTTAATCTAAAAATACTTTTGCCTTTATTCTTCTTTAATGACATTGACTTTTTGAAGAGTCCAGGCTGGTTGTCTTACAAAATGTCCTAAATTCTGCATTTGTTTGGTTGTTTCTTCATGGTATCATTAAACCTATTATTCTTTCACTTGTATTTCCTGTGAACTGAAAGCTAAATCTAGATTCAAATTAAACAGTTCTGATAAAAGTACTTCATACTGTGAACTTCATATTTCATCACATCAGAAGACACAAAATGTTAGGGTGTCCCATCATTACTGAGGCTAAACTCAATCATTTAGTTAAGATGGTTACTGCCACATCTCTCTACTGTAAAGGTACATGTCCCCCCTTTATAGCAGTAAGTAACCCAGGGGTGAAGATGTGGTACCATGTGGCTGTCCTATTTCCCAATAATTTTTCACAATGGGATTAGTATTCCTTGATCATCCTTGCTTTAATTATTCCATATGAGACTTTAAAATAGTGATTTTTCTAACTCTATCATTCTTTTCTTACTTACACGCTAGTATTCTTTTGTCAAAAAACAGAAAAAAAGCTTCCCCTGACCTCCCTTTTTTTCTATTTTTGTAATAATCAATTGCCATCATTATTTTTTTAATGCTCATATTGTCCCACGTTTGGCCACTGGGAGTCCCTTCAAATTGGTTCATGTTTCCTTTCAACATAATTAATAATTACAATAATATTTGTTTCATTGCTTTCTTATATCAAGTTGTCCCAGGTCCATCTCACATTTTCACTGCTGTAGCTCTGGAATCAGCCATTTCTCCAAATAAGTCTTATTTTCATTTATACAATAAATAGTATTTGGAAACCACCATGCTGCTCCTAGAATACAAGAGCCAATTACATGAGAAGAACAAATACCTCCACCATTTGCTTAAGCAATCTATCACTTGCAACAGAACGGCTCATATACACAGGATTGGCCTAACTGGCCTCTAATGTTCCTCTCAGAAAATTCTATAATTTTCTTTGTGGAGTGCATAATAAGCCAATTCTTATCTCACTGTGTTCAGACAAAAAGAAAATTGAGATAACTGAAGAAAACTGATGAATGTATGATTTTATGGCTAGAGATAGGGTGTTTTGGCACAACATTACTTGAGTGTTTTTTTTTCCCAGTCTATTCATTCTTTGAGATTAGAAGTTATCTGCTAGACCTTTGAATCATCTGAAGCAGCTTCAAATATACTGCCTTCAGAGATATTTTATGAGTCAGAAGGGCAAATCCAGCTCACTGTTTCATAACCATACCTATTTTTGACAAAAAAAAAAATTGTACAACTTTGCTAAATCATCTAACTTATTTACATAAGTTAACTTAACAATTTGTTAGAATTTAGAATTTCAGGACTTAGAATTAAATAACTTTAAATTTCTTTAAATATTCAGTGTATCCATATAAGAGTTGCCAAGTAAGGATACACAAAAGTTTAAATAGCCATGCATCCTCATTTAACAAATATTCATGAGGTGCCTCTTATGCACTAGGCATAATGAAACTCCATAAAACAAATCCCCAATTGGGTAGTGATTTATTAATATATTAAACAAATGTTAACTGAATAAAAATGCCAAGAGCTGGGTACAAGAAAAGCAAACATGATCCAGACTCTATACTCAAAGGCTTATTATAGTGAGACAGAACATACAGACAAGTGAGTCCACGGTTGCACAATAGTTTGGCAAGTGCAATGAAGAATACATTCAGATGCTCCTTGAGAGCCCTAGGGTATCAGGGACAGCTTTCTGGAATAACTGATACATGAGGTAAGAAAGGATGAGTGGGAGTCACCTACATAAAGAGAAGGAGTGGTTGGTGTTTAGAAGGCAGAAAGGCAATTTCCAGACTTGCAGTGAGAGGATGCTCCAGTCAAACGGCAAAGAATGTGCATGAAAGCATGGACCACTTGGGGCAGTGGAAGCGGTTGAGATGGACACTTCTCTGGACAAGAGCGCTGACAGAAGGAACAGAAGAGGGGAGCTGGGATGTCCATGGCATGCCAAAGAGATCTTGGCTTTGTCCTAGAAGTGATGAGGTTAAAAGGTCTTAATTAGAAAACTGGAGGCCAGATGCGGTGGCTCATGTCTGTAATCCCAACACTTCAGGAGGCCGAGGTGGGCAGATCACCTGAGGTCAGGAGCTCGAGACCAGCCTGGCCAACATGGCAAAACCTCATCTCTGCTAAAAATACAAAGATTAGCTGGCTGTGGTGGCACACACCTATGGTCCCAGTTACTGGGGAGGCTGAGGCATGATAATCCCTTGAACCTGGGAAATGGAGGTTGCAGTGAGCTGAGATCACCCCACTGTACTCCAGCCTGGGCAACAAAGTGAGATTCTGTCTCCAAAAAAAAAAAAGAAAAGAAAAAAAGCACCAAAGGAAAGCGGAATACTCAGCTTTGCATTTATGATTATTGGTGTTGTAGTGATGTTTCGGTGCTTGCTATGTGTCAAGCTCTATGCTAAATGTTTATGCCATTCAATCCTCACAACAATCCAATCAGAAAAGTTTTAATTTTTTTTTAAACACATACTGAGGCTTAGAGATTTACCAACATTTACATAACTGCTTTTGCCAAAGCAATGGAGTCAGGATTCAAATCCAGACATTCTGGCTACAGGGCCCATATCCTTAACTACTATGTTATATTAACTCCATTTTTGCAGCTTATAGAATTAAATGTTTTTCTTCTTACTAGAGAGATGATGTGGCATAGGAAGACAAGACAAGGACAACCAGGACATTATCATATAATTTAACAAGAAATAATGGGATTTAGACTAGGATAGTAGAAGGAGAGATGGGAAGAACTCCAGGAGATTACATGGAAAAGAAATATTTGGTAATTGATTGACTGTGTGTGGGGACGCAGTGGGAGAGAAAAGAGAAGACCTCAGAATTATAACTGTACCTCTCTCTGCCTTGGGCACTGGAAGGATAGCAGGGCATTCACTGAAAATGGTAACTTAGCAAATTGGGGGACATAGTATGTGAAAAGGAGGCCAGGGAGTCAGTTAATTCTTGTCTTCACATATAAAAACTCCCAGTAATTAGATGCTGCCTAGCCTCTCTCTCAGGTATATCCAGTGAAAAGTGATGTATTCTAACAACAAAGCCATGTGTCTTCAACAACCATGCGTAGCCTCTCTCCCTCTTCAGAAGGGCATGAATAGCTCGCTTATTTCAAGGTGAGGAAGGAAAATGGTAGAAAAGCACTCAATATCAATGCACATAACTTCCGAAGAAGAAAGTTTAACACCATCAAGGTCTAAAACATCCTAAAATTATAAATCAGGCCAAAGCTCTCTGGATTAGAAAATGTTTCATAACCAGGTAGCTACCACAACAGACAAGGCATGAGTGGCTTTTCAAGGTGCAGCCTCCTGTTACCACTTTAATGTTAGCAATATTGACGCTTAAAAAAGGAAACATTTGAAGGTCAAACTGCTAAAGTTCACTACAAAACTCTGAATCGCTCCTTTTCCTCTACCCCTTAAAAGTGTATGGTTTCCTTTTTCTCTATGTGTAAAAGCCATCTTGACTTTTCTCAAAGATATGAATGCAAACAGGATGGCTTCCCTTTTTATTTGAAAAAATAAACACCGACTTCTCCAAAGTTGCTAGGAATAATGGACTAGTGGTGTTAACTGAGGCAATGGAAGAGGAAAAATCTCTACAGCTTATTGTGAGATGAGTTATTTCAGTCCCAAATGAGAAATGACATTTCATGAGAAGGTCGGTGAGTGCTAATAGACCTTCACACAATGTAGATTTTCTAACTTATATTTGATGAGGCAAGGACCACCCAGAGCCAACCTGTGTGTTGAAGAAAGAAGCTCTCAGCATCTCAGAATAAAGAAGTTCTCAGTAGGACACTTGCTATTGAAAGATCGGCCCTGAATTTGAGGGTCTGGCATAATTCAAATTATGAGTGGCCATTATAATAAGATGATTGGCAGTTTCGAAAGGCACAGAAGAGACGACCATGAAACCGATTTACAAACATTAAGGTACAAGAAGAATTCTCCTTCTCTTCTCATCATAACTCCTCCTCTATACCTCTCCAAAGGTCTCAGATCATCCTTTTTTTTAACTGGTAAGGAGGAAGAGGTGTAAGGAATATAATAATATCAAGCTTCTCTCTTACTGGAGTTCCCTATTTCTGTCCCTTTCACCATATCTTCTCTATATCTCTCTTTTAAAATTAGGTGAGCTAAATCTTACATCTCCTAGAAATTTAATAAAAGAATAATTTTTATTTGTATGAGGACCTTATTTGTCCTTTTCCCCCGTGTATCAGTGGGTCCCAACAGAAGGGGCATCATCATCCTCATTCTAAGAAATCATACCTTCAAATATCCCCTGAATTACAAAATAAGTATGCTACATGTGGTATCAGTTTAGGACTGCACAATATGAAGCTTCAAATTATTTTCATACTGATGCTAATATCACAGTAAATGATGACCCTAAAGGACATGCAGAGAGGACATAAATGGAGAAGGGTTGTTCCTTAGCTGTAATCTTGTCATCAGTTCACTAAACCAAAACCTCCCTATTCTCAGCAATTTAAAAGCCAATATTTCTGTTTTGATTATTGTCCAGGCCACAACTCATTTCTAATGGGTAATTTTTTAAGTCATTCGTTCAAAAATACAGTAATTTACCATTTAAAGTTAACAGGTTTTTTTTCACAGTATTCAATGATAATGTACTTTCATGAGTTATATGTAATTATATTGAAATGGCTAAGCTCATAAATGCAGGGCTAAATTGTAAAAACACATGCACCCTCTTTGCTCTGCAGCACCCGGCTCACATCTGTTATGGTAATAACTGTGCTTAACTATAATATATCTGTCTGACTACCTAGTGCCCTAAGAAATAGTAAATATTTGAGAGTAAAGAATACATCTATATTGTCTTTGTATCCCAAAGCTTTTATAGCACATACATGTTTTCAAATAAATTGATGAATGAATCCTGATGCAGTTTATCTCTAGGAAAAATTAAATGCAACGATTCCTTAGTAGTCAGGGAACTCAGTAAAATTTTACATTAAATTGTCATCATATCTTCTTATTTCAATGTTAATGTAGCAATGTGTCTTTTTAAACTTACCTAAGAACATTTTTAGAAGTTATATTAATATTTATAAATAATATCAATAAAGATTTTAAATTATTAGGCAATTACATTCTTAAGCATGATCTTTAGTCTGTGTTTCCTGCCTCTGGTGTGTGTTCAATGGGAAGCTGCCAACTGATTTTCAGGGGCCCTTGGCCAGCAGTCACCATAACACACACACACAAGCCCTCTGCTGCTTTCAACAGCTCTTGTCCTTATAAGAGGAAGCACTGCACCCCTCTCCCTTGGCAGAAACTTAGACTTAGAAACTCAGTTTCAAAGGTTTTTCTGTCAACACCTGCATTAGTCCCTGGACATACAAAAGGAAGACAAGCAGCATCTTTACTCCTCCTTTTGTGTTTTTAGTCTTTGCACTAAAAAACTGAATACCTTGGAAGTGCAGAGGTCAAAGTTAGCCTGGATCATCTATTTTCCTAAGTTAATTAACCTGCTAATGAAAGTGGTGCATGTCGCTGCCTTTGGTGAAAGAAAGTAGCACTCAACTATTTTGTTAGCCAGAAGACAGCTAGCTCAAAGCAACCCAGAGATGGGGCCCAGTTTAAAAAAAAAAAAAAAGTTAAAAAGAATAAGACCTAGTATTTGTACAACAGGCAGACTATAGTCAATAATAATTTAACTGTACATATTAAAATAACTAGAAGAGTACAATTGGGTTGTTTATATCACAAAGGATAAATGTTTGAGGGGACAGATACCTAATTTTCCATAATGTGATTATTACACACTACATGCCTGTACCAAAATAGCTCATGTACCCCATAAATATATACACCTACTATGTACCCCCAAAATTAAAAATAAATTATTTATTATTATTATTATTATTATTATTATTATTATTATTATTATTATTTTGAGACAGGTTCTTTCTTGCTCTGTCACCCAGGCTGGAGTGCAGTGGTGCAATCTCAGTTCACTGCAGCCTCAATCTGATCTCATGTGCTCAAGTGATCCTCCCACCTCAGCCTCTAGACTAGCTGGGACTACAGGCAGGCACCACCATGCCTCACAAATTTATTTTTTATTTTTTTGTAGAGATGAGGTCTCACTATGTTTCCCAGTCTGGTCTTGAACTCCTAGGTTCAAATGATCCTCCCACCTTAACCTCCCAAAGTGCTGGGATTATAAGCATAAGCATCATGCCTGGCCCAAAAAAAAATTAAACAATTTTTTAAAATATAAAAATTTTTAAAAATATGGCACAATCTACATTCCAAAGAAAGCTTGCAAGGTTCTCTACTTAGGGCATGGAAAATAAGCATTTCTTTCTGCACACATGATAAAGAAGTAGTAGAATACAGTAACTAAAGTCAGGATTTTGGTATCAATGGAAATAGTGGTGGTTTAGCAATAGTAATGTCAGCAGTAAAAATAACAGTGGAATAGAAGTAGTGGTAATAATTGGAATAGCAGTGGTGGTCGTAGCAGCTGCTAACACAAGCATGGAGGGTATCTAGGCTAGAAATGGACTGCCTGCCCTTCCAAGGCAGAGGAGCTTCAGAACGGCACACCAGCCAAGAAAACAGCTCCCTGTGAAGCAGGGAACAAGAATCGCCATGCTTGCCTTGCCCCAGAAGGAGGGGAGCTGGGGTTTTTCCTCATTAGAGTACAACATTCAAAATGAGGGAAAAGGTGACACATAAGTCTGTCGCTTTTATTTTTTATTTTTATTTTTTTGAGATGGCATATTTTTCCTTACCTGGATAATACTGCTATATGATATGCTAATGGCAGACTAATGCTAATGTTACATCAATTCACTAAATGAATTCTGTTATGCTGTAATTTGAACTCTCCTCACCACAACTTATTTTAAAAGTACCAACAGTTAAAAAAAAAAGAAAAGAAAAATACAGTCAAAAAACATTACATTTTAATTCCCCAGGAGTAAATTGATAAGTAATTGGAAAATCATCACTGGGAGAACATGGAATAGTCAAGCATAACAAACCTACAGAAAGATAATTATCTACAAATGTAGGAGGTACATTTACCTGCCTACCCACCTCTTCAAGCCTAAGTCTCTTCCTCCTCATTTAACCTGCCCTTGACTTGTAACAGTACTTACCTGATACAGGTAAGTACTGTTACAATTCCCATTTACAGACAAAGCCACTGGGGCACAGACAGGTAAAACAACTGGCCCTACCTCACATAGCCAGTAAGTGATGGTGCAAGGTTCTAACCCACACTGTTGGCTCCCAAACCATGCCTTTAACAACCATAATATTCTGTCTCTTATATGGCAGACTGTCCCAAACTAGGGAGCTGGGAGCTACAGGTTCTTTCCTGAAGGGGATGATAATCTTGAGAAAGAGAGAAACACATGAACAGGACATGTCAATCCCACTAGGTTTAGTTCCAACGAAGGGAGATTCATATCTCCAAGGAAGTGGCTGAACTGAACATCCAAGGATGAACAAAAAGGTCATGAGAAACAGTATGGTGAGAAGCAAGGGGACTAGCATATGAAAAGGCCTGGCCAAAATTTTGGAGGAAATGCAGGAATTCAACTGGAAGTCAGAATTAATTTCTCCATAAGGACAAGATAATGCCTCACGGCCATGACCCTGCCTCCTACAAACAACTTACAATATTGACATATGTCCCAGGTATGACACTAAGAACTTGCCATGGAGTATCTCAGTTTATACACATAACCCGATGAAGAAGATGCCATTATTCCATTCTATCCATAATGAAACTGAGATGCCACAAATAACCAAAGCTATGGTAGCTAACAAGTATAGAGTCAAATCTGAAGCCCCTGCCAGCACCCTTCCCCTCCATGCTACGCAGCCTCTCGGGGAGGGGTTCTACAGCAGCCTTAGGACTGGACTGCAGGCACCTGCCACTTATCTAGACTTGTGTTCCATTCTAAGGAATGCCTGGCAGGATGTCATTCCTCAGGAAAACATACTACAACCAACTTAAATTGTTGGAACAAACAAAGTTGAGGACTTCCTTCATTTGGTTTTACCCCCAAAGCTTCAAGAAATCTAAGTGGATAGGTTTTGTATAGTGGGTAGTTTCCAAAATAGCTTTCCTCTTCTTATGAATCTTATTCATCTAGGTTTGTACAAACTTGTACTTTCTTCCTTCAATTCCACCCATGCTGGAAACTTCCATCAAACTGCTCCATTCCTCACCCTTTGCTCTCCCAAGCAGCACACCCCCACCCAGGAGATCATGCTTTTATATCTGCTGCTGCTCTGCAGTGGTTAGTATAAACTCAAATTTACAAAATAAAAATGAAAAAAAAACCTGCATTTGCCATGGGAAAGAAAAACTATCAGAAAAATTAAGTTTAAAAAAAATACAACAAAAACACATCCAAAAGCATTACATTAACAAATGTTCTACCAATTGTATTTCTATTCAAAAGCAAGGAAACAAAGAAAGTCTGTAAAGTAAAACAAGAAAGTAAACATAAGTTATTAAGTTAAACTAGAAATAGATGAAACACTTGTTAGTATGTTTTTACTAGTCAAAGAGAACTTCTCCATGGTTTGCTTCAACCCTAAGGCTCTGGGCCAACCCAAGCCCCAGGCTGCACCCTTTACCCACCAATGCTCCGTCCAACCTGGCAGCGAGCAGTAGCCATGAGGACTGCGCTCTTACCCGCATGGCAGACACACTTCAGTCAAACTCCAGGAAGTCAGCTTTGATCTTAATGGCTTCAATCACGGATTGAATTTAGTATTTTCCTTTGACTACAGTGACCCACCAGTGCATGTTGTTAAAAACAGCAATATCAATAATACTCTCATAAATAAATGTAATCTGATTTTAAATCATTGTATCACAATTGTATCAAATATCACAAGAATTATTCTTTGGGATAGAAATCTGCCCAACACATAAAATCTGCAACCATTCATTCTGGCTTTTTATGAATCTTCTATGAAATGTAAATTCCACTATTTTGTCCTTCTATCTCCGTGATAAATGTCCCCAGAATACCCATATTTGAATATCCAAATTACATCCCTCATATTGCCTTTCATATTCAGAAAGTTTTTAAAAATCTTTTACAATGCATGCGTCTTAATTTTCAGTTCTAAACCCTTGGTTACTGTTCACAGAAAGCCAGGGTGTATAAGTGCCACTTCTGAATGGTACCACTACGATACCCCAACCCATACACCAACACAACCCCCTGCTCAGATATTTGGCCCTCTCTGATGTTTCATGACCCACAGGTGCTTTGATCTCCTTACCCAAACTAAATACATAATAATTTTTCTGGCACCTCTTTAATTTTTCCAGTTCATTTTCTGCTTTGTCATTTTTGTGACAATTAAGTAGGAAATATGCATCATTAAACTTGAAATAATTATTAATTTTACAAAATAACAATTTTTCTGGCCTCCAACCAGGCTGTTTTGGTTCTATCCAAAAATTTGGGGGGGGGGTTATTTTGTAAAGTATCTTTAAGATCAGACTTAAGAATAGTGTGTTAATTCTTCTACATAAAGTAAAAAGAAAGGATTAATGGTTACTTTATAATCTTGTATTATTATTCTTACTGGCATAATAAAATACATCAGAGAACACTGTTATTAACCCCACACTGTGATATCTTCTTTATTGAAAGAGGTAATCTGTAGTGCAACTAAAAACAAAGTGCAACATTCCCCACAAGTGACTTCAACTTCAGAAAAAGTTGGCCTATATAATTTCTATGTAGCAATAACCAACAAACCCAGTGTTTAAACTGTAGCTCAGATCAGCAAAACACGTAGCGCTAGACTAGGCAACCTACTCTCCCCTCTTCCTTTCCCCAACTACAAAGGAGAACACCACTTTCTTTCTCAATGCCTTTCAGCAGGCTTCTTCTCTACCCTGAGACACTTTTTGTTTGTTTGTGTTGTTGGAGATGGACTTTCTCTCTTGCTGCGCAGGCTGGAGTACAATGGTGCAATCTAGGCTCACTGCAACCTCCACCTCCCAGGTTCATGCGATTCTCCTGCCTCAGACTCCCAAGTAGCTGGGATGACAGGTGCCCGCCAACACGCCTGGCTAATTTTTGTATTTTTAGTAGAGACAGGGTTTCAGTATGTTGGCCAGGCTGGTCTCGAACTTCTGACCTCAAGTGATCCCCCCGCCTCGGCCTCCCAAAGTGCTGGGATTACAGATATGAGCCACTGGGCCGGGCCTACCCTGACTCACTTTGAAACAAAATTATTCTCATATATATCAGTCACTGTTTCTCTGTACTAAATTACATTCTATTTTCTGTCTATATTTCTACCTAATTGATATTCTTTCTCGGCACGCACACTCCTCTGAATTTAGCATCATCTCCAAATTTTACATAAATTTAAAGATAGGCCCATCTACATTTTACAATCGGCGGCTTAGAGAAGGTAAGTAACCTTCCTAAATTCACCTACCCAGCACCAGTGGGTGGGTCTGACTCCTGGGCCCATTCTTAATGACTACAGTAAATTATCTCCTTATGGCCCACAATTCTTGATGGCAGAGCCAGGATTTGCATCCAGGACTTTTGTTCCAAGTTCTCCTGTGTAGAGTGTGTGTGTGTGTGTGTGTGTGTGTGTGTGTGTGTGTCACTTGCCATGTAGCAGGCTATTTTCAGGGCATATAACAATGCCCAAAAACCTCCAAATTCTGTTATTGTATAATACTATACAATTGGGTAGATTTTATTAAAGATGTTTGATAAAAATAGTAAACATCTGAGAGGAGAGAATGACTATCACTACCCAGAGTTGCCACGCAAGGTTTAACACAGAAATGTAATGGCATGAAGAATGAGGAATACTCCAGGTAGACAGAAATGAAGAATGAATATATAATTTATTGTCCAAAACAGATGTTTTTTAAAGAAAGGGACACTAGCAATAATTGTGGTAAGACAACAGGGCTTGATCCAGGACCATCTGTGGTGAACCAGGACAATGGTCTTCCTACAGAAAAAAAAAACTGGTTTAGGCAGAAAGAGCTATATATACTATTATGGCTGTTTAAAAATCACATAACATTTCAGTGTTAGATTTTACATAAACAAATAAAACCCTACACCACATCTGCCTTACAAGAGTAGAGTGGCAATAAATAACTACTGAAGAAATAGCCTATAAATACCTACTTAGAGAGGTGAGAGTCTAGAATGATGTAGCACAGTCTATTCAGGAAGCTGTATGATCAGAAAGTGTCTTCCATTTTTGGCAGAAAAATGACTAAGTTAGGTGCAGATTTGGAGAACACAGAGATTACGGTATTTACTAAACTTGGGGATAAAGATAAAACATTTAATTCATTGAAATCGATTTCACTGTGAACATTTGTCTCAAAGAAGTAAGACTAAAGGCATCTGGCTGTGGAAATTAACAGAATTTGAGATAATCTATCCTTTTTCTTTATTGTATTACCTGCTTTTGATTTTATTACCTGAGAAACTTATTTACGGCTTATACTCCAGATTTTAGCTCTGCTCACTATTTCACAATCTTAATTTTATAAAAATAAAATTTTATTCTTTCTTAGTATCAATGCTTAGGTTTTGCACTAAAATCACCGTATCAGCAAGAAGTAGTAAATTGTGAGTCAGATTTGTGTACATATATCGGAGTCCACAGTGCTAACCATTACACTATGGCTCATGTACATATATCATATATATTGTTATCTGTATGTTTACACATACAAACATATGTAATTTTCTTAATAAATACCACTACTTCTATGTAGTATTTCTTCTGAAAATATTAGCCATATAGAATACTAACCAGGTTGAAGTATATCCAATTAAGTATACAAAGTACTTCTTGGTCTTTTCTTTTTCCCACCTTGTCTTAGCCTTCCCATAAACACTGCCATCTCTAAATCAAAAGGAGTTTGTATTCTGTTCAGAAACTTGCTAATCCAAACAATCTCTATTACCCCTCACCACATTCTCACCATACACACTATTTCTGTCTGGGGCTCAATAGTGAATTAACAGTGTTTCACTTCCAGTGGGAAGAGAAAAATCTAACAAGGAAACATAAATGGATAGACTAACTCGAATTCTGTTAATTCCCACAACCAGACACCTTTAGTCTGCCTTCTTTGAGTCATATGTTCACAGTGAAATTAATTTCAATGAATTAAATGTTTTATCCTTCTTTACCCCCAACTCTAGTAAATACCTTAATTTCTGTGCTCTGCAAATCTGCACCAAACTTAGCCATTTTTCTACCAAAAATGGAAGACACTTTCAGATCATACAACTTCCTGAATAGACTGTGCTAGATCATTCTAGAACTCTCTTCTCCCTAATTAGGTATTTATAAGCTGTTTCTTCAGTAGTTATTCATTGCCACTTTACTCCTATAAGGCAGATGTGGTGTAGGGTTTTATTATTTTGGTTTTTTTAATCTAACACTGTTTGAAATATTATGTGAATTTTAAATAGCCACTTGTATATATAGCTCCTTCTGCCTAAAACAGAATTTCTGTACAAAGACCACTGGCCTGGTTTCCACAGATGGTCCTGGTTCAAGCCCTGATGTCCTACCACAATTATTGCTAGTGTCCCTTTCTTTAAAAAAAAAAAAAATCTGATTTGGACAATAAATTGCATAGTCATTCATCTTTTTCCTCTACCTGGAGTATTCCTCATTCTTCACGCCATTACATTTCTGTGTCAAGCCTTGCATGGCAACTCCAGGTAGTGATAGTCATTCTCTCCTCTCAGATGTTATATCATTTTAATCAAATATCTTTCAGAAAATCTACCAAATTCTATACTAACAGAATTCAGGTTTTTGGTCATTATTATATGCCCTGATCATGGCCTACTACAAGGCAAATGAAATACACACACACGCACGATATACAGGGGAAGAAAACTAGGAACAAAAGACCTGGATGCAAATCCTGGCTCTGCCATCAAGAACTGTGTGACTAGAAGGAGGTAACTTAGTGTAGTCATTAAGAAAGGGCTCAGTTGGGGTGGGCACGGTAGCTCATGCCTGTAAACCCAGCACTTTGGGAGGCCGAAGCGGGTGGATCACCTGAGGTCAGGAGTTCAAGACCAGCCTGGCCAACATGGTGAAACCCCGTCTCTACTAAAAATACAAAAATTAGCCAGATGTGGTGGTGTATGCCTGTAATCCCAGCTACTTGGGAGGTTGAGGCAGGAGAATCGCTTGAACCCGGGAGGCAGAGGTTGCAGTGTGCGGAGACCGCGCCATTGCAGTCCAGCCTGGGGGACACAGCAAGACTCCGTCTCAAAAAAAAAAAAAAAAAAAAAAAAAAGAGCTCAGGGGTCAGACCAGGCTGCTTTCAAGTCACCCATCCACTAGCTAGGTAAACTTGAAAGGTAACCTATCCCTTTAAACTCCAGACTATAAAATGTAGATGATTCTATCTTCCTTACAGGATAGTATTTAGTCTAGTGAAATTTGCATGTCAAGCATAATTTTAGGAAGCAATAAGCTTTCACTAAATATTACTTACTGCTAATAATAATGAAATTATAAATCATGAAATACAAATATATCCCTAATTTTATGTGATTAATATGTCATAATGGCATGTCATTGTTAGCAGAATTGTCATTATTTGGCAATCATTTAACCCATGAGAGTCTTGGTTTGTCCTTTTATAATATGGGGAAAATTACGTTTTCCTTAAAGGACTTGTATCAGGTGAAATAACCCATGAGAAATCTAAGTTTCATTAATTGATTTCATTCATTAAGCACTGACTGAGTGCCCATTACGTACTAGGTACCACTTTAAGCACACGCTGAGTACAAGATTAGATGCTAAAGATACAAAGAGAAGACAGGCCTTTTCCCAAGGAGTTCACAGTCCAAGGAGCAGCTTTTAACCTGAAGGAGTTGTACAAATGCACGTATCACTGCCATCTCTTCACTCCCCTGTAAATTTCCTTTTCTGATTTTTCTAATTCTCCTTCCCCTTTTTTCTATTTTTTTATTTTTAGTTTCTTTAACCAACATTTCATCTTTGCTACCTGAATTTAGGCAAAAACCAAAAAATTAGTTACAAAAAAAAATGATGTGGACTCCTCTCTATCTATATATAAAGACTACAATAAATTTGCTACATCAATATATATTCACTAAAAATTATAGACATTCTAAAATTATTTTGTCAGTGAATATTTTCCCCTGAATTTCTGAAAATCAAGTATTAGGTTTGCTCATGTCATACTCTCCATGCCCTCAAGTCTGAAGAAGACAAAGATAACCTTTTTCTTGGCCTAGATTTCCCCCATCCCTATAACCATTTTAAATGTCAGCAATAATATTTCAACAATAACTGCCCACTCCTTTCTCATGTGCCCATTTGTATGAGGTTTAACATTAGGCTGAGCACTACCTGGCCTCCAGCTCATGACTAATACAAAAGATCTTCTAGATGATTCTGGAAACAGCTAAAAGAGGTCAACTAAAATCAGAGAATGAAAGAATTAAAAATATACACAGAGTAAAAAACTTGGTCAAGTTGCTAAAGCTCCAGTGTCAACTTACAAAAATAATAATCCTCAGTGAGATGTTCCTACAGCCAGTTATTCTGTCACGAACATTTTCATTTTTAGTAGTATAACTTTATTTAGTGACTTATTTTTCAGCAAGATTATATAATAACATTTAAAATTATTTCTATAAATACTTTACTAGACTCAATTTTAAACATTTGCTCCTTTTTAAAGTTTGATTTTTACACATCTAGGAAAATACTTTTCCCAAAAGTACCCATCTCCAACTTTATAATAAAAATCACAGGGTAAAAGTGTTTACTTAAAAGTAATCTACTTTTACAAGCCTGTGTGTTTGTATTAGCCCATTTTCATGCTGCTGATAAAGAAATACCTGAGACTGGGTAATTTATACAGGAAGAAGAGTTTAATGGACTTACAGTTCCAAGTGGCTGGGGAGGCCTCATAATCATGGCGGAAGGTGAGGAAGAGCAAGTCATGTCTTACATGGATGGCAGCAGGCAAAAAAAGCTTCCGGAGGGAAACTCTCCTTTATAAAACCATCAGATCTCATGAGACTTATTCACTCACATGAGAACAGCACAGGAAAGACCTGCCCTCATGATTCAATTACCTCCCACCAGGTCACTCCCACAACATGTGGGAATTCAAGATGAGATTTGGGTGGGGACACAGCCAAACTATATCAGTGTTCTTCTGACCAAAGTTATAAGAAACTTATTTTTTAAAGATCAAGCATTAAATATGGCATTGTTCTTCTTCACCATATCTAACTTTTTTCCTGGGTAGGCTATTATGTTCATGAATATCCCCACAAGATCCCAAAATAGGAAAACTCTTTCATGAAATAAATGTCAGGGCTACCTCTGTGCAAGAACAGTGCATCATGATTCACCATCAACACATCGGTTCTGTAAAGAAAGACCCCTGGCATGTGAAGGTAAGTAGCACCAAACCAGTCAAAGCACACACAGAATACTGATTGGGGCTGCAACAATCAATGACTACCAATGTCATCCCTCAAAAGCATCCTTGTAAATAGTTAAATTATTTCCTATAGTTGACTGTAAATGGACACTGTTTACTCGGGCAAGAATTTTCATTAAAGCTCATATTCCAAATAATGGTATATGTTTATTAATTTAAATTTTCACACAGATCACTTTGAGAAAAGATTTCATGTAGTAGATCTCACTGCAGAGAGCAAATTTTAAAGCTAGATAAAAATGCAATTTTCACTACTCAAAGAAGAAAAGGTAGAAGTAAAACAAGGCAGAAATTTAAACTGGCATCAACTCATTAAGTAAAATGTCTTCCTATTAGGACAGGTGTCTTCCTGACTACGGCAAGTTTCAGTATAAGTTCTCAGACATCACAATTAAAACAAGCTGAACTCTCATAATAAGGAAAGTGATATAAATCTCATTAGACAAGAAATTTCATTATGATGAAATTAAGTGTTTAGAAAAACAAAATGATTCCTAAATCTTGGCAGGCAGCTCCCAAAAAGAAAAAGATAAAGAGACAATATGGTTACATTACTCTCTCTATAATTAAAGACAATAAATGCTTTCCTAATAATTCTTAACTTTTAAAAACGGCAGATATAAATATTATAGGGTGTTACCTGCAAACTGTAGAACAGTGACTGAAAGACAAATTTCAAACTGTTTGCTCACTATATGATGCAATTATCAAATGTACTTCCCCAAACATTTCCCCCATAGAAGTACCCCTAATGACAGAGGAGAATAAATGCACATTCCTGGTGTTCTGGTTGCCTGAAGTGGCCCAGTCTACCACACAGCTAGAATTTCTTTATCATATGTAAATTCTGCTTTCTATTCTATCAGGCAGTCATGTTTGCTTTAACACAAAAGGTGCTATAAATTGTTTACAACAGATCTCAGCCCCTCTCACCTCCACTGCCAAAGCCTCCCATGAAGTCTGTTGCCCACCCAAATGCTTAATGAGAGAAGCTGGGGGAATGAGGAGAAATCAAGAGGAAGGGACTGAGTTTCTTGTCCAAGTCAGTTTGGGACGAAGAGGAAAAAAAAAAGAGCTATGGGAAGCAGGAGCAGGAACACAGGGCTGCAATGATCATGAGAACTTAAGCCCCAAGGCTTCAGAAACTTGTTGGAGAAGGAATCGGACTCTCACCCATGGGACGTGAGTGGGGAACAAAAATCAATATTATTTCCTCAAAGGTGTAGAAAACCATGGCTAACATTTGTATTCCACTTACATTGTACTTATAATGGTACTTTTTCACATTGCTTGTCATCTGCTGTTATAAAAATAATGCAGGAATCTGAAAAATAATAATTAGTAGAACTAACACTTACAAAGGTCTTACTCTGTCAGACACTATCCTAAGCAATCTTATCCAGTTCTCACAGCTACCCCCATTTTACAGATGAGGAAACAGAGGTAGAGAGATGTTAAATAGTTGCCCAATGTCATACAGCCAATAGTTAGAGGAGGTAGGATTCAAACTGAGGCAGCCTGGCTTCACAGTTACTAAACTATGAAGTTACTAAACACCTCACTATGCCTTTAGACTACCCAGTGACACAGGAAAGAAAAACTGGTATTATTGGCCACGTCACTGATTTCTGTACACTTGTAAAAGACTTACAATAAATAATAGAGTAGCATTTTTATTAAATAGTAATCCCACCCCAATCATGTGTCCTTGCTCAAAAATGAATTAGTTATAAATTTTGCATATTTTTACACAACTGTGAAATTTTATACTTAATAAACATTAATCACATAGCAATATGAAAATTCTTTATTGTTACTATGCATACTGAACTCACAGGAAATTACCCCTGAAACAATTCAGCAGTAACACCAGGAAACTGCTGCTACACAGAAAGTGCTCAATGAAGTGGCACCAGAAATGTGGCCCAGCGGGGATCCATTTTCAGCTTGGACTTCTTGCAGGAAGTAACTCTCCGTGCCAGAGGTGCTGCCACACACTTTCTCCCATGGCCACAAGCACCTGCAGGATTCTAATTCCATCAGAACAACACAGATACATAATGTTCAATTTAGGCAGCCAGAGCACTGCAGAACCATGGAGCCATTTCTGTAACTTACTGGTTGGCAACCTGCATTTGGCAGAACATACTGGACATATATCAAATGTTAAAAAGAAATCAATTGATAAAGCTCTCCACTTAGAGACACAGACTTACTTTGAGCAAGTCCTTAAGAAAAGCAAGTGGAGTGCCTCTCCCCATCCCCACCCCACCCAAGAGCTATCAATCTTCCAATCAGGATCATCACTGTCCTCTTTCATCAAATTAATCGCACAGCAGCCATTATTACCAACTTGATATCTAAAATGCCACGTACATTCTCTGTATTTATTGTACTGTTATTATTGTTCTGTGTTAGTGACTTTAACTACAAAAAACTTATATAAAGACTTTAAGGTATTTACTCACAAATTTGCTCTCCTGCATCTATGTTTACTAGAAAGTCCTTTAGTTCCTCAAACACAAAACCTCCTGCCACAATAAATCTAATCGCAACCCAAGCCTCATGTACTAAGATCAAGATCAGCAGAGGTTGGAGGTGTGTGATTCTATATGGTTGTTGTAATTTTATATTTAAAAAGACTGGCAATTTTGTTATTAATCAGGGATATAATCTGTATTAAAAAAATGGCTACAGGAATGTCATGTTCCGTTCCATTTATACCACTTTTCAGACTTAAACTGTTTTTGTTATGTATTAGAGGGGAAATATGAAACATTTGCCAGTTAGTTTACAATGGATCACATGTGGGACTAAAGAGTTTGACTCCAATCATTGATCAGATCTTCAAAAAAAGCCCCTCTCCAGAAATAGACAGGAAAATAAATCTATTCTGTACAAGACACTGCACAGCACTCAACAGATAGAAGGGTGAGAAAAACAGACTTTCACCCAAAGAAATCCACAGTCCACAATAAGGTTTAAACAGTACCCAGATGGCAACACAAGGAGCCGGAGCAGCACTGACACCTGCCATAAGTGCTAAAGACCCAAAGTAACTGCCACTGTCCTGAGAATTCCCAAGGGAGGAGGTTTGGCTTGGCCTTGCATCTCTGTTGCCTAGAGACACAGCAGTAAATATATATTGAACAACTAAATTAATAAATGCCTTTGACTACTACATACATATGCCTACTACTACTTTCATATGTAGGCATATGTATGTAGTAGTCAAAGGCATTTACATACTTCATACAAAAAGACCACTGTGTCTTAAAAGATCAGCTTTTCTCTACAGAGAAAACCATGAGAATTGAAAAAGTAGAGGGAGAAAGAGAGAAAAGACAAGAAGAGGTGAGTATCAGGAGCAACAGGGGAGGGAACAGGAGCAACCAGGACCCAGAAAGGGCATATGGAAAGCTGAGAATGCCACGAGGGAAGGAAAAGGAGGAAGTGAGGCAGGAAAGGAGCTACCCACACAGCACCAGGGTCGCAGTTTAGTCAAGAAGGCTTTAGCCTCCTCTGGGACTTCTAGTTACACTATTTGGCGTCCTGCACCACCTCAGGTGCATTCACCCTGCCCATGACACCACGGTAACTCAGTAAGTGCATAAACCATAGACTGCAGTTCCTCAGAACCGCTTATCTGAGACAGCATGCTGGTACTTCCTGAATGGCAGCCTGGCATTCTGAGATTATACTCTTCCTTCATGTATGGTGCTAGAATCGGTCCTCTCCTTTATGAAATGAAAGGGATAGTACACATTAAGACATATTTTATGAAATTTTATTGCTGTACCTTACTTTCTAAAATCCCCTCTTGCTCTTTTCCCTACACTGTTCAATAAAACCCAAAGTCTCATAACCACTAGAGTGTGCCACATCTTAAAAGATTTTTTATGAAAAGCTAAAAAGTTTAAAATATGAGTATGAAAACCCTTACCTAACTTGAAAACTATTAGGTAAAATGTTTTGTTCTCCAGAGATTTTAGATAAAAATAGGTTTTATTACTCCTTTGGGCAAAGAATGTCATTATTAAATTAAAAAAAAAAGGAAGCAGATCAAAACTCAGCACCTGTTCTATGACCTCATTTTGGAAAATATGGGGGAACGAGTATCATCACGTGAATACATATATATAATGCATGTATACATGTAGGGAATTACACACAACAAATTTAACAATGGTTATTTCTGGGTAGTGAGAGTTCCTCTTATTTCTGCTCTCTTCATAAGTAGAAATTACTTTTATAAATAGAAGAATTCTACAAATATGAAAAATAAATGTTTTTACTTTGAAAAATAAATGTGAGAAAAAATAACATGAAAAAATATTTGTTATCAACTCCATGAAGAAACAGCAAGTTTCCACCACAGCCAGTGGCCTTCTGAGTGAAGCATGGTTTTCTGCCCTACATACCAAGCCTTTAGACAAGGATCTCTTTATAAGTGCTCTGTTACTTAATACATCCATTTACATTATTACCATAAAGATGACTTTTCCAAAATAAAGCTTTCAATCTCTAGGGTCCCTGCAGGGTAATAGGAAGCATTCAGCAGATTACTGTTACTGTAATATGTTTTATTACACTTAATGACACAGATACTTCACAGTACTGGGATTTTTGTAGGTATTTAAAAATGTATCTCCTATAAAAATATATCTACTGAAAACACATATCCCATAAAATATGTAAGTAAAATATTCATGCAACAGATTATATACTATACATGAACATAAAAAACAAAACATCTTTTAAACTATTCTAAGCAATGTAGTTCCATTTAAAAACAAAGTATTTTAAGTAATGGGAAGGTTCTTCATTCTAAAAAAATAATAATGTCTCAGTCTAAGAAAGGGATACACTCAGTCCATTTGTCAACAAATACCCTCTGAGTACTAAGGATGTAGAGATGAACTAGATGCAATGCCTTCTCTCCAAAAGCTTACTATACATTAGAAAAACAAACAAATGAGTTCAATAAATGGTTCAAGTATATGATGAAGATGATGAAAGTATGTATGTGGTTCTGAGAGGGCACAAAGAATAAAAATGGTTGTCCTACCTACAAGGGTGGGGGCAGAAAAGTTTCCTAGATGACTTTTTTCACAATGCAGTTATTATTTCCTAAAAATAAATTATGAAAGTATCTATTTCTTTTACTAAGCATCTAGAAATATAGAAGAGAGTGTCAAGGGCACAGTCATAGAGATATATTAATAAAAAAATGTCTGGGCTGAGCCAACAGCGGTAAGCGGCCATCCAATCATCTCATTCACTGCATGTCATTTTTGAGCACTTATTAGGTTCTGCGCAAGGTGCTGAATAAGATGTGGTCCCTCATGTTCAACGACCTTACAGCCCACTAGCAAAGAGAAGCAGGAATAAATAATACAATTTGATACGTGCTATAATGGGATGCATTGTGAAGGGCTACAAAGGCACAGATGATGGCACAGTTAACTACACATTGAGGGAAGGTTTAAGAAACAAGGAGCCAGCCACATGTGAGCTCCGTAGGACAGGAAAGAGAATGAATTCATTGGAATTTTCTAAGGCAGAATGATGTATCAAGGCTGAGTGAAGTCCTTTGCAGTGTTACTTCATCTAATCTTCAGGATTATTTTATGAAATAGGTATTGTTCCCATTCCCGCCTGGGTATTGTTCTAGGTGAGGTACGTGTGGTTAGAGAATGAAGTAACATGCCTAAAGCCAAACTAATAATAACTGGTGAATTAGGTTTTGAAAGCAGATCAGAAGTCTTACTTGGCTGCCTCTGCTTTTCCCAGAACAGATAAGCAATAAACATAAGGCTTACTTTGATCTGTATCTTAGCTGGGTGGCTCTTTAGTTTCCTGAAACCTGACCCCTTCAAGAATCTCCTTAGGTCTTTCAACTATTCTTTCTCCATAAAATTCCTTTTTTTATATTCATACACTTTCAGCATACTTAATATATATCAGCAGGCATTTGTAGCTCACTAAAATTATCTCTTCTTCTTCACTTTTCAAGGAACTCAATCCTGCACTAAACACATTACAAAGTAAAGCTCAAGGCTCAAGGTGTGATATTTTCCATAATTTGAAACAGTTACACATGGATAGAAATACATTTGCTACATAGACTACAAGCTTCGACACTTAGGAAACCTACTGAAAATTAACAGGATATGAGAAGTGAAAACGTGGTACAGTGTAGCCGCAAAGTATATCCATAGTATACTTTGTAGCCACACGTCAGGAGGAAGTTACCTTTATGCACCCCTTACCACTGCATGCAAATTTGATATTTTCTCTACATGCTTTTGGAAAATGTGCTAATAACTAAATCATCAACACAGTACTTGCAAATTGTTTTTAGGCCTTCAACTCTTAACAGGGAGAACATGAGAAGTTTCTCTTCCACGTGCAAAGTGAAATGTTACACCTTATAAAGTCTAGACTTTGAGAAGGCCATACCATATCAGACCCATATTCAATCCACTAAATCTGCTGTCAAGATCATTGTAAACCATGAGAGCATGTTGATAAGTGCAGTCCATTTACAGAGGGATCACTGCCTGTAAACCACAACTGAAGCATGCTAAAATAAGCAGTGTGATTGATACTGTATTTTTGTAAATGGTCCTATAAATGATCTTCTGAAATAGCTATCCTCACCAGGACATGGAGAAGATATGCTCAGTTAACCGAGGTTATTGCATCACAATAGGGACTTTGTGGTCTCTGAACTTAACAGACATATCTTATACAAAACTATTTGTGGTAGTGGTGGTAGTGGTGCATAATTTTCAATTATACAAGAAAATAGTGTCCACAAGTTATTTTTTTACTCACTCAGTCTTCAGTTGTTAATGAATGCATTTCCTTACCTTGTATATTTTACGTAAATAAGATTTTTATAAAGAGACTCAGTAATAACTGTGTCACCCACTTCCACATAAAATCAAACAATTGGCAATAAGATATGCCAGACTGTACTTACTAAAGATTACTGGACTGTAAATATAAATCGGACCACCATGGAAAGATATGGCTATAAATGCTGACAGTATAGCAAGGGAAAAATAATTTACACCAGCTGGGGAGCTGCTATGTCCCAGGTATTGTAGCTGACAATTTACCTATGTGATTAAAAAGCACTAGGAAGCAAATAATTTCTGGCCTGTGTCCCATAACCTACTAGTTTAAGATTATTGGTTGGTGGTTCCTAAATTATACACCAAGGTATCCTGGAACACCACAGCAAACTCAGAGACACTGCAGGATATTTTAAATTTTCACCAAAAAAATCACAAGAATATTCAGCATCTGATACTGCATGAATTACTAGCTCAAATTACTGTGTAGTTTTAACATTAGATCCCACTAAGTTCCTTTTAATGGTGTATCTTTGTGAAGCTGGATATTCAGCAGATGCAGTGGTTAACAACTAAACATGGTACAACAATCAATGTAAAACAAAAAATGAGGGTGTGGTGGTGTGTAATCTTATTCCAAGATTTGAGAAGTTATGTAGTGCCCAACAGGCACACACATCCCATTAGTAATAATTGTGGGTATTTAAGAATAAAATAAAAATAAAAATATTTTTCCTTTCAATGTACTTGTATTATTTTCTTTCAACCAACTACTATGTTGTTGGGACATAAATATTTATTAAATTGCTTAGAGATAACTACTTAAAAACAAAACTGGGCTGGAGAGGGTGGTTCACGCCTGTAATCCCAGCACTTTGGGAGGCCAAGGCGGGTGGATCACCTGAGGTCAGCAGTTCGAGATCAGCCTGGCCAACATGGTGAAACCCCGTCTCTACTAAAAATACAAAAATTAGCCACGCATGGTGGCATGCACCTGTAATCCCAGCTACTCGGGAGGCTGAGGGAGGAGAATCGCTTGAACCCAGGAGGCGGAGGTTGCAGTTAGCCAAGATTGTGCCACTGCACTCTGGCCTTGACTACAAGAACAAAACTCCATCTCAAAAAAAAAAACAAAAAAAACAACAACAAAAACTGTTATTGTTTTGGCCTGCAAAATAAAAAAATAAAAAAAAATTCAGAGAAATATTAAGCATGCCTTAAACTAAGAAAGCTTAAGAACTTCTGCTAAAGATGAATTCTAACTTTCCAAGCTAAAGGACAGGAGGCTAGACCAAGGGTCTCTACAGACTTTGCCTAGTTTTCTGTGCTAAGTTTCTAAAGTGATTAAAAGGCCATCTGTGATTGAATGTACAATATCTTTTTACATTATCAGTGTAACAGATGGAGATGTAATTGTTTCAATTTTTTTTAATCTTACATTGACTTTATTCATCTTCCATTCTGTGTCATTTGTCTACATATGATGATTGCTTTGTAAGCAATTATATAATGTTTCACATTCTGGAAGAATAACGCATCTATTTTTGGTACCATCCCCTGTTTTCTGCCCTTTCACTATTGCCATGCACCTAAGTACCGCTAGATAGTCTTATGTAGGAGTTTTTTAGGTAATTTTCTCCATAATATGCATTTATTCTTTACATTGATTTATGATTTTGTTTTGTTCTTTTACGTATTTTAGAATAACCTGAGGTCCTACATGTTTAAACCTTTAAGAAAATATTTATGAAGTTATACAAAGTATGACACCTGCCATGAGGATATAAATCATATCTATGTATCAACAAGAGAGGGGAAGGAGAGCGAAGGCCAGTAGGATACAAATAAAATTAAAGAATTAAAAAAAAAGCTTACAGACTTATTTGTGCAGTCTCTTGATATAAGGCAACTCATTTATCTATATCCATACCCGTATTTGCCATAACACATAGAGAACCTAATAATTTCCCAGCCATGGATACTGATGTTATTATACCAAAGGATGAATCCCAATGGCTAACATTGCTGGATTATTAAACCAGGTTTTCGTTAAACCATAAAGGCAGAATTGAAATGAGATAATCTGCTAGTGTGAAAGAAATAATTTTAAGGACTAGGAAGGGCTTGAAATGTATCTCCAGCCTTCTCAACAAAGTCAGGTGACACAAAAAGAAAAGAAAAAAATCGAAGTTAAGACATGGGAATGTGCTATAGAGAAAAAATGAGGTAGCAGGATATTTAATTTTTTAAAAAAATCTGAGCAGTTGGTTCATAAGAAAAAAGCACCTTAAAACTTTCAGAAGAAAACCAGCACCTCCAAAAAGGATTCAGAGAGCAGGAAGCTTCTGCAGCTGTAACAAACATTTGATCCAAGTAGACCAAATAATCTTTGAAGTAATGAATGTAAAACACAGCTATAAAAAATATCATATTTGCCAGAAATGCGCTACTCAATCCCAGACTTCCTAGGCATCCCCAAATGTGACCTCTGAGGGTACAAGCAGAAAGTAGAATGGAATATGAGGGCTGTGGCAGCAGAGAGACCTGCATTTGACCTCCAACTCTATCATTCATAAGCTGCAAGATGCCAGATAAATGATAAAATCTCTCTAACTTCAGGTAGAAATGATAAGAATACCATTCTCAAAGTGTGGCAAAGACAGTAATAAGGGCATTCACCTAAGATACTCACTACAGAAGCTGAGTATGCATCTTTATCCCCACTGCAGGATTTTCACTAAAAACTAACAAAACTGAGTCCTCCCCTTTATATTTGTTGAAAAACTCCATCTACCAGAAATTCCTATCTTAACATTCCCCAGCCATCTTAAATTAAGCATGGCTAAAACTAAATTTATATTTTCTGAGAACTGACACCTCCATTTGTGTAAATAAATTAATCTGCCTCACCTCCCACACTTATGGCCTTGAAGTCATTCTTGACCCCTTGTTCTCTTGGTCACACCCAATCCATCAGCAGCTCCTCTCAACCCTCTGCCGCCTGCCTCATACTACTCCTTTGCCTACCACTCCCATGCCCTCATCGATCTGCAGCTGGATACTCTAACACTTGGTCTCTCTGTCCTTGGCTTCTTCCTGGCTAACCTATCCTACCCATTACCTGTTCTATAACTTTCCACCTTACGTGCTCCATCATTTCCTCTTCCTCCTCCATCAAACATCAGTTCCCAAAAGAGCTTGTGGAATTGCCTCCACTCAGGGCCACTACGTAGACACTGGCCAAATGACCCTTTGGTATCAATCAGAAAAGGCACCCTTCCTTCCTTCCTCAATTGAGTTAAAATGCTGATTTTGTTAAAGAATGCCATGTTACTGCTAGATGCCAAGCTGTCACTCTAGATAAATGTATACGTATGATGTGACTGAATGATGTCCAGCAGGCGGGTACCAAACATGAACAGTCTTACATAAGAATGATGTCTTCATTTCCTTGGTTCTTTTCTAGTATGCATCTCACCATCTACATTATCCAACTGAAACAAAAATCACCAACGACCTCTCAACTGCCAAATCTGATGACTGAATTTTTTTATTTCTTTTCTTATTTGACTGCTCCATGTTTCTGCACTGTGGTCACTGTCTTTTTCCACAGTCTTCAGATAATATTTTCTCCTGCATTTATTTCTGCCCCCAACCACTGTGTAACAGTTTTGCCTCCTGCCCTTTCTGTTCTATAAATGTTACTCAACTTCATTCATGCACACCTTTATTCATTCAGCAAATATCTGAGTACCTACTACATAGCAAGGTGATATTCTAGGCACTTGGGATATAGATCAGTAAACTAAAAATGCATAGAAGAAAAATTTCTCTACCATCATGAGACTTTCTCTTTTGGGGTAAGAGGGTGGAGAGAGAGGCACACAATAATGAACTTATTAATTACATGTAATTATCATTATATTCAATATTGATAAATGCTATAGCATGGTTATATGCAGGTGAGGGAAATAGTTATTTTAAATAGGGTACACTAGTTAAGTTTCATCATGAAGGTGACATTTAAGCAAATGCTTGAAGTAAATAGGAAATATCTGAGGGATAAGCATTCCAGATAGAAGAACAACCCAGTGCAAAGCCTTAAGGAAGAAATCTTCCTCGGATAATCAAGGAATATCAAGGAGCCAAGGTGGCTTGAGAAGTCAGATTATCTATCCGAAACTGTTATAAAATGTATACAAGTCTATGGCATCTGGCAAGAATGAGAACATTTCCATATTTTATACAGGACCTTTGTGTATTGCACAACCTGATAAGTCAGCCTTACCTAGAATTCCTGCTCCTCCATACTTGCCTTAGGTTGCCCTTCACTTCATACAACACTTTCTCAAGGAAGATTTCCCATCCCAAATCATGGCCATCATCAAATTCTCTAAACTCCTGTTTGCACATGGTTAAAGACTGGTATATGCGACCATATATTTACATGTATTTGTTCTTTCTAGCTATGTGTCTTCCTTGTATATCTGACCAAATTGGAAATCTCTCTAGAGCCATAATGCTTCCCCAGTGCCTGTCAACATGCCCTATACATAGTAGACCCATGGTAACTGTTCATGGAAGCCAATGCTAAAGACCTCTGACATCTTAAAAAAAAAATCTAGAATACTTTTTATGAATGAAACTTTACATTGCTGCCCAGATTGCAAACCTCTGAGCCAATATTCCACAAAGACATGGGAAATACTTTAAAAGGCATTATTTATATAGCACATTGATTTTTTCAGTTGATTCAATTTTATTGATTTTAGGAAATAATTTAATCATCTGTATTTCATTTCAGATAATTAAGTTTTGCTGCTGGCTTCAATATTGCTTTCTAAGACATAGAATATTTTATCTTCCTAATAAAACTAAGCCATTTCTAAAAGAAAAAAGTATTCTATTCTAGTTAGAAAATGTTAAAGATACATGTAATAATCAAAAAACTAACAAATAAATTCAAAGTCAAGCAGGACTGCCCATGTAAACACTAGATAAAAGCTGGTATTTGTAGAATTGCTTTCAACACAAGTGAAGAGTCTATTAAATAAGGTCAGAAGCAAAGGGCACCACCAGAATGTTGAGATTACCAAGGAACTGTGCCTATATTGTAAAAGAAAAATCTCCTAAATTTAAAGTTGCTCATCATTTTCCAATTACCTAAGGTCTTCCTGCCAGTGATGAAATCCTTATTACTGGCAGATCCACTGATGAGCCCCCAAGGAGGAGATCTTCCAGCATTCCCTGTTTATCACAGCCACTTACAGAAATGCAGAAGGCTTGTAACTGTAGCCAGAAGCCACAACCCTAAGCCAAGGCTTGTTTTGTTTTGTTTTGTTTTGTTTTGTTTTTAAGAGAGAGGGTTTCATTCTGTCACCCAGGCTGAAATGGCCAGCAAGGAACACATGTCAACATAAGCTTCACAACTGGGAAGTCTTGTATAAAATAACAAATCGGGCTGGGCACGGTGGCTCACGCCTGTAATCCCAGCACTTTGGGAGGCCGAGGTGGGCGGATCATGAGGTCAGGAGATCGAGACCATCCTGGCTAACACCGTGAAACCCCGTCTCTACTAAAAACACACAAAAAATTAGCCGGGCGTGGTGGCAGGCACCTGTAGTCCCAGCTACTCGGGAGGCTGAGGCGGGAGAATGGCGTGAACCCAAGAGGCAGAGCTTGCAGTGAGCCAAGATCGCGCCACTGCACTCCAGCCTGGGTGACAAAGCAAGACTCCATTTCAAAAAAATTAAAATACAATACAATACAATACATAAAATAAAATAAAAATAAAATAACAGATCATCTCTAAATACTAAATACCTTAATGACTTTTTATGATCACAATAGAATGGAATGAAAAAGGGAGAAAAGCAGGGTGAGAAGGAAGAAGGAAAGAAGGAAGTGTAAAATGAAAGAGGTAAAGTCTCTAGAGACCCTTGGTCCAACCTACTGTTCCCTGGCTTGGAAAGTTAGAATTAATCTTTAGCAGAAGTTCTTAGGCTTTCTTAGTTTAAAGCACATTTAGTGTTTATATGAAGCATGGGTGGAGGTCCAAGTATCTTATATGATTGAGGATTAAGGACTCTCAATGCAAAAGGGCCTAAGTGTTAAAACCATCCTGAATTTTTATATCTCCACAACAACTTTCTGGCATCCAGTTACCAGAGAAATGGAAGTAAGCAAAAAGAATTTAGGAAGAAGCAAAATACAAGTCAGAAAAGGCCATGGACCACACAATCGGACTCGGAAATTACATTTCTTGGAATTTTCCCTGAAGAATAAATGGTCATATACAAAGTTTTAGTCAAAAAGATGCAGAGCAAATCACTGATATAAGAGCAAGAAGTTGGAAACTATCTAAATTGTCTAGCACTGGGTGCTTATTTAATAAATCCAACAACAGAATTCTAAAGAGCCATTCAAAAAGATGTTGACAATATCGTAAGTGATAAAAGCAGCTTACCAAAAATATTAATATATTCCTTTTTAACACAAAAATTTTAAGATATATGTATAACTGCTATCATTTAAATGTGTCCCCCAAAGTTCACGTATTGAGAACTTAATCCCCAATGCAACAGTACTGAAAAGTAGGAACTTTAGGAGGTGATTAGGTCATGAATGCTTTGCCTTCATGGATGGATTAAAGCTGTTATCAAAGGAGTGGATTCATTACCACGACAGTAGTTGTCATAAAAGCAAATCTGACCCCTCTTGCTCTCGTGTGCGTGCGTTCTCTCTCTCTCTCACACACACACGCGCTCTCTCTCTCTCTCTCATTCTTACTCTCTTGCCCTTCCACCTTCCACCTTCCACCATGGTATGATGCAGCAAGAAGGTCCTCACCAGATGCAGCCCTTTGATCTTGGGCTTCTCAGTCTCTAGACTATAAGAAATAAATTTCTGTTCTTTAACAATTACCCAGTCTATGTATTCTGTTACAGCAGCAGAAAACAAACATAGACAGTAACAGAGTTTAGAAAGATATGCGTTATACTAAATCAAGTGATAAAAGCAAATTACCAAACAGCATATATCTAGCTATGGTCCTGATTAAGTGTTCAGTTGTAAGTAGCATACGTGTGTTGAGGAATGAATTCGGAAGGATGCTGCAGGGTATATTATCTGTTGATGACAGAATTTTCAACATCATCCCTATACTTTCAAGCTCTTTCACAGTGCCTGGAAGCCTGGAAACTACATTTCCCAGATCCCTTGTAGGCAGGATTTTGGCTTAGGTTCTGTGGATGAAAGGCACTCATGTGAAAGTAAGAACACTGGAGAGAAGCAACCATATTCTTCCCCCAGCAGTGGCTGGTAGAAGTGGGGATAGATGTTAGGGTGATGTATACATGGCTTCTGGGTAAAGCTCCTGATAATCACCCACTGTAGGGCTATAGGTGGCTGATATCATAGGTGGTGGCTTCCTATGATTCTCTCATTTCTTGATATCCTCAAAGTAAGATCGGTTATTACCAATCTTCCTTCCCTATATCAATGCTCTTCCTGCTAAAATACCTGTAGCAATTTATCTTTTCCTGTTTTAGCTTAAAAAAGAAATGATCTCTAGTATGTGAGATGATAAGTGACCTTTTTATTCTTATTAACATTTTCTGGCTTTTTAAAATAAATGTGTACTGCATTTGTAACATGAGAGGAGGTTTTGAGATTTTTAGTTCACTCTTCGGGCCTTTGGTGAGAACTAAATTATGCATACTTTTCTTGCACAATTTTAAAAACCTTCATTACTTGTTTTCCATGTTAAAAGGAAAGGACTACTGAAGAAAATGTAACAACAGGGGTAAGATGTGACAGCTGATAGAAAAGGAGTAAGAAAAAGCAGTTGTTTTTTAAAATTTACATCACCATCACCCAACACCCCCGCCCCACTCAAACACACACACACACACACACACACACACACACACACACACACACACACACACACAATATAAAACATATTCTGGAAGCATTCAGTATAGGGAGAAACTTCTCTACCTCAGCAAAATAACAAATACTTGCTACATAAGTACAACAACTGCTATTCATATTAATTATTCCATTAAATTATATACTTTACATCCTGTTAAAGACATGAGGGAAAAGTTTTGATAGATTGATGTTCCTACAAATAACTGAAAGAAAAATATTTATTTGCTATCTAAAAATAACTTTTTCAGAGTAATTCATGTGTTGCCTTTTATTTTAGAAACTTTTCACTGAGTAACATCTTTAAAATTTTTCATTCAGTGGTTATACTATCTTGTTCATTTCTAAGACTCTTAGCAAAAAGAGCTATGGTGCTGATTAAGTGGACATTTCACACATAGAAAACTATTCTCCAAATGGTTAAAAATGAAATATGAGTACCTCACAGCTCTTCCAGCTACTCCAAAAGCAACTGTCATATAAGTAAAAAAATGTTATATGAGTATTTACTTCAATAGACTTTATAATAGCAGTTAACTGCACTAAAGGATTTTAAATCAATAAAAGTTAAATGAAAGATGAGTAGACAATGGAAAAAAAAATGGTCACAATTTTTCCCGAGCTTTATATTTCCATTATCAACAATAAGTTTAAAAACCTGCTGAACCCATTTTAATCCAATTGGTACAGATTAATCACAAATTCCATACCCATCACATACAGCATAGAATTGACAATTTTATTTAAAATGGGAAATTTCCGAAAAACTTATGGTGTAATCTTATTTTTCTTGCTGCATTTAACAAATTACCAAGTCTATATAATTATAAACTCAGTTTTAACCTCTCAGGATTCTTTGAGGTAGTTTGCAATGATTCCTTTAAATATCATAATGTAATGCAGGTATCCAGACTCTGCCATGTATAGATGTTCTTTAATTGTGTTATCTTCTTTATGGGAAGGTGAGAAAATCTTTCTAATCAGTGAAGAATACATTAAATATTTCATAATAATATTTTCTTTCAACTATCAAGCTTGCTCAGCTTCACATTCCAAATCGGTTACAGGTTATTTGAACAATGAAATTAAGAAGTGGCAGACATCAGTCAAATCCAAATTAGTAATGAAAATAGTTATCATTATTGATAATATTGAGCAATTACTATGTGCAGACACTATGCTAGCACACTGCATGAATTCTTCATTTAATCCTCACAACAACTCTACGATGAAAGCATGATTATCCTCATTTTACAGAAGAGGAAATGAACTTGAAGAGGTTATTCTGAATGCCCAAGATTACACAGCTACTAAGAGATATCAGTGGAATTTGTATCCAGGCCTATCTAATTCCAAGGCCTTACCAATACCCAATCTAAGCTTTTCCATACACGGATAAGAACATAAAAGCAAAAATAAACATCTGCCATGGGTCATCAGTTATTAAAACAAATACAGGAACATAAGTGATAAAATCCCCTCTTCCGTGTCCTGAAGAAGACAATCACATACTTTTCACTCCAAGAAGGAAGCTTTCAGACGATTCTTCAGAATTTAGTAAGTCTATCTACATAAAATATTATATGCTATTTGTTTTCACTAAGCTACATGATTAAAAGCCCCAATTAGCATTGCTGCAGTGACAGCTGACAGCAAGGGAAAGGCCAAAAGTACAATAATTGAAGGTCACAGTAATGACCCTGATTCCAGGATAAGGTCAAAATCAATTCAGTATGCTGTATTTCATCACAATGGATTTTAAAACATGTAATACTAATAACATAAGGTTTTCTTCTCAAGTTTGAAAACTTTAAAATCTCAGCTTTTAAAGGGTAGGCTTGAGGCCATGCGTGGTGGCTCATGCCTGTAATCCCAGAACTTTGGGAGGCCAAGGCAGGCAAATCACCCGATGTCAGGAGTTTGAGATCAGCCTGGGCAACATAGCAAAACCCCATCTCTACTAAAAATACTAAAATTAGCCGGGCATAATGGCACATGCCTGCAATCCCAGCTACTCAGGAGGCTGAGATGGGAGAACCGCTTAAACCTAGGAGGCGGAAGTTGCAGTGGGCCGGTATCACACCATTGCACTCTGGGCTGGGTCATCTGAAGAGCAAGACTCAGTCTCATTAAAAGAAAAAAAAAAGAAAAAAAAAGCAAGGTAGGCTTGAGTCATAATCTCTCTCTATTCAACACCACCAGACAAATAAAATGTTACTCAATTGCTTATTATCCTAAAAATAAAGCAGACTCCCTTCGCCTCCCAACTTCTAATAGCACATAAGGTTAGAAATTTTAAACAGTTATTTCCTATTACGAAAAGAGTATTTCCAAGCTTCTAAAAGCTGGAAAATACAAAGAAGCATAAATTAGAAAATAAAAGTTACCTGCAACCTTACTAACATTAACATGTATATATCTGTGTATTGTATTCCTTTGTTTTTTCTTTCTTATGAGCTATGTATAAAACATAAGCTTAATACAAGTAACTTGCAGACAAAGAAATTATGAGTTCAACACAGGAGAAAAATTCAAAATGATAGTAGGTCACCCATGTAGTGATGCCTAATAGAATAAAAATGCTGTGTCTCCCATAAACACAACTGGAGGCAGATAAATTTTGAATGTGTTATATAGCAGGGTATTAACCCACTCTGAAAATGATTTAAATCATTTTTAAATCTACAGAATAATTAAGACAGATAAATAAAACATAAATCAAGTCATTTAAAGGTATGCTCAGTATTTTCATTCTATTTTAAAGAAAAAATGTTCTATGGGAAAATGGGCCACCATAGAGACTGCTGCTAGAGCAAGAAAAGTAGCACTATTATCTGCCAGGGGAGAATTAACTGTTAGCAAACTGGCCAAGTGAGAAAGAAACAGGTTCTCAACTGGGATATAACATCAAGGGGAATGTAAAAATGAGAGTTCGTATCAGCCTGTGTTTAAACACTCTGACCCACAAATTTAGCACAGACAATTGGACAGGTCCTTTAGATTCCTCTGTCCATCAATTACATTATCTAGAGGCAAACACAATAGACTTACTGCAAACAGCGCTGATTTAAACAAAAATGTAGTGAATATAGATAAAGGTGTCAAGTGCCATGATGTAGTAATGACACAGAACAGCCAGGCAGGGACTACATGACTTGGAAGTTTAAAAGAAAGTAAATACCAAGTGTTTTTTGTTTGTTTGTTTGTGTGTGTGTGTGCGTGTTTACGTTAGTTTCCTATGAAGAATGAAAGCTTTGTGAAATTTGTAGCACATACAGAAAACACACCTATGACTATCATTTTCTAAAAAGCAGACATTTGACAAAAATCTCTTTCTGACACAAAAAAATAACAACTTCAAAGGCAGACTAATGTTTTCAAAAGAGAATCTATCAGTTAAAAAATACTAAACAAAACTAATGCTTTGTTGCTTTGTAATTTTGAGGAAGAAACCTCCAATAAGCTCAGGTTTTAAAAATGCATAAGAAAACACCACCAAGGGCAGATAGTGATTAATATTTAATATTTGCATCACTGATTTTTTCCCTAACAACCCTATACCAGCAACTTAAAGGCTTATCCTCTGATTTTTAAAAAGGTCTTAGAAAATAAAATTGTAAGAGTATTAAAGGCATGTGTTGAGAGTGGACAGGACCCCAGGACTCTGGCCTGCTGGGACAAATGGTAGAGAGAAAAGCCTGAGATCCGATTTCCCAACCTATCATTCTGGCTTCTCCACCTACACTACTCTCTCCCTTCTCTGATCTCTCACTTCACAAATATTAAGCACCATGTAAGTTAGATCTAATTTTCTTAAGTTTTTTCTTACCAAAATATTAACTAGCTCCTCCAGGTCAGGGACTAGATACCTGCATCTGCACCTCTTCTGGAACAGCAGGTGCACTACTAGGCAACTGCAAACTTGGTTGACCCTTAGGAACCACATCTCTCTAGCAGATTCCTTTATGAAAAAGAAGTCTCAACTACTCATCTCTGGTTGAACTGAAAGAAAAATCTCAGACACTTTTTCCACAACCACACTTTCCACAGCATCAAAACCACTTGGTACAGTGGTCATATCCTTAGGATCAAGGAAGTCAACATGCCTATTTCTCGTTTATTTCTCTCCAGGTCTAATATGAAGATGGCAATCTCATGTTTATACTACCTCTAAACTAAGCTATTGTAATCTTTTTCATGTAGGTTTTTTAAAAACTATATAGATTTTATCCTATCAAGAGCACAAATATAAGACTGTCTTTTCTTTATAGAGTCCATACTGTCGACAGCAATCCATATCTATATTTAATGTTTTAAATTTTTAATCATATTTTAAATGGTTCTGGCATCAGATTATACAGACAAAAAGCAAAGGAAATGTTTAAGATGAATTCCACAAGCTAATGTTTGCCAGAGAAATGTCAGAAGGCCACAGACATAAAATGCCCATTTGGAAGATGTAGTCAATTTAAGTGTGAACTATCCAGTTTGATGATCCTCTGGCATGCCATTGTGCCCAGAGTGTATACACAACCAAGAGTACAAAATTGAAAGTACACTGCTAATCGCTCACAGCAACAGCAATAAAAACTTTAAATGCTCTAAATTATAATCAGATAACTGGAAAAATATGTTCCTTTCCCATAGCAAGAACTCAATTCATGAGGCAAAAGGAAGGAAATGCATTGACCTTAAAAGTATTCACAAATTTCCAAGGACAAATTCCAAAGATGATCAGGGCTTTGAAACAATCATGAAATACATAAGTACACAAAATAATCTCTCTTTCTCAAAATCATAATATTTGCATTCTCCAGCCCAATGCTGTCAATACAGTTATGCACCAACCTATACACAGGAATCATCAACCTTGGCAGAGTGGAGTATTAAGGAGGCACTAACAAAAATTTTAATTTACAACTTCACAAATTATTATTTTTTTTAATTATTATTATTTTGAGGTGGAGTCTCACTCTGTTGCCCAGGCTGGAGTGAAGTGGCATGATCTCAGCTCACTGCAACCATCGCCTTCAGGTTCAAGCGATTCTTCCGCCTCAGCCTCCCAAGTAGCTGGGATTACAGGCACCTGCCACCACGCCCAGCTAATTTTTGTATTTTTAGTAGAGACGGGGTTTCACCATGTTGGCCAGGCAGGTCTCAAACTCCTGACCTCAGGTGATCTGCCCGCCTTGGCCTCCCAAAGTGCACAAATTATTTTTAAGACTTCAGATGGTTGGTTTTTATATAACTGCAAATGTCTTATTGTTTATATACAAACATACAGAGATGATAGGCAGATAGATGACAGACAGATGAATGTAAATGGCTAATGAGTACAGAAATCCCAGCAATAGAGGGGACAAACTCAACTGTGCCAGCAGAGCCAGACAGAAATGTACCCATGAGAAAATTCAAAGGGCAGCTGACGCAAGAACCTCAGTTTTATCTCGCAACAGTGACGTGCAATAAACATTACTGGGCCCTGCCTTCTGGAGCTCGCAGCCTGGTTGCTCCTGTCTCTCCTGTGGCAGGGCACTAGAGTCACACGAGTTGGCACCAAGTCCTAGCTTCAGCCATGTGATTTATAGGTGAATTATTTGAGTCCTAATGCCATCACTCCCCAGTGAGGATTAAACAATTTCTCTCCCATAAAATTAGCTTGAGGATTAAGTGAGCTAATGCCCATGAAAGCAATCCGTAACCTGTCTTGCACAAATACAAACGGGAAGTATCTCTGTTCTTATAAAAGACTGTGCCTCCTCCATCTGCCTTTCTCCAGTGTGCCATAATGTTTGGAAAACACTGAGGTTTTCAGTTATAATTAGGAAGTACAAACTCTATAATTAAATTTACTTCAAGCCTCAATCAGTAATGGGCTCATTTTAGTGCTTACTTAGTAGGCATGGTCCTATAGCCAGCACTGTACTAAATACTGTGGGAGACAGAAAAGAAAAACAAGATTTGGTCCTTTTGCTCCAGAAATTAAAAGTCTCACTAGGGAACAAAACCAGCACACATAAAGCAGCAGCAAGGCCTGGAGGCTAGCACAGGACTGAAGGGCAAACCCTGCAGGTGGAACTTACTTTGAAAACTAAAGGGAAGAACTCATTTTTTATTTTAATTGGCCAAAAGTTTGTGGAAGGCATTAGAGAGAGAGACAGCCTAAAGACAGGTATAAAGGTAGGAATGTATCTGTAGGCCCAACTAGGGACTCACTTGAATAGTGAGGGGTTAAAAGGAGCAGAAGTTTTTCAGACTATGGAGAACCCAAATACCAAGAAAAGATTTTTAAACTTAATCCAATAGGCCCAAAATGTAGACTAGTCAGTTTCCAAAGTCAAACAAAATTATCACCATGAAAAATTGTGGTAATGGGAAAAGAGTCTCAAAGAAAATAAGACTATTAAAGGTTTAATGAGATGCAAAAGCCTCAATCAGTAGTGGGCTCATTTCCACATCATAATTCCTTGCCCCAGCTTTTAATGCAAACCCAAAAACACATGAGCCAAGAGAAACAAATTTAATTTCTGATAAACCAGGTGCAAGTTATGACTATCACCCCCATGTGATTTACTGGCTGGAAGTAGCACAGGTCTCAGGTGAAGGATTTGGAGACCAGACAGAGGCAGGTCCCAATCCTATGTGAAACTGAGTAAGTTACTTGATCTGTTCCTCGATGTCCTCATCTATAGAGGGAAACAATACCTCTTCACAGAGTTATTTTGAGGCTTAAAAAAAATCTAGAAACTTTAAGCCATATATAAATGTCAGTTAAATAAGGCAAATTTAGCACATTTTGCTAGTTGATGAGCACCCTGTGGACAGGGGCTGTGTTTTATTCTCCAGTGCAAACCCAGAGCCTAGCTCAGTCCCTGACATCTACAGGAATCCAGTAAGTCTTTGATTAGTGAATGAATGTCAAATTTACTGCAATGCATCTTTAGTGAGCACTCATTATATGTGCTGTGGACTTACTAGGTCCGGGCAATTGAGTTGTGAAGAAAACAGAAAGAGCTCCTGCCCTCATGAAGCATGTGGTCTAGTAGGAAAATTAGACACTATACAAATAATAACAACACTGGAAAGCATCACAAAAAAAAAAGGAAGCACAGGGGATGTGCATGTTGAGAGCAATGAGGGGAGCATTTAACTCAGCGTAGAAGTTCAGAGAAGGCCTTCAAGCCATGCAAGTGACAATCATCAATTACTTCTATTATTGTCCACAGTAACAAAAACTATTAATACTTAACTGCCTGTTGCTCTAAATATAGAATTTTTTCAAACATTGATCCAGACATCACATTAAAAGGGAAGGGGAGTGTTGCACACAAAAAAATATATATATGAAAAGAAGAAAAAAACTTCCTGGTAAGTTCAAGTGACATCAAATGTGTTCTACCTACCACTGGTAAGAATAGAAGCATACTGTTCACTCATGGTCAAATTTTTATCAGAAAAATATGAATTACTACAATCAATCTATGCTGTTACAGACCTTTCTTAAAAAGAAACATATACCTGAAGCATAACGTACAAATCTGGTTTCAAATATATTGCAAGTAATATTTTATTTTGAAGGTGTAGTTTCAAACCTCAAGCCCTGAATGTGACCCTCTAAAGTTAACTAATATTTGAGTTCCTTCTCTGTGTAAAATATCAAATAAGACATTAAAGGAAATATTAAAAGCTTTAAAATACCTATCAAGTAATTTACAATTTGTACAGGGAAAAAATTTTACAGGAGTTCAATAAATAAATGCAAATTATACAAAGATGTCACAACACATGATTCCCTGTAAAATAAATACTGATAAATAACATAAGTTCTGGGATGGTTGGAGTGTCTCTTTTTTGATCACCAGTGTATTCAAGTACCTATAACTAGAACAAGTGTCTAGAATCACTACCTTACAAGGCAGTGAGTGAATGAATGAATTAATACGATTCATGGATTAAGTAGGAAGAACAATGTCACAAGAAGGATTCAGGAGAAACATCATGGACAGCAAGAATCAGGGGCCACAAATGATGGTTAGGGAAAACTAGACACAAAGGAGAGGGGAGAAAACTGTGTGACGCACAAGACAAGTTGAGGGGATGTAAAGTGTGAAGGCAGTGACTGGAAATTCGGGCAGAGGAGACCAAACTAAGGCTAGAAATGTTGGTGACGATCAGATTGTCCAAAAATTTAAATATCAAACTGAGGTGTGCACAGGCCTGATCAAGCTGGGTGCAGAAAGTCATCATGGTTTCTGAAGAGAAGGAAATAATCAAAATCTACTGGTAGAGTCCTGCATGGGCCAGAGCAGAGGCCACTGCTGCAAGAACCCACGCAAGAGATGAGAACCTGTACTCAAGCATCAGCAGCGGCCTCACCAAAGTAGTGAGGCAGCTGAAAAGCATCACAGAAGCCCCTCATGACACACTGGAAATTACAGACAGCTCACTCAGCATTCACCACATACCAGGGACCACGCTAAGCACTTTCATGGACATTCTGACACAATCCTCAAAACAAGTCCAAGAAGTAGGAATTTTATAGATAAGGGAACTAAGATTCAACAAGTTAGGTAACTGCCAGAATTCTAGCCATTGGTCTATCTGACTCAGCTTACAGATCTGACCCACCATACTCCTGGATCATAAAGGGGCACCACAACTTTTAAAAAAATACTAGACATTTTCAAACCTGATTGACTAAAAGAATGATGATACCACTGGTAAAAACAGAACACAAGAAAGACATTGAGTCTCAAACATGCTATGTTTGAAGTTACAGAAGAACAGTCAAGGAGAATTGCCCAGCAGACAGTCAAAAATGAAAAAGCCTAAGATCAAAGTTGGAATATAGGCTGAGTATCCCTGATCTGAAATGCTTAGGCCAGAAATGTTTCAAATTTTGAATTTTTTTTTTCAATTTTGGAATACTTTCAAATTACATACTGCATGGGCTTCCCTAATCCAAAAATCTGAAATCCAGAATACTTTGATGAGCATTTCCTTTGAGCCACATATTGGTACTCAAGAAGTTTCAGATTTTGGAGTATTTTCAGATGAGGAATGCTCAACCTGTATGAATTAAGGACTGAGATGCACAGACCCAGGAATTAACTGAAAAAGGGTAGTAATAGAATAGAATAACAGTTAATTATTTAATCGACAAATATTCTGTGAATACCTTTCCTATGGGAACCACAAAGCTAACTTCAGAAGGAAATAAAACAAAGTTTCTGCTCTCCAATAGCTTTCAGACTGGCCAAAAGGAAGGGTATTCATGTATGTCCAGGTCCGAACATACAGTGTGAAAAGCACCTTTGGGGAACAGGAACACACACAGGCAGGGTTGGGAAAGATAGCACAGTAAGAAAGGGACATGCTGGAAATGAAAATATTACAGAATGAGATGAAAAACCCAAATATCATGATTTCAACAAAGCAATGGAACTAAAAACCAGAGTGCAGGTGGCAATTATTTTACCAACAGCAGACCTGGTAAATGGGACTGTGGAGCTCAGGAGGTCCCTACAAATCTGAACACAACACAGACAAGTCTTTAACTCTCTCAGAGTATTTAATGTTTCAAAAATGTAAACCTGGATTGTTGCAAACCAAGCCGAGGTCAATGAAGGTAGGGGAATGGGGAGGGGCTGTGGGTAAATGATGAAAGAGGCCAAAGAAACCAAGAATATTTTGACACATTCTATTTCAGAAGCATTTGCTCACTGTATCCAAATTAATTGGGTATTTTGATGGAAAAAATAAACCACTCCATGAAAATGAACCATAAAGTAAAAAGTAGTTTTAAGGCATATATATATATATTTTTAAGGCATATATATATATATATATATTTTTTTTTTTTTTTGAGAGATGGAGTTTTGCTCTTGTTGCCCAGGCTGGAGTGCAATGGTGCGATCTCAGCTCACCGCAACCTCTGCCTCCCGAGTTCAAGCAATTCTCTTGCCTCAGCCTCCCAAGTAGCTGGGATTACAGACATCCACCACCATGCCCAGCTAATTTTTTGTATTTTTAGTAGAGACAGGGTTTCACCATGTTGCCCAGGCTGGTCTTGAACTCCTGACCTCAGGTGATCCGCCCGCCTCAGCCTCCCAAAGTGTTGGGATTACAGGCACGAGCCACCCCGCTGGACCAAGGCATATTTTACCACTCAAGTTATTCTCCAATGTATGTTTTATTTACCATTCATAAAATTAATAAATTAGTCATTGGTTATAAATTTATAATTAAAAAACAAATCAATGACTTGAAATATACTCAATAGTTATTCTAAAAACAAAACTTACATTTACCTTTAGATGACAATATATTAAAGCTTTATTGAATGGTTATAAATTTTTGTGGAGAAATTTAATATAACTATTGCTTGAATCAAATTCACTATGGAACTATTATACTACTGCTCATCAATTTAAGCATGTGATTACATTTAGAGGAAAGTAATATAAATGTATTGAATCTGGACTAATTCTATTACATGGCTCCAGTGAGCCTATTTTAATGAAATTTCCATGTGGCTGATAAGTTCTGATGGTTTACGTTTTAGCCTATTCTTAATATAAACTGGAAAGTTGTCTAAAACCCTGGATAAATCAGACAAGTACAAAAAGTCTAAGAATTTATCTTCTACAAGACTATTGTTTTAAATATGAGAAAGTAAGGCCAGGAGAAGTTAAATGGCTTGCCCAAGCTGACACACCTGAACTTTGGATGGAGGGACCGGTAGGAGGATAGAGAGGGGAATATATATATTATGCATAATTTCCTCTAAGTATTATAAACCATTGTAAGCATTATATTTTATTACAGTTATACAGGTAAACATATAAATACTAACATGTTATATAAAGACCTATAGAATATTTCCATAAATATGTAAAAACAATTTCTTAACAGTTAAACTATCTTATGAAATCACCATAAACCATGTGGTATCTTAATAAGAACAGAAAGAAAATTAATTAAAGAAAAGAATCAATGTCCCAGAAACAGAACTCAGAAACATAAAAAACATTACCTTAATAAAGGTAACTTAAAAAAAATGAAAGAGAAAATTAACACTGGTTTTCATCAGTTGAGGTGACTTTCTTACAAAATAATTCCTTGAAATCACTTGAATAAAAGGGGAAAAAAATCGGTGGTAATCTTTTCTTTCATAATGTCTGACCTTATCTCCTTATTACAGAAGCAGTTGAAATATCTTTAGTTTGCATTTCAACCACACAGGAAACAGTTATACTTTCTTTCCAGAACATAGTGTGTGAAAACTTCAAGATCTATAACTCACTGAGAAGGGAATGTAGCATAATGCTCTGCTGAACTAGACTAACGTATAGCATGTGATAAAACGGGAACAGTACTGGCACAATGCTACCATCTAAAGATTTGCTTAAACCAAGCTTCACTTAATAGTTGAAAAGCTAGATAAAATGCATAGGAGTTCATCATTACCACACACAGGGTATAAATACGGCCATCCACTAATGAAACTTCGGGGCAAATAGGGACAAAATTCTTCTCCCCTAAATGATGAGGCTAAAACCAAACCAAACCAAACAAAAACTTACGGGTGGTCCACCAAATATTGCCTTGGAGGGAGAGACAGGGCATTTTGCTCATCTAAAACAATATGAAATGATGATATCTCACAAATGTGTATATCTCTGGATAATCTGTTTCCAAATCAGGAAATTCTACCCAACTAGTTTGAACTCTCCAAACCACTTCTTTGATGAAAAAGCTCCCCACCTATTCCTTATATTTTATTGCAAAATTGTTTTATGTAATTTCTTAAATACTTTTTTAAAAAATTAAAGTGAGCTCAAAGAAAATACAAACATTTCCTTCTCCTCCAGTGACAGGGGATCCTCCCCCTACTGAATTTCCTAGAACCTTGTTTGTACCTCTTACAGTGATCAGCACATTTTCCCTTACGATTATTTGTGTGTGTGTATAAATGAGGCATATATATATCTCCTTTGTAGCTTTTAAGCTAGCTGAGAACAGACAAAAGCCTTATTTATACTTTATTCTCTTCACATCTCACATGTGTTATATACAAAATAAGCAAATAGCATAAAATAAAACTTATTAGTATTTTAATTAATATTGTATTTTGTACAGATACTATCATAAAGCTTTTTAACTGGTTTCCCTCTCTACTGCAATTCACCTTCACTCTGCTCCTTGCAAGATTATTCCAAAACAAAATTCCAATTATATTATTTTCCTACTTAAAATCCTTCAGTGGCTTCCTGCAAGTTCATCTGCGTGTCATACACGGCTACTGCAATCCCATCCGCTCTCTCATCGCTTGCTGCAGATATCCGAAAGCCTGGCCTTAAGGATCTATGTATCCTTCCTCTGGGCCTTCACTCTCGACCTGATCCACCAGGCTAATTGCCAGGTATCAACACTCTACTCCAGTCTTTAAACTGCATCACATACTTTAGTGAAACACACTGCATAATACTTCACTTATGCCTTCCCTACAGCACTTCTCATATTGCAGAGGGTAAGGAACTGGGGAAAGGTAAACATGGCTATTTTTCCCCCTCTAAATTGTAAGAAGGTTCCTGGTGATAAAAAGCTAGAAACCACCTGTAAGAATGTTTGCCTAAAAAGCTAAATCCCAGAACTACACATACGGCCTGGACACAGTAAAGTTCTGGAAAGTGGTAGGAAAGTTTATTCTACTCAAACATGAAACCTGCCTGACAGCCAAGTCATCACTCCATAACCAGCCATCCCTTAGAGATGCATTTCCTAATTTCAACAAAGCATCCAGAGGAAAATGTTTTAAATGGAAATTATGGTGGTAAACATTCTTAACATCTGAAATTATTTTATTATTTAAAAATCCTCCCAATCTTTAGTTCTAAAGTGAAATTATCTACTGTAACATTCTAAGAAAATTTGCAAATAAGAAGGCATTAAATATATCGTTTTGATTTTCTTAATCTGTAAAAACCAGGAAAAAAGGTATTAAAAGTATGAGAAATTAAAATGTTAGTGCTATTCCTTGCTATTACACTAGTTCATGGAGGATAACCTTAACCTAGTTATTTAATGTCTTCTCAGCTTTTTTGTGTAAACCAGGCCTTCAACCTGCCTCACAAACATGACCCAAGGAATAGACACTAAGTTCTTCTGAGGAAGATTCAGTGCTTGTGAAATGCATGAATTAGATTATGTATCTCCTTGATCTGTCAAAACTGTATTCAGGAAAACAACCAGTCCCTCATATATCACATCACCTCACTCCAGCCAGAGGGTTGACAGTTGCCTCCACTGGGCTCATCTATCACTCTACCTTGCACACACCTCAAGTGCTGTCCACATCAAGCTGTATCATAATATATATTTATATAACTGACTGCCAAAAAAACCTCCATAAGGAGGAAATTAATGTCTTGTTTTGTGTCAGTATCCAGAAAAAAAAAATCACTGAGTTTATCCAGGCAGTAGAAGGGATTTTTAGGCATATTTTACCAAAGTTAAAAACTGAAAGTCTATTATCTAACAGAAATAGCAATATCCTGAGTACACTGTGAGATTTATATTGTGACTTTCACTTTTTAAAGTTTTATATGAATATATATCTATACAAGTTATATTGTATAAAGTATACTAGCTGAGCTTTTTGTTCTTGCAACATGGCCTAAAAAATAGTAATTTCCTAACCATCATCAACTTAATTTTTAAGAACATTAAGAGGAAACATTTTACATCATTGCTGTTTATTAACAGAGGTGTGACTCATGTACAATAAATTGCACATATTAAAGAGCACAATTTGGCCGGGCGCGGTGGCTCACGCCTGTAATCCCAGCACTTTGGGAGGCAGAGGCGGGCGGATCATGAGGTCAGGAGATCGAGACCATCCTGGCTAACACAGTGAAACCCCGCCTCTACTAAAAATACAAAAAATTAGCCGGGCGTGGTGGCGGGCGCCTGTAGTCCCAGCTACTCGGGAGGCTGAGGCGGGAGAATGGCGTGAACCCGGGAGGCGGAGCTTGCAGTGAGCCGAGATCGCGCCACTGCACTCCAGCCTGGGCGACAGAGCGAGACTCCGTCTCAAAAAAAAAAAAGAAAAAAAAAAAAAAGAGCACAATTTGATGAGTTATCTCAGGTGTATACATCTATGAAACCACCACCACAATCAAGGGAGTGAACATTTCCATCACCCTCAACAGCTTGCAGAGTTTTTTTATGCTCTTTTTTCATGTCTGTCTTCCATCCCTTCCTGTCTCTAGCATCTACCAATCTGCTCTGTGTCATTATAAGTTAAATTGCCTTTTCTAAAACTGTATATAAATGGACTCATATGGTATATTTCTGTGCGTTTGGGTTTTGTTTTGGAATTGCTTAACCCCCAACTAATAATGAGTCCCACTGCATCAGGCCTGATCTTCCTACCCACAGAATTTGCTATGGTTTGAAGGTTTGTGTCTTCCTCCCACCCTAAATTCATAAGTTGAAATCCTAACCCTGAAGGTGATGGTATTAGGAAATGAGGCCTCTTAGGAGGTGATTAGGTCATACGAACAGAGCCTTCATGAATGAAATTAGTGACCTTATAAAATAGGCCTGTATTAGTCCGTTCTCACACTGCTATTAAAAAAAAATACTTAAGACTGGTTAATTTATAAAGAAAAGAAGTTTAATTGACTCACAGTTCTGCATGGCTGAGGAGGCCTCAGGAAACTTACAATCATGGAGGAAGGTGAAGGGAAAGCAAAAACCTTCTTTACATGGTGTCAGGAAAAATAAGTGCAAGCAGGGGAAATGCTAGATGCTTATAAAGCCATCAGATCTCATGATAACTCACTTACTATCATGAGAAGAGCATGGGTGAAACTGCCCCATGTTCCAATCACTTCCCACCAGGTCTCTCCCTCAACATCTGAGGATTACAATTCAAGATGAGATTTCGGTGGGGACACAAAGCCTAACCATATCAAGGCCCAAGGGGACTCATTTGCCCTTCCATCTTGTAAGGACACAATGAGAAGGTGCCATCTATAAATCAGGAAACAGGCCCTTACCAGACACCACATCTGCTGGTATTTTCATCCTGGATTTCCCAGCCTCAAGAACTGTATAAATTCCTGTTGTTTATAAGCTCCCCAGCCTACAGTATTTTGTTATAGCAGCCCAAATCAACCAAAACAGTACTGTTTTGGACTTTTCACTCTGGAGCTTTTAGAACAGTTTTTAGAACATGTAATTCCATATTCTGGAGAAGGGACATGGCCATGGATACAACCTCTTTCTTCTCTCCCGTTCCCTATAGAATCTTATTGGTGAGAAGTGACAGAAATTTGTCAACAACCCATTGCAGTTTTGAAGGCAAAGAATTAAAAATAAGTAAATCTATGTCATCGCTATTTTAAAACTAAATGTCCATGCCTAAATTACAAATCAATTGTTATAAATTGTTTCCACATAAAGAATTTTGAATGTTACTAAATGATGTCAGCTTGATAACAAATTTTACCCTCCAGTCGATATTATGACAAAAAAAAAAAAAACCCTGTAAACACTCAATTTAAAAGAAATAGCTGGTTTTCTGGGTGGCTGACAGGGCTTTAATGACATAGAAGTGGCCACATCAGCAAAAAGGAAATATTACCTCCTGGTTACCTCTCAACTTTTGTCAACTTCTCAGCATACCACCACCAAAAATATCTATGGCTTTAGAATTTCTGATCATGCAAATACAATACACACTAAGAAAATTTAAGAAACTGTAAATGCATTGCATACATGACCAAACTGATTTAACTGACAGTAGCTAAAAACAGTGCCTTCATATCTATTTGGAAAGTTGATGCTATGGTGAAATGTTTATCCTGTTTCTTTACAGACACCATTGGGGGAAAAAAAACTGTGACCATATGTTCCCTGAGAACCCTTGGCATATTAAATATTAAACATAGAACAACACAACGATATTAAGAATATTTAGGGAAACTCTGGCAAATGCTGTGTAATACAGCTAGAGCGACACAGTTAAAAGCCACTCTTAGTTCTATACACAACAGAAATGTGTCCCAAAAGATATGTACGCATTCAGCAAAAGATATGTACAGGATGGTCAAGGCAGTATATTTGTAATACTAAAACTTGGAAGCAGAAAAATGGATAAAATATGGTACATTTATAAGATGAACAAAATATTGCTGCATGGGACAATGTGGATATGTCTCAAAACATGATATTGAACACAAGATGCCAGACACAAAAGAGTGCATTATGTGTGATTCTATTTACGTACACTTAAAAAAAAGAAATCAGAAAAACTAATCTTAGCGTTGACGGTCAAGATAGAAGTACCTTTGAGGCCTGAGGGAGGGACCAAAGTGAGATTCTAGGGTGCTGGTAATATCCTATGCTAACTACATAGGAGAGTCAGTTTGTGAATATTCAGTAAGCTGTATAATTATTTAAAGAAGGTACAAACCAATATTACACTTTAATTTAAAAGTTGAATTTGTATACCCGTATTCAGAGCAGCATTACTCACGATGGCCAAAAGATTAAAGAAACTCAAGTATTCATCAATATATAAATGGAAGAACAAAATATGGTGTATACATACAATGGACTATTATTCAACCTTAAATTTCAGGAAGGAAATTCTGCCATATGCTACAACATGGATAAACCTAAAAGGCATTATGCTAAGTGAAATAAGCTAGTCACAAGTGCACAAATGTATGATTCTACTTACATGAGGTATCTAGTGTAGTCAAATGCATAGGTACAAAAAGTAGAATGGTGGCTGTCAATGGCTAGGGGAAGGGGGAATAGGAAATTACTGTTTAATGTTACAGAATCACAGTTTACATTTGGGAAGATGAGCTCTGGAGATGAATTGTGGTGATGATTGCACAACAATGTGGACACATACTTAATGCTATTGAACTATGTAATTAAAAATAAATCAAAGAAAAAATGTTACATATATACCATATATGTATATATAAACAGATATGTCACATATAAATATATAACATATATGATATATATGTTACATATATAACATACGTATATATAAACAGAGATGTATCTCTTGCATCTTTTAAAAACTAATGTAAAAAATTGTTACAAGAATCAACAAGGGGCCAGGTGCGGTGGCTGCCTGTAATCTCAGCACTTTGGGAAGCCGAGGCGGGCAGATCACCTGAGGTCAGGAGTTTAAGACCAGCCTGGCCAACATGGTGAAGCCCCATCTCTACTAAAAAAATACAAAAATTAGCCAGGCATGGTGGCAGGTGCGTGTAATACCAGCTACTCGCGAGGCTGAGGTAGGAGAATGACTTGAACCCGGGAGTGGAGGTTGCAGTGAGCCAAGATCGTGCCACTGCACTCCAGTCTGGGTGGCAGAACGAGACTTGGGTCTCAAAAACAAAAACAAAACAAAACAAAAAGAATCAACAAGGGGCTCCCATTGGCCAAACATAGGACAAGTTGAACTTCAAAAAGAATAATGGGTAGGGGGTAGAGCAAGATGGTGGAATAGAAGGCTACACCAATTGTCTCCTTCAAAGACACCAATTTAACAACTAACTACACAAAAAATCACCTTCATAAGAACCAAAAATCAAGTGAGCACTCACAGTACCTGGTTTTAACTTCATCACTGAAAGCAGCACTGAAGAGGATAGGAAAGACAGTCTTGAATCATGGATGCCACCCCTCCCCCATCTCCTGGTAGTAGCTGTGTGGTAGAGAGAGAGAATCTGTGCACATGGTAGAGAAAGAGTGCAGCAAGCGCGAGGCATTGCATTTAACTCAGTGTTGCCCCATCACAGCAGAAATCCAAACCAGGCTGAACTCAGCTGAAGTCCGCCCATGAAGGGAGTATTTAAACCAGCCCTGGCCAGAGGGGAATTTTCCATCTCAGCAGTCAGAACTTGAGGTCCCACAAGCCTCACCACCACAGGCTAAAGTGCTCTAGGGCCCAACATAAACTTGAAAGGCAGTCTAGACCACAGGGATTGCAACTCCTAGGTGATTCCTAGTGTTGAACTGGGCTCAGAGCCAGGGGACTGTGGGGGAACACAACCTACTGAAACACCAGCTGGGCAACTAAGGGAGTGCTTGTACCACACCCCTCCCCTAACCCCATGCTGCACAGCTCACAGCTCCAAAAGAGAATCCTTCCCTTTGCTTCAGCAGAGAAGATGGAAGAGTAAAGACGACCTTGTCTTGCATCTTGGATACCAGCTCAGCCACAGCAGGATAGGACATCACAGTCATGAGCCCTTTCCAGGCCCTAGCTCCTGGACAACATTTCTAGACACACCCTGGGCCACAAGGGAACCCACTGCCATGAAGCGATGGACTCAGTTCTGGCAGGACCAATCACCTTCTGACTAAAGTGCCCTTGGTCCCTGAATAACCATTATCAATACCCAGGTAGTACACCATGGGCCTCAGATCAGACTCTGAGACTTGCTAGCTTCTGGTGAGACTCACGACATTCCCAGCTGTGGTGGCTATGGAGAGAGATGCCTTCTGTTTGAAAAAAGAAGAGGAAATAGCAAAGGGGACTTTGTATTGTACCTTAGGTACCAGCTCAGCCACAGGGGGATATAGTACCAAGTGGGCTCTGGGGGGTCTCCAATTACAGGCTTAGCTCTGGACCTGCCCAGCAACAGAGAGCCCACTGCCCTGTAAGGGGAGTCCCAGGTCAGGTAGCATTAATGACAAGCTGTCTGAAGAGCCCTTGGCCCTTAAGAAAACATTGGTGGTAGTCCCGTAGTACTCCCTGTGGGCCTGTGATGCTGGCCATGGGGTAAGGCTCCTCTGCCTGTGGAAAGGGGAGGGAAGAGTAGGAAGAACTGTGTCTTGTGGTTTGTATGCCAGCTCAGCCACAGTACAATAGAACACAGGTAGACTTCTAAGATTTTGGACTCCAGTCCCTGGCTCCCAGATGATACCTCTGGACCCACCTGGGGCCTGGGGGAACTTGCTGCCCTGAAGGGAAGGATACAAGCCTGGCTTCACCACCTGCTGATGGTAGGACACCAGGGCCTTGAAAGAACACAGCAGTAGCCAGGGAGTGGTTACAGTGGGTCTTAAGTGAGACCCAGTGCTATACTGGCTTCAGAGCACAGTCCCGGTGGTGGTAGCCAGAGGGGTGCTTGTGTCACTCCACCCCCAGCTCCAGGTGGCTCAGAACAGAAAGAGAAACTCTATTTGGGATAAAGTAAGGGAAGAGAACAAAAGCCTCAGCCTGGTGGTCCAGAGAATGCTTCCAGATCTTATCAAAGACCATCAAGGCGGTGCCTCTACAACTCTACAAGAACCACAGCATTACTGGGTTTGGGGTGCCTCCTAATGCAGATACAGCCTAGATCACAACACCCAAGTCCTTTTGGAACTGGAAAGCCTTTGGAAGAAAGATAGGTACAAACAAGCCCATACTGTGAAGGCTACAATACCTAACTCTTCAATACCCAGCCACAGACAAACATCCACAAGCACCAAGACCATCCAGGAAAACATGACCTCACCTAATGAACTAAATTAGGCACCAAGGACCAATCCTGGAGAAACAGAGATATGTGACCTTTCAGACAGAGAATTTAAAATAGCTGTTTTGAGGAAATTCAAAGAAATTCAAGATAACACAAAGAAGGAATTCAGAATTCTATCAGATAAATTTAACAAAGGGATTGAAATAATTTTCAAAGGTTAAGTCGAAATTATGAAGTTTAAAAATGCAATGACACACTGAAGAATGCAACAGTCTTTATCAGAATTGTTTAAGCAGAATTAGTGAGCTTGACAGCAGGCTAGCTGAAAATACACAGTCAGAGGAGGCAAAAGAAAAAAAAGAATAAACAACAATGAAGCATGCCTAGAGGATGTAGAAAACAGCTCGAAAGGGAAACCTAAGAGTTATTGGCCTTAAAGAGTAGGTAGAGAAAGAGATAAGGAAGAAAGTTTATTCAAAGGGATAATAAAACAGAACTTCCCAATGTAGAGAAAGATATCGATATCCAAGTATAATAAGGTTCTAAAACACTAAGCAGATTTAACCCAAAGAAGACTACCTCAAGGTATTTGAAAATCAAACTCCCAAAAATCAAAGATAAAGAAAGGATCCAAAAAGTAGAAAGAAAAAAGAAACAAATAACACATAATGGAATTCCAGTACAACCGGCAGTAGACTTTTCAGTGGAAATTTTACAGGCCATGAGGGAGTGACATGACATATTTAAAGTGCTGAAGGAGAAAAATTTATGCCCATTAGCCAGGAGTGGTGGCAGACGCCTGTAGTCCCAGCTATTTGGGAGGCTGAGGCAGGAGAATGGCGTGAACCCAGGAGGCAGAGCTTGCAGTGAGCCGAGATCACACCACTGCACTCCAGCCTGGGTGACAGAGTGACACTCTGTCTCAAAAAAAAAAAAAAAAAAAATTATGCCCTAGAACAGTATATTCAGTGAAAATATCCTTCAAACATGAAGGAGAAATAAAGACTTTCTCATACAAACAAAAGCTAAGGAATTTCATCAACACCAGACCTGTCCTACAAGAAATGTTAAAAGCTTCAATCAGAAAGAAAAGGACATAAATGAGAAATAAGAAATCATCTGAAGGTACAAAACTCACTGGTAATAGTAAGTACGCAGAAAAATACAGAATATTATATAACATTGTAACTATAGTAAGTAAACTCCCCTAAGTAGAAAGACTAAATGATGAACTAATCAGAAATAATAACTACAACTTTTCCAGACAGACAGTACAATAAGATATAAACAGAAATAATAAAGAGTTAAAAAGTGGAGGGACGAAGTTAAAAAGTGTAGAAATTTATTAGTTTTCTTTTTGCTTGTTTGTTTGCTTGTGCAAACAGTTTTGTTATCAGCTTAAAGTAGATTTGGAAGCAACCTACGTGCCCATCAATAGATGAATGGATAAAGAAAATGTGGTACTTATACACAACAGAGTACTACTCAGCCATAAAGGAAAATGAGATCCTGTCATCTGCAACAACATGGACAGAACTGGAGGTCATTATGTTAAGTGAAATGAGCCAGGCACAGAGAGACAAACTTTGCATGGTCTCACTTATTTGTGGGAGCTAAAAAATTAAAATAATTGAACTCATGGAGATAGAGAATAGAAGGATAGTTACCAGATTCTGGGAAGAGTAGTGGGTGGTTGGAGGGGAAGTAGGGATGGTTAATGGGTACAAAAAAAAATAGAGTAAGATATACTATTTGCAAGCACAACAGGGTGACTGTAGTAAAAAATAATTGTACATTTAATAACTAAAAGAGTATAACTGGATTGTTTGTAACACAAAGCTTAAATGCTTGACATGATGGATACCCCATGTACTCTGATGTGATTATTACACATTGCATGCCTATATCAAAATATCTCATGTAATCCATAAATATGTATACCTATGTACCCACAAAAATTAAAACTAAAAAATTTTTTTAAAGAATTATGAGTACCTTGATAAAAAACACATTGAATATATATAAAGACCCACTAGCTCAGAATGAGACTTAAAACAATAGAAAGTCTGCCCCTCCCCTCCAAAAAGAAATCAATTAGTCATTACTAGAAATGACATACTCTGAAAATTGGTAATCAAAGGAAAATAATTACCTAACTACTTCTGCCCTTCCCATATGTATTACACTTTCAGGGTTACCTAGTCGATAAGAAAAGATTCTTCTTTACAAAAGAATTCCAGTCAAAAAATGTTAAAGAACTAATGACATTTTTTTAACCACCATTTTGCAAGTCCTAAAAAATTGTTTTAGGCAAAGATTAATAATAAATGACATGATTGATGAAAAGTCAATGAAAAACTTTATATTGAAGAGATGATACTGTCACCACCTAAACCCACCGATCAATCTTAGCAAATCTACGTGTGGGGCAACCAGCCATTATTTACCTCTGATGTGGAACAAAATGAAGTACACTGCATCGGCTATGATGTATCTTAGCAAAAATAGGTGAATATTAATCTGTTCATGCCTTCAGAGCTAATATTCAATTTTAAGGTATTATAATATATAGAGGAACAAGTTAATGACACCATGAGAAAGCAAGACAACAAATACAGAATGTGAAATAGTCTACGAGACAAGTGACCAGGTTTCCTGATCTCGTTACTACCTAGAGAAAAGGACCACTAAATTAAAAGTGACTCACAGGTAATATTCAAATGCAGTAAGGATCCAAATGGGCTTTGTTTGGATCCTTCTTTGGAGCCAAGTGTAGAGGAAACATTTTGAGACAATCTAAGAAATCTGAATACGGACTGTATGTTAGATTATAATAAGAAATTGCTCACTTTGTTAGATGTGATAATGGCATTCTGACTATTTAGGAAAATCTTTAAAAATTTAAAGATGCATATCAAAGCGTGTAAGGACAAAAACAGCATGATGCCTGGGATTTGCTTTAATACTTAGGCAGAATAATAATTATACATTGAATACATGTATCAAAATATCACATTGTACCCTATAAGTATGCACAATTATTATATGCCAATTAAAAATAAAAAATATACATTTTTAAAGAATAAAGGGGTATAGTTGAAGCAAATGTGATAACCTAGATAACCGTTGAATCCAGGTGATGGGTACATGACAGTTCATATTCTCTTTGTGTATGTTTAAAATTTTCCAACATAAATAGTTTTAGACTATTCAAATGATACAGATTATACTTTACATATTTTAGATTATCCATGGATATTAAAACACGTGATTGAAATATTGTCATAAAGAATTGTAGTCAAATTATTCCTTACTTAACAAATAAAGAAAATGAAGACCAGAGAACTTAAGTGGTCTGCTCAAAATTACACAGCCATTATTAACAGTCAGCTCATGCTGAGAGTAACAACAACTAGCATTACACTATGGAAGCAGCCCTAATTCCAAACCACAGATTTGGGGGTTTAGCAAAGGGACTAACTCTCAGTAATTCAATACCTCACCATTTTATTTCAAATTTGTGCTTTGAACATTAAGCATGGTCCTTATGAAACTAATCTGAGAACAGTTCTATATGAAAAAATATAGAAATCTATTACATTCTTAACAGTACAGCTAATAAATGTTTTTCTTATGGCCAACCAGCATAGCACAACGATAGCTCTCACACCCATACAGGCAACAAGAGCCAGCCTGGCACACTGCACTGGGCATTCCTGGTGCCCACACTTGTGTTTTCCCCGGCTTCAGTGGCATGTCAATTGGTTCATTTACTTTATCTGATGTTACTTTATGTGCTGGTAATAATGTTAATTCATCACAACAGCTAACAAAAGGTACCCAAATCACAGCACGAGAGATGCCACACAAGTTCAAGAGCGGGCATTAAGACATACTTCTCAGGAGTTCAAGGTGAATGACACCTTAGAAGTGGTAGCTGAAGAGACTATAATTCAGTGATTTATGTAGCAGTCATGGAGAAACTGGCAGAAGTCCTCTGCCCAGGAGTGAGTGACATTAGTTTGCATGAACAAAACCTGAAAGAGACTATGCAGAAACATGTGAGACTTCAGGTGATTTGATGGGAACAAAGCAATAACTATGCAGTATGATTTACAGAACACAGCTCCATAGGGTCTATGCTGCAAGGACCTGTAAGTATGCTGGTAGGCTGAATAATAGCCTCCAAAGATGTCCTCATCCCAAACCCTGGAACCAATGAATAATACTTTATTATGGTAAAAGGGATTTTGCAGACATAATTAAAGATCTCGAGATAGGGAGGTTATACTGGATTACCTGGGTGAGTCCTAAATATAATCACAACTGTCTTTATAAAAAGGAGGCAGAGTAAGATTTGACCACAGAACAGGAGAAAGCAATGTTGTGATGGAAACAGACATTACAGTGATGTGATTTGAAGGATAAAGAAGGGGCCACAGGGCAAAGAATCCAGGTGGCCTCTGGAAGTTGAAGAAAGCAAGAAAATTAATTTCCTCCTTGAAGCCTCTTAAAAAAACTAGTTCTGCCAACATCTTGACTTTAGCCCAGTGAAACTGATTTTGAACCTTTGGCCTCCAGAGCTGTTAAAATACTGAATTTGGGTTATTATCAGCCACTAAATTTGTCATAATTTGTTACAGCAGCAATAGGAAACTAATACATATCCCAATGTTAAGGAATATATCTCCCCAATAAATATGCCTATGTATAAGAAATTTATGCCAAATAATGAAACGTGTGTGAATATATTAAAAACCTCTTACTATTCCGAGGCCTAAATGACAGTACAGTGTAAATATTTTCTTTCTAAATTATTCAGTTTTGTGGTTATTTTATTGTCTTGTTTTGCTTACAATACTCATATTTGCCAGAGGTTTAGGTTTAATTTGGTTGGTGGTGGTGTGGTGGTTTTTTTGTGTTTTTTTTTTTCCAGTACAAAAGATAACCTTTCTCCAGAAACTATTTGGTCCTCCTCTACCCTTTATAAGCAAAGGATATCTTAGACTCATTGCTCTTGAAAATCTGACCATTTCAAATTCTGAATATAAATGTCCTCAGAGTCCATCTACATTAATTAGCTCACTTCAAGGTTAGCAATTAGAAGGAGAAAAAAAGTTAAAGCTCATCTACCCATTTCCTGCAATTGGATTTGCAAATTCTGTAAATTTAATTGACATATGAAAATTGAATCTCCCCAGCACTTTGGGAGGCCAAGGCAGTAGGATTACTTGAGCCCAGGAGTTAAGAGACCAGCCTGGGGAATGCACTGAGACCCCATCTCTACAAAAAAATTTAAAAATTAGCTGAGTATGATGACACACACCCAGTAGTTCCAGCTCCTCAGGAGGCTGAGGTGGGAGGATGGCTTGAGCCCAGGAATTCAAGGCTTCAGTGAGCCATGATTGCACCACTCCATGCCAGCCAGGGCAACAAAATGAGACCCTTCTCAAAAAAAAAAAAAAAAAAATTAAATCTCATTACTTGAAAATTGCGATTTTAAAAAGCATGCTATCTGTAGGTAAAGCAATGTTTCCACAGTCATAAGAGGAGTACAGAAGTTACAGTTTCTTCTTTGGCCCTTAGCAGGAGCTTGGCTCACAATAGTGATCAGACCAAAAGATGAAAGCACTACCACTGGTCTCTGGCCAGCTTTGTTGAATGCAAAACAGTTTCTGACATTATCAGTGACCATACTCAAAAAGCTGTTTAATTCTAATCCAAGAAATTAGGATTTATTCAAGGAAATTTCAAAAGTGCCTTCTATTCTTATTATCTTGGAATTATAAGAACTCTATGGTTTATTCTTTAAATAATTATATCCTTTAGAATAAGGATAAATTCTCTATTCTGTGAAATGGCTAGATGAAAATATTGCAAAACCCAAGACTTTCCTGGATGTCATCTATTAATATTACAACAAGAAACAGATGCACCTCTACTTAGAATCATAAACTCTTCTGCTGCTAAGAATCCTGAGACTTGTGATCTGGACCAAAACCCTTAGAACAGAGCAGAAGATATATTTTGCCACTCTTTTTCTTCCTGTGAAAACAGAAACAGAACAAAACAGGCTATGTGTATGTGTGTGTGCATCCTTCATATGTGGAATTGTTTTTTAAGCCATTTAACTAAGATGAGTATTAGCAACAATTACTTAAGAATTCCTAAATATTTCAGACAAAGATGTGTCTCCAGGAGGAACGGCTCCTATGAAAAGTATAGTTCTAACCAAAAAAGTATAGTTCTAACAAACACAGGTAGCTCTGTTAAAAACTGTACCCTTCTTACACATCAAAAGTCTCGAAAAGGAAACTCTTAGTTCCAAAAATAAGTTATGATGAAAACTTAACCACTGAAATTTTAATTATATGCTGTATTTAGCATTTTCAAATATCACATTCAGAAAATTTCAGACTGAACACACACTCTGGGGAATTTTGTGAATCACTGTGTTGTTATTAAGAGAAAAGCACATGCTAAACAAAATATAGCGGCACAGCGAGGCAAATGAGAGGAGACGTGCTACAAGAAACAAATTCTTGCACGACCAGGCTATCTGCAGCTTTGAGGAGAAGAGTTGGTAGTACATGAACCCATCACACACTAGTAACAATAGCCTCTAATTTCCCTCTATCACTTTTCTTCATAAAATATATTCACCTCCCACAGATTACGCGAACTGATGGGGCAAGTTTCCGGTTGGCAAACATTCATATCAGCCAATTTGCCAATGAGAACAATTGGCAGTGTTCTACTTTCAACATAAATTCCTAAGGTCTTCTCCATTTGGGGGCAATTACAGCTGTAAGATTACAGTTTCCTACAGTTCTCCAAAGCAAAGCAGTTGCTTCTAATTATTCCTTCATTTTAAAGCAATTAAGCCAAATGTTATTTGATTTCATTCAAGTGAATAAATATTGAGTTCTTCCTAAGATAAACCTCTAGAAAGCCAGAGTTTACACTGCCAGTCAGCAAATAAAATTCACAGTGATAAGGTATATCAAAGAAGTAAATATATAATTCTCCAGGAAGAAAGGAGCAGCAGCACCTACTGCACAGAGACCACAGGGTCTACTCTCTCCTACAGTGTTACGAGCACTGAAATGTTCAGTGGTTGGAGAAAATGAAAAGCCAGGTCTGACAAATACACAAATTTGGTCCTCAGTCCCTAAAATTAGAAATAAGTTTCCCCATCAGAATGAGGATGAACATTTCATTCACTCACTTACTCATTGCAGTTACAGAAATGAGTAAGAAACCATCCGTGACCTGAATAAGTTCACAGCAAGGTAGGCAGAGGCAAAGGGACAATAGGGTGCAGTGGTGTGCACCATGACAAAGGGGAAGTGCTAGGGAGGCACACAGGAGAGGCACCAAAAACAGACAGGCCAACCAAGGCCATTACCTATGCTGTATTTTGCAGAGAAATAGGAGTTAACCAGCAAAGGGAAAGGTGTTCCTATTACAATGACAAGGAGATGAAAGAAACCATGGTATATCAGGTGATGGTCTAATGGAAGGGAGATAAGGCTCTGAACTACACCGATGACAGAGGCACACAGACATCAAAGAGGTGAAAATACCCCATCAGTTGAAGAATTTTGCTTTTCAGTGTGTGAGAGATGAGGACACATTTATGCCCCTTTTGGAAACTTTACTGAAATTTTATGATTTGGGGAGAAAAGTAAACGTAGGACATTATTACAGTTCCTAGATTTGATGAACTAATAATTTTTAAAATGTGAATTGAGAAGGGAGAGGAGGGGCTCAAAAATATGAATTGATAGATAAAACATCCTGAAAATACACCCACAATTTTTTTTAGTACTTGGAAAATAAATCTGAAAATAATTTGAATAATCAACAATGACTTAATGCAACATGTAACACTTTTGAATAGTGGAAAACCTCTTACAAATTTGAGGAAAGTGCATTTAGCCAATGAAAAATTCTATATTTAATATATAAATTAGTTGTGCATAGTGTTAGAATTACAATATAACTAGATTAGAACCAAAAAGGTAAATCAGATTCTGGGTCTGATTTTTAGATTATAAACAAGAAATCTAAAATCAAACACTAACAGATTTGTCTTACCGAGTTTTTAAAGATATGACAATCTAGAGAAACAACAGTGACAGTAGACAAAAATTACTGCTGCCCTTTTATTAGCCTTAGTCGGCAACTTCTGTTTTTAATTGTTTTCATTCATTTGCTTAATTGAAACCAAAGCTGGCCAAGTGACTCAAGAATGAGTCACAGCTCCCCTCCTGGAGTAGCCACAAGCCTGACTGTGGCATACTGCATGCACTAAGCCTGAATTTCAAGTTGGAGAAGAATGCATGACAAAATGCCAAGGGCTGCTGACATTGCCAAAGAAGTTGTCAGGACCATAAGGATGTCCTGAGAGTAGAATTCCCTGCACTTCCTTTCCTGGTTGGAATTTATGCACTTATGCCTCATCGCAAACCACAGAAAAGATACACCTGTGTCACGCTGCTCCTTCCCCGACCGATCTTGTGATTTGATACACATCATTCCTTAAAAGGAAGGGACATCTGAGAGGGCACCCCTTTTACTTACTTCTCAATGCTGCCGGTCAGATTTCCAAAGACTACGGGAAATGGGAGGGCCAATGTGACTACTGAGATTGCCACACCTTACACACAGTCAGGCAAAGGATGCCTAGCAAGAGTGACAGTCTAAACATAACACCCTCCACCGCCACCCCAAAAAAACAGCTCCATCATTCACACCATAATCCTGTTTTAACAAATAATGCACATGTGACACAAAACCACAATATTTGGCGATCTGAAAAACATACCAAGAAATAATGTGTGATTATTTAAATTCAAAACACCACCATGACTATTGAGATGTTACTTCTTATAGAGGCAAGGATGAAACCCACGCATGACTAATTGGTCCCTTCCATGCTGACTGTGGAATCCTCCAGCCTTTGCACAATGAATGTGGCTAGTGACTGCAGCAGCTGTAACATCAGCACAAAAGGTTTTCTTCAAACCAAACTTCCATCTCTGCCTGCCAAATACCAGTATGTCATTTCCTTCCTGCTGGACTCCATGGTTTCTGGAGGACAAGAACCATGTAATTCTTAAACTTACACCATTGGTATCCTCTACTATTTGAGATAAGTACAAAACATTCAATGAATGTGTGATGAATGCAAAATGAGCAGGGAATACCTATAACTGCTTCTTGGCTGTTTATGCCCTCACTATCATGTTGACACAATGCTAAAGAAAGTATGCATAATTATCCTAATTACAGTCATTACAGCCAAAAAGCCCTTAAAGTTAATCACAAGGTTTCTAGTGGCACCCTTAAAATAAAATTATAAATTAAAATTCATAAAATTCTAAGACTCTGGTTAAGGCTTGTAGTCCCAATTATTAACACAATATAATGACTGCATTAATATCTATACACTATAGGTAGGCCCCAATTTAAGAAAAATTTTAGAATGTAGTACACTAACATGTCTAGTCCTTAGAATTTAGAATACATTTTTCCAAATAAATAAGGCTCTTGTGATCAAGTTCATAGGCCAGCAACCCTCAACTCAAAAAAGCTGAAAATAGAAAAATGAAATCATTTTATCTTTGCCTCCTTGCTTTGAAGCATCATAAAATGCACTCTGTCACACAGAGCATGTCTGCAGTCTTCTCAACATGCCTGGCATGGAATCAAGCCTAACCTTCTTGGGGAGCCAGGGAGGATGGACTCAGGGCTATAGGTATTCTTGACCCTTCATATATAAACAGGTGGTGGGAAGGGTAAGAATGAAAATGGGAAACAATTACCCTACAGAAGAGGAGGCGATCCCCGAGCCAGAAAACAGGCTAACCAACTTCGAGAAATGTCCCCACCTTCTATCCTTCAGGCACTAAGGTCAAGGGCCAGCCCTAAACTCAAGGAAAGCTGAGGAGGAAGGAGCCGCCAGATGGGACCAAGAAGGCGAGAGGCAGGAGTGTCTTAGGGATCTAGATTCTCAAGGGAGGAAACTATCAGGACCACAGGGGTGGGTTTTTTGGGGGGCTAGGGAATAGGGATAAATTCCCAAAGACTGAAATATCTGTTCCCTGTAGAAACAGGTCTGTAGATAAGAAAGGGGCAGAAATGGAAGAGGAAGCAGGCATGGAGGGAAGAGCTTGCAGCCTAGGGACATAATTAGGATGTCAGAACAATCCAGAAGTGCCCAGTGGATGACTTGGTTGTCCTTTCTCTCCATGTTTCCTGTTTTGGTAAACCCAAAGGGTTTATGTGATATTATCTCATGACACTAAACCCATGAAGTACTCAAATATTCTCATGTCAACAAGTAGCTTTGATTACCTCAAAGGCTCCTAATGTACTGGGCATTTAATGAGCACTTACAGAACAAAAGAACAATGAAAAAGGAATTTTGGCCTAAAGATTTATCTGCACATATGGACACAGTGAACTGTAACCTAATGGGATGTGTAAATAGACCATAACCTACTCTTGTACCAATCACAGAGTTTCAGCCAATCACAGAGTTTCAGCCAATCTCAGGTGGCCAGCTGTTCAAACTGTGTTCAAATAAGGCAAACGCTGAGCTATATCCAATCCAGCTGATTCTGTACCTCACTTCCATTTTCTGTTACTTTCCCTTTTCTGACCATAAATGTTATCCTCCCATGTGGCAGCCCCAGAATCGCTGTGGACCTATTCTGGTTCTGGGGGCTGCCCAATTTGCAAATCGTTCTTGGCTTCATTAAACTGTGTTAAATTTGTCTAGTTTTTTTTTCTAAACACTAAGATAACAGCGCCAATTTTAAATATAAACCTTAGTTTTCCATTAAGATATTAAAGACTAGAAACTAAATCTCCTTGCAAGTCCAAAAATGTTAAATTCTAAAGGAATTAAATTCTAGACTCAAATTTTCTTGCCTTTACACAGATGGTCCTAGGCTTACTATGGTTCAACTTACAACTTCATGATGATGTGAAAGAGGTACACATTCAGTAGAAACTGTACTTAGAATTTTGATCTATCCCCAGGCTAACAATATGCAGTTCCGTACTTTCTCGAAATGCTGGACAGCGGCAGCAAGCAAAACCTCCCAGTCAGCCAAGTGATCATGAGGGTAAACAACCAATACTCTACAATGTAACTGTGATGCCAGCATTTTTTGGATATAGTGTTTTTTGGTTTTCCATCCCATCATGTCTACAAAACACCCAGTCTTGACTTACAATGCTTTTAACTTATGGGTTTCTCAGGACATAACCCCATCTAAGTCATGGAGCATCTTTATATAGTCTGTCTTAGCCTGAGTTTCCCAGAAAGTAGAAGTTTAGACAAAATCCTGAATGCAGGATTTAGTTGGTGAAGTGATCCTGAGGAGCAGATTAAAAATGGGGAAGGAAGGAAGAAAAATACAAAGACGAATTACTAAACTGACCATTGCTCTTGGGGAATACTTAATATCTCCCCCCACCCCCATGCACCAGAAAGAAGCCCAGAGGAGGAAGAGTAAGACAGGACAGGTAGAGAATGTGGCCCCAGGTGAGGTGCTCTCCAGATGTACCCATGAAGTTCTTGGAAGCTTGTATGGAACTGTCTACTGCAGCTGTGGTTGCAATAAGAGGCCAAGCAAGACGATTTTGAAGTGATGGAGGAAAGATATCCAATACAAAGTCCAACAATATTAAAGGTCAAATTCATCCTCTCAAATTTCGTATTCTATATTACCAGCTGGAGGAGCTCTTGATGCCTGGGTAGAATTGTAGAGGTTTTTGTTGTTTTTGTTTGTTTTGAAACAGCTTCAAGCTGTAATGAAGAAAGTATAGTTCCTTCAGAGCCTCAGATGTTGAGTCAACGTTATCTCAAATCTTTGACATCCTCCACTTTTAAAGAGACCAAAGAATTATAAGGTCAGGCAAGACTATCATCTGCCCCACACCCACAATATTTAAAAGGAAAGCTAATCCTCAGGCCATGAAGTAGCTACCACAACAAGCAAGCCAGTGTTCCCAGAATCCAGAATTTGGCATAACCCAGAGCCATGTAATTGCTTCCAAAGACAACAGCAGAAACTCCAGGACATTTGAAAGATAGAGAAGGTTCTACAAATAAAAACAAAGTCCTCCTGGTTTCAGCCTTGCCAGGATGCCTGCGAAACTATGCCAATTTTCTAAAGCTTAAAACTCGATTGGGAGACAAGTATCCATCAATGAATGAAAAAGCAAACAAAAAGTGGTGTCTGTACAACGGAATATTATTTAGCCTTAGAAAGGAAAGAAATTCTGGCACAGGCTACAACATGGATAAACCTTCAGGACATTAAACTAAATAAAATAAGCTAGTCACAAAGGGCCAAAAACTGTATGATTCCATTTATATGCAGTATCTAGAGTAGTCAAATTCAGAGAGACAAAGTAGAAAGGGGGTTGCCAGGGGCTTCAGGGGGAGTTGTTGTTTAATGTATAGAGTTTCAGTTGGGGAAGATGAAAAGGTTCTGGAGATGGATGGTGGTGATGATTGCACAACAGTGTGAATGTACTTAATGCCACAGAACAATATACTTCAACATGGTTAAAATGGTAAGTTTTATACTATGTATATTTTAGCACAATTGAAAAAAAAAAACCCTCAACTAGAAGAAATCTTCAAGCAGGAGGTTAATTTTGGCCCCATGCATACTGGCAGGAAAAAATCTGACTTTGCAAAGTGTCTTCTCCCTCAAAGCCTGGCATTTGGAGCATCACTCACTTCTTTCAAAGTTCAGAAATTTGCAGTGGTGGCAACCGTAGTCCCTCCAGGCCCTATTTGTAGAACCTTTCTTTCCCAGCCCGCACATTCTAAATTTCCTATCTTCTACTTCTTCTGAGTCCCATGTTTCTAGTACTAAAGGACTAAACTGAATGTGGTCTCTGCGTAGTAGAGTCATCATCTTCACAATCTTTTACAAGCAGAAATTTTTAGTCTTGGGCAACAGCATCTGTTGCAACGGCTTTTTGCTGTGTAATTGCTTTGGGCTGTAAAAACTGCTTCCTGAGGAAGGTCATCTCTTAGTCCTCTCATTTTTTCCAAGTGAACTCTAGAAGATTCGAGAACTTCTTTTGATTCCAGAACCATTTCCGAGGCCAACATCCTTCGGGGCCTGTGACGAGCTACACCTTTTTATGGACACTTAAAAGATTAGAGTTTCTGTACATTTTAATGACCAGGTCCTCAGTACTTCTGTTTTGTTTGTTTTGCCAGAAGTAGGGTATATCCCTCATGTTAAATTTTCATACACTGATCCCATTTTCTTTTGAGAAAACTTCAGAGGCTCCTCCCATCTTCCTGTCTCTTCCTCTTTAGAGCTATCACTGTTGGGTAGAAATAAATGGCTTACTTTCTCTTTAACTTCCTGCACCAGATATTTGATTTTCTAACATATTCCTCAATGTTTTATCATAAAATCTCCCAGATGACAGAGAATTTTAAGGTTCTGAATATGATCTCCCCTACCAAAAAAAATGCATTATTTAAATAAATCTTGTCAACCTTCACTTCCCAAGTTACATAATCCCAGTCAGGAGGTGACTCTCATCAGGCCACATCCAGCCAGCCCTAGACTGTCTCCTCCTAGAATACCCCTCATCTTTTCCTGCCTCCCCTTAGAGTCTGAACTCCAAAAAACTTTGAGAATGTTCCTTCAGCGTGCAAGTGATACCTGCCTGCCCAATCACAGTAATGTTAACACCTTGAAACTCAGTGAATTCTTCAGTATGTTATGCTGGCATCGCTGGGCTTTCCCCTGCAAATGCAACTTTTCTGTAACCACTTGATATTGCTATCCCAGGGTCACCAACACTAGCCTAGTGAGATGATGAATATTTTATACAAACTAGAAGAAAGTACCCCTCCAGGACAGATGTAAACCCTGGTGAGATCCCACAGCGAGAAGACAGCAGTTGCATTTCAACCTCTACTAGCAGAAATCTTTACTCAGTGTACAAAATGCAAGACCATATCCAGCCCTTGGCCTTACAAATCATACTTCAGACTCTCACTACATCTTTAAAGGGACACTTGGCAACATTTTCTGAACCTGGTAAAAAAATTTCAGATCTTGTCTCACTTCTTCAGGCCCACCACACTTTCTAATTGGTAATCATTAGAGTGATCTCTTTTCCTTTTTATATCTGTGTATCCTGACTTAAGATCTCATTTCTCCCTTCATACCTCTCATGAAATGTGAACATTTCTCCTAGCTTAGTCTTTTCAGTCTACTACTGCTTCTTTTCTGATCATAACAAAACTTATTTTTCAAACCAATTCTACTTTCTCCTTGATATTCTAAGAAAACCTGATCTCTAGAATCCATACCAACCCCCGGCCTTTGTAATCATCTTCTTAACTTTCTGGTTTGCAATAAGATTACTGACTTGCTTGTCTATCTCAACCCAAGAATATGCCATATATTTCTTAAGGGCCACCCCCATTCCTTTTTATCTGCTAAATAACAAAATCCAACATCTTTTACAGCTACAGTTCCATGACCTAATGGCCAGAACTTAATTATGAAATCCAGAGCAAACAAAACTCACGTTTTCTTGTAGAGGAACTTCTGTTGGGGTATTAGAACAATGCTTCTTCCCCCTAGGCAGTGTAGAGTTCAGCTTCTCACAGGTCTTGTCTTTGAGACCTGCTTCTCTGCAGAGAGGATGTGTTCCTTTTTGACTTAGTTCTGATTCAATTCCTTTTTCCTTGGCACACCAGATCTCCTACTCTTAGAGTCTTGGTGGCCAGTCACTTCTGGCCATCTTTTTTTCCTTTTTATTTTTAGTTCATATGTAATAAATTTACATATTTATGGGATATAGAGTGATGTTTTGATATACGTATACAGAGGATGCTTTCTTGGTCTGCTCTTGATTAGTCAGTTGAGGTTGGTCATATCACAGGTGGCCTATTAAGATTTGTAGATAAACTACAAAATTACATAAGATTAGTCCCTCCAGGGCCTTCATTTGGCCTAGAACAAAATTAAGTGAATGTGGTGAAGCCAATTTATCATTTCCTTGGCTTGTCTCTCACAATTTAAAGAAAGAACCTCACACAATAGCACTCTTAAAACTTCCCAGCACTTTGGGAGGCCGAGGCAGGCACACACATCACGAGGTCAAGAGATCGAGACCATCTGGCCAACATGGTGAAACCCCATCTCTACTAAAAGTACAAAAATTAGCTGGGCATGGTGGCACACACCTGTAGTCCCAGCTACTCGAGAGGCTGAGGCAGGAGAATCGCTTGAACCTGGGAGGCAGAGGTTGCAGTGAGCCGAGATGGTGCCACTGTGCTCCAGCCTGGCAACAGAGCGAGACTCCGTCTCAAAACAAAACAAAACAAAACAAAACTCTGTGGCTTTTACAGTTTGAAGTCGTGGCCTAGAGCCTTGACTGAAATACAGTAAAAGCAGCAAATGCTATTCCACCCCAAATGACTAAAAATGTCAAACCCCTTCCTAAGCCTCACCTGCAACACGAGTCCAAGCTGTGCCCACAAAACCCAAAAAGCCCACCCACAAAGCCCAGCATGGCTCCACTTGCCAGGACCAGTGCATCCTGCACTTGCTAAGGCCTAAACACCCATCACAAACAGCTGTGCCTGGTTTTGACAGTCATTTGCCTGTAGGCTAGGCTGCCATAAGCTTCACAGTCTCCCAAGGTCAAAATAATAAATACTCCTCTTTCCTACTGAGTGAAAAACCCAAGGAGCAAAGATACAGAAAACAGATCGAAATGTAGGTGTTTTTATTAACAAAACTTAACATATATTGGAAACTGTGGCTTAAGGATGCCGGACCCCCTCTCATCTTCTACTTACCCTCTCCCCATGTGGTAAGCCTCTCCCTTGGAGACATGACCTACTCTGCTTAGCTTGTCATAAAAATGAGAATAGACTGTAAAACCACTGCCATCTTTGCAGGTAAGTAAGTCTCAAAGAGAAGACCCAGAAGAAACTAAGTTACATATACATACCCAGGTATATGCTAATATTCTAACAAAAGTTCTTCCACAGGTAAACATGAGATACAGGGAGAGTGTGTATCCTCCAAAATATACCTCTCTTATAACCTGAATTCTTTGTTATATGTTCAGTGCCTAATGAGGGCTTTGAATATTGTAGGGGTGAAATAAATGCTGAATGAATGAAAGAATGAACTCTATTTCTGAATGAACAAAACGCAGTTTTTTGTTTGTTTGTTTGTTATGAGACAGAGTCTCACTCTGTCACCCAGGCTGGAGTGCAGTGGCACAATCTCAGCTCACTGCAACCTCCCTCTTCCAGGTTCAAGCAAATCTCCTGCCTCAGCCTCTCGAGTAGCTGGGACTATTGGCGTCCACTACCACACCCAGCTAATTTTTTTGTATTTTAGTAGAGACAGGGTTTCACCATGTTGCCCAGGCTGGTCTCGAACTCCTGAGCTCTGGCAATCCGCCCGCCTCGGCCTCCCAAAGTGCTAGGATTACAGGAATGAGCGACTGTGCCCAGCCACAAAATGCAGTTTTGAACCTGCGGAAGTTAAGAGTGTAATATGAAATAGCTTGCACTTTTGGGATATGCAAACCAAAATGGCAGGAGGTCTCGGATGAAAGGAAATGTACCAGGCATAATCTAATCTTTTAAGAATGTTCAGCTTCATCATTAAATCCTTCTGCTATTTGGCTCAAGATGATTCTATGCCCAGCCACCTGGATGGTTTAGGTAATGTTATTATAGGGCTTGGGTGAAGAATGCTGGCTAAGATGAAAAGCTGATAGATATTAAACTATGTTTATTTGCCCTCTCTTCAGACTTTCCCTCATTAACATGAAAGATTATATAAGAAAAAAACAAGATCTTATTTAATTACAAGATACATTTGAATTTTTTAGAGGCCCTTGAAAAACACCTACATATTTAATTTCAGAGCAATTTAAACTTACAAAGGCATTTAACAAATATCTAAAATTATTTCCCTCTTGTTTACTGCTACTAATAACAGTTATTATATAGTTATTTATACATTCCTCCATATTTATTGAGCACTAGTGCTGGTCATTGTGCTGATCCCCAGGAATCAACAGTGAATAAAAATATAAGTGGCCCCTGCCATCGTGAAGCTTAGATCTAGTAGAAAAATCAGTCACGTCCAGGCGCGGTGGCTCATGCCTGTAATTCCAGCACTTTGAGAGGTTGAGACGAGCGGACTATCTGAGGTCAAGCTCGAGACCAGCCTGGCCAACATGGTGAAACCCCATCTCTACTAAAAATACAAAAATTGGCCAGGCGTGGTGGCGGGCACCTGTAATCCCAGCTATTCAAGAGGCTGAGGCGGGAGAATCGCTTGAACCTGGGAGGCAGAGGTTGCAGTGAATCGAGATCGCGCCATTACACTCCAGCTTGAGCGACAAGAGCAAAACTCCGACTCAAAAAAAAAAAAAAAGAAAGAAAGAAAAGAAAAACAGTCACAAAAATAATATTTAAAAGGATAAGATGTATACAAGGGGTATTTGGAAACCAAGAAACAAAAGAAAATGGCAAGTTCCAACTCCAGAAGAAAAAAATGGTGTGATAAATTCTGGGAATGGCTGTTTATGGAATGAGCGAGAGGAGGGAGTTGAGGCTGGGGAGGGCAGCAGGGTCCATACTCCAAGCATGGGGAAGCATTCTAAGGGTTACAAAGGGGTTCACTCGATAAGATTAATGTTTTGGCTATTTATCAAGATTACTGACAATGTAGATGGGATAATGGATTGGCATGAGGTAGAATACACATAGGGAGACTAATTAGGAGGCAGTGGTCCAAGTGAAAGATGGAGAGTGGAGAGGAGCAGACATGGATTCAAGATAATGAAGGCTGAGCACTATAAACACCCTGCAATAATAGCTTGACCAGTATCATGAGGTAGCTACTTTTATCCCATTTTACAGATGAGAAAATAGATTGAGAGGGGTTAAGTAATCCGTACAAAGTCATTTCACAAATAAGTGACTGAGATTGGAATAAAATCTACATGCCACTCAAGTCTTTGTTTTTAACCAAGACTTTGGAAATCTGTGCTTTTTGTCCACTAGAACTGTTTCTCTGCACACTATCTGGCAATATGTTAACAGGAGCTACAAAAATGTTTATGACCATTGACCTAGAAATTTCGCATTGGAAAACAAAGCTGAAGGAAAAAATCCAAAGGGGGAAAATAATCTGCACAAGGACATGGACAGTCATGCTATCCATAAAAGAGAAGGACTGAAAATAATCCAAATAACTGATTCCACAAATAAGGAGCATATTAATAAGATGGACTATTCCTCATTTTCACAACTACATGCTATTCCATTATCACTTCCTATGTGACCTTGAAGAAATTGCTCAGTGTCTTCTAAAATTCTTCAGCTATAATAGTTATGTTCTATTACTGGATCCCTCAACTACCCAAGGGAAATAGACATTAATAACACCAACCATAATAGTATTTAGTGGAAGGTGTTTTGCCACTCTTTTATTAAGAGTTTACAACATTCAAAGCTCTGAGGCAGGAATTTGTCATACTTTATCTTATCAAATCATGACAGCAGCCTACAGCACAGACAGTGGTGTCCTCCAGAGGAAGCCAAGGGAACCCAGAGGGAAAAGAGCCTGCCCTAGATCATCCAGCTAATTAGCAGCAGATCCAAAATTTGAACTCTAGAGCCTATAACCTTTTTGCTATAAAATGCCACCCACTGGTGATCACAGAGAAAATGGAGACTTAGAGATCACTGAGTTTATCAGCAATGGAGTCATGTGGAATGCAGGTCTCCCAATTCTGGGTAGAGTGTTACACATATGAAATTGCCAACAGACAAATCGACAGATTCAAATGTGCCAATTATATCATTTTTGAAAGCCACAATATTCCAAGTCTTATATTCAATGAATCTAAATAAAACATCTGCACAAAGATGACTACAACAGAGAAGAAAAGTTTGCCATAGACAAGCGAAGTTATAGAGTTCTAAGAGTTCCAAAAGAACTGTGAGGAAAGCCCTATACCATGAGAAGATCAGAGGATGGTGTGGGACAGGAGAAGGGAAAGAATCTCACATGATTACCAACTGTCCACTACATCTCTGGTGCTGTGCTAGGTATCTTGCCCATCTGAGTTCACTTACTCTTCACAATACTCTGCAGTAGGAATTATCCCCACTCCATAAGAAAGAAAATTAATATGCTGAGAGATTAAGGAATTTGCCCACAGCCATTCACCTAATGGTGCATGAGTTGAACCGAGGTCTGGCCAATGCTAAAGTCCATATTCTTTCAATATAACATGCTGCCTCCCACTGCAGAACTACTGGCAGAATATTATAATTTTTTCATCCTAGGATTAAAAAATATCTAGCATTCTCATCTAACCAACATTAAGGCCAATGTGAAGGATTCATTAAATAATCACTCAATGACCATTCATGGGAGCAGTCACCCTGTGCCAGGTACTGAGCCAAGAACAGGAAACTGACAAACAAATGGTCCCTAATTTCATGGAACTCACAACCTAGGAGTAATAACTTATGGTGACGCCTAAACATACATGAATACTCATACCGTTGGGAATTTGGGACACATTTTTGTTACCTGGCTTAAAATAGCAAAACTGCTCTCCTAGGAACTGAGTAATGCTGAATGGCTAAGTTTTGGATAGCTGTGGATTTACTCCTTTAAGCATCAGATCTTTGATTTTATAATTTTCATTAATCATTTTTCAATGCTTTTTCAATTCTCCCAGAACATTCTAAGCTCCAAAGTCTGAGACTCTGTACCCTCACCTTTACGGATTCCCCTAAACTACTGCATCCAAAAAATGAAAAACATACATGAATGAGAGAAAATAAGGTCTTCATAGTAAGTGCTTCACATGAGAAATTCTGAAGTACTTCCTGATATTGTAAAAAAAAAAATTGTAAGAGAATAAACATGATTTAAACTTCTCTTGAGGGTCATTAGTGTTCTGTAATGAAAACCTGCATTTAGACTGGTTCTGGCAAACCAAGTGACCTTGGTCAAACCATTGTATACATATCAGAGGACCTGGACTGCTCATTTTTAAAACCAAGTTGCTGAACTAGAATTATCTGTAACAATTTTTTCAGCACTATAATTGTATATAACTCTTTCAACAATAAAGCTGGCCAGGCGCAGTGGCTCATGCCTGTAATCTCAACACTTTGGGAGGCCGAGGTGGGCAGATCACCTGAGGTCAGCAGTTCAAGACCAGCCTAGCCAACATGGCGAAATCCCATCTCTACTAAAAATACAAAATTAGCTAGGCGTGGTGGTATGTGCCTGTAATCCCAGCTACTCAGGAGGAGGCTGAGGCAGAAGAATTGCTTAAACCCAGGAAGTGGAGGTTGCGGTGAGCTGAGATCATGCCACTGCACTCCAGCCTGGGCAAGAGAGACTCCATCTCAAAAAAAAAATAAACAAACAAACAAAAACAATAAACTGAATTGCCACAATGGTTCATTCAAATAGGACCATTCTAGTCCAAGATTAATATGGTTTTTTAATTACTGAATCCATGTTTTACAGTGTTTACTACTGCAAATTTAACTTTCAACTATGCTTCATTCCCATTTTAACTTACAACCTATATCCCCTTAGACTTAAACAGGCTTAATGAAAAGGAATGGAAACTACAATTTCTATTATACCATGCTGCCTCACAAGCTTATTAGAATAGTGTATTAATTAAAAGCCCTTAGGCTCAAAGTCAGAATCTAGAAACTCTCCAAATATTTGCATAAATGAAGTTTAGCTTGTTGCATTTATATGTAGTTTAAGAAACATTTTATGTCACATTCTGGTTTTTTTTACATATAATTCATTTATTTTTCAACAATTACTTATGAACAATCTTTTTTCTTTTTGTTTATTTTTGTTTGTTTGTTTGTTTTGAGACAGGGTCTTGCTTTGCTGTCCAGGCTGGAGTGCAGTGGCATGATCATGGCTCACTGCAGACTTGACCCTGCGGGCTCAAGAGATCCTTCCACGTCAGCCTCCCAAGTTGCTGGGAGTACAGGCATGTGCTACAGTGCCCAGCTAATTAAAAAAATAATTGTAGAGATAAGCTCTATGTTGCCAAGGCTGGTCTTCAATTCCTGGGCCCAAACAATCCTCCCACCTTAGCCTCCCAAAATGCTGGGATTATAGGCCTGAACATTATCATCTTAAACAGTGTCTCTGGAAGTACCCAAATCTTTTGTGTTACCACTCATTCTGAGCTCCAGAGCTCTCAGTTCCTGCTTCCTCCTTAGTGAGGATGAATTAATTGCTATATTTTACAGAATCCCAAAGTACATGTACACACACAGTTCTATTTGTCATAATAATCTCAACTTATGCATTTCTTGTGTGGCTGACTGAACTAAGTTTACTAACTTTCCTTAGCCAACAAATGCTTTCTCATATTTGAAAGTTTTCTGCTAAACCTACATTGTGGAGTATTGATAAGTGACAGAATTACTCTAGACCAACTTTTTCTATCAGGTATTGCCTATATGATTAAAAGAAAGTTGTACTACTGAATCATAACATTACTGAAAACAGGCTTGCAAAAATAAGCAGATGCTGTGAGCTGGTTGCAAGAGGGGACAAACAGCCTGGGTGCTGCTGGGAACTGAAAAACGTGACTTGAGAGCTTCTGGTTCATCGATAACGCTCTCCAAGCACACCCCTGGATTCTGGAAACCACAAAACAAAAAAAAAGTACTTCTACTGTATAGTGTCCAACTTCTCAGAATCAAAGTTCTCACAGCACCTGGTTCTCTCTGAGATTCTAATTTTATAAACATCTACTTCAAGACCCAAAACTCTCTCTGGGAATCAGAAGGCAAAAATGTGCATATAAATGTAACTTGTAAAGTTTGGCACAGTTGCTACTGTTACTTCTAGTAACAATAATAATAGTCACCATTGTAGTGTGTGGAATGGGACAGACTGAGGACAAGTCAGGGTTCAGGAGGACTGGGTGGTAATGATGAGGACTAGTTGAGCTTGCTGGTACTAAGCGAGAGTTAGGGATTCAGGGTGTCTGGGATTTGGAGCGTTGGAACATGACCAGGGGAATGACAGAAAGCCAAGAGGGTGTTGTTATGAGGCACTGCAAAGAGGTGAATGAAAGCAGGGGCAAGTTGCAGTGAACACAGACAGTAAAAGCAAGGTGGTAAGCCACTTTCTCCAACAGCTCTCTGCTGCTCACGGGCAAGGGCAGCAAAGCCTGAGAAGGAGGGTGCTCTAGGAGTCAGGTGACTGGCATATCTCATGTTACAGAAGGTGAAGGGAATTGGAGTAAAAATGGAAAGGCTGATCATAAATTCTGACAGGACTCGAGAGTACACAGTCAAGACCAGATGGACCAGGAAAGGAGGAGATATCAGTCAACTAAAGAGCACAGGGAGGATAATGGCTTAGTAGATGTGAGGGAGGGAGAAGTAGCAAGTCTAGAGGTTAGAGAGAGGAGAGAGAGCAAGCCTCTTTACTTTCAGTACTTTAGATGTCCATTAAGTATTTTGATTCTATAGTTTTTGCTCCCTGAACTTTCAAGATATTCAAGAGAATAGACCATCATCTCATGCTCCAGCCTATCCACCAAAGATAGGTACTTCAATGTCTTTCCTGACAAATGCAAATGGTATGGCCAAATTTCCAGTACTAATGTTATTAAGGGTCCTACATCATCGTTCAGAATAGATTTTTGTTAGAGACATCACTGAGATCTCAATGTCTTTGCACATTCTTCATCTCACATAACTCTCTCTCTACTCAGTTTTATTTCTCAAACCTTCTTCCTCTGTAGTAACCATTCATGTCTCTGTCCTCTTCTTGGTCTCATCTCTCTCACCCAGCTGCATGTACTTTTGCACCAGTCTTATAACATCCAATAACTTTATTTCTGCATTCTTGCAAAAGCCTGACTCCCAGATCAACTCCATTTTCTCTTCGCCCCCTAAAAGTGGGAACTTCATATGATTTATCTCTATGCCTTTGTGCCCTGTACAAATGTCTATAGAGAGAAATACAAAAGCAAAAATTGACAAATGGGATCTAATTAACTAAAGAGCTTCTGCACAGCAAAAGAAACTCTCAACAGAGTAAAGAGACAACCTACAGAATGGAAGAAAATTTTTGCAAACTATGCATCTGACAAAGGCCTAATATCCAGCATCTATAAGGAACTTAAACAAATGTACAAGAAAAACACAAACACCATTAAAAAGTGGGCAAAAAACATGAGTAGACAATTCTCAAAAGAAGACATACATGCAGTCAACAAGCATATGAAAAAAAGCTCAACATTACTGATCTTCAGAGAAATGCAAATCAAAACCATAATGAGATACTATCTCATATCAGTCAGAATGGCTATTATCAAAAAGTCAAAAAAAAAAACATGCTGACAAGATTATGGAGAAAAAGAAACACTTATACACTGTTGGTGGGAGTGTAAATTAGTTCAACATTTGTGGAAGACAGTGTGGTGATGCCTCAAAGACCTAAAGACAGAAATACCATTTGACCCAGCAATCCCATTGCAGGATATACACCCAAAGGAATATAAACTGTTCTAGTATAAAGACACACGTACACATATGTTCACTACAGCACTATTCACAATAGCAAAGGCATGGAATCAACCTAAATGTCCATCAGTGATAGACTGGATACAGAAAATGTGGTACATATACACTGTGGAATACTATGCAGAATGAGATCATGTCTTTTGCAGAGACATGGATAGCGCTGGAGGCCATTATCCTTAGCAAACTAACGCAGGAACAGAAAACCAAATGCCACATGTTCTCACTTATAAGTGAGGGCTAAATGATGAGATCACATGGGCACACGGAGGGGAACCACACACACTGGGGCCTATCAGACAGTGCAGGATGAGAAGAGGGAAAGGATCAAGAAAAATCACTAATGGGTACTAGGCTTAATACCTGGGTGATGAAATAATCTGCACAATAAACCCCCATGACACACGTTTACCTATGTAACAAACCTGCACATGTGCCCCGAACTTATAACAAAACTTTATATATATATATATATACACACATAAATTCAACCTAAAAAAAGAAAGACAGGAGAGAAATACCTTGAGCCATGCACACACATAAATAAATCCATTTTGTGACATTAGTGGTATAATGTACACATGAGCAAAATTAACTATGTATCCAGAAAAGCATTACCCACCTACCAAACTTTAGCCATGCCCATTCACTCTAACCCAAACGGCTCCCTTCCCATCCACTGTTTTATAAGGGAAAATATGAAGTAAAACCCGTACTGTATAGACTAAAAGCAACACAGGGTCAGGGATTGAGTTTCATTCACATTTGAATACCCAGCATCTACTACAAAGTCCAACATTGAGCAGACAATGTGATGATTTAAATAATTGCTTCACTTGCACAAATTTCCATGAAAACAGAAGCAAACAGAAAGTAGAGGGGCTATAAAATTACCAAAAAGCAAATAATCCACAAACTAATCAGACTAAAAAATAACAGAAATTTCGTTGTTTTAGATGTTTCATTTTAAATAGAACAACTTTCAGTTCAAAATAATACAATCTCATTTTACATTTCTAGGGCCTGCCTTGTTTTTTGAAAGCACTTTTCCAGTCATTTCCTCATGCAATTTGCCATCTATCCACTGAATTTGGCAGCAGGAACGGGAAACTTCACCGAATCTGGAATTAGGACAGTTGGACTCAAGTCCTGTCTTCACCACTTCCTGTCTGTGTGACCTTGAGAAAAGCCCTTTAGCCAGGGCACATATCCATTTCCTCCTCTGTAGAGCAGTGATAAGATCTTATTCTTCCTGTCTCATAGACATGAGGATTGGGGAGGCAGTGGGGAGAAGGAAGGAAATAATCTTACCAAGTACCCACCATGTACCAGGCATTTAAATATTTTCATTCTCACCATAATCCTGCAAAGAAATTCCACAATTTCTTGCCTATCAGATGAGAAAACAGATTCAATAAGTAAAGTAACTTTCCCAGGGTCAGTGTTGTTAAGTGCCAGAGCTGGGATTCAATCATTTCTGCCTGATCCCTGATCATGAAACCATAATGCTGCCTTGATATGTGTAAAACATTTTAGTTGCTATTTAGTATATTATTGCACATGTAAGTATCCGCTGCTATTGCTATAAGTACAGAAGCCAGAGGCAAAGAGAAGGAAACATGAAGGCCACACAGCCTGTCAGAGACAGATCTGGGACTAGAACCCAGGTCTCCTGACTCCTGACCTTAAGTGTTCCCATTAAACCATGCTGCCCCCATGCTCCCAGGAAAAGGCATAGGGAAGCACGACGCTTGTTTATTCAGACCAGCTGTTACAGATCTATTTTAAGACAGGCACTCTGAAAACCATGGAAGGTGAGTATCAAGTGTATCATTAAATATTCCATATTAATTGACCCTTTAAAGAACTCTCATGTGAGTAGCATGTGCTGCTGGCTTCCTGTTAAGCAAGCAACTCAAAAACTGAATACACTTCTTGTAACACAGATTTTGAAAGCACATTCAGACAGCAGCACAAAATACAATTTAAAAATAATTTTACATGGAAATCAAAAGGAACTACTTTGCTGTTCATGGTTCTATCCACTAAATGCCCAAGATTAAGGAAAACCAGAATGTCAACTTGTGACTGGCTTTAACACCATGAAGGGTCTATGTTAACAGAGGATGAAAAACATGATAAAATAATGCTCCAAATAATAGCTAACAATAGGTTGTCTGTGAATTTACAAAAAGAATATTTATAATAGAAAAAAAATGCCCTATCAAAGCACATCATTTTAAACAACAGTGTTCCTGCTTCCCAGAGAAATGTAGGCACTCCTGACTCCAGAACAGAGCATTAAACCATGTGCTTGAGACCAGCTGTCACAAGGCACAGTATTAAAAGGCTAAAAAGGAACAGCTACACTCACTTTCTCTCTTCCCCTCATTAACTTTCCTTAGTTTTCCTGATTTCCTTTCCTTTTCCCATTATATACCTGTCAAAAGTCTAACACCCATTTTATACTGAATAGTGTGATAAATGTGTATGAAATCATCCAGATTCAGTATCCTGAGGCAAATTTTTTTTTTTTTTTTTTTGAGATGAAGTCTTGCTCTGTTGCCCAGGCTGGAGTGCAGTGGCATGATCTTGGATCACTGCAACCTCCACCTCCCAGGTTCAAGCTATTCTCCTGTCCTGAGGCAAAATTTTAACTCAATATCTGACTAGTAAGGAGGTGCTATTAACAACAGCCATAAGGCCAATCAGAACACTCCTCCAAGGGAGCCCCACACAACAGGAAAATACCATGGGAGGGGGGGAAATTCATTGCAGTCCTCATCGCAGTTCACATTCAGATAGGCCGATAGCCTCGCTGACAAGAATTCAGTTCGCTCTTAATGTTCTTATTCTAAGTTTGGCTCTACCACAAACCACTTGTTGGTGTAAGTTACTAAACCCCTCTTAGCTTCAGAGAGTATCCACCACATGGGGATAAATAACAGTGCCTGCCTCACGGTGTTGGACAATTAGATGAGATAATGCATGGAAAGCTTTAGTAACTGCCTTGTATGTTTCCACAGAAGCAGTGATAATCATTATAGTAAAAAATAGTTAACATCTATTGGGCACTTGTTATAAGCCAGTCACATTAATTAATTCAGCTAGCCCTCACAAGAACCCTAGGAGGTAGGTTCTTTTATTTGGTCTATTTTAGAGATGAGGAAGCTAAAGAACAGACAGATAGACAGGTTTAGTCACTTTCTGAGAGTCACTCGGTAAGTGGTGAAGTAATGTTACCTGCTATTATTAGTAATGGCACTTAAGTATTTTTGGTTTTTAATGACAGTCAGTGCTGGCTATGTTTTTTTTTTAATTTGTAGATGTTTGAAAAGGTAGTAAAGAGTCACCATTTTCATCCCATTGATGAATTTAATCTATGCCTATTTATGTATGCCTATTAGGTATGACTCCCTGTGTCCATTTCTAGTGCCATATATAAAGGAACTAGCCTATGGCATCCTCAATCAAGCCAAAGCCTGGAAGGGAGACGGATAAGGAAAAAAAACTGCAAAACAGCAAGAAATGCTGCATTCTACCAGACACTGTGGCACAAAGCAGCATGTGCTCAGCCACACCTGGGAGAAAAGTCAGGGAAGACAATACAAAGATGACTCTTGAACTGAATCTACAAGTAGACAAATGAAAAAGGGAACTTCAAGCAGACAAAAAGGTATATGCAACAGCACAGAGACATTTAACAGCATAGTCTTCAAGAAACTGCAAGAAGGTCAGGAGTACAAAGTGGAGAAGAGCTTTGAGAGATGAAGCAGCACAAGACCATGAGCTCTTGCATACTAAGGAGGTTGGATTTTATCCCATGGTCCATCAGGAACCACTAAAGTTATAAGGAGGTTGTCTGATCATCTGCCCTAGTAGCTCAGATCAAACCCTAGGCATCCTTAGTCGCTCTCCATCACACCCAATGTTCATCCACATGTTTCTATCTCTACTCTGAAAATATATCTCACATCAAATGAAGGGAACAACGGCATACATGCATGCAAATGGGAAAGATCCAAGTGAGAACTGATGATGCAGAAGAGCATCGGGGTAAGAGTGAAGGAGAAACTGGCCTTGGCCAGGAGCACTGTTAACTCACTCATAGTGCAGGAGAGAAGGCATCATCTATGAGCACAGATGCAGGAAGGTGGGAGCCTGAGGAAGCTCTCCTCCAATTTTGTCTTTTCTCTCAGTGGAACAGGAAGTAAGATTACGAGTTGAGAGAAAGAAGGGAGAAACGGGTGATTAAGTTAAGTTTAAGGAAAGAAGAAAAGGTAGTACAGAGTGATCTGGAGAGTCAAAAAGTAAATGGTCTCGGGCAGTTCTCAAACTTTTTTTTCCTCAGGACCCCTTTCCACTCTTAAAACGTGATTGAGAATCCTCAGCAGCTTTTGTTTGGGGTTTCACAGCTATTAATGTTTAACATACTAGAATTCTAAACTGATAAGCCTTTGAAACGTACACAAGCATATATGCTACAGTCAGCCACAGCAACGGTATAGGCACTATCACACAGCCTTTGGAAAATTCCTCTATATACACATTAGAAAATGAGAATGAGGGCAAATAATCTATTATTATTCGATTATAAATAAAACCATAAAGAGAGTTTTGAAATTGTAGGACCCGTAAAAGCACTTCAGGGACTGCCAGTAGTTCCAGACCATACTTTGAGAACATTAAAGAAATATAATCAGATGACTGGATGGCCCAAGGTGCCCACTTGAGGTTAGGGATCATGAACTTAAAGTGAGAGCAGTCAGCACGGTGCGGGTTTTCCTCCATTACATTCAGCAGCTCAGTTGTAAGCAGGGAATAAGTAACAAGTTGAATTTTACCAGGGTTTTGTTTATCCAAACAAGCAGGACAAATCGAGGGACGTCAAGGAATTATAATGGCTATAGTATTTAAGCTAAGTAGGAAGGAAATGAAAACTGAATCAGGAAGTTAAGAGGTGGTAGAAGCAATGAGTTCAAAGGATTGTTGGGTTTTAGGTATTAGTAGAACAAACCCAAAAGAAAGGGGTATTAAGAGAGTGGGATGCATGAAACTGAGAAGAGAGAGGGTAACTGGTAATAACTTCCAACTCAGAGTCCAAGACAGAATGTGTTCCCTTTCTCACTAAAATGTGCCCCTTCTTTATGACACTTCTGTCACCTGATGCTGAAACCTGGGTCTCAACCTAGATACTTTCCACTCTTTCTCTGTATCTAAAAGGTTGCAAAGTCCCAGCCATCCCAACTCATAATTATCACTTTAATCTTTTTTGTTCCTCTCTATCCCTCTATTCACCTCCTTTCTCTGGCCTTATCTTCTGTTGAATGACTTCAGTACCAGTCCTGCTCACGCCTAGTTTTGTCCCATCCAATCCACCCCTCTCTATTGTGAGTGAACTTTCTACAATGATCAGGCTTCATACCTATGGAGCCACTGTAATTATAGAGGCAGGGGTGTAAAACAGGCAGACTGAGGCTGTCAGTATGAATTTGGGATCCAGCAAGGTAGGTAACACCACAGATGTCATGAGATGCTACAGGGAAGCGAATATGAAATCAAAACACAACTAAAGAGAAAACTCTAAAATGTTTAAGATATGTTTCAATAAAGAGAAGCCAGCAAACAAACAAACAAAAACTGAGAAGGAATAATAAGAGGTACAAGAGAATCAGGAGAATATGGTGTGGTGAGAGTAAAGGGAAGAGAGAGTTTTAGGAGAAGGGGATGATCAGTAACATCAATTGCTACAGGGGATTCGAGAAAAATAATAAAAACAATCCACTGTATTTGAAAATTAGAAAATATGTGGTGATCTATACTAGATCAACCCCATTTGTATTGCAAACATGGTATAATTTTCTCCATCTTAAAAAAAAAAAAAGACACGATCTCATTTCCTCACTCTGGCAAGCCATGGGATTGTACCTCACCAAGAGGGTTTCAGTACTTCAGTGCCTTACCCCAGGCTCTGCTTTCCAGAGAACCTAGGTTAAGCCACCAATCACGCAGACAGAACAAGTGCTTAAGATGCCTAAAGATGCCACAACTACTTTACATGAAAAGATCCTGATTGGTATTGAGTTTAAAATTATGCTGGCAGATTATCCAAGAGAATAACCTAACAAATGGCAAAGAGGTTAATGACTTCTGAGAAGACTAAGGAATGATATTATTCTGAATGAACTGACTAAAAATGTTACTAGGCACACCATTCTTTTTGGGAAATAACAGTTCTTCCTCCTTCCCTTTTGTATAACCCAAAAATCTGTAAGTCACACCACCTTGTATGGGAGGAGGGAGTGTGTAGACATGTATTTGGAATTCATGCCTCAATGCTAAAACTAAATCATAGTTTTTAAAAACAATGTATGGTTGTGTACAGCAGAAACTAACTCTTTAAAATAATAACAGCAGCATCAAAACTCAGCTTAGAAGGAAATCTCACAGACAATAGTGATGAATTATTTTAGGAATGCTGCATCACCAACACTAGATGTTCAAAGGGCAACACTGTATGAAAACACATGGCAATCAATGACTCTAAGTTCAAGTGGTATTCAGAATAGTCACAATCTGAACAAAAAGAAGATTTTAAAACACTTTAAATTTTACTTATTTTTTTTTATCATTATACTTTAAGTTCTGGGATACATGTGAAGCAAGTGCAGGTTTGTTACATAGGTATACATGTGCCATGGTGGTTTCCTGCACCCATCAACCCGTCATCTACGTTAGGTATTTCTCATAATGTTATCCCTCCCCTTGCCCTCCAACCCCCGACAGGCCCCGGTGTGTGATGTTCCCCTCCCTGTGCCCATATGTTCTCATTCTTCATATATAGATATATCTTTTCACATACAAATACATATACACAAGAGTACCATATGAGAAAATCTGTCCATCTAAAGAGCTCTTTCAATAGGTATAAAATAAGAATTGTGTCATAAGAAAATAAACTATATCTAGGCCGGGCACAGTGGCTTACAGCTGTAATCCCAGTACTTTCGGGAGGCCAAGGCGGCCTGATGACCTGAGGTCTGAAGTTTGAGACCAGATTGGCCAACAAGGTAAAACCCCGTCTCTACTAAAATACAAAAATTAGCCAGGCGTGGTAGCACACACCTGTAATCCTAGCTACCTGGGAGGCTAAGGCAGGAGAATTGGTTGAACCCAGGAGGCAGAGGTTGCAGTGAGCCAAGATCTCACCACTGCACTCCAGCCTGGGTGACGGAGCAAGACTCTGTCTAAAAAATAAATAAATTAATTAATTAATTAATTAACCCATATATTGATTTCTTTTCCCCTAGTAGCCACTATCCCATTTTTCTGTTCTCTTTGCAGCAAAATTACTCCCTAAAGAGCTGTCTATACTTGCTGTCTCAACCCTCTCCTACTATCAGGTGTTTGCCCACCACATCACCAAATCTGTTTTTGTCAAGGTCACCAAGGAAACTTATATTGTTTAAATCTTCTATCCTCAGTCCTTATTTCACTTGATCAGCAGCATTTGACATGTCATCGCTCCTCCCAAAAATACTCTGTTCACTTGGTTTCCCTCCTACCTCATGGCCATTGCCTCTCAACTCCTTCACAGGTTCTCCCCATCTCTCTGCCCTCGAGAACAGGCATGCTCCAATGGCTCATCAGACTTTTTCTTCTTTCTTCACTACTCCCTGTGTGGTATCACCCAGTCTCATGATTTTAAATACCATCTTCACCTTGATGACTCCAAACTTTATACCTACATCTCCAACTCCTCCAACTTGCTCGGCGTACCCATCTAGATGTCTACTAGGCACTTCAATCATAACTAGCTCCAGATATTCCTTCCCCTCTCCCCACATACACCCCAACACCATACTTCCTCTAGTCCTCTCCATTTCAGTAAATGGGAACTTCATCATCCAGTTTCTCAGGGCAAAAATTCTGGAGACATACTTGACTCCTCTCTTCTCATATCCCTAATCTAGTCCATCAATAAACCCCTGCTGGCTCCATCTTCAGAATATATTCAGAGCCTATTCTTCCCACCATCTGCCCTGCTATTGCTTTGGTAAAAGCCGCCATCATCTCTTGCCTGAATGATGTATTAGCCTGGCCACTTCTATCCTTGCTGCTCTCCAGTCTGTTCTCAATGCAGTAGCCAAAGTAACTGTAGGAAAGGTAAATCAGGGCTGGGCGTGGCAGCTCATGCCTGTAATCCTAACACTTTGGGAGGCCAAGGCGGGTGGACTGCCTGAGCTCAGGAGTTGGAGACCACTCTAGGCAACATGGTGAAACCCCCTCTACTAAAATACAAAAAAGTAGCCGGGAGTAGTGGCACGTGCCTGTAGTCCCAGCTACTCTGGAGGCTCAGGAACGAGAAACTCTTGAGCCTGGGAGGCGGAGGTTGCAGTGAGCTGAGATCAGGCCACTGCACGCCAACTTGGGCTACACAGTAAGACTCCGTCTCAAAAAAAAAAAGAAAAGAAAAGAAAGGTAAATCAGGCCATGTCACTCCTCTCCTCATCCCTCTGTTGACCTCTCATTTCACTCAAAGTGAAATCCAAAGTCCTTAAAGTGGCCCACAAGTCCTAAAAATCGAGCTTCCATTTTCTCTCTGACTTCACGTTTCCCACTCTTTCCCACACTCACTCTCCTCCAACCACACTGACCCTGCTGTTCCTCCAGTATGCCTGCCACTTAATGACCTCAGGAGCTTTGCACTTGGTATTCCCTCCACCAGGAATATTCTTTTTTCCAAACATTGACATTCCTGTGTTCCTTCACTCGCTTCAGGTCCCACCTAATTGTCACTCCCTTGGAGAGGACTTTCTTGACTACCTTCTATAAAATTGTATTACATTTCTCTCTAGTTCCTAACTCAGCTTCAAATGGGTTCATAGCACATTATAGATAAATATATAAATAATTATATACAATAAATTGTATGTAAAAATATAAATATATAAATAAATTATACAGTCATTTATTTATGGTTCAACTCTACTAAAATCCAAACCCCTTTAGGGCAGGGACTTTGTTGAGTTTGTCCAAGACAGTGTCTAAAACAGCGCCTGGAACATAGTAGGACCAAGTAAATATTCATTGAAGGAATCCTTGAAGTCTGAATTATTCATTTAAACAATTCAAAGTTTACATACACTGTCCATAGTGGCCACTAAACTCATTGACTGTATTACCCCTACTATAAAGCATAGTATAAAGCAAAATTTTAAGTTTCAAACTAAGACTAAGGTACTCTCATTCATGATAGATCTAGGGGTGGTTATAGGCATTCATGAAGATCTTCTTAACCACTAAAAGTGACATCAAGCCAATAACTCATGCCCTTCCACAGGCACACCCCCAGCCCCAACCCCAGCATGTGCCGCCCACCCAGTACAGCTATCACCAGTAGGCTCTTCTCTTCCAGAATCATTCACATGCTTTGTGTCCTGGCTAGAATACTGTTTCAGATGAAAAATAAATCTCAAATATAGACACTAAAATCTAACATATACAGACACCAAATTTCTTAGATATTCACTGGCCAACTGCATTTTATTTAACTGTATTATATAATAAGAGGAACATGTTAAATGTATAACTAAATATGATTAATGTTTACCTCTTTAACCTATCATAAATAAAAACAAACACTAAATCAGCATGAAAAAATATACTTATTTTTGAACTGAAGATCATCCTCTTACCAAGATGGCAAGATCAAAAACAAACTGATGTCAACAGCCAGAAAGAACAATAAGTAAGAAAACTGGGATCCCATCCATGCTTTTATTTTGAAAGATAATCAACTAACTTATTAAGATTCCAAGATTCAAACCTATAATTGAGCAGTCATTATTTGCAGTTATTTATTTTTTTAAATGCAAACAAGGCAGAAGGCTAACAGAGAATAGAAAGGCATCCCACTCACTGGAATAAACACTCATTTTAAAAGGCTGGTCATTTTATAGCCTCTTTCAGGAAAGCTAAACAGGCTACAAACAAAACATCAATAAATTAAAATTTCTTTTGTCAACATCTGCTCTTTACAGTCTCAATATGTCACAAAAGTCAGAAGTGACAGCTTCCAGTTATTTCTCAGGTTAGGAGATCATGTGCTATAAAAAATAGTCTATTTCAAATTAATATCTTCAACAGAATCTAAGTAGACAGAACGACTCTCAGACATACCAAAACGCCACAAGTACTAGTAATGACATCTCTAACTCCAGGGGAATACATTCTGCTGGGACATGACAGGGTTGTACCAGGTTAATAGTGTATTCACTACAGCTAGAACCTTTCCCAAGAAAGAGATGAGTAGTTAGCGGCAAAATGTCTAGGGTTATCAGCCCAAAGGAACCGGTAGGCCTCTACAATTGTTTTAAAATTTCTATTGGAACCTATTACTCTTAATATAACAATAGCAGAAAAAATGTTTTTCATAATTTTGCTAATAGTAAACATTTATTAAGTACATGTGCTAGGCACTATAAGCATGTTAAATACGTCAAGTTGTTTCATAAAATCATTTCATAAGTCTCATTAAAGGATTTAATGACAACCTGCATGATACAAACTCATCGGCCTAGCATCCACTTGTTCAGCAGCCTTGCCTCTCTGCAATGAGGCCAAGAACCATGAGGAAAGCAAAAACAGACATCACCAGGCTCAGGTACTAGCCTTCTAGGATTCACATTTGAGGGAAGCACCCTCTCATAGGACATTACAGGAGAAACTGTACTTAATTTGGAACCAGAAACCTCAAGGTTGAACAGACTTAAGAACTCAAAAGTGCAACGGCACAAAGAAGGTCATTAGCTGTCCTACTTACCTTATTATAACCCAGTGATTTACCATCTGATAGCATAGTGTAATAATTCCTTTAGGGCAAGTATCCTGGTGTGCTCATTTTGCTACCCCCACTAGGGAACAGAACTCTTAGAGCATTGTATGTGCTCAATTTTCATTAATGATGCTTATAATGACAATCTTTGGTCATCAGAAAGATTAAATTACATCTAACATAAGAGGAGAAGAGTGAAACACATTCAAAACGATTCTCATCCATTGTTAGCATTCAAATAAAGGCTTCGAGGTTTAAAAAGGTCTTCAGCTGTCCAGAAAACGTGATTATTGAGAGCAACTGCTGAGAGTTCCAGGAAACAAGTTCCAGGAAATGTGCACAGTACTGTACTCCCTACTGGTGGGCCAAGGCATCCTGACCCACGCTGCCTCCTGAGGCTACAGGCAAAGTGGAAAATGGGGATGTGTGAGAGTAGCTAACTGCAGCTCCCACCATAATAGAAAAGTCTGCCAAACCCCTCAAAGGAATTTCCAGAGTTGAGACAACTCTGAAGGGGTACCGAGAGGTAGCAATCACCATGCATGTTTATGGGGGTATAAAATAATTTACCTCACTTTTAAATACGTATGGCTCTCCCCACTTCCATGCCTGTTCTTTCTTAGGGACTGCCCACCAGCAGGTTGAAGGCAAACAGGCAAGGAATGCAGAATCTGAAGTGCAGGGGACCCTGATGAAACACTGACACCAAGAATCACAGATGACTGTGTGTGCTCTAACTTTAAATACATACTTATTAAATCATATAAAGTCCGTTCCTTCTTAAAAGGCGCTGCTCTGGTTGCTAAGTAGCTGAGGCTCTGCGTCATAGAGGATTAGTGCTGAAATGTGTCAGGGAGAGGGCTCTGTCCTCTCCCTTTTAAGTTGAAAGCAGTTTGGTTTTTTGTTTTGTTTTAACATTCTGAAAGAGAAAGAGGCTCTGAACCGAGTTTAACATCCTTCTGTACAAAAATTTTCCGACAGGACAAATAAACTACTCTTCCACTGAACTGTGACTTTTGAGCTGACTCTAGGGTGCACCCAACCTTCCAGAGGTGTCTGGCTTAACCCTCAAAGAGGCAGCTCCAGCCCCAGGAGCCGACCGGCACCACAGCACCTGAGCAGGGCACTGCAGGAAGGAAAGCGGAATCTCTAGTGAAACTTCTCATTTCCTGTCGCTGCTGAGAGAGGCTGGACTCGCTCCTTCTCACATGGCTTAGGAAGAGCTGTAAACGGGAGCTTGCCGGCTGGCCACCAGCTCAGGGGCCCTGGGGGCGGCCTCCGGGTTCTGCTCCCTGTTCTTCCCTTTGACCAATGTCACTCCTGGACAGATAACGGGACCAAACGCCCTTCACTTCCTCGAGTCCTCATGTATGTCATGGTTCCTCTTTTAGGAAAACATGAGTACAAGACGCAAAGCAAAAGAAGAGACTAAAGGCAAATTACCCCATCACCTCGTTTCGTCCCTCCCCTTCGTTATTATAGAAGAGCTTGATCAAATTCCCTTTGTCGCGCCACACACACGCAGAGTAGGTGAAGGGCACCCTAAGACAACTTATTTCTTTCCCGCCTCACAGAAAGCCTTTACGAAATCCTCACACCATCTCCGGACGCAAAGCTTTCGCATTCAGCTTGAGGAGCTAAACCATTTCAAGCCAAGGTAGGAAACGCCAAAGTGGTGCCGAAGTGGTCCCAAAGCAGAAGGCTGGGAAGCAGGGCAAGCTCAGCGCACCTAGACGTTTGCATTTACACAAAGAAATTAGCCGCATGATTAATGGGAGCTGCCGGCTGGAGGCGGGGCGCCCGTGCCGGCCTCCTCACCTGGGACATCTGCGGCCTCAGGTTGATCTCCTTCAGGTTGATGGAGTGCGCCCGGAGGTTGTTAAGCAGCTGGCAGAGCAGGACTCCATCGCGGAGGGTCTGCGCAAGGTCGAACACCTGAGCCGAGTCCCAGGTCACCCGGTGGTTGGTGGGCAGCACCTTGCAATGGATGAGCCACTGCGCGCACTGCTTCCACGGCTCCATGCCCGACGGCTCCGGGACGCGGCTGGGCCGGGGCGGGCGGCAAGGATGCGGCCGCCGCCGCCGCCGCCGCGGTTCCTCCGCGCCCCGCCGACGCCAACAGCCGCCGGCCCTTTCCCCGCGCGGGATCGAGGGAGCAGGAGCCGCGGCTGACGGGTCGCGGGCGCCGCGCTAGGCTCGGCTCCGGTCCCGGCCCGGGTGCGCCGCGACCCGGCCGCCGCTGCAGCGAGTCCCGCGCGCTCTCCGTGCGCCCCGGCCGGCTCGGCGGCGGCTGCCGCGCACAGGCTTCCGACTCCAGCGCCCGGCCCGCCACTGAGCATGCCCAGCACGCCGGCCGGTCTCGCTGCGGTCCGCAAGTCCCCAGACGCGCGGGTGGGAGCGCGCCGGCGGCCGGGGCTGGGGTCTGTGGCCGAGGGCGGGGCGCGGGGGAGGGGCCGGCGGAGGGGGGCGGCGGCCAGAAAGGGGATCCCGCGCCCCCGCCTGCAGCCTTGCGGGGCTCACGCAGCCCCCGGCGTCCTGGGGTCTTCTCTCGGGGCGGCTTCCCGGCTTTGCGGGGAGTGTGGCTGAATACTGTAATACGATGGGGTCCCCCAGGACCCCCTAAACAACAAATGCTCAAAGGAGCGACGGATTAATTGGGGCACCCAGACTCCCCAGAGCAATGAAAAAAGTGCCTAGAGCATCAGTAGAGCACGGCGCTGAAAGTTTTAGAGATCGTCGCCCCCTCGCCCCTTGCAGCTCTATCCCCTCCATTCTCTATAGCTGATTCCTCAGCCTATTCCTCCTAGTTGCCCCTAGTGGTGTTTTGGCACCCTCAAAGTGAGTGAGAGTGCGTGTGTGGAGACGCCTGCGGAAACCGCCCCGATCCCTGAGCCTATTTCCTCGCGAGGTGATTTTCACTTGGAGCTGGTTTGCCCCTGCACTGTCAGGCTCGGAACTGTTTGCCGTTGCTGTTCTGGCCCTTTTGCTGACCCCACAAAAACCTGCTTGAGAAAGGCCTGTGCCACGGTGCTAGACTGCGCATGCGTCGGCGACTGGCGGCCGGGTTTGAGAGCAAAGCGCGTTAGCCCTGGGCAGCTCCTGCCGGGCTGTTCTGGGATCCTTAGTGAAAGTTGGAACTTGACCCCAGAACTTTTGCGCAGTGCACAAGCAGTGCATTCGTGTTTCTTAAGTAAATCTTTTGGAGACTCTAAACCCTACCCCTTTTACTCCCACTGCACACTGCCCCTCAAAACCACAATTAATGTTTAAATTATTTGTGGCAAGATATTGCCACAGTGAATTATTGCTGTTCGATAGGAATGTGGTCCTTCGTCACCCTTTTGAGATGCATTCACTTAAAATTAGAAAATAGGCCGGGCGCGGTGGCTCACGCCTGTAATCCCAGCACTTTGGGAGGCCGAGGCGGGCGGATCACGAGGTCAGGAGATCGAGACCATCCTGGCTAACACGGTGAAAACCCGTCTCTACTAAAAATACAAAAAATTGGCCGGGCGTGGTGGCACGCACCTGTAGTCCCAGCTGCTCGGGAGGCTGAGGTAGGAGAATCGCTTGAACCCATGAGGCGGAGGTTGCGGTGAGCTGAGATCCAGCCACTGCACTCCAGCCTGGACGACAGAGCCAGACTCTGTCTCAAAAAACAAACAAACAAACAAACAAAAAGATGGGAGTTTGGATAATTTAATTGTATTATATTTCTGTAGCCCAAATTTTTTATTACGAACCATGCTTTATAAGCAGGCCAAAATATTATTTTTAAAAGAATGATCTGTTCAGGATAGTGATTGCGTCCTTTTTCGTTTGGCTGTGACAAGGATAGCACACTGTTTACACTCAGCGCTGAACAATAAATCAGCCTGAGGATTTCCTTTCCTCACACGCATCCTTCCCTAGCAATTTCCTCTTGTGTTCAATGCGGATTCCATCAATAGCACGACATTTTCTAGGCCATAATTTTGGCAAATAAATCATACTAATCTCTACATACCTTTAGAAGCAAAATCCAACACATTTGAATCACCATTTAACACAGTCTTTCATAAAGAGAAATTAAAAAGAAATTTCATTAAACGGGTCAAAATTTAAACTAAAACTATGAATTTTTTTCAGGTAGCATCAGATCACCTTTGGATGTTGGAGAATATTTCCAAAATCCACATTATATACACTATCCCAGGACGCAAATCTGGATTTAGAGCCCGAGCTGTACTGCTTTCTAGCAACATGACCTTGGATAAATTCTCTACAGTTCAGTTTCCATAGATACGAAATAAGAAATTTTTTTTTTTTTTTGTGGGGGGTGGACGGAGTCTCGCTCTGTCGCTCAGGCTGGAGTGCAGTGGCGCGATCTCAGCTCACTGCAAGCTCCACTTCCCGGGTTCACGCCATTCTCCTACCTCAGCCTCCCAAGTAGCTAGGACTACAGGCGCCGGCCGCCACGCCCGGCTAATTTTTTTTGTATTTTTAGTACAGACAGGGTTTCACCGTGTTAGCCAGAATGGTCTAGATCTTCTGACCTCGTGATCCGCCCGCCTCGGCCTCCCAAAATGCTAGGATTACAGGCGTTAGCCGCCGTGCCTGGCCATAAGAAGTAATTTCTAACTAATAGGGTTGTTGTCAGGATCAAATGGTACAATGTCTTGCTATTCAAAATGCAGCCTGTGGACAGCAGCATCACCCTTGAACTTGTCAGCACTGTAGACGTTTGGCCTCTACTCTCATACTGAATGAACCAGAACCTGAATTTTAAGATCTCCATATCCCATGTATTTCCATCAAAAGCCAAGAAGCACTGATACAATGCATAGAATGTGTGGTGCCTGATAATTAGAGCTCAATAAATATTACCCAATAGTAGCCACTTTTCATTAACAAGTGGCAACAACGACCAAATATTCTATTTCACTTCTCTGTATATAATATATGACTTCAAAACATAATGCTTCTCAAATATAGTAAACCACAGAGTTGATAGAAAGGCAACAGGAAAATATATGGAAGGCCTAGAAGGGAAGGAGTTTAGTGGAGACACGGGATTCTTCACGTAAACAAGGAGCTAAGTGCCAATAGGTGACTCGTGAAAGACATTTAAGTGTCAGAAATTGGTGCAATAAAAATGCAATGGGCTTCTCACCTGAGTTATCCTTACTAAAGGAAAAAATTACAGTCTTTTCCCTTTACAATTTTTTTTTTTTTTTTTTTGAGACAGAGTCTCACTCTGTCAGCCAGGCTGGAGTGCAGCAGATCTCGACTCACTTCAACATCCGCCTCCCGGGTTCAAGCTATTCTCCGGCCTCAGCCTCCTGAGTAGCTGGGACTACAGGCACAAACCACCACACCTGGTTAATTTTTGTGGGGCTTTTTGGGAACCAGCCCTTGTCCCAACAAACCACTGACCTCGGCCTCCAGGCCTGCCCTGGCTGGTCATCAGAGCAGTAAGTGAGAGCAGGAGGCAGAGGCTGGGGAGGACAAGGGAGAGGGAGTGGGGTCCAGTGCAGGGAACAGGGCCCTGTCACCCAGGCTGGAGTGCAGTGGCACGATCTCCGCTCACTGCAACCTCCACCTGCTGGGTTCAAGCGATTCTCCTGCCTCAGCCTCCCGAGTAGCTGGGACTACAGGCATGCACCATCACACCCGGCTAATTTTTGTATTTTTAGTAGAGATGGGGGTTTCACCATGTTGGCCAGGCTGGTCTCGAACTCCTGAACTCAAGTGATCCGCCCACCTTGGTCTCTGAAAGTGCAGGGATTACAGGTGTGAGCTATCGCACTGACCTCCCTTTGCAACCTTAAAGGAAATGTTCCACCTAGTGAAGGCAAGTTGGGAAATAGGGACCAACTCATCAGTGGCAACTCCTTGCTAATCCTGGTACCTAGTGTTCTTGCGGTGTGCAAGAAGTTCTTTCTTGCATATCTGACGTGTGACTTCAGGACCCCTCCTATGGTCCTACTGCCCTTGAGTCCTTCATAGCCCCTGTAGTACATCCACACTCTACCATTTGCTGAATGCCCACTATGTGTCAAGCACTCTTCTGGGCACTTTACATGCACTGTCTGCAAGTGAGAAGATGCTCTCCCACCCATTTTAATGAAGAAGCTAGAGATCAACAGAGTTAAGCATCTTGCTCTTTATTAGGGAACTCAATAAAAGGATGAGCTTGTGTCTCCACATCTGCGCCCCTTCTGTTCAGAGCTGTGGCTCAGCATTAAAATAATTGCTGTATCAAGCTTAATTACTGGTTTAAACATCGTTCTCCCTGCTAGACTGAAACACCTTGAAGGCAAGGGTGGTAACTCATTCATCTTCAAATTCCCAGAACCAACCTTGGTGCCTGTCACATGACAAACAATAAATATTAGTTTGGTGAGTAAATAAATGAACAAGCTATGTTAACCCTCTTGCTCTCCCTCCATCCCTCTCTGCCTTTCTATCCTGTCTTTCTGGTGGTGAAAAGATCAGGAAGGATTTGCCAGCATTACTTGTAACAGGCATAAGAGTCACATGAAAAAAGATCTGCTTTTTTCTTTTTTTTTTTTTTTTTTTTTTTTTGAGCCAGAGTCTTACTCTTGTCACCTAGGCTGGAGTGCAATGGTGCGATCTTGGCTCACTGCAACCTCCGCCTCCCGGGTTCAAGCGATTCTCCTGCCTCGGCCTCCCGAATAGCTGGGATTACAGGCGCCCACCATCATACCTGGCTAATTTTTGTACTTTTAGTAGAGACAGGGTTTCTCTATGTTGGCCAGGCTGGTCTCAAACTCCTGACCTCAGGTGATCCGCCCACAAGAGTCTACCAAAATGCTGGGATGACAGGCGTGAGCCACCGCGCCTGGCCTGCTTTTTTTGTGTGTGTCTCGCTAGTCTTTCCGTGCCCTCCAAGATGAGCAGGCTGCCCTCTGTTTCTCTTTTGTATCACAGTGTTGTTTGGATCTTGCTTCAGCCCTACACTGTATGAAAACAGGAAATGGGATAAGTGGCATCCTGAACTGCAGGAAAGACAAGGATGACAGATGATGGATATCACATACTAGGTCCCTTGCCATGTTCAAAATTATATCCTACATCGTAGGACATTCTACATCAGGCCAAATGTACCAAAAAACTGAAGTAAAGGATCTGAAAGCCACATTAATTCATTGCCTGCTCCATCTGTATTGTCTCTCCACTCCTTACTGACTTTTTTTCTTATTATTCTTCCAACTCTTAATGTTTTTGTTTGTTTGTTTGTTTGAGATGGGGTCTCACTCTGTTGCCCAGGCTGGAGTGCAGTGGCACAATCTCACCTCACTGCAACCTCCACCTCCCGGGTTCAAGTGATTTCTCCTGCCTCAGCTTCCCCAGTAGCCGGGATTATGGGCACACTCCTGGTTAATTTTTGTATTTTTAGTAGAGACAGGGTTTTACCATATTGGCCAGGCTGGTCTTGAACTCCTGACCTCAGGTGATCCACCCGCCCTGGCCTCCCAAAGTGCTGGGATTACAGGCGTGAGCCACTGCGCCCGGCCTTTGTCTTTATTCCTCATTGTATTTCTTTTTTTATGTTATAAGAGAAGTAAATCATGGATGGTACATAACCTATTGAAGATAAATCAGTTTCTGAAAGAATTGAAGATGCAGAAATACAAATATTGTAAACAGCAAACTGAAATCCAGACTGTTTGCTGGATTAATTTCCTTCAACTACAATCAAATGTAGTTTGGTTTCACATACACATTAGGGATGTGGGCTTTACATTTCTGGTAATTTGATACTGTCTTTAAAGTAAATACCAGAAAAACACTGGGGAGATAGAATGAGGGTAGAGTAAGATTTCTATAATAACTGTTCCTTTAATAAATGTGCCCAAATCAGTGTGAATTTAAAGATTTTGGAATTAGGTACAAATGAGCAGGGTCTTGTTAGGATCACAGGATTTCTTTTCTCTTCTGACATGTTCAAGTCCTTGATTATAATAATAAAGGTAACAAAAACAATGACAATAACCCATACTCTAAATGGTGCTTACCATCTAACAGAAGAAATTTACTTGAGGTAATTTATGACACATAAAGCTTCCAATTCAGGAGGCCAGGGATGGTGGATCACCTGAAGTCAGGAGTTCAAGACCAGCCTGACCAACATGGCGAAAACCCACCTCTACTAAAGATACAAAAAATTAGCCAGGCGTGGTGGCAGGCGCCTGTAGTCCCAGCTACTCGGGAGGCTGAGGCAGGAGAATCACTTGAACCCAGGAGGCAGAGGTTGCAGTGAGCCGAGATTGTGCCATAGCACTCCAGCCTGGGCAACAAGAGCAAAACTCCATCAAAAAAAAAAGCTTCCAAAGAAGCAGCTTTAAAAGGAGGATTAGAACATGACTGTAAGTCTATGTGTTACAAGGGATGGATTAATAAAAGACCAATTAACTAACCAATGTCCAAATAAATGAAATAATGAAATAAATGGAAATACAAGTGTTCTTCCCACTCTGTGAGTATATACCCCACCAACACACACAGAAAATGAGGCTCCAAAGATTTACCTCACTGAGTTAATTGCACTTCAGCTGGGTCTTTTCAAAGTCTGGTTCACATTAAACATTCTGCAGCTCTCAAGCCATGATTAGACATTAGTCCATTTTCAGAACATTAGTGGTGATACACATATATGTTATGTTTTAAAGATAACTAAGGAGGTTAAATTTACAGGGAAAAGCTAAATAGCTCTGTGTATTCCTGTCAACAACTAAGGACCTTAATCTAATTTGTAGAATATTTAAATCCATTTGCATGTTGGTATGAAGAAATTGCCAGGGAGAAAGTTCTTTATACAGAGATTGTGAATTTTAAAATCCAATGCAAAGAAACTTTTGTGGGAAGTCCTTGATGTCCCTTTTTCCATATAATCCTGTGTATATCACAATCGTTTTACTAAGTTCTTTGCAGAATAATTATCTCTTTAAGTGTCTGAGACCCCAACTACCACCAACCTCCTTTCACCCCAACCCTGACTATCTTTGAGGTCCTTGGAAACAGAGATTGTACCTTATTCATGTCATTACTCCAATGCCTGGCACTTAGTAGAGGATAGATGGATAACTGGATGGATGAAGAGGTGGGTGGATGAATAAATTAGGTGAAGAGGGATGTAAACCATGTCATTATAGTAGTGATGAGAGAGGAGAAAATTTCACTTACCATTTTGGCATGTCACTCAGATTTATTCCTGCCACCAACAATGTCCTTGGAAAAATAAAGTGATACAGAAGGACAGATTGGGTTTACCCATGTAGAGAATGCAGGAGTACTAGAAAGCACCCTGCCTCCATCCACATTCAAAACCAAAAAAAAAAAGTCCTTGATTTATGTTTAACAATTAAAATTCATTATAGAACAATTAGAAACTCTCCCTGGAAAATGCAATATATTTAAATTCATACCTCATGCCTGAGATCAGATAATAACAGCAGCAACAGCTATTTGTTGATGATATTATGAGCACTGACAACTAGCTATTGAGCTACCTACTTCATATGTATGGTTTTATTTGATTCTCATAACCTCTCTGAGGTGTTACTATTATTGACCTCATTTTGTAGATGAGGAAACCGACTCTAAGCAAGCTCAACTATCTTTCCTAAATTCAAATAGCCAATAAGTAGCAAAGCTAGCATTGGACCTGGAACATCCTGATGCCAAGATTCACACATTTAACCATGATGTCATTCTGCCTCTCTGGAGATTTAAGACAGAGGGATCCCTAAGAGCAGATGCCAACAAGATGGCTTTATACACAGCCAACTTTAAATGTTCCACACCCTGCAGAAAGTCATTAACAAAACATAATTTTACATTTTATTTACATGAGTGAAACTTCCCCCCATTCCTATTCAAATAGCAAGAAAAGAATCAAGATTTGTTTGGTAAAGCAATTTTAATTTATTTTTAATTCTTAAAATGTTCCAGTTTTAAATGTTTCTAAATTTCTTTAAGCATTCCATTTAATCTTTTCTAATGTAACCGTTTTGTTTTATTTTGCTGTGTTTTGTTTCATTTTGTTTCAGACTGACATAAGGTTGTGAAATGCTGTGCTTTAGAAAACCTGTGGGTATCTTTTTTGATCATCAGAATCATAACAGTGTAGAAGTGATTCAAAAAAGCTTGACCAGCTTTTCTGGGAAAGGACAGGACAAAGCTAAAAAGCACTAAAATGGAAACCTAATGTGCCATATTAATCTCACACACATGCACACGTAGACACTTACACAATTATATATTTTTGCAGACTATGCTCCATTTTGCAATCTTGGCATTAGGTTACCTGTAAAATCATAAACTGGTTTCTATTGCACACACAAATGGAAAAAGGAAGACTCACTGGCCACACCAAGAGTGCTCATCTGGTCAGGATGAAAACACAGTAGCTTTTTCTGCTTCATTGTTTGTTTTGACACTGGCTACAACGTTTCATCTGTTCTTTCAGAAATTTCCTAGATTTAGGGAATAACTCATATGTTCGGCTAGCTTTGTTTCTCCTTTTGCTGACATTTCTCAGGGGCTAATTTCTTAGGCTATTTAAATCAGAATATATCATTGGGGTGTAAGAAAGAAAGAGATAAGTCTAAAGAGGATATCTCTGAGAGAACAATAATCATTCAGATTATTTTAAAGAGAGAATAGGATGAAATTGGTAGGCCTGAAGAAAATAGGAAAATTTACATATATATATGTAAATGTCCAATCTGCCCTAACCTATAAAATCTGATTTACCTACCTCATTTAATAAATATTAATTTTGCACTTTCTAAAGAACAAAAACACTCTTCTAAATTTTATGTGGGGTTATAGGGTGAGAGTAAAACAGTGTCCCTAAACTAAATCCCTGTGAAAATGTATTTAACACTTAAAGATGAGAGTAGGAAAGATGGCACGAAGAAGGCACTCTATATCTTTCTGTGTGGAAGTGTTTAGTGTAAACTTCTTATGGCACTTGAGACAATGAAACTTATGAACCAGCACTGAGCTGGAGGGATTGCTGGACAGGCAGAACACAGAAGGTCCACTGTAGTCTTAGAAGGGCATCTAGCTAAATGAAAACTGTCATCTTCTAGAATCCTAATATGTCCATATTCTTGTTCCTTTCATTCTGTCTACTTAATCACTCTAAGTGCCAGGAACCAGGAATAATTTCTGGGGTGGCTCCAGGCACAAAAATGTTAACAGTGATGCAATTTGATAAATCAAAACGAGTTGAAGGCATTAGTTGAAAACTCTAAAATGTTCTAAGGAACTCAAACAACTCAATAACAATAAAACAAATAACAGATTTCAAACGAGCCAAGGATCTACATAGGCATTTCTCCAAAGAGAACATATAAATGACCAACAGGGTATGAAAGAAATGCTCAATACACTAATTGCCAAGGAAATGGAATTAAAACCACCTGTTAGAATGGCTATTATAAAAAAGACAAAAGATAAGTGTTGGTGAGGATGTGGTAAAAAGGGAACCCTGGTAGATTGTTGGTGGGTATATAAATTAGCACAGCCGTTATGGAAAATGGTGTGGAGGTTCCTCAAAAATTTAAAAATAGAACTACCATATGATCCAGTATTCCCACTTCTGGAAATGATACCATTATGTCAAGAGATACCTGCACTTCCATGTTCATTGCAGCATTATTCACAATAGCCAAGATATAAAATCAATCTAGTTCAACAATGGATGAATGGATTTTAAAATGTACTATAATAATAATGGAATACTATTCAGCCTTTAAAAAGAAGGAAATCCTATCATTTGCAACAACATGGATAAACCTGGAGGCCATTATGCTAAGTGAAAGAGGTTGGGCATAGAAAGACAAATACTGCCTGATCTCATTGCATGTGGAATCTAAAAATGTTGAATTCACAGGGACAGAGTAGAATGGTTGTTGCCAGGGGCTGAGGCAGGGTGGGAGCAGGAATGGGGAGATGTTGGCCAAAGGGTACAAAGTGACAGTGTAACAGAATGAATAAGTTTTGGAGATCTATGGTATAGTATGGTGATTATAGTTAATAATAATGTATTGCATACTTGAAAATTGCTATAAGAGTAGATCCTAAATGTTCTCACCACACACAAAAAATATGTAAGATGATGGATGTATTAATTCACTTGACTTAATCAGAAGTAATCTCCCAAGTGGTTCAGCTGTCTCACAATACAATGGGAGAGGGACTGCCAGAAGCCACTGGGAAAGACGGATGATCAATACTCACAGTGCAAGGGTTGTAGCCTCGCAGTCTATCTTGATCACACTTATGAGGAATTGAGTTACAGCTGTCAAAGTGAATGAGAGTTTGCTGTTGGCCAGCTATCAATTCCTTTCATTTTGATCTCTTATGTGGAAGTGTCTGGGAAGATGCAGCCACTGGCTGAGATTTCTTCTTAAGGCGGCTCCCTGGGATCTGGATGTGTCCCCAACACCTCCATTGGAACCACAGTTTACTTTTTAGTAAAAGTGAGAAGGAGACAGACATTGCTATCACAGGGCCTGTGGGTCTCTGATGCTGAACTGAGGGTAATTAGAAAGGTCTTTTCTTTGCTACTACATCCAGTTTGAACATTTTATGGTAGATATGTACCTAATAATTGCTTTTCTAATGCTCATTACATATTTCATATTCAGACATTAAAAGCTTAGTTCTTTACTAATGTCTTGTGAAGTATATATTGAATGTGGCAATAGTTTCATTACAGATTAAAAACAGTTATAATTTCTAAATAGCCAGAAACTAGTATCAGTAAACACCCATATATATTATTTAAAATAATTTAATTATTTTTGAAGTCAGCTTTAACTACCACTTTTCGCTTCTCTGCATTTAAGGATACAGGCAATATTTTACTGTTTGGAAAAACCAATCCAAGATATGAGTTTTAAGATACTGTCTGTGTCTGATCTATCTTTTCCTTCAGATTCTCTACCCAAAATTTCTTCACAATATTCCTATACTCTTCAGATAAACTAGAAAAAAATCTAAACCTTGAATTCTGCTTTTCAAAGAGGTCTGTCAGGAATGAGCTAAGCAATGGTCAATTTACAACAGGATTAAAAACTAAATTGGCATCTCATTCAAGTTGCACACTGTGGCAAATTTGAGCAGCTGTTTAATACATGTTGCCAGTGGACTCAGTTCTACATCAGTCATGCTAATATAAGTCTTGCTATTCTCCATAGCTACAAAATATTGCTCTAACCTAAGCCATGTCTGTAGCCAATGCATACTATGGGTAGTTGGGACGGCTCAGCTAGGCTAGGACAGCTCCCCCGGCCCACTCCTGTCAACCCCGGTGACTCCTGCAAGCCCAAGTAAAAGACTTCGTCCTCAGGTAGGCCTATCCTGATGAGTGATAACTTTGTGCTGGCTTCACCACCACCAGCAGCCACCCATGCCCACCTGTGTTATTTTCAACCTTACCTTATTTGTATTGGTCTTAAAAGGGATCCCTTGGAAATACAGTGTCTAATTCATCTGAGAATTCCCAAGAGCTCACTAAGTATTTATTGAATGAATGAACAAATGAATGAATGGTGTCAGACCTATTACTATGGTCAATGCTACCTCCAATTTTAAGCTACATAAAGTAGCTTAATTTATTAAGTAGCGTTATTTCCAGCATTCTTGTGCTTATTTAACCTTCTGCTGTCTAGATTTTACCTTATTGGAACAGTTTTCTCTGACAGTGTGAAGAAGAGTAAAAGAAGGATCCCACGAGGACTAAACTGTGGATGGGGGCGGGGGTGGAGGTTGAAGCAAGGGACAGATATAACTCAGAATGGTATGATTCATTCAACTGAAAACAAAATCATTTCAAAATTCTAAAGAAAATGAAGTGCAATTGTAGTGTTAAATCTATTTAGTTATTCATAAGCAATTACTATAAACAAATATTTATGTGGCTTAAAACAAAAATATATCTACTAGAAGTCTAAGAATTCCTTTTTCAATAATCCTAAATTACACTTTGCTTAGAAGAGGTGTGTTTTGTTTACTTTTCAGAGTGATTTTCTCCACAATGCCTGAACTATACATGATTTGTGTGAGCGGGATAAGCCCTTCCAGCTGTTCAAAATTAGCTTAGTCACCAGTCTAGTGAGACCATCCATGAAATACCCTAGTTGTTGGCAATTTGTTACCTCTGAGCTCTTTAAATTAAATAGCATTGCGGTTCATTCCGAGAAAGGGTCAAATCACTTAGCAGACCATGAAAAAGAGAGGATGTGTCACTACTACTCTTAATCAAATTCTTTCACTTCTTTTATTCTTTTTCATTCTTGGCTGTGGTTGTCTAAATTCATCTTCAGGGATAAATGGTCACTAGTTATTTATCAAAGCATGAGTCTTTTCTGCAGGGATCAGACTTCTGCTATTTTAAACATGCATTAGACTTCAGATTATGAGCCAGGAACTGAACTACATGTTTTATACATCTTATTTCTTTTACATTAGATTTGTAGGGTAGATACGATGTCTCAATTTTACAGGTTAGGAAAAAGGTTCAGAGAGGTAGACAACGTTTATAACACTGTAGCTATAAAAACAAGATTCCTGAAACCTTACCTCAAAGCACTAAATCAGAATTTACAGGAGATATCTAGGAATCTATTAAACCCTAATTTCTGTGTTTTTAACTAGTGCTCCTGTGTGATTATTATTATCCTTTATTATTAAAATTTTCAAACTTATACAAAAGTAGATGGAATAGTTACTAAACCCCCATGTACCATCACCCAGTTTTAACAGTTATCAACCAAAGTTGCAGTATCTTTTTAATTGTTCAGACTTTGCCCTGTGATCCAGGTGATTCTTTAAAATAATAAAATTGAGAACCAGTGAGGAACAGTGACTTTCTCATTGTCATTTATCTGTGGAGCAGCAGAGCTGAGAACCAAATCTGAAATACGTAACTCCAAGTAGGGTTTGCTTTCCATTTAACCATAGTTGTATTCATTGCATTAACATATATTTATTGGGGTCCTTCGTATTCATATAGTATTATGCTGAGAACTAAAACAAGAAGATGAACCAGTTAAATCATATTTCAAAGTGGCCTGTGAGCAAGGACCAAAATGTTGACAGCAGGGCCAGGCACAGTAGCTGATGCCTGCAATCCCGCAGCACTTTGGGAGGCAAGGTGGAAGCATCGCTTGAGGCCAGGGGTTTGAGACTGCAGCAAGCTATAATTATGCCACGACTGCACTCCAGCCTGGGCAATGGAGCAAGACTCTGTCTCTAAAAAAAGGAAAAAAAAAGTAGATGATAAGTATAAAAAGTAGGAGATCAAAGAATGAAACAGTTTTAAAAATTTTCATGGGGGAGATACAACTTGACCTGGGCCTTCAGCAAGGAAGGACTTTCCAAGTGAAGAATAACATGAACAAAAACATAACATTCAGAATCAACAAATTATTTCTGGAGAACTCAGGAATAAAAAGCAGACTGGCTGGACAAGAGAGGCCCATATTGGATGGCTTGGGGGATCAGATCACTTAAATTCTCAAAGGCAAGATTGAATGGGGGTAACAGAAAGTCACCAGGAGTTTTTAAATAGGAGAGAAATATGGTCAAGGTGGTAATTTAGAAAGAAAATTCTGGGCTGGGCACGGTGGCTCACGCCTGTAATCGCAGCACTTTGGGAGGCCGAGGCAGGCAGATCACAAAGTCAGGAGTTCGAGACCATCCTGGCTAACACGGTGAAACCCCATCTCTACTAAAAATACAAAAAATTAGCCAGGCATGGTGGCACGCACCTGTAGTCCCAGCTACTTGCGAGGCTGAGGCAGGAGAATCACTTGAACCCATGAGACGGAGGTTGCAGTCAGCTGAGATGGTGCCACTGCACTCCAGCCTGGGTGACAGGGCAAGACTCCATCTCAGGAAAAAAAAAGAAGAAGAAGAAGAAGAAGAAAATTCTGGCCACAGCATATCTGGAAAAGAGATTCAAGAGGCAGGGTGATATGTTAATAAATGACTACACCAAATCAGCCATAAGATGAAAAGGATCAAGATTTGAGAGACGTAGGATCAACTGGACTTGGTGGGGAAAAGAGGGAGGAATGAATTAAAAATGACTGTGGTTTTGTAACTGGGTAGCTAGAAGAATTCAGCAATACTGAGTTTTACTGAAAATAGTGGAAGATACGAGATCAGTGCTTGGGGGAGAGTTAGTGTGGGGATGCTACGTTCAGAGGCGTCAGCATAGGAAATCATTGAAACAGTGATAGCCACGTGATCAAAGGTAAGACTCACTGGAAAATAATAACTGAGATTCCGAGGACTGCTCACAGTGAACGGGTGAGAGGAGAAGAGGAGGCAGAGGAGTTATGAAAACCCTAGAGGGATTGTCACTGGGGATCACCCTAATTCAGATCACTGCCCACCAGAGGATCATTTAGTGTCAGTCCCTGTGAGGATGCCCTTTATACAATTGCCTTTGACTGATGCTAAATGGGTAGAAACCACTGCCATGTCATTTCTGTAGCAATTTCTGGATAATCACTTGGGGCCAACCCTGATTCAATATCTGACTTATAGAGCCCAAAAATGTTCTTTAAATTTGATCTTTAATGGAAAAAAGAAATAAGTGAAAAATATTTGGGGCACCTTAGTGGCAAACCATACCTGCTTCATGAAATATTAGTTTAGGCCTATTACATAGGTTTCATACAGTTGTGGTCTTGTTGAAGTATAATTCCTCCTCCCCAGAGATTAGGAGAGCTCTGATAGCAACAGCTATAAACAGGTCTTGATTCTGCTTTAAGGGTTGATTTTCCTTGTCCGAATTCATTCGTTCCCCTTCTAGGATTCCAATTCGTCTGTGACAATTACTTCATTTATGGGTCAATATTTATAGACAACCCTTTTTTTCTATTGCTAGAGAGTTAGGGGTAAATAAGACAGACAAAAATCTTATTCTTCACAGAGTTTGCAATTTCCTTCTGACTTTGTTCACTATCTAATGCTTTCTGAAAGTACACATCCAAAATAAAGCATGCTATTATTCCTAGCTGTAGAGAATGTATTTGTTATCCTTGTGATTGCCTTTTGGCCATGTGCACATTGGAACTTTGTGTCCAAAGCTGCACTTTCTCCCCTACCTGGTAAGAACAGCACCTACATTTATGTAAATGGCCACAGGGTCAGTGGCATTACAAGCCACATTTCCAGTTCCCTGAGCAGCCTCTCTTCCTGTTAAGACTGATGACACGAACCCCCTCATTGCTATTATACCTCAGTGCTCTCTCCTCCCTCCCAAGGTCCCTGACCCTTGTAGTTGCTCTCATGCTATTCCCTGCTGGAACAATTCCTCTTATTCTCTGAGTGCCACTAGGAAGAATGACACCTACCTCCAAGAAACTCTCACCCATCTCTGTACGCATTTGCACTTCTCTCTAAACCCATCTCAAAATCTGAGCCCAGAGAGGAGAATTTAAAATCAAAATTATGACTAAAGCAGCACAGAAAATACTTCTTTCTTTCCTCTAGTACACAGGTTACACTGTAGCTCAGAAATCAAGATAGGAGAGAATTTCAAGAAAGATAGGGTGATGGACTCAGAGAACTCGCTTCCATTTTGGCAGGTCCTCCGGTCCTCACACTGTCCCCACCCATGTATGAAAATCTAGAGCAAATCATTCTATACCTTCCTTTTTAAAAACCAAAGAAATATTCCCACTTGTATTCAATTGGATTCTGTTTATCTAAGACAATTTTTTTTTAAGAAAAGTATAGTGCTTAAAAGGATACCTACCTAGCCCTGCTGATACATTTTTGGTAGGGATACTTTTTTGAGTCATATACTTTTAGGCATAAACATTTCTATTATTTTCCTAATAATGTTTGAGCTAATAATTTCAGCCTCATTTAGGGAAGACTCCCTGTTTAACCTATCTAGACATCTTCTTTTCTTTTTTAACCAACATTAATTATAAAATTATAAGGAATCTTTCCAATTAAGAAAATGATGAATCAAATCAAACCTAAAAAATATTTCTTTAAAAATATTATTTTATGCTACAAAAATAACAGGGCTAAAGTCCAAGTCAAATAATTTTAAAATGAATGATTTCAAATGAAATAATATTTCCTTTCCAGAAGCACCGATGAAAAGTAAATGGTTTACTTCACTGAGGCTCCCAGGGGAAAAATAGTTACCCACAGTCATTATGTTTAATATTAGAAATAAATGCTGCTCTCAGTTTGAAGCTTGGTTCTTTTTCTAATTTTTAGGGAGTCAGAAGTTTAAATCTTTTATTAAAAATTTATATGGCAATTGCTACTCTCTTATTTTCTTTTTTCTCTTCCCCTTATCTTTCATACATTTTGTATAATAAGGAAGCAATTCCTCTGCTATTAAAAACTGCTTTTAACAAGAGACAGAGATGTTTTCAACTGCAAGAAGAAGTGACCGAATAATATATTTCATTTCAATGTAGAACAGAGAGATTTTGCTCAATGGTCAAGAAAAGTAAAATCCATTTCACTGAAACATAAAAATCGATTTTGTAGCTCTCGTGGCTCTACAGCAGTTAGGCTCTCATCAAGAACATGGTTTCACATTACAATTTATAAAGTTCACGGAGTGAGATCAAAAGGGTTTTTTCCCATAAAGTAAAACCGGTGCCCCCAAATTCCCACCAACACATGTTTAAAGAAAACTTTCATGTCAACATGGATTACCTTATCTTGATTTATTTTAGATGCGGAATTTGTAACTTCAATTAAATAAGGAATAAATATTCAATTATGAAGTTTTTTAAACCCTGAGGCTTCGATGTAGAAGGAAAGTAATAAATTAATCCAATAGAACAAAGATTACACATTGCTATCTTCTGACTCTACCTAATTATCTCAGAATATAAAGTGCATCAGAAATTCAACAGAGAGTTAGGAAGAATTATCAGGATATACAGTGATTAGTAATTAATATACTCCCTAAATGAAAGTGAGTTTTGCACAGTTTCTATGTGAATAGTTATCATTTCGATTCTTAGTGAAATTTCATGCATAATATCTAAAGTTCTGAATCTCTGGAAGTGAAAAGAAAAAATGCTCTCCCTTAAAAATAAACTGGTTTTGGCTGAGTGCAGCGGCTCACACTTCTAATCCTAGCATTTCGGGAGGCTGAGGCGGGTGGATCATTTGAGCCCAGGAGTTCAAGACCAGCCTGGGCAACATGGCAAAACCCCGACTCTACTAAAAATACAAAAATTACCCAGGCGTGGTGGTGCACACCTGTAGTCCCAGCTCCTCAAGGGGCTGAGGCCAGAGGATCACTTGAACCCATTAGGTCGAGGCTGCAGCAAGCTCCAATCTTGCCACTGCACTCCAGCCCGGGTGACAGAGTGAGACCCTGTCTCAAAAAAAAAAAAAATTAAATAAACAAAAATAAAAAATAAACTCGTTTTAATCAGTATTCATCCAAATCTGCAAATTCCAAGAATGAACTTTAACAGCACTCCAGCCTGGGTGACAGAGTGAGACCCTGTCTCAAATAAATAAATAAATAAAAATTAAAAATAAACTGGTTTTCATCAGTATTCATCCAAATCTGCTAAATTCTGAGAAAGAACTTTAACAGCAGAGTTGACATTCCCTTTCTATATTCAGAGAAATTGTAAGTACAAAATAATTGTGTGCAGCCCAGTTCTACCCTTTCCATCCAAAAATGACCCAGGAAATTTCCCACGGAATGGCTCCTCTTCTCAATTTCCTTCCCATTTTAGCCAAATAGCTGGTCATAATGATGTTTGCTTGCTGAAGCAATGTCGTAAGTTCCAGCAAGAGTCCACCAGCTCAATATAACGGTAAACACAGGAGACTGAGAGCAGAAAACCAGGGTTCTAGTTCAGCCTCCCTTACATCTGGCTGTATGACATGGGATAATCTCTTGGATCTTGGTGGGTTTTTGTTTGCTTGTTTGTTTTGTTGTGTTTTGTTGTTTTCCTACTAAGTAAATTGGGCTAGATTATTTGTAAAGTTTGTCCCAATGCAAAATTCTGGTTCTATAGGCACTCCCACTCTCTCTCAGTCCATTAGACTCAAAATTATGGAAAATTTGACTACATTGTTTTCCTCCAAATTATCACCAAGCATTGTCTGTTTGTTTTCATCTTTGCCTTATCCTCTTAGGCATGGTCTGTAACTTTGTTAAATTCATTCTTCCCACGCTGTCTACTTCTCATCAGATTTCCTAGCTCTGAATCTTCAGTGGTTCCTCGTAGCCTACCCTATTGTAGACTCTTCATAAAAGATGATAATATAATACACTGTGTGAAATAACTTGGCTCCAATTCATCAATCCGACCTTATTTTCCACTTCTCCAATACAGCAGAGACCATTGGCTCTTTTCTACTCCAACCTTCTATTTGCCGTTGTCCTTCATCTTAAAACTACTCATTCTCACTCCCATTCTTAGCCTGTCAAATAAACTTCTACACGTTTTTCAAACTCTTTATTCAAGTACTCAAGACTTCCTGCCTTCAACTAGTATGATGTAGCATAGCATAGTGGTTACAGATGCCTTTACTGAAGCCAGATTGCCTAGGTTCTGGCTAGGTTCAACTCCTGGTTCTGTCACTTGCTAGTTCTGGAAATTTGGATGTGTTATCTCATCTTCCTGTGCTTTGGTCTACAGAGTGGGGATAAAGTAGACCCCTATTGAAACCTATTGGATTGAGTTGCTATGAGGTTAATAAGTTAATATGTGTAAAGTACTTGGAACAGTGCCCAGCACACAGTAGGCACGCTGAAAGCGTTTGCATTCATCAATACACCAGCTCCCTGTGGCATGCTTTGTCGGTAGCATATATTAAGGCACATGTATTTTTTTTTTTTTTTCTGACAGAGTCTCACTGTTGCCCAGGCTGGAGTGCAGTGGGACAATCTCATGGCAACCTCCGCCTCCTGGGTTCAAGCGATTCTCCTGCCTCAGCCTCCCGAGTAGCTGGGATTACAGGCATGTGCCACCACACCCGGCTAATTTTGTATTTTTTTTAGTAGAGACGGGGTTTCTCCATGTTGGTCAGGCTGGTCTCAAACTCCTGATCTCAGGTGATCCGCCCGCCTCGGCCTCCCAAAGTGCTGGGATTACAGGCGTGAGCCACTGCGCCCAGCCAAGACACATGTATTTACTTGTCTCTACCACTCGCTTCTATCTCTCTTAAATAGTTAGAAAGTAAAGGGGAAAACAAGTATGATGCCACTGTTATTCCCACCCTCTCCATGGGCACAGAGTACTGTTCAAACTCTTGGGGTTTACAACCAGAGAGAGAAATATGAAACTGTGGAGAGAAGCCATAATGATAATTAAAGGTTTGGAAAGTGATGATTAGGAGGAAAGACTAAAGAACAAGGACTAATAACCCCAGAAAAGAAAAGATGACAGTTACTTGCATAAAGGTCTTTAAAATACAAAAGGCCCTTGAAAACTCCCTGGTAATTGTTTGCTGTTCACATTTGACTATTAACTGCCTTAGGTTTTAACCATAGCCTTTCTTCTTCCTTTCCCTCTCCATAGCTGCTTTTATGTCATTCTCATTCTGGTCCCACTGCCTGGCTTACCTTAACCATATGCCAGGCAGTCATATGTATTATTCAGATTCCTCACTACAATTCTGGAAGGCGGATTTTATTAAGCTTTTTTAATTAAAGCTGATGACGATTAGTTAAATTGGCCACAGTCATGAACCCAAGCCAGTAAGTAGCAGTACAGGCATTCAAACCCAGGTCTATCTGATGCCAGAATCTAAGATCAACTGATGACACACACGTGATTTCTCCTTATGATTGACTCTTGTTGCTTTGTACTCACCACACCTACCAAGAGCTCCAACCGGGCCCAGTATAGGAACATTAGATATTCACAAAGAGCTGGTTGCTTAAAAAGAAAGTACTGACAATTTTAAATATTGCAATGATTCAAGGGGAAGTTGGGAAATGGTGTTTTTTTTTTTGAATGATCAACATTAATAAACTAAATAACTAATTAATTTATTGGCTCTCCCTTGTGTCAGCCAGTTTAGGTGTCTCTAACAGGAGAGCCAGTGTAAGGGTCTATCAGGAAAGCTTGAGAACTTTTCAGGTTTTTTTTGTTTTTTTTTTTAAGAACAAAAGCTTTTACGTTCATAGACAATCCAATTTATAAAAAATTATTTAGCCAATAAATGCAATGACTGAAGATGTCACTAATTTATAAAGCTGCATGAACTCTGTTAGGGGCTGATAGAGATGACTAGTCAAAAAATTTAAATCTAAGTATTTTAATACCCTTAATAAGAACAATGGAAAACTGATGAATAATCTGTTTATAACCACTCATGAAAATGCTAGTGGGTCTGTGAACTACAGAACTCAATAAATAACATCTTTATAACCTTTGCCCAAATTTCAGAAAAATCTGTGAAACAGTTACAGAAAATATGCCCATCTAAAAATGTTTCACCATTTTGTTTAATGACCACAAAATTAATAAAATATGGTGGAAATCTTGATATTCTTTATGCTATGTGAAATTCGACCTGAGTCCACTAACTTCCTTACAAAAAGCAAGCAAACATCCCAATATAGGAGGTCCAGATAAAATGAAAAGCTCTCTTTATTCCATCATATTTGTGTTGACTTAATCCTTTGACCTTCCTTACAATTAAAATTAAATTAAACATACACTGTAAAAGCTCAGCAGAAACCTCCCAGGATCCCACAGATCTGACTCTATAAAAATATTTTCTTTGTGTGGAACATAGCACAAAATATAACCATTTTATAATCATATAATTAAGATTGAAAAGAAATCCAATGCCTCTTACCACTCTAGCAATCAAATATTTTCCTCCTGTATAATTATTTAAATTTCATTTGTACAAAAGTAACATACACTCAATGCAGAAAGATATATAATTATATTTACGTTTTATATTTTATCTATCTATAACCAGGAATTCCATCTTTGTAATATAACCACCTTTTACATTTTAGTGTGTACTCTTTCCATTTGTTCTTGTGATATATACTGTTAAAAATAAAAATGGCATTTTACTATACACCCTATTTTATAACTTAGTTTTTCATTTAGCATTCATTATAGTTTTCTCCGATTTTTATAATCTTTACTATTCATTTTATAAACCTACTTGACTCATTTAATGTGATATAGACCAATCGTTGTATTTTGTATTTTTAATGTATCTTATATGTAAAGGTCTCAATAGTCATTGTTTAAAAACAATTAGTTTAGCAGCATCCAGATACTCTGGTTATTTATAAACCTCCACTTTGCTCTTAAATCCTGGGATGTCCTGCTTTAAGTAAACTCACATGTCAGGAGACGGAAAAATTGTTATAGTCTGAACAACTAGAAGGAAAATATTTTTAGGTAGAGCAGACTTGCCTGGTATACTTTTGGGGCCTGAGCAAGAGTACAAATGGAAGCCACACATCAGATGTTTTAATACTCAAAAGTTATAATTCAAACTAACAAATTGTTGAATCTCCCAGTTTGAGGAGGAAATCTACATTTGAATTAAAAAAGTATAAATGCATTTTTAGTTTGCATAACATTTTTTAAATGGTATAGTTTAGTGTTTTCAAAGTGGTTACATTTTAAAATGAGGACAACAAAATATTTTCCAAAGGTCATATTTAGAAATGTTAGAATCAGAGATTAACAACAACAAAACAGGACTCTGAATTCCCTTTTGCTGTAGTAAATCCCTAAACTAGCTCTCTCTCCTTCCTTTTTGAGGATACTGAAATTTTCCATCTAAAGCTAAGGTTTCCTGACAAATTTCAAGAAGCAGTTTTCAAAATTTAACTCAGAGGCTCTCTGCAGTTTCATGCTTTGAGATGTCTCTGTCTAACAAGTTTTTAGGGGCTCTCTTTCCTTTCATAGAGCACAGTAGTAAACCACAAAGTGATGGGTTAGCTCCAACAGCAAAGTGAGAAGTACAATCACAATATGTTGTTCACTTTCTTTAATAGTACACTGTGATTTTAGCATAATCATTATGACCTTTATGGTACCAACAGCTAGAACTTGTTTCCATTAGTTTCTTGGCCTCCAAGCACAGATCAGACAAGAGACTCATTTAATATGGTATAAACCAACAGAGCTCTTAATAAATGCTACTTATTACCAGAAAAAAAAAAATTAACACGGGAAACGCCAAGCCCTTCATAATCAAGGCATCTTATTTCAAAGCACTGTTGTCAATAGTTTTAGGTTCTGATAATTGACTTGGATCCTTCAGAACCTCTAGGAATTTATGCTGATGATATTTTCCCTAAACAACTTCTCATTATGGGCACTGAAATTTACTGACCACGTGCTATGTGCCAAGGCTCATTAGTAGGGAAGACAGCCCAAAAGCATGATTATAAGCAAAGGAGTGGCAGGGTAGAGGTGGACTCAGATTGCTACACAGGCACAGAGGGAGGGAAGGACCTGCTGCCTGGGATGGAGAGAAGGAGTGTATTAGTCAGGGTTCTCTAGAGGGACAGAATTAATAGGATATATGTACATATGAAAGGGAGTTTATTAAAGAAAAGTAACTCACACAATCACAAAGTAAACCTCAGGACAGGCCATCCGCAAGTTGAGGAGCAAGGAAGCCAGTGGTGGATCAGCCTGAGTCTCAAAACCTCAAAAGTAGGGAAGCCAACAGTGCGGTCTTTAATCTATAGCTGAAGACCTGGGAGCACCTGGCAAACCACTGGTTTAAATCCAAAAGTCCAAAAGCTGAAGAACTTGGAGTCTGATGTTTGAGGTCAGGAAGCATCCAGCAAGGGAGAAAGATGAAGGCAGGAAGATTCAGCAAGTCTGTTCTTCCATCTTCTTCTGCCTGCTTTATTCTAGCTACACTGATGGCTGATTACATGGTGTCCACCCAGATTGAGGGTGGGTCGGCCTCTCCCAGTCCACTGACTCAAATGTTAATCTCTTTTGGCAACACCCTCACAGACACACCCAGGAACAATACTTTGCATGTTTCAATCCAATCAAGTTGACCCTCAATATTAACCATTACAAGGAGGGAGAAAGCAGGGGGTGCAAGAAGGTATTCACCTGCAGGGGAGAGTAGGTAGATTGGTATTATTAGAACAGCACACACAAAAAGTCAGAAGGTCAAGGACACACACACAGTCAGAGATCAGTCAGGTTTGTGGAGGGGCCAAAATTTTGATGTACGAAGTGAAGAGAGAGACTTATGTGAAACTAACAGTTGAAAATGGCCAGAAAGATAGAGAGGGATGGACTGTAAAAGGTCCATGAAAGAACCTAGAGCCTCCCAAGGAGGCTGCCCTAAAGCTCATGCCTGTTAGGTGAAACCACCCTACAATGAGGTGTAGGGTGACATCTCACTAATGAGGACCCTTAGTAGAATTTAAAATTTATGCTCAATTCCACTTTCTTTTTCTTTTTGTTTTTGAGACAGGGTCTCACTCTGTCACCTGGGCTGGAGTGCAGTGGTGCAATCATGGCTTACTGTAGCCTCTAACTCCTGGGCTCAAGTGATCTTCCCACTGCAGCCTCCCAAGTAGCTGGGATACCGGCACATACCACCAGTCCCAGCTAATTTTTTGTGTTTTATATAGAGATGGGGTTCTGCCATGTTGCCCAGGCTGGTCTTGAACTCCTGGACTCAAGCACTCCACCTGCCTTGGCCTCTCAAAGTGGTGGGATTACAGGTGTGAGCCACGTATAATAACACCCGGCCTAAATTTCACTTTCTAATGAAATGTGTTAGAACAAGATTCCATAGCTACCTCAGAGGAGACAACACATACAGCACATAAGACCTTGCTGTACTTGCCTTCTCAGATGAAGAAAGCTGGAAAAAAAAGCTGTTAAAGAGACCTTTTTATAATTAGCTTGGGAAAACAGGGGCCTTCATAAAAACAGAGATGGAGAGACCCATAGCCAAGATCCTTGGAGACTTCAGGAAGGGCAGTTGTCTAATAGTTTCTTAGCACAAGGCCATACCTGCCCCCACGCAAAAGTACTAATGCAAATGAATGTGCATGGACACTTAAGAGAGGTATAGAGGCTCAGCCTTAAGTATGTCAGTCTAAACGTTTTAATACTATCTAAACTAACAGGATATACAAAAATCCTCTGCATGTGGCCCTGAAGTGCACAGATTCTTAAAAGTCCTTCTTCTTCTAGACTCTTCACAGAACACAGATGCCACCGTACAGTTCCACAACTCCATTAAAAAGTGGGCAAAGGACATGAACAGACACCTTTCAAAAGAAGACATACATGCGATCAATAAACATATGAAAAAAGCTCAACATCACCAATCATTAAAAAATGCAGATCAAAACTACAATGAGATACTATCTCACACTAGTCAGAATGGCTACTGTTAAAAAATCAAACAATATCATGTGCTGGTGAGGTTGTGGAATAAAAGAAACGCTTATACACTGTTGGTGGAAGTGTAAATTAGTCCAACCATTGTGGAAAACAGTGTGGGAATTCCTCAAAGAGCTAAAAACAGAAATGCCATTCAACCCAGCAATCTCATTACTGGGTATAAACCCAAAGGAATACAAATTGTTCTATCATAAAGACACATGCACATGTATGTTCACTGCAGCACTATTCACAATAGCAAAGATATGGAATAAACTTAAATGCCCATCGATGATACACTGGATAAAAAAACATGGTACATATACACCATGGAGTACTATGCAGCCGTAAAAAAAAACGAGATCATGTCCATCGCAGGAACATGGATGAAGCTGGAGGCCATTATCGTTAGTAAACTAACACAGAAACAGGAAACGAAATACCACATGTTCTCACTTATAAATGGGAGCCAAATGATGAGAACACATGAAAACGTACAGGGGAAAAACAGACACTGGGGCCTATCAAAGGGTAGACAGTGGGAGAAGGGAGAGGATCAGGAAAAATAACTAATGGGTACTAGGCTTGGAACCTGGATAATGAAATATAATCCATACAGCAAACCCCCGTGACATGAGTTTACCTATATAACAAACCTGCACATGTAAACCTGAACTTAAAATAAAAGTTAAAAATAAAAATAAATAAATACATAAAAACAAATGTCTGGCCTCATTAAAATTTGAGTTAAAACTATGATTCATGAGAAACTTTTGTTGTTAGAGAAAATTATTTTCATGACCCAAGCTGAACTCTAGGCTATGAAGAAACTAAATCTAAGAGAAGGCTTCACGGTGACGTCTAGAGAGGCTTTAGGAGGTCCTCAAGGAACCTCCGCTTTCCTTTGGTGGGTGTTTGTTGTTCCCTGTGTAGCACTCACTTTCCCTTCTTCTAATGGCTCCTTTAGGCCATGTCCTATCCCCGTGGCATGCAGTCTTGGTGGGATAGTCAGCAAAAGTTTCCTATCAAGGACACACGGTTCAAGCTAGACCTATCTGTTTCCTAAAAATTAAATATTGGGTAGAATGACAGAAGAATAGGAAATTGTTGGGGTTGATTCTGTTTCTCACTCTTTCTCTCTCTTCCTCCCTCCTTCCCTCCATCTGTCTCCTTTTCATTGTGTTAAGTTAGCCAGGAATAGTTTCCACTGATTGCAACAAAAAAATCCCAAATGATATATTGCAGTTCATGCATCTCAATATCTTGTGAATCTAGTTTAACCGTCAGGAGGGCAGCCACAAGGGTAAGACAGATGAGGGGAACCTGGACAGAGATACCGAGTTTATAGCTTTCTAGAAAGCTCACTAGAATTTCCAAGTTGCTTCAAAATGGCATATGAGGAAGAGGAAAGGGACAGTGGAAGACTGTATAGAATGGAAAATCCTGCAAACATGTGCCAATGGAGGCTCTCTTGGGCACTAATTCAGGTTATGAGAGGCATTATGAGCAAGGCACAGCAGTCAGAGGGCAGTACCATGGGCCAGCTGAGTCACCGCCATGACTCAGGTACCGGCAGAACAATAAGATGGAGTCCATACACTAAGGTGCCATTCAAGAAATATTTAGGGCAATATCAGATGGATGAGGCAGAGCACCCTGGAGCAACCGGCCGCAGCCACAAGGAAAGACATGGAAGTATTGGCCGCAGCAAGTGCCAGAATTGAAGGCTACTTGCTCAGCCATTGCAGGAGGCTGTCATTTCTGACCTGGTGTCCTCACTGGCTGTTTCCCCAGAGAGAATGGGAGAGTTCTAAGGGAAATCCGGGTGTCTCAGAGGCTCCTCTGTATCACTGCTGTTGCCCTCTGTCAACCTAAATAACCAACAGAGAAAGCCTCTCTAAAAGAAAGTGGTGCTTATTCAGGAAAAGGGCATTGCAGTATGGGAGCCACAGTAAACAATGTGTGTATTCAGGGAGATAAGAGGTACTTAAAGAAAAATGAAGATGATTACTTTGACAACTTTCACACTTCCAATAGCTGGGAAGAGACCCTAATCTCAGGACTCTTCAGGGTCTTCTACAACCTCCATATTCAGACCTACAAACAGCAGGATCTTCCAGGACCTCCCATTCTGGAGTAATTGTTTATAAAGGGAAAGTCATACAGCACAGTGGACCTGGAGTTTGAATTCCTTTCCCCTTTGCCACAGCTGCGAAGCCCAGAGATGCCCAGTAGCCATTTCACAGGGTTGCTGTGAGGATAAATGAGATGTTGCACATAACGCATTTAGCACAGAGTCCCACGCACATGAAGTGCTCAACAAAGTTAGAGAGAGTGCCAGCAAAGATGCTCACTGACGCAACCAGGGACTGCTCCAATTCCTTCATTGTCACTATGAAACTCCTGTACACATTCTGTGGAAGAAAAAAGCCTGCTGCTATGCTTGCACCCCATGACCATTAAGTGGCCCTAGAAGACTTCTACTGCATGTGGAGGGGTCAGAAGGGCGGTGGCTGTTGCTTCAAGAAGGGGGAACGGGAGCATCTGGCAGTGACGTCCCTTAAAGCCAAGTGGCAGCTGATTCACACAAATGGTATTTGGATAGAGGTGGAAGGAGTAAGAGAGAAGCCTGCCCCTGCCTCCCAGAAGCTGGCTCCTCTCTCATCATTACAGCTGCCATCTTTCATCATCCAGGCCTCCCCCAGATGTGGCAGACAACTCACCCATAGAATCTCCTCCCACACCAGGAACATGTTGAGACTTTGTTGCCTGTTCCTGGCACTCTTAGGATCTGTGCTCTGGTCCCTTGCGTAAGTGGCAGAGAACAGCACCAGAAGAAAAGGGGTATGGGGAGATTGAAAATTGTTTTTGATGCAGCTGGAGAAAAAAATACATTCGACATTTAGGTAGATATAGTATTATGGCAAAATAAAATACTCATGTTTAGAGGAGATCCATGTTCACAGAGAAAAAAATCACAAGTTGCAACAGTTAGCAACACAAGGCTCAATCCCTCCACTTGTACAGCTGCTTCCAGCGAGTCATGGCATTGTTGGCTCCAGCATCAGGGGTACAATGATGGACACAATGAAAATTAACTCATTTCATTTAAAGTCAGAATATAACTTCAGCAAAAAAATTAAACTTCCTTTGGGTATTTGCACTACATTTTTAAAATATAGAAATTTCCAAATATTTTTTTCTATGTTCACGTCCAATTGCTTTTTCAACATCAACAAAATTCCACTTGGAAATTGTTCTGCTGTCACACTGCCCCTTCAGAAATGGTCCACAGGTTAGTGGTGCTGAATTCTCAGCTCACTCTTAAAAGTTCCCTGGAGGAACTCTAGCACTCATTTCCAGTGGCTTCATATATGAATCTAATAACAATATTTATATTTGGTATGTGGATAAGAAAATATTGTTTACCTCGAGTCCCAGACCTTGTGCTAAGCACTCTACAGGTGTCGTCTAATTTTGCAGGTAACAAACATGGGAGAAGTTCACATCAGAGAGCTGGTAAGTAGGGAAGCTGGGATTCAAACCTGACCCACTTCTTTGCAAATCTTAGGTGACCTTGATAGAGTTAGACGGGCATGTTTCCTCATCATGAAGACTCCAGTTTTTATAACTGTCTCTATGTCCACAGTGTCTGGCATATATTATTAGAAGCCCCCCCCAAAAGTTTATTCTTAGTCATTGGTTTTACTTCTTTAAGTGGGACACACCTGCATTTACCTCCTCCTACCGTATTCCAACTCCATAACCAAAGTAAAGCACTCCACATCTGTAGCTCTCTCTCTAGAATTCTGGGAGTAAGGTTGAAATCTAAAATAGGAGTTCTACAAAAACAAAATGAACACTTTTTTTTTTTTTTTTTTTTTTTTTTTTTTTTTTTTTTGAGACGGAGTCTCGCTCTGTCACCCAGGCTGGAGTGCAGTGGCGGGATCTCGGCTCACTGCAAGCTCCGCCTCCCGGGTTCACGCCATTCTCCTGCCTCAGCCTCCCAAGTAGCTGGGACTACAGGCGCCCGCCACTACGCCCGGCTAATTTTTTGTATTTTTAGTAGAGACGGGGTTTCACCGTTTTAGCCGGGATGGTCTCGATCTCCTGACCTCGTGATCCGCCCGCCTCGGCCTCCCAAAGTGCTGGGATTACAGGCGTGAGCCACCGCGCCCGGCCAAAATGAACACTTTTTGTTGGTTACTGAGAGAACTAACAAAGCTTGTTTTGAATTGACATTGCTGTTTGATTGTCACAGGTTTCTTCACAGATTAGGATAAAGGATGAAGAGAAGTAAACTGAATTACTAAGGATGCAACATTAATGGAGAGAGCCAAGTGATGTAAATCGTGGCTGGCCATGAGTGGATCTTGAGTGCCAGTTATCTAGGTATCACTCCATCCAGTTTCCCCCTCTCATTCCGGTTGCCAACACAGGCATCAGAGACTTTTTCCAACTCATCCCTGCTCACACCTCATAGCAATCCCCTGAGAATACATATATTGCTATCCCCATTTTACTGATGAGATAACTGGCTTAGAGGAGCCAAGCAACTTGCCCAAGATCACAGAACCACAGAGTGGCAGAGCTGGATTACAACCAGCTCCCTCTAAGCCCTTAGACTGGTAACTAATATTCTGTTTTCTAATAAAACCCTAGCCTTTTGTAAAAGATGCACTTTAGGAACATTCCTAAGATAGGTAATGACCTGCAGAGATTGCATTTCTGATCCAAATCAAACCTAGGCTGAAGGAGACGAAGCAAGGGCCAAACACAATGATTCATTGCCTACCTTGTGAAAGACAACAGTAATTCTAGGTCAAAGTCTAATGAACGGATGTCCGCATAGCAATTAGCAGTGCCGGCATCCTGACTGGCAGTCTTGGCAGAGCAGCTGTGATCGTCATAGAAACTGTACTCCTCTCTCCCCCACAGAGAAATTCCACGTGGCTGTTCCAGGATGGATTAGGCACCAATGACTCTCTTTCACCCTCGAGCTGGAATCCTGCCCCTTTAACACCTTTCCAGAGAGAGGCAACCCATGGAGGGTCACAGCAAGATGGGATGGTTGTGCCTGGTAGTAAAAATATGTATCACTCTTCATTTCATCCAGCTTTGAAGCTTCTGCTAGCAGCTCACACATGACCCCAAGGGCAGCTCCTCAAGTCTGCTAAAGAAAAGTTAAGTAGAATTAATTTTGTTCAATATCTCCCATTTTGTTAGATTCATCATTTTCAGTCAAGAATGACAATATTAATGGAACCAAAAGAATATATACTATTAACATTTCGTCTTAATTCTACAAATGTCTAAAAGTCTCTGTAATTCCCTTAAAAATAAAAAAAATGCAATATTAATTTAGGGAGCACTCTAGTTGAGCAATCAGTTCTATAGAAAATCAACGTTATATTACTCCTATTATTTACAGTATATGGCATTACATCGTAAAACTACCTTATCTTTTACTTGGGAAGACAAGGGGTGGAGGATTTGAAGAACCAAAACTTACAGAATTCCTAGTATGAACTGAGCATATTACTTCCTCTGCATCTACAAGCTTCTTATAATTATCTCCATCTTGTATGAAAGAAAACAACCTTCAGAGAAATTAGATAACCAGTTCTCTGTCTCACAGACAGTGTGAAGCTGGTATTCAAAGCCCCGGCTGTCTGACTCCAAAATCTCTGTTCTTTCTACTCCAAATTTCACATGTATTTATTTTACTTCACATGGATCTGTATCTGGGATTACTCTGTAATACATAAATTATAGAAAAAAAATTTGGCTGGGCACAGTGGCACACGCCTGTAATCCTAGCACTTTGGGAGGCTGAGGTGTGTGGATTGCCTAAGCTCAGGTGTTCGAGACCAGCCGGGGCAACATGGTGAGACCCCATATCTACTAAAAATACAAAAAAAAAAAATTAGCTGGGTGTGGTAGTGCATGCCTGTAATCCCAACTAATTGGGAGGCTGACGCAGGAGAATCACTTGAACCCAGGAGACAAAGGTTACAGTGAGCTGAGATCGAGCCACTGTACTCCAGCCTGGGCAACAGAATGAGACTGGCTCCAAGCCACGCCCCCTGCCCCAGAGCACCAAATTTAAACTAGCTGGAACCCAACTAATTAAAATCTTGAATTAAATGATTCTTCCTCTACCATATCTCCATTCTCTGCCACCATCACATTCTCAGCCTGTAGGGATAACAAGTGGGGACAAAACAACTAGGACCTATGATTGTTTTTAATCTTTAAAATGTGCCATGAGGTAAAATAATTAGCCCAACTTCCTAAATCAATTCCATTACACTGTGGTAACAAGGATTTCTGATATAAACCCAAAGCATTGTGAGATTTTAAATTATTGAAGAAAGATTCAATTATGTTCAGGATATCCTACTTAGGCAGGGAAATGTACTCATTTCCCTAAGTTTTTAGGTAATAAACTGAAAAAAAGTTGATTTTTTTTTTGTGTGTGTGTGAGGGGAAGGGACTATCTAGAAAACTCCATCACATAGTTCCTTGACTGCGTAGGTTAGTCTATATAATTATTTAAAAAGAAAACTTCATTTCCTTCCCAACCCCAAAACTACCATGTAGATAAAAACAAGTGCCAAGGGCAATGAGGCAAAATGCTTGTATTTGAATCCCAGTTCCATCACTAGTCAGCCTTGGGACCAATGGCAAGACCTTACCTCTTTGGCATCAGATGCTGCAGCAATGAAATAATGAGTTAGAATAAGATAATCTCCCAGTCCTTGCCTGGGGTGTGCATTTATGAATTCATTCATTCAACAAATATAAATATTTTCATAGACACAATGTTTCAATGTTTTATGATACCATCTTGACATTCATCAGCATTACATATTTATTAGGCAGAGTGATTACAAAGAAAGACTCAGTCATTTCCAAGGAGCTCACAAGGGGAAATCTGACATTTACACAACAGTCAAAGGTAGCCAAAGGAAACAACAATGGTCAGTATGAGCAAGGCACTACAGGATTCCCCAAGAATCATTTAATTTTTTCATTATTTCAGTAGTTGTGCTAAGACAAAAGTGATGATCTATGGAACACTCCTTAGCCTCCACACTGGACATGAGATTGTATTTAGTATTTGCTCTGCAGTCCTCCCTTGTTGTGAAAAGCACATATATCCAGAATAGTGACTAAACATAACCATAGGCAAATGGCTACATGCACATAGAGAGTCTACACAGGAAATGTGAACATATATGTACTGAACATTCATACATCAATATCCATCATATTTGCCTTCAATTCAGTGCTATAGCAAATGTTTACTGTGTGTTTGGTGCTGAGTGGGCTATAGAGGTAGAAAAGAAAGGATCTTGCCCCTCTAGGAGCACACCACTTATTCCATTTACTAAGAAAGACGGAAATATAACCAATTCCAACAGGGGCAATGATAGTGGTTCTAACAGTAATACTTCCAGAGTGTAGGAAAGGAATACTTAATGTTGTCTAAAGAATCTGGGAATTCTCAGAAAAGATAGGACTTTATCTGAGCTCTAAAGAAAGAGTAGCTCTTTGATGGGGCAATGTGTGTGAAAATGTGTATAGAGAAGCAAGAAGGCCTAACCTTTTAAGTAGTAACAATATGTCCAGACCCAGTGATAGGATCCATGTGGGCCAGAATCAGTAAATCCATATGGGTGCAGCATTAGGTCTTTGAGGAATGTAGTGGAGATCAAGGTTAGAAAGAGACACCAAAGCCAAGCGCAGGGGCTCACGCCTGTAATCCCAGCACTTTGGGAGGCCGAGGCAGGCGGATCACCTGATGTCAGGAGTTTGAGATCAGCCTGACCAACATGGAGAAACCCCATCTCTACTAAAAATACAAAATTAGCCAGGCGTGGTGGCACATGCCTCTAATCCCAGATACTCAGGAGGCAGAGGCAGGAAGATCGCTTGAACCCGGGAGGTGGGGGTTGTGGTGAGGGTGAGCTGAGACTGCACCATTGCACTCCAGCCTGGGCAACAAGAGCGAAATTCCATCTCAAAAAAAAAAAAAAGAAAGAAAGAAAAGAAGGAGACACCAAAGCCACAGAACTTCACTCTGATATTGAGTAACAATTAAGAGCATGAAATCTGGAGCTAGACTTCCTGAGTGTGAATCCTGGCTCCATGTGAACTTAGGCAAGTTACTTAGCCTCTTCTGTTACATTAAAAAGAGTTGAAGTGTGGGAATGCTTTAAACAGTGCCTAGTATTTAATAAAGTCCATATATAAGTTCGGTATTCAATATACAATGGGGAAGCAATTAAGGTAATGGAATTAGCGTGTGACCTAACTGGTCTACTTATATAGTTTTCCTTACTGTGCTATATTAAGGAGGCTGTATTTAGGAGCTGAAAAAGGAGTTTGTGGTTGTCATTGTGTTGCAAAGTTAAGAGGAATATATATTTCATCTATGTAATTAGTAATGATAGGTTCTCAGTCTTGGGAGCTCTCAGGTTGTCCAGATCCCAAAGACAGACCATGGACGATGGTTCACATTCTCAGAAACTCCTGGGATTTGGAAGGCACATTTCCTTTCATTAAAATACTCATGGTAGGTACATGCTTTCATATGAAATGATCATTCCATTTCTTATTTACTCTTTCATGATTTTTATTAGATTTTCTTAGAAAATACTAGTGTATTAGAAAATAAAAATTAGGGCTCATAGGAAAGAACATTGGATGTCTAGCCAGATTGGAACACATAATTCTTTTAAGAGATGCCAGGGACATTTCCCTCTTAGGAGAACTGGGAGCAACAGGCTTAAAGGGATTCTACACACTGCATTAATTATTAGAACATGACTCTTTGTTCCTCTATTCTATTACTCACTGATTACAAACCTTAAGGAGAAAGGTCATTATTACAAACAGCAAGAAAACAGAGGTTTAAGTTAAAATTGTCTTGGAAGGCTGTAAAACGGTGATTTTCCTTCCTTTGAGGAATAGTAAATGCAAGTATTATAATTCATAAGGGCTACTCCTTTATACAATTCAAAATCAAAATCTCATTACTCTCATCATCGCATTTTCAATAAGAATTAATTTCTGAATTTTATTAATTTTAACTATGGACTCTGCTCAATATTCTCAGGTTTGGAGAAAAAGTAGGGCAGCATTTCTATTCCATGCACTGAAAAAGACCTGGAAACGAAGCGCAAAAGCCATCACACTCCAGGAAATGTAGCAAGGCAGTGTGACCTAGTTGTAGACCCAGACAACTGGTATTCTTTTCTAGTTTTCTGCTCTCTGGGCCACATCATAGTCCTAACTTCTCTGAGCTTGGTTTTCTCTCTCTGTTGAAGTGTACATTAATGCAGGGAATTTACTATTGTGGTAATATTCTTGTAGTCACCAATGGTAATTCTCTCTCTCTGTCTCTCTTCCTCGCTCTTTCTCTCTCTCTCCTTCTCTCTTTCTCTCTTATTTTGCTTTATAAAGACTCAAACTAGAGGGTGATAGCTACCCTAAAAGTCCAGAATTCACCACTACACAATATATTCATGTAATGGAATGGCACTTGTACCTCTTAAATTTATTTTTAAGGCTCAAACTAGGAAGAAATTAGATTTTATGTATACATTTATGAATATGTATGTATACTGTACATGATGAAATTATATAATATACAGTCATGTTGTAGATGTTTAAAAATCATGCTTCCAGCCAGGCACGGTGGCTCACGCCTGTAATCCCAGCACTTTGGGAGGCCGAGGCGGGTGGATCATGAGGTGAAGACATAGAGACCATCCTGGCCAACATGGTGAAATCCTGTCTCTACTAAAAATACAAAAATTAGCTGGGCATGGTGGTGGGCACCTGTAGTCCCAGGTACTCGGGAGGCTGAGGTAGGAGAATCGCTTGAACCCAGAAGGCAAAGGTTGCAGTGAGCCAAGATTACACCACTGCACTCCAGCCTGGCAACAGAGCAAGACTCCGTTTCAAGACTAAAAAAACAAAAAACAAACAAACAAAAAATCAATATATTATAATTCATCATTGTTATTATTTTAATGCTTAAATGTTTCCCAAATTTAACCCAAGGGAGCCCAAGACAGTTCCTTATCCATTGGTCATTGCTTCATGATTTTCTGAGCATGTCTTGCTTTCCAGCACAATAGTGTATTCCAGAAGCATATTTATATACTCCTCACCTGGAATTGACCACTTCCCCCAAGGAATTCTGACTCCCTTTAGTAGGCAATGGTCTTTAGAAATCAACACCTGAAAGTCACAACTGGAATTTGAACCCAGACTGTGAGACTGCAGAGCATGCTCTCAACATCGTACTATATGACTCTAATTAAGTATAATATCCTCTAATAAGTGAGGTACACCAAAGATGCTCTAGGAATACAGAGGAGGATGTGGGTGGAAAAGAAGGGAGGATTTCACTGGGAAGGCTTGCCTTGCAAATCTACCTTTACTGTTATTTCCATGCTGATACCAGAGTGATTTCATTTAACCACCTGGACACTATGGAAACAGTCTTTCCTACTTGGGACCAAATCTATCCCAAATTATGGTTTTCCCATATTTCACCCTAGTCACAAAAATGTCTGAAAAACTCCTCTTTCCTGGTATTCAAAAAGAGCTAAGAGAAGCCACTCCTCTCCTTCATTCTACTCCTTTGACTTCCTTTACACATTCACACATTCTGTTTCGGATTTCATTGTTTCCTCAAAGCATACAAAGTCTCTTTCAAAAGGAATTCTCTTTCTTCAGAGTCATGGTTTGGGAGCTTCTAACTCCTACCCTTCTCATAATAGACCTCTCCAGACCTCATTATCTTAGCATAAAAGTTAGTACAGAATGTCAGCATGTTTAAAACCCGACTTCTTTCCTTTCTGCAAATAAATAAATAAACAAACCCAAGTTTAGATTTCAACTATCTTGCCTCAGCCATGTGTGAGCACCTCTCAAATCCACATTTGTTTTAAGAAGGCAATTTTTTTTTACCCTAAGTTTAAATTTGCATTGTGAGGGAGTATAGGAGAAGATGGGCAGCTTGGAGTTAACACCAGGCCAGGTTTCCTTAAAGGGAGCAGCAAAAGCAAGCCAGCTGAGTGATCACCTGGGTTGCAGCGCCTGAAAATACAGAGCCTCGTGGTTTTGTGCAGTGCTAGATGGAGTCTCTTCCCTGGCATCCTTCACTTGTCACTACCGTGTGTTTTCTTTAATACTATTGCTACTGCAGTTGCCACTGCCGCTATCAGTAATGAAATTAATAATAATAATAACATCCTGACCTATTCTGCCATCGCAAATTTCAGTCCATTCTAGCCCGCAGAGGAGATGGCCAGCCTGTAACACTGCAGTTGAATATTAATTAAGTGATCTTTCAGTAGCACAAGGGAAGGAATCAAGGGCCTGTTTAAAACCATTCCCTTAGATCTATTGCAGATAGGAATCAATAAAGCATCCATGTTCAGGGTCACAAGTTGGCTTGGAAAACAAATCCACAACTGAGAACCCTATGGCCTCCCCTGGAGCACTCCAGGCCAGATCTCTCCCTGTCTGATGACAAACTCCAAGAGCCAGGGTAACCCATTACTCACTCCCAAGCTGTTGTGGGCTTTTTTTTTTTTTTTTTTTTTTTGCTGTTGCTTGACTATAAGCCAAACAAAATGAACGTTCATATGGTGAACTTGGCAGCTGTCCCACTCCAGACTGTGCTTTTCCACAAGCCAAAGGAGGCTTTGAAGCTGGCCTCCCCTCCACTTTGCCCCAAGCTGGGGAATTACCCTTGGAGGAGCAGAGATCAGCTGGCACTGAGCCATGCTGCCCTTTGGGTCAGGAGACATTCAAGAAAGGCCCGGCCTATGGGCCTCATAGCTGAGCAGAATGACTTGGCCTGTTCCCAGGGCTGCCAAAGGTGTCCTGTATCTTTTTGCTGAATTTCTAGGGATAAAAGCTTAGCATTTTATACTTACACCTTAACATAAGAATATCTGTCCTTTTGCCTGTATGTATTGAGATAGAAAGGTGTCCCACTGCAAGGCTTTAGAAATGTTTTGCAAACTCACACTCAGTTTGCCAATAATTCACAGTAAAATCTGAACTCACATAATCAAGATTGGATACAAAGAGCACTGGAATGAAGGGATGGATGAGTGAACAAATGAAATTAGACTATACCACGAAGGAATGGAGTACATGAATGAAGACCAGACATCAGGAATCTGGGTTTTGGTCCTGGCTCAGTCCCTTCCTGACTTCTCATTTAACCACTTGCAGGTCAACAGCCCCACCTAGAAAATAAAAGACTTGGAGAAATTATTTTATCTCTTCCAGATATAGATGATTTATTATATCACTTGTGTGCATATACAGATTAATAGTCAAGCATGAAAGCAGTCTATAATTTGTAGCCATCAGTAACAATCAAACAGCCTCCAAATAACCGGAAATCCAAAAGCAGCCAAAAATTGAATTATACCGCATGATTAACAAATTGTGAATATGAATTTTGACTCTGTCACAAGGTCAGGTTACTCAGCCTCTGTGGCATGGCTCACTGTAAATATTCTAGACACATGTGCTCTCAAACTAAAGTATTTTTAAAATATAACAAAATTTACCCTTAACAATTTAAATTGTTATATTTAAATTGTTGTTATTAAATTAAATTGTTGTATTAAATTAATTGTTATATATAAATTGTTATATTTAAAGTATAACAATTTACCCTATATATTAGGGTAAATATTATATTTACTCTTGGGATATTATACTAATGTCCCAAGATGGACACAGATAAGCTCTTCAAAATGGTTCCTATTTGAATACTCTAATTCTGGAGGAAACAAAGTGTTCGAATCATACCAAAGGTCTTCCAAGTAATGAACAAGTAAAGGAGCACTTCATAAAGTAAACTAGAATGCCACAATTAGTATGGATGCTTAAGATTACTCAAATGTGTGGTTTTTCTAACACTAATCTAATTTAGAAATGTATATTATAGTATTAGAAATGAATACTATAATTTAGAAATACTCACTACTTCTGACTATTCTTTTTCCTCTATTTTTATTTTGTAATTTTGAATTTTTTACTTTTCCTTTTAAGAGACAGGGTCTTGCTCTGTCACCCAAGCTGCTGTGCAGTGGCATGATTATAGCTCACTGTATCCTCAAACTCCTGGGCTCGAGCAATCCTCTTGCCTTGGTTCCCAAAATTCAGGGATTACAGATGTGAGCCACTGTGCTTGGCAATTTTAAAGTCTTAAAACAGTGTTATATTAATATAAATCATGGTAGGATTTGACATTTCAAAGAACTTGAGGATAAAAACATTTCTTAGGGGACCAAAAATGATCACTAATTTGTAAAATGGGCCTAGACTCACCCACATCTCCCAAGTGATGTTTCCTTCTTCAGAGCTGCTCTACATGTAATTAAGAGAACAGAAGGGCCGCCTGCATCAATCAAATGCACAACCTTCCCTAGCACACACAGTTCCAATGAAAATCCAAACAGCTATTGGGATGAACTGAGGAATGATGTTTATCAGGTCTTCAAGGTGAAAATACCACCAGCATTTATTACTGAGAGAAGAATCTTTTAGCAAACAATAGACCAATAAATTTTACCTCTCAAAAAAGTGTTTCACTTCATTCTTCCACTTTTGACTCCAAGTCATAAAAGACCCAGCGCAGAATAAAGTAGGTATGCTGAGAGGGTTTAGACATCCTCTCTCATGCCCAAGCAAGATCATATGCTTAAAAATGGTCCTTGGCAGAAGAATATATCTTTAATTTCTTTAACATATTAAAAATTAAGCCTGGGGCTGGGCGCTGGGGCTCGCACCTATAATCCCAGCACTTTCGGAGGACGAGGCGGGCAGATCACCCAAGGTCAGGAGATCAAGAACAGCCTGCCCAACATGGTGAAACCCCGTCTCCACTAAAAATATATAATTAGCTGGGCACGGTGGCATGAGCCTGTAATCCCAGCTACACGGGAGGCTGAGGCAGGAGAGTTGCCTGAACCCTGGAGGCGGAGGTTGCAGTGAGCCGAGATTGTGCCATTGCCCTCCAGCCTGGGCAAAAAGGGCAAAACTCCATCTCAAAACAAAAACAAACAAATGAAAAACCAAACCTGGAAGAATAAGATCATACAGTTTTCCCAGCTGTGTATGAGATTCTTCTCACCAAAACTTAGCCACAAAGCTGGAGTTAGAGCGAAAGAGGCCGTGAAGTAGATGAAAAAAAGAGAAGCCCTTCCTTTTTGGAGACTGGGCGATTGTGGTTTTAGAGAAAAATAATAAAACATATATTCTCTGATTCCATCTGTGTTAAAACTGCAAATCAGAGTTATATTTGAAAAAATGTAGGAGAGAAATCTCCTTTTGCTACATGCACTTTAAATTCTCAAGGAAGTATACTAGCTGTGTTCTCAGAAGAAAACAAATAGAATGCTAGATAATATTTACATCCCTTGCATACCAAACCAGAGGAAACAAACAGCCCTGTTCAGAAACTGGGCAGGTGAGGAAACAGTTTAAACCTGAAGGAACTCTATCACTGTGTTATGCTCCTGGAGAAGCAAGAGACCTCCTGAGATCATCAACTTTTAAAAGTAGTGTTTAATCTTCCAGGGATGAACCTTCTATTGCAACATACATAATAACAAAGTTTGTAAAACATATTGTGGCATTTAATCTATAGATGCTTATTATAGGAAATAGAAGTTATTCATTTAAACTGTAAATGTAAATACCAGCTTGTGTCAACTGACACACTACTATGTAAATTGTATAGATACTTCTGTAAGTCAGAGAGCTCCAGACTCCGTAGTCTGAACTTCCCTTTGCAGATTGAATAAGAAAAGCTAAGCAAGTGATGTTTACCACACAGTTTCATGTAGCCCAAATGATGAAGAGCCATTGTGAATATCACCTACTTTGACCCATAATGCTCCACTGTCCTAGAGATTATATTTTACCGTCTTGGTGACTCTATTGTTTTGCAGTTCGGGTTTGGATTTGATAAGTAAAATGGCAGCGTGAAAATGTTAGCCTCATGCTTAATAGGCTAGGCTATGAGGAAGAAAATGTTAAACAATAGCATTGGCATATTTTTTCCTATATATTTGAGAACCAAAAATTAAAATTAAGAAGGCAAAATAGGAATACATAGGTTTTAGAAATAATAGTGCATATATGCTCCAAAGTATACTATTTACCATTCAATTAAAAGAATCAAAAGAACTTTATTGATTGGCAAGAAAAATTAGAAAAACAAATATATATAAAACAAGAATTGCTCTCTCTAGCAATCTGTAACCCAGTTGGGTGATGGCCTCAATTAGACAGAAGCAGTATAATTGGGAATTTGATCTTTGCTCCTTTGTCGAGTTCCTAGAAAATTTCTTTAACTGTAGATGGAGAAATTATTCTAAATGATAGTCAGCAAAAAAGAGCATCTGAAATACATTTCTCACTCTCTGGAGAGTGAGAATGGCCCAGCACAGATTCCAGCATTATAAATAGGATCTTCGGCATGTACTTGACATAGGAATATATCAGGAATCTTAGTAAAGATGGGGAGTTTTCACTGTTTCAAGCAGGACAACCACAGTTTCCACGTATCTATGTGTTGGTTGTAACCTAGGTTGCAGGCAACTGCAATCACCCAAGCACACCCATCACTAGTGTGCCATTCCCAATGTTCATAACTTGCACTTTGTCAAGACTTCATTGAAAAAGTACAGGCAATAAGTGGGAAAAATAATTGTTCATTTGGTGGCAAATTTAATGGGTTTTGAAGCCTGAGGTGTGGGCAATACACCCACACACACACATGCAAACACACACACATTGATATGGTTTGGCTGTGTTCCCACCCAAATCTCAACTTGAATTATAGTTCCCATAATCCCCACATGTCGTGGGAGAGACCCAGTGGGAGGTAATTGAATCATGGGGGTGGTTACCCTCATGCTATTCTCATGATAGTGAGGGAGTTCTCACGAGATCTGATGGTTTTATAAGAGACTTTGCCCCCTTTGCTTGCCACTTATCCTTGCTGCCGCCATGTGAAGAAGGACGTGTTTGCTTCCCCTTCCACAGTGATTGTAAGTTTCCTGAGGCCTCCCCAGCCCTGCAGAACTGTGAGTCATTTAAACCTCTCTCCTTTATAAATTATCCAGTCTCGTGTATTTCTTCATAACGGCATAAGAATGGACTAATACACATATTTTAGAAAGGAACTCTAGCAATTCAATTTCTAATCTAATTATAATGTTCATAATACCACATTGTTCTGAGAAGTAGTTATGCTGCCATAAAATTCCAGAATACAAATGTAAAGGTTTGCTTCAGATTCTGTCTAAAAAATGGAAAATTTCAAACTGAAGACATCTATTTGGTTACTTCTTAGACATTCCATTTAAAGAGGTAAGTAGAGAACTAGATAAAGGAGGTGTGGAAGAAGTAAAGGGAATTTAGCTGATGCATCTATGGCTCTAATAGCAGGCATGTTCCATCTGCTTACTTTGCTAAGTAGCATATGCTGCCTGCTATAGACACTTAAATGCAACTGATGGTAGAATTGATCAATTTAAAGAGATAATTCTTTGGAGGAAGAAAGGGAACAAACTATCTCTGGATAACTTAATCCAATATAGAAAAATAAAACCATATGGATTTAATGACAGATTTAAAGTCATTTTAAAAGAAATCATAAGTAAGTATGCAAAATAGCTAAACTATTTGCTAAAACTTTTGAAAATCATAATGAAATTGGAAAATTTCTATTTTCAGGAAAAAATAGAAATCAAGATGAACTGAAGAAATATGAATCCAAAGAATAGACCCAAGGAAAAACCCAAACTGTTAGCACATCACACATTATTGCAAAATATGATGCTACACACAACAAACTGAAATAAATATACAGTGAAATGGCTGCTGAGGGGGAAGTATTCTTAAAATATTAAACACTTCATCCAGATTGAAAAGAAAAACATAAAGCCATTACAGAAAATTGACAAGGAATCTAAATAGGCAATTCACAGAAGAAAAGTTTAATATCCATTAAATAAATGAAAAATCAATCTCGCAATGTAATCAAATAAGAAAAAAATAAAAACATTAATTAGATATTGTTTTAATTTATTAAATTATCAAAATAATATGAATCCTGGTAAGATTACAATGAAACAGGAAATACCATTCAGTGCTAATATATAATTTATCCAAAAGTATGTATAATTTATCCAAAAGCCATTTGGCAATGTAGTATGAAAAGTCTTTAAAATGTTTAGGCCCTTTGACCTAATAATTCCAAAACTGAGTTTATCATAAGCAAATAATATGAAATGCAAACTTTATGTAAGTATAATATGTATAGCATTATTTATGATAGTGAAAAATTGGAAATAACCTAAATATCAACCACTGGAGACTGGTAAGTCACATCCATATGATGCAGTCATTAAAAATCACGATCCAGCTAACATTTACTAACACCAAAAATGTTCACACTATATGAAGTTCATGTTCACATTGTACAATATTCATACTACGTATGTAGAGAAAAACTAGAAAGCTATCACCTAAATGTTCATAAGATAATAATCAATTAAGCCAATTTAAATATTATGGATATTTTAATAAAATAAAAAATACTTAAGCGGTTAAAATGGAATATAAACTGTAAACTATATACAAATAAATGCAAAGAATGATGGTAAACAAATTCACAGTCCCTAGCTACGCACAAATCAAGCATTGATCTGAGCAGCCTGGGAGCTCAGGTGGCCAATAGAAAAACCAAAGGGAAGCAGTTATTCATGTTAGAAACTGGTGAGGAGTCCAGAATCCAGGAAGTGAAATATTAAACATAGAAATAGGACCACTCCTCAAAAACTGCCTGACACCAGGGCAAATGGCATCTGGCTGGCTGCTCCTAATATGCTATTTACTATAAGGGCAAGAATTTGGGTCTGTGTGAGGCTAAGTCTGATTCTACAGCTATCTGAAGAACAAGGGAACTGATACTAGATAAGATAAAAAAAGAAAAAAAGAAGCCTAATATTTCAGGTGATCTCTGACAGATATAGAAAGCAAGCTTTAAATAAAAACCTCGGACTTTCTACTGAGAAGAGAGAATTGTTGATATCAAAACAGTTCAACAAGCCTTAATAGTGCAGTCAAGTCAATCAGTACAGCTGAGAATAAGATTGAATCAGTATGGGGGCCCCATAAAATAAAAAATAGCCTGAACTAGACTCACAAAACTGTCTCTATGAGGCTCCAGACTCAAGGATGCATTTGGGGCCCTGGTGAATGTGGAGTGTGCTGATGGAGGGGCTACAAAATAGCTTCTTTTTGAATCAGCAGAATAATTTCTTAGTGCTATTTTAGTGCTATCTTTGAATGCCTAATGATCATGACAGCTACAGATACCCCAGGTCTGATTGCCTAACAGATGGGGATGATCAACTTGTTTTTCTTGCTGCACTACCTCAAGCAAGATTCCAACAGTTCACTGTAGAGTCACCAGAAAGGAACGACTTTACCTATGTTTTGCTCAACATTTTGAAAGAAAGATTGAAACAACTATTTCTGTAAGTAAAGAATTGCTGCCTAATGCTGTCTTCATCTGCAGAATAGGTGCTGAACGGATTTTTTCCCCATCACATTGAAGTTCTCTCTATACTGCAGTCTTTTAAAATGTATCTTGCACACACTACACATTTGGAGGAGGAGGAAGAGGTAGGCAGGTTGTTTACTCTGAGGAGCTCGTGAAGAGGTTGGTGGTATTATACCTTCAGGAGTTTAATCTCTGCAGCGATTGCATGTAGTTTTTCTGCAGTCGTCTCAGATAGTGACTTCCCTTTAATAGGACCATTTATGTCATTCCTTTCTACCCCTTATGGGATGATTTTTCAAATTTCTTCTGTCCAAAAGGTAACAGGCATCCTTGGTAAAGTGCCAGGAAATGTCTTGTATTGGATTTTCAGATCCACAGATAGTGCCAGGCCAAGGCAACAGGTTCCTTGTGTCGAATCACCCCAGTGGAGGGTAAAGTCAGCCCCACTCTCAACTCCACCACCCAGTAACTTGTTTTTGGAAGAGAGTGACTTTAACCTTATTGATGATTGTCCCCAAAATATAGAATATATAATTACACCTAATACTAAGAGCTGTCTGGGAAGTGGAGAAAACTGTAATATCATAGAGCTTCAAAGTAAAATTACCCCCTAAAACTAAGAGCTCATTGTATATATAGAACCAGGGTGGAAGAGGCCTTAAATAGAAATAGAATCTCACTTTCTGTGCCCAAGCAGATTTGAAACTGAAATTAAATAAATGTAGGCATTCAAATTTAATAGAGAGTTCTGCCAGGAATTGGAGTTAGACTACCTAAAAGCCTGCCATTAAGGGTGTATTTCTTTAACTAAAAGGCTTAGGTATCCATAACACCTAAAACTGGATCCTTAATCTCCTATGAAATATCAGCAGCTCCCCTGAAATGAGCATACATAATGAGCCAACTGTCTACCTTCTGTTGACTGATCAGCACCTGCACAAAACCTGACTCACATACCCTAATTACAATCAAGAACAATAACCTTTCATATTTATTAACCCAATGTAATATTCCTAGAAATGTTTACAGTGGAGGAAGAGTTTTATTTTTTTCCTAAAAATTGTGAACATATAAGTAACTGTAAACATTCCAGAAACATTATGTTCAAGTTCAAACATTCTAACCTCCCACTGTTACTTTATTAATCCATATACATAATTCTGAGTTAAAATGTATAAAGCATAAATAAATAAAATGTATAAAATGTATAAAGCACTAATCTTTATAGCCACAACACTCACAGGAAAAAGGAAGTACAATAGTGATTTTCTTCTTTCCCAGTCATTTTCTAAAAATGCTTATTCATTAGTTCATTCAATAAGTATTTATTGCAGTCACTGTTCCAGGTAGTAGGGACAAAATAGTAAACAAAATAAACACAAATGCTGGCCCTTGAGGAGCGTATAGTCAGTGGAGGTGAGGTGGATGTAGTTTATTCATTTGATTGCAATGTATACCTTTTCCAGAGTACATTTACTACTTAAAGTGCAAGCCAAAAATACAAAAGCAATTATCTTTGCTATAATAATAAGGAGTAGTGCTTGCTAGATCCCTCCAACATAGAAGCGGAATTGTGGTAACAAATGGCACGAGTGCTCTCAACTTAGGTATTCTTCTTATCATTATGTAAATGGATTCTTTTAACTTGGAAATTTATTCTTCAAAGTCCCTCTTGGGCAGATGGGAGCCTGTACTAGACCTGAAACATCAGAATTATTAGGTCAAAAATAGGTATATTTTTAGGATTTTAGTACATAGTACAAAATGCTCTTTTAGAAAGTGAGCCAGTTGATTATTCTAGCAGCAGTGCATGATACCCACTTCACCCAGAGATGCCCCACACCAGCCCTAGTTTTTTTGCTGGGTCTTTTTCAGTATGATAGGTCTAAACAATGTCCTATGGTGATCACCATTTGCATATGACATAGACAGTTGTAGATAGATTTCACTGTTGGAATAATTAAACAAAAGTTGAATGAGCTTTGAAGACCTCTCTCTCTCTCTTTTTTTTTTTTTTTCCTATTCACAGTCTTGGGTTTTACAAGCTCTGTTTCTGTCTAAGAAAGTAGAGCTCCTTTGGTGAGTTATCTCTGACTCACAGTAGAGAGATTCCTAAACATGCCCAGTATTTGATTCATCAGTTCCTAAATCATCTAATCTTGCTCCATTTGTCCTCTGGCCCACCTTGGTAAATTCATCAGGACACATTTTGTCCAAATCAATCTCAATCTATCTTATGCAAGGGGAAAGAAGTTTATTGATTCAAATAACTGGGAAGTCAAGAGGTAGATCTAGCATGGCTGGATCCAGAAGCTCTAACAATGTCAATATCAATTCAGTCTTTGTCTCCTCTCTCCCTCTTCCCACCCGCCTATTTCTCTTTCTTCCATTTGTCTCTGCTGTTCATGATGTTTTCCTAGCAGCCTTCTGTGCTAGCTCCCACAGAGACATTCCAAAGAGAACATTGGCCTGACCTAGGTGCACAGCCATGTGCCCATCCCTGTGAGCTTTGTAGTTTTGCAGAGTGGGGATGGAGTATGGAAGAGATATACTCTGATTAATAGCCTTACTCAGACTATGTGGAGTACAGGAGGAGTTCAACAAAGGAAGCAGGAGAAGAGGATAGGAAAGCTCGTTGAACAGGCGACAACTATAGTTACCACTATTCACTCTAGTTTCCAACCTTCTCTTCTTTTTATGCCCTGTCAATTACATGAACTACAAACCATGCCCCCATGTTTCCCCTGGCCTTTAGCCTTCACTTTCTGGCTGGTCACACGTTTTTATGTCCCATTCAGCTTGGGCTGTCTATAGAGGCCAACAATTAGAGCAACAGCCCTTCCAGACCAACTGTCCCAGCTTGATGACTCAGGTATATAAATTCTGTCATTTTCACTCTAGTCTACAATAGCAAACTAAAGTAGGAGATACAATTTTGATGAAGCAGCAGTTTCTCAGGCTTCTGAATGTCCATACCTCATCAAAATCTGCAGGAATTTTGAGGCAGCGACATGAGAGAATGTCCGGTGGGGCAGGCAGCTTGTTCAGGGCTGTAAGGTGGCTGATTTAGCTGTGGGACTGGCTGGCAGGGAGGTAGGAGGGAAACGGAGTAGAATGGAATAGGGATGGAGAGAAATCAGTGAAGTATGTGCTCCTTTATGGTAGCTTGCTGGTTTCCCCCCAACAGACCAGCCCCAACAGGAGCCCAGGACCCCTGACCTCAGCTCTCCTAACTGAGCTGCACCTCAGAGTTGGTTCTGGGCTTTCAGTGCTGCCCTCAGAAGTAACCCTTCTCCAGAACTCCAACACAGTCACGTGGCTTGAGCAGGTCATGGTAGGCACGCTTCATCCATCTTCATTATCATAAACAGATCTGAGTGACCTTTGTAAAGAAATTGAATCATTTAACAGAATATTTATTACCATTTTTGTTTTTTGTTGTATTTGCTTGACTTCGCTTCATTACTAACTTGTCTGTTCTTTCCTCAGTAATTTTTTACTCTTTTAAATGGGGAAAAAGAAAGAGGCTTAGTCTCGTGTTAAGGCCATACCCCAAAGAAAGGGAGCTAGATGCCTTCTCTGGCTTCCTCTTTTCTCAACAGCCACGCCTCCGCCTACCAGCCAGGTTCTGCAGTGGGTGTTTTAGCATCTTTCAGTCATTCGGTCAGTCACTCAACAAACACTAACTGATGCCGGGTGCCAGGGCTGGGGTTTCAGATGTGCACTTAGCTCACACTTGAAAAGGATTCCCATTCCAGCCACAGAGTGACCTTCTGACCTTAAAAACCCACCTCTGGAGAAGGCTGTTGATCATATTTTTTGTATCTTACCAGTGTGGATACTTTGAAACAGAGAATTTAAATAACTTGTCTAAAATTACAAAACTAGCAGAAAGTATTTACACCAGGGATTTCTTTAAATCCCCTGCTCTTTCCACTGAACAGTGTGGCCTCTTTAAGCATGCAAATACACTGTGGTGGGTTGCATTTCAGAGAGGCCAAGATTTTCAATCCATGATTGTTTCTTTTCAGGTGTTCTACCTGCTATTCTAGCATCAGATGAGCCAGTCCACCTGCTGGGGGTAGAGAACTAAGAGCAGCTCTCAGGTCTCCCTGGGTTTAATCTAGAAATTAAAAAAATAGTGATTTCCTGATATTACCCTTTAAATAAGGGAACAATTTAAAAATATAATATTAAAAAACTTAGATTTGGGAGCTAAGCTACAAGGATGCCAAGGCATAAGAATTATACAGTGGACTTCGGGGACTCGAGGAAAGGATGGGAGGGGGATGAGGGATAAAAGACTACACATTGGGTACAGTGTACACTGCTTGGGTGGTGGGTGCACCAGAATCTCAGAAATCATCACTAAATAACTTCTTCATGTAACCAAACACTACCTGTTCCATAAAATCCTATTGAAATTAAAACAAACACCTAGAGTAAGGTCAATAGGAAGAGCATTTCATCAGGAATTAATAAATCTAGGTCTAATTCTACCATTGACAATCTATGTTGGGCAATTTATTTCCACCTCTCAAGGCCTCTATTGCAAAATGAAACATTCAAATTAGATTCTCTCTAATACCCCTTCCAGTTCTAAAATTCTATGATCCAGATATATACATCATATAACATAATGTATCTTTCATTTCCATTTTTCTCCTCTAAGAAAAGACTATTAACTGTTTAACTTAAGGTCTCTGGGATGTTGAAAAGCCCCAGGGCTTAAGGAACAATTTTCTTCAGCTGGAGCTCTGTCAGGCATTGGCTCTAATTGCTCTTTGAAAGATCCTTATCTGTAAATCCAGGTTGGCCTCCATCCCTTCTGTATTAGTAGGATCCCTAGAGAAATGGAAATAAGAGGAATGTATAGACACAGCCATGAGGATTTATTGTGGGAATAGGCTTATGTGACTGTGGAGGCTGAGAAGTCCCATACTATGTGGTCTGCAAGCTGGAGAACAGCAAAGCTGCTTGTATAATTCAGTCCAAGTCTGGTGGCCTGAGAACCAGTGGAACCAATGGTGTAACTCACAGTCCAAGGCTGAAGTCCCAAATATCAGGCAGGCTGCTAGTGTAAGTCCCAGAGTCTGAAAGCCCAAGAACCAGGAGCTCCAATATCCAAGGACAGAAGATGAATGTCTCAGCTCAAAAAGATGGAGAGGACTTTCCTTTGCCTTTTTGTTCTATTTGGGTCCTTAAAGGATTGGATGATGGCTGCCCACAATGGTGAGGACAGATCTTCTTTTCTTAGTCTGTTGATTTGAACGCTAATCTCTTCCTGAAACACACCCTCACAGACACACCCAGAAATCATGTTATACCAGCTGCCTGGGTATCCCTTAGCCTGGTAAAGTTGACACATTAGCTTGACCATTACACTTTCCTTCTGTTGTCACTTACAGAGGTCCTCCCATCACTCACCACTGCCCTGGCAGCCTTCTGGTTCTCCCAAGCAAAGCAGGTCTCTGAAATCAGGTTCTCTCTGATCCTCTCATAGCTGCAAGATTAACACATAGCAGGAAGAAGTGAGCTCTCCACTCAGTCCCTCTGTATCTTCCTCTCCCTGGGTAATTTTGGGAAGATTAGAGAGAAAATTGATGAAGCTTTTGGGGGCACAGGAGGTGCCCAACAAGTGTCAGTTTATCCTTTCCTGACAAAGGGGCCCCAACCCTTGGGTTCAGGGGGTCTTCCTCTTAGTAGTCTTTCCTAAAGAGAGTATTATTTAATCAGAAGCTAGTTTTTGAGACACACATTTTTATCTAATATTTCCATGTGCACAGAATTACACTTTAAACATAACATGGAGCAGTCAAATTAGCCCAGACTTGACTAGTTGTCTCCAAATATGATTGCAATTATGTTCAACATATGTACTCTCAACTGGAATGGGAAAACCACCATGTGTAAAACACACTTCTTGGCTTCCTTAACTTGGGTTCTGATCAAAAAGATGAACTGATTTTAGGTATAAAAGGAATTGAGATGTGAGAGATGGTTTACCTGGGGTCACAGGCATCAGTCTTCAGAGCTCTAAATTAGACCCCTTTATTCATGTGTTGTTGCCTCTCTCCAAATCCACTGGCTTCTCTCATCCAGCAAATACCTTTCATATGACCTCAGTGCTCCAAAATTGAGGCATCAGCTCTCTTAATTTAGCAGGTCAGAATAGGTGGCTCCTATAGCCAGTCCCCTTAGGACCCTGTCCCTTGACATCTGAAATCAAGAGAATGTAATCTTAGTAACAAAGCATATGAGAAAGTTGATGGTGCAAAGGCCTTCTCTTCTCATCTGGTTACTTGAGTGCACTTCAGCTTGTCCTCAGGCAACTCACGGTCCTTGTACATGCTGTTTCCTCTGCTTGGAATTCTTCTTCTTCTCCTAGCTTGGACATTCCAACTTATCCTCCAGGTCTGTTTTGATGTCATTATCTTCAGGAAGTCTACCCTGACTCCATAAAAGTCCGAGTTAGATCCTATGTGATCCCTAATGCCCTGGCTTATATCATCTATATCATTCTCTCTATTGCACCTGTCTAGACCAGCAGTGTCCCATGGAAAATACTGTAATGATAGAAATGCTCTATATCTGCACTGTCCAAAATGGTAGCCGTCAGCCACATGTGAGCTATTGGAATATTTGAAACATGGACAGTATAGCTGAGGAAGTAAACTTTAACTTATAATACTTAAATTTAATTAAATATAAAAGCCACATGTAGCCACTGGCTACCATACTGGACCACGCAGGTCTAGACATTATAACTCTTGAGCACAAGGGCTGTGTTTTGTTCACCTTTGAATCATTCGTACTTAGCCAAGGGGTGGGCAATCAGTAGGTGCCGGGTGAATATTTTTGGAATGAGTGATTTTAGTAGAAATCCCAGTTTTGTTGTCTCAAAAGATGAACTTTCACAGTGGAACCTCCAGGCCAGGAAGAAATGGAAGTGATTCCTTGATTGACAAAGAGGAAGCTTTAAAAAGCAAATGAGATTGTCACCTGGAACAAATTCTAGGTGGACAAGGGTGCCGTTGGTGCCTCCCTCTTCTTTTCTTAGTGCCCTTTCCCTTCTCCCAGGGTGTCTCACCCCGAGCCCTTAGTCTCTCAGGTCCAGCCTACTGCTTCCTGCCCACCCAAGACCTCATACAGATGCACCCCAGTGTATCAGTGAGATCCTTTGGTTGCAACTGGCAAAAACCAATTCAGGCCCACTTAGACAAAAAACCAACTAGAAGGATATGGGGTAATTCACATAATTAAAGAAAAGTTGGACACTTGGACTTCAGAATGGACAGGAATCAGAGCAACCCTGGAAATCCTGGTGTCAGGACCTAATGAAGAAGCTCTAGAGGGAGCTGCCCTTGGGATAATGGGACCTAGATGATTCTTTGCATCTGTTCCAGGATTCAAGCAAAGGGAGGGTGTTTTCAGTTGCTCCAGCTTTGAACAGGGAAGGACAGGCACCATGATTGACTCTTGCCAGACATAAATCCAATGAGAGGCAGTGGTTTCTCCCAAAGTAAAATCAGAGTGCTCTAGCTAGAATAGATACTGGCAGGCAAAAATGATAGATATCCATGATGGCCCCACTGACTAGAGCTCCACAGCAATGTCCTTCTGGATCTTTCCTTTCTGTCTCCATCTTTATCTCACCCTCAGCCTGGTCCACCCAAGGAAAAAAAAAATACCCAGTATCTCATGGTATTGAAAAATTTGCCTGTGTTTGGTCTTTAAATAGGCTTTGTCCTAGATCTCACTTTCTTCATCTCCTCACTCTAAGAAAAAAAAATTATATGCAACTACATCTGCAAGGATAATAGCTACAATGTATACATATACACACATACATACACACACACACACACACACACACACACACACACACAAATATTTATAATCCAATGGTGAGAATGGTTGGTCAGCTTTAGGTATCCATCGCCAAGAGAGGGGACTGAGAAGATTTAAGGGAAAATTCAAAACGGTGACACATGAGAGACCAGAACAACTCTATCAAGTCACTGGTTTCAGCTTTATCTGGTAGAGACACCTAAATCCTTGAGATCTGAAGCCCTCAAAATGGAGAAACAATGGCCCAAACAAACCATGCCTTAAGCCACAAAACAATTCTTGCAGAAGTGCTCACTCAGGACTCTGCTGAAAGTACAGTGGTCATTCTCAATAGAAAATGATTATCCAGGCCAGCTGCGGTGGCTCACGCCTGTAATGCCAGCACTTTGGGAGGTTGAGGTGGCTGAATCACCTGAGGTCAGATGTTTAAGACCAGCCTGGCCAACACAGTGAAACCCTGTCTCTACTAAAAAAATACAAAAATTACTTGGGCGTGGTGGCAGGCGCCTGTAATCCCAGCTACTCGGGAGGCTGAGGCAGGAGAATCACTTGAACCCAGGAGGCAGAGGTTGCAGCGAGCCGAGATTGCACCATTGCACTCCAACCTAGGCAACAAGAGCAAAATTCCATCTCAAAAAAAAAAAGAAAAGAAAAGAAAAAGAAAATGGTTCTCTACACTGTGACCAAAGTGATGGCTGACAATTCACAACCACTTCAGCTGCGGCTTCACTGTCCCAGCAGAGAAGGAAAGGCCGACAAACACTGATGATAAAACTCACCAAACCATAAGATTTGCTCACACATTCCCTGAAAATAATCAAAACCCAGCTGCTTAGTCTCTAACTGGGTGGCAAGCCTATCTCTCCTACCCACAATTGTTCCAGCTGTCAATTATGGCCAGTGAGTCACCACTGCCGAGAGATAAGCGTCCTGCTACAGAGACAAACCCAAGTGTCATCCTGGGAGTGCTTATTATTTCTTTCTGACACCACCAATGTTCCACTTGGCTTCCTCCATCTGGCATTTCAGCACCTGAAAAGTTTCTAACTTGGAATGCAATCCACATCCGGCTTTTGAGAGCTGTAACTCTCTTTGGAGGCTTCTGAATCTTATACCACTGCAGGGAAATCATGTTGAAGATGACTGAGCAATGCACACTGTCAACAGGGGCTACACAGGGCAAACTCTGTTTTGTGGTGGGGATATGAATGGCATAATAATGTAGTAGGGAGAGATTGAGAAAGTTAATATAATAACCCAGCAAATGAAAAATAGGTAGCTTAGACTCTATAGATGCTTAACAGAGACAGACATCACTGAGATTAGAGTATTGAGGGAAGACAGGATAGCAAACAAAAGAAATCAAATGTTGGCCAGGCTGGTCTTGAACTCCTGACCTCAGGTGATCCACCCTCCTCGGCCTCCCAAAGTGATGGGATTACAGACATGAGCCACCACACCCGGCCAGATTCATTGTTTTCAGGAGCTGGGGAGAGGTGGGAATGGGGAGTGACTGCTAATTGTGTTCAGGTTTTTCTTAAGGGAATCAGAAATGTTCCAAAATTTGATTGTAAGGATGGTTGCAAAACCCTATAAATATTCTTTAAAAACCCACTAAATTGTACATTTTAAGTGGGTGAATTGTTTATATGTGAATTATGTATCAACAAAGCTGTCTAAAACATATTCTGGAGTTTGGGTTTTTTAAAAATAAATATTTGCTCATTCAGGTTGTTTTCATACAACTCATATCTCCTTATTCTAAAAGTCAACTGCTGAGAAAAAGCAAATTAATTACAACTTTATTTTAATTTCTCTATCTCCAGAACTAGTAAAGTTCTCCAGACCTGCCCATTGTCCTTGGGCAACCCACAGCACAAACATCAATGATACAAGCAGCCCCTTCCAGCCCACAACACTCATTTGTTCATTCTCTCATGAACTTACCTAAAGAATCACGGGCCAGCAATGCTCTAGGTTCTGAGGAGATAGTGGTGGATCTCTAGACAAGCTCCCCAGCCACTACAGCTCAAATTTCAGTCAAACAGAGGTGAGAAGGGGTAAAAAGGATGTCAAGCAACCCCTTGGAATCGAAGGGGAGACCAGGAACATAAAGAACACACTGGAAAGGTGTGAGTCAGGCTTTGGTCATCTACAGTTGTCATCTAGTGCAATGTGGAGTTGAGCAGGATGGAAACTAGGGGCTGGGCTGAGCAGAGTTGGTAGCAGAATGCATTGTATGGGTTCAGTACAGGAGCCCAGGTGAAGAGTGCAGGAGTCAGTAAAGGTCAGTTACCAAGCCATATAAGCCTCCTTCAGAACAGGCACCAGGGCTTTTGAACTGGGTGAAAACAATCTAGGGAATGAGCTACAGGAAAGCCAAGTGTCTGACTAAATCTTCTTAGTTGTCCTGTTAGACCCGTGGCTGGACCTAGCTGTGGCATCAGTTTCCTCGTCTGTAAAGTTAATATAATAATAACCACCTTGTTAGGAGGATTAAATGAGATAAAGCAAGCCTAGATACCTATCAGAATTACACATTTAAAACAGTGCATTTTAGTTTGTTTATCTAGGAAATATTCTATTACATAATATATATTAATTATAACAAGGTATTATTCAATCGTACAATAATGAAGCCACTTGCTTCGAACTTTTTCACCCAAAATGTACAAGTGGACTGTTATCTTCTACTTTCAATTCCCGCCTCCTGGTGAAGGTTATGTTCAATTGCTTTTCAAGTATTGATGACCATTTCTTCATACTTACTGATATGAAAATATGCTATAATAATAGTATGATAAACTATTATATAGATAAACTTGTGTTAGTCAGGGTTCTCTAGAGGGACATAACTAATAGGATACATATATATGTACATATCTATATATAAACTTGTATATAAACTCCCATATATATATATATATATATATACATATACACATATATATATGTATATATGGGAGTTTATATATATACACACACACACACACACACACACACATATATATATGGGAGTTTATAAAGTAGTATTAACTCACATGATCACAAGGTCCCACAATAGGCTGTCTGCAAGCTGAGGAGCAAGGAAGCCAGTCCGAGTCCCAAACCTGAAGAGCTTGGAGTCTGATGTTCGAGGGCAGGAAGCATCCAGTATGGGAGAAAGATGTAGGCTGGGAGGCCTAGCCAGTCTAGCCTTTTCACATTTTTCTGCCTGCTTTATATTCTAGCCCCACTGGCAGCTGATTAGATGGTGCCTACCCAGATTAAGAGTGGGTCTGCCTTTCCCAGCCAACTGACTCAAATGTTAATCTCCTTTGGCAACACCCTCACATACGCACCCAGGATCAATACTTTGCATCCTCCCATCCAATCAAGTTGACACTCAATACTAAACATCACAAGTGCATCCTTTGTCAGCATGAATCCACACACATCTCCTGAGATCATACATAATCTTCAAATAAAGACAATAATGTAATAATTACGCCCAACATCATACAACTGTCCTTCATCCATTGGAAATACACAAATCCCCAACCCAAATGTTATTACATAAGTTAACAATACTTAAATACTGATACGAAGTCAACAAATCTATGTCACATGATAAAGGAAAAGGAAATAAAATGAAGATATTTTCTTAGTACAGTGTTTACATGCATTAACATGTTTTTAACAAAAAGAAGAAATACTCATGACAATTACAGTCCTCAGTTCTGCAACTGGTCATGTGGTCATAGCTGGTATTGATGACTACCTTCTTCTACTACCTATTCTGTATTCCCTTTGCCTTTGCAAGGACCTCAGCAGGTCGTGGTTTTTTTCCTGGTGGAGTGACACAAACCTTCATTCCTGAAGGGTCTGGGCCGTTTTTAGTCCTGCCTGGATTAGGCTGTTGTAATTTCCCATTGACCTTAATCACAGGGCATGGTAATTCAAAGAGACACCCCAAGGAATCTTCTGTATTCCATGCATACTCTTCCTTACCTCTGTTGTGGTGTGGAAGACTAATTTCATCTTGATAGTCCAGGTCAATCACCCCAGCCAACACTGTAACTCCATTCTTAGCCTGTTGACTTAAAGGTAGGAGGACCCCAAAGTGTCCGGGTGGCAATCTTAACTTCCAGTTTAATGGAATCATTGTTGTGTCTCCTGGTGGTAGCGTTCTCCCTCTGGAACTAAGACCTCTAGGACAGCAGAACTAATGTCTAGAGAACAGGAAGCAAAAATGTTGCTAGTGGATCACTAGGGGTGATGGTGAGTGGTACCACTTCCACTTCCACCCCTTGATTCCTGGACCCATGAATCCTGGCTATGGGAGAAAGAGTACCATATATTAGACGCTGATTCAGACCATACATAGCCTTCTGGAGAACTTTGCCCCAGTCCTACAAAGTATTGTCACCTAGTTGCCATTGTGATTGTGACTTCAAAAGGGCATTCATCTGTTCTATCAATATCAGGTGCTGCAGGATGATGGGGAACATGGTAAGACCAGTGAATTGCATGAGCATGAGCCCACAGATGGTAGTCTTGGCAGAAGCATTGTGTGCAGGATAGGCAAACACGTATCTGGAGTAAGTGTCTATTCTGGCGGACAAACCTCTGCCCTTCCCATGATGGAAGAGGTCCAATATAATCAACCTGCCACCAGGTAGCTGGCTGATCACCTTGAGGAATGGTGCCATATTGAGGGTTCAGTGTTGGTCTCTGCTGCTGGCAAATTGGGCACTCAGCAGTGGCCGTAGCCAGGTCAGCCTTGGTAAGTTGCTGAGTCCATGTTGCTGAGCCCATGCGTAACCTCCATCCCTCCCACCATGGCCACCTTGTTCATGGGCCCATTGGGCAATGACAGGGGTGGCTGGGGAAAGGGGCAGAGTGGTGTCCACAGAATGGGTCATCCTATACACTTGATTATTAAAATCTCCTCTGCTGAGGTCACCCATTGGTGAGCACTCACATGGGATACAAATATCTTCATAGTTTTTGACTACTGAGAGAGGTCCATCCACATACCTCTTTCCCAGATTTATTTGTCACCAATTTTCCAATCATGCTTCTTCCAAGTCCCTGACCATCCAACCAAACCACTGGCTACAGTCCATGAATCAGTATATAATTGCAGATCTGGCCATTTATCCCATGCAAAGTGCACAACCAGGTGTACCACTCAACAACATTCTGCCCACTGGGGAGATTTCCCTTCAGCACTGTTCTTCAGGGATGTCCTAGAAAGGGTCTGTAGTGCTACAGCTGTCCACTTTGGGTGGTACCTGAATATCGTGCAGAACCATCTGTGGACCAGGCCCTAGTCTTCTCTTCCTCTGTCAGCTGATCATAAGGAACTCTCCATGAAGCCATCAGTGCAGGCTGTGGGGAGAGAAGGCAGAGTGGCAGGAGTGGGGACCATGGGCATTTGAGCCACTTCCTCATGTAACTTACTTGTGCCTTCAGGACCTGCTCCAGCACGGTCATGCACATATCACTTCCATTTGATGATGCAATGCTGCTGTGCATGACCCACTTTATGGCTAGATGGGTCAGAAAGCACCCAGTTCATGATAGTCCATTCAGGTTGCATGGTGACTTGATGACCCACAGTCAAACGTTCAGTTTCCACCAAAGCCCAGTAACAACCCAAGAGCTGTCTCTCAAAAGGAGAGTAGTTATCTGCAGAAGATGGCAGGGCCTTGCTCCAAAATCCCAGAGGCCTCTGCTGTGATTCACCTATGGGGGCCTACCAAAGGCTCCAAACAGCATCCCTATCTGCCACTGACACCTCAAGCACCATTGGATCTGTTGGGTCGTATGGCCCAAATGGCAGAGCAGCTTGCACAGCAGCTTGGACCTGTTGCAGAGCCTTCTCCTGTTCTGGACCCCACTCAAAACTGGCAGCCTTTCAGGTCACTTGATAAATGGGGTGGAGTAACACACCCAAATGAAGAATGCGTTGCCTCCCAAATCCAAATAGGCCCACTAGGGGTTGTGTCTCTTTCTTGGTTGTAGGAGAGGCCAAATGCAGGAACTTATCCTTCACCTTAGAAGGATTATCTCAACAGGCCTCACACCACTGGACCCCTAGAAATTTTACTGAAGTAGAAGGTCCCTGAATTTTTGTCAGATTAATTTCCCATCCTCTAAATTAAACCAAGGAAATCAGGCATTTCCAGCTCACTTACAGTGAGCCATCATTTAATCCACATTTCAGCTAACCAAGCAAATAAACTATTAGAACATTTTTTAACTCCCCAAGCTGCAACATTAAATGCAGAATCCCTACTTAGTGGGCCCAAATCAGTACATTCAGCCTGATCCAACTCTATTCCTTCCACCATTATCCCACACCCTTAATATCCATTCCCATGCCTGTTCTCCAGGTTTCTGCTTACATAAATTAGAAAACTCAAGCAGTTCTTTTCGAGGGTAGTGCACTTCCTCATGGGTCACAATCTGAACCTCACCTCTAGGGGCCAGACACGACTTCAGTCTAGTTATAGGTCTAGAAGCAAACAGGGATGTTGGGGGTGGCTTCTGAGGAGAATCGACATTATCTTTCCTGGCAACTGCCACAGCGGAGGCCATCACTATTGTCTCAGGCAGTGCAGGGTCTAACTCCTCAGACAAAGGCTGATGGCAGCATGGGTCGGGGAGGGGATGTTGCCACTACTGGGGGTGGGGAAGCTGTTTCTTCTTGCAAAAAAGGTTCATCAGAGTTTACAAACTCAGCGTCCCCAGCTTCATCAGGGTCCTCCCACATGTCCCCATTCCAAGTTGCAGGGTCCCATTGTTTTCCAATCAATGCCCTCTCTTTAACAGTAGACACCTGGCGAGGCTGTGCATGCACCTTTCATTTCAGGTCAGCCACTAGCATGATAAGAGCTTGTGTCTGTTTTTCCACAATTTCAGCTCCTTCTCAGCAGGAAATAAGACTCTCACACAGGGCAATCTTAGCAGATTTGAGGCTCAGTATCTGCTTCTGAATCTGGGAGTGAGAATCCCTGAGTTCATCATTTTCTTTCATCACCTTGTCTAGTGAACTTAGGAGCAACCAACCAGCTTCATTGTGTTCCTTGGTTCTCCACATATAGTCAAAGGGATTACGTATAGAGTCACTAAACTCCTTGCCTCTCATAAGCAATAAATTAGGAGTGTCAAATGCATTTATTTTGCGTAACTCTCTAAACAGTTCATGACAAGGGCTATCAGCATTCTCCATACTATTAGAAGTAGAGTCCTTAGCATTTTCGGATGTAATCATATTAAGCAGACAACTCCAGAAACCCCAAAACCAATGAAAGAACTCCATCCTTAATATTCTGTTCCTCTAGAACAACTCCTGGCACCAAAATCTGTATTAGTCAGGGTTCTCTAGAGGGATATAACTAATAGGATAATAAACTTATATATATATATAAAATACATATATAATATATATATAAAATACATATATATTATATATATTATATATAATACATATATTATATATTATATATAATACACGTATATAATATATAATATATAATACATATAATATATATGATATATAATACATATAATATATATGATATATAATACATATATAATATATATGATATATAATACATATATAATATATATTATATATAATACATATATAATATATATTATATATAATACATATATAATATATATTATATATAATACATATATAATATATATTATATATAATACATATATAATATATATTATATAATACATATATAATATATATTATATAATACATGTATATAATATATATTATATATAATACATATATATTATATAATACATGTATATAATATATATTATATATAATACATATATATTATATATTATATATTAATATATTTATATAATAGTAATATATAATATTAATATATTATATATATTAATATTATATATAATACATATATTATATATAATATAAATATATATAATACATATATAATACACATATTATATATAATACATATATTATATATAATATATATATTATATATAATATATATGTAATATATATATTATATATGTATACTATATATATATATGTAGTATTAACTCACATGATCACAATGTTCCACAATAGGCCATCTGCAAGCTGAGGAGCAAGGAAGCCAGTCTGAGTCCCAAACCTGAAGAACTTGAAGTTCGATGTTCGAGGGCAGTAAGCATCCAGCACAGGAGAAAGATGTAGTCTGGGAGGCTAAGTCAGTCTAGTCTTTTCAGGTTTTTCTGCCTGCTGTGTATTCCAGCCATGCTGGCAGCTGATTAGATGGTGCCCACCGAGATTAAAGGTGGTCTGCCTTTCCCAGCCCACTGACTCAAATGTTAATCTCCTTTGGCAACACCCTCACAGACACACCCAGAATCAATACTTTGCATCCTTCAATCCAATCAAGTTGACACTCAATATTAACCATCACAAAACTATTATGTAATAGTATGATTGTATTATATTAGAAACTAAATTAAGGGAAACATACAGACTTCTCTGGGTCTTCCAAGCAAGACCTCAGCGCCTTGAGAGAAACAATAAAGCCCACATGGATCCAGGCATGGGTCGATTCAATGACCACAGGCCTTGTTCTCAGCTGGGGACAAACCCTGTATTTTCAGGAGAGTGAACAGAGATGTTACTTTAGATAGGTGGTCAGAGAAAGGTCTGAGATAGTGATATCTGAGCTGAGAGCTGAATGCTAAAAGTCAGCTTGGTGATTATTAGGTAAAGCCTTCCGGGCACAGAGAATGCAAGTGTGAAAATCTGAGGTTGACATGAGTTTGGGTGTTTGGGGAACAGAAAAAATGTCCTTGTTCCTGGAGCATGGTGTGGTGATAGGAGAAGGGATCAGAGAGATAACCAGGGGTCAGAATTTACTCCAAATGCCAAGATTTGGTTCATTTCAGAAAGGCAGACTAGGCCAGGCATGGTGGCTCACGCCTGTAATCCCAGCACTTTGGGAGGCTGAGGCAGGTGGATCACAAAGTCAGGAGATCGAAACCAGCCTGGCCAACATGGTGAAACCCCATCTCTACTAAAAATACAAAAATTAGCTGGGTGTTGTGGCAGTCTTCTGTAATCCCAGCTACTCAGGAGTCTGAGGCAGGAGAATCACTTGAACCCAGGAGTTGGAGGTTGCAGTGAGACGAGATTGTGCCATCCTGGGGGACAAGAGCGAGACTTAATCTCAAAAAAAAAAAAAAAAAAGAAAAGAAAAGAGAAAGAAAGACAGACTACACAGGTAAAGTTGTAGATAGGTTGGTAGATTTGATGGTGGGAATGTGAAGAATTCTCTAAAAGAACCAAAATTGCCTAGTGCCAGAGAGGAGCAAAGAGAAGCAGGAGTTAAGAGCTATCTCAGAGGCAGTTTCATGGCCAAGAAAACTAATTTTCTGTCTCCTCCAGAGGTCTGTAATTCCACTCTGGTAATCATTTAATTAAGATCTTGAGATATATATATTTATTTTTCTTTTAACTGTACAGACTTGAATTTGCAGGGAACCTTAAGTTACATAAATATACTTTCTTTCTAACTTGATAGAATCTTGCAAACTTTCATATTCTTTTGATGATATTAAACATCTTATCAATATTTAAAATGATATCCCACTGAATTTTGCATGCCTCAAATGGCTTTATCTGACTTTGTGTTAAAACTTGTAAGGTCATTTTACTGACAAGTGAGAAGGGAGAGAAAAAAGGGCAAAGAAGTCAATGGTTTGCACACATTGAGAGACATACAGAGTGGAGGTTAAGGACATAGACTCTGGAGTCTGGCTGCCTGGAGTTGGATCCAGCTTTGCTTTGTACTGGTTGTGTTACCTGGAGCCAGCTATTGAACACCTCTGTGTTTCACTTTTCCCATCTGAAAAATGGGGTTAACAATGGTACCTAGTTAATGGGGTTGCTGTGAGGACTGAATGAGTATGTGCATGTCTCCACCATCTTATAGCATCTCTCCAAGTCGTTTTGGGGCTTCCCCTTGCTCCAGCTGTGGCTGCAGTGATCAATTCTCTTCGGGCTTTGACCAGCTTTCCCTAGGGGCAACTTGACAGTGCCTCATTGCTGGCCCTCCTTGCGTACCTGCTGCCTCCTGCCCAGGGCCTCTCTGATAACATAGCGTAGGACACCTGTGGAACCTACTCTGAACTCTAGAGCTCTAGACATGAACAATCTAGCAATGTAGGGGAACTAAAGCCATGTGCCTACCCTTGGCCTGTGAGGAATAGGAGTCATGGTTATATTCCCCTCTTTTCTGTTGGGCAGATAGTTCTGAAAGCATTTATAAGGCTTCCTGCCAAGCACCACGTGCCCGTAGTGGTAGCCCCCAAATAAGGCACCCTTGTATTGCTTTCCTCCTTCTATATTTCATTGGCTTTTGTCTCTTACACATACTTTCTGGGATCATTTCCCAAATAAACTACTTATGTGAATGCCTTTGACTCATGCTCAGTTTTCGGGGGAGCTCAAGTTAAGACCACATGTAAAGTGCTTAGAACGGCGCTTGGAACATTGTATGCACTATGTAAGTGCTAGCTATTATTATTTTTGCAAGGGAATGATGATTGTGATGGGCCATAAATCTTAAGCTGAGTTAGGTGGGAAGTAAGGAAAGGATAAGGATACTAGAAAGTGAGAAAGTGGTGGGACCAGGGGATTGGAGGTCACATAAGGTGTTGTTATGTGAGTAGGGGGTAACGAAACAAGTGAGCTGAAAGAAGGTAGCCAGAGAGTGAGACTCTTGAAATCAGTATATCAACATGGTGTAATTATTGATGGTGACATAGTCTAGAATATGACCATGGAAATGGGTGGCTAAGGTAAGGTAGAATAAAAGATCACGAGAGGCAAGGAGGTCACAGATCTAAGAGGTCATAGTATTTATCTGCATATGAATTATTCATCTATTTCTGCAATAGTGCTGTATCATAAACCACCACAAAACTCTATGACATGCAACAGCGGACATTTAGTGTGACATTCACAGGTCTGCAGATCAGCTGGCTAATCCCGGCTGGTCTCAGCTGCATAGCTTATTGGGTTTGGTTCCCATGTAATGCACACGGGTTTGTTCTGGGACCCAGGCTAAAGGGGCACTAACTACCTGGGGCATGTTCATCTCATGTAGATTACCGTGGTAAGAGCCAAGCCTAATCATGCAAGCACATTCCCCAGGTCCTCTAACATTACACTGGCCCAAGCAAGTCACATGGTACCAAACCCAATACCAATGGTTCAGGGATGTTTGCTCTGCCCACAGTGGGGGTGGGAAGAGAGTGAATATTTTCTGAACAATAATCCAAACTGTCATAACATAGATGTTGCAAACACCAGGATGGGGCCATGAGTGACGGGGAAGAGGACAGCAAACCAGACACTAAGGTTGTCCAAGTATACACTGAATAAGTAGGACCTGTAGAGGCAATTAAGCACAGTCTTCCTTCCCACACAGCCCATGCAAACATGTTTTGTGGAGCTGGATCTTTCCCCTATCCCTTTATGAAATCTAAGATACAAATTTTTCAGTTATTATTAGATAACGAAGTCCTCTGTTTGTTTTAATTGCAAGAAGTCTGATTTTTAGTTATTAATATGTACAATCTCATGTCATAATCAAAACTCCCCATTTTATTCAAAATTCAAGTTTCTCTCCTTCCCAGTTTAGACCTGCTGAAGATGGAAAAGAGTAGTGGGGTTGCCTTCCCTAGTTCCCTGCCTACTCCCCACACTCAGCAGTTTGCTCCTGGCTTATTGAGAATGGAAGTGGTAGCAAGGGGCAAAGGAGGATGTGGAGGCAGGCAAGACCTTATTTGACCTGCACCAGTGAAACTGGCATTGGCTTTCTCTAATGTTTAAACATCTGGTGAATATTTAAAGCCAACGAGTATTGGCAGTTGCCTCTTTCAGGAACACATTAGTGGTTTCTTCAGAGACATTTGCCTCCTCCTCTTATTTCCTGTCACTTCCAGTCTCTTTATGGAAAACTGTTCTTCCTTCAGCTATGCTTACAAGTGCCCTCTAAGCACCAGCCTTGGTTTCCCCAAAGACTCCAGGGACATAGAAAAGCTCTTTGTGTCATTCTCTTGAAGCTAGTCCCACCAAGTTAAGGAGAGGGGACTCCCTCCCATCTTTCTCCATGGAGAAGGTTAAGACTCAAGGTACACTAACAATTCTCTCCAAAGAGATGCCCCCTCTAGTATACCATTTCCTTCTTGGAGCTGGATATCCTCTCAGGGCTGCAAACCTGGTTCTCGATCCTTCTCTGCATCTCCTGCTTGGGAATCAAGCACCTTAAACTGCTATGCAGGGCAAGTACATGTCTTGGATCTTCAGTGTGAACGGAGGCTAAGAGTGTCTCATTTTAATGCTCTGCTGCACGTGAGTGTAAGAAAGTAACTGAGAAGTCACAGATGGCAGAGTGAGTGGAGATAAGATTTTCATTCTGTAGAAGCAGGACCCTAGAAGAGAAAGAACTCTCTCCTTCAGAACTCTTTTCCCCAGATTTATAGTATTGGATTCCTGAAGAAGGAATCAGAAAAGAACTACATGAGGTTACAGCTTACCTGCTGGTATTAGAAAATGTAGAATGCAATTTTGTGGTTGGTCACTAAAAGATTCACTAAGATCTGAGCTGTGTCTTACTCAGAGTAAGAACTACGATGAAAGCCTTGAGCTGTGAGAGGGTGAAGACAAAGACCCCGCTGGCCACTATGAGGAGAAGAGGAAAATCTGAGACTGTAAAACAAGACAAAGCCATGGGAGACTTGAATTTTAAATCATTCAGATTACATTTGCAAGAACAGATATGATATCTTCTTTGTCTTTGAACCTTCAGTACGTAGGTCAGTGCCTGACCCCCAGTAAGTGCTGAAAAGATGTGCAATTGAATTGAATAGGATATATAGTATATAGTAAATACATACTGAATTGAATTGAACACACAGGATGCAATAAATACAATACATAATAAGAAAGTAAAAGCTCAAGGTGGTATTTCATAAAGTGTTTGTCTGATGAACAGCTATGCTTGCTCATTTTCTGACAGGATTATTGTTTATGTAGTTTCTCCTTTTGCCCTGGCTGCCAGTTAGTTGAGACAACTGCCTCAACTAATTATTTTAGCTCTCAGGCAATTCTGTATATTTGCATGCTTCTCTTTTTGAAGAGTCTCAATATTTCTTTCTATTTTATTAATCTTATAATGTTGCCTAATATAATTTTGGAAATGACACAGAGTACATTTCTGTACTATGCTCCTTGTTCTACAGTGAACATCAAGGGCCTCATCAATCACCAGTTCCTGGCATTGAGGTGGCCATTTCAGGACAAAGGCAAAGCAACAGGAGACAGAGGTTGATTATTTCTGAGAAAACTATCCTGTGCTCTGCTGGAAATTGGTCCCTTGCAACCCCAAGCACGAGGTGTCCTGAGAGGTTAACAAATGGTTCCCCTTTTAGAAAAACCCCAAAGGCAGAAGAACCACAGGGAGACAAATAGAACCTGAGCTAACACAGGGTTATGCTGTCAGCATGAACACTGGCTGCCCCAGGAAAGGAGGGAGGGAGACACAGAACATGTGGAAAAACAATAGCAAGAGTGGCAGCAGAGTGGCACTAGCATGCAAAGGAAAAGGAGGGGAGAAGAAGAGGGAAGGGGAAGGTAGAAAGAATGAACATTGCTTACCTACTATTAATTCATTGCACAAATATTTATTAAATGCCTTATTTGTGCCAGAAACTGAGGCTACGATCATGAACAAGATAGAAGGGTTTTCTGCTCTCATGCAGTGTACATTCTAGCTGGGGGGGGAAAAAAGACATCTAACAAGTTACTGCACATGTGATGACTGCTAAGAGGGAATATATATTGCCATTTTAGTGAATAGTGAGGGATCTACTCTAACTCAGTGAATTGAAGAAGATCTGTAAAAAAGACCAAAGGATGATCAGGAATTCGGTGGAGGAAGAGTAGGAGAACACGCTCTAGGCAGAGAACAGCAGGAAGGCAGCAGAAAGGGAGAGACGATGGGAGGGGTGGTTGGGCAGGAGGCAGGAATGTCCCAGGATGAAGCAGGTCAGGATAGGGATGTACAACTACCCTAAAAGCAACTGGAGGCTATTAAAGGCCTTGAGCAGAGTAATGACATGGTCTATTATCAAAAGATCACTCAGATCCTTTTGTGAAGAATGAACTCAAATGGGTAGATGTGGAAGTAGGGAGACCAGTGAGGTTGCGCACCTTATCAAGCCTGGTGTTCCCCTTATCAAGCCTGCTGGATCAGAAGAGGGTTGTGGCAGTGAGGACAGAGAGAGGTGGTCAGATTCAGGATGTGGGCAGGCAGAATCAGTAAGGATTGGTTATTCATTGCATGAGAGGGTGAGTGCGAGAGATGAATCAAGAATGATTCTCAGGCCTGGCACAGTGGCTCACGCCTGTAATCCCAGCACTTTGGGAGGCCAAAGCGGGAGGATCACTTGTGGTCAGGAGTTCAAGATCAGTCTGGCAAACATGGTGAAACCCCATCTCTACTAAAAATACAATAAGTAGCTGAGTGTGGTGGCGGGCGCCTGTAATCCCAGCTACTCGGGAGACTGAAGCAGGAGAATCGCTTGAACCTGGGAGGTGGAGGTTGCAGTGAACCCAGATTGCACCACTGCACTCCAGTCTGGGTGACAGAGTGAGAGGTTGTCTGTCATCTGAAAATAAAAAAAAAATAAAAATAAAAATTAAAAAAAAGGAAAGAAGAAGAAGCAGAAGAAGAAGGATTCTCAGATTTCTAGTCTAAGGCCCAGAGAGAAGGGTGAGTTCATCTTCTTAGAAAGAGAACCTTGAAGGAGAAGGAGGTTCAGGGCAACAGGAGAGAGGGAGACCACGAGTTCAATTTCATACAAGCTGAGCTTGAGGACTCTGTGACCAGTCAAGTGGACACTAGGTAAAGTTGAATATATGGATTTGTATCTCAAAGGAAATTCTGGGCTTGAGATATAATTTGGGGAATTGTTGGACCATAGGAAATACATTAAAGACTTAAGACTGAATGAGTTCACCAAGGGAGTGTAGCTTGAAAAGGGTCTAAACAAAGCCCTGAGAGTCTCCATCTCCAATTTTTTTTTTTTTTTTTTTGAGACAGAGTGTTGCTCTGTCACCCAGGCTGGCGTGCAGTGGTGCAATCTCAGCTCACTGCAACCTCCGCCTCCCAGGTTCAAGCAATTCTCCTGCCTCAGCCTCCCAAGTAGCTGGGATTACAGGCACCCACCACCACCACGCTGGGCTAATTTTTGTATTTTTAGTAGAGACGGGGTTTCACTGTGCTGGCCAGGCTGGTCTCAAACTCCTGACCTCGTGATCCTCCTGCCTCAGTGCTGGGATTACAGGAGTGAGCCACTGCACCTGGCCAAAAGTCTTCAACTTTTAATGGCTGGGGAAAGGTGGCAAAGGACACTGAAAAGTAGTTGCCAGAAAGATTTCCATTGACGTTTTGGTCAGGAAAAGAGACACCACTTTAGTATTTTTAATGTTTTTAGAGATAGGGTCTCACTCTGTTACCCAGGCTGGAGTGCAATGGTGTGATCATGGCTCACTGCATCCTTGACTTCCTGAGCTCAAATGATGCTCCCACCACAGCCTCCTGAGTAGCTGGGACGACAGGTGCATGACACCATGCCTGGCTATTTTTTTTATTTTTATTTTTCTGTGGAAATGGGATCTTGCTATGTTTCCTAGACTGGTCATGAACTCCTGGGCTCAAGCAATTCAGCCTCCCAGGCCTCCCAAAGTTCTAGGATTACAGGCGTGAGCCACAGCGCCTGGCCTAGGTATTTTTAAATAGAATGGTATTTATACAGGAAGTTTATTCACAAATCCACTGGAAAATACAGAGAGCAGAGAACGCTGCTCTCAGATTTACTGCTAACTTCCAGAAAATTAAAAAATTGCAAGAAATTGCAAAAACTTTCAGTGATCACACCTACCTGCTACTTGGAGATAGTGATTTGCAAGAGAATGCTGGAGGTGGCTATAAACCTCCCATGTGCCTATTGTTGGAGGAGAAGTAATAACATCTGCTTCTCTTCTGCCTCCCAAAGCTCACACAAATGCCTCTCATTAGTGGACCTAAAGCAGGAACCTGCTGGCAAGGGATGCTGGGAAATTAATTACCCAGAAGGGAGAGCATGAAAAGGATGGGGTTGTATGCCGAACAAAAACCGATAACAATAATGATAATAAAAACGCCATCCAGCAAAGGTAGGAAAGGCCGTGTCTCCAGTGCTCAGGAGAGGGTGCTTCGGTGAGTGGACTTTGCTCCTCTGGCCTTCCTAATTTTTCATAAATGTCTCCTTGTTAAGCCCCTTACCACTTGTAATACCAAAAGTGATTCCTATCTTTCTGACAAAACTGCTCCTCTGGCAACTATTTTTCCATTTGACTTGCAGCTTTTTCTTCTTCTACACAACATTGTTTTTCAGAAGAAGCAAGGAAGAATGAGATAAATAACTCACCAAGGGTTAAAAAGCTGGTAGTAGGCTAGGTGTGGGGGCTCATACCTGTAATCCCAGCACTTTGGGAGGCCAAGGCAGGAGGATCGTTTGAGGCCAGGAGTTTAAAACCAGTTAGGGCAATATTGCAAAATCCCATCTCTACAAAAAAAATCTTTAAAAATTAGCTAGTTGTGGTGGTGTGCACCTATAGTCCTAATTACTCAGGAGGCTGAGGTAGGAGGATAGCTTAAGACCAGGAGTTGGAGGCTGCAGTAAAGTATGATCACCACTGCACTCCAGGCTGGGTGACAGAGTGACACCCTGTCTCTAAAGCAAAAACACAAACCAAAAGCTGCTGGTAGCAAAGTTAACATTTTAATCCAGATTTATCTCAATCCAAATCTGATGTTCTTTCCATTATACTAATTTTTGTACACAGAGTACAGAAAAGAAAGTCTATTCAAGGAGAAAAGGTGGAAAAAAAGAGACAACAGCATCCTGAAAACAGAAAGTTGGGAAAGAAGAAAGATGGCAATCCTGTCTTTTCTCTCCGCCCCACCAAACGTGCCTCTTGTTTTCACTCTTGTTTGATGGCACTGTGATCCCCTAGCATTTAATTAGCAACCTCAGTGCATTCTCCCTCTTCTCAAACCTTCCCTGCCTCTCACTCCCTATTGTCCTCAGGGCTTTGTATTTCCTTATCTGAATGATTGCAAATTCTCTCCTTCCTTTCAGTCCTGCTCCCATCTAATTCATTCTTCTCACTGCTGCCAGAGTGATCTTTCCCAAGCAGAAAACGGACTCCTTCTCTCATCCTTCAGAAGGGTCTTATTGCCTTTCGTATAAAGTTAAAACTTAGTGTGTTCGAGTCTCTCCTGGGCCTACCTCTCCATACACAAGTCACACCATTCCTCTGCACATGCCATGGGTCAACGAGGCCAACTTACTTGCTATTCATGTACAGGTCAAAATTTCTTTGACTCCAAACCTCTACTACCCATGTTGTTCCTTCTGCCTGGAATGTCCTTGTTTCTCCCTTGCCAGGTTGGTCCTTATTCCTCCTTTCTTCAGTGCTCTGCCGGGGAAGCTTTCCTGACTTCTCAGGCCATGTAAGGTGTCTCTCTTCTCTCCATTAGCACCTCTTGCTCACCCCTATTAGAGCACTCACCACACTGTGTTACAACTGCTGGGTAGCTTTTATTAAATATGTTTTTCCACCAAACTGAGCCTTTTAAGGGCAAGGAACTATTTGCTTCCCCTGCAATAGGTATTTTTTATATATTCAATATTTAAATAGTGGTTGAATGAGGGTATGAATGAATGAAGCTGTTTATGAGGTTTGTGCAATATGCAGAGGATATCTGTTGCTGCTACTGTAAGAGGTGATTGTCTATTCAGTGAGTGAAATCAATAAGGATAACATGGCAAATACAAAAAGAAGTTGACCGAAGGCCAAGAGGCTAAATAATTGGACTGAAACACAGACTTGTTAGCCTTGGCCATCAATCAGTTACTAACTCCCCAAGTGATGAGAATTGCCAACAGCTCAGTTTACATTCATGTAGCCTATTTGTGGTGATATGATGAGCTACATATGTTTGCTTTGAGTACTTAGCAAATCTGTTCTGATTTTGTCCATGTGGTATAAATTGAATTATTGCGAAATGATCCAATTTGTTAAAATTCCAAAGTTTAAATCTCCTACTACATATTAAAATTAGAAATCATTAAATTCAGGTACATCCTATCAACCAACTGGTGGCTACAAGCTAGTCAAGAATGGGCTGTTCTTGAAGGTGGTTCCTTGCTTCACTACTGAGTGCTTAGAGAAGTAGGTAGGGAGGAGGTTTTGTATCTGAATTCATATCTGAATAATAATAGCTGCATTTATTGAGGCTTTCTAGTTACCAGTAAGCTAAATCCTTTCCATTAATTATCTCACGAACCGTTTACACTAATCCCATGGGATATGTGTTATTATCCTATAGGAGGAAAATGAGGCTTTGAGGGGTTAAACCAATTTCCTAAAGTCATGGAGACATAAGGGGTAAAGCTATGTATGATTCCCAGTCTCTCTGACTTTCAAGCCTATCCTTTTGACCACTAATTTGCTATACTCTCCTGACTCTCTAAAGAGAGAAATTACTCATCAAGGGTCTCTATAGTGGGCAGCAGAGATGTTTTGCTAAGAGTAAAAGAAAGCCTGATACAAGGATATACTGATGTGGCATGATTTCCACCATAGTGAAGTCATCTAATGAGAAAAGGATTTTGTTTGGACTAGCAAAGTCAGACTCATCCTGTAACTTTCAGCTCAAAGGGCCCCTCCACCATGGGTGGAGTTGTCCTCAACAAACAAAACAAACTTAGCACAGCTCAAATTGCAAACCAACTTATTATTTCCATGTTTGCTTGCTTTCTGTGTAAACAACTCATAGACAGACTGCATAGACAGTCCCTGAGCTGTCTTTTCAGAGCCATAGATCATGCCAATTTAGAAAACTCGAAGTCACCCAAACTCTTAAATTAGTTATAACCTAATTTTAACAAGGAAGAAAAGTTCTGCTGGATCCCATGCCTCCCTGATGTATACTAGAAAAGTCCTTCTGTCATATTAGTTGGCACAGGGATAGTGCACTTAAACTGTTTAATGTTACAACCACAGTTTTCATCCCTATAGACTAAATTCTGGAGAGAAATAAATGAATGCTAAATACCTGCTGTCAGTTCTGGCACTCGAGGCTGGAAGTTAGTCTGTTTCCCATAAGGAATAGAAATAAAAACAAGCCACTTAGACAGTTTTGGCTTTCATACAGACTTATGAGCACATGCACACACACACACACACACACACACACACACACACACATACACTCTCTGTCTCTGTCTCTCTCTCTCTCACACACACACACACACACACACACACTCAACACCATGATTCCTAAATGGAACAGGTTCACATTTAGACTGAAAATCTGATCAAAGCAGAAAAAAGGCAATCTGAGTCTCTAGGACTTTGCTTTATTTAATGTAATTTTTATCTCTTTTGCTTGTACTACATCCAGCAGGAAATACTAATATACACAGTGCCATAAGCATCACTATTTGTGAGGTCCTTTCCCTCCAGTTGAAAAAAAATGAACCTTCTCTCATATATATATACTTAGAGACAGGGTCTCACTCCTCTCCCTGTCACCCAGGCTGGGGTGCATCATAATTCACTGCAGCCTTGAATTCCTGGGCTCAAGTGATCCTCCCACTTCAGCCTTCCACGTAGCTGGAACTATACGCATGCACCACCACACCCGGCTATTTTTTTTTTTTCTTTTGTAGAGATGTGGTCTTGCTCTGTTGCCCAGGCTGGTCTTAAACTTGAAATAAGTGTTGGCCCAGGATCAATATCTTTTTTTTTTTAAGTAAGTTAAATCATCCAGTTACCACATCATGTAGCAATTGTTCAGTCTTTGGAGTCTTTGCTATAGTGACCACTTAAAAAATATAATTTTCTTAGTACAAGAAAGTTTTACTAAAACTTTAGTAAAGTTTTAGTACCTGGCCACAGAGTAAGAAAGTACCTGGCACAAAGTACCAGCACAAAGTACCAGCACAAAGTAGGCATTCAATAAATGTTCATGAATGAATGAATGAATATACGAACAAAAGAGAAAGAATGGTCAACTATAAAGAGAAAGATGACAGATTTAAGAAAAATACAATAATGTTACTACAGACTTCTATTGGCTGGAAGGCAAACAAGGGAGTCACATGAACAGGATCATTACAGATTTGCCACAAATTTGCAAAGATTTATGGGAAATGTCATTTGGCTTTTCTAGGTCTTTCTATAATTTGGGAAGGGTATTTATCACCTTATTCCTCACAAGAATGCTATAAATCATCGTGTAATTTTGTATGTTTTTCATTGCAATCTATAACTTAAAGCTCACAGCAAAAAAAATTCAGCTCCTGGGGAATAGCAACCCTAGAGGGGCCTTTTGTATCTTGGACACCAGACCAAAGATCCCAACTACAAACTCAGTCTCCACAGGTACCCAGGACCTTCTGGATGTCAGTAAGGAAGACCAGCCCAATACAGAGCCCTAGGTATCTCCCTGAAAGATGAGAGTCTCAAAACTGGACTGGCCTTGGGCTCTAAGCCTAGAAGGTCAATATTTCATGGTTTCTAATTGCAAGAATGATTCTAGGGCACAATCTCATCTCTGGATGAGATTCTCCAACTGTAATGTGAATTGTCTAGGATAATCTGGCAATCTTGTTACAATGCACATTTAGAACCAGTAGGTCTAGGGTAAGGCCTGACACTCTGCTTTGCTAATAAGCACCCAGATGATGAGAATGCTGCTGGTCTGTGGAGGCGCCAACTTGGAGTAGCGAGTCTGGAGTCTCTGGAGCCCAACAGTGCCTCAGAATAGCAATCACAGAGCACCGCATGGGCTCAGATGAGAGGGAGTCTTTGGAAATACTTCCTGTCTTAGTATTAGCCTCTCAAAGCACAGTCTCTGGACCCCAACAGACAAGAATTGGAATCTAGATACTGCCACACCAGGAGCTTTGTGATCTTGAGTCAATTGTCCTTTGGCTCTCAGTTTCTCCATCTGTAAAATGGGGCTGATCATACCTATTAGAACTGTTGTGAAGATTAAATCCAGGCAAACAGACCTACATTTGAAATCCAACTCTTCCTTTAGCTCTCACTAGCTATGAGGTATTAGGAAAAGCATTCAAGCTCACCAAGCCTCAGTTTTCTCATCTGGAAAGGCAAGATACTAATAATTAACTCACAAGGTTGTTTTCAAGATTCAATGAAATAACTCAGTGTTCTCAATGTGGGACACATTCCTGAGGTTCACACTTCTTTTAAAACATTATCGAAGGCAGTTGTTAAGAGAAAAGATGTTATAAAGCTAAAATATTCAGATAAAGTATTTGGAGAAAGCAGAATTTTATCTGAAGCTTGAAAAACTATTAGGATCTGCAGAATGGGTGAGAATGTTGCCTTTTTATAAGCAAGTCAGAGCTCAGAATATAATTCTCTCCATTCTTTACTTGACTAATTGTTAGTCACTCCTTGTTCTCTGTTTAGATGTCATTAACTCAGGGAAATCTTTTCAGCCCTTCAGGCCAGGCTATTTCCTAAACTACGTGTTATTACCATATTCAGTACTTGGCACCATATTCCTCCCTCACCAATCTCTGAGGCCTATAAGGCAGGGACTCTGTCTGCCTTGTTCCCTGTTGTATCCCTAGACCTAGCACAGCATCCAACAATATCTTAGGCATTCTGTTAATATTTTTTGCATAACCGCATGAAATAGAATTCAGAATTCAAGTGGTCAGATTTCAAATATGTTTGAAATGAGATATAATTTTCTTCTACAAAGTATACATAAAAGATCATAATTTCTACTTTCAATTCAACAACAGAAATTACATAACACCGGTCCTTTAGACCTTATAGGAGATGGAAGGACATAGGCATGAATAAATCACAGGCTTGTGGAGCTCCCAAAATAGCAGAAAGATTAATACATCAACAACATCGGTGGTGGGATAAGCATATGATTAGGGTGTATATGAAGTGCTTTGAGAGCACAGATACAGGAGCAATTCCTTCTTCTGGAGAGAAGTTGAAGGAAGCAGGGAAAGTTGCAAAGAAGACAGTTGAGCTGGACTTTGAAGGATGAGCTGCAATTGGCTCAGTGAACATGGAGATGAAACAGCATTGATTTCATTTTAAGAGTGCCTCCAGAGCACAAATTCTGAAGCCGGGCTCTGCAACTTACTCTTCCTGGACCCTTAGGCAACTTAGTTGCCCTCTCTCTGCCACTTCAGTTTTCTCATCTGAAAATGGGACTAACAACAGAATGTATTCTGTTAGGTCCCTTATGAGGATTTCATACATTAATCTAGGCTAAGTGCTCAGAGTAGTGCTGGGCACCCAGTAAAGGTTATATAAATGTTAGTTGTTGTTGCCGCCGCTGCTGCTGTTGTTACCATTATACTTAGTTGTAGCCAAAACTATTTTCATCTGCTAATCAAAATGTGGCTTTATACCCATAATGGGTTTCAGTCCACCTGTATGCCTGAGCACACCAGTGGAAAACCACTGCTCTAAAAAGAATGGAAGGGAGACAACGGTGAACAGGGACAGATGCATTAGATATTAACTGACTGTAATCCAGGTGAAAAATGGTGTCTTCCTATGTAGTGAAAATAGAACACAGCCCAGGCCAGAGCTTTGAGGTGTTATATTGGGAAGTGCTGGTTTAGTACTACTTACCAGAAGAGAGGTCTAAAATCTGTCTTGCATATTTCAGCACGAGTACCAATCAAGTGAGTACTCTTCCTAAGAACAGCTCCTTTTTATTTGCTATTTTTTGCCTCACAACCTTTAAAGCAGGAAGATGGCTTAACAGGTCAAAGAAACATCATTCATTCTGTATACATTGCTCTGGAGTAAACTCCTCTATCAATATTTCATGAAACAGACTCCCCAGAATGGGAGTGCAGACTGAAGGTCAGAGACGGTCAGTCACGGCTGATGTTGGAAGGCTTGGCTGAAACTCATTGATGTCACATTCAGAGGCTGTCTACAGCCAAGACAAAGGATGCTACATCCTAGAGAAGGGGTTTAAAGAGAAGATTCTACAGAGACAACTACTTTACAAACAAACAAAGGGCCCTACATTGTCTTACATTCATGACATGATTCCGTTCCCCACTCCAGACGGTGTTCCTATTTTTACTCAGCTCCCGGTATTCTTTCTGTTTCCACCCAATTAATTGTCAGATGATTCGCAGTCATGAGACGATTTGGTCACATAATGAGATGGTCCGTGATTGCTGCATACTTCCTCCCTTCTCCCAAAATTGTACCAACATGACAGAATAATTTTGGTGAAAATCTTAGAATGCATGACCACTTCTGTCTCAGCAGCAGTTGTTTTCTGTCTTTTCTGGAACAAAAACAGTAGAAGCCCCACTAGCTGTAAAATGCAGAATGGCCAGTTATCTGTCCCAACCTTCTCCAGGGCATTATCAGGAGCTCCTGAGTGACGAGCCATGTTCAGTTAGCTTCCTATGCACAGCTGTTAGCACAGTGCCTCACAAATACATACATTTTTCATATTATTAGATGATGATTACAACCCTTTGTTAAGACTTTTTAAAGAAAAGCTTTATCGTATCTCAAATGCCTAAAACCTCTTGTGTCAAGTTTGCTTTATTAATAATTTAGAGATGCTCTTTCTTTTTTTTTATTATACTTTAAGTTCTAGGGTACATGTGCACAATGTGCAGTTTTGTTACATATGTATACATGTGCCATGTTGGTGTGCTGCACCCATTAACTCGTCATTTACATTAGGTGTATCTCCTAATGCTATCCCTCCCTCCTCCCCTCACCCCACCACAGGCCCCGGTGTGTGATGTTCCCCTTCCTGTGTCCAGGTGTTCTCATTGTGGAGCCGCTCTTTCTATGTCCTGCCCAGGCAGAGGCCTTCCCAAAAGCTCTAGAGCAGTAGTTCTCAAAATGTGACCCTGGACTCGCAGCATCAGTGTCACCTGGGAGCTTGTTAGGTATGCAAATTCTCCAACCCCACCCCAGCATTACTGAATCAGCAATTCTGGGACGGGGTCCAGCAATCTGTGTTTTAACAACACTCCAGGTAATTCTGGTGCACACTGAAGTTTGAGAACCATTGATCCAGATGTATGAAAACTCATTTTCCAAGTTAACACTGAGTTCCAAAAGGTTTATATCAAAGTACTCCTTTTGTTGAATCTTCCTCTGTATGTCAAATTACCTGTTTACAATCCTCCGGGGGTCCCCTCTTGCCTTCATGACAAAAAACAAATTGCTTAGCTTGGTCTACAGAGAACTTACAAGCCAGCCCCTACCCAGCCCCGCCTCCCTACCGCATACACCATGCTCCACACCCACAGTGCACATTGCCCACTTTGTGTTATGCATATGCTGGGTCCTTTCCCTGGAATATAATACTTTTTCCCTCCTTTGCCTGGTAGACCTCTCTCCTTGAAGACAAAGTGTTGATATCAACTCCACCTTCAAGTCTCTCAAGCAGAACTAGATGCTGTTTCTTCAATGTTTCCACATCTTCTTGTTCACATGTGTCTAAGGTACCCATTGAATTATTTTATAATTTCTATGGCCATATCTTCTAGGATAAACAAAATTCATGTCAGAGGCTGCATCTTTTTGGTCTTTAGTAGTTCCAGGGTTAAGCTTAATGTCCGACCCTATCAGATCTTTGCCATGTTTATTAAATAATTGCTCAATGCCAATTTCACATTCACAGGAAAAAAATCCAGACATGTATACATTCTACACTAAGACAAATACAAACTAAGGTTAAGAAGAGAGTTCATATAATTAAATCCTTGTTACATGGTGCTAAAAGCCTATGTGAACAGAGATTTAACAGTAGAAAAAGCAAGTGCTTCCAAATCTGAAAATGTGAGCCTCAATTTCACTGCTTGTGGCTGTTTAAACTTGAGCAAGTGAGTCGCTGGGCCTCAGTTTCCTCATCTGTAGAATGGAATGGAATAATATCTGCCCTGTTTACCTCACAACTGGTGGTTGTGATAACATGAGATGCTGTGTGCCATAAAATAGATTATTAATGTATCATGTCCTGTCTGTCTACAGCTTGATCTTATTATCATCAGATATTAAACATTACCTAAAACACTAAAGTACAGTGAAATAAAAAGGTTTCATTCCATTCACTAAACATATGGGGCACTGGGATAGAAGAAAGAAAGAAGGGAAAAAAGTTCACCAGTTGAGCAACACTCCTTTGAATTTAACATAGCAGAGGGGTCTCAATGCAAGAAAATTTCCTATGGATTCTTGCTCTACAGAGTCATTGTGGGTTTTTTCTGTCCACCTCTCCACTCCCACCCTCCAAACATCCACCAAGCGCTGATTTCTGAAGGTGAAAGCAACAAGGAGGGCTTTATATTGTGTTTTCCTTTCCCACCTCCCTTTACATATTCTTTCTTTCCATGCTGCCCCTTTAGGAAGGCAGGGGTGGTCTGCCATTGGGCTTATCATCAGTCTCCCAAGAGCCCCGTGGTATACAATTATGCCAAGCTTCGGATTGCTTGCAGTAGAGTTGTCAGGTTACTTTCAACTCCAGGCTTTTGGCACAGGGAAGGCATTTGGCTGGACCAGGCAGGGGCTTTAACTCGCAGCCTGCTCTGCCAAGTACAGTTGATGCTTCAGGCAAGAGGAAAGGAATTTGAAGTTTACTCTGGCTCCAGAAATTCTGCTTAAGGAACATCAGCAGTTAATAAAATTTAGTCATTTTTTAAACTAAGCTTACTGCTTTTTGTGTGCTAATCTGTAATCTCCTCTTTTGGGCAATATTTCAGCCTGCTTTGACAGCCCTGTTCAGACTCCATTAATCATAGAATGTGATGACTTCCCTACTTTTCGATTTTTAAGATGCTTCAAGGGAAATCTGTCTCCCCAGACACTTGCGTACTACATTGTAAGCCATTTTTACTATGAAGAAGATTGTAAGCTCAATTACGGGCTTTACTGCGCTGATAACGAACACAGATATGAGACAAGCAGACTTGAGCTCCTGCCTCGAGGATGGTGAGCAAAGAGCCTAAGCAAAACTGAGAGGAAATGAAACACAAAGAGGAAACAGAAAGGTGAGAAAATAGAGGGTGGGAGGGCAGGCAAGTGATTCATGGGGCCACCATAAAAGGGATATGTTAAGTGACCAAAGCAAAACCTCTAGAAAGGGCTCAAATACATAAGATAGAGATCACATGGGGCTGTTCTGTCAAATATAGGGTGAGTGATGGGAAAGAAAATAACTTGTTAAGGGAAGTTTCTAAACTGAGAAAATTTTGTGAGGTTTGAATATCTGTGAGACCAGTTTCGATCTAGAACCAAGAAGTAGATCCAAGACCTCCACAAAATGTATGTCTCTTCCCTGAGGAGAATGGGTTAAAATAGCCCAGACTAGGTACAGAAATAAGGAGAAAATAGCAGTCCTGGAAGACCTAATTGGCCTATTAACTTTTTTTTTATTTTCTTTTTTCTTTCTTTCTTTCTTTCTTTTTTTTTTTTTTTTTGAGACAGGGTCTCTCTTTGTCACGCAGGTTGGAGTGCAGTGGTATGATCACTGACTGCAGGCTTGATCTCCTGGGCTCAAATGATTCTCCCACCTCAGCCTCCTGAGTAGCCAGGACTTCAGGCATGCATCACCACATCTGGCTAATTTTTGTATTTTTTGTAGAGATGGGATTTTGCCATGTTGTCCGGGCTGGTCTTGAACTGCTGAGCTCAAGCAATCTGCTTGCCTCGGCCTCCTAAAGTGCTGGGATTACAGGCATGAGCCACCAGGCCCAGTCTAAGGCCTAATAAGTTATGCTACCAAAAATAAATTATATAAGATATTGTAATTTTATCCTTATACAGTACATAGTTTCTCCCATGAGCTCTCTCCACTATGCTATTGTTTTTATCCTTCTATAGTTGGATGATGTGTGTGTTCTACCACAGAGGACACTGGAGGGTGGGGGATCTCCAAAACAAGTGAGGGGAAGCCCCCTTTTCCTTTTCCACTGGATGATGAGTTCCTGGGGCCACAGGGATTTGAACCTCTTATAGTCACTTTCAGCTCTGAGCTCTCGCTTACACTGAAATACTTGTTTTAGAGATCATGATTGATCATCACATTGTGTGGTTCAAATTCCTCATCATATTGACCTGAATATTGAATTCAGCCTTTTCTTCTGATTTTCACCATTATCAACCAACAAACCAACAAAATGAAACAATTTCTGAGGTATTTATATGAATAGAAGACCTTCTCAAAGATTGGCAATGACAAGGTACACATCACATGTAACTTAAAATTCCATGATTGATATCCCCATTCCTAAAAATATCATGGTCACTTCTCAGATGTGGACTGTAGTCTTCCACCATATTCTTTGAACTTTTCCTTCTTTTCTCTTTTTCCTACACTTCAAACTTTCTGTTGATTTCGAATGCAGAGACAGTTGATGATCTCTTCTGTTACGCTTTCTCTTACCAATCCATGCTATCAGGGGCACATCTTCTGCCACAAGAAGCAAAGTACTGCCTTGCTATATGGAAGCTCAGATCACATACATAAGCCATTCCACATTTCCAGTGACAATTTCATTTCAAATCTCACTGACGGGCTATTTATTTGGTGACTACTGTGTACTGTGTGAACATGTACATCGATGTTCATATAAAATTCCTTATAATCAAAAAACTAGAAAACCTTATACTTCAGCCAGAGGGAAATAGGTAAATTCATTATGCTTTAGTCACTCAATGGAAAATTATATTCAGTAGGGATCACAAACTTTAACTCACTTTACAACTCGTATGTACAAATAACTCTAATGGCTTCATTCAGCCTCTCAATCCTCTAGTCTTACTATACTGACTAGTGGGGAAAAGATTAACTTACTCTTCGATCGATTTAAAGATTAGTCTGCAATCATAATTTAGGTAATATTCAGTCTTCTTAAATAAAAGTGTTAAATCTCTCACATAGTTCCCCTTCCCCTGCTTTTGTCATTAGAACGGCAGTGCGGTATATCAGGACATCCCGCATGACTTTTTGGCAGCAAAAAAGAGGAAGTGCTCGCAAGCATGGTAATGGCCTCCTCCTCTGGTCTCTGGAGTAAACCCCAAACTGCTCTGTCTTGCTAGCATCCACTGATGCAGGATACCACTACTTTAGCTCAATCTCATCTCTTGGCTCGGTGATCCTGAGCCTCCTTGACTAAATAGGCCTCGAGGCTTTGACTCAGCTTCTGATGGCCAACTACCCCTATGCAGTTGCCACAGACCCCATTCAGCCCTGGCCTACAGCCTGCCCATGGCTTTGCTGCCAAATTACCTTGACCCACCATTACAAACCCTATTACAGACTTGACGGCTTTTAACTCAGTATGAACACCTTAGGAATGGAGGGGTGTCTAGAAAATGACAACCAGACCTTTTTCTGGGTCTCATAGGACCACTCAGCTTCCCCTTCCTAATCACTAGGCTGCCCCACTGTGCACAGAAGTGTCCTCCCAGGGTTCCCAAATGAGAGTTGGAGGTGGGGAGTAAAAGCTTCCTGGAGGCTGTTTGCTCCCTCAACTTGTAAAATGCACAGTAAATTGGGGCCTACATTTAATTCTTTCACTTTCTTCCTTTCCCTCTCCTCTCTGTCCCACTTCCTCTGAGACAGAGAGTGAGTTTTTATTTTGCTTCCTTTTGTCATATACATACCCCTGCACCTGCTGAGCAACAGTCTCCATGCTTTGCTGTTAAAGACGGAATGAGCATCTTCTCTACACCAAAGAGAACTCTATGGTGGAGGTCATCCAGGCTTGGCTGTAATATGCAAGAGAGGGCAGTAGCCAAAGGAACGTAGCAAAGCCTTTCTCCTGCAGCTGGGATCCTATTTACATGTCAGAAACTAAATATTATCTCAGTCTTTCTCTTGATGTTACTCTCATGCCAAGCAGGAGGATAGAGCACTATATTTAGAGGCTACTAAATATCCATGTAGTCTCCCAATACGGAATAGAAAACTTTTGAACTCTTAAATTATCTTTGTCTGCATATTTATCTTCAACAACTGCTTAGCAAGCTAAAAAATCCTCAGAAGAAAAAAAAATCCATTTGAAGGGCTTGAAAAATACAACCTTTGAGTAAGAGGAAACTTTCTGCAGTCTATAAAGTCAAATCTCAGAATGGCAGTCCCTTTAACATGTGGTCTTCTATTCTTTATGTAAATGCCACCAAAACTCACTCCTTCACAAGACAACCCACCTTGTCTAGGGACAGCTCATGTTATCGGAAAGACCTTTCCTCTATTAGGGAGAAACCAACTGAGTTTTTTCCTCTACCTGGAATATCCACCTCCTCTGGTGTCCCCTCTCAGAATTCTACCTGTTTTTCCGGACGCATGTGAAATGCCACCACTTTAGTATGTCATGTCCCCAGTCACAGTGCACCTTAGGTTTATCACTGACAATCTCCCCCACCAGACCCCAGGCCCAGGAAGGCAGACCTCTCCCTTCTTCATTGAAGTTCCTCTTGTAATGAGCACATAGTAGGTGTTCAACTTTTGTTGCAATGAATGAGCTCCCTGTGTTCCAACTGCCTTCTGGGCCCTGGAATCATTTCTTAAGCAAACGGCTCAGCAATGGCAAAAAAGCAGGTAGCTGTAAGGCAGTGAGACATACCAATGGCAAAGATAAAGGGCATATGACAGACAGGAAAAGGGTGACACAGTTCTGTTCCTTGTAAAGTTAGGCGGCTCACTATGCATCTCTAAGCATGCAGGGCAAATGGAATGCTTTGCGACGGCAGCCTGCACACCGTGTGCTGTATTTAATGTTCTTCAGCTGTGTGACAGGACTGACAAAACTGATCCCACCTTCATCCTTATCTAATCATTTTATGGGGCATTAAGCTGCCTTTGCCTGAACGGTTACCAGCTGCAACAACACTCCAGGAAAGGACACAACCCTGCTTATGATAAAGCACATTACACTCATGGAACCCGTCTCTATGAATCTCCGATTCACAGTTTATATAATTTACCCTAGGCTCATCCTCCACCTTCCCTTTGGGGCGTGGACCTACACTCATTCAGCTGTAGGCAGTTGCCTATTGAAGGTGCCGTGCTGCACTAACACATTGTTAGGGTTTTAAAGTTGGTGAGACTTTTCCCTGTGGCAACACAACTTTCCCAGCCTCTAGGTTAAATGCAGACAGCTTACTGAGTGACTTTAAAGCTAAGTATCCCTGCTTTGTAAACTTCAATGACCACAGTTTTTATTATAAACAGTGGTTACCTTGATTGTGGGGTCAGCCTCCCTGTGGAAAGACACAGAACCCTCTGGTCACCTGAAGGCATTTCAAACATGTTTTTGCTTGAAAGGATCATCGCTGCGTGCCTGTCTTCATTCCTGCTCTCTTCTCCATGTGCTTTGCCTTGCTGCTGGTATGTGTTCATTCTGCAGCTGCTGGCAGCTGCAACTCAGGGCAGTAGGATTCCAGCAGGTGAGGAATGTATATTATGCAAGCCATGGCAACTAGAAACACCAACATCTCCTGCAACCCCTGAAAATGAATGGCACAGCTCTGCAACAAAGTCCATGTATTAGAACTTGCCTGTGTCCTAGGAGTGAGCTATTAGCCCTGACAGAGAAACAGACAGGGAGTGTGGTGAGGTGGGACCTGGAGCCAGCCTGAGTTTGGATCCTGGTTTGACCTGGAGTGAGTTATGGAAGCTCTCTGTTGTCTCAGTTTCCTCATCTGCAAAATGAAGGAAATATCTCAAAAGCTAGTTATGGAGACTAAATGAGTTAACGCAAATAAAGTACTTAGAATTGTGACTGGCACAGAATATGCCTTCAGGACACATGAGCTTGTCTGGAAGATGATCGCATCTGTACCCAAGTATTTAGTTATTATGGATAAGCCCATGATGTACAAAGTTCTAACTGCAGGGAAGACCTCTCCTAATGGAACATCTCCCCTTGGGTATCTCTAAAGCTCCTCAACCTCAGCATGTCCAACACCAAATTCATGATTGTCCCTTTCCAATCCAGGTCCTCTCCAATGCTCTTTTCCTCTAAGAACAGCACAACTATTCACCCTGGATAGCCTTCTCCTTCACCCTCAGCCTCCACATTCCCTACTTCGAGCTACCATCCAGGCTCCAACCAATGCCACAGCCAGCCCTTCCCACCTGGTCTCCCTCATCCTCTCACCCCTCTCCAATCTGTTCTCCATGCAGTGGCCAGAGTGGTGATCTGCTAAGTCACAGTGACAGTGTATCTCCTGTCACCAATACATACACACACACACACACACATGCACGGACACACTCCCTAAAATCCTTCAGCAGCTCCCACTGGCTCTTAGCATAAAAGCAAACTCCCTACAAAGCCCTTCATGTCCGGCACTGCTCACCCCATCAGCCTCATCTTGCACTGCTTTCTTCTTGCTCTTTGGGATCCAGCCATGTCAGCTTATTTCAGATCTTTAATACAACATGAGCCGTCCTTTGTACCTGCTGTTCCCCATCCCTTTGCCTAGATAAGTCCCGCTCATCTTCTGGGTTGCTTCACTGTCCCCCGGTTGGCTAATCTGCTTCTTTTGTCACCTGTGTAACAAATTCCCTGCATCACATTCTCTTTGCTTGAAAGGCTGAAAGTTTTCTGTTTTCCCGGTTTGGCCCCGAATGATGAGGTGAGGGGATGATGCCTGGGTACTGGTGGTCTCCACCGGAGACTGGGGAGGGGGACACGAGCTTTCCTGAGCCTCTGGCTAAAGTCAGGTTTCCTTTTTCATACATCCTCAAACAGCCTTCCCTTTGAAGCTGTGTCTGTAATGGCGATGCACTAGAGTGACTCTGAATAATGCCTGTCTTCCCAATAGACTAAAAACTCCAGGACAGCAAGGACTTAGCACAGTATCCAGCCCATGGTTAGGTGCTCAATAAGTATTTCTAGAATTCCTTAACCAATAGAAGATGTATGTCTGTTCAGTACTTCCCCATATATTGCTTCATTTAATCTTTATGCAGTCTTCATTTAATCTTTATCAAACCTTTAAGTTAAGTATGATTGTCCTATTTTAACATATGAAGACTCAAGGCTGAAGGACTAGACGATTTGTTCAAGACCATGCAGAGGGTAAATGGAAGAACTTAAATTCAAGTATTCCATTGGGAAGTCAAGCCTCTTCCCACAAAAGCTTTTGCCAGGTTCTCTTTAATTGTCTTTTAGCATTGTACAGAATCTTCAGTGAGAGAATTATTTCTACCTGCATTAAGATGCTGAACAGGTCTAAATTCGAGTCGTGGTGTACCTCAGATGGTTCACCCTTAGCCCTCCTTCTGACAGCTCTGCCTTGCTTGTACATCCTGGCCTGAGAGGGCAAGAGAGGGAAAGAGCTCTTGTCAAAGGGAGGGCTGGGCCTCTGTTAATCCTGACATAACTTCCCAACAGTCTGAGGTGCCACATGTGTTCCCCTCCCCAATCTCCAGTGGAGACCACCAGTACCCCGGCATCATCACCTCACTTCATCTCATCAGAGCCAAACCAGGAAAGCAGAAAACTTTCAGCCTTTCAAACAAAGGAAATGTGATGCAGGGAATTTGTTACACGGGTGACAAAAGAAGCAGATTAGCCAACTGGGAACAGTGAGGCAACCCAGAGGTTGGCAATAGTAGGAAGCCACTGCCACCCCTAGGCTATAAGCACAAGAAAGGAGGAGACTTACCAGAGACCAAGGGCCCAGGTGACATTGAACATGGAGGAGGAGAAATACCTGGTGTGGTAAGGAGGATAATCTCCCCCTCAAGACGTCCACATTCTAATCTCTGGCACCTGTGAATATGTTATCTTACACGGCAAAAGGGGCTTTTCAGATGTGATTAGGTTAAGGCTCTTCTGATGGGGAGCTTATCCCACATTTTTGGGGTAGGACCAATGTAATCACAAGTGTCCTTATAAGAGGGGAGGAAGGAGGGTCAGAATTAGAGAAGACAATGTGCAGAAGTTAGAGTGATGTGGTCACAAGCCAAGGAATGCAGACAGCCCCTAGGTGTTGGACAAGGAAAGGAAATGGGTTCTGCCCTAGAGCCTCCAGAAGGAATGCAGCTCTGCTGACACTCTTAGTCTCATAGGACTTATTTCAGATTTCTGACTGCCAAAACTATAAGATAATACATTTGTGTTGTTTAAGCCATTAAGTTTGTGGTAATTTGGTACAGCAACAATAGGAAATGGATCCATCCGGCTCACCCCTTCCTCCTGTACTTCAATCTTGCCACTAGCTGAACCCAACAGGAAGCTAAGTGGCAGAGAAGTGAGGGAAATACAGCCTGCAAAGAAGGACAAGGGAAGGACCTGGGGGCAAACATGCCCCCATGTATATAATGAAAACAAGGCTTATTCTCTTCTGATTCATTCAAATTCCGTTGCTTAATCATGGGAATCATGGAATGGCATTTGGTCAAGGAGTAATTTTCATGAGATGGTTTGGTAATTTTCTGGACTTCATTTTATTTTTCATTATTTTATGAGCATGTAAATCAAAACAGATGATATCACCTCATCTTTCTCAATGGCATCAGTAACAGAACAAAATCAAATGAAAGTGCTCCATAAAAATGAGCACTGCCCAAGTTATAGTGTGTGCGGGCTGCTGCCCACTACTCCCTTCTCTGAGTCATTCCCCGATGTGACTTGGCAGCCCAGCTCCATCAGCTCTGTGGTTGAAAAAAAATGGGTCATTGCACTGCGACAAAAGGACATTCATTGAAAATACAGCAATTAAGAAAAATTTGAGCTCCAATAGTCTCAAATGACCAAAGGAAGCTTGTACTTGCAGCGTGTGGGTGCCAGCAGCAGGCAGACCAACAAAGCAGCAGGAGTTCCACCAGCAGCCACCAGGGACACGTCTAAGAATTCTATCAAACAGAAGGAAGTGGCTGAACTCCACTGATGCAGGGGACAGGAGGCCTTGGAAAAGGCTGTTTTCAGCATTACTAGCATTTAATTGAAACATTCTGGAACCTGTAGTCCCAGGACCTAAAAATAGGGCATCACAACAAAAGACTCAACAATAACGTTTTTCCTTATGAAATTTTATTTTTGCTTAAATATAGGGGAATATATAGGACACTGTAAAGGCAAAGTCTCACTGGTTTCTCTCTCTCTCACACACACACACAGAATTGGAAGAGTTCATAAATAAAACAAATTAGCAAAAATGTTGATGGTTGTTGAAGCTGGATGATGGGTACATGAGTGTTCATTGTATTAATCTCTCCTACCTTTTGTTTTAAAATTTTTATTAAAAAGGGAAAATGTAAATGTTGATTTCATTGGATACATGTTTTCCCTAGTTAGTCTTCCTTTACACTGTTCATTTCATTGTCACTAGGCTTCACCATGTCTCTGTGTCGTGGGACCCAGCAGCATGCAGATATTGCCAAGTGTGCTCTGATTCTGTCTGTACTTATGTGGAAAGCAGAAGCCTGCTCTGGCAGAGGAAGGGCGGTGTCCAGGCAATAGGCATAGGAAATGAGTAGGCAGCAGGCTGAAGAGGGTGAAAAAAAACAGGGCAAGAGCAACCCCTCCACTGAAATGCACTGGGAAGGGGGACTTAGATACTAACACAAGTTCAATTCAAGAAGCATTTATTGAACCGTCCTCATGAGCCAGGTCAGGGTGTTCAGCACTGAGCGTGTCAAGACGAAGACACATAGCCTCTAAGTGTCCACCATCTACAATAGCTAATGTTTAATTGTCCTTAAAAGTTGAAGAATGTTGACTGGATTGTCTGCAAATCAGTCATGTGAGTAGTGTTAATCTAATGAAGAAGAATCTTAAAAGACAAATTCTCCAAATGCTGCTGCTCCTGCATCCTGCTGCTCTACCTGCTGTGGGGAGGAGGTGAGTGGATGATACCCAGCTTCCTTTCGTGGCAACAACACTTAAAAAGTAAGGTGAGACTTTGCTTTTCTAGAGAGTACTGAGATGGTCAAGATATGCACTGTTGATGGGCTAATTTTCAGTGTTCATAGCACAGCACATAATGCCAAAGTGGAACACAGTGAGAAAGAGATTCATGCCAATCCCTTTTGGGAACAAATGTCTGAAAAATCACAAGGGTCACTGGCTCTGGTCTCGCTTGGTTCTGTCACTGTGGGGAATGGGGGATGGAGGAGTGAGGAAATACGCCAGGATTGATAATGGTCAGTGAAATGCCTTGCCCATCTAAAGCACTGCTCCCCTCCCCCTTCTTTTCCTTCTTAACAGCTGGCCCGAAGAACCTAAACTTAGCAAGGGCGAGGTGTAGGAAACTAGATAGTGCATTCTACAGTTGGATAGGAAATACTGGGCTCAATGTGTTTAAGGTTAAGATTAATTCCTCACTTCCTCCGAATCTATTTTAAAAACAGAGCAAAGGATGGCATATGCTTTCTTCTAACAAAATGACAGATGATCAAAGGATAAACATGATCTGCATGTAAAACCCTCTGACTACTGCCATGGCCCTTTGCCTACAGATTAAAAAAAAAAAAGCAGTATTTTATCAATGTGGTTAAAATTTGGTTGTCTGTGTTTATTCAGAAAACTCAGTAGTGGCAACAGCCAGAAAAATAGTGAATCATGATTGGCTAAATTGAAACAAGCCAGTAGTAGAACAAAGGAAAAACTTAGTGGTACTCTGCTCTTAAATGTCTGCTTCACAGCAATGAACAGAGACCACAGCCTCTCTCTCTGCAAGAGGGAGCTTGAGGTTCAAGTCTGAGACTTAGTTTCTGAAAGCAGAAATCTGCCTGCTGTCGAGGCGGCAAATCAATTTTTCTGATTTGCCGTAACAATCCTAATTGATGTTGGCTCATTATTATTCCCTGCGTTATGTAAACAAGAACTCTCATTGTGTGCAGCCACTCATTAGGGCTGATTTAATTGAATTTGAGAAGGAAAGGAATGGCTGCCTTGGGAAGCAAAGTACCCTAGGCTTCTGAAAGAGCAGCGAGTGCTCCACAAGTGACTTACAAGTGACGCTTATGTCAGATGCGTGCACAGGAAGAATGAGAGCAGACCCTCTCCCCTCCCTTTTTCTCCCTAGAGTGGTTTATATGGCTCTTCATTAATTGTGTTTGCTGCACAGTGCCTCTGCTTTGCTTCTTTGATGTAGTTATTTTTGATGTCCCATCAAGCTATGGCCCCCTTTGAGTTTTTCAAGACCCCACAAGTCCCAGAGAAATGCCATTCAATCTGTGATTCTTTAAGTGTAAAGAAAATCAGCTCAGAAATTGGCAGGCCGAAACATTCTAATGGTGTCAAATTTCATTGTTAGCACTCTGGGCCTTTTTTCAACCAAAGCACTTTGAACTCTGGAAGGAGCCTGGCCTGTCTTTGAATAGGGTGTAATTATCAAGCCCATTCAATCAATCATTTACTCATTCTACAAATACTTCTTGAGTTCCTAATACTATGTGTTGCTCTCTTCTCTAGGCATTGGGAATTAGTGTTAAACAAGACACAAAATGTGTGCTCTCAGGAAGATCATATGCCAGTGCAGAGAGATGATAAACACGAAATCCAATAAATACACAGTTTGTGCCATGAAGAAAATAAAACAAGCTGATGAAATTATAACTACCAGGTGTGTCACTTCGATTGGGTGTTCAGGGAAGACTCAGGAGATGCCATTTGAGCTGAGACATGAATGATATGAAGAAATTGACTATGGAGAGATCAGGGGCAGAACATTCCAGGTGGGGACAAACAGGGTCAACAGTGGTAAGGCAGCAACAAGAGTGGGGAATTCAAGGAGCAGCCAGCAGGCCAGTGGGACTGGGCATAGGAAGGAGTGCAGGTGAAGGGAGGGGGGTCATGGAGCAGGCAATGCCAAGTCTGAAAGACCTTCCTTGTAGAACATGGCAAGGGGTTTGGGTTTGGTTTTATCCTCAGTGCAATGAGAAAGCAGTGATGGGGAAAGGGCCTTATACAGGAAAGTGACAGGATCTGGTTTGAATTTTTGACTTTCTGGCTGCTGCATAGAGAACGTATTGGGGCAAGAGGAAGGGCAGAAGTAATGAGCGTGACCAGTTAGGAAGCTATAACACATGTGAGAAATAATATGAAGATACGATGACGATGATCATGTATGGAGTGATGACTGCCAAGCATTGTGCTAAGCCCTTTGCATGCAGTGTCTCATTTATTTCTCATAAAACCCCTACAAGAAGTTAAGAAAGGTTAAGTTACCTGTCCAAGGTCACAAATAATGGATAAGGCAATTTCACCTCTGCATTCACCTGCCTTGGAATTCAGCAATGAACACTTTGTGAACCCTGGAAAGAAATCCATTTAAGGCAACCATACATACCCCTTTTTATATATCGGATATAGTCCTGGAATTGGAAATTATTTGCTCTCGTAATTCTATTTATTATTATATTGTGTGTCTGTGTGGGTATGTGAAAGAGAAGGTTTTGCAAGCAAGTAACTGTGGAAAAATGCCAAGTAGCAGAGGGAAGCTAGGAGAATGCTGCCGTTACTACCCAGCTGTTTGGTCTGTGGGACCTGGAAGAAAGGGCAACCTCTATTTGAGAACCTTGTCCTGGGGAAGAGCTGGGTTTCAGTTAAGATGAGGAAGTAGAGGGAATGTTCTGTGACAAGTATATGTGGGGGTGGGAAGTTTACAACTGAATGGGATCCCAGAGGACGCACTGGAAAGGCTGGCAGAAAGCAAAGCAGTGGGAGGATGAGTCAGGCGCTAAAATGCACAAAACAACATGGGAATAAGAGTACATGAGAGGATGCGGGTTCAGATGGCTTGCATTGTTGGTGCTGGCCAGGTATCACAGGGATGAGAAGAAGGAAACTAATTGGGCTCATGGTTCCAAACAGAACTTTGGCAAGGGGATCTCTCTCTGCAGAACTCCAGGTACTATTGAAGCCTCTGCAGCCAGTTCCCAGTCCTATTGTCATTTATCTGACTCATGCTTGCCTACAACACACATCATTTCCACCCTTAAAATGGTCAGATGTTCCAAAACAGCCCTGTATACATAATCTATGAGTTTTGAAGTTGAGTTTCTAGGGTTAATTCCTCTCAAAGCATTTGAGATCCTCTAGGCCTATACTGATTAATAGGTTCATCAAAGGACATTAACCTAAATTTAATTTGGAAAATATTACCAACTAAACATGATAGCAGAGAGCAATGTAATAAAATGTGCTTTTGTTGCAACTGCTTTTGACATTTTCTTAACGAAATCTTTGCCTGTACCTATGTCCTCAATGGTATTGCCTAGATTTCCTTCTAGGGTTTTTATAGTTTGGATTTTATATTTTCAAGACTCCTAGAAAAATAGATATCTTCTATTTCAGCCTCCCTTTTGGGTCAGCAGTTGTCCTGAGGGGCAAGCATGGTTGCTAGGAATCATTTCCTCAGGGAAGATGTCCCTTATGTGTCTCCCTGGCCGCCCCCACCAGTGTAAATTAGGTGCTCCTTCTAAGTGCTCAGCTGTACCCTGTGCAGTTTCTGTCCTCAGATTAGTTCTCTCTGGGTCTCCTGCTCTAGACTGTGACCTCCCTTCAGATAGGAAGCTGTGTCTTAATTCATCTTGGAATCCCTGACACATGCATTACATGTGTTCAGTGCATGATAAAAGAACCATTTCCATCCCTCTATATTTCCACTTTATATTACCTTGTCTTAGAATATTGGGTATATGTTTCCTGCTCTTTTGAGGTGGGAGTAAGGGAAGCTCCAAAATAGAAGGGGAAACAATGTTGCTTTATTTTGGGGAAATAGTAATTAGGAAAGAAATCCAACTAGGAGAAGGAAACTAACACTTCTTGAGTCCCACTATGCGGCAGGAAATACGCTAAGCAGCCTCTCTTGCATATTGCATTTAATCCTTCCAACCTTTCATTCTGGAATGTTTGTGTTCTCATTAAAGCACTCTTATACTAACCTGTACAATAACTTTAAGTCAAAAACTTGACTGAACTTGACCAAATTATATGAGCAAGTTAATTACCTGTTATAGTAATACTAAAATAGGTTTTTAAATAGAATGGCACCCATTCTGCTGATCTCTAATCCCAAGAGAGCAAGTTCAACATCAGAAGTCAAAAGACCATTATTTGTATCTGGATCATCCACCCAGGGCGATAGATCAGAGAATTAAGATAATTACATACTTTCTGGTTAATTATCTGAGATGAAATATTCTATAGATGTGTTATATGTCAGTGGAGCTGCAATCTGGTCCAGGCTTTCACAGGAAGCTATTAAAAATGTCCTTGATGCTCAGCAAGAGTCACATGGACTGTCTATCAGAGAATGGAGGGCCACAGAACTCCCACTCACCGATGCCGCTTGGCTTGCAGCCTTTCTTGGCATTAGCCTCAGCCTCGCTACCAACATCCACCTGGCCTCCCCAGTCCAGTTCCCTCCATATGAATCCCGGTCCCTTGCTTTTACATCACACCATCCACAGGCTTAACCTCAGCTTTACCAGTGGCTACCCAGGACCCCTGAAAATTAAGGGTAGTGGGTTAAAAGTGTGAAGAAGGGGGAACCCCATACATCTATACATATGGACAAAATACCTTGCAAACCCTCACTTCCAATTAGATCTGCTCTCAAGATATTGGCCACAACAGATGAGGCAAAGATGATTGACTGCCTCCTCGATGTATTCCCTCCACTCCCTCCGTGGCTAACAGAATGCCCCTTCAGCCTTGGGCTCAGGAATCTGACATAGTACTTACTAGTCAATTAGAGGAAGTCTGCTGGAGGCTTCAAGGAAAGGTTTCCTTTCTAATAAAAAGAGTTGCATGCCAGTCAGAATGGCTATTATGGAAAAAATAAAAAAAAAATCAGGAGCTGGTAATGGAGAAGAAGGAATGTTTATGCACTGTTGGTGGGAGTGTAAATTAGTTCAGCCATTGTGGAAGACAGTATAGCAATTCCTCAAAGACCTAAAGACAGAAATAACATTTGACCCAGCAATCCCAGTACTGGGTATATACCCAAAGGAATATAAATCATTCTACCATAAAGACACATGCACATGAATATTCATTGCAGCACTATTCACAATAGCAAAGATATGGAATCAACCTAAATGCCCATCAGTGATAGACTGGATAAAGAAAATGTGGTAAATATACACCATGGAATGCTATACAGCCGTAAAAAAGAATGAGATCATGTCTTTTGCAGCAATATGGATGGAGCTGGAGGCCATCATCCTTAGCAAACTAATGCAGGAACAGAAAACCAAATACCACATGTTCTCACTTATAAGTGGGAGCTAAATTAGGTGAACACATGGACACATAGAGGGGAACAACACACATGGAGGCCTTTTGGAGGGTAGAGGGTGGGAAGAGGGAGAAGATCAAGAAAAACAAGTAATGGGTACTAGGTTTAATACTTAGGGGATGAAATAATCTGTACAACGATCCCCCATGACACAAGTTTACCTATGTAACAAACCTGCACTTGTACCCCTGAACTTAAAATAAAAGTTAAAAAAAAGAGCTGCATGGGGACAAACTGTCCTTTCTTTCTTTGGACATGATCATGGGAGGACGCAATGCTTGTAGCAGATTTCCCTTTTGTGCCCATGAAGGGAAAATCAAGAAATATGAAAGAAGTTGACCTGTAGTCCAATTAACCAATTCTGGCACTATGGGAGAAAATAAATGCTTTATTGGTTAAGTCACTTTTAGTTGGATATTCTGATATTTACAGCCAAAAGCATCCTCACTGATTCAATGGAAAAACCCAGAAACTTCTAGTCTGTTACTCATATCTTGATATGGGCTGTATAGAGGGCATGCTTTCAGCAACAGGAATACCTTTCTAATTATGGCAATTCTGGTCTCATGGCAGACATTAAGAGTTGTTTGGGGAAGAAAGCCATCCTAAGACTAGCCCCCTCCATGATCTTGCAGAAATGACCAAAAGTCTTGACATCTATATTAAGAAACAGTAACTATGACCAGCTACCGCCTGATTTAAGATGCTGCCTAAGACCAGCATCTTACAACTCAGTGCAATACTGAAAAATCAGGTTCACTTGTTTTATGAGTTTTTCAGTTGGGAAAGAATTCCACCCTATAAGCATCAGTTGTATTTGAACTTCATTCTCTGGGGTATAGAAATCATGGCAGAGACCACAGAATCCTAGAATTTTAGAATTGGAAAAAAGTTGAAGATCATCTAGATAAAACATTTGATTTTATAGATAAGGACAGAAGTACATGACTTATCTCCTCTGGATAATTACTGAGATCCTTAAAACTAATAAAACGCTCACTTTTTATGATGAGAGAGAATTTCTTCAATAACTTCTAGACCATCTACTTTAAACAAGACAGCTTACTTTTACCAGGTGCTTGGCATGCAGAATTTTCTTTATAAATGTTTGTTGAATTAGGTGGAAAAAAATGAACTCATGCAAAAGAAAAATAATCTGGCTTCTTTCTCTGCGTTCTCAAGATGTTATATGAAAGAGACCATGGGCTGCCACGTTTCTGAATTAGCATCAAGATAAAATTATTCCTTCAAATAATTAAGCCAGAATGAATAAACTAAATTTGCATTTAGGCCTAGTTTACCCCTTTCCCTCTAGGATCTTATAAACATGTAAGTATATGTTTATTAGCCATATTAGAAACATGTAAATATATGTTTATTAGCCATATTAGAACTAGTTTACCCCTTTCCCTCTAGGATCTTATAGACACGTAAGTATATGTTTATTAGCCATATTAGAATGTTGTATTCCTACTTTTATTTTACTACTTAGACCCCATGCACTGGGGAGTGTGTGTGCCCTTCTCCTCTCCCAGTTCTAAAAGGAAATGATCCCGTGACACTCTTTAAGTCAAGCTCAGCTGCCTGTCTCACCCTGGGAAACTAATAAGAGAACAGCCCCACCCCCAACCCCATTTCCTGCCTCCTCCTCTCTGCTGTTTCCCAACAAGCTGTCTGCCCTCAGGAATCAAAAGTGTCAACAGCTGAAGAGAAAGCAAGACCTAACTAAGGTTTTCAGAGTTTGTAACAAACAACATGGACGTATTTTCTATCAAAAGAATGGCATTTGTACTTTGACAAGGTATGGATATACTGAAAAGCTGAAATGAATTTAAGGAGTTTTTTGATCCTACAGTTGATAGGTTCAGATTCAAAATAACTTCTGATGGGAGAAAATAAAATCCTAGTATTATCTATTACTTCCCTTGTAGGGAGCACAAACCTTACGCACAAGAGGTTCACCTGGGAGTAATTTCAAGCATACAAGGAGTAAGAAAATAAGATTTTAATACAAATATCTTAGGGAGAGGTAACATGTTGATTTAAATGCATGCTCAGATTAAATACGAACAAGATTATTCCTAAACCTTTGTTTAAATAGTGGGGAGAGGAGAAAGTCTGGGTTGGGAGAAAGGATGTGTAAATGCTGAGAAGTAGAGAAATGAACAGCAGAAAGAGGATCCCAAAACAAAAGAGTCCCTGCTTCAGCAGCCTCTCAGTATGGTCCTGTTCATGGAATTAGATGTGATGCTTCTCAGGGGCTTCAGAATATGAGTTACAGGAGCAGGCAACGTGTCACCTCCAGAGAGGTGGTCTGCCCCACCTCTCCCTAGGCAGCAAAACACAACCACTTGGTTTGCATTCATCTCAAGCACATCATTACTGGCCAAATTGTAAGGGTGTTTCTCAGAAGGAGATGTGCAAATGGAATGTGTGAAGAATACTGTGGAATAATGAAGCTGATATCCTGCCTTTGTCCCTGGTTTCTGGTACAGAGCTTTGCAAACCCTTAGCATTTCCCCAGTGTTATGTCCCCGCCCCACCCCACAAAATTCATGTGTTGAAGTCCTAACCAGTACCTGAGAATGTGACTGTATTTGTAGACAGGGTCTTTCCAGAGGTTAATGAAGTAAATGAGGTCATTAGAGTGGGCCCCAAATCCAATAGGACTGATGTCCTACTGGAAATTAGGACACAGACATACGCAGAGGGAAGACCAAGTAAAACCACAGGGAGAAAAGAGACATCTGAAGCCAAGGAGAGAGGCCTCAGAAGAAACCAACCTTTCCCATACCCTCTTGTTCTCTGACATCTAGCTTCCAGAATTGTGAGAAAATAAATTTCTATTAGTGAAGAAATCCAGTCAGTGGTAGTTTGTTATGGCAGCCCTAGCAAACCAATATACTGAGTAGCAGGAGTGTCTGTTATGATGATGAGGGGACTCTTGGTAGGCACCTAGATAGCTTCAGGATGGGGGCTGGTCACCAGAGAGACCAATCATGTGATTAGAGGATTGGGACTTTGGGCCCACTGGACCTCCAGGAAAAGTAGATGTGCTAGAAATTAAGTTCAATCACATGGCCAGTGATTTAATCAAGGACATCTAAGTAATGAATCCCCAGTGAAAACCCTGGACCCAAGCTTGGAGGGGTTTCCTGGTTGGTGAACACGTTGATGAGCCGGGGGATGATACACCAGGATTTCATGAGGGGAGGACATAGAAACTTAGCGTTGGCCCCCACTCAAGACCTTGCCCTGTGCATCTCTTAGTTGTCGTTCCTGATCTGTATGCTTCATAATAAAATCGTAAGTATAATGCTTCTAGTCAGTTGAGTGTGTTGTTCTAGCAAATTATCAAACTTGGGAGGATTGTGGGACCCTTCAAATATATAGCTGGTTGTCAGAAATAGGGATGGCTCCCGGGGCTTCTGGCTGGCATCTGAAGTAAGGGCAGTTTTGTGGGACTGAACCTTTAAATTGTGGAGTCACACTAATTCTGGGTAGTTGGTGTCAGAATGGAATTGAATTGCAGGACATCCAGCTGGTGTCAAGGAACTGGAGTCAGAACAATAAGATTCTTCTGACAACCCTGTAGTTTGAACTCTTTTCACAAGGCATTTTGTCTACCATCCCAAATGTAAAACATTCCTTTCTTAGAGGAAATGTTCCTCTGAAATTATTCAAGGCTCTTCAGACAAAAAACAGAAAGAGAGAGAGAGAATTTTAGCCAAGTTCTATCTCCCAGATATTTTCATAAGCAATATGCTTTGCTCATTCAGAAAACCTAAATCTTTGGTAACAGCAACAATTTGACATACTACCAGCCAAAGTAACTCTTAGAGATTTTTGCTGAATTTAAATTTTCAAGTGAAAGATACATAAGTTTGGGAGATGATTTGTTGCTATTATGAAAGGAGAAAGTAGAGCAAAAAATAGAGTAAAAGTAGAGTAGGCTTTCATTACTTAGAAAATGATACTTTCATCATCCATACGGTTGGCTTTGAGTAGTTCTAATAATGCCAAAAGTTCTTGGAGATAGTTGTGAGGAACACCCACGATTCCCTTAGCAGAAACAAGAGCAAAGTAATTGCATAAGTAGATGTTAAATTATATTCAAGTTCTCTTTTCTGGGAAAGAAATAAAGCAACCAAAAACTTGTATAAATGTGGTACAAAAGTGACAGCATAGAAAACATCAAGACCAAAGCAATTATCCCTTTAGTCTTCTAGCATGAAGCATTGTTGTAGTGAGTTGAAAGGAGATTTGACCCCAAATAAAATGGAATTAGGTGACTTTTTTTTTCCAGGAAACTAGTTTAAAAATTAAGAGGAATATTAAAGGCATAGTTATTAAAATAAAATTTAGTCAAAGTCAGTCATGTGTTTAAAAAAGAAAAAAAATTGTTTACAGGCCAGGCGGGTGGCTCACGCCTGTAATCCCAGCACTTTGGGAGGCCGAGGCAGGCAGATCACAAGGTCAGGAGATCGAGACCATCCTGGCTAACATGGTGAAACCCCATCTCTACTAAAAATACAAAAAATTAGCTGAGTGTGGTGGTGGGCACCTGTAGTCGCAGCTACTCGGGAGGCTGAGGCAGGAGAATGGCGTGAACCCAGGAGGCGGAGCTTGCAGTGAGCCGAGATTGCGCCACTGCGCCACTGCACTCCAGCCTGGGCGACAGAGCAAGACTCCATCTCAAAAAAAAAAAAAAGAAAAAAAATTGTTTACAGCTGTTTTAGTAGGTGAAAAGAAGGCCAGAGAGTCTTCTACAAAAAGAGAAAACTTATAATATACTGAGGTGTCCTCCTACCCAAGCCATCACTTGACAAGTCTCAAGAAACATAGGAAATTTACATAAATTCTCACTTCTTTATGGCATTGAATAAAAATTATTTAATTGTAATTTACTTTAAAATACGTTGGCAAAAAGATCATGTAGATATGCATACATTGCTTAATCTAGGTTGTGAATAAGTGGATGTTCACTAAATATTTTTTCTACTTTTCTATATGTTGAAAGTTTTTTACAATAAAAAGTCTAAAATTAGTTAATCAAACAAGAGACGTTTAAAAACAAAATGTAGAAAGGCTACAGAATTCAAATATCCCATTAGCTGTTGCCAAAAAGGACCAAATATTATTAAGACTTTTCCTAAAACATGATTAAAAGATAAAGACTGCCTTTTATCTTAGGCTTATAAGATTTTATATATTTTTATCACAAGATGAGAACTAAGACACCTGAGAAACAAAGGGAGTGAATAAATTCTTGTTGTAGTCAATTAAACATAAAGATGTGTTGGTGTTTGTGTTTACATCAAAGAAATATACAATATTTGTCAATGAAGAGAATGAAATTCTAAAACCAATAGGTAAATATGCACCCAGCTGTCTGACAGATATATGCCCCCAGGGGATTGATACTTGATAAGGAAAAATGGCACTTCCATACCCAAAATAATTATAAATTATATAAAGAATGGAGCTAAATTAAATACAGTTATGGATTAAAATGTATTATAGATACATGTGTATAGAGTATTTCTGGTAAGCAGAATAATGGTTCCCCGACGATGTCCACATCTTAATCCCCAGAACCTGTTACTTTCCATGGCCAAAGGGACTTTATAGATATGATTAAGTTACAGATCTTGAGATGGGAAGATTACTCTAAATTATTTGAGTGGGATTACTGTACTCACAGGGTACTTAAAAGAGGGAGGCAGGAGAATCGGAGTTAGAAAAGATGTGACAATAGAAGCAGAGGTTGAAATGATATGGGGCCACAAGCCAAAGGATGTGGGCAGCCTCTGGAAACTAGAAAGAGCAAAGGAATGGATTATTTCCAGGAGCCTCCATAAGAGGCATAGCCCTCCCGACCCATTTCAGACTTTTGAGTTCTACAGCTGTAAAACAATAAATTTCTGTTGTTTTAAGCCACTAAATTTTTGGTAATTTGTTACAGCAGGGTTAGAAAACATAAAGTGTATTATAAGTGAGGGTGTTGTAGAGGTTAGAAAAGAGATAAATATATATTAAATAAAGGAGTCTTCATGGGAGAAATGAGATATGTGAAATATATTAACAGATTTTAGAGACTAGAGAGGCTCTTGAGCTTAGAGAGATGAAATGCATAACCCAGTATTGAACGGATATATCTTATTAATAAAAAGCAAAGAGGCAGAGAAATGGCAACACTCTAGGGTAAACTGGTGAAACCTCATCTGGGAATCCATGATTCTGATAATACACACAAATTAGGAAATATTTAGGTGGGGATAAAAACAAAAAGGATACAAATGAAATGTCCGTGGGCAGCTTCATAGAACACCAAGCTACGTGAAAGTCATTGCTTTCCTAACAGAGATTAAAAATTAATGGAATATGCAGAAGATGAACCCCTTCCTTACACCATACATAAAAATCAATTCAAGATGGATTAAAGATTTAAATATAAAACCTTAAACTATAAAAACCATGGCAGATAACCTAGGAAATACCATTCTGGACACAGCCCTAGCAAAGATTTCATGACAAAGAGGCCAAAAGCAATTGCGACAAAAACAAAAATTGACAAGTGAGACCTAATTAAACTAAAGAGCTTCTGCACAGCAAAAGAATATACCAACAGAGTAAACAGACAACCTACAGAATGGGAGAAAATATTTGCAAACTATGCATCCAACAAAGGTCTAATATCTAGAATCTATAAGGAACTTAAACAAATCAGCAAGCAAAAAACAACCTCATTAAAAAGTGGGCAAAGGACATGAACAGACACTTTTCTAAAGAAGACATAAACACAGCCAACAATCATATGAAACAGTGCTCAACAGCACTAATCACTAGAGAAATGCAAATCAAAACCACAATGAGACACCATCTTACACCAGTCAAAGTGGCTATTATTAAAAAGTCAAAAAGTGACAGATGCTGGCAAGGTTGCAGAGAAAAGAGAATGCTATACACTGCTGGTGGGTGTGTACATTATTTCAGCCATTGTGGAAAGCAGTGTGGTGAATTCTTAAAAAAACGTAAAACAGAATTACCATTTGACCCAGTAAGTCCATTACTGGGTATCTACCCAAAGGAATAGAAATCATTCTACCGTAAAGACACAGGCACATGTATATTGATCACAGCACTATTCGCGATAGCAAAGACATGGAATCAACCTAAATTTTCATTAATAGTAGACTGGATAAGGAAAATGTGATACATACACACATTGGAATGCTATGCAGCCATAAAAAAGAACAAGATCCTATCCTTTGCAGCAACATGGATGGAGCTGGAGGCCATTATCCTAAGCAAACTAATGCATGAACAGAAAACCAAATACCACATGTTCTCACTTATAAGTGGGAGCTAAACATTAAGAACACATGGACACAAAGAAGGGAACAACAGATACAACATGGAGCCTACTTGAGGGAGAAGATCAAAAAACTACCTATTGGGTACTATGCTTATTACCTGGGTCAGAAAATAATCCATACACCAAACCCCTGACACACAATTTACCTATATAACAAACCTGTACATGTACCCCTAAACCTAAAATATGAGTTAAAAAGAAAAGAAAAAAATCCATGGCAGAGTTCAACTGTACTAATGAACCCTAATGACATCAACAGTTTCTAAAAGTCCTTTTCTACTGAAAACCAAGTATCAGACTCATTCTTTACTTGCCCTGCTGGTAATATCATCTCTTGGGATGCACAGGAAGCCACAAAGGGAACTGATACTCCATACCTAATTCCAAGAAATAAGGGAAATGTGGTTGGTGATTGAATGTGACAGGAAGTGACGATGTCATTTTGGAGCCTGTAATAGTGAAAGAAAGGATAGCTGCAAACTGTTGGACATGTACCATAGGCTTTAGACAACAGGACACTTTATTTTAGAGAAAAGATAGATATGACTGGAGATCTTGAAAAGGAATTTGGCACATGTGGGTTCAGATATTTTACAAGTATGAAATTCTAGGTAAATTGTCACAATCCCATCCTTTTTGGAAGAAAAGTGGAGTAGCATTTAAAGAAATAAAAGATTTCACAGAAGTTGTCTGATTAGCTCAGACTCAAAACTATACATTTTTTTAAAAGGATAGGCATAAAACCAGGAATAACCACCTATAAGTATAGACTTTGTGAGGGTAGAAATAGCTTTTTTCCTTAATTTTGTATCTGTAAAAATTGTGTCAGAAAGTAAAAAACTTCCATAGGTAATTAACAAACTTTAAGGGCAACTAATATTTAATTAATTAAGTATGATTGATATATATGATATAGCATATTGATTATTGATCATATATTGATACGCTATATGAGATTAATATGGTATAATCTCAATAGATGATAGAAGACATATCCATTTTTGCTTCCAGATTCATTATAAAGAATGATGTTCAATTTTTTAAATTAAGATAAGCATGTTAAATATTATAATAAAGGAGAGTGGTCCTCAAAGTAAAATAGTTCAAGAGAGCAGAATGGGCACATGTTTGATTTCCTCTCCATCAGATACCATTGATATAGAATAAAGATATACAAATATAACCCAAATAAACATCTGTGCCCCAAATTATAGCTTTAACATGGTGTCTTCCTTAATGAAAAAAAAATCCCAACCATATAGTAAGAAGTGCATTCTTAGGTCACAGCAAATACCTGCAATAACCTCTTTCCATCTTCTTCTATATCTTCTCCCCTGTAGCAGCAGTACTCTGTGTGTGTGTGTGTTTGTGTGTCCCAAATCTCCCAGATACTTACCCCTCATATTCTTATCCTTCCTCCATTCCCCACATACTACTATAATATCTCCCTACTATACACTTACAAGTAGCAACAGTTACAAATAGAAACTTTTATTCTTCTCCGTGAGCTGCATCAGATAGCTTCAGAATTCTGGAAAATACAATGTTTCTTCACTTTTCTCCTCAAGAAGAAAATGTGTGGAGCTTCCTAGGAAGTATAATTTTCTCACTCTAACAAATTTTCAAATCTTTTTGGAGAACTTCTGGTGAACAAAATTCTCTACCACATGACCCCAAAAAGAATAAATTTATAGATGTGATGAAGTAAAACAATGTGGCATCAGACAGATGTTTTTGATAGAGTTTCTGACAAAGTGAGTCTAATCATATTAACATATAGCCAGAGTTAGGAAACAATAGATGAACAAAGAAAATTCCCAGAAGTGGAATACCAGAGGCAGCAGAAGTAGAGGCAGAGTCATTCTTCTTTAGAGAACCAAGAGAGGTCCAGACTCAAGATTGGAAGGTAGAGAATGCAGCATTGGATCTGGGGAAGCAATCAGCAAAAAAGACAGAGTGATGCATTACTGTCCCTGCCAGGTAAAAGCCAACTGCTCTACTAGTCTCTGCTATTCGGTTTGGAGAAACGAAGCATTTTCCAGATCACTAGCAGATGTGAGGGGCTATACTAATTGATTCTAGCAAAGATAAGACTTTAGGAACAATCGATGCAATTAGAGTCACTATCGGATTACATTTTGGATACCCTACTGTCATTATCCAAGATCCATCTGTCTTCTTGCACAGGCCAAACAGACAATAAATGAAGAATAGGAATCACCAGCCATGCATCTTGCACATCGTTAATGGCAACCTTAATCTCTGCTATTCTCTTGAGGATTCAGTATTGCTTTGGTTTATAAATTTGTCCTTTCTACTATAATAAATCTTAAACTACAAGTCAGAGTGAATATTTTGCTAGTTGCTTAGTATGCCTATTCTAACTTTCCATTCAGGTCCTGGGGAAAAACCACTAGTTAGATCTGTGAACCTATTGGACCCACCATGATAGAGGCTTGGGGCAATTGACACCTGCATTAGTCAAAATCATCTATGTTATGTAGAAAAACAAATAACTCCAAATATCAGTGACTTATAAAAACAGAAGATAATTTCTTGTCCATATTACATGTCCATCATGGGCTGGATATGGCTCTATCCTACACTTCTTTGCTCCAGGGTCTAGGCTAGTAGCTGCTATCTGGAGCATTGCTAATCTTGTGGGAAAAGAAAAAGAAACATGGGAAAACATACTGTGTCTTAAAGCTTTTGTCCAGGAGTGACATATGACACATGCCCACATGTTATCAGCCAAAGCAAATCACACATACACTCCTGAGTTCAAAATGGCATCATAGAATCCTGCCATCTTGAAGGCACTGCAAAGAAAGAAAATGGAGTATTCAACAAATAGTAATAGGATCTACTGCATTGTCTGACCTGCATGGACTTCCACCCTGACTGCGGGACCACAGCGACATGTTGGAGACCTATGGAGTAATGTCATCTCAGAGGCAGTATACAGTAAGTCCAGAAAAATCTTGGAATTCCTCTGTAGAATATTTAAAACATGTACTTGTAGCAATGTCAGAAGATTCTTCCTCCAGGAGATAGGCTTTCCTTCCCATTCTAGGGTTCCAGATTTGAGAAGTGGCTGAGGTCTGGAAATGGTGTGAACAGTATTAACTCTCCATTGTGATTAAAATTAAGCCTGTACTCATGACTTAGAACTTTTTCTATTTTATATATAAAGTAAAATTGTATTACATAAATATAAAATTGCCCATCTATTTCAGTCTTAAGGACACTCTGATCAATTAGCCATAATCAAAAATATGTGTGGGGTAAACTTTTCTAACTATCACTAATCAATCCCACCCCACCTTGTCTTGTCAGTATCTGCTGCCACTTACCGTCTATCACTCTGAAATCCTTCATCCTCACTGAAATCAAGGAGCCTATTTCTACAGTAGCATCTTCAGTCATCATCCTCAGCTTTGAAGGACAGACACAAGAGGGCTTTCCAAGAAAGATGGAGTTCCTCTGACTAATGTTTTCCCCTATGTTTTGATAAAGGTAGTATCCTTTGATATCTTTGATGAGATGAGTAAGAGTGTGTATTAGTTTGCTAAGACTGCCATAATAAAATACCACAGACTGGTTGGCTAGAACAGCAGAAATTTATTTTCCCACAGTTCTAGAGGCTGGAAGTTCAAGATCAAGATAGGGTCAGTTTCTCCTGAGACCTCGGTCTTTGGCTTGCAGACAGCCATCTTCTCATTGAATCCTCACCCAGCCTTTCCTCTCTACCCTGAGACCTCTGTCTTTGGCATGCAGACAGCTATCTTCTCATTGAATCCTCACCCAGTGTTTCCTCTCTACATGTGCATCCCCAGTGTCTCTTCTTTTACTTAGAAGGACACCAGTAATAGTGAATTAAGGCCTCGTCCTTGGGACCTCACTTGACATTAATTACCTGTTTAATGACCCTATCTCCAAATAGTCACATTGGGGATTAAGTCTTCAAAACATGAATGGATAGGGGGACATAATTCAGTCCACAACATACTCTTCTTTCTTAATATGTCACATATTAATTAATATGTCCTATAACTCTAAAAGATAAGATATTATTTTGAGGCAGTCACAACAGAAGCTCTCTGGTTTTCTGATAATGTCTAAGCAAACATTTTTAAACCCTGAGGTCATTTCTGTAATCTCTCCAGTGTACTCAGAAATATCCAGCCCACCACGCAGTCTCTGTAGTCTTCACTCCAACAGTATGCAAATACTGCAACAGCATCTTTGTCTCCCAAAACTATATCTTTAATATTAGGCACTTAATTCCATGCAAGTATAGGTAATAATTTATGTAACTCTTTTGCCATGAACTACTGATATCTCAGAGATCATCACTGCTTCAAATCTTAGTTATTGGAGGTATCCAATAACTAAGCCAAATTCATATTTTTGAAGATCTTTTTCTTGAAGCCATTCTTGGTAAGTGTTCAATTAGAAAAAAAAATCTATTATAGATACTCCAAGCAGGAAATAATCTACTATACTGACCTCATACTGCTGAAATGGCTAGAGGGGTAGGAGGATGCTACACAATAATCAGGAAACCACATAAATCTGTTGGTAAAGCTACAGCTGCTAGTAATGCATATTGAAACACAAGACAGCCACTGCAAAAGCCCATGCTTTTGCATGTCACTACTTCTGATAGAAGAATTAAACATACCTCGCTTCCTACTTTTAAGTATCATATGAACATCTTTCATTGACCTACTCTAAACAAGAACATTGATAGCAAGGAATTCTGGGAAATGTAGTTTCCAAGCTTCCAGCCTCTATCATACAGGAAATACCAAGAAAGCTACTGAATACCGGTAGACAGATACCTGGCACACACTTTCTCTGGAAGTCATTGGAGGATATCCTCCACAAAATGAAAGATTAAACCAAAAAGGAAGACATCATGAGATCCTAGAAACTCAGAATTCAAGACAGAAGAGAGACAAAAGAACTTTCCTGGATGATGACATTAGAAAGTCCTAGGATAACAGCTATATTACTTGCCTATATAGCAGCCAACCCAAATTAGAACAGAGGGATGAGGAAATTTAAGAGAAGACTTTAAGGAAAACAAATGAAACTGATAACATAGTATGACTATGTTGACAGGAATTTTATAGTTCTTTTGGAAAGATAAGAAAGAATTAGATATAAGACAAGTACAGCTTGGTGCAATGGCTTATGCCTGTAATCCCAGCACCTTGGGGGGCCAACAGAGGTGGATCACTTGAGGTCAGGAATTCAAGATCAGCCTCGCCAACGTGGCGAAATACCATCTCTATCAAAAAATACAAAATAATTAGCTGGGCATGGTGGTGCATGCCTGTAGTCCCAGCTACTCGGGAAGCTGAGGCAGGAGAATCACTTGAACCCGGTAGGCAGAGGTTGCAGTCAACCAAGATCGTGCCACTGCATACACTCCAGCCTAGGTGACAGAGCGAGACTCCATCTCAAAAAAATACAAAAACAGAACAAAACAAACAAACAAACAAACAAAAAAAGACAGGTACATAAAAAATCTAAACAAAAAAGGAAGGCAATAACTACAGGAAAAACACAAAAGGGTACTCTACTTGGTTTAATGACTAAGGTTTATAGTCATAACACTAAAACACTAAATATTAGTTTAATCAAAATTATAATTATGTTGGAAACAGGGGATAGATAAGTCAAAGTGGTAGTATAAGAAAGTTAAGTTCTCACCTGCTGTGAAAAGTACAGGTTAGTTTTAAAATGGATAAACATATAAAGAGTAATATAATTATTTTTATTTCAGAATTGGAGGTAAATACTAGAAGAAATAGTTAAAGATGTAAAAGTTGATTGATTCTAGGAATTTGTTAGTAGGGATGGGGAGGAGTTAAAAAGGGGCCTGCCATTTTTTGTTATGAGCCTTGCAGAATTGACTATTAAACCATATGTATGTACTAGTTAAATATAAAATAGGAAAAATTTTTAAAAGACTGAATGGGAAGAAAGCAAATAGAGGCACAAGCCATAGCTTGGTGTGTCTCAAACTTTAATGTACATATAAATTACCCGAGGATCTTATTCAAATGCACCTACTGCCTCAGTAGATCTGAAATGGGATCTGAGATTCTACATTTCTTTCAACCTCCCAGATGATGTCAAGGCTGCTGATCCACAAACCATAACTTTGAGTAACGAAGATGTATACTGTTCTTTGTCTTAGGGAGACAGAAAGAGAAGTAATTAGATGAATACCAAGGATAAAAGTGGGGTTGTAATTGTGAGAGGTTACCCTCTTTCCACTCTATATTCTGCCTGAAAATGTATGCATGCTTTAAGTTTTTTCTGTGAAACTTTCCTGAAATTTCTCCCTCTCACTCCCACCATCAGCCCCAAGCAAATTAATTATTTCCCAGCTTGGAAGCTCCCAGAAAAATCTATAAGAGCACTTGTCTCATTGTATTGTTATAGTTGTTATCTTGTCTGCTTCCCCCAATAATTGCAGGAACATAAATCCTGGTTTCTTTTCCTAAACTGGTGTAATCCTTGAATTTAGCATAAATATCTGAAATATCGAAATTTAAATAAATGCTTAGGAGAAACAAATCATTAATGAGTGAACATAGTCACAAATTATAGTCACTAGAATTGTTTGGAAGACAGGTACATGCTCATCGGTGATATTATAGAAGGAATTTTAGGTGGCAAAAAGTAGATGACCATATAAATCCCCTCCTAAGAGCCTATGATTCTATACCCTGGATGTTATGAAATAGTAATAATAACATTGCCGTGGGATATTTGTTATCGTGTTTTCATGCTTTCAGTAATTTATTTTGAGGAATTTTTAAGCTTTTTTTTTTTGAGACTGAGTTTCACTCTTGTTGCCCAGGCAGAGTGCAGTGGTGCGATCTTGGCTCACTGAAACCTCTGCCTCCCAGGTTCAAGTGATTCTTCTGCCTCAGCCTCCTGAGTAGCTGGGATTACAGGTGCCCACCACCACACCTGGCTAATTTTTTGTATTTTTAGTAGTCATGGGGTTGCACCATGTTGGCCAGGCTGGTCTCGAACTCCTGACCTCAGGTAGTCCACCTGCCTCAGCCTCCCAAAGAGCTGGGATTATAGGCGTGAGCCACCACACCTGGCTGAATTTTTAAGCTTTTAATACACCTGGTTACAGCCAATCCCCTAAGTACTGAGAAAAAAAAAGAATGTAGAAGTAGGCTTAGGAAACTATACAAGGTTTTAGCCATCAAAGTTACTCTGGCAAGTTTCAGATCCCATAAACAAAACTGACCTCAACTTGGCAGCCGCTGCACCCTAAATTATGGGGCTGAAAAGGCCAACACTCATTCTAATTAGGATGATAACCAGCTGTTAGAAATGAGCAACTGAGCCTAGAGAGGGTACACTGCCAGCCCAATTTTTAAATAGCAGGAAGTTAATTAAAATAATAAGAAAAGAGCGATAAGACACTGATATATTGTTCCAGCTAGTCCTGGGAGGTAGAAAGTGCTGACCTCAGATGGATGTATCATTCCACATTTTGGGTTTAAGGTTACAAACGTCTGCAAATGTGGGAGTAAATGATAATGATTAGAAAAGAAATTAGGAAAAAATAAAGCATTGGAAGAGAAAGGAGCTGGGGCAGCCAATGATCTGTCATCTGCCAAAATTTAGACTTCAATTTGTATTTCAAGGTCTGGAAGGGAGCTTTTAGATCAGTTATTAGTGAGTGGATACTATTCCGGGATGCACATTAAAATCACCTAGATGCTTTTAAATAATTACTGATACTCAAGTACCAAAACAAGGAATTCTGATGTACCAGGTTTGGACTGGGGTCCAGGTCTCAGGTCATTAATTTGCCCAAGATCACTCAGCTTTTAGTTAGTTGCAGGCTAGTGATGATCATTGTTGGTATCCGGGTCTACTGACTCCCAATTTAACACATGCTTTCTTCTACCCTCTACAGTGACCACTCCCTGATATGCTGCAGATGCAATTGAGTAGCAGCTTCATTCCACATTTCTCCAACATCTTTCATGGTGAGGTCAAGAGCATATTCAAAACCATGTGTGGCTCAGTCCAACTGGAGAGACCAAGTCAAAGAGCCTCATTTCCATAAGGTAGAATCTTGTCCATACCTCTTCACTCACAACACAGACCAATCTTGCAGAAGCCAGGAGGTTCTGAGTAAGGTCTGCATAAAGAAATAATACCATAGTTTCCAATTGGCCAGTTTCGTTCTCTAACCAAACAGCTGCTGCCTGCTTACTGAGTGTGCATGCCCACGCACACTCACACTGACTGTAACTCACCATCAGCTGTAACCAGGCAGTTCTCTCAAGCCATCTGCAGCTGGGCAAAAACCTAGAATGATTAAGTCATTGATAGAACACCACTTTCCTAAAAATGGCAATACTTAAATACATCTAATCCTGATCAATACCTTGATATTCTATATCATACATTTAAAAATCAAGTTGCCTAATTATTTTAAATATATTCCAAATGAACAAAAACACATTATAACTCCAAATCACCATGTTACCACCACCATGGCGTGGAACCTTCCTGTCCACTCCAGAAGGCAGTTTTGTGCCCTCCTGGGCACCTGTGTCGCAGCCTAGAGACACTTAGACATCCACCGGGATAGTCCCAGGGCTCAGCTGTGTTGTTTCCATGTCTCAGTGATCACTTTTCTTTGTTGCCTGATGTCTCAACATTTTGAAAACTGCTGTTTCACATATTTTGTCTGGTTTTCTAGTTGCTTCAGACAGGAGTTAACTACAGTCCTTATTACTTTGTCTTTCCTGAAAGCAGAAGTCTTTTAACTAAAGAAGGGTAGATATTAAATGTATCATCTTTAGAATTTGATGAGAAAGTAAAATTGCTTCCTCACTGTCCTCACCGGATTCACAGGGGGAAATGATTCAGAGGCTTTTGCCTTTACCTCCTAGAGCATGTTCTTGCAACTGTTGGGCTAGTCTTATCTGGCCAAACTCTGTTACTAACAGAATGTCTAGTTATTTTGCAGGCACAGAGTTAAGAAGTGGCAAGTTAACACAGCCAGAGCATGCACAGAAGAAAACTTCGACCTCAAATAACACCTAGAACCAAAGTCCCTACCGCAGAACTAAAAGATTGGGATGTGGCTGGAACTCAAGCACCTAAACACTTTCAAAAGTGAGCAGTTCGTTTTCTAGGAATGTTCACTGATAAGACCCTTCCCCTTGCCTTACCATAAATAGTTACTTAAAGATCCTCCAATAATAAAAACCTCCCCTGCCAGTGCTTCTGCATACCAATCTACCCTCCTTAAGTGATAAAACTTGCTGCAAATCCCAGATTAGAGAGACAGATTTGAGTTATCCTCCTGTCTTCTTATAGGTGGACCTCACAACAAATCTTTTCTTTCCTCAAAAACTGGTGCCATATCATTGGCTTCTATGTGCATCAGACAGCAAGCCCATTGCTCAATGACGTTCTGACTACTACATTTCCTCAGTTCTAAGATGTCAAGTGCAAGACACATTTTTCATCTAAAAGTCATTTTAGAGGGTTTGGTGAGAAACCCAGCACACTGAAAGTACACCAAATTGTAAGGTGCATCTTTATTTCAGAGATATTAGCTTATTAACAACTACTCATCTTAAAATTGAGGAAATGTGATTTCCTTTTACCTTTGAATTTTTGTCACCTATAACAAAACTTCCCTTGTTGCAAACAAACCTGTAGAAGGGATAGCGTTACTGATATGGCAAACAGACATGCCACAACTCTAAGATCCCAAACCTTCTAAATGGTGATCAGATCGGTATGAGTACTTCAGTCATGCTGTGGATAAGAGAAACTTCTGTGGACCTTTCTAAGATCCCTATCTGATTCTCTATCAGTCATGTTGTGGACAAGAGAAACTTATGTGGACCTTACTAAGATCCCTATCTATTCTCTATTTATAAAGCATTCTTTGAGTGAAAAAAATTGTTTCCAGGCAAAGAGAAAATAACCTTCTTTCCTGATCCTCTAGAACTCTCTTTGTTACTTTGGTGACAGTGTCTGGAGTATATGAAAGAAGGGAATTCATGATACAGAGAGGATTTCACTCCCATCTGTTAGATTGGTGGTTCTCTAGTGCATCAGAATTACCTGGAGGGGATGTTATCCCACACATTTTGGACCCCACTCCAGAGTTCCAGAAGTGGTTAAGGTAGAGATGGGACCCCAGCATTTGCATTTCTAACAAGTTTCCAGGTGATGCTAAGGCAGCCAGTCCTGGAACTACACTTTGAGAATCACTGCTGTGGAGGCTTATTGGCCACAGGCCACGTGGTTTGCAAGAGGATAGAACTCCCTGTCTTGGGGACATCTGTCTTTTAGATTTGGTGATAAGCATAGGTTGACCTTTGTATGGATAAGGCATTCATAAGTCAGATGTTTCCATCCTTAAGGACCCATGCTTATCTATCCTACAGTTTTAACACAGCTTACCTATTTGCTTGTTTTGTTGTTGTTGTTGTTGTTTTTAAAGAATGAGTTTTAGATGATCGTCTTCCATTACTAAACTTCAGAGGAATAAAGTATAGGTTGCTTTTATCCAAGGGAAGAGAGGATGCTTAGCCAATTATTTCTTCCAATAGCTTTTGTTTTTATTATCTTGTCATTCAATAATCAATAGCCAGTGAAGAAAAATGAAAATTGTTGACTTCTGGAAGTCAGGAGTATTTTTATTATTACATACTGTTCATGACAGTTTTTAAAACAAATCTCATACAGTAACAAATAATCCCACTAGCTGTGTATAACCCCTAAATTGTAGGAAGAAATAGGCAACCGCAGGAGATTTGGAACCCACACGTTTCCCTCACCTCCTCTCCACAGGGCTTTGCCTTCCAGTGTCTACTTGGCCTTCCAGTGTCAGACAGCTTCTTGCACCTGACCCACTCAGCTGAGGACACAGATGTCAAAAAAAAAATCATAAATACAGAATTCCAGAAAATTTTACCAATATGTTATATTTGCTGTGGTTGCTTTATAGATTTTTAAAAATTATTGGTCCAGTAACAGGTCTGAAATTTAACCCTTCTCCTGCTTTTGAAGCATTTTTTAGGTAAGTAGTTTTCATGCTTTGATGTATATCATCAGAATTACCTGGGTGGTGGATCTGGAAATGTGTATTTTTAAAGTTGGTGTTTTTATTAATAGACTTTATTTTTTAGAACAGTTTTAGACTTACAGAAAATTAAGGCAATAATACAGAAGGTTATCCACACACACACATAGAGTTTCCCCTATTAACATCTTACATTAGTATGGTACCTTTGTTGCAATTAAGGAACCGATATTAATATATTATTATTAACAAAAGGCAATAGTTTACTTCAATTTCCTTAGATTTTACCTAATGCCTTTTTTCTGTTCTAGAATCCAATTCAGGATCCCATATTGTGTGTTTAGTTAATATGTCTCCTTATGCTGCTCTTGGCTGTGACCATTTCTCAGACTTCCCTTGTTTTTGGTGATCTTGACAGTTTTAAGGAGTACTGTAATATTCAAGTGTTTTGTAGAATTGCCCTATATTGGAATTTGTCTGATGTATTAGTCTCGAGTTATGAGTTTGGGGAAGGAGGATCACAGAGGTAAAGAACCACTGTCATCATAGTCTATAAAGGGTACATGTTGTCACATGACTTATGGGTGTGGTTGACCTTGAGCATTTGGCTTCAGTAGTATTAGACAGATTTCTACGTCGTAACGTTACTCTTTCATTTCCCCTTTTCATAACGTATTCATTGGAAGGAAGTCACTATATGCAGCCCACACCTAAGGAATGGGGAGTTATGCTCCCCCTCCATTAGGATGTAATCTACATAATTTGGAGTTTTCCTGCATAGGAGATTTATCTCCTCTCTATAATTTATTGCTTTATTCAATAATTTCTTTATGTCAGTATGGACTCATAGATATTTATTTTATACTTTGGGTTATACTCTAAAGTGACTTTATTTATGTTGTTTCTCAAAATATGCTAGCTTTGGCCAGTGGGAGCTCTTTCAGTTAGCTCATGTACACTTTTGACGTACCCCATCTGTGTGTGTGTGTGTGTGTGTCTGTGTGTGTGTGTGTGTGTTGAGTATTTACTTACCTTCTGGCACTACAAAATGCTCTACAGTCATTTCATGTAGTCACTGCCCCAGTCCTAGAATCAACCATTTCTCCAAATAGCCCTGGCGCCTTTTATTGAAGAATAGTATAAGAAACCAAGATTTGAGTGCTTGGTGTGCTCCTTACTACTGGATGTCATTTCTTTTACACCTTGTCAGCTCACAGAGCAAAGAAATACATGTGCATATAAGAAGCTGTGTGTGTAAATATACAGCTTGGAAACACCTGTATCTACTTTAAGTTAAACATGAGTTCTTACCGATGTCATCAACTCTACTCCATTACCACATGGATCATTCTCTCACTTACCTATCATCTCCCACTCAAACAGTAAGGAACCTGGCTCCCACCATCTGCAAATTCTTTTACAAAAAATTAATTGTTCAATTCCAGCAGACATGTATAGCAGTATCAGAATTGTTAATACTTCCATGAGAAACAACTTTTTAAAATAAAATACACTACTTAATGTGCCTTTAGCCTTATACACCCCATTCATTTCCAAAGTTACCTATGTCAGTGCCTTTTCTCCCTTCAGGGAATGAAATATTATTATGATATATATAATTATAATAAAAATATTATATATATAATTATAATAAAAATATTATTATTATTTGTTTTTTGAGATGGAGTCTCACTCTGTCTCCCAGGCTGGAGTGCAGTGGCACAGTCTCAGCTCACTGCAACCTTCGCCACCTGGGTTCAAGCAATTCTCCTGCCTCAGCCTCCCAAGTAGCTGGGATTGCAGGTGGCTGCCACCACGCCCAGCTAATTTTTGTAGTTTTAGTAGACACGGGTTTCATCACATTGGCCGGGCTGGTCTTGAAGTCCTGACCTCAGGTGATCCACCTGCCTAGGTCTCTCAAAGTGCTGGGAGTGAGGGCATTTTATACATTTATAATACAATTAGATTCTCTTGCCACAGTCTGCATTTTCTCCTGGGATCCCTGACCTCCTAAATTATTTATTAAATTTGCATACATTAAGGCTTATTCTTTATGTTGTAAAGTCATATGGGTTTTGACAAATGCATAATATCATGTATATATTGTCACAGTATCATACAAGATAGTTTTACTGCCCTAAAACATCCCTGTACTTCATGTATTCATGCTTTCTCCCACCCCAAGTCCTGGACAAACCACTGATCTTTTTATTGTCTATACGGATTTGTCCTTTCCAGAATGTCATACAGTTGGAATGAGAAAGTAGCCTTTTTAGACTGGCATCTTTCACTTACCTGTATGCATTTAAGCTTCCTCCATGTTCTTTTGTAGTTTGATAGCTAATTTCTTTTTATTGCTAAATGATATTCCATTGTATGGATCTACCACAGTTTGGTTATCCATCCATCTATTAAAGGACATCTTTATTATTTCTAGGTTTTACAATTATAAGTAAAGCTGCTATAAACATCTGCGTGCAGGTTTGTGAACATAAGCTTTCAGCTCAATTGAGTAAATACCCAGGAGTATGATTGCTGAATAGTATGATAAGATTATGTTTAGCTTTGTAAGAAACTGCCTGTCTTCCAAAGTGGCTGTACCATTTTGCATTCCCACTAGCAATCAATAAGAGTTTCTGTTGCTCTGCATCCTCACGATCATTTAGTGTTATTGGGTTTGTTTTTTAAAAGATATTAGTCACTCTAACATATGTGTAGTGATATACCATTGTTTTAATTTGCAATTCCCTAATGATGCATGATGTTAGAGCATCTTTTTATGTACTTCTTTGCATATATCCACTTTTGTAGTGTCTGGAAATTTGTATTTTTTAACGATTCTTCTGAATGATTCTGATGAAGACCAAAATTAAAGGGCCATTATTCCAGACTCATCATTTGCCACTCACCTCAACTTAGCCACTTGCCTCCAATTATAGCATCTTAGATACCAATAGGGACTCTTTCCCCTTTACCTCACTTCACAGCGAAACATTTTGGTCTTTAAATTTTCACCACTTATAATGAGCAATCTATTTGAATAGGAGGGTGATCTATTCCCAAAGGCCTAAAAGGGAGGTAAACATGAGGATGCCTATATCTGAGGATGGGCTAAAGTTTATACTTGCAGCTTATGGACTCACTAATTTTTACAATTTGATGAATTCTTACTCACTGAAGTTTGATTCTATGGGCCATGGTCATCTGGCCCACCTATCCAGGATCTCTCCATGTGAGGATAGCGGGTGCCATAGCTTTTGATTCACAATTCAGAACACATGATTTTTCTATGAAATTATAGATCTTTAATAAATGAGAATGTTTAAGTCCATTTGTAAACAGCATAGCACACAATCTAGAATAAGGCTTAAAACTCGAGTAGAAAACAGGTAGTTTCACTATAAACATCAATCGTTGGACATTGACCACTGAATCCAATGCTGTTTCTCTTTTTTCTTCTAAGAAGAAACTTTCTACTTTCCTTCATGCTTCAGATGTTTGAAATCTCAGGGCCTGTGCAACCCACAACTTCCTGGAGACATCACTTCCTACACTCTTCTCAGGAGCTTCAGAGCATTTTATTGTTTTCATAAAGAAGGGGTCCTTTACCTTCTTAACTCTCCTGATCACACAACCTGGTGCTCTGATATGTACCCAGGTCCTTCTGGAGGGGATTAGTAGTTCTGTTTGCCTCATGTTTCCTGTTTACTCTCTTTGAAAGTTCAGAACAGACAATCTTCATCATCATTATCACCTGGTTATACCATGTATACCTAAACATCTGCAGGTATCATTAACTGCCTTTTTCCTGCCCCCGAAAAAGACAGGGTTTGTATCCTTGGCAATCAAGTTCCTACTCTCTCACTTACCATCTCCCATGTTTGGCAGCTCTGGGGAGCTGTGATAATTTTCACATTAATTCCTTAAAATCACCTAGTAATTGGCCCTCCCCTAAAACCACCTCTGGGTCGTTGTTTTTATTCCAGGTTTTGACCAGTAATTCCTAAAAAAAAAAAAAACTGTTTTTAACCTCTCCAAAATTTTAAATAGGTTTACAATAGAAACATTCTATGGGTTATAATGTAGTTTCTTCACAAGGTCTTAAAGAATCCAGCAAAGGAAAGCAAGGTTATACCTACTGCCTTTCCCTAAGGAAGATAACCAATCTTCTTTCTTTTCTGTCTTCGGCCTTGGTTTATGTGGAAATCCATTTGAATGGGGACTATATTTATCTATATGATCTGTCTTATGTATTCAGTTTGGGCTCACTGTGAGAGATGTATATACACCTGTCAAATTATGACAATTGGTTATTCTTGGCTGCAATGCTGACTTAAGTGATGATCTTCCTCAAGTCTCATAGATTTCTCACCTTGTAAAAATACTAGCCTACTTAAATAGAAACACTGTGAGGATTAACTAATAGGTTGTTCTGAAAATGTCAATGTCTATAAACATTATTATTAATGAGTTAAATTATAAATATACATGTTGAAGTAAGCAAGCCCTTGATTTTAAACTCCAAAAGAATGCTAGTTTGAATAGTTTAATGTTGTTACTCCAGTATAACACTAGATTTTTAAAAATCTAAGACTACATTTTGCCCAAGACTATGGCCAATACACATCAAATTGGTTTTTTGTTGTTTTGTTTTAATTACCTTTAATATTCACATTAAAGAATTTTCTAGAATCCAAGACTAGGCAATCTTAAAGATCATCATACTTTTACCCGGAGTGGGGTTATAATTGTATAACCACTTAAAAATCTGGTCATTCAACCTCCCATTAAACTCTAGAATAGCATTCTACTTCATATGAAGACCCTTTGAAGTGTTCAGTGAAAACTAATTGTTAGAAATGTCTTTCTGTAAACTGAGATGAATTCCATTGAATTCCTAATCTTTGGTCTGTGTTCTGGAGCTAAATCTTATCAATCTTCTCCATGACAGCCTTTTAACTATTTGATGACAGTCGTCAGAGCCACACGAGTGTTTTTTTTTCTCACAGCCCCCAGATCCTTTTTTCATCCTTAATGTGACATGGTTTCCTGAACTCAGCCTTCATCCTGTTTGCCCTCTCAAGACAGGCTGCAATTTCTCATGGTACCTTTCAAGCGTGGTGCAGAGGACTGATGACAGAACCCTAGAAGTAGCCTCCGAGTGGGAACTAACACTGGGGCCCGCCTCCCTTCCTGTCCCCCTCCCACCTGCACAGGAGCCCAGCTGCAGGCAATGATAAGATGCTCTGCTTCTGGGCCCCGCTTCATTTCCTGCCTTCCAGCCAAGGGCTTCAACTGCAGACAATCAGAACTGTTCAGATCCTGGGGCCCCACTGTACATCCTTCCCCCTAAATCCCTGGGTGCCAAAGGTAGGTGCCAGTCAGCACCCACCCCCTCACCCCCAGCAACTGGAGGCCCATGTCAGCTTCAGCATAAAAATCTCCTTATGCCCAAGGGCTCCTTGTTCACCAGTAGTTCACCATCCTGACTGCACATTAGAAATCCCTGGGGGGCTTTTAAAAATATCAATACTGCTATACTACCCACAGATTCTGATAGAATTGGGCTGCTGTAGGACCCAGGCATGATACTTTTGAAAAGCTCCCGGGGAGTTCTAACGGACAGTCAGGGTTAAAATCCAGTGAGGAAACCCGGATTCCTCCTGAGGCTATGAAAATGTTTTATCTCCCCTGCCCGACTTATCACCAAGTCAGTGGTGATTTCTCAGTCATCCAGGTCATTACTGTAGGCACTTAATATCAAATATTGAATGAATAAGTAGCCTCATGTTCCTTTGAGACCCACACCCTCTGTGAATGATAAGCTGTCTGCTTCTTCAACCTCATCATTTGGTGATCTCTTGTCAATTCTCTCATATTCATCATGAACTTTGGCTTGCCATCCTTCTCCTCCATCTTTTCATCACCTGCTTGGGGACCAGCACCCACACAGACTGTGTTTCCACATCCTGGCCTCCACTTCCTTGATCTCAACTCCAGTGACCTTCATCACCACCCCACCAAAGACACCTACACCCAAGACCACACTCACACTTTGTCATCATTCAGAACATCTTCCCCTCTGAAATATTAAATCCCACTGTTCCATTCTAACCATTCTCTGTCAAGCTCTCACTCTTTTTACTCCATCTCAATCATTCTTTTTTACCCCCTGGTCAAGCTTTAAGAAAGAGTGCTTTTCACTTTTTCCAATGCTTTCACTCTTTTCGGTGCTTTCCAATGCCCATTTTGCTATCTTCCACCTACTCCTCAACTCACTTCACTCTGTCTTCTCACCTCATCTTGTCACCAAAACTCCTTCTTCTAGGGATACTTCTAAATCTTCATTTACTGGAATGCTTTACAGCATTTAGTGCTGAATATAGTCACTCTCTCTTGAAACCATGTCCTCACCCAGTTCCTGGAGCCACACTCTCCTGCCTCACCTATCATCACCTATCTCACTTATCATTACTTTTCAGTGTCCTCTGCAGGCTTCTCTTCTTCCACCAGACTCCTAAATGTTGCTGGTCCCTAAGACTCCAGTGTGGTCCCATAATGACATTTACATTTTTAAAAATCATGCCCATAGCTTCAAATACTGCTTTTAACAGGCAACTTCCCCAAATAAATATCTAGCCCAGACCCCTTTCCTGATGTATGAATTGAATTTCAGTTCAATACATATCTCCAAAAGAATATCCCACAATTCTTCTCAAATCCAGTGTATTCAAAACTGAACTCATCATCTTCTCTGATAGGAATTCTAAATCCAAAAGGGACTGCAAAGTCTATCTGGTTCAATTTTTATCCTACAGCTTCAAGAACTCTCTAAGAACACAAGCATTGCTGCCCAAGAGCTACCTTGTGGTCCATTTAACTCAATATCTTCCTGATGAGACTTTTTGGATTAATCTCTCTCCTGAATTCCCTATCTGAGCATATGACACCATCTTCACCCACTTGCCAAAGCAAAGAACTTGAGAGTCCTACTAATTTCACCTTTCTTTTAAGTCTACATCCAATCACCAAGTCCTATTACTTCTACCTCCTAAAAATCTCCCATTGTTCAAAAATATTTCTTGAGCATCTACTATCTTCCAGGTACTGTTCTAGACTCTGGACAGAGTGGTAAATAAGAAAGTGAAACTTTGCCCTCACCATCTTCGTACTCAATATCGATCAGGGTTTGATCAAAAAAGCAGAACCACTCAGAGTGATAAGAGGTTTGGCATATGGATTTGACCTTATACAATCGTGGGAGCTGGTTAACAAGTTTATGTACAGCTGTTGCTTCTTCATTTGGTGCTGGCCTGAAGTCATCAGGGTAGGCAGTCAGGAAGGAAAGATGGACAGGAAGTGGGGGAGAGCAAGGACAAGCTGGAACCCAAGAGGACAAACTGGAATGAGTGTCGGTCTCTCATCGCCTCCAAGCTTTCAATTTCAATGATGTGGGTGACCTGCCAAAGATGCTGGCACCCTTTGTCAGGAATCTAAACCCACGGCTGGCCCAGGAGTTGGACACACTGAAAGAGGAGAGCTGGCAGTGGTCACAGTAGCTGCAAGCCCAGCGGCTGCCTCATGCCAAGAAGGTGAGCCAGCAGATCCTGGACTATGCATGTGAGCTGCAGTAGCTCCTGATCCTATGCTGACTTCCTGTGACAATGTGGCTGCTGCCTCACTTCCCCCTTCCCAATCCTAACCATAGCCATCCAGGGAAAGGAATTCTGGGAAATCTGTTTTCAGTTAGCTAAGCTGACCTAGTGCAAAGCCACTCCCTGCATCGTCTCTCCCCTGAATCATGTGGCTCTACCTGCTGGTAATTGGTCCCACTCTAATCAGTCTTTCCCAGTGTCTTCAGGAGATGGTTCTAACACGCAACTCTGATCATGGTGCTGCCCATGATCAAATTCTCCACCACCTGTCCATCAGCAACAGCATGAAATCTAAACTCCTTTGCTCAATGCATTAAAATTAGATATATCTGTAAGAGACAGAAAACTCAAAATAACAGTTGTTTAAACAAAACAGAAATTTCTTTCTCTCTTGGGTAGAAATCTGGGTAGTGATTTATGGCTGCAAAGTTTTTCATGGCTTCAGGAACCCAGGATCTTTCTATCTTGTTTTGTATAGCCAACACTATTTGCTTTCCAGAATTTAGATGGAAATGGGGACAAAGACAAAGACGAGTAGAGAGAGAGAAAGAGGGAGAGATGCTGTCTTGCTGTCTGTCTTTAAGGGCAGACTCCCTGGAGCTGCTATGTGACACTTCCCTTTACAGAATTTAGTCAACTGGCCATGCCTACATTCAAGGGAGCTTGGGAAATGTAGTGTTTAATGCAGGCGGCCTTGTGCCCTGCTAACCTGTCTATCACCAATTGAAGAGGGGAGAAAACAAATAATGGAGACAATTAACAGTCTCTCCCACACATGACATATAAGATTCCTCATCTCCTGTTCCTGCCAACGCCTCTAACCTCATTTCCTGCCCATCTACCTTTCCTGTTTTAATAGCAAAACTAGAATACTTGATGTTTCACCCTACACTCCATAAACTAGTATAGTTTCCTGACTTTGCACATGCTGTTTTCTTGCCTAGAATCCCCTCCACTCACATGCTGGGCAAACACCTACTTATCCTCCAAGAGCTCATTGGCTATTTGCCTCAGATGTTCCATCCCCCTACACACCTCCTGTTTTTGAACAAATACCTATTAAAATTATTACATCATCCTATGACAATTGTTTGTCACCATGTCTCTCTCCCTTCTGCCTGAGTTTCTAGAGTGTAGGGACTGTCTTTTTAGCCCTGAATCCTAACATGTGGCCCAGTGTCCACTGCGTAATACATAGGAAATGTTTGCAGAATGAAGATATGCAGAGTACAATGGGATTGTACTTTAATCAGTCCATATGTTGTATTTCTATGAATGTAGTCTGAAGCCAGCCACAGTCTTCTATGGCTGTGGAATTGCTACATATCTTTTTCTGTTTACTGAGACAGGATCAAGACAGAGACTTCCTGACAAACAAAAGAGCTTGCCTGAGGAGAGAAGTAATTGCTTATTTATCTCTTAAACACAGTACTGAGGGCAAGCACAGATGGCTCCCTAACTCTCCCTGTGCCTTTAGGAAAGAAGACAAAATGTCACAAGTCTAGAGCCAAAATACCATAGGATGCTTTAAGAAGGTTAAAAAAAAAAAAGGGTCCCAGGTAATAACCAAAAAATCAAAATGACAAACATCTCTCATGGGTAAGACACAGAATTCTTCTTAAGGATGTGATAATGTTGGGAAAATGACCCTACGTCCCCTGGTAAATAATTTCTAACCTCTCTATAGCATCTCCTCTGAAACAGGAGGGCCTTTGAGATACAACTCTGTCCCCACCCTCACCCCACCATATTTACTGTTCTTTTGAAAGGATATAAAAGCTCTTCCTTTGACCTCCAAATACTCAGAGGATTAGGGAAAACCCTTCCTGGCAATTATTAGTATTATAGCTATCATTATGTTTTGCTGAAAAGGAAATATGAAAAATATATTTAATAAAAGATATTTTAAGAGAAAACAAAAAACAGTTTAGAAAACTAAACTGTCCTATCTAATGTGACATTCAGGGGCTCAAAAGTAGAGTGTTCAAGCAATTCTAAGCCTTGATTGTGTTCTCTTACACACCATTTAAAAGAACAGCCACAGGAGAACATCTTCTGAATTATTTTAGGTAACTATTGACAACCCTTTGCAAAGCCGCAGAGGCTGCTGGTGTTGGTGTAAACCAGAGTGCCCTTTAAACCAGTAAATTCCACTTGTAGGAAATTACCCTACAGAAATCATCACTGTACACAAAGCTGCTTATAGTAAGATATTCACCTCATCATTATTCATGATAGTGGCAAAACTGGAAATAAATATCTCATAATAGAGAATCAGCAACATATACCATGCAGCTATGAAATGATGCCATAAAATATTTATTGTTATAAAAAGATGTTCGTGATGTTAAGGAAAAACATGAAGGTTATAAAAGAGATGATTTAGTATGATCCGAATTTTATTTTTAAATGAATTATTACCATAGAGTACAAAATGCTTTCCTGGGCAAGTGCTGGCCCTGATTCAGGAGGCTGGTGGATTTGCAGGCCCCTCACCATATACCTATTTGCATTTCAGCTTGAGAATTACAGAGTCTCTGGCCACAGTATTTATGCGCCCTAAATCGAGAAAGAGAGAAAAGACTTTTAGAAAATCCCAAATACTTGTGAGATTCAAAGTTTTTGTAAATTGTCTGAAGGATTGGAGTGAGAGGGCAGACCAAAAGAGTAGTGAGAATTCTGAATGGAATTCCCCCTGTGGGGAGGAGGAATCAGGAGTAGTAGACAGGTCTTGGCCTCAGGGTTAAGGATCAAAGGGAGCCTGGTTCTAGGTCAGGATAGTGGCCTCTCTCAGAACTCTCCCCAACTCAGCTGTCCTGGAGACAGATTTGTATCAGAAGAGCTTTGGCCCTCAGGGGCCAGGGCCTATTTCTGTGAAGCTCAGAAAGTAAGTCAGACAAGTACTCCTTCATTCTAGATGTCCCAACACTGTCGCCTGCCCCAGCAATGGTGGTCGATGCAGCAAGTAATAGGGCCAGCAGGAGGTGGGGTCCAGCTGTCCAGATCCCTGAGGGGATGCCAGGGCCTCTGCAAAGTTGGCAGTGATACCAGCTTGTCCCAGTGGTCGGGGCAAGGGCCACTTCGCCATTGACACCAGACTCACTGGAGCACAAACAGCTTTGCTTTCGAGAAAGAGCCACTCTCACCCTGTGAGAGTGACATTTGAATCTCGGAATTAATAGACAACATCAACATTTTTGTTCTGCAACTTCAGAGCCAGCTATTCCCAGCTAGTGATAAACTCTCTGGGGAACTGGCCCCGTGACCAGTGGTGGCCTCAAGAAGGTGTCTGAGTTCCAACACTGCCTACAGATACAAAGATCAGGACAACTGTTAGGAATAAATGAGTGGCCTCTGCAATTCTCAGAAACACCAGTGGAAGAAAGAGGCTGGGAAAAGCTGGCCTTCCTGCTAATTTGGCTAAAGAGAGGTCTGGATGTCATAAGTGTCAATGTAAGCATGGCCAAGTCTAGGGAAACTTGCCTATCTACACTAGTTATACTTGCATGGGGGATGGTGCAGGGGGAAGGGGAGAAATAGTGGACAGCCTGTCCAGAATGATGATGAATCTTTCTCCAGTACACACTTGCCCCACAGACTACGTACTATATCTAGAACAAAAATTATCTGATGTTTGGCCTGCACTGTTATTGTACAGAAAAAAGTATGGATGCACTCAGAAAAGGGTGCCAGTGAAACTGAAATTAAAGGGACATTAAAAACTGCTTTGAAATTTTTACTTATAAGAGTTTCAAAAGAAACAAAAAGGCAAATTTAGCCTGGTATTCTGGAGGGCTTAATTGTGACAAGCGACCATAATTCCGAAATCATCTTATGATAGTCCCCTGAGCCCCTCCCCTTGTAAGCATTATGTGGACTGGGATTCCATGCCCAAGTCCAAATGCTTCTGTCTACTTGGGGTATGGGAAGGTGGAATCTCCTGAAGAAGGGGTAGGGATAAGGAAGAGATGGTTACGGCAGCAATTGCATGCCTGGATTGGGGATGGATGTGTAAGGGGTGGCCCACGAATGGAGTACAACCTCAGCCCATCTAAAGTACTTGCCCAATACTGCAGGTGAGAGGCTAGGGACTTTCTGGATTTTTTTTCTTGTCCTCGTCCTGAGTGCAGATCCTGCCAAAAGACAGAACCTGCTTCCTCTCCTAAAGCTGTCACAACTGGAACACCTTGTTTAAATCTTGGAAACTTTTATTTTGAAGTGTGGGAAAAGAAACTGAGGAAGAAGATCAAAGCAAGGAGTAACATTATGCTCTTCTGAAGTGTAATACAGTCTGTGTCAGGGAAAAGGCATAAAATAGAGAGACAGGAAACTTCACCCTGAAAATAACACCATAGAAAGAGTACTCTGCTTAACATTAACAGCTGATTAGAGCTAATGATTAAGTGTATCATCTCTAGGTGACCATGTGCTTTATTGTTCAAACCAAGATAACTTAGGCATGAAATGGAGTCCTACTAATTAATATTTACACCTGAGTAATAGGCATAAAGCCAGGACTGTCCCAGACCAACCAAAATGCATAGTCACCTAATCATCTCTAAATCCTATAGTTCGTATGCTTCTTCTATTGGGTTACGGAAGAAAAACAAGGCAAAATTTCAATGTAATATGAACTATGGCATTCTGAATAGATGCACCAAAATAGATCTGTGTTAAAAAAAAAAAAAAAAAAAAAAAAGCTACAAGTCAAGGATATTCCCGACTAAATGCTAGGAAGCCAGGTGTTTTAGGTGACTGTTTTAAGACATGGGTATTATCAAATGCATATAGGACTAACCAAGATAAAGAAAAGATGGCATTCTTCTGTCTTGTAGGGGTCCAATTTAAAAGTATGGCCCCAGGGATCCTGGGGCCACTGTTATATTTTAGAAATCAATGGGAAAATGATTAATGGCATAAATTGTATGAAAATGCTAGTTTGTCTATATGACCTAATTTTATTTGGCAAGACCTTGGAGGATCATGAACATAAAATTGCTCTCCATTTGGGAGAAACAGGCTTCCTGTTACATCTTGACAAACAGCAACCCTATTAGATCCTTAGTTCAAAAACATGTAGGACAGACAGAATTGCAGCAGGGGCAAAAGTATCTCTGCCATTGTTGTCAGCCCAGTTTCATCAATGGCAGAGGATCCAAAACCTTCTTCAAGTTCAGGAGTCTGAACTGAAGTATTCAGGTGAGAACCATGGCATTATTGCAGAAAGGAAGACAAAAGGGACAGCCCGTGGACAGAAAATCCTACAGGAACCCTGTCACCCCAGACCTCCTGGAAACTCTGTGGGGAATATTTCTGAATATTCATTCATGTCCTTGGCAAACTCCTAAATCTGAGTTCACGAGCAGGCATCTGTTGACACATCTCCTTCAAGCTCTTTATTTTACACCCTAACCTAGCTCCAGAGGTTAGGAGCCACGCTCTGCCTTTGCCAACTATTCTATCCAGGATTGAAACTCAATACATTCATCAGAATTAAACTTCCTGCTGCCAAAGTACAAGTACACACAGCTGAGAGTCAACAATGTGTTTATGGAGTTCTTCTCTGAGTATGGACTAATAACAGGCCCTTAGGGTACAAATATATTACCAGCATCGATGTAATATTACTGGGAGATGGCAGAACAAATCACAGGCAAAAGGTGAAATAGCTGCTTTCACAAACACAAAGGGAAGATAGAGTCCTAAAATTGCTTTAGGACTCACCCAAGAGCATATTACACCACAGTCCATGAAGCAATTCTGTCTACTTCATCTTAGACAAGATGAACAGATGCCTTATCGAGGACACTGGCACATGAGGGGCTATGGCCCAACAAAACATGGTCACAAGGAGATAGACCACCATCAGTGGGAGAGAACTCCACAGCAGAGGGAAATACCTGCCCAGGACTTGCTGGTCAGCTGCAACCTTTGCAGCACACAGCGCCTGGGAAGTTAGCTCCAGAGCAGCAGAAGAAAATGGCATATGGGATGAGATAGCTGAAGCTGCCGGGTTCCCAAGCACCTATGAGACATCCCAAGGGCTCTGCAAACACATGTAAGCTTCTTTCAAACAAGCTGGAGATTCAGAAAGTGCAAGAAGGGTAGAATATTCTGCTGATGTGGCTTAGAAAAGACAGGTTCCACAAATAAGACACTGTTTTCTTTGTTTTTCCTCCAACTTGTGTGATTTTATGGATGATGTTTTTAGCTACAATTATATTCAACAAAAGAATTATTTTTGATTATAGTACTTGTTCTTTTATCTCCTATTGCCAAAACAAAGGCAGAATACAAAACAGTATGTGCACTGTTATTAAAATGATCTAAAAATACGCAAGCAGAAGGACAAAGAACACAAGGTAAAAGATATTATTTTTAGAAAACTTAGAGACATCTGATATTTAAAACCAATATTTGTTGTTTTTATACATTTCTAGTCGTGATAACTCTTAGTCACTGATATTTCAGAATGTTTTATTCAGAAATATTTTTTCTTATTTTTTAAAAAATTATTTTTGGTAGAGACAGGGTCTCACTATGTTCCCCAGGCTGGTCTCAAACTCCTGGACTCAAGCAATCCTCCTGCCTCAGCCTCCCAAAGTGCTGGATTACAGGCGTGAGCCACCATGCTCGGCTAATTCAGAAACACTTTATCAAAAGAGTTTAGAAAGAAATAAGGTTATTTTTCTACCTAAAATAATGTCAGATTTGGCAAGTAATAATATGCTAATATCTCAGTGAGTCTCCCCTATTCTCAAAATGTTGCATACTAGTTTCATATGTGTTAGGAAATAGGTTGTATATCTGAGTGGCAAAGCGACAGTTCTTAGAGAAAGAAAAACTTTTCTCTTGGAATGTCATCTGTTCAATATTGGCAGTTACAAAAGTATTATCCAGAAGTGGGTTGAAAAATGTGGCTCAGAGTCAGTCAGTTATTAAATGAAAAGGAAAAGCTACCACTCTGGTCTCCTATCTCCTAGCCCAGTGTCCTTACAAACCCTTCCACTGCTTTGAAGCACAGCTAAAACCTATGCTGTATGTATAATCTGAGAGCAGAAAGATGCTTATTGCAAAAGATGTATACATTCCTCATTGGACCATGCCCAAATAATATTTAACAGCCAAATATTTCAGAGGAAGTTCTTGTACCTTTCACAATAAGAGATGTATAGAAATGAAATACATTCATTCACTCTTAGTAGACCAACTAAAATGAGAATGAATGGACAATTTTGGATATTGGCATACTGGGATATATGGGAAATCCTCCAGAGATGATGCAGTGGCAGGAAGATGTTCACAGAAAACACAGCTGTTTTCAATATTAGAAACCCAGTGCACTGACCTCATGAGAAACAACTTGCACCACTTTTTTTTTTTTTTTTTTTTGCTTTAACAAATAGCAAGGCCCAAAGGTTGGATCAACAAATGAGATTCCAAGGAACTGTTTTACATCAGTGTAGGGTCTGGGCCTGATGACAAGAAGTCATCAAATGGTTGTTGCACTTGGAAGTCTAGGATGTAAGACAGCATGAGCCCCGATTCCCTTGCCAAATAGGATTACATGCTCCTTCCCTGATAGTCTAGGTTCCTCAATATCCTTTTGAATATGGGATTCAAGAGATTCCAAAAATTCAAGAATTTAGGACAAAATATATTACTTGATCAATGAACTATATTTGATTGTATTCAACTCCTGTTACAAACATTTAACTTTAAGGAAATGAGAAAATATTCCTTAGGAAGAGAATACAAGATTGGAGTGAAATCAAAGCTATTTTCAGAACAGTGAGTGGCAAGGCACCCATCCTTTCATCAGGTAGATACACAGTGATCCAAGGAAGCAGGCTGGGAGGATGGGAAAAACAAAATATTTTTATATTTATGTATAAATTAATCCCAAACCATATCTCCATCTAACTCCTCCTTCCCTCCCCATCCTTGCATCATATACCTACCGATAGAAAAATAAACAGTGGAAGGGAGTTAAAATTAATCTTCACTGAACACCTACCAAGTACCAGAAATCCTAATAAGTGCTTATTCATGCATTCATTTACTAAAAATAAAATATTTTAAGCATATTCCAAATGTGAGGCTCTCTGTTAGATGCTAAGGATACAACCCTGAATAACATATAATCACTGACCTCTTCCCAAGACACTTGGGAAGGCTAATAGGCAAATACGCAATTACAATACAATTAAGGCTTGCTTTCTTGGAGGTATATACAAAATATGGTGGGGGCTTAGTGGAGGCAGTGCCTGAAGCTGCCCATGAGCAGTCTGGGAAGACTTCTCAAAGGAGGTAGAATTTGAGCTGATATTTAAAGAGCGAGTAGAAGTTTTATAGGAGTTGACAGTATTTATTAATATTTCTAAATTTAATCCTTATAATTCTATGAAATACATGTTTATCTTCCCCATTCTTCAAGTGAGAGAACTGAGACTCAGAGATATTGTCTAAGTTCACCCAAGAAGGTAGCAGAGCTGGGATTTGAAGCCATATTCATATGACTTCAAAGTACACATTACTTCCACCAGGGAAACTACCTCTCTTTCTTCAAAAATATGTTTTCAGGCCAGGCTTGGTGGTGCACACCTGTAATCCCAGCTCCTTGGGAAGCTGAGGCAGGAAGATAGCTTGAACCCAGGAAGTGGAGATTGCAGTGTGAGCCAAGATCGAGCCACTGCACTCCAACCTGGGTGACAGAGCAAAACTGTGTCTTAAAAAAAAAAAAAATATATATATATATATATATACAAATATATATGTATGTATGTGTGTGTGTGTGTGTGTGTGTGTGTGTATATATATGTTTTCAATCATATACTCTTGTTTTTTGTTTTTGTTTTTTTTCCTCTACCACTGCTATTAATGTTCATTTTAATCTAATTTTACTTTATACAGAATAGAGGAGTAGATCATCATGAGAAAATGTATTATATGTTTTATCCAAGCTATATATCCTAAAGATGACCCAGGACTCTCTATCAACCAAAGTAGGAAGGTCTTGAATGAAATATCCCATCTCACAAAACAAAAAAATATCCGACAGTGTCAAGGAAAATTTTACTTGCTCCATTTCTCTACCTGGGTACCCCATGTCTAGAAGTTGACTTCATATAACTCTTGCCTAAAATCAACAAAAATGTAGGACATAAACTGTAGCCAATTTTCCCACTTCCCAAAAAAGCAACTATTTAAATTTCCTCTTATATCATGAGGTCAATAACATAAGATATTTAATATAACAAGTTAAAAAAAGAGGTAGTGGTGATATGCCTTCTGTTCTCCCAATAATTGCTCACGTAACTTCTACTTTGAGGTTTATGTTGCCTTCATATTATTTTCAAGTAATTTTTTCTAACCCCACATGTCTAAGATTTTTGTCAGCTGATCAGGACCTTCACTTTGTCACATGGATCAAGAACTACTCTAGTGACCTCTTAATTTGGAAAATGAAACTAACCAAACATGCAAGAGACAGGCATGGTCCTAAATTATCACACAACTCTTAGGATAATGAATTTCGAGTCTTGATCACATGGGTGTTACTAAAACTCCTACCCAAGGATTGCTTTAAAATGTTTTATAATGATATGCATTTCCTTTGCACTTAATGTGAAAATCCAATATGTAGAAAGTAAAGACAACCCTTTTCTACTCATTTATCCAGGACAGCTAGCCACACGTTAAAGTGGGCAGCTAGAGGCAGGCATAGAGTGAGAAAGAAGAAACGGCAGACTAATACTGGACATTCCCCCACCTTCCTCCTTCTCCTCCTCTTTCTCCTGCTCCTTTTCCTCCTCCTTTTTTCTTCCTTTTCCTCCTTTTCCTCTTCCTCTTCCTCCTGCTCCTTCCTCTTCATCTATTAATCCCAGCTGTCGCATAAGTCAAGATTGATGTCAACTTGTAGGGAGGCTTCCTGTAGTATGGCTTAGTACTCATGCCCACAAAACTTGTCCCTCTTTAGTCTAATTTTAAGAGTAATTTCTAACCTGAAAATACCTGCATATACCCTGACTCCTCTTCCATGCCTATCTCCACACAAATAAGAATCCTGGATTCCACCAAGCCCTTCCCCAAATAAATGGAGAGAATACTGGCAAATGGTTACTTCCTCCAATTCACTCTATGCCTCTCAGCTACCTCGGGCACCCGTGATTCCATTAGAAATAGTGTTGCAATGACCAGCTAATCCTTCCCCTTAATCATCTGGGATACCGAAAGACATCTCATCAACAAAGACTGCTCTTTGCTAACGTGAAACCTGTGTTACCCTTTCAATCTCAGCTGCTCATGCCAAACCCCTAGTCTAGTCTATTTTAGTCCAGTATAGATATAGTATAGTATCTATTGTATAGATATGCCTAGGATAGAATAGACAACCCATGACTCCCATCTCATTCTTAGGCATCCTCCACCAGCAATCAGTTCTCATGCTCTAAGAGCACCCATACTGTTGAGTCTTCTCCACATCCACCTACACACTCCAGCTTTTCTCATTACCTTGTCATTTAATTCCCATACCTCATATTCCACAGAACACTTTTCTGTCTCTCAGCTGCAACATCCATACAGTTCCCTTTCTACTGTCTTCCCCAAACTTTTTCTTCCAGGACATACATGCCGGCTGTACTGCATTCTATTCCTCTCACTACTTACTGCCTTTTACTGTTGCCAGGATCACCAACCCACAATTTCATATTGAGAACTTTGGAATTTTGTCATCCTCATGAATAATGTTAACCTCCCTGTGATCATACATTAGATTCAAAATTTATTAAGATTCTGGATGGTAAGAGCCTTCATTCACACTCTACTTCAACAACTCACTCATAAGAATAAGAATATTCTAAATGCACATTTGATTCTGAAGCTCTAGCAAAATAAAATTCTTGTTCCTAGCCTACCTCTGTCCTATCTTTACCAAGAACTACATGGGGGTACAAGATGACAGATCAACCAAGGAGTCAGGGCCTTGGCCCTAACAACAATCTTCCTTCTGTTAAACCATATAAATAATCCCTTCAAGAAGAGGCTTTCCTCTTACCAACATAATTTAATCAGTCATCAAAGTCCTGCTGGCTTTACTGCCCAAATATTTCTTTAAAATTTTTCTTGCTCACTATCCCTACTTCCATACAGTCAATTTAAGACTTCATTATCTGTTCACCTACACTACTTTAATAATCTCCTAATTTATGTCCTGCCTGCATTATGTCCCCTTAAACCTATTCTCCAGTTAGCTAGAATGGTGTATCTAAATTGTAAATCTGACCATGTCACTTCCTTGCTTCAGTGTTGATATGGAAAACCTAACCCTCACAAGACGAAAAAAGAATAATTGTAAATATTAGCAGGAAAAAGTTACCGTGACTTTCAAAGTATCACAGTTGTCTATCAAGAAAATAGAATCAACTGATGAACTATTATAACTAACAAGAAGAGTGACAATTTGGCCAGTTAAAAGCATAATATATAGGAACTGATAATTTTCTTACATACAAGTAGTAGCCAGATATAAAAAATAATAATGAAAGGGTGGTACTATTCACACTAGCAAAATAAAATATAAAATATCAAGAAATAAATTTTAAAACAAATGTGCCTAATGTGCATGAGAAAATAAAAACACAAAACTGCTTGAAAAAATATAAAGACCCAAAGAAATGAAGATTCAAGCCACACTCCTGGGTAGAGAGATCTGATACATAACAATATTAACTGTCCTCAAATTCATCTGTAAACTGAATGTAGTTCCATCAAAACTCCAGTAGGATGGAAGGAGGAGGAATAGACAAAGCTCAATAGAATAAAATTTAGAGCCTACACACAGAGCTACAGATATATGGGGATTTCGTATATGAAAAAGTAAACATCTTCAAGACAGTGGGACAAGAAAAAATAATCCAATGGGAAAGCAAGTAAATAAATATCACTAAATCCCCATCTCACATCATATACAAGAATTTATTCCAGATTGATAAAAAACAACTTAAACATAAAAATAAGTGACTACAAGAAAATATATAATATTTTATATTGTGAGATGTGGAAGGGCTCTTTCAACAAAATATAAAACCCAAAAGTCATTAAAATATATATATATATATATATATATATAGAGAGAGAGAGAGAGAGAGAGAGAGAGAGAGATTTCACTATATAACTAGAATTCTATATGGCAGAAGACACTATAAGCAAAGTTAAAAGGCAAAAGTACAGATTGGAAGTAAAGATCTTCAACAAGTTTAACAAGCAAATAATTGGTATCCATAATATGTAGGAGCTCTTTAAATAATAGGAAAAAATTTAAATTGAAAAATACACAGTACATAAATAGGAAATTTATAAATAATTATGGTGAATAAATATTTGAAAAAACAATCATTCTCACTATATTAAGCAACATTATAACTGAATGTTAGTTTTGCCTTTATATAGGTAAATATTCTCAAAAAATTTATAGTACCCTGGAGAAATCAGTAATCACATACTATTGATAGGAAGACAAATTGATAATCTTTTTGAAGAGCAATTTGATTTTTCCTTTTAAAAAGTTCATATTTTACTTATATAAATTTATTCGTATTCCCACAACTACCCCCCAAAACACACATTTTAAAATCTTCTTTACAACATTATTTGTAACTGCAAAACTTGGAAGCCCGACTAATATTCATCAGCATGGAAGTGGTTAAATACACTTCAGTACATCCACATCATGGAACACCAGGTGGTTTTTCAAAAAGTAGAACCATGTGTTGTAATGCAGAAAGATACTCAAGAATTATTACTTAATTCAAAAAGAAAGCTGAAGAACAATGTATATGTAACATAATCCCATTGTGATAAAATTATAGCATGTACAGAAAGTAATTGGAGGAATGGGAGCTGAAGTGTTGACAACAGTTATTCTGGAGTTGGATTTGGTGGAATTTATTTTGATATTATATTTTGCTAATGTTTGGATACCACCAACCTATGTATTATATTTATAATCAGCAAAAAAACAATGGGCATCATGACTTAGGAAATCCTTCATGATCTAGAAACTCTCTAGCTTTCCAATCATCTTCACTTCTACCTGCCTGTCAATTTATTCTCTCGCCACATGGAATTATATGTTGATTCTTGTTTACAACTTGCATATATTGCCTTGGTGATGCAGTGACGACCATCCCCCAGGCCATGAAGCCTCAGACACAAAAACACACCCAACTCTTATTCATCACTCCACACTCACCTGAGCTATCTCCATCTCCAGAAAACCTCACTTACTCCCCAACTCCCCACTCTGCTGGCTTAGGTGCTCCTCATCAAAGCAATCCCAGCATATTTCTTTTCTTACATTCAATGCTGTAGTATAATTACCATTGAGTGTGTCAATCTCTCCCACTAGACTAGAGCTCCATGAAGGTTTATCTACACAGGACTTGGGGCTCTGAGTTATAAACTTCATGAAGGCATAGGCCATAGCACCATTGTGCACTGCTGCATTCCTGGTAACTCCCCAGTTATCTAGTAGACAGTAGGCAAATTGATGAATGAATGATAGATTGTGAATGAATCATGTTCCCACCTGGCTGCAACTTTGCAGTCATTTCTTTGGTGGACCTAATTCAATGCCCAACCCATATTTAAGAATCTTAGTTTCAAGAATTTATATCCTAGGCCTCATTCAGCAGAGACAAAGAAAAACAGATGCACAAAGATGTTCATAGCAATATTTTAAACAATAAGGAAGAAAAGTGTAGGTAATCCTCCAACCAAAATGTCTAACTTTAGACATGGATCTCTATTAAACACACATTTATTAAATATCTATTCTGTAGTAAAAGATAAACGAGATGTAATTTCAGTAATTGGTTGAATTGTGCCCTCCAAAAAGAGATGTTAAAGTCCTAACTCCCAGTACGTCAGAATGTGGCCTTACTCAAAACTAGGGTGGCTGCAGATGTAATCAGTTAAGATGAGATCATGTCGGAGTAGGGTGAACCCCTAATCTAATCTGACTGATGTCCTGATGAGAAGATAAGAGAGACACACAGGAAGAACACCATGTGATGACAGAGGACAGACTGGAGAGATGCAGGCACAAACCAAGGGACACCAAGGATTGGCAGCCACTACCAGAAGCTAGGAAGAAGCAAGGAAGGATTCCCCTACACATTCCAGAGGGAGCGTATTTGCAGACTAATAGACTGATAGACTTCAGAGCTGCAGAACAATAATTTCTATTGCTTTCAAGCCACCCAGTTTGTGGTACTTTTGATAGGACAGTCCCAGGAAATTAATACAGTCCCTAACTTCAGAAACTTATAGTCCAATAAGAGACAAACATACAAACATGGAGTAATAAGACCAAAAAATAAAATCATGCATAACATTCAAGGGTAGTACAGAGCAGTGGTTAACTCTACTGGGGATCCAGGTGGGGAGAATTTGGGTAAAACTTCACAGATAGAGCAATGTTGATTTTGAGCATCCAGGATAGCTGCATGAAGACCATTGAACAAGGTCGGGGGTGGAGGATGAGAAGATATTCTTCCAGCATAGGAACCAGGATCTGCAAAGCCTGGAAGGTGTGAAAGGTGCTTTGGGTCCGAGAACTGCAAATAAATAATTCATTACTGCTGTAGGCAAGTGCAAGTGAAATGGGGTGAAAAAATCCTAACACTCCCCACACCCCCACAAAGAAAATGCAAGAAGAAAGAACAAGATCCCGCAACACCTTAAATGCTGTGCCAAGGAAGCTGGGATTTATCCATTCCATGATAGGGAGCACTGACATTTTGAGGGGAGCAGCTTGGTCAGATGAGAAAGGTCACCCTATGGGCAGAGTGAAGAAGCAATCAGGACAAAATAGCAAGTGTCACAAGCCTGAGGGAAACACAAACTGAGAGGCTGACTTTTTTTCTTCTATCCCTCATGACTCCCTTTCTTTCTACCCACATCCTCTACCTCTCCCCCACACCCAGTCCAGACATCAAGTTTTATGAAAAATGGAGATTAGTCATTCTTCTCTGTGACACAGGGTCATAATTAATACTAATTGGTATAAATGTGAGAAAAGAAACAAAAACAACATTTCACTCATTATTAAGAGTTTTATAATTATTGCAGCATTTTCCCAAATATATCCTCAGAGCACTTCTGTGGAGGGGAAAAATGTCCCATAATCAAATGCTTGGAAAACTCTGGGTTAAACAAAATAGAAAAATTCCCCCGCCCCATGCTTTTTCAGAGCTCTTATTATGCTCATTTACACAGTGGCTCTTCAAGAGGATACAGTTTTGTAAAATATTTCCCTAATGTATCTGACCTCAGAAACTTTTTCTGCAAATGATCACTTTCCAAACTGGAGCACACTTTGGAAAATGTTGAGTTGAATTAGAATTTTCTAATGAAGTAGTGATTTCTCTCAACCCCCTTTTCTGGAATGTTTAGTGAGAGATCAGCCCTCTTAAGAGTGATATGAGATTTCTCTATTGAGTGGTATAGACTAAACTACCTCTGAGGTCACTTTCAACTCAACATGCCATTACTCTGCGGCTATTGATGATTTCCTCATGCCTGCAATCTGATTGTTCTATCTTCAATATTTCATTTTATTATTGATTTTTTAAAAGGGGGAGGAAGTTTTCCCATTAATTAAATGGCAAACATAACTGGGCAATAAGGATTGGATTTTTTTTCCCCTCAACCTACATAAGGTCATTCACTCCCAGGATCAGACTACAAAGAGTTTTCTTAGTCGAGAAATGCAATCTTTGGCCCCACAGGGAACTTCCCGCTCCAACACCGCACTCAATTGTGTGGCTCCCTGTCAGACATGCACCTATGGGACTCATAGCACTTTATGCTACTCCTGATTTCTTCCAAAAATGAGAATCAAATATTTTCAAAGGAATGCTGTCACCGATGATGCTTGGAGGAATAGGGGGAATGGTGACAAAGACAGTCATTGTGTAAGGGCATGCTGGGGGGACACACCTGTTGCCACTAGAGTAGCCAAGAGGATCTGTTGTGGAGTGGACTCATTCAGAACTGAGGACGAGGGGCAGGAGGAAACCAAGGGAGAAAAATAATTCACTCCTGCTCTATGGCAAAAGAGGGGGGAAATACACAACATTTTCTGATCATTTGACAGTTTGTAAAGAATGTTTATGGAGATCGTGCCACTGCACTCCAGCCTGGGTGACAGAGCAAGACTCTGTCTCAAAAAAAAAAAAAAAAAAAAAAGAATGTTTATCCATTTCTTATTTAATTTTTAAAGCAATCCTACATGGTAGATAATATTCATCTCATTTTACAGATGGAGAGGTAAGTGGCTTACCCAAGGTCCTAAAAATCAGTGTAAGAGTTGTCATTTGGACTGAAATCTTTTGATTACAATTCCAGTGTTCTTTCTACTATATTTTCATATCCCGATAAGACTTCTTGTATCAGGTTAAAGTTCACTGTATACAACAGGACACACTCTAGCCAATTTAAACTGAAAGATAGCCATTTCCAAGTATTAGGGTGTCTTACAAAATCCTAAATATGGGTGGATTGAAGACCTGAGTCACCAGAAAAAACTCCCAACTCCAGAAGCATGCTGCCTCTGCAACAATCTCCAGAAAGCTTCCCCTTCCAATGGAAGAAACTTGCCAAAGGAGTAGACCGCTGACCGAAGACCCCTGGTACTCCATCACAGTCCCTTTCCACCCAAGAGATGCTGGGCAGAGTTCTGCATCACTCAACTGCACCTGATGGGAAAAACCTACATTACAACCAGAACCCTTAGCCATAAGGGAGTGATAGAAATGTGGTTTTCAGCTTTCTAGGCCCTGCTGTACAGGAAGGCATACTAAAAGGACATTAGAGTGGATATGGAGGGGTATCTGCCATGCCATGCATAGATAAAATACTTAGAGAAACATGTATTTTTTAAAAACAAACAAAATACAAAATAAAAGAGCTAACTCGGGTTCAATGACAAGTTATAAGCGACTTTGGAAAGCTCCTGGTGGTCCACTGACCCTACCAGTCATTAATACCCAGTTACATGTAGGATGAGTCTAAGTGACGATGGAAGACATGGAGTGTGCATCCTTCTACCTTCCCTTCCCAGTCCTGTAGCAGGCATTAGTAATCAATCACATCACTTTTGTGCTATACCTAGATCCGACCTCAGATTCCTTTTCAGGACAACGCATCCTGCAGGTAGGAACATCAACCAGAATGATGGTAAAATTGAAGTTGAAGTGGAAAATCATTCATTTAGAGACTTCATAACATCTGCTGGTCTCAGACAGTTATTACCACAAAAAAATTATATTTTAAAAAAACACAAAACTCAGTGGTTTAAAGCAACCGTCATTTGTTATTGTTAACACATCTACAAGTGGGCTGACCTAGACTAGGCATGGCTGAGCAGCTGTGCTCCACATGTCTCTCATCCTCCTTGGACCAATAGGCTAATCCAGGCATGTCCTTCTCATGGTGATGACAGAGGCACAAGATGGCCTGCGGAAATGTACAAGGCCTCTTATGGCCTACGTTTGGAATCAGTACACTGTCACTTCTACACACATGACATTAGCAAGAATAGATCACAAAGCTGAGCCCAAAGTCATGGAGTAGGGAAATACATTTCAGCCACAATGAAGCCATAGCAAGAGTATAGAAGCAGGGAGCAGCAAAGAACTGGATAATGCAATCCATTAATACAATCTACCATAAGGCCCTCATGAAAGATCATTGTCGGCTCATAATAAAATCTGTAATTTTCAGTGCCAACAACCTTGAAAAATTCTGCCTTATTTCATAAGGCATTTACCCATGTCAGCTAACAATAGAAGTGAACGATTGACCCTAGGAGCATTGAGGTGAGCCTGAAATCCACTGGTTGCAGAAGTGTTACCCTTGGGACTCTAAGCCAACACATAGAACTATAGCAAGAGTGGTGGTTATATTAAAGTGGCTAAGATCATCATCCTAACTGAATTAATGCAGGAACAGAAAACCAAATACCACATGTTCTCACTTACAAGTGGGAGTTAAACATTGGGTACATCTGGACACAAAGATAAGAACCATAGAGACTGGGGACTACTTAAAGTGGGAGAGGGGAGGGGAGCAAGGGCTGAAAAACTACCCATTGGTACTATGCTCACTACCTGGGTGATGAGATCATTTGTACCCCAAACCTCAGCATCATGCAATATCGCCATGTAACAAACCTATATGTATACCCCCTGAAATCTAAAATAAAACTTGAAATTGTTTTTAAAAAATTACTATCCAAAGGAAAATATCAGTGCTATGCATCTGAAACCTAAGAACAATGTTTTATTAAAATTACAATGACAAAAATAACTATCTATTCAGTTATTTGCTCTATTTGCTCCCTGAGAGGCACTTACTATAATCTCACAGGCATTCAGTGACAGTCACTTTCATTTAAAGGCTCCGATTTGCTTCTGTTACTCAGTTCTATTTATGAGAGAGGCTACTATGTTTACTACGTGAGTTTGATAGTCTTAAAAACACAAATATAACTTAATGGTAATCATAAGTACTGAAGTATTTACGGTGCTGTAAATTTTTGATTTATTGATGCAATAAATAAAAGAATTGCTAAGAAAGAATGTTTCAGCCATACAATACTGTGAAGCATGCCATTTTAACTACAGATCTTCACAATGTGAACAGCAATTGTATAACTTGATGGTATATATTGTATTCATAAGCAACATTTTAACACCAGTTAGAAGAAAAATATGAATACATTTGCTGGCTTCACCAATCCTATAAATGTCTTTGAATAATTTTTCTACCAAGAAAGCCAAATTTCTTGAACTGTTGTTAAACACCATCAGCATATACAATTTGTATTTGTCCATTTAAAAATAAATTTTTAAAAAGATAGCTAAATTTCAAAATACTTGTATTCCTGATTCCTTCCAATACACCTTAGTCTCAGAACTTCCAATAAAGATTTTCGTGCCTTGCTCTTTCTTCATGCTCTCATCTACAATCATTAAAGACCACATGGGGAGGAGTGGAGGGAGAAGAAAGATCGTTTTAAAAACTAGGTGGCAGAATCCTTTTAAAACAGAAGGATCATTTGTAACATATTGGCTTTTGATTGTAAAAAGATCCCCCTTAAGATGGGTTCAGGATAGGCCACGGATGAAGTAGAGATAACTAAATTGTTCTACATAATAAATAAGTTTTTGTGGAAGAGGTAGAGGGAATCTGAGAACAGTGTAGAAACTCAGGGAGAAGATAAGATAGAGAGACAAGGCAAGTACAGTGGCAGGAGGTTGATACCAGAGAAGAGATCACTATGGAGAAATTCAAAGTTGTGGGCATGGTGGTCCATCTTGATGAACAGGGACAGCTAATATTCTATTTCATATTACTCTCTGGGCTCTGCTGCAGTGTCACACAAACCTGACATCAACCTCCAAACCATCATCATCTTATTTCATTGAAATAAGAAAAAGAAACTGTTCCCTTTAGGTTGACCAAGAGCAAAGTAAGAAAAATATTCATGAAAGATGAAATACCTCAAGGAAGAACTTGGTGGAAGCAGAAAATGTGAGCAAGAGATGACTAGGAGAAATGCAAATAGGATTGCCAGATAAAGGATCCTTAGTTAAGTTTTAATTTCAGATAATATTTTTATAAAAATAAAGTACATCCCAAATATTACCTGATAAGTTTTTATGCTAAATACAATTATATTTTTATTTGCTAAATCTGGAACTCTAAATGCCAGCCTCCTCCACCCAAGAACCTTCTGCTCTACTGAAGGGAGTGTATATTTCTCTTTTTAATTTGGCTTCAAGCCAGTTGTATTTAAATTCATTAAATATACCTTCTACCTTTCAGCAGACAGGAGGACCTGAGAAATTTTGGACAACTGATAAATAGGTAAGTGTATCAAATTACCTTGTTATTAGCTAGTAATCAAAACTAACCCAGTCATCCACAGCTAAGCACATTTTCTATTGCCCATGTCTTTTTGGTGGTGTTGCAGCACTTTAAAAAGAGGACTATTGTCCCAGTGAGTTTTGCTCCTGTGCTACAGAAAGAACAAAAAGTAAACTAGATACAGTCTTCCTTTTGACATTATGGACAAATTAGATACCCTAAACAACTCTCTCAACTGAATCAACTAGAATTCAGAAAAAAAATGTGGTTTAAAAAATACTTTAAATGCATCACTGAGCAGGTATAAAAGAATCTATAGAATCCAAAAATGAGATGAAAGCAGGAACCCTGAGTGGTAAGCAAGTACCAAACCCTGCAGCGAGAGTTTGTGCTGAAACCTGGAGACCTGGAGACACATTTAGAAAAACTGCACAGTACACAGGCAGGAAAGGTAAAATCACAGGTACTATGCAAAGCAGAGAATCAAATGGGAGACCCCTTTATAGAGCTGAATTTGCAATGGTCTATACTCTGAGAATAAAGGTAATGAAATATAAATGCCTCCATGCATGCAGAAAGAGACAATCTGCCTCCACCTTAATGATGCATGAAAGGGAAAAACAGTATTTTTATTGAGCTCTCATAGCCACACAGGGCTCTCAGGGGGTTCACAGACTAAATTCATATCAACTATGCAACCCAGAAATTCTAGCAGAAAATTTTAAGTAGCCCCAGGGGACTCTCTGGAAAAGAATGATGGCAGCAACCAGGTGGACATGGGCAGTTCCAACTACTTTGGAGGTTGAAACAGGAGGATTACTTGAGGCCAGGAGCTTGAGGCTGCAGTGAGCTATGACTCCACCTATGAATAGCCACTGCACTCCAGCCTGGGCAACATTGCGAGACCCTATCTCTTTAAAAAAAAAAAAGTTGCTAAAAGAAAAATAATGACAGCAATCTGAAGTTATTGAAGCTTCCCAAAACTCATCCTGAAAACCAAATATAACAGCCTAAAAATGCTGGCAAATGCTTGCTACCAAAAGAAGAGCCCACCCAAGTGGCAGCCCAGGAAGCACACCTGAGAACAACTGGTGAAACTGAGAAAAGTCTTCATAGGCATCAGGTCATAGAGCAAAAACTACATGGGGGAATGAGAGAACATCCACAGTATGACAGTCATCCCAGTCATGACAAATCTCAGAAATTGTCAATAATTTCCAACCAGTACCTCCCATTAGCAAACCCACCAAAAGCCAGCTGACATGGAAACCTGTGAAACAAGGTGTCAACTTCCTACATTACAGAATAAGGCAAGGGAGAGACAAAAAATAGATCCATGAGCAAAAAGCCAAATGACCAGCACAGCCATCCTTTTCCTTACCACTACGCTCATGGAAGCACTTGTCAAGGAGTAACAATTAGCAGAGCCTCTGCAGACCTAAATTGGACTTGTATTGTGTTAAGCCATGGAGATTTTGAAGTCATTTGGTTCTGCAGCACAACTTAGGCTTACCTTCACAGGAACAAAAATTGGTATCAGAAGTGGGATTCTGCTATAACAAAAAAACCCTCAATATGTGACATTGCCTTAGTGGTCCATTGGTCAGGAGCAGTTAAACTGTAATTAGAGGCTAGAGTGGCCATTCATTTTATGCTTTGTGGGAAGCATTTGATAAAGCTGTCATTATAGCAACCTGGAAGGCAGATCATATGTCTAGTGAATTTATAACCCTAGGGGAAGAGTTCAGAAAACAAAATGTTATTTATATGTTTTGGTTACGATTGTCTACATTCAACAAGGAGCCATAGGGATGGTGTGAGTTCACAGCAGATTTGGCTGGCTTGCAGAAAGGAGGAAAAGAGATCTGGGACTTATACAGTACAGAAGGCAATCTTCTCAATCTTAAACAGTAAAAGATAACATTGAAGAAGTTTGGGCACAATAAGGGCCAATTAAAACTCAGTTTGGGGGCAAAAATCCAGACAAAGGTATGGACAGCAGAATTCAGGGATAAATACCTTCAAATTGATTAAAGGCTGGTAGTAAAGGTTGAATTAGCAGTGTGGTAACCAAGAAATGCTTCACTGGAATAATGGCTCAGGGGAAAAGATACTGTATCTGTCTAGGATTTGAGGCTGTTTTTTAAATGCAAGTTATACATATTTGCTCATGTTTGCAAAAAGAAGGATAAACCAAAACTTTTTTTAAGTAGTTAATTATTGGAAGGAGAAGGGGACAGTGTTGGAAGCAAGATTTATCTCAACATACTGTATTATATGGTTTTATTTTTGAATCATATAGTTGTTTTATATATTGTAAAATACATAATTAAGTTAAAGAGCAATCCTTAGAAATTGAATAGAAACAGAAATGAACTTACTTGTATGTCAGTTGGTTACATAACATAGAGAAAAGTATTTCAAGTGACTTTAGAATACACTGATTTGATTGTAATTATTTAGTAGAATATATTCTAAGGATAAATAAGGATGCAAAGAAATCTTTAACCTCATCCAATAGTCTTATGGTTAATATAATATTTGCTATTATTATTTTGAAACTAATTAATATCTTCTATAGGATAAATCAAATAAAGACTTATATTAATATTATTAGGAACCAGAATTTTCACTGTGAGATTTTAAATATACAATTTAAAAAGTCAAAGAAGTAAAAATACTGGGTGTTAAGTTGGAATTAAAATCATCAGTTTGAACTCAGAATTTTTGCAGTGTTTTCAAAAAACACATTTTTCTTAGCTGTGTCCCTGAAATTGCTTAAAGGCAATAACATTTTAGTACCAATAAACACTGCTTGCACCTTGATTTTGGTGTGTAAATACTATTCCTCACCAATGGAAATTGGGCTCCTTGGAAGAACAGTTGATTTCAGGCCTGAGACAGGAAACATAAAGATGCTAGAGGATATTGTGAACAATTTTTTTTGTAAATTTGAAAGCCATTTGAAACATATCAACCCCCAGGGAGAAAAGTCCTTGCCAGCAATAACCAAAGAAATAGAAAATCTGAATATTTCTATAACCATTAAACAAATTTAATCAACATTGTAAAACCTCCCCACAAAGAAAACTAGGCCCAGAGAGCTTTATAGGCAAATTCTAGCAAACATTTAAGTAAATAATTATTCTAATCTTACATAAACTCTTCCAGAGAACATTTAAAAAAAATTCAACTCAAATTATGGGCTACTGTTACAATTGCACACCCAAACCAAATGAAGACAGCACAACGAAGGAGATTTATCGCCAAAGTCAGGCTCTACTCAGGAACACAACTGTAAATATCTTAAGGAAAATATTAGCACCCTGAATCTCAAAGCATGTAAAATGATAATACAACATGATCGAGTTGTTTTTCATTCTCGGGAATGAAAGTTTTATTTAAAATTAAGCGCTAATTACTATAAATTAATCTAAATTTTTTATCTCATTTGACATAAGAAAAGCATTTAATAAAATTCAATATTCATGATTAAAAAGAATAAAACTCAGCATACTAAAAATAGAAAGTCTCTAACTTATTAAAGGACATCTAAAAACAACTAATAGCAAACTTCATTCTTAAAAGGAGTGCTTTCAGCATTGTACTATCAGCCACCTTTAGACACAAATCATGAATGCCCATTTACCACTACTTCTATTTAACATTGTACTAGAGATCCTAGCCTGTACAATAAGATAAGAAAAATATGAAATAAAATAAAGTAAAATGAAGATTTGAAAGGGAGACACATGTCAATATTTGCACATTATATGACTGTTTGCATACAAATCCAAAACCAGTACAAAAAATTAGAGTAAATAACAAATTTTAGCATTGCTATTTACCAAGTTCATATAAAAATGTCAATTATATTGCTCTATACTCTCAGCAGTCAGAAACCAAAATTTAAAAGATATATTTGATATATTTTTTTAAGAAAAGATACATTTATCTAGGAGGAAAAGCTAACAAAAGATGTAAAAACCTTTTACAGAAAAAAATATAAACCTTTATTTCAAGACCTTGTGAAAGACCTAAACAAAGGAGAGATCTGTCATATTCTTGGACGGAAAGAGTTAATATTATAATGAAGTTAATAAAATGATCTTTAGATTCACTTACGTACTTTAAGATTTCCAAAATATTGTCCAGAGAAACATACAAAAGGAAAACAGCCATAGGAAGAGAATAGCTAACAGAAATTTCAGGGGAGTTACGTTTGGGTGGGGGCTGGGAAATGAATTAAACTGGGACAGGGGTCCCAGGAGCCTTCTAAAGTTTAGTAATATTCTGTTTCTAAGCTGAGACATAGCTATTCAGGTATTTGTTTTATGATTTTTTATTAAACTGTATGCTTGAGTTTTAGACACCTTTGACTGCATATTTCAAAAATAGTGATTTTTTAAAATAAAAATATTAGTAATTTAATTTGCCCAAACTGCCAAACAGCTACGGTTGTCTACAAAATACCAATAATGTTAGTCCATTACACTTGGAAGTACCAAAAGGGTATGCAGTAGATCTTGTTCTTCATCCCGTTTTCCATTGTCTAGTACAGCACCTGGATGGAGAAATAGCTCCATAAATATTTTGTAATGAGTGTATAAACAAAGCCTCATTAATTCTCTATAATGGCATACATCCAAGCCAAAGCCAATTATTCTCATCCTCAGAACTCTGCTTTTCTTGTTCATTTATCTCTAAGCCGTGCTGGTGCTCCTATTATTTCCTGCCCACTGTCTCCTGGATTTCCTTTCTGCTGAAATGCTTAACTCACTTCCTTATATATATTTAATGAAGTTGTCAGCAAAGCCCTTTTTCATCAGTCAGCCTGGCTTGTTTGACTTAAGGTCTTATTAGCATGCCTAATTCCATTTCCAGAAAACACAGTTAATTAAGCTACCAAATCTGTGAGTATGGCCCAGCATCACTCTTGGCATTTAATTTATATTTATACACCAAGGGAAAATAGTGAACCCAATCCTCTTCCTAGGACTTGAGTAATATGGCAAGAGAACCAGGACTTTCTTGGGAGTCCATGAAAAAGAAATGGAGGTGGTAAACAGAGCACAAAGGAAAATTAGGCTCTGGCATGAGTAGCAAGAGTGCTAGGAGCCCCTTCACCGCAGCCCCCAGCAAAAAAAACTCATGAGCCCATCCTGAGACTCAGGGCCCCCGGCTCAGTCTCCCTGAAAAGCTTCCATAGCACAGATTATTATAGCTCAGGAGGTTACCACATTTTTTAAAAAAATTATTATTTTTTATAACTTTTGTGGGTACATAGTAGGTATATATATTTTTGTGGTATATGATGTGTTCCATCAGAATATATAAGGGATTCAAATAACTCTATAGGAAAAAATCCAATTATCCAATCAAAAAATGGGCAAAAGATTTGAATAGACATTTCTCAAAAGAAGACATACAAGTGGCAAACAGGTTATTACATTTCTAAAAACAGCCTTACAGTGTCATCCAGCCTTCCAGGGGCTTATGCTCCTGAATGATTTTGGGACGAGGTGTCTTCTGGTGACTTTGAGAGTAGCACTAAGTGACTTGGGGATTTCCATGCTGTTCTGAGAGGAATCAAGAGTCTGGAGAAGATGACACAGAACTGACGCACAGCCAGGCTAGGCCACTCCCAGGAAGCCCAGGGACCACAGGACTCCATCTGAGGCGCCTCCTGCAACTCCTCCCTATCTTACCCTCCAGGGTCCAGGGCTACATGTGGAAGTGAATTTCTGCAATAGGCCCAGAATTCCCCAAGGAAGACATACAAATTAAACTCTACATGTGGCTCTGGGTTAATTCGACATATTAATGTAACAAATTCAAAGTAGGAAAATAAGCTAATAAAATTATAGTTTTGGAGTCTCAACTGCTTCCCAAGGCAGTTTTTTTTTTTTTTTTGACAGAATTACAATGTTGAAGCAACTTCTAGTTCTAAGAACATGTCCCTCTCTAAACAGCACCAGCAATTTGTGGCCCTGGTAAGAAGGAAATCAGGTGATCTTACTTTGCCTGGCAATCAGGCTGCTTTCTGGACTTTGGAGATGTGTGGCTAAGAGAATTTCATGCAACTTCTCTCAGCCTTACTTTTTCCATCTGTAAAATGGGGATCATACAGCCCTCCTAGAGTTGTTGAGAGGGTTAATAATATGATATATATAAGATGGGCTTGTAGGAGATCAAAATATGCCTCTCCAAAATATGTCACTTTGGCATAAGAATTATTTTGAGCTAAAGGCAGCTGAGAAGAAACAGACACAAGAAAAGCTCTCTGCCCTCCTCCTATTTGCCACAAAGCAGGACATAAATTTACAAAGGTATCCCTCCTCCCCTCTCTCCCAGAGAGGGCAAATTTAAACTTTTATCAGCCTAGGGATGGCACCAGAGGAATCTATACAACAAATTTTAGTAACCAGCCTTCATCTGCTATTAGTTTACCATATATTTGCCATCCCACAATTTGCTTCCCCTAGAGACTCAAGATCCTTTTCCTTTGTCTATCACTAAAAATGAGTTGTCCTTTTGCTAAGATTTTGTAAAAACTCAAGTTCTAACCAAACCTTTGAGTTACTCATCTCTGGGTACTCCTATGGGTTACATATGTGATATACATGTTAATAAACTGCTGTTTTTCTCTTATCAATCTGTCCTTTGTTACAGGGGCCCAGCTGAGAATTTAGAAAGGTAGAGGGAAAATTATTTTTCTTCTCCTATAGGTTGCAAAGAGTAGGTACCCAATATACTATAGCTATCTGTATACTAATAATAATTTATAACATTAATGTGTCTTTATTATTCCATCCCACTCTCACCAGATTCTGGGTCTTCCTCCCCCTGCACCATACCACCAGCCCTATTTTTCCAGACGTGCTCCATAAAACTAAAGCATCAACTCTGCAATCAGAACATCCTGGGTTCCAATTCCAACTCTGCCAACTAATAGGGGTACAACTTTAAGCAGTCGTGTCCTTCCTCTAAATACCATGGAATAGTAATAGGACCTCCTCAATTCCTCAACTCAAATTCCTGTTATCCCAATGCTGATTATCTTCTCCAGGACTTGGAAAGAGATTACCTTTCAAAACCTGCAATTTACCCTAAACAAATAAATTGCTAACAGCTTTAACCCTAATAATAGGTTGTTAACAAGACAAATCTCTAATTACTGGAGATATTGTAAGAATACTCTTGAACACGGGGTTCTCCCTGGCTCTTTGGTCCCTCTTTCCACACTCTTGTGTTGTAGAGTTGCTCAATAACTGTTCCAGACTTCTGAGAGGAGTCCAACACCCACTCCAAACTCTCAAAGACCGAAAACAGTGTTTCTGTTCATATTCTTAAAAGAATAGGACAGTGTGGGGTTATTCAGCAATTATTTCCTTGATGCAATTTCTTTTTTAATTTTTCTTTGGCAGTTGTTCCCTCATCTCTTAATTTTGACAATTTGACATATCTCATTAAAGATATTTCTGTAACCGAGAATCACTATTAGCCTATCTCCCTTGTGACGAAGGATATTGCTCAGACTCACTTTGCATGCGTACCCTAGGCCTTGTGGGAAATGGGGTGTGGGAAGGCTATATGAGAGCAGGCTAATCTGGCTGAGTAGCAACAATGACTCTTGTAGCACTTTTCCTCCATGGTAAAATTCTTTAACATTTGTAATGAATTAATTGGGGAATCACCCGCTACCAACTCCCCTCCTCCCCCACCACCAGCACCACCACCACACCCACACACACACACACACAAATGCTGGACTATTACCTCCATAATGCTGGATTTGATCACCACAATATATCCAGCACCTAGAGCCAATAAATATTCTTAGTATTCACCAATAAATATTTGTTAAGCAAATTTAAACGTTCCTATAGGAAAAGATTCTATTTCTCTTTCCTTGGAAATGAATCCCATTTTAGGTTGGGATTTTGATAACCAGGGGCCAATAGTTTAGAACATTGAGAAAAAAAGGAATCAGATAGCTTTATTATAATAATAATAAAGGGAGGCCTCCCTGACTGGTCAGGCCGTATTGTACACAGCAAAAAGCAAATCAAAATAAGTCTGTCTTGTGGACAGGTGGCTCTCAAAGAAAGTGTATTAGTTCATTCTCTCATTGCTATAAAGAAATACGTGAAACTTGTGTAATTTATGAAGAAAAGAGATTTAATTGCTCACGGTTTTGCAGTCTATACAGAAAGCATAACTTTCTGTATAGACTGGCATCTGCTTCTGAAGAGACCTCAGGAAGCCTCTAATTATGGCAGAAGGTGAAGATGGAGCAGGAGCAAGGGAGGGGGACGGTGTCACACTCTTTTAGACAACCATATTTCGTGAGAACAGCACCAAGGGGATGGTGCTGAACCATTCATAAGAAATCCACTCCAATGACCCAACCACCTCCCACCAGGCCCCACCTCTAACACTGGGGATTACAGTTCAATATGAGATTTGGGCAGGGATATATACCCATATCAGAGAGTGAAAAGAGGAGAGTGGGCTGGGTGTGGTGGCTCACACCTGTAATCCCAGCACTTTGGGAGGCCGAGGCTGGTGGATTGCCTGAGGTCAGGAGTTCGACACCACCCTGGCTAACATGGTGAAACCCTGTCTCTACTAAAAATACAAAAAAAGTAGCCAGGTGCAGTGGCACACACCTGCAGTCCCAGCACTTTGGGAGGCCGAGGAGGGCAGATCATGAGGTCAGGAGATCCAGACCATCCTGGCCAACATGGTGAAACCCCATCACTACTAAAAATGCAAACATTAGCTTGGCATGGTGGTGCATGCCTGTAATCCCAACTACTCAGGATGCTGAGGCAGGAGAATCACTTGAACCAGGGAGTCGGAGGTTGCAGTGAGCCAAGATCGCGCCACTGAACTCCAGCCTGGGCAAGAGGGTGAGACTCTGTCTCAAAAAAAAAAAAAAAAAAAAAAGAGTAGGGTGATGGCTGAGTCACACAGGCTCAGCTCCTCCCCAAGTAAATCAAGTTGCCACCTCCCACCCTCCACACTTGGGGAGAAATGAGCTAAGGGATGGATTAAGAACAAGGCCAGAAGTGCTAACTGAGGTAAAGTCTTCCCACTGGGAAACATGAGGCTGTGAAATGGAGGTTCCCCTAACAAAAGTTAACAGTATGTCCTTTCAGAGACTACAATATCCCTCAGCTGTGGCCAGCCTCTCCTTTTGGCCTAATGGGTAAAGACACATCACTTTATCCTGGAAAGGCCCAGGCTCATTTGGAACAGCAGTCAGTCAACCGGGAATCTAGTGAGCCCCAAACAAAGGTTATGATGCTCAGCCTCCGAAGAGCCAGCCAACTCAGTGTGACATGGGACCAAGAGAGAGTCCTCCAGACCTGGCCCTCCAGCCTGCTCCATCAGGGGATGGGGAGGATGATGGCCTCCATGGCACCATCAAAGTCGGAAAGGCATCCATGAGGGTGCTTGGGCACACACGTATACACAGAGCACTAAAAAGTTGCTAGGCCTCTGCCCAGGCAGCTTGGGAAGTTTCCCCAGGTTCTGAGTGAATAGCAATGGAGCCTCTCACTGGAACCAGTGAGAAACCAGGCACATCCTGAAGGTCAAATAACAGCTTGAGCTTGTCTGGAAATGGGACTCGTCAAAAGGTTGCTGAGGGTCGGGGAGCAGGCAGGTCCTACACACTTTTTACAGCAGTCATTACTCAGCCTCTTTCTCCCGCTCCTCTCTCTCATTCTCCCCTTTCCTTCCGGCACCCTATTTCCCCACATGAATTCCCAGTGCCCTTGTACCTCATGTTCTCTGGTGTCCCAGAACCCACCCAGACCTGCCTCCCCTGAAGTGTCTCAAAAATCACAAAATTAGGTCATTTTCCCCATGATTACTCACATTCCCAAAACTCAGTCTCCCTCAGGGACGCCAAACTAGATATTAGGAAGGAGACATCTTAGTGAATCAACACATACAAAGGTTCCCCTCTTTTTGTCCAAACCATAACTTAGTAGAATTTCACCACGTGAGTAAATGGGGGCAGGAGAGCCTTTGCCATAGCCTTTAAGGCATAGTATTTGTTTCTCCCTTGAAATGGTAGGAGATAGGACCATCTGTGTGGTTTCTAGGTAACTTCTCTTCAAAAGAAAGAAACAGAACTTCCTGTATGTCCACCTTAGTCTTTATCTTTTAACTCTCATTGCACTGCCCTAAACTAACCATGGCCTTAGAACTCCCCAAGCCTGGTCTCCTCATGTGTCCCAACTTGAGGGCAAGGACATCTGTCACACTGGAACACCTGGGCCAGGGTAGAATCCTGCCTGAGAACAGGAACTCCAGAAAGCTACAGGGCACCTCTTTGTCCTTTTCAGTTTATTTTTTCTCCTTCCTCTGATTGACACGGCAATTGGATCAGATGAGTTCCTTGAATCCATTCTGCTGCCTTCTGAGCCCAGGACCAACCCTATACCTCTGTTCTCCTGAGATTGAATAATGACCTATGGGGTGCACCTGACCAAGGATCCCAGTCAAGCTGGAGTCAGACACAACCAGGAAAAACCACCTTTAGCCCCAGCCTGGTCCTCCATGGACCACACACACCAAGGGAGTTGGAAAAGCGGCTGATAATAATTTTTAACGAGTATCTACACAGTGGCATAGTAGAAGGAGCATGAAATTTGAAATTCTGCAAAATCTGGACTTGAATAGCTGCTCAGTCACTTGTTAGCAGTTGGTTCTTTTTTTTTTTTTTTTTTTTTTTTTTGAGATGGAGTCTTGCTCTGTCGCCAGGCCAGAGTGCGGTGGTGGGATCTTGGCTCACTGCAACCTCCGCCTCCAAGGTTCAAGTGATTCTCCTGCCTCAGCCTCTGGAGTAGCTGGGACTACAGGCATGCACCACCAGGCCCAGCTAATTTTTGTATTTTTAGCAGAGATGGGGTTTCACCATGTTGGCCAGGATGGTCTCCATCTCTTGATCTTGCGATCTGCCTGCCTTGGCCTCCCAAAGTGCTGGGATTACAGGCATGAGCCACCGCACCCGGTCAGCAGTTGGTTCTTAAATAAAGTCCATAATGATTTAAAGCCTCTGTTTTTTTATATTTAAAATAGAGTAGTGTACACTTTACAGAACTTCCAGGATTAAAAATGAAAATATGTGGAGTGACTTAAAACAGAGCAGGAGTTTAAGAAATCTTAATTCATTACAGTACTGAACGTCCAGGTGTCATATCACACAAGCCTTTCCACAATGCCATGAAATAAAGCACCAGTAGATGTGTCCCCCTTTAGGCTCTGGATGTGATCTCCTCTGGATGTAATTCCTGGGACCGATGCAGCGAGCTGCAATCCCACTGGGAGCCAGCCTGGGGCTGAAGCTGATACCGAGGATGATGGAACAGAAGATGAAAAGCATCTGTCTCTTCATGGTATCATCAAGCTCAGGATAGCAACATGCCTGGGGCCTGTATTTTTCTTCCTGTGGATTTCTTTTTATGGAATACAGTAATTCCTTATTGACTAAGCTGCTTGGCAGGACCAGGATTAGGGTGAGGCAAGTGAGGCAGGATTGTGCAAGGGCAGGATTGAATTCTGTCTTCATTTAAAATTTTAATATTTTGTTCATCATGGGTTTCTTGCAATGATTTTTATTTAAAAAGAATATTATATCAAAATAATACTTACCTTTCTTGTTAAGTTTGTTGGTGTCCCTCCTAAATTTTTCTTCCAAGGCTGGTCCCTCATTCACCTCACCCTACTCTTTACCCAGTTACTTTCATTTGCAATTTTCTTTTTCTTTTCTTTTCTTTTTTTCTTTTTTCTTTTTTTTTTTTTTTTACTTGCAGCCAAAATCATCCCCAGGGTGAAAAAAACATGGTCAATTCAATAAAAAAATTTGGGGAAAACTAGTTATCCATGTGGGATAAATGTTAAAGTGAGAGTTTGACTTTAGAACAGGCCCAAGGAAGAGCCTATGGGCTAACACTTCATTGCGGCAAGGAGGAAGAACAAATTACTGAGCTGGCCACAGCTTTGCCACCAACACAGCTCATTGCTTGCTCTCACAGCATGTCTTCGGGAAGGCCATAGGAAACCACTGCATCTTGGAACACCATGGGAAAAGGAAGCAATCTAAATGCTGGCTTTTCCCTTCCCCTCCTTGCTATCATTAGCAGAAGCCCACCTGCTGAGGCTTTAACTCCCTGGCACTTCCTGGTTATGTTTCCTGACCCCTTGGAGAGCTGCTGAGGAAGTTAGAGGCTTCACAGGTCCCATGTGGCCTGTGTGGCAAACTCTGCTTGTCAGTCAATGCTGCACAGGGGGCTCTTCGGTCTGTGGCATTGGGGGCCATAACTTTACGACTATGAATGAACCATTGCCAGGGTTGCTCTGGTCAGGAAACAAGGCAGGTGGCCAGGATCCAGGGCAGTTGGCAGACCCAGACATATCTGGGGTGGTGCATAAACTGAGTTTGCTACAGATCCCCACCTCCTACTTTATACAAAAATAAATTCTGGGGCATTAAAGACCTATTTTTTTTTAAAGAAAAATGAACAATTAAAATACTAGAAAAAATAAGATACCTTATTCGTGGGTAGGAAAGACTTTCCTAAACAAGACACAAAAAGCAAAATCTTAAGGAAACACCTTATCAATTTGATTGCTCTAAGAATTACACTTTGTGTAAGTCAGTTGTTCTCAGCTGGGGCAATTTTGTACCTCAGAGGATATTTGACAATACCTGGAGACATTCGGGTTGCCAAACTCAGAAGGGGAGGCAGGGTCTGACTGGCATCTAATAGATAGAGGCCAAGTATGCTTCCAAAAATCCTACAACACACAGGGCAGACCCCACCCCACCCAGTGAAAGAATTATTCAGCCCCAAAGTCAGTAGTGCCAAGGTTAAGAAACCCAATCATAACAGTTAATAAACAAGTTAAAGACTGAGAGAAGTTGTTTGGCATATATATCCCAGATAAAAGATCAGACTCTAATAGAAAGAGAGACTTACAAATCAATAAGAAAAAGTCTCAACAGAAAAATGAGTATCATTTTTCATCTTTTCAACTGGTAGCAAAAAAATAAATCCATTACTATCAAGTGATAAAGAGAACATAGAAGATTCTCATATTCTGCTGGCAACGGTGTTAACAAGTAGAGTTACCCAGTATGGAAAGTTGTTTGACAGCGTCTATTAAGATATGAAATGTCCATGTCCCCCCAATAGCATATCAGGAAAAGCGCTGTGTACCTTTTTGGGGTCTGCTTCTTAGAACACCACCAACATGAGCTCCTCTATGCATTCCTCTTTACTTAGGATAGAATTTGGAACTACCTTCCACCTAGCTTCAACCCTGCAGACATGACTAAAACATGATCTATGGCCATGTGAATGGAGCCAATGTTCCTCTTCAACTGCTCACATTGGGACTATTCCATGAGAGAACATAAACTACTTTGTTTAATCAGCTATATTTGGGGGTCTCTTTGCTGAAATAGCTTGTTCCTTCCCTGTTAGTATTAGTACACAATTGTATTAGTACACAATTCAGTGACAAGTATACCTTGTGGTTAGAGAATTAGAACATTCCCCTCTGTGGAGGGCAGCGGAGCTAAAGGTTGAGTTCATCATCAATGGCCAGTGATTTAATCAATCAAACCTATGTAACAAAACTTCCACAAAGACCCAAAAGGGCAGGGTTTGGAGATCTTCCAGGTTGCTGACCTCACAGAGGTGCCTGGAAGGTGGCACTCCCTAAAAGGGCATGGAAGCGCCATACCCTTCCCACATACCATGCCCCGTGTTTCTCTTCCAACTGGCTGCTCATCTGTATGCTTTATCATATGTTTATTAATATAACATCTGGTAAACATAAGTGTTTCCCTGAGTTCCATGAGCCACACTAGCAAGTGAACAAACCTGAAGAGGGGGTTGTGGAAACCCCCAATTTATAGCCAGTCAGTCAGATGTTCTAGAGGCTAGGAATTGCAGTTGGCATTTTCAAATGGCAGGTAGTCTCATAGGACTGAGCCCTTCACCTGTGGGATCTGACTCTGACTACAGGTAGACAGTGTCAGAATTAAATTGAATGACAGAACACCCCCTTGGAGTCCAGTGGAGAACTGCTTGGTGTGTGGGGAAACTTCACGCACATCCGGAGTGAGAAGTGAAGCAGGATGCGCTGTGTTGAGTAGGATGTGTTGTGAGAGTAGGAAAAACACTGTCTTTTTTCTATCCCTTACAGTGGTCAAAGAACTCTCTGTGATGTTTTTCTTTTAAATAAGAGAAAGTATTCACACAGTGTGCAATTTTTTTTTATTTTACTTTAAGTTGTGGGATACATGTGCAGAACACGCAGATTTGTTATATAGGTATACATGTGCCATGGTGGTTTGCTGCACCTATCAACCCATCATCTAGGTTTTAAGCCCCACATGCATTAGGTATTTGTCCTAATGCTCTCCCTCCCCTTGTCCCCCATCCCCTGACAGGCCCTGGTGTGTGATGTTCCCCTCTCTGTGTCCATGTGTTCTCATTGTTCAACTCCCACTTATGAGTGAGAACATGTGGTGTTTGGTTTTCTATTCCTGTGTTAGTTTGCTGAGAATGATGGTTTCCAGCTTCATCCATGTCCATGCAAAGGACATGAACCTATTCTTTTTTATGGCTGCATAGTATTCGATGGTGTATATGTGCCACATTTTCTTTATCTAGTCTATCATTGATGGGCATTTGGGTTGGTTCCAAGTCTTTGCTACTGTAAATAGTGCTGCAATAAACATACATGTCCATTTGTCTTTAGAGTAGAATTATTTATAATCCTTTGGGTATATACCCAGTAATGGGATTGCTGGGTCAAATGGTATTTCTGGTTCTAGATCTTTGAGGAATCGCCACGCTGTCTTCCACAATAGTTGAACTAATTTACATTCCTACCAAGAGTGTAAAAGTGTTCCTGTTTCTCCACAGCCTCACCAGCATCTGTTGTTTCCTGACTTTTTAATAATCACCATTCTGACTGGTGTGAGATGGTATCTCATTGTGGTTTTGTGCAATTTTTAAAACTTCTTTAAAACAATTGATGAATATTTTGTTGCTAAAGTACATTCAAGAAATGGTAAGTTCAATTAATAAGAGTCCCATGCAAGACAACTAAGGCTGCACGCTCCTGGTGGGCCCAGGTCTGCAGGCCTGTTCCAGTGTCTATTTGCTGTGGGACTTTAGACCAATTGCATCATCTCTGAGGTTAAGTTTCTTCAGGTAGATAACATAAGGGCAATCATGCCTCATTCACCTGGCTGTTGTGAGGAATAAAAGACATAATGTATGTGAAATTCTTAGAATGGTGCCTGGCATTTTGGAAGCACATAATACACAAAAGTAATTATTATTAGTAGTAATATTAGTATTAGTATTATTAAAATATGTGTAAAAATCTCTCTATTCTAATTAACATATTTTTCAAAATAGAAATGAAAAAGTTAGATAGCTGATGAGGGAAAGAATAAGACAAAACTCAGCTCCATTTACTATGTATGTATTGAGTGCCTATTATATACTAGACGTTAAGATACAAAGATGTGTAGGACCTAGTCCCCTGCCTTTAAAAAGCTCAGAGTCTAATTGTGATGATAGATTAAACTAAACCTCTAAATATGATGTAGAACCTCTAATCTGTGCAACAAGAGGAGTAGAACAAAGAAACTAGCAATTCCTTCTTCAGCTGGTTGGAGAAACTGGACTAGGAAGGCTTCAAAGGGAAGCTGACATTAACCATGAAGTTCTGGCAGCAGGAAAAGCCATGTACCAAGGACAGTTCAGGCAAAAATGGAGCCACCACATTTGTGGGGATCTATTAATAGATGTGAAAGTAAAAGGGATGACAGACCAGACTCCAGAAGCATCTGAGGCCAAAAACAGGAGGAACTTTGAATGCCAGGGTGCAGAACTTCACCCTGGCAGCAGTGTGTGGATATGAAGGGAGTAGGCTGAAAGAGGAGGAGTCAGCTCATGAACACAGCAAGAGCAAGGGGTTACAGAAGACAGGCTGTGGAGGAGGCAAAATCCACAGTCATTGATGATGCATGGTACATGGGGGAAGAAAGAAAAAGAGGACTGAAGATGGTTGTCAGGCTTCCAGCTGGCGCAACTGGTTGAGCCTCTGAAATACAGAGTTCAGGAGAGAGCTGTGCAATGGGTGGGTTCATAAGGCTGATATTATAACAAGCCAGCCAATTCCTGTGCTGCCAGGCCTGAGGGTGTGAACGGTTGGTGGCGTTGCCAGATCCTGCAGGGTGATCTGATGGGCAAGATTAGGAAGAAGCTAGAGGTAGGGAAAGGCAACTGCTAGCCTTCTGCTCTCCACAGAACCCTGGAAAATGGCATCCACCAGCCAGTGATCACGTGCTTCAATATGCCCTAGAATGGCCCAGCCCCACATCTGACTCATCATCTTTCGCAAGCATTTCTATTTAAATCTTCCAGGCCACAAGTGCTGCAGACACAAAGGATGGAAGTATGTAATCCTGTATTAGAATCCCTGGTATCTGTGTGCTTAATCTTTCATATTTTCAATTAAATCATGAGGAAATAATTGTGCAAACCATAAATTCACCATCCACAGGGAAGTGATTCATTTATTATCCTTGAGAGGTTTGTAGCAGGGCATCTAAAAGCTTTAGATAAGGAGCTAATTTAATTTTGGTTCTCCTTTTGCTAAGATTTCTTACTCTGGGGTAATATATACAAAATAGGAAAAACATGTGAGGTCCGTAGGTCAAGAATATTAGCATGATTATTAATAACCAGAAATGTGACTTTCATACTGTTTTACTTCTTCAGTCTCCAAAGTTCTTTCTCACCTACTATGTCAATTCTTCTTAAAGGTAACATAAATAAAGCAAAAATTCCAAAAATGAAGTAGCTAATTTATGAGGGAAGCAAACTGTACTTTGGGAAGAGTCTTACCTTCAAATGTAGATATTGCCAAGCTTACAATACTTTGAATCATAGAATTCTTTTGCTGAAGGAAATCATTCCAGAGAACTTGGCTTGTTTGGGAGGTGAAACAGCGAACGCGCAGAGCAGATTGATAGCTTGAGGACACTCCCAGTTGGTCAGGAAAGGTGCAGGGACCAGAACCCGGGTTTCCTACCCTCAATCCAGCATTCTCCCCTCCACCCCTTACTGCTTCCCTAGCTGTCACTTACTCATTCTTTCAAAAATCAGATTTCAAACTTCAAACTAAAAATGGTATCTGAATTGTAATTATCTATATTTGAGTCCATCTCTCTTATTCCATCTCTCCCTAGTGACTTTAACCTCTTCCCTCGCTGTTTTTTTCTCAAATTCATAAGCCTACCACCCTTGAAAAAAAGCATCCCTTTGATCACGCGTCCCTCTCAGGTTGCCTCCTCCCCTTCTTCCCTTCAAGCCCAGCTTTTAGAAAGAATGTCTACCCTCCTGAACGCCTCTTCCTTCCCTCCCCTTCACTCCTCAGCTCACTGCCATCTGGAGTCTGTAGCTGCCACTCCACCAAACTGTTCTCACTGAAGCCTCAGACCTGGCACAACTCAAGGACCTTGCTCTTTTTGGACATCTGTACTACATGGAACGGTGTTGATCACTCCTTTCTTTTGGAAACACTCATTCCCTAACTACTGTGATATCAGCTCTTTGGTGTTTCTTTCCTTCTCAGTCTCCCTAATTGACACTTCACTTTTATGAGCCAGTGAAGCCATGAGGGTCATGGGTTGACAAATCTGGCAGGGGCAGAAGAGAGGCACAACTCTCCCAGATACGGCTCCCCCCAAAACCTTGCATCCACCACCCCAAATCAGAAATTTCATTTTCCTTCTTTCAGTTATTCATCCAACAAATATTTATCAAGTACCAACCGTGTGCCAAATAATGTACACAACGCATGGGGATACAGACATGAGAGAGGTAAGGGCTTACTTAGCCTCTGCCTTCAGTCCGCACCTGCCTCCCATCCACTCCTCTCCAACCCATCCACCTTTCGGAAAGATGCAGCTAAGCATGCATTCCCCTTTGATTAAATCCTCCAGTGGTTCTCTTATCAAACCCAGTGCCTCAGCGTGCCATATAACTGGTACTAACCTATCTTTCTAACCAAAGCTCTCACCACTCTCCCCAGGGAGCACTCCAGCCTCACAGAACATCTTTGCAATTTCCCCAGATGTACCTATCCTGCCTGTCTGTATGCCTTTACATACGCCGTCTCCTTTCTCCAGAACATGTCTCACTTACCTTCTTTGTGTGGAAATATTCTCCATGTCCCCCAAAGACAGCAAAAATTTCATCTCACCTCTCACACCTTGTCGACTGCCCTGCCCATTGTTCTCATAAATCATTGAACACGCTTTTGCTACAGCACTTAGCGCTCTGTACTATTTTCTCACGTCAGCCTTTCCAGCAGACTGTGAGCTCTAAGGAAAAACAGCATATTGTTTACCTTTGTACAAGCCTCCCGCCTAGCAAAGGCTCTGCTAGATGGTTAGCAGGCATCCGCAAAAACTTTCTGAATTAATTATTCTCAGTGGTACCACGAACACTTGGTGCTTGTGCATCCCCATCAGCATTTCATATTTTCTGGGTTGATTTCATGTTCTTTACAATTGACTACATGTCATTACTTCTTTCTATTCTGTTTATGCACTTCAAGTGGAAAAGACAAAACCCGACCTCTTTTCTTATCCCTCAGGCTCCTCTTTATTAAGTTGAAACCGAAAATATTAAACCACAAAAAAGACTTGGTTCAAGGCCTTCCTCCTGTAGACAGCAAAGAGGTCAGATTTCCTTTCAATGGATTTGATTTATTCCTTCATAATGGAATAAAAATTAACTTCAGGGAAACAGTACATGCAGCCAGAGGTAATTCAATCACTAATGAATGAGATATTACATAACACAATAGGCTAATTGGCTATTCTTGATTTAAAAGGCACAGCCTCTATATTTTATAATGTTTGGTTTCCTTCTTTTCTTTCCAACCTTGTCACTGTTGTAGTAATTACTGCATAGCCCTCTTAGGAAACCGTGCCTTCCGCTCATCCCATTCCTGCCCTTTTAGATGCGCCTCGCCCACCCACCCCGGACTTCTTTGGGACTGAATTGAAAAAATCACCGCACAAAAATGCCGGTACATGCCCGACCTCCAGGATACTCCCAGGCCCGCGCAGCCGGCCCTTCCAGCTACCTCTCCCACTCGGCTTTCCAGATTCTCCTCGCTCCCGCTTGTGGTTTGTGCCGCGGGCCCCTCACTTTCTTAGTAACACGGATGATGACTCCATTGGGACTTAGTGACCAGCTGATCTTGGCATCCCGCCGGCAGGGGGCCTCCAGATCTGCCTTGCGCTCGTCCAGTGCAGCCAGAGGCCGGGCCTGCTCCTAGGAGAACTGCCTGGAGCAGGAGCCTCAGGAAGGGGAGGGGACTGGTGGGGCACCGGCACGGTCTCGTACCTGGCCTTTTTCTGGGTTTTAGAGACGGGGTCTCATTGTGTTACTCAGAGTGGATTCTAACTCCTGGGCTCAAGCGGCCCTCCTGCCTCAGCCTTCCGAGAGCAGCTGGGACTACAGGCGTGGCACCAGTCTTCACTGGACCCTCCTTCCTCAGCCCTCAAATCTCTGCATCATAAAGGTCCGCCCAGCCCTCGCCCAGGTGCCTCCTCCCAGCCTCCCTTCTCACTGAACCAAGGCCTCCGAGGAGGACGCCCCTCGCCCTCCTCAGAGTGGCAGGCAGCCTGTGTGTGCCCCTCACTGTCCCCCTCCTCTCCCTCACAGTTCTTCCACCCACCACCACAGACCGTCGTGTGAAACCCCTGCACCGTCGACGGTCCCGTGTCTGACCGCTTACCCACCCCTTGTTGTTACATTCCCCCGTGCTGCTCACCCCTCACCCCTTAAAGACTTTAAGGTATCTGGGTCACTAGAAATTGTCATCACCCCAAACTGTTTCCTGTCAGCTTTATGATTCAAAATCTGTCTGGCCCAAGGCTTCCCTTCCAATTTATTTGCCAATCATTCCCAGCCCTTTGTTCGAATTCCTTGGGACCGCCCTGTCCATCGACCACTAACTACACTTCTCTATGCCTCCACCTCCTCCTTTCCCCTAACTCGGAGTCAATGGCTCTAACCAGAGTCCCTCCAAAGCACTCTCAGTCTCCCTCCCCTCTGCTCTCAGCACTTACCCGGTTCCACTCTGGGCCAATCAGGCACCCGGCTTTGTGCTCACACGTTGGATAATATCAGTGCTGCTGGAGAAAATCCAGTGTGGTGGAGCAGGACTCTCCTTCCTGCCACCGGCTTCTTTTCCTCCTCTCCTTCCCCTGGTGACCTCCGAGGAGGAGTGTGAGGCAGGTTCGGTTCTGGGTCCTCGTCTTACCTGATGTGGCCCCGGCCCATCCCATTCCCCATGTTTTCCTCCCACTTTGCTGGCTTCTGCTTCTCAGCACCTCCACGGCTCCCTCCTCATCTCTGGCCGTTTCCTAGAGGGGCCAGCCTTCATCCCCTCCTTATCTATCCTCACTCCTTAGAGAATCATCTGACCGCATGGTTTTCAACACCATCTAAATGCCGATAACTGTCAAATGTGTGTGTCTACTAGCCTGGACCCCTCCCTGGATTCCAGAACTTCCTACTTGAACTTTCAACCTGGATATTTCATGAGCATCTTAACGTTCATGTGTCCAAACCCAATTATCCATTTCCCACTCTGCCCACCTTGTTATTCATGCTACCTTCCCATCTCAAAAGCAACTTCGTCATTCTGTCTTTCTTGGGTCAAACAATTACAGTCATCCTTGACTCAACAGCTTTTTTTTTCTTCTTCTTTTTTTTTTTTTTTTTTAAGACATCGTCTTGCTCTGTTGCCCAGGCTGGAGTGCAGCGGCACTATCTCGGCTCACTGCAACACCTGCCTCCCAGGTTCAAGTGATTCTCCTGCCTCAGCCTCCAGAGTAGCTGGGATTACAGACACCCACCACCACACCTGGCTGATTTTTGTATTTTTAGTAGAGATGGGGGTGTCACCATATTGGCCAGGCTGGCCTTGGACTCCTGACCTCAAGTGATCTGTCCGCCTCGGCCTAACAGCTTCTCTTAAACCTCTACCTAATTGGTCAGCAAATCCCGTCATCTCTCCCTCCTGGCCTCCTCCACTTGGGAGGGCACTGGGAAACACTGTCCTTGTATTTATAGTCCTTCAATCCCAACCATTACTAACATCATGTGTAGACAGTGGTCAGAATGAAGCCAGACTGCAGTGGTTCTCAACCTTGGCAGCAGTTGGAATCACCTGGGGGAATTTTAAAAATACTGGTGCCTGTGTCCCACCCCAGAGATTCTGCTTTAATTGGTCTGGGATATGACCTGAGAGTTTTAAAAGCTAACCCCAGCTCCCGCCCAGGTGGTTCTAATGTTCAGCCAAGTTTTCAAACAGCTGTGCTAGGGCTTAAAAAAGACCCAGTGAAAATCATTAGCGTTAATCAGTGCTTAAATGTCAAGTAGATTTTGGTATCACACACTAAAAAACTTTCCAAAATATTAAAGTAAACAATACAGACAGTCCCCAACTTAGTGACGGTTTGATTTACGATTTTCAGCTTCATGATTGGTTTATTGGGGTATTAAATGCGTTTTTGGCTTATGCTATTTTCGACTTACTATGGGTTTATCAGGATGTGACATGACCCCATCATAAGTCATGAAACATCTTGCAGTTAAAACTGGGAGATTATATAAGTACACCCTCGTCTCTTTGAATGAGCCTTATAATTTTAATCTTCACTTTGATAATTTTTTCTCATTTTAATAAAATATTTTAGTTTTCAATATTGATCATTTAGTGAGAAAATCCCAGCACTGCCTAAAATATTGGGCAGAATATCACTATCTCAGCTCCATTTTACATCCTCTGTGTTTTTCTTTTCTTTTTGTGGGGAGGGGATGGGGTCTCACTCTGTTGCCCAGGCTGCAGTGCAGTGATGCCCTCTCAGCTCACTGTAACCTCTACCTCCTGGGCTCAAGTGATCCTCCTGCCTCTGCCTCCCAGCCTGTAGCTTGGGACTACAGGCATGCACCACCACACCTGGTTAATTTTTGCTCCTTTTTTTGTAGAGATGAGGTCTTACTATGTTCCCAGGCTGGTCTCAAACTCCTAGGTTCAAGCAGTTCTCTGACCGTGGCCTTCTAAAGTGCTAGAGTCATAGGCATGAGCCACTGCGCCTGGCCCGCTGTGTTTTCTTTTCAAGCACAGTAATTTTTTCTGTGAATTTTGGGGAAACTGAGCTGAGAAGCTCACCTCTGTTTTTGGCAATGTTGAAGGAGTTTAACAGATTAATGAGGCCAGTTTTATCACCTTAATTTTCTTTTTAAATTTTCTAGCACTTTTCCTCCAGAGGCATTCATGGGGGGTCATCACGTCACAGTTTTTTCATGATACGTTAACAAGCAGGGGAGAAAGAGACAATTGGTAAGTAAAGAACGATATCTAAAAGCAACTCACAGAGTCGGGGGTGAAAGGACAGGGGAGAGGAGAGGCATCAAAGGGCCTGCAGCGAGGGGCGCCTCTTCTCAGTTCCTACCGCCGGGAGAGAGCTGGGAGAATAGACAGCTGGCTCATCATGAAGGGTCACCCACATCACCGCAGCAGAACCCAGCTTTTCCCTTCCACGTCCTGATTCCTACTTTTCTCAGCTCAAAATTTCTATTTCCACCTGTTTACTAGAATTGAAGGAAATTCCTGATTAACCTAAAAAACACAGTTTGGGTTGCCTGATTTTCCTATTAACTTCTTCCTCTGATGTGTATTGTTCCAGAGAGACAGCATGCAAACTGTGTTCATCTGAAACCCAAAGTTTATTTATTTTAAAACGTGTCAGCCAGTGTGTCACACAAATCAATAAAAATAACTCTTGTAAAAAAAGAAATCCCTAAAAGGGAATGGAGTCAGAAATTTTGTGGTGCGTTTTATTACTTGTTTATTTTTGCTCTCATTTTACCACTCTTGTATTTCAAGCTTGAATTATGATTATACTTCTGAAATAATTTTAAGCAAACAAAAATATTCATCACACTATGAAAACAAATATCCAAAAATATGCTCTATGGTCACAATTTTTGTATCTGAACATTTACCTACGACTCTGTATATGAACAGTGATACTTGTTTTTCAATCATTTCTTATTTGACTTGTAAAACAGAATTTTTCTATTTTTGGAAAATATCTTAAAAATTAAGAACAAGCCCTTCTCCTCAGTGCTACACATAAAGGACCTTATTTGTCACCTTCTGTCCTGGAATGACAGGACAGGTCGACCCTAATTTCACTCCTCTAAACAAGGTAATGATGGCTTGTGCAGGAAATCTAAATCTGGCCTCAGAGGCAGCCCAGTGATTTTCCAGGTCAAGGGAAAGGGAGAAAGCAAAGATCTGAAGCTCTGTCCTCCTCTCCTGGGTATCTGCCGTCCACAGAGCTGGGGGAAGTCTGCCATCTAGTGGAAAGTAGAGGGCACTGACAGTTACTTGCAATAGTGGTTTCCCAGGACCGCTTGAGCATCAAGCGTTTCTGATCCGGGGGCATAGCTTCCATCAGGGACAGGGTGGACTAGCAGAAGAATATTCAACAACAACAAGTAACATTCAAACCCAATACACAAATGTTTCTTTATATATATAAACTACACATAGTGCCCTATACAAAGTGCTTCTTCATAAAGTAGTGCCAGGTGAAGTGCTAAGTGTTTTAGTTAATAAATCTCATCTCATTTCTACAGTGATTATCAATGTATTCTGCATGATTTTTCCTATACAATGGCAAAAACACAGGGTGGGAAGTATACTTAATCCCTAACACAGTGATTACCATTATACTTTTAAAATTGCTGTACAGAGAATATTTTCCATCGGTTCAGATCCATACAATAATCGATTTCAGTTTATGCTTGTCTTTTGACAACAATTGACATATTCAGGTAACAACATTAAGGGGGCTGGGGGACAGACCAAGTTACTCAGATATATTTGTGCTCTCTCCTTTTGATTTCATTTGATTTCATTTGTTACACTGTTCCAATTTGCTTTAAGTGATTGTTTTTAATTATATTAAAGTAGCACATGCCATGCATATATTTAAAAGCATGGTCTCCTCTTCCGCCCCTTCCCACCTCTAGTCTTGGTCCCTAGAGGTAATGACCTGCAGTTCTGTTAGTTGCTTCTTTTCGTATTTTCCTCCATAATCTCTAAATAAAACGCTCTGCTTCTATTTCCTTGTCTGTCTGTGGTGGATTGACTGCCTTAGTTTGGGTTCTTTCAGAGGCAGATCCTGAAATGGATGATTCAAGGACAGGATGGGAAAGTAAGATGAGGAGAAGGCCATCAGTAAAGGGCAAATCATCACACCAGCTGCCACCATAGGCACCTGCACCAGACCCAGTGTAGAAATGGGAGCCAGTGCGAAACAGAGCTCACGACCACTGGTTTAGAGCTGCTCCTGTCACATGGGCAGCAAGTAAGCTCCAGCACCAAGAGCAACACCAAAGCAGATGCTGGCAATTGCACACAGAGCTGCCTTGTGCAGCCGTGGTCAGGGCCAGGTGTGTGGGCAGGGAACTGCCAGTGTCTGCTACAGCCATCTCACCTGTCGGGTACCCAGGTAAGCAAGAGCCTTGCACACCCCCACCTTCCTCATCCTTCCCTTTTCACCCCACCTCCTCTCTCCTACTGCTCAGCTTCTGATTACATTTGCTTCCTTGTTTACATTCTTCTATAGCTATATTTAGGCCTACAGTTTGATTTTGAAAGCACATTGATGATGTGACTTTGCAGTATTTTTCACTGCCGAGCTAGTGTTCACTATAATTACATTTCTTTTTTTTTTTTTTTGAGACAGGGTCTCGCTCTGTTGCCCAGGCTGGAGTGCAGTGGCACAATCACAGCTCACTGCAGCCTGACCTCCCAGGCTCAAGCAATCCTCCCACCTTAGCTGCTCTCCCCTCAATAGCTGGGACTACAAGCACAGGCCACCATGCCCAGCTAATTTTTATATTTTTCGTACAGATGGGGTTTTGCTACGTTACCAAGGCTGGTCTCAAACTCCTAGCCTCAAGCGATCTGCCCACTTCAGCTTCTCAAAGTGCTGGGATTATATAGGCATGAGCCGCCACACCCAGCCACATTTCGTTTATATTAGAGCTTTTTAATTTTTCCTGAAGTTATTAACTGCCTTTTAATTTTCTTGCACCTTTTGCCCTTGTTTCACATTAGTGTTTTTCCTTGACCTCTTCTGCCAATTAGGGATCAAGTGTTCCATGGAGACTCTTTCTTTTTTTATTATTATTATTTTTTTTTTTTTAATTTTTTTTAAGTGGAGTCTCACTCTGTCACCCAGGCTGGCATGCAGTGGCGCAATCTCAGCTCACTGCAACCTCCACCTCCTGGGTTCAAGCGACTCTCGTGCCTCAGCCTCCCAAGTAGCTGGGATTCCAGGCATGTGCCACCACACCCAGCTAATTTTTGTGTTTTTATTAGAGATGGGGTTTCACCATGTTGGCCAGGATGGTCTCCATCTCCTGACCTTGTGATCCGCCCACCTCAGCCTCCCAAAGTGCTGGGATTACAGGTGTGAGCCACAGTGCCCAGCCCCATGGAGACCCTTTCTATGTAGAGTTTCTCTGCAGGGCCTTGTCTCATACTGTGGAATGTTCCTACAAGGGAATACTACTCTGCAAAACAAAGAATAAATTATTGAGACATGCAACAACACAGATAACTCTGATTGACTTTGCAGAGTGAAAAGCTAGACATTTACATAAAATTCTATGAAATACAAATGAATCTACAGTGATAGAAAGAAAGAAATCAGGCTGGGTGCGGTGGCTCACGCCTGTAATCCCAGCACTTTGGGAGGCCGAGGTGGACAGATCACGAGGTCAGGAGTTCGAGAGCAGCCTGGCCAATATGGTGAAACCCTGTCTCTACCAAAAATACAAAAATTAGCCAGGCATGGTGGCACGCTCCTGTAGTCCCAGCTACTCAGGAGGCTGAGACAGAAGAATCACTTGAACCCAGGAGGCTGAGGTTGCAGTGAGCCGAGATCACACCACTGCACTCCAGCCTGGGCAACAGGGCGAGATTCCGTCTCAAAAAAAAAAAAGAAAGAAAGCAATCAGTGGTTTCTTGATGTACTCAGAAACTGGTATGTTCACCATCTTTTGTTCATGGGTATGTACATATGTCAAAGCTTATGAAATTATATAATTTAAACATGTGCAGTTTATTGTGATTAATTATAATAAATCCAGTTACACTCAATAAAGTGTTGATGATGTCAATGGTACCATGAATAAAATAGAAAGATTATTAGTTAATGCTATGTGAATAAAATAGAAAGAACATTGTTGAACAAACCATTTGACCAATGAATGTTTCTCACTGCCTTATAAAAAGAGTAAGTGAATTATTAAGGCTTAGCAAAGTAAAGAAAGTCTCCCACAGTCTCTGATTGGAATTCCATAAAACAATAGTCGTACATTTTTACTAGACAAAGAAAACATACATATAAAATAGCTAACTTTTCAAACTCCAGCAAAAGTCTCCATTCATTTACTTTTTGTTCGCCTTAATATAGCTTTATTACCTTATAGAACATTTCCCTATATCTTAAGGGGGAACATCTTTACAAAGAGTAAAGCAGGAAGGGAATAAAATCAGGACAAAAACAAAGATCACTAAAGGATGAGCTTTAAACCATGTTCCTCATCTTCTGGTAGAATTCCACCAGATTCTTCTACTTAGAAACTCAAGCACCCAACTCATCAATTTCACCTCTAATTCTACACTTGCAACTTTATCAGCCATGTCTTCTGAGAGCTTGCACTCATATTCACCAACACATCCAAAACCAAAACAGATTTAGAAACAGCTCTAGACTCCTTGCAGAGAGGGAGTCTCACCTTATCATTCTTTTCAGCATTCCAAGTAATTGTACCCTCTCCCATCCTTCCCATCTCCTCCCCAGGCCATTGAAAAGGGTTGAATTTTAAGTACATAGTTGACCCTTCAACCTGGACACCGTTTATTGAACTGTCTGGTTGTGAAACTGCATTGCCACATATCAATATAGTTGTGGGAACTTGGAGATTCAATAGGTATAACAATCTGTTTATGTTAAAACAAACAAAACAGCCATCTCCTTTTATGTGCAGAGCCTACTGCTGTAAGGCACAAGGCTTACTCCTGAGACAGAGTACCAGGAGACAGGAGGCAATTTGAGAGGCTATAGCAAGATAACTGAGTAAAATACTAACTTGTATTTATGTCCCTATATTTTCCCTTTTTTCTCATTTCAGAGCAGGAGTCAGGCCTTTAGCATTTCCTTCCCTTGGTGATTTTTTAAAGTAGAAATCAGAAGTCACTTTCAATCAAAGTCTTTTCTGTCTTTTGCAAACACTGAAGCTACCTGCAGAGAGGATGACAGGGGCCTCAGAGGGAAGAGGAGAGGGATAATTTTAAGAGCAAAGAGAAAAAGAGGTGGGTCGGAGGTTTGGAAGAAGACAAAGGTTAGTGGGTCCCAAGGCTAAGGGAGATCCACATTCTACTCATCACCATTTCAGAATGGAAAGGCCGGACCCCAGACACAGACACTCCATGTCTTCCCAACTCCTCCCATCCCAAGCATGGCACAACTGCTGGAACCAAGGGACCATGCAGGCTAGAACAAAGGGCGCCTCAGCTGTGAGTGGTGTAGACCATGGCCAGTGTCCAAAGGGGCCAACATCCTAGATCATTGGCACAACACTGAGTGGTTAAGGAGCTGGACTTAAGTTGATTTAAATTAAAAAAGAAAAAACCACATTTTTACCATCCCATTTGCTGCAGTAAGATTGATGTGGGGACCCCCTGCAGTACAGCAAAGACTGGCTGGGTGACACATAGCTACAGAAGGCACTGATTACAGGTGCTGGGATTCAGGCCACTTCATCCTGAGCCCGTGGCTGAGATTGTGTGGTAGAATCGGTGTAATCAGATGAGTGTAAACTCATGCTGACTAGGGAAAACTGGGAGTCTATAATAAGCTTAGGTTCGAAGCGTACTTTAGAAAGCTTTAAAATCCCTGGACAAACCAGCCTCTCTTTCTGGAGTAACAAAATACAAATCACTTGTTTGTTATGGTTATCTTGACTTTGTGGAAGTGAATTTAAAACAGGACATTATCAATGAACACAAAACAAAAAATCAAATAAAAGGATTGTTTCCAACATTGTCAAACTTGTGTAAATTAAAAACAAATAAACAAACCAACCAACCCTGGGCAGATACAAAGTGATCAGAGAAGGAAGTGAGGACAGTGGGAGCCTTGTTAGTTTGCTAAGATTAAAATCCTCTGTAATTCTCAGAAAATATCTAGAAAGATTTTAAGGTTTCTAAGTTAATTCTCTTTTTAAAAATTACAATTCTCCCTGGAGGAGGAGAGGCACAGAGAAGCCAATAGACATGCTACCTGGAGAATGGGCCCACGTGTCCAGGTAGCAGTAAGCTATTCTGTCTGTGATGGACATAACAGTTCCCAGAAACTGAGGTATTTTCCATCATTTCCAGTGATACTACCCCAAGTGTCCCCCACCCCCCGAGGAGAGACATTTGAATCTTATTTAGGGAATACCCCCAAGAAACTGCTGCTATTGCAGAACTAGAAAGCAAGAAATGGAGAAATGAATGATGATGTGGCTCCCTCAGAGTCCCCTCTGCTTCCTGGATTGCTGCCTCCCTGGGCTTCCTCTCCTGCAGCCACACGGGCCTCCTGCAGGTTCCTCCCTCCTGTGGCCACTGCATCTGCTTCCCTCTGCTGCCTGGATGCTCTTTCCAGACTCAGTATAGAGCATTCCTGCACCACCTTCAAACAGCACCTCCTCAATAAGGCCTTCTCTATCAATCTCTGTACAACTGCAGCCCTGGCCACAGCCCCAGCTCTCCCTTCTGCACTTAGCACCATCTGACACACTACATGTTTTACTTAATAGTTTATCATCTGTCTCTCCCCACTAGACAAGAAGTACTGAGTCTTTTGTTCAATGTTGTGACCTCAGCCCACATTGGCTGCTGTATTAGTCCATTTTCACACTGCTGATAAAGACATACCTGAGACTGGGAAGAAAAAGAGGTTTCAATGGACTTACAGTTCCACATGGCAGGGGAGGCCTCAAAATCATGGAGGGAGGCAAAAGGCACTTCTTACATGGCAGCGGCAAGATAAAATGAGGAAGAATCAAAAGTGGAAACCCCTGATAAACCCATCAGATCTTGTGAGACTTATTCACTATCACAAGAAAAGCATGGGAAAGACCTGCCTCCATGATTCAATTATCTCCCCCTGGGTACCTCCCACAACATGTGGGAATTCTGGGAGATATAATTCCAGTTGAGATTTTGGTGGGGACACAGCCAAACCATATCATTCCACCCCTGGCCCTCCAAATCTCATGTCCTCACATTTCAAAACCAATCATGCCTCCACCAGTTCCCCAAAGTCTTAACTCATTTCATCATTAACCCCAAAAGTCCACAGTCCAAAGTCTCATCTGAGACAAAGGAAGTCCCTTCCACCTATGAGCCTGTAAAATCAAAAGCAAGCAGTTACTTCCTAGATACAGTGGGGATACAGTTATTGGGTAAATACAGCCATTCCCAGTGGGAGAAATTGGCCAAAACAAAGGGGTTACAGGGCCCATGCAAGTCCGAAATCCAGCAGGGCAGTCAAATTTTACAGTTCCAAAATGATTTCCTTTGACTCCAGGTCTCACATCCAGGTCATGCTGATGCAAGAGGTGGGTTCCCTTGATCTTGGGCAGCTCTGCCCCTGTGGCTTTGCAGGGTACAGCTTTTCTTCCGGCTGCTTTCATGGGCTCGTGTTGAGTGTCTGCAGCTTTTCCAGGCACACAGTACAAGCCGTCTGTGGATCTACCATTCTGGGGTCTGGAGGATGGTGGCCCTCTTCTCACAGCTCCACTGCGCAGTGTCCTAGTAGGGACACTGTATAGGGGCTCCAACCCCACGTTTCCCTTCTGCACTGCCCTAGCAGAGGTTCTCCATGAGGGCCCAGCCCCTGCAGCAAACTGTTGCCTGGGCATCCAGGCGTTTCCATACATCTTCTGAAATCTAGGTGAAGGTTCCCAAACCTCAGTGCTTGACCTCTTTACACCCACAGGCTCAACACCACATGGAAGCTGCCAAGGCTTGGGATTCCACCCTCTGAAGCCACAGCCTGAGCTGTACATTGACTCTTTTCAGCCACGGCTGGGACACAGGGCACCAAGTCCCTAGGCTGCACACAGCATGGGGACCCTGGGCCTGGCCCACAAAACCACTTTTTCCTCCTGGGCCTCTGGGCCTGTGATGGGAGGGGCTGCCATAAAGTCTCTGACATGGCCTGGAGACATTTTCTCCACGGTCTTGGGGATTAACATTAACAGCTCCTTGCTACTTAAGCAAATTTCTACAGCCAGGTTGAATTTCTCCCCAGAAAATGGATTTTTCCTTTCTGTTGCATAGTCAGGCTGCAAATTTTCCAAACTTTTATGCTGTGCTTCCCTTATAAAACTGAATGCCTTTAACAGTACCCAAGTCACCTCTTGAAGGCTTTGCTGCTTAGAAATTTCTTTTGCCAGATACCCTAAATTATCTCTCTCAAGTTCAAAGATCCACAAATCTCTAGGGCAGGGGCAAAACGCCCCCAGTCTCTTTGCTAAAACATAACAAGAGTCAACTTTGCTCCATTCCTAACAAGGTCCTCATCTCCATCCTAAATCACCTCAGCCTGGATTTTATTGTCCACATTGCTATCAGCATTTTGGGCTAAGCCATTCAACAACTCTCTAGGAAGTTCAGAACTTTCTCACGTTTTCTTGCCTTCTTCTGAGCCCTCCAATCTGTTCCAATCTCTGCCTGTTACCCAGTTCCAAAGTCACTTCCACATTTTCAGGTATCTTTTCAGCAACGCCCCACTTTACGGGTACCAATTTACTGTATTAGTCCATTTTCACATTGCTGATAAAGACATATCCAAGACTGCACAATTTACAAAAGAAGCCTCATAATCATGGCAGAAGGCAAGGAGGAGCAAGTCACATCTTACATGGATGGCAGCAGGCAAAGAGAGAGAGAGTTTGTGCAGGGAAACTCCTGTTTTTAAAACCATCAGATCTCATGAGACTCATTCACTATCATGAGAAGAGTGCAGGAAAGACCCACCCCCATAATTCATTCACCTCCCACCAGTTCCTTCCATGACATGTGGGAATTGTGGGAGTTACAATTCAAGATGGGATTTGGATGGGGATAAAGCCAAGCCATAACAGGTGCCTACTAAATGCACACTGCAAGAACAAATGAGTGAGTGAATGCTGGTGGAATAAATGCTGAAGTGGCCTGGGGTTAGTGGCTGTGGCTTAGTGTCTGGGTATAGGATTCTGGGGCCCACTGACAATCATCTTTGTTTACACTGTGGTCAGAAAGCTGGTCAGCTTGGACTTGAGCACAGTGGAAGGGGCTAGGCTGGGAGAACATCATAGGATGTGCTCTCCCAGAGAGTGGCCTAAATGACTTCAGACTGCTCCACATGTCTCCCAATGAGAGCATATGGCAAAGGAGGGTTGCTCCCTCCACAGTATTTTTACTCCTTTGGTGCTCTTTTCAAAAAAGGAAGTTCCATGAGAACAAAAGGGCTGGCAAAGTTCCTATTGGGGGATGAGGAAGCCATGCCACATTTTTACAAATGCAACATAATGCCAAGCTCAAAGACAAAATACTGTAAAGTACAATCTCTGCTTGCATAAATTTATTCTCTTGACTGGGAGACAAGACTAATAGGTGAGAAACAAATATGGCAGCATTTTTCTAACAAAGATTCCCTGAGAACAGAGGAGCAGATGCTGGCAATTGCACACAGAGCTGCCTTGTGCAGCTGTGGACAGGGACAGGTGTGTGGGCAGGGAACTGCCAGTGTCTGCTACAGCCATCTCACCTGTCAGGTATCCAGGTAAGCAAGAAGCTTACAGAAATAACTGATAAGTTATTTCTGAAGTCTGGATAGTATTGGAGTTGAAATGCAGAATTTCTCTGCAGTCTTATGTTTTAATTTTTAAATCAAATTTTGGATGTAATCTGCATTATGAAATTTTAAAAAATTACTTACCAGTGAATTCAACTTAGAATTTTTTCCCACAATTTCAAGACAAACTGATACTCCACGGCAAAATGAGCCTGGCCAATCCTGAGGCTCTGGGTCCCCCTTGGTACTGTGAACCCCAGGGCTGTAACTCTAATGGGTAAATGTGGAATTTTGATATCACAAAAAATATCACCTTGTGTCAAAATGCATCATACAGACAATATCTACAAGGGCTGCTCAGGAAAGGCCAAAATGTTTGGAAAGACTACATGGAGCCAGCTGTAAAAAGCATGATTCAAACTGGTGCCAAACATCTAAGCTAGCTAAGCTGTAGGATACAATTTTTGCTTTATTTATAATTTTTTTTTTTCAATTAGGAAACTGAGACTTAAGAATTTTCTCTAAAAAAAATAAAAACTGGAAAACAAGTAATTTTAGAAACAAATATATATTTTTGATAGAAACTGTAAGTAAATATTCAGTACTACCAGAAATATACTATCTTCAACTCTCGGCTTTTTTCCAAAAGATACAGAATCATTTTTTGGAAAAGATACAAGATGTACAGACAAATCACATTCATACCTTACAATTTAAATTCATAATGAACAATGAATATTTTCATATTTTCCAGAAGTTTGAAATTTCAAAGTTGTTAGCAAAATTATTCATTTCCATAATTTTTACGAGTAAAAATAGAAAGAGCTGATCATGTACCTTAATATTGTCACTTTATATATTACTCAAAAGTACAAATAACCCTAAAAGTAGAATCCCAGGCTTATCATATTATAAAAATACTGAGACATTTATCAAACATAACTAATATAAATGAAACTACATTTTTAAAAATGTTTCACAAACACCAGTCCATCTTTCTCTTTGGTTCAGAAAATAAAAGAGGTAGGTTCAAATAAAGAAAATGCCTATTACATCATTAGATTTTCATTAAAATGCTGGAAATTTATAACAGAAATTATTAGAAGTGAAATGAGTTTAAGAACTAAATTAAAAACTGATAATAACTTCAACTAGTAAATATTTTTCTAAGTTCTAATCACACAAATAAGAAAAGATAGTTGACTATAAAAATGGCTTTAGTAAAATAAAAAAATGCTCTCATTATTATAAATTAAGTCTCCTATATCCTAACATGTTCCTAAAACTTGGGGCAAGAGAGAATATGAATGTATATGTTTACAAATTGGGCCTTTCATTTAAATATAGGTATCTAATGTATAAGAGTAATACATACTACTATTAATATGTATCTCTCACCTTTGTGCTGCCCATATTGAAAACAGCAAGTTCAAAGATATTCAACAGTGAGGGAGAAATAAGCACATCATTTGCTCATGATCAATCCACTTCATGCAATTAAAAAAGAAATTTCAGGTTACTAAGAATGGTCCCAAGAAGTCTTCCTGACTAAAACGGAATCTGATTCAAAAGGTAGGAAACAAAGGACAAAGGAAAACAAAGATGCTCTGCAGAAGCTGATACAAGTCAAAGGATTTCGTTTCCTGCTGCTTTTCAAAGCAATGGCAGGATAAACGGAATCTTTCAAATAAATTGCCTTGTGTTGGTAATTTAACAGTAATATACTGAAAATTAGTGTATAACTCCAGGAACCAAATAATGGTACAGTGGTAAAATGGAAAAGTGCCCACTGAAATAAATATAATTTCATCACTTCCCTTCAGAAATTCCACCACTGTGTTCATTCGTATTCAGCTGAAAGAAAAATAAGGACATAAACCCTATACTTATTTGGATGCTTTTGCTGTAAGGTATATTTTAAATGTAATGATTTTCTATTAATGGTTCTATAAGGAAATTTAAAGAAATCTATAAAGACATTCAAAATATATAAAACAAGAAATTTAAATATAAAGGAACTGGCATAAACGTAAACCACCCGAAATAAAGATTAATGATTTATAACTCTAACACACAAAACAAATTTTGTTCAAGCCAGTACATTTTCAGATTTCGGATTCAGGGCAGAGATTTGCAGGATTATTAAGAAAAGATAAAGTATAATTGTGTGGCCTTTTCAAAACACATTAAAACTATGATTTTGAACATTTCTGTGTACATATAATTTAGCCCAAAAGTTTGAAGTGACCATTGTTACCATCTTCCCTTTTGTGAAAAAAATGCAGCTTCTTTTGCCATAGACTTGTTTCAATTCGAGGAGAAAAAGTCACTCCAGAGATTGTTGAAAGTTTCAATTATCAGGCTAAAGCAAAAAATGCAACATCATTTCTGGGTTACTCCTAAAGTTTGCTTCATATTTTCATAAACCACATAACTGATGCCTACAGCAGGGAGCACCTTCATGAAGTTTGGGGTGATGCCTCTGTAAAGTCCTGGTATTCCTTCTTTGGAAATAATTCGTCGAAAGAGGCCAACCATATTCAGCTGTGGGGAACCTTCTAACATGGCTAAAAAATAAAAAAAGAGGGTAATTTAATATTCAAGTATGTTTCATTATTATGACAACAAACAATTATGACCCAGAATGATATTCTAAAATACAGTAAAAGGACAACATTTATTCCAAGAAGCCCAAGACAACATCCCTTTTATGATCCTCTTTGTATAGCACCTAACAGTGAGTGTCCTAACTATAGTAATGATGGTAATAATAGTTATTTATTAATTACTATGTTCTAAATACTGGGTTAATTACCTTCCATACCAATCTTGCAAGGTAAATGTTATATCAATTTTGTAAGTGAGCAATTGGAGGCTTAGAAAGATGGAGAAATTTGTCCTAAAAAAATCTAAGTAGAAAATGGTAGGGCTGAGATCCAATGGTCTGACTCTAAAGCTGGTACACTTTCCACCACCCCACAGTGCTGCTGCTGCCTCCTTCTTACTAGACAAGCGCTGAAGAGAGAACAGTTAAATCTCAGGAAGTAAGGGGAGTATGGAAGAAGCTCTGGGAAGCTTGGGAAAAAGCACAAAGACCTGGGCCTTGGAAATGACCTCAACAAGCAGGAAGAGAAAGCGAAAACCAGTGTTGCTGGCACAACCAAGACAACGGGAGGAGTACCATGTGCTATGGAGATGCAGCCAATTGTTGTATGTGGTTATTACACAGAGAGTGAACAAAGTGGGGCTAGATTATTAAAGGCTTTGAAATTCCCACTAACAACTTTGGAACTGACACCGAAAGGCTGCAAAGATGTCTGAACAGATGTAAAATGATCAGACTTTTAGGTCAGAAATGACAGTCTATCAGCCATAGACAATCTATCAGCCGTATCAGTCATGCAAAGTTCTGGATCAGAGCTGGCAGACAGGAGGGTTAGAATCAGACTGCATGTGTCTGAATTTCAGTCCCACTATTTACCACAGGTATAATCTTGTGGGAGTTACTTAAATTCTCTCTGCCCCAGTTGCTCATCTGAAAAATGGGGATAATGTTAGTATTCCCATCCCCAAGATGGTTATGATGGTGAAATGAGAGAATACACAAGAAACGTGTAGTTCACTACTTTGTGTTTTTCTCTACAGCCATGACTGTCTCTCAGCTCCTTAAATACACCATGTTGGTGCCTGCCTCAGTGTCTTCACACATGCTTTCCCTCAACTGGAATGTTTTCTGTTCCCACTCCACTGGCCTGTGCCCAGCTAACTCCCACTCATCTTTCCAGTCTCAGCTTCACTGACAGCATTCTGCAGCGCCCAAGTTAGGTTATAGCTCCTTGCTCTGTGCTCCCCTAACAAAAGAGGAGTTGGTTTAACCAGGTTGTTTACTTGCTGGACATAACGTCTTCTCTACTCTACACTGGCGGGGCCACACCTGACTTGTTGACTGCTCTACCCCTAGCATCTGGCAGTGTCTAGAATGGGACAATGGCTCAGGGAGTATTTGCCAATTAGTTACTGACTGCTTGGCTGGGGTTGCTGTGGCTGGCACTTGGAAGGGAGGTTGGGAATAGAGCTGTAGATGCCCAAGGTGTACTACTTAAGAAAACAATGGATAAGACTGACCAGGGAAAGCATCAAAGAGAAAAGAAAGGCATTTGAATGCATACTTTAATAGAGTGGGGATAGCAATAAAAGCCAGCAAATGGTAAAAGTTATCAATGGGCTGGCAGAACAACCAGGATGGTACAGTGTAATCAAAGCCAACAATGGAGACTGTCACAGTGAGGAGGAATCACAGCTCAAAACTTGTAGGGTCTACGCAACACTAAAAAATGATTCCAACCACCATTTACCAAAAATTTAACAAACCCAAGATGCTTTATTTATATTGTTGGTAATTCTTACAACACTGTACAATTTTCATTCCCATTAAAAACCCCAAGAAGTCTGAGGCAAGGATCTGAACCCAAATCCATCAGATACTAAAGCTTATAATCTTAAAACGTGCATGTAACACAGTCAAAAAAAATAGTACTCTGTTTATCTATAAGGCATATGTATGCATACAGTACATATGCAATGCTTCTGTCGCATTAAAATTTCATGACGAGGGAGCATTTAGAAAAAGAATTTCTGAAAAGATTCCTTAAGGAGGCAATAATGAAAAAAAGGTTGAGAAATACTGTCTTAAAACTACAGTCTGCATCTTAGTAGAACTTGGAGTTCTAAAAGCACATTACTGGTGCAGCACTTTTATCGGTGTGGTTCTGTAATCAAAAATTCACCTTGAGCCTGCATGCGAGTTCTCACCAAAGCCAATGGGTAGCTGGCCAGCTGACCACAGGTGCTGGATAAGGCACCGCATCCCAGCAACACCATGACTCCAGGGTTTACAGAATCTTTTGCAAAATTATCCAGCCAATAGGACTTCAAGAGCTGCCAGAGAAATAAAGAAGAAAATAATTAACGAACTCTACAACTTCAACGTAAACATTTTCACAGCTATTCTCAACCTCATGAGAAGCCCCGTTTCTGCAGGATGAGGCCACGCATTTGCAGAAGCAGCAGGCACTGCAGGAGGCGGTGACTCTGTGGAGAGGTGGGAGGCCACTGGGGGTGCGGAACACATGAGGTTTGCACCGGTTACTGACATTCTTCTAAACAAACGTGAACTGCGCAGCAAACGCTGCAGGATCTAAAGAACACCTCTTATGGTGAGTATTAATAAAATAATATAATTCTACTAATTGTATCTCATTTTACACGTTACATATATTTCATTTGAGCCTTACAGAAACTCTTACATAAATCTATTATTCTGATTTTAGAAATGAGAAAAATTCATCTCAGCGGAGTTTTTGTTTGTTTTTTTGAGATGGAGTCTCGCTCTTGTCACCCAGGCTGTAGTGCAGTGGCCCAATCTCTGCCTCCCAGGTTCAAACGATTCTTCTGCCTCAGCCTCCTGAGTAGCTTGGATTACAGGCACCCACCACCACGCCCAGCTAATCTTTGTACTGTTAGTAGAGACAGGGTTTCACCATGCTGGCAAGGCTGATCTCAAACTCCTGACCTCAGGTGATCCGCCCGCCTCGGCCTCCCAAAGTGCTGAGATTATAGGCATGAGCCACCACACCAGGCCCAGAGTTTTTTTAAGAAGGACTCAGAACCAGGCGTGCTGATCAAAAGGCCATACTTTATCCCTGTTACTCTAGGTCCCTGTATTTCATTAGAAGGCAATAATTAGGAGAAACTGTATAAAATATATATGATAATCAACTTTTTAAACATAAGATACTTTAAGTATAAAATACATGTTAATATGTTATATAACAAGTTTAACTTTTTAATTTTTTAATCCTGTAAGACTAAAAATTTTAAATCCTACAGGATTAAAAAATTATCTCAATGGATTAAAAAATCCATTGAGTGCATTTCTCAATGGAAATCTTGCAGGTTAGAAGGAAATGGAATGTTATATTCTATGTTTTGAAACTTAAAAAAACTGCCAAACAAAAATACTGTATGGGCAAAACTGCCCTTCAAAAAAGGAGAAATTAAGACTGTCCCTGACAAACAAAAGCTGATACAGCTTATCACCACTAGACCGGCCCTACAAGAAAGGCTAAAAGGAGAAACAAAAGGATGATAAATAGCAACACAAAACCACAAAATATGAAACTCTATGGTAAAGGTCAATATTTAGAATATTATAAAATCCTATAGTATTGTAATGAAGGTATATAAATAACTTGAAAATCTAAATTTCAAAAACAAAATTTAAACAGAATTTAAAGAAGAAAAGCATAAAAAGTAACTATAAATCTATGTTAAGGATATACAATATCAAAAGACATAAAGTTTGTGGGGAGGAGGTGAAATATGTAAAGAAATAGAGTTTTATATACCACTGAAGTTAAGTTGTAAACAGCTTAAAATAAGTTGCTATAACTTTAGTATGCTTTATGTAGTTGCAATGGTAACCACAAAAATAGCATCTATAGAATGCACACAAAGGGAAATGAGAAGGGAATCAGAACATATCACTACAAAAAAAAAAAAAAATCAACAAAACACAGAAGAAGCCAGGAAGAGAGGAAGGGAAAAACAGAAAAGCCACAGGACAAAGATAAAAAGGTAGCTAGCCAAATGACAACAGTAAGTCCTTCCCTATCAGTAACTGCTTTAAATGTAAATGGATTAAATCCCCTAATTAAAAGATATAAATTGCTGAGTGAATAACACATACAGAATCAACTATACCTTATCTATGAGACTCACTTTAGATCTAAGGACACACATAAGCTGAAAGTGAAAGGATGGAAAAAGATATTCCATAAAAACGGGAACCCAAAGAGAAAAGGGGTGGCCATAATTACATCAGACAAAATAGACTTTAAGACACAAACTGTCACAAGAGACAAAGATGGACATTACATAATGATAAATGGGTCACTTTACCAGGAAGAAATTATAACTTCATATGGACCTAATATTAAGCTCCTAAATATATGAAGCAAACACTTACAGAACTGAAGGGAGGAATAAACAGCAACACAGCAATAGTAGTAGACCACCACCCCACTTAATGGTGTTGGGGAGGACATGGAGAAATTGGAATCTTGGTGTACATTGATAGAAATGTTAAAAAACAAAAAGGTCTAGTTACTATGGAAAATGACATGGAGGTTCCTCAAAAACTTAAAAATAGAATTACCATTTGACCCAGAAATTCCACTTCTGAGTATATGTCAAAAAGAACTGAAAACAGTATCTTGAAGAGATATTTGCACAACCATGTTCACTGCAGCACTATTCACAATAGTCAAGATGTAGAAACAATCCAAATGTCCATCAACAGATGAATAAAGAAAATGTGATATATATACCCAACAAATTATTATTCAGCCTTAAAAACAAAAAAGTCCTGTTGTATGCTATCATATGGATGAATCATGAGGAAACTATGTTACATGAAATAAGCCAGTCACGGAAAGAGAAATACCACATGATTTCACTTATACAAGGTATTTAATGTAGTCAAACTCATAAAACGAGAAAGTAGGTTACACAGCGCTGGGGTGAAGGGGAAATTGGGAGCTGTTGTTTAATGACTATAGAGTTTAAGTTTTGAGAAGTGAAAAAGTTCTAGAGATCTGTTGCACAACAAACCACAAACAGTTAACACTTACTGTACTATATATTTAAAAATGGTTAAAATCATAAACTTTATGTTATGTGTTTTTAATCACAATTTTTTAAAAAACTCAGCACAAGAAGTAAAGTCCTGAACCATACCACCTCACACCTAAGAGGACGGCCATAATAAAAATAAGCTTTTTTAAAATGGAAATTAAGTGTTAATAAGGACGTGGAAAAACTGGAACCTTTGTATGTTGCTGGTGAGAATGTAAGTGCAGCCACTATGGAAAACAGTCTGATAGTTCCTAAAAGCTAAACACAGAATGACCATATGGCTCAGCAATTCCATTCTGAGATATATACCCAAAGGAATTGAAGGCATAGACTCGAACAGATACGCAGATGCCAATGTTCACTGCAGCATTATTCACAATGTTGGAAAAGTAGAAATAATCCAAATGCTCTTCAACAGATGAAGGACTAAACAAAATGTGGTATATACACATAACGGAATATTACTCAGCCATGAAAAGAAATGAAGTTCTGATACATGCTACAACATGAACAAACCTTAGAGACATTATGCTAAGAGTAATAAATCAGACACAAAAAGAAAAATACTGTATGATTCTACTTATAAGATATCTTGAATGGGTAAATTCCTAGACATAGAAAGCAGATTAGAGGTTACCAAAGGTTTGAGTTACGGAGGGTAGGAAGTTATTGCTTAAAGGTTAAGGTGTTTCTGTTTGGAGTGAGGAAAAGGATTTGGAAATAGTGTTGATGGTTGCACAATATTGTGAATGTAATTAATGCCACTGAATTGTACACTTAAAATTAGTAAAATGGCAAATTTTATATTTTATAATAATTTTTAAAAATTATGTAAGAAGCCAAAAACCATTTGCTTGTACACTTCAAATGAGTGAAATGTAAGGAATATGAACTAAATCTCAATAAAGCTCTTTAAAAAAAAAATTCGACTCTTCTTTTCATTACACATTCCACTCTTCCTCTACGCTGTAGCTTAGGTCTCATCCTAACATGCACCCTGGCTCATGTCTGTCGCAGCACAGATAACCACGCTGAGTTTTAGTCGTTTGTCTCCCCCACCAGACCTTCAGTTTCTTCAAGGCACACATTGAGTCCTTTGAATCCCCAGATCCAGTGTCTAACCTAGTGGTTTGTATAGTGTGTGCTCAATAATTGTTTGTGAGATTCATAAATTATTAAATGATTTAGATTGCAGGGTTGATCCAAGATTTGTATTCTTCCGTACAAGGAATGAAACTGTATTACTCATGTTAGTCACATTAGTCACTTGGCTTAATGTCAGATTTTTGCAAATCCAAAACAAAGGAAAAAATCTCTAGAAACACCTTTTAAGGTGAACAACTATACCTAACTTTGAGTCTACTCTTCATTAACAAAAGCAATTCCCAAGAAAATCTAATACAAAAGTGACCCCATGCATATTCACACTCAAGTTACTTGAAAGTTCAAATAACACATGCTTGAATTTACTTCTGGTCACACACTGTTTTCTGGTATATATCTACTTCTTCATATAAAGTCCAATTCTAACAAGATCTAACTGCATTTTCCAATTCAAAAGATTTCTACAAACTCACCTCATACACAGCAAGATCTATGCCTGCATAAGGTATGATACCTAATAAATTGGGAACATAGCCTTTGTAAAAAGCTCCCAAGCCTTCATGTTTCAAAATCTTCTTGGCACAATCATATATTCCAGAGTACTGCCCAGTTTTGCCTACAGCCAGCCTGGTTTTCATAACCTGGATATAAAAAAAAACAAAATATGATTGTTCATATTAACTCTATCATCATGGGATTCAAATGAAGTAATTTTACATGGAACAAATACCTAGCACATATTGTCACTCAAAAGACTGTACAATTTGTTGATACATTCTCTTTCATGTATTACCTCTATTGGGGGGCTAAGACCAAAGCCAGAGAGACCCGTTTACTGCAAGGAGGATCTGATGAAGGAAGTGACCAAGGAAATGGAAGCAAGATAATCTATTGATGTCTTAACAAAACTGACTGGTGACCACCTGCATCTGGAAGGTGAGGGAAATGGTAGTATAAAGGATAACCCCAATACTTCTAGCTTGGAACACAGGATGGGGCAGTGGGGAGTTGGGAAGGTGATACTATTAACTGATATGGAGGATATGAGAGGAAAAATAGGTATTAAGTTTTTTTGAGAGGTGTGTGGAGTAATATAAACAATCATATTAAGATGCTTAAAAAAAGCTGTATTAGCATGCATACCACATATCGGTGAAAATTGTATTTATCTTGCTTAAGTCATCAGTTACTAAAAACCCCTCTGCTATATCAATAAATTCCACATCTACAATATTATTTTTGCTATAAAGCAGTAGTTGGAAAACTTTTCCTGTAAAGACTAAATAGTAAAATATCTGTCGTTGCAAGCCTAAAATATTAGGTCTCGGTTGTATATTACTTTTCTTTTCTTTTGTTTTTGCCTACTTTTTAAAAATTGTACTTTAAGTTCTGGGATACATGTGCAGAACGTGCAGGTTTGTTACATAGGTATACACGTGCCATGGTGGTTTGCTGCACCCATCAACCTGTCACCTACATTAGGTATTTCTTCTAATGCTATTCCTCCCCTAGCCCCTCATCCCCAAAAAGGCCCCAGTGTGTGATGTTCCCCTCCCTGTGTCCATGTATTCTCATTGTTCAACTCCAACTTATGAGTGAGAACATGTGGTGTTTGGTTTTCTGTTCCTGTGTTAGGTTGCTGAGAATGATGGCTTCCAGCTTCATCCATGTCCCTACAAAGGACATGAACTCATCCTTGTTTATGGCTGCATAGTATTCCATGGTGTATATGTGCCATATTTTGTTTATCTAGTCTATCACTGATGGGCATTTGGGTTGGTTCCAAGTCTTTGCTATTGTGAACAGTGCTGCAATAAATATACGTGTGCATGTGTCTTTATAGTAGAAAAATCTATAATCCTTTGAGTATATAACCAGTAATGGGATTGCTGGGTCAAACGGTATTTCTGGTTCTAGATCCTTGAGGAATTGCCACACTGTCTTCCACAATGCTTGAACTAATTTACACTCCCACCAACAGTGTAAAAGCATTCCTATTTCTCCACATATTTGCCAGCATCTGTTGTTTCCTGACTTTTTAACTAACTGGCGTGAGATGGTATGCCATTGTGGTTTTGATTTGCATTTCTCTAACAACCAGGGATGATGAGCCTTTTCTCACGTTTGTTGGCTGCATAAATGTCTTCTTATGAGAAGTGTCTGTTCATATCCGTCACCCACTTTTTGGTGGGTTTTTTTTTCTTGTAAATTTGCTTAAGTTCCTTATAGATTCTGGATATTAGCCCTTTGTCAGATGGATAGATTGCAAAATTTTTCTCCCATTCTGTAGGTTGCCGGTTCACTCTGATGATAGTTTCTTTTGCTGTGCAGAAGATCTTTAGTTTAATTAGATCCCATTTGTCAATTTTGGCTTTTGTTGCCATTGCTTTTGTGATTCAGTCATGAAGTCTTTGTCCATGCCTGTGTCCTGAATGGTATTGCCTCGGTTTTTTTCTAGGGATTTTATAGTTTAAGTCTATGTTTAAGACTTTAATCTATCTTGAGTTAATTTTTTTTTTATAAGGTGTAAGGAAGGGGTCCAGTTTCAGTTTTCTGCATATGGCTAGCCAGTTTTCCCAACACCATACATTAAATAAGGAATCCTTTCCCCATTGCTTGTTTTTGTCAAAGATCAGATGGTTGTAGACGTGTGGTGTTATTTCTGAGGCCTCTGTTCTGTTCCATTGGTCTATATATCTGTTTGGTACCAGTACCATGCTGTTTTGGTTACTGTAGCCTTGTAGTATGTTTGAAGTCAGGTAGCGTGATGCCTCCAGCTTCGTTCATTTTGCTTAGGATTGTCTTGGCTATACAGGCTCTTTTTTAGTTTCATATGAAATTTAAGGTAGTTTTTTCTATTTCTGTGAAGAAATTCAATGTTAGCTTGATGGGGATATCATTGAATCTATAAATTACTTTGGGCAGTATGGCCACTGATTCTTCCTATGATATGATATTGATTCTTCCTATCCATGAGCATGAAATGTTTTTCCATTTGTTTGTGTCCTCTCTTATTTCCTTGAGGAGTGGTTTGTAGTTCTCCTTGAACAGGTCCTTCACATCCCTTGTAAGTTGTATTCCGAGGTATTTTATTCTCTTTGTAGCAATTGTGGATGGGAGTTCACTCGTGATTTGGCTCTCTGTTTGTGTATTATTGGTTAATAGGAATGCTAGTGATTTTTGCACATTGATTTTGTACCCTGAGACTTTGCTTTAAGTTGCTTATCAGCTTAAGGAGATTTGGGGCTGAGACAAGGAGGTTTTCTAAATATACAATCATGTCAACTGCAAACAGAGACAATTTGACTTCCTCTTTTCCTATCTGAATACGCTTTATTTCTTTCTCCTGCCTGATTGCCTTGGCCAGAACTTCCAATACTACGTTGAATAGGAGTGCTGACAGAGGACATCCTTGTCTTGTGCCGGTTTTCAAAGGGAATGCTTCCAGCTTTTGCCCATTCAGTATGATATTGGCTGTGGGTTTGTCATAAACAGCTCTTATTATTTTGTTATACATTCCATCAATAACTAGTTTAGTGAGAGTTTTTAACATGAAGTGGTGTTGAATTTTATCGAAGGCCTTTTCTGCATCTATTGAGATAATCATGCGGTTTTTGTCACTGGTTCTGTTTATTGATGAATTCCGTTATATTGATTTGCATATGTTGAACAGCCTTGCATCCCAGGGATGAAGCCAACTTGATCATGGTGGATAAACTTTTGGATGTCCTGCTGCATTCAGTTTGCCAGTATTTTATTGAGGATTTTCACATTGATGTTCATCAGGGATATTGGCCTGAAATTTTCTATTTTGGTTGTGTCTCTGCCAGGTTTTAGTATCAGAATGATGCTGCCCTCATAAAATGAGTTAGGGAGGAATCTCTCTTTTTCTATTGTTTGAATAATTTCAGAAGGAATGGCATCAGCTCCTCTTTGTACCTCTGGTAGAATTCGGCTATGAATCTGTCTGGTCCTGGGTTTTTTTTGGTTGGTAGGCTATTAATTACTGCCTCAATTTCAGAACATGTTATTGGTCTATACAGGGATTCAGCTTCTTCCTGATTTAGTCTTGGGAGCGTGTATGTGTCCAGGAATTTATCCATTTCTTCTAGATTTTCTAGTTTATTTGCATAGAGGTGTTTATAGTATTCCCTGATGGTAGTTTGCATTTCTGTGGGATTGGTGGTGATATCCCCTTTATCATTTTTTATTGTGTCTATTTGATTCTCCTCTGTTTTCTTCTTTATTATTCTGGCTAGTTGTCTATTTTGTTAAACTTTTCATAAAAACAGCTCCTGGATTCAATGATTTTTGGAAGGGTTTTTCGTGTCTCTATCTCCTTCAGTTCTGCTCTGACCTTAGCTACTTCTTGTCTTCCGCTATCTTTTGAATTTGTTTGCTCTTGCTTCTCTAGTTCTTTTAATTGTGATCTTAGGGTGTCGATTTTAGATCTTTCTCACTTTTTCCTGTGTTGCCCACTTTTTAAAAATGTAAAAGGCATTCTTAGGTCAAGGGCTGTATGAAACAGTCCGTAGGTCTGTGTTTTGCCAACCTATGCACTAATGAAAGGATGTCTAATTAGGATAATCACCATATAATCAAATCCTGAGATTCCATTATTAAATTTATGGTACAGAAACTCTTTGGACAGGAATGGCAGCCAGCCTCTAAAGTGGCAGCCAGCCTCTAAAGTGACCCCCAGTGATATTTGTCTCCGGTTATTAACACCATTATACCAGCCCCTCCTACACTCTACCAGGGTTGGTCTGTGTGATCAATGGAATACAGCAGAAGAGGCAAAAGATACCAGCTTTCATCTTAGGCACTCTCTCTCTCTCTCTCTGTTGGACCACTGACTCTAGGGAAGCCAGCTACTGTGTTTTGAGGATACTCAGGCAGCCTACAGAAAGGCTCACGTGATAAGGAACTGATGTTTCCAGCCAATAGCCAGTGAGGCCTGGCAGCAACATGAGTGAGCTTGGAATCCGCCTCCAGCTGATTCCAAGCTCTGACTACCATCTTGACTGTGGGCTGTGAAAAACCCTGAGCCAGAGGCACCCAGCTAAGCTGCTTCCAGATTCCTGACCCAGAGAAACTGTGCGATGATAAATGCTTGTTTTAAACTGTTAATTTTGGGATAACTTGTTAGAGAGCAATAGACAACCAACACGAACACCATCACACAGTCAGACTTGACAATGGTACTCACCTCCATTGGATATATAAAAGTCTGTGCAGTTGCTCCAGCCATGGAACCAGAAATAAATCTCTCAAATGTTCCTATTTTTTGTCCTTCTTCAGTAAGTAACTTCTTGTACTGTATAAACAAGTTTTAAAATGCACATTACTACCTGCTGTGGACTGAGCTGCACCCCCACCAAATTCATATGTTGAAGCTGTAACCTCCCATGTGATGGTATTAGGAGATGAGGCTTCTGGAGGTAATTAGGGTTATGAGGTCATGAGGATGGAGCCCTCATGACAGGATCAGTGTTCTTGTAAGAGCAGACACCAGAGAGCCCACTCTCTCTCTCCCCCTTCACATGTGCACCAAGAAAAGACCATGTGAGCACATACCAGCTGTCTACAAGCTGAGAAGAGAACGCTCACTAGAAATCAAACTGGCTTGGCCCTTGATCTTAGGCTTTCCCGCCTCTGAAACTGTTAGAAATAAATTTCCGTTGTTGATTCCACACACACTGTGGTATTTTATGGCAGCCCAAGCCAACTAGACAATCCTAGAATACAAATCAGCTCCTAGAAATCAATAAATTGACAAATGTGATGATGTGTCTCGAAATGTATACACTACATTAATAATACATAGCAGAAGAGCAAGGCCTAAATGCTAATACACGCAGTGACTGGACAGTGGTTTTCAAGTCAGATTTCCACAAAACACAGATGTCTCCCAGATTGGACCAAGTTGCTCCTTTGCTGAAACAGCATAACAGCATCCCTCCCCAGGTGTACAGAAAATACAAGGTTAATCAAGTTTTCACAATGTTTGGATATTTTCCCCACAGTTTTTAAAAGATGAGTTTATTTTCACCAGTGCAAATAAAATGAATAAATAGGTGACAAACAAATATTAACAAAACAATTTATAAAAACAGTTTCTGTAGGTAATACATAGAATTATACTAACCTATCAAGCCCAGCATCTCCCTGGCTATCAGTACTAAAGTGACCCAACATAGCTAACTGGACCAAGGGTATAAATATGACCCCAATACAGCCAAAATAGTGACTGGCCAGTATATTAATATCATGGGATTGAGAGTCAGGCAGACCTGAGCTGGAACTCCAGAGCCACGTGGCCTCGAGCAAGTTCATGAACAGGTCCACATTGTGGTTTCCTTGTCTGTGATAACAGTACTTACCTCACAGGGTTATGGAAAGGATTACAAAAAAATAATACTTGTAACACGGTTAGTGCAGGTCTGAACACCTAGCAAATGTTCAGTAGATGTTATTATTATTATTAATATATGAATACACTATCTTTACACAACTTGCTAAGACATTCTGCCCAAACATAGACCATGGGAATTAGCCAGGCAAGCCAGATTCCTTCTCTCAGAAATGTGAGGGGGTCTCCAGAGGTAAGCAGCTGCTGTCACCAGAGGGACAAGGGGAAAGTCAACAGAGAGAAGTGGACTCATGCATGGAGAAGGGAAGGGGGAAGTCTCACCTCCTGGACTTCTCCAGGGATCCTTCCCCTACATGATCCATCCCCACAGTGATGCCCATTCCTGTGCCAGCCAGTTTCTGTTCCCTGGGATCTAAAGTGCCCAATGCAACAACATACGATGACTTTCTCCTAGCAAATCTGTGTTTTGCTGCTCATGATAAAAATTAAGTATATTATCATTTCATGAGATTCCCAAATACCAGACATTCCTCCCCAGAGAGATCACTGCTTCCAAGGGCTCTGTTTCCTGAACTACAGAGTGTTACATAAAACTCCTCTTCTGCATAGGCCCTATTAATTTTCCTGCATGTCAGATTGTCAAAATCATTAAACATAATTTGCTTAAAAACCTTCCTGCACTTTAACAGTAACTTTGAAGGTACCTTTTATACCTTGGACCCCCACAGCACCTATCAAAAGTACAGAGTAAACGTTTAGTGACTGATGGAGGATAAATATTTAAAGGATAAGTGCTTGAGGCTCCTATTCCCCGAAACATACCATATACAAAGGGAAGACTTCAGGACAGAGCCAAAAAGTCAGGCACTGTGCCTGGTATGTAAAACTATGTCACCAAGCTTAGTCCCCATCTTAGAGATGAGGTAATAGTCACAGAGACTTTAAGTAACTTGCCAAGGCTACAGAACTGAACCTTCCTAAAGGAGACTTAACTGAGCCCTCAAAACCACCCTGAAATCCTTTTGTCTATCTCAGTTCTCTCCCATTTGTTAGACTAACCATTTTGATCTTCTCCATTCTCCTCCAGCTTCCAATACCACTTCCTCCCTCATTCTCAGATCACATCCTTTCTCAGGAGCTCAAGGAAGAGTAGAGAGGCCACCAGGCAGAATATCTTGGTATTCTGCCCACCTCCTGCAAAATTATCCATAGCTACTCACATATTTTTTCTTCCCAAACACGTATAAGAAGAGTTCTTCTTGTAATCAAAGACTAATCCTTTTAACAGTCTCTGGATAGAACCTGTCTCCCCCAGCCCCTTTCCATCTCCCACTCCCTTTCCCTACACACAAACTCCCTTGAAACACCTACCGGGTTAATCAACCTCTCTTACCTATGTTTTCAACTTCTTTATTTGTATTGACATGCTTCCTTCAGCAACAGGCACATTAAAGTCAAATCAAAATCCTCCCTCCAGGCCAGGCACGGTGGCTCACTCCTGCAATCCCAGCATTTCGGGAGGCTGAGGCAGGAGGACCACTTGAGGTCAGGAGTTTGAAACCAGCCTGGCCAATACGGTGAAACCTCACCTCTACTAAAAATACAAAAATTAGCTGGGTGTTGTGGTGCACTCCTGTAATCCTAACTACTCAGGAGGTTGAGGCAGAAGAATCACTTGAACCTAGGAGGCAGAGGTTGCAGTGAGATGAGATTGCACCACTTTACTCCAGCCTGGGTGATAAAGTGAGACTCCATCTCAAAAACAAACAAACATACAAACAGAAAAAAAACAAAAAAACAAAAAAACAAATCCCCTCCACCCAACATCTTTCTTATCTATCACCCTCTCCCTCTTCTAGTTTCCTTCTCTTCACTGTCAAACTCCCTAAAAATGTGTCTCTACTGTCCAAGTTTCTTCACCTCCCATTCACTTTAAGCTCATTTCAGCATGGTTTCTCATTTCATTACTTCACAGAAGCATTTATACTAAGCTTACCTATCTCTGGGTTGAGAAATCCTAAAAGATATTCTTATTATATTCACTACCCAGTAGTACTGACCCCCATGAAACCGTTTCCTTCCACTGACTCCTATGCCATCCCTCTCTCTGGATTTTCTCCCATCCCTCGAGCTATTTCTTCTCAGTGTCCTTTGCAAGTTTCTTCTTTTACTTCTCCCTTTGGACTTATTCCTAGAATTCTTCTCATTTATAAGCTCTTCTTGAGTGATCCTGCCCATTCCAATGGCTCAACTCAGCAACAACCTCTCTATCAAAGATCTCTCTCTTAATGGCTAGCTGATATACCCAATTGCTTACTGGACAGCTCCCTGTACATGTCCCACACATCTCAAACTCAGCATGCACAAAATGGAACCTGATATTGTATTCTCTTTGAATGCAGTCACTCAAGTTAGAAATTAGAATATCATTCTTGACTCTTCTCTTTCTCACCTCCATATCCAGTCAGTCAGTGAGTTCTGTTGATTCTACTTCCAAAATATTTCTCAGTTCATTCCCTTCTCCATTCCTTAAAGACATCACCTTATACTGGTGTTCATCATTTCTTACCTCAATTATTTAAATATTCTCCCTGCCTCTAGTCTACCTCACTCTCCCCCAACAATGTCTCCACTCTTTTTTCAGGTTGATATTCCTTAAATGTGAATGTACTCATTTCACTTCCCTATATAAGATGCTACAATAGCCCCTACCATATTCAGAATAAAATCCAGACTCCTATTACATTTGGCCCCTGTTTATCTGTCCAGCTCTTTCATCATTATCTTTCCGGAAACACACTCCACCAGTCTTGAGGCACAGTGAACCACCTTCAGTCTCTTCAGTGAGTGATGCCTTCTTGTGCCTACATTTCTGTCCACATGCTGCTCCTTCTGTTTCCAATCCTTATCTTCCCCTTTATTTATTTATTTATTTTTTTTTTGAGACAAGGTCTCATTCTATCACCCAGGCTAGATTGCAATGGTGTGATCCCAGCTCACTGCAACCTCTGCCTCTCGAGCTCAAGTGATCCTCCCACCTCAGCATCCTGAGTACAGGCACACACCCCCACGCCCAACTAATTTTTATATTTTTTGTAGAAATGGGGTTTTGCCACGTTGCCCAGGCTGGTCTTGAACTCCTGGGCTCAAGCAAACTACCTCCTAAAGTGCTGGGATTAGAGGCGTGAGCCACCACGCCCGGCTCCCCTTCATCTTAATGGCTTGAGATTGAGGCAAGCTTGAGCTCTAATTCCAGTCTGTCAGTTCTGTCTTTTCATTTACTTAATAAGGGTTTCCTGGCACTGGGCAAGGTGCTAAGAATACAAGTAGCTACTGCCTAAGGAAGCTCACAGTCTCACAAAGCAGATAAGTACAGAGAACGTCAGAATTCAATGTGAAAGTGCTGTAACAAAAGGAAACTAGAACAGAAGGCTTCCCAGAGGAACTAACTCCTGAGTAAGTACTAAAGGGCATTTCCCACCATATGACATATAGAAAGAGGAAGGGTGTCTGTCTGTGTTGCTGGAGCAGGGTCAGGAGACAGGGAGTAGCAGAAAGATGACCATGCATGGTGGCCATATTGAGTGGGAGGCACTCCTGGGTCATGCAAGCAGAGATGCTGAAACACACAGTACACAGGTAGACCTACAGTGTTGAGATAAAGAGGAAGATGTTGGAGTGGAAAGCAGTCAGTACAGAGATGGCAGCTGAAACCACAAGAACACTACCCCACACTATTACACTGTCAATGATACAATGACACTACTATGGTAATGACAACCCACAGAGAACACAGGTTTACCCCATACTGATGATGTGTTTGACAGAGCTACATACCAGGTTGAAAAGATCTTTTTCTTAGTTTCCTAAAGTACTAGCTATTCAAGGAACAAAATCTATCTGAATCTAAAAGTGACCTAGTTACATACTCTGGGAAATTTGAGAATATATACAGCCTATTTACCCCGAAGTAATTTACAATCCACTGGGAAAACAATGGGTTTTCCATCATCCAATGAAAAATGGGATATTCTGCAATTCAGCACTCGAGGGAGGCTGGACAGGGGAGGAACTGGCTTTGATTGAGATGCTTAGTATATGCTTGTCACAGGAAGGTGGCTTTTAGAGAGCCCCGAGGGATGAATGGACCTTCAGCAGGAGGAGAGAAAACAGCACCATAGGTCCAGAGCCCATAAGAACACTACACCACACTGTGTAGACAGCTTTCTCTTCATGTCTAAGAAAGTTAGTGTGCAGAAATCACAATACTATAAAGAGGTCTCAGGAAGGAGCTTGGGTGGACAGAAGCAGAGGATGCCTGTTGGTGGTATCCAAGGTAAGAATCTGACAAATGGCATAAAGCAAAATGTGCATATTTGCTTGCAATACCCATGGACTTTTTCAAAAATACCAAACTTCTTGCATACTGAAATAACTGCATTGAGTATTTATTTATTTTAGGCTGTGGCTTTCCTATCATAAAATCCAAGTATGTGGTCAGAATAACCTAAGGGTATCTCAAACATTAGCCCTTAATAATCATGATTTGAATCTTCAAACCTTCATATAAGGAAAATAGCCTTCCCAAGGATAGGTTCTAATTAAAATCCTGGAGACTAGATTTTCTTTAATTTTTTTTTTTTTTTTGCTTCTCTATTTCCTAGGCAAAGAAAAGGATACCACTGGACTTCGTAAACTTCTCAAGAGTATTCTCTTGCTCAAGAACAAAACACTCTCCAGAATAATCTAAAATCTACATGGAATAATACAAAAACTATGGGGGGGGAGTTGAATTTCAAGGCCCTTACAGTCCTTGATAAACAATGATGGAATAAATAATGGAAAACATAATCTGTGGCTGCTCAACTAGACAGTTCTGCTAATGACCATAAAGAGAACCCAAACTCTAAAACTTACCTCTGTATTTCCCCTTTACATTGAGTTAGGCTGAAGCAATAGCTCAAATAATCCAAGTTAACAAAAGCCGACAGAGAAGTGATTCAGAGGTAAATGCATTTGTTCATTCATTGACTCATTCAACACTCGCTTGAAACTTATCACATGCCAAGCTCTGTCTAGGTGCTGGAGTACATGGGGAAGAAGCCACGCCCCTGCCTTCATGGAGGTGTCACTCCAAACTCAGCTCAATTTTACAGCAACGTCAAATTACACAAAGGACTTCAACTTATAGTTTTCCTTCCAGAGGTTAGATTGTGACACTTTCATAAAACTTATGTTAGTGTGCTGCTTCTGCTCAGGATTCAGAATGAATAAACTAAAATTCTACCCTTCCTTTAAGAACTACTTAGAAAAAAAAAACTTTATAAATAATATGATGAATTAAGAATCCCATAACTTGGTCATGAGAAATCTCTGATTTTATTTAGTCTAATCTCCTATAAGTGATCCTCCTTATGGAGTATATGTGAAAGATTATCATGTATTAAAACAAGAATCCCAAAAGCATTATACATTAACATTTATTGAATCCGTTTACTAACTCCTCTTTGTTAATAAATTCCACGGGTGATAACAATTACCTGTTCATATGCCCAGAATTTAACAGCTGTCTCAGGAGCAATTTTGATGACGTTTGTACCATTTCCCCTCCAAAGCGAGCGGATACCTCCTTCTTTTACCATCTGTCGAAAGCCACCAAATATGTTCATTTTGTCTGATTTTGAACCGTGAACCTAAAAATAAAAGCAGAATGATATAAAATGCTGGTGGCATATTACTATTACTTTTTCTAGAACAACCACACAATCTTTTTCAATACCCTTTCTAACTGCAAGAAGATATATTTGAAAATAAAATATAGAAAGGTTGAAAAATATATATAATGATGAGAGGGAGTATTGCCATGATTTTAGAGGCCTGTCTCTGACTCTAAAACTAAGAATAATTGGTATCTTCAGTGTGAGAAAGCAGAGAGAGAAGACAAGAAGAGTATTAAAATTATGAACAACCTTCATAAGATAATATTAACTAAATTATGTATCAGGCAATGGAACACCCTTTGAAACATGAACAGGCTCAGTTAAAGGGAAATAAAAAAGTATACTGCAGATAATAATATTATATTATTACATATAATTTAATGTATGTATATTATTACATATAATTTAAAGTAATATGTTACTCCCTCTCCTCAAGAAGTAGTACAGACATGAACTGTAAATGGGTCTGAAATGGTTTGGATATTGTGTATATCAGGGCTACCAACACTGGAATGCATACAGCCTGAAACCAAAAATAAAAATTGCACCCTCTTTGGCATATTTTGAGGCCCTCTCTAGGCAATAAATTCATTACAACATGTACCCATCCTGTGAGTACTGATAAATTACTTGGCTTATACTACAGATGTGGTAGTCACTTAAAAATACTGTACCTTATGACCACCTACAGATAAAAACTGATTAAGTCCAATACACCAAAAATAATTAAACAAATCAGCTATTCTTCTGATTGTTTCAGCTCACATAAAAGGGGTGACTACCACTAAACACACACACACACACACACACACACACACACACTCACAGAACGGGTTGAATTCTGAAGGCCAGCCATGTGGCCAGTATGAAAACGGGCCCCAATAAGAACTCTGCACACCAAAGGCTCAGGTGAGCTTCCCTGGTTGGTCTGCAATATTCCATGCCTAGTGCCACATAACAGTGCCAGGAAAGTAAGACATGGAGACTCCACAGGGAGAGGACAACAGAAGCTCTGCCCTATGTGCTTCTTTACTTGACTGATTTTCATCCGCATCTTTTCCCCGTAATAAACCATAACCAGGGGTAATAAGCTTTCAGTGAGTTATGTGAGTCTTTCTAGAGAAGTATCAAACCTGAAGGTTGACTTTGGAAACTCCTCAAATTTGCAGAAACTAAATTCCAGAGAAATCCATTTTATTTTAAATAAATAAACTTCACAATAAAATAGGACAAAGGAAAAAATAAATGCTTATTCAAGTTCTCTAAAAGTCAAGTTACTACTGTTCCTAAAGAAAAACACACACCAATCCCCTCTCCTTTTTCTTTAAAGCATTAGCTTTGCCCCTAAATAAATTTTGAGATTTGGGTACATTCTGAAGGAATGCTGGCTTAAAACAGTGTCAGAATCTTTTTGTACAGAAATCTACAGACAAATATAAAAAGTGTTGACCATAAGTATAACAAAGTTTTAAAAATATTTTGTAAACAACTACTATGTTCCAATAGGTTATTCCAGTGTACCAGACATTATCACATACCTGATATTGCTTGATTCTTAAACCATTCTTATTAGATATTCTTATCCCCATCCCAGAATGAAGGAAAATGAGACCTCAGAGGTTTCATGCAGCATGAGAACCAGGAGCACTGGAGGCAAAGATACTGCATTCCCCCTCTCATTTGTTGTAAAGGAAAAGTCAATTCTCTGGGCCTCAGATTCCCCCTGGAAAAATGATAAAATACCTACTTCACTGGGCTGCTGCAAGGATTAACTGGGTTACCACAGTGAGCAAATACATATTAATTCTTTTCCATTCCCTCTTTCCACTCTGGCCAGCCCAATGCTACACTGCTAGTAAATAGCAAAGTCAGTCTATAAAGCCAGATCTTTTTCTGCTAACCTCAGCTTTAGAATAATTTTCAAAATTACATTGCTGCTCTAAGATTCTAGATTTCAAAAATACTTTACTTTTGATAAAGTATATTAAAAAGAAGGAAACTATAAATCAGGAGAATCCTACAACAATAGCTAGAGATATTTTTTGAATTAAATGTTTGAATAGTCATAGAATGCCAAAGATTAAAAGTTCATTACACACATGTACTAACAATTTAAGGTTTGGTACACTGCCATACTTACATGGACTGAATTTAGAGTTAACAGCAACAAAATAGATTTATTTTTTAGGGTATAAAAGATTATTACTGAGAAATTTTAAAACTTCTTTTTCAAAGCACCACATTTCTCATTGTTTTAGAATATTTAGGGCAAACCTGGACACACGATAATAAAGCTCACCTGCATCATGATTTTCAGACGGTCCAAAGGGGCAGTGCTTGTTCGAGAGACAGCACCAGCAATGCCTCCTGCCAAAAGCTGCCTCCACCATTGTCCGGATTTTTTTTCGTCTTCCGTGAATTCATCTGGAATAGTTAAGCTATCCCCTATGTCAATTCCCTGTAAAAATGAAAAAAAGATCCCCATGCGCCTTAGTTAAAAATAATCCCAGAAGACGTTTTGTTTTAGAGAAGAATCATGTTATTTTACAGTTAATATGAACTTCATTCCCTAGAATTTATACTAAACCAATTTGAGTACATAGATTATAAGTTGTCTACTCACAATGAACAAAGTACAGTATCAGTTCACAAGAAATGAAAATAAACAGTAATTACAAATATACAAAACCAACAGTTACAACTTTCTTTCATTCATCATAGATTCACAGTATGTTTTCTCTTGGTCTAGGTTAAAATGAAAGGGCAGCATTTTATCATAGTCAATCTTTTTTATTGCAACCATTTTTCATAAGGCTAGAAAACCAACTGGTGATGACATCTTTTAAGAAATTCGTTCATCAATTCTTAAACAATACTTCCTTTATCTCAAATTTATATCCACATCATATTTATACCATGATATGTTTTAAATATGTAAATAAAAATTAAAACTGTATGTGAATACCCCTAAACTCATTTCCTACTGTTTATAAAAATATTTTTATAAATCTGACTTATCATTTAAAACATGCAATAGATTCTATATAAAATTTAGCTAATGGAGAGGTATTGTTTCAAATCATCACCCCTTCAACCTATTCTACATTACTATAGTTTGAGAGAAACAATTCTATAATAATATTTTTACAATTCTATTATCTAAATTGTTTTGGCAGAAAAATTTTTACAGGCAAGAGTGCAACGGGGAGGAGCTCTCCTATGGTAGTAACCCTCCCTTCCTTCATTTTACTATCAATAAAATGGAGATACAATTGTAGTCTCAACTGTTATCAACTACCTTAAAAAATACCGTAAGAATTATGTAAATAAAACTTCACATAGTGTACAATTTATCTAGGCAACTGAACTACTAGTATAATATTATCTTATACTCATAGCTGAGAAGGCACTAATCACCAACAATTTTATAATGCTTTATGTAAGCTTAGGCATTGTTACTAGTGGCAATGTGAACTCCTGACTTCATTTAATGCATATTTAATTTAGTCAAATCTGAAGTGTAGAAGACAAGCCCATAAAGAAAAAAAAAAAAAAAAAGGCCGGGCACAGTGGCTCACGCCTGTAATCCCAGCACTTTGGGAGGCGAGGCGGGCGGATTACAAGGTCAGGAGATCGAGACCATCCTGGCTAACACGGTGAAACCCCGTCTCTACTAAAAATACAAAAAAAATTAGCCAGGCGCAGTGGTGGGTGCCTGTAGTCCCAGCTACTCCGGTGGCTGAGGCAGGAGAATGGCGTGAACCCCGGAGGCCGAGTTTGCAGAGAGCCGAGATCGCACCACTGCACTCTAGCCTGGGCAACAGAGCAAGACTCCGTCTCAAAAAAACAAAACAAAAACAAAAACAAAAACAAAAAATAAATAAAACTCCTTCAGAGAGTTCCTAAGGGTTTCAGGAGCAGATTGCACAATAATAGAACTTGGTTTACATCAGTATGCAGAATATTAATGAAACAATCAAAATTTGAAAGTTTGGTGGAAAACAAACTGGTATGAAATGCTAAGCAGATGAAGCAAAAAGATTCTGTAACCTTTAATGAATATTGTTAAGTGCCTTATGCCAGAGATAAACATAATCTGACCAAACAAGGACACAGATCCTTAGCAACCATGAGGTGCTGAGATTATTTGGACAATATAGTACCTATAAAAAGTAAAAGCCTACAACTTTTACACTTCCCTATGGCAGAATACTTAAATGCCAATAAAAGCTAGACAGCTTATTCATCAAGGTGGTACTTCTTCCAAGTTTTCAGAATGGACATTTATGCAGTCTTGGGTTGTTTTTTTTTTTTTTTTTTTAATTGATCATTCTTGGGTGTTTCTCGCAGAGGGGGATTTGGCAGGGTCACAGGACAATAGTGGAGGGAAGGTCAGCAGATAAACAAGTGAACAAAGGTCTCTGGTTTTCCTAGGCAGAGGACCCTGCGGCCTTCCGCAGTGTTTGTGTCCCTGGGTACTTGAGATTAGGGAGTGGTGATGACTCTTAACGAGCCTGCTGCCTTCAAGCATCTGTTTAGCAAAGCACATCTTGCACCGCCCTTAATCCATTTAACCCTGAGTGGACACAGCACATGTTTCAGAGAGCACAGGGTTGGGGGTAAGGTCATAGATCAACAGGATCCCAAGGCAGAAGAATTTTTCTTAGTACAGAACAAAATGAAAAGTCTCCCATGTCTACCTCTTTCTACACAGACACAGCAACCATCCGATTTCTCAATCTTTTCCCCACCTTTCCCCTTTTTCTATTCCACAAAACCGCCATTGTCATCATGGCCCGTTCTCAATGAGCTGTTGGGTACACCTCCCAGATGGGGTGGTGGCCGGGCAGAGGGGCTCCTCACTTCCCTGTAGGGGCGGCCGGGCAGAGGCACCCCTCACCTCCCGGATGGGGTGGCTGGCCGGGCGGGGGGCTGACCCCTCCACCTCCCTCCCGGACAGGGTGGCTGCCGGGCGGAGACGCTCCTCACTTCCCAGACGGGGCGGCTGCCGGGCGGAGGGTCTCCTCACTTCTCAGACGGGGCGGCCGAGCAGAGGCGCTCCTCACATCCCAGACGGGGCGGCGGGGCAGAGGCGCTCCCCACATCTCAGACGATGGGCGGCCGGGCAGAGACGCTCCTCACTTCCTAGATGGGATGGCGGCCGGGAAGAGGCGCTCCTCACTTTCCAGACTGGGCAGCCAGGCAGAGGGGCTCCTCACATCCCAGACGATGGGCGGCCGGGCAGAGACGCTCACTTCCTAGACAGGATGGCGGCCGGGCAGAGACACTCCTCACTTTCCAGACTGGGCAGCCAGGCAGAGGGGCTCCTCATATCCCAGACGATGGGCGGCCAGGCAGAGACGCTCCTCACTTCCCAGACGGGGTGGCGGCTGGGCAGAGGCTGCAATCTTGGCACTTTGGGAGGCCAAGGCAGGCGGCTGGGAGGTGGAGGTTGTAGCGAGCCGAGATCATGCCACTGCACCCCAGCCTGGGCACCATTGAGCACTGAGTGAACGAGACTCCGTCTGCAATCCCAGCACCTCGGGAGGCCGAGGCTGGTGGATCACTCGCGGTCAGGAGCTGGAGACCAGCCCGGCCAACATAGCGAAACCCCGTCTCCACCAAAAAAATACGAAAAACAGTCAGGCGTGGCGGTGCGCGCCTGCAATCGCAGGCACTCGGCAGGCTGAGGCAGGAGAATCAGGCAGGGAGGTTGCAGTGAGCCGAGATGGCAGCAGTACAGTCCAGCTTTGGCTCGGCATCAGAGGGAGACCGTGGAAAGAGAGGGAGAGGGAGACCGTGGGGAGGGGGAGAGAGAGGGAGAGGGAGAGGGAGAGCTGTTTTTTTTTGTTTAATACTCTATAAATCTATGCCTAATAGAATAAATAGAACTCTACAGGTTAAGGAGCTACTGGGACTCAGGTATCCTGGCCCATAAGTGTTACAGAGTGTTCTTGGGTGATAACTGTACCTATGGTTTATAGCTCCAAATAAGTATAAATACATAAAGTAGACTTACTGTAGAATGTTTCCAGAAACGGATAATTTCCTCAATGTCTGTAACAGGATTAAATAAGAAGTAGTCTCTCCATTCATTCCAGTCCACTGTCATTGTCCCATCAACATCAATGCTGAAATTTTAAAAAAATGATCAAAGTACAAAACTAAATTGATAAATAAAACTAACATTATTGGCCACTTTACAGAATGACAGTTTCTTTTCTAACATAATATTCTCATTAAATTAAAAAACCCCATCCACAAATATAGGTTGTTGGAAATGGCAGCAAGCATTTTATGGTCCTGTCAGATAGTTTTAATTATCTAGATAAAAATGGGCCCAAAAATTACAGCCAGCTCACTAAAGAATACTTTCAGCACTCTGTCAAACTCTGCCAATGAGCTACAAAACACAAAAACTTGAAGATAAAATATTAAACGATGGTAATGAATAGATTCATTATCCATTTTTTTCATGCACTTAGTGGATCATGAAGATAATTCTTAATGTTCTATTGCAACATTTGAATGTAGTTTTGAAATATACTCAAAACATGCTATCAACTTCCTCGAAGTTAGGAAAATTAACAGCTATTATAAAAAATCAAACTGTCAGTGACTGTGCCTTTGAGTCTTTTTTTTTTATTATTATACTTTAAGTTTTAGGGTACATGTGCACAATGTGCAGGTTAGTTACATATGTATACATGTGCCTTGCTGGTGCGCTGCACCCACTAACTCGTCATCTAGCATTAGGTATATCTCCCAATGCCATCCCTCCCCCTCCCCCCACCCCACAACAGTCCCCAGAGTGTGATGTTCCCCTTCCTGTGTCCATGTGTTCTCACTGTTCAATTCCCACCTATGAGTGAGAATATGCGGTGTTTGGTTTTTTGTTCTTGTGATAGTTTACTGAGAATGATGATTTCCAATTTCATCCATGTCCCTACAAAAGACATGAACTCATCTTTTATGGCTGCATAGTATTCCATGGTGTAAATGTGCCACATTTTCTTAATCCAGTCTATCATTGTTGGACATTTGGCTTGGTTCCAAGTCTTTGCTATTGTGAATAGTGCCACAATAAACATACATGTGCATGTGTCTTTATAGCAGCATGATTTATAGTCCTTTGGGTATATACCCAGTAATGGGATGGCTGGGTCAAATGATATTTCTAGTTCTAGATCCCTGAGGAATTGCCACACTGACTTCCACAAGGGTTGAACTAGTTTACAGTCCCACCAACAGTGTAAAAGTGTTCCTATTTCTCCACATCCTCTCCAGCACCTGTTGTTTCCTGACTTTTTAATGATTGCCATTCTAACTGGTGTGAGATGGTATCTCATTGTGGTTTTGATTTGCATTTCTCTGATGGCCAGTGATGGTGAGCATTTTTTCATGTGTTTTTTGGCTGCATAAATGTCTTCTTTCGAGAAGTGTCTGTTCATGTCCTTCACCCACTTTTTGATAGGGTTGTTTGTTTTTTTCTTGTAAATTTGTTTGAGTTCATTGTAGATTCTGGATATTAGCCCTTTGTCAGATGAGTAGGTTGCAAAAATTTTCTCCCATTTTGGAGGTTGCCTGTTCACTCTGATAGTAGTTTCTTTTGCTGTGCAGAAGCTCTTTAGTTTAATTAGATCCCATTTGTCAATTTTGGCTTTTGTTGCCATTGCTTTTGGTGTTTTAGACATGAAGTCCTTGCCCATGCCTATGTCCTGAATGGTAATGCCTAGGTTTTCTTCTAGGGGTTTTATGGTTTTAGGTCTAACGTTTAAGTCTTTAATCCATCTTGAATTGATTTTTGTATAAGGTGTAAGGAAGGGATCCAGTTTCAGCTTTCTACATATGGCTAGCCAGTTTTCCCAGCACCATTTATTAAATAGGGAATCCTTTCCCCATTGCTTGTTTTTCTCAGGTTTGTCAAAGATCAGATAGTTGTAGATATGCGGCGTTATTTCTGAGGGCTCTGTTCTGTTCCATTGGTCTATATCTCTGTTTTGGTACCAGTACCATGCTGGTTTGGTTACTGTAGCCTTGTAGTATAGTTTGAAGTCAGGTAGCATGATGCCTCCAGCTTTGTTCTTTTGGCTTAGGATTGACTTGGCAATGCGGGCTCTTTTTTGGTTCCATATGAACTTTAAAGTAGTTTTTTCCAATTCTGTGAAGAAAGTCATTGGTAGCTTGATGGGGATGGCATTGAATCTGTAAATTGCCTTGGGCAGTATGGCCATTTTCACGATACTGATTCTTCCTACCCATGAGCATGGAATGTTCTTCCATTTGTTTGTATCCTCTTTTATTTCATTAAGCAGTGGTTTGCAGTTCTCCTTGAAGAGGTCCTTCACATCCCTTGTAAGTTGGATTCCTAGGTATTTTATTCTCTTTGTAGCAATTGTGAACGGGAGTTCACTCATGATTTGGCTCTCTGTCTGTTGCTGGTGTATAAGAATGCTTGTGATTTTTGTACATTGATTTTGTATCCTGAGACTTTGCTGAAGTTGCTTATCAGCTTAAGGAGATTTTGGGCTGAGACAATGGGGTTTTCTATATATACAATCATGTCGTCTGCAAACAGGGACAATTTGACTTCCTCTTTTCCTAATTGAATACCCTTTATTTCCTTCTCCTGCCTAACTGCCCTGGCCAGAACTTCCAACACTATGTCGAATAGGAGTGGTGAGAGAGGGCATCCCTGTCTTGTGCCAGTTTTCAAAGGGAATGCTTCCAGTTTTTACCCAGTCAGTATGATATTGGCTGTGGGTTTGTCATAGATAGCTGTTATTATTTTGAGATACATCCCATCAATACCTAATTTATTGAAAGTTTTTAGCATGAAGTGTTGTTGAATTTTGTCAAAGGCTTTTTCTGCATCTATTGAGATAATCATGTGGTTTTTGTCTTTGGTTCTGTTTATATGCTGGATTACATTTACTGATTTGCGTATATTGAACCAGCCTTGCATCCCAGGGATGAAGCCCACTTGATCATGGTGGATAAGCTTTTTGATGTGCTGCTGGATTCAGTTTGCCAGTATTTTATTGAGGATTTTTGCATCAATGTTCATCAAGGATATTGGTCTAAAATTCTCTTTTTTTGTTGTGTCTCTGCCTGGCTTTGGTATCAGGATGATGCTGGCCTCATAAAATGAGTTAGGGAGGATTCCCTCTTTTTCTATTGATTGGAATAGTTTCAGAAGGAATGGTACCAGTTCCTCCTTGTACCTCTGGTAGAATTCGGCTGTGAATCCATCTGGTCCTGGACTCTTTTTGGTTGGTAAGCTATTGATTATTGCCACAATTTCAGATCCTGTTATTGGTCTATTCAGAAATTCAACTTCTTCCTGGTTTAGTCTTGGGAGGGTGTATGTGTCGAGGAATTTATCCATTTCTTCTAGATTTTCTAGTTTATTTGCATAGAGGTGTTTGTAGTATTCTCTGATGGTAGTTTGTATTTCTGTGGGATTGGTGGTGATATCCCCTTTATCATTTTTTATTGTGTCTATTTGATTCTTCTCTCTTTTTTTCTTTATTAGTCTTGCTAGCGGTCTATCAATTTTGTTGATCCTTTCAAAAACAACCAGCTCCTGGATTCATTAATTTTTTGAAGGGTTTTTTGTCTCTATTTCCTTCAGTTCTGCTCTGATTTTAGTTATTTCTTGCCTTCTGCTAGCTTTTGAATGTGTTTGCTCTTGCTTTTCTAGTTCTTTTAATTGTGATGTTAGGGTGTCAATTTTGGATCTTTCCTGCTTTCTCTTGTGGGCATTTAGTGCTATAAATTTCCCTCTACACACTGCTTTGAATGCGTCCCAGAGATTCTGGTATGTTGTGTCTTTGTTCTCGTTGGTTTCAAAGAGCGTCTTTATTTCTGCCTTCATTTCGTTATGTACCCAGTAGTCATTCAGGAGCAGGTTGTTCAGTTTCCATGTAGTTGAGTGGTTTTGAGTGAAATTCTTAATCCTGAGTTCTAGTTTGATTGCACTGTGGTCTGAGAGATAGTTTGCTATAATTTCTGTTCTTTTACATTTGGTGAGGAGTGCTTTACTTCCAAGTATGTGGTCAATTTTGGAATAGCCGTGGTGTGGTGCTGAAAAAAATGTATATTCTGTTGATTTGGGGTGCAGAGTTCTGTAGATGTGTATTAGGTCTGCTTGGTGCAGAGCTGAGTTCAATTCCTGGGTATCCTTGTTGACTTTCTGTCTCATTGGTCTGTCTAATGTTGACAGTGGGGTGTGAAAGTCTCCCATTATTAATGTGTGGGAGTTTAAGTCTCTTTGTAGGTCACTCAGGACTTGCTTTATGAATCTGGGTGCTCCTGTATTGGGTGCATATATATTTAGGATAGTTAGCTCTTCTTGTTGAATTGATCCCTTTACCATTATGTAATGGCCTTCTTTGTCTCTTCTGATCTTTGTTGGTTTAAAGTCTGTTTTATCAGAGACTAGGATTGCAACCCCTGTCTTTTTTTGTTTTCCATTTGCTTGGTAGATCTTCCTCCATCCTTTTATTTTGAGTCTATGTGTGTCTCTACATGTGAGATGGGTTTCCTTAATACAGCACACTGATGGGTCTTGACTCTGTATCCAATTTGCCAGTCTGTGTCTTTTAATTGGAGCATTTAGTCCATTTACATTTAAAGTTAATATTGTTATGTGTGAATTTGATCCTGTCATTATGATGTTAGCTGGTTATTTTGCTCGTTTGTTAATGCAGTTTCTTCCTAGTCTCGACGGTCTTTACATTTTGGCATGATTTTGCAGCGGCTGGTACTGATTGTTCCTTTCCATGTTAAGCACTTCCTTCAGGAACTCTTTTAGGGCAGGCCTGGTGGTGACAAAATCTCTCAGCATTTGCTTGTCTGTAAAGGATTTTATTTCTCCTTCACTTATGAAGCTTAGTTTGGCTGGATATGAAATTCTGGGTTGAAAATTCTTTTCTTTAAGAATGTTGAATATTGGCCCCCACTCTCTTCTGGTTTGTAGAGTTTCTGCCAAGAGATCCGCTGTTAGTCTGATGGGCTTCCATTTGAGGGTAACCCGACCTTTCTCTCTGGCTGCCCTTAACATTTTTTCCTTCATTTCAACTTTGGTGAATCTGACAATTATGTGTCTTGGAGTTGCTCTTCTCAAGGAGTATCTTTGTGGCGTTCTCTGTATTTCCTGAATCTGAATGTTGGCCTGCCTTGCTAGATTGGGGAAGTTCTCCTGGATAATATCCTGCAGAGTGTTTTCCAACTTGGTTCCATTCTCCCCGTCACTTTCAGGTACACCAATCAGACATAGATTTGGTCTTTTCACATAGTCCCATATTTCTTGGAGGCTTTGCTCGTTTCTTTTTATTCTTTTTTCTCTAAACTTCCCTTCTCGCTTCATTTCATTCATTTCATCTTCCATCGCTGATACCCTTTCTTCCAGTTGATCGCATCAGCTCCTGAGGCTTCTGCATTCTTCATGTAGTTCTCGAGCCTTGGTTTTCAGCTCCATCAGCTCCTTTAAGCACTTCTCTGTATTGGTTATTCTAGTTATACATTCTTCTACATTTTTTTCAAAGTTTTCAACTTCTTTGCCTTTGGTTTGAATGTCCTCCCATAGCTCAGAGTAATTTGATCGTCTGAAGCCTTCTCTCAGCTCGTCAGAGTCATTCTCCATCCAGCTTTGTTCCGTTGCTGGTGAGGAACAGCGTTCCTTTGGAGGAGGAGAGGCACTCTGCTTTTTAGAGTTTCCAGTTTTTCTGCTCTGTTTTTTCCCCATCTTTGTGGTTTTATCTACTTTTGGTCTTTGATGATGGTGATGTACAGATGGGTTTTTGGTGTGGATGTCCTTTCTGTTTGTTAGTTTTCCTTCTAACAGACAGGACCCTCAGCTGCAGGTCTGTTGGAGTAACCGGCTGTGTGAGGTGTCAGTGTGCCCCTGCTGGGGGGTGCCTCCCAGTTAGGCTGCTCGGGCGTCAGGGGTCAGGGACCCACTTGAGGAGGCAGTCTGCCCGTTCTCAGATCTCCAGCTGCGTGCTGGGAGAACCACTGCTCTCTTCAAAGCTGTCAGACAGGGACATTTAAGTCTGCAGAGGTTACTGCTGTCTTTTTGTTTGTCTGTGCCCTGCCCCCAGAGGTGGAGCCTACAGAGGCAGGCAGGCCTCCTTGAGCTGTGGTGGGCTCCACCCAGTTTGAGCTTCCCGGCTGCTTTGTTTACCTAAGCAAGCCTGGGCAATGGCGGGTGCCCCTCCCCCAGCCTCGCTGCCGCCTTGCAGTTTGATCTCAGACTGCTGTGCTAGCAATCAGCGAGACTCCGTGGGTGTAGGACCCTCCGAGCCAGGTGCAGGATATAATCTCCTGGTGCGCCATTTTTTAAGCCCGTCAGAAAAGCGCAGTATTCAGGTGGGAGTGACCCGATTTTCCAGGTGCCATCTGTCACCCCTTTCTTTGACTAGGAAAGGGAACTCCCTGACCCCTTGCACTTCCCGAGTGAGGCAATGCCTCGCCCTGCTTCGGCTCGCGCACGGTGCGCACACCCACTGACCTGCGCCCACTGTCTGGCACTCCCTAGTGAGATGAACCCGGTACCTCAGATGGAAATGCAGCAATCATGCGTCTTCTGCGTCGCTCACGCTGGGAGCTGTAGACCAGAGCTGTTCCTATTCAGCCATCTTCGCCTTTGAGTCTTAAGAAATCCTGGCACCTCATTTTCAATCTTAAAATTAACATACTGTACTCAAATATTTATCATTAATATTTGGCTTGTTTTACAAGTTTCTTGGTAATTAATGCCATTTGTATCTGTTTTCTCCTAAGAGAAACTCTGAGTGTACCAGGATTTTGACTGTTTTATTCCCTTCCTTGGGCCACCTCTTACAGCTGCTGGCACAAAGAAGGTGCTCATTTATTTATTGAATTAATGGATGTCTCTAAAAAAAGCTTTGGTGCATCCTACAAATTTTATTCTATAATTAGTATGAAAATGATGCAAAAGGATGGCAGTCAAATAAAATGCAATTTTCAGGTATTCATTATTGTGTTTTCTAGTGTCACTTTTTATTTTGACTTGCATATGGGAAATTACACTTAAACTTTCATTTGTCCCAGCACAGAGGTATATCTGCATGAGAGTCCTAGTCACTACTTACATTTATAATATAACTCTGGGTTGCAATATTTATAGGTTTATTTATGTCACTATTTTCTATTTTAATGTAATTGTTGTTTGACCCCACCACCCAACTCCCCACACATAAGCATCCTCCACAAGGCAAGGATTTTTTTTAATTTCATTCAAAGTTATAACCAAGGTTTCTAAAACAGTGCCTGCCACTGAGTATTTATTGAATAAATAAATGAATTACAAACTCTGTAGCTTAAAACCACAGAACATTTAGGGTATTGACAAACTTCCTAGATAAGATAGTCTTGCTGTGGGTATAACTTGCATTTCCCTTCAAATTACTAAACGTGTTGAGCATCTCTTACCATGTTCATTTGCTACTGCTGTTTCTTTCACGTGAAATATGCTGTTCATGTCTTTGCCCGTTTTTCTAACCGGTTGTATGTCTTTTTCTTATTTACATAGTTCTTTATATCATTCATTCTAATCCTTCAAGTTATAAGCTGGCAAATACCTTCTCTTTGTCTTTCCACTCTATGCTGTCCAAGTACAGATGCTCTTGATTTTAACGCAGCTGAATTTAATCTTTTTAATGCAGCTGAATTCAATCTTTTCATTCCTATGTATGGCCTTTTGTGTCTTCTTTTTAAAATAAATTCTTCCCTACACTGAGATAAAGATATTTCTTCCCCACCACCTCAAGCTGTTATAGTTTAACTTTCACGTTTAGGTTGGTGTTTGTGTACGGTAAGAGGCAGGTATCCCAATTTCCTTTTTGTCTGCATGAGCACGAGCATCATCTATTGCACACACTCTCCTTTTCCCAAAGTTTTGCAAAGCTACTTCTTTCACGTGACAAATCCAAAATATGGATGGGTCTGTTTCTGGGCTCTCTATTATGTTTCACTTGTTAACTTGTCTGTTTCTGTAGAAACAGCACTGACTTGGTTATGGCTTAATAACAACCCTTGGTATCTGATAGGGCAGGCCCCTGGCTCCTTACAGTTCTTCAGGAATGTCCTGGATATTCTTAGGCCTTTGCTCTTTGATATAAATTTGAGACTCAGCTTGACAAATTCCTCAAAAAAACCAGGTGGGTTTTTTTAATGGCATTGAATCTCTATCACCAATTTGGAGAGAAGGTACATCTTTTCTATACTGAGTCTTCTTTAAAGCCTTCTAACAAATTTTGTTAAGCTGCTCTTATGAATGCATTGATTGTGGTATATTTTTTAAAATGGCTGATTCAGTTTGCTAATATTTTCTTTAAATTTTTACATATAAGTCATAGGTATCTTGGCCTCTAATTTCCCTGTTTCATATACTGTCTGCTTTTGGTGTTATAATGATCTCCTAGAAAGGATAGGACAGTGTACTTCTACACTCTGGAAATGTTTGTACATCTGTTCTTTAATCATTTGCAAGAACCATCTGGGGCTAACGTTTTGTTTATGAGAAAATTTTAAATTACTGACCCAATCTCTTCAATTGCTTAGGTACTATAAGCTGTTGCTTCTTCATTCAGTCCCAGTAAGTTATATTTTTCTAGAAATTCACCTACTTTGTCTGTTTTCAAATTTATTGGCATTAATGATTCATATTATTTTATTAGTTTTTTAAAAGTCCTTATGTGCCTATTTATAACTGAACATGATTTATTTACATCTCATTTCTCTTTTTTCTTCATCAATCTTTCCAGAGGCTTGTCTTTTCCAACAGTTTCTGGCTTTGTTGATCCTGTTACTGCATCTTTGCTATATATTCTTTATTATCTCCTTCCTCCTACCTTCTTCGAGATTATTCCATTTTCTCTCCCCTAACTTAGCACATTAATTTTCAGACTTAATTCTTTTCTAATAAAAGCTTTCAGACTATAAAATTCATACAAGTTCCATCTTAGAAATATTCCATAAGTTTTAATGTTTTCAAGTCAACGTGTCCTTGAATTTCCACTTACGATTTCCTTTGACCCATAAGTTGAGAAGTGTATATCACACTTTAAAATATTGGCATTTTTATAATTTATGTCTGTAATTAACTTCTATTTTAATGCATAGTGGTCAGAGAAAGCAGTTCTTGTGATACCAGTTCTTTGAAATGTGTTGAACCTGGCTTTATGGCCTACTATGAAATCAATTTTTATACATGTTCCATAAATACCTAAGAAAAAATATTTTTTCTAATTTTTTGATGCTAGGTCCTATTACATGCCCATTAAATCAAGCTTATGTATTTAGAAGTTTTTGTCTTCACTAAAGTTTTTCTCTGCTTGACCTATCAAATACAGGAAGAATTGTGTTAAAATCTCTCACCACTATGATGGATTTGCCAATTAATCCCCAGAATTTTATCAACCAGCTTAAAAATTGTATATCCTCATACTGAATTTTAAAATGTAGTGACACTCTATTTTTATTAATGTTTTTACTATATAATCTATTATTAATAGATTATTAATAATAATTAACAGTTGATATTAACATAGCTACCCCAGCTTTTTTTCAGTAAGACTTTTATTTTGCTTGTTCTTTCATCTGACAATCTCTGCCTTCTGATGAAATTTACATTAATTTTTATTAATTGAAGACTAAACTGAGAAAGTCCTAACTGATCAGAAGGTGATTATCTTCTAACTTACTCGTCACCCACCTCAAACCCCCAGGGAAACAGGATAAGAACTCTATTTAGGCTGCCCCATTTGAGAATGGGGATGAAGGGAAATCATGCCCCAACATTACTGCAGGGCACATTTTAGTGGAGTTTTACTGTACTTGAATTTATTTCTCACATCTTACCTATTGCTTTCTAATTATCTCATTCTTTCTATGTTTTTCCCTCTTCTCTCTACTCTTCATTGGATTGTTTCAATCTTATGTTTATGTATTTATTTTCTTATTCCATTTCTTTCCCCCCTGATTTGGAAGTTATATACTCAACTACTACAGTTTCAATGGTTTACCTTGAAATTTTACCACATATATATAACAAAGTCTAAAGTTAATGTCTGACCCCATCATCCTAAATAAGGTAAGAATTTTAGAACAGTTTAATACAAATCATCCCCTTCCCTCCTAACTTACATACTATTATTGTCTAGTATTGTAGTTGTCCTTTTTCTTAGAACCCACAAATGGGTCATTATTATCATATTCATGGATGTTTCCAACAGACTGCTGAAATAATCCATAGGCCACTAGCTAAGAGGTGGCCCACTATGGTCTAGAGAGTACCAAGAAACACTGTGTGACCCATTCCCCATATATGCTGCCTCCAGGGCTGTATATGTCCTTTCCCCTACCTACCTTCCACTCACCCTTTTCAGTAGCATAATTCTACTCATTCTTTAACATATTCTTCAATATTTTCTGAGAGTCCATTATTGCAACGTGGTGGACATAGAACTGTTAACCAGATACACATGGTCTGTGCCCTCAGTGGGAACAACAGGCATGGCACTAAACAAAAGCAAGCAATACTCAATATTCATTGAGCATTTGCCAGGCATTGTTCTAAGTATTTCACATGTTAACTCATTTAATCCTTAAAACAAGCCCATGTATTTACTATACTCTCCATTTTACAGACAAAGAGAGGCTAAGAATTTTGTTATAGTCACAAGACTAGTAAGTAGAGTAGAATTAAGAGTTTCAACCCAGGCATTCTAACTCCAAACTGTACTCCTAACCACTGAGCTATACAAACAAGTCAAGGATTACAAACCATAAGTGCCATGAAGCACAGAAACAAATTGCATAGTCAAAGAATAACTGGAGTGAAGGGTTCCAAGCTTCTGAACAATTCTGGAGAAAGAAATGTAAAGATATGAAAATGAGAGTAAACAGGGGAAATGAGATGGAGACAAAAGCCTAAAAGAAAAATGAGAGCAGAAGATAATTATGACATATGTGAAACACATGTTTCAGAGGGAATGCCTGCTTCAGCTACTTCATATCTACAGCTTCTACTGAACAGGTGTAAGTAGGAGGCTATATTTCAACTCAGTGACTCCTCTCTTACACCCTGATGACCCAGTCACAGCTGTTTCAATCAACACTGTGTTAGTCTGTTTTGTGTTGTTTTAAACGAACACCTGAGACTCGGTAATTTATAAAGAAAAGAGGCTTATTTGGCTCACAGTTCTACAGACTGTACAAGCATGGCACCAACATCTGCTCAGTTTCTGGTGAGACCTCAGGAAGCTTTTACTCATGGCTGAAGAAAAAAGGTGAGCAAGTGTGTCAGATGGTGAGAGAAGGACAAGAGAAATGAGATGCCAGGCTCTTATCAACAACCAGCTTTCATGAACTAATAGAGTTCACTTATTACCAAGCCATTAATGAAGGATCCACTCTCGTGACCCAAGTAGTCCCTACTTCCAACACTGGAGGTCATATTTCAACATGAGATTTGGAGGGGACAAATATCCAAACCATATTAAGCACCATTCAGATGTTTTTCCCATGAATTCAAGTTTGGGACACAAAGAGACAGTGAAATGGAAGAAAACAAGCTGACATTTGGAGTGACATGAGTAACACTAATGGCTTAGCACTTGAGGGAAGGTCCATGATGGTTATATAACTACAGGAAACTCTGGTCACATTCTGCCTTTAAAAATTGTTTCTAACACTTTTACTGAAGAAGTATAAACACTAGTAATAATAATAATAATAATAACAATATCCCAAAAGTACAAAAAAAGTCACTAGCCATGAAAGAAATATAAATCAAAGCCATGAGATATCACTTCATACCAATTATATATTAGTCAGGGTTATCTAGAGAAGCAGAAACAATGGATGGTTAAAATCAAAAGAAATCAAAAGACAGTTCAGATATGGTGGCTCATGCCTGTAATCCCAGCACTTTGGTAGGGCAAGGTGGGTGGATTGCTTGAGCCCAGGATTTCGATACCAGCCTAGATGATATGGTTTGGCTGTGTCCCCACCCAAATCTCATCTTGAGTTGTAGTTCCCATAATTTCCATGTGTCACGGGAGACAGCTGGTGGGAGGTAATTGAATTATGGGGGGTGGTCAACCCCATGCTGCTGTTCTCATGATAGTGAGTGAGTTCTCACGAGATATGATGGTTTTATAGGGCTTTTCCCTCTTTGCTCAGCACTTCTTCTTCCTGCCACCATGTGAAGGACATGTTTGCTTCCCTTTCTGCTATGGCTGTAAGTTATCTGAGGCCTCCCCAGCCACGCGAAACTGTGAGTCAATTAAACCTCTTTCCTTTATAAAATACCCATTCTCAGGTGGTTCTTTATAGCAGCGTGAGAATGAACTAATACAGTAAATTGGTACTAGGAGTTGGGTGCTACTATAAGGATACCCAAAAATATGGAACTGACTTTGGAACTGGGTAACAGGCAGAGGTTGGAACAGTTAGGAAGGTTCAGAAGAAGACTGGGAAAGTTTGGAACTTCTTAAAAATTTGGAGAGCTCAGAAGACAAAAAGAGGTGGGAAAGTTTGTAAGTTCCCAGAGACTTGTTGAATTGCTTTGACCAAAATGCTGATAGTAATATGGGCAATGAAGTCCAGGCTGAGATGATCTCAGATGGAGATGAGGAACTTGTTGGGAACTGGAGCAAAGATGACTCTTGTTATGCTATAGCAAAGAGACTGGTGGCTTTTTGCCCCTGCCCTAGAGATCTGTGGAACTTTGAACCTAAGAGAGATGATTTGGGGTATCAGGCAGAAGAAATTTCTAAGTGGCAAAGCATTCCACAGGAAGCAGAGGACAAAAGTTTGTCAAATTTGCACCCTGATGATGTGACAGAAAAGAAAAATCTATTTTCTGAGGAAAAAATTCAAGCCAGCTGCAGAAATCTGCATAAGAAACAAGGAGTGAAATGTTAATCACTAAGACAATGGGGAAAATGCCTCCAGGGCACTTCAGAGGTCTTCAGGAAGGGCCCTCCCATCATAGGCCCAGAGGCCCAGGAGGAAAAAATGGTTTCCTGGGCCAGGCCCAGGGCCTTGCTGCTTTGTGCAGTCTCAGGACTTGGTGCCCTGCATCCCAGCCATGGCTAAAAGGAGCCAAGGTACAGCTCAGGCCATGGCTTCAGAAGGTGCAAGCCCCAAGCCCTGGCAGCTTCCACAAGGTGTTGAGTCTGCGGGCACACAGAAGATAAGAATTAAGGTTTGAGATCCTCTGCCTAGATTTCAGAGGATGTATGGAAATGCCTGGATGTCCAGACAGAAGTTTGCTGCAGGGGTGGAGCCCTTGAGGAGAACCTCCGCTAGGGCAGTGCAAAAGGGAAATGTGGGGTTGGAGCCTTCACACAGAGTCCCCACTGGAGCACTGCCTAGTGGAGCTGTGAAAAGAGGGCCACCATCCTCCAGTACCCAGAATAGTAGATCCACCGACAGCTTGCACCATGCACCTGGAAAAGCCACAGACACTCAACGCCAGCCTGTGAAAAGAGCCAGAAGGGGGTCTGTACCCTGAAAAGCCACAGGAGTGCAGATGCCCAAGGCCATGGGAGCCCACTTCTTGCATTAGCATGAACTGGATGTGTGATGTGGAGTCAAAGGAGATCATTTTGGAGCTTTAAGATTTGACTATTCCACTAGATTTCGGACTTACTTGGGGCCTGTAGCCCCTTCATTTTGGCCAATTTCTCCCATTTGGAACAAGTATATTTAATCAATGCCTGTACCCTCATTGTATCTAGGAAGTATAATAACTACCTTGCTTTTGATTTTACAGGCTTATAGGCAGAAGGGACTTGCCTTGTCTCTGATGAAACCTTGGACTTTTAGGTTAACGCTGGAATGAGTTAAGACGCTGAGGGACTGCTGGAAAGGCATTATTGTGTTTTGCAATGTGAGAACATGGGATTTGGGAGGGACCAGGGCAAAAATGATATGGTTTGGCTGTGTCCTCACCCAAATCTCATTTTGAATTATAGTTCCAATAATCCCCACATGTCACAGGAGGGACCCAGTGGGAGGTAATTGAATCATGGAGGAGGCTACCCTCATTCTGATGTTCTCATGATAGTGAGTAACTTCTCATGAGATCTGATTATTTTATAAGGGTTTTTTTCCCTCTTTGCTAGGCACTGCTCTTCCTGCCATCATGTGAAGAAGGACGTGTTTGCTTCCCCTTCCACCATGATTGTAAGTTTCCTGAGGGCTCCTCAGCCAAGCAAAAGTAAGTCAATTAAACCTCTTTCCTTTATAAATTACCCAGTCTCAGGCAGTTCTTTATAGCAGCATGAGAATGGACTAATACACCAGGCAACATGGCAAAACCACATCTCTACAAAAAATATAAAAATTAGCCAGGCATTGTGGTACAATGCCTGTAGTCCCAGGTACTCAGGAGGTGAGAGGATCAATTGAGCCAGGGAAGTTGAGGCTGCAATGAGCCATGATTGTGCCATTGCACTCCAGATGGGATGACAGAGCAAGACCCTTTCTCAAAAAAAAAATAAAAATCAAAAAATGAAAAGACAGACAGTAATGAGTATTCATATAGCTATGGAGAAACTGAAACCTTCATTCATTGCTGCTGGGATTATAAAATGGTGCAGCCACTTTAGAAACAATTTGGAAGTTCTTCAAAATATTAAAGATATTTAATTAAATATTAAAGAATCTCTAGACAGGCTGACTGTTGAAGGGCATTCTCAGACAAAGCCAGTCTGCAAAGACTGAAATAAGTGCCTACTTCTTCAAATGCACAGATGTAAACACAAGGCCACAAACATCAACAACAATCAGGAACAAATGACACCACTAAAGAAACAAAATAAAGTACCAGCGACCATCCCTAAAGAAACAGAGATGTATGAACTGACATAGAATTCAAAGAAAGCTCAGCAAACTTCAAGAAAATACAAAGAAACAATTCAATGAAATTAGGAAAATAACGAGTGACCACAAAGAGAAAGGTAATAAAGAGATGAAATAATAAAAGAAAAAATCAAACAGAAATCATGGGGCTGAAAAATACAATGAACAAAATTAAAATGCAATATGGGAGCATCAACTGCAGAAGTGATCAAGAAGAAGAAAGAAACTATGAACTCAAAGACAGGTTATTTGAAAATACACAGAGGAGAAAAAAGAATGAAAATGAATGAAGAAAGCTTACAAGATTTATGGAACAGCATCAAAAGAGCAAAGTTTTGAGTCACAGGAGTTGAAGAAGGAGAAAAGGAAGATAAAAGGGGTAAAAAGCTTAATTAAAGAAACAGTAACAGAAAATTTTCCAAACCTGGAGAAAGAGGTAAATATCTACATGCAGGAAAAGTCCAAGGTCTCTAATCAGATTCAATCCAAACAAGACTACCCCAAGACATATTACAATCAAACTATCAAAAATCAAAGACAATGAGAGGATCCTGAAAACAGCAAAAGATAAGAAGCAAATAACATATAAGACAGTCCCAATATGGTTGGAAACAGACTGGTCAGCAGAGACCTAACAGGTCAGGAGAGAAAGGGATGATATATTTAAAGCGTTCAAGGAGAAAAATACCAACCAAGGGTAATGTACCCAGCAAAGTGTCCTTCAGAAATGAAGGAGAGATACTTTCCCAGACAAACAATAGCTGAGGGAGATAATCATGACCGCACCTATTTTATAAGAAACGTAAAAGGAGCTCCTCAAGCTGAAAGAAAAAGATGCTAATGAGTAACACAAAAACATCTGAAAGTATAAAACTGGCTGATAAAAGAAAGTACACAGGTAAATTCAAAATAATACTGTAATGATGGTATGCAAATCACTTACATCTGTAGTAGGAAAGAGAAAACTATTAAAAGTAATAATAGCTACAATAATTTAAGGGATACACAATATGAAAAGAGGTAAACTGTGACATCAAAAATTCAAAATTTCAGGGGATTAAGTAAAAGTGTAGATTTTTTTGTTTTGGGGGGTTTTTGCAATAAAAATTAAGTTATCAAGTTAAAATAAACTATTATAACTCTTAAGATGTTTTTTGTAACCTCTTGGTAACCACAAACCAAAAACCAATAGGAGATACACAAAAAATAAAAAGCAAGAAATCAAAACATACCACTAGAGAAAATCACTTAACCACAAAAAAAAGACAGCAAGAGAGGAAGAAAAGAATAAAGGATCTATAAAAGAACCATGAAACAATAAGCAAAATGGTAGTACAAAGTCCTTACTTATCAATAATTACCTTGAACATGAATGGATTAAATTATCCAATCAAAAAACACAGTGTCTGAGTGGATTAAAAAAACTAGATCCAACTATATGCTGCCCATGACAGACTCATTTCATCTGTAAAAATACACACAGACTGATGGTGAAGGAATGGAAAAAGATATTCCATGGAAACAGAAACCAAAGGAGAGCAGGAGTAACTTTACTTGTATCATATAAAACAAACTTTAAGTCAGAAGTTGTAAAGGAGAAACAAAGTTCCTATATAATGATAAAAGGGTCAATTCAATAAGAGGATATAATAGTAAGTTATATGAAGGTACTTTTACTCCACTCCTCCCATTTTAAATTTTCAGTGTCACAATTTATATATTTTATATTGCATATCCCTTAATAAGTTATGTAGCTATTGTTTTTTATAAATATATATGAACCCAACATCAGAGCACCTAAAGATAAATACCAAACATTGGCCAGGGGTGGTGGCTCACACCTGTAATCCCAGCACTTTGGGAGGCCAAGGCGGGTGGATCATGAAGTCAAGAGATCAAGACCATCCTGGCCAACATGGTGAAACCCCGTCTTTACTAAAAATACAAAAATTAGCTGGGCGTGGTGGCATGCGCCTGTAGTCCCAGCGACTCGGGAGGCTGAGGCAGGAGAATCGCTTGAACCGTGAGACGGGGGCTGCAGTGAGCCGAGACCCTGCCACTGCACTCCAGCCTGGTGACAGAGTGAGACTCCGTCTCAAAAACAACAACAACAACAACAACAACAAATAAAATAAAATAAAAACCATTAATACGTCTGAAAGGAGAGAGAGACTGCAATACAGCAATAGTAGGGGACTTCAACACCCTACCTTCAGCAATAGACAAATCATCTCAACAGAAAATCAGTAAGAAACATCAGACTTAAACTATACTCTAGAACAAATGGACAGATCAGACATAAAACATTTCACCTAATGGCAAGAGAATACACATTCTTCTCAACTGCACATGGAACATGCACCAGGGGATATCATATGTTAGGCCACAAAACAAGTCTTAACAAATTTAAGCAGAATGAAATCATATCAAGTTTCTTTTCCGACCACAATAATAAAAAACTAGAAATCAGGCCAGGCGCGGTGGCTCACGCCTGTAATCCTAGCACTCTGGGAGGCCGAGGCGGGCAGATCACGAGGCCAGGAGATCAAGACCATCCTGGCTAACACAGTGAAACCCCGTCTCTACTCAACATACAAAAAATTAGCCGGGCGTGGTGGCGGGTGCCTGTAGTCCCAGCTACTCGGGAGGCTGAGGCAGGAGAATGACGGGAACCCGGGAGGCGGAGCTTGCAGTGAGCCAAGATCGGGCCACAGCACTCAAGCTCGAGGACAGAGTGAGACTCCGTCTCAAAAAAAAAAACAACAACTAGAAATCAGTAACAGAGGTGCTTCAGCAAATTCACAAATACATGGAAATTAAACAACATGCTCCTGAATGATCAGTGGGTCAATGAAGAAACTGAAAGCAAAATTCAAAAATTTCCTGAGATGAAAAAAAATGGAAACACATAATACCAAAACCCATGGAACACAGTAAAAGCAATTTTAAGAGCAAAGTTTATGGCAGTAAATGCCTACATAAAAACAAAAAACCTCAAATAAACAACCAAAAAACCCCAATAGACATTTTTCAAAGACATACAAATGGCCAAAAAGTACAAAAAAAAAAAAAAAGCTCGATATCACTAATTACCACAGAAATGCAAATAAAAGCCACAATGAGATATCACCTCATACTACACTTAGAATGACTATTACCAAAGAGACAAAAGATAACAAGTGTTGGCAAGTATGTAGAGAAAAGGGAACTTTTGCACCCTGTTGGTGAGGAGTTAAACTAATACAGCCATTATGGAAAGCAGTATGGAGTTCCTTTAAAAATTAAATATAGAACTACCATATGATCCTGCAATCCCACCACTGTATGTATGTGTGTGTATACATATATATATACACATATATAAAATGAAATCAATATGTCAAAGAGCCATGTGCATTCCCATGTTCATTATAGCACTATTCACGATAGCCAAGATACGGAATCAACCTAAGTGTCCACCAATGCATGAAGAGAGAAAATGTGCTATATATATACAATAGAAAACTATTCGGCCATTAAAAAAAGAAGGAAATCCTGTTATCTGTAACAATATGAATGAAATAAGCCAGGTAAAGACAAATAAATACTGCATGATCTCACTCATGTGGAATCAGAAAAAGTTAATCTCATAGAAGCAGAGAGCAGAATACTTTGGGAGTCGGGTATGGTTTGTGTTAAAGGACACACAATTTCAGCTTGACATGAGGAATAAGTTCAAGAGCTCCACTATACAACATGAAGACTACAATTAATAATAATATATTATATTCTTGAAAAATACTAAGAGAATGGATGTAAAGTGTTCTCACCACAGAAATCATTAAGTATGAGATGTATCATGTTAATTAGCTAGACTTAGTCACTCCACAATGTACATATACTTCAAAACATCATGTTGTACATGATAAATACATGTAATTCTGTCAATTTAAAAATAAATAAATGTTTTAAGTCACTGAATTGTATACTTTAGAAAAGTGAATTTATGGCATGTGAATTACATCTCAGTAAAGCTGCTGGCTAGGTGCGGTGGCTCACTTCTGTAATCCCAGCACTTTGGGAGGCCAAGATGGGTGGATCACCTGATGTCAGGAGTTCGAGACAAGCCTGACCAATATGGTGCAAACCCGTCTCTAGTAAAAATAAAAAAAAATAGCCAGGCGTGGTGGCGCGTGCCTATAGTCCCAACTACTCAGGAGGCTGAGGCAGGAGAATTGCTTGAACCTGGGAGGCGGAGGTTGCAGTGAGCTGAGATCGCACCATTGCACTCCAGCCTGGGCAACAGAGCTAGACTCCATCTCAAAAAAAAAAAAAAGTTACCATAAAATATTTATATTAAAAATTGTGTAGCTACTTTTAAATATCCAACCCTCTGCATTATCCTTTGCTATGGACTGAGCTGTGTCCCTCCCAAATCCAAATGTTGAGGCCCTAACCCACCGTGTGATTATATCTGGAGATAGCATCTTTAGGGGGTAAAGTCAAATAAAGTCATAAGAATGGAACCCTGATCCAACAGGACTATGGCCTTATAATAGAAAGCAAGAGAAAGATCTCTCTCTCTCTCTCTCTCTCTCTCTCTCTCTCTCTCTCTCTCTCTCTCTGCCATATGACAATACAGTGAGAAGGGGTCTATCTGCAAGCCAGAAAGAGAGCCCTCACTACAACCCAACCATGCTGGCACTCTCATCTTAAACTTCCAGCTCCCAGACCTGTGAAAAACTAAATTTCCATTGTTTAATGCATCCAGCCTATGGTATTTTGTCATGGCAGCTAAGCTAATACTTCTTAGTCTATTCTGAAGCTTGGGCTTAGAATTTGCATTATTCCTAAAGCTATCAAAGAAAATATAGGAATATGATTTCTGGCCTAACAGCCAGGGAAAAGCCCTCACTTTCCTATAAGAATATTACTTTAGAAGCAGAATATTATATGCTCTATATCTCACTGTCCAAATTCTGTTTATCTTCTTTTCATGTTTTAGGTTTTCATTTCCTCAGGAAAGCCCTTCTCATCTAGTACTAACAAAAGTCATTACGTGCTCAGCCTTGAGACTTTGAGCCTTCCTCTTGAGCAGCTGTTTGTAAAAGAAATTATGAAGAGAGAGAAAGGATGAAAATGCTATTGGCACAGATATAAAATGAGATAAATTCAATAACAAAGCCATTTAGAAAGATTTTTAGACAATGTGAGGACTGAAAATATTCACAACAATATTAATACAATATAATTGTCCTTTCTGTTTTACGTTATCATAAAAAATCAGTTCCTGCCCTGTGTTTATAGCAACAGAGTATTTGAGAGCACCTGGGCTGCAGAGATTACTGCTCTATCCCATGAAACAAAACATTAAGAGTATAAAAGTCTGACTTAAATAGTCAAACTGATTGCCCCAGACAATAAGGTTCAAATTTGCATTTCTGTTTTCTGAAAGTTTAAACAGGTATTTCTTTGTTAGCTTGGAGAGCTTAGTAATTTCCCTTTTTTCCAGTCACATCTAGGTTAAATAATGTGATGAATCTGCTAGTCTTCTTAGTTTGAATCAATGAGTTTTACTGTCACATTAGAAATCAAATGGAGAAAAAGCAACACCAAAACTCTTCAGCTCCTCATCTATGGAGTTAAAACCTTACTTCCTGCCATTCCACTATCCTTTGAGGCCTTGAAAGAAAGAGTCCAGTCTGAGCTTACACTTCCCATTCTTACACTTTAGATAAATGTACACATACAAAATGAATGGGAGGAAAAAAGACAAAAAGATCTTGGATATACATAATGAAGACTAGGGAGGTGTTTTAAAGCCACACTTACAAACACAGAGTTCTAATGCAGAATATTAAAGTGAAAGTCAATTGTTGACCAACATGAAGAGCTTACCTTTGAAGAATCAACTCTGCTTGTTGTTCAGAAATAGTCAGACCCAGTGTCTGGAGAGACTGGACAATTTCTGAAGCCTCAATTTTTCCTTTAAAAAAATAAAAAGGGCAAAAAATAAAACTCAGAACTGGTAAGAACCACAGAAATTATGAATTTCAAATCTCTCATTTAAGAGAAAGCTTTAAACTGATTAAGGCAAAATTGTGCATGTAGGTGAGTTATAGACTTGCTTAAATGCCTATCCCAACATCAATACTAAAAATGTAACAAATACATTAAAAAATAAATACACATTTTTTAAAATTCAGTAATTGTAACAGCCTTATAGATAAATAATATTCCTCCAAAGAGACTGACTTCACAAGTGGCCTTACCAAGTAATGTAATTAAGAAGTAGCAGAACTAAAATCCAAATCAAGATATTCTAACTCCAAGATAAATTCAATTAAAGTAGGATCTATTCATTTTAAAAGTACCTATTTCTACATTTTTAATAAATTACTAGACATTTACTATGCAAAACATCATATATGACTGAGTTAAAGAGAAGTAGTAAATGAGGAAATAGAGCTAAAGCACAGACTATTCTTTTAAAAATCTGGCAGTAAAAGGCCAGGCACAGTGACTCACACCTGCAATCCCAGCACTTTTGGAGGCTGAGGCGGGTGGTTCACCTGAGGTCAGCAGTTAGAGAGCAGTGTGGCCAACATGGTGAAACCCCGTCTCTACTAAAAATAGAAAAATCAGCCAGGCATGGTGGCAGGTGCCCATAATCCCAGCTACTTGGGAGGCTAAAAGAGGAAAATTGCTTGAAGCTGGGAGGCGGAGGTTGCAGTGAGCTGAGATCGCGCCACTGCACCCCAGCCTGGGTGACAGAGTGAGACTCCATCTCAAAAATAAATAAATAAAAATAAAAATCTGGCAGTAAAAATAAGGGAGCAAGGATAAAAGAACAACAAAAGACAGAAAATTTTTAATACTAGGGAAATTAGAGCGTGTTTGTGGACAGAAGGAGAACAATCAGAAGACAGGAAGAGAAAATAGAAAATAAAATAGAAGCAATAAATGTAAGCACTGCTGTATTTCCTTCTAGCAGCTCACAGGCTCATGAGAATCCTAAGACTACTGTACATGAAAAAGAATGAAACAAAACAAAGTAAGAGAGGGTCTGGTGCTGAAGCAGCATAAACAGCTGACTTCTCCAGAAAAAGAGGAAGACCAAAATTACTGTTAGTGGTGAAAGGATAGACTTTCTTGGAGAAAGGACCCTGGAGAGATGACAGGATTCTGAGAGAATCCTCCTGGGGAGAGGGAAGGAGCAGCATGAGAATCTGGACCATGTAAGGACAGTGAGAGGCAGCATCTGTTAGTAAAGAAATTATGCAAATACCCTTCTGAATATTCTCCTTTAGAAATGCACTCTTAAAGAGATATGGTTAATTCTCATTATTCACAGCAATCATCTTCCATAAAGTTCTATATTCATTGCAAACACTGAATTAGCAAATACCAAACCATTGTTCCTACAGGAAAAACAGGGTTAGGTTCCTGTGAGCCTCTGATTACAACACTTTCATCAACTGATTAATACATAACCATGTCTTATGTCTGTTTCTGTTTGAACGCACCTCATTTAATGTGTGCTGTTGATTCACTAACATTGAATTTGGGGCAAAGCTTATCAAACGCATATATTTTCTCCATAAGGCATGCTATGGCTTTCTTGCACTTAGGAACACTAGACAGCACTTCAGCACTACCTTTGGGGAACATTTTAAAAAGGAAATTACCAACAAAAATACAAAAATGCAAAAACTGGCACAAAACAGACCTTGAAAGGGATACTTGCTAGTTAATAGTATGAGAGCTGAAACAAGAAGGCAGAGTATTGCCTTATTCTACTAGCTAGGAATGTACATGCTGAGCAACTCAAGTTTTTCACTGCTCTGTGCATGTCCATGAATGCCTGGGAAAGTACTGTGAGTATATATTTTGGGGTTACTTTGGGGATAAATTTTATTGAGTAGGCAAATTTGCAAATACAGAATCCCCAAATAATGAGGATCAACTGTATATGTTTTGCATTAAGGAAGTCTAAAAAATAAAAATATGAACCAATAATGCCACATTGTTTTAAAATACACAAACATGGGAAATTAGGGAAACATTGTGTAGATTTCCTACAAATATACCATCAAAATTTCATCTTTAATTATTGCCTCTGGTTCATTTAGAATTTTATAAAATGAACAATTGATATGTACACTACTTATGCACTGGGATAATTGACCTCTGATTATCTGGCAATTGATCTTAAGGTAGCTCCATCTCTCAGCTACTGCCTGCCATAGCAGCACACAGACAATCTGACCTGCAAGACAATCTGAACTGCAGAGGGTCGATGTTGGAATGAAAGTTTGCAGAGAAGAAAGAAAACTGAGTTTTGCTAGAAGACTGGACTAAGGCTAGACTTAGGGGCATATATTGTAAGGCTTATGGGCAACAAATGTTCCAATAGTACTACTTTCCAACCCAAACTCAGCTCTTCCTGGCTGAGAGTCACAGATGTGAATAATCTTCAAAATCATCTAGAGTTTAGTTTGTTTGTTTGAAGGAACTTGCTTTGAATTAAACTTTAATATTCATTGTAAATCAGGGGATGGCAAACTATAACCCTCAAGCCAAATAAGGTGTATTAACTATCTTTGTAAATAAAGTTTTATTGGAAATCAGTCATCCCCATTCATTTACATATTATCCATGGCTGCTTTTGAGGTACAGCAGCAGAGACAAGTAGCTACAACTGAGACCACATGACCCACAAAGCTAAAATATTTATTATCTGGACTTCTGGACAAAAAAGTTTGCTGATCTCAGACATGAACCACATTTCCTCTCAATCTATTTGTTTAACCTGTTTCTTTAATAACAAGTCTGTAAATGAAATGACCTTGACTATTCACAAGTAGGGAGGGATTTGGTGCTGCATTATAATTTTTATAAATTCTCTCTTCCTGTTAAAGGTTACCTCTAGTGATGAGGGCTTCAAGACCCTATTTCCAATTAGAATTAGATAAGGTCTTCAGAGTAGGGCCCCCATGATGGGACTAGTGGCTTTTTAAGAAGAGGAAGAGAGATCTGAGGTAGTGCATTTGCTCTGTGATGCCTGCTAGCATGTTATGACATAGTAAGAGGCCCTCACCAGATTCGGCTCAACTTTGAACTTCCCAGCCTCCAGAACTATAAGAAATAAATTTCATTTCTTCATAAATTACCCAGTCTGTGGTACTCCATTACAGCAACAGAAAACAGATTAAGACAAACTCCAACCTATTAATCGAAATATAGAAGTCATAATCTTAACCAGAAGGTACACACTTAAACGTTTATATGCTATTTTTCCCTAATTTCCAGGATCAGAGATATCTTCTCTAAATTAATTCTTCCAAAAAAACTAACAGATGCAAGATAATCTGAAAGTTTTTTAAATTTTAGATGACACAACTGTCATTCTTCTATACAAATAAAAAGAAATCTCATTTTACCCAGAGGACAAGAAAATATAATTATTATTTTTAACCTACAGGTTTAACTCAAATCAGCATAATGTTCCATAGTTAACATTTACAACAGGCCCTGCCCACAGTTTTTAATTCAGAAATGTAATTCATTACATTTCAAAGTAATGAAAAAGAAAAGCTATCTATAAGTTTTCTTCACTAAATAATATAAACTCTACATAAAAATCACATTACTAAAAAAAAGTATTAACACAAATAATAATTATCATCTAAAACCAGAGAGATTAAATAAGCATCCTTTTAGACTCTTGAAAGCATGATAAATGCTTCTTCATAGCTGGTGATAAATACAAAAGAAAGACACACCATCATTATTTTTGTCTAAACTCTTAAATGCCAATTTCATTTTCTTCTCATGGTCTTTAAGGTACTTCATAAATTCTTCAAAATCCAGCTTCCCATCTTTGTTGACATCTCCAGTAGTAAAAATTTTCTATAAAAAAAAATTAGAGAGAAGTTATTGCCAATATGGGCTGATGCACTAAATTATTTCTACACATATTTCAAGCAGATTAGCTGTTTTCCTAAAAGACTATAGTACCTATTTTTGGCCAGATGTATCATCATTCATTATCGCAAAGATCTATAATAAAAGTAATTCCACTACTGCAAAAAGATTCTGAGTCTTGTGTTAAATTTTCAATCAGAAAAATGATGCATTGATTTTTATAAAACATGACATTTTTAAAGCTAATCTAACCATACCCTAAATTTCTTGACATGTACTTTATAAACCCCAAGATAGAAGACAACCACTTGACCTACCACAGGATTTAAAATATTGCAGCACTTTGGGAGGCTGATGGGGGAGGATCACTTGAGGTCAGGATTCAAGACCAGACTGGACAACATAGTGAGACCTCATCTCCATAAAAAATTTTTAAAATTAGCCAGATGTGTTGGTGCATGCCTGTAAATACTAGCTACTTGGAGGCTGAGGTAGGAGGATCACTTGAGCCCAGGAATTTGAGGTTACAGTGAGCAATATTGCACCACTGCATTCTAACCTGGTGACAGAGCAAGACCCTGTCTCTAAAAAAGAAAGAAAGAAGAAAGCCTAAACTAGTGTTTTCCCCTTTGATTTCAAAAATTAAATAATCTTTTACTAAGGATGATCCATATAAAAAGCTGTCATAGCAAACTGTAAGCCCTCTCCTACCACCACCCAAAATATAACCTATCTACCTATTATGACACTCATAGTCACCCACTCAAAGCTTACAAATTCTACTGTTCTCATGGTCATGCTCTTCTGGGTAAATAATGCCAAGTTGGGCCGGGCACAGTGGCTCATTCCTATAATCCCAGCACTTTGGGAGGCTGAGGTGGGCGGATCACCTGAGGTCGGGAGTTCAAGACCAACCTGACCAACATGGAGAACCCCCATCTCTACTAAAAATACAAAATTAGTTGGGCATGGTGGCGCATGCCTGTAATCCCAGCTACTTGGGAGGCTGAGGCAAAAGAATCGCTTGAACCTGGGAGGTGGAGGTTGCTGTGAGCCGAGATCGCACCATTGCACACCAGCCTAGGCAATAAGAGTGAAACTCTATCTCAAAAAAAAAAAAAAATTAAAAAAATAATGCCACATTGTGACTGGATGGTTTCATGGTCATGGTCAGATCTCCAACCTCCAGACTGAGAGACAGATCTGAAACTTGTGAGCTGCAACTAAAGCTACACTTAGAGAAAGATTTCTGGTTTAAAATGCATAATTAGAAAAGAAGAAAGACTGGAAATCGGTGACCCATCATTGAGGCTTATCTCAATCTCAAGAAATTATTTTAAAATTAAGCAAAAAAGAAGTTGAAGGAAATAAAGAGCAAAAAGTAATGAGAAAGAAAACACACCATTGGGAGGATTAACAAAGCCAAAAGATGGTTCTTTGAAAAGACTAATAAAATTGATAAACTCCTAAAACTGGCAAATAACCAATGTCAGAAAGTAAAGATGGAAACTACTAGACACTATAGACATTAATGATATTATGAAAAGCTTTATATCAAAAATATGAAAGTGAGATAACAAACGCCTACAAAAACAACTTATTAAAAACTGACATAAGACAGCAGAAAGTCTGATAGCCCTATACTCAGATTTTAAAGAAATTTAAAGTGTAATTTGAAAACATTTCCATGAAGAAAAATCGAGGACCCCATGGTTTTAACAATAATGTCTACCAAACTTTAAGAAAAAAACACCAATTTTCCAGAGAACAGAAAGGGTGGGAACATTTTCCAACCCATTTTATGAGGCGGGTATACACTTGATTCTAAAACCTAACAGGGACATCACAAAAAAAGGAAAATTACAAGCAATGTCAACTAGTGAAAAAGATGCAAAACTCCTGTATAAAATATTAGCAAATCAAATCTCATAATACACGAAATGGATAAGACATTATAGATATATATATATATATATTCATGCACTGTATACATTTCAGTCAATGATAGACCATATATATGACAGTGATTTAGTAAGGTTATAGTACTATATTTTCACCATGGAATACTACACAGCCATAAAGAAGAATAAAATCACGTCCTCTGCAGCAACATGGATGCAGCTGAAGGCCATTATCCTAAGCGAATCAACGCAGAAATAGAAAACCAAACACCACAAGTTCTCACATACACATGGGAGCAAAACATGGGGTGCACACGGATATAAAGATGGGAAAAGCAGAAACTGGGGACTACAAGAACGGGGAGGGAATGGACAAGGGTTGAAAAATTATCGATTGGGTACTATGCTCACTACCTGGGTGACAGGGTTCAATTGTACCCCAAACCTCAGCATCATGCAATATACCCTTGTAACAAATGTGCACACACCCTCCAAATCTCAACTAAAAGTTGAAAAAAATTACCATATTTTTACTGTATCTTTTCTATGTTTAGATACACAAATACTTAGTGTGTTATAACTGCCTACGGTATTCAGTAAAGTAACCTGTTATAATCCAAGAGAAAAATGTCACAGCATTCTGTGGCGCCATTTACGTACTGAAGTTTCATCTAAGAGGTTTATATTTTGGCCAATGGAAATATCAGCGAACAAGAATAGTCACCGACCAAAAGGGGCTTGCTGCCCGATGAACTAGAAGTCAATACTATAATACCAGGTGTTGAGAAAAGAAAAGCTTTTTATTGCAAGGTGACCCACAAGAAGACAGGAGTCCAGCTCAAATCTGTCTCCCTATGCTGGCTTTAAGGTAGTTATTAGAAAAGGTTTGGGGGCGGATTCTGGGATTAGTGGGTGATTGGTGGAAGGAAATGGGGAGGTCTCCCAAGTCCTTAGGCATGCATAGTTACCTCTTCATGCTACCTCACAGATCATGTGTGAAAATCCGGGGGGAGTTAGTATAAAATATGTGGTGGAAATTTGGGCTGTAACATCACCAAGTTAGTTCTGTGCAGACTTGAGTTGGCCATATTCATTCCAACCAGTTTTAGCCAGTTTTGTGTTATCTTACAAGTGGAGAGATTTTCAGTGTTTCAGCAAGTTGCTTCTTTTTTAATCTGTCATCCTGAAAACAAGATTTTCTCTTAGTCATTTGTTCCTTTCACTCTTTGGGGCCACAGTTTTCACTAACATTTTGGAAGTAACAAGTTAAAGGACATCCCTGACCCTATTTTTGAACAGTTTTTTTTAACCCATATTTCTGCAGCATTTCTGATGGCAAATCAAGAGTTATGATTGCCTAATGAGTCTGACTTAACAATACAATAGTCCTCCCTTATCCACAGTTTCACTCTCTACAGTTTCAGTTACCTGCGGTCAATCATGGTCTGAACTATTAAATGGAAAACTCCAGAAACAAACAACTCATAAGTTTTAAATTGCACACCATTCTGAGTAGCATGATAAAATCTCTCAACATTCTGTGCCATCCTGCCCAGGAGGTGAATGTCCTTTTGTCCAGCATATCCACACTATAGATGCTACTTGCCTGTTAGTCACTTAGTAGCTGAACCAGTTATCAGATCAAAAATATATAGTCTATGGCTGGGCGCATGGTGGCTCACGCCTGTAATCCCAGCAGTTTGGGAGGCCAAGGTGGGCGGATCACTTGAGGTCAGAAGTACAAGACCAGTCTGGCCAACTTGGTGAAATCCCGTTTCTACTAAAATTTAAAACAATTAGCCAGGAGTGGTGGCACACGCCTGTAGTCCCAGCTACTCCGGAGGTTGAGGCACAAGAATTGCTTGAACCCGGTAGACAGAGGTTGCAGTGAACCAAGACTGCACCCCTGCACTCAGCCTGGGTGACAGAGTGAGACTCCATCTCAAAAAAAAAAAAAAGAGCTAAAGCTAATTAAAGATAAAGTAAAAAAAAATTAAAAAATATATATATATATGTATATATAGAGAGAGTATATATAGGGTTCAATATTACCCACAGTTTCAGGTATTCAGTGGGGGTCTTGGAAAATATGCCCTGCAGATAAAAGGGGACTACTATAATATGAAAGATTAGGAATGGATTCCCCTTTAAATTTTCTTGTATGTTCCTTCTAGAAATAAAAGACCAATCAAATGAGAAAAGTAAAATCTACTTGGCCCGAGTTTGCTATAGCAAGGGAGTCAGACACCCTCACTTGTGTATTGACAGAGACTCAAAGCCAGGCAGAGGAGTGGGAAAGCTTTACAGTGAGAAAAAGGGAAGGCTTCAGGCGTTTCCTGATTGGGGGCTGCTGGCCTGGGGAAGCTGTAGGAGGGTTCATTAGAAACGCGGCACCCTATTTGATTAGTAGGTGGTGCATATTTAGCTTTCTCTGGTTCGTCCTAAGTTGGAAGTGAAGAAAAAAATTAGGGGGGCTGTCGGTTATTAATCAAATTCTGACCATTTGGGGCTGTTACAGCAGTTATTGCATAGCTTTGTGTATTGTCTCTAGAGATAGCAACCTGACTTCCTATAAGTCTGACATAACAGGCTGGTTTCCTGGTCTGTTTATTTTAGATAAAGGGCTGGTTTTCTGGGCAGACTGCTGTAAATTTTGAGTCAAAGTTCTATTTTTATTTATGGTCTGACCATTATCTCTTCGTATATTTAGTTTCTCAACTTTCACAGGAAAAAACAAAACAATATATTGTTCAAAAACAGACTATTTTCACAATAAAAAGTTATTGCTTTTGTATCTTAACACGACAATGTAAGTATCATTTCTTTTTTTTTTTTTTAATCAGTTGAGTTTTGTCTATATAAACAAATTTTCCTACTGGGGAGGTGGAGACGTGTGGGAAGAGACCTCACATCAAAACCTCCTAACGATGTGACTGCCACTTGAGGAAAAGTCACAATGGTGCTCCTCTGAAACAGAATGTTCTGTGTGGTTGGTGCAGAATTCTCTGGGGACACCCCTCCCTTGGGTTTTGACATGTGAACCCTCCTCAGTCACCACTAGGTACACAAAGCGTCCTTGCCAAAAATGCAAGACAGCTCTACAAACCTTTTGTTTCAATAAGGAAGAAATGTGTTTCAAAAGATTCGACTTGATAGCTAACCCAGAATTTCTTATGAAAGGCTAGTTTGTATCAAATAAACAAATACAACTTACACTTGCAAATCTAAATATAAGAGTGTCTTTAAACAAATATGAAGAACACTTAACTTTTTTTTTTTCTTTTTGAGATGGAGTCTCACTCTGTCACCCAGGTTGGAGTGCAGTGATGCAATCTCAGCTTGCTGCAACCTCTGCCTCCCAGGCTCAAGTGATTCTCCTGCCTCAGCCTCCTGGGACTACACACACCCACCACCACACCCGGTTAATTTTTGCATTTTTAGTAGAGATGGGGTTTTACCATATTGGCCAGGCTGGTCTTGAACTCCTGACCCCAAGTGATCCACCTGCCTTGGCCTCCCAAAGTGCTGGAATTACAGGCATGAGCCACTGCACCTGAACAAGAACACTTAACTTTAAAAGGAGAAACACTGCTTTTTTCTAGGAATTAAAAATCCAGATAAGCTTTGCAGAAATAACATTTTGGACTGAATTGGTCCACAGAAAGTACACAGTCCAGGCCTCTGATATAACAGATGAGGATACCAGGGTATGGGGCTTGGAATATAGAATGTGCTCAAACTAGAACTGACCCATGACTGAATGGATGCTTCAATATTCCCAAAGTTCACATGGCTAATAGAAAGAGTTTTACTAAATTTCAACATGACAGAACTCAACTGACAGTTTTTTGGGCACGAAGTACCAATTATCCAAAATAAACTCAATAGTCCACATGCTCATGATCTCCCAGTCTACCGGGTCAAACATCCAAAGAGCAAATATACTTATAAAGTAATTATTATATACAATAATAAATTCCAAATGAAAAATGACTTGGAAATACTGCAATAGGAGTATGTACGAAGCACAACATGCTGAGAAGGAGCCTGTAGGTTAGCCTTCTGGGGAAGAGAAGGGTTAGCCTAAGCTCGGTACTGATAACTAGGGTCTATCAATTAAGGCATATTATGAGGAAACCTCAGCACTAGTGAAACCCGAGAGTAAAAGCCACTTCCACTGCCCCCTTCCAGGAACAGAAACCGAAACATAACATCAGAAAATTTCCAATCACCACCCCACTCCCAAATACACGTAGAGTGATTATTCCAGTTCTCTGAACTGGGGAGGGCGCATCTTTAGCCTAGACGCCCCTCTGGGTGACTAATGACAGGTGAGCACATTGAACAAGGTGACTCCTAAGACAAGGCTGTATGTAGCCAACATCTTGAGAGCAATCTGAAGTTGGAGATTTTACTACAGCCAAGGAGAAAACGGAGAAAAATACTTGAGAAATGTGTTAGCTGTGTTGTTATTCTTAATAAACGGTAACGCTGGTCAACGACCTGAACACTGCAGTGGGCCCAGGTCAAGCTTGACAACATGTAAATTTTGCCCTCTCTGCCCAATGCCTCTCCAGGGCTCCCAGCCCCAACGTCTCTCTGATTACAGCCCCAGTGAGACCCACCTTCGCTTCCTCTAGAGATTGAATGGCCCCTACATCCTCCAGGCCTTCCTGAAGCTCAAAAATGTCCAAGGTCCCATCCTTGTTATAGTCCAGGTACCAAAAGAGATCTCCGTAGAGGGAGTCCATCGAGGATGTCTCCCTCGCAGCTCCGCGGCCTGAGTGAGCCCCAGCGGGGTGGAAGTGCGACCGACGAACGGGATCTCTGCCCACCACACACGTCCAGTGGGAAGAGGCCTAAGACAGCATCCTCCTCAGGGGCGCCAAACACAATGCACCTTCATCGGTTAAAGCTCTGGAAGGAGAGGGCTCATCCTAACGGCTTCAGCGCAAAGGCGCGAGCGCGCAGGACCCGGGACCTGCGTGGGACCGCACTCTGGGCTGCGCTGGGAGACCGCGGAGTTCCTGCCTCACTCACGTCTGATCAGAAGCCCCGGCTCCCACTCCAGGAAGAGTCCAGTCGGGGCAACTCAAGCCCCTTTCCCCAGAAACTTCCAGGGAGAACCCAGCACAGGGCCATCTGAAAGTATAGCTTCTCTTTTGGAGAGAAGTAGGTTGGGAATGTTGGGACATGGGCTATTGCAGCATAAGTGACTGGCGGTGGCGGCCTGCCAACATTTAAAAAAAATTGTTTGGCTGCACCTGTCTAGGAATCCTTCTTTTTAAAAATCCTTATAATGATTTTTTAAAATAAAATAATTTTATTGTAGATTCAGGGGTTACACCATCAGCTTGTTACAAGGGTATACTGTGTGATACTGGGGTTTGAGCTCCTAATCGTGCCATCACCCAGGTTGTGAACAAAGTACCCAGTAGGAAGCTTTCCAGCCCTTGCCCTCCTCCCTCCCTCCCCCCTTTTGGAGTCCCTAGTGTCTATTGTTCCCATCTTTATGCCCCATTTACCCAAGGTTTAGCTCCCCCTGTAAATGAGAACACAGTATTTGTTTTTCTGTTTCTACAATAATTCGTTTAAGTTATTGGCTTCCAGCTGCATTCATATTGCTGCAAAGGACATGATTTTGCTCCTTTTTTATGGCTGCATAGTATTCCATGGTGTGTATGTACCACATTTTCTTTATCCAATCTGCTGCTGATGGGTACCTACATTGTGTTGTAGGAATCCTTTTCTAAGGTTGCAGCACTGGAGAATTGCTGTAATAAAGACTAGGAATTGAATGAAAATCTGCCCACATGGGCCCTTTCTTCTGTGACACCTCCCCTCACAGTTTTTTATCTTTTATCTTCATCCAACCACTACAATGGCTCCAGGGCAAGCCTATCCTTCAGCTGTTAGTGGCTGGATTGGAAAGATGATCTCAAAATAGGCAAAAGTTCAGTGATCTTGGGTCCCAGAGAGAAGTCAGCAGATACTCATAAATACTATCTAAGGCTTCCTCTTAATCCTCACCCTCCAGAACCACAGAGGGCCCTGGCTTCCCCAGACCAACACCTGTGCTCCCTCATCCTGCACCACTGGGAATATGGAGGTGCAGTTTCACAATAAAAACTCTCCACTTTTTATGTAATTTATTTTCCTAAATATGGAGATTGGGTACCCTAAAAAGTTGAATATTAAAATTCAAAAAGAAAATTTAATTTAGCCATTATCTGTAAGCTCTTGCTCTACACTACCCATCATGTCAGATACTGGGGACAAAAACAGACCATCACATGTCCTTGAAATACTCATAGGTTTCCCTCTGGGAGGAGGTTGCACCATGGTTAGTCAAAAAAACTACTGTACGCTTCTCAGTAAACATTTTCCCCCAGAGCTGCTGAGCAGTGGCAAATGTCTAATGCTGTTTCACAAGATGTGCTGTGGCCCAATCAAGAATGAATTCTTTCAAAAAGAGAATTTTATGGTCCACAGGGAATGGTCCTTCCCTGTGCAACACAGAAAATGTAGGTAGTGGCAAAGAGCCACAGAAGGCAGATAGCCAGGCAGAGAATGAGCCTTGGGTTAGAGTCTACAGGACCAAGCAGAAAAGACAGAAGTCGTGGCCAGGGTGATAAGGAAAACAGGCTGACAGCATTTAACAGAATTGACAGGAGAGAACAAACCATAGAGTTGAGAGTTTCATCTAATAAAAGGCAGGTAGTTTTGTTGAATAGCTCTTTCTGCTTTTTGAAATTACCCTGTTCATTATTTGCTTATTATTTTTTATTCCCCATGCACCTACACACACACACAGACCTACTTACTATAGGGAGGGTTTTGAGAATACAATGAAGAACGCTGTCAGTGTTGTTCACCACTATATCCCCAGTTCATTAAACAATGTCTGGCACTGTTTGAAAACATTAAATGAATGAATTTACTATTTATGCTAAGTTACTGGGTAGGTCTTACCATTCCTAGTTAACATTTGAGGCCTCCAGGCATTAAATAACATGCCCAAGGCCACAGTCTAGCAAGCGGTGAAAACATTTGAACCCTGTTCTGATTCCACAGCCTATAATAATAACTATTACATCCACTAAAACAGTTAATGTGTAGTAAACACTATGATCCACGTTTCAGAGTTAGGCTTCAAACTTTCTCAACAAATCCTTTTGTTTTCATAAATCCTGTCAAATATAGATACCTTGGTGGACTCCATTCAATCCTTAAAAAGATAAGATTTTTGAACTCAGCAGGGTCAAAAGAAGTTAAGCAGTGTATTACAGAATGTTGTCTTGTGGAAGCTTCTTTTGTTTTTTCTGGAATACCGATAAAGAAAGTGGGCTAGGAAGATTATAAAGGTGAGTTGGGGCCTTAAACAATGGGCAATCATATACCAGGCAGAGAAGGGGGAATGAGAGAAATCTCAGGCAGAGAGAAGAAAATAAAGGGATCAATGTACATGGCTGTGGCCTAGTCAGGGAATATGGCATGTTGGGAGTTTGGAAAGGTGACAAAAGGCTTAGAATGCTACAAAGATAGAAAGGGTATTTTATACCTTACTAAAGAATTCTTCCATTTTTTTCATTCTTTCAGACACTTTATTTCTGCAGAGAAGGATAACATCAAATTTAGAATATAAATCAGGAGAGAACACAAAAGATACAGATTTTATATATTTTAGAACATTTGACAGAAATGTAGTTGGAATTCCATTGTTTTTCTTATACCATAATCTTTCTGTTGTGATGCCCTAAAATTCACCCTGTGATTTCATATCATGTCTTCTTAATATTGTGCCAGAAACCATAACATGTCTGACAATTAAAATATTAAGGAAATGGGCTGGCCATGGTAGCTCATGCCTGTAATCTTAGCACTTTCAGAGGCAGAGGCAGGCAGATCACTAGAGGCCAGGAATTCAAGACCAGCCTGACCAAAATGGCAAAATCCCATCTCTACTAGAAAATACAAAAGTTAACCAGGTGTGGTGGCATGTGCCTGTAATCTCAGCTGCTTGGGAGGCTGAGGCACAAGAATCGCTTGAATCCAGGAAGCAGAGGCTGCAGTGAGCCGAGATCGCACCACTGCACTCCAGCCTTGGTGATAGAGCAAGATTCTGTCTCCAGAAAAAAAAAAAAAAAGCAATATTAATGAAATAAAAATGAAATGAACCCTCTTTGTTAACAGAGGAATTACTTAATGGAGTGAAATCCTGATTCCACTCAATGCAATAAACATTTGCTAAGCTACTATTCTTCTATGTGACTATTTTTTCTGTGATTGTAAATGTAAAAACTTAAAGACAGAATTAAAAAAATCATAGAATGTAAGAGTTAGAATGGCCCTTAAATCAGGTTACCAGTCCACCCACTCCTCTAACATTGGGTGATCATTCAGCATACACTTCATACCCATGGGCACAGAGGTTCCTCAAGAAGTTCACCAGCTAGTAAATGGGATACCACATTTTAAAGGGTTTTTTAACATGAACTTTCATATTCTGCAACATATGACCTTGTTAAAAGCTCTGTCCAGGATGCAGGCAAGATATCTGCATTTTAAGAATAAGAAAGTAAAGCTCCAGTAAGGCTCAAACTTGACAAGGATTACACGGTCAATTTACACCAAGGACGGAACTCTCTTGTAGCTTGCTGCTTCCCTTCTTGCTCTTGATAATTGTCCTAGTCCAACTGGGCTGCTATGACAAAAATACTATTGGCTTACTTAAAAAATAAGCATTGATTTCTTGCAGTTCCAGACACTGGAAGTCCTAGATCGAAGTGCTAGGAGATTTACTGTCTAGTGAGGACCCACTTTCCGGTTCCATGGACCACTGTTTTCTCACTGTGTCCTCACATGGTGGAAGGGGCAAGGAAGGTCTTCCAGGTCACTTTTATACAAGCACTAATCCCATTCATGAAGGCTCCACAGGAAGAAAGAAGATGGGGGTAGAAGGAGGAAGACAAGAGGGAGAAGGAGGTGCGTAAAGAGAAAATAACTGAAGACTTTTAAAAGGAAATAGGATTACTAGACAAGTATAAGAGAATTAGTAATGGTTAAATACTGTATCTCCTTGTTCTCACACTACATTCTACTCTCAGTCTATACCCTTATACTACTGAGTCCTAGGAGAACTTAATGTGAATTTTCTCTAATTTTTAACTTTAATTTTTCACTAATTTCATAGTGAGGAGATTTGGAACATACAGAAAAGAAAGGTCATACCAGAAAAAAAAATGTAGCGCTTTCACTTCCAATTGGTTCTTAATTTTGTCTCAGGACTTGCCTTGAATTCTTTTCTCTTCCCTGGATAATTCTGGAACACTTAGTAATGGTTAGCTATTATATTCCTTATACCTATTTCTACATTCTACTCTTATTTCTACATTCTTTCCATCTAAAATCTAAAGAAACTTAAACAGAAATTTGTTCTCTTCTAAATGCTCAATTCATTACAAATGCTTGGAAACACGGAGATGAGATCAAATCAGATGAAAATTTATAGAGATTTTGCTTCAAGCTGAGTATTTGGCTTAGATACAAACTACTACCTTGAAACTTTCCACCGAAGAGTCACCCCACAGTTCTCATTTCTATGCTCAAGTAGCCAATGTCCTCACTCCTTGACATTACATAAACCCCTGACATGCCTCTGAAATTTTCTCCCATAAAGGTTGACTGTGTAATCCTAATTCTATCCCATGTGTGATGGTTAATTTTATGTATCAACTCGTCTGGACTAAGGGATGCCCAGATAACTGGTAAAACATGATTTCTGGGTGTGTCTGTGAGGATGTCTCTGGAGGAGGGTAGCATTTGAATCAGTAAACCAATTAAAGAAGACTGCCCTCACCAAATGGGTAGGCATAATGCAATCCTGTGGAGGATGTGAATAGAACCAAAAGGCAAAGCAAGTGCTACGTTTTGTTTGTCCCCACAAAAACTCATGTTGAAGTCTGATCCCTGATGTGGCCGTGTTGGGAGGAGGGACCTAGCAGGAGGTGTCAGGGTTACGGAGGCAGATCCCTCATGAATGGCTTGGTGTCATTCTTGCAGTAGTGAGTGAGTTCTCTCTCTCATGAGACTGAATTAGTTCCCTCAGTAATGGATCAGTTCCCTCGAGGCTGGGTTGCTATAAAGCCAGGACACCCCTCGGATTTTGCTTCTTCACACATGTCCACTTCCACTTTGACTTTCCACCATGTTGTGACACAGCAGGAAAGCCCTCCCCAGGAGTCCAGCAGATGCCAGCACCACGCTTCTTAAACTTCCCAGCCTGCGGAACTGTGAGCTAAATAAATGTCTTTTCTTTATAAATTACCCTGTCTCAGATATTCCACTATAGCAACACTAAATGGACTAAGACAGGAAATGAAAAGGAATTTCACCTGCAGAATAGGAGACTTTACAAAGACTGATACCCTGAATGAGCGAGGATGTGGAGAAGCAAGCACTGTCAGTCAAAAGAGTGAAAATGGGTCTAAGGTTTCCGAAAGGCAATACGTATCCCAGTTTAAAATGTGTGTTACCTTCAGACTCAGCAATGTCCACTCCTCAAAATTTATCTTACGAAAGTAACTGGACCAGAATGAGAAAATGAATACAAAGGACATCCATTGCAATTTCACTTACAATCGTTTTTAAACTATCAATAAAGTAAAAGGTGATTTAAAAAGAATTGGTAACATATACTATGACACAAACATATAACAGAATATGATGCAGTTACGTAAAAATGGTGATACAGCAGCAATTCTCAAGCTTTTTGATCTCAGGATCCCTTTACAATCTTAAAAATCATTGAGCACTCCAAAGAGCTTTTGTATATTGTAGGGACCATGGAGTTGTACCACTGAGATCTCCCTTCAAAGGCACCTACTGTGAGGAACACAGTTGACTTCCACTCTCTAGCCTCTAACCCTGGCATCTGCTGATGCACTGCAGCAAGGTCGTCCCTTTCCTGGGCTGCTTCCAGCCAATGATTGGACATGGTGGGGAACTCCAACTGGGCCATTTCTGGGACAATCAGCACAAAGTACCAAAAGTTGGTTCCTTCAAAGTATGAATAAAATACACAAAACTTTGGCAAGATTGAAGGGGAGAAAAGGATAGATATGAGGAATGAAATAGAGAACCTACCTACAGATTCAGTCAGAAGTGTTATAAAATCATCGGTGAGTATTATGAACCTTGGACAGAACAGGCAGTTTCAAAAAAAATTGTAACTTACTAAATCTGACTCTAGAAGAAACAGTAAACTGAAGAGGCCTATAACTACCAAAGACATTAAAAGAGAAGTGAAATATAACTATATAACAGTTGTTGGCCCTCATAGTAACCTAATCACTTTCCCTCTTTGGATAAGAGAATGCCAGTGTCAGGGAACGCTTCAACAGGGTTGGAGAAGTTCCACATATCTCCACCCTACTAAAGGGGCAGAAGTTCAGGGGCACAGTTAAGATGACTCAGAGAAAATGAAATTGCTCAGTCGCAGGTCAAGTCAACCCTTCAGATCAATTTATGTACCTAGGGCATTAACCTAGGAATGTCTTAAACAATGGAATGCCGCCATTCCTTCTCAACAGGAAGTGGGGGAAACACGCGATTGGTTTTCAAACAGTTTTCAAACAGTAGACAATACACATAGCTGCTGTAACAAAGCAGCTTCGAAAGAGATCGAATGTGTGCGCCTTTATACAAAACTTGGGACCCACTGAAGTCTGACAGCTAAAACGGATTACATGTCTGCAAGGTATTAAAACAGAAAACAAAGAACCTGGGATGGATTCAGGACAAAAGTGTCTTAAAAATTTAACAGTGCCCGTGGGCCAGAGTGTCCACAACACTCATTTTATCTGGACAAATACCAGTAGACTTTCGTATTATGACCCACTTCTGTTACCGGGGTCGCCGGTCGCGGCCCCACGCCCGAGTTTCTGAAGCCACCGGAGCGCTGGGCGCCACAGTTCCTCCTTCCTCTCCTGGCAACGCCTCAAGCCGCCGCCCTCCTCGGTCCTCGCAGTGTCCCCAGCGCCCGCAGCCCTCCCTACGCTCAGGCGGCGCCCCGGCGGCGACCCACCTCCTCGGCGTCCTGGCCCAGAGGGATGCCCAGGTTCCTGAGCCCCTCCTGCAGCTCGCCGATGTCCACCACTCCGTCCCCATTGCGGTCCAGTGCCTGGAAGAGGGTCTCGTAGCGCGTCGGCTGCTCCGCGTCCTGGCAGGCCGCGGTGGGCAGCACGAAGTCCCGCAGCCAGCGCAACATGGTCCCAGAGGCGCAGGCGGCCTGGCCGAGGAAGTCACGGGAGATCGAGGGCTGCGGGGCGAGACCGGGACCAGCGCGAGGCCGGGCTGGGCGGGGCGCGCGGCGCAACAGCGTTTGGGGCGCCGTCGGGGTTGCGGCTGCGGCGCGCAGGGCGCAGGGCGCAGGAGCGGAGACCCCACCCGAGCCCGCGCGGAGCGCAGGGTGTGGCCGTCCCGCCGCTGCTGGGGAGGAGCTCGCCGCGCTGGCCTCGGCGGCACTGGCCGGGCCCGCCTCCAGAGAGCCGGAAGTGAGGGAGCTGGGAGCTGGGTCTCGGGAGGTGCTGTGCGGACCCGGGGTCGACCTCTGCCCAGTTGCCAGTCCCGCTGTCAGCATGCGGGTCCGAGGAAGAGGCCCCCAGCAGGTCCAGGGCTGCAGCGTCAGCGCGTCGGTGGCTTGGGAGCGGGGTCTTGAAGACTGGTTACTCCACTTAAAGACCCTCTCGGGCCGGAGCCTTGGCGGTCAGCCCAGAGCTGCTTCTCTCTGCCTGGAAACTGGGCCATGGAGGGCATTGTCTCTCACGGATGTCTAATTTTTTCGTGGTTGCACACCTGGGATGGCGATTCTGCTTTAAAAAGCAGAGAGTTAAATCCTAAAGCATCTATTGGAGCAATTATAAAACAAAAAGGAGAAACTCCTGGATTTGTTGCAGAAAAGATCAACAGCCATCTGCGTGGGCAACGGGGAAAAGAAGGACTAGTTTGGTAGGCAGCTTAGCTAGGATTTGCCCGTGATTAAGCGTATAGAGTGTCTGCCAGCTGCACTTATCAGAAAAAACCACAGCGCCCTCCTCCTTCTCAAGATGGGTGCAGTTCCGAGGTTTGGAGCTTATTACTCAGGCAAGACAGAACTTATTACTGCCTAGCATGGAATAACGGAAGGAACATTGGACTTAACAGAGAAAGTACCTAATCCTTCAGGTGTGACATAGCGTCTCCGGGTAGTCTCTCATCAGTAAAATGAGAATATAAATATCTGCCTTCACAACAAAGTTGTATATTAGGTGTGAAAGGTCTTAATTCTCTAAGGCGCCAATCAAATGAGATATCATTAATTGTAATAATCCTGTTCATTCACAGCTGCGTAAGAGGAACTATTGTTGTACTGCTGTTTGCAGAAAAGAAGATACCTCTGTACTTGTAAATTAGGGTGTCTCACATCTTCTGAATCACTACACAGAAATCAGTTCCAACAACAGCCAGGAACTCAGACCCTGAACTTACCTCTCCTCATATCATTTTGTATGTTTAAGATATGTATGAATCTAGAATTTGTAAATTAAGGGCTGCCTGCTTAGTAAAATCATCTTGAAACTGATTTATCTTTTTATATTACTTCCAACTTCCAGTCTTATTAAGAATCATTGCCTTCCTTTGGAACTGCCTTCAAACTTCAAATTTTCTCTGTCCTTGAAAACCTCTTTTAATCTCTACTCTGAATACTCTGTACTTGAAGAGAGGTTGCTTGAACTAGTCATCTTACACTTACATGCTTTCATTTTACTTTTTATTTATTTCTTTTTTTTTTTTTTTTTTCTTTGAGACAGTCTAGCTCTGTCGCCCAGGCTGGAATGCAGTGGCACAATCTCAACTCACTGCAACCTCCGCCTCCTGGGTTCAAGCTATTCTCCTGCCTCAGCCTCCTGAGTAGCTGGGGCTACAGGCTATTTTACTTTTTTAAAAAAGTAATACTTAGAAAAATTACCTGTCAGCGTTTTTGCTGAGAAAATTATCTTCACACCAAAACTTTTACTTGAGGGTTTATAGCAGTTCTATTCATAACTGTCAAGCGCAGAAACAAAATGTTCTTTAACGGGTGAACTGGTAAACAACCTGTGTTGCATTCATACAGTGAGATAGTAATTAGCAATAAAAAGGAATGAATTACTGATACCTGTCAACAATGACATTCTGGAAAAGGCAAAACTATAGGGACAGAAAACAAATCAGTAGTTACCAGTTGTGACTAGCGGGAAGGGAATTGATGACAAAAGAGCATCAGAAGGCTTGTGGGGGTGATGGAGCTATTTTACATCTTGCTTTTGGTGGTAGTGGTTACACAACTGCATGTGTGTGCCAGCAGAACTGCACACTAACATGGGTTAATTTACTCTGGGATATCAATAAATCTGACTTAAGCATGAGTAAAATGGAATAAAAATTCTCAAAAGATCAGTGTGAACATCAAAACAGTTTATGAATAGTTATGAAGTATGGGCCACACACCAGCAGCATTGGTGTCACATCAGTGTTACTGTGAAAATCAAAGCGTTTATGAAGTGTGGGCCACAGACCAGCAGCATCAGTGTCACTTGGGAGCTTGTCAGAAATAATCTCAGGCCTGCCCAAGCCCACTAAGTAAGAATTGCACTTATACAAGAACCCTGGATGAGCATTTCATAAAGTTTGAAAAGCACAGCTAGTATGAAGCAAACCACTCGAAGTGCAACCTGTTACCTGTCTGCAATGAGTCAGACATTGAGAGGAAGGATTTAGAAACTTTATAGCAATTTGATAAAGTAATTTTGTTATATCTAATAATAAAACTCAGAGCTTGTCTTTTTAATTTCAATTTTCTAGTATTGCATTTTTACTGTATTTTACGACACTATGTCTGCAAGGAATCGAGATAACACCATGAAGATAAAAGGTGTAATTAACACTAGCAACTTCCTGCATAAGAGAAGAAACCTTTACATGGACATTTACACATCTGGACGAAAGAAGGCACCCCTGCTTAATTCTACTGGCAATTCCCAAAGACCAGTGGTTCCTAGAGGGCAGTAGTAGAAACCCAGAATTCACACTTCCTTAATTCATTTCCTTGGTCAGAACAGAAGTCTAGGGTTCAGCCCAATTTAGCTACTTCTATTGTCCCCAACTTCTGGCCTTCTAATGTACTACCATTTTCCACTGGAATAACCTTCAGACTTGACCAGTTTCAGTCCTTGAAGACCTCTTTCAGCACCTACTTTGGAATCTTTTCATAATCATTCTGGATTTGGCTAGTTTTAGTTGATAAACACATTTCTTCTTTCTATCCACTGAATCACTTACTTATTGTGTAGTGCTAATAAGACCAAAGAATCTGCCTCTCCACAAGGAACAATTCTATTTCAAAATCCTTCAAGAATATTCAGAAAGGAAAAAAAGATCCTGGTCATTGCTCCCTCAAATTTGAGTAATCACAGCTTAGGCTCTGTAAGAGAATTTGATTGGTTCAGTGTAAAGCCATAACCATTACTGGAAGGATAATTTTTTTTCATTGTACTTTAAGTTCTGGGATACATGTGCAGAATGTGCAGGTTTGTTACATAGGTATAAATGTGCCATGGTGGTTTGCTGCACCCATCAACCCATCACCTACATTAGGTATGTCTCCTAATGCTATCCCTCCCCTCCCCACTCCCTCCCCTCCCCACCCCCAACAGGCCCCGGCATGTGATGTTCTCCTCCCTGTGTCCATGTGTTCTCATTGTTCAACTCCCACTTATGACTGAGAACATGCGGTGTTTGGTTTTCTGTTCCTGTGTTAGTTTGCTGAGAATGATGGCTTTCAGCATCATCCATGTCACTACAAAGGACATGAACTCATCCTTTTTTATGGCTGCATACTATTCCATGGTATATATGTGCCACATTTTCTTTATCCATTCTATCACTGATGGGCATTTGGGTTGGGTCCAAGTCTTTGCTGTTGTGAATAGTGGTGCAATAAACGTGCATGTGAATGATTTATAATCCTTTGGATATATACACCCAGTAATGGGATTGCTGGGTCAAATGGTATTTCTGGTTCTAGATCCTTGAGGAATCACCACACTGTCTTCCACAACGGTTGAACTAATTTACATTCCCACCACCAGTGTAAAAGCGTTCCTATTTCTCCACATCCTCTCCAGCATCTGTTGTTTCCTGACTTTTTAATGTTCACCAATCTGAGTGGTGTGAGATGGTATCTCATTGTGGTTTTGATTTGCATTTCTCTAATGAACAGTGATGATGAGATTTTCTTCGTATGTTTCTTGGTTGCATAAATGTCTTCTTTTGAGAAGTATCTATTCATATCCTTTGCCCAGTTTTTGATGGGGTTGTTTGTTTTTTTCTTGTAGATTTGTTTAAGTTCCTTGTAGATTCTGGATATTAGCCCTTTGTCAGATGGATAGATTGTAAAAATTTTCTCCCATTCTGTATGTTGCCTGGTCACTCTGATGATAGTTTCTTTTTCTGTGCAGAAGCTCTTTAGTTTAATTAGATCCCATTTGTCAATTTTGGCTTGTGTCACAATTGCTTTTGGTGTTTTAGTCATGAAGCCTTTGCCCATGCCTATGTCCTGAATGGTATTGCCTAGGTTTTCTTCTAGGGTTTTTATGGTTTTAGGTCTTATGTTTAAGTCTTTAATCCATCTTGAATTAATTTTTGTATAAGGTGTAAGGAAGGGGTCCTGTTTCAGTTTTCTGCATATGGCTAGCCAGTTTTCCCAACACCATCTATTAAATGGGGAATCCTTTCCCCATTGCTTGTTTTTATCAGGCTTGTCAAAGCTCAGATGGTTGTAGATGTGTGGCATTATTTCTGTGGACTCTGTTCTGTTCCATTGGTCTATATCTCTGTTTTGGTACCAGTGCCATGCTGTTTTGGTTACTGTAGCCTTGTAGTGTAGTTAAAAGTCAGGTAAAGTGATGCCTCCAGCTTTTCTCTTTTTACTTAAGATTTTCTTGGCTATACGGGCTCTTTTTTGGTTCCATATCAAATTTAAAATAGTTTTTTCTAATTCTGTGAAGAAAGTCAATGGTAGCTTGATGGGATTAGCATTGAATCTATAAATTACTTTGGGCAGTATGGCCATTTTCATGATATTGATTCTTCCTATCCATGAGCATGGAATGTTTTTCCATTTGTTTGTGTTGTCTCTTATTTCCTTGGCATTGGTGTAATTCTCCTTGAAGATATCTTTCACATCCCTTGTAAGTTGTATTCCTAGGTTTTTTATTCTGTTGGTAGCAGTTGTGAATGGGAGTTCACTCATGATTTGTCTCTCTGTTTCTTATTGGTGTATAGAAATGCTAGTGATTTTTGCACATTGATTTTGTACCCTGAGACTTTGCTTGAAGTTGCTTATCAGCTTAAGGAGTTTTTGGGCTGAGACAATGGGGTTTTCTAAATATACAATCATGTCATCTGCAAACAGAGATAATTTGACTTCCCCTCTTCCTATTTGAATATCCTTTATTTCTTTCTTTTGCCTGATTGCCCTGGCCAGAACTTCCAATACTATGTTGAATAGGAGTGGTGAGAAAGGGCATCCTTGTCTTGTGCCAGTTGTCAAAGGGAATGCTTTCAGCTTTTGCCCATTCAGTATGATATTGGCTGTGGGTTTCTCATAAATAGCTCTTATTATTTTGAGATACGTTTCATCAGTACCTAGTTTATTGAGAGTTTTTAGCATGAATCGGCTGTTGAATTTTATCAAAGGCCTTTTCTGCATCTATTGAAATAATCATGTGGCTTTTGTCATTGGTTCTGTTTATGTGATGAATTACGTTTATTGATTTCTGTATGTGGAACCAGCCTTGCATCCCAGGGATGAAGCCAACTTGATCATGGTGGATAAGCTTTTTGATTTGCTGCTGGATTCAGTTTGCCAATATTTTATTGAGGATTTTTTCATCGAAGTTCATCAGGGATATTGACCTGAAATTTTCTTTCTGTGTTGTGTCTCTGCCAGGTTTTGGTATCAGTATGATGCTGGCCTCATAAAATGAGTTAGAGAAGAGTCTCTTTTTTTCCATTGTTTGGAATAGTTTCTGAAGGAATGGTACCAGTTCCTCCTTCTACCTCTGGTAGAGTTTGGCTGTGAATCCATCTGGTTCTGTGCTATTTTTTTTTTTTAGTTTGTAGGCTATTAATTATTGCCTCAATTTCAGAACTTGTTATTGGTAGTATTCAGGGAATCGACTTCTTCCTGGCTTAGTCTTGGGAGAGAGTATGTGTCCAGGAATTTACCCATTTCTTCTAGATTTTCTAGTTTATTTGCATAGAGGTGTTTATAGTATTCTCTTAAGGTAGTTTGTATTTCTGTGGGATCAGTGGTAATGTCCCCTTTATCATTTTTATTGTGTCTATTTGATCCTTCTCTCTTTTCTTCTTTTTTAGTCTGGCTAGCAGTCTATTTTGTTAATCTTCTCAAAAAACCAGCTCCTGGATTCATTGATTTTTTTAAGGGTTTTTCGTGTCTCTATCTCCTTCAGTCCTGCTCTGATCTTAGTTATTTCTTGTCTTCTGTTAGCGTTTGAATTTTTTTGCTGTTGCTTCTCTGGTTTTTTTAATTGTGAAGTTAGGGTGTTGATTTTAGATCTTTCCCACTTTCTCATGGGGGCATTTAGTGCTTTAAATTTCCCTCTACACACTGCTTTAGCTGTGTCCCAGATATTCTGGTATGTTGTGTCTTTGTTCCCATTGGTTTCAAAGTGTTATTTATTTCTACCTCAATTTTGTTATTTACCCAATAGTCATTCAGGAGCAGGTTGGTCAGTTTCCATGTAGTTGTAAGGTTTTGAATGAGTTTCTTAATCCTGAGTTTCAATTTGCACTGTGGTCTGAGAGACTGTTTTTTATGATTTTCGTTCTTTTGCATTTGGCGAGGAGTCTTTTACTTCCAATTGTGTGGCCAATTTTAGAATAAGTGCTATGTGGTGCTGAGAAGAATGTATATTCTGTTGATTTGGGGTGGAGAGTTCCGTAGATGTTTATTAGGTCTGCTTGGTCCAGAGCTGAGATCAAGTCCTAAATATCCTTGTTAATTTTCGGTCTCATTGATCAATCTAGTATTAACAGTGGGATGTTAAAGTCTCCCACTATTATTGTGTGGGAGTCTGAGTCTTTTTGTAGGTCTCTAAGAAGTTGCTTTATGAATCTGGGTGCTTCTGTGTTCAGTGCATATGTATTTAGGATAGTTAGTGCTTCTTGTTGCATCGATCCCTTTACCATTATGTAATGCCCTTCTTTGTCTTTTTTGATCTTTGTTGGTTTAAAGTTTGTTTTATCAGAGACTGGGATTGCAACCTCTGCTTTTTTTTTTTTTTTTTCTTTTGCTTTCAATTTTCTTGGTAAATATTCCTCCATCCCATTATTTTGAGCGGATGTGTGTCTTTGCACATGAGAAGAGTCTCCTGAAAACTGCACACTGATGGGTCTTGAATCTTTATCCAATTTGTCATTGTGTCTTTTAATTGGGGCATTTAGCCCATTTACATTTAAAGTTAATATTGTTATTTGTGAATTTGATCCTCTCATTGTGATGCTAGCTGGTTATTTTGCACGTTATTTGATGCAGTTTCTTCATAGTGTCAATGGTCTTTACATTTTGGTATGTTTTTGCAGTGGCTGGTACCAGTTTTTCCTTTCCATATTTAGTGATTCCTTCAGGAGCTCTTGTAAGACAAGCCTGCTGGTGACAAAATCCTTCAGCATTTGCTTGTCTGTAAAGGATTTTATTTCTCCTTTGCTTATGAAGCTTAGTTTGGCTGGATATGAAATTCTGGGTTGAAAATTCTTTTCTGTAAGAATGCTGAATATTGGCCCCCACATTCTTCTGGCTTGTGGGGTATCTGCAGAGAGATCCGCTGTTAGTCTGATGGGCTTCCCTTTGTGGGTAACCTGACCTTTCTCTTTCGCTGCCCATAACATTTTTTCCTTCATTTCAACCTTGGTGATCTGACAATTATGTGTCTTGGGGTTGCTTTTCTCAAGGAGTGTCTTAGTGGTATTCTCTTTATTTCCTGAATTTGAATGTTGGCCTGTCTTGCTAGTTTTGGAAAGTTCTTCTGGATAATATCCTGAAGTGTGTTTTCCAAATGGTTCCATTCTCTTCATCACTTTCAGGTACACCAATCAAATGTAGGTTTGGTCTTTTCACATAGTCCCATATTTTTTGGAGGTTTTGTTCATTTCATTCTTTTTTCTCTAATCTTGTGTTCATGCTTTATTTAATTAAGTTGATCTTCAATCTCTGATATCCTTTCTTCCACTTGATCTATTCAGCTATTGATACTTGTGTATGCTTCATGAAGTTCTCATGCTGTGTTTTTCAGCTCCATCAGGTCATTTATGTTCTTCTCTAAACTGGTTATTCTAGTTAGCAGTTCCTGTAACCTTTTATCATGGTTCTTAGCTTCCTTACATTGGGTTAGAACATGCTCCTTCTGCTCAGAGGAGTTTGTTATTACCCACCTTCTGAAGCCTACTTCTGTCAATTCATCAAACTCATTCTCCATACAGTTTTGTTCCCTTGCTGGCGAGGAGTTGTGATCCTTTGCAGGAGAAGAGGCATTCTGGTTTTTCAAATTTTCAGCATTTTTGTGCTGGTTTTTCCTCATCTTCATGAATTTATCTACCTTTGATCTTTGATGTTGGTGACCTTTGGATGGTGGTGACCTTTGGATGGTGTTTTTGCATGGGCTTCCTTTTTGTTGATGTTGATGTTATTGCTTTCTGTTTGTTAGTTTGCCTTCTAACAGTCAGGCGCCTCTTCTGCAGGTTTGCTGGAGTTTGCTGTAGGTCCATTCCAGAGCCTGTTTGCCTGGGTATCCCCAGCAGAGGCTGCAGAACAACAAAGATTGCTGCCTGCTCCTTCCTCTGAAAGTTTCGTCCCAGAGGGGCACCTGCCAGATGCCAGCAGGAACTCTTCTCTATGAGGTGTCTGTCAACCCCTGGTGGGAGGTGTCTCCCCGTTAGGAGGCTTGGGGGCCAGGGACTCACTTGAGGAGACAGTCTGTTCCTTAGCAGAGCCCCAGCGCTGTGCCGGGAGATCCGCTGCTCTCTTTAGAGCTGGCAGGCAGGAATGTTTAAGTCTGCTGAAGCTGCACCCACAGCAGCCCCTTCCCCCAAGTGCTCTGTCCCAGGGAGATGGGAGTTTTATCTATAAGCCCTTGACTGGGGCTCCTGCCTTTCTTTCAGAGATGCCCTGCCCAGAGAGGAGTAATCTAGAAAGGCAGTCTGGCTACAGCTGCTTTGCGGCACTCTGGTGGGCTCCGCCCCGTTCAAACTGCCTGGGGGCTCTGTTTACACTGTGAGGGGAAAACCGCCTACTCAAGCCCCAGTAATGGCCGATACCCCTCCCTGCACCAAGCTCGAGTTCCAAGTTGGCTTCAGAGTACTGAGCTTGCAGTGAGAATTTCAAGCCAGTGGTTCTTAGCTTGCTAGGCTGCTTGGAAGTGGGATCTGCTGAGTAAGATCACTGGCTCCCTGGCTTCAGCCCCCTTTCCAGGGAAGGAAACAGTTCTGTCTCATTAGTGTTCCAGGCCCCACTGGGTTACGAAAATAAACTCCTGCAGCTAGCTTGGTGCTTGCCCAAATGGTCGCCCAGTTTTGTGCTTCAAACCCAGGCTCTGGTGGTGTAGGCACCCCAGGGAATCTCCTGATCTGTGGGTTTTGAAGACCGTGGGAAAAGCGTAGTATCAGGGCCAGACAGCACCGTCCCTCAGGGCACAATCCCTCAAGGCTTCCCTTGGCTAGGTGAGGGAGTTCCCCCGCCCCTGGCACTTCCTGGGTAAAGCGACACACCACCGTGCTTCTGCTAGCCCTCCGTGTGCTGCACACACTGTCTAACCAGTCCCAGTGAGATGAGCCGGATACCTCAGTTGGTAATTCAGAAATCACCCACCTTCTGTGTTGGTCTCTCTGGGAGCTACAGACCAGAGCTGTTCCTATTCAGCCATCTTGCCCCACAAAAGATCTCTGGGAGGATAATTTTATTGTGCAATAAATTTTGAATTTGGGTGTCCTACTAGTCTTTAGTGAAACAATCATTTTAAGTTTTTGGCTCACTTACATCACATTAAGCTAATTGGAAATTTCATCAGGTTTTCCAAGTCATTTAGGAGATGGAATTCGAAGTAAAACAAATTCCATCTCTTGCTCTGCCTATCTCCTAACCCCATTCCATCCTCCAAAATAAATGCAAACAATTCTCAATCATAAAAATATGGCTCTTAGTTACCAGAAAATTGCCATCCTCACTAAAATATGTAAATACTTCTCATTTCAAAATAGTTGTGTTAAATTCAAACTGCCTTAAAAACCACATACCTCAGTATTTTGAAATGATTAAAAAGACTATATTAAGACTGTTTCTAGATTTTCAGAATTTATTTAAATTAAAAGAATACTTTGTACTTCCAAGAATCAATAATCATGGAACTTGAATTGATATTTTACACTTATTTTTTATATGTAAAGCCCTCACCTCCCTCCTTTCCCTCCTTCCTTCCTTCCTTCCTCCTTCCTTCCTCATCAGATTAAAGTCATCAGGCAGGCTAGAATGAGGAAAGCTGCACAACCAGAGTCAGAACTCAGGAAGGAAGGTGCTGAGAAGGGCAATAGCCTAATGAGGCTGAGGGATTGGTTATACACAAGGAGACTAAGCAAATAAATATGTTGAGGATAATGAGAGCTAAGTCAGAGAAGTGAGTTACAAATATGAAAAGAGTTAAGCTAGAATGAACCCTATAGTGTTGGATTATAATTAGTAGTAGTGGTGTGAGTTCATGGTTTTAAATATTTTTAGATATAGAAATATAAAGGGATGTGTGTGTGTGTAATATGCGTGTATGTATGTATGTACACACGTACATACATATATTTTCTACCTCTGTCCACTGACAGGGCCTAGTAGCAATGAGAACATACAGTACCCAGATCTTTCTTTCTAAATATCACTCTCTGAAAGAAACTAGGGGACCTTGGAGAAATAGCTGATTGCAGGGTAGGGACAACAAAGGTCCAAAATAAGCACAGAACATCTCATTTCACCAGAGAGTAAGTGCTCAAAGAACGGAGTAGTGTCAAAAGGACACAGAGTCAGCTTGAAGGGGCTCTCCCTGGAAAACCCTAAGACAATTTGGGCATCAAAATACATAGTGTTAGCAGATTAGATCACATTAGATGAAACAGGAATCCATCAATCCACATGGATGTCATACCAAGGAGACAACAGAAATTCCTTCTCTAAAGTTGAATGCCAACTAATAAATGTTAATGGAATGATGGAATTAGGATATCACCGTCTGGTGATCATCATGGTAAAAGTAATTAATTCAGGCAAGAAATATCAAAAAATGCTAGCACTCAGTGTGTAAGAGTTGGATAAGAAATGTGATATTTACCTTGTTTCAAACTGTGTCTCAATAAAATATTGTATATTACAAATGGAACAAAGAATTTATAGTGAAGAAGCTTAGCAAATACTAGCTTATGCAAATGACCAAACTTAACGTCACCAGTAACAGGAAATAAGATCATGGGTCATGTGATAGAGATAACATCACTTCTGTGATAGTCCCAACAAAATGCATAACCTGAATCTCATCATGAGGAAACATCAGAGAAAACAAAATTGAGGATATTCTACAGAATAGCCAGCCTGCAACCTTCAAATACATAAAGTCCAGAAAGATCAGGAATGACTGTATTGTTCTGAATTGAAGGAAACTAAAGAAATCTGACAAGTAAGTGTAATATGTGATCCCAAAGGATGTTGTTGGGACATTTGGTGTGAAACTTGGATGGAATCTCTGGGTGAACATATGTAGGCATTCCTTAAAGTGTGCTTGCAAATTTTTTGTCAATTAATTTCTTTTAACGTACAAACTTCTAACGCCCTTTAAAAAGCCCTCCCTAACTTCCTCAGATTGTACCACTCCTCAGGTTTGCCTGTGATATATTTTCCCTTGCAAACTGCCTCTGTGTGATCTATACAAAACCAACCTATAATACTGTATCAGATCAGCAGCGCAGTATAGCAAAAGCGGTCAAAGTGATGCTAGACTGATGGAATACCTGTCGTTGTTGCCTAGTTTCATGGCCATGAATGAAGCTACAGCAGATAATTTACCTTCCTGCAATCTCTCCACTTGTGATGCTGTCTCTGATGCTGCTAGCATCACGGAGAAGGGGTTAGAAAGCTGGCATGAAGAGGGCTGCAAAGGTGAGTGGAAGCAGTGATTATTCCATACCCACAAAGGTCGCTAAGGAAAAAGGGAATTGCATACTAGGTGCATAGCGTATGATCCATCCTTAACCCGAGAGAATCCCAAGTTAAGATTACGCTGGCATTCGTTCCAAAAATTCCCTCTAGAATACCTTCCTCCTGCTTATTTTGGGGCCAGATGTCTAAAAGAAAGGGTGAATGAAGAATAAACCAAATTCCCCTGATACCCACATTTCTTCCTACTTGTGTAGGAGACATTTCAAATAAGCACTGGCAAGATGCAATGTATGTAATGGGCACTGAGCATAATTGATGTTGTTTCTTATGTACTTTTATAATACATTCTACAAAAAAGTTCATAAAGACTCCAAACTTTCCCAGCTTTCATTTTAAGATATCATGAGCCAGGAGAAAAATTTGTTCTATTTGTTGGGTGGTACATGGGGATAACACCTCATTCATATGAAGATGGAATTCTCAACCCCGCACAGAGGCTGTGCACGGAAACTGTGATTTTTGGTCCTTATTCGGAGACATATTCAATTTTATTTAATATCTGGCTCTTGTCATATTTGCTTAATTGCTTTCCAGCAGAAGAGCAGATTCAAAGCAGGAAAACCTAAAGGGTAGCTGGGGAGTGGTCAGGAATGTGTGAGCCAGGCACAGTGACAGAAGAGACTAGTGGGTGGAGGAAGAGCTAACATCCAAGCTAGAATTTCATTACAATGCAAGGCAATCAGAAATATTAAAACAAACACAAGGAAAGCATAACTCCAAAAAAGGCTAATTATTATCTATATTCTTCGCTTGAGAAGACAGAGGAATTGCTACCATATTAATAAAAAGTTTACATAGAATTATTTAAAGAGAAGGCCAGTTACATGAATTATCTTATGTAAACTACTTCCCCCCACGCATCTTACATATATAAAGTTTTACAAGAAGAGATCCAAACACTGAAGAGTTCGGTACCATATTATAATAATGGTGATCAAAGTTCTAAGAAGAAAAGGGCTGTAAGTAAGATGGAAATAAAAGGACTAATCACAAGTGGTTCCGTAATAAAGTCTTTTGTGCTTTTAAAGTGCAAAGCAGGTGTGAATAGACATTTCTTCCCACATACTTTGTTCATTCGACTATTAAATATTTATTGAGTGTCTGCTATGTGCCGTACACAGATCTTCATATAGGGGATGCAGCAGTAAAGAAAACCAACAAAATTCTCAGTCTTCCTACAGCATATCATCTAGTCAGGGGATACAGGAAATAATTTTATCACACTTAAAGGGTTTTATAGCTAGAAGAAATTTGGGTCATATCAATAACAATTAACCTAAGAATCTCTAAAAATTGCTCCCCTAACATTCATTTTAACAGCTAACACACTCTGCAGAGAAAAATTTTAAATGCACATTTCTTATTTTAAAGTGTCTATTACTCATTTTTAAAGTAGAACTTTTTGCTATTTTCTTTCGTGCTTTTCTGCTAAATATACCCAAAAACTGAATGTCCTTTACATTAAAGTCTGACTGTATCTTCAAACTCATGACTACTTGTATCTTTGCAGTAATGTGGCTGTAAATGTATAATTGTAATAAGTTTCAAATAGTTTGAGAGCAATTGGATTTGCAGAGAGTTCATCTCTGTAGTGCATTTTCAAAATATTATTTTGAAAATTATATTTTGCTTCTGAAAGAAAGGCAACCACTAATGGAAAAACTTAATGTCTTAAGTAAGTGCTTAATTTGGAATACAGAAACCAGTATAATTTTAAAAAGAAAAATATTCTTTGTAGAAACTGTAAATTCTCCCATTATAACAGTGAACAGAGCTCCAGGTAATAATGCATAGGCATGTCAGGTTGCATCTGTATACTTGACTACATTAGTATTAGTGACATCAGGCGGATATATAAGAAAACCCTTGGAAAAAGAAGTGCCTTAGCCATGATTTCAGAGAGAAACCATTAGTAGACCTATTTATGATTCTATTACAGTTTTCAGATAGGATGTGAACATGGAATTTCATTGAAAATAGTTTAATTTTTTATATAAAAGGTTTTGTATATAATGTGTATCAGTGACTATTTTCAAAATCATTTTCATCAAGACACCTTTTTTCTAAAATGGGCATTGCCTACACACATGCACACACATGTACATGCACGCGCACACATTATTTTTTATAGTGTTGGGTTTGATTATTAAAGTGTTGTCAAATCTGTTTTATTTATCTGCATATAGCAGTGATTGGCTTTTTTGAATTGAAATGTTTGCACATTGATGCATTGAAATAAGGAAAATTATTTATCTCTGAGCACTAAACTTACTTTTGCATATTTCTGTAGTATTGCAATCCCCAGATCCAGATCGTGGGAAGTTAGGGAAAATGTGTGATTTTGTGTTTTGAATTACTGTCAGAATTACATACACAGTTACAACAAACTTTATTTAAAGGACATTTCATTATACTGTAAAAATCTCAATATTTATATTTCTTGTTTTTCTCTTTATATATTTTGCATTTTAATATGTTGAGCCACTGGAAATTTGTAACAGATTAATTTGTTATAGGAGATTAAATGTGTTGTCATTGTCTCCATTGTCTTTGTCCAGAGCCTATTATTATGGAAACAATAAAATTTATTGTGTCAAAAAAAAAAGAAAAAAGAAAAACGGCCACAATGTAATGTTGCTAACAGCTCAGTAGAGGGTGCTGTAACTTAAAGCTGAAGAATGGCTCTCGGATAGATTATGAAAGCTGAAAGGTGAATGCAGGCAGGAGGAGGTAAGAGGAAAGAAAAATAAGTGGATCTTTACTTTTTGAAAGTACATCACTGCAGTTATAGATCCTTGAAGTACACCAACAAATGATACAGAACTAAAATATGATTTTAAACCTGAGTGTAACACGTTTTTTGTTTTAAAAAATATTCTCTGTCCATATTCACTCACTGTGCACTACAATATAATGAAAAAACAACAAAAGAAATGTAATACATTTATCTTTTAAAATTATATTATATATTGCAAAATCGATTACATCAGCATCCTTCCACCAATAATAAAATTAAAGGTTCATATTGAGTCAGGACTTTTATGATTCCTGTGAATGATTTATCCATGACTCAGTAATCTATTTAAGCCTGAAGTGTATAATGTGACTTTAAGCTGCAAAAATGGACTGAGATGGTTAAAGTTAGTTTTCTTTTCTTTTCTTGCTTTATTTTATTGAGACGGGGTTGCCCAGGTTGAAGTGCAATGGCATAATCATGGCTCACTGCAGCCTCAAACTCCTGGGCTCAAGTGATCCTCCTGCCTCAGCCTCCCGAGTAGCTAGGACTACAGACGTACACCACGATGCTCAACTAATTTTTAATTTTTTTTGTAAACACTGGGTCTCACTATTTTGCCCCGTCTGATCTCAAACTCCTGGGTTCAAGGAATCCTCCCTCCTTGGGTTTCCAAACTGCCTGGATTACAGGCATAAGCCACCATGCCTGGCCTTATTTCTTAATTGTGGTAAAATGCACATAACATAATATTTACCGTCTTAACCGTTTTTAAGTGTACAGTTCAGTGGCATAAAGTACATTCAAACTAGTGCAACCAAACTCCAGAACTCTTCATCTTACAAAATGGAAACTTTGTACCCATTAAGAGTAACTTCTTATTCCTCCCTCCTGGAAGCCCCTGGCAACCACCATTCTACTCTATTTATGAATTTCACTACTCTAAGTACCTCATATAAGTAAATCATACATTGGTCCTTTTGTGACAGGCATATTTTATTTAGCATAATGTCCTCAAGTTTCATTCATTTGTAACATGTCAGAATTCCTTTCTTTTTAAAAGCGCAATCATATTCTATTGCATGTATATACCACATTTCTTATCCCCTCTTCATGACAGACACAAAGTTTGATGCAAGTATCATGGGTTTTGAGGACACAGCAAATATAATTAAGAAATGTCAGCTAACAGTTCTCACAATAAAGTGAAAGAGAAGCTGCTGCCTTGGGCAAGTTACTTGCTCAGAGTTTGTTGAAACAAAGAATATGTGAATTTTTCTCCTGTACCAGATGCGAGCTGTGCAAGACAGCCAGGGTGGGGTTGTCTTAGATTTTTTTCTGAAAGGGATTTCTGGAAGAAATACAGATTTCAGCAGGGGAAAAAATGTTGAGGCACCATCAGATGTCTAGCACCTGAAAAAGGAGACGTAAGTGACCAGCCAGGGGGAGAGTACATGATCCCCACTAAGCAACTACATGAGAGATCCATAGTAACAGGTGGGGTAGGGAGTCTCCACATAACTCACAAAACAGACCCATAAGAGAAAGAGAGGGCTTTAAAAGCTCTCAGGGCAGAGAACATAGGGCTACTCACAACTATATTAGTGTCAAGTAAGAACCTGCTAACTGCCCGCTTCCTCTCCTCGCTATCCTATTGTGACTCTGATGTGGTTAGCGAGCTAGAGAAGGAAGAATCCTAGACGGAGAAAAAAGAAAAAGGCAAACACATCCACTTTCTCCACTGCAGGCTTTTGGTCTGAGCTGGCCTGAGTGCAGGGAGAAGTTTTAGCTTGAAATTGAGGTTAAAGGTTTGATGACCACCCTGGGTCTAACATATGAATTCCTTTTTGGAAGAAGCTTTCATTAACTGGAAGTGGTAAGTTATAGGAGTTGCCCTTTCATCTAGAGCAAGGGAAGAATTTATCCCACAGAAGAAATTCAAAGTGACCCGGGGAATCACAGTTAAAATTGTCTATAATTGCATCTGCCAGTCATGCTTGTTTCCAGACTTAAAATATTCAGCTACAACTGTCTCCTAAACATGAAGATATTTAAGAGAAATGAACGGAGATAGCTGTTAAAGAAACATCCTAAATTCTAGATGCTTAACATGTATTATTCTTATTTAAGTCTTATAACATTTCCTCAAAGTTGGACTTAATACCTTTTTTTACGTATGTGAAAAGTGATTATCAGTGAGATTGAGTGACTTTCCCAAATGACAGAATCATGACTCATATCCCTGTTTGTCTGGTTCCAACCACCTTGTCCTTTCTAAATATCATCTTAGTTCACATTTCCTTCTCTTAGACATCTTCATCTTCTAGCAAATTAACTGAAAATCTCTAAGTTCCAGTTTCCTTATGTACAAGTCCAAATTCATAATGCCTGCTCTGCCATCCTCCAAAGAATATTGAAAGAATCATGAGATACACACACTACACTCTAAAGCACTCCATTAACTCAAGAATACTATTATTGGTGGAAGAGAGCAATATCTTTTGTCCTCACTCTTCTGCAGACAGAAGAATTATACTGGAAGTAATAACATGTGTTTGAGGATCAAAAATCATCATCATAAATTGTTTAGAATATACTATCACACTAAATGTCATTATGTCTTCTCTTAAGAAAAAATGTTTAAAAATAAGCATAAGCTGGCCAGATTTGGTGGCATATGCCTGGTAGTCCCAGCTACTCAGGAGGCTGAGGTGACAGGATCATTTGAGCCCAGGAGTTTGAGGCTGCAGTGAGTCACGATCACATCTCTGCATTCCAGGCTGGGTGACAGAGTGAGACACCGACTCTAAAACGATCTTTTTTAATTTAAAAAAAGGTATATTGGTCTAAAAACAATAACAGTGCTACCAAAAATAGAAGTACAGAAATGAAGACCATCGTTCTTCATTTGTATCGCTGAATCTGAAAAACGATTTGGATTATCAGTATTATTTTTTTCAAGACAGAATCTTGCTCTGTCGCCCAGGCTGGAGTGCGATGGAGCAATCTTGGCACATTGCCACCTCTGCCTCCTGGACTCAAGTGATTCTCATGCCTCAGCCTCCTAAGTAGTGGGAATTACAGGTATGCGTCACCGCGCCCAGTTAATTTTTGTATTTTTAGTAGAGACTGGGTTTCACTATGTTGGCCAGGCTGGTCTCGAGCTCCTGTCCTGAAGTGATCCGCCCGCCTTGGCTTCCCAAAATGCTGGGATTACAGGTGTGAGCCACCAGCCCATTCAATTATTTGGTTTATTAAGTCATTACCACCCTAATTATGACGTGGCTGCAGTAATCCAGAATGCACATGAATGAATTGGAGTACTGGCTACTATGTGCACCCATCAGAATTTTATTTAGCCAAATTTATTTGTTAAACCTCACAACTTCCTGCTACCCACCAAACATCTTTCACAAATTCCAGGTAGCCTTTTGCGACCCGACAGGATGCATCAATGAACAGCATTATAAACAACATTTTGCTTGCATGGAAATATTAACCATGCTCCACCTTGAAGAACAAAGGTTATTTATGAAAGTAGTGGTGACTAAGAAAATCAACTATTATAAAATTACTAAATTTTAAAAATAGATTAAAATACACCTGTTTTATTCTGATTACATGCTGTCTAAGCAATTAATCTTAAAAACAAAGAAACTACATTAGCTAACTGGGTTATAGTAGAATGATTTTTTCAGCGACCTTAAATTTATCTCCTTCATACCAATTTCTTTTGCTGTTTTTAAATGATCTTTGTAATTTCATTTCTGATTATGAAACTGGCACGTATTTACCATATAGAAAATGTAGGAGATCACAGAAGAAAAAATACTCATGATTTCACTGTCCAGAGACTTAAGTGTATAAGTTGAGTATCCCTAATCTGAAAATCTGAAACACAATTTATTGTTAAGTACTGACCTCATGTCCTGTAACCCTGATGAATTTATTAATTCTAGTAGTATTTTAGTACGTTCCTTGAGGTTTTCTACATATAAGAACATAACATCTGCAAATAAAGGTAGTTTAACTTATTCTGTTCCAATCTGGATACCTTTTATTTCATTCTCTTACCTAATTGTCCTGGCTACTATCTCCAGTACAACATTGAATACAAGTGGTGAGAGTGGACATCTTTGTATTATTCCTAATCTAAAGGTGAAAGCATTCAGTCTGTCACCACTAAACATGATGTTAGCTGAAGTTTTCTCACAGATGTCCTCTATCAGGTTGAGGAAGTTCCCTTCTATTCCTTGTTTGTTGAAAGAATACTGAATTTTGCCATATGCCTTTCCCATGTCTATTGAGATTATCACATTAGTTTTGGTTTATTTTCTACTGATGCTACCTTAATTGGTTTTCAGATGTTAAACTAACCTTCTATCCCTGGGATAAATCCCACTTGGTCATGATGTATAATTTTTGCAGATGTTACCGGATTCAGTTTGCTAATATTTTGTTGAGGATTTTGTGTCCGTATTTAAAGACGATACTCATTTGTAGTTTTCTTGTGATGTCTTTGGTTTCAGTGTTGGAGTAATACTGGCCTCGTAGAATAAGCTGGGAAGTGTTCTCTCCTGTATTTTTGGAAGAGTTTGTGAAAAGTTGTTATCAACTCTTCTTTAGATATTTGGTAGGATTTAGCAGTGAATCCGTCTGGGCCCAGGCTTTTGTTGGCATGTAGTTTTTTTGATTGCTAATTCAATCTCTTTAGTTTTAGAAGTCTATTCAGATGTCAGTTTTGATTGCTTGTGCTTTTTTTCAGTATTTAAAAACTATTGCAAACTTCTAGTTTGTAATGGTTCTGATAAGAAATTGAATGTCATCCTTACATTTACTCCTCTGTGTGTAATGTGTTTTTTCTCCTTTTATTCCTCTTAGGATTTTCTGTTCATCACTGGTTTTGATCAATTTGAGTATGGTGTTCCTTGGTGTAGTTTTCTTCATGTTTCTTGTCCTTAGGATACACTATTTTTCTGGGATATTTGGGGTTTATGGTTTTCATTGCCCATCAATGATAGACTGGATAAAGAAAATGTGGTACATATACATCATGGAATACTATGCAGCCATAAAAAGGAACGAGATCATGTCTTTTGCAGGGACACAGTTGAAGTTAGAAGCCATTATCCTCAGCAAACTAATGCAGGAACAGAAAACCGAACACCACATGTTCTCACTTATAAGTGGTAGCTGAATGATGATATCACATGGACACATGGGAGGAACAACACACACTGGCCCCAGCCTGTCAGAAGTGAGGGATGGGGGAGGGGGGAGGGAGAGCATTGGGAATAGTAGCTAATAGATGTTGGGCTTAACACTTAAGTGATGAGATGATCTGTGCAGCAAACCACATGGCACATGTTCATCTATGTAACACACCTGCACATCCTCCACATGTACCCCTGAACTTAAAAGTTGAAGGAAAAAACTAAACAACGATTTTAAAAATCCACTTAAACCTCCATACATGCACAACAATTAAATCAAAATTAATTACAGAACTAAATGTAAACTGCAAAACTAGAGAACTTACAGTAGAAAGCATAAGAGAAAATCTTCATGATGTGGAGTTAAGCTAAGTATTCTTAGTTATCACATCAACAAAACTATTAAAGAAAACATTGGTAAATTCAACTTTATACAAATTAAAAATTCTTGGTCAGCACAGGACACTATTCATAGAATAAAAAGACATCCTACAGATTGAGAGAAGAATGTGGAAATCAGTAATATGACAAAGAACTTGTGTGATGGTTGTGTGTCACTGTGACTGAGCCCCAGGGTGCCAGGACATTCGTTCCTATGTTATTCTGTGTTTGTACTGGAGGTGGGTTCTGGATGACATTAACACAGGAATAGGCAGTCTACGTGAAGCAGATTGCCCTCCCTAAGGTGAGTGGGCCCCAACCAATCAACCAAAGGCCAGAGGAGAAGTAAAAGGCCTAATAAGAAGGAAATACTTTCCTGGGTATCCCCCTTTCCATCTTGGGAATTTCAGCCTCCAGAATCTCATGTCTAAACTGTGCGTATATACACACACACATATATGCCATATACATATACATACATATATATTAATATATACATATAGACACACACACACACTTCATAGGTAGGTAGGAAGGATTGGATTTTGTAAAGCTCAGCCATTCGATGATAATTGTTGAAGCTGGCCAGTGATTATGAGGATGTTCTAGTATAGGGTTCTGTCTCCTTTTTTATACTGCTGAGGTTCTGCATTTAAAGAAGTAGGTTAGAATAATAGCTGAATTTCTCCACATACACTTCAAAGCCCTAGGGATTAACACAGAGTCCAAAATACCACCCATAATCCTGCCCCCAACCAGGGCTAGGGAACACTGGGGACCCCAAGTGATTTTATTTAGCCAGGTCTGGGAGCCACATAACAGCACAGGGAGCAGGAAACACCATGCAAATAGAGGCCAGCACAGCAGCGAGGGCCTGTTAATGACAAAACACAGGTAAAACCTTTCTCAGAAAGCGAGTGTGGAGAAACACAGATCAGGCCTGAGACCTGGTGGGTCAGAACCCTGCTACTGGGGAATTGAAAGGCAGGGGCTTCACAGTGCAGAGGACCAGAGGGGCCAATCTTCAAAGGGCAGAATCGCTGGGAGACGGGGAGGCCTGGACAAAGGGAGCATCCTCTGGAGACTTGTGGTGAAGAGAATGAATGAAGTAACTGGCAGAAATTAAAGGTCCTGGTTGAACAAAATAGAACCCCAGACTGAGAGCACACAGGCCTGTCCCCCAAAGCCAGACAATATTTCCTAAAATCCCAAGCAAAAGTCATTTTTGGCAAGTACCTTATATCCAGTGATGCAATCCATGTATCAGGACATTGGGAAAAGTTTATGATTAAGTAGGTAAAACTCAGCGAGACCTGATTCCCTCATGAGGACTCTGTTAAGGATAAATTCCACTCAACAAGTGATGCTTAGGACACACTTTTGAACAGCTCATGTGCATCAACATATTTAAATGTAGATCTCAACCAAAAACCAAGGTGTCACATAGGCTGTCACTTTATGTTTGGGTTAAAATAAAAAATAAGAAATGGTAGGTAATGAGGTTAGAGAAGAGGAAAATGATGTCTTTGATTGTCATAGTGGTAAAAATTTGACATTCAAAGAAATAATTTAAAATGTATAAACCAAACAGTGGAAATGTGTCAAGTTAAAAGGGGATTAGTGACGTTAAAACCTTTTCAGTGCAATGTTAAATGGGAGCTATACAACTCTTCCTAAATAACAAACAAAAAGCACGCACACTTACACAAACACAAAAAGAAAACAAATAACATCAACAAAGAAATACAGGAAATACAATCTACCACATACGGTAAACGTAGACTAGAACATGGAAGAGTTTTGAACATAAACAAGGAAATAAGAATGTTTTTATTAATCTAAATTCTTATCCGCCAAAATCAATCATAATAATAAAAGCTTAAAACATTATATGTAAAAAATCCAATAGTCCAGAGTGAGAGGCAAGAAATGTTTTAATTAAACAGATTTAAAATTTAAAATTTTAACTGATGGACTAAAATTAATTTTGGATGAAAGTTATAATTGGGGCAGAGAATATTCTTTTTCACAACAGAATGCCAGCAAAAAGAAATTAAAATTAATTTTGGATGAAAGTTAAAATTTGGGCAGGGAATGATCTTTTTTACAAAGAATGCCAGCAAAAGCAAGTATAAGGTAAGATTTTGAGATAGACAATTTTCAATGTACAAACTTAAATATAATAACTGACACAGACGGGGTGATTAATTGGTGATAAAATGTTCTGAAGAAGATCACTAGAATACAGGATATTTATACTATTTCAAACCACTTTCCAAATTACTTACAAATAAGATGTCTTTACAAGGGACAGAGCTCCTAGACCCCTCCTTAACCAAGTGACCATCCTAGTATCACCGCACTGGGGATGGACACACTGGGCCTTCTCTGCCTGCAGATGGGCTGAGGTAGGAAGCTCACAGCATGGACTCTGCAGAGTTCCTGGCAAAATGTTTAGGCTGAATTTAATCATGACGACATTTTCAGATAACTTCAGAATGTAGACCATTGAGCCAGACAGCTGACCTGTCCTCCACAAACAAGTCCATGTCACCACCATCAATGACAACAACAAAAAGATGAGGAGATGTTTTGGGTTCAAAATGACTAAAAAAGCATAAGCTGCATAGGCTTTTTACTCTTTTTGAACTCAAAATGTCTCTTCTCCTTTTTGTTGTGTTCTTGGTGGTGACATGGACTGTTTGAAGGAGACAGGTCAGTTGTCCTGTTCAATGTTCTACATTCTGCAGTTATCTGAGGGTTACCGCCTATGAAACTCAGGCTAAGCGTTTTCAGCAAGAACATGGCATTGCTCATACTCTGCCCTGGCAGAGTCCCGGCTGACATGCTGTCTCCTGCCAGCAGCTGCGGACTCCTGTTCTCTACACGATGGGAATTGAGAAACAGGGCTAACGCCGGTCAATGCTATTTGTCCATCTGGGCATTGGTCTCCCTAGGTATTGATCACAATTGGAGGGGGATGGAATGTGGCTTCTCAAATCAAAGGAGCATAGTGGCTTGAAGTCATCAAGAGTATTCTGTGTCTGAAATTCAATCCTCAGTGAAGGACCCCTGCAGTATTGTGTTTGGACTTAAACTTGCTTTGCTGTTTTAGTTGTTTTTATCAAGTGGAAAAGCTGCTTTTTGTGACATTCTTTCATCCTGCCATCCTTTGCGTCCTTCCAGCAGTATTTGGTATCTGTAGGGGAGAGAGAGAAAAAAAATCAAATGAGCATTTTTGTCAGGTCCACCTGATGGCTGAGTCTGGAGGGATTGCTAAGCAGTGATATCTCACTGGGATCTCCTGCTGGGAGGATGAGCTGAAGGGTGAGTCCTGGGCTGTCAGAAGGGGGAAGCACCATCCACAAGTGAGAAGAAAACACTCCTGAACTTCCAGTCAGCCTGGGGTGCAGGATATAAGGACCCCACCTATGCCCAACCAGCAGTGGGCAACATCATCCCCTTTCCTCCTGATCCCCTCTGTCTGGAGCAGAGTGAGGGCTTTTCCTCCCAGTGAGCATGTACTCAGCATCAATCATGCATGCCAAGAAACAGAGGGGAGCAGAAGGACAGGAGCCTCTGCAGAGAAACCCACCCCCTTACAACTCCATGTCCTAGTCTTCTAGGGAGGAGCGGGAGGGCCATGGGAAGAACCCTGGATATGAGAAGCAGCAGAAACCTCAGACAACATCCACGTCCAGGTCCACATTTTACAACAGAGGAGTAGTGATGCCACAGGGGTAAGATGGAACTAAGGCCACATGACTTGCTATTGACAACCCAGGAATTAGAATCCACCCACTAAGGCCTTTCAATAAAGATTGGAGAAAGCGAGAGGAAAGGCTCCAATCTGGAGGTCTCAACAGTCATGAGTGGTGGTTGGGTCACCTTGGCTAGGACAGGAATAAGGTTTTACAGATAAATATGATGGTGCTGCTGTTTCTTTGGTTGGTTAAAAAAAATAAAAAATATATATAATTATAAGTTTTTGTCCAAAGGTCATCAGGAAAGAAAGGGAGTTTAAAAAAAGAGACTCAAAATGGAGTTAGCAAAGTGAGAAAAGGGACTGTAACCATGGCCCAACTTATTTTCCCTAATGCCCTGAAGTTGATTCCACATCCGGTTCCACCTTAAGGCATTTCTAGAAATATTCTCAATATCTAGACCAAGAAAACTCTGAAGTACAAAGTGAAAAGGATTAGTTTGTGTTTTACTACAGTCTCCCGTCCCGCTTATTGTTTTCCCCAAGTACATTATGAGAAAGGTTTCTTTTTAATATTTTATGCCAGTGTGAAGAGAGGCATGAAGAAGTATTCATATACAATCTCGTGCAGCATTTCAGTCTTAATTTGTTATTGTATGCTCTTCAGGACAGGGGGACCAATGAGTTCTCTTTGGGGATTTTGCAGAAGGACAATAATTGACCAAAAGTAAAATTTTCACATTGCAGTGGTGAGACCATTGGTGGGCTATAAAATGGGTGTGGGGAAATGTAAACTGGAAGTTTTATTTTAAAATGCAAAAGAAAATACTGAATTCCACTATATGTAATATGGCAGGTATTATTTCCGTACATTAGGTGTTAATATCATGACTATTTCTTACTTATCTTGTATTCAAAATTCAGCAAGTGTGCTTCAAGCAGAGGCTAAAAGTCTAATCTATTAATTTTCTTGTTTTTCTTCTTGATTTTTTTCTATGCTATACGAAGAGTACTATTGAGAGGGGAATACAGATCCCATCAAAGTCTGATAGAGGCTCAGCCTTTTCTGTGGAGTAGCCACACATATGTGGCACTTCCATGTTGGTAACCTGAGGTCATAGTAGACCAGGGGTCCTTCTCGTCTTTAGCCACATATTAGAATCACATGGGAGCATTTTGAAACTACAGATGCTCAGACCACACCCCAGGCCATGTAAGTGAGCATCTCTAAGTGTAAGTTGAAGGCATTCATCTTAATTGAAATCTCACCGGGTGCTTATTACATGGCAGCAGGATTTAGAGATACTAAATGGACCAGCCCAATTTCCCATCATTTTCTTTCCTTTCCCCGTTTATCTCATGACTGGCTTTGTTCCCAGTGGTTCCATGGATTTTAGCCTTCTCTCTGACAATTTCAGTTAAATCTCTGTCTTATCAATTGGGCTGCACCGAAGCAAAGACTGTCCTGTAGACAGATTCCTGTCATCTAGTGTATGCATAAAGCTGGTCCTGGAGTCACTTTTCTCAAAGTTAATTCATAAAATGCTCTCTCATATACAATGGCCTCAAGATTCATCTGACTTGCATTTCAGACCCTTAACTGGACTTGAAAAGTGGAAATGAGAATAAAAAGGAGAGAGGTTAGAATGACGTACCTCATGATGTATGCAGTTTTCAAGTCCTGCCCTCTGCATGTACTTTTGGAGTGATGTCCCTTTAGAATGTCATAAATGTTCCCCAGTTAACATCAGCTCAAGTGAGTCCATGAGGTGAGAACACTGAGACCCTGGCAACTCCATCCACGTTGGCACTAAGCTGCACATCTGGGGCTAAAGACAAACCTGACTCCAGGCCAGTAGGGAACTCCCACCTGTGACCCTGGTTCTAGTTTAGTTTCCTAGAGGGGCTCTTAGTGCTTAGTTTTAACACTTCTCATTCAGAGGAACAAGTGATGATTAAGAGTTGAATTAGTTGTGTTGCTCAAAAGAAGACTCAAGAGGAAAATCTTCATGTAAATGATGTATTAAAGCAATGACTTCTGCAGAAAGAGGCAATGGAGTTGGGGATGCAGCAAGGAAAGGTAAATTTCCCAAAGGAGTGTGTGATTCCGGGCAAACAACCCTGTGTTCAGCAGCTTAAACTATGTACTTGGATGGGGACAAGGAGGCCTGGCTCTCCTGTGGCCATGAGAGGGACTCTCAAGACAGCAGAAAAAGGAATAGAGCAGAGTTCAGAGAGTAAAGAGGAGATGGGTAGAGAAAGGGCCAGTCAGGGTGGGAGCCCATGGGACACAGAGCTAAGACCAGACAGAGGTTAGAGCAGCTGTTGGAGAGAACAAATGGGAGAGAAAAAGCAGTGAGAGAATGAGCTGTCACCATAGACGGAGAAATAAGAAGTGAGTGCAGCTATCAGCCATAGATGTGATTACCTCTGCGCTCTCAGCATGCGGGCCAGCGAATCTGAATGCCAGTCTCCACTTGCTGAACGGGAGTCTTCTTCTGATGGTCTTCAGTATCAGGACAAGGGAGGCACGAATCCGGCCAGTGACTTGACGCCCTTGTGTGTTGCTTGCTGAGCCTTCAAGTGCATCATCTTCCAGCTGGGGAGGGTTCTTCATCCCCAGAGAGGGCTCTAAAACCAGCTCTGAAAAGAAAACCACAGCCAATGGGATCCGCTGCCATCCATGATCTTACCGTAACTTTCTCTTCCACCCAGAGGACATCAAATCAGGAAAGAGCCTTGGACAAGAAAGTCCAAAGGGTGAGGGGAAGCCGATAGAGTCACTTTAATACTTTCTTTTTTGTTGATCTTTCCTACATTACTCAGTAACGACAAGATTGCCAGGATCCAAAGGCACTGCCAAGTCACAAAAATATTCCAGAAACATAGGATTCAGAAACACAAATAGCTTCCAGGTAGATAAGGCAAAGGCAAGGAAATAACACTGTATGTAGGCTATGCTTTGGGGAGAGAAGAGATTACAAAAATCAAAGTTAAATAAGAACTGGGTTCAAACAGGAGATGGGAATGGAAGGGCCTGGCAGGGTGGCAGCCCATGTGGCACAGAGGTGAGACCAGACATAGGTGACAGCAACTGATGAGAGGAAAGAACCAGGAAGACTAAACCTAGAGAATTTACAAAAGTTGCATCATTATATGATCTACTGCATATATATATACACCCTATATAGCATACACACCAGATATACATAGTCACACGTAATAGGACAAATGATACAAATGCATGTATCTGTACACATTAATTTAAAGAAAAAAAATATAGGGATTTGGGAGGGATTGAATGTAAGAGTAGAGTCACTATTCTGGTCCATCGAAATTGGAAAAATAATTGGAGACATGAGAAGAATGAGAAAGAATAGGTATGGGAGAAACAAATGACCTGGTAGACAGCAGGGAGAAATCACCAGGTGAAGGAAAGTGTTAATGAAACGAAAGGCGTTCACTCTGTCCTCTTACCTGGAGCCTGGTTCAGGCTCTGGACTCCAGGGAAAGTGAGCAAGAGGGAGTGTGTCTGAGCCAGTGGGGTGAGTCTTGGCTGGGGGTGTGAGAATCCACAGAGAAGCAAAAGAGAGTTCAGTGCTAAGAAATCAGTCTAAATAAGTTATCATGGCACGTGTCAGGGACTGCACATCCCCCGACACTCCCGGAGCACCTTCCATGTGTCCTCTCCACTGGCCCAGATGGTGCTCATTATCTCACGCAACCCTCCCTCCCCCTGAGGACAGGGGTTCCCTCATTCCTCAGCTGAGGGCATCGCCTGACAGATGAGCACCAGGCAGCCCCAGGGGCTCCAGGAGGAGATATTGAGTGGGATGGAGAGTGAGAATGAACACGACCCAGGATTTTAAGGTAATCTGAGCAGAAATGGATCCCTGTGAGACAGAAACCGAGGACATGGCCACGGACATGAGTGGAGAATGTGAACTAAATGGAATTTCATAAAAGAGACTGATGTGAACACTTTCCATGTGAAAGTTGCCCTTTTATTTCAAAAAAAAGCAGAAAAAACAGCAGAAGCAGCTGGACATGTCAGGAGACTGAGTGTGGGCCCAGGATTTACACTGTTACTCAATGTGCCTCATAGGTTGTTATTGAAAGTGCCTGACAGGGGAAAATTGGCTTCATGAGGGATGGAGAAGGAGAGGAAGAAAACTGGCAGAGGAGTCTGTGTGAGAAAGGAAAGGAAGAGGGGTCCTAGAAAGCAGAGATCTTCATAACTGCTCTACCTCAGAGGAGACATCGTCCGTGAAGTCACTTGCTAAGTGTAAATTTAGCAGAAAGATAAAAGGATTAGATAACACCTACTCATAGGTTTATTGGGCAATTCTTATGGAATCAGGCCCTTTGGAAATTATGATTGCAGGTAGATATTATTCTTCAGGTATCTTAGATGAGGGAACAGAGATATAAAGAGCAAAAAGACAAAAACCTTGGCCAAAGTCAACAAGCAGAAAGTGGCAAACCCAGGTCCTGAGAGCAGATTCGGTCCTAAGCTCCAGGCCTTTGCTCACCTCACTGGGTTGGAGCATCATGGATTTCAACTTGACCCTGAGGAAGCATGGGAGGCCCCATTCTCTCCTCCACCCACAGCACCGTCGTGACCACCAACACCTGGATTAGAGCTTCATGACGCCGTTTCCTTCCCTACCTTGGAAGGGCCATTGGTTCCCAGAATCAGCATTGGCTGAGAAGCTGCAGGTGGTGGAGGAAAGGCCCCGCTGGGCCAAGCCGTTCCCACAGTGGAACCCTTGATCCAGCTGTAGTCGCAGACAACTGGGCACCAGGGTGCTTGGTTCCAGCTGTGCCTGTGAAACTTGCACCTCTGACTGGTGGTGGCTCAAGTCTCCACTCCAAGTCCCTTGGGGACAGGCCGCCTCGGTGGGGGCTGAAAGGAGAAGGGGCTTCAGTAGGAACAATCTCAGTTTTCCCTTTGTTAAGTCATCCCAGAACACCCATCCCTGATGTCCCTGCTCTCAGTAAAGCCACCCAGTGACCCACGCCACACAGACAGACATCATGTAAATGCAGGTGACGTCACCTCTCCTGCCTGTGCCTGGGGACGCTGACACGGTAGGGGCCCAGGCTGGGGTGTCCCTGAGGTGAAAAACCTCTGCTTCAGCCCAGAGGGCTTTGGATTGTCTAACAAGACCATCCCGATTATTCTGTTACTATTCATCTCTTTCCTGTGCCCAGAGGGAAAGTTCTAGAGAGGCCTCAGAGCACAGGAGAGGAATGGTTATTTTTCTCCACACACAGGGGTGTAAGAACGGGTCAAGGGTTAGAGCTGCGAGGCTTTGAGAAAGAACCACGAAAAAGGGGGCTGGGATGCTACAGACCAAACGCTAAGTGAGGCAAACTTTTCTGGGTTCGGGGACATTTTGAATTTCCCATTGACTATAATGGTTTGACCCCCTACCCACACATATCCATCCTCTTGCCATATAGTGGGTGTCAGCAGACATAGGCAATGTAGGAGAGGGACCAGTCCCTTCCTGCAAATTCAGGGGCCACAAGTGCTACAGATCAGCATGTGCGGTTCCTTAGGAAGGCAACACAGGACACGATCCTCACATTACCCACTCCTCCAGTGGGGTTCGGGTGGCACCCCTTAAACAAATTGTTTCCATTTCCACAGGGAGAGGAATACACGTTCTGAGTGGACTAAGAAAAGACTTCCAATGACCTCACGCCAGTCCAGGTCGGTCTCAAGATGGGGACGGGGCCTGCAGACTGGATCCACGTTGCTGTGGGGCTCCTCTCTCTCCTCCCCTCTCCACATCTTCATTCTCTCCAAGGTTTTCTAAGTTTTCTTAAAAATGCCTCATTGTTCTCAGCTCCAACATGGAGATGCCACTGCCCACTTGGGCGTGTCCCTTGATCCCTGAATGGTTTATAGCAGGACAGAGCTTGCTTGCAAAGGGGCAGGGCATACAGCAGGTGCAAGGTCAGTGTGTATTCTAATTGTTTCATGAATCACTGTGATGCTAGAAAAGCATTTGCTTTTTTGAAACTCAGGGAGAAATGCAAAATGGGAAAGGGGCTGGTCCCAGTATGAAAGGCACTTGCAAGGTCAGTGTGTATCCTAATTGTTTCATGAATCACTGTGATGCTAGAAAAGCATTTGCTTTTTTGAAACTCAGGGAGAAATGCAAAATGGGAAAGGGGCTGGTCCCAGTATGAAAGGCACTTACCAAAATAGAATAGAGGCCAACATTTTTGTTGCTAGTTTCTTTCTTTGTGTGTGTGTGACACAGGGTCTCACTTTGTTGCTCAGGCTGGAGTGCAGTGGTGCAATCATGGCTCACTGCAGCCTCAACTAACCAGGCTCAGGTGATCCTTCCACCTCAGCCTCCCAAAAAGCTGGGACTACAGGTGTGTACCCCCATACTCTGCTAATTTTTTTTTACAGATACGGTTTCACCATGTTACCCACACTGGTCTCAAACTCCTGAGCTCATGCGATCCACCTCCTTAGCCTCCCAAAGTGCTGGAATTACAGGCATGAATCAACACACCTGGCATTTTTGCTAATCTCGTTACAACATAATCCAATATACTGGGGGACATCACAGAGTTCCTTGCTCTTACTAGAAGATAATGTAATGGGTAAAACCCCCAACAATCCACATGAAATTCCCAGAATTGAAGTAAAAAAAAAAGAGAATGAGCAAGAAGAAATGAAAATTGGATTTTCTTTTTACACATCCTGTGAAGCTGCTATCTCAAGGGGCGATTGCTCAGAGGAAGGGTTTTCTGGACCTCATGGGGACAGGAACCACTCTGCTTTGCTCATCGGTTAGGCCAGAGCCTCATGAGGGACACTAGTTGTCGATGGTTTTCATGAGAATAGAGCACTGAGACCAAAACTTGATTGACACTACAAACCCACACATGGAGAAAACCACTGGAGCTCTGCAGAGGATGCAAGCCCGGCCACACATAAAGGAAGGGTCGCTGGACTGCGTCAGTGGAGGGAAGACACCTCAGAGGAAGTAGAGCCGCAGTCCCAAATCTTTTTGGCACCCGGGACTGGTTTCATGGAAGACCATTTTTCAGGCACCAGGTTGGGGGGGATGGTTTTGGGATGATTCAAGCACATTCCATTTACTGTGCACTTCATTTCTATAAACATTATATTGGAATATATAATGAAATAATTATACAACTCACCATAATGCAGAATCAGTGGGAGCCCTAAGATTGTTTTCTTGCAACTAGATGGTCTCACCTGGGGGTGACAGTTACTGGGAGACAGTGACAGATCATCAGGCATTAGATTCTCGTAAGGAAAACACAATCTAGATTGCTGGCATGCACAATTCACAATAGAGTTCGAGCTCCTGTGAGAATCTAATGCCACTGCTGATCTGACAGGAGGTGGGATCCAGGCTGAAATGCTCTCCCACCGCTCACCTCCTGCTCTGCGGCCCAGTTCCTAACAGGTCATGGACCCATAATGGCCCATGGCCCCAGGGCTGGGGATCCCTGAAGAAGAGAATCTAGCTTGGGACACAGGAATCATGAAACAGGCCTCCAAATAATTGGGCAAAACTCCCAACATATGTGGATGGCCAGAGAAGAGATAAAGACATGGAATTAGCAAGATAATTTCAGAAAAGAGAGATGCCCTATCTTAAAGAAGGAGGGCTGTTACATAAATTTCTCCAGCTGAGCTACTGTGGCCAGGAATTTGCCATAAGCCCTCACCACTCCCTTCTCTGGCCTGTTTTGATAGCCAAAGCCTGCTCCTGTGAGAAGGAGCCAGGTGACAGAGGAGGCACTTGGAACAGGAGAAGAGGAAGTTCTACCCAGTGGATGTCTGTGCTTAAAACTGGATCCAAGAGCCAGATTCAAAACAAGCTCAGTGTATAGAGCCTGCTGCAGAGATGGTCTGTCTCAGCTGCACAAGTTGCAGGAAACAAAACATACAGAGGCTGCCTGGGAGGACAGTGGAGCTTTGTGATCTCCAGGGTGAAGTACTCACAGGCTACATCCAGAGCAGAGCAGGCAAGCTGATCCTCCAATGAGGACAAGGTGCTGCTATAAGGCTGGTGGCAGTCAGACACGTCATGGTGAACTGAGGGAGTCAAGTAAACTTCATTCACAGAGTCCTCTGGGACTTCCTGCTCCTTCACCTCTGGCAGCTCCTGGCTGAGCCTGGGGTAAAGAAGACAGAAGATAAACACCAGAGAGAACCAACACCCAGCTGGTTCTATAGGGAGGCCCTTAGGAAGGCCCAGAGGAAGCAAAGTACATTCCCCTGAGAGAGATACAACCATCCTTCCCTGTCTCGAGTAGGAGACAGAGCACGACAGGCTCTCAGTGCACTGGGCAGGCAATGAGCTGGGGAGGAAGCAGATGGAGTGATCCCTGCGGGGAACTGCCAGGACACAGTGCATTCGGCACTTTTGCATCCATTTTGTTGAAATTAGCGTCAGTGGCCAAATGAATACAGGCTCTTGAGTCTTCACAGAGTTCCTGTATCCTCAACAGCTCTTGTTCTCAACATTGTAGCATGGCATGATTTATTTTCATTCACTTCCCTGCTATCGAATACTTGCAAACATGGTAATGCCAAAGAGGCAGACATCAGATGTGCAACTCAACTTCACTTTAAGCAAAAAGGACAGAAAAGGGGACTGCAGAAAATGTCTGTGAGTGATCAGTTCAACAGAGTCAACTGAATGCAGATTAGACGAATTGAAAGGAATTAATAAGGAGGAACTAGAAATACAGGTGTACAATGAAAAGAGTCAACCTTATGAATATGGCATTTCATGGTTGGCTGAACAGATGGAACAGGTATATTCAGCACACTCTGATTTTCCCTGCATCTGAGACTCCAGATATCAACACTGAATTAACTGTTCAGGATTCCTCAGAGTTACCTGGGGCATGGTGGGCTTTGGTCTTCTATCTCCTCTTGATCCTTTTTAATTTCTGTAAATAAATTCACAAAGGGACAGACAGATTAAGCAGGTTCTCCTACACACATAAACAATCCACTGTGCAATCCTAACATAGAAATGTCAGTTTCCTCAGTGGGAGAACAGGACACTGTGAGAGAAATATTCCAGGAGGCCTGAGGTCCTGTCATGAGAGAGATGCCTTGGTTTTCTTCCCTGGGCCTAGGAATGCAATCTCCCTGTTCTGGTAGATCATTATCCCAACATCATCTGTCCTGATTTTGTGCAAACAGTTATGCAAATTTTTCACACCAGTTGAAGGCAAATACCCCAGCTGCTTTCTAGAAGGAAAACTGCAATATTCAGCTTTCAATCATCAAATACTCACGTTGTTCATGGTTACAAGGATTTTAGACACTGAAACTAGAATGTAGGAGGGAATCTACAGACCCTTGAATGAAAATGAATCTTTGGTTCAATACAAAGAGACATTGGCTATTCGTGACATCTAGGAGTGACAAGGCCCAATCTTGTTTCTAGAAACATAACAAAAGGTAATGGACTGCTCAGCTAAAACAGGATAACATCAAAGACATAGAGAATGAGGCTAGGTTCTTTGAAACCTGGGTAATATCTTTAATGAAAAGTAGACAAAAATGCCACAGGCGTTGGGCAGGCATAGAATCTCACAGGACATGGTTGGGGAAAGGAACTTGTAAGGAACACGATAGCTGGCAAGACAAATCTTATTCAGATTAAGAGGCCTGACAGACACCTGTTGGGCACGTGCTGCATAGGTTGGTGTGAATTTGTCAATGTCGTGACAGTGGGCGCAGGGTGACACAGGCATGGTCTGAGATGAGGAAGAGAGCAAAGCTCACTGACCCACCCCTGTCTGTGCTTCCAACTTGATTTTTGATGCTGATGCAAATCATCCTGTGTCTGTGAGTCACGCCCACACCAATGACACATCTCAGTCCAGCCAGGGATGTGAAGTGCAAGGATTACGGAGTCTACCTGGGACACCAATTGGAGATTTATCATGTTCACAATGGAGTACTCACTGTCTACAAGAGCCAAGCTGACTTGCTTGTCTTCAAAAGAGTACAAAGTGCTCCAATAAGGGTGGTAGGAGGGAGTCAGGTCAGGAAGGATGGAAGGAGTCAAGCAACATCCATCCAGTGACTCCTGGGGGATTTCATGCTTGTCCACTCTCAGCGGTCCCCTGCTGAGCCTGTAGGGTAAGAAGGACTAAAGATTAATCCAAGGAGTTTCAGAGCCCTAGCTGGATTTCACGTGAGGCATGAGGGAGTGATCGCAGAAAACAAATGGGTCAACCCATTAAACAGTTAAATATTCTCCTCTTCTTGGTGGGCACAGTGTGGTTGCCATGGGTAGGTTGCAATACAGAGAGAGGGAAAGAGAGAGATGAGAGAGAGAGAAGCATCAGGTGCTCAGCAAAGTAGCCAGATTATGATTTTCTGAGGAAGGAGACTGAGTCTCTCTGTATGGTAGAGTCGTGACTTACTGAATATCATGTCCTATAACAGTGGTTTCATTCCTTTCTTTTAAATGATGTTAAATTTTATGTGTAGTGGCCAAGTAAACATAGGTTTTGAGGCATAATCGTATCCCCGAAATCGCATGGCATCAAGTCCTCTTTCTCTCAATATTGTGCATGGTATAACAATAATTTTTTTCTACCTAATTTCCTTGCCTTGAAATGCTCACCACTGTGCTAATGCAAAACCAGCAGAAAGCAGATATGCATCTCAGGCTGGTTGACACCATAAGAAGAGTATACTTACTTTAAGGAAATCTGTGTGACTGATTAGTTGTTCACAAGGTCAAGTGGTTTGATGTACTGAACTTAAGAAGTTAATAAGAAATGCAAACATTAAAAGTTTCACAATGAAAATGTAAAACATGGTTAAAAAAGATCATTTCCGGTTGGCTGAAGGGATGAATTAGGTATATTCAGGACTTTCTGGTTTTCTGTGGAGATGAGTTTCACAGATATCACCCCTGAATAGACAGCCCCTGATTTTTCTCAATTACCTGGGAGCAACTGTTTCTTGTCCTTTCACCTCTTCAAGATCACTTTGCTTTTCTGTAAATAAATTAAGAGAAGACCAGCCAGGTGAACCTGATCACATTCACACATGCACAACCTTGTGTCCAAATCTACATAGGGGCATAAATACACGCAGTGCGAGAACAGGCTATTGTGAGAGAAACTTTCCAGGAGGTCTCAGGGTGAGCCTTGTGAGAAGTCACTAGGTTTGCTTTCCTGAGTCATGGAGCAAATCTCCCTGATCTGACAGGTCATCATCACAGTCCCTTCTGTCTTGAGTCACAGCAAACTGTTAACCATATCCTGTTTACTAACAGATCCTGGGGATCTACTTTAATGCTTCTTAGCAGGTTACTGCAGTATTCAGCATGTTTCCTTCTGATAAGCTGTTGTCAGTGTTTTTGTAGAATTTGCATTTAGAGGGACAGATTAAATCAAAAGAATCTCTAATGCTACATGGAAACATTGGCCTTTCATATGGCAGGGAGTTCCAGGGCCCGGCCTCCTTTCAGAGAAACATACAAAATTTAATAGTGGTGTTCATGTTCTGGTACTCAGAGACTTCTTAGCTAAGACAAGCCTACTAAAAGGGGAGGGAGTCTAGCCTGAGAGAAGTGAACGAGGGAAATGACAGCTCCAAGAATATCGATAAGGCTGCCAGTGGCCTTGGACAGGCAGAGAAACTCAGGTTGTTTGGGAGGGAAAATTAGATTTCATGTGAGATGACAGATTAAATCTAAATCAGGAGGACTGGTAGATACACCCTGCACCCAGGCTGCAGAGGTGGGTATGAATTTGTCAGGTCAACCTTGGGTACAGTGATCTGCCAATGGGGCAATGATGAAAGACAATGTGTGGTTTTGGACTAGAATGGAGCACAACTCTGACTTATAGGATGCCTTCCTTCAAACTCAATCCTAGAGCCTGGTTCTAACCAGTATATAAGCATAGAGTCTTCCTGAAGGTATGACATCCGTCACTATGGACAAATCTGGGGTACAAACAATAGGGAGCCTACCGAGGAAGCCAAGTGAGGTTTCATCCCATTTGGGATTGGAGTAATCCCTGGCAACATCCTGAGCGGAGCAAACTTTCTGTTCATCCAATGCCAAGAAAGAGACTTCACGATGCCGGTAAGAGTTGGACTTGTCATGGTGTCTAGAATGAGACAAAACACATTTCTCTGGCAAGTCCTGCAGGACTCCCTTCTCTTCAGAATCCTGCAGCTTTCTGATGAGCCAGGTAGGATAGAACGACAGAAGGTTAGACCAAGACAGATTCAACACCATAGTATCTCAGGTGATTTGATAGGACACAAAGGGTGTGGTCACAGAAAGCAAAGGAGGGTCTCCTCCAAGAGAGAAAAATCTATCCTTCTAAATGTGGGGTGGAGTGTGACTGTCCTGGAGACAGAGCAAACATGAGCAGCAGGTGCTCAGTGCACTTGCCACAAACGAGCGGCTGCAGGAGGACCCAGACTCTCCCTGTAAGCTAGCATCAAGCATCATGACTTGCAGCACTGAGAACTAAGCTGGGACTTCACTTCCTTTACACAAATTGCGTTGACATTACATGCAGCATCCAAGTGAACACAGCTCTTGAGGCATTCCCAACGCACAGATCCTGTGTTTTTAAGGTCCCCCTTTTTTTTCAATATTTTGACATAATATGAAATTTTTATTTTTAATTTTCTCGATTGCATTCAAATACTTGCCAACATGCTGTCACAAAACATACAGAAAGCATATATGCATCTCACCCTGGATTAGCCACATGGGAGACCACAGGTGAGATCAGGAAATCCCTGAGGTTGGTCAGTTCACCTGGTTCAAGTGATTGTCGGTTCCTATGCTTGAGAGGGATTAAGAAATTGAAACCTATTCAAGTACCACAATAAAGAAGACAACATTGTTAAAGGGGCAATTTGCACTTGGATGAATGGATGAGACAGTTCTATTCGTCACTTCCTATTTTCCCTTGATCCGTGGTGTCCAGATGTCACTATTGAACTAACAGCCCACAAATCCACAGTTACCTGGGGGGCACTGGCGCTTTCCCCTCCTCCTCCTCATGGTCATTTTGATTTTCTGTAAACAAATTCAGAAGAGCAGGTCACAGTAAGGAAATCACACAAGAGCAAATAAGTGTCCAGTCATAGCACAAGAACATAAATATCCTCAGTGTAAGAATGTGACATTTTGACAGGATCATTCTGACTTATTTTCAGAAGTAGATGTGCCTGCTTTCCAGACCCATAGGACAAAATCTCCCTCATCTGGTAGATCATAATCACCTATCCTCTGACCTAAGTCTGTGCAAACAATTAAACAAAACTTTTTCCCCAAGATTTTCAAAAATTGCCCTAACCACTCTCCAGAAGTGTTGTTGCAATACTGATTTATCTCATCATATATCATGGTCAACGAATGGTTAGAGAAATTTGTATAGGAGACTGAACTGATGGATAAATTCTAACAATCCTTGCATAAAAAAGAGTCTGCGGTGCTACACAGAAACATTGACCGCTCATGGGGTGAAGAACTCAGGGCCCAGCCTCGTTTAGGGAAACTTATAAGCAAGATAAAGGTAGAAGTGTTTATGTCCTGCTTTCAAGGTGACTGCTTAGCTGGGACAAGCTGACCTAAAGGAGACCAAGCCTGGGGCCGAGAACAGTGAATCCAGAGACACATCTCCAATTACATAGGCAAGACTGTCAGTCGCCTGTGACAGGCATAGAAACTCCATGGACATTGTTCAGGGACACAAATCATTATTGCATGTGACAAGAGACATAGGAACCGAGCCAGGAGGCCTGACAGATACCTCCTGTACACAGGTGGCTATGACTTTGTCACACCTGCCTGTGGTCCAGTATGCTAATATTGGGGCCAGGAAGACAAAGTCCATGCCATGGGCCTAGGAGGAGAGGAATGTTCTCTGACCCTCACATAACTGTGTTTAATATTCTATCATAGTTTCTCTCTTTCTTTCTTTCTTTTCTTTTCCTTCTCTCCCTTTCTTTCTTTTTCTTTCTTTCTTTCTTTTTCTTTCTTTCCTCTCTTTCTCTCTCTCTCTCTCCTCTCTCTCTCTCTGTTTCTTTCTTTTTCTTTTTTTGAGACACAGCCTCACTCTGTCACTCAGGCTGGAGTGCAATTGTGGCTCACTGCAGCCTTTACTTCCTGGGCTCAGGTGATTCTCCCGCCTCTGCTGCCTGGGTAGTTGGGATGACAGGCACGCACCACCATGCCTGGCTAGTTTTTCATGTTTTTTGTAAAGACGGGTTTCATCACATTTCCCAAGCTGGTCTTGAACTCCTGAACTCAAGTGATTCACCCGCCTGGGCCTCCCAAAGTGCTGGGATTATAGGTGGGAGCCACCGCCCCCGGCTCCACTATACTTTGTGATTCAAACCAATATGTATGTATACAGTCTGTCCTCAGAATTGATCTTCCTCAGCCTAGACAGAGCTAGGAGGGACAAAGAATAGAGAGGCTACCTGGGGGAATGTTTAGAGCTTCCTCCTCTTCATCATGAGGGTGTTCACTCTCTACAACCAGAGCAGAGTCGACTTCGTGTTCCTTAAATGTGATTTTGGTGCTCCTGTGAGGCTGGTTGGAGTTAGAAGGGTTGTGACTATTTGAACAAGTGACAGCACATTCCTCCAGTGAGTCCTGAGGGACTTCCTTTTCTTCAGTCTTCTGCACCTCTCTGATGAGCCCAGTGGGATAGAGATGACAGAAGATTAATCCAAAAGGCATTGCACCCCAAGAAGTCCTAGGTGGTTTTGAAAGGAGGCTTAAGAGAGTGGTCCCAGAATGCAAAGGAGAGGTTCCTTTTAAGAGGGAACAGGCAATCCTTTTCTGTCTGCAACAGAGCGTGGCTGCCATGGGAACCAGAGAGGAAGACAGCAGCTAGTGATCATTGCACTGGGCAGATAGGAGCTGAGGAGGAGGAAGACTCAGCTGTCCCTGTATGGTACAGTCTTGACAGCACACACAGAGAACCAAAAACAGCTGCCACATGGTGTGTCTAAGCTGGGTTGTAGTTAACATACTGTGGCCATGGCTATACAGGCATTTGAGCCATTGTAGACTTCAGAGATGGTGTGCCTTCTAGTTTTTTTAAAATTTTAATATTGTGACATGAAATGTAAATTTTTTTGTCTAGGTACTGTACTTTGTGTTCAACTTTGCTAGGTGCTTCCTATTTCCTCTGCTTGTTGCCTCTCTGCTATTTATCTTTCCTAAAAAGAACCTAAAGACAACAGTGTAGAAAGCAGCTTTACATCTCATCCTGGCTTTCACTACAGGGGAGAACAGGTCTCCTCTGTGTGTGCAGGAAGTCCCTAGGGATGGTGAGTTCATCTAGGGTCATGCTTACAGGCACCAGGAAGACAATGGACAAGCACGTTAATGGGGCTATTTCCTTGTTGGGTGAGCACATGAAATCAGTGCACTCTGCAGCTTTCTTTATCCTGCCTCTGGAATCTGTGACTACCTTCACCTCCCTTTTATTCTTTCTGAGACCTTTTTCATATTTTACCACCCATTACCCGCTCCTGATTATTCAATGTTACCTGGGGGCAGGTGATTCCTGTACTTTCTCAACCTCCTCGTCTTTGTCGTCTTCATCCTCATCTTCATCTTCATCATTTTCTGCAAATACAGATGTGTCCATTGAAATATTTCCCATTTCACCCACTGCAAGCACAGTGAGCCCTATGTGCACAGGGACATAAACATCTACATGTATAAGTCCACACTGTGCTGAAAGCTCTCATGTTTTATCTCTAAAAAAATGCCCTGGCATGTTTTCCTGATCCATGAGGCAATGTGTTTCTGATCTGGAGGGTCACCATCAAGATGTGGCCAAATATTGAAAAGACCTTTTCCTCTTCATATCACTGGAGGCTTGCCCAGCCTCTCTCTGAACTTCAGCAGCTGTCTCCCCAATCCTGCCACAGATCTGATTCCCACGCACAGGCTCTGTATCCTGTCACAGTTCGCATTTAGAACCTATATCTTTCTCTTCGAACAGGACAAACAACCTTGTCCCACAGTATTCCATACATTAGGGACTTCATGGGCCCTCCAAGTGGCTTCCACTGTGTTAACCGGGGACAATCTCTCCATGGGGAGTGCTCCAGTCTAAACCACTTCCTACCACCAAATGCCACCACATCAAGTGCCTTCTCCAACACCACACAGCAAGGGGCTTTATCTCATTGTGAAATATAGTCATAAGTGTTCCCACATTTGAATGCAAGAGACAATTTGTTTGCTTTTACAGATTTAGAGACAGAAACCCAGGAAGGATAAATTAATCAGTTGCCCACAGTTGCTAAAGACATTGCTGAAGATAGATCCTGGGAACATTCATTCTTAGTCCAGGGCTCCTTTCACTCTAAAAGCTGCTTCCTGTCACAGCCTCCTTCCTGTTCTTTAAAACTGGACGGATGTTGCCTCTTGCTCTAAAGACCACATTCCATCAAGAAAGGAGGATACATTTGCCATTCTGTAACCTCCACCCCATGGGTTTCCCATCTCTGCTCCCACCCAAGAAATTCTGATCATGTCGTGGCCACAAAAGTTTACTGGAAAGAAACACTACCCATACAATTGTCATTGTGGAGGTGTGGAGGTCTGGGGACTTTCATAAGCCTGAAGCTGTGTGTCATCAGGGCCCATGGCCACCTTACCTGGGCTCAGCTTGTGAACAAGGTGCTCTGCCAGCCTGTGCCCCTCAGCCAGCTGCTCTCGGAGGTCCTGACCCTGGGACTTGTCAGGGTCATCAGGAGTGAGGAGGGTTTTCAGATGCTTGTTCAGCCAGCGGGAGGCATCTCTCCCTTCCCGTAACTTCTCCCGTAACTGGGTCAGCTCTTTTGCCTGAGAGTGAACCAGGGCTTTATACTGCCTAAGGTGAGATAGTAGAGAACATTTAATAATGGAAAGGGATGAGTGATCAGTTCTAATACCGCAACAGAGGTTTCTCTGAGAATGTCCTCAAGGAGACCTCCAAGCAGAAGGTCAGAACATGTTTGGGGAAATGTCTGTGGCCAAGAGAAAGAAGAATATATATATATATATATACACACACACACACACACACACATACATATATACAAACATACACACACATATATATACAAACACACACACACACAGCCTTCTGATATATGAGAGACTGCTTCTGTAATATCCTCGCAGATGTTCCATTCATCTTTTTCTTCTGTAAACAAAAGTTAGTGTCTTCCTAAATCAGTTCCACAAGGATGTCCTTTCAGTTCCTCACTTTGGCCATGGGCATCTCTATGTGAAAATTCACATAGCGCATCTTGCAGTGACTAGATACAAAGCCATGCACAGAAATGTGGCCAGGTGCAGATGGGGTGAATTGGAAAGATGAAAGAAGAAAAGAATGACAGTGTTAAGAAGGCAATATTGATTGAACAAATGAAACGCCACAGTCAGTCAAGAGGTGATTCTGACTAAGAGTAAAGGTGGTGGTGATCGCACACCATTCTGAGTATCCTAAATGCTTCTGAGTGGTTCACTTTTTTTGGTTTATTTTGTGTTATGCAAATTTTACCTCAACAATCAGTGGTTTTAAGAAGAGAAAACAAGGCTTAAGAAACAACTACAACCCATAACTTACTAAGATGACTGTTCTCTGTTTTATAAATATTTGTGTGACACGTGCCTGCCATGTAAATGCCTGCCGTTGTCCTGGCCCAGCTCAGCTCTTAGTTCTCCCAGCTGAGTTGCTGCACTTCAGAGATTCACACCCCTGCCCATCTGCCTGCCCCCAGTGGGGCCCGCTCACCTGAGCTCCTCAGCTTGCCTGAGCTTCTCTGCCAGCTTCTCCATGGACTGCAGTTCATCCCTCAGCACAGAGTCTATGATGTCTTTGTACTCTTCACACTCTGAGAAAAGACAGACACGCCTGCCTCAGTGGAAGGTGGGACATGCTGCTGGGGTCACTGTCTATAGGGCAGGCGGCAGCATCCATCCCAAGGACGAAAGCAGCTCCAGTACCAGGCTCCAGGCAGGCATTTCCACATCTTTATTTATCAACCTCCCAACTTTCTGGCATCTGATACTCCCCAACTCAGGGATGGGGAGAAAGAAACACAAGGGCACATCAAGTAACTTGACAAGATGATTCACCTGGAAGAAGGCGGAGTCAGAATTCACAGCCCCTGAGGTCTGACTCTGAATCCTGGGCCACTTTCCCAAGCCTTGCGGCCTCTCCTGTAAAACACTGCACTGGTGCATGAAGTAGTGATTTTCTATACAGTCAGGAAGGCCCTAGGACTATGGGACCCAAAGTTTCCCTTGTACTGGGAATTTCAAGTGCGAATATGTCAAACATTTAAAAAATCATATCTGGATATAATTGCATAAAATATGAGGCACAAGACCGTGAGGCTATAGTAGAAATATGCCCAAATACTACTAAAGTTTGAATTAAGTTAGAAATAGTAGAATGAAGAACTAATAGATAGTGTTTACTCTGTTCCAAGAACTGTTCTAGGAAATTTACAAGAAATAGGTCATGTAATTCATTGCAGTAATTTACAGAGGTAGGTATTATTATAGTACTCAATGAGCAGATGAGGAAACTGAGGCACAGAGAAGATAGGCAACTTGGATGGAGCCCAGGAGACTGGCCCAGGGTCCCTGCTCTGCACACTACACTGCTACCTCTACAATGTCTCATGTGCCATCTTTCTTCCTCTTCAGGAATAAGAGCCTGTGCCCCAGGAAGCAGCACTTCCCTCTCACTGGGACACTCCCTGCTTTGAAGGGTGTCACAGATATCACAGTTTCTGTTAGGGGCAGTCTCCTCTTTAAGCTCCTTAGAGTGGGTACTCTGTACAGTTGCCATGTTTCCCCCAGGGTCCTCTGGATGGAGCTTTGCCTATTGGGCCTCAAAGAAGCTTGAACTGAATGGAAGTTCATTAGTCCCAGACATTTAGACCAACAGACTAGATGTTACTTGTCTGTAGAATCTTATATGGTACAGAGAGGATTCTCATAAACATGATTTAGCCTCTTACTGAGGAAAACAGGTGGTTCTGTGCCTGTGTCAGAAGACAATAAGTAGGATTTTAAGTCTAGTCCCACCTCACACCAGACTGCCAATGTGGAAAAGTTGCTAAATACTTTGTGCCTCTGTTTTCCATGTTTAACAAAATGAGGTTAAAACATCCACTTCTATTTTCCTAGAAGTATGGGAAGGATGAAATTAATTTCGATGAAAAGACTGTTCAGTTTCTCAGAACACAGGTGATCATTCATCACGTTCATCATTGTGAATCTATAGAACTTACTGTATTTCTTCAGCTGGTTGGCCAGGGAGTAGGCAGTAGCTTGAGTTATAAGGAATTTCTCTTTGAGGTCTCGGAACTGCTGATTGCTCTCTGCCAGCTGCGAGCGCAATTCCTGGTTGATTTCTAGGATGTTCATCTCTGCCCTCTCGCTGGACAAAGGGTCGGCAGATACCACCATGCTGACGTTTGTGGCAGAAGAGGTAGAGCCAGGGACTGGGGAGAAGAAACCCAGACACATGATGGGTCAAAAAATAGTGAAATCAATTAGGTTTAATCAGGACTGAGAGATGACAATTACTGGAATTGTTAACTTACAGTTGAGAAAAAGTTGATGAACACGACACAACACTTTAGAGTCCTTAACCGCAAAAACAGGGACCGGGATGCCTGAGCTCAGAGCTGAAGGCACTGCCTGTAGCTCCGACTCTGACAAGAGTGAGGGAGGTAGCAGCCAGCGTACCAGGTAACGGTCTGCAGTTGCAATAACAGAATTAGAAGGTGGGGGTGTCATGGAATCTTAGAAACCCTGCATTCCAATTGCCCAGGCTGTGCTGAAACACTAGGCCCCCTGGTCTCACCTGAGGGTCACTGATGGGGACCATTTCTTCAGCAGTCACTCTCAGTATTTGTGCACCCTTGTGACAATGCTACAGGCCCACCTCTTTCTCAATACATATAAGCATATTCCTCATTGTTCATCTCTTGTGTGTATAAAATCATCAAGGTAGGGATAGTTTTCCAGAAGGTTATATTTTCTTAGTGGTAGTCATCAAGTCACCTCACCTTCTTTTTAAGGTAAAATGATCTTAATGCTTTTCCACAAGTGAAAGATAGCAAACTTTTAGTCTGCTATGATATCCCTCTGGGTCTTCTGCAGTTTTTTCTGTATCGACTGAAAATGAAGGAATAATTCACTTTTAAAAAAGATTTTCTACCCTGTCTCAGTATTCTTGCTGCATCCCATTGTTATGTTGATTTCTTTTCTCTTACTGGGGCAGCATCTTGGCTTTTCATTACACTTAAGACCAGTTTCACATCCCTACGTCCAAAGCTCTTCCTCTATGTGTGGGTCGGTTTGCTTTTTTAATGTCACTGAACACTCGTTTCATACTTGTCACTTACGAATATCATTCTCGTCCCAAAATAGCTCTTTTCAAGGTATCAAGTGATCAAAATCATTTGTATATATCCCCTGAAAACATGTGTGACCATCTATCTTGGGAAGTCTTGTAAACCTGATGGTATTTTGTTGTTTTTAGTTTTCCCATATATTGAAAAGAACAGGGCATTGAACGCTTCTCAGGGAATATTGTTGGAGATATATATATATATATATATATATATATATATATATATATATATATACACACACATATAGAGTTGCTCTAACACTGTTGATGTGTGGTTGCATTCCACTAACCGAACCTGGCAAGATCAAGCTCATGGTCACGGGTGGTTGGTGATCCTCAGTGTTCCTGTGCAGTAGAAGGTGAGTTTGAGATGAGAGGGATGAGTAGGGGAGTGTGCTCCCCCAAACCACCTCCTCACTTTCTCAGCTTCCATCTTCAACTAGGTCTTGTGAGGCTAGGACTTGGGAGATTGTCCTGTAGCCCAGGTCTCCTAAGTGTGGCTGCTGGACTTGCCTGAGTTGAGGGTGTGATGAGTGTGACCACGGGCTACGCAGCATTCATGTGGAAGTGAAGGAGGAGGACTGGATCAATCCCAGTGGAAAGCGCACCTCTCAGCAGCCCGCACCATCCTCCACCTACACTGTGTAGTGACAGTGCTTTGAGATGTAGCAAAGGCTATAAATTTATCTATTCTCTGGTGTCTCAAAGACCTGACATTCTGTGTCAGAATGAAAATCTGTCTAGTTTCTTCACTTTAAAAATGATAAAACTGCAGGTTCACAAAGTTACTGGTTTACTTGAGGTCACACAGGGATGCATTTTGAGCACTGCCAATAAAAGGAATCACAATAATTATTCAGTAATTATTTATAGAATCCATGTAATTCAATAAATAAAAATAATTATTTATTGACCAATTCATACTAGGCATTTTGTTCAAAACTGTACACATACTTGGATATCATATTTTCATCATAATCCTTAAGGCAATGTTATTATCCATAAGAAACAGGTAAGAAACCTGAAGAAGAGGGATAGCAAATCATGTATTTGGCTATATTTCTATTTTTTGGTTTCTGTGATGCTGGAAGAATGACCAGAATGAGTCATGGGAATAGCATTCATTCCTGTGTCATTTTCCAGGACAGAGGTGTGCCCTCCTTCAGCATTGGGACCGAAATTCAGAAGTGTCTGCAACCTTGCTTTAACAGTGTGGGAAATAACCTCTATTACCTGGAATTTCACTGGAACTTTGGAATATACAGAGAAATATGAGACTTGGGTCTTCCCCTGGCTGTATTTAATTCACTATTCTATTGAGTACCAATGATTCTCATTAAGACTTTTGCCTTTTTATAACTTTTCTTTCTGACACAGAATGTCAGGTCTCTGAGACACCAGAGAATAGATAAATTTACAGCCTTTGCTACATCTCAAAGCACTGTCATTACACAGTGTAGGTGGAGGATGGTGTGGGCTGCTGAGAGGCATGCTTTCCACTGGGATTGATCCAGTCCTCTTCCTTCACTTCCACATGAATGCTGGGTAGTCCATGGTCACACTCATCACACCCTGAACTCAGATACAACATATATTTTATGTATAGATACAATATGTATTTTATGGAGAAGATTTTACTCTTAGCTCTATTTAAAATGAATAATCTAAGCACTGGTTTAGGTTTTATGCCCTGGACTTGATATTTTTTCTGATTTCTGTTTTGAGATTAAATTCTCATGTAGATAGAAAAATGCTTATTACTTATAAGAGCAAATTAGTTATTGAGTTTCTGAAGTCGAAGCACAAACTTTTGTTTTTAATCTTTGTCTGACCCCATCAGTGCCACTCATTGTCTCTCAGAATGACCTGGCCGTGATCCTGCACTTACCCTCGTCCTGCTGAACCATTTCCACGCACTGTCCAATTCCATCAGTGATCTGGGCTCTTCCCAAAGCTCCTTGAAATGGGTCCAGGTCTCAGGATGTCAGACACCTTCCAGACACAAAAGTAACCCATACTGTAGAGAGCGCAGCTGGGTTCCCACCTCCCTGAAGTTGGCAGGGATGTCCTAGGGCAGGAAGGAAGGCTTTCCCTTTTTAGCGGGTCTTTTCTTCATGTCTCAGTGCCTCTGATCTAGTGAACACAATTGTCCTGAGCGGGAAAGAACTTGCTAAATTTCTGGTTTCTTGTTAGGTTGCTAGAATAGATTTGTAAGAGTTCCTTGTTTACCCATGTCTGCTGAAGTTTGAATTCTTAGCCATATGATTTCTTTTCTTGTAAATTGAGCAGCTTGGAGAAAACTGGCCCTGTTGCTATGCAAAAAGATGTAAACTTAATTTCTACTCAAAGCAAGTTTGAATTTGAAACTAGGGCTTCCACTGTTTCAATGTTGGACTGTCACTACCTCAGGCATGTGTCCCAAAGTGCTCCTGTCTCTGCCGTACTCAGGATAAAGTTAAGATGGAGCCCAGCAAGCCAGGTTTCCTTCACTTCTAGGTTCCCTCAACAGTTTTCTCCACTTTAGAGAATGCATTGAATATATTCTTGTTCTGCTTCTGTGTTTGGGCTTTGGAATGATGTGATGCAGCTCAATGGTTCCTACCCCCAAGTTGATCAGAGTAAGAAACATCTGGAAGGTCAGTGCAAATACAAGATCATTGTCCTCCTTGCAGGGATTCTGATTCAGTGCGCTCAGTTGGGGCCTGGAATGTGTTTGTTAACGACTTAGATGTGCAGTCAGACTGGGGACCCTCTGATACCACGGACCTTACAGTTTATGGGATGATTCTGTTTTGCTGATGACAAAACCAAGGCACAGAGAGTCTGTAACTTGCCCAAGTTCCCTTTGCTGTTAGTACTGGAGCCAGATCTCAGAAAGAGTCCCCTCCCCCAATCCCCTTTCCACATTTTCCAATTCAGTTGTTTCGGTGCTTTCCAAGTAGGTGTTTCTCTCCCCTGTACCTCATTTCTGCAAAACAAACAAACAAACACACATTAAAAAACAAAACAAACAAACAAACAAAAAACCTTCTTGAATTCAATTTGTTTCATTTAATACATTTCCTCACAACATGCAGTCAGCATTATGTTCTGGCCACTTACTATGAGTGTGAGATGCTTTTTTTTTTTTTTTTTTGAGACAGGTTCTCGTTCTGTCATCTAGGCTGGAGTGCTCACTGCATACCCAAATCCTGGGCACAAGTGATCCTCCTGCCTCAGCTTTCCAAGTAGTTCGAACTCTAGGCACACATCACCATTTCTGGCTATTTTTTTTTTTTAATTTTTTGTAGAGACAAGGTCTTGCTGTGTTGCTCAGGCTGGTCTTAAACTTCTTTCACTCAAGAACTTTTTATTGAAAAGTCTTTCATTTCCCCAATGAGAGGCACTGGCGTGTTTGTTTTTAAAAACTTTAAATAACTGTATATATGTGAGCATAATGTTTGAGTCTGTATTCTTTTTATCTTGATATACTTCTATATACTTACACTAGTACTATAGTTTTTAAATTATTGTAGCTCTAAATGAGTTTTGAAATCCAGCAGAATAACTCCTACAACTTACTGCTTCTTCAAGACCAACTTGCCTGTTCTAGCTTTTTTGATTTTCAAATACATTTTGAAATTAGCTTTTACATTTCTCTAAAAATTCCTACTGGAAACATTAGTCAGAATTATGTTGATGTAATATCTTAACAAAATTGAATCTTCCAATCCATGAATGTAATATATATTTCTCTATTTAGTCTTCTTTAATTTCTCTCACCAATAGCTTTCAGGGGCTTTGTACCTGCTTCATTATATGTATTCTTAAATATGTAATGATTTTGGATATTAATCTCTATTATGTTTTATTGAATTTCATTTTCTAGCAGCTAATTGCTAGTATGGAGAAATTAAGATGATTAAATAAACTTTATAAAGGTATTTATTAAGTACAATAGACTGCACCACTTTAAACTATGTAATCCAATGCATGTTCACAAATGTATACACTAATGGAACTACTGCCATAATCAAGATATAGGAATTTCCATAAGCCCAAAATTTCTTGTAACCCTTTGCAGTTAATCAGTATTTCAACCCTCAGGTTCAAGGAGCCACTGTCACTTTCTGGCAGTGCCTTTTTCACCATTTTCTATAAATGAAATTATACCTGTGTTCTTTTGCATCTGCCTTCTTTCATGCATCATATTAATTTGAAAATCCATCCATGTGAGCATTTTCGTCAACAGTTAATGCCTTGTAATTGCTGAGTAGTATTCCTTTGTGTGGCTACACCATGTTTGTTTATACATTCACTTGTTATTGGACATTTGTGTCATTCTAGGTTTGGGCTATAATGCATAAAGTATCATGAGCATCCACATACAGATCATTGTGTGGACATAGAGTGTAAATTCCTAGGAGTGCAAGGACTGTCCATTTGATCTGTACATGTTTAGTCTTATAAGAAACTGTTAGCCAGATTTTCAAAGGAGTTGTACCATTTTTCATTTCCACAAGTATAGGACTTCCAAGTACTTTATATCCTCACCAACATGTGGTATTTTCAGTCTTTTTAATTTTAGCCATTCTCATGGACATGTAATGGTATCTCAGCATTGTATTGATTGATCTCCCTGATGACTAAAGAGTTGAGCATCATTTCATTTGCAAATTGACCCTTCATATATCTTCTTTTCTGAAGTATCTATTCAAGTCTTTTGAGAAATTGTTTCATTGTGCTGTTTATCTTATCAGACTGCATTATATATATACCATTAAAAAATCTTTTGTTGGAGATAAATATAATTTCTCCTATATTGTGGCTTCTTTTTATGTTCTCTTAATGTTCCCTGTTTTGGAGATAAAGATAGAAATCATCAAACAGGTGATTATGTATATATACATATAACTATATTCACGTCTAAGAATAATTTATTAGACATATATGTAAGGGTCTATTTCTGAGTTCTCTTTTCTCTTCCATTGATATATGTTCTATTTTTTTCAACAATACACATGGTCTTGATTTCCATAGCTGTATAGTAAATCTGGAAATAGGTAGTGAATTCATTCACCATTGTTCTTTTATAATATTGCTCTCTTATTATTCTTGATCACTGACATTTTCATATAAATCAGCTTGTAAATTTCTACCAAATTGCCTGTTGGAATTTTTTGTTAGAATTGCATTGCATCTGGAGATCAATTTGGGAAGAACTGACTTTTTAACTATAACAGCTCTTCTGATCCGTGACAAGGTTTATCTCCCCACCAATTTAGTTTGTTTATATATATATCTAATTTCTCAAAGCAATGTTTTGTAGTTTTCAGTGTACTGGCCTTACATAAATTTTCTTGAATTTATTTCTAAGCACATCACGTATTTAGATGTTACTTTAAATGAAATTGTATTTTTATTTTATTTTCCAAACACTCATTGCTAATATACAGAAATACAACAGACTATTTATATTGAACTTATATTCTGCAACATTGCCAAACTCGCTTAATAGTTTTGGTATATTTTTGTAGATTTCTGGAATTGTTTACATACATAATCATGATCCGTGAATAAAGACAGCTTCAATTCTAGACAGCTTCAATTCTTTCTTTTCAATCTTTTCAATGTTTCTGTTTATTTATGTTCTTACTTTATTGCATCGGATAACATCTCTAGTTTAATGCTGGATTGAAAGAGTAACAGCAGATATTCTACCTTTTTCGCTATTTAATAGAAAGCATTCAATCTTATTAATGTTACCTGTGGGTTTTTCAAATCTGCCCTTGCAGGGTTGGAAGTGTTGCCTTCTGTTCTTACCAAGTTGAGAGTTTGTTTTTGTTAATGATGAAAAAAGTTTTCAATTTGCCAAACGCTTTTTCTGTGTATGTCAGGGTAATCATATGCTTTTTCTCTTTTGTCCTGATAATATACAGAATTTTATCAGTTTTTTAAAATATAAAAAGATGTATTAAATCAAGCTATGGCAGTTTTAAAATAATGTTTTAAACTTTTAGCAATTATATTGATATATAACTTACATGCAAAAAACTGCACATAATTAAAGTGTATAATTTAAAAAGTTTGAGCATAGTACACATCTGCAATCAGGATTAGTAAATACAGGCCGGGCATGGTGGCTCATGCCTGTAATCCCAGCACTTTGGGAGGCCAAGGCAGGTGGATTGCTTGAGCTCAGAGTTCAAGACCAGCCTGGGAAACGTAGTGAAACCCTGTGTCTAAAAAATATACAAAAATTAGCCAGGCGTGGCGGCATGTGCTTGTAGTCCCAGCTACTTGGGAGGCTGAGTTGGGAGGATGGCTTGAGCCCAGGAGACAGAGGTTGCAGTGAGCCAAGAGTGTGCCACTGCACTCCAGTCTGGGTGATAGAACCAGACCCTGTGTCAAAAAACAAACAAACAAAAAAGATAGTGGATATATCTACCACTTCCAAAGTGTCCTTGTTTACGTAGTAATTCCTCCCTCACCTTTCTCCCCACACCTCAGACAACCACTGGTTGGCTTTCTGTCATAATAGATTAATTTAAATTTTCTCAAGTTTTCTATAAATAGAATTATATACTATGTACATTATTTTGGTTTCATTTTTTAATTCAGAATAATTATTTTGAGATGTAGCTTTGTTGTCATGTGTATTAATAGATCACTCTGCTATATTGCTAATATTCCATGTGATGGTTATATCACAGTTTATTTTATTTATTCACCTGTTCATAGATTTGGATGGCTCTGGTTTTAAAACTAAAGCTTTTATCAACGAATTTGTATGGACATATCCTTTCCTTTCATTTGAGTGAAATAGCAGTATCATATGATACGTACAGGTTTACTATTTTAAGAAGCTGCCAAACTGTTTTATAACATGCTTGTAAAATTTCACATTCCCATCAACAGTGTATGAGTGTTTTTGTTTCCATATATCTTTGCCAATATGTGGAACGGTGATTCTTTTAACTTCAGTCATTTTACTTGGTATACAGTGGTTTAAATTTGCATTTTCCTAGTGACTAATGATATTGAATATCTTGTCATATTGTTATGTGCCTTCCATATATCTTCCTTGTGGAATATCTCTACAAATCTTTTATTCATTTGAAAATTTGATTGCCTGTTTATTAATAAATTTTGAGAGTTCCCTTAGTGTTGCAGACAGAGGTCCTCTATCGGATACATAATTTCCAAATATTTTCTACCTAAGTGTGGCTTGTCTTTTCATTCTCTTACCAATGCCTTTGAAGAGCAATTTTTTAAAAGTATTATTGAAGCGTAATTTATTGTTTTGTTCTTTTACCAGTTCTTAGGGGAAATGCTTCCAGCTTTTGCCCATTCCGTATGATGTTGGCTGTGGGTTTGTCATAGATAGCACTTATTATTTTGAGGTATGTTCCTTTGGTGTCTAGTTTGTTGGGAGTTTTAACATGAAGGGATGTTGAATTTTATCAAAAGCCTTTTCTGCATCTATTGAGATAATCATGTTGTTTTCAGTTTTAGTTCAATTTACGTGATGAATCACATAACATATGTTGAACCAACCTTGCATCCCAGGAATGAAGCCTACTTCTTCATGGTGCATTGGCTTTTGGTGTGCTGCTGGGTTGGATTTGCTAGTATTTTGTTGAGGAGTTTTGTGTCTCTATGTTCATCAGGCATATTGGCTTGAAGTTTTTTTTTAATGTTGTGTGTCTCTGCCAGGTTTTGGTATCAGAATGAGGCTGGCCTCCTGATAGGAGTTAGGGTAGAGTCCTTCCTCCTCAGTTGTTTGGAATAATTTCAGTAGAATTGTTACCAGCTCTTTATTATATAAGAATTCAGCAATGAATCCACCTGTTCTGGGCCTTTTTCTGGTTGGTTGGTTTTTTATTACCAATTCAATTTAGAACTCCTTATGGTCTGTTCCAGGATTTCAGCTTTTTTCTGGTTCAATCTTGGGAGAATGTACGTTTCCAGGAATTCACCCATTTCTTCCAGTTTTTTTTTTTTCTGGATTTGTTGAGCTGTTGTATGCATTTTCACATCTCAATTTTATTCAGTTCAGCTCTGATTTTGGTTTTCTTTTCTTCTGCTAGCTTTGGGGTTGGTTTGCTCTTCTTTTTCTAGTTCCCCTTGGTCTAATGTTAGGTTGTTAATTTTTTTCTTTTTTTATTTCAGCACAGAGTTGTTGATTCATAGATTGTTCATTTGAGCTCTTTCTAACTTCTACAAGAATGCCCACTCTTACCATTCCTATGCAACATGGTACTGGAAGTCCTAGCCAGAGCAATCAGGCAAATGAAAGAAATAAAAGGCATTGAAATACAAACAGAGGAAGTCAAACTATGTCTCTTTGCTGATGATTTAATTCTATATCTAGAACACTCCATTTTTTTTGCCCAAGACTATCCTTTCTTCATTGTGTGTTATTGGGAGCATGGTCAAATGTAGCTGACTGAATGTCTTTCCCCAAAGGCTAGAACTGCTAAGCAACTTCAGTAAAGTTTCAGGATATAAAATCAATGTACAAAAGTAGTAGCATTTGTATACATCAGTAACATCCAAGCTGAGAGCCAAATCAGGGATGCAACCCCATTCACAATAGCCACAAAGAGAATAAAATGCCTAGGAATACAGCTAACCAGGGAAGTGAAAGATCTCTACAACAAGGATTCCAAAACACTGTGGAAGGAAATCAGAGACAAGACAAACATATAGAAAAACATACCATGCTCCTAGGCGAATTAATGCAGAAACAGAAAACCAAATACTGCACATTCTTACATGTAAGTAAAAACACCATTTGTGATGGACATTTAAGTTGTTTCCATATCTTGGCTATTGTAAGTAATGCTGCAATGGACATGAGAGTGCAGGTATCTCTAGTAGGTGCTGATCTCATTTCTTTTGGATATATACTCAGAAGAGGGATTGCTGGGTCATATTTTTAACTTTTTGAGAAAACTCCATGCTCTTCTCCATAAGGAATGTACCAGTTTACATTTCCACCAGTGTACAAGTGTTTCCTTTTCTACACACCCTTGCCAACACTTCTCTTTGTCTTTTATACAATTGCCAACCTAACAAGTGTGAGGTGATATCTCACTGTGATTTTGACTGGCATTTCCCTGATGATTAGTGATATTGAGCAACTTTTCATATATGTGCTGGCCATCTGTTTGCTCTCTTTGGAGAAATATCTATTCAGGTCCTTTGTCTATTTTTTATTTATTTGGTGATTGAGTTCTATGAGTTCCTTATATTTTGGATAGAAACTCCTTAACAGATATATGGCTTGCAAATATTTTCTCCAAATCCATAGGCTGCCTTTTCATGTTGTTGATTGTTGCCTTTGCTGTGCAGAAGCTATTTGGTTTGATGTGGTCCTTTTTTTTTTTTTTTTTTTTGGCGGAGTTTTGCTCTTGTTGCCCAGGCTGGAGTGCAGTGGTGCAATCTTGGCTCACTGCTACCTCCACTTTCCGGGTTCAAGCGATTCTCCTGCTTCAGCCTCCCGAATAGCTAGGATTACAGGCTCCCACCACCATGCCTGGCTAATTTTTTTGTATTTTCAGTAGAGATGGGCCTTCGTCATATTGGCCAGGCTGGTCTCATCCTCCTGACCTCAGGTGATCCACCCGCCTCGGCCTTCCAAAGTGCTGGGATTACAGGTGTGAGCCACCATGCCCAGCTGGTCCCATTTGTTTGTTATTGCTTTTGGTGTCCTATCCCCCTGCACCCCCAACCCCCACCCCACAAAAGTCATTGCCAAGACCAATGTCAAGGAGCCTTTCCCCTTTGTTTTCTTCTTGGAGTTTTATGATTTTGTCTTACACATAAGTATTTAATCCATTTTGAGTTGATTTTTGTGTATTTTGTATATGAGTCCAATTTCATTCTTTTGCATGTGGATATCCAGTTTTCCCAACACCATTTATTGAAGAGACTATCCTTTCCTCATTGTATGTTATTGGGGGCATGGTCAAAAAGTAGTTGACTGTATGTACTTGGGTTTATTTCTGGGCTATCTATTCTGTTCCTGGTCTATGTGTCTATTTTAATGCCAGTCCCATACAGTTTTGATTACTATAACTTTGTAATATAATTTGAAACTAGCTAGTATGATCCCTTCAACTCTGCTTTTCTTCCTCAGGACTGCTGTGTCTATTCTGGTTTTTTGGCAGATCCATACAAATTTAGAGTTTTTTTTCTATTTCTGTGAAAAATGCTATTGGAATTTTGATAGGGATTGCCTTGAATTTGTAGATCACTTTAGGGCAGTATGAACATTTTAACAATATTTATTCTTCCATACCATAAACATGGGATTCCTTTCCATTTATTTGTACCTTCAATTTCTTTTAACAACATTTTATAATTTTCAGTGTATAGATCTTTGCCTCCTTGGTTAAACTTATTGCTGATTTTATTCTTTTTAATATTATCATAAATAGGATTTAAAATTTTTTATTGAATAGGTCATTATTGGTGTACAGAAATGCAACTGATTTTTATTAGTTGATTTTATATCCTACAACTTTACTGAATTCATTTATTAGTTCTAACAGGGTTTTCTTGCAGAGTCTTTAGAGGTTTCTACATATAGGATCATATTATCTGCAAACAGTGATAATTTCATTTCTTCCTTTCCAATTTGAATCTTTTAATTTCTTTTTCTTTCCTGGTTGCTTTTGCTAGTACTTCCAGTACCATGTTGAATGGAAGTGGTGAGAGTGGGAATCCTTGACTTGGACTGGATCTTACAGGAAAAGCTTTCAGTTTTTCTTGATTGAGTATCATGTTAACTGTGGGCTTCTCATAAGTGGCCTTTATGATGTTGAAGAAATTTTCATCTATGCCTTATTTGTTGAGAGTTTTTCTCATGAAAGGATGTTGAGGTTTGTCATCTGCTTTCTCTGGAGCTACTGAGGTGATCATGTGGTTTTCATCTTTCATTCTGTATCACATTGATTTGCATATACTACACCAAACTTACAGCCCAGGGATAAACTCCACTTGGTTAAGACATATATCCTTTTTGATGTGTTGTTGAATTTGGGTTGGTAGTATTTTACTGAGGAATTTTGCATCTATGTTCATCAGAGATATTAGCCTGTAGTTTTATTTTCTTCTGGTGTCTTTGGCTTTGGTATCAGAGTAATGCTAGCCTCATAAAATGATTTTGGAAGTATTCTCTCTACTTCTATCTTTGAGAAGAGCTTAAGAAGAAATGCATTAATTCTTTTTTTAATTTTTAGTAGAGTTCAACTGTGAAGCCATTTGGTCCTGAGTCCTGGTCCTGGCTTTTGTTTTTTTTGGGAGGTTTATAGTTACTGCTTCAATCTTTTTATTTGTTATTGGTCTGTTCAGGCTTTCTATTATTTTTTGATTGAATCTGGGTAGGTTGTATGTGTCTAGGAATTTATCTATTTTCTCTAGGTTATCCAATTTGTTGCTATATAGTTGCTCATAATAGTTCCTTATGATACTTTTTATTTCTGACACATCTGCTGAAATACCTCCACTTCATTTCTGATGCTATTTATTTGACTCTTCTCTTTTTTTCTTAGTCTAGTTAAAAGTTTGTCAATTTTGTTTATTTTTTCAAAAAATTAACTCAGTTTTGTCAATTTTTCTAGTTTTTCTATTCTTTGGTTGAGTTGCTCCTGCTTTGATTTTTATTATTTCCTTCCTTTTGATAACTTTATTTCATTCTTTTCCTAGTTATTTGAGGTATAATGTTAGGTTACTTATTAGAGACCTTCTTTCTTAATGTGGGTCTCTTCCTTCCTTCCTTCCTTTTTCTCTTTCTTTCTTTCTTTTTTCTCCCTTTCTCTTTCTCTCCCTCCCCTCCCCTCCCCTCCCCTCCCCTGCCCTCCCTCTCCTCCCCTCCCCTCCCTCCCTCTCTCCCTCCCTCCCTCCCTCCCTCCCTTCCTTCCTTCCTTTCCTTCCTTCCCAGGGTCTCACTCCATTGCACAGGCTGGAGTGCAGTGGCACAATCTTGGCTCACTGCAACTTCTACCTCCTTGGTTCAAGCAATTCTCCTGCCTCAGCCTCCCTGAGTAGCTGGGATTACACGTGCGTGCCACCATGCTGGGCTAATTTTTGTACATTTTGGTAGAGATGGGGTTTCACCATGTTGGTGAGGGTGGTCTTGAACTCCTGACCTCAAGTGATGTGCCTACCTTGGCCTCCCAAAGTGCTGGGATTACATGCATGAGCCACTGTGCCCAGCCAATGTAGGCATTTATCATTACAAACTTGCCTCTTAGAGCTGCTTTTGCTGTTTCCGGAGGTTCCATTATGTTTGTTTTCATTCTTGTTTGTCTCAAGATATTTTAAATTTCCCTTTTGATTTGTTCTTTGACCCATCAGCTGTTCAAAAGCATGTTATTTAATTTCCATGTATATGTGAAATTTTCCAGTTTTCCTTCTGTAGATTTTTAGTTTCTTACTATTGTGCTCAGAAAAAATACTTGATGTGATTTCAATCATCATAAATGTGTTCATGATCTACTTTTCATTCATATTTTAATTGATGTATAGTAGTTGTACATCTTTTGGGGGTATGTGTGATAATTTGATAAATGTGTATAATGTGTAATGACCAAATCAGGGTAATTAGGATATCTATCACCTCAAACTTTTATCTTTTCTTTGTGTTACACACACTCCAATTATTATAGCTATTTTTAAAAATATACAACAAATTATTGTTAACAGTAGTCTCCCTGCTACCCTATTGAATACTAGAACTTACTCCTTCAACCTAACTGTATTTTTGTACCCATTAACCAACTTCTACCCTCTCCCCACTCTCATTCCCAGCCTCTGGTACACACTAATTTTTATATATGGAGTGACACACGAATCTGATTTTTTACTTATTTTTATACACATATAGATGTCATACCCATTTGTTAAAAGAAAATCCTCTACCATTTGTTGAAAGTACATACATTTTTAAATATTTTTCTTTTTCATGTTTGTCAAATATCTTTTTATCCATATATGCATTGGTTTATTTTTGGACTGTGTATTTTGTTCCTATTTTATCAATCTTTTTTTCTTTTCTTTTCTTTTTTTTTTTTTTTTTTTTTTTGAGACAGAGCCTCATTCTGTCACTCAGGCTGGAGTGAAGTGGTGTGATCACTTCCTGGGTTCAAGTGATTCTTGTGCCTCAGCCTCCCAAGTAGTTGGAATTACAGGAGTGCATCACCATGCCCGGCTAAGTTTTCGTGCTTTTAGTAGAGACGAGGTTTCACCATGTTGCCCAGGCTGGTCTCGAACTCCTGAGTTCAGGCAATCCACCCACCTCGGCCTCCCAAAGTGCTAGGATTACAGGTGTGAGATCATATCCCAACACCATTCTGTTTTGATTACTATAACTTTATAATAGTTCTTTAAATCAGGTAGAGCTAGTCCTCCAAGTTTGTTCTTCATTTTAGTAGCATTTTGATTATGCTAGTTCATATTAATTTTGGAATCAGCTGATCACTTTCTACCAAAGATGCTCGCTGAGATTTTGAGTGGAATTGCATTGAATTTATAGATCAGATTGGGGAAAAGTAACACCTCAACAATATTAAGTCTCTTGACCCATGAACAAAGAATTTCTCTCTAGTTTTTAGGTATTCATTATGTTCTCTGTGAAACATTTTATAATTTGCAGTCAGATTTATCCCTATGCATTTTATACAGTTGACACTATTGTAAGTGGTATTGCTTTTTACATTTCAATTGTGCATTGGAATTACATAAAATAGAATTGATTTTTGTATATTGACGTTGTATCCTGCTAGAAACAAATGCTTTTCAGACTGAAGTTACATTTGGCAGTGACAATATCTTTCGGGGGGTGGGGGTCCTGCGTATTTACCAGGTGAAAAGAATCTTTTTCATTTTACTTGGAGCTTTATCATCAGCCCAAGGAAGAGGAACGTCCCAACCTATATTCAGTTTTCAGGCTGGGCAGAGTGTGTACCTTGTGGACCAATGCATGTGAAATGTTCTGTATGTTCATCAATAGGTTTTCCTTAAGAGTGCTCATGCAGTTGATGAGGCTTCCCATGTGCGTGTCTGTTTATCTGCAATGTTATCCCTTATTTTAAAATTTAGTATTCAATAATGTATCCCAGCATTATGTAGTATCAGAGACTTTGGGATGGTCTTCAATGATATATCTATCAAGTTATCATGAGTTTGTACCTGATCCTGACTAGTCTTATTTCTGATGTGATCTATTATAAAATGAGACCAAAAGCTTTAAAATAACTAATAATGTTGGGCTGAGGGGATTTCTTTGTGGGATACTCAGCCTTAGGAGACAGTAGATCCTATTACACATCTGAAGTAGGAGTCCACTCACTTCAGTATGTGAGCATCAGGACCCTGATTCTGCAGTAGTATCTGCAGTCCCTTGCACTATCAGCTTCATTCCCTCAAGGGAGAATGAATGGCCTTCAGTTTGTTATGTCACAATTGACACGTGTAGCACATTTGAGTATCTCTTTAGTTATTGACCTAGGTTTACATCCAATCATGTTAAGCTTGCTCACCTGGGTGATTCACAAGGTCACATTCCCAGTGGGTCAGTTGACTGTCACAAAAAAACAAAAGCATTCATTTGTCATTATGTAAAACATGGCTCACAAACAGCTTTAAAGGTGTTTTCTCAAATGTTTATCTATAAAGTCTAGTTACTCAAATGAATTTATCTTCTACTCCAGTTTTTTATTTCTCCATGTTCTGCCTCTACGACAGAACCCAAGGGCCAGTATAAACATAGATTTAATTCTGCTGATTTATAACCAATCAACAGTTTCATTATTACATATGATTCTGTACACTGGGTTGTCAGCCTTCTTCCTTCTTTTACCTGTTCCTATTGGATGTTAAGATGATATGGGCTGAAGGTGATGGCTCAAGCTTGTGATTCCAGCACTTTGGGAGGCTGAGGCAGGAGGATCACTGGAGTCTGGGAGTTTGAGATGAGCCTGGACAACACAGTGAGACCTCATCTTCTTTTTTAAAAAAGATGATGTAATGTTATTTGCCACTTTTATTAACATCCCTGGACTACAGTTCTACCATTTCTTTTTTTTGAAAGCATCTCTTATTATCATAAGATGTACTTAAATCTTCATATTTGTGAGCATCATTAATATTATTAATAGATAAAATCTACAATGGTCAATTCTTTGGTTAGGTCAGAGACTAAAATCTGAAAATTAGAAATTCACTATTTCTTTCAGGCGTGTGTGTGCTGTTGTGCTAATCCCTCACCTCTCTCAGAAAAGTCATTGTAGGCCCAAGCCAATAAGTAAACAGTCTGTGAAAGAATGAATGCAAATCCTAGAATAAGTATGTAGTGCCCACTGAGTGGAGGAAAATTTTGCAAAAGTTGTTTTTCTACAGTTGTGCAACTTTCCTCTGAGCCAGCTCATCTGCTGCTTCAAAGGCCCCAAATAATTTTTTTCATCATCTTATGGCCATTGTCATAAACTCCATTCTGCCCCTGCCTATGTCACCTACCATGCAATCTGTTTCACTGCATGGCCTTAGAGGCAGAGACATTTTTCCAGCTTTAAGTGCATTAAGGTTCTCCTGTTTCTGCAAGACAATGGAAGTTAGTGGTTCTCTCTGTTTTTTGGTATTTAAGTCCATCATCAGGGTCAGTTGGGAAATATGTTTTCTCCAGAAGCTGTTAGGTGCTGTTCAGTGCAATAATTTTTCAGTTCTTACACTATAATTGATCCCATCTATGCATTATAGTTCCTAAAATCACTTTCTGAGAAGGCCCTTGATTACTTTTTTAAAATAGCCCAGCCAGCAGCATTATTATATCTTTCCTAGTTCTTAGAAGGAACATCCTCATGCTCCTTCTGGTGATGTTCCTACTAACAACATGTAATCTGTGAAATGGAACAGAGGGAGGAGACCCATGCCAAGATTCTGTGACACTCAGCTCTGACAGTTGGCAGGCAGACACTCTCTGCAGAAGATTCTCCTGAGGCTGTTTGACCAGAATCCTTGGGAGGTTGAAAGCCCAGTCTTGACAGAACCACCATTCACAAGGCCAGGTGTGTGGCTCACGCTGTAATCCCAGCACTGTGGGAGGCCAAGGAGGGAAGAATGCCTGAGCCCAGGAGGTAAGACCAGCCTGGGGAACGTGGCAAGACATCATCTCGAAAAAAAAGAAAATAGAAAAAGAAAAAAACCCCACCATTTATTATCATCTCCCATTTTATCAGAATAAGCCTGTGGGTGTTGGCTGTCAATTTTCTCACTTACAGGCAACCCAAGCTGACCTGGGCACAGAAATCTTAAGCTCTTTTCAGGAAAGAATGCTCTACTCATCCTCTGTATCACTAGTTACGCAGTGTAACCAGCACAGAGCTTTACTCACAAGGGCTCAGGAAATGCATTTGCTGAGCTCAACAAATTGACAATCCAACTTATTTTGATAAGCAGAGATTTTGTAGTTTAGAGAACTGAATAGGGTAAGCAGAGGAACAAAACAGAATGTTATTTTATTTTGTGTCTAAGAGTACAAAAATCATAATCACCAACCTCTTGGGAATCCCAAGGCAGAATTTTAGTCCCAGACCCCCCAACATCCTCACTACATACATGGAAGTTGCTTTACTCCTTTCTACCTTAGTTATTTGACCTATAATTAGAGGATAAAATACAACATTCTAAAATCCTGGTAATATGGCCGATATATAATTTTATTTTTGATGTGGGTGAGAGTCTTGAAGTCTGGAAAGCATTTAACTTATTAAAAGACAGATCATCACTGATCATTATGGCAAGGACAAATTTAGAAGACTTATTAAACTTACCTCGGCGGGGAGGGGCCAAGACTGCCGACTAGAAGCAGCTCTGGTCTGCAGCTGCCAGCGAGAGGAACGAGGAATGTGGGTGATTTCTGCATTTCCAACTGAGATACCCAGTTCATCTCACTGGGACTGACTAGATGGTCGGCATGACCCACAGAGAGCGAGAAGAAGCAGGGTATTGCTTCACCCAGGAACTGCACAGGGCAGGGGGACCTCCCTCCCCAGCCAAGGGAAGTGGTGAGGGACAGTGCTACCCACCAAGGGTACTAAGCTTTTCCCACAGATTTTTGCAATCCACAGATCAGCAGATCCCCTCGGGAGCCTACAACCACCAGTGCCCTGGGTCTCAAATACAAAACTGGGCAGACCAATGACAGCTGCTCCCGTCGGCGGCTGTTTGGGCAGGCACTGAGCTGCAGGAATTTTTACATACTCCGGCAGCACCTGGAACTCCAGTGAGGCAGGAGAAATGTCCACTTCTGTGGAAAGGGGGCTGTAGCCAGGGAGCCAAGTGGTCTCGCTCAGAGGGTCCCACTCCCACGGAAACCCCGCAAGCTAAGAACCACTGGCTTGAAATCCCCGCTGCCGGCACAGCAGTCTGGAGTCCGCCTGGGACAACTCAGTTCCCAGGGGGAGGGGCGACCGTCATTACTGAGGCTTTAGTTGGAGGTTTTCCCCTGACAGTGCTAAGGAGACTAGGAGGTTTGGACTGGGTGGAATTCCCCACAACGCAGCAAAGTGGCTGTTGCAGATCGTGGCCAGACTGCTTCCTAGGTGGGACCCGAAGCCATCCCTCCTCACCTGGAGGGCATCCCTGCAGGAATTCCAGTAGCTACAGTCAGGGGCTTACAGACAAGAACTCTAATCTCCCTGGGACAGAGCACCTCGGGGGAGCGGCGGCCATGGTCCGAGGTTCAGCAGACTTAATCTTTCCTGCCTGCTGGCTCTGAAGAGACCAGCTGATCCCAAGGAGGGTTATTCCTCCAATACAGTGCACCAGCTCTGCTAAGGGACAGTCAGTCTGCCTCCGTAAGGAGGTCCCCCTTCCAGTCCCGTGCTTCTTGACTGGGTGAGACTTCCCATCAGGGGTCGCCAGACACCTCATGCAGGAGAGTTCCGGCTGACATCAATCAGGTTGATGCCACTGTGGGAAGAAGCTTCTGGAGGAAGGAGCAAGCAGCAATCTTTGCTGTTCTGCAAACTCCACTGGTGATACCCAGGCGAACAGGGTCTGGAGTGGACCCCCAGCAAGCCGCAGCAGACCTGCAGAAGAGAGGCCTGACTGTTAGAAGAAAAACCAACAGAAAGTAACAACAACAACAACATCAACACAAAAGACCCCACAAAAACCACATCCAAAGGTCAACAGCTTCAAAGATCACAGGTAGACAAAACCATGAAGATGAGGAAAAACCAATGCGAAAACACTGAAAATTTCAAAAGCCAGAATGCCTCTTTTGTTCCAAACGATCTCAACACTTCTCCAGTAAGGGCACAGAACAGGGCTGAAGCTGAGACTGATGAACTGACAGAAGCAGGTTTCTGAAAGTGGGTAATAATGAATTTCACTGAGCCAAAGGATTATGTTCTAACCCAACGCAAGAAGCTAAGAACCATGATAAAAGATTACAGGAGGTATTAGCTAAAATAACCAGTTTAGAAAGGAACATAAATGACCTGATGAAGCTGAAAAACACAGCACAAGAACTTTATGATGCAAACACAAGCATCTGTAGCCAAAACAACCAAGTGGAAGAGAAGATATCAGACCTTGAAGACTATCTTGCTGAAATAAGGCAGGCAGACAAAATTAGAGAAAAAAGAACGAAAAGGAACAAACAAAACCTATGAGAACTATGGGAGTATGTAAAAAGATGGAACCTATGACTGATTGGAGTACCTGAAAGAGTTGGGGAGAATGGAACCGAGTTGGAAAACGCACTTCAGTATATGATCCAGGAGAACTTCCCCAACCTAACAAGACAAGCCAATATTCAAATCAGGGAAATCCAGAGAACCCCAGTAAGATACTCCACAAAAAGATCTACCCCAAGGCACATAATCATCAGGTTCTCCAAGGTTGAAATGAAGGAAAAAATGTTAACGGCAGCCAGAAAGAAAGGCCAGGTCACGTACAAAGGGAAGCCCATCAGACTAACAGCGGACCTCTCAGCAGAAACTCTACCAGCCAGACAAGATTGGGGTCCAATATTCAAGATTCTTAAAGAAAAGAAATGCCAACCCAGAATTTCATATCAGACCAAACAAATCTTCATAAGCAAAGGAGAAATAAAATCTTTTTCAGACAAGAAAATGCTGAGGGATTTCATCACCACCAGGCCTGCCTTGCAAGAGCTCCTGAAGGAAGTACTAAACATGGATAGCAAAATCACACACAAAAACACACTGAAGTACACAGATCAGTGACATTATGAAACAACTACATTAACAAGTCTGCAAAATTAACCAGCCAGTATCATGATGACAGGTTCAAATTCACACATAACAATATTAACCTTAAGTGTAAATGAGCTAAATGCCCCCAATTAAAAGACACAGAATGGCAAGTTGGATACAAAGACAAGACTCATCGGTATGCTGTATTCAAGAGACATATCTCATGTGCAAAGATGAACACAGACTCAAAGTTAAGGGATGGAGGAAAATTTACCAAGCAAATGGAAAGCAGAAAAAAAAAACAGGGGTTGCAATCCTAGTTTCTGACAGAAAAAACTTTAAACCAACAAAGGTCAAAAAAGACAAAGAAGGGCATTACATAATGGTAAATGGATCTATTCAACAGGAAGAGCTAACTATCCTAAATATACATGCACCCAATACAGGAGCACCCAGATTCATAAAACAAGTTCTTAAAGACCTACAAAGAGACTTAGACCCCCACACAATAATAGTGGGAAACTTTAATACCCCACTGTCAATATTACACAGATCATTGAGACAGAACATTTACAAATATATTCAAGACTTGAACTCAGCTCTAGACCAAGTGGACCTGATAGATATCTACAGAACTCTCCACCCAAAACAACAGAATATACATTTTTTTTGGTGTCACATGGCACTTAATCGAAAATTGATCACATAATTGGAAGTAAAACACTCCTCATCAAATGCAAAAAGAACTGAAATAATAACAAACAGTCTCTAAGACCACAGTGCAATCAAATTAGAACTCAAGATTAAGAAGCCCACTCAAAACCACACGACTACATGGAAATTGAACAATATGCTCCTGAATGACTCCTGGGTATATAATGAAATTAAGCCAGAAATCAGGAAGTTCTTTGAAACCAATGGGAACAAAGAGACAACGTACCAGAACCTCTGGGGTGCAGCAAAAGCAGTGTTAAGAGAGACATTTATAGCACTAAATGCCCACATCAAAAAGCTAGAAAGATCTCAAATTGACAGCCTAACAGTACAACTAAAAGAACTAGAGAACCAAGAGCAAACAAACCGCAGAGCTAGCAGAAGACAAGAAATAATGAAGCTCGGATCTAATTAAACTAAAGAGCTTCTGCACAGCAAAAGAAACTACCGTCAGAGTGAACAGGCAACCTCCAAAATGGGAGAAAATTTTTGCAACCTACTCATCTGACAAAGGGCTAATATCCAGAATCCACAATGAACTCAAACAAATTTACAAGAAAAAAACAAACAACACTGTCAAAAAGTGGGCGAAGGACATGAACAGACACTTCTCAAAAGAAGACATTTATGCAGCCAAAAAACACATGAAAAAATGCTCACCATCACTGGCCATCAGAGAAGTTCAATCAAAACCACAATGAGATACCATCTCACACCAGTTAGAATGGCAATCATTAAAAAGTCAGGAAACAACAGGTGTTGGAGAGGATGTGGAGAAATAGGAACACTTTTACACTGTTGGTGGGACTGTAAACTAGTTCAACCCTTGTGGAAGTCAGTGTGGCGATTCCTCAGGGATCTAGAACTAGAAATACCATTTGACCCAGCCATGCCATTACTGGGTATATACCCAAAGGACTATAAATCATGCTGCTATAAAGACGCTTGCACACATATGTTTACTGCGGCACTATTCACAATAGCAAAGACTTGGAACCAACCCAAATGTCCAACAATGATAGACTGGATTAAGAAAATGTGGCAGATATACACCATGGAATACTATGCAGCCATAAAAAAGGATGAGTTCATGTCCTTTGTAGGGACATGGATGAAATTGGAAATCATCATTCTCAGTAAACTATCACAAGAACAAAAAACCAAACATTGCATATTCTCACTCATAGGTGGGAATTGAACAATTAGAACACATGGACACAGGAAGGGGAACATCACACTCTGGGGACTGTTGTGGGGTGGGGGAAGGGGGGAGGGATAGTTTTAGCAGATATACCTAATGCTAAATGACGAGTTAATGGGTGCAGCACACCAGCATGGCACATGTATACATATGTAACTAACCTGCACATTGTGCACATGTACCCTCAAACTTAAAGTATAATAATAATTTAAAAAAAAAAGAAAAGAAATAATGAAGCTCAAAGTGAAACTGAAGGAGATAGAAACATGAAAAACCCTTCAAAAAATCAACAAATCTAGGAGCTGGTTTTTTGGAAAAAAAAAAAAAGGCAATAAAATAGACCACTAGCAAGACTAATAAAGATGAAAAGAGAGAAAATTCAAATAAACACAATCAGAAATGATATGGGGGATTCATGTACCTCAGCCTCCCAAGTAGCTGTGACTACAGGCATGCACTACCATGCCTGGCTAATTTTTTACCTTGTTGACCAGACTGGTCTTGAACTCCTGACCTCAAGTGATCTGCCTGCCCAGCCTCCCAAATTGCTGGGACTACATGTGTGAGCCACCATACCTGGCCTGTTTCATTAGTTTCTACTCCTATCTTTACTATTTCATCCTCCTTTCTTTCTGTTTATTTTCCTGTTTAGTTTCCTGGGTTTGAAGTTTAGGTCATGGGTTGGCAAACTTTGGCCTGAGGGCCAAATCTGACCTGCCACCTATTTCTGTAAATTGAATTTAATTGTAACACAGCCACTTCCATTTGTTTTTGTATTGTCTATGGCTACAAGGGCAGAGTTGAGTAACTGCGAGAGATCACATGGCCTGCGGAGCCTAAAATATTTATTATCTGGACAGTAACAGAAAAAGGTTGCCAATCCCTGTCTTAAATAATTGACTTTTTTTTTCTTTTCTAGTATATTAATTTAAAGTTTTAATTTCCCTCTAAGTTCTGCTTTCCCTACACTCAATAAATTTTGATATGTAATGTTTTCATTATTGTTTATTTCAAAATGTCCAGTTTCCATTGTGATTTCTTCTTCACCCATCAGTTATGTAGAAATATATTGCTGAATTTACAAACATTTGGGGATTTTTCCAATTACCTTCCTGACGGTGAACTCCTGTTTTAATTGCACTGCCATCAGAATGTGCTTTGTATGATTTCTGTTCTTTCAAATAAATGGATTTTGAAGTTGTATTTTGTGTTCTATATATGTGTTCTATAAGATCAATTAGTTAAATGTGTTATTCAAATGTTTTAGATTCCTATTAATTTTTTTGTCTGCTTGTCTTACTGGCTACTGAAAAAGGTATGTTTAAATCTCTAACCATGATTGTGGATTTCCCTATTACTCCTCTACGTTTGCCACTTTAGCATTATGTATTTTGAAGCTATATTATTATGTGTACATAAATTTAGGATTGACCCTTTTATTATTATAAGATGTCCTTCCTTATTGCTAGTAATAAGGAAGAAAGTCACTGCTTCAAGTTATGGGAGAACAAACAATGGGAGAGCAAACAATGCAAGAAAAACAAAGAGAGAGAAGAAAAGTACATTGACATAAGAACTTCATTCACCCTGTTTTTTTTTCTTAGATATTTAACAAATTTCAGCTTAGGTGAATAGGGTCCAAGTTACAGGACAGATGGTAAATATTTTAGAAAGAAAACAAAGATGTTATTAAACTGAGGAGACAGCAAATTTCATAGCCTCTCCTATGAAGTATTTTTGCCCAGATTTTTTTACTAGAATCTGACCATGTCTTTAGAACTGTAGAAAATACAGGTGATGGAGGAACAAGTTAAACAATACCATTAAGAAACAATCAAACAAATCATGATTGTGGAATATTCTACAAGACAGTTGAGCTGGGTTCTTCAAAAAGTCATTGTTGTGGAAAAAACAGTGTTGGTGGTGGACTGTTACTAGTCTTGATTAAGAGAATAAACATAGTAAGGGCAATGGGTAAATTTATTTGGATATTAGTTTGAAAAAATCTGTAAATGGCATTTTGGGGACAATTGGGAAAATTTGAATATAGAATAAGTATTGATGGTATAGAGGTTATTTGTTTGTTTGTTTATTTATTTATTTATTTATTTTTAAAGAGACAGGGCTTTGCTATGTTGCCCAGGCTGGCTTCAAACTCTGGAGCTCAAGTGATCCTCCTGCCTTAGCATCTCAAGTAATAGAGAATTATTTTTAAATTTCTAAAATATAATTATGGCATTGTGGTTATGTAAGCTAATCTCCTTGTTTTTAGGATATGTCCAAGTACTTTATGGTTAAGTGTCATCATATCTGTAACTTACTTTCAAATGGCTCAGATAGACACACACACATTTATATATATGTTTAAGTAGAATGGAGAGAGACAAAATGTAATTATGGCAAAATGTTAAATTTTATAGGTGGTGAATATATAAATGTTCATTGTGCCATCCTTTTTAGAGTTTACAGTTTTCATAATAAGTTGGGAGAAAATCAATGGGCAAAGTAAGTTCAACATTAGAAAAAAGTAAGAAAGTTTCCAATTTAATTACAAAACTATAAAAACTGGAGGGGATGTTACTAGTTTCTGATTAAAAAAACAAAAAGACGCATATAGCAATAGAACATTTTCCAAGAAATTCCATGGCAAGTAAATATTTTCTAAATTTTCAAGGGATCTTCTCTACATTTTAAAGGAGTTATTTAATTTCTTGTAGGGGTGGGTGGGAGGGGGGAACAGAATGTTTAGACTAAAACAGTGAAAGACTTACTTTTCAATTGTCTATTGATTTCACTCTATTTAGCTACATCAACTTTGGGAATATAATATAAAGATTAGAGAGAAAAATGCTAGCAAAATATAAAGATTAGAAAGAAAAATACTAGCTATTGTAATTTGAGAATTTAAGGTAGCCAGGTACTGTGCAATGTGCCAAACACATGGGGTTCGGGTGAGCAAACAGAGACCCTGCTGTTATAGAATTGATAGTCTAGTAGGGAAGACAGAAATTAATTAAACATTTATACAAATATATAGTTATAAACTGCGATTATAGCTACAGAGGAAAAATAGGGTTCTCTGAGGGCCATTAATAGGGGAAATGAGGAAGTTCTGGAAAGAGTTTCTTAAAAAATATATGAACAGAGAAAAATACTGAACTGAGAGCTGAAGACTGAGGTGGAGTTAAATGAGCAAAGAACAGGGAATGACTTTCATGCAAAGGGGAAAGCATGTGTAATGAGCCTGAAGAAGGAAGAAGAATGGGACACTTTGAGAAACTGAAAAGTAGCTTGTATGGCTGGAGTACAGAAAGCAAGAGTGGTACAGGTGAGTTGGGAGGAGGAAACAGAGGTCAGATGATACTGTCTTTAAGCATAATGGGAAATTACTGAAGAAGGAAAGTATCAGATTTGCATTGTTGGAAGTTTACTCTGGTTAAAGGATAGAGAAAAAAATGGAAAGAGGAGGGTAATCACAACAGTCTAGGCAAGAGATGATGGTAGTTTGGAGACAGAAGGTGTGGCAGTGGACATGAAGATAAGTGGATGGATTTGAGAGAAACTTGGAGAGTGAAACTGGTAGGTGATGGTTTAGATGTGTAAGATGAAGGAGAGGGAAATGTCATGGATACATTCCAGGTTTTCAGTTTCAGAAGCTATATGAATGGTGCAGCCATTCCCTGAAAAGTGAAACATGGAATGAGAAACATATTTTTTTTTGTTTCTGAATTTGAGATGTTCTTAAGACATGAGAGGTTGAATGAAGGTATCTGTGTATGCCTAGAGAATTTTTAAAATTGTAACTCCACAATAATTATAAGTAGATTTCACCATTAGTGGACTGACTTTGTTCCTAAAAGGAATGAAAATTAAATAGTGATGATCATCACATAGTTCCATGAGAGCCTCCGACTATAAAGTGTAATTAACCAGAGATTTTCCCTTGGGGATCCTTGTGAAGTAATTTAATTAATTTTATTTTATTATCTGTTTTAGCAAGTTTTAGCTTACTATTTAAAAGAAAGCTAAAATATCAAATTAATTGGACTTTTCCCTTTCCTTGAATTCTCTAGCCATGATATGAGTCCCACAGCTAAATATGATCAGCTTATTTTCTTAAATTTATAAAAGGAGTGGAGTGACAGGATTTTCCAGAGGCATGACTCCATATTTCATAAAGTTTCTTACTTCAGTGTGTTGTAAACTGTGTGGTTTATGAATCAGCAAAACCGCTCTTGGGGAATATTTTACAAACGAAATCTTGAGGCCGGGCATGGTGGCTCACGCCTGTAATCTCGGCACTTTGGAAGGCTGAGGTGGGCGGATTACCTGAGGTCGGGAGTTCAAGACCAGCCTGACCAACATGGAGAAACCCCATCTCTACTAAAAATACAAAATTAGCCAGGCATGGTGGCACACGCCTGTAATCTCAGCTACTCAGGAGGCTGAGGCAGGAGAATCGCTTGAACCCAGGAGGCAGAGGTTGCGGTGAGCCGAGATTGTGCCACTGCACTCCAGCCTGGGCAACCAGAGTGAAACTCCGTCTCAAAAATAAAAAGCAGAAATGAAATCTTGAACCGTCATTATCTGGACACTTGTTTATAAACATGAAAATGTCTTGGCTTTTTCCTTAATTTGCAAAAGGTCTGTATGAAAAGATGCTATATCCATTTTCCCAAGAGGTAAACTTACAAATTAAATATTGAATTTTAAGTAAACAAGAAACAGTTTATTAATTTATTGGTGAATTAAAATCTTCAACATTCATAAAATCTATTTATATTTCTCCAAATTTTAATGAACAGTCATAGAAATTTGCATTTAAGTGGATTAGAATGCAATTTATAATACAGAATATAACCTAAGTATATAATTAACCTAGTATTTCATATTAAACAGTTGGAATATTTTGAAGTTTTCCTGAATTCTCTACTTTGTATTTTAAAAAGCTAACATTTTAGTGCTTTATGTGCATTTTAAATTTATTTTTATTTTTTCACCTCTCCTTGCCATATGCGAACATTTAAAATGTTTGAAAGCACTAATAGAAAACTCACGCATTTAAAACTATAATTCATAGCAAAACAGTCAAGTTTGGGCTCCTTTTCTTTCTCTAAAATAGACAAAACAAAATAGAAAGTCCTAAACAGAATTTCATGGCATCAGAATACCTCAGTCTCCTACCAGTGTTGTCAATGGAATAATGGTGACCTCTTATTCCTTTTCTGAGCACTCTTATTTAGAGATACAGACATTTTTAGCTACGCTTGCTTTTTTTTTTAATATTTAAACATTACACGAAATCACCAACGTGACCAAAGTAATTCAGAAAAATGTGTGAGCTCTTATACTTAAATCTGTGTTAAAAAAGACTGAGTTTTTCTTTTTTTCTCTATGTACTTTATACTTTACTTTCAAGCTCCGATCTACTAGAACAAAGGCTGACTGGAACTTCCCTTTACAGTCTTAAACTTACATGAAGGATGAATAGTATTCTCATCCATCCCTACTTTTTTTGCCTCTATCTTTTCAATTTATGTTGAAAGAGACTAGGCCAAAGATATTTTAAGATGTCTATGTATAGCTACATTATAAAGATTAGATGGGTTCTAAAATTGTGATTTAATAAATGTAACTATAATTATATAATTTATAATATACCAAACAACTAGTAATACATTAGATCAGTCCATTTTTCCAGTTTTTCAGGACACAGATATTTCTGCCATTTTATAAATTAAAGATTTTGAGTTACTTTAATATTTGGGGTTGTAACATACTTCTCAAGGTTATTAAAATGTAGTTAAAATCTGCTCTCACTGTAAAGTGTTAAAATTCAGAAGAATATTTGATACCATTTTTTCCCTCTTGTTAAATGCCATGTTTGAATTTGCTGTGAAATTAGAGAAATTTAATTTTCTCAGGTTGGGATAGGGTACTTAATAAATGATTAATGATGGGATTAAGTTGTTAAATTTTCTAAAAATTGAAATGAATATAAATGCACAATTAACATAAATTTGAGTAACCAAAGTCAATTTTTAGTTAGATTCTCCCTTTTTTTCTTAATAGGATTACTAGAAAGATTTGAAACTTAAATATAATCAACTCCTAAAGTTCACATAAATGTGACTAATATAAAGCACATCTTGATAAATTAGTATGTGTTATCATGCCTCATAATTAACAAGGAATTAGAAATTAAATTTGTTTATACGAACTTCTAAAATATAGAGGAAAAATAAACGGCAACTGGATCCCTTAATAGCCCTATAGATAATAAAAATCAGAGATTGATTTAAAATAAATGCATACCAAAAAATACTTTGAATGCTTCAGATCTACTTTAAAGTATTTTGCTATTTATTTTTTCTCTTTATTTTAGAACAAAATTTATGAATAGAAATGTGGCATATAAATTGGAACTGTTATGATGTGTGTTTCATATTTCTGGATTTGGAGACATGTTCTAATTTTAATCTGTATGTATCTTCCCTTTAGTTATTATTTATTTTTATTTTTCTTTTATTAATAGAGATAGAAGTATTTCTGCACCCAATCCAATTAACTGGAAAAAGGTCATATAAGAACATGAAAAGTCTAATCCCAGTATGGCCAAAATAGGTTTGCCAACATGGGCTAGGCCGGTAAGGAGGGAAGAGACAGGGACAGGGCAGAGGCTCCTCAGGAGGCCTTCCCTCTTTAGACCTCTTTTGGGGGTCGCCGGGGTCCTGACCCCCAGGTGCAGGTCGTCCTGGGAGGAAGGGTGGCACCAGAGTACTGGATGCTGGCATAAGAGCGAGTCTGAGCAGCTCACTCCATGCCACATCTCCCGCAGCAGTGACTTCCGGCAGGAACTGAGTCTGTACCGCGAGAATCTTAAACACCCGCGAGTGCCCTTTCAAGCCTGCTGGGGAATGCGCTCCCTTTCCCCAAACGTCCCTTGGTTCCCCCGTCGACCTACCCGTCCGAGGGTCCTGGGTACCCAACGCCGCCACGTCTGGCACCTCAACTCACGTCTGGCACCTCAACTCACATCTGGCGTCTCAACTGTCGCGTGGCGCCTCGGCCAGAGGTCCCACAAGGTGGCGCAGCCTTTCCGTGGCGCCCAAGAGCCCGCAGGCGCGGGTGGCTTGGCCCGCGTGGGCTCCGAACTGCGGCGGCTCCGCTAGACAGTTGCAGAAGCTGGCGGACGGCCGGGACCCCCTGCCTTGCGCAGCCAGGCGTCGAGGAGGCGGCGGCGAGTGCTGCGGTGCTGGCTGGGTGGCCGAGTGGTCCCCGCAGCCTCTGGACCCAGCCATGCTGCTCTGGATGCAGGGCTTCGTGCTGGAGGCGGTGGCCTGCCAGGATAACGATGACTACTTACGCTACGGGATCCTCTTCGAAGACCTGGATTGCAATGGGGACGGCGTGGTGGACATCATTGAGCTCCAGGAGGGGCTGAGAAACTGGAGCTCCGCGTTTGACCCCAACTCCGAGGAGGTGAGACCGGAAGGTGGCACAGGCAGCCTGGGGAGACGTTGGGCAGAGGGAGAAGCAAACCCTGCCCTTTCCAGAGCTGCTTTCAAAGGCCTTTGGAGTAAGGGTGGGGTTCTCCTCTGTGAGCCTCGTCACGCAGAATAATGCGACCCAACGAAACATGTTCTCAATCTTCTTAAAATAGCCACTTTCCGGCCGGGCGCGGTGTCTCACGCCTGTAATCTCAGCACTTTGGGAGGCCCAGGCGGGTGGATCGCCTGAGGTCAGGCATTCGAGACCAGCCTGGCCAACATGGTGAAACCCCCGTCTCTACTAAACAAATACAAAAATTAGCCGAGCGTGGTGGCGCGCGCCTGTAATCCCAGCTACTCCGGAGGCTGAGGCAGGAAAATCGCTTGAACCCGGAAGGCGGAAGTTGCAGTGAGCCGAGATAGCACCATTGCGCTCCAGCCCAGGCGACAGAGCGAGATTCCATCTCAAAAAAAAAAAAAAAAAAAAAAAAAGCCACTTTCCGTAGTGACAAAGACCTTCAGGGGGCTTTTGGGGAGATGCTGTTTCTGGTGACTCGTTCAAAATTTATGGAACCAGCACACAACGTCAGGCGCCATGTTAGCCTTTGTGCAGAAGTAAAGGAACATCTCTTTTCTTAGGGGTTTCTCTGCCCAGGGCAGTGTGCTTCAGGGTCGTCTCCAAACGACAGGCACAGATAAGAGCCCCAGAGCTATTCTCTTTCTGACATCCACACCAAGGTCTAGGGGAAGTCAGACTTTGATCCATGGGTGTACACTTCAGCTGATTGTTTTAGAACCTCATCTAAATTAGGAATACCTTCCTTCTCTAGGCCAGTCTTGACTTGATTATTTTTAAACTATTTAGATGGAAGTTTCAGAATATCAAGAGAAAAAAATTATTTTATTTATTTTCTGTCAATGCTTAGCAGTCTTCAGATATAACTCCTATTGAATTTTAGGAGTTAGGTCTGAAGACTGTAAAGCTCTTTATTGGTGAGATTTTTTTTTTTTTGGTTGTTGCTAGAAGTCCAAACCATCTGGACTCCTCTTTAGTGATGCTGGGCATCTTTACATGTGCTTAGTAGCCATTTGTATAACTTCTTTGGAGAAATGTCCAAGTTCTTTGTTCATTTTCAAATTAGGTTTTTTTTTGTTGTTGATTTTTAGGAGTTTTCTGTATAGTTTGTATATGAACCCCTTATTATATATATGATTTGCAAATGTTTACTTCGGTTTTATGAGTCTCCTTTTTACTTTTGATGCACAAAGTTTTAAATTTTCATGAAGTCCAATTTGTCGTGTTTTGGTTGCCTGTACCTTTGATGTCATGTCTAAGAAATCAATGCCAAATCCATTGTCGAGAAGATTTTGCCCTGTGTCGTCTTCTCTAAAGTTTCATAATTTTAAGAGTTACATGTAGGTCATAGATCCTTTTTGAATTAATTTTTAATAGGGTGTTAATTAAGGGTCCAATGTCATTCTTTTGCATGCAGATATTCAGTTTTCCCAGCTTCATTTGTTGAAAAAACTGTCTTTTCCCTATTGAATGGTCTTTGCACTGTTGTCAAAAATTATTTGAGCACATATGCCTAAGTGTTTATTTCTTGGCTCTCTATTCTATTCCACTGGTGTATATTTCTGTCTTTATGTTAGTAGCACACTGTTTTAATCACTCTTGTTTTGCAGTAAGTTTTGAAATCAAGAAGTGAGTCCTCCTGCTTTGTTCTTCTTTTTCAGAATTGTTTTGGCTATTTGGGGTCCCTTGAGATTCCATGTGAATTTTAGTATGGGTTTTTCTACTTCTGCAAATTCATCATTGGGATTTTGGTAGGGATTGCACTGAATCTGTAAATTGTTTTGGGTAGTATAGACATCTTAACAATATTAAGTCTTCCAGCCCATGAACGTGGGACATCTTTCCATTTATTTATGTTTTCTTTAATTTGTTTCAGAAATGTGTTATAGTTTTCATTGCATAAGTCTTTTACCTTCTTGGTTAGGTTAATTCCTAAGTGCTTTATTCTTTTGATGCTTTAATGGCATTGTTTCCTTAATTTCCTTTTCGGATTAATTATTGTTAGCATATAGGTATAGAAATGCAACTGATTTTTTTGTGTTGACTTTGCATCTTGCCACTTTGCTGAATTTGTTTATTCTAACATTTTGTGTGTGTGTGTGGGGGGTGGGTCTTTAGGATTTTCTAAATATAAAGTCATATCATCTGAAAAAGGGATAATTTTACTTCTTGCTTTCCAAATTGGATGGCTTTTATTTCTTTTTCTAACCTAATTGCTCTGATTAGAACTTCCAGTACTACGTTGAATGAAGTGATGAAAGTGGGCATACTTGCCTATTTCTAATCTTAGAGAAAAAAGCTCTTAGTCTTTCACTATTGTGTATGATGTTCATTGTAGGTTTTTCACATACGATTTTTATCATATTGAGGATAGTTTTCTTGTATTCCTAGTTTGTTGAGTGCTTTTATCATGAAAGGTTGTTGACTTTTGTCAAATGCTTTTACTGCATCAATTGCGATGTTTGTGTTTTTTGCCATCATTCTGTTAATGTTATGTATTACACTGATTGATTTTTTAAAATGTTGAACCCTCCTTGTATTCCAGGAATAAATATCACTTGAGGATGGTGTATAACCTTTTTAACCTAATAAATTCAGTTTGCTATCATTTTTTTGGAGGATTCTTGTATTAGTGTTCATGAGAGACATTGGTCTGTAATTTTCTTTTCTTGTAGTGTCTTTGTATGGCTTTGGTATTGGGCCTCATAGGCCTCATAGGGTATATACTGGCCTCATAGGATGAATCAAATTTTAAAAGTTTATTTGGAAATGTTTGAGAAGTAGTGGGGTTAGTTTTTAAATCATAGAATTTAGCAGTGAAGCTATCAGATCCTGGGCTTTTCTTTTTTTTTTTTTAATTGGGAGATTCTTGATTACTGATTCAACCTCCTCATTAGTTATAGACTATTCAGATTTTCTATTTCTTCATAATTTAGTCTTGGTAGGTTTTGTGTTTCTAGGAATTTTCTATTTCATCCAGGGTAACCAATTTGTTGGCATATAGTGTATTGTACTCTCTTATAATCCTTTTTATATCCATAGAATCAGTAGTTATGTCCCCACTTTCATTTCTGATGTTAGTAATTTGACTCTTGTTTCTTTCTTTTTTCTTAGTCCATCCACCTAAAGGTTTGCCGATTTTGTTGATCTTTTTGAGGAACTAACTTATGATTTAGTTGTTTTTCTCTATTATATTTCTTTTCTCATTTCATCTATATCTGTTCTAATCTTTATTTTTTCTGCCTGCTAGTTTTGGATTTAATTTGCTCTTTTTTTTTAGTTCCTTAAGTTGTAAAGTTAGGTTGCTGATTTGAGATCTTTATTCTTTTTTTTGTTGTTTTTAAATGTAAGCATTTATCTCTGTAAACTTCTCTCTTAGTACAGCTTTTTGCCATATCTCGTAAGTTTTGGTATCTTGTACTTTTGATTTCATTTGTCTAAAGATATTTTCTAATTTTTCTTATTTTTTCTTTGACCCATAGTTTTTCAAGAGTGTGTTATTTAATTTCTACCCATTTATGAACTTTCCAGTTTTAATTTTGTCATTGATTTCCGGTTTCATCCACTGTGGTAAGAAAAGATACTTGGCATGATTTCAGTCTTTTAAAATTTATTAAGACTTGTTTTGTGACCTAGAGTATGATCTTTTCTGGAGAATGTCCTCTGTGTTACTGAGAAGAGTGTGTATTTTTTTCCTGTTGTATAGTATATTCTGTATATGCCTGTTAGATCTAGATGGTTTATGGTGTTCAAATTCTCTGTTTCCTTACTTATCTTCTGTTTGGTTATTCTATTCATTATTCAGTTTGGGGTATTGAATTCTTCAACTAATATTGTAGAACTAACTATTTCTCCCTTCTATTCTTCCAATTTTTGCTTTATATGTTTTGATGGCCTGTTATATGCAAAAAATATTTGTAATTATTGTATCTTCTTGATGTATTGAAACTTTTATCATTATATAATGTCCTTTATCTCATTTTTTTTTTTTTTAGTTTAAAGTCTGTTTTATCTCATATTAGTATAGCTATCAGTGGTCTCTTTTGGTTACCATTTGCATGGAATTTTTTTTCATTCTTTTACTTTCAATGTATTTGTGTCTTTGGCTCTTAAGTGAGTTTCTTATAAACAGCAGATAGTTGGACCATTTTCTCATTTTTCTGCTAATCTCTATCTTTTGGTTGGAGAGTTTAATCCACTTAGGTTTAAAGTAATTAGTGATGCATCAGAGGGAAAGTGGTGGATAGTGGTGTGACCTCGACTCACTGCAACCTCCACCTCGCGGGTTCAAGTGATTCTCCTGCCTCTGCCTCCTGAGTAGCTGGGATGACAGGCGTGTGCCACCACACCAGGTAATTTTTGTATTTTTAGTAGAGACAGGGTTTCACAATGTTGGCCAGGCTGGTCTTGCACTCCTTACCTCAAGTGATCTGCCTGCTTCAGCCTCCCAAAGTGCTAGGATTATAGGGGTGAGCCACCACGCCTGGCCTTTCATTTATTTCTGCTTTGATTTTTAATATTTCTTTTTTTTTCTTTGCTAACTTTTCATTTAGTTTGTTCTTTTTCTAGTTCCTTTAGGTGTAACATTAGGTTAATTATTTGAGATGTTTCTTCTTTTTTTATCTAGGGATTTATTGCTGTAAATTTCACTTTTAGAACTGCTTTTGCTGTATCCCACAAGTTTTGGTATGTTGTATTTCCATTTTAGTTTGTTTCAAGATATTTTTAAAATTTTCCTTTTAATTTCTTCATTGACTCGTTTGTTGTTTAGGGCCTGTTCAGTTTCTATGGATCTGTGAATTTTCCAAAATTCCTGTTGCTATTTATTTCTGGTTTAATGGCATTTTGGTCAGAAGAGATTTGATACTATTTCAGTCTTCTTACATTTGCTGAGGCTTGTTTTGTGCCCTAACATGATCTGTCTTGGAAAATGTTCTGTGTGCCCTTGAGAAGTATGTGTATTCTGTTTCTGTTGGATGAAAGGTTTCATATTTGTCTGTTAGGTTCATTTGGTTGAAAATGTTGGTCAAGTCCAATCTTTCCTTACTAATTTTCTTTCTAGATTAGATATCCATTGTTGAAACTGGGGTATTGAAGCTCCTGAGTATTATCATATTGCAATATCTCTCCCTCCAGATCCTATAATTTATAAATCATGGTCTAGTGTTGGGTGAGTACATATTTATAGCTGTTCTGTTCTCTTGATGAATTGAGTCCTGTGTCATTATATAATGTGTTACTTTGTCTCTTTTTACAATTTTTGACTTAAAATCTATTTTGTCTTAAATAAGTTTAGCTATCCCTGCTCTCTTGTTTTCCAAAATAGTTTCAATTATATGTGTCCTTAAAAGTAAGAAGAGTCGGCCGGGCGCGGTGGCTCACGCCTGTAATCCCAGCACTTTGGGAGGCCGAGGCGGGCGGATCACGAGGTCAGGAGATCGAGACCATCCCGGCTAAAACGGTGAAACCCCGTCTCTACTAAAAATACAAAAAATTAGCCGGGCGTAGTGGCGGGCGCCTGTAGTCCCAGCTACTCGGGAGGCTGAGGCAGGAGAATGGCGTGAACCCGGGAGGCGGAGCTTGCAGTGAGCCGAGATCCCGCCACTGCACTCCAGCCTGGGCGACAGAGCGAGACTCCGTCTCAAAAAAAAAAAAAAAAAAAAAAAAAAGTAAGAAGAGTCTTTTGTACACAGCATTCGATTTAAAAAATTTCTTTAAAAAAAACAGGACGTTTAAAATCCATTTATCACTCTATATCTTTCTATTCAGTTATTTAATACATTTACATTCGAGGTAATTTTTGATAGGTAAGGACTTAATACTACCATTTTGTGAATTGTTTTCTGCTTGTTTTGTAGTTACTTTGTTTCTCTCTCCTTCTCTTGCTATCTTCCTTTATTGTTTGATATTTTTCTGTAGTGGAATGCTTTGAATGCTTTCTATTTTTGTTTTGTCCTTCTGCTAAAGATTTTTGATTTGTGGTTACCATGAGGCCTACATAGAGCATCTTATACTTGTAATAGCCTATTTCAAGCTGATAACAACTCAACTTTGTACATAGCAAAGTACTTTTATGGCCCCTTCCCCATATTTTATGCTTTTGATGTCAGAATTTATGTCATTTTATAATGTGTTTCTTTCGACAATTTATTTTAGCTACAGTTATTAATAGTTTTCTTTTAACCCTTGCACCAGGGATAAAATTGCTTTGTCACCATTACATTCCCAGAATATTCTAAATATGTATCTGTGTTACTTACACCATTTAGCTTAGTGCTTTCATTTGTTTCGTGTCATTAATTACCAGCCTTTTGTTTCAGCTTAAATAACTCCCTTTAGCAATCCTTGCAAAGCAGGTCTCATGATAATGAACTCCCTTAGCTTTTTTCTGGGAAAGTTTTTATGCCTCATTTCTGAATGACAGTTTTGCAGATAAAGTATTCTTGGTTGGCAGTTTTTTTTTCTTTAGCACTTTGAATGTATCATCTCACTGTCTCCTGGCCTGTAGGGTTTCTGCTGAGAAATCTACTGATAGTTGTATTGGCACTCCTTTTTACGTGATATGTTTCTTATCTTTTGCTGCTCTCAGAATTTTTTGTCTTTGATTTTTGGTGGTTTGATTACTATGTGTCTTGGTGAACTCTTCTTTGAGTTGAATTTGATTGAACATCTCTGTGTTTCCTATATCTGGATGTTGGCATCTATCCCCAATTAGGGAAGTCTTTAGCCAATGTATCTTTAAATACATAATTCTTGCCCTTTATCCTATTATGCAAAGGTTTGATTTTTTTTTTTTTTTTTTTTTTTTTGAGACAGAGTCTCGCTGTGTCGCCCATACTGGAGTGCAGTGGTGCGATCTTGGCTCACTGCAAACTCTGCCTCTGGGTTCACACCATTCTCCTGCCTCAGCCTCCCAAGTAGCTGGGACTACAGGCACCCACCACCATGCCCAACTAATTTTTTAGTATTTTTAGTAGAGACAGGGTTTTACCGTGGTAGCCAGGATGGTCTCAATCTCCTGACCTCGTGATCCACCCGCCTTGGCCTCCCAAAGTGCTGGGATTACAGGTGTGAGCCACCACACCTGGCCAGGTTTGATCTTTTGATGGTATCCCATAGTTCCTGTAGGTTTTCTTCATTCTTTTTCAGTCTTTTGTCTTTTTGTTCCTCTGACTGGATAATTTCAAATTTTCTATTTTTTGGCCCATTGATTCTATCAGAAGAAAGATAGAATCTGTGGTTAATAATTTTTACCGAATTTTTCAGTCCAGTCATTGTATTCTTCATCTCTAGGATTTCTACTTGATTCTTTTTAATGTTTTTATTTCATCGTTGAGCTTCTCACTTTGTGTATTGTTTTGCCAAATTTCATTAAATGTTATATTTGTATACTTTTATGTTGATCTTTTAGAGGATTATTTTGAATTCTTTGTCAGTAATTTCATAGATCTCCTTTTCTTTGGGGTCTATCATTGGCACTTTATTACTTTCTTTTGGAGGTGTTATGATTCCTTGATTTTCTGTAATCCTTGTGTTCTTGTATTGTTATCTGCATATTTGCAAGGCAGCCTCTCTTCTGTCCTTTAAAGTTGTTTTGAGGCAGGGATAAATCTTCACTATTTAGTCCAGCCTGTGATTCTGGAAGGACCAGCTGGTGATGACCCCTGGCAGGCAGAACTTGTTGTGGGTTCTCTAGTTGGCTGAGATGCTGCCTTTGCTCTGATGTCATCTGATATCAACATCTGGTATCAGATACTGGCTGGGCTGCACTATCTGATGAGACCACTGGCTGGGCTCTGCTATCAGGCAGTACTGTGATGGCTTCTGGTCAGGCCAGTCACAGTGTATTTTTTTAATGAACAATTTCACTATTTGGGTTCTTTAGTTGGGCAGGACCATAAGCTGGGCTCTGAGTTTAAGCAGAGTTGCTGCTCGTGATAGGTGGGACTAGGGGCAATGCTCCTTAGAAATGCATGATTGAGGATTATTTCCCTTTAAGGGTGAATCCATGGGATGGGCTTTTGGTAGGGTATGGCTGCTGCTTGACTTACGTAGTCAAGCTGGTCGTGTCCCTTTGCTTCTTTGAAATGGGTAGAGGTAGGCATCTCCCTGCCTGGTTGGGGTCACTGGGAGCCTCTGAGGCTGGGCAGAAAGACTAGCTGTCTTGGGACCCAAGCTAGTTCCTAATTTGTATAGATTTAACCATTAAAGATTAAATATAGCAATACCATCACTAACCTTTACCTGGCAAACATACATAGAATATTGCACTCAAAAACTGAAGAATATGTGTTTCCTAAAGCACACATAGGGCGTTTATAAGAATTGCCCATACATTGGGTCATAAAGGAAATGCAAAAGATTTTAATAAAGAACTGGAATCATACAGAATATGTTCTGTATTCATAAGTAATTAAACAAGAAATAAGCTTTCTTAAAATTAAAAAAAGCTTTTTTAAAAAAAGAAATAACAGGACAAGTTTGATAAAAACTTGGGAGTGTTGTCAATCTATGGATTTTTTCATTGATATGACAAGTGATATTTTATAAGCCTTTACTCACAAACTTATATGTTGCTATACTGTTTTTGGAAAATTGGAAATACCCTGCTGAATCATACTCTAAGATAAATTATGAATTCCTGATCTCAATGATTTATTCAAAATTTATTTATAGAACTTTTATAAATGTCAGTCATAGCTCCAGCTACAAAAGATGCAGTTGTGAACAAGCCAAAGTCCCCACTTGAGGGTTTCAGGCTAGTAGATAATTCCAGATGATTACAATGTAGTGTCATAAGGCAAAGCAGATTGAAGCGGTGCACATTGCCCACAGGTGAATTTTGTAGGGAATATTTAGTTTACCTGAAAATGTCTTTATATCACCTTCATTTTTGAAGGTTATTTTTATTGCAATTGCATTCTAGGTTGACAGTTTTTTTTCTTTCAGCACTTTGAAGTTATCACTAAAGATGTCTACTATCGGCCAGGCGCAGAGGCTCATGCCTGTAATCCCAGCACTTTGGGAGGCCGAGGCAGGTGGATTACCTGAGGTCAAGAGTTCAAAACCAGCCTGGCCAACATGGTGAAACCCTGTCTCTACTAAAAATACAAAAATTAGCTGGGTGTGGTGGCGGGTGCCTGTAATCTCAGCTACTCAGGAGGCTGAGGCAGGAGAATCGCTTGAACCTGTGAGGTGGAGGTTACAGTGAGCCAAGATTGTGCCACTGTACTCCAGCTTGGGCTTGGCGACAAGAGCCAAACTCTGTCTCAAAAAAAAAAAAAAGGTGTCTGCTATCAAGAGCTGACTCTGATGTCAGTGGTTGCTTTTTTCAGTTCCTCCTGTATGTAATGTTTCTTGCCCTCACTTCCATCTTTGCTTTATTTTTTGGACTCCAATATTGCTCAGCTACTGAATTTCTATAAACTCACAGTCCTCCAGCAGCTATTTTTGTCAGGCTGATGGAGTCAAGTGTAGCTTAGTATTCAGCCAAAGATTCAAGGTTACCGGTATAGTTTCTGGAACACTGTCCAAAATTTGACCTGAAAATCCTGCCCTCTCAGCAGCCCTGAGCTCCAATCTTTGTTTATTCTACCCACCTGTTCTTTATTTAGGCTTCTACTTATCTATGCTACAATTTGGAGTGTCCCCAGCAGGAAACGAGAATCAGTGGAGAGCTCAACTTCTCGGTTTCCTTCTCTAAGTATCACAACCCTGTCCTGTTTGTAGACCAATGCCTGAAAACAATTTTTCATATATTGTGTCCAGTTTCAGATTGGTTTACAGTGGCAATCTAAGTTCTATAGCCACTATTTTGTCTTGGCTAGAACTGGAAATTGTACTAATCTTTTCGTTGGCAGGATGGAATTTGTTTTTTAGAATTTGTATTTACAAGAATGCTACTTAAAAAGCATTTCACTAATTCCACCTTTTAGTCAGACACAATGAAACAACTTCTGATCCTTTTTTAAAAAAAATTGAGAGGCTTAAAAATTGAGTAAATCCTAAATTTTCCATGGTAAAAAGTGAGTCTTCTCTTTAAATTCATAAATAAAAGGTTGTTTTAAACTTGATTAAAAAGCTATAAATAGGGAGAAGAGGATAAGAAGTAAAAATAATATTTGAAGAGCCAAAAGACATAAAATTACCCTTCAATCAGTTTTATTCACTTTTCACCCATTTATTTATTCACTCAACAGATATTTATTGAATGCTAAGTGTTGGAGATACACAGATGACTTGGTCTTTCCCTTCAAAACATCATAGGAAAATATGGGAGAAATACATACAAGTAAATAATTAAAAAGCAATATGGAATAAATTCCACTAGAGGGGCATTCTGCCAATTACCTGATCAGCACTCCTTGAAGCTATCAAGGTTATCAAAAACAGGGAAAGAGAAACTATCATAGCCAAGAGGAGCCTAAGGAGATGTGATGACAAATAGAATGTGCCATTTCAGCTGGGATCCTAAAACAAAAAGAGGACATTAGTTAAAAACTAAGAAACTCTGAATAAAGTATGGACTTTAGTGAATAATAATGTAGCTATATTGGTTCATTAATTATAACAATAATAATGTGAAATGTTACCAATGGGGAAACTGAGTGTGGGGACATATGGGACTCTCTGTGTTATCGTCTCAATTTTTCTGAAAATCTGAAACTACTTAAAAAATAAAGTCCACTTAAATAACAATATGAAAATACAGTCATTTCACAAAGTCCAAAGGAGTGACTCCAACAATAAATATTTAAGAAGTATTTATTTTTATAGTGGTGCTAACTTTGATATAAATGTTACAAGTACTATTTTCTTTTTTTTTAAATTTCAGCATGGATAGTGATGGATCAATGACAGTAGACTGGGATGAATGGAAGTACTACTTTTTACTGCATCCTGCAACAAATATCACTGAAATGATTCATTTCTGGAAGCATTCTACTGTAAGATTACTTTGTATTTTACTTTGTTTTTATTTTGCTCTAAATGTCATAGCTGTTATGATAACATAACCCCTACAATACTTGCAGCCTCAGGGGCTAAAGTTACAATATTTCCCCCCTAATAATGTTCTGCTAATTTAGCTAGTGGTATTAGTATTGTGTGTATAAACAGAGCAACCAGTTTCTTTGTTTGCCAAAATCTAGAACTTAAAATCATAATCTACCTGCTGAAAGTGCCTACTTTGTGTTAAGAATTAATTTCTATGACATAGTATTTAGATTGCCCTAGAAAAGTGAAAAATAATATATTTTTCTTTTTTCACAGATATGCTGTATCTGATTGGGTCTTCTATCATAGAAAACATAAAGTCAAATATTAGGATTTGAAAATTTTAGAACCAGAAAGGGTCAAATATTTAATAATCTGCCTGCTCATTTTATATAAGCCCTTGACTTGGAGTTGTAATAAGGAGATCCTGTAATTGAAGACTTTGTTTCCTTTAGCAGATCTCAGGTGTGGGGGTTAATTATTTATTCATGGCATACTATTCTCATTTACCCTCCTGAGTTTTTGCCTCCTCTCCACAGAGAACATAGGGGAAGCAAAGAGCACAGGCTCTGGACTGCCTAGGCTTGAATTCCACATCTACCACCCACTTGCTCTATCAACCTCTCTGTGCATCATTTTCCTCAGTTATACAGTAGGGATAAAAATGATAAATGTTTTGAGAATTAAATTAGTACATTAGTTAGTAGATTTAAAACAGGGCTAAGCACATAAGTGTTCAATAAATGTTAGTTGTTACGATAGGCACTTATTCTATCTGATATGTTTCATCTGTGTTCTTGGATTTATATATTTGCATATTCTTAGGGAGCATGTAGTATTGTTTCACACATGTGTTTTTGATTTGTATAGCTAGTATTGTGCTAGAGACCACATCTGATTTCTGACTTTATGATTTGTCCTTGATGTTATATGCTTATCTAATTTATTGCTCCTAACATACTCATAGTATGCACTTATCACTTCTTCCTTGTCTATTCCCCAAGAAATGGACATCTAGTTTTTTCTCCAACTTCACCCATAAAAAATGCTTTCATTTTATGTACCTTAGAGAATTTCACCCAGTTTTCCATCATAGGGAATGTGCATTTGTACCTTTTACAACTACTAAGGTATCCAGTTTCAATTTTGTTTTAATTTCATGAAATATTGCCGTAATTTTTTTCCAGAATGGCTAGCCGTAGCAATTCACACTCCTGCCAGCAATGTATGAAGGTTCCCATTTCTTTATGTATTGTTTATTACTTGGTATTATTCAGTTTTATAGCATTTGCTGTTCTGTTGGGCATAAAGTAGAATTTCATTGTTTTAACCTGCATTTCCTTGATTCCTAGTACATTTTGAACATCTCTTCATAGGAATATTAGACATTCACATGTTCTTTTCTATGAATTGTCTGTTTATATGCTTTATCTAGTTTTTTATGGATTTTCTATCATGTCCCTAATGTTTCATAAGAGTTACATATTTATCTTAGATAGTAATCTTTGTTGTACTTTGACGTGCACATATTTTTTCTAGTATGCCATTTGTCTGTTGTTTCTTTGTTTTGTCCATGATATTCCTGGTTGAACAGAAATATTTGATTTTTGGTGAGTAAATCCACAAAATATGTAATGGTTTACAATTTTGGTATCTTATTAAGAAGTACTTTCCTACCTCTTGGTCACAAAGACGTTCTGTATCTTCTATTAGTTCTATGGTTTCTGCTTTTACATTTAGGCCTTTAATGCATCTGTTAGTTCACATTTCTACATGATTAAAAGCAGGGCTCTGATTTTATTATTTTTATATGTAGAGGGAATTTTCCCAGTATACCCTACTAAACATTGAATTCTTTTCACATTCATTTGTGATGCCACCTTTCTCACACATCAAGCTTCCATAAATACTTGGATATTTTCTTGAGCTTCCTTTTCTGTTCCATTGTTTTCTTTTTTAATGCCAATATTGAACTGTCTTTATGACTATGGTTGTGTAGTATAATACTGACCTGGTAAAGTAAATACTTCCTCTTTGTCCCCCTTCCCTCACTGATTTTTCTTATCTTTAAAAAAATTTATTCATTTTATTTATTTATTTATTTATTATGCTTCAATTTCTGGGATACATGTGCAGAATGTGCAGGTTTGTTACACAGGTATACATGTGCCATGGTGGTTTGCTGCACCCATCAACCCATTACCTGGGTTTTAAGCCCTGCATGCATTAGGTATTTGTCCTAATGCTCTCCCCCTCCTTGCCCCCCACCCCCTGACAGGCCCTGGTGTGTGATGTTTCCCTCCCTGTGTCCATGTGTTCTCATTGTTCAGCTTCCACTTATGAGTGAGAACATGTGGTGATTGGTTTTCTGTTCCTGTGTTAGTTTGCTGAGAATGATGGTTTCCAGATTCGTCTATGTCCCTGCAAAGGACATGAACTCATTATTTTTTATGGCTGCATAGTATTCCATGGTGTATATGTGCCACATTTTCTTTATCCAGTCTATCATTGGTGGGCATTTGGGTTGATTCCAAGTCTTTGCTATTGTGAACCGTGCTGCAATAAACATACGTGTGCATGGGTATATACCCAGTAATGAGATTGATGTGTCAAATGGTATTTCTGCTTCTAGACCCTTGAGGAATCTCCACACTGTCTTCTGCAATGGTTGAACTAATTTACAGTCCCACCAACAGTGTAAAAGCGTTCCTGTTTCTTCACATCCTCTCCAGCATGTTGTTTTCTGATTTTTTAATGATCTCCATTCTAACTGGCGTGAGATGCTATCTCATTGTGGTTTTGATTTGCATTTCTCTAATGATCAGTGAGGATGAGCTTGTTTTCATATCTTTGTTGGCAGCATAAATGTCTTATTTTGAGAAGTGTCTGTTTATATCCTTTGCCCAGTTTTTGATGTGGTTGTTTTTTTCTTGTAAATTTGTTTAAGTTCCTTGTAGATTCTGGATATTAGACCTTTGTCAGATGGATAGATTTCAAAAGTTTTCTCCTATTCTGTAGGTTGCCTGCTCACTCTGATGATAGTTTCTTTTGCTGAGCAGAAGATCTTTAGTTTAATGAGATCCCATTTGTAAATTTAGCCTTTCGTTGCAATTGCTTTTAGTGTTTCAGTCATAAAGTCTTTGCTCATGCCTATGTCCTGAATGGTATTACCCAGGTTTTCTTCTAGGGTTTTTATGATTTTAGGTTTTACGTTTAAGTCTTTAATCCATCTTGAGTTAATTTTTGTATAAGGTGTAACAGTTTGAGTTTTCTGCATATGGTTAGCCAGTTTTTCCAGCAGCATTTATTAAATAGGGGATCCTAAAGAAGCAAGAGCAAACAAATTCAAAAGCTAGCAGAAGAGAAGAAATAATTAAGATCAGAGCAGAACTGAAGGAGATAGAGACACAAAAAACTCTTCAAAAAATCAATGAATCCAGGAGCTGTTTTTTGAAAAGATTAACAAAGTAGATAGAATAGTAGCCAGACTAATAAAGAAGAAAAGAGAGAACAATCAAATAGACACAATAAAGAGTGATAAGGGGGATATCACCATGGACCCCACAGAAATACAAACTGCCATCAGAGAATGTTATAAACACCTCTATGCAAATGAACTAGAAAATCTAGAAGAAATGGTTAAATTCCTGGACACATACACCCTCCCAAGACTAAACCAGGAAGAAGTCGAATTCCTGAATAGACCAATAACAAGTTATGAAATTGAGGCAGTAATTAATAGCCTACCAACCAAAAAAAGCCCAGGACCAGATGGATTCACAGCCAAATTCTACCAGAGGTACAAAGAGGAGCTGGTACCATTCCTTCTGAAACTATTCCAAACAATAGAAAAAGACAGAATCCTCCCTAACTCATTTTATGAGGCCAGCATCATCCTGATACCAAAACCTGGCAGACACACAACAAAAAAAGAAAATTTCAGGCCAATATATTTGATGAACATTGATGTGAAAATCCTCAGTAAAATACTGGAAAACCAAATCCAGCAGCACATCAAAAAGCTTATCCACCACGATCAAGTCGGCTTCATCCTTGGGATGCAAGGCTGGTTTAACATACAGAAATCAATAAATGTAATCCATCACATAAACAGAACCAATGACAAAAACCACATGATTATCTCAATAGATGCAGAAAAGGCCTTCAATAAAATTCAACACCACTTCATGCTAAAACCTCTTAATAAACTAGATGTTGATGGAGCATATCTCAAAATAATAAGAGCTATTTATTTCAAACCCATAGCCATTATTATACTCAATGGGCATAAGCTGGAAGCATTCCCTTTGAAAAACAGCACAAGACAAGGATGCCCTCTCTCACCACTCCTATTCAACATAGTACTGGAAGTTCTGACCAGGGCAATCAGGCAAGAGAAAGAAATAAGAGGTATTCAAATAGGAAGAGGGGAAGTCAAATTGTCTCTGTTTGCAGATGACATGATTGTATATTTAGAAAACTCCATCGTCTCAGCCCCAAAACTCCTTAAGCTGACAAGCAACTTCAGCAAAATCTCAGGATACAAATTCAATGTGCAAGCATCACAAGCATTCCTATACACCAATAACAGACAAACAGAGAGCCAAATCATGAGTGAACTCCAATTCAGAATTGCTACAAAGAAAATAAAATACCTAGGAATACAACTTATAAGGAACGTGAAGGACCTCTTCAAGGAGAACTACAAACCACTGCTGAAGGGAATAAGAGAGGACACAAACGAATGGAAAAACATTCCATGCTCATGGATAGGAAGAATCAATGTCATGAAAATGGCCATACTGCCCAAAGTAATTTATAGATTCAATGCTATTCCCATCAAGCTACCATTGACTTTCTTCACCAAACTAGAAAAAACTACTTTAAAGTTCATATGGAACCAAAAAAGAGCCTGTATAGCCAAGACAATTCTAAGCAAAAAGAACAAAGCTGGAGTCCTCACACTACATGACTTCAAACTATACTACAAGGCTACACTAATCAAAACAGCATGGTACTGATAGCAAAACAGATATATAGACCAATGGAACAGGGCAGAGGCCTCAGAAATAACACCACACGTCTACAACCATCTGATCTTCAGCAACCTGACAAAAACAAGCAATGGGGAAAGGATCTTTCTTATCAAAATTAGCCTAGTTTTTTTTTTTTAAAGAAGAACTTTTATTTTAGATTTTAGATTTTCTTAATTTCAACTGAATTTTTGATTTTCTTAATTTCAACTGTATATTTTTAGAAACTTGATTGCAATTACGTTTGTCTTGGTTTGGGCTGCTATAAAAAATTACCATGGTCTAGGTGATTTAAACAACAAACATTTATTTCTCACAGTTCTGGAGGTTAGAAATTTGAGATCAGGGTGCTGATATAGTCAGGTTCTTGGTGAGTGCACTTTTCCTGGTGTACAGAGGGCTGTCTTCTTTCTATTCCCTCACATAGTGGAAAGAGAGCTAGCTAGACCTCTGGTGTCATCTTTTAAGGGCACTAATTCCAATTATAGTGGATCCACTCTCATGACCTAATTATCTCCCAAAGGCCGCAACTCCAAATATCATCACATTTCGATTAGGATTTCAATATATGAATTTGGAGACATACGTTTCATTCATTGCATTCTGCCCCTGGCTCCCCCAAATTCATGTTCTTCTCACATGCAAAATAAACCCATTCCATTCCAACAGCCCCCAAATACTTAACTTGTTCTGGCATTAACTTTAAAAGTCTGAAGTACAATGTCTCATCTAAATATCACATAAATTGGATATAGGTAAGATTTGAAGTACAATTCATCCTGAGGCAAATTCCTCTCCAGCTGTGAACCTGTGAAAGTAAGCAATTTATGTGCTTCCAAAATATACAGGAATAGGAGAGACATTCCCATTCCAAAAGGGAGAAAGAGGAAAGAAGGAAAGGAAAAATGGGTCCTAGGCAAGTTAATAGCAAGGCAAGCTCTGTGAGATCTTAAGGCTCAAGAATAATCATTTTGATGTTCTACTCTCTGGACTCATGGTGGCAATGGTTCCTCTTTTATACCTCTGCCCAGTGGGGGTGGTGTCCCAGTGGGTCCCAACAGCCCTGCCCCATGGCTCTGCTGCGTGTTGGTCCCACCGTTTGAAACTGAGGTGGAGGCAGCCCCATTCTCTGGCTCAGCCCATGGCACTCTGGGCCAATGGTGGAAGTGGCAGCTCTGTGGATTTCTGAATCTCCTTTGGGGTCCTTCTTCTCTTGTTTTGGATAGTGCATGTTTTCTGCTCAGTGGTTGAGTCCTGTAGTCCTGAAGTTCTAAGAAGTCTGATGGTCTTCCTTAATTGTATCCTATTTTCTCTCTTTCCTTTAGTCTCAGCTGGCATTTCTGCTAGAATTGCCCCATCTCTGTTCCTGGTTTCTGTTGAGATGGCTGATGAAGTCCATGGTTCACACTTACACGAATCTCCTTTTCAAGTGGTTAGTTCACCACACCCTTAGTGTTCTCTTCTGAACATGCTTTTTAAAAATTTTTTCGTAACATTAACAGTTCAGAAATTTTCAAATATTTAAGTTCTGGTTCCTTTTTGCTTAATGATTCCATCTTCAACTTATTTCTCTCTTACCTTTTTCTATAAGTGATCGGGAAGAAGTAAGCCACTCCTTCAACACTTTGCCTAGAAATTTCCTCCACTAAGTATCCAGTTTCATCACTTACAAGTTCTACATTCCACAAAACACTAGAACATAAACACAATTCAGCCAAGTTTTTTACCACTTTATAACAAGGATGGGCTTTCCTCTAGTTTCTAATAACATGTTTCATCATTTCCATTTGAGGCTTTGTCATGAATGGCCTCTACTATCCATATTTCTACTAACATGGTTCATAATTATGTACTGTCTTAAGAAGACAGAAGCTTTCTGTACAGCTCTCCTCTTTTATTTCTGAGCCATAATCACAATTGCCTTTAAAATCCCGTCATGGCAACATTGACATTTTCTAGCATGTACTTCACAATTCTTGCAGCCTCTACCCATTACCCACTTCCAAGATTGCTTCCACACTTTCATGTACTTGTTATTGCAGTGCCTCATTTCTCAGTACCAATTTCTGTCTTAGCCAGTTCATGCTGCTATATGTACTGGGCTACTTAAAGTTCAGGCATTTATTTTTCAGAGTTCTGAAAGCTGGAAGTCCTAGATCAGGTTGCCAGCATGGTTGGGTTCTTGGGGAATGCCCTTTTCCTGGCTGACAGAGAGCCGTCTTCTTGCCATCCTCATACAGTATGGAAAGGTAGCTAGCTAGCTGTCTGGCTTCTTATGAAGGCTTCTGATGTAATTATTTTTCAAAGACCCCACCTCCAAATACCATCACACTGGGATGAGGGTTTCAACATTTGAACTGACGGTGAAGCAGGACACAAACATTCAGTCCATTGCAGCAGTGAATTTATAGAATAATTTGGGTAAAACAGGTATCTTCATAATTTTAAGTTACTCTATCCACAAACATGATCAAATTATCTCTATTCAGATTTCTTGTTATATTATTTAACAGAGGTTACATTTTTTTCCCTGAAATGGTCTTCTGTCCTCTTTGTTAGGTTAAATCTTAGATGCTGTATAGATTTTGCCACTTTTGTGAATGTATCTTCTTTCCTATTAAATTTTCCACTTGATTATTTCTGCTTTGAGAAACTCCTTTTTGTAAGTTGATCTTCTATCTGGTACTTTGCTGAACTCTCTTATTTATTATAACAATTTGCCACCTAATACTTTTGTTTTTCCTTGTTTATGACCATATTCTTTTAATAACAATATTATTTCTTTTATTTTAGTTCCCATATGAAAACAATTCTTTTTAGCTTATATCTTTGGCTAGAATCTTCAGTACTGTGTTAGATAGCAGCAGGGATGGCAATCATTATTTCTTATTCATGAAGCATTTTTTTAAATGCTTCTAAAATTTCTTCTATTAAGTATGATGCTTGCTATGTTGTTGTTCTTATAATTATTAGCAAACTAAGGAAGTTTTCAGAATTTTAAAAATATAATTATTTAAATATATTTATATAACATAAAATTCACCCATTTTAAGAGTGCAAATAAATTCAATTATTTTAGTAAATTAAGAGAACAGTACAACAATCACCATAATCCATTTTTAGAACATTTCCATTATCCCCAAAATTCCTGGTACATGTTTACAGTTAATCTCTACTCTTCCACCTATCCCTGGGCAACTGCTCTTTACTTTCAGTCAGATACATATTTTTTAATGATAAATCGGTGATGAGATTTATTAAATAACTTTTTTGCATCCATGGAGATAATTTCCAAGAAGCAGTGCAGTATAGCATACTGGTTGAGAGACAGACTCTGAAACTACACTTCCTAGGCTCAAATTATAACATTGACAATGATTGTCTGTGTAACTTGGGCAAGTTATTGAATCTCTCTGTGCTTCAATTTCTTCAGTAAAATGAGAATAATGATAGCTATCTATTAGTTGAACTATAGGAAATTTCTGATATCCAACTATTTTTGACCTACAAGAATGGTAATTTGCAGAAAGTCCCCATCAGCGAGCAGGCTCTCACAGATGTGTCCCCTCAACCTTGGACTTCTCAGCCTCCATAATTGCATGAGCCCAATGAATGAATTCCTGTAATAAACTCTATCTATCTATCTATCTATCTATCTATCTATCTATCTATCTATCTATCTTATATCTATCCATCCATCCATCCTATTGGTTTTGTCTTTCTGGAGAGCCCTAACTAATACAGAGTGCTTCCATGTTTTCACCATTTCATGTTTTCTGAAGGATGTATTTTATGTTTTTTTCAAACTACTAGTACCTGTATTCTATGAGTTTTTCTTTCCTAGGTCCAACTGATACCATATATATTTTGATATATAGTGTTTTTATTGTCATTCAGGCACCATTTATTTTACAACTTCTCCCTGAGATTTCCTCTTTAATCCTAGGATTAATTAGGTAATATCTTTATTTTATGTGTGTGCATAATTTTCTGGCTGAGGGTTTTCTTTTAAAGACATCCTTTTGTTATGTATGATATTGAAATATAGTCAGGAATTATAGAGGGTATGATATAGATTCCTGGGAATTTATTGTGGCTTCATTTGTTGCCTATTAAATGGTCAGTTTTAAAAAATATGTTCTATGCATGTGTCCTAAAAAATAATGTATATTTTTTGCTTGTTGGATGTAAATTTCTATATAAATCAATTAAGCTAAACCTTATTATTTTATATGCATTATAATTTTTATTCTGTTTGATCTATAAAATTCTGAGAAGAATATTTTAAAATTAGCAAGTATAGTTGCTAATTTATTTCTTCCTGTAGTTCCACTGGTTGTTGCTGAAAATATTTTGAGCCTGTGTGGTTAACGTGTATATATGTTCATAAATTTTATATCTTTTTGATTAGTTGTTCCTTTTAACAATCTCTCATGATGGTTTTTCTTCTGAAGTTCAATCTGTATCTTCTCCTAAACAATATAGGTGTACTTCAATGTACTCTTACTTCCATTTGTTTTTTGCCATAACCCATATTTCCTTGGTATTATCTAGAATTTTAGTGGATTTTATTGGATATAGTTGCGTTTGTATGGTGTGTATATTTGCCTTTTTTAAAAAAATAATAAATTTTAGCTTACTTTATTTATCTTTACTTCTCATTTATCTTCTAATGTTCTTCTGGGTTTATTTCTCTCTTTGCTGGAGTGCCTCTTCCAAGAGTGTTTTCAAAGAGGGTCTTTGGGCGCTAAGTCTGCTGAGATATTCAATAGATACTGTTCTTGTATGTTTGCTTTTAGGTGATTTTTTTTTTTGTTTTTTTTTGTTTTTGAGACGGAGTCTCACTCCTTCACCCAGGCCGGACTGCAGTGGCACTATCTCAGCTCACTGCAAGCTCCGCCTCCCAGGTTCACGCCATTCTCCTGCCTCGGCCTCCTGAGTAGCTGGGACTATGGGCGCCCGCCACCGCGCCTGGCTAATTTTTTGTAGTTTTAATAGAGACGGGGTTTCACCATGTTAGCCAGGATGGTCTCGATCTCCTGACCTCGTGATCCGCCCACCTCGGCCTCCCAAAGTCCTGGGATTACAGGCGTGAGCCACCGCACCCAGCCCGGTATTTTTGTTTAAAATTCTAGATTAAAAGTTTCTTTAATTGATTGGTTTGAAAATATTATTGCATTGCCTTCTTACATCGTATGACCTCAATTGGATTCTTGTTTGTACAGTCGTCCCTAGGTATCCACGGGCATTGGTTCCAGGATCCCACTCTCCACCCCAACACCTGCTGTCAATACCAAAATCTGTGCATACTCTAGTCCCGAAGTTGCCTTGGTAGAACCTGGTATATGAAAAGTCAGCCTTTGGTATTAGCAAATTGCACATCTTATGAATACTGTAGTTTCAGTCTGTTTGGTTGTAGACACAAACCCACAGATACAGAGGGCCAACTGTATTTATTGCAAAAAATCTTTGTATAAGTGGACCTACACAGTTCAAACCTGTGTTGTTCAAGGGTCAGCTGATTTGTTCTTTATCTCAGAACACTTAAAAAACTTTTTCTCTCCTTGTCTTTGATGTTTTAAAATTTCATTACAATGCATTTGGATGGTCAGGAGTGGTGGCTTACACCTGTAATACCAGCACTTTGGGAGGCCAAGGTGGGCAGATCTCTTGGGCTCAGGAGTTGGAGGCCAGCCTGAGCAGCATGCCGAAACCCCACCCCCATCAAAAAAATACAAAAATTACCCAGGCCTGGTGGTCAGGAGGGTCAGAAGGGGGAAGTGGGAGAATCATCTGAGCCAGGGAAGTCAATGCTGAAGTGAGCGATGATAGTGCCACTGCACTCCAGCCTAGGTGATGGGAGTGAGACCTTGTCTCAAAAAAAAGAAAACAAAACAAAACAACAACAACAAAACTATATATTTATAATGTATGTATATAATGTATATATGTATATGTATAATGTATATATAATGTATTTATAATATATATGTAATGTGTATATATAATATGTGTATATATATAATGTATATAATACATTTAGGTAAGCTTTTCTCAAATATTTTTTCTGAGCCCTTCCAATATGAGGTGCTTCATCTCTCTCCAATTCTGGAAAATTCTTGGTTATTATTCTTATATTTTCTTGACATTTATTTTTTCTACTTTTTAAAGACTTACATAGAAGTTAACCTTTCTTGTTCTATCTTCACAGTCTCTTACCTTTTCATTTCTAATCTCTGTGCCTTTCTTCCTGCCTGATGTTTTCTGGGAGAGTTCCTTTACTTGACCATTCTTTGGCTGTAGTCATTCGGCTATTTATTCCATCGGTAGGTTTTATTATTATATATTTCATGTCTAATATTTCTACTTGGTTCTTCTTTATACCTTAATGCCTGCATTTTGTGAATAATATGCAATATAGCTCCAATATTTTGGAGAATGTTTATTATATTTATTATGTGTATTTAAATTCTTGATTTGTCTACCTATTAATCCTAATAGATAATGTAGTAGAGGTTCAGTTTGTGGTCTTTCTTTTTACAGGAGTTATGGATTTCTTTTTTTAAAATTTTATTTTAGGTTCAGGGGTATATGTGCAGGTTTTTTAATATAGGCAAACTATTGTCATGGGGGTATGGTGTAGAGACCATATTGTGACCCAGGTACTAAGATAGTACCCAATAGTTATTTTTCCTTCTCCCACTCTCCTTCCTCAAGCAGGCTCCAGTATCTGTTGTCCCGTTAGTGCCCACTGGTTCTTATTATTTAGCTTCCATTTATAAGTGAGAACGTGAGGTATTTAGTTTTCTTTTCCTGCATTAGTTTGCTAAGGATATTGGCCTCCAGCAACATCCATATTTCTGTAAAGAACATGATTTTGTTCTTTTTTTAGGGCTGCATAGTATTCCATGATATATATGTACCACATTTTCTTTATCCAGTCTGCCCTTGATGGGCATTTAGGTTGTTTCCATGTCTTTGCTATTGTGCATAGCACTGCAGTGAACATACATGTGCATGTGTCTTAGAATGATTATATTTTTTTGGGCATATACCCAGTAATGGGATTGCTGAGTTGAATGGTAGTTCTGTTTTAAGTTCTTTGAGGAATTGCCACACTGCTTTCCACAATGGTTGAACTAATTTACATTCCCACCAGCAGTGTATAAGCATTCTCTCTTCTCCACAACCTCACCAGCATCTGTTATTTTTTTTAATTATAGCCATTCTGACTGATGTGAGATGGCATCTCATTATGGTTTTGATTTTCATTTCTCTAATGATTGGTGATTGTATTAGTCCATTTTCACACTGCTGATAAAGACATACCCGAGACTGGGAAGAAAAAGGTTTAATTGGACTTGGAGTTCTACATGGCTGGGGAGGCCTCAGAATCATGGCAGGAAGTGAAAGGCACTTCTTACATGGTGGTGGCAAGACAAAATGAGGAAGAAGCACAAGCAAAAACCCTTAATAAACCCATCAAATCTTGTGAGACTTATTCACTATCATGAGAATAGCACGGGAAGGACCAGCCCCCATGATTCAATTACCTCCCCCAGGGTCCCTCACACAACACATAGAAATTCTGGGAGATACAATTCAAATTGAGATTTGGGTAGAGAAACAGCCAAACCATATCATTCTGCCCCTGGTGCCTCCAAATCTCATGTCCTCACATTTCAAAACCAATCATGCCTTCTCAATAGTCCCCCAAAATCTTAACATTTTAGCGTTAACCCACAAGTCCACAGTCCAAAGTCTCATCTGAGAAAAGGCAAGTCCATTCCGCCTATGAGCCTGTAACATCAAAAGCAAACTAATTACTTCCTGGATACAATGGAGGTACAGGTATTGGGTAAATACAGCTGTTCCAAATCAGAGAAATTGACCAAAGCAAATGGGTTATAGGGCCCATGTAAGTCCAAAATCCAGTGAGGCGGTCAAATTTTAAAACTCCAAAATGATCTTCTTTGACTCCAGGTCTCACATCCAGGTCATGCTGATGTAAGAGGTGGGTTCCCATGGTCTTGGGCAGCTCAGCCCCTGTGGCTTTGCAGGATATAACTTCCTTCCCAGCTGCTTTCATGGGCTGGCATTGAGTGTCTATGGCTTTCGCAGGCACACAGTGCAAGCTGTCAGTGCATCCACCATTCTGGGGTCTGGAGGACAGTAGCTGTCTTCTCACAGCTCCACTAGGCAGTGCCTTAGTAGGGACTCGGTTTGGGGGCTCCAACCCCACATTTCCCTCCTACAGTGCCCTAGCAGAGGTTCTCTGTGAGGGCTCTGCCCCTGCAGCAAACTTTTGCCTGGGCATCCAGGCGTTTCGATACATCTTCTGAAATCTAGGTAGAAGTTCCCAAACCTCAGTTCTTGACTTCTGTGCACCCGCAGGCTCAACACCACATGGAAGCTGCCAAGGCTTGGGGCTTCCACCTTCTGAAGCCACAGCCTGAGCTGTATATTGGCCCATTTCAATCATGGCTGGAGCAGCTGGGACACAGGTCACTAAGTCTCTAGGCTGCATGCAGCATGGGGACCCTGGGCCTGGCCCAGGAAGCCAGTTTTTCCTTCTGGGCCTCCAGGCCTGTGATGGGAGGGGCTGCCTTGAATGTCTCTGCCATGGCCTGCAGACATTTTTCCCATGGTCTTGGGGATTAACATTAGGCTCCTTGCTACTTATGCAAATTTCTGCAGCTGGCTTGGATTTCTCCCAAGAAAATGGGGTTTTCTTTTCTATCGCATAGTCAGGCTGCAAATTTTCAAACTTTTATGTGCTGCTTCCCTTATAAAGCTGAATGCCTTTAACAGCACCCAAGTCACCTCTTGAATGCTTTGCTGCTTAGAAATTTCTTCCATCAGATACCCTAAATCATCTCTCTCAAGTTCAAAGTTCCAGAAATCTCTAGGGCAGGGGCACAATGCCTCCAGTCTTTTTGCTAATACATAACAAGAGTCACCTTTACTCCAGTTCCCAAAAAATTCTTCATCTCTATCTGAGATCACCTCAGCCTGGACCTTATTGTCCATATCACTATCAGCATTTTGGGCAAAGCCATTCAAAAAGTCTATAGGAAGTTCCAAATTTCCCCACATTTTCTTATCTTCTTCTGAGCCCTCCAAACTGTTCCAATCTCTGCCTGTTACCCAGTTCCAAAGTTGTTTCCACATTTTTAGGTATATTTTCAGCAATGCCCCACTCTACTGGTACCAATTTATTGTATTAGTGCTTTTTCACACTGCTGATAAAGACATACCCAAGACTGAGAAGAAAAAGAGGTTTAATTGGATTTACAGTTCCACATGGCTGGAGAGGCCTCAGAATCATGGTGGGAGGTGAAAGGCACTTCTTACATGGCAATGGCAAGAGAAAATGAGGAAGAAGCAAAAGTGGAAACCCCTGATAAACCCATCAGATCTTGTGAGACTTATTCAATATCACAAGAATAGCACAGGAACGACCAGCCCCCATGATTCAATTACCTCCACCTGGGTCTCTTCCAGAACACATGGGAATTCTGGGAGATACAATTCAAGTTGACATTTGGGTAGGGACACTGTCAAACCATATTATTGATATTGAACATTTTTTCATATGCTTGTTGGCCATGTGTATGTCTTCTTTTGAAAAGTGCCTGTTCATGTCCTTTGTCCACTTTTTAATGAAGTTATATTTTTTTTCTTGTAAATTTAAGTTCCTCATAGATGATAGATATTAGACCTTTGTCAGATGTATAGTTTGCAAATACTTTTTCCCATTCTGTAGGTTGTCTGTTTACTCTGTTGATAGTTTCTTTTGCTGTGCTGAAGCTCTTTAGTTTAGTTAGATCCCATTTGTCAATTTTTGCTTTTGTTGCGATTGCTTTTGGTGTCTTCATCATGAAATCTTTGCCCTTTCCTATATCCAGAATGGTATTTCTTAGGCTATCTTCCAGGATTTTTATAGTTTTATGTTTTACATTTAAAATCTTTAATTCATCTCAAGTTGATTTTTGTATACGGTGCAAAGAAGGGATCCAGTTTCAATCTTCTGCACATGGCTAGCCAGTTATCCCAGCACCATCTATTGAATAGGGAGTCCTTTCCTCATTGCTTGTTTTTGTCAACTTTTTCAAAGATCAGGATAGTTGTAGGTGTGTATCCTTATTTCTGGGCTCTCTATTCTGTTCCCTTGGTCTGTATGTCTGTTTTTGTACCAGTGTCTTGCTGTTTGGTTACAAGAGCCCAGTAGCATAGTTTGAAGTTGGGTAATGTGATGCCTCTAGCTTTGTACTTTTTGCTTAGGATTGTCTTGGCTATGTAGGCTCTTTTTTGGTTCCATATGAATTTTAAAATAGTTTTTCTCTAGTTCTGTCATTGGTAGTTTGACATTGGAAGAATGTCATTGGTAGTTTGACTGAACAGCATTGAATCTATAAATTGCTTTGGGCAGTATAGCCATTTTAACAAGACTGATGCTTCCTATCCATGAGAATGAATGTTTTTCTATTTGTTTGTGTCATCTCATTTCTTTGAGCAGTCTAATTGTAGAGATCTTTCACCTCCCTGGTTAGCTATATTCCTGGGTATTTTGTTCTTTTTGTGGCAGTTGAGAATGGCATTTCATTACTGATTCCACTATTGGTTTGGATGCTGTTGGGGTACAGAAATGCTAGTGATTTTTGTACATTTATTCTGTATCCTAAGACTTTGCCAAAGTTGTTTATCAGCTCAAGGAGCTTTTAGGCTGAGACTTTTGGGTTTTTTATATATAGAATCATGTCATCTACAAACAGGGATAGTTTGACTTTCCCTCTTCCTATTTGGAAGCCCTTGATTTCTTTCTCTTGCCTCATTGCTCTGGCCAGGATTTCCAATACAATGTTGAATAGGAGTGGCGAGGGAGGGTATCTTTGTCTTGTGTCAGTTTTCAAGGGCTATGGTTCCAGATTTTGCCCATTCAGTATGATGTTGGCTGTAGGTTTGTCATAGGTGGCTCTTATCATTTTAGCAGGAATGATACCAGCTCTTCTTTGTACAAGTGCAATACTTTGTATTTTAAAGTATGTTTCTTCTATACCTAGTTTATTGAGAGTTTTTAACGTGAAACAATGGTGGATTTTGTCAAATGCCTTTGCTGCATCTGTTGAGATAATCATGTGGTTTTTGTGTTTAGTTCTGTTTATATGATGAATCATATTTATGGATTTGCATATATCGAACCAACCTTGCGTCCCAGGGATAAAGCCTACTTGATCACGGTGGATTAGCTTTTTGATGTGCTGCTGGATTCAGTTTGCAAATATATATATAGTTTTAGAGACAGAGTCTTACTCTGTCACCCAGGCTGGAGTGCAGTGGTGTGATCTTGGCTCACTGCAGCCTTGTCCTCCTGGGCTCAAGCAATTTTCCTACCTCAGCCTCCTGAGTACCTTGGACCATAGGTGTGTGCCACTGTACCTGGCTAAGTTTTTATATTTTTTTTGGGGGGGTGAGTGGGTAGAGATGGGGTTTTGCCATGTTGTCCAGGTTGGTTTCAAACTCTTGAGCTCAAGTGATTTGCTCACCTTGGCCTCCCCAAATGCTGGAATTACAGGCATGAGCCACTGTGCCTGGCCATTTGCAAGTATTTTGTTGCGGATTTTTGCATCGTTTTCATCAAGGTTATTGGCCTGATGTTTTCTTTTATTATTGTGTCTCTGCCAGGTTTTGGTATTGGGAAGATGCTGCCTTCCTAGAATGAGTTCAGGAGGAATCCCTCTTTCTCAATTTTTTGGAAAAGTTTCAGTAAGGATAGTACCAGCTCTTCTTTGTACATCTGGGAGAATTTGACTGTGAATCCTTCTGGTCCTAGGCTTTTTTGGGCAGCTGGGGGTTGGAAAGCTATGTATTAATGATTTAATTTCAGTTTCAGAGCTTGTTATTGGCCTGTTCAGGGAATCCATTTCTTCCTGGTTCAGTCTTGAGCATGTATGTCTGTCCTGGAATTCATCCATCTCTTCTAGGTTTTCTAGTTTGTGTGCCTAGAGGTGTTTGCAGTAATCTCCATGGTTGTTTGTATTTCTGTGGAGTCAGTGGTAACATCCCCTTGGTAATTTCTAATTGTGTTTATTTGGGTCTTCTCTCTTTTTCTTTATTAGACTGACTAGTGGTCTATCTATATTAGTAATTTTTTCAAAAATCCAACGCCTGGATTTGTTGGTCTTTTGTATGGTTTTTCGTGTCTCAGTCTCTTTCAGTTCAGCTCTGATTTTGGTTGTTTCTTGTCTTCTGCTAACTTTGGGGTTAGTTTGCTCTTGCTTCTCTATTTCTTCTAGTTGTGATTTTAGGTGGTTAATTTGAGATCTTTGTAACTTTTTGGTGTGGGCATTTAATGCTGTAAATTTCCCTCTTAACACTGCCTTAGGTATGTTGCAGAGATTCTGGTATGTTGTATCTTTGTTCCCATCAGTTTCAGAGAACTTCTTGATTTCTGCCTTAATTTCATTATTTTCCCAAAAGTCATTCAAGGGCAGGTTATTTAATTTCCATGTAAATGTATGGGATTGAGCAATTTTCTTCATATTCTATTTTTATTGTTCTGTAGCCTGAGATCTGAGAGTGTGGATGGTATAATTTTGGTTTTTAAAAATTTCCTGAGGATTGTTTTACGTCCAATTGTGTGGTCGATTTTAGAGTATGTACCATGTGGCAATGAGAAGAATATATATTCTGTTGTTTTTTTGATGGAGCATTCTGTAGATGTCTGTTAAGTCCATTTGGTCAATTGCTGAGTTCAGGTCCTGAGTATCTTTGTTAATTTTCTGCCTTGATGATCTGTCTAACACTGTCAGTGAAGTGTTGAGGTCTCCCACTATTATTGTGTGGGAGTCTAAGTCTCTTCATAGGTCTCTAAGAACTTGCTTTATGAATCTGGGAGCTCCTGTGTCAGATGCATGTATATTTAGTATAATTAGATCTTCTTGTTGAACTGAACCCTTTTCCATTATGTAATGTTCTTGTCTTTTTTTATCTTTGTTGATTTAAAGTCTGTTTTGTCTAAAATTAAGATTGTAACCCCTGCTTTTTTTGATTTCCATTTGCTTGATAGATTTTCCTTCATCACTTTACTTTGAACCTCTTGGTGTGAGATGGATCTCATGCCATGTGAGATGGATCTCCTGAAGATAGCATACCATTAGGTCTTGCTCTTTTATCCAGCTTGTTACTCTGTGTGTTTTAATTGGGACATTTAGCCCATTTACATTCAAGTATTGCTGATTTACATTTAGTATTGATATGTGGGGATTTGATCCTGTCATCACGTTGTTAGGTGGTTGTTATGCAGACTTGTTTGTGTGGTTGCTTTGTAGTGTCTGGTTTGGGTATTTCAGTGGTAATCATCTTTCCTTTCTATATTTTGTGTGATTTTTAGGAGCTCTTGTAAGGCAGATCTGGTGGTAATGAATTCTCTCAACATTTGCTTGTCTGGGAAGGATCTTTTTTCTTCTTCACTTATGAGGCTAAATGTGGCTAGATATGAAATTTTTGGTTGAAGATTTTTTTTTTTTAAAGAATGGTAAATATGGGCCCCTAATCTCTTCTGGATTGTAGGGTTTCTGCTGAGAGGTCTGCTGTTAGCTTGATGGGGTTTTCCATTTGTAGGCAACCTGCCCTTTCTTTCTAGCCGCCTTTAACATTTTGCCTTTCATTTTGACCTTGGAAAATCTAATGATTATGTGTTTTGGGGATGATCTTTTGTGTAGTATCTTGTAGGGGTTCTCTGCATTTCCTGTATTTGAACTTTGGACTCTCTAGTGAGGTTGGGTAAGTGTTAATATATGATATCCTGAAATATGTTTTCTAAGTTGCTGCTTTCTCTCCTCCTCTTTCAGGGATGACAATGATTCATAGATTTGGCCTCTTTGCAAAATTCGATATTTTTCAGAGGTTTTGTTTGTTCCCTTTCATTCTTTTTTCTTTATTTTTGTCTGTCTTATTTCAGAGAGCCAGTGTTCACCTGTTGAGATTCTTTCCTCTGGTTAGTCTATTCTGCTGTTAATACTTGTGACTGCATTGTGAAATTCTTGTAGTGTGTTTTTCAGCTCTATGAAGTCAATTAGGGTTTTTTTTCCTTGCTATTTTATTTGTCAGCTCCTCTATTGTTTCTATAGTGTTTTTGGACTGGGTTTTGCCATTCTCCTGAATGTCAATAATTTTTATCTATAGTCCAAATTGTATTTCTGTCATTTCAGCCAGTTCTTCCTGGTTAAGAATGCCTGTTGGAAAACTAGTGCAGTGATTTGGAGGACATAAGATACTCTGGCCATTTGAGTTGCCGGAGTTCTTGCATTGGTTTTTTCCCCATCTCTGTGTGTCTGTGTGTGAGTGTTCCTTTAACTGCTGGGCTGCCACTGATTGAAGTGGTCAGGTGGAGGCAGGGGGATTGTTTTGGAACCCCAGGTTGGGTGCCCCTGTCCAGTGAGTAAAAGTGAGGACTGGGACCTGCATGGAGAAAAGTCTGGCCACCTTTCTTTCAGATGAGTGCTCTGTGCTAGGGGTCCAAACCACGCCATGGTTCCTGTGGACTCTCCAGGGCCTGGAGACAGCAAAGATGGCATCCCACTCTTCTCACTGGGAGCTTTGTCTCAGTGAGTTGCATAGCTGCCACTGGCTTGATAGACCCAGCAGGGGTGGTTAGAGACCCAGTCTGGGAGGACCTGTCTAGTGAGGAGGTACAGGATTGGGGACCCACATAATAAAGAGTTTGGCCACTTTTTCCTAGGGCTGCTGCAGTCTCTTGGGGGTTCACTCCAGTCCATAACCACCTCAGATTTTTCAGCAGCTGAAGGTATCAACAGTGAAGGCTGCAAAACAGCAAAGATGGCAGCCCAGCCCTCCCTCTGGGAGTTTTGTCCCACAGACTTTTGAAGCTGCTGTCAGCTGGAAAACACCAGCGGGGTGGATAGATATCTCGGTTGGGAGGTTCTGCTTAGTGAGGAGGAACAAGATTGGGGACCCATGTGAATAAACAGTCTGGCTGCTTTTTATGAGCAGTTGTACTGTGATGGGGCTCCATTCCAGTCTCTAGTCTCTTTGGACTCTCTAAATCCCAAAGGCAGCAATGGCTAAGGCTGAGAAACAGCAAGGGTGGGAGTGCATCCATTCCTCTGGGAGCTCCATCTCAGGGCGGTTTGAAACTATTGCTGGCTGGAAAACACCAGTGGAGGTTGTTAGAGACCTCCATCAGGAGATTCTGCCCAGTGAAGAGAAGTGGTATCCAGGACCCTCATGTAAAAGCGATCTGGCTGCTTCTCCACAGAGCTGCTGCACCATGCTGGGGGACCTGCTCCAGTCACTAGTCACTAGTCAGTCCTAGAGCCTGAAGGTAACAACAGCTTAGGCTGTGAAACAGCAAAGATGGTGGTCTGTCTGCTTGTGAGTTCCATCCCAGGGAGGCTGGGAACCACTGCCAGCTGGAAAATACAGGTGAGGGTAGCTGGTGACTCCAGTTAGGAGGTCCTACTCAATTAGGAAAAGTGGGGTTAGGTATCCATGTAAAAAGTAGCCGTCTGGCCACTTTTTCGTAGGGTAGCTGCATTGAAGGCAACAATGGCTAAGCCTGCAAAACAGCAAAGATCGTGGCCCACCCCTCCGTCTGGGAGATCCATGTCAGGGAAATATAACACTGCTACTGGTGGCGGGCTGGAGTTCTAAGCTAGTGTGTCTTATCCTGTGAGGTGCCATGGAAGCAGGACCTGCAGACCTTTGCTGCTCAGCCCCATAGATTCAGTCCCTTTCCTTAGGGGTATGTAGAGGGGTCCAGCCTCCCACTTTGCTGGAGTTGCAGCTGCATTCACCAGGAAGCTTGGGTATCTGAAGTTCCTGTGGCTCTGTGTATGCCTCAGCAGCTGCTTTGCCAAGACTCCATGTAGCTCAGTGTGTCAGACTGCAAGCTCTGTTGGAGTGAGTTCATGAAGGGATCTCCTGACCCAAGTGTTGCAAAGATCTGTGAGAGAAGCATGGGTTCTCAGGGTCACGCATTCACTCGCCACTTTCCTGGGCAGGGGAGGCTCCATTGGCTCCATGTCACTCCTGGGTGGGTGGTCATCTTGCGTTGCTTTTCTTCATTCTCCATGGGTTGAGTTGTTTTCTTGATGAATCTCAATGTGTGTACCTGGATGTTTCAGTTGAAGGTGCTTTATTTACTCACCCTCTCTATTTTTTCATGAGAGCAGTGCCTCTTTATTGATTTTCAGTCTGGAAGATCTGTCCAATGAGAAAGTGGGATGTTGAAGTCTAGCTATTATTGTATTGGGGCCTCTCTTTCTCTTTAGCTCTAATAATATTTTCTTTATATATATATGGGTGCTCCAGTGTTGGGTGCATATATTTATATATACAATTGTTATATCCTTTTGCTGAATTGACGCCTTTATCATTATAATGACATTTTTTGTGTCTTACAGCTTTTGACTTGAAGTCATTTTGTCTGATATAAGTATAGCTACTTCTGCTCTTTTTTGGTTTCCGTTGGCATGGAATGTCTTTTTCCATCCCTTTATTTTCAGTCTATGTGTGTCTTTATAGGCGAAGTGTGTTTCTTGTGGGCAACAGGTTAATGGGTCTTGTGTTTTCATCCATTTAGCCACTCTATGTCTTTTGATTGGAGAGTTTAGTCTATTTACATTCAATGTTATTATTGATAAGTAAGGAGTTACTCCTGCTGTTTTGTTATTTGTTTTCTGGTTGTTTTGTGATTTTCTCATCCTTCTTTCTTTACTTCCTATCTTTAGTGAAGGTTATCTCTTCTAGTAATATGATTTAGTTTCTTGGTTTTAATTTTTTTATGTATCCATTCTGTTTTTATGTTTGAGGTTACCATGAGGCTTGAAAATATTATTTTATAACCCACTATTTTAACCTGATAAGAACTTAACAGTTTGCATAAACAAATATGCAAAAAGAAAACTAATACAACTCTATAACTTCATGCCTCCACTTTTTAACTTTTTTTGTGTCTCTTTATGTCTTATTGTATTGTCTATGACTTGTAAAGTTGTTGTAGTTATTTTTGATTGGTTGATGATTTAGTTTTTCTAAAGATAAGAATAGTTTACACACCACAATTACAGTGTCGTACCATTCTGTGTTTTTCTGTGCGCTTACTACTACCAGTTAGTTTTGTACCTTCAGATGATTTGATTGCTTATTAATGTCCTTTTCTTTCTGACTGGAGTACTCCTTTTATCCTTTTGTGTAGAACAGGTCTGGTATTGATGATCCTTTAGCTTTTTGTTTGTCTGGGAAAGTATTTCTCCTTCACGTTTGAAGGATATTTTTGCTATATATATTATTCTAGGGTAAAAGTTATTTTCTTTCAGCACTTTAAACATGTCATGCCACTCTCCGGGCACCTGTAGTTGCAGCTACTCAGGAGGCTGAGGCAGGAGAATGGTGTGAACCCGGGAGGGAGAGCTTGCAGTGAGCCGAGATCACGCCACTGCACTCCAGCCTGGGCAACAGAGCGAGACTCCATCTCAAAAAAACAAATAAACAAAAAATGTTATGCCACTCTCTACTGGCCTGTAAGATTTTCACTGAAAAGTCTGCTGCCAGACATATTGGAGCTTCATTGTACAGTATTTGCTTCTTTTCTCTTGCTGCTTTTAGGATCTTTATCCTTGATCTTTGTGATTTTGATCATTAAATGCCTTGAGGTAATTTTCTTTGGGTTAAATCTGCTTGGTGTTCTAGAACCTTCTTGTACATGGATATTGATATCTTTCTCTATGTTTGAGAAGTTCTCTGATATTATTGCTTTGAATAAACTTTCTATTCCTATCTCTATCTCCTCTTTTAAGGCCAATAACTCAGATTTGCCCATTTGAGGCTATTTTTCTAGATTCTATAGGCATGCTCCATTGTTTTTTATTCTTTTTTTTTTTTTCGTTTTGTTTCTTCTTTGTGTTTTCAAATAGCCTGTCTTCAAGCTCACTAATTCTTCGGCTTGACCAATTCTGCTATTAAAAGACTCTGATCCATTCTTCAGTATGCCAGTTGCATTTTTTAGCTCCAGAATTTCTTCTTGATTCATTTTAATTATTTTAATCTCTTTGTTAAATTCGTCTGATAGAATTCTGAATTCCTTCCCTGTGTTATCTTGAATTTCTTTGAGTTTCCTGAAAATTATTTTGAATTCTGTGTCTGAAAGGTCACATATCTGTTTCTTCTGGATTGGTCTTTGGTGCCTTATTTAGTTCATTTGGTGAGGTTGTGTTTTTCTGAATGGTGTTGATGCCAGCAGATGTTCTTTGGTGTCTCAGCATTGAAAAGTTAGGTTTTCATTATAGTCTTCACTGTCTAGGCTGGTTTGTACCTGTTCTTCTTGGGAAGGCTTTCCAGTTATTTGAAAGAACTTGAGTGTTGTGATCTAAGCTGTATCTGTTTTAGAGGGCACCCAAAACCCAGTAAGCCTGTGGTTCTTGCACACTCATAGAGGTACTGCCTTAATGGTCTTGGACAAGATCCAGGAGAATTCTCTGGATTACCAGGAAGAGACTCTTCTTCTCTTCCTTTACTTTTCCCCAAACTAACAAAGTCTCTTTTCTGTTTTGAGCCACCTAAAGCGGTGAAACCACAAGATACAGTCTTTCCCACTCTTCCCTCCCCTTTCCAAAGGCCACCACCACTACAGGCCATGGGGAATACTGGGATACTGCCAGACTACTGCCAGTTTTCTCTTAAGGCCCAAGGTCTCTTAAGTCCACTTGTGGTGAATGCTGCCTGATCTTTCAGGTCAGCTCTGGTCCACAGCAGGTCAAGAAATGCCATCCAAGAGTCAAGTCTTGGAATCAGGGGCCTAAAGAGCCCATTTAGTGCTCTACCCCCTTCCCCCACTGTGGCCATGCCGGTGCCTAAGTTTCCTTTACTTTTCCCTATGCTTTTTTCAAGCAGAAGGAGTTTTGCCTTGTACCCACCACAGCTTGTAATATACTCAGTCTCACCTGAAGTCTCATAGGCTTACCTAAGGCTCTTGACATAGTTCTTGGGTATCACTACTGGTTATTCAGGGCCTAGGGGTTCTTCAGTTAGCATGTGATGAATGCTGCCAGGACCGAGTCCTACCCTTCAAGGCAACAGATTCTCTTCTGGCCAAGGGTGTGTCTAGAAATGTCATCCAGGAGGTAGGGCCTGGAACAGGAGCCTTGCAACTCTGAGTGGTGCCCTATCCTCCTGTGGCTGAGCTAGTATTCAAGATGCAGGATAAAGTCCTCCCCACTCTTCCCTCTCCTCTTCTCAGGTGGAAGGAAGGGGTCTCTTTTGGTGCCATAAGATGTGCAGCCTGGGGTTAGGGGTTGGACGATGTCAGCCCTCCCTTAGCCACCTCAGCTGCTGTCTGAGTAGGTCTTGAGATTTCCCCTAGTCCTGTCTCTGGGCCCAGTTCAGCACTAGGATTCACCTAGCAATTGAAGTCCTTATGGTCTACACTGTGTTTCCAGTTTACTTAGAGACCCAGTGCAGCGTGGCCTAATGGTGGTAAGGTTTGTGGGAACTCAAGTTTGTACCACTGGTATTAATAGTTCTCCTCTGGCTAGGGCTGGTTTAAATGCTCTCTCTGGCTGGGCATAGTTGCTCACACCTGTAATCCCAGCACTTTGGGAGCCCAAGATGGGAGTATTGCTTGAGTCCAGGAGTTTGAGACCAGCCTGGGCAACGTGGTGAAACCCCATCTCTACTAAAATACAAAAATTAGCCTTGTGGTGGCGCATGCCTATGGTCCCAGCTACTTGGGAGGCTGAAGTGGAAGGATCACCTGAGCCCAGGGAGATCGAGGCTGCAGTCAGCCATGATCACACCACTGCACTCCAGCCTGGGCAACAGAGTAAGACCCTGTCTCAAAAACACATATGCACACATACACACACACACACACACACACACACTTGCACACACATACATCTTATTTCTTCCATGGGTGGGTGTCCGCTGAGTTCAGTTCACTTTTCCTTTCTTCTTTAACAGGACAGCACTGAGTTTAATGCCTCACAATTGCTGTGCTCTCCCTCCCCCAGTGCCCAGAGACACTCCCCGTACCTTGCCACCACTGTTGGGGTGTAGCAGGGATGGTGCCAGCGATTTAAGGCTGTTTGTTCTATCTCTTCACTGCCTCGTTCAGTGATACAAAGCTGAAATCAGTTACTATGAGGGCTCATCTGATTTTTAGTTCTTATGAAGGTGTTTTATTTGGGTAGATAATTGTTGAATTGGTGTCCTTGCAGGGGGATGATGGGTAGAGTCTTCTGCCTTCTTGCTTTGCCTCCAGCCTCTATACTGTCTTCTTAAGACACCTTTATTTGCTACCCTTGTTATTTTACTTATTTTCTCTGTATTATAATTGCTTTTTTTCCTTTCCTATCTCTTTTATTACTCTGTAAATTCCTAGAGGGCAGAAACTAACTTCTGCACTAAACCACATTGCCTCATCATTTAGAAAAAAGTGATCATCTTGTCATAAGCAAGTATGATCACTGAAAATAAAGTAAAATGCAAAAGTGGTTAGAGTATAGACTTTTAAAAAGGAAACTGACATTTGAAGAAGGAGTCAATGCAAATAATAAAGAAATTTAATCAAATCATATAAGATGCTACTCTTGAATTTTGACTTAGGTTTAAGTAATTAAAGGAGTTTGAGAGAATTTGAAATAAAGCAAGGAATATTTATTATTTATTCCTTGCCTAGTATGTGGCAGACATTGTGATGAGTGGCTGGTATGTAATCCCTGTACTCAGGGTTTACATTTTTCAGAGAACAGATTAACTAAATAGTTTGAGAATTTTAAATTAATAATTGCTCTAATTTAATTGATTTTACATTAAATCTATATGTCAATGCATTATTAAAAATCACTTGATGTAGTACAGGTGCTAAGAAAATTGTTGATCTTCAGTAACAGGAAGTGGCATGAAAAAAATCTTTGGATTTTTGGTCCTTGTAAAAAGTTATCTTTGCTCCTTGTAGAAAGCTATCCTTATAATTTATCAAGTGTTTACACTTTTGTTTATTGTCTAATAATTCTTCCTATTTATCAGTTAATTGATATAGGAGAGAGTATAGCTATTCCAGATGAATTTACCGAACAAGAAAAGCAGTCTGGAGATTGGTGGAAGCGTTTGGTGTCAGCAGGAATAGCTAGTGCGGTTGCACGGACATGCACGGCACCTTTAGACCGCTTGAAAGTCATGATGCAGGTTTTTTGCTCGCCTTACCTACCCTTTAAGAGTTAAAGTAACTTGAAAAGTCTTTGGCAGCTTTCAAAAAAGGTTTTAAAAAAATGTTTTCTCATATACTACTTCTCATTAAAATTTTACATTTTCCTGAAAATGTAAATGCTAATTTTCAATATTAAAAGATTTCTTAATTTTCTTAAAGAAGCTACTGTGTATTCAAGTTAATTTTTATTTTAAATAATAATAGAACCACTCTATTAGAATTTTTTTCAAAAATGGAACTAAATTTATGAAAGAAATGAGAAGATACCATTAGACTTTGTATTGGTTATCTCTAACCCTGGCACCAACATAATAGCATGGTTCTATTCTACCATTTAATTACTAAAAATATTTCCAAGAGGCAGAAAATAAGTTTAGAGTCTATTATTATATTTTGTTTAATTACATTTATTTCATTGAATAATGGATTGTCAACAGTAGTTATAAAATAGTGCATGGCTTAATGTGTTAATTATCATAAGTAGAATCCACAATTAAAGTTTGATATTTGCTGAATACTTTCTCTGCAAGGATATAAAAATTAATCATCCACAACCTAATTAACTTAAATTTCAAATTAAATTCACATATGTGGGTGTTTTACTATCTTTTGCTTTTCGGTAATGTTGGTGACATTTTAGTAATGCATTATGAACAGTTATTATACAATGTGAATTAATTGTGTAATAACTTTAGTGTCACATGTTTAAGAACTATTTAGTTTATACTTCTGTCTCATTCTAAAAAATGATTTATCTTAATTAGGAATTAAACTTATATAAATATATCATTTATGGAAAATATAGGTTGTTAGAAGGATAGGTTTTGCAAGGGAAAAGACTTCATTAATTCCACATATATTTATTTAGGGCCAATTATGTACTAGCTGCTTTAATAGGCATTAGGGACTATAGGAAAATGTTAGACATAGTTTTTGTCCTTAGAGAATTTACAAGCTCTCTTGGACAATAGTTAGTTAGATAGGTAATAATAAAATGTGATATAAGTGCTATCTACCCAGACAGATGATACACATAGTACTGTGGGAGCACCAAGGGGAGTAAATACTATTCCCCCCATGCCTAATATTTCTTACATAAATATAGGTTGAGATTCTGGTTAATGCATCCCATGGAGATAAACCTTTAATTCAGTGGGCTAAGTGTAGGGAACATACTTTGAATGGCATTAGATGGTAAGACACATAACCCATCATCCTTCCGCATGTTTGATTCCATCTGTGATCTATATTCTTTTCAGATAGGTGACTCAGTTCAGTCAGTCCTTAGGTAAGAGCAGGAGCTGAAAATTCTGTGTTGCAGGTGGAAATATAAAACAGCTTCCTCAGTAACTGGGCCTGTCAGAAAATTAAATAATGAAATTTAAAGGAGAAATATACAGACATGATACAGTGCTACACAGAGATGGAGACATGTAGGGAGATGAGAAACACAGGAATGGGACCAAGAGGAAAAATAAAGACAATGTATTTGTCGTGCGCCCATCATATGCTAGGTGCTAGAAATACAAAGATGAAAAAGCATATTTCTTATACTCCAGGACCTTACAGAGACACAAACAACATATCTATGTGATGGTGATGATAATATTGAAAACAATAGTTGTCAATTAATTGCACATAATCACCGTGTACAAGATAGAAAATTGTATTTGTGGCTATTGTAAGGACACAGGGTAAGGGCACTCAGTTCTCTGAGGGGATGGAAATGAGTCAGTGGATTAGGGAGGGGGCAAATAGGGAGACCTGAAAAGAGTGAAAAAAGAGAAAGGGGTAAGGGAGGTGGATAGAGAAAAGTAGGAAGAGGATGGGAGACAGAAACATAAAAAAGAAAAGGAAAATAGGGGAAAAAAGAGGAGGGAAGATGATAGATACAAGCGAGTTTGAAGTGGGGTGAGGAGAGTACTATAATGAGAAGCAAAGGAAGGAACGGAAAGCAGGAAAGAGTCGCTGCCCTTTTATGCTGTTCTAGGTTGGGTCTCATGGCTTTCATTTATCCTTATATTTGACAGTGAAATGGGTTCATTAGAACTTGTCCACTCTATTGATAGAGGTATTATTGTGTGAGCTTCACACAACTGGAAAAGAATTCTGTGAAACAGAGGAAGACATATGTGTTGTGGTCAGAGGTAATTTAATATGATTCCTGAGCAGAGACTTTACAGTCAGAGAGCCCTGGGTTGGAATTTTTGATACTTTAATCACTTTTTCTGATCCATAGACACGTAGGTGGTTTTTAATCCTCCTTTTTTTAAAGCAATTATTCATAATTTTATGATGAACACCATTCTTTATTAATCTTTTTCCTAGTTAAGATTATTTGATTGAAAAATTCCTGGTTTAAGTAATGATATGAACATTTTTAAGGCTGTAAATATTTTACTGAATTTTTTTCTAAATTTGTTCTACCCACAGAAGAGAATGTTCATTTTGCCTTGTTCTCCCATGATTTTTCTCTTACTTTATAGACAGAAGGGCATTTTAATTAATGTTTTAACTGTACTTTCTTAAAAATAGCATTTTTTTCTTATTGTAAGATAGCACACTAGAAAAATGGGAAAACACAGAAAAGGATAAAGGAAGACGTTAAAATGACCTGTACTCCTCATGTATGAGGTTGTTAGGGATGCTACAACAAAGTTCCATAAACTGACTGGCTTAAATAACAGAAACTTATTGTCTTGGTTCTGGAGGCTAGAAGTCAAAAATCAAGGTGTTGGCAGGGTTGGCTCCTTTTGAGGGGTGCGAGGAATAATCTGTTCCAGGTCTCTTTCCTTGACTTGCAGAAGGCAGTCTTCTCTGTCTCTTCACATTGTTTCCTCTCTGTGTGTGTCATGTCTCAGTGTCCAAATTTCCTTTCATAAGGATGCCAGTCAGAGTAGGGCACACCCTAATGATGTCACTTTAACTTGTTAAAGACCCTATCTCTAGGTCACATTCTGAGGGAATGAGGGTTAGGACTTCAACATATGAATTTTGGGAGACACATATTAACCCATAACACCTTGCCACCCAGGAATATCCACTGTTGAAAGTTCGATGTATTTTCATTTATCCTTTTCTCGTTGCATATTTCAATGTACTCTTTAATAATCTTGTAACATATTTGTACCATCAACGCATCTTGTTTATGCTCAAATTCCCTGGTAATTAAGTTATTTCTGTTTTTTTAAGTTGTCCTTTTCTCTTTGATGTGTCAGATTAATTAAAGTATGTATTTCGTGACAAGAAATATTAATATATTAGTTTTAGATGTCTCTGAGGGAAAATTAAAAATATCTTGAAAATCATGAATTTATGCGTATATGTATATTTATTTTTATTAGCAATAGCAATACCAATGCCATAAAGCCAGTAAAATGAATTGAAAAGTAAATAAATGTGCTATTTATTTATAGGTTCATAGTTTAAAGTCAAGGAAAATGAGATTGATTAGTGGCCTTGAGCAGTTGGTGAAAGAAGGAGGGATTTTTTCCCTTTGGTGAGGAAATGGTGTAAATGTTTTAAAAATTGCACCAGAGACAGCACTCAAGGTTGGGGCCTATGAACAGGTAAAACGTTTTTGTCTGTAGAATTTTAAACAAAAATCAGGTTTTAAATTTAATTTTCAAAAATTCAGACTCTCATGAAAGAGAAAACTGGAGTGTGCACAAGCAGTAGGTTTCAATGTAAATGTTAATGACTTTGTGCATTCTCATTTGATTTTTTGTGTTTTCATATTACTATTGTTTACAAGAGAAGTTCCATGAATTACTCTATATTATCATAACTGATATCTATTAGTAAATCTTTTAATTTCAATGTCACAGTGTGCGAAGTCTTCACAAAACATTTCATCATTGATTTTTTCTTTGAAAAATTTGAAAATTTTACAGAAATTTCAGTTCGTTTGTTAATGAATAGAGGATCAACATCTTAATTTAGTCAAGTGATGAAGAGATTAAAAAATGCACTTAATTTTAAAATTTGTTAAGCTCATTTAGATTATTCACTTTGAAATATGTCTATTTTCAAATATTATAAAATATTAGTGTCACATAAGAGTCCAAGAGTGCTCTGTGTGTCTCTCAAGTTTTCCATCTTCACTGTAAAATCTTATAGTAATTCTCCTTTCTTTAAACATTTTTATAGCATATAGCATTAAAGTGCTTATTTTATAGACTCTTGTTTATAAGGTCACCAGAACCTCAACATTTTAAGAAAATATTAAACAATGATCATATCCTTTTCCAACCCAAACAGTTGAAAAGCAAATAGATAGATGAGTAGGACTCTGGACTTAGTTGTAATGCATGCATATCTTAAAAACATACATCTCTTACTTAAACAGGGATTGGCTTACTCATTCAGCAAGTATTTCTTTTATTAACTAATTTTTCTTGAATAACTGATGTGTCCAGTTTCTCTTCTAGGTAACGGAAATGCCATAGCAAATAAAACAGGAAACCAACCAACCAACCAAACAAACAAACAAAAACCTGACTTCCTTTTTCAGATTTGTATTGGAATATAGATAGGAGGAGACAATAACTAAAGAAGTGAAATACATGGTATGCCAGGTGGTGACAATGGCTATGGGGAAAACAGAGGATAGAAACTGGAGATAGAAATTGACAACTCTTTCAAGGAGTTTTGCTGTGATGAGAAGAAGGGAAATGCAATGGTAACTGAAGGAGGTATGGGATTAAGAGAATGTTTTTCTAGAAATTGAAGAAGTGATGTTTGTATGCTTAGGGGAATAATCCACTGGAGGGGGTATAAGTGATAATATAGGAAAGGAGGGGAGTGTTGGTAGGGGATTGTCCTTAATCTTTGAGTGAGTGACAGGAGATGGGAGCTAATGCTCATGGAAGGGTTTGGCCTTGGTTAAGCATTTTATCCATAGTTATAGGAGAAGTGCTACTATGTGGACACAGTCGTAGCAGGTTTGTGGAAGCATTTTTCCTAGTGCTTCAATTTCTTCCATGAAATGGGAAGCAAGGACATGTTGGATGTTTGAAGAAACAGAAGGTATGAAATAGTCTTCTAGGAGAGTGGGAGAGTAAATGGATTGAGGAAACAAAATAAGATTTCTGGTGGCAAAGGTACAGTTGAAGTCAGTAGTCATGAATTTAAAGTGATATCAGGCAGCATGTAGAGCTATAAAATATTGTTTTCAATAGGTTTTGAACTCTGGCAGTTTCATAGATTTAAATATTTATTGTGTGCCTACCATGGGCTATCTAGGTCTTATGTTTGGGAATACATGAAAGAGCAAGATAGATACTGTCTTTGGCCTTCTAGACCTTACATTCTATCAAAACTAGATGTTGAAATTTAAGAAGTGTTTATCTAAATGCAATATCAATTTAGGCCAGGCACATTGGCTCACATCTATAATCCCAGCACTTTGGGAGGCTGAGGTGAGAGGATCATTTGGGCCCAGGAATTCGAGACCAGCCTAGGCAACATAGTGAGATCTTGTCTCTACAAAAAATAAAAATAAAATTAGCCAGATGTGGAGGCACACTCCTGTATTCCCAGCTACTTGGGAGGCTGAGGTGGGAGGATTGCTTGGACCTAGGAGTTTGAGGCTGCAGTGGGCTGTAATTGTGCAGCTGCAATCCAACCTGGGTGACAGAGTGAGACCCTGTTTCTTTAAAAAAAAAAAAAAAAAGAAAAGAAAACTGTTGCAAAGTATAAAAGAAGCATACCAGTTTGTGTATTCATGATTATTACTAGGAATATGTGCGTTGTTATTTGTGAGGTAAGGCACAGATGGAAAAAAATGGCCTGGACCCTAAATCATCAGTATGTCATCCTCGCTATTTATGGTGATACACAGGTGGCATAAAGGGCACTCCAGATAAATGTACTGTTTACTACTAACAGGACTTTGGCTTCAAATTTCTTTCTTGTCTTCAACCCTGATGAGCTGGAGTGGATCAAAAATCTGCAACAAAGGACACCCTTTTCTCTATTTAGTGCCAAACTTGACTAGAGTCAGACTGAAGCAGCCCATTTCATACTTCTGCTCCCTTAGGACACATCCTGATTCCTGATAGCTTTCCAAGGGCACGCCACCTTATGGGGAAAAAGAGAATGAAAGAAATGCCACATAAGATGCAAAAAACAGAAGTTGCTCCTGCCCAATTTTATTTATTAATATAATCTCATTTGTTTCCTCACTGTCTAGAAGCCCTACCTTCTCTGGTTAACCCACTTTCCACTTCCCTAGATTTTTCTTGAAGACTCAGGTTTTTTCCTTAACCCATAGCAGAGCATCTTATCATGAGAGGAGTGTTGTGTGGGGTCAGGTAAAATAAGCTGTAATATTTTAAGTTGTAATAGAGATTTTATTTTACTTCTCGGACCCTCTATAAAGTTCTTATCCCAGCATTAAAACTTACCATAATTTATCCCTACTTAACATGTCCAGTACTGCTGCTTGACAAATACTGCTTTTCAAGTAAGAGAATCTTTTTCTTATACCTTAACAAGTTGTGCTTTTCCTATCTCCTTGATTTTGCTCACACTTTCTTTCTAATTGAGTTACCCTTTTTCTCCTTCTAACATATCGAAATTATTTCAAGAACTAAAGTGTTTCCCTTCCTGAGAAGTAACCTATTTTGGTGTCTGTTCTTTCTGCCCTAGTATATTTATTGCCTGTACCACTTATGTAAACTAGAATTAGGTTTAGATGCATGTGACAGAAAACCCCAAACAATAGTGACATAAATAAGATAGAACTTTCTTTCTTTCTCACAAAGTCCGAGGATAGGGAATTTAGGACTGGTATGGAAGTGCCTTGAAGGTGAAAAGAAACTCACTTGCAACCAGCTCACTGTCTACCCTCTGTAGGGTATGATCCTTGTCTCCATGAGTCTGAGCTGGAACTCCAGCAATGACATCTAAGTTTCAGGTAACAACTAGGGGAAGAAGCAAAGAAGGGCATGTCCCATTCCATGCAGGACACTTCCCCAAAGTGACATACAATACTTATGCTTATATATTATTAACCAAAACTTGGACACATGAACACATCTAGTTGAAGAGGAATCTAAGTATATAGTCTTTAACTGGGAAACAATAGGTACAACTGTAGATTTTTGTTTCTTAGGAAAAAAGGAAGATTGATTCTTGGGATACCACTAGCAGCCTCTGCCACTTAACCAGTTTGTGTCCTCTTTTTTAAAACCTATATTTTAAACAATGTCTTCCAGAAAAATATTATGCTTGTTTAGAATAGGGACCATAGCATCATTCCCAGAATAGTGACAGCACATCAGTGAGTGTTACTAAGAGCCTAGTGTCATCATTTTATAGATGTAAAAACTGAGGCAAGAGAGGATAAGTTACTTGAAGTTACACATTTAGTTGGCAATACAGTCACAGTTAGAATCCTGTCCTTGGTCCCAGTTCTCCTACCTTGGGACAATGTTTCTAATACTATGTTAGAGTACAGGTTCTCAGTCAGACTGGTAGGACATATCAGTGTGGCTTAAAATGGTTAACTGAGATTTGTTGTAAATTATGATTAATAGTAGTTAAATACCAAAGTTTATGAGTGATTTACTCAAAAGGGAGATTTTATAAGGTAGTACTTAAGGTCTGGTACTGGAACCAGGCTTTCTAAGTTCAAATCCTAGCTCTACCACTTGCTAGCTATGCAAAATACAGCAAGCTTCTTAACCTCTGTGTGCTTCAGTTTTCTTACATGTTCCTTAACTTAAAATAGAAGAAATAATGATTAGGGTTGTTGTGGGAATTAAATGAATTAACATGTATATAAAGTGCCTAGAACAATATCTGACACAAGCATTTATACACATTTCTATTTTTTGTAATAGACAAGACTATATTTTTAACATAATGGGCACTTTTACTTACTTGCAACTAGGAGAGAAAAGAGGGCCTTATACTGGCATGCATGGAATTGTACATAAAACATAACCCATGGAAATGTGTGGCAAATGTGAATGTCAACTGTCATGTGTTAAGCTGGAAAAATGGTTAGAATGTCTAAAAAATTAACAGATACTTTAGACTGTCAGGGTCTGCAAAACCACCCCCAGGTTCAGTGATTTGCTAGGAGAACTCACAGGACTCAGTGTATAGTCACACTTGTGGCTCTAATTCATTACAGTGAAAGGATACGAGCAAAATTTCCAAAGAGAAAAAGTGCATAGGGTGAAGACCAGAGGAAACCAGATGTAAGCTTTCAAGTGTCCTGTAGAGTCACATGCCACACGCTTAAATCCTCCAGCAATTAGTTATAATAACACATGAAATGTCTATCCCATTAGAGACTTAGTGCCCAAAGTTTCACTGGGATTGCTCACATAAGTACTCTCTGCATGGCATGTTCCAATATTTCAGACTCCTACAAGGAAAGCAGATATTCAGCTCAAATAATATTGCTTGCATAAAAAGTTTAGGCACAGCGAGCCATTCTTATCAGGGAATGATGGGAACCCTTCCCAAATCCAAGTTACCAAATACCAGCCAAGGGCCAACTTTGCAGGCAGTCTTTTCTAAAGGTAGCAGTTTTAGTCCTGCTGTATTAACTCTTTTCTTTACACAAACCATTTTAGAAATGTCACCATGAAGGGTAAGAAATTTCCTTGTAAACTTGTAGCTTGAAAAAAATACAAACTAATTATTTGGCATCAAGGGATGCTATTACTTCTTTCTTTTATTTATTTTTATTATTATTATTTCTTATATCTTTTTTTTGCCTGTTCTTTCCCCCTATAGCTTTATTGAGGTATAACTGACAATTAAAAATAGTATATTTAAGGTATACAACTTGATGATTTGATATACCTATACATTGTGAGGTAATCATCAAAATCAAGCTAATTAACATACCCATCATTTCACATGGTTACCAGCGTCTTTTTGGAAATGTGTGATGAGAACCTTTAAGATCTATTCTCTTAGCAAATTTCAAGGGTACAATACATTACTGTTAACCATATTCACAATGTTGTACATTAAATCTCCAGAACTGATTCACTTTGAATAACTGAAACTTTGTACTCTTTGACCAACATCTCCCCATTTCTCCCTCCTCCCAGGCCCTTGCAATCACCATTCTACTTTCTGCTTCTATGAGTTTGACTATTTTAGATCCCACATATAAGTAAGATTGTATAGTATTTGTCTTTCTGTATCTGGTTTATTTCACTTAGCATAATGTCCTCCAGGTTCATCCCTGTTATAAGTGGCAGGATTTACTTCTTTTTAAAGACTAAATAATATTCCATCATATGGATTGTATGTATTCCGTTGTAATATTCCATTATATACCACATTTTCTTTAACCATTTATTCATCAATGGGCATTTAGGTTGCCTGCATATCTTGGCTATTGTGAATAATGCTGAAATGAACATGGGAGTGCAATTATCCCTTTGAGATACTGATTTCATTTCCTTTGGATATATACCCAGAAGTGTGATTGCTGGATCATCAGGTAGTTCTGTTTTTAATTTTTTGAGGAACCTACATATTGTTCTTTATATGGATATAGCAATTTATATCCCATCATGAGTGTATAAGAATTCTTTTTTTAATTCACATTTTTTTTGGTCAACACTTGTTATCTTCTGTCTTTCTGATAGTAGTCCTTCTAAAAGGTGTGAGGTGATTTCTCTGTGGTTTTGGCTTGCATTTCCCTGATTATTAGTGATGTTAAGGAGCTTTTCATATACCTGTTGGCCATTTGTATGTCTTCTTTGAAGAAACGTCTACTCAAGTTCTTTGTTTATTTTACAATCAGTTTGTTTCTTTTGCTATTGAGTTGCGTGAGTTCCTTACCTATTTTGCATACTAAACTCTTATCAGAAATATGATTTGCAAATATTTTCTCCCATTCTGTAGGATGCCTTTTCACTCTGCCAGTTATTTCCTTTGCTATGCAGAAGATATTTAGTTTGATGTAATTGCTCTTGTTTATTTTTGCTTTTGCTACCTATGCTTTGGTATCATATCTGAAAAATCATCGCCCAGATGAATGTCAAGAAGCTTTTCCCCTATGTTTCCTTCTAGTAGTGGTATTGTTTTAGGCCTGATGTTTAAGTTTTTAATCCATTTTTAGTTGGTTTTTGTATATGGTGTGACATAAGGGTCTCTTTCTTCTACATGTGAATATCCAATTTTTCCAACACTGTTTGTTGAAGAGACTATCTTTTCCCCATTCCATGTGTTTGGCATCTTATCAAAGGTCAGTTGACTGTAGATAAATGGGTTTATTTCTAGGCTTTCTCTTCTGTTCCATTGGTCTAGTTGTCTGTCTTTACTACCATCCTCCTTTGGTTATTATAGCTTTATAATTAGTATGTTTTGAAATTGGAAAGTGGTTATGTTCCCAGCTTTGTTCCTCTTGCGCAAGACTGATTTGTCTATTCAGGGTCTTTTGTGGTTTCAGATGAATTTTAGGATTTTTAAAAAATTTCTATAGAAGGAATAACATTGGAATTTTTGGGGATTGCATTGAATTTGTAGATAGCTTTGGGTAGTATAGACATTTGAACAATGTTAATTCTTTCAATCATTGGACATGGATGTCTTTCTATTTATCTGTGTCTTCTTTAATTTCCTTCATCAATGTTTTATAATTTTCAGTGTACAAGTCTTTAACCTCTTTGATTAAGTTTGTTCCTACATATTTTAATCTTTTGTGCTATTGTGAATGGCAAAAAGATTAAAGATTATTATTTTCTTAATTTCCTTTCCAGATAGTTCATTGTTTGTGTACAGAAATGCTAGTGAATTTTGTATGGTGATTTTTCTATCCTGAAAATTTACTGAATTGGTTTATTACAACATTTTTGGGGAGATGAGTCTTTAGAATTTTCCATATATATGACCATGTCATCAAAAACAGAGATAATTTTACTTCTTTCTTTAGTTATGTCTTTTCTTTTTCTTGCCTAATTGCTTCAACTAGGATTTCAGTACTATGTTGAAGTAGTAAGAGTGGGCATCCTTGCCTTATACTGGATGTTAGAGGGAAAGCTTTCAATTTTTTCCCATTTATTATGACGTTAGCTGTGGACTTTTAATATATGGACTTTATTGTGTTGAGGTAAGTTCCATCTATGCCTATTTTGCTGAGCATTTTAATTATAAGTGAATGTTAAATAATGCTCTTTCTGCATCTATTGAGATGATTATGTGTGTTTTTTTCCTTTCATTTTGTTATTGTGTTGTATCACATTGATTGTTTGAGTATACTGAACCATCTTTGCACCCCAGGGATGAATCCCACTTGGTCATAGTGTGTGATCCTTTTAATGTGCTGTTGAATTCAGTTCGCTAGTACTTTATGAAGGATTTTTGTATCTGTGTTCATTAGGGATATTGGCCTGTAGTTTTCTTTTTTTGTGTTATCTTTGTCTGGTTTAGAATCAGCATGATGCTGTCCTCATAAAATAAATTTGGGAGTGTTCCCTCTTCTTCCACTTTTTGGAAGTGTTTGAGAAGGATTGGTATTAATTATTTGAATGTTTGGTAGAAGTTGTCCATGAAGTCATCTGGCCCTTGGCTTTTCTTTGTTGGGAAGTTTTTGATTACTGATTCAATCTCCTTTTTGTTATTGGTATGTTCAGGCTTTCTATTTCTTCTTCATTCAGTTTTGGTAGATTGTATTTTCCTAGGAATATATCAGTTTCTCTCAAGTTATTCAATCTGTTGGCATATAATTCTTACAAGCCTTATAAGTCTCTTATAATCCTTATTTTTGTAACATAATGCTCCTTTTTATTTCTAATTTTATTTTATTTTTATTATTTTTTTGAGACAGAGTCTTGCTCTGTCACCCAGGCTGGAGTGCAGTGGCACCATCTCAGCTCACTGCAATCTCTGCCTCCCGAGTTCAAGTGATCCTCCTCCCTCAGCCTCCCGTGAGCTGGGAATACAGGCTCGTGCTACCACGCTCGGCTAATTTTTTTGTATTTTTAGTAGAGACCGGGTTTCACTGTGTTAGCCAGGATGGTCTCGATCTCCTGATCTCGTGATCCGCCCACCTTGGCCTCCCAAAGTGCTGGGATTACAAGCATGAGCCACGGCGCCCGGCCACTATTTTTTTTTTTTTTTGAGATGGAGTCTCGCTCTGTCACCCAGGCTGGAGTGCAATGGCACGGTCTCGGCTCACTGCTACCTCCGCCTCCCGAGTTCAAGCAATTCTCCTGCTTCAGCCTCTGGAGTAGCTGGGATTACAGGTGCCCGCCCCCATGCCTGGCTAACTTTTTGTATTTTTAATAGAGATGGGGTTTCACCATTTTGGCCAGGCTGGTCTTGAACTCCTGACCTCAGGTAATCCGCCCTCCTTGGCCTCCCAAAGTGCTAGGAGTAGAGGCGTGAGCCACCAAGCCCGGCCTATTTATAATTTTGGTTATTTAAGCCTTCTCTCTTTTTTTCCTTAGTCTAGCTATGGTTTTGTCAGTTTTGTTTATCTTCAAAAACAAACAAAAAACCAACAACTACAGCAACAGCAACTCAGCTTTATTGATTTCTTTTATTGCCTTTCTATTCTCTATTTGATTTATTTCTACTCTCTAATCTCTATGAGTTCCTTCTTTATGTTAATTTTGGGATTAGTTTGTTTTTCTTTTGCTAGTTTCTTCATATTAGGTTGCTTCCTTGAGATCTTTTTTTTTTTTTTAATCCAGGCATGTATTGCTATAGAATTCCCTCTTAGTACTACTTTTGCTGCATCCTGTAAGGTTTGATATCTTGTAGTTTTTTTTTTCTTCAAGATATGTTTAAAATTCTCTTTTGGTTTCCTTCTAGAAACTGGGGTTTGGCTGGTCGCGGTGGCTCACGCCTACAATCCCAGCACTTTGGGAGGCCGAGGTGGGCAGATCACCTGAGGTCAGGAGTTTGAGATCAGCCTAGCCAACATGGCGAAATCCCGTCTCTACTAAAAATACAAAAAATTAGCCGGGCGTGGTGGCGGGCGCCTGTAATCCCAGCTACTTGGGAGGCTGAGGCAGGAGAATTGCTTGAACCCTGGAAGTGGAGGTGCCGTGAGCCAAGATTGCACCACTGCATTCCAGCCTGGGCGACAAGAGCGAAACTCCATCTCAAAGAAAAAAAAAAAAGAAAGAAATTGGAATTTAAATTGCTTTTGAAACAACTTATTAGTTGTTCAAGAGTATGTTGATTAGTATGCATATATTGTGAATTTTTTTCATTTTCTTGTTGCTTATTATTTTCCAGTGTTATTCCATTGTGGTCATAAAAGATACTTGGAATGACTTTACTTTTCTTAAATTTGTTAAGACTTGTTTTGTGACCTAACATGTGGTCTGTACTGGAGAATGTTTCATGTATGCTTGAGAAGAATGAGTATTCTACTGCTGCTGTTGGGTGGTAAGTTCTATATATGGTTGTTAGGTCCATTCGGTTTATTTGTTGTTTAAATCACCTGTTTCTTTATTGATATTCTGTCTGGGGGTTCTATCCATGACTGAAAGTGGGGTATTAAAGTTCCCTACTATTATTGCATTGCTATCTTTCCCTTCGGTTTTGTCAATATTTACTTTATATATTTAGGAACTCTGATGTTGGGTGCACATATATTTATATTTGTTATATCTTCCTGTTCAATCACTCCTTTTATCATTATATAGTGTCATTCTTTGTGTCTGGAGATGTCTATTTTGTCTAAGTATAGCCATGCATGCTTTCTTTTGGTTACTGTTTGCATGAACTGTCTTTTTCTATCCCTTCACTTTCACCCCATATGTGTCTTTAAATATAAAGTGAGGTCAGACATGGTGGCTCACACCTGTAATCTCAGTGCTTTTGGAGACGGAGGCAGGAGGGTCACTTGAGGCCAGGAGTTCAAGACCATCCTGGACAACATAGTGAGACCCCTCCATCTCTACAAAAAGAAAAAAAAGCCCTTCCTGTAGTCCTAGCTACTCAGGAGGCTGAGGCAAGAGGATCACTTGAGCTCAGGAGTTCGAGGCTGCAGTGAGCTATGATCATACCATTGCACTCCAGCCTGGATGACAGAGGAAGATGACCTTATCTCGAAAATAAGAGAAAAAAAACCCAACATATGTATATATATAAAGTGGGTCTCTTGTATCCATTCAGCCACTGTATGTTTCTTGATTGGTGAGTTTAATGCATTTACCTTTAAAGTGATTATTAATAGGTAAAAACTTACTATTGCCATCTTGTTAATTGTTTTCTGTTTTGCAGTTGTTTTCTTCTCTTCCTGTCTTTCTTGGTTATTTTATGATTTTTTTTGCAATGATTTGTTTTGACTCTTTTCACTTTGTCATTTGTGTATCAGAGTTTTTCTTTTGTGGTTACTTTGAGACTTGCATAAAATATTTGTAATTGTAATAATCTATTTTAAGTTGATACAACTTAACTTCAGTCACATACAAAAACTCTACACTTTACTTCCCTCTCTCATTCTGTGTTCTTATAATCAGAGTTTGATACTTTTTGTATTGTGTATTCATTAACAACTTTTTTAATTTTTAAAAAGTTTTTATTTTTTATTTTTTTTTGAACATTTACCTTCAGGGGCACATGTGCAGGTTTGTTACATAGGTAAATGTGTGTCATGGGGGCTTGTTGTGCAGATTATTTCGTCACCCAGGTGTTAAGCCTAGTGTCTATTAGTTATTTTTTCTGATTCTCTCCCTCCTCCTACCTTCTACCTTCTAATAGGCCCCAGGTTCCCAGAGGGGAACACTGGGGTTCCCCTCTATGTTTCCATGTGTTCTCATCATTTAGCTCCCACTTATAAGTGAGAACATGTAGTATTTGGTTTTCTGTTCCTGCATTAGTTTCCTAAGGATAATGTCCTCCACCTCCTCCATCCATGTTCCTGAAAAGGACATGATCTCATTCTTTTTTATGGCTGCATAGTATTCCAGGGTGTATATGTACCACATTTTGTTTATCCCGTCTATCATTGATGGGGATTTAGGTTGATTCCATGTCTTGACTATTGTGAATAGTGCTGCCATGAACATATGTGTGCATGTGTCTTCGTAACAGAATGATTTATATTCCCTTAGGTATATACCCAGTAATGGGATTGCTGGGTCAAATGGCATTTCTATCTTTAGGTCTTTGAGGAATCACCACACTGTCTTCCATAATGCTTGAACTAATTTACACTCCCACCCACAGTGTAAGTGTTCCTTTTTCTCCACAATCTTGCCAGCATCTGTTATTTTTTGACTTTTTAATAATGGTCATTCTGACTGGTGTGAGATGGTATCTCATTGTGTTTTGATCGTTTCTCTAATGATGAATAATGTTGAGTTGTTTTTTTCATATGCTTGTTGGCCACATGTATATCTTCTTTTGAGAAGTATCTGTTCATGTCCTTTGCCCACTTTTTTATGGGGTGGTTTGTTTTTTTTTTTCTTGTAAATTTATTTAAGTTCCTTATAGATGCTGGATATTAGACCTTTGTCAGATGTGTGGTTTGCAAAAATTTTTTCCCATTCTCTAGGTTGTTTGTTTACTCTATTGATCTGTTGTTGATCTGTTGATAGTTTATTTTGCTAACAAATTTTTATATTTTTAACTTTCATATTACACTTAAAGTAATTTGTGCATCCCCATTACAATGTTACATTAATATATATTTGTCTATATATTTACCTTTTCCTGTGAGATTTATTGTTACACATGTTTTTGCATTGCTGTTTGGCATATTTTCTTTTCAATTTGAGGAATTCTCTTAAGCATTTCTGTACAACAGGTATAGTGTTGACAAACTCCCTCAGTTTTTGTTTGCCTGGGAAATATTTTATCTGTCTTTCATTTTAAAGTGTAATTTTTCCAGGTATAGTATTATTGATTGACAGAGTTTTTCTTCTTTAGTGCTTTGACTGTATCATTCCACACTTTGCTGTTATACATCTTTTAGCTGAGAAATTAACTAATAGTTTTATAAGGGTCACCTTATATATGATGAGTCACTTTTCTTTTACTGCTTTCAGAATTCTCTTTGTTTTTCACCTTGGCAATTTAATTTGATCCTAAAGTGTCTTAGTGTATTCCTCTTTGGGTTGATCCTGTTTGGGGAATCTTTGAGTTTCAGGAGCCTGGATGTCCATTTCCCTTTCAAGATTTGGCAAGTTTTCGGCCATTGTTTCTTTAAATAAGCTCTCTACTTCCCTTTTATCTCTCTTCTCCCCTTTTATCTCTCTTCTCCTTCTGGAACTTCCATAATGCATATATTGATTTGCTTGACGGTGTCCCATAAATTCCATAGAATTTCTTTTTTCATTCTTTTTTCTTTTTTCTCTTCTGGATAATTTCAAATGACCTGTCTTCAAGTTGACATATGTTTCTCTAGCTTGCTGAACTTCTTTAAAACAATTACTTTGGGTTATTTGTCAGGCAATTTGTAGATCTCCATCTCTTTGGGTCCAGTTACTAGAAAATTATTATATTCTTTTGGTGATGAAAAGTTTCCATGATTTCTTCCTGTGTTCTTTGTAACTTTGTGTTTGCATTTAAACATTTGAAGGAAGAGTCACTTCTAGGCTTTACAGACTGGCTTTGGTGGGGGAAAACCATCGTCTGCAGGTAGGTGTGAGGGTGTGGATGGCTGGAGTGCGGCAGCTTTGGTTAAAGGGGAAGTATAGCAGCATAGACTGCAGGCATCTCCATCAGCTTAGGTCCACATCAGCAAAGACTGCAGTGGTCCCTGGCGACCAAGGTTAAAGGTGCCTGCAGTGACAGTGAGGGCTGATTAGGTCCTCTGTGGTGAAGGCTGCTGGCATGCCCTTCTCTCCTTTTCACTCATGGGGAGAAGTTGTGGTTGAGAGGATCCCTCTTTGTACTAGGGTCTGGGATACAAGGGTACTCATAGTGGTGGTGGTGCCATTGTCCAGGACACACAGAGTGGCAGTGGTGCCTAGATCTGGAGTGTAGAACACACAAACTGTCTGTGTGTTATCGGAATCTGAGGCACAAGTATGTGTGGGGCAGTGGTGGTGCTAATGTTTGGAATGCAGGCATGAGTGGAACAGTTGCCGAGCTGGGGTATGGGGGTATGTGCTGGATAGTACATGGCTCTGGCCTGGACGGGGCACAGTGGCAGCACTTTCTGGTTGTGGGGCACAGAAATGTGTACTTCAGGCAGCTGTCAGCTGAGGGAAGCACTGGCAAAGGCTGTGGTAGTCCTTGGTGGTGAAGGCTGCTGGGGTCTTTCTGCTCTTGTTTCCTCCCACCAGAGGGCAGTTATGACCTGGGAGATCTCTCTTGGTGCAGAGCTGGACAGGACTGAGAGTTAGGGTGACAAAGGTAAAATGCTTCCTGTGTTTTCCTTTGTGGTCAGTCTCAGCTTTGTGCTCCATTGGGTTGTTGCAGCTCCTTCATTGTACTCTGGAGCTCTCTCAAAGCTATTTTAATCGGTAGGTAGTTTAAACATTGTTTTTGTGGGGGACTAATGTTGAGACCTTTTAGTCCACCATCTTGCTAACACATCCAGAAATCTATTATTTCTTATCTCTTAATCAGTATTGCTGGCCAGTCATCTTTTGCCTGGACTACTGCCATAGATTCCCAACTGGTATCTTCATATCTCCAATCCATTTTTCACACTGCTACCAGAGTAGTCTCTTAAAAAGATAAATCTGGTTATGTCATCTCTCTACCTTAAAACCCTCCACTGGTCACTCATTTCTCTTAATTGCAACATCTAAAATCCTTATTTTGACTAGCAAGGTGCAAAATGACTTGGCCTCTGCCCTCTTCTTCACTTTCATTCTTCTTTGCAGCCAAACTGGCTTTTTTTTCACTTATTCTAGTACACTATGCTCCTTTTTATTTCAGGTCCTTCTCATATGCTGTTTCCTCTACCCAACAGGAGGGAATTATAACCAATACTATTGTAACTGTTCTCAAAGCTATACTTGATATTTGTTATCTCATTTGGCCAGTACTTTGGCTAGTTTTTTGTTTGGTGGGTAACATGGGCTTTTATCCCTGAGGAATCTGAACTTTTAGTTGCTTTGTTCTTCTCTCTTTTTGTTTGCTATCATTACCCCATTCACTGTTACCACTATGCAGTAAAATACCATATATATAAGTGCTCACCTATGTATCCTTGGGCTTTACCATATCAGTGAAAGGTGACCTGACTTTTACCTTCCAGCATCTAAAATCTATTTGCCTAAGGTCTTCCTCTGGCCTCTGGAGCCTGTTCTGTTTCTGGAAATGGCAGGCTGGAAATGATAGGGAATGAAGGCCCCTGGGAGCAGCTTTCACTAATAAGTGATGGGCATTAGTAGATGAATACCCTAATGCCCTTGTTCACTTGGGTAGGATAATTCTGAAGTCTATGGTCTATATTATTCCCCAGAAGTTCTTAACAAGATTAAGCCCCAGTTGCATATCATTGCAGCTTGCTTAGTAACACATACTTTATCAGCTTTCGCTATTCCCTTTCTCACATCCTCAGTCCCCTACCAATATGTTCTAGCATCACCTCCAATGCCTTGTCTCAGGGTTGTGAAGCAGGTTCACTGTGCATTGGTTACTCTACCACTTGCATGGTTCTGGTGAGACAGAACACACACAATAAATTAAGCGAAGGAACTTTATTACTCATAGATAGGCAGTAAGGGCCAACAGTAGCGTAGAATTCATGGCAAGCCAGTCCCCCAAAGCTCAGGAAGTCCATCCAGGGTGGATGGAGTCTTGTCTACATGTGTCCCATGTTACACTGCAGCTGAGAGACTCTGAAAGGCACTCAGCTCTGGGTTTTATATTCAGGGGCAACTTGGCATGTGGGCTAGTGCTGTAGAATATCCTGTTTTAGGAGGCTTGGTGACTGAGCCCAGGCTAGTCTGGCCAGTTACCCCTATCTCAGGATGTTGCATTTCCAGCACATTCTACAGTTATTCTTGAGAACTACAAGCAAGAAAGGGAAGAGCTTGGTTGTCAAGGTCATCAAAGGACTTGTCCTGCAAGAATCTATTAGTATTATGTCTGTTACAGTGATCTGTGGTCAGTGATCTTTGAGATTATTATAGCAACATCTGATTTTTGCAGATAGCCAAGCTCTTTAGTATAACCTTATTTTCTTCTGTTGGGTTACAGAAGCAGGTGCCTTTCAAATCTGAAGTGCCATGTTTCTTGACTCTCAATCCAGGCAAAGAAAGCTCCCTTAGCAGAGCTCTATTCCTCCCACTTCTGCTTGTAAAGTGGCTTTGGAGAAGGCCTTGGGGCATAAATTAGAGCAATGTTTTAGCATTGTCTCATAGATCTTCCTTAAAGCAGCAAGGAGCAAACAACACTAACAACATTCTGAGATTTTACAGTGAGGTTTCCTAGAACTTCAGGCTCACACAGTCTACCTTCAAAATTATCACAGGAGGCAGTTCAGTCAAGCATTTCCATAAAACATCAAAAAGGTCATCACCTTCTTAGCCTGTAATGTCTGTGTCCTTTCCTAACAATAAAGCAAGTGCCACATATTTTAGCTTTCAGTTATGGCAGCACCCTATATCCATGAACAAATTTCTATACTTGTTAGGGTTTATTCTAAGCTATTGTAACAAAAAGATTCCAAAATACAGTAACTTCAATAAGATAGAGGCAAGTGATCCAGGGTTAACATTACAGCTCTGCCATTTTCAATACAATTTGGCTTCAAAGGTTGTACCTGTCTTTACCATTTCCTAGGTAGAGGAAAGACAAGTGTCTTTAAGGTGATGTCTCAGAATTTGTATATGCAACTTCCCCTCATAGCTCATTAGCCAAAATTAGACACCTAGCCACATAACCTATCTAAGAAGGAGAAAAAGGAAATGTAATGTGTAGCCGAGTCAGCCCTGTTACTAAAAGGAAGACATATAAATGAATAAAAGGAATATTATATCTAGTATTCATTATAAAGAATATGCTTACTAGAGCTATCTTGGATTCTAAGTGGTTTTCCAGTTTTAATCTCAATGAAAGTTGACTTTAGTTCCTGTGAAGCCTTATCTAAAGGTTAGATTTACATTTTCTTTTTCTCCACATGTGTTCTTGTGATATACTAGCTATTACTTAGGCTAAGGAGTAAAGTGTTTCTCTAAAAATAAAAATAAAAAGGCTCTCACATTAAGTTACTATTCCTGACTATCCAGTAACTAAACAATATTGAGTGCTTTCTGTATGTAAAGTGTGGTGCTGAAAAGCGATAAAAGATATGATCTCCGTCTCATTTGTGTCATTTATATGCCTCTTATGTAATAGAACATTCATAAATATGCATAAAGTGATTTAATATTGTCAACTTATTCTACCAAAAAAAGGAAGCGAGACTAAATGAAAGGGCTTTACTTATTATCTTAGATAATCAATTGCATAAAAATGAAAGGAATTCTGCTAGGTTGTGCTAATATTGGGTATCTAGTATACTTTTAAATATAATTTTATACTACTAATTAATTAATGTCATAAATATAGAAACAATATATATCTTGTTTCACTAATATTATACATTTCAATTTTTTTATACAGTATAAGAAATTGCTTAGTTTTGATGGTGTTCATTTAGGAATTCTTGAAAGATTTATATTTGGCTCATTGGCTGGTGTAACTGCCCAGACCTGTATTTACCCCATGGAGGTATGTATTATAAAATTTTAACTAAAGTCATACTTTTAATGCAAATTATAACTTTTTATAAATGAATCTCAGGTAAGTATTTTGTACAATAAGCAGCTTTATAGCCATAGGATTAAAATCTTATATCAAGAGTGAGTTGGTGGTCAGGCACAGTAGCTCACGCCTATAATCCTGGCACTTTGGGAGGCCAAGGTGGGTGGATCACCTGATTCGGGAATTTGAGACCAGCTTGGGCAACGTGGTGAAACCCCACCTCTACTAAAAATACAAAAATTAGCAAGGCATGGTGGTGCATGTCTGTAAAAAAAAAAAAAAAGTCAGCCTCAGTAGATTTTATGGTTGTTGTTTAGGACACAGGTATTACTGTATATGAACCAAGAAGATAAACAATTTTGTTGATTGATTGATTGATTGATAGAATCACTTATTCATTCAGTGAGTAAATTTGTATTGTACACCTACTAAGTTTAAGGTATTTTGCTAGGCGCTATGCAGGATCGAGAGAAGAGTCATACAGGGATTTTTGGCCATGTAGCTTGTAGTCTAGAAGGGGAAATAAAACATGCACATCAATAATAATCTAAAATAAAAATGATAAATTATAGAAAGATCAATATGAAGTGCTATGGAAATTGAGAAGGGGAGAAATTATTTCAAGCTGGGGATCTCATGAAAGACATGAATAGAGGCTGGGTGTGGTGGCTTATGCCTGTAATCCCAGCACTTTGTGAGGGTGAGGCAGGTGGTTTGCCTGAGCCCAGGAGTTCGAGACCAGCCTGGGCAACATGGTGAAACCTCATCTCTACAAAAAATACAAAAATTAGCCAGGTGTGATGAAGTGTGCCTGTAGCACCAGCTACTCGGAAGGCTGAGGTGGGAGGATCACTCTTCTGTCAGGAAGTGAAGGTTTCAGTGAACCATGATTGCACCATTGTACTCCAGCCTGGGCAACACAGCAAAAAAGACTAGAAAGATGGGAAGACCAGATGCAAGATATTACCATCATTCGGGGAACTGATAATAAGAGTTCGAAATATGATGGTGACTAGGGGAAATTAACTCATGATAGAGCTGTCTTGAGAACTGTCAACTCGAAAAGTAGAAAGCAGGGGAAAGGAAGAGGGCGAAGTTCTATTTGGGTCCTGTGCCTGAGTGTTTAGGAGAGTTGCATCTGAGTTACATCTTGAAAACAGGTAGAGAACGGGAGGAAGTGAGCCAGACTCAAGAGAGGTGATGAGTTCAGATTTATGCGTATTTAAACTGAGCTGTTGATGGGACCACCAAGTTATGATTTTCAGTAGGCCGTTGCAAATGTGATACTGAGACTTAAGATTTCAAGTGTTGGTGTGTCACCTGAGAGAGGTGTTATTTGAGGCCAGGAGATTGCCTATGAAAAAGTAATGATTTAAAAAATGCTGAGAAGATGACTTTTGAGAAGGCCTTAATTTAGGGAGTGAGAGGAGAAAAACATGCCAGTGAAGCAGACAGAAAAGATTTACTTGGGTAAGAGGAGAGTGCACTGCCCTGGAGAGGATAGAGTTTTAAAAATGGGACTACCCAACGTGTCTAGTTCCGCAGAGAAGTCCATAAAACAAAAGGCTTCCTACTGACCACTCAGAGGCAGCCCCGTCAAGATACACAGTTTTCTCAATCAAGACAAAGTTTATACTTAAAAAAAATTTTAGCTTTTATTTTAGATACGAGAGGTACATGTCCTGGCTGTTTTAGAGAGCCATTTCTCCAAGCATGTATAAAGCACCTTTAAATTAATAGAATTAAGATGACAAGGAGTGAGACTCTATCAGGAGAATGAAATTGTGCATAGGAATATTGATCATATACAGCCTACCTGGGCCTACTATTGTCCTTATAGCTTCTGGAATATCAATACTTTATGAGCACAGAATGAGCCCAAGTTATATAAAATTGCAGTCTATGGGCCTCACTGTTAAAATAGTTACCAGAGTATGTACTTTAAGCATATGTAGAATGTTTTATTCATACTGGTTCTTTATTTTAACATGACCATATATGTTTTACCTTGAATTTTGGCTGTTTTCTTTTTTCCGAAGCAATGATGAATTTATTTCAGAACATGTTGCCTTTCGGCACATTAAAGGAATTTGCATGGATATATCACTCAAAGACACTGGGATTGATTTTATTTTCCTGCTTGAATAATTTTAAAATATCTCTGTACTGTATCAGTTGTTCATAAGTAAGAGCCAGTTATTGAGAAGTTACAATCATGTTTACAATTGTTTTCTTTTATGATTTCTCTGATTTATAAACATCATGAGATAATGCAAATCCCTGGATTGCTAAATAAGATGGGTGAATCTGATCAATATATCTTTCTTATATTCTTTCACATTTAGGTACTAAAGACCAGACTGGCTATAGGTAAAACTGGAGAGTATTCAGGGATTATTGATTGTGGCAAGAAGCTTCTAAAACAAGAAGGTGTCAGATCCTTTTTCAAAGGTTATACTCCTAACTTGCTAGGCATTGTACCTTATGCCGGCATAGATCTTGCTGTTTATGAGGTGAGTTTATTCTCATAATATGACAATTATATGTTAGATTTGCAAATATGGAACAACAATTTTTATTGTAGAAATATGGTTATAAATGACTTTTCATTAAAACAGCTTCTGACAAAGAGTGAATTGAATGGTTTTATTTGATTTTTCATTTTATATGTTACATATCTGGTATTCTAGTAATAATTTTTTATTTGGTTTTTTTTGTGAATCAGTTTTTGGTAATAATAATGTTAAGTTCTGATAAAACAGTGGTTCTCAATCCTGGATGCATATCAGAATCACATACATATGGATCTTTAAAAAATAGGATTCTTGGGCCACATCCTGAGATATTCTCATTTAATTATCCCGAGGAGGTGGAGTGCGGTGGCTCAGGCCTATAATTCCAGCACTTCAGGAGGCTGAGGGGGTTGGATCCCTTGAGCCCAGGAGTTTGAGACCAGCCTTGGTAACATAGTGAAATCCCATCTTGACCAAAAATACAAAAATTGGCCAGTCTCATAACTTGGTCTCAAAATAAATAAATAGATTTAAAATTTTTTAAAAATTATCCTGAGGAGAGGCCTAGGATTCAGGTTTTTTAACTGCCCAGAAAAATCTGTTGTATAAGTAAGACTGTGAAAGCTGAGATATTATCACACAGCTGTAAAAATGAGAATGGAGGATAGGAGTAATTGTGGCTTGAGGAAGAAAGGCAGGATGGAGATAGGACAAAAAAGCTGATAGTGTAATGCAGAGGCAGGATGCCAGCTTACTCCCCTTTCAACTGATCATTTCATTTCTATGGCCATACATCTGTTTCAGGAAGAGCATCTTAGCAATATATATACCATTTTGTCATAAGAACCAGGTGAAGGTGTGTGATTAGAATAAATTCATTCTCAGTGGAGGAAGGACAGTTCTCTAGATACAAGCCCAGTGGAATTTTTGGCAAGTGGTGTCATCATCAAGTGAAAGACAGATAACTTCCTTTAGCACTTTTACAAGTACACTTATATTTTCGTAGATGTTTAAAGTATTGAATATTATAGCAGGCATTTATTTTTCTTTTTGTTTTCTTGCATCTATGATCTTATTACAATAAGTTTGTTGCTGCTGTTTGTGTTGGGCTGCCTTCATTCTTTGATTTCTATGGTTCAGTATCTTCTGCTTTACACATTTGCCAGATGCCATTACACATCTCTCTTTGTATTGTTACATGACTGTAATAAGTGCATACTGAGTAAAGACATTTCAAAATTTATTTTTTCAAAAGCATCAAATTATACATTTTGTAGTAATCATTGCAGTGCATAATGGTAAAGTTGCTGTCCTTTAATAAATAAACAGTTCTGGAAGCACTTAGTGATGTTTTAAACTCAATATTTCTTAATTTCTTCCAGTCACTTTTATGCAAGAAAAAGAAAATAGGGAAAGAGGACTCTTAAAAGTTGAGAAAATGTGATTTTGTTAACCTGGAGTGGATTGTGTAGTCTTCCTCTCTAAAATATTGTGTTGATCCCTGTGAGAATCTCCAGGTTTTTGTTTGAATATAATTACAAACCAAAGAACAAGCAAAGCAACCCCCCCCCCAAAACAAAAAAACAAAAACAAACAAACAAAAACACCAAAACCCAAAACAAAACGCAGGGGAACTCAAACTGAGGCTGTATGAATATGTTGGTTTGAAAACATTAGTTCTCCCTGTCCCTGATAAGACTACAGGAATAGAGGCCGGGCGCGGTGGCTCACGCCTGTAATCCCAGAACTTTGGGAGGCTGAGGCAGGCAGATCACAAGGTCAGGAGATCGAGACCATCCTGGCTAACACGGTAAAACCCCGTCTCTACTAAAAATACAAAAAATTTAGCCGGGCATGATGGTGGGCGCCTGTAGTCCCAGCTACTCAGGAGGCTGAGGCCGGAGAATGGCGTGAACCCGGGAGATGGAGCTGAGATTGCGCCACTGCACTCCAGCCTGGGCGACAGAGCAAGACTCTGTTTCACAAAACAAACAAACAAACAAACAGAACAAAACAAAACAAAAAAAAAACTACAGGGATAGCCCCCACCTTACTAAAACTTTATTCCATTTAGAGTTGCATAGTAGTAGGTTTTGTTTTCTATTTCATAGTATTTGTGCAGTAATATATTTACTACTCTCTTTTCTGCCAGATTTTGAAGAATTTTTGGCTAGAAAATTATGCAGGAAACTCTGTGAATCCTGGGATAATGATTTTGGTGGGATGTAGTACATTGTCTAATACTTGTGGTCAGTTAGCCAGTTTCTCTGTGAACCTTATTAGAACTCGCATGCAGGCTTCAGGTGAGTTTTTTTTTTTTTTAAAAGAATGAATAATAAGTTTAAAATTATGTTTTAAATGAGTATAAATTAATGACTTCAAAGACAAAAACTGTAGAATTGATAAGCAAGAATCCCGAATTTATTATTTTACTGACTAAAGCTTTTTGTGCATTTTAGATTTTATTTCCTCTCAAAGTATTGTTTGGAATTCTCCACATTTTCTTCAGTTACTAATGATCTCTTTAAGGAGTTTACAATTAGAAAGTACCATGCAGAACAATAGAAAAGATTATAGTTTTTTCAAATAAACAGTTATTCCATATGATCGTGTAATTTTACCCTAGTTCTGTTATTATTGTCATATTCTGCAACTGGAACTTAATACATTTGTGGAATTGAACTCAATTTTTTTTCCAATTTACTTAAGGAAGAGATATTAAGAAAAGGGAGGATATCTGTTTTGTCTTAGTGAAATGTTAGGAATTTAGTTTTTAAGAAAATATCTTTATCACTTTTCAAGAAGGCAAAAACCCCCACACAATCCTATTGTTATCTTCTTGACTAAACTGTTTAAAGGTCATGTGTTAAGTGATATTATTTTACATTCTCCTTCTTCTTGTCTTTTTAGTTAGATTTTTGGTTTTAATTTACATTCTCCAGGTGGAGAATCTCTCTATCCATCCCATCACCCATCCTTTCCTCTCTAACTATTTGTGTCAAATCCAATTCCAAATATTCCTTTGAGGTCCCTCATGAAAGACTTTCAAGTGTTGTTTGATAGAACTTTCTGTGATGGTGGAAATATTTTATATCTGTGCTATTCAGTATGATAGTCACTATTCCCAAGTGAATACTTGGGATTGTTACCAGTGCAACTGAGGCAATGAATTCTTAGTTTTATTTAATTTTAATTAATTTAAATTTAAATAGCTGCATGTGTCCAGTGGGTACCATATTGAACAGCACAAGACATTCTACAGGTAGGGAGAGAGGTATATTCTGAAGTAATTTCAATCTCTGTAAATTCCCATTTATCATTGGATTTTCTTAATTTATAAATATTAAATATTGAATTATACTTTTTTCCAATTTATAGCCCCAGTGGAAAAAGGAAAAACAACTTCTATGATTCAGCTCATTCAAGAAATATATACCAAAGAAGGAAAATTGGGATTTTACAGGGGTTTCACCTCAAACATCATAAAGGTGCTTCCTGCAGTAGGCGTTGGCTGTGTGGCCTATGAGAAAGTGAAGCCACTTTTTGGATTAACCTGGAAGTGATATATAAAATTGTTGTCATTGTAATCACTTAATTGTAAGATAATACCTGTGTTATAAAGAGATGTTATCTTTTCCTAAGAGGAAAGAAATGTCAGATAATTGTTAAAATATTTTTTCATTATTACAAAATACATAAATTAAATAATAATTTTTATAAAGTTCTTGAATAAGTTAAAATATTTAATATCCAAAGAATACTATTTACATTTTCTACTACTCTCCCTTGAATCCTAATTTAAAATTTGTTCTTGATTTGATTTGAATGTAACATAAAACATTTGGTCAGTTATAGGAGTTTATCTTTGAAAACGTTTTTACATTTGAAAACTTATTTTAAAAAAGCTGAGCTTGAAAATGCTTTATACACTAACAGAAAAATCAGTGCATTTAAAATTGATGTTATAGCAAATAATTTGGAGTCTGTTTCTTTTACTTAAGCAAAATGGAAAATTGGTTTCTAATTCCTTCTATCACATTTTAGATGGAATAACGATAACATCTTTCTTACATCTCCGGGCCTTTTTATTTGTAAATGTGAACACTGTTGGTTCATTTTAATTCTTGATATTTTCAGCTTATATAAGGAAGTTGGCATTGATAACAAATCCAACACTGGACAAATTTTATTTATCTTCTGGTTGAAAACATTCAAGTGAAAGAATTTTATATATTAAATCCATTATCTTATAGTTGTTGAAGCAATTCTTACTTCAGCGTTGATGCCCTAAATATCTTCTCTTCACTTTTATAAAAAAAATTATATTCTTTCCTGGGATTAAATAAATGAGTGGAGAGACAGTGGTAATGGGCTGATTGGACACTAACAGGCCTCAAATGAAGGACGCCTGGCTCAACTGACTGAAGTCCAGGCTTTGATTTTTAGCCTTGATGGCCCAAAAGTTTGACCTCATTAATTTCCTTAAAATGATCAGTTTTTTGGTACTAGATTAACAAAAATTGCTCACAGGATTGAGATATAGATCACAAAGCAAACCCATTAATTTATAGTGGTGTTTAATACTTTCCATTAACCAAAGAACTTTCATCCCTTCTCCAGGGCACACTGTTTCCTAGTGTCAAACTACTTGGAAACCTAATAGGTAATAAGAAGACTGATGTGGAATTAGAACAAAGAGAAGAAGATACTTTTGAGGAATATTTTAGTCAGGCCCATCCCAGTTAAGGTGGGAAGAGTTGGGAACCTTGCATACAAGGGGAGAGGAGCTGAGAACTAAAGTAGGAGAGTGGAAAGAACTGTGAAACTTGAGCTAAATTAAGCCACAGATCAACAGAAGAGAGAAAGGTAAATCTTATGTGAACCCTGGGGGAATGGGTGTGTAAGAAATTTGAGTGATGGCAGTAGTTGTTTTAAAAAGCATTCCAAGTTGATGAAACAACTTGAACAGTAACATGAAAATGGAGTTCATGGAACATTGGGAAGATTGCAAGTAACCTGGTCATTTGAAAATGTATAGTATATAGGAAGATATAGTGAGCTACAAGGCTACTGCTGTAGGTTGGCAATAGGGGCTTTGGATTATATATGCTAATAACATTCTCTAGTGTAAGAAGGTAACTTTGACAATAGAATGAAACCATTGAAAGAAGAGATAGGGCCAGGTGTGGTGGCTCACACCTGTAGACCAAATGCTTTGAGAGGCTTAGATGGGAGGATCACATGAGGCTAGGAGTTCATGATCAGCCCGGTCAACAAAGTGAGACTCTGCCTCTACAAAAAAAATATAAAAAATTAGCATGGTGGCACATGTGTGGAGTCCCAGCTACCTGGGAGGCTGAGGCAGGAGAATCACTTGAGCCCAATAGTTAGAGGCTGCAGTGAGCTATGATTGTGCCGCTGCACTCCAGCCTGGGCAGCAGAGCAAGAATCCATCTAGTTAAAAAAAAAAAAAAGGAGATAATAGAGCCAAGGAGATCAATTCAGACATTATTACCATAGATCTAGTTAGAAAATGCTGGCTTCTAAGTAAAAGACTTCTCTTTAGAGTAGGTAGAAGTCTAGGCTTTTTGATTATTGTATCGAGGTCAAAGTCTAATCTGTCTTTTTTGAAATTAGAAAATTAAAATTTATTAAGTGCCTGATATGTGCCAAGTACCCTTTCAAAGCACTTTTAAAGATTCTCTTGCTTAATTCTATCAACTCTACTAGGTTGAGATTATTATCCTGATTTTCAAATGAAGAAACTAAGTTTAGAGAGGTAAGTGCCCTAAGCAAATCTCCTAACATTTCCCCCTTTATGAAGGATTGTGCTCATTTCTCACCTTCAGGGCCTTCATTTTGCGTAAGATCCTGCTGTCAGCCATAATCTTGGCTGTGACTTGGATATTTTGTAAAAAACTTTAAAAATGATGATTTAGCCCACATTCTTAGTGTGCAGCCTCTCAGTTCTCTTTGAGTCCAAGCCTGACTGATACTCTTCTTGCTCTTAAGTACTGAGAACGCTTGACAGATAACCTTTATGTAAAAATGGTTATCACAATGTAACATGAACACTGAGACTTGAATCTAGAATGAATCAAGAAGAAATGCCAGCAATTCTTTCTAAGCATTGGAGAGAAAATAACTGGATAATATTATAAGATCTGTGGTATCAGAAGTTGAGTTTAACACAGAGGCACATTTCTGTGTGGTTTCTCAGATAGCACAGTTTAAAGATCAGCCTCCCCATGGGTTACCTTGCAGGCCTGTGACACAAATTAGTAAAATTCTGTCTCATGGCCCCTGGGTTACTGTGTTTCACTCAGGCCCATCCCAATTAAGGTGAGAAGAGTTAGGAACCTTGTATACAAGGGAAGAGGACCTGAGACCTAAAGTAGGAGAGTGGAGAAAATTGTGGAACTTGAGCTAAATTAAGCCAGAGACCACCAGAAGAGCGTAGTAGAATGTTATATTATGTGATTAAGATTTTTGGCTAGGAATTAAATATAAAGAAGACCATAGCAGTTGTCATCTGGGAGATGGTTGGGATTAAGTGCCTATTGAAATTTTTGACTCCAAGAAATCTGCACCTCATCCAGAAAGATAAAGAACTCTCTGGACAAGTACAGAATCCTTTCAGGAATGTATTTGCAGTCCACAGAAGCAAAACAGTAAGCCCTCAGATCTCTAGAGTACTGTAGTAGAGTGCCCACTTCCCTAGTTTCATGCAGAGCCCGTGTTTCTGAAGGCACTGCTGGATGTTTTGATACTCTCACTCTGCTCAGACTGCATATTTTAAAAATTAGTTTATTGACCCATTTATTTTAAAGAAAGCAGCCGAGAAAGTCATAGCATATTGGTCATAATATGCTAAAGGAGGGTTATAAACCTTTGCAGAACTCAAAAAGCAACTATGAGTCCTTGTCCTAGTCTTTTTTTATGCTGTTATAGCAGAATACCACAGACTGTGTTATTTATTTATTCATTTATTTATTTATTTATTTTTGAGATGGAGTCTTGCTCTGCTGCCCAGGCTGGAGTGCAGTGGTATGATCTCGGCTCACCGCAGCCTCCGCCACCCAGGTCCAAGCGATTCTCCTGCCTCAGCCTCCACAGTAGCTGGGACTACAGGTGTGTGCCACCACGCCCGGCTAATTTTTGTATTTTTAGTAGAGACGGGGTTTCACCATATTGGCCAGGCTTGTCTTAAACTCCTGACCTTGTGATCTGCCCGCCTTGGCCTCCCAAAGTGTTGGGATTACAGGCATAAGCCCCCATGCCTGGCCTGTGTAATTTGTAAGAACAGAAATTTACTTGGCTTATGATTCTGGAGGCTGGGAAGTCCAAGGCTGAGGGACTGTCTCTGGTGAAGGTTGTCTTGCTATGTTATAACATGGCAAAGGCATCACACTGGTTTGTGAGAGAGAGGGAGAAAAGCAAGCCAAACACCCCCTTTTATAAGGACCCTCTCCTGTGATAATGGCATTAATCCATTTATGAAGGCAGAGCCTATCTCTCACCTTATATAAAAATCAACTCAAAATGGACAAAGACTTTAAGGTGTGAAATGATAAAAATTATGGAAGACAACCTAGGAAAAACTCTTCTGGACATTGCTGTAGGCAAAGAATTCATGACTAAGACCCCAAAAGCAAATGCAACTAAAAGAGAAATAAATAAATGGGACTTAAATAAATAAATAAGTGGGACCTAATTAAACTAGAAAACTTGTACCTACCACACTGTCAGAGCACAGTGCAATAAATATTGAAAACAATACCATGAAGATCTCTCAAAACCATATAATTACATGGAAATTAAACAACTTGCTCCCGAATGCGTTGGGTAAGGAATGAAATTAAGGTAGAAATTTAAAAAAATTCCTTCAAACTAATGAAAACAAACATATATGAGAACCTCTGAGCACAGCTAAAGCAGTGATGAAAGTTTATACACTAAATGCCTACACCAAGGAGTTAGAAAGATCTGAAATTAACAACCTTACACCTAGAGGAACTAGAAAAACAAGAGCAACCCCAAAGCTAACAGAAAAAAGAAACAACCACAACCAGAGCTCAACTGAGTGAAATTCAGATGTGAAAATCCATAGATCAACAAAACCAAAATTGGTTTTGTGAAAGAGTAAATAAAATGAATAGAGTGCTAGTTAGGTTAATGAAGAAAAATAGAGTGAAGATCCAGATAAACACAATCAGAAATGACAGAGGTGACATCACTGACGACCTCATTGAAATACAAAAATCCATCTGAGACTATTATGAATATCTCTGTGCACACAAAATAGAAAATCTAGAAGAAAGGGATGAATCCTGGGAATATACACACCATACTGGATCACGAAGATACAGAAATCCTGAACAGACCAGTAATGAGTTCCAAAATTTAATCAGTAATAAAAAATTTACCAATCCGTCGAGCGTGGTGGCTCAGGCCTGTAATCCCAGCACTTTAGAAGGTTGAGGTGGGCGGATCACGAGGTCAGGAGATCGAGACCATCCTGGCTAACACGGTAGAATATAGTGTCATTGGCTGTGTACTTAAGCGTGTTTTTGTGGTGGCAGGTGACATTTGTTTGCTTCCATGTTTAACACTTCCCTAAAGACATCTTGTAAGGCAGGTCTGGTGGTAATGAATTTCCTTAACATTTTCATGTCTGAAAAGGATTTTACTTCTCCTTCACTATGGAGCTTACTTTGGATGAATATGAAATTATTCATATTCATCTACACGGTAGTAGAGACAGGACTGGAAGCCCTAGACAGAGAAATCACACAAGTGGAAGAAAATAAGGCATTAATATAGAAAGATAGAAAGTCAGACTCTCTCTCTGCAGACAATATGATTCTATACCTAGAAAACCCCATAGTCTTTGCCCAAATGCTCCTAGAACTGGTAAATGACTTCAGTCAAGTTTCAGGGTACGAAATTGATATACAAAAATCAGTAGTATTTCTATACACAATAACGTCCAAGTTGAGCTCCAAATCAAGAAGGCAATCCCACGCACAATAGCAACAAAAGGAAGTAAATACCTGGGAATGCAGCTAACCAGGGAGTAGAAAGATCTCTACAACTAGATTACAAAACACTGCTGAAATAAATCAGAGACAACACAAAGAAGTGGAAAAACATTCCATGCTCACGGATAGGAAGAATCAATATTGTCAAAATGCCCATATTGCATAAAGCAATTTGTAGATTCAACGCTATTGCTAACAAACTACCGACATCATTTTTCACAGAATTAGACAAAAATATTGTAAAATTCATATGGATCCAAAAAGGAGCCTAAAGCCAAAACAATCATAAGCAAAAAGAACAAAGCCAGAGGCATCACACTATCTAACTTGAAACTGTACTACAAGGCTGCAGTAACCAAAACAGCATGGTGCTGGTACAAAAACAGACACATAGACCAATGAAACAGGTTTGAGAACACAGAAATAAAGCATGACACTTATAACAATCTGATCTTTGACAAAGCTGACAGTAACATGCAATGGGAAAAGGACTCCCTGTTCAATAAAGGGCACTGAGATAACTGGCTATAGCCATATGCAGATTAAAACTGAATCCCTTCCTTTCACCATACAAATATCAATGTAAAATGAATTAGAGATTTAAATGTAAGACCTAAACCTATAAAAACTCTAGAGGAAAACCTAGGAAGTACCATTCTGAACATAGGCCTTGGCAAAGATTTCATGCCTAAGTTTCCAAAAGCAATTACAACAACAACAGCAGCAATGAAAAAACAGACAAGTACAATGTAAGTAAACTAAATTGCTTCTGCATAATAAAAGAAACTATCAACAGAGTACATAGACAACCTACAGAAAGGAGAAAATAATTGCAAACTATGCATCTGACGAGGATATAATATCCACAATCTATAAGGAACTTAAATCAACAAGCAAAAACCAACAACCCCATTAAAAACTGGGCAAACAAGGTGAACAAAGGCTTCTCAAAAGAAGACATATATGTGGCCCACAAGCATACGAAAAAATGCTTAACATCACTAATCATCAAAGAAATGCAAATCAAACCCACAATGAGCTACCATCTCATACCAGTCAGAATGGCAATTATTAAAAGTCAGAAAATAACAGATGTTGGTGAGGTTGCAGAGAAAATTGAACACTTAAACACTGCTAGTGGGAATATAACTTAGTTCAGCCACTGTGTAAATTAGTTTGGAGATTTCTCCAGCAACTTAAAATAGAACTACCATTCAAACCAGCAATCTCATCACTGGGTATATACTCATAGGAATATAAATTGTTCTTCCAAAAAGACACATGCACTCATATGTTCATCACAGCACTATTCACAATAGCAAAGAAATGGAATTAGCCTAGATGCCCATCAGTGGTGGGCTGGGTAAAGAAAATGTGATACATAAACACCATGGACTACTATGCAGCCATAACATACTATGCCTTTTTTTTTTAAAGGCATAAACATATCCTTTGCAGCAACATAGACGAAGGTCTTAAGCAAATCAATGCAGGAACAGGAAACCAAATACCGCACGTTCTCATTTATAAGTGGGAGCTAAACATTGAGTACACGTGGAAACAAAGGAAAAATAGACAACAGAGTCTATTTGAGGGTGGAGGGTAGGAGGAGGGTGGAGGGTCGGAGGAGGGTGGGGGTGGAAAAAATACCTATCAAATACTATTCTCACTAATTGGGTGACAAAAACATTTGTATACCAAACCCCACTGACACACAACTTACTCATGTAACAAACCTGCACATGTACTGCCTGAACCGAAAATAAAAGTTGAAAAGGAAATATAAAATAAAATTTTAACCCACATGACATATTTTTTCTCTAAATTGAAAACTCTGTACAAAACTAATGTTGCTACTGTCTTCCATCGTGCATCGGATGAAACACACACATGCACAGACATATCTGTGTGTATATATATGTATATATGTGTGTACATATGATGTGTATATATATAATTTTGCATAATGTTGATTTGGAAAAGTAAAGGTTACTCAAGAGAAGATATATTGTCTATTAAAAATAAGTCCACATAAGAAAAAGACTAAGCCATAACATGTAGTGATGAATGATCAAAGGAATGTTAAAATTTTACTTTATTTTTTTAAAAATGAAAAAACATATTAATCGGTTCCCCTTAATCACTCTTAAATTTTAGCATAATCAGCAATGGAAGATCCTTAGAGCTTTTGAGAAGTAATACATAACAAATATAAAAAACAAAATACAAAAATGAAGAAGAGAATGAAATAATGCAGTGACTACATGAAGTAAAACCATTAGTCTAACGCTGTGTTTTTCTAAAGGCATATATACGGGTAATTGCCACATGAAAAGGTGCTGAATATCATTAGTCAGTGGAAAATGCAAATAAAAACAACATAAGATACCACTTTACACTCACTAGTGTAGCTATGATAAAAAAGAAAAAAAAATTAAGAGAACAGCAAGTTTGCTGAGAAGGTGGAGAACCGGAACCTTCGTATATTGCTGGTAACAATGTAAAATGATAGAAGTACTTTGAAATCCACTTTGGCAGCTTCTTAAGAAGTTAAACGGCTGGGCGCGGTGGCTCAGGCCTGTAATCCCAGCACTCTGGGAGGCCGAGACGGGCGGATCACGAGGTCAGGAGATCGAGACCATCCTGGCTAACACGGTGAAACCCCGTTTCTACTAAAAAAAAAAAAAAAAAAATACAAAAAATTAGCCAGGCGTGGTGGCAGGCACCTGTAGTCCCTGCTACTCGGGAGGCTGAGGCAGGAGTATGGCGTGAACCCGGGAGACGGAGCTTGCAGTGAGCCGAGATCGCGCCACTTCACTCCAGCCTGGGCGACAGAGTGAGACTCCATCTCAACAAAAAAAAAAAAAAAAAAAAAAAGTTAAACATAAGTTTACCATATAACCCAGCTATTTCACACTTAGAAATCTGAGAGAAACAAGAACATATGTCCACCAAAAACTTGTTCTGAAATGTTCGTTGCAGTGTTATTCATGATAGCAAAACCTGGAAACAAATGTCCATCACTGTTATATGAATAAATAAAATGTGGTATTATCTGCACAATGGAATTCTAGTCAGCAATTAACAAGCAGAGAAATCTGATACATGCTACAGCCTGGATGAATCATAAAACACTAGGCTAAATGAAAGATGCTAGTCACAAAAGACTGCCTATGGTCTGATGCCATTTATGTAATATGTCCAGAAAGATTGACATTTGTAGGCAGAAAACGGATTAATTGTTTTGTTGGGGCTGGAGGAGACAGTAGGATTCGCTACAAGAGCACTGGAAAAAATTGGGAAGGTAAAGGTAATGTTCTAAAAGTGTATTATGGTACTGGTTGAGACACTCTATATAAATTGAGTCATATATTTACAATGGGTCCATTTCATTATATAAAAATCTGATATGAAAGTAAGGACAGGAAAGTGCTGAATCAAAGGGTTGGGTGTCCTGTGATCCTGTGACGATCACTGCATGTTGAGGTGCAACAATCTGAGTCAACAGCAGATGGTTACTTAGAGCAGGTGGTGACTCCGATGTCACATGCTTGAGGAAGGGGTTCCTGGGCTTTCAGTCTCTGGCCCTGCTAGCTCCCGCAGAATCCAGATAGTAGATGTGGTAAATGAAGGCAGCCTCTGCCTCTCAGGTAGTGCAAGGAGACCAGTTGCACCATATAAAGGTCTGGGGAGAGTCAGTTTGTTGGAAGAAGCTCTGCGGACATTTTGGGTGACAAAAGGAAAAAATCATGGGGAAGAAGTGAGGGCTGCAGAATGAGGGGGTTGCTCAAAACAGAAGCTGCTCAAAAATCTTTGGTGGGATTTGAGGAGATTTGTTTCTTGTGTGGTCTGACCCAGCAACCTTTTGGTTAACAGAAGGCAGCAGAGAGAAAAACTGCTATGAACTTTTGCTATATACTAATAGTACAAAATGAGAACATACTCTCTACCCACAACACTATTTCATTGATTTCCATCTTTATCTTTGTAATTTATTTTCTTCTTACTTTGAGATTAATTTATTCTTCCAGGTTCTTGTGGTAGAAGCAGAAATCACTGATTTGAAATAATTTTTAAATTTTTATGGGCTTTTATAAATATAGGCTTTATAAATATAGGCTTTTAATGCTATAAATCCCCCTTCTCCATTTTCAGGTTTTCACCTTCCTTCAGTTCAAAGCAATTTCTAATTTCCCCTTTTTAAAATTATTTTATTTCAATAACTTTTGGAGAACAGGAGGTGTTTGGTTACAGGGAGAAGTTTTTTAGTGGTGATTTCCAGGATTGTGGTGCACCCATTGCCCAAGCATTGTACATTGTACCCAATGTGTAGTCTTTTATCCCTCCCCCTTCCTCTCCCTTTTCCTGGAGTCCCCAAAGTTCATTATATTATTCACATGCCTTTGTATCCTCGTAGCTTAGCTCCAACTTATGAGTGAGAACTTACAATGTTTGGTTTTCCATTACTGAGTTACTTCACTTAGAATAATAGTCTCCAACTCCATCCAGGTTGCTGTGAATGCCATTATTTTGTTCATTTTTATGGCTGAGTAGTATCCCATGGTATACATAAACCACATTTTCTTTATACACTTGTTGATTGATGGGCACTTGAGCTGGTTCCCTATTTTTGCAATTGAAAACTGTGCTACTATAAACATGAGTGTGAAAGTGTCTTTTTCATATAATGACTTCTTTTCCTCTGGCTAAACACGCAGTAGGAGGGTTGCTGGATCAAATGGTAGATCTACTTTTCGTTCTTTAAGGAATCTCCACGCTGTTTTCCACAGTGGTTGTACTCGTTTACATTCCCACCAACAGTGTAAAAAGTGCTCACTTTTCACCAAATTCAAGCCAACATCTATAATTTTTTGATTTTTAAAATTACGGCCATTCTTACAGGAGTAAGGTTGTATCACATTATGGTTTTGGTTTGCATTTCCCTGATAATTAGTGATGTTGAGAGCATTTTTTCATATGTTTCCTGGTCATGTGTTTATTTTCTTTTGAGAATTGCCTATTCATGTCCTTGGCCCACTTTTCTAAAATTTTACTTTAAGTTCTGGCATACATGTGCTGAACAAGCAGGTTTGTTACATGGGTATACATGTGCCCAGGTGGTTTGCTGCACTTGTCAACCCATAATCTAGATTTTAAGCCCTGCATGCATTAGGTATTTGTCCTAATGCTCTCCTTCCACTTTCCCCCAACCCCCTGACAAGCCCCGGTGTGTGATGTTCTCCTCCCTGTGTCCATGTGTTCTCATTGTTCAACTCCTACTTATAAGTGAGAACATGCAGTGTTTGGTTTTCTGTTCCTGCATTAGTTTGCTGAGAATGATGGTTTCCAGCTTCATCCATGTCCCTGCAAAGGAAATGCACTCATTCTTTTTTATGACTGCATAGTATTCCATGGTGAATATGTGCCACATTTTCTTTATCTAATTTATCATTGATGGACGTTTGGGTGGGTTCCAAGTCTTTGCTATTGTAAATAGTGCTGCAATAAACATACGTGCCAATGTGTCTTTATAGTAGAATGATTTATAATCCTTTGGGTATATACCCAGTAATGGGATTGCTGGGTCAAATGGTATTTCTGGTTCCAGATCTTTGAGGAATCACTACACTGTCTTCCACAATGGTTGACCTAATTTATACTCCCACCAACAGTGTAAAAGCGTTCCTATTTCTCCATATCCTTGCCAGCATCTGTTGTTTCCTGACTTTTTAATAATCACCATTCTAACTGGCATGAGATTGTATCTCATTGTAGCTTCGATTTGCATTGCTTTTTCTTTTCTTTTTTTTTTTTTTTTTGAGACAGAGTCTTGCTCTGTCACCCAGGCTGGAGTGCAGTGGTGTGATCTCGGCTCACTGCAAGCTCCGCCTCCTGGGTTCACGCTATTCTCCTGCCTCAGCCTCCCTAGTAGCTGGGACTACAGGCGCCCGCCACCATGCCCAGCCAATTTTTTGTATTTTGTTTAGTAGAGACGGGGTTTCACCTTGTTAGCCAGCATGGTCTCGATCTCCTGACCTCGTGATCCGCCTGCCTCAGCCTCCCAAAGTGCTGGGATTACAGGCGTGAGCCACCTTGTCCGGCCTGATTTGCATTTCTTTAATGACCAGTAATGATGAGCTTTTTTTCATGTTTGTTGGCCATATAAACGTCTTCTTTTGACGAGTGTCTGTTCATATCCTTCGGCCACTTTTGATGAGGTTGTTTGTTTTTTTCTTGTAAATTTGTTTAACTTCCTTGTAGATTCTGGATATTAGACCTTTGTCAGATGGATAGACTGCAAAAATTTTCTCACATTCTGTAGGTTGGCTATTCACTCTGATGATAGTTTTTTGTTTTTTGTTGTTGTTTTTTTTTTTTTTTTTCAGAACAGAAGCTTTTTAGTTTCATTAGATCCCATTGGTCAATTTTGGCTTTTGTTGCCATTGCTTTTGGTGTGTTAGTCGTTAGGTCTTTGCCCATGCCAGTGTCCTAAATGCCAGCGTAGGTTTTCTTTTAGGGTTTTTATGGTTTTAGGTTTCAGATTTAAGTATTTAATCAATCTTGAGTTAATTTTTGTATAAGATGTAAGGAAAGGGTCCAGTTTCTGTTTTCTGCATATGGCTAGCCAGTTTTCCTAGCACCATTTATTAAACAGGGAATCCTTTACTCATTGCTTGTTTTGTCAGGTTTGTCGAAGATCAGATGGTTGTATATGTGTGGTGTTATTTCTGAGGCCTCTGTTCTGTTCCAGTGGTCTATATATCTGTTTTGGTACTAGTACCATGCTGTTTTGCTTACTGTAGCCTTGTGTGAAGTCACGTAGCATGATGCCTCCAGCTTTGTTCTTTTTGCTTAGGATTGTCTTGGCTGTACAGGCTCTTTTTTTGGTTCCAAATAAAATTTAAAGTCATTTTTTCTAGTTATGTGAAGAAAGTCAATGGTAGCTTGGTGGGAATAGAAATGAATCTATAAATTACTTCGAGTAGTGTGGCCATTTTCATAACATTGATTCTTCCTATCCATGAGCATGGAATGTTTTTCCATTCGTTTGTGTCCTCTCTTATTTCCTTGAGCAGTGGTTTGTAGTTCTCCTTGAAGAGGTCCTTCAAGTCCCTTATAAGTTGTATTCCTAGATATTTTGTTTTCTTGGTAGCAATTGTGAATGAGAGTTCATGCATGATTTGGCTCTCTGCTTGTCTATTATTGGTGTGCAGGAATGCTTGTGATTTTTGCACATTGATTTTTTATCCTGAGACTTTGTTGAAGTTGCTTATCAGCTTAAGGAGTTTTGGGGCTGAGATGATGCGGTTTTCTAAATATACAATCATGTCATCTGCAAACAGACAATTTGACTGCCTGTCTTCCTATTTGAATACGATTTATTTCTTTCTCTTGCCTGATTGGCCTGGCCAGAACTTCCCATACTATGTTGAATAGGAGTGGTGAGAGAAGGTACCCTTGTCTTACACTGGTTTTCAAATGAAATGCTTCCAGCTTTTGCCCACTCAGTATGATATTGGCTATGGGTTTGTCATAAATAGCTCTTATTATTTTGAGATAGGTTCCATCAATACCTAGTTTACTGAGAGTTTTTATTTTTCTTTTTATTTTTTATTTTATTATTATTATACTTTAAGTTTTAGGGTACATGTGCACAATGTGCAGGTTGGTTACATATGTATACGTGTGCCATGCTGGTGTGCTGCACCCATTAACTCGTCATTTAGCATTAGGTATATCTCCTAAAGCTATCCCTCCCCCCTCCCCCCACCCCACAACAGTCCCCAGAGTGTGATGTTCCCCTTCCTGTGTCCATGCGTTCTCATTGTTCAATTCCCACCTATGAGTGAGAATATGCGGTGTTTGGTTTTTTGTTCTTGCGCTATTTTACTGAGAATGATTTCCAATTTCATCCGTGTCCCTACAAAGGACATGAACTCATCATTTTTTATGGCTGCATAGTATTCCATGGTGTATATGTGCCACATTTTCTTAATCCAGTCTATCATTGTTGGACATTTGGGTTGGTTCCAAGTCTTTGCTATTGTGAATAGTGCCGCAATACTGAGAGTTTTTAGCATGAAGGTGTTGAATTTTATTGAAGGCCTTTTCTGCATCTATTGAGATAATAATGTAGCAATGTAGCTTTTGTCATTGGTTCTGTTTATGTGAAGGATTACATTTATTGATTTGCCTATGTTGAACCAGCCTTGCATCCTAGGATGAAGCTGATTTGATTGTGGTGGATAAGCTTATTTATGTGCTGCTGGATTCAGTTTGCCAGTATTTTATTGAAGATTTTTGCATGGATATTCATCAGGAATACTGGCCTGAAATTTTCTTTTTTGTTGTGTCTCTGCCAGGTTTTGCTATCAGGATGATGCTGGCCTCATAAAATGAGTTAGGGAGGAGTCCCTCTTTTTCTACTGTATGGAATAGTTTCAGAAGGAATAGTACCAGCTCCTCTTTGTACCTCTGGTAGTATTTGGCATGAGTCTGTCTGGTCCTGGACTTTTTTTGGTTGGTAGGCTATTACTGCCTCAATTTGAGAACTTGTTATTGGTCTATTCAGGGATTTGACTTCTTCCTGGTTTAGTCTTGAGGGGGCGTGTGTATGTATGTGTCCAGGAATTTATTCATTTCTTCTAGACTTTCTGGTTTATTTGCATAGAGGTGTTTATAGTATTCTCTGATGATAGTTTGTATTTCTGTGGGATCAGTGGTGATATCCCCTTTATCATTTTTTGTTGTGTCTATTTGAATCTTCTCTCTTTTCTTTATTAGTCTGGCTAGCAGCCTATTTTGTTAATCTTCTCAAAAAACCAGCTCCTGGATTCACTGAATTTTTGAAGGGCTTTTCGTGTCTCTATCTTCTTCAGTTCTGCTCTGGTCTTAATTATTTCTTGTCTTCTGCTAGCTTTTGAATTTGTTTGCTCTTTCTTCTCTAGTTCTTTTAATTGTGATGTTAGGGCGTCGACTTTAGATCTTTTCTGCTTTCTTGTGTGGGCATTTAGTGCTATAAATTTCCCTCTAAACACTGCTTTAGCTGTGTTTCAGAGATTCTGGTACATTGTCTCTTTGTTCTCATTGGTTTCAAAGAACATTATTTTTGCCTTAATTTTGTTATTTACCCCGTAGTTGTTGAGGAGCAGGTTGTTCAGTTTCCATGTAGTTTTGCTGTTTTGAGTGGGCTTCTTAATCTTGAGTTCTAATTTGACTGCACTGTGGTCTGAGAGACTGTTTGTTATGATTACCATTCTTTTGCATTTGCTGAGGAGTGTTTTACTTCCAATTATGTGGTCAATTTTAGAATAAGTGCTATGTGCTGCTGAGAAGAATGTATATTCTGTTGATTTGTGATGGAGAGTTCTGTAGATGTCTATTGGGTCCACTTAGTCCAGAGCTGAGTTCAAGTCCTGAATATCCTTGTTCATTTTCTGTCTCGTTGATCTGTCTAATATTGACAGTGGGGTGTTAAATTCTCTCACTATTATTGTGTGGGAGTCTAAGTCTCTTTGTAGGTCTCTAAGAACTTGTTTTATGAATCTGGGTGCTCCTGTATTGGATGCATATTTATTTACGATAGTTAGCTCTTCTTGTTCCATTGATCCCTTTACCATTATGTAATGCCCTTCTTTGTCTTTTTTGATCTTTGTTGGTTTAAAGTCTGTTTTATCAGAGACTAGAATTGCAACCCCTGCTTTCTTTTGCTTTCCATTTGCTTTGTAAATATTCTTCCATCTTTTTTTTTTTTTGAACCTATGGGTGTCTTTGCATATGAGATGGGTCTCCTGAATACAGCACACCGACAGGTCTTGACTCTATCTGATTTGCCAATCTGCATCTTTTAATTGGGGTGTTTAGCCTATTTACATTTTAGGTTAATATTGTTATGTATGAATTTGATTCTGTCATCATGATGCTAGCTGGTTATTTTGCACATTAGTTGATGCAGTTTCTTCATAGTGTCATTGATCTTTATATTTTGGTGTGTTTTCAAAGTGGCTGGTAATGGTTTCTCCTTTCCATATTTAGTGCTTCCTTCAGGAGCTCTTGTAAAGCAGGCCTGATGTTGACAAAATCCCTCAGCATTTGCTTGTTGGGAAAGGATTTTATTTCTCCTTCACTTATGAAGCTTAGCTTGGCTGGATATGAAATTCTGGGTTGAAAATTCTTTTCTCTAAGAATGTTGAATATTGGCCCCCACTCTCTTCTGGCTTGTAGGGTTTCTGCAGAGGGATCCACTGTTAGTCTGGTGGTCTTCCCTTTGTGGGTAACCTGACCTTTCTCTCCAGCTGCACTTAACATTTTTTCCTTCATTTCAACCTTGGAGAATCTGATGATTATGTGTCTTGGGGTTGCGCTTCTTGAGGAGTATCTTAGTGGTGTTATCTGTATTTCCTGAATTTGAATGTTGCTTAGCCCACTTTTTGATGGAATTATTTGTTTTTTCTTGCTGATTTGTTTGAGTTCCTTGTAGATTCTGGTTGTTAGTCCTTTGTCAGATGCATAGTTTGTGAAGATTTTCTCCCACTTTGTGAGTTGTCTGTTTACTGTGCTATTTATTTTGCTGTGCAGAAGGTTTTTAGTTCAATTAAATCCCATCTATTTATCTTTGGTTTTGTTGCATTTGCTTTTGGGTACTCGGTCATGAAGTCTTTGCCTAAGCCATTGTCTAGAAGCATTTTTCTGATATTATCTTCTAGAACTTTTATGGTTTTAGGTCTTAGATTTAAGTCTTTTATCCATCTTGAGCTGATTTTTGTATAAGGTGAGAGATGAGGATCCAGTTTTATTCTTCTACATGTGGCTTGCCAATTTTCTCAGCACCATTTGTTGAATACGGTGTTTTTCCCCATTTTATGTTTTTGTTTGTTTTGTCAAAGGTCAAGTTGCTGTAAGTATTTGGCTTTATTTCTGGGTTCTCTATTCTGTTTCATTGGTCTATGTGCCTATATTTATACCAGTACCATGCTATTTTGGTGACTAAGAGCTTTTAGTGTAGTTTGAAGTCAGATAATATGATGCCTCCTGTTTTGTTTTTGTTTTGCTTCATCTTGCTTTGGCTAGGTGGGCTCTTTATGGCTCCATATGAATTTTAGGAATCTACAAGGAACTCAAATCAGCAAGAAAAAAAATCCCATCAAAAAGTGGGCTAAGGACATGAATAGACAATTCTCAAAATATGTATACAAATAGCTAACAAATGTGAAAATTGCTCAACATCACTAAATATCAGGGAAACGCAAATCAAAACCACAATGCAATACCGCCTTACTCCTGCAAGCATGGCCATAATTAAAAAGTCAAAAAATAATGGATGTTGGCCTGGATGTGGTGAAAAGGGAATACTTATACACTGTTAGTGGGAATGTAAACTAGTTCAACCAGTATGGAAAACAGTATGGAGATTCCCTAATGAACTAAAAGTAGATCTATCATTTGATCCAGGAATCCCACTACTGAGTATCTGCCCAGAGGAAAAGAACTCATTATATGAAAAAGACACTTGCACATGCATGTCTATAGTGGCATAATTTGATTATTGCAAAGATATGGAACCAGCCCAAATGTCCCTCAGTCAATGAGTGGATAAAGAAAATGTGATACACACACACACACACACACACCATGGAATGCTACTCAGCCATAAAAGGAATGAAATAAAGGCATTTGCAGCAACCTGGATGGGGTTGGAGACATTTTTTCTGAGTGAAGTAACTCGGGAATGGAAAACCAAACATAGTATGTTCCCTCTTATAAGTGGGAGCTACGCTATGAGGACAGAAAGGCAAAATAATGATATAATGGAATTTGGGGACTGGGAGGAAAGGATGAGAAGTGGTGAGGGATAAAAGATTGCACTTTGGGTACAGTGTACACTGCTCAGTTTATGGGTACACCACAAGCTTGGAAGTAATTATTAAAGAACTTGTCCATTTAACCAAACACCACCTGTTCCCCAAAAAGCCTATTGAAATAAAAAAATAAAAATTTTTTAAAAATTAAAAAATTCCACAATCCATTGCTATTATTGTTTATACAATCGATTTTCTTTTTATTTTCCTTTTTTTTTTTTTTTTGAGGAGTCTTGCTGTTTCCCAGGATGGAGTGCAGTGGTGCAATCTCAACTCACTGCAACCTCTGGCTCCTGGGTTCAAATTATTCTTGTACCTCATCCAAGTATCTGGGACTACAGGTGCACACCACCATGTCTGTGTAATTTTTGTATTTTAGTAGAGACAGGGTTTCACCATGTTGCCCAGGCTGGTCTCAAATTCCTGGCCTCAAGCAAGCCACCTGCTCCGGCCTCCCAAAGTGCTGGGATTATCAGCATGAGCCACTGCTCAGGGCCTCAATTTTCTTTTAAAGAGTTTTAACAAATAAGAAAATGAAATGTGTGTATTTGTTCACGTGTTACCATTTCTAGTGCTTGACATTGTTTTGTGGACACCCAGATTTCCATCTCATACCTTTTTCCTTCTGTAGGAAGGATGTCCTTTAACATTTTTGGAGCACAGGTCTGCTGGTGATGAATTCTTTCACATTTTATATTTTTGAATGTATCTTTATTTCACCTTTGTTTTTTGAAAGCTAATTTTGCAGCGTATAGAATTCTATGTGGGCAATTTTAGTCTGTGGGTATTTAAAGATGTGACTCCTCTGTATTCTTGTGTGCATTGTTGCTGGTGACAGATCTGATGTCATCCTTAAATATGTTTGTTCCAGCGTAGATAAGGCGTGTTTTTCCTCTGGTTTCTTTTAAGATGTTTTTAATCATCATTGAGCAATTTTTGATATGCCTTGATGTCATTTCTTCATATTTCTAGTGCTTGAAAGCTCTAGTGAGCTTTCTGGATATGTGGATTTATAGTTCTTATTACATTTGGTAAGATTACATTTTTGTTTTTTGGGGGGTTGTTTCCCCCTTGGGACAGGATCTTGCTACATTGCCCAGGCTGTTCTCAAACTCCTGGGCTTAACTGATCCTCCTGCCTCAACCTTTTGAATAGCTGAGACCACAGGCACGTACCACCACACCTCGCTTGGTGAGTTTTGGATTATTATTTCTTCCAAGAGTTTTTCTGCCATCACTGTGTTTGTCTTTGATGGACTCTAATCACCCACATATGAGGTCAGCTGAATTGCTCCACAGCTCATTGATGCTTTTCCCTTTATTTTTTTTTCTCAGTATTTCTTTTTGGCTACTTTTCTTTGCTATGCCTTAACATTTACAATATTTTTTTCTTTATTTTCTAATTTTCTGTTAATCCCTTGCAGGACATTTCCTCTCACATATCACAGTTTTTATTTATTTCTTTTTAGTTTTTGTAGAGATGGGGTCTTACTATGTTTCCCAGGCTGGTCTTGAACTCCTGGGCTCAAGTGATCCTCCTGCATAGGCCTCCCAAAATGCTGGAATTATAGGCATGAGCCACAGCACCAAGCCCCAGTTTTTCTTTCTTAATGTTAGCTTGAATATTTTTATATCTTTTTTTTTTGTCTACTTAATTTGGGGGATGTACAGTATACAGTTATAAAAACTGATTTAATGTTCTTTTCTGGTAATTCTTACACCTGTGTCAGCTCTGAGTCAGTTTAACATGATTGATTTATCCCTTCATTATGGTCATTTCCCTGTTTTAGTGTGGCTCAAAAGTTTGATAGAAAACCAGACACTGTGAATTTTACTTTGTTGGTTGCTGCATATTTTTGTGTCCCTATAACTTTGAGTTTTGTTCAGGAAGGCAGTCAAGTTGCTGTCAAACAGTTTGATCATTTCAAGTCTTGCTTTTACAATTTGTTTCAAGAGGTCCACAGCAGTACTCAGTCTAGGGGCAATTAGTTCTTACTACTGAGACAAAACCTTCCTGAGTTCGCTACTCTATGCCTTGTGAATTATGAGGCCTTTTTTTCAGTCATCCTTTGGGAAATAGGCATGATTCTAGCTCTGTATGAGTTCCAGGCACTATTCTCTCTAATCTTTTCAAATGGTTTTTCCTCTGAACCTGAGTGGCATCCTCATGTGGATCAGCACTATGCTGCATGCTGGGTCATGTTCTGCAGTTCTTTCTGATTTACTTTCCACAGCTCGCTCCACCCCGCTACTCTCTCTATGGACTCATTGCTATCTTGGCTTCCCTGGACTCTCAGCTCAGTGTCCTCAACTCAAAAGGCTCACTGAGCTCCTCTTCACTTTCCCCTCCCTGTGCCTAAGTTGGAAACCCTCTCAAGGCAGTAAGTTAGAGCAATTATAGGGCTCACCTGTTTGGGGCCTTTCTTCAGGGATTACTTTTTTGCCTGATGTCCTTTTTCGCCTGATGTCCGTAATTTTGAAAATATTCTTTTCATATATTTTGTCCGTTTTATTTTTTTCTTTGTTTTACCAGGCAGGAGAGTGAAATCCAATTCCTCTTACTAATAGAGGTAGCAGCAACCCTTTAGGGGAGTTTACTCTGCCTACCACAGCCACTCACCTTGGTGAACATATTTCTGCAAGCCCCTCAGTCAGTGCTTGCCCCTCACTTCTGAAAGTAAGCCAGTTGAAAGCAACTCTGTCCAATGAGCAGCTCTGAGTGCCAACCAATCAACACCAGCTCACTGATGTCTGTGCCCTTAACCAGTCTCTGAACTCCACACTTTCCACAAATTCTAAGTCCAGTCTCAGAGAGACTGAGTGATCAGCATAGCTCCCTCCCTTTAAGAAGCAATAAATTCAGACTTGTGTTTATTAATGCAGAAATTATGAGGTGGTCTCTTCATTTGACAAATGCCTTAATGTTACAAGTATAGAATTACATAGAAGGAAAACAGAAAGAAGAAAAGAATGCAAGGAAGGGGGAAAATATAAAGAAAGACCATGCAAGTGCCACTGCAGAGGGATCTGAATCAGAGAGAGGAGGAGAAACTCTGAGGGAGAAGAACCTGATGATCCAGTGCCTGTGAGGCTCCCACAGAGCTGGGAGCTGCTGATATCTAAATGTGGGGAGCAGGCTGAGGAGCAGCCAGAACTGAAGGTTTACAGCCTTCCAGAGCGTACATGTTGAAGGCCTAACCTCAGGGTGATTTACATAGTGACAAGGCCTTTAAGGAAGTGATTAAGATTAGTGAGATCATAAGCATGGGGCCCTGATCTGATAGGATTAGTGTCCTTCTAAGAGGAAACTCAGGGAGCTTGTTCACACCACTCCTCCTCCCACAAATCACACACAGTGAGAAGGCCATGTGGGGACACAGAGTCTGTGTGCATCTACAAGCTGGGAAGAGAGCTCTCACTGGTATCCAATCTTGATCTTGAACGTTTAGAATCCAGAATTCTGAAACAGTACATTTCTGCTTTTCGAACCACCCTTTTGATGGTATTTTGTGATGGCAGCCTGAGTTCACTAATACAGAAGGTTTCTTTTATATATATATATATATATATATATATATATATATATATATATATATATTTTATTATACTTTAAGTTCTAGGGTACATGTACACAACGTGCAGGTTTGTTACGTATGTATACATGTGCCATGTTGGTGTGCTGCACCCATTAACTCGTCATTTACAATGGGTATATCTCCAAATGCTATCCTTCTCCCCTTCCCCACCTGACAACAAGCCCCTGTGTGTGATGTTCCCCTTCCTGTGTCCAAGTGTTCTCATTGTCCAATTCCCACCTATGAGTGAGAACATGCAGTGTTTGGTTTTTTTGTCCTTGGGATAGTTTGCTGAGAATGATGGTTTCCAGCTTCATCCATGTCCCTACAAAGAACATGAACATATCATTTTTTATGGCTGCACAGTATTCCATGGTGTATATGTGCCACATTTTCTTAATCCAGTCTATCACTATTGGACATTTGGATGGGTTCCAAGTCTCTGTTGTTGTGAGTAGTGCCGCAATAAACATATGTGTGCATGTGTCTTTATAGCAGCATGATTTATAATCCTTTGGATATATACCCAGTAATGGGATGGCTGGGTCAAATGATATTTCTAGTTCTAGATCCCTGAGGAATCGCCACACTGACTTCCACAATGGTTGAACTAGTTTACAGTCCCACCAACAGTGTAAAAGTCTTCCTGTTTCTCCACATCCTCTCCAGCACCTGTTGTTTCCTGACTTTTTAATGATCACCATTCTAACTGGTGTGAGATGATATCTCATTGTGGTTTTGATTTGCATTTCTCTGATGGCCAGTGATGATGAGCATTTTTTCATGTGTCTGTTAGCTGCATAAATGTCTTCTTTTGAGAAGTGTCTCTTCATATCCTTCGCCCACTTGTTGATGGGGTTGTTTGTTTTTTTTTTTGTAAATTTGTTGGAGTTCATTGTAGATTCTGGATATTAGCCCTTTGTCAGATGAGTAGATTGCAAAAATTTTCTCCCATTCTGTAGGTTGCCTGTTCACTCTGATGGTAGTTTCTTTTCCTGTGCAGAAGCTCTTTAGTTCAATTAGATCCCATTTGTCAATTTTGGCTTTTGTTGCCATTGCTTTTGGTGTTTTAGATATGAAGTCCTTGCCCATGCCTATGTACTGAATGGTATTGCCTAGGTTTTCTTCTAGGGTTTTCATGGTTTTAGGTCTAACATTTAAGTCTTTAATCCATCTTGAATTAATTTTTGTATAAGGTGTAAGGAAGGGATCCAGTTTCAGCTTTCTACATATGGCTAGCCAGTTTTCCCAGCACCATTTTTTAAATAGGGAATCCTTTCCCCATTTCTTATTTTTGTCAGGTTTGTCAAAGATCAGATAGATAGTTGTAGATGTGTGGTATTATTTCTGAGGGCTCTGTTCTGTTCCATTGGTCTATATCTCTGTTTTGGTACCAGTACCATGCTGGTTTGGTTACTGTAGCCTTGTAGTATAGTTTGAAGTCAGGTAGCGTGATGCCTCCAGCTTTGTTCTTTTGGCTTAGGATTGACTTGGCAATGCGGGCTCTTTTTTGGTTCCATATGAACTTTGAAGTAGTTTTTTTCCAATTCTGTGAAGAAAGTCACTGGTAGCTTGATGGGGATGGCATTGAATCTATAAATTACCTTGGGCAGTATGGCCATTTTCACAATATTGATTTGTCCTATCCATGAGCATGGAATGTTCTTCCATTTGTTTGTGTCCTCTTTTATTTCGTTGAGCAGTAGTTTGTAGTTCTCCTTGAAGAGGTCCTTCACATCCCTTGTAAGTTGGATTCCTAGGTATTTTACTCTCTTTGAAGCAATAGTGAATGGGAGTTCACTCATGATTTGGCTCTCTGTTTGTCTGTTATTGGTGTATAAGAATGCTTGTGATTTTTGCACATTGACTTTGTATCCTGAGACTTTGCTGAAGTTGCTTATCAGCTTGAGGAGATTTTGGGCTGAGACAATGGGGTTTTCTAGATATACAGTCATGTCATCTGCAAACAGAGACAATTTGACTTCCTCTTTTCCTAATTGAATACCGTTTATTTCTTTCTCCTTCCTGATTGCCCTGGCCAGAACTTTCAACACTATGTTGAATAGGAGTAGTGAGAGAGGGCATCCCTGTCTTGTGCCAGTTTTCAAAAGGAATGCTTCCAGTTTTTGCCCATTCAGTATGATATTGGCTTTGGGTTTGTCATAAATAGCTCTTATTATTTTGAGATACGTCCCATCAATACGTAATTTATTGAGAGTTTTTAGCATGAAGCGTTGTTGAATTTTGTCGAAGGACTTTTCTGCATCTATTGAGATAATCATGTGGTTTTTGTCTTTGGTTCGGTTTATATGCTGGATTATGTTTATTGATTTGCATATGTTGAACCAGCCTTGCATCCCAGGGATGAACCCCCCTTGATCATGCTGGATAAGCTTTTTGATGTGCTGCTGGATTCGGTTTGCCAGTATTTTATTGAGGATTTTTGCATCGGTGTTCATCAGGGATATTGGTCTAAAATTCTCTTTTTTTGTCGTGTCTCTGCCAGGCTTTGGTATCAGGATGATGCTGGCCTCATAAAATGAGTTAGGGAGGATTCCCTCTTTTTCTATTGATTGGAGTAGTTTCAGAAGGAATGGTACCATCTCCTCCTTGTACCTCTGGTAGAATTCGGCTGTGAATCCATCTGGTCCTGGACTTCTTTTGGTTGGTAAGCTATTAATTATTGCGTCAATTTCAGAGCCTGTCATTGATCTATTCAGAGATTCAACTTCTTCCTGGCTTACTCTTGGGAGGGTGTATGTGTTCAGGAATTTATCCATTTCTTCTAGATTTTCTAGTTTATTTGCATATAGGTGTTTATAGTATTCTCTGATGGTAGTTTGTATTTCTTTGGGATTGGTGGTGATAGCCCCTTTATCATTTTTTATTGCGTCCATTTGATTCTTCTCTCTTTTCCTCTTTATTAGTCTTGCTAGCAGTCTATCAATTTTGTTGATCTTTTCAAAAAACCAACTCCTGGATTCATTGATTTTTTGAAGGGTTTTTCGTGTCTATCTCCTTCAGTTCTACTCTGATCTTAGTTATTTCTTGCCTTCTGCTAGCTTTTGAATGTGTTTGCTCTTGTCACTAGTTCTTTTAATTGTGATGTTAGGGTGTCAATTTTAGATCTTTCCTGCTTTCTCTTGTGGGCATTTAGTGCTATAAATTTCCCTCTACACACTGCTTTAAATGTGTCCCAGAGACTCTGGTATGTTGTGTCTTTGTTCTCGTTGGTTTCAAAGAACATCTTTATTTCTACCTTCATTTCATTATGTACCCAGTAGTCATTCAGGAGCAGGTTGTTCAGTTTCCATGTAATTGACTGGTTTTAAGTGAGTTTCTTAATTCTGAGTTCTAGTTTGATTGCACTGTGGTCTGAGAGACAGTTTGTTATAATTTCTGTTCCTTTACATTTGCTGAGGAGTGCTTTACTTCCAACTATGTGGTCAATTTTGGAATAGCTGCATTGTGGTGCTGAGAAGAATGTATATTCTGTTGATTTGTGGTGGAGAGTTCTGTAGATGCCTATTAGGTCTGCTTGGTGCAGAGCTGAATTCAATTCCTGGATATCCTTTTTAACTTTCTGTCTCGTTGATCTGTCTAATGTTGACAATGGGGTGTTAAAGTCTCCCATTATTATTGTGCGGGAGTCCAAGTCTCTTTGTAGGTCTCTAAGGACTTGCTTTATGAATCTGGGTGCTCCTGTATTGGGTGCATATATATTTAGGATAGTTAGCTCTTCTTGTTGAATTGATCCCTTTACCATTATGTAATGGCCTTCTTTGTCTCTTTTGATCTCTGTTGGTTTAAAGTCTGTTTTATCAGAGACTAGGATTGCAACCCTGCCTTTTTTTGTTTTCCATTTGCTTGGTAGATCTTCCTCCATCCCTTAATTTTGAGCCTATGTGTGTCTCTGCACATGAGATGGGTTTCCTGAATACAGCACACTGATGGGTCTTGACTCTTTATCCAATTTGTCAGTCTGTGTCTTTTAATTGGAGCATTTAGCCCATTTACATTTAAGGTTAATATTGTTATGTATGAATTTGATCCTGTCATTATGATGTTAACTGGCTATTTTGCTTGTTTGTTGATGCAGTTTCTTCCTAGCATCGATGGTCTTTACAATTTGGCATGCTTTTGCAGTGGCTGGTACCAGTTGTTCCTTTCCATGTTTAGTGCTTCCTTCAGGAGCTCTTATAGGGCAGGCCTGGTGGTGACAAAATCTCTCAGCATTTGCTTGTCTGTAAAGGATTTTATTTCTCCTTCACTTATGAAGCTTAGTTTGGCTGGATATGAAATTCTGGGTTGAAAATTCTTTTCTTTAAGAATGTTGAATATTGGCCCCCACTCTCTTCTGGCTTGTAGAGTTTCTGCCGAGAGATCAGCTGTTAGTCTGATAGGCTTCCCTTTGTGGGTAACCCGACCTTTCTCTCTGGCTGCCCTTAACATTTTTTCCTTCATTTCAACTTTGGTGAATCTGACAATTATGTGTCTTGGAGTTGCTCTTCTCGAGGAGTATCTTTGTGGCATTTTCTGTATTTCCTGAATTTGAATGTTGGCCTCCCTTGCTAGGTTAGGGAAGTTCTCCTGGATAATATCCTGTAGAGTGTTTTCCAACTTGGTTCCATTCTCCCCGTCACTTTCAGGTACACCAATCAGATGTAGATTTGGTCTTTTCACATATTCCCATATTTCTTGGAGGCTTTGTTTGTTTCTTTTTATTCTTTTTTCTCTAAACTTATCTTCTCGCCTCATTTCATTCATTTGATCTTCAGTCACTGATAGCCTTTCTTCCAGTTGATCGAATTGGCTACTGAAGCTTGTGCATTCATCATGTAGTTCTCGTGCCATGGTTTTCAGCTCCATCAGGTCCTTTAAGGACTTCTCTGCATTGGTTATTCTAGTTAGCCACTCATCTAATCTTTTTTCAAGATTTTTAACTTCTTTGAGATGGGTTCAAACTTCCTCCTTTAGCTCGGAGAAGTTTGATCATCTGAAGCCTTCTTCTCTCAACTCGTCAAAGTCATTCTCCATCCAGCTTTGTTCTGTTGCTGGTGAGGAGCTGCTTTCCTTTGGAGGAGGAGAGGTGCTCTGATTTTTAGAATTTTCAGTTTTTCTGTCCTGTTTTTTCCCCTTCTTGGTGGTTTTATCTACCTTTGGTCTTTGATGATGGTGACGTACAGATGGGGTTTTGGTGCAGATGTCCTTTCTGTTTGTTAGTTTTCCTTCTAACAGTCAGGACCCTCAAGTGCAGGTCTGTTGGAGTTGGCTGGAGGTTCACTCCAGACCCTGTTTGCCTGGGTATCAGCAAATGTTGATGTCTGATCGTTCCTCTGGAAGTTTCATCTCAGAGGGGTACCCGGCTGTGTGAGGTGTCAGTCTGCCCCTACTGGGGGGTGCCTCCCAGTTAGGCTACTCAGGGGTCAGGGACCCACTTGAGGAGGCAGTCTGTCCATTCTCAGATCTCAAACTCTGTGCTGGGAGAACCACTACTCTCTTCAAAGCTGTCAGACAGGGACATTTAAGTACGCAGAGGTTTCTGCTGCCTTTTGTTCAGCTATGCCCTGCCCCCAGAGGTGGAGTCTACAGAGGCAGGCAGGCCTTCTTGAGCTGCGGTGGGCTCCACCCAGTTCCAGCTTCCCGGCCCCTTTGTTTACCTACTCAAGCCTCAGCAATGGTGGGCGCCCCTCCCCCAGCCTCACTGCCACCTTGCAGTTCAATCTCAGACTGCTGTGCTAGCAATGAGTGAGGCTCCGTGGGCGTGGGACCCTCCGAGCCAGGCGCAGGATATAATCTCCTGGTGGGCCGTTTGCTAAGACCATTGGAAAAGTGCAGTATTAGTGTGGGAGTGACCTGATTTTCCAGGTGCCATCTGTCACAGCTTTGCTGGGCTATGAAAGGGAATTCCCTGACCCCTTGCGCTTCCCAGGTGAGGCCATGTCTTGCTCTGCTTCAGCTCACACTCAGTGCGCTGCACCCACTGTCCTGCACCCACTGTCCGACAAGCCCCAGTGAAATGAACCCGGTACCTCAGTTGGAAATGCAGAAATCACCCATCTTCTCCATCGCTTGCACTGGGAGCTGTAGCCAGGAGCTGTTCCTATTCGGCCATCTTGGAACTGCCTCAGAAGGTTTCTTAGACAGTGGCCTAGGCAGCTTTTACATGGGCCTTTGTGGGAGCAGCCCAGGTTTTGCTCAGTGCTCAGTTTCTGTAATCTGCATCCACACCTGCTCTACCCTTGTTTAGGCTGATCTTGGTCTTCAGAAAGAAACTTGGTCATAAGTTTATGGTTTCATAGCTTAATTGTCCACAAGAAAGAATGACCTGGATCAAGGATCTTCTTTGATTTTCTTTGGAAAAAGTTTGATATCTGACCTTGGACAACTGCACTCAGATTCTGCGGGGTGACCCTGTGACCTCACGTGCCCTGCACTTCCTTTTCCTGAGAGCTTTCACTGCTCTGGACTCTCCAGAACCACAAGGCAAGGGTTTGGCTGCAGGTGAAGGATGTGAACCAGTCCTGGAAGACCCAGTGGAAAAGGAAAGAATCCCCAGGATGAGGAATGGGAGGAAGGGTGAGAGGCTCTTCTTAGAGAAAGAAAGGTGGCTGGAGGATCAGAGAACTCTGTGTGTGTGTGTGTGTGTGTGTGTGTGTGTGTGTGTGTGTGTGTCTGTGTGTGTGTCCAGGATGAGGTTAGTGGAGTTCCAGAGAGACAGGGTTGCCTTCTGGGGCTGAGAATATGGATTCCTTGGTATTCAGGCTCTGGTCCTCTTCCTCTCCTGGTCCTGCTCATCCTGCCTCCCACTCCTCCCTTCCTCCTCATTCTGTCCTTCAGCCTTTTTGTCACCACTCCTCCTTCCTCTTTCTGCTCCCACTCCCCCATGTCCTGTCACCTCCTTTTCCTTTCACACACAGAGGATGCAGGTCAACACTGGAAAGGGTTGCTGCAGTCTGAGAAGCTGAAGGAATGTTTTACACCATCAGGAGAAGCTATACAGCTATGGAAATAAAGATCATGTGTATTGTTGGAAAAAATAGAACATATATCAATGGAAGAGAAGAGAGAATTCAGAAATAGATCCTTACATATATGTTTAATGATTCTTAGACATGAATATAGTTATATGTATATATATAATCACCTTTTTGATGATTATCTATCTTTACCTCCAAAATAGGGAACATTAGGAGAACTTAAAAAGAAGCCACAATATAGGAGATACTATATTTATATCCAACAAAGGATTTTTTAATAGTATGTATATAATGCAGTCTGATAATATAAACAGCACAATGAAATGATTTCGCAAAAGACTTGAGTAGATACTTCAGAAAAGAAGTTACGTGAATGGTCAATTAGCACATGCAAAGATGCTCAACTCTTTAGTCATCTGGGAGATCAGTCAATACAATGATGAGATACCATTACATATCTATGAGAACAATAAAGTTAAAAAGGCTGAAAATAACACATGTTGGTAAGGATATAAAGCACTTGGAAGTCTTACCCTTGTGGGAATGAAAAATGGTCTGACTTCTTTAAAAATCTGGATAACAGTTTCTTCTAAGTTTAAACACATACAAATCAGATGGGCAGTCTTTCTGTTATGGGGGGTGGGGGGGGCAGGGAGTCGGGGGGTCCTTGCTCCCAGAGCTCCCAAGATGGTGGTGGGCCACTTCCAAGATGGTGGCAAGCCTTGTGTTCTCTGACCTGGTGTTCTTGGCCTCATGGATTCCAAGGAATGGAATCTTGGGCCATGCAGTGAGTGTTATAGCTCTATTAGAAGCTGTGGGTCATGGAAGAGAACCGTGGAACCCAGTGACTAGTGTTCAGCTCGATTAGGATGAACCCAGGCACTTAGCCATGCAGGAACAATGGCAAGCCTTTAGCCCATTAGGGAGCAGCAATGGGTGCCTCGCTGGATCAGGAGCAAAGCAGACTCCCTGCTGGATCCGGAGGGATGGAAGTCAGCGGTGGGTCTGCGATGGTGGCAAACATCAGTGGTGGACAGTGAGTGAAAGCTCAGCTGGAGCTGTAACAAACACGGACTAGAAGAGTGTGCAGTTGCAAGATTTAATAGAGTGAAAACAGAGCTCCCTACAAAGGGAGGGGATCCAAAGAGGGTAGCTGTTGCTGGCTCGAATGCCTGGGTTTATATCCCGATCATTGTCCCTCCCACTGTGCTCTCAGGCAATAGATGATTGCTTATTTCTTTACCTCCTGTTTTTGCCTAATTAGCATTTTAGTGAGCTCTCTTTACTACCTGATTGGCCGGGTGTGAGCTAAGTTGCCAGCCCCTTGTTTAAAGGTAGATGCGGTCACCTTCACAACTAGGCTTAGGGATTCTTAGTCAGCCTAGGAAACAAGCATGGTGTAGCCACACAAAGGAATACTACTCAGTAATTACAGCGTATTAACAGTTGATGAAAATACTTATACAGATGGATTAATATGATGCATGAAAGAAGGCAGACACAAAAGAACACAGGTCTAATTTCATTTACAGAAAATGGTTAAAAATGCAAACTGACCTAACGTGACACTTGCTCCCTGGGGTGGAGGGTTGAAAGAGTGATGAACTGCAAAGCCTTACAAGAAACTTTAGGCTTATGGAAATTCCCATGTCTTGATTATAGCAGTTGTTCCATTTGTGTATACATTTGTAAATATGCATTTAATTATACATTTTAAAGTGCTGCAGTCTATTGTACTTAATTTATACCTTTATAACATTGACTTAATAATCTTAATATCTCCATACTAGCAATTACCAGATAGAACATGAAATTCAATAAAACATAATAGAGATTAATGTCGAAAATCATTGCATGCTTAAGAATGCATATAATGAAGCAGATTCAAAGCCCCTGAAAGCTATTGGTGAGAGAAATTAAAGAAGAGTAAATAGAGAAATGTATATCATGTTCATGGATTGGAAGACTCAATTTTGTGAGGATATCACATCAACATAATTCTGATTAATAATTCTAGTAGGAGTTTTAAAGAAATGTAAATGCTAATTTAAAAATGTATTTGAAAATCAAATAATCTAGAATAGGCAAGTTGGTCTTGAAAAAGTTGGAAGACTTACTCTACTAGATTTCAAAACTCATTTTAGAGCAACAATAATTTAGAAGCTATGGTACGGGTGTAAGTATACATAAATAAAGTAAAAGAATACAGATTCAAAAAATACACCCCCTATGTACAGTTATTTAAATTTTTTAGAAACAAAGACACCAATGCCCTTCATTGGGGAAATGAGAGACTTTTCAATAGAAAGTTTCCGAGTGAAATAATATTTGTTGTTTTAAAAAGTTAATAGTAACAGCCACTTTCTACCATACATTGAAATTAACTTAAGATGTGAAAGTTAGAATTAGAAACCTTCTAAAGGAAAAAATACAAACTATTTTCATGAACTTGACATAGGAAAATATTTCTTAGACCAGAAAATATTTCTTAGACTGTAGCACTGACCACAATAAGAAATCAGTTAAATTGTACTTCATTTTTAAAAAGCTTCTGCTTATTATAGGTTAGTGTTTAACAAGGCAAAACCTATCTGGAGACCAAGAATAATTATCTGCAACATATATGCATGTTGCAAATAAATACATTTATATATATTAATATATATATATATTTATATATATATATATATATATATATATATATATATATATATATATATATATATATTAGTCTTGAGTGGGTCCAACCTCTATGGTCCCCTCTGTTTGGCATGGGGTGAGGAAGTCCACTCTGGCCTTAGAACAGCATGGACTGCCAGGCATTCTCAGAGAGGGTCTCAACTTCAACGCTTCACATGTACATATATGAAACAATGGACTCATTCAAAATATATAAATAACTCCAATAGATCACAAAGAAAATGATAAACAACCCAGTGTATCAATGAGTGGAAAAATTTGAAAAGGTGCTTTACATAAGAAGATATCCAAATGACCAATAAGCATGTGAAAACCAAAATATCCCTACACATCTGGTAGAATGGCTAAAATTTAAAAGACTGAAAATATTAAGTGTGTAGGAATGTAGAACGACTGGAAATAGCCTACGTTTTTCATAGAAATGTAAAATAATATAATCATTTTGCAAAACTCTGTGTCCGTTTTCAGCCTTTCACCAAGAAATTCCATCCCTAGCTATCGATACCAAGGAGAAATGAGTATGTATATTCACAGAAAGAAGTGTATAAGAATATTCAGTTACTTATGCATAAGAGCCAACAAGTAAACCTGTCTACCATCACAAAAATGGATATGAAATTGTGTGATAATTATGCAATAAATAGGATATTACTAGGTCAAAACAAAATGAAATGAAAGAAAAACACAAACAAATTGGTAGCATACTGATATATCCAACTGATTAAGAGAAGTCAAAACAAGAGAAGATACTGAATGATTTCATTGTTATGAAGCACAAAAATAAGCAAAATTAATCAGTTGTGGCTGCTATAGTTTAGATATTTGTCCCCTCCCAATCTCATGTTTAAATTTGATCCCCAATGTTGGAGGTGGGGCTTAATGGGAGGTGTTTGGGTTATGGGAGTGGATCCCCCGTGAATAGATTAATCCCCTCCCTGGGAGAAGGTAGTGAGTGAATTCTCATTCTATTAGTTCCTGCAAGAACTGCTTATTAAAAAGAGTCTTGAGCTTTTCCTCTCTCTTTTGCTTCCTCTTTCACCATATGATCTTTGCACACACTGGTTCCCTTTCATCTTCTGCAGGGTGGGGAAGCAGCCTCAGGCCCTCATTAAGAGCAGTTGTTGGTGCCATTCTTCTTCTGCAGCCTACAGAACTATGAGCGAAATACATCTCTTTTCTTTATAAATGACCCAGCCTCTTGTATTCCTTTATAGCAACGCAAAGGGACAAAAGGACTAAGATAGTGACAAAATTTAGAATATATTCTTCATTTGGGGGATGAGTATTGACTGGCAAGGAGCACGTCAGAACTTTTTGGCATAGAGGAAAATGTTCCCTCTCTTGATGTGGGTGTTATTATATAAGGTATAATTATATTAAAAGTCATAAGTCTGTACCCTTAGGTTTTTTGTAGTTTACTCCATGCAAATTATATCTTAGTGAATAGCTGGTAGCATAAAACAAAGTGACAGATGGCAAACACTCAAAAAATAAAAATTGACAGAAGATAGGTAACAAATATTCAGCAGATAAATAATAGGGATCACTTGAGAAAAAAAGAAAAACAAAAACAATGGAATAGAACAAACACAAAAAAGTTTTATTTAAAAAAAGAGTTTGACATTTAAAAGTTTGAAATAATATTAAAGTGACACCCTGTTTCCTTGGAAACACAATGCAGAACCACAAACTCTGAGACTTATTATAGCGAAAGTATTGTCATTCAGTTCAATCTAATGGTATGAGGTTAGCTTTGAAGGCCAAAAGAAACTAGTTTCTAATTCTTATTCTTCTCCCCACTAGACTTGTGGCCTAGGTAATTTTGTAATCTTTCTGAGTCTGTTTTCTCATCAGGAGCAGGATAATTCCTAAGTAATAGATCATATGTAGAAGTGAATATGATCTCATGGCAGTGGACATCAACCATAGTTAATTATTAAGAATATATTTACATTGAGCTATCCTTTATCTACTTTAAAATTGCAGACAAACAACAATTGACAAAGAATAGATAAAATGTTCTAACATAAACATTCTTCCATTCTTTCTAGGAAGAAGTCACACATACAGTAAAAATAATTAGAGAGGACCCAGTTCATATCGAACAACCTTCCCCAAACCCTGAAACAGGTCTGCTTTCTAACATCAGAGATGAAAGCAGTCTATTCCAGACAGAGGGGCTTGTAGGGGTTGGACCCCCTGCAGGCCTGTCTACCTGGAATAGACTAAGAAATTCTGCTCCAGCCTTAGAACAGCATGGGCTGCCAAGCGTTCCCACAGAGGCTCTCGACTTCAGCTCTAGATGTGCTGAGGAATACGTGCACGTGGGTCGGGTTAAGGCCAGCTGAATCACACGATCAGGGCTGTCATCAGCATCAAAGTCAGTGGAAGGATGCCAGTCCCCAGAGCTCTGTTCCAGGCCACGGGATGCTCCCTGGAGGGGTGGTGGGCATATCAGTACCAATCAGGGGAAATATCAGTAATAGACAAGAGGCATAAATAAACAATGTCTGTCCTCCACTAAAACCCAGGAAAGTTCTCATTCCAAAAGCGATGTCTTGAAGAAAACATAGGTATAAATCTTTGTGATTCTGGATTAGACACTGCTTAAGTAGGCACAAGCAACACCAAAATAGAAAGATAAATGGACTTCATTAAAATAAAAAATCTTTCATGCTTCCAAGGACTCTGTCAAGGAAGTGAAAAGATAATCCATGTAATGGGAGAACTATTTGCAAATCATATACCTAACAAAGGTCTAGTATCTACAGTATATAAAGAATTCATATAAGTGAGCAAAAAAGACAATTTAAAAATGGGAAAAAAGTTTGAATAGACATTTCTGTAAATGATACATACAAATGGCCAACAAGCACATACGGAGAGGTTCAATGTTTTTCCTCATTAGGAAAATGTAAACTTAAATCAAAATGAAATACCACTTCAGACCCACAAGGGTGACTTTAAAAAAAACACAACATATGTTTGGAAAGTTATGGAGAAAATGGAATTCTCATATATTACTAGTGGGAATGTAAAATGCTGTAGCCACTGAGATTGGAAAACAGTCTGTCGGTTCCTCAAAAACTTAAACATAAAGTCATATATGATGCAGCAATGGCACTCCTAGGTATATAACCAAGAAAATTAAAATCAAATATTCACTCAAAAACATGTACAAAAATGTTCATAGCAGCATTATTCATAATAGTGAAAAAGTGGAAACATCCCAAACCACCATCAGTTGATGAACAGGTAAACAAAATGTGGTATAACTATAAAATGGAATATCATTTGGCCACAAAAAGGATTGAAGTACTGCTGCATGCTACAACAAGGATGAACCTTGAGAACATTGTGCTAAGTAAGAGATGCAGATGCAAAAGGCAATGTTGCATTATTCCATATACAGGAAATGCCCAGATCAAATATATCTATATATAGAGAAGGTAGATTAGTGTTTGTCAGGGACTGCAAAAACGGGGTAATTGGAGAGTGACTGCCAGTAAGTACAGGAATGCTTTCCAGCATTGCTGAAGTATTCTGAAATTAGGTAGTGGTGATGGTTGCAAAACCTTCGGAATATAGTAAAAGACGCTGAATGGTATGCATAAAAATGGTGACTTTTGTGATATATGAATTATACTTTAGAAGTAATAATAGCAACAGTAATAAAGAGAGGTATCTTTCCACACCTCCATGTCCTGTATTTTTATTAAGAAAGAAAAAAAAAAAGGCTTTTTAAGGCCAGGTTCAGTGGCTCACTCCTGTAATCCCAGCAATTTTGGAGGCCTAGGTGGGAGGATGGTTTGAGGCCAGAAGTTTGAGAGCAGCCTGAGAAACATAGCATCACCTCATCTCTACAAAACATTAAAAAACTTAGCCAAGATAGTGATGTGTGCATAGAGTTCCAGCTACTTCTGAAGTTCGGACAGGAGGATCGCTTGAGCCTGGAAGTTTCAGGTAGCAGTGAGCAGTAATCACTACTGCACTTCAGCCTGAGTAACAGAATGAGACCCTGTCTCACAAAGAGGCATGTCACATAGTAAGTGGCCAGAATAGGTTGCTGACAGCATGTCTAGAGGAAATGTATTAGATAAAACAAATTAAATTCAAAAACTTTTTTTGAGGCGGGGGGCAGAAATGAGGTACAGGGGAGAGAAACACCTACTTGGAAAGAACCACACAACTGAATTGGAGAACTTGGAATGGGGCTTGTAGGAGGGGGAATCTACCTGAGATCTGGCTCCAGTACTTACAGCAAAGGGAACTTGGGTGAGTTACAGACTCTCTGTGCCTTGGTTTCTTCATCAGCAAAACAGAATCATCCCATAAACTGTAAGGTCCGTGGTATCAGAGGGTCCCCAAACTGACTGCACATCTGAGTCATGTTAACAAACACATTCCAGGCCCCACCTGAGCACGCTGAATCAGAATCCCTGCAAGGAGGACACTGAACCTGTATTTGCACTGACCTTCCAGGTGTTTCTTACTCTGATCAACTTGGGGGTAGGAACCATTGAGCTGCATCACATCATTCCAAAGCCCAAACACAAAAGCAGAACAAGAATATATTCAATGCAGTCTCTAAAGCAGAGAAATCTCTTGGGGGAACCTAGAAGTGAAGGAGACCTGGCTTGCTGGGCTCCATCTTATCTTTATCCTGACTACGGCAGAGACACGAGCCCTTCGGGACACATGCCTGAGGCAGTGACAGTCCAACTTTGGAACAGTGGAAGCCCTAGTTTCAAATTCAAGCTTGCTTTGAGTAGAAATTAAGTTTACATCTTTTTGTCCAGCAACAAGGCCAGTCTTCTGCAAGCTGCTTACCTTACAAGGAAAAAAAACAAAATCCTACTACTAAGAATTCAAACTTCAGCAGACATGGGTAAGGAAGTCTTATAAATCTGTTCTAGCCACCTAAAAATAAACCAGAAATTTAGCAAGTTCTTTCACATTCAGGACAGTCGTGTTCACTAGATCAGAGGCACTGAGACATGAAGAAAAGACCCGCTAAAAAGGGAAAGCCTTCCTTCCTGCCCTAGGACATCCCTGCCAACTTCAGGGAGGTGGGAACCCAGCTGCGCTCTCTACAGTATGGGTTACTTTTGTGTCTGGAAGGTGTCTGACATCCTGAGACCTGGACCCATTTCAAGGAGCTTTGGGAAGAGCCCAGATCACTGATGGAATTGGACAGTGCGTGGAAATGGTTCAGCAGGATGAGGGTAAGTGCAGGATCACGGCCAGGTCATTCTGAGAGACAATGAGTGGCACTGATGGGGTCAGACAAAGATTAAAAACAAAAGTTTGTGCTTCGACTTCAGAAACTCAAATCAATAACTAATTTGCTCTTATAAGTAATAAGAAGCATTTTTCTATCTACATGAGAATTTAATCTCAAAACAGAAATCAGAAAAAATAGCAAGTCCAGGGCATAAAACCTAAACCAGTGCTTAGATTTATTCATTTTAAATAGAGCTAAGAGTAAAATCTTCTCCATAAAATATATATTGTATCTATACATAAAATATATATTGTATCTGAGTTCAGGGTGTGATGAGTGTGACCATGGACTACCCAGCATTCATGTGGAAGTGAAGGAAGAGGACTGGATCAATCCCAGCGGAAAGCGTGCTTCTCAGCAGCCCGCACCATCCTCCACCTACACTGTGTAATGACAGTGCTTTGAGATGTAGCAAAGGCTATAAATTTATCTATTCTCTGGTGTCTCAGAGACCTGACATTCTGTGTCAGAAAGAAAAGTTATAAAAAGGCAAAAGTCTTAATGAGAATCATTGGTACTCAATAGAATAGTGCATTAAATACAGCCAAGGGAAGACCCAAGTCTCATATTTCTCTTGTATATTCCAAAGTTCCAGTGAAATTCCAGGTAATAGAGGTTATTTCCCACACTGTTAAAGCAAGATTGCAGGCACTTCTGAATTTCGGTCCCAATGCTGAAGGAGGGCACACCTCTGTCCTGGAAAATGACACAGGAATGAATGCTCTTCCCATGACTCATTCTGGTCATTCTTCCAGCATCACAGAAACCAAAAAATAGAAATATAGCCAAATACATGATTTGCTATCCCTCTTCTTCAGGTTTCTTACCTGTTTCTTATGGATAATAACATTGCCTTAAGGATTATGATGAAAATATGATATCCAAGTATGTGTACAGTTTTGAACAAAATGCCTAGTATGAATTGGTCAATAAATAATTATGTTTATTTATTGAATTACATGGATTCTATAAATAATTACTGAATAATTATTGTGATTCCTTTTATTGGCAGTGCTCAAAATGCATCCCTGTGTGACCTCAAGTAAACCAGTAACTTTGTGAACCTGCAGTTTTATCATTTTTAAAGTGAAGAAACTAGACAGATTTTCATTCTGACACAGAATGTCAGGTCTTTGAGACACCAGAGAATAGATAAATTTATAGCCTTTGCTACATCTCAAAGCACTGTCACTACACAGTGTAGGTGGAGGATGGTGCGGGCTGCTGAGAGGTGCGCTTTCCACTGGGATTGATCCAGTCCTCCTCCTTCACTTCCACATGAATGCTGCGTAGCCCGTGGTCACACTCATCACACCCTCAACTCAGGCAAGTCCAGCAGCCACACTTAGGAGACCTGGGCTACAGGACAATCTCCCAAGTCCTAGCCTCACAAGACCTAGTTGAAGATGGAAGCTGAGAAAGTGAGGAGGCGGTTTGGGGGAGCACACTCCCCTACTCATCCCTCTCATCTCAAACTCACCTTCTACTGCACAGGAACACTGAGGATCACCAACCACCCGTGACCATGAGCTTGATCTTGCCAGGTTCGGTTAGTGGAATGCAACCACACATCAACAGTGTTAGAGCAACTATATATATATATATATATATATATATATATGTATATATATATATATATATGTATATATATATATGTATATATATATATATATACACATATGTATATATATATATATATATATATGTATATATATATCTCCAACAATATTCCCTGAGAAGCGTTCAATGCCCTGTTCTTTTCAATATATGGGAAAACTAAAAACAACAAAATACCATCAGGTTTACAAGACTTCCCAAGATAGATGGTCACACATGTTTTCAGGGGATATATACAAATGATTTTGATCACTTGATACCTTGAAAAGAGCTATTTTGGGACGAGAATGATATTCGTAAGTGACAAGTATGAAACGAGTGTTCAGTGACATTAAAAAAGCAAACCGACCCACACATAGAGGAAGAGCTTTGGACGTAGGGATGTGAAACTGGTCTTAAGTGTAATGAAAAGCCAAGATGCTGCCCCAGTAAGAGAAAAGAAATCAACATAACAATGGGATGCAGCAAGAATACTGAGACAGGGTAGAAAATCTTTTTTAAAAGTGAATTATTCCTTCATTTTCAGTCGATACAGAAAAAACTGCAGAAGACCCAGAGGGATATCATAGCAGACTAAAAGTTTGCTATCTTTCACTTGTGGAAAAGCATTAAGATCATTTTACCTTAAAAAGAAGGTGAGGTGACTTGATGACTACCACTAAGAAAATATAACCTTCTGGAAAACTATCCCTACCTTGATGATTTTATACACACAAGAGATGAACAATGAGGAATATGCTTATATGTATTGAGAAAGAGGTGGGCCTGTAGCATTGTCACAAGGGTGCACAAATACTGAGAGTGACTGCTGAAGAAATGGTCCCCATCAGTGACCCTCAGGTGAGACCAGGGGGCCTAGTGTTTCAGCACAGCCTGGGCAATTGGAATGCAGGGTTTCTAAGATTCCATGACACCCCCACCTTCTAATTCTGTTATTGCAACTGCAGACCGTTACCTGGTACGCTGGCTGCTACCTCCCTCACTCTTGTCAGAGTCGGAGCTACAGGCAGTGCCTTCAGCTCTGAGCTCAGGCATCCCGGTCCCTGTTTTTGCGGTTAAGGACTCTAAAGTGTTGTGTCGTGTTCATCAACTTTTTCTCAACCGTAAGTTAACAATTCCAGTAATTGTCATCTCTCAGTCCTGATTAAACCTAATTGATTTCACTATTTTTTGACCCATCATGTGTCTGGGTTTCTTCTCCCCAGTCCCTGGCTCTACCTCTTCTGCCACAAACGTCAGCATGGTGGTATCTGCCGACCCTTTGTCCAGCGAGAGGGCAGAGATGAACATCCTAGAAATCAACCAGGAATTGCGCTCGCAGCTGGCAGAGAGCAATCAGCAGTTCCGAGACCTCAAAGAGAAGTTCCTTATAACTCAAGCTACTGCCTACTCCCTGGCCAACCAGCTGAAGAAATACAGTAAGTTCTATAGATTCACAATGATGAACGTGATGAATGATCACCTGTGTTCTGAGAAACTGAACGGTCTTTTCATCGAAATTAATTTCATCCTTCCCATACTTCTAGGAAAATAGAAGTGGATGTTTTAACCTCATTTTGTTAAACATGGAAAACAGAGGCACAAAGTATTTAGCAACTTTTCCACATTGGCAGTCTGGTGTGAGGTGGGACTAGACTTAAAATCCTACTTATTGTCTTCTGACACAGGCACAGAACCACCTGTTTTCCTCAGTAAGAGGCTAAATCATGTTTATGAGAATCCTCTCTGTACCATATAAGATTCTACAGACAAGTAACATCTAGTCTGTTGGTCTAAATGTCTGGGACTAATGAACTTCCATTCAGTTCAAGCTTCTTTGAGGCCCAATAGGCAAAGCTCCATCCAGAGGACCCTGGGGGAAACATGGCAACTGTACAGAGTACCCACTCTAAGGAGCTTAAAGAGGAGACTGCCCCTAACAGAAACTGTGATATCTGTGACACCCTTCAAAGCAGGGAGTGTCCCAGTGAGAGGGAAGTGCTGCTTCCTGGGGCACAGGCTCTTATTCCTGAAGAGGAAGAAAGATGGCACATGAGACATTGTAGAGGTAGCAGTGTAGTGTGCAGAGCAGGGACCCTGGGCCAGTCTCCTGGGCTCCATCCAAGTTGCCTATCTTCTCTGTGCCTCAGTTTCCTCATCTGCTCATTGAGTACTATAATAATACCTACCTCTGTAAATTACTGCAATGAATTACATGACCTATTTCTTGTAAATTTCCTAGAACAGTTCTTGGAACAGAGTAAACACTATCTATTAGTTCTTCATTCTACTATTTCTAACTTAATTCAAACTTTAGTAGTATTTGGGCATATTTCTACTATAGCCTCACGGTCTTGTGCCTCATATTTTATGCAATTATATCCAGATATGATTTTTTAAATGTTTGACATATTCGCACTTGAAATTCCCAGTACAAGGGAAACTTTGGGTCCCATAGTCCTAGGGCCTTCCTGACTGTATAGAAAATCACTACTTCATGCACCAGTGCAGTGTTTTACAGGAGAGGCCGCAAGGCTTGGGAAAGTGGCCCAGGATTCAGAGTCAGACCTCAGGGGCTGTGAATTCTGACTCCGCCTTCTTCCAGGTGAATCATCTTGTCAAGTTACTTGATGTGCCCTTGTGTTTCTTTCTCCCCATCCCTGAGTTGGGGAGTATCAGATGCCAGAAAGTTGGGAGGTTGATAAATAAAGATGTGGAAATGCCTGCCTGGAGCCTGGTACTGGAGCTGCTTTCGTCCTTGGGATGGATGCTGCCGCCTGCCCTATAGACAGTGACCCCAGCAGCATGTCCCACCTTCCACTGAGGCAGGCGTGTCTGTCTTTTCTCAGAGTGTGAAGAGTACAAAGACATCATAGACTCTGTGCTGAGGGATGAACTGCAGTCCATGGAGAAGCTGGCAGAGAAGCTCAGGCAAGCTGAGGAGCTCAGGTGAGCGGGCCCCACTGGGGGCAGGCAGATGGGCAGGGGTGTGAATCTCTGAAGTGCAGCAACTCAGCTGGGAGAACTAAGAGCTGAGCTGGGCCAGGACAACGGCAGGCATTTACATGGCAGGCACGTGTCACACAAATATTTATAAAACAGAGAACAGTCATCTTAGTAAGTTATGGGTTGTAGTTGTTTCTTAAGCCTTGTTTTCTCTTCTTAAAACCACTGATTGTTGAGGTAAAATTTGCATAACACAAAATAAACCAAAAAAAGTGAACCACTCAGAAGCATTTAGGATACTCAGAATGGTGTGCGATCACCACCACCTTTACTCTTCGTCAGAATCACCTCTTGACTGACTGTGGCGTTTCATTTGTTCAATCAATATTGCCTTCTTAACACTGTCATTCTTTTCTTCTTTCATCTTTCCAATTCACCCCATCTGCACCTGGCCACATTTCTGTGCATGGATTTGTATCTAGTCACTGCAAGATGCACTATGTGAATTTTCACATAGAGATGCCCATGGCCAAAGTGAGGAACTGAAAGGACATCCTTGTGGAACTGATTTAGGAAGACACTAACTTTTGTTTACAGAAGAAAAAGATGAATGGAACATCTGCGAGGATATTACAGAAGCACTCTCTCATATATCAGAAGGCTGTGTGTGTGTGTGTTTGTATATATATGTGTGTGTATGTTTGTATATATGTATGTGTGTGTGTGTGTGTGTGTGTGTGTGTGTGTATATATATATATTCTTCTTTCTCTTGGCCACAGACATTTCCCCAAACATGTTCTGACCTTCTGCTTGGAGGTCTCCTTGAGGACATTCTCAGAGAAACCTCTGTTGCGGTATTAGAACTGATCACTCATCCCTTTCCATTATTAAATGTTCTCTACTATCTCACCTTAGGCAGTATAAAGCCCTGGTTCACTCTCAGGCAAAAGAGCTGACCCAGTTACGGGAGAAGTTACGGGAAGGGAGAGATGCCTCCCGCTGGCTGAACAAGCATCTGAAAACCCTCCTCACTCCTGATGACCCTGACAAGTCCCAGGGTCAGGACCTCCGAGAGCAGCTGGCTGAGGGGCACAGGCTGGCAGAGCACCTTGTTCACAAGCTGAGCCCAGGTAAGGTGGCCATGGGCCCTGATGACACACAGCTTCAGGCTTATGAAAGTCCCCAGACCTCCACACCTCCACAATGACAATTGTATGGGTAGTGTTTCTTTCCAGTAAACTTTTGTGGCCACGACATGATCAGAATTTCTTGGGTGGGAGCAGAGATGGGAAACCCATGGGGTGGAGGTTACAGAATGGCAAATGTATCCTCCTTTCTTGATGGAATGTGGTCTTTAGAGCAAGAGGCAACATCCGTCCAGTTTTAAAGAACAGGAAGGAGGCTGTGACAGGAAGCAGCTTTTAGAGTGAAAGGAGCCCTGGACTAAGAATGAATGTTCCCAGGATCTATCTTCAGCAATGTCTTTAGCAACTGTGGGCAACTGATTAATTTATCCTTCCTGGGTTTCTGTCTCTAAATCTGTAAAAGCAAACAAATTGTCTCTTGCATTCAAATGTGGGAACACTTATGACTATATTTCACAATGAGATAAAGCCCCTTGCTGTGTGGTGTTGGAGAAGGCACTTGATGTGGTGGCATTTGGTGGTAGGAAGTGGTTTAGACTGGAGCACTCCCCATGGAGAGATTGTCCCCGGTTAACACAGTGGAAGCCACTTGGAGGGCCCATGAAGTCCCTAATGTATGGAATACTGTGGGACAAGGTTGTTTGTCCTGTTCGAAGAGAAAGATATAGGTTCTAAATGCGAACTGTGACAGGATACAGAGCCTGTGCGTGGGAATCAGATCTGTGGCAGGATTGGGGAGACAGCTGCTGAAGTTCAGAGAGAGGCTGGGCAAGCCTCCAGTGATATGAAGAGGAAAAGGTCTTTTCAATATTTGGCCACATCTTGATGGTGACCCTCCAGATCAGAAACACATTGCCTCATGGATCAGGAAAACATGCCAGGGCATTTTTTTAGAGATAAAACATGAGAGCTTTCAGCACAGTGTGGACTTATACATGTAGATGTTTATGTCCCTGTGCACATAGGGCTCACTGTGCTTGCAGTGGGTGAAATGGGAAATATTTCAATGGACACATCTGTATTTGCAGAAAATGATGAAGATGAAGATGAGGATGAAGACGACAAAGACGAGGAGGTTGAGAAAGTACAGGAATCACCTGCCCCCAGGTAACATTGAATAATCAGGAGCGGGTAATGGGTGGTAAAATATGAAAAAGGTCTCAGAAAGAATAAAAGGGAGGTGAAGGTAGTCACAGATTCCAGAGGCAGGATAAAGAAAGCTGCAGAGTGCACTGATTTCATGTGCTCACCCAACAAGGAAATAGCCCCATTAACGTGCTTGTCCATTGTCTTCCTGGTGCCTGTAAGCATGACCCTAGATGAACTCACCATCCCTAGGGACTTCCTGCACACACAGAGGAGACCTGTTCTCCCCTGTAGTGAAAGCCAGGATGAGATGTAAAGCTGCTTTCTACACTGTTGTCTTTAGGTTCTTTTTAGGAAAGATAAATAGCAGAGAGGCAACAAGCAGAGGAAATAGGAAGCACCTAGCAAAGTTGAACACAAAGTACAGTACCTAGACAAAAAAATTTACATTTCATGTCACAATATTAAAATTTTAAAAAAACTAGAAGGCACACCATCTCTGAAGTCTACAATGGCTCAAATGCCTGTATAGCCATGGCCACAGTATGTTAACTACAACCCAGCTTAGACACACCATGTGGCAGCTGTTTTTGGTTCTCTGTGTGTGCTGTCAAGACTGTACCATACAGGGACAGCTGAGTCTTCCTCCTCCTCAGCTCCTATCTGCCCAGTGCAATGATCACTAGCTGCTGTCTTCCTCTCTGGTTCCCATGGCAGCCACGCTCTGTTGCAGACAGAAAAGGATTGCCTGTTCCCTCTTAAAAGGAACCTCTCCTTTGCATTCTGGGACCACTCTCTTAAGCCTCCTTTCAAAACCACCTAGGACTTCTTGGGGTGCAATGCCTTTTGGATTAATCTTCTGTCATCTCTATCCCACTGGGCTCATCAGAGAGGTGCAGAAGACTGAAGAAAAGGAAGTCCCTCAGGACTCACTGGAGGAATGTGCTGTCACTTGTTCAAATAGTCACAACCCTTCTAACTCCAACCAGCCTCACAGGAGCACCAAAATCACATTTAAGGAACACGAAGTCGACTCTGCTCTGGTTGTAGAGAGTGAACACCCTCATGATGAAGAGGAGGAAGCTCTAAACATTCCCCCAGGTAGCCTCTCTATTCTTTGTCCCTCCTAGCTCTGTCTAGGCTGAGGAAGATCAATTCTGAGGACAGACTGTATACATACATATTGGTTTGAATCACAAAGTATAGTGGAGCCGGGGGCGGTGGCTCCCACCTATAATCCCAGCACTTTGGGAGGCCCAGGCGGGTGAATCACTTGAGTTCAGGAGTTCAAGACCAGCTTGGGAAATGTGATGAAACCCGTCTTTACAAAAAACATGAAAAACTAGCCAGGCATGGTGGTGCGTGCCTGTCATCCCAACTACCCAGGCAGCAGAGGCGGGAGAATCACCTGAGCCCAGGAAGTAAAGGCTGCAGTGAGCCACAATTGCACTCCAGCCTGAGTGACAGAGTGAGGCTGTGTCTCAAAAAAAGAAAAAGAAAGAAACAGAGAGAGAGAGAGGAGAGAGAGAGAGAGAAAGAGAGGAAAGAAAGAAAAAGAAAGAAAGAAAGAAAAAGAAAGAAAGGGAGAGAAGGAAAAGAAAAGAAAGAAAGAAAGAGAGAAACTATGATAGAATATTAAACACAGTTATGTGAGGGTCAGAGAACATTCCTCTCCTCCTAGGCCCATGGCATGGACTTTGTCTTCCTGGCCCCAATATTAGCATACTGGACCACAGGCAGGTGTGACAAAGTCATAGCCACCTGTGTACAGGAGGTATCTGTCAGGCCTCCTGGCTCGGTTCCTATGTCTCTTGTCACATGCAATAATGATTTGTGTCCCTGAACAATGTCCATGGAGTTTCTATGCCTGTCACAGGCGACTGACAGTCTTGCCTATGTAATTGGAGATGTGTCTCTGGATTCACTGTTCTCGGCCCCAGGCTTGGTCTCCTTTAGGTCAGCTTGTCCCAGCTAAGCAGTCACCTTGAAAGCAGGACATAAACACTTCTACCTTTATCTTGCTTATAAGTTTCCCTAAACGAGGCTGGGCCCTGAGTTCTTCACCCCATGAGCGGTCAATGTTTCTGTGTAGCACCGCAGACTCTTTTTTATGCAAGGATTGTTAGAATTTATCCATCAGTTCAGTCTCCTATACAAATTTCTCTAACCATTCGTTGACCATGATATATGATGAGATAAATCAGTATTGCAACAACACTTCTGGAGAGTGGTTAGGGCAATTTTTGAAAATCTTGGGGAAAAAGTTTTGTTTAATTGTTTGCACAGACTTAGGTCAGAGGATAGGTGATTATGATCTACCAGATGAGGGAGATTTTGTCCTATGGGTCTGGAAAGCAGGCACATCTACTTCTGAAAATAAGTCAGAATGATCCTGTCAAAATGTCACATTCTTACACTGAGGATATTTATGTTCTTGTGCTATGACTGGACACTTATTTGCTCTTGTGTGATTTCCTTACTGTGACCTGCTCTTCTGAATTTGTTTACAGAAAATCAAAATGACCATGAGGAGGAGGAGGGGAAAGCGCCAGTGCCCCCCAGGTAACTGTGGATTTGTGGGCTGTTAGTTCAATAGTGACATCTGGACACCACGGATCAAGGGAAAATAGGAAGTGACGAATAGAACTGTCTCATCCATTCATCCAAGTGCAAATTGCCCCTTTAACAATGTTGTCTTCTTTATTGTGGTACTTGAATAGGTTTCAATTTCTTAATCCCTCTCAAGCATAGGAACCGACAATCACTTGAACCAGGTGAACTGACCAACCTCAGGGATTTCCTGATCTCACCTGTGGTCTCCCATGTGGCTAATCCAGGGTGAGATGCATATATGCTTTCTGTATGTTTTGTGACAGCATGTTGGCAAGTATTTGAATGCAATCGAGAAAATTAAAAATAAAAATTTCATATTATGTCAAAATATTGAAAAAAAAGGGGGACCTTAAAAACACAGGATCTGTGCGTTGGGAATGCCTCAAGAGCTGTGTTCACTTGGATGCTGCATGTAATGTCAACGCAATTTGTGTAAAGGAAGTGAAGTCCCAGCTTAGTTCTCAGTGCTGCAAGTCATGATGCTTGATGCTAGCTTACAGGGAGAGTCTGGGTCCTCCTGCAGCTGCTCGTTTGTGGCAAGTGCACTGAGCACCTGCTGCTCATGTTTGCTCTGTCTCCAGGACAGTCACACTCCACCCCACATTTAGAAGGATAGATTTTTCTCTCTTGGAGGAGACCCCCCTTTGCTTTCTGTGACCACACCCTTTGTGTCCTATCAAATCACCTGAGATACTATGGTGTTGAATCTGTCTTGGTCTAACCTTCTGTCGTTCTATCCTACCTGGCTCATCAGAAAGCTGCAGGATTCTGAAGAGAAGGGAGTCCTGCAGGACTTGCCAGAGAAATGTGTTTTGTCTCATTCTAGACACCATGACAAGTCCAACTCTTACCGGCATCGTGAAGTCTCTTTCTTGGCATTGGATGAACAGAAAGTTTGCTCCGCTCAGGATGTTGCCAGGGATTACTCCAATCCCAAATGGGATGAAACCTCACTTGGCTTCCTCGGTAGGCTCCCTATTGTTTGTACCCCAGATTTGTCCATAGTGACGGATGTCATACCTTCAGGAAGACTCTATGCTTATATACTGGTTAAAACCTGCAAACTGGTTATAAACTGGCAAAAAACCTGCATCATGACTTTCAAGCGGTCTAAAGGTGCCGTGCATGTCCGTGCAACCGCACTAGCTATTCCTGCTGACACCAAACGCTTCCACCAATCTCCAGACTGCTTTTCTTGTTCGGTAAATTCATCTGGAATAGCTATACTCTCTCCTATATCAATTAACTGATAAATAGGAAGAATTATTAGACAATAAACAAAAGTGTAAACACTTGATAAATTATAAGGATAGCTTTCTACAAGGAGCAAAGATAACTTTTTACAAGGACCAAAAATCCAAAGATTTTTTTCATGCCACTTCCTGTTACTGAAGATCAACAATTTTCTTAGCACCTGTACTACATCAAGTGATTTTTAATAATGCATTGACATATAGATTTAATGTAAAATCAATTAAATTAGAGCAATTATTAATTTAAAATTCTCAAACTATTTAGTTAATCTGTTCTCTGAAAAATGTAAACCCTGAGTACAGGGATTACATACCAGCCACTCATCACAATGTCTGCCACATACTAGGCAAGGAATAAATAATAAATATTCCTTGCTTTATTTCAAATTCTCTCAAACTCCTTTAATTACTTAAACCTAAGTCAAAATTCAAGAGTAGCATCTTATATGATTTGATTAAATTTCTTTATTATTTGCATTGACTCCTTCTTCAAATGTCAGTTTCCTTTTTAAAAGTCTATACTCTAACCACTTTTGCATTTTACTTTATTTTCAGTGATCATACTTGCTTATGACAAGATGATCACTTTTTTCTAAATGATGAGGCAATGTGGTTTAGTGCAGAAGTTAGTTTCTGCCCTCTAGGAATTTACAGAGTAATAAAAGAGATAGGAAAGGAAAAAAAGCAATTATAATACAGAGAAAATAAGTAAAATAACAAGGGTAGCAAATAAAGGTGTCTTAAGAAGACAGTATAGAGGCTGGAGGCAAAGCAAGAAGGCAGAAGACTCTACCCATCATCCCCCTGCAAGGACACCAATTCAACAATTATCTACCCAAATAAAACACCTTCATAAGAACTAAAAATCAGATGAGCCCTCATAGTAACTGATTTCAGCTTTGTATCACTGAACGAGGCAGTGAAGAGATAGAACAAACAGCCTTAAATCGCTGGCACCATCCCTGCTACACCCCAACAGTGGTGGCAAGGTACGGGGAGTGTCTCTGGGCACTGGGGGAGGGAGAGCACAGCAATTGTGAGGCATTAAACTCAGTGCTGTCCTGTTAAAGAAGAAAGGAAAAGTGAACTGAACTCAGCGGACACCCACCCATGGAAGAAATAAGATGTATGTGTGTGCAAGTGTGTGTGTGTGTGTGTGTGTGTGTATGTGTGCATATGTGTTTTTGAGACAGGGTCTTACTCTGTTGCCCAGGCTGGAGTGCAGTGGTGTGATCATGGCTGACTGCAGCCTCGATCTCCCTGGGCTCAGGTGATCCTTCCACTTCAGCCTCCCAAGTAGCTGGGACCATAGGCATGCGCCACCACAAGGCTAATTTTTGTATTTTAGTAGAGATGGGGTTTCACCACGTTGCCCAGGCTGGTCTCAAACTCCTGGACTCAAGCAATACTCCCATCTTGGGCTCCCAAAGTGCTGGGATTACAGGTGTGAGCAACTATGCCCAGCCAGAGAGAGCATTTAAACCAGCCCTAGCCAGAGGAGAACTATTAATACCAGTGGTACAAACTTGAGTTCCCACAAACCTTACCACCATTAGGCCACGCTGCACTGGGTCTCTAAGTAAACTGGAAACACAGTGTAGACCATAAGGACTTCAATTGCTAGGTGAATCCTAGTGCTGAACTGGGCCCAGAGACAGGACTAGGGGAAATCTCAAGACCTACTCAGACAGCAGCTGAGGTGGCTAAGGGAGGGCTGACATCGTCCAACCCCTAACCCCAGGCTGCACATCTTATGGCACCAAAAGAGACCCCTTCCTTCCACCTGAGAAGAGGAGAGGGAAGAGTGGGGAGGACTTTATCCTGCATCTTGAATACTAGCTCAGCCACAGGAGGATAGGGCACCACTCAGAGTTGCAAGGCTCCTGTTCCAGGCCCTACCTCCTGGATGACATTTCTAGACACACCCTTGGCCAGAAGAGAATCTGTTGCCTTGAAGGGTAGGACTCGGTCCTGGCAGCATTCATCACATGCTAACTGAAGAACCCCTAGGCCCTGAATAACCAGTAGTGATACCCAAGAACTATGTCAAGAGCCTTAGGTAAGCCTATGAGACTTCAGGTGAGACTGAGTATATTACAAGCTGTGGTGGGTACAAGGCAAAACTCCTTCTGCTTGAAAAAAGCATAGGGAAAAGTAAAGGAAACTTAGGCACCGGCATGGCCACAGTGGGGGAAGGGGGTAGAGCACTAAATGGGCTCTTTAGGCCCCTGATTCCAAGACTTGACTCTTGGATGGCATTTCTTGACCTGCTGTGGACCAGAGCTGACCTGAAAGATCAGGCAGCATTCACCACAAGTGGACTTAAGAGACCTTGGGCCTTAAGAGAAAACTGGCAGTAGTCTGGCAGTATCCCAGTATTCCCCATGGCCTGTAGTGGTGGTGGCCTTTGGAAAGGGGAGGGAAGAGTGGGAAAGACTGTATCTTGTGGTTTCACCGCTTTAGGTGGCTCAAAACAGAAAAGAGACTTTGTTAGTTTGGGGAAAAGTAAAGGAAGAGAAGAAGAGTCTCTTCCTGGTAATCCAGAGAATTCTCCTGGATCTTGTCCAAGACCATTAAGGCAGTACCTCTATGAGTGTGCAAGAACCACAGGCTTACTGGGTTTTGGGTGCCCTCTAAAACAGATACAGCTTAGATCACAACACTCAAGTTCTTTCAAATAACTGGAAAGCCTTCCCAAGAAGAACAGGTACAAACCAGCCTAGACAGTGAAGACTATAATGAAAACCTAACTTTTCAATGCTGAGACACCAAAGAACATCTGCTGGCATCAACACCATTCAGAAAAACACAACCTCACCAAATGAACTAAATAAGGCACCAAAGACCAATCCAGAAGAAACAGATATGTGACCTTTCAGACACAGAATTCAAAATAATTTTCAGGAAACTCAAAGAAATTCAAGATAACACAGGGAAGGAATTCAGAATTCTATCAGACGAATTTAACAAAGAGATTAAAATAATTAAAATGAATCAAGAAGAAATTCTGGAGCTAAAAAATGCAACTGGCATACTGAAGAATGGATCAGAGTCTTTTAATAGCAGAATTGGTCAAGCCGAAGAATTAGTGAGCTTGAAGACAGGCTATTTGAAAACACAAAGAAGAAACAAAACGAAAAAAAAAAAAAGAATAAAAAACAATGGAGCATGCCTATAGAATCTAGAAAAATAGCCTCAAATGGGCAAATCTGAGTTATTGGCCTTAAAAGAGGAGATAGAGATAGGAATAGAAAGTTTATTCAAAGCAATAATATCAGAGAACTTCTCAAACATAGAGAAAGATATCAATATCCATGTACAAGAAGGTTCTAGAACACCAAGCAGATTTAACCCAAAGAAAATTACCTCAAGGCATTTAATGATCAAAATCACAAAGATCAAGGATAAAGATCCTAAAAGCAGCAAGAGAAAAGAAGCAAATACTGTACAATGAAGCTCCAATATGTCTGGCAGCAGACTTTTCAGTGAAAATCTTACAGGCCAGTAGAGAGTGGCATAACATTTTTTGTTTATTTGTTTTTTTGAGATGGAGTCTCGCTCTGTTGCCCAGGCTGGAGTGCAGTGGCGTGATCTCGGCTCACTGCAAGCTCTCCCTCCCGGGTTCACACCATTCTCCTGCCTCAGCCTCCTGAGTAGCTGCGACTACAGGTGCCCGGAGAGTGGCATGACATGTTTAAAGTGCTGAAAGAAAATAACTTTTACCCTAGAATAATATATATAGCAAAAATATCCTTCAAACGTGAAGGAGAAATACTTTCCCAGACAAACAAAAAGCTAAAGGATCATCAATACCAGACCTGTTCTACACAAAAGGATAAAAGGAGTACTCCAGTCAGAAAGAAAAGGACATTAATAAGCAATCAAATCATCTGAAGGTACAAAACTAACTGGTAGTAGTAAGCGCACAGAAAAACACAGAATGGTACGACACTGTAATTGTGGTGTGTAAACTATTCTTATCTTTAGAAAAACTAAATCATCAACCAATCAAAAATAACTACAACAACTTTACAAGTCATAGACAATACAATAAGACATAAAGAGACACAAAAAAAGTTAAAAAGTGGAGGCATGAAGTTATAGAGTTGTATTAGTTTTCTTTTTGCATATTTGTTTATGCAAACTGTTAAGTTCTTATCAGGTTAAAATAGTGGGTTATAAAATAATATTTTCAAGCCTCATGGTAACCTCAAACATAAAAACAGAATGGATACATAAAAAAATTAAAACCAAGAAACTAAATCATATTACTAGAAGAGATAACCTTCACTAAAGATAGGAAGTAAAGAAAGAAGGATGAGAAAATCACAAAACAACCAGAAAACAAATAACAAAACAGCAGGAGTAACTCCTTACTTATCAATAATAACATTGAATGTAAATAGACTAAACTCTCCAATCAAAAGACATAGAGTGGCTAAATGGATGAAAACACAAGACCCATTAACCTGTTGCCCACAAGAAACACACTTCGCCTATAAAGACACACATAGACTGAAAATAAAGGGATGGAAAAAGACATTCCATGCCAACGGAAACCAAAAAAGAGCAGAAGTAGCTATACTTATATCAGACAAAATGACTTCAAGTCAAAAGCTGTAAGACACAAAAAATGTCATTATAATGATAAAGGCGTCAATTCAGCAAAAGGATATAACAATTGTATATATAAATATATGCACCCAACACTGGAGCACCCATATATATATAAAGAAAATATTATTAGAGCTAAAGAGAAAGAGAGGCCCCAATACAATAATAGCTAGACTTCAACATCCCACTTTCTCATTGGACAGATCTTCCAGACTGAAAATCAATAAAGAGGCACTGCTCTCATGAAAAAATAGAGAGGGTGAGTAAATAAAGCACCTTCAACTGAAACATCCAGGTACACACATTGAGATTCATCAAGAAAACAACTCAACCCATGGAGAATGAAGAAAAGCAACGCAAGATGACCACCCACCCAGGAGTGACATGGAGCCAATGGAGCCTCCCCTGCCCAGGAAAGTGGCGAGTGAATGCGTGACCCTGAGAACCCATGCTTCTCTCACAGATCTTTGCAACACTTGGGTCAGGAGATCCCTTCATGAACTCACTCCAACAGAGCTTGCAGTCTGACACACTGAGCTACATGGAGTCTTGGCAAAGCAGCTGCTGAGGCATACACAGAGCCACAGGAACTTCAGATACCCAAGCTTCCTGGTGAATGCAGCTGCAACTCCAGCAAAGTGGGAGGCTGGACCCCTCTACATACCCCTAAGGAAAGGGACTGAATCTATGGGGCTGAGCAGCAAAGGTCTGCAGGTCCTGCTTCCATGGCACCTCACAGGATAAGACACACTAGCTTAGAACTCCAGCCCGCCACCAGTAGCAGTGTTATATTTCCCTGACATGGATCTCCCAGACGGAGGGGTGGGCCACGATCTTTGCTGTTTTGCAGGCTTAGCCATTGTTGCCTTCAATGCAGCTACCCTACGAAAAAGTGGCCAGACGGCTACTTTTTACATGGATACCTAACCCCACTTTTCCTAATTGAGTAGGACCTCCTAACTGGAGTCACCAGCTACCCTCACCTGTATTTTCCAGCTGGCAGTGGTTCCCAGCCTCCCTGGGATGGAACTCACAAGCAGACAGACCACCATCTTTGCTGTTTCACAGCCTAAGCTGTTGTTACCTTCAGGCTCTAGGACTGACTAGTGACTAGTGACTGGAGCAGGTCCCCCAGCATGGTGCAGCAGCTCTGTGGAGAAGCAGCCAGATCGCTTTTACATGAGGGTCCTGGATACCACTTCTCTTCACTGGGCAGAATCTCCTGATGGAGGTCTCTAACAACCTCCACTGGTGTTTTCCAGCCAGCAATAGTTTCAAACCGCCCTGAGATGGAGCTCCCAGAGGAATGGATGCACTCCCACCCTTGCTGTTTCTCAGCCTTAGCCATTGCTGCCTTTGGGATTTAGAGAGTCCAAAGAGACTAGAGACTGGAATGGAGCCCCATCACAGTACAACTGCTCATAAAAAGCAGCCAGACTGTTTATTCACATGGGTCCCCAATCTTGTTCCTCCTCACTAAGCAGAACCTCCCAACCGAGATATCTATCCACCCCGCTGGTGTTTTCCAGCTGACAGCAGCTTCAAAAGTCTGTGGGACAAAACTCCCAGAGGGAGGGCTGGGCTGCCATCTTTGCTGTTTTGCAGCCTTCACTGTTGATACCTTCAGCTGCTGAAAAATCTGAGGTGGTTATGGACTGGAGTGAACCCCCAAGAGACTGCAGCAGCCCTAGGAAAAAGTGGCCAAACTCTTTATTATGTGGGTCCCCAATCCTGTACCTCCTCACTAGACAGGTCCTCCCAGACTGGGTCTCTAACCACCCCTGCTGGGTCTATCAAGCCAGTGGCAGCTATGCAACTCACTGAGACAAAGCTCCCAGTGAGAAGAGTGGGATGCCATCTTTGCTGTCTCCAGGCCCTGGAGAGTCCACAGGAACCATGGCGTGGTTTGGACCCCTAGCACAGAGCACTCATCTGAAAGAAAGGTGGCCAGACTTTTCTCCATGCAGGTCCCAGTCCTCACTTTTACTCACTGGACAGGGGCACCCAACCTGGGGTTCCAAAACAATCCCCCTGCCTCCACCTGACCACTTCAATCAGTGGCAGCCCAGCAGTTAAAGGAACACTCACACACAGACACACAGAGATGGGGAAAAAACCAATGCAAGAACTCCGGCAACTCAAATGGCCAGAGTATCTTATGTCCTCCAAATCACTGCACTAGTTTTCCAACAGGCATTCTTAACCAGGAAGAACTGGCTGAAATGACAGAAATACAATTTGGACTATAGATAAAAATTATTGACATTCAGGAGAATGGCAAAACCCAGTCCAAAAACACTATAGAAACAATAGAGGAGCTGACAAATAAAATAGCAAGGAAAAAAAACCCTAATTGACTTCATAGAGCTGAAAAACACACTACAAGAATTTCACAATGCAGTCACAAGTATTAACAGCAGAATAGACTAACCAGAGGAAAGAATCTCAACAGGTGAACACTGGCTCTCTGAAATAAGACAGACAAAAATAAAGAAAAAAGAATGAAAGGGAACAAACAAAACCTCTGAAAAATATCGAATTTTGCAAAGAGGCCAAATCTATGAATCATTGTCATCCCTGAAAGAGGAGGAGAGAAAGCAGCAACTTAGAAAACATATTTCAGGATATCATATATTAACACTTACCCAACCTCACTAGAGAGTCCAAAGTTCAAATACAGGAAATGCAGAGAACCCCTACAAGATACTACACAAAAGATCATCCCCAAAACACATAATCATTAGATTTTCCAAGGTCAAAATGAAAGGCAAAATGTTAAAGGCGGCTAGAAAGAAAGGGCAGGTTGCCTACAAATGGAAAACCCCATCAAGCTAACAGCAGACCTCTCAGCAGAAACCCTACAATCCAGAAGAGATTAGGGGCCCATATTTACCATTCTTTAAAAAAAAAAAATCTTCAACCAAAAATTTCATATCTAGCCACATTTAGCCTCATAAGTGAAGAAGAAAAAAGATCCTTCCCAGACAAGCAAATGTTGAGAGAATTTATTACCACCAGATCTGCCTTACAAGAGCTCCTAAAAATCACACAAAATATAGAAAGGAAAGATGATTACCACTGAAATACCCAAACCAGACACTACAAAGCAACCACACAAACAAGTCTGCATAACAACCACCTAACAACGTGATGACAGGATCAAATCCCCACATATCAATACTAAATGTAAATCAGCAATACTTGAATGTAAATGGGCTAAATGTCCCAATTAAAACACACAGAGTAACAAGCTGGATAAAAGAGCAAGACCTAATGGTATGCTATCTTCAGGAGATCCATCTCACATGGCATGAGATCCATCTCACACCAAGAGGTTCAAAGTAAAGTGATGAAGGAAAATCTATCAAGCAAATGGAAATCAAAAAAAGCAGGGGTTACAATCTTAATTTTAGACAAAACAGACTTTAAATCAACAAAGATAAAAAAAGACAAGAACATTACATAATGGAAAAGGGTTCAGTTCAACAAGAAGATCTAATTATACTAAATATACATGCATCTGACACAGGAGCTCCCAGATTCATAAAGCAAGTTCTTAGAGACCTATGAAGAGACTTAGATTCCCACACAATAATAGTGGGAGACCTCAACACTTCACTGACAGTGTTAGACAGATCATCAAGGCAGAAAATTAACAAAGATACTCAGGACCTGAACTCAGCAATTGACCAAATGGACTTAACAGACATCTACAGAATGCTCCATCAAAAAAACAACAGAATATATATTCTTCTCATTGCCACATGGTACATACTCTAAAATCGACCACACAATTGGACGTAAAACAATCCTCAGGAAATTTTTAAAAACCAAAATTATACCATCCACACTCTCAGATCTCAGGCTACAGAACAATAAAAATAGAATATGAAGAAAATTGCTCAATCCCATACATTTACATGGAAATTAAATAACCTGCCCTTGAATGACTTTTGGGAAAATAATGAAATTAAGGCAGAAATCAAGAAGTTCTCTGAAACTGATGGGAACAAAGATACAACATACCAGAATCTCTGCAACATACCTAAGGCAGTGTTAAGAGGGAAATTTACAGCATTAAATGCCCACACCAAAAAGTTACAAAGATCTCAAATTAACCACCTAAAATCACAACTAGAAGAAATAGAGAAGCAAGAGCAAACTAACCCCAAAGTTAGCAGAAGACAAGAAACAACCAAAATCAGAGCTGAACTGAAAGAGACTGAGACACGAAAAACCATACAAAAGACCAACAAATCCAGGCGTTGGATTTTTGAAAAAATTACTAATATAGATAGACCACTAGTCAGTCTAATAAAGAAAAAGAGAGAAGACCCAAATAAACACAATTAGAAATTACCAAGGGGATGTTACCACTGACTCCACAGAAATACAAACAACCATGGAGATTACTGCAAACACCTCTAGGCACACAAACTAGAAAACCTAGAAGAGATGGATGAATTCCAGGACAGACATACATGCTCAAGACTGAACCAGGAAGAAATGGATTCCCTGAACAGGCCAATAACAAGCTCTGAAACTGAAATTAAATCATTAATACATAGCTTTCCAACCCCCAGCTGCCCAAAAAAGCCTAGGACCAGAAGGATTCACAGTCAAATTCTCCCAGATGTACAAAGAAGAGCTGGTACTATCCTTACTGAAACTTTTCCAAAAAATTGAGAAAGAGGGATTCCTCCTGAACTCATTCTAGGAAGGCAGCATCTTCCCAATACCAAAACCTGGCAGAGACACAATAATAAAAGAAAACATCAGGCCAATAACCTTGATGAAAACGATGCAAAAATCCGCAACAAAATACTTGCAAATGGCCAGGCACAGTGGCTCATGCCTGTAATTCCAGCATTTGGGGAGGCCAAGGTGAGCAAATCACTTGAGCTCAAGAGTTTGAAACCAACCTGGACAACATGGCAAAACCCCATCTCTACCCACTCACCCCCCCAAAAAAAATATAAAAACTTAGCCAGGTACAGTGGCACACACCTATGGTCCAAGGTACTCAGGAGGCTGAGGTAGGAAAATTGCTTGAGCCCAGGAGGACAAGGCTGCAGTGAGCCAAGATCACACCACTGCACTCCAGCCTGGGTGACAGAGTAAGACTCTGTCTCTAAAACTATATATATATTTGCAAACTGAATCCAGCAGCACATCAAAAAGCTAATCCACCGTGATCAAGTAGGCTTTATCCCTGGGACGCAAGGTTGGTTCGATATATGCAAATCCATAAATATGATTCATCATATAAACAGAACTAAACACAAAAACCACATGATTATCTCAACAGATGCAGCAAAGGCATTTGACAAAATCCACCATTGTTTCACGTTAAAAACTCTCAATAAACTAGGTATAGAAGAAACATACTTTAAAATACAAAGTATTGCACTTGTACAAAGAAGAGCTGGTATCATTCCTGCTAAAATGATAAGAGCCACCTATGACAAACCTACAGCCAACATCATACTGAATGGGCAAAATCTGGAACCATAGCCCTTGAAAACTGACACAAGACAAAGATACCCTCCCTCGCCACTCCTATTCAACATTGTATTGGAAATCCTGGCCAGAGCAATGAGGCAAGAGAAAGAAATCAAGGGCTTCCAAATAGGAAGAGGGAAAGTCAAACTATCCCTGTTTGTAGATGACATGATTCTATATATAAAAAACCCAAAAGTCTCAGCCTAAAAGCTCCTTGAGCTGATAAACAACTTTGGCAAAGTCTTAGGATACAGAATAAATGTACAAAAATCACTAGCATTTCTGTACCCCAACAGCATCCAAACCAATAGTGGAATCAGTAATGAAATGCCATTCTCAACTGCCACAAAAAGAACAAAATACCCAGGAATATAGCTAACCAGGGAGGTGAAAGATCTCTACAATTAGACTGCTCAAAGAAATGAGATGACACAAACAAATAGAAAAACATTCATTCTCATGGATAGGAAGCATCAGTCTTGTTAAAATGGCTATACTGCCCAAAGCAATTTATAGATTCAATGCTGTTCAGTCAAACTACCAATGACATTCTTCCAATGTCAAACTACCAATGACAGAACTAGAGAAAAACTATTTTAAAATTCATATGGAACCAAAAAAGAGCCTACATAGCCAAGACAATCCTAAGCAAAAAGTACAAAGCTAGAGGCATCACATTACCCAACTTCAAACTATGCTACTGGGCTCTTGTAACCAAACAGCAAGACACTGGTACAAAAACAGACATACAGACCAAGGGAACAGAATAGAGAGCCCAGAAATAAGGATACACACCTACAACTATCCTGATCTTTGAAAAAGTTGACAAAAACAAGCAATGAGGAAAGGACTCCCTATTCAATAGATGGTGCTGGGATAACTGGCTAGCCATGTGCAGAAGATTGAAACTGGATCCCTTCTTTGCACCGTATACAAAAATCAACTTGAGATGAATTAAAGATTTTAAATGTAAAACATAAAACTATAAAAATCCTGGAAGATAGCCTAAGAAATACCATTCTGGATATAGGAAAGGGCAAAGATTTCATGATGAAGACACCAAAAGCAATCGCAACAAAAGCAAAAATTGACAAATGGGATCTAACTAAACTAAAGAGCTTCAGCACAGCAAAAGAAACTATCAACAGAGTAAACAGACAACCTACAGAATGGGAAAAAGTATTTGCAAACTATACATCTGACAAAGGTCTAATATCTATCATCTATGAGGAACTTAAATTTACAAGAAAAAAAATATAACTTCATTAAAAAGTGGACAAAGGACATGAACAGGCACTTTTCAAAAGAAGACATACACATGGCCAACAAGCATATGAAAAAATGTTCAATATCAATAATATGGTTTGACAGTGTCCCTACCCAAATGTCAACTTGAATTGTATCTCCCAGAATTCCCATGTGTTCTGGAAGAGACCCAGGTGGAGGTAATTGAATCATGGGGGCTGGTCGTTCCTGTGCTATTCTTGTGATATTGAATAAGTCTCACAAGATCTGATGGGTTTATCAGGGGTTTCCACTTTTGCTTCTTCCTCATTTTCTCTTGCCATTGCCATGTAAGAAGTGCCTTTCACCTCCCACCATGATTCTGAGGCCTCTCCAGCCATGTGGAACTGTAAATCCAATTAAACCTCTTTTTCTTCTCAGTCTTGGGTATGTCTTTATCAGCAGTGTGAAAAAGCACTAATACAATAAATTGGTACCAGTAGAGTGGGGCATTGCTGAAAATATACCTAAAAATGTGGAAACAACTTTGGAACTGGGTAACAGGCAGAGATTGGAACAGTTTGGAGGGCTCAGAAGAAGATAAGAAAATGTGGGGAAATTTGGAACTTCCTATAGACTTTTTGAATGGCTTTGCCCAAAATGCTGATAGTGATATGGACAATAAGGTCCAGGCTGAGGTGATCTCAGATAGAGATGAAGAATTTTTTGGGAACTGGAGTAAAGGTGACTCTTGTTATGTATTAGCAAAAAGACTGGAGGCATTGTGCCCCTGCCCTAGAGATTTCTGGAACTTTGAACTTGAGAGAGATGATTTAGGGTATCTGATGGAAGAAATTTCTAAGCAGCAAAGCATTCAAGAGGTGACTTGGGTGCTGTTAAAGGCATTCAGCTTTATAAGGGAAGCAGCACATAAAAGTTTGAAAATTTGCAGCCTGACTATGCGATAGAAAAGAAAACCCCATTTTCTTGGGAGAAATCCAAGCCAGCTGCAGAAATTTGCATAAGTAGCAAGGAGCCTAATGTTAATCCCCAAGACCATGGGAAAAATGTCTGCAGGCCATGGCAGAGACATTCAAGGCAGCCCCTCCCATCACAGGCCTGGAGGCCCAGAAGGAAAAACTGGCTTCCTGGGCCAGGCCCAGGGTCCCCATGCTGCATGCAGCCTAGAGACTTAGTGACCTGTGTCCCAGCTGCTCCAGCCATGATTGAAATGGGCCAATATACAGCTCAGGCTGTGGCTTCAGAAGGTGGAAGCCCCAAGCCTTGGCAGCTTCCATGTGGTGTTGAGCCTGCGGGTGCACAGAAGTCAAGAACTGAGGTTTGGGAACTTCTACCTAGATTTCAGAAGATGTATCGAAACGCCTGGATGCCCAGGCAAAAGTTTGCTGCAGGGGCAGAGCCCTCACAGAGAACCTCTGCTAGGGCACTGTAGGAGGGAAATGTGGGGTTGGAGCCCCCAAACCGAGTCCCTACTAAGGCACTGCCTAGTGGAGCTGTGAGAAGACAGCTACTGTCCTCCAGACCCCAGAATGGTGGATGCACTGACAGCTTGCACTGTGTGCCTGCGAAAGCCATAGACACTCAATGCCAGCCCATGAAAGCAGCTGGGAAGGAAGTTATATCCTGCAAAGCCACAGGGGCTGAGCTGCCCAAGACCATGGGAACCCACCTCTTACATCAGCATGACCTGGATGTGAGACCTGGAGTCAAAGAAGATCATTTTGGAGTTTTAAAATTTGACCGCCTCACTGGATTTTGGACTTACATGGGCCCTATAACCCATTTGCTTTGGTCAATTTCTCTGATTTGGAACAGCTGTATTTACCCAATACCTGTACCTCCATTGTATCCAGGAAGTAATTAGTTTGCTTTTGATGTTACAGGCTCATAGGCGGAATGGACTTGCCTTTTCTCAGATGAGACTTTGGACTGTGGACTTGTGGGTTAACGCTAAAATGTTAAGATTTTGGGGGACTATTGAGAAGGCATGATTGGTTTTGAAATGTGAGGACATGAGATTTGGAGGCACCAGGGGCAGAATGATATGGTTTGGCTGTTTCTCTACCCAAATCTCAATTTGAATTGTATCTCCCAGAATTTCTATGTGTTGTGTGAGGGACCCTGGGGGAGGTAATTGAATCATGGGGGCTGGTCCTTCCCGTGCTATTCTCATGATAGTGAATAAGTCTCACAAGATTTGATGGGTTTATTAAGGGTTTTTGCTTGTGCTTCTTCCTCATTTTGTCTTGCCACCACCATGTAAGAAGTGCCTTTCACTTCCTGCCATGATTCTGAGGCCTCCCCAGCCATGTAGAACTCCAAGTCCAATTAAACCTTTTTCTTCCCAGTCTCGGGTATGTCTTTATCAGCAGTGTGAAAATGGACTAATACAATCACCAATCATTAGAGAAATGAAAATCAAAACCATAATGAGATGCCATCTCACATCAGTCAGAATGGCTATAATTAAAAAAAATAACAGATGCTGGTGAGGTTGTGGAGAAGAGAGAATGCTTATACACTGCTGGTGGGAATGTAAATTAGTTCAACCATTGTGGAAAGCAGTGTGGCAATTCCTCAAAGAACTTAAAACAGAACTACCATTCAACTCAGCAATCCCATTACTGGGTATATGCCCAAAAAAATATAATCATTCTAAGACACATGCACATGTATGTTCACTGCAGTGCTATGCACAATAGCAAAGACATGGAAACAACCTAAATGCCCATCAAGGGCAGACTGGATAAAGAAAATGTGGTACATATATATCATGGAATACTATGCAGCCCTAAAAAAAGAACAAAATCATGTTCTTTACAGAAATATGGATGTTGCTGGAGGCCAATATCCTTAGCAAACTAATGCAGGAAAAGAAAACTAAATACCTCACGTTCTCACTTATAAATGGAAGCTAAATAATAAGAACCAGTGGGCACTAACGGGACAACAGATACTGGAGCCTGCTTGAGGAAGGAGAGTGGGAGAAGGAAAAATAACTATTGGGTACTATCTTAGTACCTGGGTCACAATATGGTCTCTACACCATACCCCCATGACAATAGTTTGCCTATATTAAAAAACCTGCACATATACCCCTGAACCTAAAATAAAATTTTAAAAAAAGAAATCCATAACTCCTGTAAAAAGAAAGACCACAAACTGAACCTCTACTACATTATCTATTAGGATTAATAGGTAGACAAATCAAGAATTTAAATACACATAATAAATATAATAAACATTCTCCAAAATATTGGAGCTATATTGCATATTATTCACAAAATGCAGGCATTAAGGTATAAAGAAGAACCAAGTAGAAATATTAGACATGAAATATATAATAATAAAACCTACCGATGGAATAAATAGCCGAATGACTACAGCCAAAGAATGGTCAAGTAAAGGAACTCTCCCAGAAAACATCAGGCAGGAAGAAAGGCACAGAGATTAGAAATGAAAAGGTAAGAGACTGTGAAGATAGAACAAGAAAGGTTAACTTCTATGTAAGTCTTTAAAAAGTAGAAAAAATAAATGTCAAGAAAATATAAGAATAATAACCAAGAATTTTCCAGAATTGGAGAGAGATGAAGCACCTCATATTGGAAGGGCTCAGAAAAAATATTTGAGAAAAGCTTACCTAAATGTATTATATACATTATATATATACACATATTATATATACACATTACATATATATTATAAATACATTATATATACATTATACATATACATATATACATTATATACATACATTATAAATATATAGTTTTGTTGTTGTTGTTTTGTTTTGTTTTCTTTTTTTTGAGACAAGGTCTCACTCCCATCACCTAGGCTGGAGTGCAGTGGCACTATCATCGCTCACTTCAGCATTGACTTCCCTGGCTCAGATGATTCTCCCACTTCCCCCTTCTGACCCTCCTGACCACCAGGCCTGGGTAATTTTTGTATTTTTTTGATGGGGGTGGGGTTTCGGCATGCTGCTCAGGCTGGCCTCCAACTCCTGAGCCCAAGAGATCTGCCCACCTTGGCCTCCCAAAGTGCTGGTATTACAGGTGTAAGCCACCACTCCTGACCATCCAAATGCATTGTAATGAAATTTTAAAACATCAAAGACAAGGAGAGAAAAAGTTTTTTAAGTGTTCTGAGATAAAGAACAAATCAGCTGACCCTTGAACAACACAGGTTTGAACTGTGTAGGTCCACTTATACAAAGATTTTTTGCAATAAATACAGTTGGCCCTCTGTATCTGTGGGTTTGTGTCTACAACCAAACAGACTGAAACTACAGTATTCATAAGATGTGCAATTTGCTAATACCAAAGGCTGACTTTTCATATACCAGGTTCTACCAAGGCAACTTCGGGACTAGAGTATGCACAGATTTTGGTATTGACAGCAGGTGTTGGGGTGGAGAGTGGGATCCTGGAACCAATGCCCGTGGATACCTAGGGACGACTGTACAAACAAGAATCCAATTGAGGTCATACGATGTAAGAAGGCAATGCAATAATATTTTCAAACCAATCAATTAAAGAAACTTTTAATCTAGAATTTTAAACAAAAATACCGGGCTGGGTGCGGTGGCTCACGCCTGTAATCCCAGGACTTTGGGAGGCCGAGGTGGGCGGATCACGAGGTCAGGAGATCGAGACCATCCTGGCTAACATGGTGAAACCCCGTCTCTATTAAAACTACAAAAAATTAGCCAGGCGCGGTGGCGGGCGCCCATAGTCCCAGCTACTCAGGAGGCCGAGGCAGGAGAATGGCGTGAACCTGGGAGGCGGAGCTTGCAGTGAGCTGAGATAGTGCCACTGCAGTCCGGCCTGGGTGAAGGAGTGAGACTCCGTCTCAAAAACAAAAAAAAACAAAAAAAAAAATCACCTAAAAGCAAACATACAAGAACAGTATCTATTGAATATCTCAGCAGACTTAGCGCCCAAAGACCCTCTTTGAAAACACTCTTGGAAGAGGCACTCCAGCAAAGAGAGAAATAAACCCAGAAGAACATTAGAAGATAAATGAGAAGTAAAGATAAATAAAGTAAGCTAAAATTTATTATTTTTTTAAAAAAGGCAAATATACACACCATACAAACGCAACTATATCCAATAAAATCCACTAAAATTCTAGATAATACCAAGGAAATATGGGTTATGGCAAAAAACAAATGGAAGTAAGAGTACATTGAAGTACACCTATATTGTTTAGGAGAAGATACAGATTGAACTTCAGAAGAAAAACCATCATGAGAGATTGTTAAAAGGAACAACTAATCAAAAAGATATAAAATTTATGAACATATATACACGTTAACCACACAGGCTCAAAATATTTTCAGCAACAACCAGTGGAACTACAGGAAGAAATAAATTAGCAACTATACTTGCTAATTTTAAAATATTCTTCTCAGAATTTTATAGATCAAACAGAATAAAAATTATAATGCATATAAAATAATAAGGTTTAGCTTAATTGATTTATATAGAAATTTACATCCAACAAGCAAAAAATATACATTATTTTTTAGGACACATGCATAGAACATATTTTTTAAAACTGACCATTTAATAGGCAACAAATGAAGCCACAATAAATTCCCAGGAATCTATATCATACCCTCTATAATTCCTGACTATATTTCAATATCATACATAACAAAAGGATGTCTTTAAAAGAAAACCCTCAGCCAGAAAATTATGCACACACATAAAATAAAGATATTACCTAATTAATCCTAGGATTAAAGAGGAAATCTCAGGGAGAAGTTGTAAAATAAATGGTGCCTGAATGACAATAAAAACACTATATATCAAAATATATATGGTATCAGTTGGACCTAGGAAAGAAAAACTCATAGAATACAGGTACTAGTAGTTTGAAAAAAACATAAAATACATCCTTCAGAAAACATGAAATGGTGAAAACATGGAAGCACTCTGTATTAGTTAGGGCTCTCCAGAAAGACAAAACCAATAGGATGGATGGATGGATAGATATAAGATAGATAGATAGATAGATAGATAGATAGATAGATAGATAGATAGATAGAGTTTATTACAGGAATTCATTCATTGGGCTCATGCAATTATGGAGGCTGAGAAGTCCAAGGTTGAGGGGACACATCTGTGAGAGCCTGCTCGCTGATGGGGACTTTCTGCAAATTACCATTCTTGTAGGTCAAAAATAGTTGGATATCAGAAATTTCCTATAGTTCAACTAATAGATAGCTATCATTATTCTCATTTTACTGAAGAAATTGAAGCACAGAGAGATTCAATAACTTGCCCAAGTTACACAGACAATCATTGTCAATGTTATAATTTGAGCCTAGGAAGTGTAGTTTCAGAGTCTGTCTCTCAACCAGTATGCTATACTGCACTGCTTCTTGGAAATTATCTCCATGGATGCAAAAAAGTTATTTAATAAATCTCATCACCGATTTATCATTAAAAAATATGTATCTGACTGAAAGTAAAGAGCAGTTGCCCAGGGATAGGTGGAAGAGTAGAGATTAACTGTAAACATGTACCAGGAATTTTGGGGATAATGGAAATGTTCTAAAAATGGATTATGGTGATTGTTGTACTGTTCTCTTAATTTACTAAAATAATTGAATTTATTTGCACTCTTAAAATGGGTGAATTTTATGTTATATAAATATATTTAAATAATTATATTTTTAAAATTCTGAAAACTTCCTTAGTTTGCTAATAATTATAAGAACAACAACATAGCAAGCATCATACTTAATAGAAGAAATTTTAGAAGCATTTAAAAAAATGCTTCATGAATAAGAAATAATGATTGCCATCCCTGCTGCTATCTAACACAGTACTGAAGATTCTAGCCAAAGATATAAGCTAAAAAGAATTGTTTTCATATGGGAACTAAAATAAAAGAAATAATATTGTTATTAAAAGAATATGGTCATAAACAAGGAAAAACAAAAGTATTAGGTGGCAAATTGTTATAATAAATAAGAGAGTTCAGCAAAGTACCAGATAGAAGATCAACTTACAAAAAGGAGTTTCTCAAAGCAGAAATAATCAAGTGGAAAATTTAATAGGAAAGAAGATACATTCACAAAAGTGGCAAAATCTATACAGCATCTAAGATTTAACCTAACAAAGAGGACAGAAGACCATTTCAGGGAAAAAAATGTAACCTCTGTTAAATAATATAACAAGAAATCTGAATAGAGATAATTTGATCATGTTTGTGGATAGAGTAACTTAAAATTATGAAGATACCTGTTTTACCCAAATTATTCTATAAATTCACTGCTGCAATGGACTGAATGTTTGTGTCCTGCTTCACCGTCAGTTCAAATGTTGAAACCCTCATCCCAGTGTGATGGTATTTGGAGGTGGGGTCTTTGAAAAATAATTACATCAGAAGCCTTCATAAGAAGCCAGACAGCTAGCTAGCTACCTTTCCATACTGTATGAGGATGGCAAGAAGACGGCTCTCTGTCAGCCAGGAAAAGGGCATTCCCCAAGAACCCAACCATGCTGGCAACCTGATCTAGGACTTCCAGCTTTCAGAACTCTGAAAAATAAATGCCTGAACTTTAAGTAGCCCAGTACATATAGCAGCATGAACTGGCTAAGACAGAAATTGGTACTGAGAAATGAGGCACTGCAATAACAAGTACATGAAAGTGTGGAAGCAATCTTGGAAGTGGGTAATGGGTAGAGGCTGCAAGAATTGTGAAGTACATGCTAGAAAATGTCAATGTTGCCATGACGGGATTTTAAAGGCAATTGTGATTATGGCTCAGAAATAAAAGAGGAGAGCTGTACAGAAAGCTTCTGTCTTCTTAAGACAGTACATAATTATGAACCATGTTAGTAGAAATATGGATAGTAGAGGCCATTCATGACAAAGCCTCAAATGGAAATGATGAAACATGTTATTAGAAACTAGAGGAAAGCCCATCCTTGTTATAAAGTGGTAAAAAACTTGGCTGAATTGTGTTTATGTTCTAGTGTTTTGTGGAATGTAGAACTTGTAAGTGATGAAACTGGATACTTAGTGGAGGAAATTTCTAGGCAAAGTGTTGAAGGAGTGGCTTACTTCTTCCCGATCACTTATAGAAAAAGGTAAGAGAGAAATAAGTTGAAGATGGAATCATTAAGCAAAAAGGAACCAGAACTTAAATATTTGAAAATTTCTGAACTGTTAATGTTACGAAAAAATTTTTAAAAAGCATGTTCAGAAGAGAACACTAAGGGTGTGGTGAACTAACCACTTGAAAAGGAGATTCGTGTAAGTGTGAACCATGGACTTCATCAGCCATCTCAACAGAAACCAGGAACAGAGATGGGGCAATTCTAGCAGAAATGCCAGCTGAGACTAAAGGAAAGAGAGAAAATAGGATACAATTAAGGAAGACCATCAGACTTCTTAGAACTTCAGGACTACAGGACTCAACCACTGAGCAGAAAACATGCACTATCCAAAACAAGAGAAGAAGGACCCCAAAGGAGATTCAGAAATCCACAGAGCTGCCACTTCCACCATTGGCCCAGAGTGCCATGGGCTGAGCCAGAGAATGGGGCTGCCTCCACCTCAGTTTCAAACGGTGGGACCAACACGCAGCAGAGCCATGGGGCAGGGCTGTTGGGACCCACTGGGACACCACCCCCACTGGGCAGAGGTATAAAAGAGGAACCATTGCCACCATGAGTCCAGAGAGTAGAACATCAAAATGATTATTCTTGAGCCTTAAGATCTCACAGAGCTTGCCTTGCTATTAACTTGCCTAGGACCCATTTTTCCTTTCCTTCTTTCCTCTTTCTCCCTTTTGGAATGGGAATGTCTCTCCTATTCCTGTATATTTTGGAAGCACATAAATTGCTTACTTTCACAGGTTCACAGCTGGAGAGGAATTTGCCTCAGGATGAATTGTACTTCAAATCTTACCTATATCCAATTTATGTGATATTTAGATGAGACATTGTACTTCAGACTTTTAAAGTTAATGCCAGAACAAGTTAAGTATTTGGGGGCTGTTGGAATGGAATGGGTTTATTTTGCATGTGAGAAGAACATGAATTTGGGGGAGCCAGGGGCAGAATGCAATGAATGAAACGTATGTCTCCAAATTCATATATTGAAATCCTAATCGAAATGTGATGATATTTGGAGTTGCGGCCTTTGGGAGATAATTAGGTCATGAGAGTGGATCCACTATAATTGGAATTAGTGCCCTTAAAAGATGACACCAGAGGTCTAGCTAGCTCTCTTTCCACTATGTGAGGGAATAGAAAGAAGACAGCCCTCTGTACACCAGGAAAAGTGCACTCACCAAGAACCTGACTATATCAGCACCCTGATCTCAAATTTCTAACCTCCAGAACTGTGAGAAATAAATGTTTGTTGTTTAAATCACCTAGACCATGGTAATTTTTTATAGCAGCCCAAACCAAGACAAACGTAATTGCAATCAAGTTTCTAAAAATATACAGTTGAAATTAAGAAAATCAAAAATTCAGTTGAAATTAAGAAAATCTAAAATCTAAAATAAAAGTTCTTCTTTAAAAAAAAAAAACTAGGCTAATTTTGATAAGAAAGATCCTTTCCCCATTGCTTGTTTTTGTCAGGTTGCTGAAGATCAGATGGTTGTAGACGTGTGGTGTTATTTCTGAGGCCTCTGCCCTGTTCCATTGGTCTATATATCTGTTTTGCTATCAGTACCATGCTGTTTTGATTAGTGTAGCCTTGTAGTATAGTTTGAAGTCATGTAGTGTGAGGACTCCAGCTTTGTTCTTTTTGCTTAGAATTGTCTTGGCTATACAGGCTCTTTTTTGGTTCCATATGAACTTTAAAGTAGTTTTTTCTAGTTTGGTGAAGAAAGTCAATGGTAGCTTGATGGGAATAGCATTGAATCTATAAATTACTTTGGGCAGTATGGCCATTTTCATGACATTGATTCTTCCTATCCATGAGCATGGAATGTTTTTCCATTCGTTTGTGTCCTCTCTTATTCCCTTCAGCAGTGGTTTGTAGTTCTCCTTGAAGAGGTCCTTCACGTTCCTTATAAGTTGTATTCCTAGGTATTTTATTTTCTTTGTAGCAATTCTGAATTGGAGTTCACTCATGATTTGGCTCTCTGTTTGTCTGTTATTGGTGTATAGGAATGCTTGTGATGCTTGCACATTGAATTTGTATCCTGAGATTTTGCTGAAGTTGCTTGTCAGCTTAAGGAGTTTTGGGGCTGAGACGATGGAGTTTTCTAAATATACAATCATGTCATCTGCAAACAGAGACAATTTGACTTCCCCTCTTCCTATTTGAATACCTCTTATTTCTTTCTCTTGCCTGATTGCCCTGGTCAGAACTTCCAGTACTATGTTGAATAGGAGTGGTGAGAGAGGGCATCCTTGTCTTGTGCTGTTTTTCAAAGGGAATGCTTCCAGCTTATGCCCATTGAGTATAATAATGGCTATGGGTTTGAAATAAATAGCTCTTATTATTTTGAGATATGCTCCATCAACATCTAGTTTATTAAGAGGTTTTAGCATGAAGTGGTGTTGAATTTTATTGAAGGCCTTTTCTGCATCTATTGAGATAATCATGTGGTTTTTGTCATTGGTTCTGTTTATGTGATGGATTACATTTATTGATTTCTGTATGTTAAACCAGCCTTGCATCCCAAGGATGAAGCCGACTTGATCGTGGTGGATAAGCTTTTTGATGTGCTGCTGGATTTGGTTTTCCAGTATTTTACTGAGGATTTTCACATCAATGTTCATCAAATATATTGGCCTGAAATTTTCTTTTTTTGTTGTGTGTCTGCCAGGTTTTGGTATCAGGATGATGCTGGCCTCATAAAATGAGTTAGGGAGGATTCTGTCTTTTTCTATTGTTTGGAATAGTTTCAGAAGGAATGGTACCAGCTCCTCTTTGTACCTCTGGTAGAATTTGGCTGTGAATCCATCTGGTCCTGGGCTTTTTTTGGTTGGTAGGCTATTAATTACTGCCTCAATTTCATAACTTGTTATTGGTCTATTCAGGAATTCGACTTCTTCCTGGTTTAGTCTTGGGAGGGTGTATGTGTCCAGGAATTTAACCATTTCTTCTAGATTTTCTAGTTCATTTGCATAGAGGTGTTTATAACATTCTCTGATGGCAGTTTGTATTTCTGTGGGGTCCATGGTGATATCCCCCTTATCACTCTTTATTGTGTCTATTTGATTGTTCTCTCTTTTCTTCTTTATTAGTCTGGCTACTATTCTATCTACTTTGTTAATCTTTTCAAAAAACAGCTCCTGGATTCATTGATTTTTTGAAGAGTTTTTTGTGTCTCTATCTCCTTCAGTTCTGCTCTGATCTTAATTATTTCTTCTCTTCTGCTAGCTTTTGAATTTGTTTGCTCTTGCTTCTTTAGGATCCCCTATTTAATAAATGCTGCTGGAAAAACTGGCTAACCATATGCAGAAAACTCAAACTGTTACACCTTATACAAAAATTAACTCAAGATGGATTAAAGACTTAAACGTAAAACCTAAAATCATAAAAACCCTAGAAGAAAACCTGGGTAATACCATTCAGGACATAGGCATGAGCAAAGACTTTATGACTGAAACACTAAAAGCAATTGCAACGAAAGGCTAAATTTACAAATGGGATCTCATTAAACTAAAGATCTTCTGCTCAGCAAAAGAAACTATCATCAGAGTGAGCAGGCAACCTACAGAATAGGAGAAAACTTTTGAAATCTATCCATCTGACAAAGGTCTAATATCCAGAATCTACAAGGAACTTAAACAAATTTACAAGAAAAAAACAACCACATCAAAAACTGGGCAAAGGATATAAACAGACACTTCTCAAAATAAGACATTTATGCTGCCAACAAAGATATGAAAACAAGCTCATCCTCACTGATCATTAGAGAAATGCAAATCAAAACCACAATGAGATAGCATCTCACGCCAGTTAGAATGGAGATCATTAAAAAATCAGAAAACAACATGCTGGAGAGGATGTGAAGAAACAGGAACGCTTTTACACTGTTGGTGGGACTGTAAATTAGTTCAACCATTGCAGAAGACAGTGTGGAGATTCCTCAAGGGTCTAGAAGCAGAAATACCATTTGACACATCAATCTCATTACTGGGTATATACCCATGCACACGTATGTTTATTGCAGCACGGTTCACAATAGCAAAGACTTGGAATCAACCCAAATGCCCACCAATGATAGACTGGATAAAGAAAATGTGGCACATATACACCATGGAATACTATGCAGCCATAAAAAATAATGAGTTCATGTCCTTTGCAGGGACATAGACGAATCTGGAAACCATCATTCTCAGCAAACTAACACAGGAACAGAAAACCAATCACCACATGTTCTCACTCATAAGTGGAAGCTGAACAATGAGAACACATGGACACAGGGAGGGAAACATCACACACCAGGGCCTGTCAGGGGGTGGGGGGCAAGGAGGGGGAGAGCATTAGGACAAATACCTAATGCATGCAGGGCTTAAAACCCAGGTAATGGGTTGATGGGTGCAGCAAACCACCATGGCACATGTATACCTGTGTAACAAACCTGCACATTCTGCACATGTATCCCAGAAATTGAAGCATAATAAATAAATAAATAAATAAAATGAATAAATTTTTTTAAAGATAAGAAAAATCAGTGAGGGAAGGGGGACAAAGAGGAAGTATTTACTTTACCAGGTCAGTATTATACTACACAACCATAGTCATAAAGACAGTTCAATATTGGCATTAAAAAAGAAAACAATGGAACAGAAAAGGAAGCTCAAGAAAATATCCAAGTATTTATGGAAGCTTGATGTGTGAGAAAGGTGGCATCACAAATGAATGTGAAAAGAATTCAATGTTTAGTAGGGTATACTGGGAAAATTCCCTCTACATATAAAAATAATAAAATCAGAGCCCTGCTTTTAATCATGTAGAAATGTGAACTAACAGATGCATTAAAGGCCTAAATGTAAAAGCAGAAACCATAGAACTAATAGAAGATACAGAACGTCTTTGTGACCAAGAGGTAGGAAAGTACTTCTTAATAAGATACCAAAATTGTAAACCATTACATATTTTGTGGATTTACTCACCAAAAATCAAATATTTCTGTTCAACCAGGAATATCATGGACAAAACAAAGAAACAACAGACAAATGGCATACTAGAAAAAATATGTGCACGTCAAAGTACAACAAAGATTACTATCTAAGATAAATATGTAACTCTTATGAAACATTAGGGACATGATAGAAAATCCATAAAAAACTAGATAAAGCATATAAACAGACAATTCATAGAAAAGAACATGTGAATGTCTAATATTCCTATGAAGAGATGTTCAAAATGTACTAGGAATCAAGGAAATGCAGGTTAAAACAATGAAATTCTACTTTATGCCCAACAGAACAGCAAATGCTATAAAACTGAATAATACCAAGTAATAAACAATACATAAAGAAATGGGAACCTTCATACATTGCTGGCAGGAGTGTGAATTGCTACGGCTAGCCATTCTGGAAAAAAATTACGGCAATATTTCATGAAATTAAAACAAAATTGAAACTGGATACCTTAGTAGTTGTAAAAGGTACAAATGCACATTCCCTATGATGGAAAACTGGGTGAAATTCTCTAAGGTACATAAAATGAAAGCATTTTTTATGGGTGAAGTTGGAGAAAAAACTAGATGTCCATTTCTTGGGGAATAGACAAGGAAGAAGTGATAAGTGCATACTATGAGTATGTTAGGAGCAATAAATTAGATAAGCATATAACATCAAGGACAAATCATAAAGTCAGAAATCAGATGTGGTCTCTAGCACAATACTAGCTATACAAATCAAAAACACATGTGTGAAACAATACTACATGCTCCCTAAGAATATGTAAATATATAAATCCAAGAACACAGATGAAACATATCAGATAGAATAAGTGCCTATCGTAACAACTAACATTTATTGAACACTTATGTGCTTAGCCCTGTTTTAAATCTACTAACTAATGTACTAATTTAATTCTCAAAACATTTATCATTTTTATCCCTACTGTATAACTGAGGAAAATGATGCACAGAGAGGTTGATAGAGCAAGTGGGTGGTAGATGTGGAATTCAAGCCTAGGCAGTCCAGAGCCTGTGCTCTTTGCTTCCCCTATGTTCTCTGTGGAGAGGAGGCAAAAACTCAGGAGGGTAAATGAGAATAGTATGCCATGAATAAATAATTAACCCCCACACCTGAGATCTGCTAAAGGAAACAAAGTCTTCAATTACAGGATCTCCTTATTACAACTCCAAGTCAAGGGCTTATATAAAATGAGCAGGCAGATTATTAAATATTTGACCCTTTCTGGTTCTAAAATTTTCAAATCCTAATATTTGACTTTATGTTTTCTATGATAGAAGACCCAATCAGATACAGCATATCTGTGAAAAAAGAAAAATATATTATTTTTCACTTTTCTAGGGCAATCTAAATACTATGTCATAGAAATTAATTCTTAACACAAAGTAGGCACTTTCAGCAGGTAGATTATGATTTTAAGTTCTAGATTTTGGCAAACAAAGAAACTGGTTGCTCTGTTTATACACACAATACTAATACCACTAGCTAAATTAGCAGAACATTATTAGGGGGGAAATATTGTAACTTTAGCCCCTGAGGCTGCAAGTATTGTAGGGGTTATGTTATCATAACAGCTATGACATTTAGAGCAAAATAAAAACAAAGTAAAATACAAAGTAATCTTACAGTAGAATGCTTCCAGAAATGAATCATTTCAGTGATATTTGTTGCAGGATGCAGTAAAAAGTAGTACTTCCATTCATCCCAGTCTACTGTCATTGATCCATCACTATCCATGCTGAAATTTAAAAAAAAAGAAAATAGTACTTGTAACATTTATATCAAAGTTAGCACCACTATAAAAATAAATACTTCTTAAATATTTATTGTTGGAGTCACTCCTTTGGACTTTGTGAAATGACTGTATTTTCATATTGTTATTTAAGTGGACTTTATTTTTTAAGTAGTTTCAGATTTTCAGAAAAATTGAGACGATAACACAGAGAGTCCCATATGTCCCCACACTCAGTTTCCCCATTGGTAACATTTCACATTATTATTGTTATAATTAATGAACCAATATAGCTACATTATTATTCACTAAAGTCCATACTTTATTCAGAGTTTCTTAGTTTTTAACTAATGTCCTCTTTTTGTTTTAGGATCCCAGCTGAAATGGCACATTCTATTTGTCATCACATCTCCTTAGGCTCCTCTTGGCTATGATAGTTTCTCTTTCCCTGTTTTTGATAACCTTGATAGCTTCAAGGAGTGCTGATCAGGTAATTGGCAGAATGCCCCTCTAGTGGAATTTATTCCATATTGCTTTTTAATTATTTACTTGTATGTATTTCTCCCATATTTTCCTATGATGTTTTGAAGGGAAAGACCAAGTCATCTGTGTATCTCCAACACTTAGCATTCAATAAATATCTGTTGAGTGAATAAATAAATGGGTGAAAAGTGAATAAAACTGATTGAAGGGTAATTTTATGTCTTTTGGCTCTTCAAATATTATTTTTACTTCTTATCCTCTTCTCCCTATTTATAGCTTTTTAATCAAGTTTAAAACAACCTTTTATTTATGAATTTAAAGAGAAGACTCACTTTTTACCATGGAAAATTTAGGATTTACTCAATTTTTAAGCCTCTCAATTTTTTTTAAAAAAGGATCAGAAGTTGTTTCATTGTGTCTGACTAAAAGGTGGAATTAGTGAAATGCTTTTTAAGTAGCATTCTTGTAAATACAAATTCTAAAAAACAAATTCCATCCTGCCAACGAAAAGATTAGTACAATTTCCAGTTCTAGCCAAGACAAAATAGTGGCTATAGAACTTAGATTGCCACTGTAAACCAATCTGAAACTGGACACAATATATGAAAAATTGTTTTCAGGCATTGGTCTACAAACAGGACAGGGTTGTGATACTTAGAGAAGGAAACCGAGAAGTTGAGCTCTCCACTGATTCTCGTTTCCTGCTGGGGACACTCCAAATTGTAGCATAGATAAGTAGAAGCCTAAATAAAGAACAGGTGGGTAGAATAAACAAAGATTGGAGCTCAGGGCTGCTGAGAGGGCAGGATTTTCAGGTCAAATTTTGGACAGTGTTCCAGAAACTATACCGGTAACCTTGAATCTTTGGCTGAATACTAAGCTACACTTGACTCCATCAGCCTGACAAAAATAGCTGCTGGAGGACTGTGAGTTTATAGAAATTCAGTAGCTGAGCAATATTGGAGTCCAAAAAATAAAGCAAAGATGGAAGTGAGGGCAAGAAACATTACATACAGGAGGAACTGAAAAAAGCAACCACTGACATCAGAGTCAGCTCTTGATAGCAGACACCTTTTTTTTTTTTTTGAGACAGAGTTTGGCTCTTGTCGCCAAGCCCAAGCTGGAGTACAGTGGCACAATCTTGGCTCACTGTAACCTCCACCTCACAGGTTCAAGCGATTCTCCTGCCTCAGCCTCCTGAGTAGCTGAGATTACAGGCACCCGCCACCACACCCAGCTAATTTTTGTATTTTTAGTAGAGACAGGGTTTCACCATGTTGGCCAGGCTGGTTTTGAACTCTTGACCTCAGGTAATCCACCTGCCTCGGCCTCCCAAAGTGCTGGGATTACAGGCATGAGCCTCTGCGCCTGGCCGATAGTAGACATCTTTAGTGATAACTTCAAAGTGCTGAAAGAAAAAAAACTGTCAACCTAGAATGCAATTGCAATAAAAATAACCTTCAAAAATGAAGGTGATATAAAGACATTTTCAGGTAAACTAAATATTCCCTACAAAATTCACCTGTGGGCAATGTGCACCGCTTCAATCTGCTTTGCCTTATGACACTACATTGTAATCATCTGGAATTATCTACTAGCCTGAAACCCTCAAGTGGGGACTTTGGCTTGTTCACAACTGCATCTTTTGTAGCTGGAGCTATGACTGACATTTATAAAAGTTCTATAAATAAATTTTGAATAAATCATTGAGATCAGGAATTCATAATTTATCTTAGAGTATGATTCAGCAGGGTATTTCCAATTTTCCAAAAACAGTATAGCAACATATAAGTTTGTGAGTAAAGGCTTATAAAATATCACTTGTCATATCAATGAAAAAATCCATAGATTGACAACACTCCCAAGTTTTTATCAAACTTGTCCTGTTATTTCTTTTTTTAAAAAAGCTTTTTTTAATTTTAAGAAAGCTTATTTCTTGTTTAATTACTTATGAATACAGAACATATTCTGTATGATTCCAGTTCTTTATTAAAATCTTTTGCATTTCCTTTATGACCCAATGTATGGGCAATTCTTATAAACGCCCTATGTGTGCTTTAGGAAACACATATTCTTCAGTTTTTGAGTGCAATATTCTATGTATGTTTGCCAGGTAAAGGTTAGTGATGGTATTGCTATATTTAATCTTTAATGGTTAAATCTATACAAATTAGGAACTAGCTTGGGTCCCAAGACAGCTAGTCTTTCTGCCCAGCCTCAGAGGCTCCCAGTGACCCCAACCAGGCAGGGAGATGCCTACCTCTACCCATTTCAAAGAAGCAAAGGGACACGACCAGCTTGACTACGTAAGTCAAGCAGCAGCCATACCCTACCAAAAGCCCATCCCATGGATTCACCCTTAAAGGGAAATAATCCTCAATCATGCATTTCTAAGGAGCATTGCCCCTAGTCCCACCTATCACGAGCAGCAACTCTGCTTAAACTCAGAGCCCAGCTTATGGTCCTGCCCAACTAAAGAACCCAAATAGTGAAATTGTTCATTAAAAAAATACACTGTGACTGGCCTGACCAGAAGCCATCACAGTACTGCCTGATAGCAGAGCCCAGCCAGTGGTCTCATCAGATAGTGCAGCCCAGCCAGTATCTGATACCAGATGTTGATATCAGATGACATCAGAGCAAAGGCAGCATCTCAGCCAACTAGAGAACCCACAACAAGTTCTGCCTGCCAGGGGTCATCACCAGCTGGTCCTTCCAGAATCACAGGCTGGACTAAATAGTGAAGATTTATCCCTGCCTCAAAACAACTTTAAAGGACAGAAGAGAGGCTGCCTTGCAAATATGCAGATAACAATACAAGAACACAAGGATTACAGAAAATCAAGGAATCATAACACCTCCAAAAGAAAGTAATAAAGTGCCAATGATAGACCCCAAAGAAAAGGAGATCTATGAAATTACTGACAAAGAATTCAAAATAATCCTCTAAAAGATCAACATAAAAGTATACAAATATAACATTTAATGAAATTTGGCAAAACAATACACAAAGTGAGAAGCTCAACGATGAAATAAAAACATTAAAAAGAATCAAGTAGAAATCCTAGAGATGAAGAATACAATGACTGGACTGAAAAATTCGGTAAAAATTATTAACCACAGATTCTATCTTTCTTCTGATAGAATCAATGGGCCAAAAAATAGAAAATTTGAAATTATCCAGTCAGAGGAACAAAAAGACAAAAGACTGAAAAAGAATGAAGAAAACCTACAGGAACTATGGGATACCATCAAAAGATCAAACCTGGCCAGGTGTGGTGGCTCACACCTGTAATCCCAGCACTTTGGGAGGCCAAGGCGGGTGGATCACGAGGTCAGGAGATTGAGACCATCCTGGCTACCACGGTAAAACCCTGTCTCTACTAAAAATACTAAAAAATTAGTTGGGCATGGTGGTGGGTGCCTGTAGTCCCAGCTACTTGGGAGGCTGAGGCAGGAGAATGGTGTGAACCCAGAGGCAGAGTTTGCAGTGAGCCAAGATCGCACCACTGCACTCCAGTATGGGCGACACAGCGAGACTCTGTCTCAAAAAAAAAAAAAAAAAAAAAAAAAAAATCAAACCTTTGCATAATAGGATAAAGGGCAAGAACATGTATTTAAAGATACATTGGCTAAAGACTTCCCTAATTGGGGATAGATGCCAACATCCAGATATAGGAAACACAGAGATGTTCAATCAAATTCAACTCAAAGAAGAGTTCACCAAGACACATAGTAATCAAACCACCAAAAATCAAAGACAAAAAATTCTGAGAGCAGCAAAAGATAAGAAACATATCACGTAAAAAGGAGTGCCAATACAACTATCAGTAGATTTCTCAGCAGAAACCCTACAGGCCAGGAGACAGTGAGATGATACATTCAAAGTGCTAAAGAAAAAAAAACTGCCAACCAAGAATACTTTATCTGCAAAACTGTCATTCAGAAATGAGGCATAAAAACTTTCCCAGAAAAAAGCTAAGGGAGTTCATTATCATGAGACCTGCTTTGCAAGGATTGCTAAAGGGAGTTATTTAAGCTGAAACAAAAGGCTGGTAATTAATGACACGAAACAAATGAAAGCACTAAGCTAAATGGTGTAAGTAACACAGATACATATTTAGAATATTCTGGGAATGTAATGGTGACAAAGCAATTTTATCCCTGGTGCAAGGGTTAAAAGAAAACTATTAATAACTGTAGCTAAAATAAATTGTCGAAAGAAACACATTATAAAATGACATAAATTCTGACATCAAAAGCATAAAATATGGGGAAGGGGCCATAAAAGTACTTTGCTATGTACAAAGTTGAGTTGTTATCAGCTTGAAATAGGCTATTACAAGTATAAGATGCTCTATGTAGGCCTCATGGTAACCACAAATCAAAAATCTTTAGCAGAAGGACAAAACAAAAATAGAAAGCATTCAAAGCATTCCACTACAGAAAAATATCAAACAATAAAGGAAGATAGCAAGAGAAGGAGAGAGAAACTAAGTATCTACAAAACAAGCAGAAAACAATTCACAAAATGGTAGTATTAAGTCCTTACCTATCAAAAATTACCTCGAATGTAAATGTATTAAATAACTGAATAGAAAGATATAGAGTGATAAATGGATTTTAAACGTCCTGTTTTTTTTAAAGAAATTTTTTAAATCGAATGCTGTGTACAAAAGACTCTTCTTACTTTTTTTTTTTTTTTTTTTTTTTTTTGAGACGGAGTCTCGCTCTGTCGCCCAGGCTGGAGTGCAGTGGCGGGATCTCGGCTCACTGCAAGCTCCGCCTCCCGGGTTCACGCCATTCTCCTGCCTCAGCCTCCCGAGTAGCTGGGACTACAGGCGCCCGCCACTACGCCCGGCTAATTTTTTGTATTTTTAGTAGAGACGGGGTTTCACCGTTTTAGCCGGGATGGTCTCGATCTCCTGACCTCGTGATCCGCCCGCCTCGGCCTCCCAAAGTGCTGGGATTACAGGCGTGAGCCACCGCGCCCGGCCGACTCTTCTTACTTTTAAGGACACATATAATTGAAACTATTTTGGAAAACAAGAGAGCAGGGATAGCTAAACTTATTTAAGACAAAATAGATTTTAAGTCAAAAATTGTAAAAAGAGACAAAGTAACACATTATATAATGACACAGGACTCAATTCATCAAGAGAACAGAACAGCTATAAATATGTACTCACCCAACACTAGACCATGATTTATAAATTATAGGATCTGGAGGGAGAGATATTGCAATATGATAATACTCAGGAGCTTCAATACCCCAGTTTCAACAATGGATATCTAATCTAGAAAGAAAATTAGTAAGGAAAGATTGGACTTGACCAACATTTTCAACCAAATGAACCTAACAGACAAATATGAAACCTTTCATCCAACAGAAACAGAATACACATACTTCTCAAGGGCACACAGAACATTTTCCAAGACAGATCATGTTAGGGCACAAAACAAGCCTCAGCAAATGTAAGAAGACTGAAATAGTATCAAATCTCTTCTGACCAAAATGCCATTAAACCAGAAATAAATAGCAACAGGAATTTTGGAAAATTCACAGATCCATAGAAACTGAACAGGCCCTAAACAACAAACGAGTCAATGAAGAAATTAAAAGGAAAATTTTAAAAATATCTTGAAACAAACTAAAATGGAAATACAACATACCAAAACTTGTGGGATACAGCAAAAGCAGTTCTAAAAGTGAAATTTACAGCAATAAATCCCTAGATAAAAAAAGAAGAAACATCTCAAATAATTAACCTAATGTTACACCTAAAGGAACTAGAAAAAGAACAAACTAAGTGAAAAGTTAGCAAAGAAAAAAAAAGAAATATTAAAAATCAAAGCAGAAATAAATGAAAGGCCAGGCGTGGTGGCTCACCCCTATAATCCTAGCACTTTGGGAGGCTGAAGCAGGCAGATCACTTGAGGTAAGGAGTGCAAGACCAGCCTGGCCAACATTGTGAAACCCTGTCTCTACTAAAAATACAAAAATTACCTGGTGTGGTGGCACACGCCTGTCATCCCAGCTACTCAGGAGGCAGAGGCAGGAGAATCACTTGAACCCGCGAGGTGGAGGTTGCAGTGAGTCGAGGTCACACCACTATCCACCACTTTCCCTCTGATGCATCACTAATTACTTTAAACCTAAGTGGATTAAACTCTCCAACCAAAAGATAGAGATTAGCAGAAAAATGAGAAAATGGTCCAACTATCTGCTGTTTATAAGAAACTCACTTAAGAGCCAAAGACACAAATACATTGAAAGTAAAAGAATGAAAAAAAATTCCATGCAAATGGTAACCAAAAGAGACCACTGATAGCTATACTAATATGAGATAAAACAGACTTTAAACTAAAAAAAAAAAATGAGATAAAGGACATTATATAATGATAAAAGTTTCAATACATCAAGAAGATACAATAATTACAAATATTTTTTGCATATAACAGGCCATCAAAACATATAAAGCAAAAATTGGAAGAATAGAAGGGAGAAATAGTTAGTTCTACAATATTAGTTGAAGAATTCAATACCCCAAACTGAATAATGAATAGAATAACCAAACAGAAGATAAGTAAGGAAACAGAGAATTTGAACACCATAAACCATCTAGATCTAACAGGCATATACAGAATATACTATACAACAGGAAAAAAATACACACTCTTCTCAGTAACACAGAGGACATTCTCCAGAAAAGATCATACTCTAGGTCACAAAACAAGTCTTAATAAATTTTAAAAGACTGAAATCATGCCAAGTATCTTTTCTTACCACAGTGGATGAAACCGGAAATCAATGACAAAATTAAAACTGGAAAGTTCATAAATGGGTAGAAATTAAATAACACACTCTTGAAAAACTATGGGTCAAAGAAAAAATAAGAAAAATTAGAAAATATCTTTAGACAAATGAAATCAAAAGTACAAGATACCAAAACTTACGAGATATGGCAAAAAGCTGTACTAAGAGAGAAGTTTACAGAGATAAATGCTTACATTTAAAAACAACAAAAAAAAAGAATAAAGATCTCAAATCAGCAACCTAACTTTACAACTTAAGGAACTAAAAAAAAAGAGCAAATTAAATCCAAAACTAGCAGGCAGAAAAAATAAAGATTAGAACAGATATAGATGAAATGAGAAAAGAAATATAATAGAGAAAAACAACTAAATCATAAGTTAGTTCCTCAAAAAGATCAACAAAATCGGCAAACCTTTAGGTGGATGGACTAAGAAAAAAGAAAGAAACAAGAGTCAAATTACTAACATCAGAAATGAAAGTGGGGACATAACTACTGATTCTATGGATATAAAAAGGATTATAAGAGAGTACAATACACTATATGCCAACAAATTGGTTACCCTGGATGAAATAGAAAATTCCTAGAAACACAAAACCTACCAAGACTAAATTATGAAGAAATAGAAAATCTGAATAGTCTATAACTAATGAGGAGGTTGAATCAGTAATCAAGAATCTCCCAATTAAAAAAAAAAAAAGAAAAGCCCAGGATCTGATAGCTTCACTGCTAAATTCTATGATTTAAAAACTAACCCCACTACTTCTCAAACATTTCCAAATAAACTTTTAAAATTTGATTCATCCTATGAGGCCAGTATATACCCTATGAGGCCTATGAGGCCCAATACCAAAGCCATACAAAGACACTACAAGAAAAGAAAATTACAGACCAATGTCTCTCATGAACACTAATACAAGAATCCTCCAAAAAAATGATAGCAAACTGAATTTATTAGGTTAAAAAGGTTATACACCATCCTCAAGTGATATTTATTCCTGGAATACAAGGAGGGTTCAACATTTTAAAAAATCAATCAGTGTAATACATAACATTAACAGAATGATGGCAAAAAACACAAACATCGCAATTGATGCAGTAAAAGCATTTGACAAAAGTCAACAACCTTTCATGATAAAAGCACTCAACAAACTAGGAATACAAGAAAACTATCCTCAATATGATAAAAATCGTATGTGAAAAACCTACAATGAACATCATACACAATAGTGAAAGACTAAAAGCTTTTTTCTCTAAGATTAGAAATAGGCAAGTATGCCCACTTTCATCACTTCATTCAACGTAGTACTGGAAGTTCTAATCAGAGCAATTAGGTTAGAAAAAGAAATAAAAGCCATCCAATTTGGAAAGCAAGAAGTAAAATTATCCCTTTTTCAGATGATATGACTTTATATTTAGAAAATCCTAAAGACCCACCCCCCCCACACACACACAAAATGTTAGAATAAACAAATTCAGCAAAGTGGCAAGATGCAAAGTCAACACAAAAAAATCAGTTGCATTTCTATACCTATATGCTAACAATAATTAATCCGAAAAGGAAATTAAGGAAACAATGCCATTAAAGCATCAAAAGAATAAAGCACTTAGGAATTAACCTAACCAAGAAGGTAAAAGACTTATGCAATGAAAACTATAACACATTTCTGAAACAAATTAAAGAAAACATAAATAAATGGAAAGATGTCCCACGTTCATGGGCTGGAAGACTTAATATTGTTAAGATGTCTATACTACCCAAAACAATTTACAGATTCAGTGCAATCCCTACCAAAATCCCAATGATGAATTTGCAGAAGTAGAAAAACCCATACTAAAATTCACATGGAATCTCAAGGGACCCCAAATAGCCAAAACAATTCTGAAAAAGAAGAACAAAGCAGGAGGACTCACTTCTTGATTTCAAAACTTACTGCAAAACAAGAGTGATTAAAACAGTGTGCTACTAACATAAAGACAGAAATATACACCAGTGGAATAGAATAGAGAGCCAAGAAATAAACACTTAGGCATATGTGCTCAAATAATTTTTGACAACAGTGCAAAGACCATTCAATAGGGAAAAGACAGTTTTTTCAACAAATGAAGCTGGGAAAACTGAATATCTGCATGCAAAAGAATGACATTGGACCCTTAATTAACACCCTATTAAAAATTAATTCAAAAAGGATCTATGACCTACATGTAACTCTTAAAATTATGAAACTTTAGAGAAGACGACACAGGGCAAAATCTTCTCGACAATGGATTTGGCATTGATTTCTTAGACATGACATCAAAGGTACAGGCAACCAAAACACGACAAATTGGACTTCATGAAAATTTAAAACTTTGTGCATCAAAAGTAAAAAGGAGACTCATAAAACGGAAGTAAACATTTGCAAATCATATATATAATAAGGGGTTCATATACAAACTATACAGAAAACTCCTAAAAATCAACAACAAAAAAAAACCTAATTTGAAAATGAACAAAGAACTTGGACATTTCTCCAAAGAAGTTATACAAATGGCTACTAAGCACATGTAAAGATGCCCAGCATCACTAAAGAGGAGTCCAGATGGTTTGGACTTCTAGCAACAACCAAAAAAAAAAAAATCTCACCAATAAAGAGCTTTACAGTCTTCAGACCTAACTCCTAAAATTCAATAGGAGTTATATCTGAAGACTGCTAAGCATTGACAGAAAATAAATAAAATAATTTTTTTCTCTTGATATTCTGAAACTTCCATCTAAATAGTTTAAAAATAATCAAGTCAAGACTGGCCTAGAGAAGGAAGGTATTCCTAATTTAGATGAGGTTCTAAAACAATCAGCTGAAGTGTACACCCATGGATCAAAGTCTGACTTCCCCTAGACCTTGGTGTGGATGTCAGAAAGAGAATAGCTCTGGGGCTCTTATCTGTGCCTGTCGTTTGGAGACGACCCTGAAGCACACTGCCCTGGGCAGAGAAACCCCTAAGAAAAGAGATGTTCCTTTACTTCTGCACAAAGGCTAACATGGCGCCTGACGTTGTGTGCTGGTTCCATAAATTTTGAACGAGTCACCAGAAACAGCATCTCCCCAAAAGCCCCCTGAAGGTCTTTGTCACTACGGAAAGTGGCTTTTTTTTTTTTTTTTTTTTTTTGAGATGGAATCTCGCTCTGTCGCCTGGGCTGGAGCGCAATGGTGCTATCTCGGCTCACTGCAACTTCCGCCTTCCGGGTTCAAGCGATTTTCCTGCCTCAGCCTCCGGAGTAGCTGGGATTACAGGCGCGCGCCACCACGCTCGGCTAATTTTTGTATTTGTTTAGTAGAGACGGGGGTTTCACCATGTTGGCCAGGCTGGTCTCGAATGCCTGACCTCAGGCGATCCACCCGCCTGGGCCTCCCAAAGTGCTGAGATTACAGGCGTGAGACACCGCGCCCGGCCGGAAAGTGGCTATTTTAAGAAGATTGAGAACATGTTTCGTTGGGTCGCATTATTCTGCGTGACGAGGCTCACAGAGGAGAACCCCACCCTTACTCCAAAGGCCTTTGAAAGCAGCTCTGGAAAGGGCAGGGTTTGCTTCTCCCTCTGCCCAACGTCTCCCCAGGCTGCCTGTGCCACCTTCCGGTCTCACCTCCTCGGAGTTGGGGTCAAACGCGGAGCTCCAGTTTCTCAGCCCCTCCTGGAGCTCAATGATGTCCACCACGCCGTCCCCATTGCAATCCAGGTCTTCGAAGAGGATCCCGTAGCGTAAGTAGTCATCGTTATCCTGGCAGGCCACCGCCTCCAGCACGAAGCCCTGCATCCAGAGCAGCATGGCTGGGTCCAGAGGCTGCGGGGACCACTCGGCCACCCAGCCAGCACCGCAGCACTCGCCGCCGCCTCCTCGACGCCTGGCTGCGCAAGGCAGGGGGTCCCGGCCGTCCGCCAGCTTCTGCAACTGTCTAGCGGAGCCGCCGCAGTTCGGAGCCCACGCGGGCCAAGCCACCCGCGCCTGCGGGCTCTTGGGCGCCACGGAAAGGCTGCGCCACCTTGTGGGACCTCTGGCCGAGGCGCCACGCGACAGTTGAGACGCCAGATGTGAGTTGAGGTGCCAGACGTGAGTTGAGGTGCCAGACGTGGCGGCGTTGGGTACCCAGGACCCTCGGACGGGTAGGTCGACGGGGGAACCAAGGGACGTTTGGGGAAAGGGAGCGCATTCCCCAGCAGGCTTGAAAGGGCACTCGCGGGTGTTTAAGATTCTCGCGGTACAGACTCAGTTCCTGCCGGAAGTCACTGCTGCGGGAGATGTGGCATGGAGTGAGCTGCTCAGACTCGCTCTTATGCCAGCATCCAGTACTCTGGTGCCACCCTTCCTCCCAGGACGACCTGCACCTGGGGGTCAGGACCCCGGCGACCCCCAAAAGAGGTCTAAAGAGGGAAGGCCTCCTGAGGAGCCTCTGCCCTGTCCCTGTCTCTTCCCTCCTTACCGGCCTAGCCCATGTTGGCAAACCTATTTTGGCCATACTGGGATTAGACTTTTCATGTTCTTATATGACCTTTTTCCAGTTAATTGGATTGGGTGCAGAAATACTTCTATCTCTATTAATAAAAGAAAAATAAAAATAAATAATAACTAAAGGGAAGATACATACAGATTAAAATTAGAACATGTCTCCAAATCCAGAAATATGAAACACACATCATAACAGTTCCAATTTATATGCCACATTTCTATTCATAAATTTTGTTCTAAAATAAAGAGAAAAAATAAATAGCAAAATACTTTAAAGTAGATCTGAAGCATTCAAAGTATTTTTTGGTATGCATTTATTTTAAATCAATCTCTGATTTTTATTATCTATAGGGCTATTAAGGGATCCAGTTGCCGTTTATTTTTCCTCTATATTTTAGAAGTTCGTATAAACAAATTTAATTTCTAATTCCTTGTTAATTATGAGGCATGATAACACATACTAATTTATCAAGATGTGCTTTATATTAGTCACATTTATGTGAACTTTAGGAGTTGATTATATTTAAGTTTCAAATCTTTCTAGTAATCCTATTAAGAAAAAAAGGGAGAATCTAACTAAAAATTGACTTTGGTTACTCAAATTTATGTTAATTGTGCATTTATATTCATTTCAATTTTTAGAAAATTTAACAACTTAATCCCATCATTAATCATTTATTAAGTACCCTATCCCAACCTGAGAAAATTAAATTTCTCTAATTTCACAGCAAATTCAAACATGGCATTTAACAAGAGGGAAAAAATGGTATCAAATATTCTTCTGAATTTTAACACTTTACAGTGAGAGCAGATTTTAACTACATTTTAATAACCTTGAGAAGTATGTTACAACCCCAAATATTAAAGTAACTCAAAATCTTTAATTTATAAAATGGCAGAAATATCTGTGTCCTGAAAAACTGGAAAAATGGACTGATCTAATGTATTACTAGTTGTTTGGTATATTATAAATTATATAATTATAGTTACATTTATTAAATCACAATTTTAGAACCCATCTAATCTTTATAATGTAGCTATACATAGACATCTTAAAATATCTTTGGCCTAGTCTCTTTCAACATAAATTGAAAAGATAGAGGCAAAAAAAGTAGGGATGGATGAGAATACTATTCATCCTTCATGTAAGTTTAAGACTGTAAAGGGAAGTTCCAGTCAGCCTTTGTTCTAGTAGATCGGAGCTTGAAAGTAAAGTATAAAGTACATAGAGAAAAAAAGAAAAACTCAGTCTTTTTTAACACAGATTTAAGTATAAGAGCTCACACATTTTTCTGAATTACTTTGGTCACGTTGGTGATTTCGTGTAATGTTTAAATATTAAAAAAAAAAGCAAGCGTAGCTAAAAATGTCTGTATCTCTAAATAAGAGTGCTCAGAAAAGGAATAAGAGGTCACCATTATTCCATTGACAACACTGGTAGGAGACTGAGGTATTCTGATGCCATGAAATTCTGTTTAGGACTTTCTATTTTGTTTTGTCTATTTTAGAGAAAGAAAAGGAGCCCAAACTTGACTGTTTTGCTATGAATTATAGTTTTAAATGCGTGAGTTTTCTATTAGTGCTTTCAAACATTTTAAATGTTCGCATATGGCAAGGAGAGGTGAAAAAATAAAAATAAATTTAAAATGCACATAAAGCACTAAAATGTTAGCTTTTTAAAATACAAAGTAGAGAATTCAGGAAAACTTCAAAATATTCCAACTGTTTAATATGAAATACTAGGTTAATTATATACTTAGGTTATATTCTGTATTATAAATTGCATTCTAATCCACTTAAATGCAAATTTCTATGACTGTTCATTAAAATTTGGAGAAATATAAATAGATTTTATGAATGTTGAAGATTTTAATTCACCAATAAATTAATAAACTGTTTCTTGTTTACTTAAAATTCAATATTTAATTTGTAAGTTTACCTCTTGGGAAAATGGATATAGCATCTTTTCATACAGACCTTTTGCAAATTAAGGAAAAAGCCAAGACATTTTCATGTTTATAAACAAGTGTCCAGATAATGACGGTTCAAGATTTCATTTCTGCTTTTTATTTTTGAGACGGAGTTTCACTCTGGTTGCCCAGGCTGGAGTGCAGTGGCACAATCTCGGCTCACCGCAACCTCTGCCTCCTGGGTTCAAGCGATTCTCCTGCCTCAGCCTCCTGAGTAGCTGAGATTACAGGCGTGTGCCACCATGCCTGGCTAATTTTGTATTTTTAGTAGAGATGGGGTTTCTCCATGTTGGTCAGGCTGGTCTTGAACTCCCGACCTCAGGTAATCCGCCCACCTCAGCCTTCCAAAGTGCCGAGATTACAGGCGTGAGCCACCATGCCCGGCCTCAAGATTTCGTTTGTAAAATATTCCCCAAGAGCGGTTTTGCTGATTCATAAACCACACAGTTTACAACACACTGAAGTAAGAAACTTTATGAAATATGGAGTCATGCCTCTGGAAAATCCTGTCACTCCACTCCTTTTATAAATTTAAGAAAATAAGCTGATCATATTTAGCTGTGGGACTCATATCATGGCTAGAGAATTCAAGGAAAGGGAAAAGTCCAATTAATTTGATATTTTAGCTTTCTTTTAAATAGTAAGCTAAAACTTGCTAAAACAGATAATAAAATAAAATTAATTAAATTACTTCACAAGGATCCCCAAGGGAAAATCTCTGGTTAATTACACTTTATAGTCGGAGGCTCTCATGGAACTATGTGATGATCATCACTATTTAATTTTCATTCCTTTTAGGAACAAAGTCAGTCCACTAATGGTGAAATCTACTTATAATTATTGTGGAGTTACAATTTTAAAAATTCTCTAGGCATACACAGATACCTTCATTCAACCTCTCATGTCTTAAGAACATCTCAAATTCAGAAACAAAAAAAAATATGTTTCTCATTCCATGTTTCACTTTTCAGGGAATGGCTGCACCATTCATATAGCTTCTGAAACTGAAAACCTGGAATGTATCCATGACATTTCCCTCTCCTTCATCTTACACATCTAAACCATCACCTACCAGTTTCACTCTCCAAGTTTCTCTCAAATCCATCCACTTATCTTCATGTCCACTGCCACACCTTCTGTCTCCAAACTACCATCATCTCTTGCCTAGACTGTTGTGATTACCCTCCTCTTTCCATTTTTTTCTCTATCCTTTAACCAGAGTAAACTTCCAACAATGCAAATCTGATACTTTCCTTCTTCAGTAATTTCCCATTATGCTTAAAGACAGTATCATCTGACCTCTGTTTCCTCCTCCCAACTCACCTGTACCACTCTTGCTTTCTGTACTCCAGCCATACAAGCTACTTTTCAGTTTCTCAAAGTGTCCCATTCTTCTTCCTTCTTCAGGCTCATTACACATGCTTTCCCCTTTGCATGAAAGTCATTCCCTGTTCTTTGCTCATTTAACTCCACCTCAGTCTTCAGCTCTCAGTTCAGTATTTTTCTCTGTTCATATATTTTTTAAGAAACTCTTTCCAGAACTTCCTCATTTCCCCTATTAATGGCCCTCAGAGAACCCTATTTTTCCTCTGTAGCTATAATCGCAGTTTATAACTATATATTTGTATAAATGTTTAATTAATTTCTGTCTTCCCTACTAGACTATCAATTCTATAACAGCAGGGTCTCTGTTTGCTCACCCGAACCCCATGTGTTTGGCACATTGCACAGTACCTGGCTACCTTAAATTCTCAAATTACAATAGCTAGTATTTTTCTTTCTAATCTTTATATTTTGCTAGCATTTTTCTCTCTAATCTTTATATTATATTCCCAAAATTGATGTAGCTAAATAGAGTGAAATCAATAGGCAATTGAAAAGTAAGTCTTTCACTGTTTTAGTCTAAACATTCTGTTCCCCCCTCCCACCCACCCCTACAAGAAATTAAATAACTCCTTTAAAATGTAGAGAAGATCCCTTGAAAATTTAGAAAATATTTACTTGCCACGGAATTTCTTGGAAAATGTTCTATTGCTATATGCGTCTTTTTGCTTTTTAATCAGAAACTAGTAACATCCCCTCCAGTTTTTATAGTTTTGTAATTAAATTGGAAACTTTCTTACTTTTTTCTAATGTTGAACTTACTTTGCCCATTGATTTTCTCCCAACTTATTATGAAAACTGTAAACTCTAAAAAGGATGGCACAATGAACATTTATATATTCACCACCTATAAAATTTAACATTTTGCCATAATTACATTTTGTCTCTCTCCATTCTACTTAAACATATATATAAATGTGTGTGTGTCTATCTGAGCCATTTGAAAGTAAGTTACAGATATGATGACACTTAACCATAAAGTACTTGGACATATCCTAAAAACAAGGAGATTAGCTTACATAACCACAATGCCATAATTATATTTTAGAAATTTAAAAATAATTCTCTATTACTTGAGATGCTAAGGCAGGAGGATCACTTGAGCTCCGGAGTTTGAAGCCAGCCTGGGCAACATAGCAAAGCCCTGTCTCTTTAAAAATAAATAAATAAATAAATAAACAAACAAACAAATAACCTCTATACCATCAATACTTATTCTATATTCAAATTTTCCCAATTGTCCCCAAAATGCCATTTACAGATTTTTTCAAACTAATATCCAAATAAATTTACCCATTGCCCTTACTATGTTTATTCTCTTAATCAAGACTAGTAACAGTCCACCACCAACACTGTTTTTTCCACAACAATGACTTTTTGAAGAACCCAGCTCAACTGTCTTGTAGAATATTCCACAATCATGATTTGTTTGATTGTTTCTTAATGGTATTGTTTAACTTGTTCCTCCATCACCTGTATTTTCTACAGTTCTAAAGACATGGTCAGATTCTAGTAAAAAAATCTGGGCAAAAATACTTCATAGGAGAGGCTATGAAATTTGCTGTCTCCTCAGTTTAATAACATCTTTGTTTTCTTTCTAAAATATTTACCATCTGTCCTGTAACTTGGACCCTATTCACCTAAGCTGAAATTTGTTAAATATCTAAGAAAAAAAAACAGGGTGAATGAAGTTCTTATGTCAATGTACTTTTCTTCTCTCTCTTTGTTTTTCTTGCATTGTTTGCTCTCCCATTGTTTGTTCTCCCATAACTTGAAGCAGTGACTTTCTTCCTTATTACTAGCAATAAGGAAGGACATCTTATAATAATAAAAGGGTCAATCCTAAATTTATGTGCACATAATAATATAGCTTCAAAATACATAATGCTAAAGTGGCAAACGTAGAGGAGTAATAGGGAAATCCACAATCATGGTTAGAGATTTAAACATACCTTTTTCAGTAGCCAGTAAGACAAGCAGACAAAAAAATTAATAGGAATCTAAAACATTTGAATAACACATTTAACTAATTGATCTTATAGAACACATATATAGAACACAAAATACAACTTCAAAATCCATTTATTTGAAAGAACAGAAATCATACAAAGCACATTCTGATGGCAGTGCAATTAAAACAGGAGTTCACCGTCAGGAAGGTAATTGGAAAAATCCCCAAATGTTTGTAAATTCAGCAATATATTTCTACATAACTGATGGGTGAAGAAGAAATCACAATGGAAACTGGACATTTTGAAATAAACAATAATGAAAACATTACATATCAAAATTTATTGAGTGTAGGGAAAGCAGAACTTAGAGGGAAATTAAAACTTTAAATTAATATACTAGAAAAGAAAAAAAAAGTCAATTATTTAAGACAGGGATTGGCAACCTTTTTCTGTTACTGTCCAGATAATAAATATTTTAGGCTCCGCAGGCCATGTGATCTCTCGCAGTTACTCAACTCTGCCCTTGTAGCCATAGACAATACAAAAACAAATGGAAGTGGCTGTGTTACAATTAAATTCAATTTACAGAAATAGGTGGCAGGTCAGATTTGGCCCTCAGGCCAAAGTTTGCCAACCCATGACCTAAACTTCAAACCCAGGAAACTAAACAGGAAAATAAACAGAAAGAAAGGAGGATGAAATAGTAAAGATAGGAGTAGAAACTAATGAAACAGGCCAGGTATGGTGGCTCACACATGTAGTCCCAGCAATTTGGGAGGCTGGGCAGGCAGATCACTTGAGGTCAGGAGTTCAAGACCAGTCTGGTCAACAAGGTAAAAAATCAGCCAGGCATGGTAGTGCATGCCTGTAGTCACAGCTACTTGGGAGGCTGAGGTACATGAATCCCCCATATCATTTCTGATTGTGTTTATTTGAATTTTCTCTCTTTTCATCTTTATTAGTCTTGCTAGTGGTCTATTTTATTGCCTTTTTTTTTTTTTTTCCAAAAAACCAGCTCCTAGATTTGTTGATTTTTTGAAGGGTTTTTCATGTTTCTATCTCCTTCAGTTTCACTTTGAGCTTCATTATTTCTTTTCTTTTTTTTTTAAATTATTATTATACTTTAAGTTTGAGGGTACATGTGCACAATGTGCAGGTTAGTTACATATGTATACATGTGCCATGCTGGTGTGCTGCACCCATTAACTCGTCATTTAGCATTAGGTATATCTGCTAAAACTATCCCTCCCCCCTTCCCCCACCCCACAACAGTCCCCAGAGTGTGATGTTCCCCTTCCTGTGTCCATGTGTTCTAATTGTTCAATTCCCACCTATGAGTGAGAATATGCAATGTTTGGTTTTTTGTTCTTGTGATAGTTTACTGAGAATGATGATTTCCAATTTCATCCATGTCCCTACAAAGGACATGAACTCATCCTTTTTTATGGCTGCATAGTATTCCATGGTGTATATCTGCCACATTTTCTTAATCCAGTCTATCATTGTTGGACATTTGGGTTGGTTCCAAGTCTTTGCTATTGTGAATAGTGCCGCAGTAAACATATGTGTGCAAGCGTCTTTATAGCAGCATGATTTATAGTCCTTTGGGTATATACCCAGTAATGGCATGGCTGGGTCAAATGGTATTTCTAGTTCTAGATCCCTGAGGAATCGCCACACTGACTTCCACAAGGGTTGAACTAGTTTACAGTCCCACCAACAGTGTAAAAGTGTTCCTATTTCTCCACATCCTCTCCAACACCTGTTGTTTCCTGACTTTTTAATGATTGCCATTCTAACTGGTGTGAGATGGTATCTCATTGTGGTTTTGATTGAACTTCTCTGATGGCCAGTGATGGTGAGCATTTTTTCATGTGTTTTTTGGCTGCATAAATGTCTTCTTTTGAGAAGTGTCTGTTCATGTCCTTCGCCCACTTTTTGACAGTGTTGTTTGTTTTTTTCTTGTAAATTTGTTTGAGTTCATTGTGGATTCTGGATATTAGCCCTTTGTCAGATGAGTAGGTTGCAAAAATTTTCTCCCATTTTGGAGGTTGCCTGTTCACTCTGACAGTAGTTTCTTTTGCTGTGCAGAAGCTCTTTAGTTTAATTAGATCCGAGCTTCATTATTTCTTGTCTTCTGCTAGCTCTGCGGTTTGTTTGCTCTTGGTTCTCTAGTTCTTTTAGTTGTACTGTTAGGCTGTCAATTTGAGATCTTTCTAGCTTTTTGATGTGGGCATTTAGTGCTATAAATGTCTCTCTTAACACTGCTTTTGCTGCACCCCAGAGATTCTGGTACGTTGTCTCTTTGTTCCCATTGGTTTCAAAGAACTTCCTGATTTCTGGCTTAATTTCATTATATACCCAGGAGTCATTCAGGAGCATGTTGTTCAATTTCCATGTAGTCGTGTGGTTTTGAGTGGGCTTCTTAATCTTGAGTTCTAATTTGATTGCACTGTGGTCTTAGAGACTGTTTGTTATTATTTCAGTTCTTTTTGCATTTGATGAGGAGTGTTTTACTTCCAATTATGTGATCAATTTTCGATTAAGTGCCATGTGACACCAAAAAAAATGTATATTCTGTTGTTTTGGGTGGAGAGTTCTGTAGATATCTATCAGGTCCACTTGGTCTAGAGCTGAGTTCAAGTCTTGAATATATTTGTAAATGTTCTGTCTCAATGATCTGTGTAATATTGACAGTGGGGTATTAAAGTTTCCCACTATTATTGTGTGGGGGTCTAAGTCTCTTTGTAGGTCTTTAAGAACTTGTTTTATGAATCTGGGTGCTCCTGTATTGGGTGCATGTATATTTAGGATAGTTAGCTCTTCCTGTTGAATAGATCCATTTACCATTATGTAATGCCCTTCTTTGTCTTTTTTGACCTTTGTTGGTTTAAAGTTTTTTCTGTCAGAAACTAGGATTGCAACCCCTGTTTTTTTTTTTCTGCTTTCCATTTGCTTGGTAAATTTTCCTCCATCCCTTAACTTTGAGTCTGTGTTCATCTTTGCACATGAGATATGTCTCTTGAATACAGCATACCGATGAGTCTTGTCTTTGTATCCAACTTGCCATTCTGTGTCTTTTAATTGGGGGCATTTAGCTCATTTACACTTAAGGTTAATATTGTTATGTGTGAATTTGAACCTGTCATCATGATACTGGCTGGTTAATTTTGCAGACTTGTTAATGTAGTTGTTTCATAATGTCACTGATCTGTGTACTTCAGTGTGTTTTTGTGTGTGATTTTGCTATCCATGTTTAGTACTTCCTTCAGGAGCTCTTGCAAGGCAGGCCTGGTGGTGATGAAATCCCTCAGCATTTTCTTGTCTGAAAAAGATTTTATTTCTCCTTTGCTTATGAAGATTTGTTTGGTCTGATATGAAATTCTGGGTTGGCATTTCTTTTCTTTAAGAATCTTGAATATTGGACCCCAATCTTGTCTGGCTGGTAGAGTTTCTGCTGAGAGGTCCGCTGTTAGTCTGATGGGCTTCCCTTTGTACGTGACCTGGCCTTTCTTTCTGGCTGCCGTTAACATTTTTTCCTTCATTTCAACCTTGGAGAACCTGATGATTATGTGCCTTGGGGTAGATCTTTTTGTGGAGTATCTTACTGGGGTTCTCTGGATTTCCCTGATTTGAATATTGGCTTGTCTTGTTAGGTTGGGGAAGTTCTCCTGGATGATATACTGAAGTGCGTTTTCCAACTCGGTTCCATTCTCCCCAACTCTTTCAGGTACTCCAATCAGTCATAGGTTCCATCTTTTTACATACTCCCATAGTTCTCATAGGTTTTGTTTGTTCCTTTTCGTTCTTTTTTCTCTAATTTTGTCTGCCTGCCTTATTTCAGCAAGATAGTCTTCAAGGTCTGATATCTTCTCTTCCACTTGGTTGTTTTGGCTACAGATGCTTGTGTTTGCATCATAAAGTTCTTGTGCTGTGTTTTTCAGCTTCATCAGGTCATTTATGTTCCTTTCTAAACTGGTTATTTTAGCTAATACCTCCTGTAATCTTTTATCATGGTTCTTAGCTTCTTGCGTTGGGTTAGAACATAATCCTTTGGCTCAGTGAAATTCATTATTACCCACTTTCAGAAACCTGCTTCTGTCAGTTCATCAGTCTCAGCTTCAGCCCTGTTCTGTGCCCTTACTGGAGAAGTGTTGAGATCGTTTGGAACAAAAGAGGCATTCTGGCTTTTGAAATTTTCAGTGTTTTCGCATTGGTTTTTCCTCATCTTCATGGTTTTGTCTACCTGTGATCTTTGAAGCTGTTGACCTTTGGATGTGGTTTTTGTGGGGTCTTTTGTGTTGATGTTGTTGTTGTTGTTACTTTCTGTTGGTTTTTCTTCTAACAGTCAGGCCTCTCTTCTGCAGGTCTGCTGCGGCTTGCTGGGGGTCCACTCCAGACCCTGTTCGCCTGGGTATCACCAGTGGAGTTTGCAGAACAGCAAAGATTGCTGCTTGCTCCTTCCTCCAGAAGCTTCTTCCCACAGTGGCATCAACCTGATTGATGTCAGCCGGAACTCTCCTGCATGAGGTGTCTGGCGACCCCTGATGGGAAGTCTCACCCAGTCAAGAAGCACGGGACTGGAAGGGGGACCTCCTTACGGAGGCAGACTGACTGTCCCTTAGCAGAGCTGGTGCACTGTATTGGAGGAATAACCCTCCTTGGGATCAGCTGGTCTCTTCAGAGCCAGCAGGCAGGAAAGATTAAGTCTGCTGAACCTCGGACCATGGCCGCCGCTCCCCCGAGGTGCTCTGTCCCAGGGAGATTAGAGTTCTTGTCTGTAAGCCCCTGACTGTAGCTACTGGAATTCCTGCAGGGATGCCCTCCAGGTGAGGAGGGATGGCTTCGGGTCCCACCTAGGAAGCAGTCTGGCCACGATCTGCAACAGCCACTTTGCTGCGTTGTGGGGAATTCCACCCAGTCCAAACCTCCTAGTCTCCTTAGCACTGTCAGGGGAAAACCTCCAACTAAAGCCTCAGTAATGACGGTCGCCCCTCCCCCTGGGAACTGAGTTGTCCCAGGCGGACTCCAGACTGCTGTGCCGGCAGCGGGGATTTCAAGCCAGTGGTTCTTAGCTTGCGGGGTTTCCGTGGGAGTGGGACCCTCTGAGCGAGACCACTTGGCTCCCTGGCTACAGCCCCCTTTCCACAGAAGTGGACATTTCTCCTGCCTCACTGGAGTTCCAGGTGCTGCCGGAGTATGTAAAAATTCCTGCAGCTCAGTGCCTGCCCAAACAGCCGCCGACGGGAGCAGCTGTCATTGGTCTGCCCAGTTTTGTATTTGAGACCCAGGGCACTGGTGGTTGTAGGCTCCCGAGGGGATCTGCTGATCTGTGGATTGCAAAAATCTGTGGGAAAAGCTTAGTACCCTTGGTGGGTAGCACTGTCCCTCACCACTTCCCTTGGCTGGGGAGGGAGGTCCCCCTGCCCTGTGCAGTTCCTGGGTGAAGCAATACCCTGCTTCTTCTCGCTCTCTGTGGGTCATGCCGACCATCTAGTCAGTCCCAGTGAGATGAACTGGGTATCTCAGTTGGAAATGCAGAAATCACCCACATTCCTCGTTCCTCTCGCTGGCAGCTGCAGACCAGAGCTGCTTCTAGTCGGCAGTCTTGGCCCCTCCCCGCCGAGGTAAGTTTAATAAGTCTTCTAAATTTGTCCTTGCCATAATGATCAGTGATGATCTGTCTTTTAATAAGTTAAATGCTTTCCAGACTTCAAGACTCTCACCCACATCAAAAATAAAATTATATATCGGCCATATTACCAGGATTTTAGAATGTTGTATTTTATCCTCTAATTATAGGTCAAATAACTAAGGTAGAAAGGAGTAAAGCAACTTCCATGTATGTAGTGAGGATGTTGGGGGGTCTGGGACTAAAATTCTGCCTTGGGATTCCCAAGAGGTTGGTGATTATGATTTTTGTACTCTTAGACACAAAATAAAATAACATTCTGTTTTGTTCCTCTGCTTACCCTATTCAGTTCTCTAAACTACAAAATCTCTGCTTATCAAAATAAGTTGGATTGTCAATTTGTTGAGCTCAGCAAATGCATTTCCTGAGCCCTTGTGAGTAAAGCTCTGTGCTGGTTACACTGCGTAACTAGTGATACAGAGGATGAGTAGAGCATTCTTTCCTGAAAAGAGCTTAAGATTTCTGTGCCCAGGTCAGCTTGGGTTGCCTGTAAGTGAGAAAATTGACAGCCAACACCCACAGGCTTATTCTGATAAAATGGGAGATGATAATAAATGGTGGGGTTTTTTTCTTTTTCTATTTTCTTTTTTTTCGAGATGATGTCTTGCCACGTTCCCCAGGCTGGTCTTACCTCCTGGGCTCAGGCATTCTTCCCTCCTTGGCCTCCCACAGTGCTGGGATTACAGCGTGAGCCACACACCTGGCCTTGTGAATGGTGGTTCTGTCAAGACTGGGCTTTCAACCTCCCAAGGATTCTGGTCAAACAGCCTCAGGAGAATCTTCTGCAGAGAGTGTCTGCCTGCCAACTGTCAGAGCTGAGTGTCACAGAATCTTGGCATGGGTCTCCTCCCTCTGTTCCATTTCACAGATTACATGTTGTTAGTAGGAACATCACCAGAAGGAGCATGAGGATGTTCCTTCTAAGAACTAGGAAAGATATAATAATGCTGCTGGCTGGGCTATTTTAAAAAAGTAATCAAGGGCCTTCTCAGAAAGTGATTTTAGGAACTATAATGCATAGATGGGATCAATTATAGTGTAAGAACTGAAAAATTATTGCACTGAACAGCACCTAACAGCTTCTGGAGAAAACATATTTCCCAACTGACCCTGATGATGGACTTAAATACCAAAAAACAGAGAGAACCACTAACTTCCATTGTCTTGCAGAAACAGGAGAACCTTAATGCACTTAAAGCTGGAAAAATGTCTCTGCCTCTAAGGCCATGCAGTGAAACAGATTGCATGGTAGGTGACATAGGCAGGGGCAGAATGGAGTTTATGACAATGGCCATAAGATGATGAAAAAAATTATTTGGGGCCTTTGAAGCAGCAGATGAGCTGGCTCAGAGGAAAGTTGCACAACTGTAGAAAAACAACTTTTGCAAAATTTTCCTCCACTCAGTGGGCACTACATACTTATTCTAGGATTTGCATTCATTCTTTCACAGACTGTTTACTTATTGGCTTGGGCCTACAATGACTTTTCTGAGAGAGGTGAGGGATTAGCACAACAGCACACACACGCCTGAAAGAAATAGTGAATTTCTAATTTTCAGATTTTAGTCTCTGACCTAACCAAAGAATTGACCATTGTAGATTTTATCTATTAATAATATTAATGATGCTCACAAATATGAAGATTTAAGTACATCTTATGATAATAAGAGATGCTTTCAAAAAAAAAGAAATGGTAGAACTGTAGTCCAGGGATGTTAATAAAAGTGGCAAATAACATTACATCATCTTTTTTAAAAAAGAAGATGAGGTCTCACTGTGTTGTCCAGGCTCATCTCAAACTCCCAGACTCCAGTGATCCTCCTGCCTCAGCCTCCCAAAATGCTGGAATCACAAGCTTGAGCCATCACCTTCAGCCCATATCATCTTAACATCCAATAGGAACAGGTAAAAGAAGGAAGAAGGCTGACAACCCAGTGTACAGAATCATATGTAATAATGAAACTGTTGATTGGTTATAAATCAGCAGAATTAAATCTATGTTTATACTGGCCCTTGGGTTCTGTCGTAGAGGCAGAACATGGAGAAATAAAAAACTGGAGTAGAAGATAAATTCATTTGAGTAACTAGACTTTATAGATAAACATTTGAGAAACCACCTTTAAAGCTGTTTGTGAGCCATGTTTTACATAATGACAAATGAATGCTTTTGTTTTTTTGTGACAGTCAACTGACCCACTGGGAATGTGACCTTGTGAATCACCCAGGTGAGCAAGCTTAACATGATTGGATGTAAACCTAGGTCAATAACTAAAGAGATACTCAAATGTGCTACACGTGTCAATTGTGACATAACAAACTGAAGGCCATTCATTCTCCCTTGAGGGAATGAAGCTGATAGTGCAAGGGACTGCAGATACTACTGCAGAATCAGGGTCCTGATGCTCACATACTGAAGTGAGTGGACTCCTACTTCAGATGTGTAATAGGATCTACTGTCTCCTAAGGCTGAGTATCCCACAAAGAAATCCCCTCAGCCCAACATTATTAGTTATTTTAAAGCTTTTGGTCTCATTTTATAATAGATCACATCAGAAATAAGACTAGTCAGGATCAGGTACAAACTCATGATAACTTGATAGATATATCATTGAAGACCATCCCAAAGTCTCTGATACTACATAATGCTGGGATACATTATTGAATACTAAATTTTAAAATAAGGGATAACATTGCAGATAAACAGACACGCACATGGGAAGCCTCATCAACTGCATGAGCACTCTTAAGGAAAACCTATTGATGAACATACAGAACATTTCACATGCATTGGTCCACAAGGTACACACTCTGCCCAGCCTGAAAACTGAATATAGGTTGGGACGTTCCTCTTCCTTGGGCTGATGATAAAGCTCCAAGTAAAATGAAAAAGATTCTTTTCACCTGGTAAATACGCAGGACCCCCCCCCGAAAGATATTGTCACTGCCAAATGTAACTTCAGTCTGAAAAGCATTTGTTTCTAGCAGGATACAACGTCAATATACAAAAATCAATTCTATTTTATGTAATTCCAATGCACAATTGAAATGTAAAAAGCAATACCACTTACAATAGTGTCAAATGTATAAAATGCATAGGGATAAATCTGACTGCAAATTATAAAATGTTTCACAGAGAACATAATGAATACCTAAAAACTAGAGAGAAATTCTTTGTTCATGGGTCAAGAGACTTAATATTGTTGAGGTGTTACTTTTCCCCAATCTGATCTATAAATTCAATGCAATTCCACTCAAAATCTCAGCGAGCATCTTTGGTAGAAAGTGATCAGCTGATTCCAAAATTAATATGAACTAGCATAATCAAAATGCTACTAAAATGAAGAACAAACTTGGAGGACTAGCTCTACCTGATTTAAAGAACTATTATAAAGTTATAGTAATCAAAACAGAATGGTGTTGGGATATGATCTCACACCTGTAATCCTAGCACTTTGGGAGGCCGAGGTGGGTGGATTGCCTGAACTCAGGAGTTCGAGACCAGCCTGGGCAACATGGTGAAACCTCGTCTCTACTAAAAGCACAAAAACTTAGCCGGGCATGGTGATGCACTCCTGTAATTCCAACTACTTGGGAGGCTGAGGCACAAGAATCACTTGAACCCAGGAAGTGATCACACCACTTCACTCCAGCCTGAGTGACAGAATGAGGCTCTGTCTCAAAAAAAAAAAAAAAAAAAAAGAAAAGAAAAGAAAAAAAGATTGATAAAATAGGAACAAAATACACAGTCCAAAAATAAACCAATGCATATATGGATAAAAAGATATTTGACAAACATGAAAAAGAAAAATATTTAAAAATGTATATACTTTCAACAAATGGTAGAGGATTTTCTTTTAACAAATGGGTATGACATCTATATGTGTATAAAAATAAGTAAAAAATCAGATTCGTGTGTCACTCCATATATAAAAATTAGTGTGTACCAGAGGCTGGGAATGAGAGTGGGGAGAGGGTAGAAGTTGGTTAATGGGTACAAAAATACAGTTAGGTTGAAGTAGTAAGTTCTAGTATTCAATAGGGTAGCAGGGAGACTACTGTTAACAATAATTTGTTGTATATTTTTAAAAATAGCTATAATAATTGGAGTGTGTGTAACACAAAGAAAAGATAAAAGTTTGAGGTGATAGATATCCTAATTACCCTGATTTGGTCATTACACATTATACACATTTATCAAATTATCACACATACCCCCAAAAGATGTACAACTACTATACATCAATTAAAATATGAATGAAAAGTAGATCATGAACACATTTATGATGATTGAAATCACATCAAGTATTTTTTCTGAGCACAATAGTAAGAAACTAAAAATCTACAGAAGGAAAACTGGAAAATTTCACATATACATGGAAATTAAATAACATGCTTTTGAACAGCTGATGGGTCAAAGAACAAATCAAAAGGGAAATTTAAAATATCTTGAGACAAACAAGAATGAAAACAAACATAATGGAACCTCCGGAAACAGCAAAAGCAGCTCTAAGAGGCAAGTTTGTAATGATAAATGCCTATATTGGCTGGGCACAGTGGCTCATGCATGTAATCCCAGCACTTTGGGAGGCCAAGGTAGGCACATCACTTGAGGTCAGGAGTTCAAGACCACCCTCACCAACATGGTGAAACCCCATCTCTACCAAAATGTACAAAAATTAGCCCAGCATGGTGGCACGCACGTGTAATCCCAGCTACTCAGGGAGGCTGAGGCAGGAGAATTGCTTGAACCAAGGAGGTAGAAGTTGCAGTGAGCCAAGATTGTGCCACTGCACTCCAGCCTGTGCAATGGAGTGAGACCCTGGGAAGGAAGGAAAGGAAGGAAGGAAGGAAGGGAGGGAGGGAGGGAGGGAGAGAGGGAGGGAGGGGAGGGGAGGAGAGGGAGGGCAGGGGAGGGGAGGGGAGGGGAGGGAGAGAAAGAGAAAGGGAGAAAAAAGAAAGAAAGAAAGAGAAAAAGGAAGGAAGGAAGGAAGAGACCCACATTAAGAAAGAAGGTCTCTAATAAGTAACCTAACATTATACCTCAAATAACTAGGAAAAGAATGAAATAAAGTTATCAAAAGGAAGGAAATAATAAAAATCAAAGCAGGAGCAACTCAACCAAAGAATAGAAAAACTAGAAAAATTGACAAAACTGAGTTAATTTTTTGAAAAAATAAACAAAATTGACAAACTTTTAACTAGACTAAGAAAAAAAGAGAAGAGTGAAATAAATAGCATCAGAAATGAAGTGGAGGTATTTCAGCAGATGTGTCAGAAATAAAAAGTATCATAAGGAACTATTATGAGCAACTATATAGCAACAAATTGGATAACCTAGAGAAAATAGATAAATTCCTAGACACATACAACCTACCCAGATTCAATCAAAAAATAATAGAAAGCCTGAACAGACCAATAACAAATAAAAAGATTGAAGCAGTAACTATAAACCTCCCAAAAAAAACAAAAGCCAGGACCAGGACTCAGGACCAAATGGCTTCACAGTTGAACTCTACTAAAAATTAAAAAAAGAATTAATGCATTTCTTCTTAAGCTCTTCTCAAAGATAGAAGTAGAGAGAATACTTCCAAAATCATTTTATGAGGCCAGCATTACTCTGATACCAAAGCCAAAGACACCAGAAGAAAATAAAACTACAGGCTAATATCTCTGATGAACATAGATGCAAAATTCCTCAGTAAAATACTACCAACCCAAATTCAACAACACATCAAAAAGGATATATGTCTTAACCAAGTGGAGTTTATCCCTGGGCTGTAAGTTTGGTGTAGTATATGCAAATCAATGTGATACAGAATGAAAGATGAAAACCACATGATCACCTCAGTAGCTCCAGAGAAAGCAGATGACAAACCTCAACATCCTTTCATGAGAAAAACTCTCAACAAATAAGGCATAGATGAAAATTTCTTCAACATCATAAAGGCCACTTATGAGAAGCCCACAGTTAACATGATACTCAATCAAGAAAAACTGAAAGCTTTTCCTGTAAGATCCAGTCCAAGTCAAGGATTCCCACTCTCACCACTTCCATTCAACATGGTACTGGAAGTACTAGCAAAAGCAACCAGGAAAGAAAAAGAAATTAAAAGATTCAAATTGGAAAGGAAGAAATGAAATTATCACTGTTTGCAGATAATATGATCCTATATGTAGAAACCTCTAAAGACTCTGCAAGAAAACCCTGTTAGAACTAATAAATGAATTCAGTAAAGTTGTAGGATATAAAATCAACTAATAAAAATCAGTTGCATTTCTGTACACCAATAATGACCTATTCAATAAAAAATTTTAAATCCTATTTATGATAATATTAAAAAGAATAAAATCAGCAATAAGTTTAACCAAGGAGGCAAAGATCTATACACTGAAAATTATAAAATGTTGTTAAAAGAAATTGAAGGTACAAATAAATGGAAAGGAATCCCATGTTTATGGTATGGAAGAATAAATATTGTTAAAATGTTCATACTGCCCTAAAGTGATCTACAAATTCAAGGCAATCCCTATCAAAATTCCAATAGCATTTTTCACAGAAATAGAAAAAAAACTCTAAATTTGTATGGATCTGCCAAAAAACCAGAATAGACACAGCAGTCCTGAGGAAGAAAAGCAGAGTTGAAGGGATCATACTAGCTAGTTTCAAATTATATTACAAAGTTATAGTAATCAAAACTGTATGGGACTGGCATTAAAATAGACACATAGACCAGGAACAGAATAGATAGCCCAGAAATAAACCCAAGTACATACAGTCAACTACTTTTTGACCATGCCCCCAATAACATACAATGAGGAAAGGATAGTCTCTTCAATAAATGGTGTTGGGAAAACTGGATATCCACATGCAAAAGAATGAAATTGGACTCATATACAAAATACACAAAAATCAACTCAAAATGGATTAAATACTTATGTGTAAGACAAAATCATAAAACTCCAAGAAGAAAACAAAGGGGAAAGGCTCCTTGACATTGGTCTTGGCAATGACTTTTGTGGGGTGGGGGTTGGGGGTGCAGGGGGATAGGACACCAAAAGCAATAACAAACAAATGGGACCAGCTGGGCATGGTGGCTCACACCTGTAATCCCAGCACTTTGGAAGGCCGAGGCGGGTGGATCACCTGAGGTCAGGAGGATGAGACCAGCCTGGCCAATATGACGAAGGCCCATCTCTACTGAAAATACAAAAAAATTAGCCAGGCATGGTGGTGGGAGCCTGTAATCCTAGCTATTCGGGAGGCTGAAGCAGGAGAATCGCTTGAACCCGGAAAGTGGAGGTAGCAGTGAGCCAAGATTGCACCACTGCACTCCAGCCTGGGCAACAAGAGCAAAACTCCGCCAAAAAAAAAAAAAAAAAAAGGACCACATCAAACCAAATAGCTTCTGCACAGCAAAGGCAACAATCAACAACATGAAAAGGCAGCCTATGGATTTGGAGAAAATATTTGCAAGCCATATATCTGTTAAGGAGTTTCTATCCAAAATATAAGGAACTCATAGAACTCAATCACCAAATAAATAAAAAATAGACAAAGGACCTGAATAGATATTTCTCCAAAGAGAGCAAACAGATGGCCAGCACATATATGAAAAGTTGCTCAATATCACTAATCATCAGGGAAATGCCAGTCAAAATCACAGTGAGATATCACCTCACACTTGTTAGGTTGGCAATTGTATAAAAGACAAAGAGAAGTGTTGGCAAGGGTGTGTAGAAAAGGAAACACTTGTACACTGGTGGAAATGTAAACTGGTACATTCCTTATGGAGAAGAGCATGGAGTTTTCTCAAAAAGTTAAAAATATGACCCAGCAATCCCTCTTCTGAGTATATATCCAAAAGAAATGAGATCAGCACCTACTAGAGATACCTGCACTCTCATGTCCATTGCAGCATTACTTACAATAGCCAAGATATGGAAACAACTTAAATGTCCATCACAAATGGTGTTTTTACTTACATGTAAGAATGTGCAGTATTTGGTTTTCTGTTTCTGCATTAATTCGCCTAGGAGCATGGTATGTTTTTCTATATGTTTGTCTTGTCTCTGATTTCCTTCCACAGTGTTTTGGAATCCTTGTTGTAGAGATCTTTCACTTCCCTGGTTAGCTGTATTCCTAGGCATTTTATTCTCTTTGTGGCTATTGTGAATGGGGTTGCATCCCTGATTTGGCTCTCAGCTTGGATGTTACTGATGTATACAAATGCTACTACTTTTGTACATTGATTTTATATCCTGAAACTTTACTGAAGTTGCTTAGCAGTTCTAGCCTTTGGGGAAAGACATTCAGTCAGCTACATTTGACCATGCTCCCAATAACACACAATGAAGAAAGGATAGTCTTGGGCAAAAAAAATGGAGTGTTCTAGATATAGAATTAAATCATCAGCAAAGAGACATAGTTTGACTTCCTCTGTTTGTATTTCAATGCCTTTTATTTCTTTCATTTGCCTGATTGCTCTGGCTAGGACTTCCAGTACCATGTTGCATAGGAATGGTAAGAGTGGGCATTCTTGTAGAAGTTAGAAAGAGCTCAAATGAACAATCTATGAATCAACAACTCTGTGCTGAAATAAAAAAAGAAAAAAATTAACAACCTAACATTAGACCAAGGGGAACTAGAAAAAGAAGAGCAAACCAACCCCAAAGCTAGCAGAAGAAAAGAAAACCAAAATCAGAGCTGAACTGAATAAAATTGAGATGTGAAAATGCATACAACAGCTCAACAAATCCAGAAAAAAAAAAAAACTGGAAGAAATGGGTGAATTCCTGGAAACGTACATTCTCCCAAGATTGAACCAGAAAAAAGCTGAAATCCTGGAACAGACCATAAGGAGTTCTAAATTGAATTGGTAATAAAAAACCAACCAACCAGAAAAAGGCCCAGAACAGGTGGATTCATTGCTGAATTCTTATATAATAAAGAGCTGGTAACAATTCTACTGAAATTATTCCAAACAACTGAGGAGGAAGGACTCTACCCTAACTCCTATCAGGAGGCCAGCCTCATTCTGATACCAAAACCTGGCAGAGACACACAACATTAAAAAAAAACTTCAAGCCAATATGCCTGATGAACATAGAGACACAAAACTCCTCAACAAAATACTAGCAAATCCAACCCAGCAGCACACCAAAAGCCAATGCACCATGAAGAAGTAGGCTTCATTCCTGGGATGCAAGGTTGGTTCAACATATGTTATGTGATTCATCACGTAAATTGAACTAAAACTGAAAACAACATGATTATCTCAATAGATGCAGAAAAGGCTTTTGATAAAATTCAACATCCCTTCATGTTAAAACTCCCAACAAACTAGACACCAAAGGAACATACCTCAAAATAATAAGTGCTATCTATGACAAACCCACAGCCAACATCATACGGAATGGGCAAAAGCTGGAAGCATTTCCCCTAAGAACTGGTAAAAGAACAAAACAATAAATTACGCTTCAATAATACTTTTAAAAAATTGCTCTTCAAAGACATTGGTAAGAGAATGAAAAGACAAGCCACACTTAGGTAGAAAATATTTGGAAATTATGTATCCGATAGAGGACCTCTGTCTGCAACACTAAGGGAACTCTCAAAATTTATTAATAAACAGGCAATCAAATTTTCAAATGAATAAAAGATTTGTAGAGATATTCCACAAGGAAGATATATGGAAGGCACATAACAATATGACAAGATATTCAATATCATTAGTCACTAGGAAAATGCAAATTTAAACCACTGTATACCAAGTAAAATGACTGAAGTTAAAAGAATCACCGTTCCACATATTGGCAAAGATATATGGAAACAAAAACACTCATACACTGTTGATGGGAATGTGAAATTTTACAAGCATGTTATAAAACAGTTTGGCAGCTTCTTAAAATAGTAAACCTGTACGTATCATATGATACTGCTATTTCACTCAAATGAAAGGAAAGGATATGTCCATACAAATTCGTTGATAAAAGCTTTAGTTTTAAAACCAGAGCCATCCAAATCTATGAACAGGTGAATAAATAAAATAAACTGTGATATAACCATCACATGGAATATTAGCAATATAGCAGAGTGATCTATTAATACACATGACAACAAAGCTACATCTCAAAATAATTATTCTGAATTAAAAAATGAAACCAAAATAATGTACATAGTATATAATTCTATTTATAGAAAACTTGAGAAAATTTAAATTAATCTATTATGACAGAAAGCCAACCAGTGGTTGTCTGAGGTGTGGGGAGAAAGGTGAGGGAGGAATTACTACGTAAACAAGGACACTTTGGAAGTGGTAGATATATCCACTATCTTTTTTGTTTGTTTGTTTTTTGACACAGGGTCTGGTTCTATCACCCAGACTGGAGTGCAGTGGCACACTCTTGGCTCACTGCAACCTCTGTCTCCTGGGCTCAAGCCATCCTCCCAACTCAGCCTCCCAAGTAGCTGGGACTACAAGCACATGCCGCCACGCCTGGCTAATTTTTGTATATTTTTTAGACACAGGGTTTCACTACGTTTCCCAGGCTGGTCTTGAACTCTGAGCTCAAGCAATCCACCTGCCTTGGCCTCCCAAAGTGCTGGGATTACAGGCATGAGCCACCATGCCCGGCCTGTATTTACTAATCCTGATTGCAGATGTGTACTATGCTCAAACTTTTTAAATTATACACTTTAATTATGTGCAGTTTTTTGCATGTAAGTTATATATCAATATAATTGCTAAAAGTTTAAAACATTATTTTAAAACTGCCATAGCTTGATTTAATACATCTTTTTATATTTTAAAAAACTGATAAAATTCTGTATATTATCAGGACAAAAGAGAAAAAGCATATGATTACCCTGACATACACAGAAAAAGCGTTTGGCAAATTGAAAACTTTTTTCATCATTAACAAAAACAAACTCTCAACTTGATAAGAACAGAAGGCAACACTTCCAACCCTGCAAGGGCAGATTTGAAAAACCCACAGGTAACATTAATAAGATTGAATGCTTTCTATTAAATAGCGAAAAAGGTAGAATATCTGCTGTTACTCTTTCAATCCAGCATTAAACTAGAGATGTTATCCGATGCAATAAAGTAAGAACATAAATAAACAGAAACATTGAAAAGATTGAAAAGAAAGAATTGAAGCTGTCTAGAATTGAAGCTGTCTTTATTCACGGATCATGATTATGTATGTAAACAATTCCAGAAATCTACAAAAATATACCAAAACTATTAAGCGAGTTTGGCAATGTTGCAGAATATAAGTTCAATATAAATAGTCTGTTGTATTTCTGTATATTAGCAATGAGTGTTTGGAAAATAAAATAAAAATACAATTTCATTTAAAGTAACATCTAAATACGTGATGTGCTTAGAAATAAATTCAAGAAAATTTATGTAAGGCCAGTACACTGAAAACTACAAAACATTGCTTTGAGAAATTAGATATATATATAAACAAACTAAATTGGTGGGGAGATAAACCTTGTCACGGATCAGAAGAGCTGTTATAGTTAAAAAGTCAGTTCTTCCCAAATTGATCTCCAGATGCAATGCAATTCTAACAAAAAATTCCAACAGGCAATTTGGTAGAAATTTACAAGCTGATTTATATGAAAATGTCAGTGATCAAGAATAATAAGAGAGCAATATTATAAAAGAACAATGGTGAATGAATTCACTACCTATTTCCAGATTTACTATACAGCTATGGAAATCAAGACCATGTGTATTGTTGAAAAAAATAGAACATATATCAATGGAAGAGAAAAGAGAACTCAGAAATAGACCCTTACATATATGTCTAATAAATTATTCTTAGACGTGAATATAGTTATATGTATATATACATAATCACCTGTTTGATGATTTCTATCTTTATCTCCAAAACAGGGAACATTAAGAGAACATAAAAAGAAGCCACAATATAGGAGAAATTATATTTATCTCCAACAAAAGATTTTTTAATGGTATATATATAATGCAGTCTGATAAGATAAACAGCACAATGAAACAATTTCTCAAAAGACTTGAATAGATACTTCAGAAAAGAAGATATATGAAGGGTCAATTTGCAAATGAAATGATGCTCAACTCTTTAGTCATCAGGGAGATCAATCAATACAATGCTGAGATACCATTACATGTCCATGAGAATGGCTAAAATTAAAAAGACTGAAAATACCACATGTTGGTGAGGATATAAAGTACTTGGAAGTCCTATACTTGTGGAAATGAAAAATGGTACAACTCCTTTGAAAATCTGGCTAACAGTTTCTTATAAGACTAAACATGTACAGATCAAATGGACAGTCCTTGCACTCCTAGGAATTTACACTCTATGTCCACACAATGATCTGTATGTGGATGCTCATGATACTTTATGCATTATAGCCCAAACCTAGAATGACACAAATGTCCAATAACAAGTGAATGTATAAACAAACATGGTGTAGCCACACAAAGGAATACTACTCAGCAATTACAAGGCATTAACTGTTGACGAAAATGCTCACATGGATGGATTTTCAAATTAATATGATGCATGAAAGAAGGCAGATGCAAAAGAACACAGGTATAATTTCATTTATAGAAAATGGTGAAAAAGGCACTGCCAGAAAGTGACAGTGGCTCCTTGAACCTGAGGGTTGAAATACTGATTAACTGCAAAGGGTTACAAGAAATTTTGGGCTTATGGAAATTCCTATATCTTGATTATGGCAGTAGTTCCATTAGTGTATACATTTGTGAACATGCATTGGATTACATAGTTTAAAGTGGTGCAGTCTATTGTACTTAATAAATACCTTTATAAAGTTTATTTAATCATCTTAATTTCTCCATACTAGCAATTAGCTGCTAGAAAATGAAATTCAATAAAACATAATAGAGATTAATATCCAAAATCATTACATATTTAAGAATACATATAATGAAGCAGGTACAAAGCCCCTGAAAGCTATTGGTGAGAGAAATTAAAGAAGACTAAATAGAGAAATATATATTACATTCATGGATTGGAAGATTCAATTTTGTTAAGATATTACATCAACATAATTCTGACTAATGTTTCCAGTAGGAATTTTTAGAGAAATGTAAAAGCTAATTTCAAAATGTATTTGAAAATCAAAAAAGCTAGAACAGGCAAGTTGGTCTTGAAGAAGCAGTAAGTTGTAGGAGTTATTCTGCTGGATTTCAAAACTCATTTAGAGCTACAATAATTTAAAAACTATAGTACTAGTGTAAGTATATAGAAGTATATCAAGATAAAAAGAATACAGACTCAAACATTATGCTCACATATATACAGTTATTTAAAGCTTTTAAAAACAAACACGCCAGTGCCTCTCATTGGGGAAATGAAAGACTTTTCAATAAAAAGTTCTTGAGTGAAAGAAGTTTAAGACCAGCCTGAGCAACACAGCAAGACCTTGTCTCTACAAAAAATTTAAAAAAAAAAATAGCCAGAAATGGTGATGTGTGCCTAGAGTTCGAACTACTTGGAAAGCTGAGGCAGGAGGATCACTTGTGCCCAGGATTTGGGTATGCAGTGAGCACTCCAGCCTAGATGACAGAACGAGAACCTGTCTCAAAAAAAAAAAAAAAAAAAAGCATCTCACACTCATAGTAAGTGGCCAGAACATAATGCTGACTGCATGTTGTGAGGAAATGTATTAAATGAAACAAATTGAATTCAAGAAGGTTTTTTGTTTGTTTGTTTGTTTTGTTTTTTAATGTGTGTTTGTTTGTTTGTTTTGCAGAAATGAGGTACAGGGGAGAGAAACACCTACTTGGAAAGCACCGAAACAACTGAATTGGAAAATGTGGAAAGGGGATTGGGGGAGGGGACTCTTTCTGAGATCTGGCTCCAGTACTAACAGCAAAGGGAACTTGGGCAAATTACAGACTCTCTGTGCCTTGGTTTTGTCATCAGCAAAACAGAATCATCCCATAAACTGTAAGGTCCGTGGTATCAGAGGGTCCCCAGTCTGACTGCACATCTAAGTCGTTAACAAACACATTCCAGGCCCCAACTGAGCGCACTGAATCAGAATCCCTGCAAGGAGGACAATGATCTTGTATTTGCACTGACCTTCCAGATGTTTCTTACTCTGATCAACTTGGGGGTAGGAACCATTGAGCTGCATCACATCATTCCAAAGCCCAAACACAGAAGCAGAACAAGAATATATTCAATGCATTCTCTAAAGTGGAGAAAACTGTTGAGGGAACCTAGAAGTGAAGGAAACCTGGCTTGCTGGGCTCCATCTTAACTTTATCCTGAGTACGGCAGAGACAGGAGCACTTTGGGACACATGCCTGAGGTAGTGACAGTCCAACATTGAAACAGTGGAAGCCCTAGTTTCAAATTCAAACTTGCTTTGAGTAGAAATTAAGTTTACATCTTTTTGCATAGCAACAGGGCCAGTTTTCTCCAAGCTGCTCAATTTACAAGAAAAGAAATCATACGGCTAAGAATTCAAACTTCAGCAGACATGGGTAAACAAGGAACTCTTACAAATCTATTCTAGCAACCTAACAAGAAACCAGAAATTTAGCAAGTTCTTTCCCGCTCAGGACAATTGTGTTCACTAGATCAGAGGCACTGAGACATGAAGAAAAGACCCGCTAAAAAGGGAAAGCCTTCCTTCCTGCCCTAGGACATCCCTGCCAACTTCAGGGAGGTGGGAACCCAGCTGCGCTCTCTACAGTATGGGTTACTTTTGTGTCTGGAAGGTGTCTGACATCCTGAGACCTGGACCCATTTCAAGGAGCTTTGGGAAGAGCCCAGATCACTGATGGAATTGGACAGTGCGTGGAAATGGTTCAGCAGGACGAGGGTAAGTGCAGGATCACGGCCAGGTCATTCTGAGAGACAATGAGTGGCACTGATGGGGTCAGACAAAGATTAAAAACAAAAGTTTGTGCTTCGACTTCAGAAACTCAAATCAATAACTAATTTGCTCTTATAAGTAATAAGCATTTTTCTATCTACATGAGAATTTAATCTCAAAACAGAAATCAGAAAAAATATCAAGTCCAGGGCATAAAACCTAAACCAGTGCTTAGATTATTCATTTTAAATAGAGCTAAGAGTAAAATCTTCTCCATAAAATATATATTGTATCTATACATAAAATATATGTTGTATCTGAGTTCAGCGTGTGATGAGTGTGACCATAGACTACCCAGCATTCATGTGGAAGTGAAGGAAGAGGACTGGATCAATCCCAGCGGAAAGCATGCCTCTCAGCAGCCCACACCATCCTCCACCTACACTGTGTAATGACAGTGCTTTGAGATGTAGCAAAGGCTGTAAATTTATCTATTCTCTGGTGTCTCAGAGACCTGACATTCTGTGTCAGAAAGAAAAGTTATAAAAAGGCAAAAGTCTTAATGAGAATCATTGGTACTCAATAGAATAGTGAATTAAATACAGCCAGGGGAAGACCCAAGTCTCATATTTCTCTTGTATATTCCAAAGTTCCAGTGAAATTCCAGGTAATAGAGGTTATTTCCCACACTGTTAAAGCAAGGTTGCAGACACTTCTGAATTTCGGTCCCAATGCTGAAGGAGGGCACACCTCTGTCCTGGAAAATGACACAGGAATGAATGCTATTCCCATGACTCATTCTGGTCATTCTTCCAGCATCACAGAAACCAAAAAATAGAAATATAGCCAAATACATGATTTGCTATCCCTCTTCTTCAGGTTTCTTACCTGTTTCTTATGGATAATAACATTGCCTTAAGGATTATGATGAAAATATGATATCCAAGTATGTGTACAGTTTTGAACAAAATGCCTAGTATGAATTGGTCAATAAATAATTATTTTTATTTATTGAATTACATGGATTCTATAAATAATTACTGAATAATTATTGTGATTCCTTTTATTGGCAGTGCTCAAAATGCATCCCTGTGTGACCTCAAGTAAACCAGTAACTTTGTGAACCTGCAGTTTTATCATTTTTAAAGTGAAGAAACTAGACAGATTTTCATTCTGACACAGAATGTCAGGTCTTTGAGACACCAGAGAATAGATAAATTTATAGCCTTTGCTACATCTCAAAGCACTGTCGCTACACAGTGTAGGTGGAGGATGGTGCGGGCTGCTGAGATGTGCGCTTTCCACTGGGATTGATCCAGTCCTCCTCCTTCACTTCCACATGAATGCTGCGTAGCCCGTGGTCACACTCATCACACCCTCAACTCAGGCAAGTCCAGCAGCCACACTTAGGAGACCTGGGCTACAGGACAATCTCCCAAGTCCTAGCCTCACAAGACCTAGTTGAAGATGGAAGCTGAGAAAGTGAGGAGGTGGTTTGGGGGAGCACACTCCCCTACTCATCCCTCTCATCTCAAACTCACCTTCTACTGCACAGGAACACTGAGGATCACCAACCACCCGTGACCATGAGCTTGATCTTGCCAGGTTCGGTTAGTGGAATGCAACCACACATCAACAGTGTTAGAACAACTATATATATATATATATATATATATATATATATATATATATATATCTCCAACAATATTCCCTGAGAAGCGTTCAATGCCCTGTTCTTTTCAATATATGGGAAAACTAAAAACAACAAAATACCATCAGGTTTACAAGACTTCCCAAGATAGATGGTCACACATGTTTTCAGGGGATATATACAAATGATTTTGATCACTTGATACCTTGAAAAGAGCTATTTTGGGACGAGAATGATATTCGTAAGTGACAAGTATGAAACGAGTGTTCAGTGACATTAAAAAAGCAAACCGACCCACACATAGAGGAAGAGCTTTGGACGTAGGGATGTGAAACTGGTCTTAAGTGTAATGAAAAGCCAAGATGCTGCCCCAGTAAGAGAAAAGAAATCAACATAACAATGGGATGCAGCAAGAATACTGAGACAGGGTAGAAAATCTTTTTTAAAAGTGAATTATTCCTTCATTTTCAGTCGATACAGAAAAAACTGCAGAAGACCCAGAGGGATATCATAGCAGACTAAAAGTTTGCTATCTTTCACTTGTGGAAAAGCATTAAGATCATTTTACCTTAAAAAGAAGGTGAGGTGACTTGATGACTACCACTAAGAAAATATAACCTTCTGGAAAACTATCCCTACCTTGATGATTTTATACACACAAGAGATGAACAATGAGGAATATGCTTATATGTATTGAGAAAGAGGTGGGCCTATAGCATTGTCACAAGGGTGCACAAATACTGAGAGTGACTGCTGAAGAAATGGTCCCCATCAGTGACCCTCAGGTGAGACCAGGGGGCCTAGTGTTTCAGCACAGCCTGGGCAATTGGAATGCAGGGTTTCTAAGATTCCATGACACCCCCACCTTCTAATTCTGTTATTGCAACTGCAGACCGTTACCTGGTACACTGGCTGCTACCTCCCTCACTCTTGTCAGAGTCGGAGCTACAGGCAGTGCCTTCAGCTCTGAGCTCAGGCATCCCGGTCCCTGTTTTTGCGGTTAAGGACTCTAAAGTGTTGTGTCGTGTTCATCAACTTTTTCTCAACCGTAAGTTAACAATTCCAGTAATTGTCATCTCTCAGTCCTGATTAAACCTAATTGATTTCACTAGTTTTTGACCCATCATGTGTCTGGGTTTCTTCTCCCCAGTCCCTGGCTCTACCTCTTCTGCCACAAACGTCAGCATGGTGGTATCTGCCGACCCTTTGTCCAGCGAGAGGGCAGAGATGAACATCCTAGAAATCAACCAGGAATTGCGCTCGCAGCTGGCAGAGAGCAATCAGCAGTTCCGAGACCTCAAAGAGAAATTCCTTATAACTCAAGCTACTGCCTACTCCCTGGCCAACCAGCTGAAGAAATACAGTAAGTTCTATAGATTCACAATGATGAACGTGATGAATGATCACCTGTGTTCTGAGAAACTGAACGGTCTTTTCATCGAAATTAATTTCATCCTTCCCATACTTCTAGGAAAATAGAAGTGGATGTTTTAACCTCATTTTGTTAAACATGGAAAACAGAGGCACAAAGTATTTAGCAACTTTTCCACATTGGCAGTCTGGTGTGAGGTGGGACTAGACTTAAAATCCTACTTATTGTCTTCTGACACAGGCACAGAACCACCTGTTTTCCTCAGTAAGAGGCTAAATCATGTTTATGAGAATCCTCTCTGTACCATATAAGATTCTACAGACAAGTAACATCTAGTCTGTTGGTCTAAATGTCTGGGACTAATGAACTTCCATTCAGTTCAAGCTTCTTTGAGGCCCAATAGGCAAAGCTCCATCCAGAGGACCCTGGGGGAAACATGGCAACTGTACAGAGTACCCACTCTAAGGAGCTTAAAGAGGAGACTGCCCCTAACAGAAACTGTGATATCTGTGACACCCTTCAAAGCACAGAGTGTCCCAGTGAAAGGGAAGTGCTGCTTCCTGGGGCACAGGCTCTTATTCCTGAAGAGGAAGAAAGATGGCACATGAGACATTGTAGAGGTAGCAGTGTAGTGTGCAGAGCAGGGACCCTGGGCCAGTCTCCTGGGCTCCATCCAAGTTGCCTATCTTCTCTGTGCCTCAGTTTCCTCATCTGCTCATTGAGGACTATAATAATACCTACCTCTGTAAATTACTGCAATGAATTACATGACCTATTTCTTGTAAATTTCCTAGAACAGTTCTTGGAACAGAGTAAACACTATCTATTAGTTCTTCATTCTACTATTTCTAACTTAATTCAAACTTTAGTAGTATTTGGGCATATTTCTACTATAGCCTCACGGTCTTGTGCCTCATATTTTATGCAATTATATCCAGATATGATTTTTTAAATGTTTGACATATTCGCACTTGAAATTCCCAGTACAAGGGAAACTTTGGGTCCCATAGTCCTAGGGCCTTCCTGACTGTATAGAAAATCACTACTTCATGCACCAGTGCAGTGTTTTACAGGAGAGGCCGCAAGGCTTGGGAAAGTGGCCCAGGATTCAGAGTCAGACCTCAGGGGCTGTGAATTCTGACTCCGCCTTCTTCCAGGTGAATCATCTTGTCAAGTTACTTGATGTGCCCTTGTGTTTCTTTCTCCCCATCCCTGAGCTGGGGAGTATCAGATGCCAGAAAGTTGGGAGGTTGATAAATAAAGATGTGGAAATGCCTGCCTGGAGCCTGGTACTGGAGCTGCTTTCGTCCTTGGGATGGATGCTGCCGCCTGCCCTATAGACACTGACCCCAGCAGCATGTCCCACCTTCCACTGAGGCAGGCGTGTCTGTCTTTTCTCAGAGTGTGAAGAGTACAAAGACATCATAGACTCTGTGCTGAGGGATGAACTGCAGTCCATGGAGAAGCTGGCAGAGAAGCTCAGGCAAGCTGAGGAGCTCAGGTGAGCGGGCCCCATTGGGGGCAGGCAGATGGGCAGGGGTGTGAATCTCTGAAGTGCAGCAACTCAGCTGGGAGAACTAAGAGCTGAGCTGGGCCAGGACAACGGCAGGCATTTACATGGCAGGCACGTGTCACACAAATATTTATAAAACAGAGAACAGTCATCTTAGTAAGTTATGGGTTGTAGTTGTTTCTTAAGCCTTGTTTTCTCTTCTTAAAACCACTGATTGTTGAGGTAAAATTTGCATAACACAAAATAAACCAAAAAAAGTGAACCACTCAGAAGCATTTAGGATACTCAGAATGGTGTGCGATCACCACCACCTTTACTCTTCGTCAGAATCACCTCTTGACTGACTGTGGCGTTTCATTTGTTCAATCAATATTGCCTTCTTAACACTGTCATTCTTTTCTTCTTTCATCTTTCCAATTCACCCCATCTGCACCTGGCCACATTTCTGTGCATGGCTTTGTATCTAGTCACTGCAAGATGCGCTATGTGAATTTTCACATAGAGATGCCCATGGCCAAAGTGAGGAACTGAAAGGACATCCTTGTGGAACTGATTTAGGAAGACGCTAACTTTTGTTTACAGAAGAAAAAGATGAGTGGAACATCTGTGAGGATCTTACAGAAGCACTCTCTCATATATCAGAAGGCTGTGTGTGTGTGTGTGTGTGTGTATGTTTGTTTGTGTGTGTGTGTGTGTGTGTGTGTGTGTATATATATATATATTCTTCTTTCTCTTGGCCACAGACATTTCCCCAAACATGTTCTGACCTTCTGCTTGGAGGTCTCCTTGAGGACATTCTCACAGAAACCTCTGTTGCGGTATTAGAACTGATCACTCATCCCTTTCCATTATTAAATGTTCTCTACTATCTCACCTTAGGCAGTATAAAGCCCTGGTTCACTCTCAGGCAAAAGAGCTGACCCAGTTACGGGAGAAGTTACGGGAAGGGAGAGATGCCTCCCGCTGGCTGAACAAGCATCTGAAAACCCTCCTCACTCCTGATGACCCTGACAAGTCCCAGGGTCAGGACCTCCGAGAGCAGCTGGCTGAGGGGCACAGGCTGGCAGAGCACCTTGTTCACAAGCTGAGCCCAGGTAAGGTGGCCATGGGCCCTGATGACACACAGCTTCAGGCTTATGAAAGTCCCCAGACCTCCACACCTCCACAATGACAATTGTATGGGTAGTGTTTCTTTCCAGTAAACTTTTGTGGCCACGACATGATCAGAATTTCTTGGGTGGGAGCAGAGATGGGAAACCCATGGGGTGGAGGTTACAGAATGGCAAATGTATCCTCCTTTCTTGATGGAATGTGGTCTTTAGAGCAAGAGGCAACATCCGTCCAGTTTTAAAGAACAGGAAGGAGGCTGTGACAGGAAGCAGCTTTTAGAGTGAAAGGAGCCCTGGACTAAGAATGAATGTTCCCAGGATCTATCTTCAGCAATGTCTTTAGCAACTGTGGGCAACTGATTAATTTATCCTTCCTGGGTTTCTGTCTCTAAATCTGTAAAAGCAAACAAATTGTCTCTTGCATTCAAATGTGGGAACACTTATGACTATATTTCACAATGAGATAAAGCCCCTTGCTGTGTGGTGTTGGAGAAGGCACTTGATGTGGTGGCATTTGGTGGTAGGAAGTGGTTTAGACTGGAGCACTCCCCATGGAGAGATTGTCCCCGGTTAACACAGTGGAAGCCACTTGGAGGGCCCATGAAGTCCCTAATGTATGGAATACTGTGGGACAAGGTTGTTTGTCCTGTTCGAAGAGAAAGATATAGGTTCTAAATGCGAACTGTGACAGGATACAGAGCCTGTGCGTGGGAATCAGATCTGTGGCAGGATTGGGGAGACAGCTGCTGAAGTTCAGAGAGAGGCTGGGCAAGCCTCCAGTGATATGAAGAGGAAAAGGTCTTTTCAATATTTGGCCACATCTTGATGGTGACCCTCCAGATCAGAAACACATTGCCTCATGGATCAGGAAAACATGCCAGGGCATTTTTTTAGAGATAAAACATGAGAGCTTTCAGCACAGTGTGGACTTATACATGTAGATGTTTATGTCCCTGTGCACATAGGGCTCACTGTGCTTGCAGTGGGTGAAATGGGAAATATTTCAATGGACACATCTGTATTTGCAGAAAATGATGAAGATGAAGATGAGGATGAAGACGACAAAGACGAGGAGGTTGAGAAAGTACAGGAATCACCTGCCCCCAGGTAACATTGAATAATCAGGAGCGGGTAATGGGTGGTAAAATATGAAAAAGGTCTCAGAAAGAATAAAAGGGAGGTGAAGGTAGTCACAGATTCCAGAGGCAGGATAAAGAAAGCTGCAGAGTGCACTGATTTCATGTGCTCACCCAACAAGGAAATAGCCCCATTAACGTGCTTGTCCATTGTCTTCCTGGTGCCTGTAAGCATGACCCTAGATGAACTCACCATCCCTAGGGACTTCCTGCACACACAGAGGAGACCTGTTCTCCCCTGTAGTGAAAGCCAGGATGAGATGTAAAGCTGCTTTCTACACTGTTGTCTTTAGGTTCTTTTTAGGAAAGATAAATAGCAGAGAGGCAACAAGCAGAGGAAATAGGAAGCACCTAGCAAAGTTGAACACAAAGTACAGTACCTAGACAAAAAAATTTACATTTCATGTCACAATATTAAAATTTTAAAAAAACTAGAAGGCACACCATCTCTGAAGTCTACAATGGCTCAAATGCCTGTATAGCCATGGCCACAGTATGTTAACTACAACCCAGCTTAGACACACCATGTGGCAGCTGTTTTTGGTTCTCTGTGTGTGCTGTCAAGACTGTACCATACAGGGACAGCTGAGTCTTCCTCCTCCTCAGCTCCTATCTGCCCAGTGCAATGATCACTAGCTGCTGTCTTCCTCTCTGGTTCCCATGGCAGCCACGCTCTGTTGCAGACAGAAAAGGATTGCCTGTTCCCTCTTAAAAGGAACCTCTCCTTTGCATTCTGGGACCACTCTCTTAAGCCTCCTTTCAAAACCACCTAGGACTTCTTGGGGTGCAATGCCTTTTGGATTAATCTTCTGTCATCTCTATCCCACTGGGCTCATCAGAGAGGTGCAGAAGACTGAAGAAAAGGAAGTCCCTCAGGACTCACTGGAGGAATGTGCTGTCACTTGTTCAAATAGTCACAACCCTTCTAACTCCAACCAGCCTCACAGGAGCACCAAAATCACATTTAAGGAACACGAAGTCGACTCTGCTCTGGTTGTAGAGAGTGAACACCCTCATGATGAAGAGGAGGAAGCTCTAAACATTCCCCCAGGTAGCCTCTCTATTCTTTGTCCCTCCTAGCTCTGTCTAGGCTGAGGAAGATCAATTCTGAGGACAGACTGTATACATACATATTGGTTTGAATCACAAAGTATAGTGGAGCCGGGGGCGGTGGCTCCCACCTATAATCCCAGCACTTTGGGAGGCCCAGGCGGGTGAATCACTTGAGTTCAGGAGTTCAAGACCAGCTTGGGAAATGTGATGAAACCCGTCTTTACAAAAAACATGAAAAACTAGCCAGGCATGGTGGTGCGTGCCTGTCATCCCAACTACCCAGGCAGCAGAGGCGGGAGAATCACCTGAGCCCAGGAAGTAAAGGCTGCAGTGAGCCACAATTGCACTCCAGCCTGAGTGACAGAGTGAGGCTGTGTCTCAAAAAAAGAAAAAGAAAGAAACAGAGAGAGAGAGAGGAGAGAGAGAGAGAGAAAGAGAGGAAAGAAAGAAAAAGAAAGAAAGAAAGAAAAAGAAAGAAAGGGAGAGAAGGAAAAGAAAAGAAAGAAAGAAAGAGAGAAACTATGATAGAATATTAAACACAGTTATGTGAGGGTCAGAGAACATTCCTCTCCTCCTAGGCCCATGGCATGGACTTTGTCTTCCTGGCCCCAATATTAGCATACTGGACCACAGGCAGGTGTGACAAAGTCATAGCCACCTGTGTACAGGAGGTATCTGTCAGGCCTCCTGGCTCGGTTCCTATGTCTCTTGTCACATGCAATAATGATTTGTGTCCCTGAACAATGTCCATGGAGTTTCTATGCCTGTCACAGGCGACTGACAGTCTTGCCTATGTAATTGGAGATGTGTCTCTGGATTCACTGTTCTCGGCCCCAGGCTTGGTCTCCTTTAGGTCAGCTTGTCCCAGCTAAGCAGTCACCTTGAAAGCAGGACATAAACACTTCTACCTTTATCTTGCTTATAAGTTTCCCTAAACGAGGCTGGGCCCTGAGTTCTTCACCCCATGAGCGGTCAATGTTTCTGTGTAGCACCGCAGACTCTTTTTTATGCAAGGATTGTTAGAATTTATCCATCAGTTCAGTCTCCTATACAAATTTCTCTAACCATTCGTTGACCATGATATATGATGAGATAAATCAGTATTGCAACAACACTTCTGGAGAGTGGTTAGGGCAATTTTTGAAAATCTTGGGGAAAAAGTTTTGTTTAATTGTTTGCACAGACTTAGGTCAGAGGATAGGTGATTATGATCTACCAGATGAGGGAGATTTTGTCCTATGGGTCTGGAAAGCAGGCACATCTACTTCTGAAAATAAGTCAGAATGATCCTGTCAAAATGTCACATTCTTACACTGAGGATATTTATGTTCTTGTGCTATGACTGGACACTTATTTGCTCTTGTGTGATTTCCTTACTGTGACCTGCTCTTCTGAATTTGTTTACAGAAAATCAAAATGACCATGAGGAGGAGGAGGGGAAAGCGCCAGTGCCCCCCAGGTAACTGTGGATTTGTGGGCTGTTAGTTCAATAGTGACATCTGGACACCACGGATCAAGGGAAAATAGGAAGTGACGAATAGAACTGTCTCATCCATTCATCCAAGTGCAAATTGCCCCTTTAACAATGTTGTCTTCTTTATTGTGGTACTTGAATAGGTTTCAATTTCTTAATCCCTCTCAAGCATAGGAACCGACAATCACTTGAACCAGGTGAACTGACCAACCTCAGGGATTTCCTGATCTCACCTGTGGTCTCCCATGTGGCTAATCCAGGGTGAGATGCATATATGCTTTCTGTATGTTTTGTGACAGCATGTTGGCAAGTATTTGAATGCAATCGAGAAAATTAAAAATAAAAATTTCATATTATGTCAAAATATTGAAAAAAAAGGGGGACCTTAAAAACACAGGATCTGTGCGTTGGGAATGCCTCAAGAGCTGTGTTCACTTGGATGCTGCATGTAATGTCAACGCAATTTGTGTAAAGGAAGTGAAGTCCCAGCTTAGTTCTCAGTGCTGCAAGTCATGATGCTTGATGCTAGCTTACAGGGAGAGTCTGGGTCCTCCTGCAGCCGCTCGTTTGTGGCAAGTGCACTGAGCACCTGCTGCTCATGTTTGCTCTGTCTCCAGGACAGTCACACTCCACCCCACATTTAGAAGGATAGATTTTTCTCTCTTGGAGGAGACCCTCCTTTGCTTTCTGTGACCACACCCTTTGTGTCCTATCAAATCACCTGAGATACTATGGTGTTGAATCTGTCTTGGTCTAACCTTCTGTCGTTCTATCCTACCTGGCTCATCAGAAAGCTGCAGGATTCTGAAGAGAAGGGAGTCCTGCAGGACTTGCCAGAGAAATGTGTTTTGTCTCATTCTAGACACCATGACAAGTCCAACTCTTACCGGCATCGTGAAGTCTCTTTCTTGGCATTGGATGAACAGAAAGTTTGCTCCGCTCAGGATGTTGCCAGGGATTACTCCAATCCCAAATGGGATGAAACCTCACTTGGCTTCCTCGGTAGGCTCCCTATTGTTTGTACCCCAGATTTGTCCATAGTGACGGATGTCATACCTTCAGGAAGACTCTATGCTTATATACTGGTTAGAACCAGGCTCTAGGATTGAGTTTGAAGGAAGGCATCCTATAAGTCAGAGTTGTGCTCCATTCTAGTCCAAAACCACACATTGTCTTTCATCATTGCCCCATTGGCAGATCACTGTACCCAAGGTTGACCTGACAAATTCATACCCACCTCTGCAGCCTGGGTGCAGGGTGTATCTACCAGTCCTCCTGATTTAGATTTAATCTGTCATCTCACATGAAATCTAATTTTCCCTCCCAAACAACCTGAGTTTCTCTGCCTGTCCAAGGCCACTGGCAGCCTTATCGATATTCTTGGAGCTGTCATTTCCCTCGTTCACTTCTCTCAGGCTAGACTCCCTCCCCTTTTAGTAGGCTTGTCTTAGCTAAGAAGTCTCTGAGTACCAGAACATGAACACCACTATTAAATTTTGTATGTTTCTCTGAAAGGAGGCCGGGCCCTGGAACTCCCTGCCATATGAAAGGCCAATGTTTCCATGTAGCATTAGAGATTCTTTTGATTTAATCTGTCCCTCTAAATGCAAATTCTACAAAAACACTGACAACAGCTTATCAGAAGGAAACATGCTGAATACTGCAGTAACCTGCTAGGAAGCATTAAAGTAGATCCCCAGGATCTGTTAGTAAACAGGATATGGTTAACAGTTTGCTGTGACTCAAGACAGAAGGGACTGTGATGATGACCTGTCAGATCAGGGAGATTTGCTCCATGACTCAGGAAAGCAAACCTAGTGACTTCTCACAAGGCTCACCCTGAGACCTCCTGGAAAGTTTCTCTCACAATAGCCTGTTCTCGCACTGCGTGTATTTATGCCCCTATGTAGATTTGGACACAAGGTTGTGCATGTGTGAATGTGATCAGGTTCACCTGGCTGGTCTTCTCTTAATTTATTTACAGAAAAGCAAAGTGATCTTGAAGAGGTGAAAGGACAAGAAACAGTTGCTCCCAGGTAATTGAGAAAAATCAGGGGCTGTCTATTCAGGGGTGATATCTGTGAAACTCATCTCCACAGAAAACCAGAAAGTCCTGAATATACCTAATTCATCCCTTCAGCCAACCGGAAATGATCTTTTTTAACCATGTTTTACATTTTCATTGTGAAACTTTTAATGTTTGCATTTCTTATTAACTTCTTAAGTTCAGTACATCAAACCACTTGACCTTGTGAACAACTAATCAGTCACACAGATTTCCTTAAAGTAAGTATACTCTTCTTATGGTGTCAACCAGCCTGAGATGCATATCTGCTTTCTGCTGGTTTTGCATTAGCACAGTGGTGAGCATTTCAAGGCAAGGAAATTAGGTAGAAAAAATTATTGTTATACCATGCACAATATTGAGAGAAAGAGGACTTGATGCCATGCGATTTCGGGGATACGATTATGCCTCAAAACCTATGTTTACTTGGCCACTACACATAAAATTTAACATCATTTAAAAGAAAGGAATGAAACCACTGTTATAGGACATGATATTCAGTAAGTCACGACTCTACCATACAGAGAGACTCAGTCTCCTTCCTCAGAAAATCATAATCTGGCTACTTTGCTGAGCACCTGATGCTTCTCTCTCTCTCATCTCTCTCTTTCCCTCTCTCTGTATTGCAACCTACCCATGGCAACCACACTGTGCCCACCAAGAAGAGGAGAATATTTAACTGTTTAATGGGTTGACCCATTTGTTTTCTGCGATCACTCCCTCATGCCTCACGTGAAATCCAGCTAGGGCTCTGAAACTCCTTGGATTAATCTTTAGTCCTTCTTACCCTACAGGCTCAGCAGGGGACCGCTGAGAGTGGACAAGCATGAAATCCCCCAGGAGTCACTGGATGGATGTTGCTTGACTCCTTCCATCCTTCCTGACCTGACTCCCTCCTACCACCCTTATTGGAGCACTTTGTACTCTTTTGAAGACAAGCAAGTCAGCTTGGCTCTTGTAGACAGTGAGTACTCCATTGTGAACATGATAAATCTCCAATTGGTGTCCCAGGTAGACTCCGTAATCCTTGCACTTCACATCCCTGGCTGGACTGAGATGTGTCATTGGTGTGGGCGTGACTCACAGACACAGGATGATTTGCATCAGCATCAAAAATCAAGTTGGAAGCACAGACAGGGGTGGGTCAGTGAGCTTTGCTCTCTTCCTCATCTCAGACCATGCCTGTGTCACCCTGCGCCCACTGTCACGACATTGACAAATTCACACCAACCTATGCAGCACGTGCCCAACAGGTGTCTGTCAGGCCTCTTAATCTGAATAAGATTTGTCTTGCCAGCTATCGTGTTCCTTACAAGTTCCTTTCCCCAACCATGTCCTGTGAGATTCTATGCCTGCCCAACGCCTGTGGCATTTTTGTCTACTTTTCATTAAAGATATTACCCAGGTTTCAAAGAACCTAGCCTCATTCTGTATGTCTTTGATGTTATCCTGTTTTAGCTGAGCAGTCCATTACCTTTTGTTATGTTTCTAGAAACAAGATTGGGCCTTGTCACTCCTAGATGTCACGAATAGCCAATGTCTCTTTGTATTGAACCAAAGATTCATTTTCATTCAAGGGTCTGTAGATTCCCTCCTACATTCTAGTTTCAGTGTCTAAAATCCTTGTAACCATGAACAACGTGAGTATTTGATGATTGAAAGCTGAATATTGCAGTTTTCCTTCTAGAAAGCAGCTGGGGTATTTGCCTTCAACTGGTGTGAAAAATTTGCATAACTGTTTGCACAAAATCAGGACAGATGATGTTGGGATAATGATCTACCAGAACAGGGAGATTGCATTCCTAGGCCCAGGGAAGAAAACCAAGGCATCTCTCTCATGACAGGACCTCAGGCCTCCTGGAATATTTCTCTCACAGTGTCCTGTTCTCCCACTGAGGAAACTGACATTTCTATGTTAGGATTGCACAGTGGATTGTTTATGTGTGTAGGAGAACCTGCTTAATCTGTCTGTCCCTTTGTGAATTTATTTACAGAAATTAAAAAGGATCAAGAGGAGATAGAAGACCAAAGCCCACCATGCCCCAGGTAACTCTGAGGAATCCTGAACAGTTAATTCAGTGTTGATATCTGGAGTCTCAGATGCAGGGAAAATCAGAGTGTGCTGAATATACCTGTTCCATCTGTTCAGCCAACCATGAAATGCCATATTCATAAGGTTGACTCTTTTCATTGTACACCTGTATTTCTAGTTCCTCCTTATTAATTCCTTTCAATTCGTCTAATCTGCATTCAGTTGACTCTGTTGAACTGATCACTCACAGACATTTTCTGCAGTCCCCTTTTCTGTCCTTTTTGCTTAAAGTGAAGTTGAGTTGCACATCTGATGTCTGCCTCTTTGGCATTACCATGTTTGCAAGTATTCGATAGCAGGGAAGTGAATGAAAATAAATCATGCCATGCTACAATGTTGAGAACAAGAGCTGTTGAGGATACAGGAACTCTGTGAAGACTCAAGAGCCTGTATTCATTTGGCCACTGACGCTAATTTCAACAAAATGGATGCAAAAGTGCCGAATGCACTGTGTCCTGGCAGTTCCCCGCAGGGATCACTCCATCTGCTTCCTCCCCAGCTCATTGCCTGCCCAGTGCACTGAGAGCCTGTCGTGCTCTGTCTCCTACTCGAGACAGGGAAGGATGGTTGTATCTCTCTCAGGGGAATGTACTTTGCTTCCTCTGGGCCTTCCTAAGGGCCTCCCTATAGAACCAGCTGGGTGTTGGTTCTCTCTGGTGTTTATCTTCTGTCTTCTTTACCCCAGGCTCAGCCAGGAGCTGCCAGAGGTGAAGGAGCAGGAAGTCCCAGAGGACTCTGTGAATGAAGTTTACTTGACTCCCTCAGTTCACCATGACGTGTCTGACTGCCACCAGCCTTATAGCAGCACCTTGTCCTCATTGGAGGATCAGCTTGCCTGCTCTGCTCTGGATGTAGCCTGTGAGTACTTCACCCTGGAGATCACAAAGCTCCACTGTCCTCCCAGGCAGCCTCTGTATGTTTTGTTTCCTGCAACTTGTGCAGCTGAGACAGACCATCTCTGCAGCAGGCTCTATACACTGAGCTTGTTTTGAATCTGGCTCTTGGATCCAGTTTTAAGCACAGACATCCACTGGGTAGAACTTCCTCTTCTCCTGTTCCAAGTGCCTCCTCTGTCACCTGGCTCCTTCTCACAGGAGCAGGCTTTGGCTATCAAAACAGGCCAGAGAAGGGAGTGGTGAGGGCTTATGGCAAATTCCTGGCCACAGTAGCTCAGCTGGAGAAATTTATGTAACAGCCCTCCTTCTTTAAGATAGGGCATCTCTCTTTTCTGAAATTATCTTGCTAATTCCATGTCTTTATCTCTTCTCTGGCCATCCACATATGTTGGGAGTTTTGCCCAATTATTTGGAGGCCTGTTTCATGATTCCTGTGTCCCAAGCTAGATTCTCTTCTTCAGGGATCCCCAGCCCTGGGGCCATGGGCCATTATGGGTCCATGACCTGTTAGGAACTGGGCCGCAGAGCAGGAGGTGAGCGGTGGGAGAGCATTTCAGCCTGGATCCCACCTCCTGTCAGATCAGCAGTGGCATTAGATTCTCACAGGAGCTCGAACTCTATTGTGAATTGTGCATGCCAGCAATCTAGATTGTGTTTTCCTTACGAGAATCTAATGCCTGATGATCTGTCACTGTCTCCCAGTAACTGTCACCCCCAGGTGAGACCATCTAGTTGCAAGAAAACAATCTTAGGGCTCCCACTGATTCTGCATTATGGTGAGTTGTATAATTATTTCATTATATATTCCAATATAATGTTTATAGAAATGAAGTGCACAGTAAATGGAATGTGCTTGAATCATCCCAAAACCATCCCCCCCAACCTGGTGCCTGAAAAATGGTCTTCCATGAAACCAGTCCCGGGTGCCAAAAAGATTTGGGACTGCGGCTCTACTTCCTCTGAGGTGTCTTCCCTCCACTGACGCAGTCCAGCGACCCTTCCTTTATGTGTGGCCGGGCTTGCATCCTCTGCAGAGCTCCAGTGGTTTTCTCCATGTGTGGGTTTGTAGTGTCAATCAAGTTTTGGTCTCAGTGCTCTATTCTCATGAAAACCATCGACAACTAGTGTCCCTCATGAGGCTCTGGCCTAACCGATGAGCAAAGCAGAGTGGTTCCTGTCCCCATGAGGTCCAGAAAACCCTTCCTCTGAGCAATCGCCCCTTGAGATAGCAGCTTCACAGGATGTGTAAAAAGAAAATCCAATTTTCATTTCTTCTTGCTCATTCTCTTTTTTTTTTACTTCAATTCTGGGAATTTCATGTGGATTGTTGGGGGTTTTACCCATTACATTATCTTCTAGTAAGAGCAAGGAACTCTGTGATGTCCCCCAGTATATTGGATTATGTTGTAACGAGATTAGCAAAAATGCCAGGTGTGTTGATTCATGCCTGTAATTCCAGCACTTTGGGAGGCTAAGGAGGTGGATCGCATGAGCTCAGGAGTTTGAGACCAGTGTGGGTAACATGGTGAAACCGTATCTGTAAAAAAAAATTAGCAGAGTATGGGGGTACACACCTGTAGTCCCAGCTTTTTGGGAGGCTGAGGTGGAAGGATCACCTGAGCCTGGTTAGTTGAGGCTGCAGTGAGCCATGATTGCACCACTGCACTCCAGCCTGAGCAACAAAGTGAGACCCTGTGTCACACACACACAAAGAAAGAAACTAGCAACAAAAATGTTGGCCTCTATTCTATTTTGGTAAGTGCCTTTCATACTGGGACCAGCCCCTTTCCCATTTTGCATTTCTCCCTGAGTTTCAAAAAAGCAAATGCTTTTCTAGCATCACAGTGATTCATGAAACAATTAGGATACACACTGACCTTGCAAGTGCCTTTCATACTGGGACCAGCCCCTTTCCCATTTTGCATTTCTCCCTGAGTTTCAAAAAAGCAAATGCTTTTCTAGCATCACAGTGATTCATGAAACAATTAGAATACACACTGACCTTGCACCTGCTGTATGCCCTGCCCCTTTGCAAGCAAGCTCTGTCCTGCTATAAACCATTCAGGGATCAAGGGACACGCCCAAGTGGGCAGTGGCATCTCCATGTTGGAGCTGAGAACAATGAGGCATTTTTAAGAAAACTTAGAAAACCTTGGAGAGAATGAAGATGTGGAGAGGGGAGGAGAGAGAGGAGCCCCACAGCAACGTGGATCCAGTCTGCAGGCCCCGTCCCCATCTTGAGACCGACCTGGACTGGCGTGAGGTCATTGGAAGTCTTTTCTTAGTCCACTCAGAACGTGTATTCCTCTCCCTGTGGAAATGGAAACAATTTGTTTAAGGGGTGCCACCCGAACCCCACTGGAGGAGTGGGTAATGTGAGGATCGTGTCCTGTGTTGCCTTCCTAAGGAACCGCACATGCTGATCTGTAGCACTTGTGGCCCCTGAATTTGCAGGAAGGGACTGGTCCCTCTCCTACATTGCCTATGTCTGCTGACACCCACTATATGGCAAGAGGATGGATATGTGTGGGTAGGGGGTCAAACCATTATAGTCAATGGGAAATTCAAAATGTCCCCGAACCCAGAAAAGTTTGCCTCACTTAGCGTTTGGTCTGTAGCATCCCAGCCCCCTTTTTCGTGGTTCTTTCTCAAAGCCTCGCAGCTCTAACCCTTGACCCGTTCTTACACCCCTGTGTGTGGAGAAAAATAACCATTCCTCTCCTGTGCTCTGATGCCTCTCTAGAACTTTCCCTCTGGGCACAGGAAAGAGATGAATAGTAACAGAATAATCGGGATGGTCTTGTTAGACAATCCAAAGCCCTCTGGGCTGAAGCAGAGGTTTTTCACCTCAGGGACACCCCAGCCTGGGCCCCTACCGTGTCAGCGTCCCCAGGCACAGGCAGGAGAGGTGACGTCACCTGCATTTACATGATGTCTGTCTGTGTGGCGTGGGTCACTGGGTGGCTTTACTGAGAGCAGGGACATCAGGGATGGGTGTTCTGGGATGACTTAACAAAGGGAAAACTGAGATTGTTCCTACTGAAGCCCCTTCTCCTTTCAGCCCCCACCGAGGCGGCCTGTCCCCAAGGGACTTGGAGTGGAGACTTGAGCCACCACCGGTCAGAGGTTCAAATTTCACAGGCACAGCTGGAACCAAGCACCCTGGTGCCCAGTTGTCTGCGACTACAGCTGGATCAAGGGTTCCACTGTGGGAACGGCTTGGCCCAGCGGGGCCTTTCCTCCACCACCTGCAGCTTCTCAGCCAATGCTGATTCTGGGAACCAATGGCCCTTCCAAGGTAGGGAAGGAAACGGCGTCATGAAGCTCTAATCCAGGTGTTGGTGGTCACGACGGTGCTGTGGGTGGAGGAGAGAATGGGGCCTCCCATGCTTCCTCAGGGTCAAGTTGAAATCCATGATGCTCCAACCCAGTGAGGTGAGCAAAGGCCTGGAGCTTAGGACCGAATCTGCTCTCAGGACCTGGGTTTGCCACTTTCTGCTTGTTGACTTTGGCCAAGGTTTTTGTCTTTTTGCTCTTTATATCTCTGTTCCCTCATCTAAGATACCTGAAGAATAACATCTACCTGCAATCATAATTTCCAAAGGGCCTGATTCCATAAGAATTGCCCAATAAACCTATGAGTAGGTGTTATCTAATCCTTTTATCTTTCTGCTAAATTTACACTTAGCAAGTGATTTCACGGACGATGTCTCCTCTGAGGTAGAGCAGTTATGAAGATCTCTGCTTTCTAGGACCCCTCTTCCTTTCCTTTCTCACACAGACTCCTCTGCCAGTTTTCTTCCTCTCCTTCTCCATCCCTCATGAAGCCAATTTTCCCCTGTCAGGCACTTTCAATAACAACCTATGAGGCACATTGAGTAACAGTGTAAATCCTGGGCCCACACTCAGTCTCCTGACATGTCCAGCTGCTTCTGCTGTTTTTTCTGCTTTTTTTTGAAATAAAAGGGCAACTTTCACATGGAAAGTGTTCACATCAGTCTCTTTTATGAAATTCCATTTAGTTCACATTCTCCACTCATGTCCGTGGCCATGTCCTCGGTTTCTGTCTCACAGGGATCCATTTCTGCTCAGATTACCTTAAAATCCTGGGTCGTGTTCATTCTCACTCTCCATCCCACTCAATATCTCCTCCTGGAGCCCCTGGGGCTGCCTGGTGCTCATCTGTCAGGCGATGCCCTCAGCTGAGGAATGAGGGAACCCCTGTCCTCAGGGGGAGGGAGGGTTGCGTGAGATAATGAGCACCATCTGGGCCAGTGGAGAGGACACATGGAAGGTGCTCCGGGAGTGTCGGGGGATGTGCAGTCCCTGACACGTGCCATGATAACTTATTTAGACTGATTTCTTAGCACTGAACTCTCTTTTGCTTCTCTGTGGATTCTCACACCCCCAGCCAAGACTCACCCCACTGGCTCAGACACACTCCCTCTTGCTCACTTTCCCTGGAGTCCAGAGCCTGAACCAGGCTCCAGGTAAGAGGACAGAGTGAACGCCTTTCGTTTCATTAACACTTTCCTTCACCTGGTGATTTCTCCCTGCTGTCTACCAGGTCATTTGTTTCTCCCATACCTATTCTTTCTCATTCTTCTCATGTCTCCAATTATTTTTCCAATTTCGATGGACCAGAATAGTGACTCTACTCTTACATTCAATCCCTCCCAAATCCCTATATTTTTTTTCTTTAAATTAATGTGTACAGATACATGCATTTGTATCATTTGTCCTATTACGTGTGACTATGTATATCTGGTGTGTATGCTATATAGGGTGTATATATATATGCAGTAGATCATATAATGATGCAACTTTTGTAAATTCTCTAGGTTTAGTCTTCCTGGTTCTTTCCTCTCATCAGTTGCTGTCACCTATGTCTGGTCTCACCTCTGTGCCACATGGGCTGCCACCCTGCCAGGCCCTTCCATTCCCATCTCCTGTTTGAACCCAGTTCTTATTTAACTTTGATTTTTGTAATCTCTTCTCTCCCCAAAGCATAGCCTACATACAGTGTTATTTCCTTGCCTTTGCCTTATCTACCTGGAAGCTATTTGTGTTTCTGAATCCTATGTTTCTGGAATATTTTTGTGACTTGGCAGTGCCTTTGGATCCTGGCAATCTTGTCATTACTGAGTAATGTAGGAAAGATCAACAAAAAAGAAAGTATTAAAGTGACTCTATCGGCTTCCCCTCGCCCTTTGGACTTTCTTGTCCAAGGCTCTTTCCTGATTTGATGTCCTCTGGGTGGAAGAGAAAGTTACGGTAAGATCATGGATGGCAGCGGATCCCATTGGCTGTGGTTTTCTTTTCAGAGCTGGTTTTAGAGCCCTCTCTGGGGATGAAGAACCCTCCCCAGCTGGAAGATGATGCACTTGAAGGCTCAGCAAGCAACACACAAGGGCGTCAAGTCACTGGCCGGATTCGTGCCTCCCTTGTCCTGATACTGAAGACCATCAGAAGAAGACTCCCGTTCAGCAAGTGGAGACTGGCATTCAGATTCGCTGGCCCGCATGCTGAGAGTGCAGAGGTAATCACATCTATGGCTGATAGCTGCACTCACTTCTTATTTCTCTGTCTATGGTGACAGCTCATTCTCTCACTGCTTTTTCTCTCCCATTTGTTCTCTCCAACAGCTGCTCTAACCTCTGTCTGGTCTTAGCTCTGTGTCCCATGGGCTCCCACCCTGACTGGCCCCTTCTCTACCCATCTTCTCTTTACTCTCTGAACTCTGCTCTATTCCTTTTTCTACTGTCTTGAGAGTCCCTCTCATGGCCACAGGAGAGCCAGGCCTCCTTGTCCCCATCCAAGTACATAGTTTAAGCTGCTGAACACAGGGTTGTTTGCCCGGAATCACACACTCCTTTGGGAAATTTACCTTTCCTTGCTGCATCCCCAACTCCATTGCCTCTTTGTGTAGAAATCATTGCTTTAATACGTCATTTACACGAAGATTTTCCTCTTGAGTCTTCTTTTGAGCAACACAACTAATTCAACTCTTAATCATCACTTGTTCCTCTGAATGAGAAGTGTTAAAACTAAGCACTAAGAGCCCCCCTAGGAAACTAAACTAGAACCAGGGTCACAGGTGGGAGTTCCCTACTGGCCTGGAGTCAGGTTTGTCTTTAGCCCCAGATGTGCAGCTTAGTGCCAACGTGGATGGAGTTGCCAGGGTCTCAGTGTTCTCACCTCATGGACTCACTTGAGCTGATGTTAACTGGGGAACATTTATGACATTCTAAAGGGACATCACTCCAAAAGTACATGCAGAGGGCAGGACTTGAAAACTGCATACATCATGAGGTACGTCATTCTAACCTCTCTCCTTTTTATTCTCATTTCCACTTTTCAAGTCCAGTTAAGGGTCTGAAATGCAAGTCAGATGAATCTTGAGGCCATTGTATATGAGAGAGCATTTTATGAATTAACTTTGAGAAAAGTGACTCCAGGACCAGCTTTATGCATACACTAGATGACAGGAATCTGTCTACAGGACAGTCTTTGCTTCGGTGCAGCCCAATTGATAAGACAGAGATTTAACTGAAATTGTCAGAGAGAAGGCTAAAATCCATGGAACCACTGGGAACAAAGCCAGTCATGAGATAAACGGGGAAAGGAAAGAAAATGATGGGAAATTGGGCTGGTCCATTTAGTATCTCTAAATCCTGCTGCCATGTAATAAGCACCCGGTGAGATTTCAATTAAGATGAATGCCTTCAACTTACACTTAGAGATGCTCACTTACATGGCCTGGGGTGTGGTCTGAGCATCTGTAGTTTCAAAATGCTCCCATGTGATTCTAATATGTGGCTAAAGATGAGAAGGACCCCTGGTCTACTATGACCTCAGGTTACCAACATGGAAGTGCCACATATGTGTGGCTACTCCACAGAAAAGGCTGAGCCTCTATCAGACTTTGATGGGATCTGTATTCCCCTCTCAATAGTACTCTTCGTATAGCATAGAAAAAAATCAAGAAGAAAAACAAGAAAATTAATAGATTAGACTTTTAGCCTCTGCTTGAAGCACACTTGCTGAATTTTGAATACAAGATAAGTAAGAAATAGTCATGATATTAACACCTAATGTACGGAAATAATACCTGCCATATTACATATAGTGGAATTTAGTATTTTCTTTTGCATTTTAAAATAAAACTTCCAGTTTACATTTCCCCACACCCATTTTATAGCCCACCAATGGTCTCACCACTGCAATGTGAAAATTTTACTTTTGGTCAATTATTGTCCTTCTGCAAAATCCCCAAAGAGAACTCATTGGTCCCCCTGTCCTGAAGAGCATACAATAACAAATTAAGACTGAAATGCTGCAAGAGATTGTATATGAATACTTCTTCATGCCTCTCTTCACACTGGCATAAAATATTAAAAAGAAACCTTTCTCATAATGTACTTGGGGAAAACAATAAGCGGGACGGGAGACTGTAGTAAAACACAAACTAATCCTTTTCACTTTGTACTTCAGAGTTTTCTTGGTCTAGATATTGAGAATATTTCTAGAAATGCCTTAAGGTGGAACCGGATGTGGAATCAACTTCAGGGCATTAGGGAAAATAAGTTGGGCCATGGTTACAGTCCCTTTTCTCACTTTGCTAACTCCATTTTGAGTCTCTTTTTTTAAACTCCCTTTCTTTCCTGATGACCTTTGGACAAAAACTTATAATTATATATATTTTTTATTTTTTTAACCAACCAAAGAAACAGCAGCACCATCATATTTATCTGTAAAACCTTATTCCTGTCCTAGCCAAGGTGACCCAACCACCACTCATGACTGTTGAGACCTCCAGATTGGAGCCTTTCCTCTCGCTTTCTCCAATCTTTATTGAAAGGCCTTAGTGGGTGGATTCTAATTCCTGGGTTGTCAATAGCAAGTCATGTGGCCTTAGTTCCATCTTACCCCTGTGGCATCACTACTCCTCTGTTGTAAAATGTGGACCTGGACGTGGATGTTGTCTGAGGTTTCTGCTGCTTCTCATATCCAGGGTTCTTCCCATGGCCCTCCCGCTCCTCCCTAGAAGACTAGGACATGGAGTTGTAAGGGGGTGGGTTTCTCTGCAGAGGCTCCTGTCCTTCTGCTCCCCTCTGTTTCTTGGCATGCATGATTGATGCTGAGTACATGCTCACTGGGAGGAAAAGCCCTCACTCTGCTCCAGACAGAGGGGATCAGGAGGAAAGGGGATGATGTTGCCCACTGCTGGTTGGGCATAGGTGGGGTCCTTATATCCTGCACCCCAGGCTGACTGGAAGTTCAGGAGTGTTTTCTTCTCACTTGTGGATGGTGCTTCCCCCTTCTGACAGCCCAGGACTCACCCTCCAGCTCATCCTCCCAGCAGGAGATCCCAGTGAGATATCACTGCTTAGCAATCCCTCCAGACTCAGCCATCAGGTGGACCTGACAAAAATGCTCATTTGATTTTTTTTCTCTCTCTCCCCTACAGATACCAAATACTGCTGAAAGGATGCAAAGGATGATAGGATGAAAGAATGTCACAAAAAGCAGCTTTTCCACTTGATAAAAACAACTAAAACAGCAAAGCAAGTTTAAGTCCAAACACAATACTGCAGGGGTCCTTCACTGAGGATTGAATTTCAGACACAGAATACTCTTGATGACTTCAAGCCACTATGCTCCTTTGATTTGAGAAGCCACATTCCATCCCCCTCCAATTGTGATCAACACCTAGGGAGACCAATGCCCAGATGGACAAATAGCATTGACTGGCGTTAGCCCTGTTTCTCAATTCCCATCATGTAGAGAACAGGAGTCCGCAGCTGCTGGCAGGAGACAGCATGTCAGCCGGGACTCTGCCAGGGCAGAGTATGAGCAATGCCATGTTCTTGCTGAAAACGTTTAGCCTGAGTTTCATAGGAGGTAACCCTCAGATAACTGCAGAATGTAGAACATTGAACAGGACAACTGACATGTCTCCTTCAAACAGTCCATGTCACCACCAAGAAAACAACAAAAAGGAGAAGAGACATTTTGAGTTCAAAAAGAGTAAAAAGCCTATGCAGCTTATGCTTTTTTAGTCATTTTGAACCCAAAACATCTCCTTATCTTTTTGTTGTTGTCATCGATGGTGGTGACATGGACTTGTTTGTGGAGGACGGGTCAGCTCTCTGGCTCAATGGTCTACATTCTGAAGTTATCTGAAAATGTCGTCATGATTAAATTCAGCCTAAACATTTTGCCAGGAACTCTGCAGAGTCCATGCTGTGAGCTTCCTACCTCAGCCCATCTGCAGGCAGAGAAGGCCCAGTGTGTCCATCCCCAGTGCGGTGATACTAGGATGTTCACTTGGTCAAGGAGGGGTCTAGGAGCTCTGTCCCTTGTAAAGACACCTTATTTATAATTAAATTGGAAAGTGGTTTGAAATAGTATAAATATCCTGTATTCTAACAATCTTCTTCTGAGTATTTTATCATCAATTAATCACCCCTGCCTGTGTCAGTTATTATATTTATGTTTTTACATTGGAAATTGTCTTCTCAAAATTTTACTATGTACTTGTTTTTGCTGGCATTCTGTCGTAAAAAGGAACATTCCCTGCCCAAAGTTTGACTTTCATCCAAAATTAATTTTAGTCCATTAAAGTTAAAATGTTAAAGTTTTAAATCACTTTAATTAAATTTTTTTGCCTATCACCCTGGACTAGTGAATTTTTCACATACAATGTTTTAAGCTTTTATTTTATTATTGGTTTTCATGGATAAGAATATAGATTAATAAAAACATTCTTATTTACCTGTTTATATTCTAAAGTATTCCATATTTTAGTCTTATTTACCATATGTAGTAGATTGTATTTACTGTATTTCTTTGTCAATGTTATTTGTTTTGTTTGTGTGTGTGTGCATGTGTGTGTGTGCCTTTTGTTTGTTATTTAGGAAGGGTTGTATAGATCCTGTTTAACATTGCACTAAAAAGGTTTTGACATCAGTAGTCCCCTTTTAACCTGACACATTTCTAATATTTGGTTTATAAATTTTAAATTATATCTGTCAACTTCAAATTTTTACCACTGTAACAATCAAAGAAATTATTTTTGTCTTCTCTGACCTCTTTACCTGCCATTTCTGATAGTGTTATTTCAACCCAAACATATACCAGGGACAGCCTATGTCTCCCACCTTGTCCCCACCTTGGTTTTTGGTTTAGATCTGCAATTAAATACATTGATGCTCATGAGCTATTCAAAAGTGCATGTCCTAGGCATCACTTACTGAGTATCATTCATCCTTAACAATGTCTCCATGAGAGAATCAGGTCTCACTGACTTTTGCATCCTTAATAAACTTTTCCCACTGCCTTGGTACATGGACACCTCACTTGATATAAGGTACTTACCAAAAATGATTTTTTCTTGAGATTTTAGGAAACATTGTCTTGCTTTCAGTGACATGCATGGTGTGTGTTCTCATTCTGGGATTCTATTTTGTTCTATCAGGACCTCTAATTTCTGCCAGTTACTCCATTCATTCTCTTCACCAGAAATCTCCAGAGGACACTTCATTTGTCATAGTGTCTCTACCACTCCTGCTGAACAAGCTTGGGTATGCATAGAAACTGAGGCCAAGTTGTGTCACTGGGCACATTTGGGCATCAACATCAAATGTCTGGCATCAAATCCCAGAATCTCAAACAGGCAAAAAGGAAGGAAAACATGAAACATAATGAAGAATGTAATAATTCAGTTGAAAATGACACACATTAAAAATAGAAGACAAGGACATTAGAGCAGTTATAATTTTATTTAAGTGAAGATGTTGGAGATATTTTTAAATATCAAACTTCATAAGTGCAAACTGTGGTTTACAGTCTGAAATTTTTAAAATGCACTGAATTGAACATTGCAGAAGAAAATATTAATGAACTAGAAGAAATAGCAGTAGAAACTAACACAAATGAAACACACAGAGAAAAATGAATTTAAAAAATAAAAAGCCCATCAGTGGGAAATCTTTAAATACCCTACTGTAGGGGTAAATGGAATCCCTGAAGGGAATGGAGTGGGTAAGAGGGATAGAAAAATATTTAAAACATACTGGATGAAAGCTTTCTAAGCTTCATGAAAACCATAAACCCCAAATATCCCAGAAACATAATGTATCCTAAAGATAAGAAACATGGGCTGACTCTCTTTTCGGACTCAGCCCGCCTGCACCCAGGTGAAATAAACAGCCATGTTGCTCACACAAAGCCTGTTTGGTGGTCTCTTCACATGGACGCACATGAAATTTGGTGCCGTGACTCAGATCAGGGGACCTCCCTTGGGAGATCCATCCCCTGTCCTTCTGCTCTTTGCTCCGTAAAAAAGATCCACCTACGACCTCAGGTCCTCAGACCCACCAGCCCAAGGAACATCTCACCAATTTTAAATCGGGTAAGCGGCCTCTTCTTACTCTCTTCTCCAACCTCTCTCACTGTCCCTCAACCACTTTCTCCTTTCCACTCTTCAATCTCTCCCTTCTCTTAATTTCAATTCCTTTCATTTTCTGGTAGAGACAAAGGAGACGTGTTTTATCTGTGGACCCAAAACTCTGGCGCCGGTCATGGACTAAGGAAGGCAGCCTTCCCTTGGTGTTTAATCATTGCAGGGACGCCTCTCTGATTATTCACCCAGGTTTCAGAGGTGTCAGACCACGAAGGGATGCCTGCCTTGGTCATTCACTCTTAGCGGCAAGTCCCGCTTTTCTGGGAAAGAGGCAAGTACCCCAACCCCTTCTCTCTGGGTCTCTACCCCTTCTCCACCTTTCTGGGGGGCAAGAAACCCCCAACCCCTTCTCCTTCACTCTTAGCAGCAAGTCCCACTTTTCTAGAGGAGGGGCAAGTACCCCAACCTCATATCTCTGTGCCCCAATCTCTTATTTCTGTGCCCCAACCTCTTATATCTCTGTGCCCCAATCCCTTATTTCCATGCCCTGACCTCTTATCTCTGTGCCCCAACCCCTTATATCCATGCCCCAACCCCTTTCCCACTTTTCTGGAAGGTAAGAACCCCCAAACCCCTTCCCTCCGTGTCTCTACTCTTTCTTTTCTCTAGGCTTGCTTTCTTCACTATGGGCAACTTTCCACCCTCCATTCCTCCTTCTTCTCCCTTGGCCTGTGTTCTCAAAAACTTAAAACCTCTTCAACTCACACCTGACCTAAAACCTAAATGCCTTATTTTCTTCTGCAATGCCGCTTGACCCCAATACAAACTCAACAGTAGTTCCAAATAGCCAGAAAACGGCACTTTCAATTTTTGCATCCTGCAAGATCTAAATAATTCTTGTCATAAAATGGGCAGACGGTCTGAGGTGCCTGACGTCCAGGCATTCTTTCACATATCGGTCCCTCCCTAGTCTCTGTGCCCGGTGCAACTCGTCCCAAATCTTCCTTTTTTCCCTCCCGCCTGTCCCCTCAGTCCCAACCCCAAGCGTCACTGAGTCTTTCTAATCTTCCTTTTCTACAGACCCATCTGACCTCTCCCCTCCTCACCAGGCTGAGCTAGGTCCCAATTCTTCCTCAGCCTCCGCTCCTCCACCCTATAATCCTTTTATCACCTCCCCTCCTCACACCCGGTTTGGCTTACAGCTTCATTCGGTGACTAGCCCTCCCCCACCTGCCCAGCAATTTACTCTTAAAAAGGTGGTTAGAGCTAAAGGCATAGTTAAGGTTAATGCTCCTTTTTCTTTATCCCAAATCAGATAGCATTTAGGCTCTTTTTTGTCAAATATAAAAATCCAGCCCAGTTCATGACTTGTTTGGCAGCAACCCTGAGACACTTTACAGCCCTAGACCCTAAAAGGTCAAAAGGCCGTCTTATTCTCAAAATACATTTTATTACCCAATCTGCTCCCGACATTAAATAAAACTCCAAAAATTAAATTCCAGCCCTCAAACCCCACAACAGGATTTAATTAACCTCGCCTTCAAGGTGTACAATAATAGAAAAAATTTGCAATTCCTTGCCTCCTCTGTGAGACAAACCCCAGCCACATCTCCAGCACACAAGAACTTCCAAACACCTGAACTGCAGCAGCCAGGCGTTCCTCCAGAACCTCCTCCCCCAGGAGCTTGCTACAAGTGCCAGAAATCTGACCACCAGGACAAGGAATGCCTGCAGCCCAGGATTCTTCCTAAGCCGTGTCCCATCTGTGCGGGACCCCACTGAAAATCGGACTGTTCAACTCACCTGGCAGCCACTCCCAGAGCCCCTGGAACTCTGGCCCAAGGCTCTCTGACTGACTCCTTCTTGGCTTAGCGGCTGAAGACTGAGGCTGCCCGATTGCCTCGGAAGCTTCAGACCATCACGGACGCCGAGCTTCAGGTAACTCTCACAATGGAAGGTAAGTCCGTCCCCTTAGTCAATACAGAGGCTACCCACTCCACATTACCTTCTTTTCAAGGGCCTGTTTCCCTTCCCTCCATAACTGTTGTGGGTATTGACAGCCAGGCTTCTAAACCCCTGAAAACTCCCCCACTCTGGTGCCAACTTGGACAACACTCTTTTATGCACTCTTTTTTAGTTATCCCCACCTGCCCAGTTCCCTTATTAGGCTGAGATATTTTAACCAAATTATCTGCTTCCCTGACTATTCCTGGACTACAGCTGCATCTCATTGCCGCCCTTCTCCCCAACCCAAAGCCTCCTTCGCGTCTTCCTCTCGTATCCCCCCACCTTAACCCACAAGTATGGGACATCTCTACTCCATCCCTGGCAACTGATCACATGCCCTTTACCATCCCATTAAAACCTAATCACCCTTACCCTGCTCAACGCCAATATCCCATCCCACAGCACGCTTTAAAAGGATTAAAGCCTGTTATCACTCGCCTGCTACAGCATGGGCTTCTAAAACCTATAACTCTCCTTACAATTCCCCCATTTTACCTGTCCAAAAACCGGACAAGTCTTACAGATTATTTCAGGATCTGCGCCTTATCAACAAAATTGTTTTGCCTATCCACCCTGTAGTGCCCAACCCATACACTCTTTTGTCCTCAATACCTTCCTCCACAACTCACTATTCCATTCTCGATCTTAAAGATGCTTTTTTCACTATTCCCCTGCACCCCTCATCCAAGCCTCTCTTTGCTTTCACTTAGACTGACCCTGACACCCATTAGGCTCAGCAAATTACCTAGGCTGTACTGCTGCAAGGCTTCACAGACAGCCCCCATTACTTCAGTCAAGCCCAAATTTTATCCTCATCTGTTACCTATCTCAGCATAATTCTCATAAAAACACATGTGCTCTCCCTGCTGATCTTGTCCAATTAATCTCCCAAACCTCAATCCCTTACAAAAGAACAACTCCTTTCCTTCCTAGGCATGGTTAGTGCGGTCAGAATTCTTACATAAGAGCCAGGACCACACCCTGTAGCCTTTCTGTCCAGACAACTTGACCTTACTGTTTTAGCCTAGCCCTCATGTCTGTGTGCAGCAGCTGCTGCTGCTTTAATAATTTTAGAGGCCCTAAAAATCACAAACTATGCTCAACTCACTCTTTACAACTCTCATAATTTCCAAAATCTATTTTCTTACTCACACCTGATGCATATGCTTTCTGCTCCCCGGCTCCTTCAGCTATACTCACTCTTTGTTAAGTCTCCGCAATTACCATTGTTCCTGCCCCAGACTTCAATCTGGCCTCTCACATTATTCCAGATACCACACCTGACCCTCATGACTGCATCTCTCTGATCCACCTGACGTTCACCCCATTTCCCCACATTTCCTTCTTCCCTGTTTCTCACCCTGATCACACTTAGTTTATTGATGGCAGTTCCACCAGGCCTAATCACCACACACCAGCAAAGGCAGGCTATGCTATAGTACAAGCCACTAGCCCACCTCTTAGAACCTCTCATTTCCTTTCCATCATGGAAATCTATCCTCAAAGAAATAACTTCTCAGTGTTCCATCTGCTATTCTACTACTCCTCATGGATATTATTCAGGCCCCCTCCCTTCCCTACACATCAAGCTCAAGGATTTGCCCCAACCCAGGACTGGCAAATTAGCTTTACTCAACATGCCCCAAGTAAGATAACTAAAATACCTCTTAGTCTAGGTAGACACTTTCACTGGATAAGTAGAGTCCTTTCCTACAGGGTCTGAGAAGGCCACTGCAGTCATTTCTTCCCTTCTGTCAAACAAAATTCTTCAGTTTAGCCTTGTCATTCCCTTCTGTCAGACATAATTCCTCAGTTTAGCCTTCCCACCTCTATACAGTCTGATAACAGACCAGCCTTTATTAGTCAAATCAGCCAAGCATTTTTTCAGGCTCTTAGTATTCAGTGACAGACTAATGCTATTAAAAACACACCTCACAAAGCTCAGCCACCAACTTAAAAAGGACTGGACAATACTTTTACCACTTTTGCTTCTCAGAATTCAGGCCTGTCCTCAGAATGCTACAAGACACTGCCCATTTAAGCTCCTGTATAGACACTCCTTTTTATTAGGCCCCAGTCTCATTCCAGACACCAGACCAACTTAGACTGTGCCCCCAAAAACTTGTCATCCCTACTATCTTCTGTCTAGTCATACTCCTATTCACCGTTCTCAACTACTTATACATGCCCTGCTCTTGTTTACACTGCCAGTTTACACTGTTTCTCCAAGCCATCACAGCTGATATCTCCTGGTACTATCCCCAAACCGCCACTCTTAACTCTTAAAGTAAATAAATAATCTTTGCTGGCAAGGCTATACTGAACCTCCTTAGGCACTCTCTAATTAGATGTCCTAGGTCCTTCCAATTCTTAGTCCTTTAATACCTGTTTTTCTCCTTCTCTTATTCTGTTTAGTTTTTCAATTCATACAAAACTGTATCTAGGCCATCACTAATAATTCTAAATGACAAATGTTTCTTCTAACAACCCCACAATATCACCCCTTACCACAAAATCTTCCTTCAGCTTAATCACTCCCACTTTAGGTTCCCACGCCTCCCCCAATCCTGCTCAAAGCAGCCCTGAGAAACATCGCCCATTATCTCTCCATACCATCCCCCAAAATTTTCACTGTCCCAACACTTTACCACTATTTTGTTTTATTTTTCTTATTAATATAAGAATACAGGAATGTCAGGCCTCTGAGCCCAAGCTAAGCCATCATATCCCCTGTGGCCTGCACATACACATCCAGATGGCCAGTTCCTGACTTAACTGATGACATTCTACCACAAAAGAAGTGAAAATGGCCTGTTCCTGCCTTAACTGATGACATTGTCTTGTGAAATTCCTTCTCCTGGCTCATCCTGGCTCAAAAGCTCCCCTACTGAGCACCTTGTGACCCCCACTCTGCCTGCCAGAGAACAACCTCCCTTTGACTGTAATTTTCCTTTACCTACACAAATCCTATAAAACGGCCCCACCCCTATCTCCCTTCGCTGACTTTCTTTGGACTCAGCCTGCCTGCACCCAGGTGAAATAAACAGCCATGTTGCTAAAAAATAAATAAATAAATAAATAAATAAATAAATAAATAAATAAGAAACATGAAGAAAACTACACCAAGGAACACCATACTCCAATTGATCAAAACCAGTGATGAAGAGAAACTCCTCAGAGGAATAAAAGGTGAAAAGACATGTTACATACAGAGGACTAACTGTAAGGATGGCATCCAATTTCTCATCAGAACTGTTACAAACAAAAAGTTTGCAATAGCTTTCAAGTACTGAAAAAAAGAAAACACTGTCAACCTAGAATTCTATACCCAGTCAAAATATCTTTCAAAACTGAAGATGAGCAAAAAAGTTTTGGAAAGAAAAAAAATTATCTCAATTTGCAGATGACATGACCCTATATAGAGAAAATACCAAATAATAAACACCCCCCCACCCCACCACACACACACACACACACACACACACACACACACACACAATTACTGGAGTTAATAAACTAATTCAGTAAACTTGCAGCATACAAGATAAACAGATAAAAACCAGGTTTGTTAGCAATGAAAAATCTTAAAGGAAAATTAATACATTTCATTTACAATAGCACCCATAAGAATAACATATCTAGGAATAAATTTAAGAAGGTGAAATACATGTACACTAAAAACTACATAACATTGCATAAAAAGATCAAAGAAGAACTAAATAAATGGGAAAACATCCTGTGTCCATGGGTTGGAAAGTTTAATATAGTTAACATAGAAATACTACTCCAAGCAATCTACAGATTCAATACAATCTTATCCAAATTCAGTGGCCTATTTTTTTTTCAGAAATAAAAAAGAAGAACTTCTTATTCAGAAAAAAATTGCAAGTATCCCCAAATAGCAAAAACAATCTTGAAAAACAAGAATAAACACCTCTTATTCCAAAGGTCTTTAATTGCTTCCAGCAATATGGTGTAGTCTTCAGTGTATGGGTTTCCACATCCTTTGCAATGCAGTTTTTATATTTTGATGCTATTGTAAATGTTTGCTTAAAAGAAACTTTTTAAAAATTTTATTAAAATTGTATATATTTAAGGTCTGCAACATGATGTTTCCACATGTATCTACATAATGAACTAATGGCTACATTCAAGCTAATTAGCATATCTACCTCTTCACATAGTTCCTTTTTAAGAGTAATGGAACACACGATCTACTCTTTTAGCAAACTCCAAGTATACAATACAGCATGAACAATAGTCCCCATGCTGTACATTAGGTCTCTAAAACTCATTGTGTAACCAAAAGCAGGTTAGTTGCTCACCACATGCAGAGTGCAATTAAGTGTGAGGCCTGGCACAAAAAAAAAAGTGAATTTATTTCCAAAGCTGGCTTGGGGAAAGATGCATAACATGTCCTGCTTTGAATGTGTCACCTCACCTTTGGAGCAAAAAGTGGATTTTTTATAAGTTAAAGGGAGAAGTGAGCAAGGACAGAGGGGTCTCCCTGCTCCCAGGCAGTTATCCACTGGGCAGTCAAGATGGTATCTTTCTGGTCAGAAGTAAGTTGTAAAAGTGACCAGGTGGGAATGCTTTCAACATGCCCTCCTAGTGGGTGTAAGTTCTGAGGTGACCCCAAATGGTGGAAGTTCTGTGATGGGTGTGGTTTGGTCTGCAAATCAACTGTGCACTCTTGAGGAGAGATCTGTCTTGAAACACACAGAAGAATTTGTTCTGAAGGGTATGTCTGCTGATGGGGAGGTGATAGGTTATGTTTCCATTTCCAAAGGACTATGTAGAAAACATAGAATGGGGGAAAAGGGGAGAGGAGAAGAGAAGAAATAATAATAATAACAATAATAAAAGTAACTCATTCTTTTTATCTTAGGAAAAATTGGGGCACTCTGTTACAATTCATTCTACATAACTGAAGCTCTGTATCCTTTGACCAACATCTCCTCATTCCCCATCTCCCACCCCTCCTCTGGTAACCGCCATTCTACTCTCTGCTTCCATGAATTCAACTTTTTTAGTTTCCATGTATAAGTGAGATCATGCAGTACTTGTTCTGTGTCTGGCTTATTTTGCTTAGCATAATGTCTTTCAGGTTCATCCATATTATCACAAATGACAGGGTTTCCTTCATTTTCATGGCTGAAAAATACTGCATTGTATATGTGTTACATAGACACACACATACTAAAAAAATACACACACACACACACACACACACACACACACCAAAAACACTCTGTGCACTCCTAATAGGTCTGAGTTTTACCTGTAATCATATAGCATGTGTTCTCTTGTTCCTTTGTTTCATTGAAAATTTAGTTTGCAGGGTTTTCTTTCATCTTTATTTTTCTCTGGTTTCCAGAAATAACAATTCTACCTCTTTCCAATGGAACCTTAAAATCCAAGTAAGACAAAATATATTCTGCTGAATGTTTAGACTTCTTTTTTTTTTGTATTTGACTTTTTAAAAAATGCATGTTTTTTGAGATGGAGTCTCACTCTCACCCAGCCTGGAGTGCAGTGGTGTGATCTCGGCTCACTGCAACCTCTGCTTCCTGGGCTCAGGCAATCCTCCCTCCTCGGCCTCCCTAGTGGCTCTGACCATAGGTATGCACCACCACGTCCAGCTAATTTTTTTAAATTATTTTTGTAGAGACAGGGTTTCACCATGTTGCCTCAGCTGGTCTTGAACTCCTGAGTTCAAATAATCTGCCCGTGTCGGACCTCCCAAAGGGTTGGGATTACAGGCACCAAGGGGGATTTATCCCAGGGATAGAAGGTTAGTTTGATCACTTCGCAATGATAAAAGATTCAACTTACCAAGAGCATATCAGCTTTTGGCCTCAATATATATAAAGGAAAAACTGATAGAGCTCCAAGGGGAGGGCGAGGTCTGGAAGGGTTCCTGCCCCATGGCCCTGGGGGTTCAGCCTTAGCAGACAAGTCTGAGCAAGGGTGGTGGAGTGCAGAACCTTGAGCCTGCTATGCAGGGAGGGAAAGGAAGCTGGCAAAAGAAACAATGAGACTGCAAAACACTTGGGGAGTTTTCAAGAAATTGGTTCAAAGGGATTTTAGTTCTGTGGTCATTCCTCAGTCCTCTTGATGACAGAGAGAACACAAACAGAATGTGTAGATTCCTTTTATAACAAAAATTCTGTGAGAGAAACATAACTAGAAAATACAACTAACTGTACAGAAATCTGTATCAGCTACCTAAAATATGTAGTCTTTCATTTTGACCATGAAACAACAATAAAGGATCACCACATGTTTGGGGGCATGAATGGCAGCATAAAAATCTAAAACTAAGATAAACACAGTAACTAATTCCAGAGAATGTAGTAACAATTCAGGAAACTACAGTCAACAAAAACAAAACTATATAAAGCACCCTCTAATATCCTCAAAAAGAATCAAGATGATACTTAATTAAGAAAAAAACTACCAAGCAAGAAACAAATACTATGAAAAGGGATAAATACAATCAAAGGGATAAAAAGAGCTCTTGGAAGTAAAGATGTGATTGTTGACATGAGTTCAATAGAAGGGTTAAAATATATGATTGAAGAAATGTCCTAGAAAATGACATAGTGATAGAAAATATTTATGAAAAGATAAGATGCAGCCAGGTGCAATGGCTCACACCTGTAATCCCAGCACTTTGGGAGGTTGAATAGGGCAGATCACTTGAGCCCAGGAGTTTGAGACCAGCCTGGGTGACTTAGTGGGACCTCGTCTCCAAAAAATAAAATATAAAAATAAATAAATAGCCAGGTGTTGTGGTGAACACCTACAGCCCTGGCTACTTGGGAGGCTGAGGTGGAAGGATCACTTGAGCCCAAGAGGTCAAGGCTGCAGTGAGCTGTGGTCGTGCCACTGTACTCCAGCCTGAGTGACAGAGTAAGACCCTGCCTCAAAAATAAATAATTAAATAAGATGCATAGAGGGTGAGATGGTTAATTTTATGTGTCAGCTTGACTAGACTAAGGGATTTCCGGATAACTGGTGAAATATGATTTCTGAGTATGACTGTGAAGCTGTTTAAGAAAAAGATTAGCATTTCAATCCATACACTGAGTAAAGAAGGTCCACGCTCACCAACGTGGGTGGACATTATCCAGTCATTTGAGAGCCCACATAAAACAAAAAAGCAGAAGAAAGGCAAATACTCTGTTTCTGTCTCTGTCTCTGTCTCTGTCTGTCTGTTTCTCTGTTTTCTTGAGCTAGGGCATCCATCTTCTCCTGCCCTCAGACATCAGAGCTGCTGGTTCTTGGGCCTGAGGACTCTAATACTTACACCAGTGTCCCTGCCCTCCACCCTAGTTCTCAGGCCTTGGACCTTGGACTGGGAATTTCGCCATTAGCTCCCCTGGTTCTCAGGCCTTTGGACTTGGACTTGGAAAGCACCAGCTTTCCTGGTTCTCCAGCTTGCAGAGAGCATATTGTGGAACTCCACACCTTCTAATAATCCCATGAGCCAATTCCTATAATAAACTTCTGATATAGAAATATTTGTCAAAGATTGAATACAAAAAGAATGATTTTCCAAATTCTAATAATAATTTTAGCTATGATGAAACACAGGCTACACAAACAACTGATGAGATAGTAGCTATTTAACTGGCAATAACAACAAAGTGTCTTCAGTGTTCAAAACTATATAAAGCACCCTCTAATATCCTCAAAAAGAATCAAGATGATACTTAATTAAGAAAAAAACTACCAAGCAAGAAACAAATACTATGAAAAGGGATAAATACAATCAAAGGGATAAAAAGAGCTCTTGGAAGTAAAGATGTGATTGTTGACATGAGTTCAATAGAAGGGTTAAAATATATGATTGAAGAAATGTCCTAGAAAATGACATAGTGATAGAAAATATTTATGAAAAGATAAGATGCAGCCAGGTGCAATGGCTCACACCTGTAATCCCAGCACTTTGGGAGGTTGAATAGGGCAGATCACTTGAGCCCAGGAGTTTGAGACCAGCCTGGGTGACTTAGTGGGACCTCGTCTCCAAAAAATAAAATATAAAAATAAATAAATAGCCAGGTGTTGTGGTGAACACCTACAGCCCTGGCTACTTGGGAGGCTGAGGTGGAAGGATCACTTGATGCTTTGTTCTGTTCTGTTTCTCTGGAGAACCCTGACTAACACACAAGGTCAACCCAGAAGGTATGACATCCAAGTAATAAGAATTCTAGAGTTAGAAAATAGAAGGAAGAAAATTAAGAAAAATAATAGAATACACTAATGCTAAGGAAAAATAAATTTATAGTTAGGAAGAGCCCATAAATGTCAAGCATAATGAATGAAAAGAGAACCTACCTAAACTCACATTGTAAAATTTCATAACAGCCAGGATAGAAGCATGACTAAAAGCTTGCACAGAGGAAAAACAGGTTGTATATGAAAAATCAGAGTGGCTCAGGCTTCTCAGAAATCACATTAGATGCTAGAAATTAATAGGGTAATTAATGCCTTAACAGCTCTGAGGGAAAGCATTTTTGAACTTGATGCTCAAACTCAGCCAAACTGCCAGTCTAGGAAAAAAGCAAAATTAAATAATTTTTAGACATGCAAGAAATTAACTTTAAGTAAAAATGGCCATTGACCAAACATATTTTTCTCTTTCCCTCCCAAAACCACACAAAAACACCAGTAATGTAATAAAGAAGACAGTACCTAGGGTGGCACAGGAATCTTTCTTTGTCCAAGGATTGTCCCTTCGTGATTACTAAGCACCCCCTTTCACTTTTTTTGTTAGTTTGTTTTTAGACGGAATCTCGCTCTGTCGCCCAGGCTGGAGTGCAGTGGCAAGATCTCAGCTCTCTGCAACCTCCACCTCCTGGGTTCAAGCGTTTCTCCTGCCTCAGCCTCCCGAGTACCTGGGATTACAGGCGCCCACCACCACAGCAGGCTGATTTTTGTATTTTTCCAGTAGAGACGGGGTTTCACCATGTTGGCCAGGCTGGTCTCGAACTCCTGACCTCAGGTGATCCACCCACCTTGACCTCCCAAAGTGCTGGGATTACAGGCATGAGCCACCACCCCCGGCCCCCTTCCACTTCCAAAAGGATCTTGGTCTGTATGAAAATTATATGGTCACCCCATAACTAATCTACAAATTAAAAAAAAACTATCAATTTCAACAGATTTGGAGGAGGTGGACAGCAAATGGAAAAGTGATAACTGACTTAGCAGAATAAAAATTACAACAAATTCTACAGAAGGGAATGCACACAGAAGTTGATTTGCCCTTAAAAACCCCTGGAGGCTTTATTCTCTGGAGAAAATGAAGAAGTTCTTGATTCAATAATACAGAATTCAATAATTTGGTGAGGACTGGAAACACAGGGATTCAGTGAAAAAAATACACACAATGGATAGCAGGCCTTCTGCCTCTTTCTCTGCTTTGAACCCAGAATCCCAGCAGCCAGGCATACTTGCTTGCTTTGTATGTGTCTATAAAAATTAGAAAGAAATGTGTTCCTTGATGGCCCAAAAAACGTAAAAGGAGATAGTGACTATTGCAGGCCCATAATTTCTGCCTTGAGTAGAGCAATGAAGAGGGTGGAAACCCTTCTCCCCTATCCTGGTTGCACAGTCAATTTCTGCATTGCTTGTCCCATCTTCAAAGAGACCAGAACAGTTCTAGGACCCAATACCTTTCACTGAAGGTTTCCATCTATAGGACCCTGCATTTGGTAAGGAATACATAGTGAGTACAACTTTTTGACCAGTCTCTGTCTTTTGGTGTCAAAATTTCTACCTTATAGAGAGAATCACAGAATGGTTTAGGTCCACCTCTACACACCTCCCCATAAAAAGGAGGCTTCTCTAATTTTGTCCTTCCTTAGAACACTAGAGCTACATTATTAGACTGTGTTTAATTATTTTTTTTACAGATCTGTCTTCATCACTAAACTCCAAAATGCATATGGTTGAGAATAATATATATTTGGTTTTTGTACCATCAAGATGGGTTCAGTGCCTGGCAGCTTGCTGAAGAAATTAGTCTAGTAGATTACTGGTAATGAAGTCATTTGCACATGAGAGCATCAGATAATAATATTAACACCTCTGAAATCCTTCTTTCGAAAATTATCAAACATTCATGATTTAGCAGGAAGTCAGGGACCCCAAACAGAGGGACCGGCTAAAGCCATGGCAGAAGAACATAAATTGTGAAGATTTCATGGACATTTATCACTTCCCCTAACAATACTCTTATAATTTCCTATGCCTGTCTTTACTTTAATCTCTTAATCCCATCATCTTCATAAGCTGAGGTTGTATGTCACCTCAGGATCCTGTGATGATTGCATTAACTGTACAAATTGTTTGTAAAACATGTGTGTTTGAACAACATGAAATCAGGGCACCCTGAAAAAGAACAGAACAACAGCGATCTTCAGGGAACAAGGGAAGATAACCTTAAGGTCTGACTGCCTGCAGGGTCGGGCAGAATAGAGCCATATTTTTCTTCTTGCAGAAAGTGAGTAGGAGAAATATTGCTGAATTCTTTTCTCAGCAAGGAATAACCCTGGGGAAGGAATGCATTCCCGGGATAGGTCTATAGACAGCCACTCTGGGAGTATCTGTCTTATGTAGTTGAAGATAAGGGATGAAATATGCCCTGGTCTCCTGCAGTGCCCTCAGGCTTACCAGGATTGGGAAATTCCAGCCTGGTGAATTCTAGTGAGACCAGTTGTCTGCTCTCGAACCCTGTTTCCTGTTAAGATGTTTATCAAGACAATGCATGCCCAGCGGGACATGGAACCTCATCAGTAATTCTAATTTCGCCCTCTGCCTTGTGATCTTTTATTGCCCTCTGAAGCATGTGATCCCTGTGACCTATCCCTATTCATACACCCCTCCCCTTTTGAAATCCCTAGTAAAAACTTGCTGGTTTTAGGGGGCAGCCAAGATGGCCAAATAGGAACAGCTCCAGTCTACAGCTCCCAGCACGAGCGACGCAGAAGACGGGTGATTTCTGCATTTCCATCTGAGGTACCGGGTTCATCTCACTAGGGAGTGCCAGACAGTGGGCTCAGGACAGTGGGTGCAGCACACCGTGCATGAGCCCAAGCAGGGCGAGGCATTGCCTCACTCGAGAAGTGCAAGTGGTCAGGTAGTTCCCTTTCCTAGTCAAAGAAAGGGGTGACAGATGGCACCTGGAAAATCAGGTCACTCCCACCCTAATACTGCGCTTTTCCGATGGGCTTAAAAAACAGCGCACCAGGAGATTATATCCCGCACCTGGCTCGGAGGGTCCTACACCCAGGGAGTCTCACTGACTGCTAGCACAGCAGTCGGAGATCAAACCGCAACGTGGCAGCGAGGCTGGGGGAGGGGCGCCAGCCATTGCCCAGGCTTGCTTAGGTAAACAAAACAGCCGGGAAGCTCAAACAGGGTGGAGCCCACCACAGCTCAAGGATGCCTGCCTGCCTCTGTAGGCTCCACCACTGGGGGCAGGGCACAGACAAACAAAAAGACAGCAGTAAACTCTGCAGACTTAAATGTCCCTGTCTGACAGCTTTGAAGAGAGCAGTGGTTCTCCCAGCATGCAGCTGGAGATCTGAGAACAGGCAGACTGCCTCCTCAAGTGGGTCCCTGACCCCTGACCCATGAGCAGCCTAACTGGGAGGCACCCCCGAGTAGGGGCAGACTGACACCTCACACGGCCGGATACTCCTCTGAGACAAAACTTTCAGAGGAATGATCAGACAGCAGCATTCACAGTTCATGAAAATCCACTGTTCTGCAGCCACCGCTGCTGTTACCCAGGCAAACAGGGTCTGGAGTGGACCTCTAGCAAACTCCAACAGACCTGCAGCTGAGGGTCCTGTCTGTTAGAAGGAAAACTAACAAACAGAAAGGACATCCACACCAAAAACCCATCTGTACATCACCATCATCAAAGACCAAAAGTAGATAAAACCACAAAGATGGGAAAAAAACAGAGCAGAAAAACTGGAAACTCTAAAAAGCAGAGCACCTCTCCTCCTCCAAAGGAACGCAATTCCTCACCAGCAATGGAACAAAGCTGGACAGAGAATGACTTTGATGAGTTGAGAGAAGAAGGCTTCAGACGATCAAACTACTCCAAGCTACAGGAGGAAATTCAAACCAAAGGCAAAGAAGTTAAAAACTTTGAAAAAACTTTAGACGAATGTATAACTAGAATAACCAATACAGAGAAGTGCTTAAAGGAGCTGATGGAGCTGAAAGCCAAGGCTCGAGAATTACATGAAGAATGCAGAAGCCTCAGGAGCTGATGCGATCAACTGGAAGAAAGGGTATCAGTGATGAAAGATGAAATGAATGAAATGAAGTGAGAAGGGAAGTTTAGAGAAAAAAGAATTAAAAAAAATGAACAAAGCCTCCAAGAAATACAGGACTATGTGAAAAGACCAAATCTACGTCTGATTGGTGTACCTAAAAGTGACGGGGAGAATGGAACCAAGTTGGAAAACACTCTGCAGGATATTATCCAGGAGAACTTCCCCAATCTAGCAAGGCAGGCCAACGTTCAGATTCAGGAAATACAGAGAACACCACAAAGATACTCCTCGAGAAGAGCAACTCCAAGACATAATTGTCAGATTCACCTAAGTTGAAATGAAGGAAAAAATGTTAAGGGAAGCCAGAGAGAAAGGTCGGGTTACCCACAAAGGGAAGCCCATCAGACTAACAGCTGATCTCTCGGCAGAAACTCTACAAGCTGAAAGAGAGTGGGGGCCAATATTCAACATTCTTTTTTTTTTTTTTTTTTTTTATTTATTTATTTATTTATTTTTTTTTTTTTATTGATAATTCTTGGGTGTTTCTCACAGAGGGGGATTTGGCAGGGTCATGGGACAATAGTGGAGGGAAGGTCAGCAGATAAACAAGTGAACAAAGGTCTCTGGTTTTCCTAGGCAGAGGACCCTGCGGCCTTCCGCAGTGTTTGTGTCCCTGGTTACTTGAGATTAGGGATTGGTGATGACTCTTAACGAGCATGCTGCCTTCAAGCATCTGTTTAACAAAGCACATCTTGCACCGCCCTTAATCCATTTAACTCTGAGTGGACACAGCACGTTTCAGAGAGCACAGGGTTGGGGGTAAGGTCACAGATCAACAGGATCCCAAGGCAGAGGAATTTTTCTTAGTGCAGAACAAAATGAAAAGTCTCCCATGTCTACTTCCTTCCACACAGACACGGCAACCATCTGATCTCTCAATCTTTTCCCCACCTTTCCCGCCTTTCTATTCCACAAAGCCGCCATTGTCATCCTGGCCCGTTCTCAATGAGCTATTGGGCACACCTCCCAGACGGGGTGGTGGCCGGGCAGAGGGGCTCCTCACTTCCCAGTAGGGGTGGCCGGGCAGAGGCGCCCCTCACCTCCCGGACGGGGCGGCTGGCCGGGCAGGGGGGCTGACCCCCCCCACCTCCCTCCCGGACGGGGCGGCTGGCCGGGCGGGGGGCTGAACCCCCCACCTCCCTCCCGGATGGGGCGGCTGGCCGGGCAGAGGGGCTCCTCACTTCCCAGTAGGGGCAGCCGGGCAGAGGCGCCCCTCACCTCCCGGACGGGGTGGCTGGCCGGGCAGGGGGGCTGACCCCCCCCACCTCCCTCCCGGACGGGGCGGCTGGCTGGGCGGGGGGCTGACCCCCCCACCTCCCTCCCGGACGGGGCGGCTGGCCGGGCGGGGGGCCGACCCCCCCACCTCCCTCCCGGATGGGGCGGCTGGCCGGGCGGGGGGCCGACCCCCCCACCTCCCTCCCGGACGGGGCGGCTGGCCGGGCAGAGGGGCTCCTCACTTCCCAGTAGGGGCGGCCGAGCAGAGGTGCCCCTCACCTCCCAGACGGGGCGGCTGGCCGGGCGGAGGGCTGACCCCCCCACCTCCCTCCCAGATGGGGCGGCTGGCCGGGCAGAGGGGCTCCTCACTTCCCAGTAGGGGCGGCCGGGCAGAGGCGCCCCTCACCTCCCAGACGGGGCGGCTGGCCAGGGGGAGGGCTGACCCCCCCACCTCCCTCCCGGACAGGGCGGCTGGCCAGGCGGGGGGCTGACCCCCCACCTCCCTCCCGGACGGGGCGGCTGGCCAGGTTGGGGGGCTGACCCCCCCATCTCCCTCCCGGACGGGGTGGCTGGCCGGGCTGAGGGGCTCCTCACTTCCCAGTAGGGGCGGCCGGGCAGAGGCGCCCCTCACCTCCCGGACCGGGCGGCTGGCCGGGCGGGGGGCTGACGCCCCCACCTCCCTCCCGGACGGCACGGCTGGCCAGGCGGGGGGCTGACCCCCTCACCTCCCTCCCGGACGGCACGGCTGGCCGGGCAGGGGGGCTGACCCCCCACCTCCCTCCCGGATGGGGCGGCTGGCCGGGCGGGGGCTGACCCCCCCCACCTCCCTCCCGGATGGGGTGGCTGCCGGGCGGAGACGCTCCTCACTTCCCAGATGGGGTGGCTGCTAGGCAGAGAGGCTCCTCACTTCTCAGACGGGGCAGCTGCCGGGCGGAGGGGCTCCTCACTTCTCAGACGGGGTGGTTGCCAGGCAGAGGGTCTCCTCACTTCTCAGACGGGGCGGCCGGGCAGAGACGCTCCTCACCTCCCAGACGGGGTCTCGGCCGGGCAGAGGCGCTCCTCACATCCCAGATGGGGCGGCGGGGCAGAGGCGCTCCCCACATCTCAGACGATGGGCGGCCGGGCAGAGATGCTCCTCACTTCCTAGATGTGATGGCGGCTGGGAAGAGGCGCTCCTCACTTCCTAGATGGGATGGCGGCCGGGCGGAGACGCTCCTCACTTTCCAGACTGGGCAGCCAGGCAGAGGGGCTCCTCACATCCCAAACGATGGGCGGCCAGGCAGAGACGCTCCTCACTTCCCAGACGGGGTGGCGGCCAGGCAGAGGCTGCAATCTCGGCACTTTGGGAGGCCAAGGCAGGCGGCTGGGAGGTGTAGGTTGTAGTGAGCCGAGATCACGCCACTGCACTCCAGCCTGGGCACCATTGAGCACTGAGTGAACGAGACTCCATCTGCAATCCCGGCACCTCGGGAGGCCGAGGTTGGCGGATCACTCGTGGTTAGGGGCTGGAGACCGGCCCGGCCAACACAGCGAAACCCCGTCTCCACCAAAACCAATCAGGCGTGGCGGCGCGTGCCTGCAATCGCAGGCATTCGGCAGACTGAGGCAGGAGAATCAGGCAGGGAGGTTGCAGTGAGCCGAGATGGCAGCAGTACAGTCCAGCTTTGGCTCCGCATGAGAGGGAGACCATGGGGAGACGGAGAGGGAGAGGGAGAGGGAGAGGGAGAGGGAGAGGGAGAGGGAGAGGGAGAGGTCAACATTCTTAAAGAAAAGAATTTTCAACCCAGAATTTCATATCCAGCCAAACAGCTTCATAAGTGAAGGAGAAATAAAATACTTTACAGAGAAGCAAATGCTGAGAGATTTTATCACCACCAGGCCTGCCCTAAAAGAGCTCCTGAAGGAAGCACTAAACATGGAAAGGAACAACGAGTACCAGCCACTGCAAAATCATGCCAAATTGTAAAGACCATCAAGGCTAGGAAGAAACTGCATCAACAAACGAGCAAAATAACCAGCTAACATCATAATGACAGGATCAAATTCGCACATAATAATATTAACTTTAAATGTAAATGGACTAAATGCTCCAGTTAAAAGAAACAGACTGGCAAATTGGATAAAGAGTCAAGACCCATCAGTGTGCTGTATTCAGGAAACCCATCTCACATGCAGAGACACACATAGGCTCAAAATAAAAGGATGGAGGAAGATCTACCAAGCAAATGGAAAACAAAAAAAGGCAGGGATTGCAATCCTAGTCTCTGATAAAACAGACTTTAAACCAACAAAGATCAAAAGAGACAAAGAAGGCCATTACATAATGGTAAAGGGATCAATTCAACAAGAAGAGCTAACTATCCTAAATATATATGCACCCAATACAGGAGCACCCAGATTCATAAAGCAAGTCCTGAGTGACCTACAAAGAGACTTAGACTCCCACACAATAATAATGGGAGACTTTAACACCACACTGTCAACATTAGACAGATCAAAGAGACAGAAAGTTAACAAGGATACCCAGGAATTGAACTCAGCTCTGCACCAAGCAGACCTAATAGAAATCTACAGAACTCTCCACCCCAAATCAACAGAATATACATTTTTTTCAGCACCACACCACACCTATTCCAAAATTGACCACATAGTTGGAAGTAAAGCTCTTCTCAGCAAATGTAAAAGAACAGAAATTATAGCAAACTGTCTCTCAGACCACAGTGCAATCAAACTAGAACTCAGGATTAAGAATCTCACTCAAAACCGCTCAACTACATGGAAACTGAACAACCTGCTCCTGAATGACTACTGGGTACATAACGAAATGAAGGCAGAAATAAAGATGTTCTTTGAAACCAATGAGAACAAAGACACAACATACCAGAATCTCCGGGACACATTCAAAGCAGTGTGTAGAGGGAAATTTATAGCACTAAATGCCCACAAGAGAAAGCAGGAAAGATCCAAAATTGACGCCCTAACATCACAATTAAAAGAACTAGAAAAGCAAGAGCAAACACATTCAAAAGCTAGCAGAAAGCAAGAAATAACTAAAATCAGAGCAGAACTGAAGGAAATAGAGACACAAAAAACCCTTCAAAAAATTAATGAATCCAGGAGCTGGTTTTTTGAAAGGATCAACAAAATTGATAGACCGCTAGCAAGACTAATAAAGAAGAAAAGAAGGAAGAATCAAATAGATTCAATAAAAAATGATAAAGGGGATATCACCACCGATCCCACAGAAATACAAACTACCATCAGAGAATACTACAAACACCTCTATGCAAATAAACTAGAAAAATCTAGAAGAAATGGATAAATTCCTCGACACATACACCCTCCCAAGACTAAACCAGGAAGTAGTTGAATCTCTGAATAGACCAATAACAGGCTCTGAAATTGTGGCAATAATCAATAGCTTACCAACCAAAAAGAGTCCAGGACCAGACGGATTCACAGCCGAATTCTACCAGAGGTACAAGGAGGAACTGGTACCGTTCCTTCTGAAACGATTCCAATCAATAGAAAAAGAGGGAATCCTCCCTAACTCATTTTATGAGGCCAGCATCATCCTGATACCAAAGCCGGGCAGAGACACAACCAAAAAAGAGAATTTTAGACCAATGTCCTTGATGAACATTGATGCAAAAATCCTCAATAAAATACTGGCAAACCGAATCCAGCAGCACATCAAAAAGCTTATCCACCATGATCAAGTGGGCTTCATCCCTGGGATGCAAGGCTGGTTCAATATATGCAAATCAATAAATGTAATCCAGCATATAAACAGAACCAAAGACAAAAACCACATGATTATATCAATAGATGCAGAAAAGTCCTTTGACAAAATTCAACAACGCTTCATGCTAAAAACACTCAATAAATTAGGTATTGATGGGACGTCTCTCAAAATAATAGGAGCTATCTATGACAAACCCACAGCCAATATCATACTCAATGGGCAAAAACTGGAAGCATTCCCTTTGAGAACTGGCACAAAACAGGGATGCCCTCTCTCACCACTCCTATTCAACATAGTGTTGGAAGTGCTGGCCAGGGCAATTAGGCAGGAGAAGGAAACAAAGGGTATTCAATTAGGAAAAGAGGAAGTGAAATTGTCCCTGTTTGCAGATGACATGATTGTATATCTAGAAAACCCCATTGTCTCAGCCCAAAATCTCCTTAAGCTGATAGGCAACTTCAGCAAAGTCTCAGGATACAAAATCAATGTACAAAAATCACAAGCATTCTTATACACCAATAACAGACAAACAGAGAGCCAAATCATGAGTGAACTCCCATTCACAATTGCTTCAAAGAGAGTAAAATACCTAGGAATCCAACTTACAAGGGATGTGAAGGACCTCTTCAAGGAGAACTGCAAACCACTGCTTAATGAAATAAAAGAGGATACAAACAAATGGAAGAACATTCCATGCTCATGGGTAGGAAGAATCAATATGGTGAAAATGGCCATATTGCCCAAGGTAATTTGTAGATTCAATGCCATCCCCATCAAGCTACCAATGACTTTCTTCACTGAATTGGAAAAAACTGCTTTAAAGTTCATATGGAAACAAAAAAGAGCCTGCATCGCCAAGTCAATCCTAAGCCAAAAGAACAAAGCTGGAGGCATCACACTACCTGACTTCAAACTATACTATAAGGCTACAGTAACCAAAACAGCATGGTACTGGTACCAAAACAGAGATATAGATCAATGGAACAGAACAGAGCCCTCAGAAATAACACCGCATATCTACAACTATCTGATCTTTGACAAACCTGAGAAAAACAAGCAATGGGGAAAGGATTCCCTATTTAATAAATGGTGCTGGGAAAACTGGCTAGCCATATGTAGAAAGCTGAAACTGGATCCCTTCCTTACGCCTTATACAAAAATTAATTCAAGATGGATTAAAGACTTAAACATTAGACCTAAAACCATAAAAACCCTAGAAGAAAACCTAGGCAATACCATTCAGGACATAGGCATGGGCAAGGACTTCATGTCTAAAACACCAAAAGCAATGGCAACAAAAGCCAAAATTGACAAATGGGATCTAATTAAACTAAAGAGCTTCTGCACAGCAAAAGAAACTACCATCAGAGTGAACAGGCAACCTCCAAAATGGGAGAAAATTTTCGCAACCTACTCATCTGACAAAGGGCTAATATCCAGAATCTACAATGAACACCAACAAATTTACAAGAAAAAAACAAACAACCCCATCAAAAAGTGGGCAAAGGACATGAACAGACACTTCTCAAAAGAAGACATTTATGCAGCCAAAAAACACATGAAAAAATGCTCACCATCACTGGCCATCAGAGAAATGCAAATCAAAACCACAATGAGATACCATCTCACACCAGTTGGAATGGCAATCATTAAAAAGTCAGGAAACAACAGGTGCTGGAGAGGATGTGGAGAAATAGGAACACTTTTACACTGTTGGTGGGACTGTAAACTAGTTCAACCATTGTGGAAGTCAGTGTGGCGATTCCTCAGGGATCTAGAACTAGAAATATCATTTGACCCAGCCATCCCATTAGTGGGTATATACCCAAAGGACTATAAATCATGCTGCTATAAAGACACATGCACATGTATGTTTATTGCGGCACTATTCACAATAGCAAAGACCTGGAACCAACCCAAATGTCCAACAATGATAGACTGGATTAAGAAAATGTGGCACATATACACCATGGAATACTATGCAGCCATAAAAAATGATGAGTTCATGTCCTTTGTAGGGACATGGATGAAATTGGAAATCATCATTCTCAGTAAACTATCACAAGGACAAAAAACCAAACACCGCATATTCTCACTCACAGGTGAGAATTGAACAATGAGAACACATGGACACAGGAAGGGGAACATCACACTCGGGACTGTTGTGGGGTTGGGGGAGAGGGGAGGGATAGCATTAGGAGATATACTTAATGCTAAATGACAGGTTAATGGGTGCAGCACACACCAGCTTGGCACATGTATACATATGTAACTAACCTGCACATTGTGCACATGTACCCTAAAACTTAAAGTATAATAATAATAAAATTAAAAAATAAAAATTAAAATTAAAAAATTAAAAAATTAAAAAATAAAAATAAATTAGAAAAATACTTGCTGGTTTTGTGTCTCAGGTGGGCATCACAGAAACTGCTGATATGTGATGTCATCCCCAGAGGCCCAGCTGTAAAATTTCTCTCTTTGTACTCTTTCTCTTTATTTCTCAGACTGGCTGACACTTAGGGAAAATAGAAAAGAACCTATGTTGAAATACTGGGGGCTGGTTCCCCCAATACATATCACTCAAAATCATACACATGAACTATGCAACATACCTGCAGCAGGATTTTCAGATGGTCTAATGGCATTGTGCATGTCTGAGGATATGTACCAACTATGCCTCCAGCCAATAGATATTTCCACAACAGGCTAGATTTTCTTCCTTCATCAATGAAATTATGAAAAGTCCATTTATCTCCCATATCAATTCCTTGCTTTAAAAAAATTAATAATAATTAGATGATCTCAAATAAAAATTTTATCTCCTTATAAGATCTAAATAATGCTTTAAATATCTCAGATCCACAGTAAATTAATATCCTCTCCAAGAACATTGGGCTTCACTGACTAGCACAATTTAAAATAACTCATGAATAAGCTTGAGGTACCGTCAATTATAAATTAATAAAGAAACTATTTTAAAATTCATATGGAACCAAAAAAAAGAGCTCATATAGCCAAGACAATCCTAAGCAAAAAGAACAAAGCTGGAGGCATCATCACGCCACTAGACTTCAAACTATGCTACAAGGCTACAGTAACCAAAACAGCAAGGTACTGGTACAAAAACAGACACATAGACCAATGGAACAAAATAGAGAACTCAGAAATAAGACCACACATCTGCAATCATCTGATCTTCAACAAACCTGACAAAAACGAGCAATGGTGAAAGCTTCCCTATTTAATAAATTGTGCTGGGAGAACTGGCTAGCCATACACAGAAAATTGAAACTGGGCCCCTTCCTTACTCCTTATACAAAAATTAACTCAAGATCGATTTAAAGACTTAAATGTAAAACCCAAAACTATAAAAACCCTAGAAGAAAATCTAGGCAATACCATTCAGGACATAGGCACAGGAAAAGATTGCATGATGAAATCACCAAAAGCAATTCCAACAAAAGCAAAAATTGACAAGTGGGATCTAATTAAACTAAAGAACTTCTGTACAGCAAAAGAAACTATCATAACAGTGAACAGACAACCTACAGAATGGGAAAAAATTATTGCAATCTATCCATCTGATAAAGGTCTAATATCCAGAATCTACGAGGAACTTAGACAAATTGACAAGAAAAAACAAATGACTCCATTAAAAAGTGGGCAAAGGACATGAACAGATACTTCTCAAAAGAAGACATTCATGTGGCCAACAAACATATTTAGAAAAAAAAGAGCTTGACATCACTGATCATTAGAGAAATGCAAATCAAAATCGCAATGAGACACCAACTCACACCAGTCAGAATGCCAATTATTAAAAAGTCAAGAAAAAACAGATGCTGGAGAGATTGCAGAGAAATAGGAACACTTTTACACTGTTAGTAGGACTATAAATTAGTTCACCCATTGTGGAAGACAATGTGGTGATTCCTCAACGATCTAGAACCAGAAATACCATTTGACTCAAATTCCATTACTTGGTATAGACCCGAAGGAATATAAATATTTATATTACAAAGATACATGAACACATATGTTCATTGCAGCACTACAGCAAACACATGTCACAATAGCAAAGACATGGAATCAACCTAAATACCCATCAATGACTGACTGAATAAAGAAAATATGATACATATTCTCCATGGAATACTATGCAGCCATAAAAAGGAACGAGTTCATGTCCTTTGCAGGGACATGGATGAAGCTAAAAGCCATTATCCTCAGCAAACTAACACGGGAACAGAAAACCAAACACTGCATGTTCTCACTTATAAGTGGGAGCTGAACAATGAGAACACACGGACACAGGGAAGGGAACAACACACACTGGGGCCTGTTGGGGGTGGGTGGGAGGAGGGAGAGCATTAGGAAAAATAGCTGATGCTTGCTGGGCTTAATACCTAGGTGATGGGTTGATAGTTACAGCAAATCACCATCACACACATTTATCTATGTAACGAATTTGCATATCCTGCACATGTACCCTAGAATTAAAATAAAAATAAAAATTATAAAAACAGGCCAGGCATGGTGGCTCATGCCTGTCCTCTCAGCACTTTTGGAGGCCAAGGCAGACAGATCACTTGAGGTCAGGAGTTTGAGACCAACCTAGCTAACATGGTGAAACCCCATCTCTACTAAAACTACAAAAATTAGCTGGGTGCAGTGGCATGCGCCTGTATCCCAGCTACTCCGGAGGCTGAGGAAGGAGAATTGCTTGAACCTGGGAGGCAGAAGTTGCAGTGGGCCAAGATCACACCACTGTACTCCAGCCTGGGTTACAAAGCAAGACTCTACCTCAAAAAAAAAAAAAAAAAGTAAGAAAGTAATGGCAGAAACCACAATTACTTTTGCACCAACCTAATATCTTCAGTCAGACTCTTTACTTTTAATGAAATAAATATAAAATATACAACACACATTTAAAGCAGTTTCCTTTTACATCTTTACCTACAGTGGATGTGACAAAAAACTAAGTCTTTCCATGTAGTGCCCAAAGCAGATAGTAAGCTCTGCTACACATATATCATAAAATAGGAATATTTTGAGGGCCCAGAAGGTTGATAACATTTATCATGATCAAGGACTTGGGCTCAGGAGCCAGATAGAATTCAAATTCTGACCTCCTGAATTCCTAATGGAACAATCTCTCTGGGTCTCCATTTCCTCAAATGCAAACTGAAGCCAATAGTAATACCTACTTTGTTGGGTTCTTAAGATTAAATGACTTAAAAGTACATAAAGTACTTATCACAGTGCTTCGCACTAAAAGAGATTCAGTGAATGTTAGTTACTGGTATTATCAGTTGTAAAACACAGACTGTTTGGTGGCATTTTGGCCTCCAGTGCCTATGCTATGCATAGACATTAGCAATAATGTGACTGAAAAATAGGTATCTGTTACATAAATAAAAACTAACATTTGCAGAGCAAAGTCAGCACTATATTAAAGCTATATGTGTCATCTTTAATTTTCATAATAACCCTGAGAGGTACTATCATCCCAGTTTTAGAGTTAAGAAAACTGAGGCCCAAAGAGATTAAATAATTTATCCCAATTCACCCAGTAAGTGGCAGAGCCGGGATTTGAACCAAAGCAGCCTGAATCCAGAGCCTGCACTCCGTATTCCACCCCGAAAACGGGCTGTTTTCTACTTCTTTGCTGTACAGCTATACTGCTAAACCTATTTGTTTCTCATGAAATTACTATAAGCCAAAATGTGAATGTGCCCCTGGAACAAATGAAGCACCCTTTGTTAGCACTATACTCAAAAAGACAGTTTATTGAATTTAATTTATATTTCTTTACTAGGTTGTCACAGACAATATGTCATTTAGTCTTCAAAATAGCTATTTCCCATGTATTTATCTTCCTTTTATCTTCATTATCAAACAGAAAGTTTATCCTATGGTAGGCATATAACAAATATAGTTTTTCACTGACTTGAATTTCCTTTAATCATCTTTAAGAGTACAGAGGAAAAAGCACCAAAAAGATAACATATTCTCTTAATGATTATATATGTTTTAAATTAAAATAATGTTGGTAACTGAAGAGTGTCATAAGTAACATGGTAAGAATTAAGAAGACACACTATTCAATCTAAGGCTATAGTGGAATGTCTTTTATTTTTCTACCTGTCAATATTAATGTGATTCTACTGATCATCTCTCTTTCTCAGAGCAATCTCTTAGAGATATAGGAAAAGCTGTAGAGCTTCATGCAAAACTCCTTTTCACTTAGTTCAGTTTCCTCAGAAGGCAGTTAAAAGGAGTCAGGTTAGGCTTAGCTTTCATATATTTGATTTGGGCATCTTGGGATTTGGGGAGTTATAGAAAATAGGAGGGCAGCAGGTTGGTATTTATTGCAACTTTTTCTTCAACACATAGACTATTAAAAGAAAGTCTCAATGTTAAAGAAAAATGAAAGAAAAAAGATAGACTTCATAAAGAAACAATAGATGTCACAGATTTGAAATACAAGTTTCAGCTCAAGGTTCTTTATTTCCTACCAATAATTGATAATAACAGCTAATACGTATGGTGTTTAACGTGTGTCAGATGCTGTCGCAAGTGCTTTACATATATTAACTACTTTAATCCTCAAAACAAACTAAGGTGTAGTTCCTGTTCACAAGGCACTGTATTCAGTATTTTAGTACGACTGTCTCATGAATCCTCTCATCAGCCCTATGGAGTAGGTAATATCCCTCTATAGTTGAAAAAAATGAGGCTTAGAAAGGTTAAACGATGTCTCCAAGGTCACAGGGCTACTAAATAGGGGCACTAAGAAGCACACCCTGGAAGTATGATTCTAGAGTTCATGATCTTAAATGTTACACTACCCTCCTTACCTTTAGAGGCCAGTTACTCAGGTGCAGTGGCTCATACCTGTAATCTCAGCATTTTGGGGGGCTGAGGCAAGCAGATCACTTGAGGTCAGGAGTTCGAAACCAGCCAAACATGGTGAAACCCTGTCTGTACTAAAAATACAAAAAATTTAGCTAGGCATGGTGGCACATGCCTGTAATCCCAGCTACTCAGGAGGCTGAGGCAGGAGAATTGCTTGAACCTGGGAGGTTGCAGTGAGCCAAGATCACGCCACCGCACTCCAACCTGGGCAACAGAATGAGAGACTCTGTCTCAAAAAAATAAAAAAAGAAGAGGCCAGTTATTTAACCTCTCTCTGCCTTGGTTTCCTCATCTATAACATAGGAACAATAATCCCTACCTCAGAGTTGTAGAAGCATATTGTGGTACACAGAAGAACAGTGTAGATCATAACTGGGAATCACCAAGCAAAATTTTTAGGAAATTTTTTAAAACGTTTTCAATTTTAAGACTTTTTTTTTTTTTTTTTTTTTTTTGAGAGAGAGAGAGTTTCACTCTTGTTGCCCAGGCTGGAGTGCAATGGTGTGTGATCTGGGCTCAGTGCAACCTCTGCCTCCCGGATTGAAGCAATTCTTCTGCCTCAGCCTCGCAAGTAGCTGGGATTACAGGCATGCGCCACCAAGGCAGGCTAATTTTGGTATTTTTAGTAGAGGCGGCGTTTCACCATGTTAGTCAGGCTGGTCTTGAACTCCTGACCTCAGGTGATCCGCCCTCCTCGGCCTCCCAAAGTGCTGGGATACAGGCATAAGCCACCGCACCCAGCCTCAAATTTTAAGATATTTTGAAGCATAGATCTCTAAGAGTACTTGGAGGCAAATGCTATGCAGACTATGATATATATATGACTATGAGCCTTGCCACTCTTTCAAGAGAATTTCAGTTATGGTTTATACATTCATCCAGTAAATATTGGGAAAGCATTATCTAAATCTGCAACTCACAATTCCTACTTTCAGGCAAGTAAATAGGCAACTATCCTACAGAATGATGGTGCTGAGTAGGAGTAATCGACTCTTAAGAGTGTAGTTGTTCTCAATAAATGGATGCCTTTTGCAAATTGAGACTTTGGTTGAAGTAGATATTATATGCCAATTCTTCTTGGCATTGTACAAATTTCTAATGAAGCAACATTCTATAGCATCACTTGTTTAATCAGCAAGATCCACTAGCAAATCTAATAGTTTATAATGCATTACATTTTTATGCCCTTGACGCATAGCATAAAATATACCAATAGTAAGAAAAAGACCACTTTCAGTAACGTGTTTCCAGTAATGGGCAACTTCTTCAACATCTTTTTTTTGCAGGTTTAAGAAAAAATTTTTCCTCCATTCAACCCAATCCACTGTCATGGACCCATCAATATCCGTGCTGTATATTATTTAAGAAGAATATGCTCAAATATAAATTATGATTCATATATTTCAAAAAACATTATCAAAATGACATATTCTTAAAGCCAGAAAAGTCGGATTGTAGTTGCGTTCTTCCTGTTGTTACTTTTGTGATATAGAGTCCACTTAACATCTCTGAACTTCAGTTTATGTGAGAATAATTCCTATAACACAGAGCTATTAGACTATTAAATAAGTTTATGTGTACAATGGCCTTATAAATTACACAACTACAGAACTTGTAAGTCAGTAGTACTGCATCCCAATTTTCTAGTATTTCTTCTTAAACATTTCTCCTTCTTTCTGTCTTATAACCTCATTTTATAACTTCTTGCATGTTCTCTAGCAAAGAATGGTTGACAATTACCCTTTTTGGTTATGGATCTTACAAGACAATATACATTTTCTATGGCTATAAAATATCCAGTATCCAAAATAGCAAGACATCCATATATTCTTGGAAATATAATTCCCATTAATATGAAATAATAGTTTTGAAGCCAACTTTTTTTGAGACAGGGTCTTACTATGTTGCCCAGGCTAGTCTTGAACTTCCAAGTTCAAGCTATGCTTCTGCCTCAACCTCCTAGTAGCTGGATCTACAGGCAAGTACCACTGTCCCTGGCTCAAGTCAATTTTTAAAATTTTAGGAATTCTCTACTATGCAGCCATAAAAAAGAATGAGTCCATGTCCTTTGCAGAGACATGGAAGAAGCTTGAAACCATCATTCTCAGCAAACTAATATAGGAAGAGAAAACCAAAGACCGCATGTTCTCACTCATAAGTGGGAGTTGAACAATGAGAACACGTGGACACAGGGAGGGGAACATCACACACTGGGGCCTGTCAGGGGGTGCGGGAGAAGGGGAGGGAGAACATTAGAACAAACACCTAATGCATGCAGGGCTTAAAACCTAGATGACAGGTTGATAGGTGCAGCAAATCACCATGGCACATGTATGCCTCTGTTACAAACCTGCAAGTTCTGCACATGTATCCCAGAACTTAAAGTAAAATAAAAATTTTTAAAAACGAAAAAAAAGAATTTTAGGAATTCTCAGTGAAGAATTTCTCAAATTCCTGTATGCAGTTAAGAATTTGAAGAAAGCCCTTCTGCATAGTCATGCTGAGCCAGCTCCTGTGCCTGCAATTGGGCCACAGCCCCCTAAGCTTCGCCCTCCACCTCTTGACCTCTTGACCATGGATCCCCACCAAATGAGCAAGCCTGGGGCCTTCCTGAAAATGTGTAAGCAGGATCTGAGTGTTCTGCACACCAAAGAAATGCACTTCCTGAAGGAATGGATGAAGAGCATGGGGGGTAAACTACCACCTGCTATTCAGAAAGCTAAATCAGAAGAAAATATCAAGGAAGGAAAAACAGATAGCAGGAAGGCAGAAAGAAAACATAAAGATAGATGAACCATCAAATGAGAAAACTGATCTAGAAATTGATAATGAAGGTGTGATTGAACAAGACACTGATGCCCCTCAAGAAATGGGAGATGAAAATGCAGAGAAAACGGAGGAGATGATGGATCAGCAAATGGTAAGAAAGTGGTTGCCACTGAAACCGTAAATGATGGTGAACTGTGGCTTATTCACAGATGCCATTAAGCTGAATCCTCACTTGGCCATTCTGTGTGCCAAGAGAGCCAGTGTCTTCATCAAATTACAGAAGCCCAATGCTGCCAGTCAAGACAGTGACAGAGCCATTGAGATAAATCCTGATTCAGCTCAGACTTACAAGTGGTGAGAAAACACACACAGACTTCTGGGTCTTTGGGAAGAAGCAGCCCATGCTCTTGCCCTTGCTTGGAAATTGGATTATGATGAAGATGCTAGTAAAATGCTGAAAGAAGTTCAAATCTAGGGCCTAGAAAATTATAGAACATTGTAGAAAGTATGAGTGAAAACGTGAAGAGCAAGAGATCAACGAAAGAATAGAAAGGGTTAAGAAGGCTCTCGAGAAAAGCATGAGAGATCCCAGAGGGAGGAAGAAGCCAGAAGATGATCCAGAGCTCAGTATGGCTCTTTTCCAAGTGGCCTTTCTGGGAGAATGCCTGGTAATTTTCTCAGAGAAATGCCTGGAATGGGAGGGGACATGTCTGGAATGGCAGGAATGCATGGACTCAAAATTCTTAGTGACCAGAGGTTCTCACAGCCATGCAGGGTTCAGAAGTTATGGTGGCCTTCCAGGATGTGGCCCAGAACCCAGCAAATATGTCAAAATGCCAGAGCAACCCAAAGGTTAAGAATCTCATCAGTAAATTGTCAGCCAAATTTGGAGGTCAAGCGTAATGCCCTTCTGATAAATAAAGCCCTTGATAAAGGAAAAGCAACCTAGATCACCTAATGGATGTTGCAATTATGCAAACCAGTGTACCTCTGACCTTATCAAGACAGCTGGGGTGCTTTGAAGATAATCTCTACCTGTCTACCCTGAATGCAACTAAAGCATTTTACAGCGGTTTGCCATTAGGGTATTCATGCAGATAATGCTTTCTACTAGGAATTACAAACTTTAAACACTTTTTAAACCTTAAAAATATTTAAAACAAATTAAGAGGGTCTGTTAATTCTTTATTTTATTTTATTTTATTTTTTTTTTTTTTTTGAGACAGAATCTCGCTCTGTTTCCCAGGCTGGAGTGCAGTGGCGTGATCTCAGCTCACTGCAACCTCCGCCTCCCAGGTTCATGCCATTCTTCTGCCTCAGCCTCCCGAGTAGCTGGGACTACAGGCGCCCGCCACCACACCCAGCTAATTTTTTTATTTTTAGTAGAGACGGGGTTTCACCATGTTAGCCACGATGGTCTCGATCTCCTGACCTTGTGATCTGCCCGCCTCAGTCTCCCAAACTGCTGGGATTACAGGTGTGAGCCATTGCCTCTCTTGACCCCGCTTTCCCCACTGTGGCCTTTATCTCTCTTTGCCTTTGCAGCAACACCCCTTAAAGACTTGTCTCCCTTGCATGTCCACCTTCTCCTTGTCATTCTCTCTTGAGCCCACTCTCAGGCTCTCACCACCATTACTCTACCAGTGGCCTCCATGGCACTAAATCCAGTGGTCCATTCTCTGTCCTCATCTTAGTCTATCAGCATTTGACAGACAGAACTGTCTCCTCTCTGAAATGTGTTCTTTATTTGGCTTCCAGAACAAAGTATTCTCCTGGTTTTCTTCCTTTCTCTCTAGTTCTTTCCTCCTATTCTCCTTCCCTGGTTTCCCCTCATTTCCCCTGCCACATAACATTAGAGCATACCAGGACCCAGCGTACTGTACTCCCTCCCTGGTCTTCTCAGCCATTCTTATGGCTTCAAACATCATCTATAAGCCTGTAACTCCCAAATCTGAACTCCAGACTCATTTCAAGATACCTACTTGATATCTCTACTTGGATGTCTCATTAGCATCTGAAACTTGAGAACAAAACTGTACTCTGAGATCTACTCCATTTTAAACCTGCTCCTCTCACAGTCTTACTCTTAAACCTGCTCCTCTCACAGTCTTACTCATTTCAATACATGAGGCAGCTACAGCCTCCTAGACGCTCAGACCAAGAACTTTGACAGTATCCTTAACTATTCACTTTCTTTAACACCCTACACATGATCCAGAAGTAAATCTTGTCAGTATTTCAAAATCTACCTGGCATCTACTCACTTCTCACCCTCATCCATCCTGGTGCAAGCCATCCTAAAATCTTGTCTGTTATTATTGCAGCACTGTCTTAATTGGTCTCTCTGTTTTCACCCTTGCCGTTATAAACTATTCGCAGTACACCAGCCAGAATGAGATGGTTAAAACTTAAGTTAGATCATGTCACACCTCTGTTTAAAACCACCCAATGACTTAACTGAGTAAAAACCAAAGTTCTTACAATTTCCTGGAAGCCTTATGTGATCTGGCCTCCTATTACCTCTAGATTTCATCTCCTACCACGCTCTCCCTCATTCACTCTATTCTGCACACACTGGCCTCCTCTCAATGCCCTAACCCTGTCAGAGACACTACCTACTTCACCCTTTGCTGTTGCTATTTCCTTTGCCTGGAAAGCTCTTCCCCCAAAGATCATCATAGCTCCCTCTCTTACTTCCTCCTTATCTCTACTCAAATGTCACTTTCAAGAATTCCCTACTCACCACAGTTAAATTGCATTTCCCCAACACACACACACACACACACACACACACACACACACACACACGAGTCTCCCTCCTCTGCTTCATTTCCCCTTAGCACTTTTCATTATCTAACATAGCTTAATTATTTATCTAGTTTATTGTTTTTCTCCTCTTGTTTATGGTGAGCTCTATGAGAGCAAGGATTTTGGCCTATTTCCTTCACTACTGCATCCTTAGCACCTAGATGAATGACAGGCATATCACAGACACTCAATAAATATTTGTTAGTAAATAAATAAATCCACTTTTCATCACCACCTCTTGTGCTCTACACTCAGAGGTTGAAATATTGAGTCTTATTCAAGGACTCCCTGTCTTGAGTTGTTGGAACCCTTTTCTCCCAATCAGTCATCTCCTGTCTCTATAACAGATCCAACATGTCCTTCTCTGGTGACTACTTCTCAGATCTCTCCTATCCACCAAAAGATAATAAAAATAAAATTTAAAAAGACTTGTCCTCTCCTTCTCATTTAAATTTCTCTTAAACCACATCCCCACATTAACCATTTCTCTTAAACCACAGTCCCCACATCCTCACCCTCACCCACTCAACAGCCTTATGCAACCTGACTTAACCCTTTACCACACTACTCAAACTCCTTTCACTGACATCCCCGGAAATCTCCCAAACGCCAGATCCAATGGATATTTTTCAATAATGTTATTGCTGCTCTTTTCTGCTGAAAAAAGGAAGGATCTAAAAAATGAAGACACATAAAATGTTCAAGAAATAGAGGATGAAACATCATAAATACATCAATTCTCCCCAATATTAAGCTATTAATTCAATAAATTGCAATCAAAATTCCAAAAATGATATATATATATATGTGCATGTGTATGCACATGTATATAACAAAACAATCTGATTCTAAAATTCATATAGAAGAGGAAAGGGTCAAAAATAGCATTGACACTATTGGAGATGAATGTAAGTCCAGATGTCGAGATGTATTATACAGTGATAGTAATTAAGACATGCGGTATTGATACACAGTAGACAACAACTAATATAACAGGAAAAGGAAACCAGAAACACACCCATACACAGATGGAAATTTAATATATGACTAGAGGTAAGCATTTCAAATCTGTAGGAAAAGGATGGGACTAACCAATAAATGGTGATAGGACAATTGACTATACAGAAAAAAAAAGAAATTGAATCCCTATTTCACACCATACACAAACATCAATTACAGGTGAATTAAAGAACTAAATATGAAATATCTAAATATTTAAATAAGATATTGATGAATATCTTCATGCCCCAGGGTAAGGAAGAATTTCTCAATATGTCAAAAGCACAACCATAAAAGAAAAAGAGACAAATATAACTGCATTAAAATTTAAAATGTCTGCACAACAAAAAAACACCAAAAATTTGTTTTAAATAAGCAACAAGCTGGGAAAAGATATTCATATTGCATAATGCCAACATAGGATTAATATCCAGAATTTAGAAAGAACACCTACAAGCCATTAAGAAAAAGACAACCAATCTCGCTGAAAAATTGACAAAAGGAATAAACAGGTAATTCACAAAAAAAATCCAAATGACCAGCAAATATATGAAGAGATAGTTTTACTAGTAATAAGGAATATAATTAATTACATTTAGTTACATTAAAAATAATGAGATAATATTTCTGACCCATAGGTTTGGAAAATATTAAAATATTAGAATACTACGGTATCAAGTGTTGGAATGGAAATACATTTCTGGTAGGAATCTAAGGTGGTACAACTACTTTGGAGAGCAATTTGGAATATTTAATTAAAGTTAAATATCTGTAAAGCCTATGACCAAACAATTCCACCGCAAGTAATACACAAGGAGATGCACACAAGAATATCCATTGCAGCTTTATATTATATTAGCAACAAAAGAAATTTTTAACCTAAATAACCACCATCAGAATTCATAAGTAAACTGAGTTATATTTATTAAATGGAACCATACAGTGGTTAAAATAATTGAACTAGAGCTATATGCATTGACATAAATAAATCTCCAAAAATTGAAGGATTAGAAAATAGTCATAAAAAAATCCTGTATGTCACCATTTAAAGGCTTAAGACATAAGAAACAATATCCTATATTTTAACAGTATATGTATAGTAAAATGTATGCAAATATAAAAGTCTATATGAGAATAATAAGTTCAGAATAGTAGTTACTTCTGGCAGGAATGGAGGAAATGGGTTTAGAGAATAATACATTGAAAATGTTTGCTGCCTGTAATTTTGTTTTTAAAAATCTGAATCAAATATGTAAAATGTTAAATATGACAAACACAGTGGTAGGTATGGTTTTTGGTTATATTATTCTCTTTATTGTTCTGTATAAAATAGTTCATAATAAGTTAGCCTTATTTCAGGAATGTTTAACATGACAAAATCTATTACTATAATTCATTATATAAATAGGTCAAATGACACATTATACAGTTTAATAAAATTCAGCACTCTCCTGATAAGATACTTTTCTTTGTTGTTCTTCTATATGTTCCTGTCATAATCCTTGCCACATTGCAACTGTCTGTTCACTGTTAGCACATGTGCGTGTACACACACACACACACACACACACACACACAGTGGACTGTCAGCTCTGTAAGGACAGGCACAAGGGCCAGGCTACCACTGCATCCTCGTTAGCTAGTACATGCCCAGCAAAAAGGATCAAACTTGATAAATATAAAATGACATAATCTTATAAAAAGCAATAAATCTATACACTAAAATGATACCAGGTTAACATTTGGGTGATTGGATTATGGTGACATTGGGGAAGTTACTTAACCTCACTTCTCAACAATTTCCTCTTCTGTGAAAAATAATAGACTTGGTCTCTAAAGTCTTGTGAGGATTAAATGAGATAATGTATGTAATGTTCTTAGAAGAGTGCTAGCAGACAGATGTTCAATAATGAAAAGCCATTATTCATATTTTTCTAACATTTCCATAGTTATCACTTTTATCATTAAAAAGGGTTTAGAGCTAATAAAATTAATAATAATAAAAATTAAGTTTAATATATACATACATATATGAGAGCTGACCTTTCAAGAATCTTCTCTGCCTCTTTTTTAGGAATATTTATACCTGTTAACTTGAGAGCATCGATAAATTTCTGAAGTATCCATCACTCCTTTAAAGGAATAAAGAAAATAAGGATCAACTGGAAAGTTTGAAAAGATACACAAGCAAATATTATTTAGTGCATTATTGTCCTCAGAGCCACTCAGGCAAAGAATGCACTTTTAGCAAAAAAAAAAAAAAAAAGAAAAGGGAGAAATGGCCTCAGGTGTAAGCAACTGGAATCGTTCCTACATGATTTCCGGTGGCAGAAACACAACAAGGTGCCTCTCAGATGACTAGAAGTGAAATCTCATGCCTTGGAATTGCCAGATAAACATTCCTTGGCCTTTGTTGTACACATCCTAAAAATTAATAGCATGAGTTTACTGGTGCAGAGAACCACTGCAAGAAGAAAATGGTTCACCTAAAGAAAATTTTTAGTAGTGTCTTTGTAAAAGCCACCCCCAGAGCCTAAAACTGCTGTACATATTGGAATCTTATATGACCTGGGGATTTCTAAATCTGAAGCCCATCTGGGAACTCATCTTGAAACACGGACAAGCCAAGGTCAAGAATAAGACCATCTCTCCAACAGACAACACAGTGAGGAGCACCTGAGGAAGTTTGCTGTCATTTGCTTAGAAGACCTCATTCATGATGTTGCCTTCCCAAGGAAGTATTTCCAGATCTCATGGTTCCTGCACCCTTTCCAGCTCTTGGTGGCCCATCACGCTATCAAGAATAGAGTGAGGTTCTTCCATGAGATGGGCTCGCCTGGCTGTCAGAGTGAATGCAGCAATCAGCTCAACCACCAGCTGAACTAGACCCAGAATACCTGAATGCATGGTGCATTGGAAGCATGTGTTTCTGTTTTTTTGAACTGTTATCAAAAATAACAATTGGAATTGTATCTTGAGGGAAGAGTATCTCCTGCTTTATCTTCAAAAACTGGAAGAGAAGAGTCAATGAAAATACAGCAAGTTATGTACATGGCAGGCACCTCTCATCACAGTCCAGCTCCAAGGAAACATTCCAGTGTTTTCTACATTGGCTGCTGCCTCCTCTGAAATAATCACGTGTCATGAAAGGAGTCCTGCTTTGTCACATTTGCACGAGTCCCCCTAAGACTCCTGTAGCAGTGGACCAAGCCCAAGGACATAATTGAATCTGAGAGTTCCTAGGGCCTTGTTCTGAAAAGACTTGAAATACAATTAGGAAGACGGGCACAAAAACAGGTGGTGGGTTGTCTCTTGTGAGTCTATGTTCCAACTTTTCACTGATGACTTTGAGAGCGCTCAGACTTGGCTGACTTTAGGTATATCTGCTGGCTTTTGTATCATAGTCTGCAACTAGCTTAGTCCTTTTTTCTAAAAGCTCAGAATTTGAGAATGAAGGACCCTTTCACCAGAAAAACATGTATGTACTCAAAATTTTGCTTGCAGTTTTAGGATGTTTAGACCCTTCTCCTCAGGGACCTATGCACCTTATGTGAGGAAGTCCTGCTCTTATCAGGATTGGTCATCCAGGCCCTGATCTTGCTCATCTCTGGTTCCATGTCCTGTGGAGGACCAAAGCTCACCAAGATAGCTTTTTTCCCTTCACTGTGGCAGACTGTGTTGCCCCTGCGCCATCTATAACTCTGGGAAATGCCCATCATATCTTCTCTTGGGCTTCAGGAAAGAATTTCCTGGTTTCTCTGATGATCAGCACTCTCCTTAAAATCCAGATAAAAAAGGAATGAACCATTTTCTCAGTTTGGTGTGGATAAAATTAGTGCTGTTTGATTTTTTGGGCCCCAGGCAGGCAGGTTAATTAGCATTTCCTTGTATATTCTAGTCTCCAGTAGTCTAGTCCAGGAGACTCTAGTCTCCTGCTGGTAATAATATAGTAGTAGATAGTAGACCAGCAACTGGGCTTCTTGGGATTTTAATCCTGAAAACAGTGGGTCTGACACTGTAGTGTTTTTCATCAGTGTCCACCCCTAAATGGGCCTTCGCACTACTCCCTTCACTTGGTTGCCTCCACTTGCCATCTGAGCAATTGGCGAGGATGTGCCAGGCCTAGGTTACACTTGAAAACATACTTGACCTTGTATTCCCTGCTCCTTTGAGGTCAGTTTTGCTGCAATTTTGGTTCATGGGGCCCTCATACATGGCTGAGAAATTGAGTGAGAGGTATAACAGTGCCTTAAAATGTTTCAGCCTATGAGGTAATTAATTAGGTTGGTTAGCTCCAGAGGTAACCTGCCAGGAAGATATGATATAGATGTTACTCTTACACTGTAATGAAACATTGTGAAATCAGATTACTTTAAAATGAGGTACCACAAAGTCATGGGAAAAAAGCAGTTGTGAGTATGGAAGCCCAGGGCTTACATCCCAGCTCTCTCTTATACTAAATATGGGTACAGTGTTTCCACCCTTTGTCTGTAAGATGGGAGCTAATATCCTCTAGCCTGTCTGTCTCACATGGTAATTAAAAGGATTAAGCAAAACAATAGTTTATAATTCATAATTCTATACAAATAAGAGATGTTATTATTTAAAAAAATAAATCTTGAAGCTTGTAATCTGGTCTTTGGGGAAAAAATCATAAATCATAAAATACAAATTTGGTAACATTGAAAACACCTGTGCATCAAAACACATCATTAAAAAGATGAAAAATAAAAGCCACAGAACAAAAATACAAACCTTACAACTAACAAAAGATAGTATTCAGAGTACATAAGAAATCCTATCAATCACTAAGAAAAAGACAAATAATGTAATGAATAAGCAAAGAATATGAAAAGGGACCCCATAGGACTTATAACTTATTCATGTTTCTATATTATCACAGTCCTCACCTCATTGGGCTCTCATTTCTTTCCTTAGTCCCACTTAGATTCCATGATCCATCAACTTAACCAATACCTTACATATCCCTTTACTCCTGATGCCTCTTTTATTTCCCTTATTCATTTGGCAAAACCATCACCTTGAGTAAATCCCTGCAACTTCACCTCTGTGGCTGACTGGAGCTATAGGCACACTTCTTCCAATGCAGCTGAAAAACGGGTACAAATTCGGTTAAGAATTTGCGGATATGATAGCGGAAAGATGAAGGAGGCCCATAAAATGGCTTCCATGTCTTCAGTGAAGAATGAAGCACTGTGGTAAAAGTGAGGATGTAAGGATGTGAGGGAGAGAGGATCAGAAAGACAGGATGTGAGGACAGAAGTTTGAAGAGATTTGAAAAAGGTACAGCATCATTTTTATGGAGACAGGGAGATGATGTTACCAGAGAAACTGGGCACTATGAGTACCAATTTACAATCATGATTTTTTAGGATATCAATTTGTGAAACTTGCAGTGCATCAAGTAGCTCACAACTGAGCACACTGACCTTATGTAGCTTTAGTGGACCACTATTTCAGAACCCTTTGTCAGAGTATACCAGCCTCCACTCTGCTATGACATGCAGTTATTCTAGTCTACAGTCCAGAGGCTCTGCGCCAATCTATTCTTCTTAGTGTACAGAATTTAGGCATTATGGAGCTGAACAACAGAGGGAGCCAGGATCCTGATTGCTATGGAAACGTCATGTCATCCTGGATTACATAGGTTTATGTGTGACAGAAATAAACTAGGATCGGACCTTAAGCCACTGGTATTTCAGGTTTTCTCCACCACCCCCAGCTGATTGTAAATATAACCAACAAAAAGCTCCAATGAATAATGTACAACTATTCAGAATAACGGATCACCACAAAAATGCCCATGTTAAACCATAGTAAAAATGACTATCAATATAGGGTTTGAAACTGTTAATTATATTGAAGTCAAAATAACTTTCGCGTTTATATGAAATCAAGAGATTAGAAATATCTGTTTTACTAACTTATAAATCCACATAGTAATGATATTTATGAAATAAAAGACTTTGTAAAAATGATAAATGAAAACAGCAATAATTGTGCAAATTGCCTCAACATTTCATTTAGCCAGTATTTATGGAGTATATAAACAGTGCTACACAGTATGTTGTCTGCTAGGGATATGAACATGAAATAGTCTCTAACTTCCATTGAGGAGCCAACAGAGACATAAACAGATAACTTTCTCTCTGTTTATCTTCAGTGTGATTTTTTATTTATGAACAGATTTTATAAATTTAGCAAATGGATAAAAAATATTTTTTTAGCCTTGGAAAAGATACCAGTTTTGGTGGGGAAAAAGGCTAAATGTAATTTGGCTCACTGAGCAGTAGAGGGTGATAGAACACCAAAATGACAGCTTGAGAATGCCTTTAGACCACGTTGTATTTTTCTATAAACAATTCATTCAATTAATATTTTTCCACAAACTCAATGACATATTTAGCTATGAATATAAAAGTACATAAGGAAATTATAAATAAAGTGCAGTCATAATTTGGGAAAAGCAAGGGGAAAAAATTAGCAATTTTCACTTATTCCTGTTTTATTTATTATTCTTTATTACATTTTTTTCCTCCGTGTTACAATATCAGGAAAGCTCATCGACCGAGGAAATACATTGCACCAGTTTTTTCTCATAAGTGTTACAAATAAAGGTTGTCTTATTGGTATCTTTCATGTTAAGGGTCAAGTTAATGAAAGCCAATGTGGTAGGTGCATGGCAACAGCAAAAGACAAAAGAATGATAAAATCTTTATATCTGTGGGTAGCATCTTTTTGAAGCATGAAATTTAATAACCCTGATTTACGTCAGTTCTTTTGACAGTAATATGTCATATATAATATTCACATGATAAAACTCTTTAAAATGCAACTACAGCAAAGTGGTGTTTCCTCATCAGAATATATTTTGTTTAAAATTATTGTGAAAGTGCCTCTTATTTATGTTATTATAATGCATTTCCTACAAAAAGAGAAAGTGGCTTTTCTTCATCCGAATATATTTTGTTTACAATTATTGTGAAAGTGCTTCTTATTTATGTTATTATGGACAATTAACTCTCCCTTTTCAAGGGCATAAATGAGCAGTTATTTGTGGAGCACACACTAGGTGCTCAATTTATGTATGTTCAGAGGAAGAGATTTTTGAAACTTTGAGTTAGGCTAGAGTGCTGTTTTAGTTTCCTAGGACTGACTTAACAAATTACTAGAAACTGGGTGGCTTAAAACAATAAAAATTTAGTTTCTCACAGTTCAGGAGGCCAGAAGACCAAAATCAAAGTGTTGGCAAGGTTGGTTCCTTCCAGAGGTTCTAAGGGAGAATCTGTTCCCTGCTTCATTCCTGATTGCCAGCAATCCTTGGCATTCCTTGGCTTCTGGCTGCACCACTCTAGTCTCTGCCTCCACCATACATGGCATTCTCTGTGGGTGTCTGTGACTTTTTTTATATATACTTTAAGCTCTGGGATACATGTGCAGAACGTGCAGGTTTGTTACATAGGTATACATGTGCCATGGTGGTTTGCTGCACTTATCAACCCATCATCTAAGTTTTAAGCCCTGCATGCATTAGGTAGTTCTCCTAATGCTATTCCTCCCCTTGCCCCTACCCGCCAAAAGGCCCCAGTGTGTAATGTTCCCCTCCCTGTGTTCGTGTGTTCTCATTGTTCAACTCCCACTTATGAGTGAGAACATGTGGTGTTTGGTTTTCTGTTCCTATGTTAGTTTGCTGAGAATGATAGTTTCCAGCTTCATCCATGTCCCTGCAAAGAACTTTTTTATGGCTGCATAGTATTCCATGGTGTATATGTGCCACATTTTCTTTATCCAGTCTGTCATTGATGGGCATTTGGGTTGGTTCCAAGTCTTTGCTATTGTAAATAGTGTTGCAATAAACATACATGTACATGTGTCTTTATAATAGAATGATTTAAAATCCTTTGGGTATATACCCAGTAATGGGATTGCTGAGTCTAATGGTATTTCTGGTTCTAGATCCTAGAGGAATCGCCACACTGTCTTCCACAATGGTTGAACTAGTTGATACTCCCACCAACAGTGTAAAAGCGTTTCTATTCTTCACATCCTCTCCACCATCTGTTGTTTCCTCACTTTTTAATGATCACCATTCTAACTGGCATGAGATGGTATCTCATTGTGGTTTTGATTTGCATTTCTCTAATGACCAGGGATGATGACATTTTTTTCATATATTTGTTGGCCACATGAATGTCTTCTTTTGAGAAGTGTCTGTTCGTATTCTTCACCCACTTTTTGATGGGATAGTTTGTCTTTTTCTTGCAAATATGTTAAAGTTCTTTGTAGATTCTGGATATTAGCCCTTTGTCAGATGGGTAGATTGCAAAAATTTTCTCCCATTCTGTAGGTTGCCTGTTCACTTTGATGATAATTTCTTTTGCTGTGCAGAAGCTCTTTAGTTTAACTAATCCCATTTGTCAATTTTGGCTTTTGTTGCAATTGCCTTTGGTGTTTTAGTCATGAAGTCTTTGCCAGTGCCTATATACTGAATGGTATTGCCTAGGTTTTCTTCTAGAGTTTTCATGGTTTTAGGCCTTATGTTTAAGTCTTAATCCATCTCGAGTTAATTTTTGTATAAGGTGTAAGGAAGGGGTCCAGTTTCAGTTTTCTTCATATGGCTAGCCAGTTTTCCCAACACCATTTATTAAATAGGGAATCCTTTGTCCATTGCTTGTTTTTGTCAGTTTTGTCAAAGATCAAATGGTTGCAAATGTATGGTGTTATTTCTGAGGCCTCTGTTCTGTTCCATTGGTCTATACATCTGTTTTGGTACCCAGTAGAATGTGGCATAGTTTGAAGTCAGATACTATGATGCTTCCAGCTTTGTTTTTCTGACTTAGGTTTCTCTTGGCTATATGGGCTCCTTTTTGGTTCCATGTGAAATTCGAAGTAGTTTTTTCTAATTCTGTGAAGAAAGTCAATGATAGCTTGATGGGAACAGCATTGAATCTAGCTTGATAGGAACAGCATTGAATCTATATATTACCTTGGGAAGTATGGCCATTTTCACTATATTGATTCTTCCTATCCATGAGCATGGAATGTTTTTCCATTTGTTTATGTCCTCTCTTATTTTCTTGAGCAGTGGTTTGTAGTTCTCCTTAAAGAGGTCCTTCACATCCCTTGTAAGTTGGATTCCAAGGTATTTTATTCTCTTGGTAGCAATTGTGAATGGGAGTTCACTCGTGATTTGGCTCTCTATTATTGGTGTATAGGCATGCTTGTGATTTTTGCACATTGATTTTCTATCCTGAGACTTTGCTGAACTTGCTTATCAGCTTTAAAAGATTTTGGGCTGAGACATTGGGGTTTTCTAAATATGCAATCATGTCATCTGTAAGCAGAGACAATTTGACTTCCTATCTTCCTATTTAAATACACTTTATTTCTTTCTCTTGCCTGATTGCCCTGGCCAGAACTTCCAATACTATGTTGAATAGGAGTGGTGAGATAGAGCGTCCTTGTCTTGTGCTGGTTTTCAAAGGGAATGCTTCCAGTTTTTGCCCATTCAATATGATATTGGCTGTGGGTTTGTCATAAATAGTTCTTATTATTTTGAGGTATGTTCCACAAATACCTAGTTTATCAAGTGCTTTTAGCATAGGGGGTTTTGAATTTTATTGAAGGCCTTTTCTGCATCTATTGAGATAATCATGTGGTTTCTGTCATTGGTTCTGTTTATGTGATGGATTATGTTTATTGATTTGTGTATGTTGAACCAGCCTTGCATCCCAGTGATGAAGCTGATGAAGCTGACTTGATCGTGGTGGATAAGTTTTTGATGTGCTGCTGGATGCGGTTTGCTAGTATTTTACTGAGGATTTTCACATCAATGTTCATCAGGGATATTGGCTTGAAATTTTCTTTTTTTGTTGTGTCTCTGCCAGGTTTTGGCATCAGGATGATGCTGGCCTCATAAAAATGAGTTAGGGAGGAGTCCATCTTTTTCTGTTGTTTGGGATACTTTCAGAAGGAATGGTATCAGCTCTTTGTACCTCTGGTAGAATTTGGCTGTGAATCTGTCTCGTCCTGGCCTTTTTTTTGGTTGGTAGGCTATTAATTACTGCATCAATTTCAGAACTTGTTATTGGTCTATTCAGGGATTCTACTTCTTCCTAGTTTAGTCTTCGTAGGGTGTATGTGTCCAGGAATTTAACCATTTCTTCTAGATTTTCTAGTTTATTTGCACAGAGGTGTTTATAGTATTCTCTGATGGTAGTTTGTATTTCTGTGGGATGAGTGGTGATGTCCCCTTTATCATTTTTTATTGTGTCTATTTAATTCTTCTGTCTTATATTTTTTCTATCTAGTTCGTTAATCTTTTCAAAAAGCCAGCTGCTGGATTCATTGATTTTTTGAAGGGTTTTTCGTGTCTCTATCTCCTTCAGTTCTGCTCTGATGTTAGTTATTTCTTGTCTTTTGCTAGCTTTTGAATTTGTTTACTCTTGCTTCTCTAGTTCTTTTAATTGTGATGTTAGGGTGTTGATTTTGGATCTTTCCTACTTTCTCTTGTGGGTATTTTGTTCTATAAATTTACCTCTAAACACTGCTTTAGCTGTGTCCCAGAGATTCTGGTACATTGTGTCTTTGTTCTCATTGGTTTCAAGGAACTTATTTATTTCTGCCTTAATTTAGTTATTTACCCAGTAGTCATTCAGGAGCAGGTTGTTCAGTTTCCATGTAGTTGTGTGGTTTTGAGTGAGTTTCTTAATCCCGATTTCTAATTTGATTGCACTGTGGTCTGAGAGACTGTTTGTTATGATTTCTGTTCGTTTACATTTGCTGAGGAGTGTTTTACTTCCAATTATGTGGTCACTTTTGGAATAAATGCTATGTGGTGCTGAGAAGAATGTATATTCTGTTGATTTTGGGTGGAGAGTTCTGTAGATGTCTATTAGCTCTGCTTGGTCCAGAGCTGAGTTGAAGTCCTGAATATCCTTGTTAATTTTCTGTTTCATTGATCTGTCTAATATTGACAGTGGGATGTTAAAGTCTCCCACTATTATTGTGTGGGAGTCTAAGTCTCTTTGTAGGTCTCTAAGAACTTGCTTTATGAATCTGGGTTGTGGGGAAAAGAAAGAGAGATCAGATTGTTACTGTGTCTGTGTAGAACGAAGTAGACATAGGAGACTCCATTTTGTTCTCTACTAAGAAAAATTCTTCTGCCTTGAGATGCTGTTAATCTATAGCCTTACCCCCAACCCCGTGCTCTCTGAAACATGTGCTGTGTCAACTCAGGGTTAAATGGATTAAGGGCTGTGCAAGATGTGCTTTGTTAAAACAGATGCTTGAAGGCAGCATGCTCGTTAAGAGTCATCACCACTCCCTAATCTCAAGTACCCAGGGACACAAACACTACGGAAAGCCACAGGGACCTCTGCCTAGGAAAGCCAGGTATTGTCCAAGGTTTCTCCCCATGTGATAGTCTGAAATATGGCCTCGTGGGAAGGGAAAGACCTGACCGTCCCCCAGCCCAACAACCATAAAGGGTCTGTGCTGAGGAGGACTAGTATAAGAGGAAGGAATGCCTCTTTGCAGTTGAGACAAGAGGAAGGCATCTGTCTCCTGCCCATCCCTGGGCAATGGAATGTCTCGGTATAAAACCCAATTGTATGTTCCATCTACTGAGATAGGGGAAAACTGCCTTAGGGCTGGAGGTGGGACATGCGGGCAACAATACTACTCTGTAAGGCATTGAGATGTTTATGTGTATGCATATCTAAAGCACAGCACTTAATTCTTTACCTTGTCTACGATGCAGAGACCTTTGTTCACATGTTTATCTGCTGACCTTCTCTCCATATTATCCTATGACCCTGACACATCCCCCTCTCCAAGAAACACCCAAGAATGATCAATAAATACTAAGGGAACTCAGAGACTGGTGGGATCTTCCATATGCTGAACACTGGTCCCCTGGGCCCCCTTATTTCTTTCTCTATATTTTGTCTCTGTGTCTTTTTCTTTTCCAAGTTTCCCGTTCCACCTAACGAGAAACACCCACAGGTGTGGAGGGGCAACCCACCCCTTCACTGGGTGCTCCTGTATTGGGTGAATATATATTTAGGGTAGTTAGCTCTTCTTGTTGCATTGATTCCTTTACCATTATATAATGCCCTTCTTTGTTTTTTTTAAATCTTTGTTGGTTTAAAGTCTGTTTTATCAGAGACTAGGATTGCAACTCCTGCTTTTTTTTGCTTTCCATTTGCTTGGTAAATATTCTTCCATCCCTTTGTTTTGAGCCTATGTTTGTCTTTGCATGTGAGATGGGTCTCCAGAATACAACACACTGATGGGTCTTGACTGTAGCCGATTTTCCAGACTGTGTCTTTTAATTGGAGCATTTAGCCCATTTACATTTAAGGTTAATGTTGTTATGTGTGAATTTGATTTTGTCAACATGATGCTAGCTGGCTATTTTGCACGTTAGCTGATGCAGTTTCTTCATAGTGTCATTAGTCTTTATATTTTCATATGTTTTTTAGCAGTGGCTGGTACCAATTTTTCCTTTCAATATTTAGTGCTTCCTTCAGGAGCTCTTGTAAGGTGGGCCTGGCAGTAATAAAATCCCTCAGCATTTGCTTGCCTGTAAAGGATTTTATTTCTCCTTTGCTTTTGAAGCTTAGTTTGGCTGGATATGAAATTCTGGGTTGAAAATTATTTTTTTAAGAATGTTGTATATTGGCCCCCTACTGTCTTCTGGCTTGTAAAGTTTCTGCCAAGAGATCCGCTGTTAGTCTGATGGGCTTCCCTTTGTAGGTAACCCGACCTTTCTCTCTGGCTGCTCTTAATGTTTTTTCCTTCATTTCAACTTTGGTGAATCTGATGAGTATGTGTCTTGGGGTTGCTCTTCTTGAGGAGTATCTTAATGGTGTTGTCTGTATATCCTGAATTTGAATGTTGGCCTGTCTTGCTAGGTTGGGGAAGTTCTCCTGGATAATATCCTGAAGTGTTTTCCAACTTGGTTCCCTTCTCCCTGTCAGTTTCAGGTACATCAATCAATTGTAGATTTGATCTTTTCACATAGTCCTATATTTCTTGGAGGCATTGTTGGTTCCTTTTCAGTCTTTTTTCTCTAATCTTGTCTTCATGCTTTATTTCATTAAGTTGATCTTCAATCTCTGTTATGCTTTCTTCTGCTTTATCAATTTGGCTATTGATACTTGTGTATGCTTCACGAAGTTCTCATGCTGTGTTTTCAGCCCCATCGGGTCATTTATGTTCTTCTCTAAACTGGTTATTCTAGTTAGCAGTTCCTGTAACCTCCTATCAAAGTTCTTAGCTTCCTTGCATTGGGTTAGAACATGCTCCTCTATCTCGGAGGAGTTTGTTATTACCCACCTTCTGAAGCCTCCTTCAGTCAATTCGTCAAACTCATTCTCTGTCCAGTTTTGTTCCCTTGCTGGCAAGGAGTTGTGATCCTTTGGAGGAGAAGAGGCATTCTGGTTTTTGGAATTTTCAGCATTTTTGTGCTGGTGTTTCCTCATCTTCGTGGATTTATCTACCTCTGATCTTTGATGCTGAGGACATTTGGATGGGGTTTTTGCTTGGGTGTCTTTTTTATTGATGTTGATATTATTGCTTTCTGTTTGTTAGTTTCCCTTTTAACAGCCAGGACCCTCTTCTGCAGGTCGGCTGGAGTTTGCTGGAGGTCCACCCCAGACCCTGTTTGCCTCTGTATCACCAGCAGAAGCTGCAAAACAGCAAAGACTGCTGCCTGCTTCTTCCTCTGGAAGCTTCATTCCAGAGGGGCACCCACCAGGTGCCAGCCAGAGCTCTCCTGTATGAGGTGTCTGTTGACCCTTGCTGGGAGGTGTCTCCCAGTCAGGAGGCACGAGGGTCAGGGACCCACTTGAGGAGGCAGTCTGTCCCTTAGCAGAGCTCGAGCCCTGTGCTGGGAGAGCCACTGCTCTCTTCAGAGCTTTCAGGCAGGAACATTTACATCTTCTGAAACTACACACATAGCTGCCCCTTCCCCCAGGTGCTCCGTCCCAGGGAGATGGGAGTTTTATCTATAAGGCCCTGACTGGGACTGCTGCCTTTCTTTCAGAGATGCCCAGAGAGGAGGAATCTAGAGAGGCAGTCTGGCTACAGCAGCTTTGCCACACTGCAGTGGGCTCTGCCCAGTCCAAACTTCCCAGCGGCTTTATTTACACTGTGAGGAGAAAACCGCCTACTCAGGCATCAGTGAGAGTGGATGCCCCTGCCCCCATCAAGCCTAAGTGTCCCAGGTTGACTTCAGACTGCTGTGCTGGTAGTGAGAATTTCCAGCCAGTGGATCTTAGCTTGCTGGGCTCCATGGGGTTGGGACCTGCTGAGAAAGACCACTTGGCTCCCTGGCTTCAGCCCCCTTTCCAGGGCAGTGAATGGAAAGTGGCACTGGTGTTCCAGGTGCCACCCAGGTACAAAAGAAAACTCCTGCAGCTAGCTCAGTGTCTGCTTGTGTGGCCACCCAGTTTTGTGCATGAAACCCAGGACCCTGGTGGTATAGGCACCTGAGGGAATCTCCTGGTCTGTGGGTTGTAAAAACCATGGGGAAAATGTAGTATCTGGACCGAATAGCACCATCCCTCATGGCACAGTCCGTCACTGCTTCCCTTGGATAGGGGAGGGAGTTCCTCAACCCCTTGTGCTTCCCGGGTGAGGCGACACCCCACTCTGCTTCAGCTCACCCACCGTGGGCTGCACTCACTGTCTAACCAGTCCCAGTGAGATGAACCGGGTACCTCAGTTGGAAATGCAGAAGTCACCCAACTTCTGCATTGGTCTCGCTGGGAGCTGCAGACCAGACCTGTTCATATTCAGCCATCTTGCCCAGAACCCCCATCTGTGTCTTTATATAGCCTTCTTATAAGGATACCAGTCATTGGATTTAGGGCCCACTCTAACCTAATATGACCTCATCTTAATGAATTATATCTGCAAAGACCCTATTTCCAAATAAGTTCACATTCTGAGGTTCCAAATGCATATGAATTTGGGGGGACATTATTCAACCCAGCACAAGTATAGTAATGCTATTTAGTATGTCTTCAAATAAATTGTAAAAGGGAAGAAAATTCCTTTATGGAAATATAATATGGATACTGAATATGTTATATTTAGAATAGACACATCCCAAAGTACATTCAACTGAGTCTTTTTATTTTACATTATTTTTATATTTATGTATATTTATATTTATACCTTGCCTTGTTCTATGAGGGTTTTGGGGTGTCTTACAATAAGAACACTTAGTTTATAATATGCACAGCATAAAATGTATGCTGCTCATTGTCAATAGTGTATAGTTTTTATTAACAATATAAAATTAGAGATTCAGTAATAAAGGAAGATATAGTAAAATCCTTACTATACGTGAAGTCCACAAAGTTTAATCACATAAAATCCATGGCTACATTATTGCAAAGTTTAAAAAAAAACTGCTCAATTAGTCTTCCAGTTAATGTGTGCTTTATTTGTTTTCATTTATGAGCTATGTAAGAAATAGACCAATTATTACAAAATATGTAGCATACACTGAGTTGAGAAAGCCCCAAATTATCACAAAGTAGTCACTTCCTGACTCTTCACCATGCAGAAGATAATACCTTTAGCTGGTCTTCATTTGAGAATTGCACCCAGGAAAAGAATGGGAGCCAATTGCCAGTTGAATTCCATCTGAATTTACATTATCTCAGAGACATTATCACAGTTTTAACAGTCAAGACCAGAGAATGATGAAATAGAGATGATAAAAGGAAATATAGTCTGTTGCACAATTCTCATTATCAGAAAAAAGAGAATGCATCAGCTCCTTTGGAAAAGCCAAGTTTTGCTATGAGTTGTTTAAAAATGTCTTGCTGAGTGATGAAGGGAGTAGATAATGTCCTTTTAAAATTGCTGAAGTAATTGCAAAATCAGCTTTATAAGGCTGCTTCTTATCAATTGTTTTGTTATAGTGGAGGCCATGATGCTAAAACATAACTCAGTCAAGGCAGTTATGGGAAGGGCCAAGATAATACAAGCCAATGATTCCAGCTTTTTCCAAGAATACAAGTTAAAGTGACTAGAATGTAACTAAAACAAACACCCTTCAAACTCACCTCCCTAAATATCACCTTCCCACCTAGCCTTTCGTTAGGTATGGGATAGTAGACTCTATCTTCCTGTGCTCACTGATGAGAACACAGAAAGCTAATATTCAGAGCTGTTAAATCCATACATGCTTTAAAAACAAGTGAACAGACAGATACATTACATATTTCTTTAAATTTTACATTTGGGAGTACATGTTCTAGTTTGTCACATGGATATATTATGTAGTGGTAATGTTTGGGTTTCTAATGAACCAACCAGCAATAGTGAATATTGTACCCAATAGGTAATTTTTGAGCCCTCATCCTCCTCCCATTCTCCCCTTTTTTGGAGTCCTCAGTGTTATTTTCATCTTTATGTCCATGTGTTCCTATTGTTTAGTTCCCACTTACAAGTGAAAACATGCATAATTTGATTTCTGTTTCTGAGTTATTTCACTTATGGCCTCCAGCTCCATCCATGTTGCTGCAGAGGACATGATTTTATTCATTTTTATGGCTGCATAGTATTCTAATATATATATACCAGATATATATATGATATATATATACCAGATATATATATGATATATATATACCAGATATATATATGATATATATATACCAGATATATATATGATATATATATACCAGATATATATAGGATATATATATACCAGATATATATAGGATATATATATACCAGCTCTATATAGGATATATATATACCAGCTCTATATAGGATATATATACCAGCTCTATATAGGATATATATATACCAGCTCTATATAGGATATATATATACCAGCTCTATATAGGATATATATATACCAGCTCTATATAGGATATATATATACCAGCTCTATATAGGATATATATATACCAGCTCTATATAGGATATATATATACCAGCTATATATAGGATATATATATACCAGCTATATATAGGATATATACACCAGATATATATAGGATATATATATACACCAGATATATATAGGATATATATATACCAGATATATATGATATATATGATATATATGGGATATATATGATATATATGATATATATGGTATATATATGATATATAGTATATATGATATATATGGTATATATATGATATATAGTATATATGATATATATGGTATATATGATATATAGTATATATGATATATATGGTATATATGGTATATATATGATATATGATATATATGATATATATGATATATGATATATATGATATATATGATATATATGGTATATATGATATATATGGTATATATGGTATATATATGATATATATGATATATATGGTATATATATGATATATATGATATATATGGTATATATATGATATATATGATATATATGGTATATATATGATATATATGATATATATGGTATATATATGATATATATGATATATATCATATATATGGTATATATATGATATATATGATATATATCATATATATGGTATATATATGATATATATGGTATATATGATATATGTGATATATGTGATATATATGATATATGTGATATATGTGACATATATGTGACACATATATGTGACATATATGTGATATATATGCTATATATGACATATGATATATGGTATATGACACATATGATATATATGACATATATGATATATTTATATATGACATATATTATATATATTATATGATATATATGAGATATATGACATTTCCTTTACCTAGTCAACCACTGATGTACACTTAGGGTTGAATCTATGACTTTCCTATTGTGAATAGTGCTGTGATAAATATATGAGTGCAGGTCTTTTTGATATAACAATTTATTTTCCTTTGGGTAGCTTCCCTGTAGATTGCTGAGTTGAATGATAGCTCTATGTTTAGCTCTTTGAGAAATCTCTATACTGTTTGCCACAGGAGCTGTACTAATTTTTTTTCCCATCAATAGTGCATAAGTATTCCCTTTTCTCTGCATCCTTGCCAACATCTATTATTTTTTGACTTTTAAATAATAGCCATTCTGACTGATGTGACAAGGTTTCTCGTTGTTTACTTTGCATTTCTCTGATGATTAATGATGTTGAGCATTTTTTTCATGTTTGTTGGTTACTTGTATTTTAAGAAATGTCTGTTCTTGTCCTTTGCCCACTTTTTTAAGGGGTTGTTTTTTTCTTGTTGATTCATTTGAGTTCCTTATAGATTCTGGATATCAGTCCTTTTGTTGAATGCATAGTAAGTAAACATTTTCTCCCTGTATTAGTCTGTTCTCACACTGCTACAAAGAATGGCCTGAGACTGGGTAATTTATAAAGGAAACAGGTTCAATTGACTCACAGTTCCACATGACTGGGGAGGCCTCAGGAAACTTATAATCATGGCAGATAGGGAAGCAAACATGTCCTTCTGCACAAGGCAGCAGAAGAGAGAAGTGTGGAGCGAAGGAGGAGGAACCCCTTATAAAACCATGGGACCTTGTGAGAACTCACTCACTATCATGAGAACAGCATGGGAGATACCACACCCATGATCCAATCACCTCCCACCTGGTCCCTCCCTCGACACATGGGGATTAGGGGGATTACAATTCGAGATGAGATTTGGGTGGGGACAGAGAGCCAAACCATATCACTCCCATTCTGTAGGTTGTCTTAGTTTATTCTGTTGTTTCTTTTGCTGTGCAGAAGCTCATTCATTTAATTATTTGTCTATTTTTGTTTTCATTGTATTTGCTTTTCAGTTCTTAATCATAAATTATTTGCCTAGGCCAATATCCAGAAGAGTTTTTCCTAAGTTTTCTGCTAGGATTTTTGTAGTTTCAGGTCTTACTTTTAAGCCTTTAATCCATCTTTTTTTGTATATAGTAAGAGATATATACAATTTTGTATATAGTGAGAGATAAGGGTACAGTTTGATTCTTCTTCATGTGGTTAGTCAGTTTTCCCAGCACCATTTATTGAATAGGGAGTTCTTTCTCCATTGTTTATTTCTGTCAACTTTGTTCAAGATCAGATGGTTGTAGCTATATGGCTTTATTTCTGGGTTATCTATTCTGTTCCATTCATCTATGTCTATATTTGCACCAGTATCATGTTGTTTTGGTTACTATAGCCTAGTAGTATAGTTTGAAGTCAGGTAATGTGATGTCTCTGGCTTTGTTCTTTTTGCTTAGGATGTTTTTGCTATGTGGGCTCTTTTTTGGTTCCATATGAATTTTAGAATTGTTTAGAAAAGTTACATTTCTAAGACAATGAAATATAAATGCAGCCTGGGCAATATAGTGAGATCCTCCCTCTACAGAAGAAAAACGAAGTCACTAGCTTGTCAAAATAGAACTCTAGACAAATACCTGAATGGTTCCTGCAGGGAAACTTGGGATTTCCTCAAGAAAAGGTTCTGGGGACTTCAAGTCCAATACAGTAGACCCAGCACAAAGCTTTTTCTTCTCTACTTTCTGAGACCTAATGATAACATAGAGGTTAACTCAGAACAGTAAACAGAACAGTAAGAGGGTCACCAGTGGATGAGAGTTTAAAACAATGGAAGACAGAAAGAGACTGGAAGCCTAAGGCTAGATAAGAGAGAATCAGCAGCCCAGAATGTGCAGGAAGGGATTTTAATGCCAGAGTGAGTCTGTCTCTACGGCAGAAACCCACAGAAGCCCAGGGCTGAGCTGGCAGGTGCCTCAGAGGGCAGGGGCAGAGGAGAGGTAAAATAGAAGGGTTAACTGAAAGCCTGCCTAGTGCACAGTCTACACCAGACATGTACCTACACTCCCAACCCTCGTCTCCCACTCCTAAATACACAGAATACCAACTAGTATGAAATCCTGGCCGTAAAAAAAAAAAAAAAAAAAAAAAAAAAAAAAAAAAAAAGTTTCTTTTCTTGAAAAATTGAGTAAACTGGCTGAGAAGAATCAGAAATGGTGAAAATGGATGCCAGTGCCCCAAGTAAAGCTCTCTCTATTCTTGCATTTTGTAACCCCATTCCTCCCCGCAAAAACTAAAAGTCTCCAGCATTCTAACCCTAAAATGAACATGACTAGTGGATAAGTCTATTTTCAAAAGGAATGACTAGAAATGAGTGACAAAAATTTGTGTTCCTCATTCCTTACTGTGATGCCTCTTCTGGTAGGTGACTTCCAGGCCAGGGACTATATTTTCCAGCCTCGCTTGCATTCCAATGTAGTCATTTAACTACATGGGATATAAGTAGAAGTGATGTGTATCACTTCCAGGCCAGGGCTTTTAAGAAAGTAGGTGTGCCTTTGCACTTTCTTATTTACTCTTCTGCCAGCCAGAGGCAGAAGGCACCAAGGCCTGCGGAGATGCTAGTGGTGCCAGGGGAAAGAGTCTGGGTCTCTGAATCACCACATGCAAGAAGCCACCTGCCAATCAGGCATTGGACCACAATACAGATGACAAACAAACATCTATTATGTAAAGCCATTGAAATTTATATAACCAGCATTACCACAATCAATTATCTGCACCCCCCCGCCCCCGCCCCAGCCCACCGCCCAGGTACACAGAGCTCCCAACTACTGGCAGATATTCCATGGGAAAACAGACTTATATACATCAGAGTAAGAAACTCCTAAAAGCTACTTAGAAGTCTCATTCTAAAATATGATGGACAACTAAAGATCACAAGAAAGAAAACAAGCAACATAAAAAAGAAAGACCAAGATAAACAGTATTCATCCTAAGAAAAGAGCAGAGATTATCTATGGAATAGAAAAAATTACATTTTTAATTACTGTTCTCAGAGACATTTGAAAAGACACTGCTTCCATGAAACTACGACTGGATACTCCTACACCCTGCCCTGACTTCACACACACAAACCAAAATAAAAATCCAAAAGAAGAAAGAGTTCTGGGAAATTAAGCATATAATTGCTGACATTTTAAAAATCGAAGGGTTGAAAGACAGCCTAGACCCTCTCCTGGAACATAAAGCAAAAGATGAAAAGAGAGGAAATGTCAGAAGAAAGACGAAACAGAATAAATCCAGAAGATCCTATATCCAGCAAATAGAAGTTCCAAAAAGAAAAAAAACAAGGAATGAAATATCTTTTAAAGCTTTAGTATGTATGTGAGTACACACACACACACACACACTCTCTCTCTCTATATATATATATATGTATATATGTCTCATCGAGAGTTAAAGAAAGATGTAACTATTCCTAGTGAAGGGTGTAAATGAGTACTAGGCAAAATGAATGAAAAAAGATCAACTAGACATCACATTATGAAATTCTGGAAGATTAAATATTAAGAGATTTTTAAGTTAATTAATTTCTTTACTGTGGTAAGAACACATAAGACCTACCTTCTGAAAAAAATTTAAGTTTACAGTACTATTAACTGTAAACACAATGCTATACAGCAGATCTCTAGAACTTAATCATCTTGCATAACTGAAGCTTTATATCCACTGGGCAGCCCTCTCTATTTCCCCTCCCTCAGCCCCTGGCAGCCACCATTCTACTCTCTGCCATAGAAATGAACAACTAGCTTATTTCACTTAGCGTAATGTCCTCCAGATTCATCCATGTTGTCACAAATGACTGGATTTCCTTTTTTATGACTGAATAATATTCCATTTTATGTATATAGCAAAGTTTCTTGATCCATTTATCTATCAATGGACATGTAGATTGTTTCCACATCTAGGCTATTGGGAATAGTGTTGCAATGAACATGGGAAGACTCTAGAGAGGAAGAGAAAAAAGATCACCTACCAAGGAACAATAATACACCAGCATCAAGCTGCTGCTTCTTTTCGTTTTTTCCTCCAAGACACAGTCTTGCTCACCTTAGCCTCCTGCGTAGCTGGGACTACAAGCATGAGCCACAACACCCAGCTAAGTTTTGGCATTTTTTGTAAAGACAGGATTTTGCCATGTTGCCCAGGCTGGTCATGAACTCCTGGGCTCAAGCGATCCTTTCACCTCAGTCTTCCAAAGTGCTGGGATTACAGGCTTGAGCCACCGTGCCCGGCCCAAGCTTATTAGTAATACTCCATGCTAAAGACAGCAGAACAATTCCTTCACAGTTCTGAAGGGAAAAAATGTTTGAATATAGAATGTTGTACTCCACCTAACTATAAATCAATGTGAAGGCATACTAAAGACATTTTCAGATTTTCAATTACTCAGAAATTTCATCTCCCGTCTGTTTTTTCTGACGAAGATACTTTTGGAGATATTCCAGAGAAGTGAAGTGCAAACCAACAGAGGAAGATATGGAATACAAGAAAGAGTAGAACTCACTCAGGAGTATAATGAAAAATCATTTCAGAGTGACAGCTGTGCATAGGGTTTACAAAACAATCTAAATCAGGAGAGGGAGTCAGTGGGTCCCAAGTATAACATTAATACTATCTTCAGGAAGAAAAATGAAATGTAGTTTACACAAAACATAGAATGACCATGAAAATAGATGATATCAGTGACATGGTGAAGAAAACATATGTTTCTTCTCTCAGCAAGATAAAAGAAAGATAATTGGAAATTCCAGGAAAAAAAAAAACGACAAGAATTATATAGAAAAGTCAAGATACAAATATGAAGCCAGCTAAAATGTAGCACAATTTTCAGCAATTTCTGTAACTATGAAAGAGAATTTATTTAATTTAGACTCTAAAATATCCTTCTTCAAAGAGCCCAGAGGTCATGGTCTTGGACCTATAGAAAAGGAAATGTAATTTTTGCATATTATTTGCCTATGCAATGAATATTAATTAAATAGTCATAATAACATAAATTGGGGGGTTATGTTGATATTTAACTCCCAGAATCAAACTGTAAGCAACAGTTTATAAAAGATGGGTTACAATAAAGAAAGAATTTGGCATTAACTCTGAAAACATAAAAACAAAAGTCTAGGCCAGACCCGATGGCTCACGCCTGGAATGCCAACACTTTGGGAGGCCAGGGTGGGTGGATCATTTGAACTCAGGAGTTCAAGACCAGCCTGGGAAACATGGTGAAATCTCATCTCTACAAAAAATACAAAAATTAGCCTGGCATGATGGAACTTGCCTATAGTCCCAGCTATTTGGGAAGCTGAGGCAGGAGGATTGCTTGAGCCCAGAAGGTGGAGGTTGCAGTAAGCCAAGATCACGCCACTGCACTCCAGCCTGGGTAACAGAGCAAGACCCTGTTTCAGGAGAAAAAAATAATAATAATATTCTTGACAGAATATTATGGTAGGTGGAAGGGTAGAAGGTGGAAGAAAGGAGAAAAGGGCCAATAGTCTCATCAGCATATCTCCAGAATGTGACCTCTTCTCACCAACTCCACGAGTATCTCCTGGTCAGCACTACCAGCATCTCTGTCTTGACGACTGTAAAAGCCTCCCGACTACTCCCCTGCCTCCCCCTATGCCTTCCTACAGTTCTCAACATGGAAGCTATACATATCCACAAGTCAGACCGTGTCACTCTGCTCAAAACCTTGCAATGGCTTCTCATTGTACCCAACGTAAAAGCAAAAATTCTTTATATTGATCCACATAGCCCTATATCATCTCACCCTGTTATCTCTCTGACCTCATCCTCCACCACGCTGCCCTTTGCTCACTCCATTCTAGCCCTACTAGCCACCTGTAATCCTTGAATGTGCCAGGCACACTCCTTCCTTGCAGCCTTTGCTGTTGCCTCTGCCTGGAACTCTCTTCCCTAAAATGCTTACATGAATAACATCCTCCCTGCCTTTATGTCTGCTCAAACATCATCTCTCAATGAAGTTAAATCTGACCATCCGATTTAAAATCATTATTCCCACTTTCCAGATTCCTGAACTATCTTTTCCTGTCTTACTTTTTTTAATTTTGAATGTATCAATGTCTACTATATAATTTCTGTATCTGAACACCCCATCAATGTCTACTATATAATTTCTGTATCTGAACACCCCTACCCCCAACTACCATGTAAGTGCCAATGAGCCTGAGAGCTCTGTTTTGTTCACTGAGCACTTAGAACAGTGCCTGTCGCCATACTAAGTATCCAATAAATAATCATGATTATATAAATATAGCCTGGGAGTCAAGAGGTATTATATATGGCTGATGGGACAAAAACTAGAGGTTTAAGTGTTTTATTTAAAGGTATAAAAGCAACCAAGAATAAAACTATAATAATAGCTATCAAAAACTGGGAGAGGGTAGCTAAATCCTTGTTTTTATTATAGAGAATAAGTACAATACATAGAAATAAAGTCTTGAAAGATACACACCAAATTACTTTCAGTTGTAACTTTGCAGGAGGCAGTTTAAAGGAATAAAGGGATAAAAATCAGTGATTAAAAATTTTAATCTTGGTCAGGCACGGTGGCTCATACCTATAATCCCAGCACTTTGGGAGGCAGAAGTGGGAGGATCGCTTGAGCCCAGGAGTTCGAGACCAGCCTGGGCAACATAGTGAGACCCTGTCTCTACAAAAAATGAAAAAATTAGCCAGGCACGGGGGCACATGCCTGTAGTCCCAGCTACCCAAGGGGCCGAGGTGGAAGGATCCACTGAGCTTGGAAGGTCAAGGCTATAGTGAGCCATGGTCACACTACTGCACTCCAGCCTAGGCAACAGAGTAAAACCCGTCTCAAAAATATGTAATTTTTTTTATCAAAAAAGGGAGGCGGTTTTCCTCTGGAAAGTGGGACTGGGAAGTGTGGCAGACAGCTGTTGTTTTTCAGTATAAACTCCTCAGCACTACCTTATTTTTACTATGTATACAATTACTTTGATGAAAATTAAAAGACAATAAATTTTATTTCTTTTTTTTGCTAATCAGCTGACTTTAGAAAATACATTTTTAAGGAAGCAAAGGAATAAGCAGTTCCAGGTTCACTCTAGTACATAAACAAATATCCAATAGATTCCCCAAAGTACCATACTTCATGACTGAGATGATGTTGGCCTTGGAAATTTTCAAAGTGGATGTTACAAGCTGATCACTATGGCTGTAAAAATAAAAGGAGATATAACAACATTAAACATTTGGTTTTAGGTACTTTAACTTCCTGATATGTACCTGTATGGATTTCAAATTTTTCCTCTATTATCTAAGATAGTCACTGTTTGAAAGCCAAGGCCTCCTCTCCCATCCGTTATCTGCTAGGGGATTAGTATAGCATTTTAACATTTGATCTTATTTTCTCCCTTCTGGATCATGTGGATTGGCTTCGCCACCGTATGAGTTTGCCAAAAGCGAGAGTAACATGCCAAACCAAACATCTGTCACTAAACTGCAGGAGATTTATTATTTTTACCTAAAAGAATACTTGCTACATCAAGAATACTGTAGTCATTAAGCCAGATGAGGCCCTAGGCCAGGTGGATGGTGTGACCATGGACACCAAGGTCTCAGAGAACACCCTGCTCTTCCCACTCACAGAGCCCTGAAGGACCCAGCCTCTCCTAGTGGAGTGCTGTCAAGAAAGACAACTAAAAGGAAAGTTCTGATGAGGGGATATGCAAGTCTACAAAGAGTTACTCGAGTCACTTTTATAGTTTCTACAAAATTTAAAGACTGAGAATAAAAAAGGCCCTCAGCCACTTGTTCATTGGTCAGCCCTAGCATCTAACATAAATGCTCTTCCACAACCCCTAGCAAGGCAGGAGGGGGTAATAAAGACAGCTTTTGGCAAGACCTCAGGAGAAAGAGAAATTTTGATTCTCAACACTGTATCCCAGGAGGGTAGGGAAGAAAATAGAAAATTAATACCAAAGGACAGTGTTTCTATATCTCCACAGCATATCTTTAGGATGGGAATCAGGCTGTTACCTTAGTTTCAAAGATCAACTTCCAATAGCAAAGGTAAGGTGACAAGCCATTCAAGGTATTTAAAACATAAGCACTAAAATTTTATCCATGCATTTATGTGTGTGCTTTTGAAAAAAAAGGCCTGTCACTATATTGCAGTCCCCACTGGATAAATATATTTTTTACTAAGTTTATTAGACATATAACAATTTTAGAAGACATCTGTCAAAGACAGTAACTTTAGTTTTAGAACTGTTAATATTATGCCATTTATTTTCTAACAGTGTTTATTATGCAAGGACTGATTGCCTGTTGAGGTCATTCTTGGTTCTCAAAACGAAAACCATATTATTATATAATTACCCAGACTCCCCCTGCACCATTATCTAAAAGAGTGGGACAAAGGATCGGAAGGTGACCTAGCAAAACAAGTACTTTGTTTTAGAGCCTTTACACTTCAGAAAAATCACTCCCGTGATGCTCAGAGCTTTCAATGCTATTAAATCACAGTTTTCTGGCCAGGCACAGTGGCTCATGCCCGTAATTCCAACACTTTGGGAGGCCAAGGCAGGAGGATGGCTTGAGGCCAGAAGTTCAAGACCAGCCTGGGCAACATAGTGAGAACCCATCTCTACAATTAAAAAAATGCAAAAATTAGCCGGACATGTGCACACACCGGTAGTCGCAGCTACTCTAGAGGCTGAAGTGGCAGGATCACTTGAGCCAAAGAGCTCAAGGCTGCAGTGAACTATGATTGCATCACTGCACTCCAGCCCAGACAACAGTGAGACCCTGTCTCTAAAAAATAAAATAAAATGCATACTTTTTGAAGCATCAGTAACCAGGAATCTCTATTAAGCTTGTATACCATTCTTGTCCTGCTCAAACTCAGTCATCTCAATTCCAACCAGATGTCCAAACCAGAACCCTGGGAGCGATTCTTGTCCTCTCCCTCTGCCTCAGTCTCCATATCCAATCATCCCCCACAAAGCCCTGTTGAATATCATTCTAAAATACATCATGAGCTTTTTCACGCTCTCTGGTTAAAGGTAGTCCAAGTCAACACTGTCTTACATTGGGGCTGCTACAATCAGAATTTTTTAAATAAAAATAGTAGCAAACACCTTATAATCCTTACTATGGGTCAGGTACCCCTCTAAGTGCTTTAAATGCATTAGCTGATTTATTCTTCTCAATAACCCTATAAAGCATTCTAGCACCACTTGAAGATGAAGAAACTGATGCACAGAGAAGTTAACTGACTTTCCCAATATCACACAGCTAGGAAGTGGAGGAGCCAGCTGTCCCCTCCTCACTGACCCTTTGCACTCACACCTGCCATCCTCCGGTCTGATTTCCACACAGCAACCAGTGTGATTGTTTAAACAAGTAACTTTTATACAGAACCAGAAACCTTGAAGTGAGAACAGAAAACAACTTTATTCTTTTCTTCCCAACAGCCTGATCAAACCGGCTCTGCAGGACAGGTTCTTTCCTGGCGCCTGGGGCAAGTCCCTTGACTTTTTTTTGGTGCTGTCAGTTAATACGAATTCTCTCTTTCAGTCGCAAAATGGTCTCATTTCAATAATAAAAATGCCCAGTTCAGCGTGTTGGTTGAAACACTGAATTTCATTACAGTTAATGCTTCCTCCCCACCACCCACCCAAACCCCAAACCTGCTAGGGCTGGCGGCCTTTGTGGTGGGGCTGGCTCCTCTCTCCTGGCCTCCTCCTCTTCATTGTCTCAGCCGCTTCAGCCAGCCAAGGTTGGAGGGGCCAGGAAAGAGAGATAAGAAACAGAAAAGATCTTGTGTGACAGACACAGGCGTAATCTACCATTGACAGACTCTGGCCGTGGCAGGTGTTTAAAGCTGACTCTTACTCTCAGGACTTTTTTTTTTTTTTTTTTTTTTTTTGAAACGGAGTCTCGCTTTGTCGCCCAGGCTGGAGTGCGGTGGCGCATCAGCTCACCGCAAGCTCCGCCTCCTGGGTTCACGCCATTCTCCTGCCTCAGCCTCCCGAGTAGCTGGGACTACAGGCGCCCGTCACCACGCCCGGCTAATTTTTTTGTATTTTTTAGTAGAGACGGGGTTTCACCGTGTTAGCCAGGATGGTCTCGATCTCCTCACCCTAGATAGTCCTCTGTAAGTTCCGCTGATTGGAGCTCATTGAAATAGGCAAAGCCTCGACCTTAGCTGGATGCTTACATACCCACTCCAGCCCCACGTTCAGCTTCTGAATCTGAAGACACGTCTCCAGCCTCTGTCTGCTAAGGTTGTCTGGTGTGGACAGAAGTTCTCTTAAGCATGATCCCCTTTTAAATGACCGCACGTATATATTCCTCCCAAGGATTTCATACCTTGGAGCTGCCAATGCAAACTGTCAATACTAGTTAACTTTCCAAATGCAGTTCCTTACTTTGATGACAGTAAGCTATTTACCAGGTATTTCTGTGACCCATGGACTCCAGAGGCTACAGGTCAAACCTTCCATGTGGTCTCCTTGGAGCACCCCTCACTAGCACACCTGAGGCAAGGTAAAAATACCTGTCCTACCAATCTCTCATGGGGTTGTAGGGAAGACATGATGCATTGGAGATTCTTTCAATGGGAATTTCCAAAACTCAACTATCTCCTTGGCCTTTTCAATTTTAGTTCCTATATAGCCTTAAGATAGGCAGAGGGGTGAAGATCCACAGAAGTGGTTTCAGCACCTCTTTCATAATTCTGCCATAGATGATCTCACTCACTGCACTTTGAAATGTGGGGGTAATTAGGCCCTCAGCTGCAGTGAATCAGGAAGAGTCCCATTTTAACACTCTGTTAGAAATACCACATCATGCCTTTCCATCGCTATTAGCATTAAATACTAAAAAACACTAATCATACTATGTCCTTCCACTGCTATTGCGATTAAACGCTAACTCTTTACCACATTCTATGGAGCACTGCATGATATGGGCCTTGCCTACCTGTCTAGCCTTGTTTCATAACTCTCTTTTCAGGTTCAGCTGCATTGGTCTTCTTGCAGGTCCTTGGATTCTCTAAGCTCTTTCCTACCTCAGGACCTTCATACATGCCTAGGAGATTCTTCCTCCTACCACTCTTGTCCTCATTTGTTAGGTCTCAGCTTAAATATTATCTCATAGCAAAGGATTTTCCTGAAGTATTATAGCTCTCTGCCCCCAGCCAACTATTCTCATTCATATATATTATTTAACTTTACAGCATTTACCACAAATTGTAAATGTGTGATTGTGTATTTTCTTTTTTTTTTTCTTTTTTTTTTTTTAATTGATCATTCTTGGGTGTTTCTCGCAGAGGGGGATTTGGCAGGGTCACAGGACAATAGTGGAGGGAAGGTCAGCAGATAAACATGTGAACAGAGGTCTCTGGTTTTCCTAGGCAGAGGACCCTGCGGCCTTCCGCAGTGTTTGTGTCCCTGGGTACTTGAGATTAGGGAGTGGTGATGACTTTTAACGAGCATGCTGCCTTCAAGCATCTGTTTAACAAAGCACATCTTGCACCGCCCTTAATCCATTTAACCCTGAGTGGACACAGCACATGTTTCAGAGAGCACAGGGTTGGGGGCAAGGTCACAGATCAACAGGATCCCAAGGAAGAAGAATTTTTCTTAGTACAGCACAAAAGGAAAAGTCTCCCATGTCTACCTCTTTCTACACAGACACGACAACCATCCAATTTCTCAATCTTTTCCCCACTTTTCCCCCCTTTCTATTCTACAAAACCGCCATTGTCATCCTGGCCCGTTCTCAATGAGCTGTTGGGTACACCTCCCAGCCGGGGTGGCAGCCGGGCAGAGGGGCTCCTCACTTCCCAGTAGGGGCGGCCGGGCAGAAGCACCCCTCACCTCCCGGACGGGGCGGCTGGCCGGGCGGGTGGCTGACCCCCCCACCTCTCTCCCTGACGGGGCGGCTGGCCGGGCGGGGGCTGACCCCCACCTCCCTCCCGGACAGGGTGGCTGCCAGGCGGAGACGCTCCTCACTTCCCAGACGGGGTGGCTGCCGGGCGGAGGGGCTCCTCACTTCTCAGACGGGGCGGCCTGGCAGAGACGCTCCTCACATCCCAGACGGGGCAGCAGGGCAGAGGCGCTCCCCACATCTCAGACGATGGGCGGCCAGGCAGAGACGCTCCTCACTTCCTAGATGGGATGGTGGCCAGGCAGAGACGCTCCTCACTTCCCAGATAGGGTGGCGGCCGGGCAGAGGCTGCAATCTCGGCACTTTGGGAGGCCAAGGCAGGCGGCTGGGAGGTGGAGGTTGTAGTGAGCCAAGATCACGCCACTGCACTCCAGCCTGGGCACCATTGAGCACTGAGTGAACGACACTCTGTCTGCAATCCTGGCACCTCGGGAAGCCGAGGCTGGCGGATCACTTGTGGTTAGGAGCTGGAGACCAGCCCGGCCAACACAGCGAAACCCCGTCTCCACCAAAAAAATACGAAAACCAGTCAGGCGTGGTGGCGCGCGCCTGCAGTCGCAGGCACTCGGCAGGCTGAGGCAGGAGAACCAGGCAGGGGGGTTGCAGTGAGCGGAGATGGCAGCAGTACAGTCCAGCTTCAGCTCTGCATCAGAGGGAGACCGTGGAAAGAGAGGGAGAGGAGGGAGAGGAGGGAGAGGAGGGAGAGGAGGGAGAGGAGGGAGACGGGAGAGGGAGAGGGAGAGGGAGAGGGAGAGGGAGAGGAGGGAGAGGAGGGAGAGGAGGGAGAGAGCGTGATTGTGTATTTTCAAGTTTATGGCCATATGGCCAGAAACTGGTTAATGATTTACTAAATTATTTCTGTTTTCCTACTGGACATACAGTTGAACTACATATCCCAGCCTCCCTTGCAGTTAGGTACAGCCATATGACTGTTGTAGTCAATGGAATGTAGGTAGAAAAAGAACACACTTCCAGGCCTGGCCTGTAAAATCTTGCCACATCTGATCCCCTATTCTTTTTTTCCATTCACCGCCTTAATAGAGAAGATTTCAAAGACCCAGAAAAGCATACAATCACAAGAGGAAAGTGATCTGAGTTAGTGCTTAGAGGAGAGAGTCCAGTATAGTCAAGATATCAGCAGCAGCCTCACTGGACTATTGCTTGAGCAAAAAACAAATTTTTATTAGGTTAAGTCATTGAATTTTCTCTTATAGAAGTATTCCAGCAAGTAAATTGAAGAAAGAATGACAGAATTAGATTACCACTATATTAAACCCTAATGAATTCATGAATCTAGACAATGATCATCAATGGCTATTATTTGTGATGGGAAGAAGAAGAAGAAGAATATTCACAGAATATTAAATATATTTCATTGCATCCTGGGCTCTCTTTTCTTTCTTTTGTTTTTCAATTTTTATTTTAGATTCCAGGGTACACATGCAGGTTTGTTAGAAAGGCATATTGCATGATGCTGGGGTTTGGAGTATGATTAAACCCACCACCCAGGAAGTGAGCATAGAACCCAATAGGTATTTTTTCAACCTTTGCCCCCCTTCCTTCCCACTCTTGTATTTCCAAGTGTCTATTGTTCTCCTCCTTATGTCCATGTGTACCCCATGTTTAGCTCCCACTTATAAGTGAGAACATGTGTTATTTGATTTTCTGTTTCTTCATTACTTCAGCTGCATCCATGTTGCTGCAAAGAACATGGTTTCATTCTTTTTTATGGCTGTACAGTAATCCATGGTATATAAGCATTAATACCACATTTTCTTTATCCAATCCACTGTTGATGGGCACCTGGGCGGGGTCCATGTCTTTGCTATTGTGAATAGTGCTGCAATGAACATACAGGTGCATGTGTCTTTTTAGTAGAATGATTTATTTTCCTTTGGGTATAAACTCAGTAATGTCATTGCTTGGTTGAATAGTAGTTCAATTCTTATTTCTTTGAGAAATCTCCAAACTGCTCTCCCCAGAGGCTGAACAAATTTGCATTCCCAGCAACAATGTGTAAGCATTTCCTTTTCTCCACAGCCCCACCAACATCTGTTATTTTTTGGCATTTTAACAAAACCCATTCTGACAAGTGTGAGATGGTATCTCATTGTGGATTTGATTTGCATTTCTCTGATGATTAGTGATGAGCATTTTTTCATGTTCGTTGGCTGCTTGTATATCTTTTTTTAAGAAGTGTCTTTTCATGTCCTTTGCCCATTTTTAATAGGGTTATTTGTTTTTTGCTTGTTGATTTAAGTTCCTTATAGATTCTGCATATTAGACTTTTGTCAGATACATAGCTTGCAAATATTTCCTGCCATTCTCTAGGTCATCTATTTACTCCATTGATAGTTTCTCTTGCTATTCAGAAGCTCCTCAGTTTAATTAGGTCCCACTTGTCAATTTTAGCTTTTATTGCAATTGCTTTTGAGGACTTAGTCATAAATTCTTTGCCAAGGCTGATGTTGAGAAGGATATTTCCTAGGCTTTCTTCTGTTATAGTTTCAGGTCTTACATTTAAGTCTTTAATCCATCTTGAGTTAATCTTTGTATATGGTAAGAGATAGGGGTCCAGATTCACTCTTCTGCATATGGACAGCCAGTTATCCAGACACCATTTATTGAATAGAGTCCTTTTCCCACTGCTTACTAGCGGTAGATGTGTGGCTTTATTTTTGGGTTCTCTATTCTGTTCCTTCCATTGGTGATTTTCTATTTTTGTACCAGCATCATGCTTTTTTTGGTTACCATAGCCTTGCAGTACAGTTTGAAGTCAGGTAATGTGATGTCTCTGACTTTGTTCTTTTTGCTTAGGATGCTTTGGCTATGTGAGCTTTTTTGGTTCCATACAAATTTTAGAATAGTCTTTTCTATTTCTGTGAAAAATGAAGTTAGTAGTTTGATAGGAATAGTGGGCTCTTTTTTCTATTTATATTCACCTCCAGATGATCACATTTGGTCCCAGCCTTTTCATACATCTAGCCATTGACAACTTCCACATTTTTATCTCCAGAGCTATTAATTCCAGTGAAGTTCTGGATTTCTATATTCAACTGCCTCCTCAAAGTCTCTACTTGGCTGTCTAAAAATTTCTCAAGTTTAACATGTACACAACAGAACTCTTTACTTCTCTCCAAAAACCTCCTCCCACAGTCTTCCACATGTGAGCAGATGAATCTAAGCCACCATCATATCTCATCCAGTGATAGCTGATGTCCATATAATGAGTTCTTCACACAACATCTAGGGTGCATGAACTTTTCAAAATTCAAATCAGATAATGCCACTTCCCTGTTTGAAACCTTTGTACAGCTTTCTGATACACTCAAAAAAATTCAAACATTTTTTCATGGCCTCCTCCTTCTTGGCTGCTCTGACTTCATTTTCTACCACACTTTCCAATGCACACGCTTCTCAAATCTTCTTATTGTTCCTTGAAAGAAGCAAGCTCATTCCTGCCTCAGGGCCTTTGTATTTGCTATTCCCCTGCTTGGAACTCGGTTCTACCATCTACTTATGGCTTTGTCCTGCACTTCATTCAGACATCCTTAAGAAGGCTTGTCCAATCTATCAAAAATAGCACCTTGCATCCTCCCACTGTCCCTGCCCATACTCTTACTCTATTTTATTTTTTTCTTTGAAGTTATTACTATTTGATATTACGTATTTGCTCACTTGCCAGAATGGAAGCTTCATGAATGCAGGAATTTTGTTTGCCTTGTCCATTGCTGTTTCTTCAGTGCATAGAAGAGTCATTACCAATGAGTGGGAACTCAATACGTATTTGTTAAATAAACAAATTGATTAATGGATTATTGTTGTGGGAAGTCAGGGACCCCAAACTGAGGGACTGGCTGAAGCCATGGCAGAAGAATGTGGATTGTGAAGATTTCATGGACATTTATTAGTTCCCCAAATTAATACTTTTATAATTTCTTATGCCTCTCTTTACTGCAATCTCTAAACACAAATTGTAAAGATTTCATGGACATTTATCACTTCCCCAGTCAATACCCTTGTGATTTCCTATGCCTGTCTTTACTTTAATCTCTTAATCCTGTCAGCTGAGAAGAATGTATGTCGCCTCAGGACCCTGTAATAATTGCATTAACTACACAAATTGTACAGCATGTGTGTTTCAACAATATGAAATCTGGGCACCTTGAAAAAAGAACAGGATAACAGCAATTGTTCAGGGAATAAGAGAGATAACCTTAAACTCTGACCGCTGGTGAGCCGGGCGGAACAGAGCCATATTTCTCTTCTTTCAAAAGCAAATGGGAGAAATATCGCTGAATTCTTTTTCTCAGCAAGGAACATCCCTGGGAAAGAGAATACGCGCCTAGGGGTATAGGCCTATAAACGGCCCCCCAGGTGTGGTCGTCTTTTATGGTCTGTAGACTGTAGGGGTGAAATAGACCCCAGTCTCCCATAGTGCTCCCAGGCTTATTAGGAAGAGGAAATTCCCGCCTAATAATTTTGGTCAGACCGGTTGCTCTCAAAACCCTATCTCCTGATAAGATGTTATCAATGACAATGGTGCCCAAAACTTCATTAGCAATTTTAATTTCGCCCCGGTCCTGTGGTCCTGTGATCTCGCCCTGCCTCCACTTGCCTTGTGATATTCTATTACCTTGTAAAGTATTTGTTGTCTGTGACCCACACCTATTCACACACTCCCTCTCCTTTTGAAAATCCCTAATAAAAACTTGCTGGTTTTGTGGCTTTTGGGGCATCACGGAACCTACCGACATGTGATGTCTCCCCCAGACGCCCAGCTTTAAAATTTCTCTCTTTTGTACTCTGTCCCTTTATTTCTCAAGCTGGCCAATTCTTAAGGAAAATAGAAAAGAACCTATGTGACTATTGGGGCAGGTTCCCCGATAGATTATAAACAAGTGACCATAAAACCTTCCAAGTTTGACTCAATCACAGTTATGAGCCACATTTAGGAAACCCTGACATACAAGCATTCTGTCATTTATTGACTGGGTAAACTTGAGAGAGATGCCTGATCTCCCTGTGCCTCAGTTTTTTCATCTGTATAATGGAGGAATAATGTCATCTGTTTCATAAGAGTGCAAGGCTTAAATAAATGAATAATGAAGTTCTTAGACTAGAACAATGCATAGTATAATACATAGTAGGTACTCAATAAATGTTTGCTGACATTATTATTATTACAGAATTCCAGATTTTCAGTGTTTAAATTAAGAAAATAGAGGAAAGGGCCATTTTTCACATTAAAGGAATTTTTAAAGTCATAAACAATAAATATGTATTGGGATTTACAAAGCAGGCCTTAACTGCATGAGAGGTAAGAAGTAGCAGAGAAACTTAGAATGAAAGTATTAAAAATCGCTTCCAATTACAAATCACTATGAAATAAAAATAATTATGAAAATATGAGGTAGTCATTCAGATTTGATTAACAACCAAAATAAATCAGTTTATATACAACTTTTCAGGAATACACCTACAGGGTAAATTAAAAGACATCTGAACTCTTCAATACTTAACGTCACCATAATCGGCAAAGACAGATGGAGCCCTTTCCTCCTGCCCTTGCCCCCTCTATTCCACATAACCATTATATCCCTCTCTTACTAACAACTTCTATCTTGAAGGCAGCAACATGATTCATGCTATAGCCCAGGCTTATCATATTAGGGCAAGACCAATATACTTAGCCTGAAAACAGGGTTCCACAAATGAAGGTGCTTGATTAGCTAAGCTACATGTTAAGAAATCACTTCTGCACTAAAAGTAAAGCCAAAAATTGAAGCCAAACCTGAATAATTTTGATAACACTTGCTTTTAAGTAAGTTGTTTCTGCATTTATCTCAGCTTCATTTCCTACACGTCACTGAGGGGAATTTTTCCTCTTTTTATCATCCACAATTATTGTTCTGGCATTTTGTTGTTGTGTTGGTTTGTCTGTTCATTTGCTTTCTTGCTTTGCTTGCATCCTGACGGATTAAAACCATCAGGGTGAGATTCTGCTACAATCTTCTTCAGCCAAACTTACTTGCCAAGTATGTAGCAGTCTTCCTGTTCCCACATAGCAACCTCCCATCTTTTCTTAGTATTTTGAAGCATGCCAAAGAAAGAAAATGATACTGGGTGTCTCAACATACCTTAAGATTTGGCCCTCCTGTCCCTCAAACAACCTAACAAACAAAATATAGCCATTTACAGAGCCCACCACAGCTCAGCAAGGCCTACTACCTCTGTTGACTCCACCTCTGGGGGCAGGGCATAGCTGAACAAAAGGCAGCAGAAACTTCTGCAGACTTAAACATCCCTGTCTGACAACTCTGAAGAGAGCAATGGTTCTCCCAGCATGGCATATGAGCTCTGAGAACGGACAGACTGCCTCCTCAAGTGGGTCCCTGACCCTAGTGTAGTCTAACTGGGAGATACCTCCCAGTAGGGGCTGACTGACACCTCATAAAGGTGGGTGCCCCTCTGGGATGAAGCTTCCAGACGAAGAATCAGGCAGCAATATTTGCTGTTCTGCAATATTTGTTGTTCTGTAGTCCCCGCTGGTGATACCCAGACAAACAGGGTCTGGAGTGGACCTCCAGCAAACTCCAACAGACCTGCAGCTAAGGGATCTGACTGCTAGAAGGAAAACTAACAAACAAGAAAGGAATAGCATCAACATCAACAAAAAGGACATCCACACCAAAACCCCATCTGCAGGTCACCAATATCAAAGACCAAAGGTAGATAAACCCACAAAAATAGGGAGAAACCAGAGCAGAAAAGCTGAAAATTCTGAAAACCAGAGTGTCTCTTCTCCTCCAAAGGATTGCAGCTCCTACCCAGCAACAGAACAAAGCTGGACAGAGAATGACTATGACAAGTTGACAGAAGTAGGCTGCAGAAGGTTGGTAATAACAAACTTCTCTGAGCTAAAGAAGGATGTTCAAACCCATTGCAAGGAAGCTAAAAACCTTGAAAAAGAGGTTAGATGAATGGCTAAGTAGAATAAACAGTGTTGAGAAGACCTTAAATTACCTGATGGAGCTGAAAACCATGGCACAAGAACTACGTGACTCATGCACAAGCTTCAGTAGCCGATTCGATCAAGTGGAAGAAAGGGTATCAGTGATTGAAGATCAAATTAATGAAATAAGGCAAGAAGAAAAGTTTAGAGAAAAAAGAGTAAAAAGAAATGAACAAAGCCTCCAAGAAATATGGGACTATGTGAAAAGACCAAATCTACGTTTGATTGGTGTATCTGAAAGTGATGGAGAGAATGGAACCAAGTTGGAAAACACTCTTCAGGATATTATCCAGGAGAAATTCCCCAACCTAGCAAGGCAGGCCAACATTCAAATTCAGGAAATACAGAGAACACCACAAAGATACTCCTCAAGAAGAGCAACCACAAGACATGTAATTGTCAGATTCACCAAGGTTGAAATGAAGGAAAAAATGTTAAGGGCAGCCAGAGAGAGAGGTCGGGTTACCCACAAAGGAAAGCCCATCAGACTAACAGCAGCTCTCCCAGCAGAAACTCTATAAGCCAGAAGAGAGTGGGGGCCAATATTCAACATTCTTAAAGAAAAGAATTTTCAACCCAGAATTTCATATCCAGCCAAACTAAGCTTCTTAAGTGAAGGAGAAATAAAATCCTTTACAGACAAGCAAACGCTGAGAGATTCTGTCACCACCAGGCCTGCCTTACAAGAGCTCCTGAAGGAGCACTAAACATGGAAAGGAAAAACCGGTACCAGCCACTGCAAAAACATGCCAAATTGTAAAGACCATAGATGCTAGGAAGAAACTGCATAAACTAATGGGCAAAATAACCAGCTAACGTCATAATGTCAAGATCAAATTCACACATAACAATATTAACCTTAAATGTAAACAGGCTAAATGCCCCAATTAAAAGACACTGACTGGCAAATTGTACAAAGAGTCAAGACCTATCAGTGTGCTGTATTCTGGAGGCCCATCTCACATGCAGAGACACACATAGGCTCAACATAAAGGGATGGAGGAAGATCTACCAAGCAAATGGGAAGCAAAAAAAAGCAGGAGTTGCAATTTCAGTCTCTGATAAAACAGACTTTAAACCAACAAAGATCAAAAGAGACAGAAAGGCCATTAAATAATGGTAAAGGGATCAATTCAACAAGAAGAGCTAACTATCCTAAATATATATGCACCCAATACAGGAGCACCCAGATTCATAAAGCAAGTCCTTAGAGACGTACAAAGAGACTGAACTCCCACACAATAATAATGGGAGACTTTAACGCCCCACTGTCAACATTAGACAGATCAATGAGACAGAAGGTTCAGAAGGATATCCAGGACTTGAACTCAGCTCTGCACCAAGTGGACCTAATAGACATCTACAGAACTCTCCACTCCAAATCAACAGAATATACATTCTTCTCAGTACCACATCACACTTATTCTAAAATTGACCACATAGTTGGAAGTAAAACACTCCTCAGCAAATGTAAAAGAACAGAAATCACAACAAACTGTCTCTCAGACCACACTGCAATCAAATTAGAACTCAGGATTAAGAAACTCATTCAAAACTGCACAACTACATGGAAACTGAACAACCTGCTCCTGAATGACTACTGGGTAAATAACGAAATTAAGGCAGAAATAAAGATGTTCTTTGAAACCAATGAGAACAAAGACACAACGTACCAGAATTTCTGGGACACATTTAAAGTAATGTATAGAGGGAAATTTATACCACTAAATGCCCACAAGAGAAAGCAGGAAAGGTCTAAAATCGACACCCTAACATCACAATTAAAAGAACTAGAAAAGCAAGAGCAAACAAATTCAAAGGCTAGCAGAAGGCAAGAAATAACTAAGACCAGAGCAGAACTGAAGGAGATAGAGACACAAAATACCCTTCAAAAAATTAATGAATCCAGGAGCTGTTTTTTTTGAAAAGATCAACAAAATTGATAGACTGCTAGCAAAACTAATAAATAAGAAAAGAGAGAAGAATCAAATAGACGCAATAAAAAATGATAAAGGGGATATCACCACTAATCCCACAGAAATACAAACTATCATCAGAGAATACTATAAACACCTCTACACAAATAAACTAGAAAATCTAGAAGAAATTGATAAATTGCTGGACATATACACCCTCCCAAGACTAAACAAGGAAGGAGTTGAATCTCTGAATAGACCAATAATAGGCTCTGAAATTGAGGCAATAATCAATAGCCTACCAACCAAAAAAAGTCCAGGATCAGACGGATTCACAGCCGAATTCTACCAAAGGTACAAAGAGGAGCTGGTACCATTCCTTCTGAAACTATTCTAATCAATAGCAAAAGAGGGAATCCTCCCTAACTCATTTTATGAGGTCAGCATCATCCTGATACCAAAGCCTGGCAGAGACACAACCAAAAAAGAGAATTTTAGACCAATATCCCTGATGAACATCAATGCGAAAATCCTCAATAAAACACTGGCAAACCGAAACCAGCAGCACATCAAAAAGCTTATCCACCGCGATCCAGTCGGCTTCATCCCTGGGATGCAAATCTGGTTAAACATATGCAAATCAATAAAGGTAATCCATCACATAAACAGAACCAATGACAAAAACCACATGATTATCTCAATAGAAGCAGAAAGGGCCTTCGACAAAACTCAACAGCCCTTCATGCTAAAAACTCTCAATAAACTAGGTATTGATGGAACGTAGCTTAAAATAATAAGAGCTATTTATGACAAACCCACAGCCAATATCATACTGAATGGGCAAAAACTGGAAGCATTCCCTTTGAGAACTGGCACAAAACAGGGATGCCCTCTCTCACCACTCCTGTTCAACACAGTGTTGGAAGTTCTGGCAAGGGCAATCAGGAAGGAGAAAGAAATAAAGGGTATTCAATTAGGAAAGGAGGAAGTCAAATTGTCCCTGTTTGCAGATGACATGATTGTATATTTAGAAAACCCCATCATCTCAGCCCAAAATCTCCTTAAGCTGATAAGCAACTTCAGCAAAGTCTCAGGATACAAAATCAATGTACAAAAATCACAAGCATTCTTATACACCAACAACAGACAAACAGAGAGCCAAATCATGACTGAACTCCCATTCACAATTGCTACAAAGATAATAAAATATCTAGGAATCTAACTTACAAGGGATGTGAAGGACCTCTTCAAGGAGAATTACAAACCACTGCTCAATGAAATAAAGGAGGATACAAACAAATGGAAGAACATTCCATGCTACTGGATAGGAAGAATCAATATTGTGAAAATGGCCATACTGCTCAAGGTAATTTATAGATTCAACGCCATCCCCATCAAGCTACCAACGACTTTCTTCACAGAATTGGAAAAAACTACTTTAAAGTTCATATGGAACCAAAAAAGAGCCCGCATTGCCAAGACAGTCCTAAGCAAAAAGAACAAAGCTGGAGCCATCACATTACCTGACTTCAAACTACACTACAAGGCTATAGTAACCAAAACAGCATGGTACTGGTACCAAAACAGAGATATAGACCAATGGAACAGAACAGAGGCCTCAGAAATAACACCACACATCCACAACCATCTGATCTTTGACAAACCTGACAAAAATAAGAAATGGGGAAATGATTCCCTATTTAATAAATGGTGTTGGGAAAACTGGCTAGCCATATTTAGAAAGCTGAAACTGGATCCCTTCCATACCCCTTATACAAAAATTAATTCAAGATGGATTAAAGACTTAAATGTTAGACCTAAAACCATAAAAACCCTAGAAGAAAACTTAGGCAATACCATTCAGGGCATAGGCATGGGCAAGGACTTCATGACTAAAACACCAAATGCAATGGCAACAAAAGCCAAAATAGACAAATGGGATCCAATTAAACTAAAGAGCTTCTGCACAGCAAAAGAAACTACCATCAGAGTGAACAGGCAACCTACAGAATGGGAGAAAATTTTTACAATCTACCCATCTGACAAAGGGCTAATATCCAGAATCTACAATGAACTCAAACAAATTTACAAGAAAAAAACAAACAACCCCATCAAAAATTGGGCAAAGGATATGAACAGACACTTCTCGAAAGAAGACATTTATGCAGCCAACAGACACATGAAAAAATACTCATCATCACTGGTCATCAGAGAAATGCAAATCAAAACCACAATGAGATATCATCTCACACCAGTTAGAATGGTGATCATTAAAAAGTCAGGAAACAACAGATGCTGGAGAGGATGTGGAGAAATAGGAACACTTTTATGCTGTTGGTTGGAGTGTAAACTAGTTCAACCATTGTGGAAGACAGTGTGGCGATTCCTCAAGGATCTAGAACTAGAAATATCATTTGACCCAGCCATCCCATTCCTGGGTATATACCCGAAGGATTATAGATCATGCTACTATAAAGACACATGCACACGTATGTTTATTGCAGCACTATTCACAATAGCAAAGACTTGGAACCAACCCAAATGTCCATCAATGATAGACTGGATTAAGAAAATGTGGCACATATACACCATGGAATACTATGCAGCCATAAAAAAGGATGAGTTCATGTCCTTTGTAGGGACATGGATGAAGCTGGAAATCATCTTTCTGAGCAAACTATCACAAGGACAGAAAACCAAACACCACATGTTCTCACTCATAGGTAGAAATTGAACAATGAGAACACTTGGACATAGGGTGGGGAACATCACACACCGGGGCCTGTCATAGGGTGGGGGACTCGGGGAGGGATAGCATTAGGAGAAATACCTAATGTAAATGAAGAATTAATGGGTGCAGCAAACCAACATAGCACATGTATACCTGTGTAACAAACCTGCAGGTTGTGCACATGTACCGTAGAACTTAAAAGTATATATATATAAAAAATAGCCTTTAAGAAAGATGGCTCTTAAGATATAAAGGAAAATTGAAAATTAGTAAAGTTAAATATGGCATTATGATTATCATACTAAATAGGCCTACTGCATATTCCTACTGTGATTCTTTTTAGATTGAAAATGAAAAACCATAGATGTGGATTAAAGTACTGCTTGAGACATTATGTCTTTTAGGGACTCACTGGTAATAACATATCTTCCCTATCCACCTATTGGAGAAAATGCTCCCGTAAAACAATTGTTAAACCCTTAAAAAAATTGTTTAAAACAATTCTACTGAAACCTGAATGTTCCTTCTTAGAAAGGTCGAATAAAAATTATGCTTTCCAACTGAGAAATTATATTTCATTTTATGACAGTAATTGTCTGCAGGCTATTTGTTTTAAATATATTAACCACATCAGATTTAATCTGGAAAGCTCTGCAATTTAAGTGTTCAAAAAGCGTATAAGCTAAAAGCTTAAATCAAGGCCATCCATGGATGGGAACTTTTTGTTGTTAAAGAGAAAGATCTTTTGTGCTATTTTAAGAATCTCCTTGTTGAAAGATCTTGAATGCAGTAAGAAAATCTATAAACCTCGAACACTTGGCTGAACCAAGGTCAGGTTAAGGTTACGAGAGGGATTTATCCAACTCATCAGTCTGAGAACATAAATATACTTAAATAATAAAAGAAACAACATTGAATATAAGTAACCTAGCTACTCAGATTACTATCACAGTGCAAAAATTCAAGATATCTCCAATGCACTTCACATTTTCATCACTAGCATCAGTTAAAGTTAGTTGAATATATACATACATATTCAACCAGAACGTAATACATTTTTCTTCCCTACAGAGTATATTTTCTACATCAATCTAAATGTCTCTCTTCCTCCTCTCTTATGAAGACGTATAATATTGGAGATATTTTATACTTCTTCTTTTCCTTATTCTGTCACTATATGCCGTAAGTTGCCCGGTCTTATTGATTCTACTTTTACAATAACCTCTCGTGAGCCCCCTCCTCTCTAATCTCCTGATAGTATTATAATTCAGGGCCTCATAGCAACCTATCATCTGCATGGCTGTAATAACTAGCCCAATAACTGGTCCCTGCATTTAGCCTCTCCCTACCCCAACATATCTTAAATACTTCTGTCAGATTAATTTTCCTAATGAACAACTCTGATTTTTCATCCCCTTGCCCAAATGCCTTACAATCTACAACATAAAGTCTAGAATCCCCAGCCCAGCATTTAAAAGCAGGATCTAGCCACAATCTATGTTTAAAATCGGATTTTCCTCTACTTTTTCACAGCTATTTTTTCCTTTGTTTTAACTCACATTCTTCTCCTCCCTAATTTTGTGCTTTCCTGACTCGGAAACAGCCTTTCCTTCCTTCTCTGCTGTTGCAGATTCTACACTTCCTTCAAGGCTCAAGGTCTAGCTCAGTGCCACATCCTCCACAAAGCCTTCTCTTAATGTCTCATTTGGAAGTAACTGCTTCCACCTCCAAAGTACTCTGAAGGACATTTTGAAAATGCCTCTTTCTCAACTTTCTTCTGTTTCTTATTTTCTTTATCAACTCCTTAAGAAGACAATCCAACTCTTATTTGCTTTTGTATTTTCCAATTGAATGGCACAGCAATATTTGCATGCTGGTTGACTAAATAAATAGTTGAAGAAATAAATATGTGTATATCCAACAAACAAGAGGCGACATCACATCAGTTTTATGTAAAAGAAGACATGATCTAACACATAGAAAAATACTGTACTTGATACTGTAGCTAGACATCAGCAAAAAAGAAAAAAGTACATTGAAAAGTAATAAATATTTATATCTAGGTAAAAATATAAAAGAATCTTTTCTAAGGAAGATCTCAGAGTATTTACTTTAACCAATATATTTTATTGTAAAGCGTGTGCACAGTTTTTAATGGCCAAATATACCCAATTCTTTAATTTTTACTTTATTTATTACTAATACTAGGATGATTTGGCTCTAGAAAGTTGAAATAACATTTGAAACACCATCAATTCTAAATATGGCCAAAGTGAACCCAGAATCTGGTAATTCATTTCCTGAAAAATAGAGTTAAAGTCGATGTTTCACTATGAACCTTTGAAATCATCATCAAATTCATTTTTTTCATGTGTGTCTAGTGAAGTTCTTGGTATATAAACACTCATAAACACCACATATTGGATGAATGAATGAATCAATCAACAAGAGTGCTGATGGTAGTTGTAGCTACTACCCTCTGAGTGATAATCCTATACCAATACATTGAGCTGACAAACAGCTGCACAGAAATAGGTGCTCAGTAAATATTTGTTGAGTTTAATTCACATAATTTTAGAGCTGGCCAGTCACAGTGGTTCATGCCTCTAATCCCAGCACTTTGGGAGGCTGAGGCAGGAGAATCACTTGAGGCCCAGAGTTCAAGACCAGTCTGGGCGATATAGTGAGACCCCCTTCTCTAATTTTAAAAATAGATAGATAGATAGATAGATATCATGTACATAAATAGAGATTCATAAATACATAAATATTAAAATATATATTTAATGTATAAATTTATATATTTAAATATATAAATATATATGGATGTATAAATTTATATATTTAAATATATAATTATATATGAATATATATTCATAAATATATGGAATACCTCTGCTATCCAATGTTTTAATATATAAATATGTTTAAATATATGAATATATAAATATAAATACATATAAAATATACAGAGATATACATATGAATATGTATATCTATGTATACATATGAATATGTATATCTATGTATACATTTTTAGATCTATCTAAATATTTATCTAATATATATAGATATAGATATACAAAGATATGTATATCTATATACATTTTAATATATATTTATATTTATATATTCATATATTTATATATTTAAATATATTTATATATTAGAATATTGGATAGCAGAGGTATATCCATATATATTTATGAATATATATCCATTTAGATCTATCTAAGTATATATCTATCGAATATATATACATAGATATAGATATACATAGATATGTGGATATATAGATGCATATATATCTATAGTTACATAATTTTAGAGCTGGAGAGGACCTTAGAAATGATATACCTTCTGTTTATTGCTCTCTCCTCTATGAGTACGCACAGCTTTTTGCATATGCTTATTGAAGCACATGTACTAGCAAAGTACTTAGTTTTCTTCAAGTTAACTCCTTGAAGACAAAGATGTTGTGATGACACACCTTCCCCACCTAGCCAGATGCTTGCTTGGCAGATTGCAGGCACTTGAATGCTTGCTAAGTGAGTGAATGAGAGTGAATCTAGGCCTCTGCTATCCAATATAGCCATTAGCCACATGTGGGTATTTAAATTAATTAGAATTAAACAAAATTTAAAAATCAGTTATTTAGTCACACCTACTGCATTTAAAGTGTTCAGTCACCACATGTGGCTAGTGACTACCATATTGGACAGAGCAGAGAATATTTCCATTATTGCAGAAAGTTCTATTGGACAGTGTTGATCTAGAGTATTTCTCTCACTTTGCACAACAGAATGAGCTCAGGGAAGTTGTCACTTGCTCAAAATTAAACCATCAGAAGCAGAACTGAGATTAAAACTGGGAACTCCTAGATCAATATCCATTGTTGTTGAGTCATACCTCTGATTCATTTCAGAATTCTAACTGTATGTGGCCCTAACTTAAAGCTCCATATGAGCTTATGGTATGATATTAGGGGAAACATCGTCTTTGTGTTATGATTGTCATAGAAGTGATTTTATTTTTGTATTTTACTTGATCAATTTGCATGTTTGATAAAAATATATATAACAGGTTAAAAAAATGTACCTGGAAGTTCTGTACCTCTGGTATAGAAAGAAAAAATAATGCTAATTTTAAAAATACTTTCCAGGTATCTAACTAAATAAAATATTATAGTATTCTGGTCTTGTGACCATTTACTTAGAAAAGGCACAGCATAGGCTCTGGTCAAATGTGCTTTTTGCTTTGGTTTTTTAAAAGCATTCCTCTTTGGTTTATTAATTTTTGAAAATTATTTGGATCCAAATCAACAAGTTACTTTTTTCAAAAAACAAAGGGGATTTTTTAAATTTAAAAACAAAGGCCATATTTTAATACAACATCACCAGCTATTGAGTGCGTACCAAAGAACTGCAAGAAAATTGGTCTTAAGAAAGAAAAAAGTACAATGACAGAAAACATGATATAGTGCACCTCTAAGGAGATGGGAACCAGACTAATTGGAAAAAAACACACATCTCCCAAGCATTTCCACATACACATATGTACAGGTTATATAAGCAAAGTAAATCAACAAATTACTAAGATTTTCCAGATTTGGAATTTAAGGTGGGTTTGGTTTAAATTCTTAAAAGATTTTCGCAACTGTTTTAGAAAGCATCAGTATTTTCTAAAATGCTCTTTCTTAGAGAAAGAGCCTACTTTCTACAACTTCCATAAATGTATGTGTTTATAAAATTAGTATTTAGTATTTCCCAGAAAGAGCTATCCAGTTCTGCTTGGCGGGACAGGAATAATTATATGAGGTTAGGAAGTGATCATCCCCATAGCTATCCTAACATTAGAATGTGAAGGAGGCAAGGAAGTGGGGGGCAAAATTGGAGTTGAGATCACCCACATGCTATCAGTCTAGAGTTCTTAGAGATATTACAATTACTCAAAGAACACTTTTTGATCCACTCTAGATATGTCTTGACTGGAAAGAAGTTATAGAACAAATATTGTGGTTTCTGATAGAAAAGTATATAATCTAGTGTTGCTTTTAAGAATTACAAAGGCAATTTGCCATCTTCCCATAGAAATTTGAAAATTAGATGAAAAAGAACTAGTTATGAAAGAGATCAAGTTTTAGAATTAAAGGAGGTGCCTCAGAAAGTATCTGGTTCTTTCCTTGAAAGCCTTTATTCTCCTGTCAGACAGACTAGTAATCAAGATGATAAAATGTCAGTATTTAGGTATCAATAACATCCCTATTCAACCATAGGCCAAAGAGAGAGGCTTTTTTTTGTTGCTGGTTTTTTTTTTTTAACTGTCATATTCCCTTTGATGTAAACTAAAAAACTTTTTGCTTGGCTGGGAATGTAATTATTCAAGCTCCTAGGTCATTATCTGATAATGAATCCTCAACAACTCTAGTCAAGTTTGGTTTTAGGCAATGGAAAATTAAAGCAAGTACTTGATTCAGTTTTCTTAGAATATATGCTTTTTCAAACAACCCAATATAGCAGTTTTTCCCAAAAATAAATGATGTATGGGGTAAAAAGTCATGGACTCCTGATGTTGATTTAAATTATCATAATTATAATGTTACCTAAGTGTATATTACACATAAAATTAAATATCTTATAACTTTTATATCATTATAAAACAATATAAATTTATAAATTAAATACAACATAATGTCCTAAACATATGTTTCAAATTAACAATATTTGAATGTTCACTTACTCAGCAAACATTTATTTGAGGATCTGCTCTGTTCCAGGCATACAGTATGTAATTCTAGCTGTTATAACAAACACATCCCAAATTTCAGTGGCTTAAAAGATTAAATGTTTAAGTGAATAAGCCAGTTACAGAAGGACAAATATTGTGTGATTCCATTCATAGAGACGCAAGGTAGAAGAGTGGTTTCCAGGGAATGGGGAGTTATTGTTAAATGGGTACAGAATCTCAGTTTTGCAAGATGAAAAGACTTCTGGAGAAGGATGGGGGTGATGGTTGCACAACTATGTGACTGTACTTAATGCCACAGAACTGTGCACTTAAAAATGGTTAACATGGTCAATTTTATGTCATATGTATTTTTCCACAATTTTTTAAAACAGTAATGTTTAAAATCACACACAGCAAATTAAATGCTAATTTCTCACTTAACCTCACAGATCGATTTCCTGGTTATAAATTGCCAATAGGGACCCAGGCAGGTAGAGGCTTTTCTATCTTCCACATCTGGCGTCTAGCATCATCCTTGACGTCAACATCCAGCTATCAGATGGGAGAAGAGTGAAAGGGTCATATGCAAGAGGTTTTTATGGGCCAGGCCTGGAAGTTGCACACATTCCACTGGCTGGAACTCAGTCTTGCAGCAGCACCTAATTGCAAGGGAAACTGGAAAACATAGTCGAACTGTGTACTCAAGAAAACAGGTTTGGTCATGACCTAGTCATCTATGCCATAGTCCATCCATCTGATACCAAAAAAAAGCCATTTCACTCTTCTTCCCAAATAAATAATACACTCATTATTGTCACCAAATGAGATAACCTAAAATCCACCCAGTCACTGCATCAAGTTCAAAGTGCAGGATTTCCATGTAATGCACAGAATTCTCAGTCAGATCTGAATATAATTCCACATCGTCCTGTAACCCAGTTATTCTCAACTAAGAATGATTTTGTCCCCCAGGAGATATTAGGCAATGTCTGAAGACATTTTTGATTAACACAACTGGGAGTGAGGGGGATGATACTGGCAACTGATGGGTAGGGGCCAGGGAGGCTGCTAAACCTCGTACAATATACAGGACAGCCCCACTGTAAAGAATTGTCCAGTCTAACATTTCAATTAGAGCTGTGGCTTATGAACTAATAAAATATCTTCCCTCACTCACACACAATGTATAATGATAGAACAAATATAGTAAATACTTCCAGGTAGGAAAGGGGGAAAAGTGGGACCCTGGCCCATCACAAAAATGAAATTTTGCAGGGAGGCATTGTGATGGCTCTGAGCTGGCAGTGGGAGCTGTTTCTCAGCTACACCCTGTTTCCATTATCTGTGAGGAATCTGCTTATCTGTTGTCCTCTGTGGTCCCTGGCTCTGCCCTCTGGAAATTTTTCCTCTAAGCCCACATTTAAAATGAGTGTCGAGGAACGTGACTTTCTTGAGGAGAGTACAACTTTTAACGCAGGCTCATGATTTCTTTAGCAATACAGTAGTTCAAAAACTGAAAAGTATTTGATCTTTTTGCTTCCAGTCAGTTCCATATGCCAGAAACACTGAGGTTTCCTAGAGATAATTCTCAATCCTGATTATCTCTTTGCTTCTTCACTCCTCTCTTCCTCTCAATTTAAGGAGGCTACTTTGAGAACATCAGACTTAAATGTGAAGACCACACCCTAAATATAATCTTTGTTTCACGGCTGAGTCTTAATGGGCCCTTGTTGCTCAAGAGCTTTTTCAATCTTATTTCCTATTCTTTGAGGTATAGAGCAGTTAGTTTTTCCCATCCCTTGAGGCTCCAAATTTCTGGACTCTCTATATTCCTTTTAATTTATGCTTGCAAACCTGCTAATTATTGCATGAGTTCATCTTATGTTTCCAATATCTTACTGAATGCAGCCATAAATATAACCTACTAACATTCCATTTTTCAACCTCTTATAGAACTATGGGTTTCATAGATATCTTACTTTCTTACCAAATTATTGTAGGTATAAGATTGATGGGAAAGCTTCCCCTCTGCCTTCTGAAGCTTTGCTGAAATGACTGACAATAGACAGATTAACAGGAGAAAAGGCATACAAATTTATCAGTGCACATGGACAGAGTAGTCCTGCGAATATGAGACTCAAAGAAAGACCAGAGGGTTGAGACTTAAATATCCTTTTTGTAGGGGAGAGGTAAAGGGGGAGTGTACGCATTTTTAAGGGGTAGTAAATGCTTTTCAAGGGAATTGAATAAACCTGTAAGAATTGTCACACCTCTGGCAGTAAGCAGTCTTAGCACATGTCTATTCACTCTGTTGTTTTACCTGAGAGTTAACACACTTAGGATAGGTCTATAAATTCAGGTCATTTCAAGAAACATGTATTGAATACCCACTAGGTACTGGGCTATTTAGAAAAGATACAAAGATGATCAGCAAACCATCCCTGCCTTTAAGAAACTTGAATTATAAGTACTGGAGTAGATACTTAGCCTCAACATTCATTCCACCATCCTATCTGAAGAAGTTGGAAAGCTGAAAATTACATTTCTCAGACTCCTTTGCCACTCAATTTTTGGGTGCAAATAAGGCCTGCCAAATAAATTTCCTTATGAAAACACAGGTGCAAGTGAAATGGAGGCTCTCTTCTTACTGCTGTGTCACTTGCAAGCAAGGTGTGATGACATGCCTGTGGCATTCAGACTCCTCATAGTCTTGACAGGTGTGAGCCAGTGGTGGTGGCAGCAGCAGTAGCAGTGTTCTAGTGTCAGCTTCCCATCCCAGCTGCAGTGTATGTTAGTCAGAATAAACTAGACTTATGCTGTAGTGACAAGCATCCCCCAAAATCTCAGTGGCTTCATATAATAAAAGTTGCTTTCTCACAGACAAAATGTTTCCTGCAGGTGTGGGCAGTTGCTCTCCATGTGCTGACTTAAGAAATCTGGGCTGCTTCAATCTTGTGGCTGCTACATCTTAACCCAAGGTCTCCTCTATAACTATTGTGGCAGGGAAGAGGTAGTCTAGAGAACTGCTCAAAGGCTTTTCACTGTTTCATCCTGGAAGTGACGTGTTACTTCTCACATTTTATTGGCTAGACCTCATCACAAGGCCCCACTAACCGCAAGGGAATTGGGAACTGTAAACTCCCATATGCTCAGAAATCAAGGAGGACCGGATACTAGTGAACACTAGTAATGTTTACCACAAAGCATGTGACTTTGAATTCGACAGTCTGCTGACCTCAACCCCTTCAGCCCTTCCACAGATTTCAGAAGCAGTGAAGTGCCTGAATGAAATCCCTTTTTTTTTTTTTTTTTGAAACATCCAGAGTGGTTTCAGCTTCCTATGGTGAACCCTGACTGTATCCTTTGTGTGCTAGTGGCTTTCCATCCCCTTACCTCCAACCATTCTCTACCTTTCAGTGCCCTACTTTGTGCCCCAGGAGTCTGTCCTGTATGAACTGCATGTTCCGAGCCCCTCTACCCTCTGGCCTTGGTTGGTTTTGGATCATGGGAAGCACCACCAAGAGATCAGAAAGTAGGAGGTGAGAGAAATCAGGATATTTATCCCTTCTTCCTTTCAACTTCTCACCAGACTGTGGGTCCCTTACCCTGTCAACTCTGTGAAGAGTCCTTTCATTAAATTTTCCCCATTTAAACACATTGAATATGATATCTGTTTCCTGCCTTGACTATGACTCCTATCAGGGGTTTAATAATCAAACCATGAGTCTAAAAAACAGTAACAGACTGTCTCCTATCTTCCATTTTATAAAGTAGAAGAGCTTTACAAAATGTAAATCTGAATATATCATGCTTCTTCTTTAAAACTTCAATGGCTCTTTGTTAACCCCTGTCACTGTACCCAACTCTAAGTTGCAGCCAGACAGAACTAATTTCAGTTCCCTCTGCAACATGGTCTCTCTTCCTTTGAGCCTCTGCACAGACACTACCTCCTTCCTGGAAACTGCTCCCCACCCATGCTCATTATTCAGGCCTCAGCTTAAAGGCCTGAATTCAGGCTTCACTTACCCTAGAAGGCATTCCATAAACCTACTACTTATCCCTGTTAGCTTTTATAGTCTCCCACAGCAGTCTCCACTCACCATCATACACAGACAGCACTCAGTGTTACATTGTACTGCAACTGCCTGCTTACTTCTCTGTGTCCTCCAGTAGACCGTGAGATCTAAGACAGGGACGGCATTTCAAATCCATAGGACCTATTAAGGTGCTTGGCACCTAATAGACACTCAATAAATATTGGATAGTTCCTGAATGTTATTGAAAAAGATTGAACTGTCCTCCTCTGGTCACCATTCTCTCTCTCTTTTCATTCGCTGACAAAAAAATCAGAAAAACATCAATAAAAATATAATTTTTATTTACCCACATTACTTTGTCACTATCTTACTTTTCACTGTCATCTTTTCACTTACTTTGTCACTTTTCATCTTACTTTGTCACTATCTTTTATGATGACTTCTCTTGCCAAGATTACCAATGACCTCCTAGACCTTCAATTCAGTAGCTTCTTTTCAGTCCAAATCCTCTGGGACTGCTCTGCAGCACTCTCTTGAAATGGTCCTCTGTCCTACATGGATCACAGATTGCTCTCTCTCTTTCTTTCTCTCTCTCTTCTCTCTCTCACACACACATACTCACATACCACACACACACACTTTAGTTGATCTGTTTGCATATCTCTGTTTTTCTCCATTCCTTTATAAGCCCCTATGTCTTATTCATTTGCATCTCTAGTACCCAGCATAGTGCCTGGCACACAATAGAACTTTGTAACTACGAATGTTACATGATTAAAACCGTCTGGGCTTCCAGGCCATCTCTTTCTTCATCTCCTTTTTCTCTTGACTGCTTGTTCTTAGGCACCTTCACGATCTCCTCTTTGCCTACCCTTTAAATATTCTTCAGAGTAACTCATCCTTATCCACCTTTTGGGCTTCAGCCATCAGCGATTACCTCAATTCCCAAATGTATATTTTCAATTGCCAATGCATTTTTATGAGCTAAGGCTGCCTCTCTCTCCCTAGATGTACTGCAAGCAGATCCCATAAAGACTCATTATCTCTTCCATTCCCAACCTGCCCTCCTCTTGCTTTCAATGTTCAGTCAATGAAATTAACATTCATCCAGTGCTCTAAATGACAAATCTCAAAGTCCCCAAATGCATCTCACTGTCTTTGCCCCCTGTCCTGCAGGGTAAGAAGCTTTATCCATTACCAAATCCCCACCCCCGAACCTGCCTCTGAATCTTTTTTTTTTTTTAATTTATTTCTCCTAGAACAACTTACCCCACTTTGTCCCAAATCATTTTCATCCTTTGAAATTCAGAAAACTGATTAACTTCAATTAATTGCTTCTCTGAGTTCTACATAGCTTGGTGCTAGGTTGTGTTTTTTTAATGACCTGTCTAAACATGTCTTCCTCACTAGATTGTAAAATTCTTGAGGGCAGTTATTGGCTTTTGGTTATGGGGTCTAGCCGATGATTGACATTTTAAGCAATTTTTTTATATGAATGAATGAGTAAACGAGTAAACTGAGAAAGAAAATATTTTCAATTAAACCCTTTCAGAATTACTGTGGCAGAATCTGAGTGAAAATGACAATAACTCAGTTTAAAAACATGAACATCACGTAACCAACTTTGTAACATTCATTGTAACAATACATGCATGATTACAGAAGGCAGGTAATTGTTATTCCCCTAGGGAGATTTTTTTTTAAGCCTGCTCTGAAGATTTTGTTTTGTTTTTAAGACAGGGGCTTGTTCTGTTGCCCAGGCTAGAGTGCAGTGGCGCGATCTCCGATCATTGCAAGCTCCGCTTCCCCGGCTCAGGCTAACCTCCCTCCTCAGCCTCCCGAGTAGCTGGGATTACAGCGTAGCCATGCCAGACTGCCTGCAGAATTTGATTTTAAGCATTTCAGTTCTCAGTATAGACAGACAAATTTTTAAAGGGAGGGTATTATTTTAACTGCTTCTTTGCTCTTTTATCTTTTGTCCTGGGTGACAGGAACTAGATAAGCTATACCCCAGAGAAAGCGCCTGCAGCAGTACGGTGCCTGGGCCCTTGATAGTCCCTCAGCACATCATTTTCCTTTTTCCTACCTTATCTTCCTTTTATATTTGAAGGCTCGTGAATTTAGAGTACCTAACGGAAATTTTAGTTTTAGGATTTCAATTTGACCAAAACAACGCTGAGATTTTAATTGCCTCTATTAACCCATGGCTCTCAAACCCAAAGGAAAGAAACCACTGGAGGGGGTGGGGGAGAAAGGAGGCGGTGCAAAAACTGAAAAGAAAGGCGGAGAGGAAGCGGTAGAAGGAAGCTTTCTCTGTCGGGTTTGTCTTTTTTTAACCCCAGAAAGGCGTGACGTGCTAACTGCCGTCGCGGGTTAGAGTCCGCGGCCAAGCCCGCGCCCGCCCACAAAGTCCCCGCCCTCCCTCCGGCTTCCGCCCCGCCGTGCGCTGCAGGCCGCGGCCGCTGGGGGCGCCCCCGACCCCCGAGGCGCTGAGGCGGCGGTTCCTCGAGCCTCGCCTCTCCCGACTCCCAGACGGGCGGCAGCGGCGGCGGAGGCGGCGGCGGCGGCGGCGGCGAGCTGAGCACCAAAAGGGCGCTCACCTCCCCGGGCGAGCTGCAGCACGACCGCTCCCCGCGGGCGGTCGGGGTCCGCGCCGCAGCTGCCGCCGCGTTCCGGCCCAGGCTGCCGCGAGAGGCGGCGGCAGCGGCCCCGGCCGCGGCCGGCCTGCGGCGCCCCCCGGCCGCGCCCCCGCGCACAGCTCGCGGCCCCGGCCATGGGGCTGGGCTGATCCGGGGCTCGGCCAAGCTGAGGCGGCGGCGCCCGGCCGTGCGCCCAGCTTGCAGGCGCCTGGCTCTCACGATGATGAAGAAGAAGAAGTTTAAGTTTAAGGTGGACTTCGAGCTCGAGGAGCTCTCCTCAGTGCCCTTCGTCAATGGGGTCCTCTTCTGCAAGATGCGGCTGCTGGACGGCGGCAGCTTCACCGCCGAGTCCTCCAGGTAACTCGCCTCCCGCGCCGCCTCGCCCCTTTCTGCTTGGCCAGGGCTTGTTGGATGGGCAGCATCTCTCCTTGGCCCATTTGCTCGCCTTTCCCTAGGGACCGCTCTAAAATCAGTCGAATTTATTGATCTGCAAAGTGCTTTGCAAATGGGTTCTTCTCAGCTGGCCTTGGTTCCTGCGCTCCTGACTCCAGATGGTGCCTGGTATCTGCTCTTCCCTCCCAAATCCTCTAGGAATGGGAGCAATGGCCAGAGAGGGAGGATGCTTCTGTTTTCTCTTAAGACATTTCCATATTTGTGAAATGCAAAGTAGAACTTGAGCTGTTAAAAACTAAAATAACCCAAACTGCAGGAGTTCCAAGAGCCCAGCTCTGAACAGAAACCTGTGCTTAGCACAATTCCTTCTCCCTTGTAGATTACAAGGGGACTTGGCCACCCACTCTGAGGCTGGGGTAGGCCTGGCCAGGCTTGACTTGAGTCAAGTGCTCCTGGCAGACGAGACAACGGTCTGTGCCTCATCAGAGAGCGGCGTCTCCAGTTAGGCGCTAATGCTGGATGAATTAGTCTTGAAGTGGCCACTAGTAGGTCTCCTTGTGGGAGGGCTTAGAGCCAGATGGGGAGCCCAGGCCCTGCCCTCATTTTAAAATGAGCCCCTGGGCACTCCCAGAGAGAGGCATTAGCAGGTTACAGAATGAAGCTATTAAATAATAGGTGTGGCATTAATAATAGGTGTGGCAGTGTTTCTTGAGTAATTTCAGAGCTACTCACAGGTTGACAGATGTACCCTAAGGTGCTTTCTTTAAAATATATACATAGAGAGAGAAAACAATTTTTTAAATGAACTTTTGAGTTCCTGAGATCAAGAAGGGTTAAAAGTTAATGTTATTTTGCCCATATATACTGGTCTTAGGCTTTATTTCTGCCCTAAAAATATTCTACTTAAAAAAAATTCCGTCATCCCATTTATAGTATAAAGGAAATAATGTCACTGGATTGTGGAATTGGGGCTAGAAACTTGTCTTTGGGGCAATATTGAAGCCTATGGAAGCCAGAAAATGTCTAGTTGGCTAAACCAAAGGATATATGAAATTAATAGTTTGCCGAAGACAGTTTTTAAAATTAAACTGTGGTGACACATCAGTGGATATTCAGCTAAGTATTTTAAACACCTGTAAGAGAAGAATGTAACCTATTTTGGTGCAAAAAAAATATTGGACCATCTCTTACTTGTTGAAAAGCCTAAGCCGATTCGTGAAGGTCCTGTTGGTGCAGGTGACAGTCTTGCCCTGAGGCCTAGACTGTTTTGCTGCAGGGTGCCACCCCCGACGCCAGGCAGTTAGACTGGCGCTCCTGGGCCAGTGGTGACACCTGGTGGTCAGGGCACTTGTCTACGGGGCTTCCTTCCTACCTCAGTTATGTTTATTTGGCTTACTTCCCACAAGTCACTTATTCTTTCGTTGTAGGCAGTCATTTATTCAGCAAATATGTGTTGGCTTCTAAATATATTATCTTATTTAATTCTCATAGCAAGTCTATAAGGTAGGGGTTCCATTTCGTAGATAAATAAACTGAGGCTCAGAAAGCATAACTAACTTTCCTAAGGTCCCCTCAGCTGGTAAGTGCGATGCCAAGATTCTGATCAGGTCTGTGTAACTTCAAACAGGGTGGTGCCAGATAAAGGAATAAATCGTGTGCCATATATGAAAGTTTCTGAATAGGGAGCTTCCTAATGACTTTAATGAGCAAGGGGTATACTCCGCAAGACTTAGAAATGAAAAAGTTGAGTATCTTGGGTTAAACTCACCCCTTTTTCTTCCAATTAAAATTTGACTTTGATCAATTTGATTTTAAGTAAGATTAGGAATAGTGCTCTGTGTAGCCAAACCAAAAAGCCATATAGTATGGGGGAAATGACTCACAATAAGGAGCCTGTGCCTTTGACATTAGGTAGAGATAGTTGGTGTAAAGCTAAGAGCAAGGATTTGGAATGCGGTGAGTCTAAGCCTAAACCCCAGTTCCACTGTGGTAAACCTGGATGGGTTACTTAGAGTCCCAAAACTTCTGTATGTAAAATAGAAACCATCACTGACATGTGGTGGTGTGAGGATTTAGTGAGATGATGTGCCCAAAACACCTAAACAGTGCCTTAGCACCCAGTTGGCATTTAAAGAGGAGACCAGGAACTTGTCCAAGAAGGTCCATTTGCTTGAGATGTTATATTTGATTCCTTTATCCTAACAACTACAAAATTGTTGGTTTGAGAAAGAGACCTCATTTTACAAGAAAAAAAAAAAAGAAAATCTGAAATATCTAAAGGAAGTGAATTATTTCAAAATCACAGAACTTTTAATTAGTGGGTGCCAGTCAAGGCAGTGCATCTCTAATTGAACGCTAGATTTTAACTTCTAAAAAATTGCTGTATGTGCCCCTTAAAAGTCAGGTGTAGTTAACACTGTAACATTTCTCCTGTAAAAATATGAAATGAATTACATAGAAAAGAGGTAATATAGCAGGCCCAAGACTGCTATTCTTAGAAAGGCCTATGTACAAGGCTGGCCCTTGGCTGGCATCTGGGAGCTTGAATGGTAAATGGTTCCATACATGATACAAAACTTTACGTAAATGATAAGAGTGGCTCACTGTGCCTAGACTGTACGGAGTGGTTTATGCTAAATTCCATCTGGAATTTTGGTTCTTGCTAGGCAGCCTACGTGACCAGCCCTAATACAAATTTTGGGCATTGAGTCTCTAATGAGTTTCCCTGGTAGACAGCACATCACAATTTAATTCTAGAGAAGTTAAGTGTGTGCTGATTCGACTTTGTATCTTTTCATTGTAATAAACCTTAGCCATGAGTAGGACTGTATGCTGAGTCCTGTGAGTCCTAATGAATCACCAAACTTAGGATTGGTCTTGGAGACTCCCTGATGGATGAACCTTTATAAAATAATACTCATCTTGCTACAGAAAAGCCTTAGAGGCACACAGAAAATTGCATATATAGATATAAATAGAGAGACCCAAATATATATAGGTCATATGTATTTGATATATATATTAATATATTTGGCTTTGTACAACAACTAAACATGCAGATCATTTATTCTTGGCCAAGTATTAGTTGAGCATTTACCAGGTTTCTATTAATAGCTCTCCATCTGGGATTGTGAGAAGTACAACAAATATAAGGATCCACAAGGGAATTACTTCTAATGAAATTAGATCATAGATGTATAATTGCTTGACAGTAGAAGACAGTGTGACTTAGTGCCCAATCAATGGATCAGACAATATATTGAGTGTTGTTGAAATTCTAAAGCAAAAGAGTTAATTTACAACTGTAATGGTTACTGACAACCACATTGGCATTTCTGTGGAGCACTCTGGGAGGATGAGTTTGCATTGACAAAGTGAGGATGGGAGGACAGCTTGAGCAAGTCATCAATAGGAGTTGATAATAGATCAGCCTGATTGCAGAGCGTTCATGTTGAATGGAAGCAGAAGATAAGATTAGAGAAAGACTTTGAATACTGTTGTAAAGAGTTTCTTTCTACTCTCTTTCTATAAATGAGAGTTGCTTTCTACTGCTCATAGGGTAAAATTAAACCTAAGATTCTTGAACTGAGTTGTTGTGTGGTTAAAGTGGCGTATCACCTGGCTGACAGGCTGATGCTATCTGTATTCAAGGTTGGGTGGGGGGGAAATTAGAGATGGGGAGACAAATTAGGAGGCTATTAAAATAACCCAGGCAGGAGCTAATGAGAACCTGAACTCCGAGGTGTCTCATGTAAGTGACTGATAAATGATAATCTTATGACAGATGCCTTGACGCCACCACAGAAGTAAAGAAGTCAGGAAAATTATTTGTTTTGTTTAAGGGGAATATTGCATATGGTGGTGGAAGATATAGTGGGTTAAGTTGTATGCTTAGCATGCTACATTTGAGGTGACAGCCTGATGAGTAGTGGGAGGCATTTATGCGGTATGTGGATTTCTTAGATGTTGTCTATTGGAGCCATATAGGCCTGCTTACTAAACTTATTTAGAATTTCCTTACATTGTTTTTACCCTTTTAAAGATTATTAGTGAAAAAAGGCCAGGCATAGTGGCTCATGCCTGTAAATCCCAGCACTTTGGGAGGCCGAGACACGCGGATTGGTTGAGCTCAGGAGTTTGAGACCAGCCTGGGCAACATGGCAAAACCCCATTTCTACAAAAAACATACCAAAAAATTAGCTAGATGTGGTGGTGGGCACCTGTAATGCCAGCTACTCAGGAGGCTGAGGTAGGAGGATCGCTTGAACCCGGGAGGCAGAGGTTGCAGTGAGCTGAGATCACCACCACTGCACTCCAGCCTGGGCAACAGAGTAAGACTCTGTCTCAAAAATAAATAAATAAAAATAAAGATTATTAGTGAAAATTAATTTTAGAAGCCAGTTTTTCTTGGTATTGTTTTCAATGAAGAGATTGGAAAAATATAAAGACTAAAAGGTAATTATTTGTAATAAATATTATTAAAATGGTCAGGGTAAATTGTCAGATTTTTACATGCCATAGTTAATAAAATATTTGGAAAATACATTGTACGATTATGGTGGTCTATTCAACTGAGGCTAAATTGTTGTCTAATAAAATACAGTCATGTATCAGTTAACAATGAGGATCTGTTCTGAGGAGTGCATCCTTAGGCGATTTCATCATTGTGCAAAAGTCATAGAGTGTACTTACACAAACCTAGATGGTATAGCCTACTACGTGCTTAGACTATGTCGTATAGCCTGTTGCTCTGACCACATCGTGTATTTGGTCTGTTGTTGACCAAAATGTCCTCATGCAGTACATGACTGTATTTCTGAAGATGTTTCAAAAGGACAGTATTATTGTATTTAAATCTTTTCACCGTACTTCCTTTGCAAAAGCATTTAAATCACTTTTAAGGTTTATTAAAACTGGCATGGCAGGTTTAATTCTGGCCTACTTAAACAAAGGAATAATAGGAAGAAATTTTTTCTATATCTTTTAGAATTCCCTAGTTTGCCTTATTTTGTTCATCTTTTTTTTTGTGCTGATAGCCAAATAGTTTTCTAAGTTTCACATGAGGCTGTGGCAGAAACACATGTGAATTTGGGGAGTGTCTGGGAAGCTGATGAGCACATCTATGTATTGGACCTTTTACTCTAAACAAGCGGAAAGGATTTCTTTCTTTTGGCCAGAGTACATCCTTCTGTTTTCAAGATTTTAGTTCACTGCACATTGTGTATTTCTTTTTAGTAAACATTTCTTTATTGAAAAAGTAATACAGATTCATATGGACAACTTAGAAAATAGAAAGGCAGAAAGAAAGGAACAAAAATTGCCCATAAATGAACCACCCAGGGATAATCACTATTATAAATATTTTAGTATAGAAATTAGGAGCCTTTATTGATCTGTACACATACATGTATGACCACACTCCCCCACACAACTATCACATACCCTTTTTAAGCCAAAATGAGATTATACTATACTTAGTATGGTTTTTTACTTCATGTATCTTTTCATATCATTAAATATTCAATTACAAGATTATTTTAATGGTGCATATTATTCTATTGTATGAGTTTCCATGACTTATTGAACCAAGTCACTTTTGAAAGGCTTTCTCCTTTCCTTTCTTTTTTGTTAATAGTTTTATAAATAAACTACAATAAACATCCTTATAACCAAGCTTGGTATACATCCATTATTATTTATTTAGGATTAACACTTAGAAATGGAATTATAGAGTCACAGGGCATGCAGATTTTTAAGGGTTTTGATATATATTACCAACTTGCCCTTCAGTGCATTAAATTGATTTTTTAAGATTAGTAATCACTAATAAGCAGCAAATTATCAAAAGTTACTAGTAGTAGAAAGTACTGTCTGACCATATGGCACAGAATTATTTATACACTAGATCCAGCAACCCCACTTCTGGGTATACATTCGAAGGAATTGAAATCAGTATGTTGAAGAGAATTCTGTACTCTTATTGTCTTTGCAGCATTATTTACAATAGCCAAGTTATTGAAACAACCTAAGTGTCTGTAAACAGATGAATGGATAAAGAAGATGTGGTATATACAATGGAAATTATTCGGCCTTTTAAAAAAAAAAAAGGAAATCCTGTCATTTGTGACAACATGGATGAACCTGGAGGACTTTTGTTTAAAATGAAATAAGCCAGGCACAGAAAGGCAAATACTGCATCATCTCACATATATGTGGGATATAAAAAAGGTGAACTCATAGTGGGTGAGGGCACGGAGAGATGGGGAACTGTTGGTCATAGGGCACAAAGTTTCAATTAGGTGGCATGGATATGTTCAGATCTGTTGTACAGAATGCTGACTATAGTTAATAATAATGTATTATACTTGAAAATTGCTAAGAGAATAGATCATAAGTGTTCTCCAACAGCAAAAAAAATAAATATGTGAGTTGATGGCTATGTTAATTGGCTTGGTTTAGCAATTTCACAATATATACACATATCAAAACATTACATAGTACACAGTAAGTATATACAATTTTTGTCAACTATATTTTAATATAGTTAAGTAATTAAAATAAAAAATTTTTTAATTAAAAAATTCCTTATACCCTGACCAGAAATGGAGTCATCAATTCACATTATTATAATACCTGTAATAATAGTAGCTGACATTTATTTGAGCACTTTCCCAGTGCGTCAGGAACTTTTCTAAGCCTTTACATTTAATCTTCAAGATATTCCCGTGAGGAAGGTGCTATTATTACGTCATTACCATTATTAGTGCCCTTGCCATTATTGCTGCTATTACTCTCATTTTATACCTGGGGAAACAGAAGCACAAAGAGATGCTAAAAGTTACTCAGCTAGTAAGTGGTAGAGCTAGGAGGCATTCTAGCTCCAAGGACCACTGTTAATCACTAAATTCTACTGCCTTTCAGGCTTTGTGTTGTATGCTTTCTCATTTTTATGTTTTATAAAAATGGTAGGTAAATATATGTAGTATAACTTTTTCTGAATGTCAGTTTCAGAAAACTGGTTCCAATATGTGACATCACTAAACAGGTTACAAGACCTGGCCCCTTTAGATTTTCCCTGAGGCAATTGTATATGAAAGATAAGTAAAATGCAGCGAGGCATTTTTATGGGCTCATGCCTGTAATCCCAGCACTTTGGAAGACTGAAGCAGGAGGGTGGCTTGAGCCCAGAAATTCAAGAACAGCCTGGGCAACATAGTGAGACCCTGTCTTTGAAGAAAATTTAAAAATTAGCTGGGTTTCGTGGCATGCACCTGTGTTCCCAGCTACTCAGGGAGACTGAGGTGGGAGAATCTCTTGAGCTTGGGAGATTGAAGCTGCAATGAGCCATGATTACACCACTGCACTCCAGCATGGGTGATGGAGCAGGACTCTGTCTCAAAAAAAAAGAAAAGAAAACAAAAGAAAAGAAAAATGGTACTCATGCCACTTTTTTTTTCAAGATGTGGCTTTGTACAACTAAGTTCACAAAATTTAGTCACATTATTGGATAGTCATATCTTATAAAAATAGTATTAATGCCATTTTACACCAGTAAGTTAATATTCACCACTGTATCACTGAGCCTTACATAGCCAGCATTTTGTAAATATTGAAAGAAAGCAAATATTGGGAGAAAAGATCTGTTGTAGTTTTGCTAAAGATGACACACATACAGAGATCACTAAATTAAATATATGGGGAAGTAGATCATGTTTTATCTACACAGCTTGTAAAAAATTATGTTCGGTTTGGGGTGCAGGCCTTTGAGGGTTATCAAATGGAGGTCCAAGGAAGATATTCGGATTCTTAAGAATCTTGAATTATGCTAATAACAGGAGACTGGGGTTAGTCTTGAGAGAAGATAATGGTCTTCAAATACTAAAAAATTGACTTGTATATATGTATATTTTACATTCCTAATTTTATTTGATTCTTACAAAACCCCTTTAATAGAAGTAGGAAACCATTGTCACCTGTTTTTGATTTAGAATGGATGTCAGGTGCTATAACAAGGTATTTTTAAAAAATAACTGGCTTAACCAAGATAGAAGTTTACTTCTCTTTCATATGAAGTCCAACCTAGTGTGGTAGCTGTGCTCTGTCCAGTTGTCAGGGGCCTGGACTCTTTTTGTCTTATTGCTCTCAGGGTATTGTTCTCATCCACAGGGACTGACTTGGCTCACCCCACATCCGAATTCCAGCCACTGGGAAGGAGGAGAGGGGAAGGGAAGGTCCCTTGTGCTCACAGTCCATTGACCAGAACATCAGCACCATGCCACATCCAGCCCCAAGGTTGAGAAATTTAGTTTTTGCTGGGTGCCTGTATGCCTAACGAAACACTGAATTAGAATAAAGGGAGGAGAGGACAGATATCAGGATAATTAGCCTCTGTCATACCACTCTTTTAGACATGAGAAAGTTGATCCTTAGAAAATAATTTGTTCAAAGTCACATATCAACTAATGAAAGATATTTGAAAAATTGTGCCATAAAGAAGGAATAGACTATGCTGGGTGCAGCTGAGGACAGAACTAGGACCAGTGGGGAGATGTTAAAGAAGGCATGTTTCTATTCAGTATAACATTAAAACAAATAAGTTCTAACATTTAGGAGAGTAAAATAGTGAGTAGACTACCTCAGTACTACTAACAGTTGAATGACCTCATCCATTTGTCAGGAATGTTATTCCTCGTTAGGAGGATGGGTCATCTAGATGATGATGCTGATTATTCTTTTTAGAGGCAGTTACTCTGTTGCCCAGGCTAGACAGGCTTGAGTGCAGTGGCACGATGATAGCTCATTGCAGCCTTGAATTCCTGTGCTCAAGCAATCCTCTCTCCTCAGCCTCCCAAGTAGCTGGGGCTACAGGTGTGTGCCACATGAACATGCTAAATTTTCTATTTTTGTAGAGATGTGGTCTTGCTATGTTGCCCAGGCTGGTCTCAAATTCCTGGCCTCAAGCAATCCTGCCTCAGCCGCCTAAACTGCTGGGATTACAGGTGTGAGTCACTGTACCTAGCCTCACCTAAATGATTCTTAAGGCCCTTTCTAACTCCAAAATTCTATGACTAAGCTTTCAATTTTGTCTTTTAATACTACTCTTCCTAAATCTTTCACTATAGCTGGGACTGGACAGCTTATATCAGCCAATTATGTGTGCATTTGTGTCTCTTTGATATCCTCTCCTTCACCCTTCTTTTAGTCAGTCCACATTTCAGCCATTCTTTAAGATCTAAATCAGTTATCTTCTCAGTTTTATACCCATACGTGTCCAACCTACAGTCCACCCACGGCTCCTAACATTACTACACATACTGTATCCTTAATTAATGTTGGTTATTTGTTGAATGAATGAAAACTTTTCTCACCATCCCACTGTGATTTCACTTGTCACTCAATTCTTACAGTTCTTGTTGCTACCAGTCATTTCACACCAAATTTACTCTTTTAATTACCTTCATGAAAAATTACCATACAGTGTACAATTTGCAGTAATAAATATAAACTCAAGAATAGGTAGAAAGGAGAAAGTGTTTAACTGGGATTTTTTGTGGGGGTGAGGTCAGGGGAAGTGTCATGGAAGAGAATTCCTTAGCAGGGTTTTTTTAAAAGTCTAGCTGGAGGAGAAAACAGAATGATAAAGGGAACAGAAGACACAGTGACATGAAGCAGCATGTTGTGTTGAGGGCACAGTGGGTAGAGTGGTGTATAACTGCTGCCACATAGAGGAAGGGAGAGGAAGTGGTCATTTCAAGGAGCCTAGACTTGGTTCTGTGCTGTAGTCTAGGGAGCCAAAAGCAGGGAGTGATATGCAAAGTTAGTGGTTTGGTTTAGGGTTGGAATTGAAGAGAATTCTCATCTGACACATGACCTTAGCTTTCTCAGTAGCAACCAAGAAAGGTAGAATAAGGGATGTGAGGATAATGATGAAAGATCAGAAAAGCTTCCACAAGGAATGGGAGAGGAAGCTGACCAAAGACAAGTCCAAAAGGCCCAACTGAAATTTAAAAACATGAATTTTAATGATGGCAGTATACGTGTTCATGCAGTTTTCTCCAGCAGTGCTTGTATGTCAGGGATAGGAGGCAGTGGGTAGTAGAATTGATTCAGATTTGGAAGTTTATGGGTATGTGGAAAGGCAGTTGGGAGTACTGGTGAGAAAGGAATCTAAAGAATCAGTAATGGGGTCCAGATTTCATATGGAGCAAAACCAGGCCAGGAAGATAAATAAGGAAAATATGGAACAGTTGGAGGATGAAGGCCTTAGTGATGTTAAAGGAAGATATGTGTGGAAGGAAAGATGCTGTGCAGAATTAGTTGGTGGGGAGGGGCTGTACTCAGAGTGGGATATTAACGCTTGGGATTACTTCAGTAGAGCAGGCCACAGTTGGCAGGGTATGGATGTTGCTGAGATGGTGTGAAGAATGGCATAGGGCAAAGAACCGTGAGTCTAGGGCGTGTTGTTTGCATGATATTACGATAGCCAGAATGATTGCAGGTGTTGGAGTGAAGAGAGAAAAATTGCAAAACAGCTACTTCACTGTCACATCAACCTGGAGGGGAAGAGTGTGACATAAGCCAGACATCACGTGCCTCAAGCTTTTAAACCCTAAGCTTGAAAGTAGTAGAGTTACAGCCTGCAAGTGGCAATGAGAGTGCCGGCACTGCCTCTGGACCTGTGGAAGATGGGGGTGGAGAATAAACATCACCTCTGCTGTAGGGGTACAATACAGCTAGTGTCCTCGTGAGATAGCCAGGTTTCGGTTAGACAATAAGAGGAGTGTTCTATGAAGAGACTAAGAGTATGAGGGTTTGTTTAATCCTAGAACAGAGGTTTCAGGTGGTTATCGTGGAATGAGTTGGGAGAGAGAGGAGCAACAGAATGAGTTGAAGTGAGGAAAAACAGAACAGTAGGACAGAGAAGATTGAGGATTTAGGGAGAATAGGTGACCAAGACTTTCATCTTAGATTTTTCCTACAGATTACAGGGATGAAAGGTATAATTTGAACTGACTGGCCTCAAAATTTTCAGTGTGGATATGAAATAATTTAGTGTCAAGTGATACAAGACAGTTTCTCTGGCTGCTACTTCTTGGAGTGTAAAAATGAGGTTGCGTTAGGTCCTGCCGCCCACTTCCTAGGAGGTCATGCCTTCTTTTATTGTCCATCCCTCCTTTTATTGTCCGTCCTTCCTCCTTACTGTCTCACACCCCTCTGCTGACAAACTTAATCTTCATCCTCACCAGTCTTTTAACTATTATTTCAGAGGATGAACTATTCTTCCTTCTGTTCCTTGCCATTTCTCTGTATCTTTGATCCTGTCCTTGTTTACCTTCCTTCTCCTTCTCTATACAATTCTGATACAAACTTCATGAGAAAAATAACTACATTTCCTGTCTCTTAAGCATTCCTCCTCTGCCCTCAATCCTGCACTCTGACTGCTGCCCCAGCACTCAACTAAAACTGTTTTTGCTAATACCATCAGTCATCCCTGATTGCCATGTCTAATCAGTATTTTCTCATTTGTACCTTTGTACTGTGTTTGAAACATTCTGAAAATTACCTATTTCTTGAAACTTGACTATCTTGACTTCCATGAATCCTATTCTTCACATCTCTAATTCCTTCTCTGAATTGCTTGAAGGCACTTCTTCTGCCTGCCCTTTTTTTATAGACTTTATTTTCAGAGCAAAATTGAATGGAAAATACGCAGAGTTTCCATATACCCACTGCTTCCCACTCACATAGCCTCCCCCACTAGCAACATCCTGCCACACGGTCGTACATTTTTGCCAGTAGAGAACCTACATTGACACATCATTATCACCCAAAGTTCACAGCTTACATTAGGGTTTACTCTTGGTGTTGTACATTCTAGGGGGTCGGCAAGTATCTAATAACATGTGTTCACCAATCTAGTATCATACAGAATAGTTTCACTGCCCTAAAAATCTTGTGTGTTCCACCTTTTCATTCGTCTTTCTCCTCTAATCCTTGATTTATTTGATTTATTTTATTTTATTTTATTTCTTGAGACGGAGTCTCGCCCTGTCGCCCAGGCTGGAGTGCAATGGTGCGATCTCGGCTCACTGCAACCTCCACCTCCCAGGTTCAAGCAATTCTCCTGCCTCAGCTGCCCAAGTAGCTGGGATTACAGGAGCGCGCCACCACACCCGGCTAATTTTTTTTGTATCTTTAGTACAGATGGGCTTTCACCATGGTTTTGCCTTTTCCAGAATGTCCTATAGTTGGAAACATGCAGTATGTAACTTTTTCATATTGGCTTCTTTCACTTAGTAATATGCATTTAAGGTTCCTCTTCCTTCATGGCCTCGTAATTCATTTCTTTTTAGCACTGAATAATAGTAATTATCTGGATATACTATGGTTTACCCATTCATCTACATATCTTAGTTGCTTCCAAGTTTTGGCAATTATGAATAAAGTTGCCATACATTTGTGTGTGCATGTTTCTGTGTAGACATAAGCTTTCACCTCATTTGGTTAAACACTGAGGAGCATGACTGCTGGATCATATCAGAAGAGTATTGCCCACCCATCTTTAAAGGCTTCCACAGGATTTGTGAGGCAATGAGGGCAATTATTAGGATTCTACTTTGCAAATAAATAAAGATCAGAAAAGGCAAATGATTTACCCAACATTATACTAGTAGTAAGTGATAGAGCAAGTCTAAAATTCAAGATTCCTGCCGATTCATCCAAGACTTTTTCATTATCTTATGTGACCTCTTTATTACGTAACAGAGAAATAGAGTTTAGATTTCTCACCTGGAGGTCCAAGCCAAGAACTGCTACACAACCCTTGAAAAACTACAGTACCTCATATAGCCTTGGCTGGGAAAGGGAATAGGCTGGAAAGGTAACTACAGTCTTTGTTAGGGCCTTTAGTGATGAGGATATTAGAGTCTCCAATAAATCCAAGAATTTGTTTGTATTTACAATGTATTAGGCCAAGAGTGGAAAGGCAACTCATAGAATGGGAGAAAATATTTGCAAGTCATATATTTCATAAGAGATTGATATCAAGAATAAGTAAAGAACTCCTACAACTCAACAACAAAAACACCAAACAACCCAGTAAAAACTGGACAAAGGACTTGAATAGACATTTCTCCAAAGAAGTTATACAAATGGCCAGAAGCACAAGAAAAGGTATACAGCATCACTTATCATTAGGGAAATGCAAATCAAAACCACAGTGAGGTATCACCTCTTACTCATTAGGATGGCAACTATCAAAAACAAAAAACAAAAACAAAAAAATAACAAGTGTTGGCAATGATGTGGAGAAATTAGAACCCTTTTGCATTGTTGGGAATGTAAAATGGGGCAGCCCCTATGGAAAACAGTATGGTGGTCCCTCAAAAAACTTTAAACCAGCAATTCTTCTGGATGTATACCCAAAGAATTAAAAGCAGGGACTTAAATATTTGGACACCCATGTTCATAGCAGCATTATTCTAAATAACTGAAAGGTAGAAGAAAACTAAGTGTCCATCACAGGATGAATGGATAAACAAAGTGTGGTATATACATACAGTGGAATATTATTCAGCCTTAAAAAATGAAGGAAATGCCAATACATGCTACAACATGGGTGAACATTGAGGACATTATGCTAAATAAGCCAATCACAAAAAAAAAAGACAAATACTTTATGATTCTGCTTAAATGAGGTACCAAAAGTAGTCAGAGTCATAGAGATAGAAAGTAGAATGGTGGTTGCCAGGGCCTGTGGTAGGGAAAAATGAAGAGTTTAATGGATATAGAGTTTTGGTTTTGTGAGATAAAAAGAGTTCTGGACATTGGACACTACTGAACTGTATACTTAAAAATGGTTAAGATGGGCCAGGCGTGGTGGCTCACGCCTGTAATCCCAGCACTTTGGGAGGCCAAGGCAGGCAGATCGCCTGAGATCAGGAGTTCAAGACCAGCCTGGCCAACATGGTGAAACCCCGTGTTTACTAAAAATACAGACATTAGCTGGGCGTGGTGGCAGGTGCCTGTAATCCCAGCTACTCGGAAGGCTGAGGAGGAGAATCACTTGAACCCAGGAGGCGGAGGTTGCAGTGAGCTGAGATCGTGCCATTGCACTCCAGCCTGGATGCCAAGAGCTAGACTTCGTCTCAAAGAAAAGGGGGGGTTAGATGGTCAATTTTATGAGTATTTTACCACAATTTTTTAAATGAATAAATATTTCATCCCCTCCAAATGTTTATTAGGCCAAACCAATTATTTGTACATTAGTATATTCAACTAATATAGACTCCATTAAAAAAAAGTTTTCTCTTATTTAAACTTCATAATTTAGGAACATTTCATTATGAATTTTTCTGCAGTAGCAATGATGAGTTCCTGCAATCATTCTATCAACTAATGCGATTTAGTAGAATATACACATATGGGCTTAAACAGTAATTGATTTTTATTTAACAGTTTTAGAAAAATCCCTCTGTCATATGATAACTGTTTAACATCAGAGGAATTGTCAGACTGTTTTTTAAAGAGGCTACACTGAAAAATGCTTTCCTGATGAAGATTCAGTGTTGCTATAGCACTCTTTATTAAAGTGGTTTTTCACGATAAGCACAAGTCAAAATGTTATTAGAGTCAAAATGTCTGACATTCTATCATCCCATTTTTGCCCTTCCTGGTTAAATCCTACTAATCCTTTAAAGCTTATAGATGCCAACTCTTCTAAGGAGTCTTCCCGAATTTCTCAGCTAAAATTAATAACTCCCTTCCTTCTGGGAACTTTCAGGGATTGGTAGGACTTAAACAGAAAAGGGAAACAGTTACCATATGACTCAGCAATTCCACTCCTAGGTGGAATGAAATTCTGTATTCAAGAGAAAAGAAAATATAATGTCACACAAAAATGTGTACATGAATTTTCTTAGCACCATTATTTATAACAGCCAAAAAGTTGAAACAACCCCAGTGTCCATCAGTTGATGAAAGGATAAATGAAACCTGATGTATCCATAGCATGGAATATTACTCAGCAATAAGATGAAATGAAGTACTGCTAAATGCAACAACATGGATGAAGCTTGAAAACATCATGCTCAGTAAAGAAGCTAGTCACAAAAAAACACATTCTATGATTCAATTGATATAAAACATCTGGAATAAGCAAAATCTACAGAGACAGAAAGTAGATTAGTGGTTGGCTAGGGCTGAGGGATTGGAGAGAAATGGGCAGTGACTGCTAGTGGATATGAGGTGTCTTTTGGAGGTGATGAAAATGTTCTAAAATTGACTGGCGATAGTTTCACAAACAATATACTAAAAGCTATGGATTTGTACACTTAAAATGAGATATGATATGTGAATGATATGATATGTGAATTATATCTCAGTAAAGCAGGCTTTTCCATTTTAATGTTATTTGTTTTGTGTGTGTGTGAGATACAGGTGTCACTGTTTGCCCAGGCTGTTCTCAAACTCCCGGGTTCAAGCAATCCGCTCACCTCAGCCTCCCAAGTAGCTGGGACCACAGGCACACACCACTGTGCCTGGCTCCTAATAAAGCTTTCTTAAAAAAGCATTTTCTGACAAAATTCCCCTAAACTAATATAATTCCTGGACAAATTCATTTTTTAATTTAGCAAATACCTGCCTACGGTAATATCTTGTTTTATCTATTTCACTTTATTGTGCTTTGCAGATACTGCATTTTTTTTATTATACTTTAAGTTTTAGGGTACATGTGCACATTGTGCAGGTTAGTTACATATGTATACATGTGCCATGCTGGTGCGCTGCACCCACTAACTCGTCATCTAGCATTAGGTATATCTCCCAATGCTATCCCTCCCCCCTCCCCCCACCCCACCACAGTCCCCAGAGTGTGATATTCCCCTTCCTGTGTCCATGTGATCTCATTGTTCAATTCCCACCTATGAGTGAGAATATGCGGTGTTTGGTTTTTTGTTCTTGCAATAGTTTACTGAGAATGATGGTTTCCAATTTCATCCATGTCCCTACAAAGGACATGAACTCATCATTTTTTATGGCTGCATAGTATTCCATGGTGTATATGTGCCACATTTTCTTAATCCAGTCTATCATTGTTGGACATTTGCGTTGGTTCCAAGTCTTTGCTATTGTGAATAATGCCGCAATAAACATACGTGTGCATGTGTCTTTATAGCAGCATGATTTATAGTCATTTGGGTATATACCCAGTAATGGGATGGCTGGGTCAAATGGTATTTCTAGTTATAGATCCCTGAAGAATCGCCACACTGACTTCCACAATGGTTGAACTAGTTTACAGTCCCACCAACAGTGTAAGAGTGTTCCTATTTCTCCACATCCTCTCCAGCACCTGTTGTTTCCTGACTTTTTAATGACTGCCATTCTAACTGGTGTGAGATGATATCTCATAGTGGTTTTGATTTGCATTTCTCTGATGGCCAGTGATGATGAGCATTTTTTCATGTATTTTTTGGCTGCATAAATGTCTTCTTTTGAGAAGTGTCTGTTCATGTCCTTCGCCCACTTTTTGATGGGGTTGTTTGTTTTTTTCTTGTAAATTTGTTGGAGTTCATTGTAGATTCTGGATATTAGCCCTTTGTCAGATGAGTAGGTTGCGAAAATTTTCTCCCATGTTGTAGGTTGCCTGTTCACTCTGATGGTAGTTTCTTTTGCTGTGCAGAAGCTCTTTAGTTTAATTAGATCCCATTTGTCAATTTTGGCTTTTGTTGCCATTGCTTTTGGTGTTTTGGACATGAAGTCCTTGCCCACGCCTATGTCCTGAATGGTAATGCCTAGGTTTTCTTCTAGGGTTTTTATGGTTTTTAGGTCTAACGTTTAAATCTTTAATCCATCTTGAATTGATTTTTGTATAAGGTGTAAGGAAGGGATCCAGTTTCAGCTTTCTACATATGGCTAGCCAGTTTTCCCAGCACCATTTATTAAATAGGGAATCCTTTCCCCATTGCTTGTTTTTCTCAGGTTTGTCAAAGATCAGATAGTTGTAGGTATGCGGCGTTATTTCTGAGGGCTCTGTTCTGTTCCATTGATCTATATCTCTGTTTTGGTACCAGTACCATGCTGTTTTGGTTACTGTAGCCTTGTAGTATAGTTTGAAGTCAGGTAGTATGATGCCTCCAGTTTTGTTCTTTTGGCTTAGGATTGACTTGGCGATGCGGGCTCTTTTTTGGTTCCATATGAACTTTAAAGTAGTTTTTTCCAATTCTGTGAAGAAAGTCATTGGTAGCTTGATGGGGATGGCATTGAATCAGTAAATTACCTTGGGCAGTATGGCCTTTTTCACGATATTGATTCTTCCTACCCATGAGCATGGAATGTTCTTCCGTTTGTTTGTATCCTCTTTTATTTCCTTGAGCAGTGGTTTGTAGTTCTCCTTGAAGAGGTCCTTCACATCCCTTGTAAGTTGGATTCCTAGGTATTTTATTCCCTTTGAAGCAATTGTGAATGGGAGTTCACTCATGATTTGGCTCTCTGTTTGTCTGTTGTTGGTGTATAAGAATGCTTGTGATTTTTGTACATTGATTTTGTATCCTGAGACTTTGCTGAAGTTGCTTATCAGCTTAAGGAGATTTTGGGCTGAGACGATGGGGTTTTCTAGATAAACAATCATGTCGTCTGCAAACAGGGACAATTTGACTTCCTCTTTTCCTAATTGAATACCCTTTATTTCCTTCTCCTGCCTGATTGCCCTGGCCAGAACTTTCAACACTATGTTGAATAGGAGCGGTGAGAGAGGGCATCCCTGTCTTGTGCCAGTTTTCAAAGGGAATGCTTCCAGTTTTTGCCCATTCAGTATGATATTGGCTGTGGGTTTGTCATAGATAGCTCTTATTATTTTGAAATACGTCCCATCAATACCTAATTTATTGAGAGTTTTTAGCATGAAGGGTTGTTGAATTTTGTCAAAGGCTTTTTCTGCATCTATTGAGATAATCATGTGGTTTTTGTCTTTGGCTCTGTTTATATGCTGGATTACATTTATTGATTTGCGTATATTGACCCAGCCTTGCATCCCAGATTCACCGAAGTTGAAATGAAGGAAAAAATGTTAAGGGCAGCCAGAGAGAAAGGTCGGGTTACCCACAAAGGGAAGCCCATCAGACTAACAGCGGATCTCTCGGCAGAAACCCTACAAGCCAGAAGAGAGTGGGGGCCAATATTCAACATTCTTAAAGAAAAGAATTTTCAACCCAGAATTTCATATCCAGCCAAACTAAGCTACATAAGTGAAGGAGAAATAAAATACTTTACAGACAAGCAAATGCTGAGAGATTTTGTCACCACCAGGCCTGCCCTAAAAGAGCTCCTGAAGGAAGCGCTAAACATGGAAAGGAACAACCGGTACCAGCCGCTGCAAAATCATGCCAAAATGTAAAGACCATCGAGACTAGGAAGAAACTGCATCAACTAACGAGCAAAATCACCAGCTAACATCATAATGACAGGATCAAATTCACACATAACAATATTAACTTTAAATGTAAATGGACTAAATTCTCCAATTAAAAGACACAGACTGGCAAGTTGGATAAAAAGTCAAGACCCATCAGTGTGCTGTATTCAGGAAACCCATCTCACGTGCAGAGACACACATAGGCTCAAAATAAAAGGATGGAGGAAGATCTACCAAGCAAATGGAAAACAAAAAAAGGCAGTGGTTGCAATCCTAGTCTCTGATAAAACAGACTTTAAACCAACAAAGATCAAAAGAGACAAAGAAGGCCATTACATAATGGTAAACGGATCAATTCAACAAGAGGAGCTAACTATCCTAAATATATATGCACCCAATACAGGAGCACCCAGATTCATAAAGCAAGTCCTGAGTGACCTACAAAGAGACTTAGACTCCCACACATTAATAATGGGAGACTTTAACACCCCACTGTCAGCATTAGACAGATCAACGAGACAGAAAGTCAACAAGGATACCCAGGAATTGAACTCAGCTCTGCACCAAGCGGACCTAATAGACATCTACAGAACTCTCTACCCCAAATCAACAGAATATACATTTTTTTCAGCACCACACCACACTGCATTTTTTTTAATTGAAGATTTGTGGCACCTCTACACCAAGCAAGTCTGTCAGTGCTGTTTTTCCTTGTTTTTTTGGTGTGTGTGTGTGTGTGTGTGTGTGTGTGTGTGTGAGAGAGAGAGAGAGAGAGAGAGAAAGAAACCCACTCTCTTATCACCCAGGCTGCAGTGCGATGATGCATTCTTGGTTCACTGCAGCCTTGAACTCCTAGGCTCAAGCAGTTATCCTGAGTAGCTGAGACTACAGGTGGATGCCACCACCCCCAGATAATTTTTAATTTTTCTGTAGAGACAAGGTCATGCTATGTTGCCTGGGCTGGTCTCGAGCACTTGGCCTCAAGCCATCCTCTCACCTAAGCCTCCCAAAGTGCTGAGATTACAAATGTGAGCCACTGTGCCTGGCTCAGTGCTATTTTTCCAACAGTGTGAGCTCACTTCATATCTCTAGGTCACTTTTTGGTAGTTTTTGCAGCATTTCAAACTTTTTCATTATTGTTACAGCTCTTATGATGATCTGTAATTAGTGATCTTTGATGTTACTGTTGTAATTGTTTTGGGGAGCCATGAACTGCACCCATAGAAGGTGGCGAACTTAGTAGTGTTGAGTGTGCTCTGACTGCTCTACTCACTGGCCATTCCTTCATCTCCCTTCCCCTTCTGGGACCTCCCTATTCCCTGAGACAAAACAATATTAAAATTAGGCTAATTAACCCTACAATGGCCTCTAAATGTTCAAGTGAAAGGAAGAGTTGCACTTCTCTCACTTTAAGTCAAAAGCTAGCAATGATTAAGCTTAGTGAGGAAGGCATGTTGAAAGCTGAGATAGGCCAAAAGCTAGGCCTCTTGCACTGAACATTTAGCCAAACTCTGAATGCAAAGGAAAGGTTGTAGAAGGAAATTAAAAGTGCTGCTCCAATGAACACATGAATGATAAGGAAGTATAACAGCCTTATTGCTGATATGGAGAAAATCTTAGTGGTTGGACAGAAGGTCACACCAGCCACAATATTCCCTTAAACCAAATTCCCTTAAGCCTACTCCCTAACTCTCCTCAAGTCTATGAAGTCTAAGAGGTGAGGGAAGTGCAAAAGAAAAGTTTGAAGCTAGCATAGGTTGATTCACAGGGCTTAAGGAAAGAAGCCATTTCCATAACATAAAAGTGCAAGGTGAAGCGGCAAGTGCTAAAGTAAGAGCGCAGCAACTTATCCAGAAGATCTAGCTAAGATCATTGATGAAGGGGGCTATGCTAAACAACAGATTTTCAATGTAGACAAAACAGCCATCTAAGACTTTTGTAGCTAGAGAGAAGTCAATGCCTGGCTTCAGAACTTCAAATGACAGGCTCACTCTCTTGCTAGGAGCTAATGCAACTAGTGACTTTCAGTTGAAGCCAGTGGTCACTTATCAATGTGAAAATCCTAGGGTCCTTAAGAATGATGCTAAGTCTACTCTGCCTGTGCTCTATAAATAGAAGAACAAAGCCTGGATGACAGCACATCTATTTACAGCATAGTTTACTGAATATTTTAAGCCCACTGTTGAGACCTACTGCTCAGAAAAAAAAAGATTCCTTTCAAAATATTACTGCTTATTGGCAATACACCTAGTCCCCAAGAGCTCTAATGAACATGTACAAGATAAATATTGTTTTCATGCCTGCTAAAACAACATTCATTCTGCAGCTTGTGGATCAAAAAGTAATTTTGACTTTCAAGTCTTGTTATTTAAGAAATACATTTTGTAAGGCTGTTGCTGCCTTAGATAGTGATTCCTCTGATGGACCTGAGTAAATTAAATTGAAAACCTTCTGGAAAAGATTTACCATTCTAGATGCCATTAAGCACATTTGTGATTTATGGGAGGAGGTCAAAATACCAACATTAACAGGAGTTTGGAAGAAGTTGATTTCGGTCCTCATGGATGACTTTGAGGGAGTCAAGACTTCACTGGCTGCAGATGCGGTGAAAATAGCAAGGGAACAAGAATTAGAAGTGGAACCTGAAGATGTGACTGAATTGCTGCAATCTCATGATTAAAACTCGAATGGACAATGAGGTGCTTCTCTACATATGAGCAAAAAAGTGGTTTATTGAGATGGTATCTATTCCTAGTGAAGATACTGTGAAAATTGTTAAACTCACAGCAAAGGATTTAGAATAGTTCATAAACCATAAACTTAATAAAGCAGCAGGGTTTGAGAGGATTTTTAATTTTGAAAGAACTTCTACTGTGAGTAAAATGCTGTCAAACATCACATGCTACAGAGAAATATTTTATGAAAGGAAGAGTCTATTGATGCAGCAAATTTCCTTCTTCTCTTATTTTAAGAAATTGCCACAGCCACCCCAACCCTTAACAACCACCACCCTGTCAGTCAGCAACCATCAACATCAAGGTTTGCTACCAACAAAAAGATTACTACTCACTGAAAGCTGAGATGATTGTTGGCATTTTTTAGCAATAAAGTATTTTTAAATTAAGGTATATACATTTTTTAGACATAATGCTGTTATACACTTAATAGACTAAAATATAGTGTAGACATAGCTTCTTTATGCACTGGGAAACCAAAAAATGAATGTGACTCACTTTATTGTGATATTTGCTTCACTGCGGTGGTCTGGAAGTGAACCCATAATATCCCTGAGGTATGCCTGTATTCCAGGCCATTGAACTATTTATATTATTCTTCACTGCAATTTTTTTACATTATGAGATTATTTTTTAGTGTTTATTCTATTATCTACACAAAGTATAAAGATTGTAATAGCTATCTTAATTTGTATTAATCTGCCATAATATATATAGTGGCTATAATTTTTATTAAATTCAGTTTTTCAGGACTAGATTTTACATATCTAAATTCTGTTACGAATTCTTAATTTTTTTGTGGCAATTTATAGTCAGCAAATGCTATCATGTGTCATTTTAGCCAGTGAGTTTTATGTTTGTTATTACTACCAATAATAATCATCATGGTTTGGATAGAAGACTTAACAGAATTTTTTCTTTCTTAAGCAAATCCAAGAGAGAATTTTGAGCATTGCCCTCCAGCTCTGTAGCAGGGTTTAGGCAGCAAAGATCTTCAGGGTAGAAATGTCCTGCTTTGGGGTAGGACAGAAACAGACTTGATAAGCGCATGAACAGATACATTGCAGAGAATATGGTAGCTGAGTGGGGGAGCAGAGTAGAGCATATTTGGGGGATGCAGTGAAGGACAAGACTGGAAAGGTCCTCTGGGAACCAGAATTTGGCAGGCCTTGGGTGCAGTCACATGAAGATGATTTTATTCTTTAGGTAATATGATTTGAACCCCCCACACACACTTTCTCCTGATCAGCATACAAAATGTGGAAAATATATAAAATTAGAAGAAAATGTTACCTATCAGAGGTAATCACTGCTAATATCTTAAAATATAGCTTTCCAGTGTCTTCCATTTTGTGTTTTACACAGTTGAAACCAAATTACATACATAATTTTTTATGCTGCCTTTTGTTTTTTGTTTTTTTTTGAAACAGGGTCTCACTCTGTCATCCAGGCTGGAGTGCAGTAGCACAGTCATAGCTCACTGCACCCTTGACCTCCCTGGGCTTAGGTGATCCTCCTGAGTAGCTAGGACTACAGGTGCACACCACCACACCTGCTAATATTGTATTTTTTTTGTAGAGATGGAGTTTCACCACATTGTCCAGGCTGGTCTTGAACTCCTGAGCTCAAGCAATCCACCTACCTTGATCTCCCAAAGTGCTGGGATAGGAATGAGCCATTGTGTCCAACCCTCCTGCTTTTTTTTTTTTTAACTGAACATTGTAATATAAGCATGTACCATGTTACTAAAAACTTTAGTATATTTATTTCAATAATACTATGCATATTCTTTAATGGATGGAGTGTAAATTAAGTAACAGTTCTTCTGTTTTGGTTATTACTGTTGTTTCCTACGTATTCCCTTTATTGCTAATTCTGTGCTGTTAAACATTTGAGTGTAAGAAGCAAGTGAGGTATATGACAGTATGTGGTAAGTGGCTGAAAGTTTAAGTCTGAAAACAGACATAAACTGTTAGGATTGCAGAATAGTTAGGATCGCAAACCTAGATTTTAAGATAATCCACCGGGACAAGATAATAAAGCCAACGATAGTATGCAGGACAAAACACAAGGGCCAGAGGACAGAACCTTGGTAGAAAAAGACCTAATTAGGGCCAATGAGACCAAACATTGGGGAGGTATGTGGTATCACAGAAGCTAACTATGGAAAGTACGTTAGAGGACAGGGTGTTCAGCTCTGCCATAGCGTAGAGAGATGGGGTAATATGAGAGATGCTCTGTTTATTTGGCAATCAGCAAGTCTTCAGGGAATTCTGAGAGAAAAGTTTCAATGGAGTTGTAGGAACAGAAACCAGGTTTCAAGGGATTAGAGAGCAAGCAGGTGGTGAAGGAGCAGAAGTGTGGAGTGTAACTTCTTTTGGAAGCCCTGTTAATGAAGAAAAGGAGAAAAATGCAATTGGGTAAAAGAGACAAGAATAAACAGCAATATTTTATTTATTTTTAGGAGAAGGACTTGAACATGATTATACATTGAGGCAAAGGATTAGTGTAAATGAAAATAGGGATACAAATATTAAAAACAAACTCATGATTGAGAGTCTGTATGCTTTCTTAAAAAATATTTTTTTTTCTGTCCTAAAACCTGATTACTAGTTTAAGAAGAAATTCCCAGACTTTTCCTAATCAAATGCTATTTCCAAGCATTGTGGCTTAAAAACTGGCTTACACCCAAGACTTATTTTATCTTACTGAAATGAGGAACTACCCATAGTATCGATTTTGGACTTTGCATGTTTGCTTTGTTTTATTTAAGTGAGTCATCGCTAGCATAGCATAAGAATAAACGCATTTAGTGACATTTTATTTCTAGTTAACATTTTCTGTATTTCCTTGTTCGCAGATTACAACCACCTTTCAATGGCAGTTTCTGAGAATTCTCTAGTGCTGGTGTCTAAACATGGTTATTAACATTTTATCTGCTATTTTTACCTTTTTGAGGCCAGTTCAGGTTACCATAAGGTTTTGTATTGTTAAAGTATCACGTCTGTGTACCATCCCAGGCATCTTTATGGTTAACAAATGACTTACAGGAAGTGTACCTGAATATCTTATGTGGACAGTTCTGTGGACATCACTATTTCCTTTATGTATGAGGCAGAAATACATAGAAATAGCTTTAGAAATAGCCTCAGGAAGTAGTTAGAAAAGATTATTCATAGTCCTTCCAAAAAAAGGTAATTGGTTGCAAGATTTTGCTTTAAACTAAATTAATAACCTCTTATAAGCAATCATAAATTACCTTTATAATTTCTGTTAATAGAAAAGTAAACAAAATCATCAAACTAGGAATACAGATAATATGCATTTGTAATTATACACAATTGAAAACTGTAACTTCCGTCATTATGCTAATCAAGTGTAAGCCTTCCTGAAGCAACTAGGAACTCAGTAATAACTGCAATATTAGCTCTTACTGTTTGCTCATTCAAGAAACTGAAAATTATTACCAACTGGTAGTAAGTCAAAATGAATTCAAGAGCTATTTTTGCTAAGATAACTTATATAAACCCTAGCTGCCACATGACTCTCTGCTGGTACTGTATTGCCTTCAAAGGAACATCAGTCCGGCATTCAAAATAATTAAGAAGCTATTTTAACTGTTTGTTAGAGTTTCTCTAACCTACCCTGCTCCCTCTGGGGTTTCCTTCTATGTGAGGAGTGGTGTCAGATGGGTCAAGTAACACAATATAAGGCATAAACATGAAATCTGTTTACACTGACTGTAATCAATATCAGCAGGAGATACCACAGCAGGTCTGTGCCACTCAAGGAAGGTCCCAGCATGTATGCTCACTACAGTCCTTTTATATACAGCCATCTATAATCTCATCCTTTTACCAATGCATATGATCCCTTCCATCTCCTCCCCAGACCTTCCTTCAAAGTAGAGCTATATTAATAGTAGGCTGTGCTGCTGTGCCTTTGATTATAAGTTACTTCATCCGCATAAGTGCTGAATTATTGTAATATCATTAGTGTAAGGATAAGCAAGACAACCAGAGCAGAGCCTTCATAGTACAGTTTGTAATAACTCTTTGTGCTGTTTTGTCATACCCTGGCCATGTCGTTGGCTCATTTCTCTCTTGATCTCAAGAATGTAAACACCCTACCATCTTCTTACCTGTATTTCCAAGTATGTCTTGGTGACCCGAACATATTCTTTTGAACTTACTGTTTAATATTCCTGTTCCAGAAAACTGATACATTTTCCTCCTCTGATATTATAGAGTTCCTTTTTGATAATTATACTTGTGAAAATACCAACGGAGGAATACTTTCATAATATGTAGCAGTATTTTTCACAGTACTGGAGGATGGCAAAATTAATAATAATACATAGCAAAAATTTCATTAAACTCCTATTTCCCTTACTCTCAGTAGCTTTCATTTGCAAGGCAGCTACTCCAGACATGCATGCAGAAGACTCCAGGAGTTTTTAGGAACCAGAGAATCATTTTACCCAAGGACTCAGGAAATGCATCATAGGAAAAGCTTTTGAGCAATGTCTTGAATTATATAACACTTGGTGGTTTACGCAGAGGGGTGTGTGTGTGTGTGTGTGTGTGTGTGTGTGTGTGTGTGTAATGCCATTTAATTTAGTAAGTTTTTATAAGCATTTTAGATCCAGACAACATATGTTTACCAATTTGTACCTAACTATAAAACATTTCATAAGAGGAAATTTATACAGAGGAGAATAATTACAAATTACTTTCAACATCCCTTCAGTGTTGAAATTAAACTTGAGCTCAGATCTGCTGAGTCTAAAATTTGTTCCCTCCTCTTTTTACCATGTGGGTGAGGCTGGATACTAGGAAAGGATAAGAAGACATTTGGGAGGGCATCCTAAAGGATGGGAAAACCACGAAGGCAGACATGCAGGTGCATAGTGCCAGGGCAGAAAATAGTGAAGAACTGTAGGGGCGCAAATTTGAGAGGTTGAAGGAAGAAGATTGAATACTAGCTGAAGAGTTTGGTTTTTCGTGTACATACATAAGAAGCCATAAATTTATTGATCTGGAAACTGGCTGATTGGAGCTGTAATTGAAGAAACTGTTTACAACTATTATTTTCCCACACCTTTTTAGAATATTTAGAAAGAATAAGTCTTTTTGTTCAAAAGTAAAGTCTCTTTGGAAGAACAAGTAACCTACTAATTTGGTTTCTTGCCTTTTCTTGATTTGTTATTTAAATTTCCTACACAACACCAATGTACATTTTCCTGTTTCTTAAGATCTAACTTGTAATTCATTTTTCATTTCTTCAAGTGTTTTATTCAGAAAGGGTACCTGGGTGATAGTTTTTTGCCTAAGAGTTATCTTTCTTTCTCCTTCCTACACAATGCTTAGTTTGGGCTGGTGTAGAATCCATAGTTCATATCAACTTCTGGGTTTTGTGAAGTTATTTATTCCCTGTGTCCTTGTTTTTAAGAGTTGTGGAGAACATATTTTCATTTCTATGTGCATAATCTGATTTTGAATAGACTGTTTTTTAGAGCAGTTTTAGCATCACAGAGAAATTGAGTGGAAGGTACAGAAATGCCTCCTATACCTCCTGTCCCCACATACACACAATATCCCCCAGCTATTAATATTCCTAACCAGAGTGGCGCATTTGTTACAGTTGATGAACCTTCCTTGACGCAGCATCATCTAAAGTACTTTAAAGTTTACGTTAGGCTTCACACTTGGTGTTGTCCATTCTGTGTTTTGACAAATGTATAATGACATGTACCCACCATCATAGCATCATACAGAGAAGTTTCACTGCCCTAAAAATCCTCTGTGCTCCACTTGTTCATCCCTCCTACTCCCAACCCCTGGCAATCACTGATTCTTTTCTATCTGCACAGTTTTGCCTTTTCCAGTATGTCATAGTTCATAAGCTAATTTTAATTTCCTATATCCTTGCAGGATTTTTACCTTATCCGTAGGAAAATTTTGTGTAGCTTTCATCAGATTTCCCAGTCTATGATGTGTATTCTGAAATTTTCGGTATGAAGTCTTTCCTTCAATTAATCTAGGAATGTTTTTTTCTCCTGTTACTTCATTTTTATTGTGTCCTCTGCATCTATATTGTTCTAGAAAGTGGAGAGGTGATGCTATGTAGAATTTGCATAGTTAGAGCAAAATAAATTTTGTGAGTTTGAGTTTTTTAGGTTCCACATATAAGTGAGATTATGTGATATTTGTCTTTCTGTGCCGGGGTTATTTCACTTAGCATAATATCCTCCTGGTTCATCTATGTTGTCACAAATGGCAGGATTTCCTTCTTTTTTAAGGCTGAATAATATTCCATTTATGTATATACATCCCACATTTTCTTTATCCATTCATCTGTTGATGGACATTTACGTTGTTTCCATATTTTGTCTCTTGTGATTAATGATGAAATGAACATGGGGGTGCAGATATCTCTTCAAAAAACTAATTTAATTTCCTTTGGATATATACCCAGATGTGGAATTGCTGGGTTATATCATGGTGCTATTTTTTATTTTTTGAGGAATATCCATACTGTTTTCCAAACTGTACCAATTGGCATTCTCACCAGCGGTGTGAAAGGGTTCCCTTTTCTGCATATCCTCACCAACACTTTGTCTTTTGTCTTTTCGATAATATCCATTGTAATTGATAGGAGTGTTAACTCATTGCGGTTTTGATTTGCATTTCTCTGATGATTAATGATGTTGAGCATCTTTTCACATACTTCTTGGCCATTTGTATGTCTTCTTTTTTTATTGTAAATTGACAATTTGTAATTGTATAAGTTTATGGTATAAAAAGAGATGTCATAATTTATGAATACAATGTGGGATAAACTAGTTAATGTATTCATCACCTCAGATACTTGATGTTTTTTGTGGTAACATTTGAAATTTACTCTCTTAGTGTTTGTCTTCTTTTGAGAAATCTCTATTTGAGTCCTTAGCCTATTTTTTAATCAGGTTATTTGACTTTTTTTTTTTTTTTGCTATTGAGTTGTATGAGTTTCTTATATATTTGGGATATTAACCCCTTATCAGCTATATGGTTTGTAAGGTTTGTAAATATTTTCTCCCCTCTGTAGGGGACATACGTTTTTTTAATGAAATTTTTCATCAAGACATCTGTCAGTCACTGAATAAAAACCCTGCATGAAGCTATAAGACTTTTTGTAATATAGAAGATTATAAACAAGTATTCAGCAAATATTCATTTGAGGTCCTACTGTGTGCCAATCAGTGCTATGTTTTTATATGAAATTTCTCATTAGAACAGTTCTAGACAATGAACAGTTGTCTACTGACAAAGTTCCTTGCATTAGAGCTCACTCTTTTCTTTTTATCTCCTCATGATGGAAGAGGAGCCTCTTCTCCTGTTCAGGGCCAGTCCCCCTAATTATCACCTGGATCCCATCGTCTGGCATTCTCAGGGATGAACCTCCTCTGGCACCATTATTCATACCCTCTCAAATCTTTTCTCCTTACTGTTAGTGCTGACAGGTTCTTTACTATCAGCACTAAACCATGCTTAAGTCTCTTCTTACATGTTAAAATGAAATCCTCACTTTATGCATATCCCCATTTGGCTGCCACCCTAATTTTCTCCACTTTATTACTAAAATATTTGAAATGTCTGTGTTCCCTGTCTCTGCTCCTCATAGTAATCCGGCTTCCATCCCTCCTTTTACTGAAACTACACTTGCTAGTGTTATTAGTGAATTCTTCATTGCTAAATTTTTTTTAGCCTTTATCTTACCTGACCTCTCTGCCACATTTGATAATTCAACAATTCTTTCTTTAAAGGTTTTCCCCTTGGCTTTGGTGACAACGTAATCTCCTTTGCTTCTCCCACTGTTGACGTGTTAGCCTCCTTTGCCTGTGCCCCTTCTTCTCGTATACCCTAAGTGTTCATGTTCCTTGGAGTTCCAAACTCTGCCCTCTTCCCTTTCTCCTCTACCCACTCTCCCTGAATGGCCTTATCCATTCCCATAGCTTCAGTGACTATTTACATGCTGAGGTCTTTTGTCCTTTTTTTTTTTTTTTTTTTTTTTTTGAGACAAGATCTCAGTTTGTCACCCAGTCTGGAGTACAGTGGTGCAGTCATGGCTCACTGCAGCCTCAAACTCCCAGGCTTAAGCAGTCCTCCCACCTCAGCCTCCCAAGTAGCTAGGATTATAGGTTTGAGCCATCATGTGCAGCCTGTCATTTACATTTGTATTTTCAGCCCTGACCACCTTTGAGTTCTAGGTCTGTGTATCTGTCTGCCTCCTAGACATTTCCAAATAGGGAACCCACAGGCTCCTCAACCTCAAAATATCCAAAACTGGATTATCATTTCCCTCACTCCCTAATCCCACTAGCAAAATGAGTGAGTGAATAAATAAGAAATAAATAAAACAAAATCTTCTTGTGTCCAATTCTTTTCACCCATTTACCCAAGCCAAAAATATCTCTGATGTATGAGATGTTCATTTATCCTTAGTGTTGTGTCACAATTTTGTAGATCTGACTTATCCTTGGAGTATTAAAATACTTATTTTTGCCTCTGTTCCCACAGGTTTCTTTTTTCTCAAGAGTCTGTATCTTTTAAGAAGTAGAAATCTTCATTAATATTGAAAAAAATCTTTCCTTATAAATTTGACCATTATTTCACTCTGGTGGGCAAATTGAGGTGGACTATATACATCCTTGATAATAACTTGTAACATTTATTATTGAGATACACTGTAAGCCAGGCACTGTTCTGAACTCTTGTGTGTAATAATTCATTTGGTTTCCCCAAATTCCCATGAGTTGTAGGTATTGTTACATCCTGTTTCACAGAGGAGGAAATGCAGAATGCAGAGAGGTTAGGAACGTGTCCAGCGTGACAGTTGGCAGGGAGCAGAGGCAGGATTTGAACACAAGCAGCCTGGCTCTGGATCCTTTAAGCTCTTAACCTCTATGCAATACTATCTGGCAAACAGTTTGCATTCTTCATAGCAGTTTCTTATCACTGTTTTTTAAAAAGTTAAAAATATACTGAATTACCAAGACATGGCATAATTTTAAATGTGTACCTAGGGTATACCTATGCAAGTTATTCGAGAATAAGTAATGCATTTTGCTGGTACAGTAGTCACAAAAAAATGGATCCATAATTTTCCTTTTATTTTACTTTTATTTTTTAAAGACTTTCTAGATTTTCTTTGACTCGTTTGAAACACAAGGCCATAGCAACATTTCTTCTGAGTCCTCTGCTTATTTTATGTCAGCAGCTGTATCACTTTATCTTAGAAATACTTGGGTTTTCACAGTATCAACACAAATCATATTCTGTTGCTTTGTTTCTGGAAAGTGGTTAAGCAACTGTATAAAAGTCATAGGAAATTAATGACTCACATAACGGAAACCATTTACTAATGTGACTTTTGTCTCAGATGCCAAGTAGTCTGAGTTTGTTTCCATGGTAACCCATCAGTATAACAAATGGTCGCAAACTAACTTTGCTACTTTTTTGGTTGTTTGTTTCATTTGGACAGCTTTCTGATAGCTGTGTGTGTGCGTGTGTGTACACATTAAAGATTATCACACACAAAAAAAATCTGAGTAATTGCCTTAGTTGCACAAACAAAACCTTTTTTTAGAGAGATTGTTTGAGAATCCAAGGCTATTTTGATGTTACAAAACGATAAAGATTACTTAACATATCTTTCTACTTCAGTTCCTATTAAGAAAGGGCACACAGTCATCAATTTTTAAGCCCATACATTTAAAAAATTCATTTATAATATTTGTTTATTTGAAATGTATCAATCATAGGAGACTCTGCCAGAAACAAGGCAGAGAGAACGGGAAATGAGGACACTGTCTTGGGAGACTGAAGACTGAGTGAATGATGGAAGAAGTGGAGGCAGCCAGCTCTTTCCTGCCCCTCCCTGGGGGACAGTGCTCTAGGGTAGGGAAAAGAGGACACTGAGAAGGGAACCAAGGCAGGCCTGGTCATATGGGACACCGAGTTGCAGAGAGATTTCTAGAGGAGGTAATGACAAAACTAGATGCGTTAGAATTAAACTGGTGAGTGCGGGAAGTTGAAAGGAGAGTGGATGGAATAGAAGGGAAAGAAAAAATCATGAACAAAGGCATGCAAATGAGAAATAGTGTGAAGTAAATGGGAATGACAAACAATATAAGACAGAAAGAAAGGGTCAAGAGATAAGACTAAAGACAGACAGGGGCTTAATCATAAAGAGGCCCCATTAAGGAGGTTGAACCTAATCCTATAAGAGGAAGCAGTGAAGGATTTTAAACAGAAATGACATTATCAAGTTTGTATTTTAAAAAGAGTTCTCTGGTAGCAATGAGGAAGATAGATCTGAGCGGGGACCATTAAGGAGGCTGTTGCCATGCTTCAGGGAAGAGATATTGAGAGTCTGAATTGTGGTGGTGCTAGACACAGGAAAGGGCTTGATTTACAAATAGGAAGTAACACAGGCAAGAATTGGTAGCTGGAACCAGTCATTTGTGGCCCATGCCTGACTTCAGTTATTCATTTGGTCAACAAATCTTTATTGTTTCCTGTGTTTGGCAAATGATTAGTGTTATGCTGTACTCTTTCCCACCTTCATCATTTCTGGATTTCTTCTCCATTAAGGATTCTTTGTTTGCACATCATGAGGTAATTAATAGACAACTGCACTTCGCATGGCTCTAGTTCATCCCAACCTGATCTCTTGTCTTGGCTTATTTGACTTTCTTACTCACATAAGAACCTGTTTCAGAGTCCTAGCACATTTGTCAGTCTACTACTTGGGAGGCAGTATCTATGTGTTCGGATAGGGGCTTATTGCCCAGGAAGTGAATCAGAGCTTATTTGTGTCTTCATTGGGTGGGACTCTACGGGTCATGAAAAATATGTACAATAGGTTCCAGTGTATTTCGTCTGTATACTTAAATGAGGGGAACAGGACTCTGGGATGGACCACCTACAACAATGTGAATAACATTTGAACTTTGCAGATTTGGAAATGGTAAGACTTAGTCTATGTCAGTTAGGATTTAGTTCAGCTGCATATAACAAAATCCAAAATAAGCATTTTAAATAATAAGATTTAAGAAGTTTGGGCTGGGTGTGGTGACTTGGCCAGGCATGGTGGCTCTCGCCTGTAATCTCAGCACTTTGAGAGGCCAGGGTGGGCGGGTCACTTGAGTTTAGGAGTTTGAGATGAGCCTGGCCAACTTGGTGAAACCCCATCTCTACAAAAAATACAAAAATTAGCTAGGCATGGTGGCACACACCTGTAGTCCTAGCTACTCGGGAGGCTGAGACAGAAAAATTGCTTGAACCTGAGAGGTGGAGTTTGCAGTGAGCTGAGATCACACCACTGCACTCAGCCTGCATGACAGAGTGAGACTCTGTCTCCAAAAAAATAAAAAATAAATACATAAATAAAAGGAGTTTGGAGGGAGAAAGTCCAGGGCTACATGTTTCTTAGAGACCCACCTTCCTTCTGGCTCTGCACCATCATCACATGGCTTTTCCTGAGGGTAACCTCGAGGTCCAAAATGACTGATGAGAATCTAATCATCATCATGACAGTTTTCCAGGCAGAGGAAAGAATAAAAGGTAAAAGGGTATGTTTCAACTGTCCCTCTCTTACTCTGCCTTTCCAAAAGTTATACCCAATAACCTCCATTTATATCTCATTAGCTTATACTCCATCCCATGCCTACCCTGTAAGCTGCAAGGGAGGTCAGGAAAATGCAGTCTTTTAACTGGACATATTGCCAGTTTGAGTAAAATCAGGGTTCTCCTTTTAAGGAAGAAGAGAGACTGCATATTGGATAAGTAACTGACAGTTTTTGCCACATACGCTCCTGGGCAAACCATTTGACTAGTCAAGCTGGTAGGTTACTTACTAGCCTGCTAGGAAGTACCATGATAAACAGATGTCAGAGACCTAAAGCCTTATCTAGAGGCTAGGACTACTAGGTGGGTTCACCAGTTAACATGTTGATATATGAATCTGAGGACTAAAGAAGAAGACTTAGTTTTGTTTGTTTGTTTTGTTTTGTTTTGTTTGTTTTTTGAGATAAAGCCTCGCTCTGTTGCCCAGGCTAGTGTGCAGTGGCGCAATCTCAGCTCACTACAGCCTCAACCTCCTGGGCTCAAGCAATCCTCCCACCTCAGCTGCCCGAGAAGCTGGGACCACAGGCGTACACCACCATGCTCAACTAATTTTTATATTTTTTTTGTAGAGATGAGGTTTCACCATGTTGCCCAGGCTGGTCCCGAACTCCTGAGCTCAAGCAATCCGCTTGCCTTGGTCTCCGAAAGTGCTGGGATTACAAGCATTGAGCCACCGTGCCCAGCCTGAGGACTTAGATTTTTAAGTTCTCAGTACATGCATAATAGTTAAGTCCATCAGAGTAAAAAAAATGAGAAAGCCGCCAAGGACAGAAGCTTGGTGGACATCAACATTTTAAGGAGACAGGAGCAAGAAACTGCAAAGAAATAGTCACATAAATACCAAGGACAAGAATATTGTAAGAATGTATAAGAAGGGTCAAGTATGATACTAAAAAATTACCCTTGGATTTGACAATTAGTTACTTACTCATGAGCAGTTTCAGTGGAATTGTGCGGGGTAGAAGCCTGATTAAGAGGGACTGAAAAGTAACTGGGAGGTGAGGAGATGGAAAATGTCTATACTGTAGAGACAGTTCTTCAAATTTCAGTTCCAACCTTTCCTGCTGAGTGACCTTTGACAAGTCACATAATTTCTGTGTATCTTAGTTCCTTTATCTATAAAATGGAGTTAGTAGTACCCTCCCCATATAGTTGCTTTGAGGATTTAGTAGTTAATATGTGTAATTTTTAATATGTGTATTTATAACAATGCCTGTAATAATAATCACTCAATAAGTGCTGTCATCATTATCCTTAGTATCATCATCTTCAGGGAGCTTGGACCTGAAGGCAGAGTGATAGTAAGTAGGTGAGGACATGGAATTGTGGGAAGTGTATTTTTTCCCGTAAGATTAAAAGACATGTCCTGTATGAAAACCAGTTCTCTATCTCTATTTTACACTGTAATTCCAATTACCTGTCCATATTTATAATGCTGTGCTGAAGTTTCTTAATCTCTTGTTTTTTTCCCCAAGCCCATCAAACTTAATGTTGGCTTCCTCCACTCTCTAACTAAACTAGATTAATATTTCTGCTAATATTTCTTTCCTGCTTGTCTGGTTTGTTTCTTAAAAAAAAATTCACATACAGAGTTCACTTGATTTCTTTGGTTTTTATTACTCAGGCGAAAGCTGCCCTCCATTTGTGCAAATAATAACATATACGATTAGGCATGTAAAAGCTACTACATTATAAGGGCATTTAAAGTATTTATATATTAGTATTGCCAAGGAATTCCACTTATTTCACAAACAAATGAAATGTGACAGTCATGCTGCTGTACTTCAGCCTGGGCAGCAAAGCAAGACCCCATCTCAAAAGAAAGGAATTAAGGGAAGGAGGGATGGAGAGAGGGAGGGAAAGAATAAAGAGAAGGAAGAAGGGAGGGAGGGAGGGAAAGAATGAAGGAAGGAAGGAAGGAAAATGTAGTGGCTTTTACAGAGGGAGAGAGGGAAGGAGGGAGGGAAGGAAGGAAGGAGCGAGCTTTTACAGAGGGAGAGAGGAGGAAAGGAGGGAGGGAGGGAAGGAGGAAGGATGGAAGGAAGGGAGGGGGGAAATGTAGCAAGTTTTACATGCCTAATTGTATGGAGAAAGGGAGGGAGGGAGGAAAAAAATGTAGCTTTTACGGAGGGAGAGAGGGAGAGAGGGAGGAAAGGGAGGGTGGGAGGGAGATGTAGTAGCTTTTACATGCCAAGGGAAGGAAGGGAGGGAGGGAGGAAGATGTAATAGCTTTTACATGCTGGAAGGAGGGAGGGAGGGAAATGTAGTAGCTTTTACATGCCAAGGGAAGGAAGGGAGGGAGAGAGGGAGATGTAATAGCTTTTACATGCTGGAGGGAGAGAGGAAGGGAGGGAAATGTAGTAGCTTTTACATGCCTAATCGTATATGTTATCATTTGCACAAATGGAGGGCAGCTTTGGCCTGAGTAATAAAAACCAAAGAAATCAAGTGAACTCTGTATGTGAATGTTTCTTTTAAGAAACAAACCAGACAAGCAGGAAAGACGTATTTGCAGAAATATTAATCTAGTTTAGTTAGAGAGTGGAGGAAGCCAACATTAAGTTTGATGGGCTTGGGGAAAAAACAAGAGATTAAGAAACTTCAGCACAGCATTATAAATACAGACAGGTAATTGGAATTACAGTGTAAAATAGAGATAGTGAACAGGAAGTAAGGGAGGCAGGGATTAGGACTTTGCTTTTTAAGATACCATCCAATTTTCATGTTAGACAATAAAGAAAATTCTTAGTGGGTTTTTTTTTTTTAGCAATTAGGAAAAAAAGGCATCTAAAGTTATATACTTCTGTTCCCATTTTTAGATTATTCAGTACTTGACAATGTTTTTGAATTTGTTTTTATTTTAACAAAGTCATAAATACTAATAATTTAGAGTCTAAGTTCCACAAGGCATATTATGGAAAAGCACAGTCCCCAACAACCGACCTGTTTCTCACATGGCCCAACAGGGAAGGAGCCAGGAGAATAAATGCATCAGCTTCCCTCCCTTCCTGCCCTCTATCCTTGCAATGTTTGTCACTTTAGCACAATCGGAGGTAGAGGGCAAGGGAGCTTGGTTGATGTAATTCATAAGACTGGCGTCCTGGACCACAGAGAAGGGTAGAGTGAATCTGGAATGATAAAATATCAAGCCCACTAGTTTGGATTTCCATGAGCACTTTAATTCCCTGTATGCTTTTTTTAAAAATATAGCATCCTATTCCTGTATGGTAGATGCAGTTTCTTTTTTATATCACTCAGAAATTTTTTTATTCTTCAAGCACAGGCTCTGTTTTGTTCAAGTTGCTATTTTTCTGTTTTTTTGTTTTTTTTTTTAAGACTGTATCTTGCTCTGTCACCCAGACTGGAGTGCAGTGGCACACTCATGGCTCACTACAGCCTTGAACTGTTGGACTCAAGTGATTCTCCTGCCTCAACCTTTTGAGTAGCTGGGACTACAGGTGCACGCCACCATAAGTTGTAAATTTTTTGTTGAAACAGGGTCTCCTTTGTTGCCCAGGCTGGTCTCAAACTCCTGGCTCAAGGGACCCTTCCACCAGCCTCTCAAAGTGCTGGGAATACAGGCATGAGCCCCTGCAACCAGCCAAGTTAGTTTTTTTCTATTCATCTTGGTTTCTTTCATATTAAGAGACTTTCCTCACTTATCTGCCCATATTTAACTATGAAGCACTAAAAGTTGATTAGGAGCTCTGTGTATGTGGCAGGTGCTTGTCATCTCAGATTTTTATTGTAGGCTGATTTGGCTGGCTGTGTCATTGGGAACCCTCAACATCTGTCTCATGAAATCTTTTCTTTGAGGCTGGTTGGATTCCCCAGAGAATATTCTTCCCACATTTTGAAGAACAGGTGCCTGGTTCTGGCATTGTGAGAAGCCAGGTTAGGGGAAGAAGGTTGGAAGTCTCAGCATTAAGTCATCTTTCATTACCCCAGCCAGCATGCTTTTGTGCTCTTTGTGCTCTTTCTGATACCTGCCCTCACTTCAGGCTGTCCAGAGATCCTTCTGTTTCATCTTATCAGGAGAATACATCTCAGTCATCTGCAGGAGTCAGGGAAGGAGAGGTCTGCAGTCTGACTATTTCCAAAACAGTTTTTGATCAATCCTCTGCTGTGTCCCTCCTTCATTCGACTTCAAAACCTGTTTAAGTTTCCTTCTCTTGGCTTTTACTATTGCCAGCATGAGGTTCAAATTTCCTCAGTATGCTAAACTAGTTATCACTTGTCTGTCTGTCTCTGGCCACTTATTTTTGTCTCTAGTTCTCTTTGTCCCTGTGAGATAATGCCTTTGCTTGTTTTTATTTAGTAGGTTTGGGGAGGGAGCAGAGGCTAATACATGCACTCAACCTGCCATGTTTAACTATAAATTTGTATATAATTTTGTAAGAAAAGTAAAAGAGTTTTATTGTAAATGTTATTTCTTGATATCTGATCATATATCAGTGGTCTCAGTGACAGCAACAACCAAGCGCCTTGATGCTCAGTGGACCCTGAAGGGTCCAGGACATCAGTGTTTATATCTCCTTGTTGGGAGCTCCGGACACCATAGCTGATGCCTCCAGCAAGCCTTGAGGCCAAGAGATGTTGGGAGAGAAGCAATAATAAAAAATTCTAGGCCGGACACCGTGGCTCACATGTGTAATAGCAACAGTTTGGGAGATCGAGGTGGCCAGATTGCTTGAGGCCAGGAGTTTGAGACCAGCCTGGCCAACATGGTGAAACCCCGTCTCTACAAAAATACAAAAATTAGCCAGGCATGGTGGTGCACACCTGTAATCCCAGCTACTGTTCAGTAGGCTGAGGCATGGGAATTGCTTGAGCCCAGGAGGCGGAGGTTGCAGTGAGCCAAGATTGCACCAGTGCACTCCAGCCTGGGCGACAGAGCAAGACCCTGTATCCAAAAAAAAAAAAAAAAAAAAAAAATCTGGATTTTTTTTTTCTTGCTTATTTTTATTACTATTCACAGTTTTTTAAATGTATTTATTTTTGAGTGTACAGGTTAGCAACTGCCCTCCTTACCAGGGAGTCCTCCAGCTGCCTGACAAGTACCTCCAGGTCCATCCTTTGTCAAATAACACTTATCTCGCCTGCATTGTGACCATACCAATAAATTACACCCTGCCTGGATTTCAAGGGAGACTCCACTGTGAACCCACACATACATTCTTCATATCATGATTCATTAAATCACTTAAGGGTTCCTAAGGAAAAAAAATGGCCAAAGTTATCATAGTAGAACTGGTGGTAGAATGCATGCCCTCCTCTCCCATTTGTGTGTCTGTTTAGAACATAAAAGTAAACAAAAGTGCACATATGACACACAAATACATACTTGATTTTTAAATTATGTTTGCTTTTTTTTTATAATTCCTGTTCTTGGATTTCTGTGTACTGATGGAGAAATCAGAAAAACCAGGCCAGGTGGCTTACACCTGTAATCCTAGCACTTTGGGAGGCTGAGACAAGAGTATCGTAATCCTGACACTTTGGGAGACTGAGACAGGAGTATCACTTGAGCCCAGGAGTTTCAGACCAGCCTGGATAACATAGAGAGACCCATCTTTACCAAAAATACAAAACTTGGTTGAGTGTGGTAGTGTATGCCTATGGTCCTAGCTACTTGGGAGGCTGAGGTGGGAAGATCTCTTTGGCCTGAGAGGTCAAGGCTGCAGTGAGTTGTGACTGCACCACTGCACTCCAGCCTGGGTGACAGAGTGAGAGCCTGTCTCAAAAACAACAACAACAAAAAAAAAACAACTGATAGATCGTAATAAAAATCTATTTTATTCCCTGAGGCAGCTATAAGTTTGACTGCCTGTCACATTCACCACAGCAGTTTTCCTGTCTCTAAGCCTTTATCTAAATTTTCAACTCACCTACCAGTCCTATCACTCCGTAGATATGACTTATTACTCCCCTAAGAAAATCAAAACTGTTCAACCTGGGCTCTCTTGCCGTTCTCTTTTGCTTTCTCTAGTTTTCTCTTTATTTCATCTGTTATCTTTGTCTCTTTCCTATGTTAGAGGAATGGTTATCTTTTTCTAAGGCTGAGCACCCCCCCACCCCAATACCTACATACGACAGCAGAGAGAACAGTATGTACAAAGGCCTGGGAGCTTGAAAGAGCAAAGTTGTGGAAAAATACAGATTCTCCTTTGTGGACAAGTGGGCTTTAGATTTAAACAGGCCTAGTTTGAATGCCAGTTCTTCTCTACCACCTCCTACTTAAATGACCTTGAGTTCACTTCTCTCATCACACTTCATTTTCCTTATCTTTAAAGTGACGAGGCTCACGCCTATGATCTCAGCACTTTGGGAGGCCGAGGCAGGTGGATTACCTGAGGTCAGGAGTTCAAGACCAGCCTGGACAACATAGCCAAACCCTGTCTCTTAAAAACACAAAAAAATTAGCCTGGCGTGGTGGCAGGTGCCTGTAATCCCAGCTACTCAAGAGGCTGAGTGAGGCAGGAGAATTGCTTGAATCCAGGAGGCGGAGGTTGCAGTGAGCGGAGATCACACCACTGCACTCCAGCCTGGGTGACAGAGGAAGACTCCGTCTCAAAATAAGTAAAGTGAAGAAAATGCCAGCTACTTCACAAGGTTGTTGGGAGATTTCATAGCATATGGTAAGCTCTCAATAAATGGTAGCTGTTCTTGCTGTTATGGCTGGAGTAAAACTATGACAGTAGTTCATCTTAAAATAAGAATTTGCTTATTCCTAGAATAAGCATTTGTTCATATTTATGCCTCTTGCATTAACTATGAATATAATCCCTACAAGGTCAGGAACTCTGTCCTCGTCTTTATGTTTTAAACATGTACCACATGCGCAGCATATAAAGTAAATGTACATTATGTGTTGAATGAATGAATGGTGTAGCCTAATGTATATTTTGATTGAATTGATAAGTAAATTCACTTTTTTTCCAGTTTCCAGTGGATAATTAAAACCTTCCAAAGATTTTCAGATCACATTGTTAGGAATTTGCTTCCTTCCTGCTACACTGTTTACAAATACTGGCTTTTAACACATTACTTTTGCATGTTAGACTTGAGTGAAAGTATGGGTGTGCTTTTTAACATGTCATCAATAATAGTTAATTAATTGGCTCTTTTTTTCTTTCCTTCAGGGAGGTGGTACAAGCAAACTGTGTTCGCTGGAGAAAGAAGTTCTCATTTATGTGCAAAATGAGTGCAAGTGCTGCCACAGGCATCCTAGATCCTTGTATCTACAGAGTATCCGTGAGGAAGGTATAAAAATAGCCTATTACTTCTTCCCTTTCAGAAACCATAATTAGTTCCGTAGTCACTGGCTGGCTTTGTTTATCTCTGCTTTATCTGTTTCATTAGAACTGTATATGCAGTTTCACTTCATGCTCGCTGCAGTAATTAAAATACCATGGCAAATATGATGAAGAATCTGAGGTTATAAATTAAAATTATTATTCAAGAACCTTCATCTCACTGTCACTATACGTATAAGTATTAATCTTACTTGTGTTAGTTTGGGGACTGTATATATCTATATCCACTATTTGTTAAATTCCTAGTTTTTATTAGGCATTGTTCTGGGAACTTTATGTGTAATATATCTAATAACCCTGAAATTAGGTGTTATTTTCTCCATTTTCAGGAAAACCAGGGCTCAGAGAAGTTACTTGCCCAAATTTACATAGTTAATAAATGGCAAAGTCGGGACTCAAACAGAGTTTTCTGACTCCAAGTCTGTTTTCTTTCCTGTATATTTTCTTTCCCAGTATTAGGTTGAAGCAAATTACCAATAATCTAAAAAAAAAATGGTAATTTCATATGGTTCAACTTTCTGTTTGTGTGTGTGTGTATGTGTTTGTGCGTGTGTGTGTGTATGCATGTGTTTTACTTACCAAAATAATACATATAATGGTCAAAAATTAAATAGAGAAGAAGGATTTAGAATGAAAGCAAGAGTCTCTGGCCTTGCTCTTTTCCACGCCAGTTCTGCGTCCTTGTCAGTCAGAATACCATTGCCATGGTATTTTAAGTATTACATAAAATACTTAATATAATATACTAAATAATATTTTAAGTATTATATAAAAGAAGCCATAAAAGAAAAATTAGTAAACTCAACTATATAAACATTTTATGCATTACAAAATATAACATAAAGTCTTAAATTAGGGGAAAATAGTCACAAATTGTGACAAAGGACTACTTTCCTTAGTATAGAAAGAGCACTTTCAAATAAATTAATTTTAAAAATAAACAACCATTTAGAAAAATAGGCAAGGGGCAGAATAAACACTTGGCAAAAAAACTATAAATAGCTTTTAAACATAAAAATGTGCTCAATCTGACACAAAACTACAAATAAGATACCATTTTTTACCTATAAAGTTGACAAAAATGAAAAAGTTTGATAGTGTGCTCTGTTGCCTAGGACACAGGGAAGCAATCAGTGACCAGCCAGCAGTACTATTCCAGGCACTGGGAGGACAGTGGTGAACTGGAATGAGTTCCTGCCCCCAGGGACTTTACTTTCTGGATGGAGTTGGGGGAGGTGTGATAGGGAAGACAGAGACCATAGTAAACATGTAGCCAAATAAGATTATTTGAGGTCATGATAAGTTTTATGTGTAGGAAACAATTCAGTAATGGAGAATAGCTTGGGCAAAGGAGATTATTTTAGAGAACTGAGGCAGGAGTCAGTGAAGACTTCTCTGAAAGGTAACATTTGAAGAAGGGGCAACCATGTAAAGGTCTAGGGAAAGGCCATTCTAAAAGAGTAGGACCTGAAAGCAAAAAAGCCCCTGTACTAGTTTCCTAGGACTGCTATAAATAAATAGCACACTCTGGGTGGCTTTAAACAACAGAAACTTACTGTCTGAGTTATGGATGACAGAAGTTCAAAGTCAAGGTGTCAGCAGGGCCATGCTCCCTCTGGAAGTGCTGGGGGAGAAACTCTCACACCTCTCGCCTAATGTCCAGCAGCCTCAGGCATTCCTTGACTTGTGGATACATTATTCCATTCACGTGATTGTTTTCTCCCTTTGTGTCTTCACATAATTTTCCCTCTTTGCATGTCTGTTTCTCTGTCAAAATTTCCTGTTTTTATAAGAATACCAGTCATATCAGATTAGGACCTCATTTTAACTTGTGTACCTATATGAAGACCCTATTTCTGGCCAGGTGTGGTGGCTCACACCTGTAATCCTAGAAGTTTGGGAGGCTGAGGCAGGCAGATTGCTTGAGCCCAGGATTTTAAGACCAGCCTGGGTCACATGGAGAAACCCCATCTCCATAAAAAATACAAAAATTAGCCAGGTATGGTGGCACTCACTTGTAGTCCCTGCTACTTGTGAGGCAGATGTTAGAGGACCACCTGAGCCCAGAAGGCTGCAGTGAGCCATGATCATGCCACTGTACTCCAGCCTGGATGACAGAGCCATACCCTGTCTCAAAAAAAAAAAGAAGACCTTACTTCCAAATAAGGTAACATTCTGAGGTAAGGACTTCATGTCTTTTTTTGGATGAGGGAGACGGGGGACATAATTCAACCCATAACAGGCCCTAAAGTATAATAAACATGGAGATTATTTTAATACTTCTGATATTAATGGACTAGCTTGTTGCAGACCACTGCTCCCTCTGAGAACTATTAGAAAAGCTAGACATAATATCCAAAACAGCCGCTTGAAGGCATTGGAAGCTAGTGAGGTAGTAAGGACTTGAGAGGCTTAGAATCCATAGAGGAGGGAAGCATAGAGATAAGCCTGACATTTGGCATTGCTTTTACCCTCAAAGCATTTGCTGATTTGCAAGTAGTGGCAAAGAAACTGAGCACAAAAGAATGGCTGAGCAGCGAAGACACTGAGTTGAGATTGCAGCAATCTTAACAGGTCTAAAGGAACAAAAACTGAAATCTGGGGACAACCAAAGAGGAGGGGCCTTGATAAACACCTCAGGCTTTCAGTTGGGACTCACTCTCTGAGAGTTTCAACCTAGTAGGAAGAGTGTAATACACACAGATCAGCCTTACAAAGACAAACCCAGCCTCCAGTCCGCTCAATCCCTTCTTGGATGAAGGTGATCTGCCTCTTCCTTACTACTTGCCAAAAGCAAATGTATGCCTTCTCCTATATCACATCACTCTGAACCTCAAATTATTTCTTCAAGTTTTCATACCCAGTTATCAAGCATACGAAGAGACATGACTACATGACCAAAAATCAAAAGGAAAAATATGATAAGAAGAGACCCATGGAAGATACAGATTTTGGAAAGATCAAAGACAAACTTTTACAATAACTATAATTAGTGAACAAGATGGAGAATTTCATCAGAGAACTAAAATTGTTTTTTAAAAAAGCAGCAAATTAAATTCTAAAACTGAAAAGTACATTAACTAAAATTTAAAGCTAAGTAAATGAATAAAACTTCAACAGATGGATTTAACAGCAGGTTTACCATAACTGAAGAGAGCATTGGTAAATTGGAAAATAGAAGAAAATATTCAGGCTAAATCACAGAGAGAACAAGGGTGGAATACACAAGAAAGAAGGTAAGACATGTAGGAGACAGTAGAAAGGTCTAATTGTATAAGCCCTAGGAGGAGAGACAAGTGAGTGTGGCTGAGAATCTTCTAAAACCAATCAAAGATATCGAACCACAGATTCAGAAGTACTGTGAACCCTATGCAGTGTAAACAGCAAGTCTGGCATGTTTAAATGACAAGACCAGCCTGGCTGTGGCGTGGGAAACAGAGAGGCAAAGTTCTTGGTAGTGGGATTGGACGCAGTAGATCAGGCCGGGCCTTATGAAGAGTTTAGATCTAATTATAATTGTAAGTATTGGAGGATTTTAATAAGGAGAGACATCATCTTCTGTAAGATCACTTTTGCTGCTGTGTTAGATGAATCACAGAGACCACTTAGGTGGTTTGTGTTAGTTGAAGGGAGAAGTGCTTATGTTTTGAATAGAGTTAAAACATATAAGTGGTCATTATTGTGCAGCCAGTTATCCAACTAAAAATAGAGGATTCTGTTACTATGGAGTGGGGGATATGGATGATTGGGATATGACTAGCATTCTTTCTACAGAGATTGAATGAAGGAATAGATCCAGCAAACGAGAGTGAGGAGTTGCCAGTGAAGTAGGAATAAAACCAGGCAATTGTGGTGCCATGGAAGTTTAGCGAAGAAAATGATGCAACAAAGGAGGTGGAGTGGCCAAGTGTGTCACCTACTACTGAGATGTTGAATAAGATGAAGATCGGGAGCCTTTGGCTTTAACAAAATGAAGATCATTGGTAATCTGAAGAGCTATTATAAAGGGCCGAGTACAGTGGTTCACACCTGTAATCCCAGCAATTTGGGAGGCCGAGGAATGAGGACTGCTTAAGGCCGGAAGTTTGAGACAAAACTAGGCAACATGGCAAGACCCCACCTCTCCAAAAAAAAAAAAAAAAGAGAAAAAAAAAATTAGCTGGGTGTGGTGGCACGCACCTGTAGTCTTAGCTACTCAGAAGGCTGAGTGGGAGGATCTCCTGAGCCCAGGAGTTTGAGGTTTCAGTGAGCTGTGGTCATCCCACTGCACTCCGGCCTGGTTGATAGAGAGAGACCCTGTCTCTAAGAAATAAAATAAATAAAAAATGAAAAAGAACTATTGCAGAGGGAAAATAAGGATGAAACCCCAATTGGAGTGGGTTGAAGAGAGAGTAGGATATAGCAAATATAGATAAATATTTTGATGAGTTTGGCTATAGAGGGGAGCAAAGAAAAGAATTAGCTAGCAGAAACAAGGATCATCTGGAGAAAATTTTGTTTTCTTATGGAAGGGCACTATTAAGGAATATAACAGTGACCTAATGAAAATGTGATCACTCATAATGGGGTAGATGTAGTGGGATGGCCACACCTGAAATCACTGAAGCAGGGAAGGGGAGGAACAGCAAATATTCATGAATGATAATAGAGTTTATCATAGATTGTTCCTTAACATATTTGTATTCACTGCTTGAAAGATGGAAATGATAGATAATGCATTATGTATCTGATTTATGCAAGAAAGATAAGAGACAACACCATCCAGCAGATGCATTTTTAAAAGTAGGTAGGGAGTGGGGAGTTTGGCCCTAATAATAATGACAAAGACATATATACAAACACATACCATGTGCTAGGTATTGTTCTGAGTGTTTTACACTTAATTCTCACAGCTGTGTGAAAACAAATCTAAAGATTTGGCAAATTTATGTACAGTGACATATTTTAAGTTAAAAAAAGACATCATCTATTATTTTTTATTATTTTCCACTTTGGCCAGCCTTTTCACATTAGGTAAGAGGGTTTGTACTATACTAAATGTATACTTTTACATGCACAGAGTATCTCTTCAATGATTCATAAAAACTGGTTGTCCCTGGGGTGTGGTTTCAAGTCCTGTTGAAATCTTTCTATATTATATTAGTATGCTTAACTGAGTAAATAATTTAACCTTTCTTTGGTGATTCAGGTTTTTGCAGTGAGTCCACAACACTTTTTGACCATTTCTTCTTCAGCAAATAGATAAAATATTAGCTTATATTCTCACCATTTGTCTCATTTAGATTAAAGTTAAATGCTAAATAAAAATTCTGGTCATTTGGGGGGCTTGTGGGAGTCTAAATAGTTGGATTTAAGATCGTCAGAATTTTACTGTCTATGATATTTGCCAGCATATATATGTCTGCTTCAGAATTATTTGACATATATTTAATTTTAAATCTTTCATTATGTGATATCCTTATAGTATTTTCTGTCTTTGGCAGGAATTAAAAGGTGGAAAAGCTTATGCAAAGGTAAGCAGATGTTCTTTTAACTGTTTTGGAACATGTAATGTTGCTTATTGCTATTTATAGGCTTAAAAATTAAATTGTTTACTCTTCTAATATCTGTTCAAGCTTGGCTCTTTTTGTATGCAACTTGGAGATTGAACAGTTGGATCTAACAGTAAATTATAGGCATATTCTTTCTAAATGCTGATTATGGAATATTATTCTTTAGATTCAGCCTCCCTGCTAGAGGATGATCTCTAGTTTGCATTAAGCCATAGCATGTGATAATTCAAAGGATCTCACCTGGGAAGTGTTGCCAGGCCCACCTCCCCCAACTGTAAGAGGACCTGTCCTTTATGCTGTCTTAGCACTCTGTGTATACATGATCAGTACTGCTGGTTTTTACTTTTACTAGCTATGTGGAATTACTAGAGAATGTGCTCACCTTTTTGCTGACTAGAAGGAATTAGTAACAACATTACCAGAAATTCACATAGTCCTTTTGTATTTCCAGTCTCTGTGAATGGTACCTCCATCAATCCAGTCACCTGAACTGAGAGATTGTACACTAGTCTTTTTTTTCCCCTAATTTTTTAAATTTTGTTTTTTATTTTTGTAGAGATGGGGTCTTGCTATGTTACCCAGGCTAGTCTTGAACTCCTGGCCTCAAGTGATCCTCCTGCCTTGGCCTCCCAAAGTGCTGAGATTACAGGCGTTAACCACCATGCCTAGCCCCTGTACACTAGTTTTAACTTCCATATCTACCAAACACCCTAAATCTAGTTGGTTGCAATGCCAGGATGTTCTTTGTTAAAGTAATAGAAAACCTTCCTCAACTAGAGATTTTTCCTATGTTACAAAACAAGGAGATGTGAGATAGACTTGCTTCAAAACTGGTCAATCCACTGACTGAAGAACGTCATCAAGAACTCATTATTTTTCTCTTTCCATTCTGCCATTCTCTATGTGATGACTTTGTTCTTGGCCAGCTCCCCTCCTGGACACCAGGTGGCTGGCTGCTTAATTTTAAGTCAACACATTCACGTATGACAAAAATCCAGCTGCTTCTCCCTGTATTACTTTTTTTTGAGTGAGGAAATGTTTCCTAGATGGCCCTCGGAGGGTTTTCCCATACCTTTCATTGGCTGGAACTAGATTATATGCCCACCGTAAACTAGTTGTGGGCAATAGGAATGGATTGCCATGGTTAGCTTAAACTAATCACAATCTAACAATGAGCTAGGGTTTGGGTTTCCTTCCTTGTACACATGGGTGAACTGAGGCTGGACGCCTGAATAAAACCAGGGTTTTGTGGCTGGGCGTGGTGGCTCATGCCTGTAATCCCAGCACTTTGGGAGGCTGTGGTGGGAGGATCACTTGAGCCCAGGCATTCATGACCATCCTGGACAAGATGGTGAGACCCTGTCTCAGTAAATAAATAAATAAAATAAATCAAGGCTTTGCTATCAAGGAATAGCAGGGCATTGATTCTGGGCTAGGCAAACAACAAGGTCTGCTGTAGTTGACCAGTCCTCTTGATTTTTCCCCTCTAAAAAGGTCTTGAAACCATACTTTCTCTCCATTCCCAGGGCCACTGCCTCAGGTTATGCCTTCATTATTTTTTATTTACAGCCTGCACTGGCCTTCTAGAGTCTGTCTCTGTTATCTCCCTCCATCCTCCATATTATTGCCAAAATAATCTTTCTAAAATTAAAACATGATCATATCGTTCCCCCATTTTTAGTCCTTTAGCAGCTATTCATTGCTTATAAAGGAAAATGAAAATTTCTTAATTTACGTGTGTCTGGCATGTAAGACACATCTTGTCATCTCTACTGTCATCTGCACATGAACACACAAGTAAACACTCATACATTCATCCTTATGCCTCACACATACCACCCTCACAAACCTGGAGTATCCCATGCTATCTTAGCCTTTTGATTTGTAACTTGATGTTTTTCCTGCCATGCTTATATTTCTCCCTCCTCTTGTCCTGTCAACTCATGTATCGTTAAAGACTCAGCTTAGTCATCCCTCCCCACTGAGAACTTTTCTTTTCCTCTCTTTCTTGTAACTGTGTCTTCCTCTATCACAGCACTTTCACACTGCATTAAAGAATCTGTTCACTTTTCTATCCTCCCCTATTAAACTATAAGAGTAGGAATGACTTCCATATTACCTGAAATGTGGATGCTGAAGATTATTTCATGAATGAATTAATATCTGGGACAAATACAGCTAGTGTTTATGTATATATGCCATTTCATGAGACAGTTACTCAGTGAAGCCAAAGAAAAAATCATAAGGAAACATAGACTTTCTGGTTCTTCACTAGAATGTAAGCTCTTTCAAGGCGGAGTAGGTGTCCTGTTCATCACTGTTTCCCAGTGTCTGCAACTGAGCCTGTCATATAAAAGATGCTTGATAATATTGACTTCACTCATTAGTAACTTTTAGCCTGAAATATCACATTGACATGCCCCACCTTTTAATATACTTTTTAATAGGGGCTGTCTTAGTTAGTTTGGGATGCTATAGCAGATTACCATAGATTAGGTGATTTAAACAACGTTTATTTCCTGCAGTTCTGGAGGCTGGGAAGTCCAAGATCAAGGTGCTGGTGGATCCAGTCTGGTGAGGGCCTGCTTTCTGCTTTGCAGATGTCTGTCATCTCATGGTGTCCTCAAATGGCAGAGAGCAGAGAAAAAGGAAGCAAGCTCTCTTTTGTCTTTTTAAAAGGGCATTAATCCATTCTTGAGGACTCCACTCTCATGACCTAATTACCTCTTATAGGCTCTGCCACCTAATACCACCCTTTTGGGGGTTAGGGTTTCAACATATGAATTTTGGGGGGACATAAACATGCAGGCATAAGAGGCACTGATCAGATTCTCCCCCTTTTTAACTTATTGACATTGTAATATACCAACATTACAATAGTAGATGGTAAGCCAATGGGCTATTGTTTTATTCAACAAATATGTATTAAGTGCCAGGCACTGTTCTTGGTACTATTCTAAGTACTGGAGATACAGCAGTGAACAAAACAGACAAATCCCCTGCATTTGTGGAGCTTACATGCTAATGGAAGCAGGGGTCGTTGGAGGAACAGACAATATGCAAATATGAAATATGTGTGTACATGATGTGATAGTAACTACTAAGGAGAAAAATAGAGGGGGTAAGGGGTGGAAGGCGGTAACTACAAGGTAAGGCAGGGAAGAGGGATGTGATATAGGATGGTCAGGGAAGGCCCCTTTAGAGAGATGACTTTTAAACATTGACCTGAATGGAGTAAAAGAGAAAGTTATAAGAAAATCCGAGAGACAGCATTTCCCGCAAAAGAACAGTAAGTGCTAAAGGCCTTGAAGTGATCTTGGCATTTTCAAGAAAGAGGACATTGTGGCTGCCAGAGTAAATGCGGAGGAGGAGGAAATGAAGTTGGCCAGGTAGCCAGGCACAGAGGAATAGGAGACCGCAGAGAAAACTCTTCCAAGAGGAACGAGATCATGACCTTTTCAGGGACATGGATGGATCTGGAATCCATTATCCTCAGCAAACTTATGCAGGAACAGAAAACCAAACGCTGCATGTTCTCACTTATAAGTGCAAGCTGAGCAAATGTTGATCACGTGGACACAGGGAGGGGATCAGCACACACTGGGGCCTGTCGGGAGGGGGCGGGAGGAGCAAGAGCATCAGGAAAAATAGCTGTTGCATGCTGGGCTTAATACCTAGGCGATGGGTTGATAGGTGCAGTAAATCACCATAGCAAACTATGTGACAAACCTGCACGTCCTGCACATGTACCCCAGAACTTAAAATAAAATCAAAATTTAAAAAACTCTTACAGGAAATCTTGCTGTAAAGAGGGCCAGAGAAATGGTTCAATAGCCTGGAGAGAGACAAAGGGTGAGGTTTTGTTTTGTTTTCTTTTGTTCATTAAAGTAGGAGAAAATCCAGCATGTTTGTGTGCTTTTGGAAACGATCCAGCAGAGAAGGGAAATTTTAGAATGCACAAGAGCAGAAAGCATAACTGAAGTGATTAACTTGAGTGGGTGAGAGGAGAGTGGTTGGCCTCAGACAGTGCTGTAAGTGGGAAAGCAAGCATGTGGGCACAGATGCAGGTAGGTGAGTGGATGTCACTGGCAGTAAAAGCTTATGGAAGTTAAGTGCTCTTTTGATTGCTTTAATTTTCCGATTGAAATAGGAAGTAAGGTCATCAGCAGAGAGTGAGGATGAGAAAGCGATGTTGGAGGGTCAACGAAAAGGATAATGTATGAATCATAATAGGGTGCACTGATAATGTGTGATCATTCATGTAAGTATTCACATGCCCAGTTGGATATGGCTTTGTCCTGGACATATCCAAGCTTTTTCTGCTGATCTTTTGCCCCTCTAAGAGAGGCAATAAGACAGCTGGGCGCGGTGGCTCACACCTGTAATCCCAGCAATTTGGGAGACTAAGGCAGGCGGATCACGAGGTCAGGAGATCGAGACCATCCTGGCCAACACGGTGAAATCCCATCTCTACTAAAAATACAAAACAAAAATTAGCCAGGCGTGGTGGTGGGCGCCTGTAGTCCCAGCTACTTGGGAGGCTGAGGCAGGAGAATGGCGTGAAGCTGGGAGGCAGAGCTTGCAGTGAGCCAGAGCTTGCAGTGAGCCAAGATCGTGCCACTGCACTCCAGCCTGGGTGACAGAGCGAGACTCCATCTCAAAAAAAAAGAGAGGCAATAAGACTAGAGTAACCATGTGCAAATTAGGTGGGTATTACTGCTGCCTGATGTGTGTCTGACTTATTGCATTTGGGGCTTGTGGCCCTTCAGCTGCTCTCTGGGTTCTTATTCTTACATTCTTTTTGTACCAATTAAAAGCTATTAAAATAATGCTCCAGCCTGCAATTAAAATATTCATCTTGAATGCCATTTATATGTGCCCACTGTGTGTTTTAAAACCCTAAGGCAAACAACTTAGAATCACAGCAGTTTTTGAAATGTATAATACTTTTTATTGTATATTTATGGAAATATGCTTAATAAGTTGCAACTCAATTCATTTTTTGTTAATAAAAAGACTGTATATAGACTTAGCTTGCTCAAAAAATGATACAATGAGGTTGATTTGTTGTACCACATGGAAATGAGAAACAGGGTTGAGCAACAACAGAGGAAAGACTATAGGGCAACCTTTGGCAGCTGCAGAAAATGGGGACTGAACCTGAGCAGTAATAACAAGAAGGAACAGGTTTGAGCTGAACATCTGACAGCAGCAGAGAGGGTTGATGTGGGGCAGAGTTCTGAGAAAGGGAGGAATTAGGTTTCATAAAGAGAGATTTAGTTCAAGGATGATCAGCAAGGCAAATGTGGAAGGTAGTGAAAGAGAAGGCACTGGTACCAAAGAAAATAGGTGATTCACTTAAGTCACTCCAGTTCTTGCATGGGAAGTGAAAACTTAATAACCTGCAACTATCTGCCTTCACCAGTGGTTAACTTGGCATAGAACTGGACCCAGAATAGGGAGAGAAGGGTCTAATCATTCTTCTCTATGTGTATGCAAATTATCACTCTTGGTTTGCTAGTATTTCCCACAGGGTGGTGTAAATACCACTATTTGCAATGATTTTAGCTGTTTGATACACATTATTTTTACTTTAACAGTAATATATATTCTTTAATGTATATAGAAAAAATATATTTACCACATCAAATCTGAGTTCAAAGATCCTGTTGCTGAACGCAAGAATAGAATAAATAAATTCATATAAAAGGTGAACCAATTTAAAAACACAAAGCAAATAATAGAACAGGTATTAAGAGTCAAAAATTGCAAATAAATGAAGTTGGAGAAAACCTGTCTAGGGTATGGGTTGAATATTTATTTTAAGGAGCATATGATAGAAGCCTACTAGATAGTCTATTAATATAATTCTCTTTCTTTTCATAGCTGGGCTTTGCAGATCTAAACCTGGCAGAGTTTGCTGGATCAGGAAATACCACTCGCCGCTGTTTACTGGAAGGCTATGATACCAAAAATACAAGACAGGATAATTCCATTCTTAAAGTAAGCACGTTTCAGGATTTACTTGTCAAGAATAAAATTATCTGCCTTTAAATAAGCGTATGTATATATTGTCAAGGACAAGATGTGAATCAGTGCTGATATGATAAACTGACCATACCACTGAAGTATTCATCACTTAGGGAAAAACCCCATCTAAGTCACAAATGCAGTGAAAAGTAACAAATGTTCACCTTCATGGTCCAAAGGTGTTTTTCTTTGACGTTTGAGCATTCAGAGAATACATACACCACTATAACATAAGAGCTCATTGGGAGGAAGGAGCATGATGAATTAATGAATACCTTAAAATGTTTGTAGCTCCCATAAGGTGATTTACAGAGCAGCTGCGATAGGTACATAGAAGCCACTGTGTTCTCTTGTAAACTAGTGAAGTGACAGATGGAACCCACTTCTGGGCATCTGCCCGGCTTTTTCCAAGTACCATCAGGAGCTATGTGCTCTAGTAATGAGTGCGAATGTATACTTCATAGAGTTAATTGTAGTATTAAATGAGATTAATTGAGAAAATATTTGTAAAGTACTTTGCGCCTAGGAAACCCCATTAGATAGACCTTTTGCAGTGTTTCAGTTAGGTTACCCCATGATGGTAAGTTATCTAATAAGAAAGGAAAATAGTTCTGAGTAAAAACTGGTGTTCAAAAGTTAGTGAAGCAAAGAATTACCTGATACTCTACAGTTTTCAAACTTTTTTGCAGCAAATCTTAAGCTCTGAACATACGAAAATGTGTAAAATGGTTATTATGGCCAGTCCAATGCATAAAGTGGTTTTTGTAACCCTCACACAAATTTAGCAGCTGGAAAGAAAGGTGGGACAGCGAGTTGATATGGGAAGGAAAATGTTCAGAAGACAAGGAAGAAATTAGAAAAGTATCACAATATAAACTTCTGTACACATCATGTTGATTGCATAGTTTTGTGGTTTTATAACTCTAAAAAGTTTTCAAAGCACTTGCCCATATCTCCATGAGATGAACAGGGTTAGACGGATGAGGATAGATTGTTATTCACATTTTATAGATGAAGAGCTGAAACTAAAGTATCTCACAAAAGTAGTCAGTGGCAGAGCTGGGACCACAGTGCATGTCTTCTCCTGCCTGGTCAGGGTTCTTATTTCCTCGTATTTCTTATATGAAAAGATGGATAATTCTTCTCAGAATGACAATGTTTTCATTGGAAATTGAAATAACTTTTTAATTTCAGACCCCCACTTTCCTAAGAGCCAACTCATGGAGTAATTTCCTTCTGGCTTCCCATTCATCCTTCCACACCGTCTCTCCCACTTTGTCCTACAAAAAAAAATACTCTTTGAAGATCATGCCATTCAGTCATAACACTCTCTCCTTTCCCAATCTCTGCCATCTCCTGACCCCTTAGGTACCGTCTCGCTCCTATCCATTGATGACTTAGCTCCTGGCTCACAGTTTTTCTCTATATCTCTTCTCAGGTCATCATTTTTCCATAGCTTCACCATCTGTGCAGACGAGCTAGCCTTGTGGACTATCTTATCTATATTTTCTCTCCTGATAGCTGATCTTCTATGAGTCTAAGGCTTCTCGGTTCCTTAAACTCCCTATCTCCAGCAATATTTTCCTCCTCCTCATCTCAGTTCCTACTCCCATGGTCACACTCTAGAGTCTAGACCTTTTTACTCCTAGAAACTTCACCCCCAAAAAATTTCAATTTAAAGTTTTCTTCCTCCTACCACTGTCTCTTATGTTTCCAGTCCTCTTAGTCTCCTACTCACTTAGCTATCTTTAACCTTACCACTCTCCCACTATCCATCAGCCCTGACTTGCTTCTACTTCCCTGTCTATCCAGCTTAAATTTCATGGGTCCATAAGGGCAGGAGTTCAAGACCAGTCTGGGCAACATAGTGAGAACCCCATCTCTAAAAAAAAAAAAAAAAAAAAAAATACTCCTGGCTCCTCTGTCCCTGTCTCCCTGCATTGTCTGAATAATCCCCAACTTTTGTTAACTCACTTATTAAATATCTACCCTTGCATGCTGAGCATTGCTGAAGAGAATCACACAACCAGACTAGCTGCCATTACTAAAGCCATGCTCACTGCCATCTGGCAGTCATACTCTACTTCCTTCATATGCTTCCTTTCTCAATTTTAGATATTCTGTCTCATACCTTTTTTCTCCTCGTATCCCAACACATTATTCTTGCTCTCAGATACTGACCTTGCCTTATCCTATTGAGAAAACAGAAGCCATTAAACTCAAATTCCCTCATCTTCCCATCATAGACTTTACCTGCCTCTCCCGCCTTATCCTTTTTGTCTCCTGTTACAATGGATGGCATGTCCCCTCTCCTGTCAGAAGTCAGTCCTTCCTCTTGGCTTCTGGAATCCAAAGTTTGCCTAATCAAGAGCTTTACCCCTTAGACTATCCCCTCTTCTCATCATCTCTACCTCGAATGAATCATCCTCATCAACATATAAAGAAACAGCTCCACTGTTTCCCATATTTATAAAGAAAGACAAAAATTAACCTCTCATCTTCTTCAACTACTGTCCCACATCTCTGTTCTACTTAACTATTCAGTTCCTTAAAGCTGTATGTGCCATCTCCATCTCCTTTCTGAGACATCCGTGATATTCAAGAGTGCAGTTTTGATGGAGTTGGAAAGCAGACCTCAGGGTTCTATGAAAGAAGAGATGATGAGGAAATCAGTGCAGCAGGATAGATTTGGCATTTAAAGAGAAAAAAGAGTCATGGAGGTGCTGGGATGAGGAGATAGGAATGAAATAAGGCTATATAAGATACATGTCATCCATTAGCTGCAGAACATACAACAATGTACATATTCTTGTATTCATTAAGACTATGAATTTTGCTATGTGCAGCCCTGGGATCACATCTCAGCTCTGCCCTTTACTAGTTATCTGGTTTTTAAAATATCACTTAATCTCCCTGAGGTTAAAATGAAAATAATTGCTCTCTCCTAGGAATACTGAAAATTAAAGGAAATAATGCATATTAAACACATAGCTTATGCCTGGCACATAATGAATTCTCAAATCATGATTGTTGTTAATGTTGTTGTTACTATTACCATTATCATTATTATTCCCATAAGAACATAAAGAGGTCCTATGACTGACTGTTAAAGGTAGTCAGCAACTAGAGAATAGCAGCATCTTAGAAAGTATTAGAAAAGCTTTAAATCCTGGTTGGGCACAGTGACTCACACCTATAATCCTAGCACTTTGGGAGGCCAAGGGGTAGGATCACTTGAGGCCAGGAGTTCAAGATCAGCTTGGACAACATAAGCAAGACCTCATTTCTGCAAAAAAAAAAGAAAAAGGAAAGAATTAGCCAGGCGTAGTGTGCACCTATAGTCCCAGCTACTCAGAAGGCTGAGACAGGAAGATCATGAGCCCAGGAGTTTAAGACTGCAGTGATCTGTGATAGCACCACTGCACTTCAGCCTGGGTGACAAAGCAAGACCTTATCTCAAGAATTAAAAAAAAAAAAAAAAAAGTTTTAAATTCTGATCTAAAGCTGGAACAAAGGTCAGAAGCTTTTTACTCTTAGAAGCCACCAGCTGGCATCCCTTGAAACATCAACGTGGCAACTTGAAGGAAAACATTACCAGACACTTAGGTACCACAGGAATTTGGGAGTAAAGACAGATAGATTAGCACAGCCACACACCCACAGGATTATTACTGGTAAATTATTATTGCTATTTGTTTCCATTATTTCCATTCAGATTTTTGCAATTTTGAGGTTTTGAATGTTAAAAATGATTTTAATCTATATGGAGCAGTAATTGAATATTGAATATAACCCACTTCTTCTTTTTTTTTTTTTTTTTTTAATAGAGACAGGGTCTTGCTCTGTTGCCTAGGCGGGAGTGCAGTGGCATGACCATAGCTTACTATAACCTCAAACTCCTGGGCTCAAACAATCCTCCTGCCTTAGCCTCCCGTGGATATAACCCAATTCAACAATCATTTTATTTAATGCTTTCCCAATAGAAAATATCGGACTAAGTGCTGTGAAGGAAGCATTTTATAATTTTTTATAATCGTGATATTTCTTGTTTTATATTTAGGTTTTGATCAGTATGCAACTGATGTCTGGTGACCCATGTTTTAAAACGTAAGTTGATACCCAATAAATGGATTATGTATCTAAAAGTATAAGAAAGATTTATTTGTTTAAATTTTTACATTAATATTTTGTAGTGCTTATAAGAAAATACCAGTTAAGGGATAGTTTCTTCCCTGGGAGACTGACCTGACCCTCTTAGAAGTTATGTTTACCTATTACCAAATGAGTTCTCCATACTCCAAATTATTAATGCTATAGGTCTTTCATCATCTTCGGGTTTTGCGTAAAATTATATAAGCAAAAATTTTTAATACGGCTTCTGTGAACATATTCATTTCTTCAATAAACACCTATTAAGTGCCTTACCATGTGTTAGGCCATATTCTAGATACTAGAGAAACAGCTGTGAAAAAAATAGATTAAGTCCCTGCCATCCTGGAGCTTATATTCTAAGAGGAAAATGGACAATAAGCTAACAAGTAAATATATAATATACAAACGGTTCATAAGCGCTTTGGAGAAAAAGGATGGGAGGGCCATCGTGAAGAGAAGTGTTGCTATTCTATATATAGTAGTCAGGGGAGGCCCCCCCCGGTAAAGATGATATTTGAGTAGAGACCTGAAGGAGGTGGGAAGCAAGTCACACTGGCATTAGGGGGAAGAGTATTTGAGGTAGAGGAAACAAGGACAAAGACCTTGAGGGAGAAGTGTTCTTGGCACGTTCAAGTAGCTGCCTGGAGAGCAGCGGGTCTAAAGCAGAGTGAATGAAGAGGCGGGTGATAGGAGATGAGGTCAGATGATAAGGAGTCTTGTGGCCATTATAAAAAGGACTGCCACTCACACTCTGAGTGAGATAGAAAAGCTATTGGAGGTTTTGAGCAGAGGAGTAAAATTATCTGACTTGTGGCTGCTAGATAGGGAATAGACAATCTGTAGGAGTAACAGAGAGGACAGGGACACAAATAAGTAGATAAAAGGCTGTTTTCAGTAATCCAAGGTTTTAAGCCTGAGTAACTGGAAGAATGGTGCTCTCATTTGTTGAGATGAGAAAGACAAGAGGAACAAATTGGGAGCTTGGGTGTTAGACGTTTTAAATTGGAGATCCCTATTTAACATCCAGCGGGGCATGTCAAGTAGGCAATTGGTGGATAGATCAACTAGAGTCCAGTGGGGAGATCTGGGCAGGAGATAGAAGTTTGGAAATTATTACATCATCAGCATACAGGTAGTAATTAAAGCCATGAGACTTGAATAAGTAACTAGAGGGAACGAGTAGAGATGGAAAAGAACCAGAGACTGAGGTGGGGACACCCCAGCGTGTTAGAGGTCGGGGAGATTGGGAAGAAGAATGAGCAAAGAAACCACCAGTGTGATCAGAGGAGGAAAGCAAAGCAGAGTCCTGTCCTGAAAACCAAATGAAGAAACGGCCTCAGAAAGGCAGGAATAAGCACCTGTGTCACACGCTGCTGGAGTGGGTCTCAGAAAATGAGGACTGAGGATTGACCTTTGGAATTTGCAGTATAGAGACTATTGATGACTTTGGCAGGCACTTTGGTAGAATGCCCTTAGACTAAAGCCTTTTGAGCATGGGTTAAAGAGAGTTTGGGAGGAGAAAAATTGGAGACAGTGAGTATAAACAATTCTTATGAGGGGTTTTGCTATAAAAAAGAAACAGAAAGATGGGGTCATAAGTAAAGAGAGGATTTGGAGTAGGGCAGGTTTTATTCATTTTTAAGATGGAAGATGATATAACATATTTGAGTACCAATAGTATTGGCTCAACAAGAGGGAAAAACTGATGATCCAGAAAAGGGACTGTTGCTAGAACAGCGCCCTTGGATTGTTGGAGGGAGGAAGGCAGAGAACATGGCTACTGACGCAGGTAGAGGAGAAATGGAAGCATATAGAAGTTCTTTTCCAGTTGCTTCTGATTTCTTAGTGAAATAGGAAACAAGATGCTCATTGAAGAGCAAGGACAGGGAAGATAGAGGAAGGGGTTTGAAGAAAGGAAAAGGTGTGCAGAAGTCCTCACAGAGAGTGAGCATGAATGGAACAGGGAAATGCAGGATTGCCTGTCAGCAGCCTTGAGGACACTTAATGATTAAAAGTGAAAGTTCATTGATACCATTGAAATATCTGAGAAAAATACACATAGAAAACTAAAGAAAACATTACCTCCCTATGTATCAACTTCATGTTTTTAATAGCTGTAACTTAGAAAGCAACATTTGGCCGGGCTCGGTGGCTCACGCCTGTAATCCCAGTACTTTGGGAGGCCGAGGCAGGAGGATCACTCTACAAAAAATACAAAAATCAGGCGTGGTGATGCACACCTGTGGTTCCAGCTACTTGGGAGGCTAAGGGGAGGATTGCTTGAGCCTGGGAAGTGGAGGTTGCAGTGAGCCAAGATTGCACCACTATACTCCAGCCTGGGTGACAGAGCAAGCCCCTGTCTCAAAAAAAAAAAAAAATCAATTCTTGATTAAAACCACACATCTTCCTATAACTTAGCCTTCCTGTGCTGTCTTCTGATAAACCATGGTTTCCTGACTCCTTTATTTTCTGCTTTCTTGGGATTAAACCAATTTTGCTATACTATTTTTGGTGTCTCAGGTAACTGTTTTTCTATTGGAGTAAGATTTAGGGTAAAATAAGAAAATGAGCAGCAAAACTTAGTAGAAGAAAATAAATTGATCGTTCCTTCTCATGAACTTTTTATGGATATTCCCTTTCTTGCCCTTTCTCTTCCCTTTTCTCTCTCTACTTAAACTCACATATTGAAGAGCTTGAAAGTAGATCATCTAATGTTTTATATTATCTCCATAAATTTAATTCTGACAATCTGGAGTTTATATTTACAGAGAAAGACTTTTGTAATTCATAAAAATAAGCAGACATTACCTAATTCCAAATACATAAAATATTTTTCAAGAGAATCAAACCCTCAGTAGTTTTTCTTTTCTCTTTGAAATTGTTCAAATGTCATTGAAAAAGGGGAAATTCTAACACATTCATACACTTGCACATACTGAATATGTACTGAATAGAAAAACATTTTAACTACTGATGTAAAAAGTAAATTAGTTTTATCAAGTTATATTTAAATATATGTCAAATATGTAAAGTCACATTACTTTAGAGCCGAAAAGAATGTTGGAAGTTGTCTAATCCAGTGATTTTTTTAGACTATTTAGCTACAAAATCCTTTGCTCAAATATATTATGAGGCCAAGCATGGTGGCTTATGCCTGTAATCCCACACTTTGGGAGGCCAAGGCAGGTGGGTCACTTGAGTCCAGGAGTTCACGACCAGCCTGGGCAACATGGTGAAACCCTGTCTCTACCAAAAAATAAATTAAAAAATTAGCCAGGCGTGGTGGTGCGCCTGTCGTCCCAGCTACTCAGGAGTCTGAGGTGGGAGGATCCCTTAAGCCCAAGAAGCTGAGGTTGCAGTGAGCCAAGATCATGCCACTGCACTCCAGGCTGGGTGACAGAGCAAGACCTGTTTCAAAAATAAAGCAAATATATTATGAATCCTAGTATATAAAATTTTACTTTATATCCCCTCCAACTTAGGTAAGATAAGAATAGATTTTCCATTGAGCACACTCCCATACCTACTTCCAGAAGTCCCTAAAGGAGATCATGAAACCAGTTTTAAAAGTGTTGGTGTAATCCAAGTTCTCATTGTACAGATGAGGAAACGGAGTAACAGAGCAATTGTGTGACTTTACTCAGTATCTTTGTCCAGAATGAAGATGTAAATAACTGCTGGAGGGCTTCATTCTACCATTGTCTGCTTTTGTCTATCTTTAAATTTTTCATGATATAAATTGTTTTAAATTTACTTGAGAAACAGGAGTATAGCAGATCCTTAGTCTCAAGTTTAAATCCTAGTTTTAATATTTTCTGAGCAGAAGATCTGTGACATAGATTGTATAATTCTTCTGAAGCACCAATTATATACCATAAGGCCAGAATTTATGAAGAAGACAGCTGGTAAGTCAGCCTAACCACCTACCCTAAACTTTATTGCATAGTTCTCTACAACTCATCAAACACCCACCAACTCTTGTAAAAGAATGAAATTCACTCTGAAAAGTGCTAATAAAGAAAAAAGATATTTTGAGAGAGAAAGTGTATACTCTGCTGGCATTTGGGAATGTGGTGGCAAAGCAGATCTAGGGGTGATATAAGTCTCTTGAATAGCAAGGTTCTGACGCGTTCATATTCCAAAAGGAAGGAAATTATCATTTGTGAAAATGATTTCATGAATGTTACTGTCTCTCAATTCTTAAAACTCTGTAATATAAATATTATCCATATTTTTGAGTGAGGACATCGAGACTAAGAGGTTAAGGAATTAATTCTTCCAGGGTCCCAGGATGCAATCATTCATTCGGTACATGTGTATTGATTGCCTGCCACATGCCAAGACTTAACAAGCTAGAAAAGACCAGCCCCTGCTCTGAAGGGATTCACTGATTACGTGGGAGACAGGCACACAGCATACAGTGTCACTGGGGCACACAGGATAGGATCCCTAGCCACAGTTCTTTGAAAGCCAGGGAAATCTTTACTGAGAAGGGGACACTGAGCTAAGTTTAGGGGATGACTAGGAATTTACTAAGCACAGGAGGTAGGTAGGGACACCCCAGGAGAGAAAACTGTGCACAAGTTTATGCCATCGTTACAGGGCATTGAGTATTTAAGAAATGTCAAATAGGTAATGTTGTCGTTTTATGAGGTCATTTTTCACATATTCTTAACATTACTATAAAGCAATCAAATTAAAGTAATCCCATTTCTTTTTCTATACTTGACCCACATTAAGTGATTTCAGATGAGATATAAAAGCATTTTCAGAACAAAAGGGGTAATGGAACAAAAACTGGCACATGGCAAGCACTCAGTGATTATTTATTCAACAAGACTGAGTTGTCCAGGGAGGTAAGAGAGCTGCCAAGCCCCAGCTAAGATTTTGGATTCTAAATTTGCTTTACTATCAGTCCCCATAGTCAGTGAATTTTCTCCATAATGCTTAGTTGCCCCAGTAATAGAGCAGTTAGTATAGATGGCTGATATTATCAAGGGTTGCAGTTCTTCAGCTTTTTTGAGACCGCAGAACAAGGGGTGCCAAATTGAAGGTGTTGCTTAAAGAGTTGTGGCTGTGGAGTCAGGCTGGAAGGGAGAATGGAGCCAGAGGGAAATAGAGAGGGAAGGGGCCAATGTTTGGGAGTTCTGAGGGTTGGAAAACAGGTCTAAGACATAGAGGGGATAGGGACACTGTAATCAGGTCACCTGTGAAAGAAACTGGCATTAAAAAGGTAAGAATTTTTAGACATGCAGGCATGAGTCAGCCATCAGTGATTAATGACTATGACTGTAGGCTCCATTCTTTGTGTTTCTTCTGTGTATTAGTTTTTCCCATGAAATATTTAATGCAGGGTGTTTTTTTTTTTCCACAAAGCTATTTTACATTATTTGAAAATACAGCCCGAGCGTGGTGGCTCACGCCTGTAATCCCAACACTTTGGGAGGCCGAGGTGGATGGATCACCTGAGGCCAGGAATTCAAGACCAGCCTGGCCAACATGGCGAAACCGTGTCTCTACTAAAAATACAAAAATTAGCCAGGCATGGTGACGGGCACCTGTAATCCAAGCTACTCAGGAGGCTGAGGCAGGAGAATCACTTGAACCCGGGAGGCGGAGGCTGCAGTGAGCCGAGAGTGCGCCATTGCACTCCAGCCTGGGAAATGAGCGAAACTCCGTCTCAAAAAAGAAAAAAGAAAGGAGAAAGAAAATACAGCTGTTGGTAATTGAAGAGGCAGGTCTAGGCCAGACTGCAAGTTCTGAGGGATTTGAGTTTTATGCCGAAGGAGCTATGGAGGGGTTTTAAATAAGAGAGTAACATGTTCAGAGGCAAGTTTCAGAAAGACCACAGTGACAGTAGCATGGAGTAGAGATTGGCAGACCAGCAAGGAGACCCTTGCAGTCAGCCAGGAGAAAGGTACAAAGGCCAAAACTCAAGTAATTAGTGGAGATGGAGAAGAGATGATGAATAGGAAAAATACTAAATGAGGATCTGAGATTTGGAAATTGATTGGACATGGGAAAATGTTATTAGGAAGGAGGCAGAGGTGATATCCGTAATTCTAGTTTTGGTGACTTTGTGGATTGCAATGACATTTACAGAGAGAATACAAGAAGAAAACAGTTTTGGGAAAGATGAGTTTAGTTGGGGAGATATTGAGTTTCACGTACCTGTAGGACAAATACTTGAAAGCGTCTCAATAGGATATGTAAGTCTAGAATTTAGGAGATCCTAGGCTGGAAATAGTCAATAAATGCAATAGATTTAATAGCAATCTTAAATGTCTCTATCCCCAAGAATCCGAGTAGCCTGAGAACTCCATTAAGAATAACAGGGTAAGAATTTAAGAATTGCCATAAAGCAGGTCAGCTGCATGATTCCTTCAGCCACCTCCCTGTTTTATCTCTGGTCACCAAGGCATAGTTTCTGGGAAGATGTGGTTTTCCTCTGCAATATCAGCCTCAAAAGGTTAGGGATTGGCTGGGCATGGTGGCTCGTACCTGTAATCCCAGCACTTCAGGAGGTCAAGGTGGAAGGATCACTTGAGACCAGGAGTTAGAGACCAGCCTGGGCAACATAATGAGACCCTGTCTCTAAAAAAAAATGTTTTTAGAAGGTTAGGGATGTTTTCTAATAAAAATCCCTATGTTAAAAAGGAAACCCAATGGGATCACTAGTCAACAATAATTTGTTGCACGTTTTAAAATAACTGAAAGAGTCTGGGCACCATGGCTCACATCTGTCATCCCAGCACTTTGAGAGGCTGAGGCAGATGGATTGCTTGAACCCAGGAGTTCGAGACCAGCCTGGACAACATAGGGAGACCCCCATCTCTGCAAAAAAAATTTAAAGTCTCTACTAAATGTAAAAAAAAGCCAGGCATGGTTCTGTGTGCCTATAGTCCCTGCTAACTGGGGGACTAAGGAAGAAGGATTGCTTGAGCTGGAGAAGTGGAGGCTGCAGTGAGCCATGATTGCGCCACCGCACTCCAACCTGGGTGACAAAGCGAGACCCTGTCTCAAAATAAATGAGTAAAAAATAAAAGAGTATAATTGGACTGTTTTGTAAGAAAGGATAAATGCTTGAGGTGATGGATACCCCATTTACCCTAATGTGATTATTATGCATTGCATGCCTGTATCAAAATATCTCATGTAACCCATAAATGTATATACCTATTATGTATCTACAAAAATAAAAAAATATTTTTTTTTTGAGACGGAGTCTCGCTCTGTCGCCCAGGCTGGAGTGCAATGGTGCAATCTCGGCTCACTGCAACCTCTGCCTCCCGGGTTCAAGTGATTCTCCTTCCTCAGCCTCCTGTGTAGCTGGGACTACAGATGCATGCCACCACACCCGTCTAATTTTTGTATTTTTAGTAGAGACTGGGTTTCACCATGTTGGCCAGGCTGGTCTCGAACTCCTGACCTCAGGTGATCCACCCGCCTTGGCCTCCCAAAGTGCTGAGATTACAGGCGTGAGCCACTGCACCCAGCCAAAAATTTTTAAAGAAAAAAAAAACTGTTAGAAATTAAATTTACCCCTCCTTGCTTCACAGCTTTTACGTGGAATAGGAGTTTGAATTAACCAATGAAAATAGATCCATTACTACTCCCAGAGAATCCAATCCAAAAAACAAATCTAAACAACTGGGCCTCTCTGTAGACTCTCCCTGGGCAGGTGAACTGTTTACAGAGATGAAGGTAGAAGATAAAACCATGGATACTATTTAAAAAGTGAGTGGAGCCAGCCAGGGAGCACAGTCTCTGAAGCAGGAGGCACGAGGCATTCTCCTCCCAGCCTGATTCAAAAGGGCTTGGCACTGCCTTCCTCAGCTGAAAGGTGCTGTCCTGAGTTGACAGTTAGAGCAACCCTCCCTTGACCAGTGCTGGGTTCACACTGACAGAGGCCTCTCTTTTTAGGACTCTATGGAGACAATGCCCTTTTCTTGTTATGTTAAAAAAAAAAAAAAAAACCCTTTTCTTTTATGAATTTTATTCAAGTTTTGAAAAGATGCTTATACGTTATTTGCTGATCTTTGTTACTTTCACTCTCAAAGGGGTAACATTACCAAGCAGTCTATGCTAAGGCTTACTAAGCTCACCAATCAATAACTATTGTAAACTTTGAGGCTCCCCCACAACTCCAGTTCGTAAATGTTTATTTACAGGCCTCCCTCCACTTCAATGTCTATACCAATTGCTGGTGAATCTGAATCTTTGCAAGAAGATAGAAAAGGTGGAGAGACTCTCAAAGTGCATCTTGGAATAGCAGGTATGGATGTGTGGCTTACTGGTTTTTTAATTTGTGAGAGACGACTTGATGCCCTAAAAATTCTTTGGGAATTGTGTGGGTATTTGACTTGAAACAGGCCAATAAGAATCAACAGTTTTAATTATGTAATTCTTGGTTGATCCAGTGCTTTATTTTGTCTAAAGTATTGTGCTCTGACAGATTAAAAACTAGATGTTACAATGACACTCTCCTCACTGTATGCATCTACTCCCCACAGGTACAAGAGAATACTACAGGATTTTTTCCATTTTTCCCGTTCCATTACCCTGCAACTTCTGCAAAGCAGCTTCTGCCTCTCGGGTGTCGCTCCTCTTCCATGAATCGCTTTCCCTCTGTCAGTGGTTCTCAAGCCCTAGTGTGCATCAGAGTCTCCTGGAGGGCTTGTGAAAACACAGGTTGCTGGCGGCAGCAGCCAGAGTGTTCGATTCAGTAGATCTGGGTTAGAGCCTGAAGTTTTGTATCACTAAGGCATTCCCACAAGACGCTGATGCTGCTAGTCCCTGACCACACCTTGAGATCCACATTTCCAGACACACTTCTGGCAGCAGTCAGAATCTGCTCCAGAAGTAAAAGCATGGTGGGGATAATGTCAAGGTTGCAGGAGGAAAAGGACTTAGGAGCTTCCTTCTTTCTTCAGTATTATGTGAACAGGATGTATTGTTTGAAAGAAGGGAAAGGTGAAGTTATATAATTAACCCTTTCACTGCCTTTTAAAATATGCAAATATTTGGTTTCTTATAAATAATGGTGACTCTGAAATTTCCTGTTTTGGGATCAGTGGATCTTTTGGGAACTTGTAACCATTCCATTAGCTCCTTCTCTTCAGCATGTAAATATGCTGATTTCTTTCTCCTACTGAAAAAATGAAAACAAAAACTCCTTAGCCCTACATCCTTCTCTATCTACTGCACTCCCTTAGACTCCAGCAGGCTGGCGCATGTGCTCACATGCTCTCTCTCTTCCCCCACTCTGCCCCAAATATAGATACATCTCTCTCTCTCTCTCTGTGTGTGTGTGTGTGTGTGTGTGTGTGTGTGTGTGTGTGTGTGTGTGTGTGTGGAGAGAGAGAGAGAAAGATCAGCAAGAGATGATATATGTACCACACACTTCTTATAGCCAAACTTCTAGAAAGAATATACTGTCCATTTATTCCTAAACACATTAGCAGTCTGGCTTCCATCATCTGCCCTCTCTTGCTGCTATCCCCTGATACATGATTGTCAAGTCCTGTGGACATTTGTTCTGGTCTTATCTGATGGCCAGTTATTCATTCTTGATGCTTTCTCTTCCCTTGGCTCCTACCTCTCTGATCTTTCCTTTTCTAGCTTCTTAGAGGCTTCTTCATCTTCCTCCAACTTCCCTTTACATATTGATGTTCCAAAGGGTTTGGTCCCCTCACTTCCTTGAGCAATACCATCTATACCCTTGGCTTTATCTATCACATAAATGTAAATGTGATTCTGTGATGTACATGTGATCAAATGCTTTGGGGAAAGGTCCACTTCATACCAAATGTAACACTGAAATCCATCTGTTTCTCTTTCTACCCAGCCAGAGTCTAACTAAGTTCTTCATGATCAGGTCTTATTTATTTCTGTATCCCCAGCAGAAGGCCCGGGACACAGTAGATGAGTGACTGTTGAATAGGCATCCTCAGGTGTCTCTAATTCCGCATATCTAGCACAAGTCTTCCTACCTTTTCCTCCTGTCTTTTCTACTTCAGTTTTCCTGACACAAACTTCTCCTTTCTTATTGAGTCCTGCTATTTGTGCCTATGAAACATCTCTCCCTCTCAGCTGGATTATTATGAAAACCTACACTCTTATGCCCCCTGTTTATCCTGTTGCCAGAGTGTTCTTCCCAAAATGTAGATTTGATCATGTCACACCCTTTCTTAAAGCCACTGAACTGTTTTCTTCTTTAAACTCATAGAAGGTTCTTCATCAACAGGCATCTACTCATCTTTCTAGCCCCTTTTCCCTCGGTTATTATACTCCACTACCCTATATGCCAACTTTACCAAACGATCTGCTTCCCTACAAAGAAGGCATGCTCTTCCCGGTGCCTTTCCTTGCTCATCTAGCTCAGGAGTTCCTATACGTCGCTCAAGTCCTGGGGTTAACCTCCTCTGTTACCAGGTTGTGTCAGATGCACTGTCCTTTGGAGCTCTTAATAGCTGCTTTTTTGTGCTTGTATTTTTGTACTTACCACATTGTATAAGTTTTGCTTCTACCTCTAAACTCTAAGCATGTATTTTGTCTTATTTTGTACTTCCTATACCTTGTACAGTATTAGGCACCTGACTGGGTAAAATATTAATAAATATTGATTGAATGAATAAATTTTGAAAACCAGAAGATATGTGGATGACTTAAGATCTGGGCCAAACCCAGAAGTAAAGAGCGCTGCATAACTCGATATGAACCAACTTTTTGAGTTCAGATTTTGCTGAATGTTTGCTTTTGGACCACTTATACTCTGTCCAGAAATGAGAAACCTTTGCAGAAGGACCAGGTTACTCCAGTATTTTCCTTGTTTTGCAGCATTTGTTGGTCCAACTGCATGCAGTATCATTTATAGAATAGCTGCTATAATAGCTATGTTACTCAATTGCTTTCCTTCTGCTTCTAAGTTAAAAACAGTTCTTGTTTCCAAATATGATTGTGCCCTAGGGAAAATGGTCACAGTTCTGCATTCTCTGGAAGAAGCCTGGTTCTGAAAATATGTAATTGGCACCTGGAACATACACATGATCAGAAACTATTAGAAATGGCTTTGACACTGCCTTTTGTACATTTACTTTGAATATGAATACTATAATCACTTTCTTAAGAACTTTTACTCTCAGTGCTACGTCCCATGCTGTGTTGATTTAAGCCACAGACATTGCCCAAATTATAGCCTAGCACTAACAACACTAACATTAAAGTAATAGAGTACTCTTTAGCTTGCTGTTGTGATGGATTTTTAAGGAAGCAGTATTTCCTTAGAAACCACATTAAAACCTACCAATTTTGTGAACATTTATAAGAATACATCTGAGTCATTTTTGTTAGAGAAATACTGAACACTAAAACTGTAGCAGTTTTAAGATAGAGTGCTGTTAAATGTTTTGAACAACAGGAGTTTATTGCATAGACTGAACTAATAAAGGACTGAAATAATTTTTTAATGTTATGAAAAATATAATTCTTCAGCGAACTAAGGTATTTAAATACTTTGTATATCTTGCAATACAGTTACTTCCATTGCACTGACTTAAAAGGATGTCCCTCATTTTGTAACTTATTGTTTTGATAATGAACTTGGCAGAGTTTATAAAGTCTGCAGAGTAGAATACAAATTGACCATTAACTTTTTGGCAATAAGAATGACATCATGTTATGACATATTACAGATCTTTCAGCAAAGAGTGCCTCTGTTCCAGACGAACTTGGTGCCTGTGGACATTCTAGAACATCAAGCTATGCAAGTCAGCAGTCAAAAGTATCAGGTAGAGGCTAACAGTGAAGTTGAATTCCTTATTGTTCCAAAGGGACTTGAAACTGCTGTGGTGTGGGGGAACGATGTCAGATTGCAGAGTGTTTGATATGAGTATTATATCCAAGGTGATTTTCTCTGACAGGGTATAGCACGTGTCACTCCCGGTCATCTAGTTTCTCTGAGCTCTGCCACAGGAGAAATACCTCAGTGGGAAGCACATCAACAGGAGTTGAAAGTATTCTAGAGCCATGTGATGAAATTGAGCAGAAAATCGCTGAGCCAAATCTTGATACAGCTGATAAAGAAGATACAGCTTCAGAAAAACTCAGCAGGTATCCTTTTAGTTTAAAGAATAAATTTTAATTTTTAAAAAACTTTGTTTTCATAACATAATAAAAAGGAAAAAATGTAATTCTTTTCAAAGATGCCCAGTGAAACAAGATTCTGTAGAATCTCAGCTGAAGCGAGTTGATGACACCAGGGTGGATGCAGATGACATTGTAGAGAAAATATTACAAAGTCAAGACTTCAGCCTAGATTCCAGTGCGGAAGGTGTGTAGGTAACTGTTAAGCATAGATTCCTGCAATCCAGGTTTTTGTAATCTGTGTAGTCAGCAGTAAAGAGGCTCAGAACATCATAATACTGACTGTTGCATATTTGTATAGTAAATTTCATGCCCATAAAAATATCAAGATAACTTTATAGCTCATTTATTAATGAGAATGAGTATTGAGTTTAGAAAAAGAACAAATGTTAGTTAAAAGTGATCAATTTTAAATAAAACATTTATTGTGTTTTTAATTATGCCTAGATGTCTACAGCGTTCGTATACCTAATGATAGGTATCTACATCTGCTTTTGTTATAAGTGCTTTAAGCCACTGTTGTAATTTGGAGGTGGTCTTAGAACAATAGTGAATAATGGAATCCTTCATTCCCTCCTTAGAATTTTCACTGAAGCTGAAAATTTGTATGCCACCAATTTGAAAGGTATAATTACTCATGTTGATGTGAATAGAAAGCACTTAACAGTGGACTTATTTTCATTATGTAGTTGGGTGTAAAGAGAAATAATTAAACCTTACTTTGGAAATTTCTAGGAAGAGCTATCTCCATTACTCAGTTAAAAGAAAAAGAGTTTTAGAAACATTGAAGAGAAATAACCTTTAGAGTATCTTTTAAATTGCCTATTTTAAAACATGTATATAACTTTGGTTTTTAAGTTGTTTATTTCTCTAATAAACAATTGTAAAATATGAATTATTACAATATCCATATATTTGACAATAGTCTAATAATTGTACATGTAACAAACATTTTAAATGTGTATTGCAGAAGAAGGACTAAGGCTATTTGTGGGTCCTGGGGGAAGTACAACCTTTGGCAGTCATCATCTTCCAAATAGGTAAGTAGTACAAATAGTGTCTTATTAAAATATAGACTAATTTTTTTAAAAAAATCATGAGTAGAGGATGATGGTTGCAAAGTTTGTACTAGGCTGAAGCAAGGAAACACAGATAGTAGTAGTTACATGCGAAGAGTTACAGCTCTTAGTGTAGCTCTCAGTTTTCTTAATTCTGGGTATGTTTGACATTATATTTTATAAATTAGTTTTTAATTTCCTTAGAAATATTTTTAAAGGGTATTAGTCAAGGACCAGTAGACCATTGGGAAAGTTGCAATATAAAAGGACACTTAGAAAAGAGTTCTTAGTCTTTCAAAACATTAATTTTTTATTAATTTATTTTCTAGAGACAGGGCTGTTGCCCAAGCTGGAGTGCAGTGGTGCAGTCATAGATCACTGTAGCCTCAAACTCCTGAGCTCAAGTGATCCTCCTGCCTTAGCCTCTTGAGCAGCTGGGACCATAGGCATGCGCCACTGTGCATCGCTAGTCTGATAATTTAGGAAGAGCAAAGCAAAATTACATTTTCAGTCAATGATCTTATCTTTTCCGAGCAGTTACACAGCCACTGAGCAACTTAAGCTGCTGTTAACCTTTCTTGTACTCTCCTTTTCTCCACCCCACTGCCATACATATTAAAACCATCATTCTCAGCAAACTATCGCAAGGACAAAAAACCAAACACCGCTTGTTCTCACTCATAGGTGGGAATTGAACAATGAGAACACATGGAGACAGGAAGGGGAACATCACACACCACGGCCTGTTGTGGAGTGCGGAAGCGGGGAGGGAATAGCATTAGGAGATAAACCTAATGTTAAATGACGAGTTAATGGGTGCAGCACACCAACATGGCACATGTAAACATATGTAACTAACCTGCACGTTGTGCACATGTACCCTAAAACTTAAAGTATAATAATAAAAAAAGAAAAGTTCTGAAAAACCAAATACCATTTTGCTAGTTATTCAGATGCAGATGAAGAAAAGTCACCTGCCAAACTTACATTGATTATCAGCACTGCAGCAGATAATAGTGAGCACAGACACCAAGGACAGTGTAGGAATTCTAATCACTCACTTGCTCCTTAACAACCTGCTCCCCACACTTCTGTGCACCCCTAATTCCATTCCATGTCGTATTTATGTAGAGTCCCTGCACAACTACAGAGTGAGTCACAGTTGCAGGTGGGTAGCTCCTTGGACCAAGACAGTTATTGTATTCTCTCGTGGTCAAAACCTAAAAGAATTTTGCATTCATTTCTTTTACTAATACTCATTTTAATGAGTACCTCCTATTTGTCCAGCACATTACAAGGCTCAAAAATAGACTAACAGCAAAAACCTACATCAACGATTAACTACAATCAGATATCATAAGTAGGTAAGAGAGAGACATATAAAGCTACTTTCAGGGAGTAATGTGAAAAAGGATTTACAGAAGATGTAACACTATTTAGATCTTTGATTGACTCATCTGCTTATTAAATTCAGTAACTGTTTCTTGGGCCAATTTGTAGGTAAGGATGCAAGTAGAAAAGACCCAGCTCTTACCCTCTGCTGGCTTATGGTCTAGCACATGGGGCTGGCAGGCTATAGCCCATAGGCCAAATTGGCCCACTACCTGTATTTATAAAGTTTCATTGGAACACAACCATGCCTGTTTATTTGTATAGTGTTTACTGCTGCTTTGATGCTACAGTAGCAGAGCTGAGTGGTGCAGCAGAGACTCTGTGGCCCACAAAGCCTAAAATATTTACTGACTCTTTTTTACAGATGAGATGGACAAACTAAAAGTCATAACATTATAATAAATACTGTAATAGAGGGAAGTTTGAGAGAACAGAAACAGGATCTCAGAGTTCACACTTGAAGAGAGACTTTGGGAGAATAAAAAATAAGTGGGGGGCTTATAAGGTGAATATGATGAATACAAATACTCCTGGTAACAAATAGAATGAGTTTATAAGTACAGTAATTATGATATATAATTATATCATAATAAACATATAGCAATTATAGGTAGCATTGAGCATTTATTAGTTATGTGCCAGGCACAGGTACATATATATTTTTTATTCAATTCTTATGTAGTAGTATCTTTCAGTGCTCACAACATACTACAATTAGTTTGGTGTTTTTTTAATGGAAACAAAGATACAAAGAAGTAATTTGAGGCTGGACATGGTGGCTCACACCTGTAATCCCAGCACTTTGGGAGGCCGAGGCAGGTGGATCACTTGAGATCAGGAGTTCAAGACCAGCCTGGCCAACATGGCAAACTCCCATCTGTACTAAAAATAAAAAAATTAGCCGGGTGTGGTGGCGGGCGCCTGTAATCCCAGCTACTTGGGAGGCTGAGGCAGGAGAATCACTTGAACCCAGGAGGTGGAGGCTGCGGTGAGCCAAGATTGCACCACTGCACTCCAGCCTGGGCGACAGAATGAGACTGTCTCAAAAAAAAAAAAAAAAAAAAAAAAAGAAGAAGAAGAAGAAGTAATTTGCCCAAGGCCTTAAAACTAGTAAGTGGTAAAACCAAGATTAAAACTCATGTCTCTTTGAGTCCAAATCCCATTGTACTTAACCAGTATATTTTACTGGCTCATTAATAATATAACATAGTTCAGGTTCTTCTGAGGAGAGGGGGTTGTGAAAGGGTATTTAGGGGCATGAGGTTGGCAAGCATCTCTGAGCTAGGTTGTAAAGGGCCTCACTTGCCATAACAAAGTTTCTTCTTCTCATGTGCACAGTGGGGAGCCATTGGCCATCTTTGCAGGGAAGTGACCTATCAGATTGGCATTTTAGAAAAATAACCGGCCATAATTTGAAGGGTAGATTAGAGCAAGGAAAGACCAGTAGCAGGGGGAACTAGGTAGAAAAGTAACATTTATGAGGACAGTGGTATGAATGATGGAGTGAACATGTGTTTTTGAGTTAGAGACTTGGGTTCACATCCTAGCCAGACCACTTTTGGGGCCTGAGTAAATCACTTAACTTCAATAGAACTTTAGTTACCTCTGCTGAAAAGTAGGAATAACCATGCCTATCTCATGGAGTAATTTTAAAGGGTAAATGACATAATATACTCAGTAAGCCCTGGCTTTATTAATTTAGGTACAGAACAGCAGAAAAGGTAGTTCCAACCAAATGGAATTTTTTTTTCTAAGAGATAGGGTCTCACCCTGTCACCCAGGCTGGAGTGCGGCACAATCTCAGCTCACTGCAGCCTTCAACCCCGGGCTCAGCCTGCTGAGTAACTAGGACTACAGGCATGCACCACCATGCCCAGCATTTTTTTTTTTTTTTTTTTATAGAGACAGAGTCTCACTGTGTTGCCCAGGCTGGTCTCAAACTCCTGGCCTCAAGTGATCCTCCCACTCCAGCCTCTCAAAGTGCTGAGATTACAGGCATGAGCCGTTGTGCCAAGCCTTCAACCAAAAGGCATTTAAATAGTAAATGGTCAAAAGCACGGGCTGTCTTAGACTGCCTGGGATCAAGTCCTAGCTCTTCCACTATTGATTGATACTGTTGACCTCTGTAAGTCTCAGTTTCTTTGCCTATAAAATGAGAGTGATAAATAAGATCCTGAACTCATAGGATGTAAGACTAAATTAGATGACTTATGTAACATTTTTTGGTTTTCATTTTTGAAAGACAAGGTCTCACTCTGTTGCCCAGGCTGGGGCGCAGTGATGTGATCACAGCTCACTGCAGCCTCCAATTCCTGCACTCAAGCGAACCTCCTGCCTCAGCCCCTGAGTAGCTAGGACTACAGGTGTGAGCCACCATGCCCAGCTTTTCTTTTTTAACTTTTTGTGGACACAAGGTCTTGCTGTGTTGCCCAGGATACAGCCTGGCCCACTTGGGTTTTCTTACTGGGACCGGCATGCACCTGCCTGCTTTCCTTTAGGGACGTTAAATTTTTTCTGACAAGAAGTCTGCCTGTATTTTTATTTTATTCTTCTGTATGTGATTTGTCTTTTATATCTGGCTGCTTTTAAGATTTTCTGTTTATTACTGGTTTTTAGCACTTTGGCTATGATGTGCCTTGAATATGTTTTTCCTTGTGTTTATTCTGCCTGGGGTTCATCAAGCTTTTTGGATCTATGGGTTTACAGTTTTCATCAAATCTGGAATTCTCCAGCCATTATTTTCCCCAACCCCTCCTTCTGTTATTCTGATCTACAAATTCTAGTCCCTAGCCCCTCTGAGCTTTGATCTCTGACTCCTTCACTCAGAGAGACCAGCAGGCTGTGTTTGGGGTCTTCCTCTCTGCACTGCAGGCTCGGAAGATCCTGAAGGAAACTGCTTCAGGCAGCTAGCTGGGGCGGTTGTCGGGCTCTCTTCATTTATTTCTTGTTTCTTGGGACCACAGTCCTGCACTGCCTGTTGTCTAGTATGTGCAAACTGTCATTTCACTTATTCTATCCGGTTTTCTAATTATATAAGGCAGGAGGGAAAATCTGGTTCCTGTTACTTCATCATGGCCAGAGGCAGAACATATTTAAAAGGGCATCTAAAAGCCAGTGTGCCATGCTGCCCACCATGGTTTCTTCAAATTCTGATTTTCTGTAGGATGAATGGGTGCTCACTGGCATTCTGTTGAGGAAGTTCCTATTTCTTCTGTAGAATGAATCTGTGAGAACAGGAGTTTCTGGGCAATCAACTGAGAAGTCCAGCCAAGTCCATGGTGGGCTAGTAATCACTACCTTACTTCTGTTGTTTAGAATTTCCTCTTAAAATGCCATTAAGGAGAGACACTAGTCATGGTGGTTGCTTCTGGGCTTACTAAACTCAGGCACACTCATGGTAAAATGACAAGTAGTAGGGTATACCCTAACATCTTGACAAATTGGGAAATGGGTACCTGGTGATAACTTCAGGCAGTAATGGGCCAGGCGTGGTGGCTCATGCCTGTAATCCAGCACTTTGGAAGGCTGAGTTAGGAGGATTGCTTGAGCCCAGGAGTTCTGGTTGCAGTGAGCTTCAGTCATGCCACTGCACTTCCATCTGGGCAACAGAATGAGACCCTGCCATGAAAACGCCACAATATTATGACAGCTGAAGACCATCATCATTAACTCAGTGCAAGTCCTGATGCACTGCCAGAGTCAACATATGCTCTTGGATGAGACCTATTTTAGAATGAATAGATAAACATGTTTGAAGAGCATTTCTTGCCACCATTTGTCGATAGGTCAAGAATTGGGGAATTCTAATAGATTATTGTGGGAATAAGTGTGAGAGAATCAGGATCTAGGCTAATCCAATGTATTAATGATAAACATTTAATATTTCACATAGTTTCTATCCGTGATGCCTTTAAACGTTATGGAAATCAAATCTAGTAGAAAAATACCCAGTGCCCCATCTCTCCAGGGGTAAGGTTACTTGGAACAGTTTCAAACACTGCAGCTCAAAATTTTGAAGTTTTTTTCCACTGCTGTTTTAGGGTGGGGTCTGGAGCTTATGAACAAGTTGTGATCAAACGCTAGAAGTCAAGTCGGTGAAAACATTTCCTTGTGGATTTAAGATGTGAGTAGTTGATGTATCAAGGCATTTTATTCAAGCACTTAATAGAAAATGAACCTCAACTATCAAGAGGAAAGCCAATGCTGGTTTCTTCTCTGGAAGGACCCACCGCCATCCTGTACCAGCCACCAAAGGGGAACATCTACATGGCAGTCTCCAGGCACTGTGCCACTGTGTGCCTTGGAAGCACCTGGCTTCTGTGGTCACTGCACATCATAATGAAAAGCCTGCTTTTTCTTTCAGAACACCCCAGCGGAGAAAACAGCATTATATACATCGGAGTATCATTTTAGGATTCAAGTGTAAAAATCTGTGATCAAGAGGCTCAATAGATTTGGGCTCTATGGTTTGGTTTTTTTAGTTTGAGAGACAGTACATGAATATAACTTAAACCCTATAGATTTTGTCAAGATAGTTGTAATTCCTGTTCTGGAAATCTTCCCTATTACACTACCTACAGCATTGTATAAAGTGTGGGTGTTCATGCTTTGGGAAAATGTTAGACTACAATTTAAACATGTGATGTGCTTATTCATAATTCTCAGTGTATCAGTCATAAATGAAATAACAAGTGCATTTAAGTCAGAGATACGTGAATGGATGTAATGCCGTTATGCAGTATATATTGTTAATTGTCATTAATATTAGATGAGCTGCAGAACCACCCCCAAGCACTACATAAAAGACTCAAAATAAGTTTAACACTTACTGTGTTGGGCACCCTAACAGAAGAGCTATCTTAACTCATTGAATATTAAGATCTGCTGGTTTCAGGAGTCAAAATGTAGAAAAAGAGGAGAATTGTAATATGGTCAGAAACAGAGAAGCCTTTTCTATGTAAATTCAGACTTATCTGAGGCTAACAGTTTTCCGAAGTGGTGGTGGGTAGCAGCATGACAGCTGCTTGCCATGACTGATGCAGACTACTAGGTTTCCATTTTAGCTCTCTGTAGGTACTGTTTTCTTCCCCACTGTGTCGAAAGTGATTTGTTTTGAAGCAAGAGTAGAATATAACATCTATCAAATATAGCTTTTAAAATAAGAATACCTGGTCTGGATCCAGTTGAGCAGCACAGCAGATAAACCTTAGAGTTTTTCTGTTCTTACATGACGGTTTCCATGTGGAAAGATCTAAACTTTCTTGGAATCACTATTAGTGAAGAAAAATGTAGAATCTGTATAACCAGTAATTCCCCAATTCTTACTTTCAAAGTCATATCCAAGAAAGACAATATGTCAGAATAGAATGACTTTGGTCTAGGTGTTTTCACGTTGGCAAAAATAAGGAGGAAATTATATTATTTTAATATCCAAATTTAAAGGTTTGGAAAATTTTGAATAGTTAATATTAGAACTTATGTTGCTGTTTTTTATATTTCAAGGATTGAGTATTCTGCATTAATCCAATACTATTCCAACAAAGAGATTCTGGAAGTTTTTAAAAAATGATACCCTGTTTTATATTTTGAATGTAGAGAGACTCTGAGAGAGAGAATGTTCTGAGTTATACTTTTTATTTTTTAAGATTTATTTTTAAGAATAAAACATTGACCTGAACATTTTAGCCTAACCAAGGGACTTAAGTGGTAAAGACTTGCATTATGTCTTCATGTGAACTGATCCGTTCATTATATATTATGGGAAAAATCAAAGAAAGTTTTTTATAGAGATATGAAGATATTATTTAGAGAGATATTTATTATGACATTTTTTAAAAACATATTTTTCTATTTTCAAAATATTATTTCTAGGCTATATTTTTATTGGTGCTGTGCAAATGATTTTGCAGTTTTGAAAATGATAAAACTAGATTGTAAGTGGGGTTCAGTGAGGACATTCATCAGACACGTAAGAGGTGCTGCAATCAGGGTGATGCCCATCTTACTCATCCTTGGCTGCCCTTGGTCCGACACCTCTCTATACAAGACTGGTTCTCAGTATTTTAAATGGTACAGAATTCTTTTTAAAAAGTAGAGAGATTTTGAAAAGCATAAAAATCATGCCTTTATAATCTTAGCAGCCATCAGATACACCTTGATTTATGTAGTAGTAAATATAACAAATATTTTAATAAATAGAAACACTGATAAGGAAGAAAAAAGAACTAATGTCTATGTCTTCTGTAGTCAGCAAAAGTCTGGATCCATTTTCTATTTTGTGTTCCATTGGCACACTTTGTGTTCAAATTTCAGTGCAGTCCTTTCAAAATACTCGCTAAGGGTTGCCTAAGTGTCTGCCTTACTTTCTGATTGTCCTTTTCTGAGAGCATGGTTAAGAACATCTTAACCATATAGCTGTTGAAAAAATCTGTTTATTAAATAACAAGTTCACTTCTGTTTATGTTTTGAGTTTAGAAAATTTGACTTGAAAATTTAGATTATTAATAAATTTATTTTTAAATATTAAAGTCAAATTTCAAATCACCCAGTGTTGAAGAATTTGCAGATGTATACAATACTTTTTCTAATTATGTCTTTTCTATCTCCATGCCTGGCTTTTTCTAATTATATCCTAGAGAAAAAGACTAATGGTATTTCAAAGCTGTGTATTTGTGACGAGATAAAGAAGAGTCTTAAACATCTTGTTTGGGAGAATGCACAGGCCAGTCAGGAGACCCACCTCCTCCTGTGCCCTGAGCTGCTGAGACCCGACAGATCATGAAGGCTAGTAAAGGGCAGAGAAGGCCCTGAGCCATCAGTTTACACTCGAATTGTTGACTCCCCTTTGTGGTGTTTTTGAAGGCTGCTTATACCAACAGCTAATGTGGATTAGTGCTTATGATCTTGAAAAAGTCTTGACCAAGAATCCTAAACTCCACCACTCCTCCCATTCCAGCTTAACACTATCAGAATAATATCCAAATTCCAGATTTTTTTCTTTTTTACTTTTTTTTCTTCCTTTTTTAAGAGAGACAGTGTCTTGCTCGGTCACCTAGGCTGGAGTGTAGTGGCGCAATCGTTGCTCACTACAGCCTCCCAACTCCCAGGCTCAAATGAGCCTCCCACCTTGGCCTCCCAAAGTGCTAGGACCACAGGCATGAGCCACTGTGCCCAGCCTAGTTTCTTTTCTGTATGCTTTTTTTACAAAACTGTGAGCCACAGAGGTTGACCACTTAGCCAATTTGTTGCTAGAAGGGAGAAAAAAATCTCCAACTAGCCTCCAGACAAAACATACTCAAATTCAAACAGCAGTTAGTTTTAATTAACATACAGAAGTAATTTTAGACTTTCAGATTTCTATGCTGACTAGAACACTTTGCAGGCTGAAGCTGACATTATTACCAAATACTTCATTTAAGTACATACTCTGAAGTGTCAGGCTTCCAGTATATATAGCAACGCTCTGAGAGACAAACTGGGCTCATATGACGGGGTTGCATTTTATTTTCTTAACAGGTCTTTAAATTGGGCAGTTCTGAAATTCTGTTTGGTCAGTTCTAGATGGTACGTCATGTGAATGCAACCAAGCACTGTAGTTGAAATTGTGTTATGCCACTACTCATGTTGTCTTAGGTACTACGCATAATGTTAATAGCTGAGATGTTAAAGAATTTGAAGTCTAAAATATAAAAGATGAATATACCCATATTAATCCTATGTTAAGATGCTCTGGAAATAAAGGCCTTATTCCCTTACACATGCGATTTTTGTAAGATAATATATACACAGTATATTTTAAATGTTTGTGTGGGTGGTCTGTGTAGTTACTCCCCATACAACAAAGCTGACAAAATTTTTAATTTACACAATGTATTCTGCATTTTCAAATGTTTATGTTGTGTATATAGCAAAGAAATTATCTTACTGATATGCGTTGACCAAATCCCATGGAGAAAAGACATCTCATTTGAGGTTCCCCTTCCTCTCATGTGTTTGATTTTTTGGAAGGTGATACAGTATGTGGGTAACCATGCAAATGTTTATGAATAACTTTACTGAAGTGATTCCATCCGTATTCTGTTCTAATACTTGGAGAATGACCTTCATATTTATATATTTTATTTCTTTGTTTCAACTATCCAGTGATAATTCAGGAAATGTTTCCTTTTTTTTTTTTTTTTACAAAAACTTTTTATTTGTAAAATGTTTGTAATAATGTAAAGGTGAACATGTTCAATAAAAATCATATATTAAAAGTTTAGATGTTCTTTATCTTTTAAAATATCAGTTAAGATTCCATCAGAAAATTGTGCCAAGGTGAAATGAAAGAACCAAAATAACTTATCCCTGAGGGTTTATTTATTTATTACCAGGGAGCATGGGACAGATTTGAACGCCCCCAGTGGCGGATTTCTCTTTGAACCCTTGGGCAGCCCATGCAGTGGCATGGACCTGGGCTTTGGGTGAGACAAACCTGAGTCTGAATACAAACTCCCCTCTGAACCTGGCCTCAAACTCCTGAGCTCAAGTGATCCTCCCACTTTGGCCTCCCAAAGTGCTAGGATTGCAGGTGTGAGCCCATGCGCCTGGCCTGAACCTATTTTCTAATCTAGGATGGGCATAACACCAACACTCTTACTGGGTTGTGATGAAAGACACGGGCATTATTGTTAAGAGTATGCTACTTTCTAGGCACTCGGTGGTCCATCAAGCCAAAATTTGCCTTCGTATAGCATCTACACACATATACTAATTTCTAGTGTTGGACATACAGATGCTTATTAAATGTGCCACTATTAGCATATACCCAAAAGAAAGGAAATAAGTGTGTCCGGAATTGGTGGGTTTTTGGTTTTACTGACTTTAAGAATGAAGCCGTGGACCCTCGCGGTGAGTGTTACAGCACTTAAGGTGGCGTGTCTGGAGTTTGTCCCTTTTGATGTTTCGATGTGTTTGGAGTTTTTTCCTTTTGGTGGGTTTGTGGTTTTGTTGGCTTAGGAGTGAAGTTGTAGACCTTTGTGGTGAGTGCTACAGTTTTTAAGGCAGTACGTCTGGAGTTGTTTGTTTCTTTTGGTGGGCTTGTGGTCTTGCTGGGCTTAGGAGTGAAGCTGTAGATCTTTGCAGTCAGTGTTACAGCTCATAAAAGTAGTGTGGACCCAAAGAGTGAGCAGTAGCAAGATTTATTGTAAAGAGCAAAAGAACAAAGCTTCCACAGTGTGGAAGGGGACCCGAGGGGGTTGCCACTGCTGACTCAGGCAGCCTGCTTTTATTCTCTTATCTGGCCCCACCCACATCCTGCTGATTGGTAAAGCTGAGTGGCCTGTTAGGGCACTGATTGGTGTGTTTGCAATCCCTGAGCTAGATACAAAGGTTCACCACGTCCCCATCAGATTAGTTAGATAGGGAGTTTCCACACACAGGTTTTCCAGAGCCCCACCAGAGCAGCTAGATACAGAGTGTTGATTGGTGCATTCACAAACCTTGAGCTAAACACAGGGTGCTGATTGGTGTGTTTACAAACCTTGAGCTAGATACAGAGTGCCGATTGGTGTATTTACAATCCCTGAACTAGACATAAAAGTTCTCCACGTCCTCACCAGAGCAGCTAGATACAGAGTGTCGATTGGTGCACTCATAAACCTTGAGCTAAACACGGGGCTGATTGGTGTATTTACAATCCCTGAGCTAGATATAAAGACTCTCCACGTCCCCACCCGACTCAGGAGCCCAGCTGGCTTCACCTAGTGGATCCCGCACCGGGGCTGCAGGTGGAGCTGCCTGCCAGTCCTGCGCCGTGCGCTCCCATTCCTCAGCCCTTGGGTGGTCGATGGGACTGGGCACCGTGGAGTAGGGGGTGGTGCTCGTCGGGGAGGCTCGGGCCGCACAGGAGCCCATGGAGTGGGTGGGAGGCTCAGGCATGGCGGGCTGCAGGTCCCGAGCCCTGCCCTGCGGGAAGGCAGCTAAGGCCGGGCGAGAAATCAAGCGCAGCGCCGGTGGGCTGGCACTGCTGGGGGACTCAGTACACCCTCCGCAGCCACTGGCCCGGGTGCTAAGTCCCCCATTGCCCGGGGCCAGCAGGCTGCTCCGAGGGCGGGGCCCACCAAGCCCACGCCCACCCGGAACTCCAGCTGGCCCGCAAGCGCCGCACGCAGCCCCGGTTCCCGCTGGTGCCTCTCCCTCCACACCTCCCTGCAAGCTGAGGGAGTGGGCTCCAGCCTGGGCCAGCCCAAAAAGGGGCTCCCACAGTGCAGTGGGGGGGCTGAAGGGCTCCTCAAATGCCACCAAAGTGAGAGCCCAGGCAGGGGAGGTGCCAAGAGCAAGCGAGGGCTCTGAGGACTGCCAGCATGCTGTCACCTCTCATAAGTATATTGAAGAGATACCTGCACTTTTACATTTATTGCAGCACTATTCACAATACCCAAGGTTTGGAAGCAACCTAAGTGTCCATCAACACTTAGATGAATTCACAGAGAAAATGTGGTACATAAATGCAGTAGAGTACTATTCAGCAATAAAAAAGAATGAGATCCTGTCATTTGCAACAACATGGATGGAACTGGAGGCCATTATGTTAAGTAAAATAGGCCAGGCACAGCAAGACAAACTTCAGATGTTCTTACTTATTTGTGGGAACTAGAAATTAAAATAATTGAACTCATGGAGATAAGAGAGTAGAAGGATAGTTACCAGAGGCTGGGAAGGGTAGTTAGGGGGTAGGGTGTGGGAGGTGGGCAAAAAAAATGAATGAATAAGATGTAGTATTTGCTAGCAAAAAAGGGTAACTATAATCAAAAATAATTTAATTGTACATTTTAAGAGTATAATTGGGCCAGGCGCAGTGGCTGAAGCCTGTAATCCCAGCACTTTGGGAGGCCAAGGCAGGCGCGTCACTAGAGGTCAGGAGTTTGAGACCAGCCTGACCAACATGGTGAAACCCCATCTCTACTAAAAATACAAAAATTAGTCGGGTGTGGTGGTGCACGCCTGTAATCCCAGCTACTCAGGAGGCTGAGGCAGGAGAATCGCTTGAACCCAGGAGACGAGGTTGCAGTGAGCCGAGCTCGCACCATTGTACTCCAGCCTGGGCGACAGAGCAAGACTCCATCTCAAAAAAAAAAAAAAAGTATAATTGGATTGTTTGTAACACAAAGGATAAATGCTTGAAGTAACAGATACTGTTACTTCACATTATTAATGATAAATGTTAAAACACATTTACCCTGATGTGATTATTACACATTACATGCCTATATCAAAATATCTCATATACCCCCTATATACACCTACTATGTACCCACAAACATTTTTTCACTATTACAGTTTAAGATCATCACTTAACAAATGGTATTTATGTCACCTATATCCTCGTACAGACTGTTCTATTCCCATAGACCAGAATGTCCTCAGAGAACAAAAACAATGCCAACAGTGTCCCTCTGCTGATATTCAAATTATAATAGCAATTTAATATTAATAAAGAACTATGGTTTAATGTCAGTTTGAACCCAGCATCTTCTCTGCAGATTGTCAGGGCCTCCCTGGACAGTGCAGATTTAAAAAGGTTATATGACTAAAGAGAAAGCACCCTGCTCTTGTCAGGACAGAGTAGGGTATGGACACTCTAGGGGAAAACCTCCACACTCCTCCCCAGTACAGAGGATCACCCAGAATAACTTTGTACCAGATCACAGCAGAACCTGGCAGGACTCTGATCTGCCCCCTCAGATGCTGCCCACATCTCCAACATGGAGTTCTCAGACCCAGCCTTCTTGTTTCGACTTGGCCCACCTTTCTTCAACACCTGGTGGCTTTCTTCCTCTTTCTCTGTCTGTCCTTCCCTTTCTCTTTCACCTGTTTTCACTTCGCTTCCTGTACCTATGCATCACTTATCTGGTAGCAGCACATAATGAAATCTTTCCTTCCATTTGTATGATAGGTAGGAAATCACTGGTGGAATTAATCCAGTCCACATTATACAAAGTTTAACAGAAAATTAAGAAACCTAGGCTGGGCGCAGTGGCTCACGCCTGTAATCCCAGAACTTTGGGAGGCCGAGGTGGGTGGATCATCTGAGGTCAGGAGTTTGTGGCCAGTCTGACCAACATGGTGAAACCCCGTCTCTACTAAAAATACAAAAAATTAGCTGGGCGTGGTGGCGGGTGCCTGTAATTCCAGCTACTTGGGAGGCTGAGGCAGGAGAATCACTTGAACCCGTGAGGTGGAAGTTGCAGTGAGCTGAGATCGTGCCATTGCACTCCAGCCTGGGCGACAGAGTAAGACTCTGTCTAAAAAAAAAAAAAAAAAGAAACCTAAACAGGCATAAATTTAGACAGTCCCTGGGTCAGTGATCTCTATTCCATGTGAACCTATTTAATAGGAAATGTCAGAAAATTTCCCAAATGAATGTTTAGACCTCATTCCCATGCATTTATAACCCAGCTAGGTTGAGGTATTACCTCAACCATTTCTTAAGAAATTGACTTCACCGCAGATCTTCAAACCATTTCAACACTGTTTTTCCTTAGTGTATGCATTGCAGAAAACCTCAAACCTCTGCAGAAAGTTGGCATGCTAAGCTTTTTTGGCATCTTGTTTTTTGAATCTTATATTGGGGAACCCTTAAAGCGAGTATGTGCAGCTACTTAAAATAGGAAAAGTGTGCCACCTTCTGGCCTTGAACGTCTGTTGATTCAGTTCAAATCTACCTGTCTCAAGTGATCCTATCTGCTCCTATTTCACATATATTTCATGAAATTTAGACCAAAGGAAAAACACATTTTTTATCTTGTAATTTTTAAAATTTGAAATAATTTCAACAGACTTTGAAGCATTGCACATTTTGCTTAAAGTAAAATTGTTTCCTTTGGTGTAGGATTAATGAAAAATTCTCTAAGTACAGTTCCATGAAGATTTCTACCCAAAAGCACTGCTTGGGCAGCATGGTAAAGAACATATGTACAGGGCCAGGTGGGAAACAGCAGTGAGAACACACAGAGCCTGTTCAGTGAAAGCAAAGGCTCTGATGGGTCAAGGGTGATGTGTGGGAGCAGGGAGTCATGTTGTTGGGTAAGACAATACAATCAGATCACAGTTTAATCTGACTAATTCTAGCTTGAGTCTAGCATGCAGGATGAAGTTGAGCATGTAGAAAGAAATGAGATTGTTGCAGCAGTGGAGGCAAAAGTGTGCAGGCAGAGTACACACAATTCAGCAGGAACATTAAGAACCCAACAGAGAAATAGAGGACATGAATTGTTAACTTTCAAGATAAAAGGTATTAACACATACTGCTGGCTTCAAAAGCTTGTATTTAACATTTACTATACACATTTCCAACTTCCAGCTCCTAGCAGCTTGTTTGCTAGACCTCAGCAATATTCCCAGCTGTCCCCTTTTTCTAGATATCACCAAGGATGTGCATCATATATGTGAAAGGAAAATATCTTGGACCCCTAAAATCACTAAGCGAAAGGAAAATTCAAACTGGAAACTACTCAGGGCAAACCTAGCTCCCATTCTATTCAAAGTCATCCCTCTGCTCACTGAGGTAGATGCATATCTGACTGCCTCCTTTGGAAAAGCTTATCAGAAACTCAAAAAAATGCAACCATTTGTCTCTCCTCTACCAGTGCCCTGGAAGCTCCCTCCTTGCTTTGAGTTGTCCCCGCCTTTCTGGATGGAACCAATGTACTTCTTACATATATTGATTAATGTCTCATGTCTCCCTAAAATGTATAAAACCAAGATGTGCCCCGACCACCCTGAGTACATGTTGTCAGGACCTCCTGAGACTGTGTCATGGGAGCGTGTCCTCAACCTTGGCAAAATAAACTTTCTAAATTAGCTGAGACCTGTCTCAAATGTTCGAGGTTCACAAATATAATGATAAGCCATGTTTGCTGTAGTTAGCACCTAGCATCCTTCATGAAGGCAGAAACCCACAGTTCTCAGTCTTCAAAAGACCACATTGCCACTGCTGACACTGCTCAGTCCCTGACTTCCTGTCAACTGCTCGACACACAGTCTCCACAGGACCAGGCATAACGAGATAAAGATTTAATGTTCTTGGCACCCAAACTCTAGTTGAAGAAATTGCCTTTATTTGGAGTTCTCCCTTGATAACCGCTGGCAGAACTGAGGGCTGAGAACACTTGAAGGGAGCTGAACTGCTGGGCGTGCCGTGGGGCAGCAGGTTGGCAGTCACAGGAAAGGAGGGGAGGGGGTGGGGCAAGCGAGGGCAGCTGGGGAAGGTGAGCTGGGAGCTGCTGCCAGATGAGAAGGAGGGTAAGGTGGGATGTGTTTGAGGAGCCTCGGAGCAGCATAGAAGGGGCTGAGATTCACATCTCAGTTGTATGGAACTGAACTTGAAGGCAGGCAGTGCTGTGATAACGTAAGCTTTTAGGAAATCATAGAAGTCTCAGAGTTTTGGAGTTACCCAGACTATGGAAATAGGAGTTGGAGGCAAATTATATTCAGATCTCAAGGGCCAGGGAGGTTTCAATACCTGGTAGTGCAGATTTCGTATCTAGTCTGGGAGGTGGGCAGTGGCAGTGAGAACCTTCTCTCAAAGAAGACTGCAGATTAAACTCTGTCTCCTGCTCAGCGCACTTGTTTTCACATTGTCTGTGGTGGCTTTGACTCAAGCAGAGTTGAATAGTTGTGATAGAGACTGGATCACCTGCAAAGATTTACTGTCTAGCCCCAAAAGCACGTCTGGCAACCCCTGACCTCAAGTATTAATGAGCCTTTCAGTGTGCAAAGAAAGGCCTGTATCCAGGTTGGGGGAAAGACAAACTTCTCAAGAAGAACGTAGGTACAGAAGCCGCAGAGAGAGCGGGAAGGCCATGGGGAAGAGCAGCTCCAGCCCCCATGGCAGTCATGAGCACTTAAAATGTTTCCACATGGGGGCTCCAGTGATTAGGCTCGAACAAAGTTAACTGATTAACTTTCAAGAAAGATCAGAGAAACGGCTGGTCTTGGCTAGAAACCTTGGCTCTACCACAGAAGAGCAATGATGAGAAGGGAACTCTAGAGTGAAAACTGCAGAGGCCTAGAAAGGTGAGGACGGACAGAGGGCCTTTGAGAGCAGGAATAGGGTGGGGCTACAAATCTCTTGTTCATGTGCACCTTTGAGCATTCATGGGGGAAGTCTGATAGCAGTATTAGAAATTCAAGGAAAAAACAGCTGGTTTACCAATGTAATGTGATTAAAAGACGGTTCTCATCAGAATCCCTCAATTCTCTCCCCCCTCACCAAATCCCCTTCCCATCTGCTTAATTATTAACCCTTGGAAACTCAGCTTGAGAATTACTCCCCCCAGCCCTCTCCCAGGCACCAACTCTGCATCTCCATAGCCCCCATTCCAGACCGCTCAGGATGTCCTAGCTGTGGCACAGATGGTTATTTGCCAGTGTTCCTTCTCCCCTTGTTCCTTGGCAGACCAAGTGGACACATGACCTCCCAGAATAAAAACTGTATTTCGCAGCTGATACGGTTTGGATCTGTGTCCCCATTCAAATCTCATGTCAAACTGTAATCCCTGATATTGAAGGAGGGGCCTGCTGGGAAGTGATCATGGGGGTGGGTCCTTTGTGAATGGTTTCGCACCATCCCCTTAGTGCTGTTCTCGTGACAGAGTCCGCCCAAGACCTGCTTAAACGTGTTCAGCACCACCCCTCGCTCCGCCTTGCTCCTGTTCCCACCATGTGAGATGCCTCGCCCCGCCCCAACCCTTTGCCTTCTGCCATTACTGGAAGTTTCCTGAGGCCTCCCCAGAAGCAGAAGCTGCTATGCTTCCTGTACACTCTGTGGAACCATGAGCCAATAAACCTCTTTATTACCCAGTCTCTGCTATTTCTTTACAGCAATGCAAGAACAGACTAATATATCAGCTTCCCTTTGTGTGGCCTGAAGACCACATTCTGATCAACAGGAAGTAAGCAGTCGTGTTGCGTAACAACCCACAGCAAGCTTTACCAGACAGCTTGTGTGTGCCCTTTGTCCCTTCTCTTCTTTCTGCTGTTTCAGAATATGAAAGTAGTAGCCAGAGCTCAAATCTCTCTCTCTGTCCCTGGATGGCATACTAAGTAGCCACAACATGCAAGATGGACGTCTGGGTCCCAAAAGTGGCAGAGCTCCCATGCCTGGGGCTTACCTCTGGACTCCTGTGCCTAAGAAATGCCTCTCATTTAAACTACTGTTTTCCCCCATGAGGTGAAGCTATGTTTCTTTCTCCCATTAGTACTACCACCCCAATTCCAACCAGAGAAGTACTACCACCCCAATTCCATCCTCAGAAGAGGGTGCTCAAAAAACAATCCCAGCACTTTGGGAAGCTGAGGCAGGAGGACCACTTGAGCCCAGAAGTTCAAGACCAGTCTGGGCAACATAGTGAGACCCTATCTCTACAAATTTTTAATTAGCTGGGCATGGTGGTACATGCCAGTAGTTCAAGCTACTGGTGGGGAGGAGGTGAGGTGGGAGGATTATTTTAGCCCAGAGGCTGAGGCTACAATGAGCCATGATTGTGCCACTGCACTCCAGCCTGGGTAACAGAACAAGACCCTGTCTCAAAAAAACAACAACAACAACAACAAAACATGGACAGCAATTACATCATGAAGAGGCTTCTATGCCCTCCAACCACCTGCATTCCTGTTTTATTGATGTTCTAGGCTAAATATTACACAGGTTAGAATTTGGCATTAAGGAGATAGAGAATCCCAGAAAAATTTTAAAGCTACTCTTACCCCAAAGAAAAGGTTTTGAACACTATATTTGATAACTTTCTCTTAAATTTTTAATATCACAATTGATATGGTTTGTATTTCTGTCCTTGCCCAAATCTCATGTCAAATTGTAATCCCCAATATTGGAGGAGGGGGCTGGTGGGAGGTGATTGGGTTATGAGGGCGGATTTCCCCCTTGCTATTCTTGTTATTAAACCTGGTTGTTTAAAAGTGTGTAGACCTCCCCAAGCTCTCTTCCTCCGGCTCTAGCTATATAAGACGTGCCTGCTTCCCCTTCGCCTTCCACCAAGACTGTAAGTTTCCTGAGGCCTCCCCAGCTTCCTGCATGCTTCCTGTGCAGCCTGCAGAACTGTAAGTCAATTAAACCTCTTTTCTTTATAAATTACCCAGTCTCAGGTAGTTCTTCACAGCAATGTGAGAACAGACTAACAACAATCAACTCATGGCTTTAACACAAAAAAAATAGGTAAGTTCAAAATTAACATATTACCACATCCAACTTCTTTATTCTTGAGAAAACAAAAAAGTCCAAAATCAAAGGAAAGCACCCGTTTTAAACCCTCATATCTTTCTCAGGGCTCACTGCAGTCTGGCCATATCTCAAGCAGGTCTGTCCAATGGCTTGGAACATAGACTTTTGCAGTGAAACTTTAAAAACATTACTTGAATTAGGATTACACAAAAAAAACTAAATTCTAAGTGAGCACAACTATCGCTGAGACCCTGAAATTTCAGGAAATAAACATGGTTCAAAACTCAAACTGTTCATCAAAATAATTACGCAGGTCAGCCACCACTGCAGAACCATCACTGCTCAGAGGAATTGAGTCAGCAATGACTGATCTCATCATCTCTTCATTAGCACATAAGCGGTTCAACTTGGGATACGCAAGGAGTCTCTGCAGAGGTACGAAAAATTTATCTCCAACACAGAAGGGTGTGGGAGAGTTCTCTATCTTGGCCTTCTCAACCTCTGTGAAGACTGGTCCAAAGCATGGGACAGGGGCCTTTGAGCCACCAATGTCTTTGGGCTTATCACCCCGTTCCCCAGCCTGTTCTTTCCGCCTTGGCAGGTGGCTCACTCTTAAGCTTTCCACTTGTTGGGACACCTCATTAACCAACACAAGTTTAAAGAACCTTTCCTGCTGTAAGCTTGGGTATGAGGTGGTAAAAACCTGAAGGGAAAAAACAAAACACTTACAAGTGTATAATAATATAAACATACATAAATTTTCAAAGCCATCAATAACTTTTTTGCCATGTAAGAATAAATGTACATATTGAATATATGTCAGATCCTACTAATCGTAAATGCCTCAGTTATAATGGGAATCAAATCACTGACACATAGAAATTAACTATCCGATTTGCTTTCTAATGCTAATGCCCAATGTCTCCCAGCCAGGTTTCTACCAAGTCACATGAACCCAGTATTTCTACTTGATATTACAGGGGCAAGGGCAAAAAAAAATGAAAAATGGTTCAGTTAAAAGGGAAAACGTGGGTAAGTGCAGTGACTCACACCTGTAATCTCAGCATTTTAGGAAGATGGGGCAGGAGGATTGCTTGAGGATGGAAGTTCAAGACCAGCCTGGGCAACATAGTGAGACCCTGTCTCTACGGAAAAAAAAACAAAAAACAAAACAAAAAAAAGCTGAGCATGGTGGTGCACGCCTGTCGTCCTAGCTACTTAGGAGGCTCAAGTGGGAGGATCGTTTGTGCCCAGGAATTCAAGGTTACAGTGAGCCATGATTGTGCCGGTGCACTCCAGCCTCGGTGACAGAACAAGACCCTGTCCCTAATTAAATAAAATTTTTAAAGAGGGGGAGGAAGTGTTTCTTCTTCTTCTCTCTTTAAACCAAAAGGGTCTGAGAAGTTTGTAGGCTCAAAGAGTAATGTCCTAAGCCAAGCTGGGGAGAAACTGCTGCTGGCTTTCCTTTTTACTACTGATAATCCTAACAGATTACAAAAAGAGGTTGCTCAACTATTGCTTTCAAGTATTCTGGGTGTTTTTTTGTAGAGATGGGAGATCTCACTATGTTGTCCAGGCTGCACTCGAACTCCTGGGTTCAAGCAATCTTTCTACCTTGGCCTCCCAACATGCTAGGATCACAGGTGTGAGCCACTGTACCCAGCTACTTTGAAGTATTCTAAGACAACCCCAGCAGATCATTCCCTTTAACATGCCTTGAAACACCAAAAGGCCAGGCAGTCTCAAAGGACACCGTAGGCTAACTCGGACAGTAGTCATGGGGCCTGAAGAATTCTCCTAGAGTGAACCACAAAGCAAGGTCATTTACACTCATCTCTACTTTGGGGATTCTTACTCCCCAAAAAAGTTCACCATCCTAATGTATCTCTAGCCCTGATAGCTATCTCACAAAGAATACTCACAGCTTTATAAACATGCTGATCATGCTGCTCTGAAAGACATGATTCTGTTGCCTTTCCTCCATTTTTCCGGAAGATTCCTATCTGGGTACAGTATCCAACATTCTCAGCTCCAGCTGGTGGTTCCCCGACACCAGTAAACTCCACAGAGTAATCATAGCGATTTGCCACATATAAAGCCCTGAAACCAAAACGAGGACAGCAATCATTTTTCTAAATGTAGAGCTACTGTTAAATAAGGAACCATTTCTGGTCAGCAGTAAAAGAGAACATGAAAAATACAATGAACATAAATACTTCTAAGTTACAAATTCCTAACCACCAGTGTATTTATTTCTAAGAGAAGTCAAGGCAAGGATATAGTGTCAGTTTCCAATTTACCCTAAGAATATGGAAGACGAAAGGAAAATTATGGGCAGGGTGTAGGGGTGGACAAGGAGGCAACAAGTGCTCAACCCAACTACCCATTTGGGTTTGCAATTACACCAGAAAACATGACTAAGCCTCAGGAGATATCCCGGGGAGGGGCATGAGGCTCATTCTCACTGTCCCAAACCTTCCCTCTGTTTTGTTCCTCATCTCCATGCCAGTACTACAGATGCCTTCACATAAAAGGTGCCCAGTAACCACACCCCCTTTCCACACTTGCCCAAATGCAATGGTTCCTTTGTGATCTTATTACATACTAAGTCACACATTGGAATCAATTTTATTGGAAGAAAGTACAAAACAATTTAGGTAATGTATGTATATCAATATTTATTTCCTAAGATTTTAAACTCCAACAGGATCCCAAATAAACAAAAACCCTTCTGAACTTACCAGGTCTGAAACTCCATTCTGGTCCACTCAAATTTATGATCTGAATCTCTTAAGGTCACTGATGGAAACAGGGGATTGAATTCAGAGTTTGGTGTGCTGATGACAATCATGGATGGAGACAGGTACCCAAATACCACTTCAGGAAATCTGGCCAGATCACCTGAATCCAAATGTTCTATTCTAAAATGGTTAATGAGAAAGACATAATAAAATCTAGCTTCACTTGCACCTATTTTTCTAATTGATTTATCAAAAACAATTTCCATCTGTGTATCGATTTCTCCCTTCTTTGAATATGTAATAATGCTTATATGACCTAAGAACAATTATTCGGGCCAGGCACAGTGGCTCACGCCTGTAATCCCAACACTTTGGGAGGCCAAGGTGGATGGATCACCCAAGGTCAAGAGTTAAAGACCAGCCCGGCCAACATGATGAAACCTTGTCTCTACTAAAAATACAAAATTTTGCTGGGTGTGGTGGTGCATGCCTGTAATCCCAGCTACTCGGGAGGCTGAGGCGGGAGAATCACTTGAACCCAGGAGGCAGAGGTTGCAGCAAGCCAAGATTGCACCATTGCTCTCCAGCCTGGGTGACAAGCAAAACTCAGTCAAGAAAGATAGAAGAAAAAGAAAGAAGGAAGGAAGGAAGGAAAGAAAGAAAAGAAAGAGAGAGAGACAGACAGAAAGAAAGAGAAAGAGAGAGAAGAGAAGAGAGGGGAAGGGAGGGGAGGGGAGGGGGAAAAAGAACAATTATTCATATATTCTCATCCTTTCCTACCCCCCAACTCCATCTATGATGGCTCCCTTATCCAACCAAGGTCCTTTGCTGTGCTCTATGGCCTCATTATCAATACCTCTAAAAAAAAGTCTCTGAGGTTATACCTCCCTGATATAATGCATCAAGGAGGACAAAATCACTTCTATGATATTCTTGTCAAAAATGCATGCCCTGAATCTGATAATGAGGAGACACTCAGATACAGCGACATTCTAGAAAATAGCACATATTCTTCAGAAATATCAAGGGCAAATAGGACCAGGCAGAAAGGCTGCACAGACCTGCTTCAGATTAAAGGAGCCCAGGCAAACGTGACAAATGCATTGTGTGATCTTGGGCCATTTTAAATTATAGCTAAATTTTAAAATAGCTATAGAAAGACATTACTGGAACAAATGATGAATGCTGAATGTGGACTTAGATTAGGTAATCGTACTGTATCAATGTTCAATTTCCTGATAGAATTACATGGTTATGGTAAGAAGTCTTTGTTCTCAGAATATACATACCAAGGTATCTAGGGTAACAGGACACAGTGTATCCAACCTACTCTGAGATGGTTCAGATAAAAAATACACGTAGAAAGTTATATTTAGGGAAAAAGACACAGTAAATAGGATCAAATATAAATAAGTGGTAAATCTAGGTAAAGAACAGATGAGAATTCCTTGGACCATTCCTGCAACTTCTGTAAATTTGCAATTATATAACAATTAAATGTTACCAAAACCGGGTCTGACAAAGTCTTGCTGCCATCCCATCTAAGTCAGTGTGTCCTAAGCAAACTAGACATTGACAAAAATGCTTCACAGAGGGCTGAGCTTCTATGCAATTCACAAGAAAATTGTAAACCAGCCAGGCACAGTGGCTCACGCCTGTAATACCAGCACTTTGGGAGGCCGAGGTGGGCAGATTACGAGGTCAGGGGTTCAAGACCAGCCTGGCCAATAGGGTGAAACCCCATCTCTACTAAAAATACAAAAAATTAGCCAGGTGTGGTGGCAGGCACCTGTAATCCCAGCTGCTCGGGAGGCTGAGGCAAAAGAATCACTTGAACCCAGGAGGCAGAGGTTGCAGTGAGCCGAGATCGCGCCATTGCACTCCAGCCCAGGCAACAGTGTTTCTATGCCTGACTTATTTCACTTAATGCCCTCCAGGTTCATCCATGACAATTTCATTCCTTTTTTAGGGCTGAATAGTATTCCATTGTGCATATACATCCCTTTTTTTTTTTTGAGACGGAGTTTTGCTCGTTGTGCAATGGCGTGATCTTGGCTCACTGCAACCTCTGCCTCCAAGGTTCAAGTGATTCTCCTGCCTCAGCCTCCCAAGTAGCTGGGATTACAGGGGCCCATTATCACGCCCAGCTAATTTTTTTGTATTTTTACTAGAGACGGGGTTTCACCATGTTGGCCAGGCTGCTCTTGAACTCCTGACCTCAGGTGATCCACCTGCCTCGGCCTCCCAAAGTGCTGGGATTACAGGCGTGAGCCACCATGCCCAGCCTAAATACCACACTTTCTTTATCCATTCATCTACTGATGGACATTTAGGTAGATTCCGTATCCTGGCTACTGTGCTGTTAATAAACATTGGGGTGCACATCTCTCTTCAATATAACTGATTTCTTTCCTTTGGATAAATACCCAGTAGTGGGATTGCTAGATCACATGGCAGTTCTATTTTCAGTTTTTTGAAAAACCTCCACACTGTTTTCAATAACGGCTGTACTAATTTACATTCACACCAGTTTATATGAGTTCCCTTTCTCTGCATCCTTGCCAGCATTTACTGTCTTTTTAATAACAGCCATTCTAAATGGGGTGAGATATCTCACTGTGGTTGAGTTGCATTTCCCTGATGACTAGTGATGTTGAGCATTTTTTCATCTACTTGTTAACCATCTGTATGTCTTTTGAGAAATATCTGTTCAGGTCCTTTGCCCACTTTTTATTTGGGGTTTTTTTGCTGTTGAGATTCTTGTATATTCTAGATATTAATCCCTTGATGAATACTTTGCAAGTATTTTCTCCCATTCTATAGGTTCTGTTCACTCTATTCTTTGCTGTGCAGAAACCTTTCAGTTTCATATATTCCCATTTGTGTATTTCTGTTTGTAGCCTGTGCTTTTGTAGTCTTACTCAAAATCTTTGCCTAGACCAATGTCCTGAAGCATTTCCTGTTTTCTTCCAGTACTTTCATAGTTTTAGGTCTGCAATTAACTCGTTAATCCATCTTGAGTTGATGCTTGTATACAGTGAGAGATAGGAGTCTAATTTCATTCTGCATATGGATATGCAGTTTTCCCAGTACCATTTATTGAGGAGGGTGTCCTTTTGCCAATGTATGTTCTTGGTGTCTTTGTTGAAATCAGTTGGCTGTAAATGCATGGATTTATTTCTGGGTTCTCTCTATTCTGTTCCATTGGTCTATGTCTCTGTTTTTATACCAGAACCACGATGTTTTTATTACTACTGCTTTGTAGTACATTTTCAAGTCAAGTAGTGTGAGGCCTCCAACTTTTAAACTGAATTTTTTAGTAGAGGCAAAAGGCCATGTGTATACCCTTAATTGATTCAGGAAAAAAAATAACTCTAAAGGGAGATGGAGGAGGGGTGAACAGGAGAGGGAGGGTGCAATGTACAAATGATTTAAAAAGTGAGATGTTAACATCTGGATAAAGGGGGGTATAGGTATTCTTGGTACTATGTATTTGTGGCAATTTATCTGTATACTTGAAATTTCTAAGTAAAATGTTGGAAAAGCAGAGTAAAAAGATATTCCCAACCAATGAGCAGTTTTCCTTACAATAATCAAGACCTATTATATTTAGGACACTAAGATCACTGAGACTTATTCAGGCTTTTCAAATGAACAGTTATACAGTGTATCAGTTTAAAACTTACAATTCAATACACGTTATCAAGTCAAATCCAAGCAAACGAGAGTCTCTCTCCACAACGGAGCCATGATACAATGTGATGGTCAAATTCAGATCCCGAGGTTTCAGAAAATCCCCCAGGAAAGGAGCTAACGAATCCCTGCAAAATAATTATTGAAGAAACTTTCTGAACATTATCTATTTAAAAATTCTCACCAGCTACAGAACTCAGATCCTCTGATAATTATCTTCTACCTCTATTGATATAAGTCTGACACAGCCTGTTTTCCTTGTCTTGACATATTAAAGACCAGGTCATGGGGAAACTTCCTCTCACAGTGGGAAGTTACTGGCCAATGAAAAAAAGACTGAATATTTAATATTGTTATATTGTTTTCATTTGTAATACTTTTGGTTTTCCAGCTTACTTTGATTCAGTGATTTTGAGATTTTTGTTCTTTAGAAAAAGAATATTCTTGAAGCAATCTGTGGAAATCTAATGTATATATACTATATATACAAGAGATAGGAGAAATGCTATGGTTCAAAATGCAGGCGGTGGCCTGGAGCCTTGGCCTCAGTGTTCTGGGGCATTTTAAATCCTCTGCTATAAATTATCATAGTGTCCAGCATTAAAGTGATGAGATTTTGCTATCTGAATTTTAATTTACAATGCTTTGATTATTATAATCATTTAATTGAGGCTATTCTTTAAGTTGGTAGCAATAAAATGCAGGTATTTTTAGTGTTATGGCAAAGCCTGATTATTCAGTGAGTTGAAGATCCCTAATGGCCCCAATCTTTTAAAACAAATATAAAATCAACACTTTCTCTAAACTCAATAATGCCATTAGTTTTAGATTAACGCATAATTCTTTCAGAAACTAAGTATTACCCTCTCCATCGTAATTTATCCTCATTAATATCTACTCCAACAAGCAATTCAATGCATGGATTGACTTTTAGCAGCCTTAAGAGTGAAGTATCACCACATCCCAGGTCTGCAACCTGTAGATGAGACAGAATGTTATTTCAAAGACATTTATAGCAAGAGAAGTATGATCAAAAACTTTTTTTTGAGGAGGAGAGAGTGGAGTATATATCAGTAATAAAATAATGAAAGTATTATATGGAAGGATCTTTTTGGCAGAAGATGCTACACACACACACACACACACACACACACACACACACACACACACTAACCTGAAACTTTATAAGCCCATAGGCAAATTTCTATTTGATCACACTAAAATAGAAAGGTCCATTCCTATTCCAGAACAACTGTTATTGTCTATATTGAACTAATGAGAAACAATTACGTACACACAGTTTTCCCATTCAGAATCAGAATTTGGAGTCAAATATTCTCAGCATATTTCAGCAAACAAAGCTTTCTAAAACTTAGCTTTCACCCCTCACACATTTATTTGATTAAACAATTACCTCAAACCATCTGAAATTCCATACTGAACTCTGAGCTGCCAAAAAGCCAATTTTAGATGCTTTACCTGAATACACATGCCTAGATGGCTACAAAGATATAAACTAATACCTACGCCTTTGTGTCCAAGTGTAGAAACAGTAGTGGTGGAGTTAAGGGAAACCTTCACACACAGGAATCTTCACTGAGTCTTCAACATCAAGCAGAAAAAGAAAGCTTTCATCTAGAAATTCACCTTACCCGCATCTAATTCACATCCAATCCATTAGTATAGTAACCAGGTATGGATGGATGGATGTAGATTATATGCAATTATGACTTTACTCTGAAGTTAACCGAGTAGGTTCATTATGATCTAATTTTCTTTTTGAGACGGGCTCTTTCTCTGTTGCCCAGGCTGGAATGCAGGTGATAACAGCTCACTGCAGCCTCAACCTCCTGGGCTCAAGGGATCCTCCCACCTCAGCCTCCTGAGTAACTGGGACTATAGGCACGCACCACCATGCACAGCTAATTTTATTTTTTGTAGACACAGGGTCTCACTATGGTGCCAGGCTGGTCTCAAGCTAGCCACCTGCCTCAGCCTCCCAAAGTGCCGGAATTACAGGTGTAAACCATTGCACCCGGCCCATTATCATCTAATTTTAAAAGAACCACAATACCTGTGGCTACAATACCAGTTTGCCTGATATTCTAACTAAATGCTCTAGAAGTACGGTACCTACAAGATCACATCCAACTATAAAATCTTAAGATTTTCTTCACATTTGAACCTGACAATGCTGAATTCTGTCTGAGCCCTGTGTTTCTGGCATCTGCTAAAGGAATCCACCTGTGCTTTGTGTTCCAGGAAAGGGCTCACTGCAAAAAACCACCCTCCTCCATAAAACTTAGATAAGATTCCTTGTGTTTCCATTCTTTGCCTCAAATGATTATCATGAATACTTGTCCCCACTGATCAATGGGAAGAAAATTCCTTTTTTAACCATACTTTATTCAAACTTTACTTCTTCCCCCAGGGCCCTGCACTACAGCCTGAGGAAACAGCCCCCTCCTTAAGGCTCCCCATTCCACTGTCCTTTCAAACCACCCTCTCATCCCACCTCCCTAGTTTCTAGCTTTGTTCACTTCTCCAGTAAAAGAAAAACCCCTTTTGCTTAACTCTTGAGACACCTGCAGATCTTGTGGTTACGGCATTCTCCCTATTGCAATAACCCCTGTGAAAAGTCTCTCCATACTAATCCATTTGACAAAACACCTCATATGACTAGTCTACTAGTCTTAATAATTAAATGTTTGGAAAGAGAAATACCTACCTTCTTAGGCTCATGTTGATCCACTAAATTTTTAACGAACTGGTACCGCTGTCTGTATAGTGGAGGTTTAAACTGAATTGCCGTCTCCCTGGGAACTTCTTCAAAATTACCGTCAACCACACTACTGCACTGAAGTTCACAAACAAAAAAAGACAGGTTCTAAATCATGCATGACTTCAGAAATTAAATAAGGGGCAAAAAAAAAAAAACTTTATTTCCCCCAATCACTTTGAAAAACACACTGGCCTTCACATACCCTTTGTCCTAAAATCATTAGGTAGCACTGCATTTCCTCCACAGTTCATGTAAGCATCCTCTCATGCCTTTTAACAAGAGAGAATCTAGCTGTATGCTCCCTATAGCTTAGTTTCAGCTGAAGGGAACATTACCAATGAATGTATTCAATGAAAACAATTAGATGACTCCTAACCATAAGGGACCTTTTGTGGAGTGAGTCGCCAAAGCCTGTGGTCCAAGTAGGCAGGAGGCTGGAAAATATTTATAATGACTGACTATATATATATACACACACACATATATATACACACACACACACACATATATGTACACACACTTACACACACACACATATATATACACACACACACACATATATATGTACACACACACACACACACACACACATATATACACACACACACACACACATATATATATATATATTTTTTTTTTCCCCCCAAGACGGAGTCTTGCTCTGTCACCCAGGCTGGAGTGCAGTGGCGCGATCTCAGCTCACTGCAACCTCCGCCTCCCTCAATTCAAGCAATTCTCCTGCCTCAGCCTCCCGAGTAGCTGGGATTACATTACAGGCATGCGCCACCATGCCTGGCTAATTTTTGTATTTAGTAGTGACGGGTTTCACCATGTTGGCCAGGCTCTTCTTGAACTCCTGACCTCGTGATCCACCCGCCTTGGCCTCCCAAAGTGCTGGGATTACAGGTGTAAGCCACCACACCCAGCCAACACTCTTTTTAAGAGAGAGAGAGGATCTCACTATGTCGCCCAGGCTGGTTTAAAATTCCTGGGCTCAAGCAATCCTCTGGCCTCGGCCTCCTGAGTAGTTGGGCATCTGTAGGAACATTCCAACACACCAGCAAAAGACTCTCTCACTGACCAAACTTCAGTCAGGTTCCTCTGAGCCATCTTCTTGAATAGACCTCAAACCCTGGCCCCAATCCTATCTTTGGGCTGCCTAGCCCAGTTTTAATAAGAATACTTCTAAGTCAGTTTAGACAGAATCTTCTACCCCTGATATCTGATCACCCTATCTGGTCAAATTCTTCATCTTTGCAATGTTCTTATTGCAACAGTCCTCAATAAAGTCAGACTAATTTTTTCTTTAACATGACCCCAAGAAAAAACAGAATTTATAAGATTAATCTGTAATAGCTGTTACTATTCCTATACAGCAGTATTATAAAAGTAGTCCAAAGGGTATTTGATATCTGATGTAGCACTGTCCAATAGATAAAATACAAGTAGGCAACTTTCTTGTAGCCCAAGAATTGGAATTATAATCGGAATTAGAATATTTAAACCAATATATCGAAAATATAATTTTTACATAAAATCAATATAAGAGATTTTAGATTCTTGTTTTTCACATTAAGTCTTCAAAATCCAGTGTGCTACATATTTTGTACTTCTGCGTCTCAGTTCCAAAACCTTCATCAGAAATACTTGTCTGTATTGGATTTAAAAACTTTACATTTAAAATATACATGCACATACCCAAGTTATTCCAAACATACTTTTTTCCAATAATGTAATCAAATATCCAATTTTAAACTTAAAATTAAAAATGAAGTTATGAGCCCAGGTGGTCAGCGTTGCAGTTAACCGTGACTGGGCAAGTGCATTCCAGCCTGGGCAACAGAGCAAGACCCTGTCTTAAAAAAAAAAAAAATTAAAGTTCGGTTCCTCAATTCCACTAGCCACATTTCAAGTGCCCACTTGCCATGTGTAGCTACTGGACAGCAGGGAGCTACACCCTAGGTACTCCCAATGTGGTTTCCAAACCAGTGGCATCTTCACCTAGAAACTTTAGAAACACAAAAGCTTGGGCCTCACCCTAGACCTCCTTAAACAGAATCTGCAACTTAACAAAATCCCCAGGTGATCCATATACACAACCACATTGGGGAACACTACTTAGAGTGTTTTTAAAATAGATTTTGCTACTTTAACACCTAGTGATAAAAGTAAAAACATTTATTTTACTTACATACACCAAATGTGACTCTTTCATCTATGTATACCCTTGTTTACCTCAACCAACACCCCGGGAAATGCTAGGACCTAAATGTGATCAATTTTGTTTGCAATTATCTCACAATACATCCAGGTGATAATTCTTAAGAGTCAAAGACGCAGCTAAGAAGGGTGGCATTACCTGTAGATTATTTTCTTCCATTTTGTTTCGAAGTTTTGTTGAAACAAAAATGAAGATTTATCCTTCAAGCTCTATTTGAGAGAATCAGCACTGACTCAGCTGTAATAAATACAAAACCGTTTTTGTAAAGCGATACCTGAAAGAAATAGCTGCCTAGTTCAGAAGGGAAGAACGAAAGCCTCTTTCTTACTCCTTACTACAGTATATAATTTAAATAGAACGCTTAAAAGTAAATAATGAATTCACCTCTGAGTACTCAAAAAAAAAAAAAAAAACACGAAAGCAGGACTCGAACAGATATTTATACACCGAAGTTCATAGCATTATTCACAATAGCCAATCTGTGGATTAAATGTGGACTACCATTTAATCCACAGAATGTATCCAGTATTTTTTCAGACATTCGCAAACAGGCTCAGAAAGCGTAACTTTTCACTACGTCAAACCCTACTAAGAGCGAAAACAGCCATCCTTTCCCTTTACTATCATGAATAGTTCAACTAGATACAAACGGAGCAATCTTAGGAGTTCTGCCCATTTCATTGCTAAGACCCTCAACTTCAAATTTTTTCAAAAATTTTTCCACACATCGTCAAAATGAAATTTCGAGGGGGAAAAAAAGTGTCCTTGATAAACTAGAGATGCTCCAACATCTATTCAATTCACTCACGAACTTGAATTTAAATTTTAGTTCTCTATTGCACATGTGTCTCCAACAACTAGACTTTAATCTGGAATCTAGGCAACATGTTAGTCACCAACTTGTATTAAGAAACCCTGGCCGGGCGCGGTGGCTCACGCCTGTAATCCCAGCACTTTGGGAGGCCGAGGCGGGCGGATCACGAGGTCAGGAGATCGAGACCATCCCGGCTAAAACGGTGAAACCCCGTCTCTACTAAAAATACAAAAAATTAGCCGGGCGTAGTGGCGGGCGCCTGTAGTCCCAGCTACTTGGGAGGCTGAGGCAGGAGAATGGCATGAACCCGGGAGGCGGAGCTTGCAGTGAGCCGAGATCCCGCCACTGCACTCCAGCCTGGGCGACAGAGCGAGACTCCGTCTCAAAAAAAAAAAAAGAAAAAGAAAAAGAAACCCTGCTCACTGAAACCAACGCTTCTGTCTTTGTACGGGCCGTCGCTTCCATCATCCTGCGGTAAGCAGCATGCCCAACCGAAAAAACAAAGCTCGTCGCGGAGCCGCCAGCGTCCTCAACTCAGCGCCGCCCTGACGCCCGCGCACGCACGGCCTCGCTGCGTGACGCTACCGCCGCGGCTACGCCGGCGCCCGCACCCGCGCCTCGGCCTCCCCGCGGGGCTCGCCAACCTCGTGCGCTCTCACGGTCGGCCTTGGGCCCCGGGAGCCTCATGGTGCGCCGAGCTCCGTCCCTCTAGGCTCTCAGTTCCAAGGCGTCGGTTTTGCGTCTCGTAACGGCCGCTGTGGCGCATGCCCAGAAGCCATTTTCAAGGTCCTCTTCCGAACCTTGGCGAGGACCCCTGCGCCTGCCGCGCCGTTGACCCCGCTAGCGTGCGGCTGCGACGCGGCACGGTACGGCAGCTGTTGGCGAAGGCCCCCAACTCCGAGCGCGTCCGCAGACCGCGAGCCGGAAGGCGGCTTGGGCGGCTGTTGAGTTCGTGGCGCTCCCGAGGCGTGGCAAAGGCCTAAAAACGGTCCTGGCCAGCGGAAGGCGGCAAGAGGAGCAGCAAGGCTCCACGCGAGGCGGCCGGCGGCTGGAGTCCCAGTCAGCCTCCGCTTTCATCCCAGAGCAGTCCACGGGGGCCTTAAAGGAATGTAGGCTGGGTGAAGTTGGCCCAGTGACACCTGCGTTCAGAAAAACGTTCTTTCCGCTCCCAACGCCCCCTCTCCACCGCCACCCGACCCCCGAAATAGTTTTCCCCGAGTGTTGTGGATAGAACTGTTGATCTCTTGGAAAAGTTATTGTATCCTGCCATCCTTCCCTCTGGAGACTCCACTTAATATATATAAGTACTTTCTTTCCTGTATATGATGGAAGAGTATTAGGGGGGTGAGGGGAGGGACGAAGCTGCCTTCTTTAGGGAAAAAAGATTGACTTATATTTTGAAAGATGCAAAAGCTGGTGTTTTTGCTACTGAATTAATAGCCTATTAATATGCCACAAATGATATATTGGAACTGTATTTTCAAACATTTAACGCCTGCTGTATGCAAAGCACTATGCTGACAGCTTAAGGGTACCACAATGATAAATTACACCAATCTTGTTTTTGGCATTTTGGGGAGTCTAGTGTCATAGGTAAAGAAGTACATAACTAACAATAAGCTTCAAAAATTCAATCATAAGGCCCGGCACCGTGGCTTCCGCCTGTAATCCCAGCACTTTGGGGGATCACTTGAGCCCCGGAGTGTGAGACCCCGTCTCTACCAAAAAAAAAAAGAAATTAGCTGGGCATGGTGGTGCCTGCCTGTGGTCCCAACTGTTTGGGAGGCTGAGGCCGGAGGATCACTTGACCCCAGGAATCTGAGCCTGCAGTGAGCTATGATTGCACCACTGCACTCCAGTCTGGGCGACAGAACCAGACCATGTCTAAAAAGAAAAAACACTCAGTGATAATTTCACATTACAGTTTGAGAGGTTCCTGTTGACTTGGGGAAACTAGTTTTAGCAGACTTCATTAAAGGAGTGTACACCTTACTACAGGATGTAATTTAAAATAGAATGTTTAAATAATAAATTCACTTCTGGGTATATACTCAAAGCAGGAATTCAAACAGGTATTTGTACACCAAAGTTCGTAACAGCATTATTCACAGTAGCCAAAATGTGGAAACAACCCAAATGTCCATTAAAGGATGAATAAACAAAATGTGATATACATACAATGGAATATTCAGCCTTTATTTTTCCAATCAGAGTTTCAGGAAAATCAACCTTTAAAAGGAGTGAAATTCTGACATTTGCTGCCACATGGATGAATCTTGATGATGATATGCTGAGTGATATATAATCAGTCACGGAAGGACAAATACTGCATGATTCAATTTATATCAGGTACCTAGAGTAGCCAAATTCATAGAGACAAAGTAGAATGGTGGTTGCTACGGGCTGAGAGGAGGAGGGAATTGAGAGTTGTTTAATGGGTGATGGAAAAGTTTTGTAGATAGGATGGTTGCACTGAATGCCACTGAACTTAAAAATTGTTAAAGTGGTTTTATGTATATTTACCACAGTTTCAAAAATTTTAAGGAAAACATAAAAGCTATCATCTATACAGCATTCCTGGATCTAGGGTTTTTGCCTCCCCTGCTGGTTAGCCCATTTATGAACTTGAGCTCCTCATGTCCATTCCCTCTCCAAATTTGCCTATTTCATCATTCTCCTGGCCTCCTACTCTTATTAGAGTCTGAAAAATCATCCTTGGCTCTGTCCATTTTTGTCCTTCCCACACTTGGACAATCACCAAATTTTGACTTCTTCAAGCTGTCATCTACCATCTGTTCCTTCCCACAGCTAATAGCTTAGCCTTGTCATCTCATTTTGTCATTATAACTCATCTTTCCTTCGTACACAAGGTAAGTCCTACTGAGTTATAGACCATGTAACGTCTTTTAGAGTGGATTTTAAGTCAAATAGGCCTTAAATCCAGATTTTACTATTACTGCATAACCTTTGGAAGTTGCATCCTCTCTGAGTGTTAGGGGGTTTTTTTAAGTTAAAAAATGAGAAATGATTACTTATTTGGTAAATGTGTATAGAGTATTTATTATGGATCAAGTACTTGTTTGAATTTAAAAGACAGATAAAGATCCTTTCATAGCTTTTACAGTCCAGCAGGTGTAGGTGTCTGGCACACAATAGGTAATCAAGAGTTATCCTGGGCTGAGTGAGGTGGCTCATGACTGTAATCCCAGCAGTTTGGGAGGCTGAGGCAGGAGGATGGCTTGAGGCTAGGAGTTCAAAACCAGCCTGGGCAACATAGCGAGACCTGTCTCTACAAAGAAAAAAAACATTATCTGGCCATGCTGGCGGGCACCTGTACTCCTAGGTACTCAGGAGGCTGAGGCAGGAGGATCGCTTGAGCCTGGGAGTTTGAGGCTGCAGTGAGCTGTGATCATGTCACTGCACTCCCTGGGCAACAGAGTGAGACCCTGTCTAACAAAAAATTAATTTCAAAATTTAAAATATTTTTTAATATTTTAAAACGGAGTCTGGTTCTGTCACCCAGGCTGGAGTGCAGTGGCGTGATCTCGGCTCACTGCAACCTCCACTTCCCAGGTTCAAGCGATTCTCCTGCCTCAGCCTCATGAGCAGCTGGGATTACAGTCACGCACCACCATGCCCAGCTAATTTTTGTATTTTTAGTAGAGACAGGGTTTCACTATGTTGGCCAGGCTGGTCTCGAACTCCTGACCGCAAGTGATCTGCCCGCCTCAGCCTCCCAAAGTGCTGGGATTCCAGGCGTGAGCCATCGCGCCTGACAAAATTTTTTAAGTTATTCTGGATGCCAGTTTGAGCCTGATGCTTAACAGGATGGAATATTTGGAGGTCTTGAGAAGAGGGTGATTGTATATTCCATGTAAGAGGAATGTAAATAGTTTGTGTCTAGAAGGAAGATTGTAACAGATTAAGATGTACGAATTCCTTCTCACCTATTGAGAGAAACGGGGTCTATTTCTTTTCCTTTTGAATCTATATGGGTTTTGTGATTTCACCAATGAATAGAATACCTCTGCCAGTTTTTGGGCCTAGGACTTAAGAAACTGGCAGCTTCTACTTCCTGTTTTTTAACGCATCCACTCTTGGAACCCAAATGACAATCTGCGAAGAAGACTAAGGGGCCCCACGGAGAGGCCCACATGGAGAAAACTCAATCCCCCCTCACCCGCTATCCCAGGCTGTCAGCCAGCACCACCTTGTCTTGCCAGCCATGTGAGTGAGCCATGTTGGAAGTGAATCCTCCAGGCCCGGTGAGCCATTTAAACTGACTGAAGACAGCAGCTCTGTCCATGTGCACAGAGAGTGGGAAGTGCCTGAAAATTTACATTTTCCTAGGTAGTGCTTTGCTAATGACTGACCGGTGTGGATGTATAAAAGTCCAGCTCCGTGATCTCAGACTTCCGGCCTCCAGAACTGTAAGAAAATAATTTTTTGTTGTTTAAGCCATCCAGTCTGTGGTATTTTGTTACAGCTACCCAAGCTGACTGATAACACTGAATTATGTACATAACTGAATAACCACCTATGGAGCAATAAGAGCACATTTGGAGCATCTTCTCTACCAAGCAAGAAACAAAAACGTTCTCACCTTATCAATATTCTACAAGTTAACCTCTAACTTCTCAGGGTTGTTAACTGTTTGGACTCTCTTGTTTGTAGGGAGTGACTCAGAGAAAGTTAGAGTCCCCAAGAGAGCCATATGCCTGAGAGACAGGCTTAATTCTCTGGCATGTTACTAAAATGTCAGCCATGTGCAGTGGCTCATGCCTGTAATCCCAGCTCTTTGGGAAGCTGAGGCAGGAGGATTGCTTGAGGCCAGGAGTTTGAGACTAGCCTGGGAACGGCCCTTGTCTCCAAAATTAAAAATAAATTTTTTTTAGAAAATGTTAAATACTGTGAAATAATCTATTTCCAAGTGTTGGATATTTTTTCTGCACAGTAGTGAAATTATTGCTGGCTGTCTCGGTGTAAGAATGGCCATTGAGCTGCCTCATATCCTGATGGGAAGGTGCAGGGCCAGAAGTTGAATCACACTATGAGTGTGTTTTATGGGCCAGCTGTGAACCTATGAAAGTAGCAAAGAAGAAATAAGATTTGAAAAGCATGATTCCAAAAGAGTCTGGAAAATTCTTCCAGTTGTCAGACATGCAAAGTTGTAATTTCATATCCATAATTCTTTATGCTTTTTCTTATAGCAGGCCCTGACATTGTATAAGCTTCAGGCCCCACAAAACCTGGATCTGCCCTGCCAGGATCAGCATCTAGAGGAAAACTACTACTTCCACAATAGCACAACCAATCTGATCATCCCTGCATCAGTGAGCATTCTCCAGAGAAACAGAGCCAACAGGATATGTGTATATATGTGAAGAAAGACTTATTTTAAGGAGTTGGCTCATGCAATTATGGAGGTGCAAGTCCAAAATCTGTAGGGCAGGCAGATGGGCAGACTGGAGACCCAGAGAAGAGTTGCAGTTCAAGTCCAAAGTCGGTTGGAAGAATTCCCTCTTGCTGGGTAACACTGGGGAAGCAGGAGTAGATGGAAAGGGGAGGTGTCAGGCTTTGCTCTACCAAGGACTTCAACTGATTGGATGAGGCCCAGTAACATTATGGAGGGAAACCTGCTTTGCTCAGAGTTTACTGATTTAAATATTAATCTCATCCACAAAAAAATAAATAACCTTCACAGAAACATTTAGAATATTTGACCAAATATCTAAGTCCCATGGCTCAGACAACTTAACACATAAAATTATCCATCACAATTCCATTATCCCAATACAGGTCGGCAGGGCCTTGGGCAGGTGGTAACCTCAGCTCTGGAGTCTACAGCAATACTCTCACACTTAACAGATGTAGTTCTGTGGGTCCAGGTCCCACTTCGCAAGAGAGAATCTGATGGGCTAATTTCGACCAAGTCTCCTTTCCTAGTTCAATCACGTGTAAGGGTTAGAGAAAGGGTTGGGCTCACAAGGGACTTAGGGCTGCCTCTCTGGACTTGGGAGAGCAGGACTTCTCAAGAGATAAATGGTTAGAGAGTAATATAATTTGGATATTTGTCCCCTATAAATCTCATGTTGAAATTTGATGTTCAATGTTGAGGGCAGGTCTGGGACCTCCCTCCCTGCTTTTGCTCCCCCTCTCGCCATATGGCACAACTGCTCCCTTCACCTTCTGCTATGAATGGAAGCTTCCTGAGGCCTTCACCAAAAGCGGAGGCTGGTACCATGCTTCACGCACAGCCTGCAGAATCATGAGCCAAATAAACTACTTTTCTTTATAAATCATCCAGTTTCAGGTATTCGCTTATAGCAACACAAAATGGACTAATACAGAGAGGAAATATTTTGAGCACATTGAAGGCCCCAAAATATTGAGCTTTTTTTTTTTAACCTATATAGTACTTTTCTTGCATCTCAGTTTGCTTATCTATAGAATGAGGATTAATAAGACCTACCAACTTCAGGGGGTCATTCTGGTGAGATAAGTGAAAAAATTTGTAAAGAAGTGTATAAATTTACCATTGTTTTTTAAAACTAAAATGATCTCTAACACTAAGTTGATGATCTGATCACAAAGATGGGGTAGATGAAATGAAGAGAAAAGGTTTCTGACATTTGTATACTTAGAAATGTATCCAGGCTGGGCATGGTGGTCCATACCTGTAATCCCAGCACTTTGAGAGGCCAACGCAGGAGGGTCACTTGAGGCCACGAGTTCAAAACCAGCCTGGCCACATTGAGAGGTGACAGTGTGTTGGCAGTCCTCACAGCCCTCGCTCACTCTTGGCGCCTCCTCTGCCTGGGCTCCCACTTTGGTGGCACTTGAGGAGCTCTTCAGCCCACCGCTGCACTGTGGGAGCCCCTTTCTGGGCTGGCCAAGGCCAGAGCCGGCTCCCTCAGCGTGCAGGGAGGTGTGGAGGGAGAGGCGGGAGCGGGAACCCGGGCTGCACGCAGCGCTTGCAGGCCAGCTGGAGTTCGGGTGGGCGTGGGCTTGGCGGGGACCGCACTCGGAGCAGCCGGCGGGACCTGCCGGCCCCGGGCAATGAGGGGCTTAGCACCCGGGCCAGTGGCTGCAGAGGTTGTACTGGGTCCCCCAGCAGTGCCAGCCCACCGGCGCTGTGCTCGATTTCTCGCCTGGCCTTAGCTGCCCTCCCGCGGGGCAGGGCTCGGGACCTGCAGCCTGCCATGCCTGAGCCTCCCACCCCCTCCGTGGGCTCCTGTGCGGCTGGAGCCTCCCTGATGAGCACCGCCCCTTGCTCCACGGCGCCCAGTCCCATCGACCATTCAAGCGCTGAGGAGTGCGGGTGCATGGCGCGGGACTGGCAGGCAGCTCCACCTGCAGCTCTGGTGCAGGATCCACTGGGGGAAGCCAGCTGGGTTCCTGAGTCTGGTGGGGAGTGGAGAATCTTTATGTCTAGCTCAGGGATTGTAAATACACCAATCGGCACTCTGTATCTAGCTCAAGGTTTGTAAACACACCAATCAGCACCCTGTGTCTAGCTCAGAGTTTGTGAATGCACCAATCGACACTCTGTATCTAGCTACTCTGGTGGGGCCTTGGAGAACCTTTGTGTCAACACTCTATATCTAGCTAATCTGGTGGGGACCTGGAGAACTTTTGTGTCTAGCTCAGGGATTGTAAACGCACCAATCAGCGCCCTGTCAAAACAGACCACTCAGCTCTACCAATCAGCAGGATGTGGGTGGGGCCAGATAAGAGAATAAAAGCAGGCTGCCCGAGTCAGCAGTGGCAACCTGTTCGGGTCCCCTTCCACACTGTGGAAGCTTTGTTCTTTTGCTCTTTGCAATAAATCTTGCTACTGCTCACTCTTTGGGTCCACACTGCCTTTATGAGCTGTAACACTCACCGTGAAGGTCTGCAGCTTCACTCCTGAAGCCAGCGAGACCACGAGCCCACCGGGAGGAACAAACAACTCCAGACGCGCCACCTTAAGAGCTGTAACACTGACTGCGAAGGTCTGCAGCTTCACTCCTGAGCCAGCGAGACCACGAACCCACCAGAAGGAAGAAACCCCGAACACATCTGAACATCAGAAGGAACAAACTCTGGACACGCTGCCTTTAAGAACTGTAACACTCACCGCGAGGGTCCGCTGCTTCATTCTTGAAGACAGTGAGACCAAGAACCCACCAACTCCAGACACAACATGACGAGACCCCATCTCTATAAAAAATTTAAAAATTGGCCAGTGTGGTCGTCCATGCCTATAGTCCCAGCTACATGGGAGGCTGAGGTGGGACAATCAATCACTTGAGCTCAGGATTTCAAGCCTGCAGTGAACTATGGTCACACCACTGCACTCCAGCCTGGATAACTTGTGTCAGAAAAAAATAAAAATGAGAGAGAGGGAGGAAGAGAGACAGAGAAAGAGAAAGAAAGAAGGGAGGGAAGAGGAAAGCAAGGGAAAGAAGGGAGGGAGGGAAGAAGGAAGAAAGGAGGGGGAAGAAAGAAGGAAGGGAAGAAGGAAGAAAGGGAGGGAGGGGAGAGGAAGTATGTATTCAGTCAGGGTTCTTAATTGCAAACAATGGAATGCACTCAGGCTGGTTTAAGTAGAAAAGTAATTTTTTTTTTTTAGATGGAGTTTCACTCTTGTTGCCCAGGCTGGAGTGCAAAGGTGAGATCTTGGCTCACTGAAGCCTCTGCCTCCCAGGTTCAAGCAGTTCTCTTCCCTCAGCCTCCCAAGTAGCTGGGATTACAGGCGCTTGCCACCATGCCCAGCTAATTGTTGCATTTTTGGTAGAGATAGGGTTTAGCCATGTTGACCAGGCTGTTCTCAAACTCCTGACCTCAGGTGACCCACCCGCCTTAGCCTTCCAAAGTGGGGATTATAGGCATGAGCCACCACGCCCAGCCGAAAAGTAATTTATTATTGAACTCTCACCCAATCTCTTAGACAACTAAAGAACCCTACTCATTATTTTATTTTTTAAATTGAGATAATGTTTTGCTGTGTTGCCCAGCCTGGTCTCAAACTCCTGAGATCAAGCGATCCTCCTGCCTCAGCCTCTCAAGTAGCTGGGATTACAGATGCATACCACCATGACTGGCTTCTGAATCTAATTCTCAAATCCACGTATCTAATGGATTGAGCCTAGGTTATTTCCAGCTTCAAGGGTCTTGGGTTGTAAAATGTTTTAGGTGGTGGGGATGAGGCTTCCATTTGGGTAAGATGAATATCATTACGTGGGAAACTACCGAAATGTAGGGACAGTGTTCAAATCTACAAATAACAAATTTCTACCACAGAAAAGTACACGTTGAGTATCCCTAATTTGAAAAATACAAAATCTGAAACTTCTGAGCACCCGAAACGATGGCACAAGTGGAAAATTCCACACCTGACCTCATATGATGAGTCACAGCCAAAACGCAGTTAAAACTTTGTTTCAAGCACAACATTATTTAAAATATTGTATAAGAAAGGGGAGTAAGATGGTGGAACAGAAGCCTACACTGTTTGCCCCCTGCCCGTTGGCAGGAACACCAAATTTTAACAACTATCTATACACAGAAAAGCACCGTCACAAGAACCAAAACTCAGATGAGCTATCACAGTACCTGATTTTGACTTCCTATCACTGAAAAAGGCATTGAAGAGGGTCAGAGAGACAGTCCTGAACCGCCAACACCACCCTTTCCTCATCCCCTGGCACAGAGAGTCTATGCACTTGGGGGTGGGAGAGCACAGTGACTGGGGAACTTTACATTGAACTCAGTGCTTCCCTGTCACAGTGGAGAGGAGAGGAAAGCTGTGCTGCAATCAGGCAGTGCCTGCGCGTGAAAGGAACATTTGGACCATACCTAGCCAGCGGGGAATCACCCACCCCAGTGGTCAGAACTTGAGTTTTTTTGGTAAGCCTCGCCACTGCAAGTCAAAGTGCTCTGGGGTCCTAGTAAAGTTGAAAGGCAGTCTAGGACAGAAAGACTGCAATTCCTAGGCAATTCTTAATTGCTGGGCTGGGCTCTGAGCCAGTGGACTAGGATGGTATGTGACCTAGAGAGACACCAGGCAGGGTGGCTGAAGGAGTGCTTCCACAACCCCAAGCAGTGCAGTTCACAGTGGCAAAAGTGACTCTTTCCTTCTGCTTAAGGAGAAGAGAGTGAAGAGTAAGGAGGACTTTGTCTTGCATACCAGCTCAGCTGCAATAGGATAGAGCACTGAACAGAGTCATAAGGCCCCCATTAAAGGCCCTTGCTCAAGGATGACATTTCTAGACATACCTTGGGCCAAAAGGGAACCCACTGCCTTGAAGGGAAGGGCCCAGTCCTGGCAGGATTCATCACCTGCTCACTAAAGAGCCCTTGGGCCCTGTATAACCAGCAATGATACCCAGGCAGTATGCCATGGGCCTTGGGCTCTGAGATGTGCTGACTTCAGGTGAGACATAGTACATTCCCAGCTGTGGTGGCTATGGTGACACACTCCATCTGATTAAGAAAAACAGAGGGAAAGGGAAAGGGGACTTTGTCTTGCCCCTTGGATACAAGCTTGGCCACAGTTGGGTAGAGCAACAAACAGGCTCTTGCAGTTCCCAAGTCTAGACCTAGGCTCTTGGCAGCATTTCTGGACCTGCACTGGGCCGGAGGGGAGCCCACTGCCCTGAAAGGTGAGTCCCAGGCCTTTTAGCATTCACTACAAGCTGACTGAAGAGCCCCTGGGCTTTAAGTGAAAATCAAGAGTGGCCTGGCAGAACCCCGCTCTGGGCTGATGGTGGCCATAGGCAGAGGCTCTTCTGCCTAAGTAAAGCAGAGAGGGGAACAGGAAGGACTTTGTATTGTGGTTTCAGTGCCAGCTTAGCCACAGTAGACTAGAATATCAGACAAATGTATCAGGTTTTTGACTCCAATCCCTGGCTCATCTCTGGACCTGCCTAGGGGAACTTGCTGCTCTGAAGGGAAGGACATAAACCTGGCTGGCTTTGCCACCTGCTGATTGTACAGCCCTAGGGCCTTAAGTGAACATAGGTAGTAGCCAGGTAGTGGTTACAGCAGGCCTTGGGCAAGACCCAGAGCTGTGCTGGCTTCAGGTCTGACCCAGTACAGTCCCAGTGGTGGTGACCACAGGGGTGCTTGCATCACTACACCCCCAGTTTCAGGTGGCTCAGGACAGGGAGAGACTCTGTTTGGGAGAAAGTACGGGAAGAGAACAAGAGTCTCTGCCTGGTAGTCCAGAAAATTCTTCCAGATCTTATCAAAGACCACCAAGGCAGTACCTCTGTAAGTATGCAAGAAATACAGCTTTATTGGGCTTGGGGCCCAAGTCCCTTCAAATACCTGGAAAGCCTTCTCAAGAAGGATGGGCACAAACAAGCCCAGACTGCAAACATTACAATAGATACCTAACTCTTTAATGCCCAGACACTGACAAACATCTACAAGCATCAAGATCATTCAGGAAAACATGACTTCACCAAACAAACTAAATAAGGTACTAGGGACCAATTCTAGAGAGACAGGGATATGTTAACCTTCAGACAGAAAATTCAAAATAGCTGTTTTGAGGAAACTCAAAGAAATTCAAGATGACACCGAGAAGGAATTATGAATTCTACCAAATAAATATAACGAAGAGATTAAAATAATTTTTAAAAATCAAGCATAAATTCTAGAGTTGAAAAGTGCAATTGACATACTGAAGACTGCATCAGTCTCTTAATAGCAGAACTGATCAAGTAGAAGAAAAAAGTAATGAGCTTGAAGACAGGATATTTGAAAATACAGTCAGAGAAGACAAAATAAAAAAGAATGAAGCATGCCTACAAGATCTAGAAAATAGCCTCAAAAGGGGAAATCTAAGGGTTAATGGCCTTAAAGAAGAGGTAGAGAAAGAGATAGGGGTAGAAAGTTTATTAAAGCAATAGTATCAGAGAGCATCCCAAACCTAGAGAAAGTTATCAACATTCAAGTACAAGATTATAGAATCCCAAGCAGATTTAACCCGAAGAAGACTACCTCAAGGCATTTAATAATCAAATCCCAATATTAAGGATAAAGAAAGGATTCTAAAAGCAGCAAGAGAAAAAAACCAACAAACATTGGAGCTCCAATACATCTGGCAGGAAGCAGACTTTTCAGTGGGAACCTCACAGGCCAAAAGAGAGTGATATGACATATTTAAAATGCTGAAGGAAAAAAACTTTTACCCTAGAATAATATATTCAGCAAAAATATTCTTCAAGCATGAAGGAGAAAAAAAAACCTTCCCAGACAAACAAAAGCTGAGAGATTTCATCAATACCAGACCTGTCCTGTGAGAAATGATAAAGTGAATTTTTCAGTCTGAAAGAAAAGGATATTAATGAGCAAGAGGAGACTACCTGAAGGTACAAAACTCACTGGCAAGGGTAAGAACACAGAATAGTATAACACTAACTGTGGTGTGTAAACTTCTCTTGACTTAAGTAGAAAGACTAAATAATGAACAAATAAAAAATAATAACTACAACAACTTTTCAAGATGTAGACAATACAATAAGACATAAAGAGGACCAAAGCTAAAAAGCAGGGGGACGAAGTCAAAGTGTAGATTTTTTGTTAGTTTTTTGTGTGTGTTTGTTATGCAATCAGTGTTAACTTGTCATCTGTTTAAAATAATGGGTTATAAGATAGTGTTTGCAAGCCTCATGGTAACTGCAAATCAAAAATCATACAACACATACACAAGAAATTAAATCATACCACCAGAGAAAATCACCTTCACTAAAAGAAAGACAGGAATAAAGGAAAAAAAAGAGAAGACTGCAAAACAACCAGAAAACAAATAACAAAATGGCAGGAGTGAGTCCCTCCTCACCAATAATAACATTGAATATAACTGGACTAAACTCTCCAATAAAAAGGCTGAATGGATGAAAAAAACAAGACCCACGGATCTGCTGCCTACGAGAAAGACACTTCATCTATAAAGATACATACAGACTGAAAATAAAAGGATCGAAAAGGATATTCCATGCCAATGGAAACCAAAACACAGCAGGAGTTGCTGTACTTACATCAGACAAAATATATTTCAAGATGAAAACTGTAAGGCGAGACAAAGAAGGTCACCATATAATGATAAAAGGGTCAATTCAGCAAGAGGATATAACCATTGTAAACATACATGCACCCAACACCGGAGCACCCAGATATATAAAGCAAATATTATTAGAACTAAAGAGAGAGATAGACCTCAATAGGATAATAGCTGGAGACTCTAACACCCCACTTTCAGCATTGGGCAAGTCTCCCTTACAGAAATTCAACAAAGAAACATTGGACTTAATCTGCCCTAAAGAACGAATAGACATAATAGATATTAAAAGAACATTTCATCCACTAGCTGCAGAATACACATTCTTCTCTTTAGCATATGGACCATTCTCAAGGATAGACCATATGTTAGATCACAAAACAAATATTAAAACATTCAAAAAAATTGAAATAATTTCAAGCATTTTCTCTGACCACAAAGGAATAAAACTAGAAATCAATAACAAGAGGAATTTTGGAAACAATACAAACACATAGAAATTTAAACAATATGCTCCTGAATGACTAGTGAGTCAATGAAGAAATTAAGAAGGAAACTGAAAAATTTCTTGAAACAAATAATAGAAACACAATGGGCTGGGCACAGTGGCTCATGCCTATAATCCCAGCACTTTGGGAGGCCGAGGAGGGCAGATCACAATATCAGGTGATTGAGACCATCCGGGCTAACACAGTGGAACCCCGTCTCTACTAAAAATACAAAAAAAAATTAGCCAGGCTTGGTGGTGGGTGCCTGTAGTCCCAGCTACTCTGGAGGCTGAGGCAGGAGAATGGCATGAACCTGGGAGGCGGAGCTTGCAGTGAGCCGAGATCGCGCCATTGCACTCCAGCCTGGGCAACAGAGTGAGACTCCGTCTCAAAAATAAAAATAAAAAATAAAAATAGAAACACAACATACCCAAACCTATGGGATACAGTGAAAGCAGTACTAAGAAAAATGTAAAGCTATAAAAGCCTACATCAAAAAAAAGGAAAAACTTCAAATAATAACCTAACAGTGCATGCATCTAAAAGAACAAGGAAAGCAAGAGCAAACCAAACTCACAATTAATAGAAGGAAAGAAATAGCAAAGATCAGAGCAGAAATAAGTGAATCTGAAATGAAGAAAACAATACAAAAGATAAACTAAACCAAAAGTTGGGTTTTTTTTAAAAAGATAAACAAAATTGGCAAACCTTTAGCCAGACTAACAGAAAAAAAGGGAGAAGACCCAAATAAAATCAGAGACAAAAAAGGAGACATTACCACTGATACCACAGAAATTCAAAGGATCATTAGTGGCTACTATTAGCAACTATATGCCAATAAACTAGAGAATCTAGAGGTATGGATAATTCCTAGACATGACTCACCAAGATTGAATCATGAAGAAATCCAAATCCTGAATAGATCAATAACAAGTAATGAGATCGAAGATGTAATAAAAAGTTTCCCGCTCTCCCTCTACCTCTCCCTCTCCCTCTCCGTCTCCCTCTCCCCACGGTCTCCCTCTCTTTCCAAGGTCTCCCTCTCATGCGGAGCCGAAGCTGGACTGTACTGCTGCCATCTCGGCTCACTGCAACCTCCCTGCCTGATTCTCCTGCCTCAGCCTGCCGAGTGCCTGCGATTGCAGGCACGTGCCGCCACGCCTGACTGGTTTTGGTGGAGACGGGGTTTCGCTGTGTTGGCCGGGCCGGTCTCCAGCCCCTAACCGCGAGTGATCCGCCAGCCTCGGCCTCCCGAGGTGCCGGGATTGCAGACGGAGTCTCGTTCACTCAGTGCTCAATGGTGCCCAGGCTGGAGTGCAGTGGCGTGATCTCGGCTGGCTACAACCTCCACCTCCCAGCCGCCTGCCTTGGCATCCCAAACTGCCGAGATTGCAGCCTCTGCCCGGCCACCATCCCGTCTGGGAGATGAGGAGTGTCTCTGCCTGGCCGCCCATCGTCTGGGATGTGAGGAGCCCCTCTGCCTGGCTGCCTAGTCTGGAAAGTGAGGAGCGTCTCCGCCCGGCCGCCATCACATCTAGGAAGTGAGGAGCGTCTCTGCCCGGCCGCCCATCCTCTGAGATGTGGGGAGCGCCTCTGCCCCGCCACCCCATCTGGGATGTGAGGAGCGCCTCTGCCCGGCCGCCCCGTCTGAGAAGTGAGGAGACCCTCTGCCTGGCAACCACCCCGTCTGAGAAGTGAGGAGCCCCTCCGCCCGGCAGCTGCCCCGTCTGAGAAGTGAGGAGCCTCTCTGCCCGGCAGCCACCCCATCTGGGAAGTGAGGAGCGTCTCCGCCCGGCAGCCACCCTGTCCGGGAGGGAGGTGGGGGGGGGTCAGCCCCCCGCCCGGCCAGCCGCCCCATCCGGGAGGGAGGTGAGGGGGTCAGCCCCCCGCCCGGCCAGCCGCCCCGTCCGGGAGGTGAGGGGCGCCTCTGCCCGGCCGCCCCTACTGGGAAGTGAGGAGCCCCTCTGCCCGGCCAGCCGCCCCGTCCGGGAGGGAGGTGGGGGGTCAGCCCCCCGCCCGGCCAGCCGCCCCGTCCGGGAGGTGAGGGGCGCCTCTGCCCGGCCGCCCCTACTGGGAAGTGAAGAGCCCCTCTGCCCGGCCACCACCCCGTCTGGGAGGTGTGCCCAACAGCTCATTGAGAATGGGCCATGATGACAATGGCGGTTTTGTGGAATAGAAAGGGGGGAAAGGTGGGGAAAAGATTGAGAAATCGGATGGTTGCCGTGTCTGTGTAGAAAGAAGTAGACATGGGAGACTTTTCATTTTGTGCTGCACTAAGAAAAATTCTTCTGCCTTGGGATCCTGTAGATCTGTGACCTTACCCCCAACCCTGTGCTCTCTGAAACATGTGCTGTGTCCACTCAGGGTTAAATGGATTAAGGGCGGTGCAAGATGTGCTTTGTTAAACAGATGCTTGAAGGCAGCATGCTCGTTAAGAGTCATCACCACTCCCTAATCTCAAGTAATCAGGGACACAAACACTGCGGAAGGCCGCAGGGTCCTCTACCTAGGAAAACCAGAGACCTTTGTTCACTTGTTTATCTGCTGACCTTCCCTCCACTATTGTCCCATGACCCTGCCAAATCCCCCTCTGTGAGAAACACCCAAGAATTATCAATAAAAATAAAATAAAATAAAATAAAAAAAGGGACAGAAATTGTGCATTCGGGGAGCTCGGATTTTAAGGCAGTAGCTTGCCGATGCTCCCAGCTGAATAAAGCCCTTCCTTCTACAAAAAAAGAAAAAAAATTCCCAATAAAGAAAAGCCCAGGACCTGCTGGCTTCACTGCTGAATTCCACCAAATATTTAAAGAACTAATACTATGTACATTTTAAAATAATTAAGAGTATAAATGGATGGCTGGGCATGGTGGCGCATGCCTGTAATCCTAGCACATTGAGAGGCCAAGGCGGGCAGATCACTTGAGGTCAGGAGTTTGAGATCAGCCTGGCCAATATGGCAAAGCCCCATCTCTACTAAAAATACAAAAATTAGCCGGATGTGGTGGCACACACCTGTAATTCCTGCTACTCGGGAGGCTGAGGCACAAGAATCACTTGAGCCCAGGAGGCAGAGGTTGCAATAAGCTGAGATCATGTCACTGCACTCCAGCCTGGGTGACAGAGTCAGACTCTGTCTCAATGAATAAATAAATAAATAAATAAATAAATAAATAAATAGTTTGTAACATAAAGGATAAATGCTTGAAGGGATGGATACCCCATTTTCCATAATGTGATTATTATGCATTACATGCCTGTGTCAAAATATCTCATGTACTCCATAAATATATACACCTTCTAGGTACTCATAAAAATTACAAATTGAAAAATTTTTAAATAAAATATTGTATAAAGTTGGCTTCAGGTTATGTGTATAAGGTGTATATGAAATACAAATGAATTTCATGTTTAGGTTTGGGTCCTAGCCCCAAGATATCTCATTATGTACATGCAAATATTTCAAAATCTGAAATCTAAAACACTTCTGGCACCAAAAATTTTAGATAAGGGATGCTTAACCTGTGTGCCTTCATGTCTCGAGCCACAAAATCCACAGAAAGAGTCCAGAAGAGCTGGATTACAGTCAATAATGACATAATAATTTTAAAAAATTAGTACTTTATTGTAACTTTTTAAATTTTAGAGATGGGGGTCTGTATGTTGCTCAGGCTGGATTTGAACTCCTGGGCTAAATAATCCTCCTGCCTCAGCCTCCTGAGTAGCTGGGACTACAGGTGCATACTACCACACCCAGCTTTACGATAACTGACCTTTTGTAACCAACTACTCTGTGTACATTGTGGTACTAGATATTTTACATACATTAATCATTTAATCTTCATAAAAACTTGCAAGCTGAGTATCATTAATTCTTTTTTTCATTTAGAAATGGGATTTCACTAGGTTGTCCAGGCTGGGGTGCAGTGGCTATTTGCAGTGTTTGTTTGTTTATTTGTTTGTTGAGACAAGGTCTCACTCTGTCACCCAGGATTGTGCCACTGGAGTGCAGTGGCACAATCTCGGCTTGCTGCAGCCTCAACCTCCCAGGCTCAAGCAATCCTCCCACCTCACCCTCCTGAGTAGCTGGAACTCTAGGCACACACCACTGTGCCCAGCTAATTTTGTTTATTTTTTGTAGAGATGAAGTCTCACTATTTTGCCCAGGCTGGTCTCAAACTCCTGGACTCAATCAATCTTACCACCTTGGCCTCCCAAAGTGTTGGGATTACAGGCGTTAGCTACCATGCCTGGCCCTATTCACAGTCTTGATCATATCTGTTGACCTTAAGAAAGAAATAGAGTCAAAATTAATACAGAGAGTTTATTTGGGCCAAGGTTCAGGACAACTACCAAGGAAATACCTCCAAGAGGCTCAAGTTTTCTTAAAGAAAAAAGGACAAATCAGGAAAGGGACAATTACAAAAGTTGTTTGCCAGGAATTTTCATTGGTATACAGAAATAACATTGATTGGTGATTGGCTATATATTTTTTAACCATAGGGTATGAGTTATGGTGTCCAGAGTATGACTCCATTAGATTAATTTATGGCTATTGGTGTTGACACTCAGTCTGGAGTCCATATAGCAGGCAGATTACTTAGCTCAAAGTGGGGTGTGGGACACGACTTTCGATGGCTTTCTGGGTCTTATAATTTAAAGGCGCTTGCATTCCTCAGATAAGTTTATTTTCTTTTTCCTAGAGTTTTTTCTACAGACTCAAACTCCTGGGCTCAAGTGATCCTCCCGCTTCAACCTCCCTAGTAGCTGGGACTACAAGCACGTGCCACTGCAGCTGGCTCCATTGATTCCATCTTACAAATGAGGAACTGAGATTTATAGTTACTCAAGATTATAAATTCCATAAGCACCAGAGCTGGACTGAGAGGTCAGGTCAGTTTGGCTCTCACCATGCTCTGGTTGGAGCTGGGAACTGATATTTTCTCCCTTGGTGAGGAAATACCCTCCAAGTGCTATGCACAATTTATATACAGGAGTGCAAAAAGGCTGGGGTTTTCAGGTTACCTGATCTGACCCTCCCAACCTACACCTCTGCTACTTTTTTCCTCTACTTTCTCTTTCATAAAACTTTTTTAGAATAAGGAAGAATGAAGAACAATTACCTACAGTTGGTCCTCCATATCTGCAGGTTCTGCATCCACAGATTCAAATAACAGTGAATTGAAAATATTTGGGAAAGAAACAAGAAATAAGATACAACAGTCAAAATAATATATTAAAAAATACAGTATAATTATTTACAAAGTATTACATTGCATTAAGTATTATAAGTAATCTAGAGATAAGGCTGGGATGGTGGCTCATGCCTGTAATCCCACACTTTGGGAGGCTGAGCTGGCAGATTGCTTGAGCCTAGGAGTTCAAGACCAGCCTGGGCAACATGGTGAAACCCCACCTTTACAAAAAATAAATAAATAAGTAATCTAGAGATGATTTAAAGTATATGGGAGGTTATATGCAAATACTACATCATTTTATACAAGGGACTTGAGCATCTGAGGATTTTGGTATCCCTGGGGGGGTCCTGGAACCAGTCCCCCAAGGATATCAAGGGATGACTGTACGTAAGTGTTCCTCGCCTCTCAAAAACCTGCTCTTTCCTTTTTGTATTGCCGTAATAGGTTTTAACAATGATGCTTCAGGTCTGTTATTGCCAGACATTGCCAGCAGGCTTTGGCTATTGTTGCCATGGGTCACATGTCTTTCTGACCTAAGGAAAGGAAGTGCCGCCTTCCCAAAACAACAGATCCTTTAACCCTATTTTGGGTATATTAGATGTTAGGTGTTTGACAGGGCTTGAATTCAGAATCAACAGACAGCTAACTCAGACAAATGGAGATTAAAATGTCATCTTTGTTACTGACAAAAGCTGAACTGGACGTGTTAACCCATTTCCTGTTTAGGAAAAGAAAGTGCAACTCCGCTGCCAGTGCTCATTTCTCAGGGCAAACAGGAAATGGGTTAGGAAAAATTATCAGGCTAGGTACCGTGGCTCACACCTGTAATCCCAGCATTTTGGGAGGACAAGGTAGGAGGATTGCTTGAGCGCAGGAGTTTGAGACCAGTCTGGGCGACGTAGTGATACCCTGTCTTTACAAAAAATAAAAATAAACAATTAGCCACGTATGGTGGTGCCAGCCTGTAGTCCCAGCTTCTTGGGAGGCTGAGGTGGGAGGATTGCTTGATCTTGGGAGGTCATGGCTACAGTGAGCTGTGATCACACCACTGCACTTCAGCCTGGGCAACAGAGTGAGACTCTGTGTCAAAAAAAGAAAGAAAAAATAATATCAAGCCTTAAAAATAAAGTAGGGGCTGGGCGTGGTGGCTCACGCCTGTAATCCCAGCACTTTGGGAGACCAAGGCGGGCGGATCACGAGGTCAGGAGATCGAGACCATCCTGGCTAACATGGTGAAACCCTGTCTCTACTAAAAATACTAAAAATCAGCCGGGCGTGTTGGCATGCACCTGTAGTCCCAGCTACTCTGGAGGCTGAGGCAGGAGAATGGCATGAACCCGGGAGGCGGACCTTGCAGTGAGCTGAGATGGTGCCACGGCACTCCAGCCTGGGCAACAAAGCGAGACTCTGTCTCAAAAATAAATAAATAAATAAATAAATAAAAATAAAAAATAAAGTAGGATGACTGCATGTCCTTTCATTGTCAAACAATTTGAAAACCAATAGATAAATGTTTTTATCAGTCAATTCCTTCATCTCCACCTGAATAAGGTGCTTCAACTTTGTTAATGGTTAAGAAAAAAATTCTTAACCATTAATGGTTATTTTATATGGTAATATAATTAATGGTTATATAATTAATGGTAAAATTATATGCCAGTTCTTCTCCAAGATTTCTTCAACAAGCTTATTTCAAGTTTCATTGCCTTTCTTGCTATGTTGACCTGCTTATATAAAAGCTCGGCAGCTAAATCACCAGCAAATTGCTTTCCCTCAGCCTCCCCGGTAGCTGGGACTACAGGCGTGTGCCACCATGCCCAGCTTTTGAACATCTTTTCATATGCCTATTTGCCACCTGTGTATCTTCTTTGGTGAGGTGTTGTTTAGGTCTTTTCCCCAATTTTTAATTGAGTTCTTTTCTTATTGTTGAGTGTTAAGAGTTCTTTGTGGCCAGGTGCAGTGGCTCACGCCTGTAATCCCAGCACTCTGGGAGGCCGAGGTGGGCGGATCACAAGGTCAAGAGATCGAGACCATCCTGGGAAGGTGAAACCCCATCTCTCCTAAAAATATAAAAATTAGCAGGGCGTGGTGGCGAGCACCTGTAGTCCCAGCTACTTGGGTGGCTGAGGCAGGAGAATCACTTGAACCTGGGAGGCAGAGGTTGCAGTGAGCCAAGATCGCACCACTGCACTCCAGCCTGGAGACAGAGTGAGACTCCATCTCAAAAAAAAAAAAAGAGTTCTTTGTATATTTTGAATAAAAGTCCTTTATTACATGTGCCTTTATGAAATGTCTCTTAGCTATCTTTAAATTAATATCTAAATTTTTTCATCAAAAGTTTAAGTAGAAGACATGGAGATCATTGAGGGAGTTCATTCCACCTTTGAGTCTTTACCCAGAGGAGCCCCGGTCCACGTGCGTGTGTGATATGATGAGGTTTCTCTTCAAATAATCTGATCAATCCTTTATCCCCCTCCCACTTTTTCCTTTTTCTCCTCTTTTCCTTTTTGCCTTTGTTAAATGCCCAGGCACACCACAGTACTAGGTGTTATCAGTACCAGCTCACATTCCTTTCCTTATTTGGAAAGAGGACTAACTTTACAGCTCATTACAGACACCCCTTCCCTTCCTCTCTACTTCCTTTTACAGGCCCATCTTATCTAAAAAATCAAATGTTTAGCCAACCGGGATTAGTTTAGATTGCATGACCCGACCCCGGCCAATGGGGAAAGGGTACAGGGGCAGGACTTGCATCAGGAATAAAGGCTCTTGTGCCCCTTTGTTCAGGTGTGCTCTCATGGCGACTGGCCAAGGAGGCACCCCTCTGCACAGAAGTAAAATTGCTTTGCTAAGAATCCTTTGTTGAAGTGTTCAATTTCCTTAGGATTTTAAGCGTTATTCCTAACACGTGGTTTAGATCCTGATCCCCCAGATTATGCTGTGTTTTAGGGAGGAATAATAACTGACTCTTGGGGGCCATGTGTGGAGGGTGCTTGGGGAGGTGTAGGAAGCTCTGTGACATCCCTCACCATGGGCGCTGAGGTTCCATACTGGGATTAATGAGACGTTTAGAAGGTGGTGACCTGCTTTGTGTTTGCCTAGGGACTTTTCTGAAGAAAAGAGATCTATTTGATCCTAGACTTGGAAATGTTAAGCGTTACTAGTCCAGGCTCCTTTTTTTAGATGGTAGGAATAGCTGGTCCAGAGAGGAGATTTCCTGAAAGTTACATGCTAGTTTGGATAGATTTGGGGATGAGGACTCAGTGTTCTTTTCCCTGTATCCCTTAGTTGTAACCTGGAATAGCTAGATCCAGACACGGGAACCTTCAAGTTTCAGATGGCAAATGGCCCTTGCATGGCCACTCCACTGCTCTATTCCCCTCAAACAAATAAGAGAAAACCCACAGTTAGACTCACTACCTGTGAGTTTACTAACCCAGAGTCAGGCTGGCTTGAACTGAAATGCCTCACTTAGAAGAAAAGCTTCTTATGGCCTGGACAGGACAGTGAGACTACCCAGACTCTATAGATGACCCAGAAGTGATTGTTTTCTTCTACGGTTGATTATATATCTTATATTTGCTTGTAAGGGGGGACTTCCTGCCTTGGTAGTTTAGCCAGTTAGAGCTTTAGCCAATTACAGCCTCAGCCTTTATACACTGACAACTTAAGGTATGATTATTGAGCTCTATAGGCAGGTCACTGCACAGCTTCTATAAATTATCCATTCTTTTTGTTTCTTAATTTGTTTTTTAATCGTAGTTCTTTAGTTCTGCCACTTTGGTATGATTGCTTAGGGGAGAGGTAATGCAAACCCCTTCCTTTAATCACCTGAACAAAGGCCCTTTGACTATCCCCAACATTTATGAAAACTTAGAAAATGTCATTTTACAGGTAATATGAATCAAATAAACTGGTCAGCCTGAAAGATTATAAATAGCACTGAGTTATTGATTATTGATTAAATTATTTGATTATTTCCTCCCCTATCTTTTTATGAGCTCCCTTATTCAGAGGTCAGTCCTCTAATTTTCTTGCTTTTTTTCTACATGAGATCTTCACTCTTAAATGGGCCTGGTATCCTCCAAGCTGGAGAATCTATGTCTTACCCTTTTCCAAGGCTAAATCTCTGGGCTTCTGCTATGCTAGGGAAGGAATCTGAGCATCTCACTGATTTTTTTTTTTTTTTTTTTTTTTTTGAGATGGAGTCTTGCTTTGTCACCCAGGCTGGAGTGCAGTGGCACAATCTCGGCTCACTGCAACCTCAGCCTCCCGGGTTCAAGTGATTCTCCTGCCTCAGCCTCCTGAGTAGCTGGGACTACAGGCACATGCCACCATGCCCAGCTAATTTTTGTATTTTTAGTACAGACAGGGTTTCACCATATTGGCCAGGCTGGTCTCGAACTCCTGACCTCCTCGTGATCTGCCCGCCTTGGCCTCCCAAAGTGGTGGGATTACAGGCGTGAGCCACCATGCCCAGCCGCATCTCACTGATTCTTATAGCAGACTTTCTACCATTCCTTATATTTTTAGCCCATCATGCTGTCTTCTAGGATTAGCTGGTGCTCCCAATTCCTGAGCCTTATGCAGGGTTTAGCTGTGTAAATCAGATTGCTCCAAAGCCTGCTAAGATCCCTATTTCTCAAGTCTGCTCAGGTAACGACCACTTGACTCATCTACTTTGCAGGTTTTCAATATTTTGTTGCTATTTCTATAAGGCAGAAAAAGAAGTGCAAATCAATTATAAGCATGTGAACAAATATTCAATGTCACTCAAAATGTAAATTAAAATAAACAATGAAATACCATTTTTCATCTATCAGTGAGTGGGAAGGAAGGAGTTAAGTAGAAGACCTATAATCCATCTTCTCCCTTTATAGAGCAATATTCCCAGGAAAGCAAGCAAACATATGATTCTTATAAATATGGTAATTACAGACCTGGCAAACTAATGGTATCTGCTAACAAGAAAGTCCCTATCTGGATATGGAGTGGATAAAATTTTATCCTAGTGACAAATATTTTTATGTTCAGACATCTCCTATTGGTCACATTATTATATAAAACTGCCTATGTTTTAAAAATGTTTCATTTCCAATACGGCTGTTAAGTTCTGAAATTTTTTTCTTCTGTTTGACTGTTTAAACAGTTACTATTAGGACATAACTGATATCAAAATAACATAGATATAAATATTGATAAGTAATTACTAAACACAAAAAGTAGCATTTTATTGTAACTATGTCTTTTGATGAGATGATATGTCTTTTTAGCAATTCATATAGCTGTTTATGAATATTACTGATTCAAAAAATGAGACAGTTTAGCATCAATACTATCCCTATTTTTTTATTAGATGTGTTGAGAAACCTCATTTATGTAAATGAGTAAATGGGTCTCAAAGTTTTGTTATAGCAGTGTGACAATTCTTTGAAAAAGTTCCAAGTTACATGCTAAAATGACTTCGTGAGCTTTCATCTAAAATTATGGTGAATGACCAGGTGCAGTGACTCACATCTGTAATCCCAGCACTTTGGGAAGCCAAAGTGGGAAGATCACTTAAGCCCAGGTGTTCAACACTGGCCTAGGCAACATGGCAAGACCCCCATCTTTACAAAAAAACAAAAATAATTAGCTGGGCATGATAGCACATGCCTGTAGTCCCAGCTACTTGGGAGGCTGAGGTGGGAGGATAGTTCGAGCCCAGAAAGCGGAAGCTGCTGCACTCCAGCCTGGGCAAGACCCTGTCTCAAAAATATATATATATATGTTTAATGATTTCTCAGTGGACAATTTGGTTAGGTCCTTCACCTATTTTGTTGAAAGCAGCACACTGGAAACCACCAGACTTGCAAAAGGAAATTTTACCTGGTCTTTCCAACACCATTTTTTTAAAATGGCACTTTGGTACCTTGAGGTTTTTATACCTCAGGACAACGCACTATTGTAAGATCTGGATGAGTTAGATGTGTACCTTTCTTTTGCAGCATGGAAGAGGAGGAGGCAGGAAAAGAGAACCCATATTACATCATCACTTTTAGATACAAATATAGCATAGAAGTTGAGGACCTGGAAAGTGAAAAAGTGAATCCCTTAAAACAATCCGAATGTCCATGTATACAGGAGAACCTCACAAAACTATGTTATTGTACTACTTGTAAGTTATTTAAGAAATTTTTAAAGGGTAATATTGATTATGCTACATTTTCATAGTATACTGACTTGAGAACTTAATCTTTTCTCCACTTCATAGCGCCTGCTTATTTTGTTTACTCAGAACCTGGGTATGAACCTGAATGTTTCCTTCCCTATCTCATTCCATTCTTTCTTTTAGTGCCTACTGCTAACTGCTTGATTCTGTTCCCCATTCAAATTCCTACCAGGATCTGGAAACCCTAGATCAATTCACAAGGGAGCTATATAACAGGTGCCTGGCTAGCATGTAGATTAGTGCCACAGGTGGTCCAACTGGCTGTGGTGAGAGAGCCAGGGTTGCTTGGTATAAATCATGGCCACATAAGTTTGCCCTGTCAATAGCACTGTGAATGAGACAATTTCACTTACAAGGAGCAATGGGTTTACAAAGGCCAAATAAAGAAGGGACCAGTCAGAACTCTTCAATCCTGACTTCATTTTGCAGCAAAAGCAATTAACAAAAGGATAAAAAAAGGTTTGGAATCCATTACCTAATCTCATTTGGGCCCAGGTGTGACAATCACTCATTCAGTCCAGTACTCTGTCTCTGATCAGACATACAAAGACTTGTCTTGTAAAAGATAGGCTGGGCCAGGTGCAGTGGCTCACGCCTGTAATCCCAGCACTTTGGGAGGCCGAGGTGGATAGATCTCCTGAGGTCAGGAGTTCGAGACCAGCCTGGCCAACATGGTGAAATCCCATCTCTACTAAAAATACAAAAAAATTAGCCAGGCTTGGTGGTGGAGGCCTGTAATCCCAGCTACTCGGGGGGCTGAGGCAGAAGAATCGCTTGAACCCGAGAGGCGGAGGTTGCAGTGAGCCGAGATCGCACCACTGCACTCCAGCCTGGGTGACGAGAGCGAGACTCTGTCTCAAAAAGAAAAAAAAAAAAAAGGGCTAGGTGCGGTAGCTCAAACCTCTAATCCCAGCACTTTGGGAGGCTGAGGCAGGAGGGTCACTTGAGGCCATAAGTTCAAGACCAGCCTGGCCAACATACCAAAATCCCATCCCTACTATAAATACAAAAACTATCTGGGCCTGGTGACAGGCACCTGTAGTCCCAGCTACTCGGGAGGCTGAGGCAGGAGAATCACTTGAACCCAGGAAGTGGAGGTTGCAGTGAGCCAAGATCCCACCACTGCTCTCCAGCCTGGGTAACAGAGAGTAAGACTCCATCTCAAAAAAAAGATAGTGACAGTTATCCCCTCTTGTGTAATTTTTCCAAAGGTTTGAGATATAACCTCTGAATATTTCTTATCAGCAGCTTAAAATGAATCCAGTATCAACAAATTTATGACCCATCTGCTGAGCAGATCACTTCCATCTGTAACCCTGGCCATGCTACATAGTTGGCAGCCACACAAAAATGTCCCTGGCAAACACTGTATCAGAATTTAGATTCCTCATGGGAATTAAAGTTAACTGTTAGATTTTTTAAAATAAGACTTCTATAACATTTTCAAGGTGAATTTAAATAACTTCAATAATTTTCATGTAAAGTTTTCTAAAATATATAACCCCATGCCATAATCAAATGACCATAATTTAAATAATTCAGGTTCATTCTTATGTTATCTTACATTGTAATATTCCTCCCTTGAATAAAACTGCTGCATCTGTGAGACGTATATCTTCTTTCCCCTGACATGGCTTTAACTGACTTCCTGGACTGTTCTCACATTCATTAAAGGCTTTGGATCAGTCTTACTTTCCAGCCACGTAGAACCAATAATTCTTTCATTTATTTGTTATCTCAATAAATAAATATTTACTTAGTACCTACTATATGTCAATCACTGTGTGCCTGGGGCCTGGAATGATTAGATGAAAGGCATAGACCCTTCCTCTGGTGGCCGGAGATGACAAGCAGATATTCAGCCCCATTCTTCAGCAAGTATGCATTTGTATGAACCACTAGTTTTTATTTTTATTTTTTTTGAGACAGAGTCTCACTCTGTTGCCCAGGCTGGAGTGTAGTGGCACGATTTGGGCTCACTGCAACCTATGCCTTCCAGGTTCAAGAAATTCTCATGACTCAGCCTCCCAAGAAGCTGGGATTACAGGCATGAGCCACCACACCCGGCTAATTTTTGGGTTTTTTTTTTTTTTTTTTTTTTTGGTAGAAAAGGGGTTTCACCATGTTGGCCAGGCTGGTCTCGAACTCCTGACCTCAAGTGATCCACCGGCCTTGGCCTCCCAAAGTGCTGGGATTACAGGCATGAGCCACCATGCCAGGCCACCACTGGTTTTTAATTTGTCCCTGAAAAAATAGCCAAGTGCCTTAATAGTGACAACCCATTCCAAACACATCATCTGTTCTTTCGTGCCTCAGAGACTTTGCACAGGTTTGCCCTACCTAGAATATCTGTTCCCCTTTATTCACCTAGTTAACTCCAAGTAATTCTTAACTCTCAATTCATAACTCATCTGATTCAGTGTTTTGAAGTAATAACCAAGGAGATGGGTAGTTTTGTCCAACACCCTTGATTCTTCAACACAAACCACCAATTGCTTCAGATTTTTAGTTCTTGCGTACTTTAGTCAATGGCTTCTTATGTTACTCTAGATTTGTGTTGTTCTGAACGATGAAATGTTCAGTTTCTGTTATTTTAGTTACACATGGTCATCATTTTAATCATTTATTCAAGAATGATACATGTTCACTGAGCACCAATACATATCAATATGCCAGGCTTTTTTTTTTAATTGATGGAAATATAAAGGACCTAGAGTAACCAAAGAGACTTTTAAAAGGAAGAATCAAGTTGGAATACTTACTCTACCTGATTCCAAAACTTACTGTAAGTGATAGTAGTTAAGATAGTTTTGTATCAGTGAAAAGATAAACACAAAGATCGATAGAACACAGCCAGAAGTAGACCCACACATGGTAGGGTTGATTGATTTTTGACAAAGTGTTAAAGCAATTCCAAACGGAAAGGAAGGTCTTTTCAACAAATTGTGCTGGATCAACTCAGGACCTGTGGGGGGAAAAAATGAACATCAACCCTACCTCACACCATAAGCAAAAATTAATTCAAACTGGATCTGAGACCTAGATGTAAAAATCCAAACTATACCTTTTTAGAAAACATAGGAGAATATTACACTCTCCTGTGTGGTTGAGATTGGTAGTTCTCAGAACACAAAAAGCAGGAATCACATAAACAAAACAAAAAATGGATAAATTGAACCTGATTAAAAAAAAAAACTGCTCTTTGAAGGACATCATTAAGAAAATGAAAAGGCAACCCAGCACAGGGGCTCACACTTGTAATCCCAGCATTTGGGGAAGCTGAGAAGGGAGGATTGCTTGAGACCAGGAGTTTGAGACCAGCCTGGGCAACATAGTGAGATCCTGTCTCTACCAAAAAATATATAATTAGCTGGGTATGGTGGCACATGCCTGTACTCCTAGTTACTCGGGAGGCTGAGGCAGGAGGATTGTGTGAGCCCAGGAGTTTGAGGTTACAGTGAGTTATGATCACACCACTGCTCTCCAGCCAGGGTGACAGAAAGAGACTCTGTCTCCAAAAAAAGAAAAATAAGATAATTCAATAGCAAGCCAAAGACTGTGTAAAAATACTTGAAACACATATATACACAAAAGACTTACATACAGATCATGTAACCAGTCCTTGCCACTCAACAATAAGACAAACAAAATAACAAAATTGGCAAATTATTTGAAGTTACTTCACAGCAGAAAATATATAAATGACAATAAGCACCTGAAAAAATGTTCAACATCATTAGTGGTAAGAGAAATGTAAATTAAAGTCACAATGAGATACCACCTTATACCCATTACAATGGCTAAAAAAAAATGTTCTGTTTTCCTTTTTAGAGACAAGATTTCTCTGTCACCCAGACCGGAGTGCAGTGTTGGGATCATGGCTAACTGCAGTCTCAAACCCCTGGGCTCTAGTGATCCTCCCTCTTGCGCCCCTGAGTAGCTGGATCTACAGGCAAGCACCACTACACCTGGCTAGATTTTTATTTTTTTGTAGATGGGTATTACTACATTGGTCCGGGTGGTCTCAAATTCCTGGCTTCAAGGGATCCTCCCTCCTCAGCCTCCCAAAGCACTGGGATTACAGGTGTGAGCCACTGCTCCCAGCCAGAATAGCTAAAACTAAGTGTTGGTGAGGTTATGGAGCAACTGGAACTGTCATACACTGCTGGTGGGAATGAAAAATGTACAACCATCTCAGCAAACAGTTTGGCTATTTCATAAGTGCTGGGTGAGGTGTCAGAGCCCTAGCACTAGAAAGTGGTCAACTCACGGGTTGGTAAGAATTTACAGACAACAGTATAGGTTTAAAAAGGAAACTTCTATTAAATAGAATGCTGCAAAAGAGTGCAGCGGGGCGCCTCAGAAAGAGAGGACTGAGTGTGCCAGTGAATTTTTCCTTAGGGATATTTATGGACCTCAAAGAGGGAGCTTACGGGCAATTTGGACCATATTAGCCATGTAGGTCATGATAAGTGATTACATTTGTAGACATTCTGGTGCCTTAATGTCAGCAAGGGTCACACAATGAGTTTTGATATGCATGCATTCAAGAGATGTATAGAAATTCTAGTTACTTATAAATTTTGGGGAAAAAAAACTGGAACCAGATGCCTGTGTTACATAACAGGAAAGTCTAATTACTTCTGAATTCCTCAGATAAGAAGTTTTTGTCTCCAGGGCCTGCTGGATGGTCACCAGGTAATTTTGCTCTGGTCATTTTCCCCTGACAAATAACTTGGTCAAATCTTGGACCCTTTATATTCCCCCATGCTCAAGTCAGCCTGTTGCATATCATGGTCTCAAGAAAGAGAAAATAGCATAGTGAAGAGGGATGTCAAGTCTATCTGGCTACTTCCTGCTGAAAGAGGGCTCTCCAGCCTGGGCCAGAGAGTGGGACTCTGTCTCAAAAAAAAAAAAAAAAAATCCAGACAGTCTAGTCACAAATGTTCACAGCATTTTCAACAACAATTTGTGTTGTTTCTAATTTGGGGCTATTACAAATAAAAATGCTGTTCCCATCAATGATTAGATAAACAAAATAGTGATAAATCCATACAACTGAATACTAATCAGTAATTAAAACAAAACACAACCTGCTGATACATGCAATAAGGAGGCAAAAAAAAAGAGAACACTGTGTGGGGATAATGATTTCATTTATTTAAGATTCAAGAAAATGCAAACTAGTCTCTACTGACAGAAAGTGGTTGCTTCGGTATGAGGTTGGAAAGAGAGATGGATTACAAAGGGCACAAGAAAACTTTTGGGATTGACAGAAGATTATGTTTATTGTAGTAGTGGTTTAATGGGTATACATATATGTCAAAACTGATCAAACCAAACTTACGGCTTTATATATGTGCAGCGTAGAGGTCTTCAATTATAACTGAATAAAGTTTTCTAAAAAATGGGGATAAAAATAACATCTTCAGCCTGTTGTAGGGATTCACTGAATATGTTAAAGCACTTTATCATAATACCTGGCTCCGAGTTTGATGCCGCTGACACTTAGATATCAAACTCAACCTCTCTACCAAGCTCTTCATCCAAACAGACTAGGGGTAAAGACTGTCTAAGACTATACAGAAAGATCATGTATCTGAGGAATTAAAAATAGGGCATAAGATTTGGCAATGTGTCACTCGGCAAACTCAATAAACTAGTATTATCAAGGCAAAAAATATATACACAAAAAGAACTGGGTTAAAAAAAATTTTTTCTATGGACTTTTAACGTGATAACTCATGACACAGGGGTTAGGATCTTCAGTTTTCCTTTGGAAGTTAATAAAAACCACTATAGAGAAAAACAAGATTTGCTAGTAAGAAGGTGAAAACTGCTTCTCCTCTCAGGGTTCTAGTTCTCTTGCAACCTAAAACAAAGGAACCAGACAGGATATCCACTTTCGTACCGTACAGCTCCAAACACTAATCAATCACTCCATTCACTTATCTTTTCTATTTCCTTGTATTCTGTCAAACAACTGTCTCTTGGTTTAAATACTTTTCTGCTGGTCTTCGCTCTCTCTCTCTCCTCTTCTGGTTTATTTTCATCCAGATGTGGATTTTCCCCAAAGTTTCCATCTTATCCTTTTCTCCTCCTGTGTATGCGCCACTGAAGTCAAGATTGCCACATTCAAACTCCCCACACATTCACACACCCACTCCCAATATACAGTATCTCGCCCAATGTTTATCACTCCGGATACATTCCTAGAATCCAAAGATCTGGAGCAGGGAGAAAAAGAAAAGGCGCCTACCAGATGCCTGGAACAGTCTACTAGGCACTACAAGTACATTAGCTCTTTCAATGCTCACAACAGCCCAGCCAGATGTTATCTCAATCTTACGGATGAATAAATTTAAGACTTCTGGCTGGACACTAGAGGCTGGCGAAGTACGTGACCTTTGATCAGAATCTCCTGGAGGAGTGGGGTCCCTGACCATTGTACCTTCCAGAGAACCTTAAAACTGAGATCCCAGGAGACCCCTCTCGGATACTCTGCAGAAGTCAGAGTGACGATATTAGCAAGCACACCGCAGCCATGCGAACCCTTCCTGGCTCAGCTCCCGACAAAAGAAATCAAGCCCCCAGTCAAAATACAACAACAACGGATTAGGCCTACAACCCTCTCCCCCGGCCCCCAAATTCTCAGGAGAAATCCCCTAAGAGTCAGGTACGGAGGTCACTGCAGCGACTTCAGCGTGCAGAGAACGCGGGGACCTAGGAAGAGGACGCTCCAGCCCAACTGAGCGTCTCTGATTGGCCGCCAGCTCAGCTTGGAACGCTGGGGTGCGTGGCGTCATATCCGCCGGGCCCGCCATCTTGTTCCCAGGGGCAGTTGGCGGAAGAGATCGAGCTCCCTGGCTGCCGGCTCGCCTTCTGCGTGGAGTTCTCGCGGTCTGGGTTTCGCTGTCTGCTCTTGGCCCGGGGTCATTTTGTCGGCGTCGGGTGCCCTCTCTTGCCCAGCTGGGGCACAGCGAGGCGGCCCCTTCTCCCGACGACGTTCGATGGAGTAGGGTCCCAGACCGTTGTCCCGAAGAGCGAGATCGAGCTTGGCCCCCTCCCCCCCCTCCTTCCCTCCCTCCTTCCTTCCGCCGCAACATGGCTAACAACAGCCCCGCGCTGACAGGCAACTCGCAGCCGCAGCACCAGGCGGCTGCAGCTGCGGCTCAGCAACAGCAGCAGTGCGGCGGCGGCGGCGCTACCAAGCCGGCGGTCTCCGGCAAGCAGGGCAATGTGCTCCCGCTCTGGGGCAACGAGAAGACCATGAACCTCAACCCCATGATCCTGACCAACATCCTGTCGTCGCCTTACTTCAAAGTACAGCTCTACGAGCTCAAGACCTACCACGAGGTGGTGGACGAGATCTACTTTAAGGTACGAAGTGTGTAGGCCTTGGCTTTGGGGGTAAGTTCGGAAGAGGGGGTATGGAGGAAACGGGCGAAGGCGGCCCCCGAAATCTGAAGATTTGTGGGTGGGGGAAGGTGGTTCGGCGGAGGGGTGGCTGCGGCCTGTAGTGTGTCTGGGAGGGGTCGGACTGGGGCCGCCCTCTCGTTTCCATTTTAGATTTTTAGGGCCGGGAGAGCCCGCCACTATTGATCTCTCTCCTCCCCCAACCTCCTGCCCACCCCTGGGGGGAGTTGGGCAAGAGGGATGGGGGAGAGGAGGAAAGAGTAACAGAAGCCTTTCCAGTTTACAGCTTTAAAATTATTCCTTTTGACGTGGATCTGCTGAGCGCCAACTTGTTGGTGCTTCTCCCGCTCACCCCTGGCCAGGGCGTGTAATGACTTCAGTATTGGCCTCGTGTTGTTGGTACTCACTATCCGATCCAGGCAGGGAAATGGTCAGTGCGTGTGTGTCGGGTGGGGTGGGGGGATGAGGGTGGAGAGGTGCCATTTCAAGAGGTGTACAGAAGGCCTGGAAATTTTCCCAGCAGGAAGTCAGGAGTAAGAGGTCTCAGCCACCTGTGCATTGGGCTAATTTAGAATTATCTGGGCCCTGGGCTTCTGCGGCAGGGTCGGTGCTGGCTTGGCTGTGCTGGGGAGCTCACCTGGCGCCTCCTCACTGCACTCTTGTCTCAGTTCTTGTTTCGTTAGCAGGATTGACTCAGTCTTGCAGCGAGGCTCGGAGCAGCCCAGGGTCGCAGGTAGAGGTATGCACTATTAATCATGCTCAATCGCCATAAATGCATTTCCCTGGTTAAATGAACGACTAATTAGATTTTTGTGGGTTTTTTTGGCCATTGCTTTTGGTCCTTCACCAATTAGGTAGGCTTTTTCCACTTCCCTGCAAATTATGTAGTATAAAAAATACCTTCCAGGCCTCCGAAAGTTAATTTCTATTTTAAAGAATATTAATAATAGCCTTAGTGGTCTTTAAAAATTTTATCCGGAGCATCTAATACACAATCCATTTTTGTCTATATTCACTCTTAAAAACTTGACAGACCGCACAAAGTGTTTTCTATCATTTGAACGTATGTGTAGAGATGGTAACAAAAGGACATTCTCTTTTGTCTTGCCCACCTTTTCCCCCAGTTGAGTAATTAGGTTATTGAAGGATTTTGAGAGATTAGTTGCTTTTTATAGAAAACATCTCTTGAATACAGTTCAACTTTGGGTTGATAAAGTACACAAATAAATTTGGAATCCTCTTACGAGAGTAGGTCTGATTGTAATTCTATGAATTAGTTTTTTTAGCTTTTAAAAGGTAAGACCTTTTTAGCATGGATACAGTATGGTGAATAACATTTAATCCTTAGCTTTATTTATGCAGTAAACTTTAAACAGTTGAAAATTGGGTTCCTGCTCTTTCTGCGGCAGGTTCTGTTTTCTAACATAGGCAAAATGTTAATGTAATAGAGGAAAGTCTCGTTTTTAAGTTTCAAATGTGTTTTGAAACAAGATTCTACCAGGAATTGTTTTTAAATTCCGTTAAAAAACTAAAGACCCAGTTTTTTTACTAATATTAAGAAGACTTAAGACTTTCAGATCAAATACTCACTGAAATTTATAAGTTTCCAACTTTGTAATTTTATTTTGTATGCATCCAGCCCTGCCTTTGGCTAGCTTTTAAGGAATTGAAACATCTTTTACATGGCAATCTGTGGGGAAGAAAGGAAACGTTAAAGCACTGCAAAATAGTGTAGTGCTTAAACTTACATGCACGCTTTTCTATCTAAAGCCATTGTTCAGGACTACAAAATTTACCATGTGGGTGGAAATAGAATTTTAGAAATATGCAGTGAAAAAACAGGATTTTTTTTTATGTTTTTAAAAAAAAACAAAGATGGGTCTTCCCAAAAGACCTTTTTGGATTCTATTTTAGAGTTAATATTCTTTTGTTGTTGTTGCTGTTGTTGTTGCTATTTTTAGATAAGGACTAGTTTTTGTAAGATGTTCCTCTTAGCAAATATGATACTGTATCATCTTTGATGATACTTAGTATATGCCAGTGACTATTCACACTCAGTTTTTGACACAATTTATATTCTGGGGAATAATTGGATTGGTTCACACATAATTAGGCTGAAGCTTAATTACAACAATGATCTCTGTAAGTGTGGCCTTTGTAATTTTATCTTTAATCAGGAATAAACCTGACCCTGGTGGAAAAAATGTACAAATAAAAAGTTCCATAATTTTGCATCACAAGTAACTCGTTACTGTTTTAGAAAATTTTCTTCAAGTAATTTTCCTTAATTTTATAATGTAGATTTTAAATTACAATAAAATTGAACTATTGAAGGTGTTTTGAAGTTTTTAAATTAATGCTTAACGTTAATACTTTTTGCTTTAAATTGGAGACTTAAATCCATTTTTAAAGGAAAATGTTAAGCAACCCATAAGTTAAATTGTCAAATATTATCAAAGTTAAAATATTACCAAATAGTTTTTGCAACCAAGTGAGACTATAGAAATTTTCTGACTCCCAGATGTAGATATCAGCTCTTTATAAAGCTAGTTGAGTGGGATTTCTCCTCTGCAAAGCTATTAAGGTTTTGTTAAACCCTAGTAGCTTTATGGGTGCTGTCTAAATGTCTAAGCAGTTTTTCCAAAAATGATTTACACACTTAATATCAGTAAACATATACTTAATGCCAAAATAATTTTGGAAGAGCTGCTCTATTATGGACTTGGGTTTACTTTTATCAGGCTTTTAAACAAATTCAAAGTATGAATGTTTGTTGTGTTCCTCTTTTCTATTTTCAGGTCACGCACGTTGAACCATGGGAGAAAGGAAGCAGGAAAACAGCGGGCCAGACAGGGATGTGCGGAGGGGTAAGTAGAAGTACGTGCATTTTTCAGTTTTTCTGTGTCTAATAACTAAGTTTATATTTAGAGAACTAGAGGCCTGTCAATTATACACTTGAGTGACAATTTTTTTAATCCAAATTCAAGTGTTCAGTGAAATAGGGTTAGAAAAGTGTTACTTTTTAATGCTCCTTAGTTCTGGATTATGGATTGTTATTGATACCTAACAGGATTAATCAATTGGTGTTAAGAGTCCGTTAATTATTTTACTACTTTTTCTTAACTCGTTTCCCCTAAAGGTTCGAGGTGTTGGAACAGGAGGAATTGTTTCTACAGCATTTTGCCTGTTATACAAATTATTTACCCTGAAGTTAACTCGAAAGCAAGTGATGGGTCTTATAACACACACAGACTCTCCATATATTAGAGCGCTTGGATTTATGTATATAAGGTGAGCGTACATTTATGTACATTTCCAGTAAATATCTCATTTTAATTCACATGTGTTTAATAATAGTCTTTTGTAATTCTAGATATACACAGCCCCCTACAGATCTGTGGGACTGGTTTGAATCCTTCCTTGATGATGAAGAGGTATGTCAACAAGGGTAATAATTTGTTTTCTTCTGATTACTCTCATATTTTTATTATCTTTTATTTATTGGTGGTTTAATGTCTTCAAGAACTTCCTGTAGTTAAATTTATTTCAGTGAGATACTTTTGGAATTAATGTCCTTTTACTGAGACCTGATGGCTTTTATGTATTTTAGGGTAAATTTCTGAAGTTTTATTTTCTTGTTTTAAAATTGTTTAAATGTGTTTGGTAACTATTGGAAAATTTTCTCTTCTTAATTATGTTCTGTGTATTGTATTGATCCTGAATTGTATAGTTAATAGTGACTTTTCAAGATGGGGCATGCTCAAGATCGAACAGATAATAAAAGATATGCACATAGAATACTAATTGTAGCTTTTTTTTCTTCTGGAACATTTCAGTTCTTCACCCTCTAGCTTCTTCCAAATATCAGTATTCCCACTTGCATAGAAGTGCAGAATTGAAGAGTTGGGTGTTACATAAATAGGCTAAGTGTTTGGATGACTTGTTCAAGGTGACAAAATTTTAATTCCAGTTTTCTGACTCCTAGTACACCACACACACCTTTAAAAAAGAAATTTTTTAAATTGTAATTCGAGTCTCCCTAATTTGAAATCTGAAATACTAAGTTAGATTTAAATCGTGTATGCATTGGCTGGGCGTGGTGGCTCACATTGTAATCCCAACACTTCGAGAGTTCAAGACCAGCCTGAGCAATATAGTGAGACCTCATCTCTACAAAAAAAAGTTTAAAAATTAGCTGAGCATAGAGGTATGCATCTTAGTCCCACCTACTTGGGAGGCTGGGGTGGGAGGATCACTTGAGCCCAGGAGACAGAATTTGCTGTGAGCCAAGATCATTGCCACTGCATTCCAGCCTGGGTAACACAGTAAGACCCTTTCTCAAAACAAAACAAAATATCATATATGCATTAATTTACTTGCATGGTGAAGTCCAACATGTCAAAAATGAAATGATGAGCTGTATTGTCCCTATGTCTACCCAGTCTACTACTTTGTGTTTTAAGGTTCATAAGACTTTTTGAGTGCTATGTGTCAGTAGTCTATTTACAGAGTTCATCCAAAGAATTTATTGAATTAAAGGATGGTTCTAATGGAAATCTATTGTGTTTTGTTATTACATGCACACCTAAAAAAAAAAAAAATCTCATTTAGACATGGAGAATTTTTATTTTTCTCTTTTTTTTTTTTTTTTTTTTTGCCTGTTAACTGAGTTACTTCACTCAGAAGAAGCAAAACGTGTTTTAAATCACAATCTTTAAGGTCTTTTTATCTTTAGATCAGTTTTTCAGACTGAAGTGCTTCTCCCTTCTGTCTTTAAAAAAGCATGTTCCTCTTCATAATTGGTGTTGTATTGGTTTTGTTTCTGGATGCCTCTATTTTATGTTTTTTATTGTGTTTACAAATCTGAGGTCCTCTATTTAAGCTAACTTATTGTTTTCTTCCTTAGATATCTGCAGCGATTATATTTGGAAATACTGTATATCTGAACACTTAAATGTGTGTGAGTGCAAGCAGTTTTACCTTTAGCTCTTGTTTTCCTGTTTAGATAACAAATCTCACTTTCCTTGTGTGCTTGCACTATAGGTTTGGGACTGACAATAGCTGACTAACATGTCCTGAGCTGTGAGAGGGCATAGCAAGAAGGCCTTCATGCGGTAATGACCCTTTTCAGAGACAATGGTCATCATGGATTATGCGTTTCCAATTATTTGTTCATTTATTTATTTTCTACATAACTAAATTAGAAACCTCACTGCTTCATGGCAGTTGGTTTGCTATTGCTTCCAGTTTTATTAGGGCTTCATTTTATATTAGAGCTGTTAAAAGATAACCTTTAGACAGGAATTATCTAAAGTAGATCATATGTAGCTAGGTTATGGTGCAAGGTATATGATGTGTGCAAATATGTCCACAGAAATAAATACATAGTAGGTATGTGGAATGTAAATTTAAGTCAATCGTTCCGCATAGTTTAGAAATGTAAGGGGCTTTTTCATATTGTTAACTGAGTGAGATCAGTTCCCTTTATGCCTGTGAGGCTGCAGGGTTTGTTCTCACTTGCATGCACACACTAAGCCCAAATATTTCTGTTCATTCATTGTCAGATCAGGATATGAAAATAAAATTTTTCTGTTAGTTTTTTTTGTATTGAGATTCCAAAGATGGTAATATTTTTATAATATTCATGTATATATGGAAATACTTTTTTTGACGGCTAGGGTATCTTTTGTGTTTCTGTAGGACCTAGATGTGAAGGCTGGTGGAGGCTGTGTAATGACCATTGGAGAAATGCTACGATCTTTTCTCACAAAACTGGAGTGGTTTTCTACCTTGTTTCCAAGAATTCCAGTTCCAGTTCAAAAGAATATTGATCAACAGATTAAAACCCGACCTAGAAAAATCAAGAAAGATGGGAAGGAAGGTGCTGAGGAAATAGACAGACATGTTGAACGCAGACGTTCAAGGTAATGTCACTCTTGAATTATGCTTATTTTTCATATATGCTTTATACAAAATTAATGGTTCTGAGAAATAGCAAGTTCTTAGGAATTTGTTTTTACTGTTCATTTTATTAGTTTGTCACTTTTACCCCCCAAAGATTATTTTCTTCCTTTCAGGGCTTTTTCTATAAAATTATGCATCTGTAAATGAGAACAATAAAATTTTTTGCTTTAATGATTCTTGACATGGCCTTAAGCTTGAGGACATGAATAAATAATGCTGTTGAAAGTTTTACTGTGAAAAGAATTGCATATGTTTTATTCATTGAAATTTTCTTTCTCCCTCCGCCTTCCTTAGGTCTCCAAGGAGATCTCTGAGTCCACGGAGGTCCCCAAGAAGGTCAAGAAGTAGAAGTCATCATCGGGAGGGCCATGGGTCTTCTAGTTTTGACAGAGAATTAGAAAGAGAGAAAGAACGCCAGCGACTAGAGCGTGAAGCCAAAGAAAGGGAGAAAGAACGGCGAAGATCCCGAAGTATTGACCGGGGGTTAGAACGCAGGCGCAGCAGAAGTAGGGAAAGGCATAGAAGTCGCAGTCGAAGTCGTGATAGGAAAGGGGATAGAAGGGACAGGGATCGAGAAAGAGAGAAAGAAAATGAGAGAGGTAGAAGACGAGATCGTGACTATGATAAGGAAAGAGGAAATGAACGAGAAAAAGAGAGAGAGCGATCAAGAGAAAGGTCCAAGGAACAGAGAAGTAGGGGAGAGGTAGAAGAGAAGAAACATAAAGAAGACAAAGATGATAGGCGGCACAGAGATGACAAAAGAGATTCCAAGAAAGAGAAAAAACACAGTAGAAGCAGAAGCAGAGAAAGGAAACACAGAAGTAGGAGTCGAAGTAGAAATGCAGGGAAACGAAGTAGAAGTAGAAGCAAAGAGAAATCAAGTAAACATAAAAATGAAAGTAAAGAAAAATCAAATAAACGAAGTCGAAGTGGCAGTCAAGGAAGAACTGACAGTGTTGAAAAATCAAAAAAACGGGAACATAGTCCCAGCAAAGAAAAATCTAGAAAGCGTAGTAGAAGCAAAGAACGTTCCCACAAACGAGATCACAGTGATAGTAAGGACCAGTCAGACAAACATGATCGTCGAAGGAGCCAAAGTATAGAACAAGAGAGCCAAGAAAAACAGCATAAAAACAAAGATGAGACTGTGTGAAAATATTTTGTAAAAGTGGATCACATTGAATCCTATAAATGATTAAATCTGCTTTTTTCCCCCACGTTGAGATTGTGCAGTAGTTCGCACTCCTCAAGCTCTCCCTGTAGGCTGCATTTTCATTTCCTCTTTCGTGTAGGGAAGTGCCTTTGTAATTCCATTTATTGCATTGGTGTTTTCACCCAATTGTTAAGTTTGATACATGATGCACAGATTGTTCTTGCATTTTTATTGTTTGTTTTTGAAATGTACAGTCTGTACATATGTCCTGAAAATGTTTTAATTCCTTTGGCATGGTTGCCATGTTGGTTAAATTTGTATAAGGCAATAAACTGCCACTAATCTATTTTTGTTTTGTAGGTGTGGGATTATGGTTTGTGTACTGAAGTTAGCATGGCTGTGCTTTTCGTAATAGAATGCTAAAGACTTTGAGAATGGATCTTGGATGTCTATTATAGGAGAAGTATGTGCTGCCAATGTACAAGAAGGCAGCATTGTAGGATTAACATTCTTGTCTACTGTATATTATCTTGGAAGGCTCTTGTTAATATGTTACACTTAATATTCTCCACAGTTACCTTTAGAGAGAATTTATGAGAAGTTAGTTTCTGATGCAGAGGTTTTTAGGCTGTGATTTCATCAAAAGTCCTTTTAGCATTCTACCTCAAAGGGACACTTAGTATGCCTAAAATTTATTCACTTAGTTTTCCTTTTTTATTTGAAAAAATACATGACATGTAATCTTTTTTTCTTGAATTCTTTCTCAGATTTTAAAGTACTATATTAAAGAAAAAAATTAATGTCTAAAGCCTAGCATTCTTGCAGAACCCTATACTAACATGTAATGGGGAGAGGGTGGGGCAGATGAGTAGAGAAACAGATTCAAGCCTCAAGCTTCCAAAGCATTTTTATAAATGGAAAATCCTTAAATTATGAAACAGCTTGATATAGTGTCCTTTTTTTAAAATTCAGAACTTTTTTTATTGATAATGGAGATTGCTGTTTGAGTTTTTAAACTTAATCTAGAACAGAGGAGTATTAAAAGTAATGCTGTGCTGCATTATTTAAGACTATCAGCAAATTATTTGATAGATTGTTCTTACAACTTGTATTCTGATTACAGAACCATCATGAGTGTGGAATAAATACTGGATTAAATCCTTTATCCTGGGTCTTGGCTTTTCCCCCATTTGTTAAATTTTTTTAGCATATTTATATTGTGGAAATTGATGAAACGTCAGTAGAGTCACACTTTGTGTACAGGGATGTCTTAGTGCCCAGATGACAAGTGAATTTTGGAGAAATGCATAGACTGGGATTGGGCATGTGGTAATCAATAATCTTTATTAGAATACTTGATAATGGCAGTTCCCTTTGTCAGTGGTTGTTACATGTGTCATTTGATTACTTTGTTCCATGTCAAAGACGTTTATTGGGATACCTTTTACTTGGACAATATGTTAGCATTTTTTAAAATTTGGACTTGAAATTCTTTAAGATAATTCACCCAATTCTTTTTAGAAAAGAAAATAGAGGCCCAAAGTAATGATGTCAGTGCTAGGGCTAAAACTCAGTATTCTGACAGTGTAGTGAACCTGGCACGCACATTGAGGTTTGTTTTATCTCACTGGTTATACTGGCCAACTAATGCGCACTCAGAAGCCACCTTGCAAAAATGTTAAATGGAGCAAACGAGTACACTTGCAAGAGTCCTCCATATGTGGGCTTAACATATGTACCACTCCATTTTAGAAAAATCTCATTAAATGAATTCTTCTAAAAATGATATGCTTTTTTCTTTTTTAAGAAAATTCCTTTGTCTTTTAAATTGAGCATCAAGTGAATTAGTGCTATAGACACCCAGAAGTTAGAAAAACCTATTGTATAATATGAAAGCCACTAAATTTGTCTTGTGTTGAAAATCTACTTTTAGCATACCTAAATTATGGAGCTACTACTTTGGATATGGTTCCATGTGAAATGTTTTATCTGACTATTTTAAGTAAAATGTGGAAAGAATTTAAATTACTTCACATGGAGGTGAAAGAACTATCACCTCGATTGACAGTTCGATGATCGTCACTACATTTGATTTCTTGTGGGTTTTTAGTTTGTTTTTGTTTTGAGACGGGCCTGGCTCTGTCACCCAGACTGGAGTGCAGTGGTGCAATCTCTGCTCACTGCAGCCTCCACTTCCCTGGCTCAAGTGATCCTCCGAACTTGGCCTCCTAAGTAGCTGGGACCACAGGTGCATGCTAGCACACCCGGCTAATTTGTATTTTTGGTAGGGTTGGGATTTCGCCATGTTGCCCAGGCTGGTCTTGAACTCCTGGCCTCAAGTGATCCACCCACCTCAGCCTCCCAAAGCGCTGTGATTACAGGTGTGAGCCACCACTCCAGTCCCTTCTTACGATTTTTAAATATGTTTGCTTTTGAGGAAAATTATGGTAGGTGTGAGAACATGTAAATTGTGCTAGTTATTGCTATATATATGCATGATTTATTTGGAGAGTGGCTTCCTAAGAAACTGGGAAAACAAGTGGCTATGAAAGACATCTCACATTTCTTGAAACATGAGAACATTTGGACACGAACATCACACGCCGGGGCCTGTTGTGGGGTGGGGGACTAGGGGAGGGATAATATTAGGAGAAATACCTAATGTAGATGACAGGTTGATGGGTGCAGCTCACCACCAAGGTACATGTATATCTAGGTAACAAACCGGCACGTTCTGCACATGTATCTGAACTTAAAGTATAATTTAAAAAAATTTTTAATACAGCTTAATAAGCATCCTCCATCCAGTTTTTGTACTTACTGGAATGATTTCACCTTTCCATGTATTAAAATCTTTTGCCTGTTTTTAATGTTCAATTTGCAATTAAATTCTATACATGGGCGAGTATATCATCAATCTTAAACTTTTAATATAAAGTGTTCATTTTAATATTGCCCTGTTTTTATCTCCTAACTCTGATTTAGTTCCTCAGTTCCTCTAAGGCAATGGTTGTTTTGAGTTCTGGGCCCACTTTTTAGTAATCTGATGAAAGCTACCATCCTGTCTAAAAAAAAGTACCCCACTAGGTGCAGTGGCTCACATCTGTAATCCCAGCACTTTGGGAGTCCGAGGCCAGTAGGTCACCTGAGGTCAGGAGTTTGAGACCAGCCTGGCCAACATGCTGAAACCCCATGTCTACTAAAAAGTGGAAAATACGGGCCGGGTGTGGTGGCTCATGCCTGTAATCCCAGCACTTTGGGAGGCCAAGGCGGGCAGATCACAAGGTCAGGAGTTCGAGACCAGCCTGGCTAACACAGTGAAACCCCGTTTCTAATAAAAATACAAAAATTAGCCGGGTGTGGTGGTGTATGCCTGTAGTCTCAGCTACTTGGGAGGCTGAGGTAGGAGAATCCCTTGAAACCAGGAGGCAGAGGTTGCAGTGAGCTGAGATCACGCCACTGCACTCCAGCCTGGTTGACAGAGCAAGACTCCGTCTCAAAAAATCAAAATACAAAATACAAAATACGCCGGGTGTGGTGGTGCACGCCTGTAATCCCAGCTACTCCGGATGCTGAGGCAGCAGAGTCGCTTAGAACCTGGGAGGCGGAAGTTGCGGTTAGCCGAGATCTCACCACTGCACTCCAGCCTGGGCGAGAGAAGGAGGCTGTGTCTCAAAAAGTACCTTAAAATTTGTGTGTAACTTCAAAGGAACTCACAAACTGCCCTAGGACTTTGGTTCTGTTCATTAACTGATTTTTTTAAAACTATGCTTAGATGTACAGTGTTTGGGAATTAATAAACCAGAAACTTAAGTTCCTAAGAGTACTTAGGCAGTTAGTTGCAAAGGCAGTATCTGTTTTGTTATTTTACTTAGAGCTGCAGAGGAAGAAAAAAATGACAATGGTATTCACTTAATTCTCTTCCCTAAAAGTTGTGCTTTATTATAAAGTTTTTGGTTAGTAGAGATGAGGTCCCACCACTGGCAGTTTGTACATCTTTCAACTGATGCCAACGTGCAACCTCAAACACTGACTAGTGGACCAATTCTCAGGTGATATTGGCCAACTGATGGGCGTTGATTCTGTTCCTAGTTTGATTCTATTACGTAAATGCTGAAATCAGCCTTGAATGACTAAATTATAGGACCTCTTAAGTAGAGATGATTTTACGTGGCAGGAAACGCTTCTTGGTAGTGTCACTCTGAAATTTCCCCTCCGTCATTCCACCCTATAAAGTCCCACAGTACTTTGCAAGTACCTCTGAAATGGCATTTATTGGGACCATTGTCACAACTGGAAAATGTTAGCATCATGGCTGACTTAAAATCCGTTATTTGATTTCTCAGAGTATTGATATTCAAAGCATTTCTATTTACATAATCATGATCCACAATGTGTAGCACAGATATGTATCCAGATGTGTGTGTTAGGGGGTGGGGGGTGCTTTTTCAGCCTATTGCATAAACAGAGAACTGACCTTACAGCATTTCATGTAAGCCCTGAGGTTTTGCCACAAGGATTGGAAAAAGAACTACTTATTGTAAAGAAATCCTCACATAAGCTTCCCTGATCTGCAGGTACTTAAAGTCCACCAATCTTCAGTTGGTTTTCCTTGGCTGATTCTTGTTCTGGCCATTCTGAAGCTGAATTATTTCTCTGTTTCTTGAGTCAGTGCAATTAGTCACACACATCCCTGCCCCGCCCTCCAACAAATTCCATCAGCTATGAACCTCTGACATCCAAAATAAACATATAATCTAAGTGAAAACAAGCAGTGCTTGCTGAGCAAATGCAAGGGAAGACCTCTTGTCTTCTCCTTCCCTCTTATTTAGAAATTTTGAAGTCAATGTCCTGGATATTCGACTATACCAATAGAGGGAAAATCTTAAATGCAACACTCATCCAGCCAATCCAGGTACTGGTTCGGTGAACATTTCCTGAATGAAGTGTTCCATGGGTTAGCCGAAACTTGTGCAGGGACAGCCAGTGATTTGTGGATGTGCCAGTTATTTATACATTTTCTAGCTCCACATCCACCTTTTATTTCCCTGCTTCGTGATTCTGGAGCTGGGCCTTTTAAACATTTTTCCATTGCCGGCTGGCATAATGTTAAGCGTGTCAGTGGAGCATGCTGGAGGGAGCTGCAGCAGAGAGGTGTGTTTTCTTTTTTCTTTTTGCTTCTCCATTGTGTAGGGGCCAGTGGCATGTAGAGCACCCAGCAATATATATCCCCCAGCAAATTTCAGTACCATCTCATTGAGAGAAGTGGGAGTTCCCCGCAAGTCCACGAGTCCCCTGCCCGCTTCCCAGCAAGTTTGCTAGTGCTCCAGCAGGCACCTGCCCAGGAGTTTCAGCAGGACCTCACAGGTTTCCCAGTAAGTCTCAGTGGCACCCCAGTGGGTGGCCTCCTAGCTACTTTTGTTGACACCTCTGCTCTCCAGCTCCAACCTTCAGCTTCTCAGCATTTGCTGAGAAGCCACAACTGCACCCTCGCCAACAAGGTCTGAATCTCAGTCTAGCAAGGGAACGTCTCCTAATGTTTTCGTTTTTTGTTTGTTTGTTTTGTTTTGGTTGTTATTGTTGTTTTAGACAGAGCCTTGCTCTGTCACCCAGGCTGGAGTGCAGTGGCACGATCTCAGCTCGCTGCAGACTCAACCAGGGCTCAAGCAATCCTCCAGCCTCAGCCTCCTGAGTGGTTAGGAAGGATTATTATGGGCGGGTGCCCCTACAACTGGCTGATTTTTATTTTTCTTCCTAGGGACTGGGTCTTACTGTGTTTCCCAAGCTGGTCTCAAACTCCTGGCCTCAAGCAATCCTCCCTCCTTGGCCTCCCAAAGTGCTGAGATTACAGATGTGAGCCACTGTGCCCAGCCACGTCCCCCACATTTGTTCTTTTCTTGGGTCCTCTGCCTCAGCACTAGAGGTAATGGCTGCTCCCTATATCCACTATTACTGTATTTTTTTAGCCTTCTCTTTACCTTTAGTAGTTAACCCCGTTACTGGTTAATAATTCTTTGTATCAAACTTTGCCTCTTGGAATTACTGTGTGTTTTCTGTCTCTGGACTGGACCCTGAATGGTACAATGTATTAAAATGATGCCAGTCATATGGATGCTCCCTCCTTTGGCTGGCTGATGAAGTAGTCTAGTATAAAGGGCTCAGCCCAAGAAGTTTGTTGAGAATTATGTAAGTGAATCAGACAGGCTTCTTTCAGAATTTTAACAGAAAACTAAGAATTGGCCAGTCCTTAGAAGAGTGGACAAGATGCATAGTTGTCTTACAACAGTGACCATGTAAAAGAGTCACCGGACCCTGAAGCTGCCTCACTTCCTGCTGGCTTTCTAGTTTTTTCCCAGTCTGGTCAGTGGATATCCTTGCAATTTCTCTGTTTTTCTTAAGGTGGCCTGAGTTTCTCTTCCCTGGAATACAGGAGCCTAACTCTGGTTTCTTTTATTGTAATAACCAGGAATCTCTGATCAGTAAGGGTCTTCCTGATATTTTCTAACATTGAGTTTTTAATCTGTTTATCCTTGTTAGTACCAGCAAGAAAATACCATCTACTTAATTTGAGTGAAGAAGAAAAAAAGTGGTGTGTGTTTGTGACAAAAAGTGGGGTTTGTTTGTTTGAGACATGGTCTTGCTCCGTTGCCCAGGCTGGAGTACAGTGGCACGATCGTGGCTCACTGTAGTCTCAACCTCCCAAGCTCAAGTGATCCTCCTACCTCAGCCTCCCAAGTAGCTGAGACTATAGGCACACACCACCACACCTGGCTAATTTTTTATAGAGGTGGGGTCTCACTGCATTGCCCAGGCTGGTCTGGAACTCTTGGGCTCAAGTAACCCTCCCACCTTGGCCTCCCAACATGCTGGGATTATGGGCATGAGACACCATGCTGGGCCCAAATAGGAAGTTTTATATGATTCCTCTTTTTTTTTTTTTTTTGGTGGAAATGGTCTGCCTTTGGCAGAAGGGGGATGTAAGGGCATGGTGGAAGACTACATTATGGATTAGGGCCACTAAAAATCTTGCAGTTTCCAATGTTTTCCTGGAGTTAATCCTACTCTACATTCCTTCTATATCCCTAAATATTTCTTTTTGATATCCCCTACAATGGCCACTTCAAATCTTTACTAGTTTCTGAAGTTCCTACTTCATCTCCATATTCATTTCATATTCATATTTACTGCAGCCTTGACCTCCCTGGGCTCAAGCACTCCTCCCACCTCAGCCTGCTGAGTAGCTGGGGCTACAGGCACACGCCACCCCACCTGGAGACTTTTTTATATTTTTGGTAGAGATGGGGTCTCTCCATGTTGCCCAGGCTGCTCTCAAACGCCTAGGCTCAAGTGATCCACCTGCCTTGGCCTCCCAAAGTGTTGGGATTATGGGCATGAACCAATGCGCCTGGCCACCTCTCTCTATATCTTTCCGTTACATGTCTTAAATTCTGCCCTTGGCTGATCTACCTATGCACCAGATCACATTTATTTATTCATTCATTTGTGTGGTAGACTGCCAATTGTTCCCCAATAGAGATTACTGGAATGTATCGTTAGTCTCTTTTATCTCCTCTCACTGAATTCTGCTGCTTAGAACTTTAATGTGATAGCTGGAACTTTATCTTGGACCAAGAAGGAGGGCCTCCTCCTAGGGATGGCAGACTAAAGAGGAAAAAGGAGCCTGGGTCTCTCAAGACTCCGTGGAATAGAATTGCCACGCCACTCCTGGAGGCTTTGCCTCTACTATTTTATATCAGGAAGAAACTTCTGGTTAAGCCACTGTTATAGGTTTTCTGTCCACTCTCAGCAAAACCTAATCCCGACTAATCACAGTTCTGAGATCTGGAATTGCACACCAAGTAACATAAGCTAAAGTAGTGCGCATGAGCTTAGTGAAGGAGGGTGGGTGTCAGGAAGCATCAACACAGGCATGTGTGGTCTGGAAAGTGGATGATTCTTGTGTGGAGCATCCTCACATTTTCTCCCTCTTCCGTTCCAGACTCTTATCTTTATCTTTTATTTTCAGTCCCTCTCCTGGCCTTTGCATTATTTACTAATCTTAAATTTGCTGATATTACCTTATTAGTACACTAATAATGTGTAAATAGACTTACTCTTGTAGCTATTTCCCCTCTTGGTTGTCTTAGCTCCATTCCCTTCAGTATCAAAATTCATGCATTCACTGCTTTGCAGAATCTCATTCCTGAAGCGAGAATTTCAGACAGCTGGTAAATTTAGTCATTCAAAGCTTTAAAGTAAATTCATATTACAAAAGCAACCGCTTTATTTGCATTGTTTCCCAATGGAACAGTTCAGCGATAACACTCATTACCTATTTTGACAACCAAGAAGTTGACATTAGCCAGAGACGGTTGCTAACACAATAATTATCTTTCCTAACTCATTTCTTTAAAATCATTGTACTTCCAGACCATTGTTTTTCTCTCTTTCCTGAATCCCCTAGGTCCTATAAAACACGTCATCAGATTACACCATCTACTGTCCCTCAGTTGTCTATATCATCCATACCCAATAGATACTCCCCTAATATTTTAATAATTATAGAGTTTAATAGAGGCTCAATACCTCTTTCACCACTCTTGCCATAATTCTTAGTGATTCCAATATCCATTGAACAATCTTTCCAATACTCAGACCTCTCAATTTTTTGACCTCCTGACCTCCAATGATTTTTTTCCTCCATCTGACCTCAGCTGCCAGTTCCAATGGTTACATCATAGACCTGGCCATCATCAATAACTGGCACTTCTCCACGGTTTCCATTTCAATCAAGCATCCCATTCTCTAATCACCAACTCCTATATTTCCTGCTTACTTTCTCTAAGATCCTCTCCAACAATTCTTTAACTCCCTTGGGTCCTCCATTCTATTGCTCCTGCCAACTTTTCATTCCATTGCAGCCCCTTTAGCCTCCATTGCAGTGAGGTATTACAAGCCACAGTTCCTTGCTTACCCAGCTTAGTTTCCACTGTACAATATTATAAATCACATCCTTGAAAACACTCTTAACTCCCTTACTGCGGTCTCCATCACCCTTGTCTAGTAATACTCCAATCCAAGTTAGATACAACTCTCTGTCTACTCTGTGCACACAAGTGACTGAACATGACTGGTCCTGTTTGCCATCACTCCCAATGACCCACTTGAGGGGTTTGTGCTGCCCCCTTCTGGAACTCTGGGCTTCAGCGAACTGGAGAGTGGGTGTTCTTTAAATGTTGCACCCTAGGTGCCTCCGTTGCCCTGGTGGACACCATGGTGTACCATCCAGATCTCCCCTCCAGAGTTGTCCTGAATCCGGGCCAGGAGCACTAACATTCCTTTATCCACCAATCACTGGATGTAGGTGGCCCAGGGAGCAGGTATGACTTTGAGCCAGGCAGCTCTCATGAGCCAAGGGCAAGTCTGCAAGAGACTGAGCGGGAGCTGTCAACCACCAACACTCCCTGCTGCTGGGGGCGTAAGAGCACAGGCTGTTCTAACCAAGCTGCTCCCTCCTCAGGGCTTTTGCACTTCCACTTCCTTCTGCCTGGATGTTCTTTTCCTAAGTTTCCAAAGGATGCACTCCTTCACTTCCCTTAGGCCTGTGCTCAAGCATCTGGTTGCCAGAGAGGTCTTCCCTAACAGCTGTATTCTCTCCTATCACTCCACTTTTTCTTCATAAAATTTAGCAGCACTCAACATATTTTATTACTTTAGCTGCTTGGTTTGGCCTTCCTTTGCTAGAGTGCATGCTCCAAGAGGACAGGGTTCTGATTTGTTTGTATCTTCCATGTCCTGAATAGTTCCTGGTCTTCATTAGGTCCTCAATATGTCAACATATATTTGATGGGTGCACAAATTGAAACGCCTTAAATTCATAGTAGTCAGCTCATAAGGCAGAGTGGTTTAGTGGAAGGAGCTTAGGGTTTGGAGTTAGACTGATTTTTGAAAACACCTTTATTTAGGTATAAGTAGCATTTAATAAATTGCACATATTTAAGACATAAACTCAATACATTTTGACATATGTATACACTCATAAATTCACCACCACAGTTCACATAATGAACATGTTCTTCACCCCCAAGAGTTTCCTCTTGCACTTTTGTAATCCCTCCTTCCTGCCATTCTCCATCCCCAGGCAGCCACTGATTTGCTTTCTGTTTTTAAGAGTAGTTTGCATTTTCTAGAAATTTATATGATTAGTTCAAACCATCTGTATTCTTTTTTTAGGTCTGACTTTTTTTGAGATTCATCCATGTTTTTGTGTGTTCCTTTTTTTGCTGGGAAAAATTTCATTTGTTTATTACTTATTTTGGCTGACAGACATTTGGTTTGCTTATAGTTTGAGGATTGTTAAAAATAATGCTACTGTGAATATTCCTGTATGTTTTTGTATGGACATATGCTTTCATTTTTTTTGAGTCAATACCTAGGAGTGAAATGGTGAGGCATGTGTTTAACTTTTTAAGAAACAGCCAAATTATTTTCCAAAATGATCGTACCATTTTTCATTCTTACCAGGTATGAGATTTCTGATTGTTCCACATCCTTGCCAACACTTAGTTTACTCAGTCTTTCTAATTTTATTATTTATTTATTTATTTATTTATTATTTGAGACAGGGTCTCATTCTATTGCTCAGGCTGGAGTGCAGTGGTGCGATCATGGCTCACTGCAGGCTTGACCTCCTGAGTTCAAGTGATCCTCCCGCCTCAGCCTCCCAAGTAGCTGGCACTACAGGCGCATGTCACCACATCCAGCTAATTTTAAAAAATTTTTTGTACAGACAGGGTCCTACGATGTTGCCTAGGCTGTTCTCAAAACTCCTGACCCCAAGTGATCCTGTTGCTTTGGTCTCTCAAAGTGCTGGGATTACAGGCACAGCCACAATGACCAGCTTCTAATTTTAGACATCCAATAAGTATGTATCTCACTGTGGTTTTAATTTGCATTCTGTGGGCCCAGCGCAATGGCTCACGCTTATAATCCCAGCACTTTGGGAGGCCAAGGTGGGCAGATGGCTTGAGCCCAGGAGTTTGAGACCAGCCTGGGCAACATGGTGAAACCCCATCTCTACAAATAATACAAAAATTAGCCAGGTGTAGTGCTGCACACCTGTGGTCCCAGCTACTCAGGAGGCTGAAGTGGGAGGATCATTAGAGCCTGGGAGGTCAAGACTGCAGTGAGGTGTGATTGCGCCACTACATTCCAGGTTGGATGACAGAATGAGACCCCGTCTCCAAAAAAAAAAAAAAAAACCTTTTCTGCATTCTGCTAATGACTAGTGATGCTGAGGATTTTTTCCATGCCTTTATTTTCCACGAGTATGTCTTCTTTTGTAAAGTGTTTGTTCATATCTTTTGCCCATTTTGTATTGAGTTGTTTTCCTATTACTGGGTTTTGAGAATACACACACACAGAATACAAGTCCTTTATAAGATATATATTTTCCCGCAGTCTGTGGCTTATCTTTTCATTCCCTTAATAGTGCAGATATTCTTCATTTTAATGAAGTCAAATTTATCAAATTTTAAAAATGGATTATACTTTTAGTGTTGTATATAAGAAATCTTTGCCTAACCCAAAGTCACAAAGATATTCTCTTGTGTTTTTTTTTCTGGACATTTTATAGTTTCAGGTGCTACATTTAGATCTATGATCCATTTTGAGTTCATTTTTTAATGTGGTGTGAGGTATGAACCAAAGTTTATGTTTTCTGCATATGGTTATCCAGTTGTTCCAGCACCATCTGTTGAAAAGTCTATTCTTTCTCCTTTGGATTGCCTTGTATCTTTGTTGAAAATCAATTATCTATATATGCGTGGGTTTATTTTTGGACTCTCTGTCCCATTGATCTATTTATCTATCTTCATGCCAATACCACCCGGTCTCTATTTTATTTTAGCTTTATGGTAAATCTTAAAGTCAGGGACGGTAAATGCAGTTCTTTTCCCTTTTTTGTAATCCTATCTTGGTTGAAAGTAGAAATCAGACTGATGCGTTTTAACTCTAGTTTGATCATTTAATTCTTGTGTGATTTCAGATAAGCCAATTAATTATGTTTATTATTCATTTATGTATCTGTTCATTGTTAAAATTATACATTGTAATTCTTAAATTAAATGCTAATTATTATTAAGAGTGTGAACTAGGAAGACAGCTCCGGAAATAAAAGGAACTAGCCAGGCGCAGTGGTGCATGCCTGTAGTCTCAGCTACTCAGGAGGCAGAGGTGGGAGGATTGCTTGAGCCCAGGAGTTGGAGGCTGCTTGGCAAAATAGCAAGACCCTGTCTCTAAAAAAATGAAAAAAAAAAAAAGGTACTGGAACTGCAGGGTGGTACGGGGGATGGATAAATTTAATGTGCTCACCAGGGACCTCTCACTATCTTTCTCAGTACAGGGACATGCTCCTGCCCTTTCATATTCCATGTTGAAGTTTTGCAACAAATTCTTCCTGACAGTAGGACCAATCACTTACTTTGAACTAAAAGAACAACAACAAATAAAGGTGAAAAAGAAAAATAAAACTGGTCAGCATCCCCGAGTTCAAAATAATTATTCTACCACATCAACAACTTTCTGTGCAGCTTTCTAAAATTTTTATTTAGACAGAAATTGTTTTAAAAAGAAGGTTGCTTTGAAACCAAGGTTACAGTAGCTTTTTGGCCCGCTTGCCGTGGCTTTCTCCAACTCTCTTCTTCTTTTCAGTCTTTGCAATACCTGTCCCTGCCGGTCTCCAAGTGCCCCTGGTTACAGGTCAGCTCCACACTGAAGGGGAGGAGCTACTTCCTAGGGTCTCTTCCCAGCATCACAGCCCTACATCCCAGCGACCAACGGTGTTATACTCCTGGGGGCCAAAGAGGACCCGGATTGCTTTGTTTTGTGCCATGTGAGTACTATGTCCAACAGGATGGCTGGTGGACGAGAGACATGTTTGCCTTTGATTGGATTCATTCTTATCTGTCTTAAAATGGTGAGTTCATCATTCCAACTACCCACAACTATTTAGGGGAAAAAAGAAAGACACATTATTTTTCTCTCCTTTTTTTTTTGAGGAGTTGGGGAATAGGGAGATAGAAATCAGAATACTTTGGTTTGTACCGAGGTTGTATATGTTTGCGTGTTTGAAATTTAATGCCATATACTAGAGAAAGAAAACAAGATTATCATTATATTTTAAGAACAAAGATTTCTGAAAAATCTGTCAGCAGCTACTGACTTAGTTCAATAGGCAGATTCAAAGGGGAAAAAAATGAAATAGTAATGGGATCTGCCTCCAGCCTCTAAATTCTATTTAGAGTTGTTTTGTGGTAGATTTGGGTGCTGGGAAATGATTTGTGTGGAGAAATACTTGTATGGATTGAAAGACTGCTCACGTTAGATGTAAAAATGTTGTGATTAATTTATTACCGCTTTTATTCATGTTTTACGTTTGTTCAAGTTGTGTTTTTCTGTGTGGTTCTAATTTTCCAAACTTTCCTTTTCAGGTTGCTTCAGCAAAATCAGGTACAATTTTCTGACCTGCAAGTTTTTCCTTCTCGTATTTGATTTTAATTTCCATTGTTAATTCACGGGCTACCCTGAAATCTAAAGGCTATATGAGAAAAAAAAATTCAATATTTTCTGAGCACTCACACTGGGTGCTAAGCACTCTATTGGGTCCTGGGGAGACAATAACTGGTAAGACAAATAAATGGATTGAACTCGAAAGACAAATCTTCATAAAGTGTTCTTGCTGAGGACTATAATGTACAGAGCCATGTAGGCATGCATTTTCTCATATACGGTTAGCCATGTGTGAAATATTACAATGATCATCATTCCAGTTAAGATATTGTACAGAGTCTAATTTATACAAATGTTCTTGTTTATCTTCCGGGGAATTAGAGGGAAAATGAGAAATGTTATATTTGATTAAATTGTCAATATTCCCTACTTTAAAAAGAACTTTATACTTCTAATATTGCATATTTGAAATATAGACAATAGTCACTCAGGGCTGAAAGGGGACCCTCTTTTAAAAATAGTTGATCTCCATCTTTCTTGAGTAGATAACCGAAGGCAAAAATAATTTATCTAGAGGCCCCTCCTAGCTCATTTGTGCTAGAAATCTAAGTACCTGGAATGGAAATTTATTTTTAGGAGGGTTAACTTATCTGTAGGAACCACATAATATCAACCATATCACCGATAAATTCTCATAGTGATTCAACATAAATTAGAAAAATTTTTATTTATTATTTTGTCTACACCACAGAAAAGGAAGTGAAATTAAGACAGTTAAAAAATTTGATACAGATACATGTCTGAGCCATGAAATTTCATAAAATTCATGCATATACAGTAAGTTTTTAAAAATTTCTATTTCCTGGCCAGGTACCAAGGCTCACGCCTATAATCTCAGCACTTTGGGAAGCCAAGATGGGAGGATTGCTTGAGCCCAGGATTTCAAGACCAGCCTGGGCAACATAGCAACACCCCACCTCTTGCTTTATTCTTATTTACTTGTCTTATTCTTGAGAGATCTTTAGGATTAGCCAGGAAACTATAGGAGGGTCTGCTTGGCCATATACAAAGTGGCATTTTTTTTTTTTTTTTTTTTTGAGACAGAGTCTCTGTCGCCCAGGCTGGAGTGCAGTGGTGCAATCTCGGTTCACTGCAAGCTCTGCCTCCCAGGTTCAGGCCATTCTCCTGCCTCAGCCTCTCCGAGCAGCTGGGACTACAGGCACCCGCCACTACCCCCGGCTAATTTTTTGTATTTTTAGTAGAGACAGGGTTTCACCGTGGTCTCGATCACCTGACCTCATGATCCGCCCGCCTCGGCCTCCCAAAGTGCTGGGATTACAAGCGTGAGCCACCGCGCCCGGCCGGCTTCTTAAATAAGTCGACTTTGGGTGGACAGAATCTAACTCTGCCGTCTCTTACAAGGTCCTAGCACACCCAGGACAGACCAAGCCCTCAGAACAGGCCCCTTTTTGGTGTTTATAGCATCTGCACTAATCTAGAGAAATGGTGGGTCAGGCTAAGCTACTGATGCTGCTGCTAATTGACTCAATTGCTAATTGAGTCCCGGCTTTTCAACAGATAGAATGTGTTTTAGCTACACTGTATAGAAGGTTTCATTTTGGTTGTGTGTGTTTTGATTCTCTTTGGGCTCTGGTATTGCTGTGTATCTGTGTCTGGTCACTGGGGCCTCGTGGGCTAATTTAGATCTCTTTGAGCTGGTGGAATGCACAGATGCTGAGAATCAAAGGGTTCATTTTTGACTGACCAGAGTGGTTGGTTGCACATCTAGGGAATAAAGTTTTCTCTTTCATCAGTCCAGTCAGTGGGCTAAACATAGAAGTAAGAAAGAGTAAGGAACTGCTGCTATTTTATGGACTTTACACTCCAGCTTCTCATCTACTAAAGGGCAACATACTACATAGGTGTTGATCTCATTTCATTGTTGATGCTGGTCACAGCCTGCCCTAAAACCAGGTGTAAAACAGACAATCTCTCTCTCCAGCCTGTGTTTGCCGCATACTCCTCAGAATCCCACTTTCACAGGACCCCTCCATGGCAGCGCCATATGGTCTGGCTTTTCCGAACCCATCAAAATTTACTTGTCTTGGCTCATACACAAACATGCGCGTGCGTGCGCGCGCGCACACACACACACACACACACTTTCCAAGTGCCCTAACATACATTATTTCACTTATTCTTTACAACAATCCTAAAATGCAGGTATTTTAAATTTCAAAGTAAATCCTAATATGTAGGTATTAATAATCCGTATTTGTCAAGGAAGGTAACAAGTCTAGAAGAGGTAAAATGACTTGCATGCCTTCACACACAAAAGTAAATAGCAGGGCCAGGGCTCAAACCCAGAGCTCCTGAATCCAAACCCTTTGCTATTTTCCCACCACACAACCCCGAGTTTCATTCTGTGATACTGGCTTCCTGCATTATGACTTCCAAGCAAATGTGCCTCTCCTAGATCAATTCCATGAGGCCAGTTTTGTGGAGCCCGCGGGCCCCATGACAGGCCTGTGGGGAGAGGGTCTGTGTCATGCTAGCCTTTTAGATGCCTTTCAAACTGCTCCGTGAATGCATGATCCGGCCTCCTGTGTCTGTGGCCAGTTTGGCTGTCATTTTCCCAGGAAGTTAGTTCATTCCAATGAACAGAACTGGTAACATAGGAGATAAGATTAACTCTGGGGACAGAGGAAACAGAAGGAGTTGAGAGACACCAGAAAATTAGAGGAAAGAAGGCATATAGCACAGGATCATTAGCTTGGGGAGCAGAAGAGAGGTGTGTGTGTGTGTGTGTGTGTGTGTGTGTGTGTGTGTGTGTGTGTGTGTGTGTGTTGGAAGAGGGAGCCCCTGCTGGGGCTTTCTATTCTGTAGGGGAGAGAGGGAGCGAAGCCCTTTCCTATAGAATTGGCTTCCACTGGCAAGTGGCTATGATGAGCAGGCCTGAGATTTTCCTCCAGCATATATAAGTGTCATAATTTTCTTTCAATGGCAAAAGAGACTATCCTGGGTGATGTTCAAGGAATGTCTGGCCAGGGCACAGAGGAGACTTTGTTCATTTTTGCAGCATGGTTATTTCTGAGATGCTGCCAAAGCTAACTCTCTGGGCTATTGGTACAGAAAGAGAAAGTTGTCTGTATCGTGCACATAGGGACTTGGCTCTGGGAGAAGGGGAGCTGATGCTGGAGAATCACCTGTCTGTCTTTACTCCTTCTCCCTCTTTGCCCTATAGTTCTGCTTGTTTGTCTTCCCTTTAGTTTTGAATTTGACATATAGTGATTTTACCCAGCAAGTGGAGTACATTAAACCTGAAAGTCCAAGTGCCAGTTTCAAATAAAACTCAGCTATTTTTGTTTGACCTTTTCTTCCACTTAGATCTCCTATATCCAAGACATTTTTGCATCTATGGAATTTTGTAAAGTAGTCAATCTGATTACTGTGCTGTATCTCCTACTCCATACTCCTGAGTGTAGGAATGCTTTGTGTAAGCCCATGACATAAGCATTCATATCTCCTGGCAAACCATAGCCCGGCCCATCACATTCTTATGCTGAGGCAGATATTGTGATAGAGAAAGGGAGAATAAAGTTTACTTTTATTTTGTATGGAAGAATCTGAGAATTATTCCACTCTGATAATATGAAAGAAAGTGCTATGGAGTAATTATAACAAAGAACTCAATCCTCCCTCCTTGCTCCATTGGATTAAAGGTTATCTGGAAAACGTGCAAAGTGCATGAGAGAGTGACCGCAGCCACTGAGCGGAGGCAGGAGGAATGGAGATGGGTCCAGCTGGAGGCAGTGGGATGGCTGTGGGACCAGGAGGGGAGATCAATGGCAAAGCAGCCTGCAAAAGTCACAGAATGCCCAATTGGAGTAGAATACTCTGGAAGAAAGCCTCTCAATTATTCTCTCTCTCTTCCCAGAGTTCTTTCCCGTAATTACTTCTCATTCTTATTTAGCTCTTTTAAAAGTACAAAAAGTGCAAATTACCCCACAGGCAATTGGGGAAAACTTTAAAATCCCATCCCTGAATGAGAGGTTTGAGCTTTCTGGATCTCTTCTGGAGAGTAGCTTTGTCTTTCTTTTTCTCTGTTTTTCCTTGATCTGAATAATAAGGGCAAAACTTCTGTCTGAAGGAAGGCATGAGAATGATTTAGCTTGAAGAGTAAAATGATGAAAGAAGTCATCCTCGTAGGTATCTTGGCTAATGTACAACTCTAAAACCTCTTTCAGCTCCTGAAATACCCACTATTGATCAGGCATATTCAAAACTCAGCAACAGTATCACTGTAGAATGGGCTACAGTGCCGGGTGCCACCAGTTACCTCCTCACGGCTGAAGACGGGGACACAGTCATTGAAACCACGGTGGCCAATTCCCCAGGCACTGTGACGGGACTAAAGGCTGCAACCTGGTATGAAATCACCATCAGATCCATCAGCGCTGCTGGGAGAAGCCAGGCGTCACCTCCAAAGCAGGCAAAGACAGGTGGCTGGATGGATGCTCATCCTCCGTTGAGTGTTTGCTTGTGACTTGGATCAGTTATCCTGGTGCTGCAAATGCAGAATGTGATTTGGTGTCACATGAGTGCCTACAATTCAAGGCCCAGAAGTGAAAGCTACCAAATGATGCTGTTTGAGAATTCAGCTATCTGCGGAGGAGGTGGCATTTAAATGCCAGCTGCTTTGCTTTGGAAAATAAAGCCCATTTCTGGGCATCTTTAAAAGCATCCCAGCTTTTAAATCTCTGAAATAGGGATTTCTGGTTTTAACACGCCAAATGAAGAACACAGAGAAGGGATTTTGCTGCACTCTGACCGTATGGCATATATGTTAACAAAACAAATAAAAGCATTTGGAGTTTGTCATCAGCATTACTGAAATTGATTTGATAAAGTTGTACCTAGGCATATTTCTGAAAAGTTATGTGCACATTAAAATGGTGTAACCCCTAATTTTCCCATTGATTTATATTATGATTATAGGAATGTTTTATCTAATTTCTGACTAACTTCAGTTAAAAGTAGTGCCTGATATTTAGCGTTTCTCTGTTTCCCATTCCTCTGCCAAGTCATTTATGATTAGTATACACTTAAATAGCAATTATTTAATGAAACTTTGTTGTGAATGCTCTTCTAAAGCAAATAATTATTGTATATTATGGATATCAATTTACTTGCTTCTAAATTTGAATTATCCTCTATTGGACTTTGGTAACACAAATGCATGTGTTTTTATTTTTTTAGTGTTGGCTGCACCAATTCTAGAAGTAAGCTCTCCAAGTTCAGACTCCATTCTTGTGCAGTGGGAAGCTGTATATATGGCAATTGCATTCTCCGTGTCCATTATGCGAGCCAATGGCTTGGGGAGTATATGGAAAGAGAATACTACAAACACCTCCTTGACATTCACCAGTTTAGAAGCCGGAACTCTCTACACCATAAAGGCCTATGCATGGAATGCCAACAGAATCCCTGGGGATGACTCCACCTGCAATCAGAGAACAAGTAAGAACTTCTCAGCTCAGCCTCGAACAATTCTACTTTTGATTAATGAGGGGGGCTGTGTGTTGCAGCCATCAAGGGCAGTGTTACATGACAAGTACAGAGCAGCTGGCAACAGCTATTTAAATTTATTATAAAGTTATTTATAGTGCCTTGTCTATTCCTCCTCGGTAGTTTAAACGCTTCCTGCATGGATAAAGAAATGCTACTCAGAATGCACACAGCATGGCTCCGCCCTCTAATATCCAACTCAATTTCAGCATTCACATTCGACCTCACACAAAAGAAGATGATTCTTGTTAAGTTTACCCATCACCCCTTGTCCCTTTCTGGGTTCAGGCCAATTAGTATAAGAATTGGGCCAAATAGGAATTCATTTGTTCAGCAGATACTGAGTGAGTGTGTGCCAACTTTGAGCTGGCATTGTTCTAGAGATACAGCAGCAAGCAAAGCAAGGTTTCTGCAGGCACAGTGCTTGATGCTGCAGTGGAATTCATGTTTCAGATCTGTTTCCCAAAGGCCTCAGCTTGGGTCTGAAGTCAGCATGGGGCTTCCCACTATTGCTCCTCCAGCTGTGGGGAGAAGCTGAAGCTTGGTGTGCATTTTCTCACCGTCCCACCTAGAGGTCCCCCGAGCAAAGGACTCTGCAGCATTACAACTGGAGGTCCAAATTGAGCTGCTGGAGTGAGCCAAGCGAATGAGAGAGAGAGAGAGAGAGAGAGAGAGAGAGAACGAGAGGGGGTGTTTTTTCTTTCCTTGAGGCAGAGTAAGCCATCCACTGGCAATGTAACCTACATAGATAGGAGACTCTCACCAACCAGATTAGCTGTTTCTCCACTTGGGGAGGACACAGGAAAGGATGGAAAGAAACCAGAAATGTTCTCTCCAACTTTCCCTAAGTTTGGAGGGGAATGGAAGCCCCATAGTGTATGGGCCAAGGCAGAATGTAGGGAGAAGAGAGGGGTTTGCCTTTTATACTATTTCCCTAGGGAGGTAGTATAATCATAGCCCTGCGGTGATTCATGACAGTCTTGGTGAGTCAGGATGTCTGTGACAAGTCAGTCTCCCTGGGCCTTTTCCTAGGCTGGCTGGCTTGCTTTCTTCCCTCCTTCCCTTATCTTCCCCTCCTGTCCTTCCCTTTCCTTTCCCTTTCACACTGCTTTTTTCTTTCCACATTTGTTGAGGGCCCACTGTGTGCTGGGCATAAGTTAGCTGATGGAAATACAAAAGCAAATAAAGCATGATCCCTCCATTCAAAGAATGGACTATGTCAAAGGAGAGACCAATGGTGAGTCAGCGTTTCCAGTTTCACCTGACCAGTGCTTTGGCAGAAGGCTGCCGACACAGCGAGGCACAGGAGGCAGCATCTTCATCAGGCTGGGGCACTGAGACAGCATCCCCTAGAATAACTTGTTTCTTAAAGACTTCCCCTACATAGGTTTCCCCATGTTTTACAAAGCTTTACAGAGTTTAGATTTCACCTCTGGATTAGTTTCCTAGGGCTGCTGGAACCACAAACTGGGTGACTTGAACAATAGAAATGTTTGGTTTCATGGTTCTGGAGGCTACGAAGTCTGAAATCAAGGTGTTGGCTAGGTTGGTTCCTTCTGAGGGATGTGAGGAAGAATCTGTTCCAGGCCTCTCTCCTTGGCTTGTAGATGGTTATCTTCACATTCACATGGAATTTTCCCTATATATGTGTATCTGTGTCCAAATTTATTCTTTTAATAAGGAAATCAGCCATATTGGATGAGGGCCCACCCTAATGATCTCATCTTACCTGATTACATCTGCTATGACCCTATTTCCAAATAAGGCTACATTCTGAGAGTACTAGGGGCAAGAACTTCAACATATGAACTTGGAGGGAACTCAAGTCAACTCATAACAGGCTCTCACTACTCTACCTATTTTTCCTAGTTCTCCCATGCTTCCTGTGGGAAAAGCAAGTTGCCCTAAAACACTGCAGGCTACCCCTACCAGCCCTGGGCCCAGCACTTCCCTAAAGCAGAACTGCCTCTGCAGACTAGCTGACCATGCAGTGGGAAGGGGCCTGTCAAGATGGCCCACGGGAAAATCATGGCAGATGCCTGCCTTACAGAGAATGAGTTAGGTCCTCATGTCCTCAAAGAGGCCTTCCCGGCCGGGCACGGTAGCTCACGCCTGTAATCCCAGCACTTTGGGAGGCTGAGGCGGGTGGATCACGAGGTCAGGAGATCAAGAACATCCTGGCTAACATGGTGAAACCCCGTCTCTACTAAAAATACAAAAAATTAGCAGAGCATGGTGCCGGGCGCCTGTAGTCCCAGCTACTCAGGAGGCTGAGGCAGGAGAATGGCATGAACCCCGGAGGCGGAGTTTGCAGTAAGCCAAGATTGCGACACTGCACTCCAGCCTGGGCGACAGAGCGAGGCTCCGTCTCAAAAAAAAGAAAAAAAAGAGGCCTTCCCTGTTTGTCCCAGACATGTCCAGAGGATGCTGGTCTCTGCTCACAGACTGTTTAAGCAGTTTCCTAAGGCCTGCTGCGTGGGCGTTATTACAGTACAGATTCCAAAGAACGGAGGCCAATTTCTCCCCTCCCCAGGCCAGGACACCTTCTTACGCTTTTTTAATGCGGTAACTCTTAAGAAAGGAAGGTATATTTACAAGAATGTAGGGTTAAGTGTTTTGGAGACACTAAAAGACTGCCTTAATATGTATGCATCACACTTGACACCTTCCTTCCTTCCTTTTGATAATGAATGGAAAGAAAATCTGCTCCTCTAGAAACAATTATGACCGAAAAGCTATTACAGTAAAAGTTGTAGCAGATGTCAAAAGTAACGAAGGGATATGTTTAGTTTCATTGATCAATAACAGAAAATATTTGACCTATCACTTAATAATAACGTACCCACGTGGCCCTTTTAGTTCTCCCCATTTATAATTTCATTTAACTATTTTAACTACTTATTAAATAATGCATTAATTCATTCAAAATATGTCTTTTGGCACCTATAGGTGTTAGGCATGGATCTTATTAGATCTATTTAGATATAAGAAAAAAATAAATAACAAAAAGGGTAAATAATATGGGGTCAAGGTCACACAGTATATTATGAGTTTGCATAGTAGCAGATGAATTACCAGTTCCCAGGCATCATCCTAAATCCCAATTTTATGCTTTGAACACTTGTAATTATCCAACTATTGGGTACCTTATCCTCCAGGCTCTGCAACATTGTTATGCCAACTCTTACGTAGTTTGTAAGGCTACTACAAAATCTTAATTGTTTCTCTAAAATGTAGGTCCTCGGGCCCCTGCCAACATTCAAGTCTCTTTCGATAGTGGAGCTCTGAAGGCATCTTTTTCCTGGGCACGGGCAGAAGGAGCTTTCAATTATACTGTGATGGCTTTGAGCGACTCTTCAGAGCTGACCTGCAGTACAACTTTCAGTTCCTGCACCATCTCTTCCCTCCAGTGTGGAACTGAATACTTGATTTCAGTTTTAGCAAGTAATGATGCTGGATCTAGCAAATCATCTTCAGCAATGACCCTGAAAACTGGTATGTAAACAAGAGTGAGACTGCTGTCGGGCTTGCAGCCCTGACTGCTGTAAGGGAGACGTTCACTGACAATGTTTCTGAATACTCTGGAAAAAATGAAAATGAAAGCCTGGTCTAAATGAAAGCATAGAGTTGGACATTCTCATGAGTTTGAATAATATTGATAGTGAAGCGAGATATTGTGTATTGCAAAAAGCACTTTTTGGAAAATTAGGAGGCCTGGTTTCTATTCCAGATCTTTCATTAATTAGTTTTTTCTTTTTCCTTTGTAAAGCTGTGAAAATTCTAAGATGTGATTTGAGTTGTACACAGCTCTAACTGTGCATACAGATAACTGCGTCTTCTTTGCGTCATGTCTCATGTCCTAGGCTTGGTGGGAGCCGCCATTTTTTAAGAAAAAGATAGGATATTTCTAGTTCTGAACATGCGTTTAGATATTTTTCCATTTTCATTCTTATCAGAGAGATAACCACATACACATGTGGAAGTTGACTCCTCTATTTAGAAATATCTATGTGTCTTGGGGATGGAAACTAACACTTAATGAAACTAACACTTAATGAAGACCTACTATGTCTCTGGCACTATAAGTATGTTATTTCATTTAAATCTCATGACAACTCAGTGAGGTGGGTTCTATTTTCTCTTTTTTTACATAAGAAAATTGAAGCTCAGAGAAGTTAAATAATTTTCCTAAGGGCACACCGATAATAAGTGGTAGAGCTGAGATTCAAGCTGCTCAAGTTTGCCTAATTCCAATGCTTAAAGCCAAAGAAAATGTTGACAATTACAATAATATCTACTTTATCTAACAGTCAGTTATGTCATTCTAAGTTTAAAAAGCTTCTGAACAGAAAGAAAAGGAGCTGTCATCAAGTTGATGCACTCCATTCCACAGGAAAAAAAAAATAAAGCTATTCTTTCAGGCCCGCACTCTCTTATAGTTATGTTAAATTAAGGTCAATGATAACAAACTTGATGATTTGGCTTCTCTTTTGACAACTGTGATTTAATGTGAATGGTACATTAGAAGCGATTATGAGGACAAGATAGCTAAGAGTGGGAGAAGAGAGAAAAAATACTTTCAAAAGCATAGCAGTTCTGAGTTACGCAGTTAGGCATTTAATGCAGGGGAGAACCATGCAGAGTTTTTAAATCTTGGACACACATTAAGAGCATCTGGGGAACTTTTACAAAATCCCAATACCCAGGTCCCACTTAAGACCAACTGGAGTTGCTGGGAATAGAATTTGGATATGAATAGTTTGTAAAAGCTCCCCAGTTGATTCTACTATGCAGTCAGGGTTAAGTGCCATTGAAATAATCCTTCACACTTAACAGGTCCAGGATGTTCTAAGGCAGTTTGTGTATAACACAGTCATGATCATAGGGATGACCTTGACTTATTAATAAAAGAACTATGTTTACAAACTACGGTGTGTCTCCTGGGGCCCAGAAGTGTGTAATATATTTCGGGAAGATTTCCACTAGAGAAAACTAAAATTTTTAAAGCTTAGCACTTGAATGAACAAACTTTACTTGAATTCATTCTTTCAGAAGATTTTGTTCCATCAATAAATGAGGCATTATGTGGATAAATGAGGTATTGCCTTAACACAGAGAAACAGTCAATATTAATCAAATCAATACATGCCTGCTTTTGACATAGTCTAGCACTTATTGTGTGAGATAAATTTTAGGACATCTGAGAATGTCTCCTGGGTTTGTACTGAGTTGTACATACTATTTGATTTGTTCCTTATTCGTAGCATCTAGTATCTTAACTCTATGCTTAAGATGCTCCCTGGAGGATGTAATGGGCATAAGAATGTATTCTGTCATTCAGTGCATGAGAGGCTGCAGTTAGAAAAACTTTCCAGGTTGCACACGGGGGCTCATGCCTGTAATCTCAACACTTCAGGAGGCCGAGATGGGTGGATTGCTTGAGTCCAGGAGTTCAAGACTAGCCTGGGCAACATGGCTAGACCCCGTCTCTACAAAAAATACAAAAATTAGCTGCTCATGGTGGCATGCACCTGTAGTTCCAGCTACTCACGAGGCTGAGGTGGGAGGATCACCTTAGCCTGGGAGGCAGAGGTTGCAGTGAGCTGAGATCGCACCACTGCACTCCAGCCTGGGTGACAGAGCGAGACCTTGTCTCCAAAAAAAAAAAATTAATTAATTAATTAATTAAAAAATAAATTTAGGCTGGGCGCATTGGCTCCTGCCTGTAATCCCAGCACTTTGGGAGGCTGAGAGGGGAGGATCACTTGAAGTCAGGAGTTCAAGACCAGCCTGGCCAACATGGTGAAACTTTGTCTCTACTAAAAGTACAAAAATTAGTTGGGCATGGTGGTGCACACCTGTAGTCCCAGATGCTTGGGAGGTTGAGGCAAGGGAATCACTTCAGCCCAGGAGGTGGAGGTTGCAGTGAGCCGAGATCACATCACTGTGCTCCAGCCTGGGCAACCGAGTGAGACTCTGTCTCAAAAAAAATAATAAATAAAATAAAAAATAAATTTAAAAAAATAGTTTTTTTAATAAAAGAATTTTCCATGCTATGGAGGCTTTACAGATAAACCCCCAGAAAGACCCAGCTCCATTCCTTCCTACTTATGTGATCTTAGACAACTTACCAACCTCTATAAGCCTCAGTTTCCTCAATTGTAAAATGATGATAGTTGCTGGAAGAATTAGAGAATATATTAATATAAAACACAATGAATGATGTCTGTATTTTAATCTCTAAAACAGGTAACTTCTGGGATATTCATTATTCCACTCAAGCCAGACTAGCTTCATCTCTGGATGAAGTCAAATATTTCAACAAATAATCTAACGATGAAAATTTGTATGTCTTAAGATGACTATGAATCTCTGATGGCTCATTATTTCAAACAATATTTCATATAACAAGAGAATGTGAGAGGTCATTAAAATTTGTTGTAGTGGTTTGGGGCCTGTAACATAGCCTTTGGTCCTATAAAGAAAATCTTCTAATGCTTCCAGTGCACAGTTTTGCATTTTGTGCACCAAATTCAATCTGTCACAAAGCTCAGAGTTGCTAATTTGGGTTGTATTGAAATCTTGGATAATTGCAAAGATGCGAAGAAAATCTCCTGCAGTAGTCTCATGTTTATTATTGATCATTTCCTAGTTGCTTGTGCACCCGGAAGAGTGACGATCCAAGAAGATCCCCCTGGCCACCTGTCTGTGGCTTGGTCCAGTGTAGATCTGGGTGACTACTATGTGGTCTTTGTGAAGAGTGATGATGGCTTGGAAGTACACTGCAACACATCTCTCACTCAGTGCAACTTCTTATCTGAGTGTGGCTTCACTTATTTTATTAGTGTTTTTGTCTATAACAAGGCAGGGCAAAGTCCTTTGGGTGACATATTCAATTATACCACAGGTAAGTCCCATTTGATGTTTGTTAAGGGAGTTCTGAGATCTCTAACCTCAGCAGCAGAATGGATCACCTATTCCACTTATTGACTTACCACCTGGGAGTCATTCTAGAGCCAAGAACAGAAAGTAATCTCTTATCTCACATTCTTTCCAGACTAGGGAATTTTGGCTTTGTGGACCTAAGCATAACTAGACTGCAAGGTTTGGGAGTGAAAAGAGGAGAAAGAATGTAGTTGTTCAACCTTGCTCTGAAAGATTGAACTCGCCACAAAGATGTACTCAGTGAGTGTTCTAGCATGTGCTGCTGCCAGAGAGAAGGCAGTGCCTCCGTTTCAGGAGGTCACTCTTTCCCTGAGACCAAGACAGACATACAATGGCCAAGACGCTACATGGTGTGGAGGGCTTTGGAGTAGGACACCTGGGTTTACACCCTAACTTGACCACTAATTCATTCCTTCAGTGAGGATAATGATGCCCACCTTGCTAGTTCCTTAGTATCCTCCACTGCAAAATGGGACAAATCATGAAAACATGAATGTAAAAAGGTCTTGTGTGTGACAAAGCATGATGCACATATTTTTATTATTAGCATCACCGTTGCTGTTGCTATTATTCTCCTCTACTAGGCTTGCATCTTGTACAAGGCAGGAATTATGTCTTATTTATCTCTTCATCCTCAGTGCTTATAATAGTGTGATCAGCATATGGGAGATGCTCAAGTTTTGAAGAATGAGTGGAGTGATTTGAAATTAAATAACTACATTACAAATAAGAATACTCAAACATAATTATGTAAAAGTCTAGCTGAATTACAGTAAATTTTGACAGGATGAGGGATCTAAATCATTGGTGCCTTTGGAATGTGGAAAAAGAGGCTATCGATAAGGTCCCGACACGAGAGGGCCCTCCAGAGTGGCCTTGAACTGGATCTTGAAGGATGAATGGGAATGTAGGTGGGGCAAGAGCATCCCAGGGAAACTCCAAGCTGAGTCAGACATTTGCCAGTGGGGTTCTTTAGGGTCTCTTAAGACCTACCTATATACGGCCGGGCACAGTGGTTCACGCCTGTAATCCCAACACTTTGGGAAGCCGAGGCAGGCAGATCACTTGAGGTCAGGAGTTGAGACCAGCCTGGGCAACATGGAGAAACTCTGTCTCTGCTAAAAATGCAAAAATTAGCTGGACGTGGTGGCATGTGCCTGTAATTCCAGCTACTCCAGAGGCTAAGACCTGAAAATCACTTGAACCCAGGAAGCAGAGGTTGCTGTGAGCTGAGATCACACCACTGCACTCCAGCCTGGGTGGCAGAGCAAGACCCTGTCTCTTTGAAAAAACAAAACAACAACAACAACAAAAAAACTACTTATATAACTGTGAGCCCTACCCCCCAGTTTTATTTGGTTTACTGTCTGGAAAGGCTGACAGGATCTGAGAAGTTAGACTGCATATGATTTTACCAGGCAGAAGAGGGGAATGGCTTTCCAGTGGAGGGGTCAGCAATCTTCTCTGCATAGAGAACAAGGGCGCACGTGGCGTGGGGGAATTGAGGAGTCTGGTGTGGCAGGGAGTGGGGGGAGTACAGCAGAACCTTATAGCTTGCAATGACCTTCAATGTCATGCTGAGGATTTACCCTCTATGCAGTGGCAATTAGGCCAAGATTGGACCTTGACAGACCCATAGGGAGTCACTGTAGTCATCAGGGAGGGCAGTGGCAGAGGCTCTGGGCATGGGAGGTCAGGACACAGTGTACCCCCAGCTGCATTGCTCTTGATGGGACCGCCATTTTCCCTCTGCTCCTGCTTTCAGCTCCCTGTTGTCCTAGTGACATTAACCCCGTGTTGGTGTCCAGTGACAGAGTTGAGATTGTCTGGTCTCCTGTCCGTGGTGCCGAACTGTATGAAACCAAGGCTGTAGATGGGTACAACATGGTTGAGTGCAATGACACTACTCCTGCGTGCACCCTTTCGGCTCTAGAGTGTGACACCAAGTACAACATCACAGTGTATTCATTCAATGAAGTCCGAGGCAGCAATATGTCATGTACTCCCCAGTTCATAACCACAGGTAAGGCACAGCTATCATTCCACTCACTGGTGTCTGAATGATTCACCCCAGCTCTGAGCCTCAGGATGGGCATTCAGTGAGACCAATAAAAAGGTTAAATCCCATTAATCAATCTTTGTGGAGACCAAGAGAGCCCCCGTTGTACGAAGGAGAGGCAGAGGAGAAGGCAGAAGAGGAAAGTGGAAAAAATGAAAACAAAAGGGGAGACCACGGGGAGAGTAGAAGGTTTTGCCCATGATGACTTCAGCCATTCGGTTCCTCCTATCTTTGAGGGGCCTGCCTGTACTCACACCATGAAGGTGTATAAATATGTTTCTTACTTACTTTTGCTTTTGGAGTTCACAATGCTTTTAAACATTTTCCAGCTAGTCCAGTACTCTATGAACCCAATGCCCTGTGTTAATGTCAACAGTTCCCCACGCATAGGCACTATGAATTTGGCCCGCATGCATGACGTGGTTGAAAACTGTGATGATCTCACTGGGGGCAAAATCAGTTTTAGACCAAATGGCACATGTGATATTTTTGACTCATGCTGGTTCAATTAATACTCTAAAATGTCTTAGCTCCTTGCAGTCCTGAAATAAAAAATGTTTCAAGGGATGCATTCTCCATGATTAATGTGCACTGGCGATCCACTAATGATGATGCTACTTACACGGTGACTGCCCAAGGGGAGAAAGGACTGTATCAGTGCAGCAGCACAGGAGAGTCCTGCACCATGCGGGGCTTGCCCTGTGGCTCAGTGTTCTCTGTCACTGCTGTGGCCGAAACACAGGCAGGACGGAGCCTGCCCAGCTACAGTGTGCCCCTGGAAACAGGTATGTAGCAACCACCAGCCTGAATGTTGACTTCAGTGGGGTCCTTATGGAGTGTTTCAAGACATGAACTTCCTTATTTAATCTACCCTCAGTGCAACAGAAATACATTAAACTCAGAGACGTTTCAAAGAGTCCCGGTCATAGACAATAAAATTTTCAATATTTTACAAGTTCTGTAAAAATATCCTCAAGACTAGTATATCCATTCACTGGCATCAGAGAAGGAATACTTACTCATTCTGCAAAACATTTATTTGAATTCATATTCCCCTATGATATAATCTATCGAAACAGCTAACAAATGAGTAGCCAAATGAGCTGGGTTGTTACTTATTTCTTTGGCTCAGCCCTTTCAAATTTTTCTCTTTAAAAAATGCTTTCTGGCCAGCATGGTGGCTCACGCCTGTAATCCCAGCACTTTGGGAGGCCGAGGCGGGCAGATCACGAGGTCAGGAGGTCGAGACCATCCTGGCTAACACGGTGAAACCCTGTCTCTACTGAAAACACAAAAAATTAGCTAGGCGGGGTGGTGGGCACCTATAGTCCTGGCTACTCAGCAGGCTGAGGCAGGAGAATGGCGTGAACCCAGCAAGCGGAGCTTGCAGTGAGCAGAGATCATGCCACTGCACTTCAGCCTGGGCAATAGAGTGAGATTCCGTCACAAAAAAAAAAAAAAATGCTTTCTGACTTTCAATTTCCTGATAGGTAAAAGGGAGATAATGGCCTCATAGGGTGGCTATGAGTATTAAGTTGACTAATGCTGCAAAGCACTTAGCATAATGCCTGATGCACAGCAAGAGCTCCATAAAAGAAAACTATTATTACAGCGTAGCATTGTGTATGAATGAAACGTGGCAAATCACTTCAAGCCTGTGGACATTAGTTTTTCTTATATACAGTGATAGATGGCACTTTGGACTATAAAAGTTGAAATACCTAAAAAAAGAAGCCAGCAGTAAGATAGAGACCATACAAAATACTGCATACGTGAAGATGTTAGGTATCCTATATTCGGGTAATGGGTCCCTGAAAAGTCAAGATGGCTGTGGTATTTTAGACAGCTAAGAAATCAAGCTTTTATATCAGTGATGTACTATGAAATTTTCAAGAAAGGCAAATTATACTTAATTGCTAATGCTATGAAATGTTCTGTTGGGAGAAGTGAAAGCAACCGTTACTTTGAAATTTGCAGTTAGAATTGTTGAAGATGGGCCGGGCATGGTGGCTCATGCCTGTAATCCCAGCACTTTGGGAGGCTGAGGCAGGCAGATCATGAGGTCAAGAGATTGAGACCATCCTGGCCAACATGGTGAAACCCCATCTCTACTGAAAATACAAAAATTAGCTGGGCATGGTGGCACGCACCTGTAGTCCCAGCTACTCAGGAGGCTGAGGCAGAAGAATCGCTTGAACCTGGGAGGTGGAGGTTGACTGCACTCCAGCCTGGCAACAGAGCGAGACTCCATCTCCTTCTCAAAAAAAAAAAAAAAATGTTGAAGATGGGGGCAACAAAGGATGTCTTTCTTATTCTGAAAAAAAAAAATGGTGGAAACCTGCAACAGCCAGTTGGTGCAGTGCATTCTTGGGGAAAGTACCCACTATATACAGTGAATGTTACATGACGCATCAGAGGGAATGAACAAAAGGAAATTTTTTATTAACAATGGAAAGTTGGGGAATGTAGGATATTGAGTGAAACACAGGCAAAATACCATTCTTTATCATTTTTCACAAATAATCTTCAGTGGAAATAAATCTCCAATTCTTTTTCTTTTATCCCATTTAAGTGCCATGCTGTCCAACCGGTCTGACAGTAACTCAAATCACCCAGTCAGTAATCAACGTGAGCTGGACTATTGGGAGAGTGGCTCAAACCCATGTTGCAGTTCTGGAGTCACACACTGGACAGTCTAAGTGTCACACTCATCAAAACCACTGCCTCCTAGGATGCATCACATGTGGCATCAATTACACAGTGACATTAAAAGCAATTAGTGCCACCGGGTTGACTGCAGATTGCTCCTACCAAAGTTATTTCTCTGGTAAGTGAACTCTAGCTCTAGAGTAGCAGTAAGGACTTGACTATTATCAATCCAGGCATGAGCCTTTCCTCCTCATTTAAAAAGATGCTGCATCTCCACCTAGTTTGCATTATAAACTCAGATTACTTTCTAAAATGGTTATAGTTTCCCTTTGACTTAGAACCTCAAAGCTTCAGAGGCTTCTGTTGGTAGTTGGTGAATTAACTCCCCTAGTAACAATGTTCCTCTATGCTTTTTCTGAAGGGACCATGTATCTTTATATGACATAGCTACTTGCAACACAGAGTAACGTAGCCTGGCAGAGTTTTCTGAAAGCTAGATCACACATTCTGTTTGGTTTGCATTTTTTTCTTCTCATTATTATTGTGCTACTACCTCTCTTTTCTAAGCTTCTTCAGCTGCTTCAATGGTTTCTTATTTCAACAGGCTAAGAGAGCAAAGACATCTGTCTACTGACAGTATTGTACCTTGTTCTTCACAAAGACCAAACCATTAGGGAATAGCAGGGGAAAGTAAAAGCAGTGCAAGGTTACCAAATCTCTTGCATGATTCTAATTCACTGAAGTGGCTGCTTGTAACACGGTTTTGATAAAACTCTTGAGGATGCTTCCTAGGCTTAAGGAGAAAAAGTACAATGATAAGTTACCTCTGCCTGGGGCATGGGATGGAAGAGTTGGAATATAATTTTGGCATCCTAGAGGTAGTAGAAAGAGTCTTAACTGGGAGTCAAAATTAGACATGGATTCTAATAAGCTGTGTTGCCTAATCTTCCCTGATTCTGTCTCCTCATTGAAAAAGACAGGAATAGTAATATTTTCCTTCGAAGTTGTTTTGAGAATCAAAATAAATCATAATGTGAGAACATTCAGAACATGCTGCACGTATGTCAGCTGGTATGTACTTTCTTTTGACCCATTATCTTGTATTAGATTTACTGCTTAAGTTCTCACCTTGATATCCAGTTCTCAGAATATGACCCATTGCTTATTCTTTTAAGAATAAATCAAGTAAGCCTGATTATAATAACTTTTAAAAATTATACAGTAGGATCTTTAACTTAGTTACTAAGGAATCCATTTGATGCCCTTATTGGCACCTAATGTGTGGCTTGCTCAAGGTATTTAGAAAAGGAAAAAAATACTAATCAGTGGCCTGGCGCGGTGGCTCATGCCTGTAATCCCAGCACTTTGGGAGGCCGAGGCAGGCGGATCACGAGGTCAGGAGATCAAGACCATCCTGGATAACATGGTGAAACCCCGTCTCTACTAAAAATACAAAAAAATAGCCAGGCGTGGTGGCGGGCGCCTGTAGTCCCAGCTACTCGGGAGGCTGAGGCCGGAGAATGGCGTGAACCCGGGAGGCGGAGTTTGCAGTGAGCCGACCAGCCTGGGCAACAGAGCGAGACTCCGTCTCAAAAAAAAAAAAAAAAAAAATACTAATCAGCTACCATGGATGAAGCGTGGACCAGCAAACTTGGTCACTGGCATGTTGTATAAATGGCTGCACCTAAAGTGTCATACTACTCATCTCGGCAAAATTGGTTCTTCAATTAAGGCTGAATGCAGTTAATTATATTTAAGTTTAATGCCACCAAAATCAAATAAAACTAGGGCATTATGAGGGATCTTGACAAGGATTCTGTGCCTTTGACTCACAGTTTGAATCATGTACAATATGTATCTGCCAATTTTTGGACCTTTCTGACTCACCATTGTTCTGTATTAAAAATTCATACTGCACACCACCTTCACACATGGATTTCTCTCTCTCTCTCTTTCTTTCTTTCCCTCCCTCCCTCTCTTTTCTCTTTTTTCTTTCTTTCTTTCTGTCTGTCTTTCTTTCTTTTTCTTTCTTTTTTTTAGACAGGATCTCGCTCTGTCACCTAGGCTGGAGTGAGTGCTGTGGCACAATCATAGCTCACAGCAGCCTTGAACTCCTGGCCTTAAGCCATCCTCCTGCCTCATCCTCCCAAGGGGACCACAGGTGTGCACCACCACAACTGGCTAATTTTTTTTTTTTTTTTTTTGTAGAGTCAGGGTCTCCCTATGTTGCCTAGGCTGGTCTCAAACTCCTGGGCTTAAGCGATCCTCCTGCCTTGGCCTCCCAAAGTACTCAGATTATAGGCATAAGCCATCATGCCCAGCCACCCATGGATTTCTGATTATGTGGCCCACCATGGAAATAACTCGAGTACCCCTTCAAATCTTGCTCTGATCTAACCAGTAATTAATCCTGTTACTTAGACTAGTTTGCTTATATTTTTTCCCTGCAGTAATCAAGGCCATTTTTGGATGATGGTGGAATAAAACAAGTGATTTTGTGTTTGTTATTTTTATTGCCTAGGTGCCTGCTGCCCTTTGGGGGTGAAATTATATAGGCTGGGCCCTAATGGCATCCGGATCTACTGGCAAGCCTCCAGGGGCTCTGCCAATTACAGCACTGACCTCTATGGCTCCAAAGGCATTTTCACGTGCACCCCGAGTGCTGGCCTCAGTTTCTGTGATGTCACTGAGATACCCTGTGGGGATGTATACACTGTGATGGTCTCACCAGTTGCTAAAACAGGATTGAAGCTTACTTTCTGTCCAAAAAAAATATATTCAGGTAAAGCAAGTTATGACAGTTTATCTAAAACTAACCCTGAACTCATATCTGTGAATTAAGATGCAATCAAACTTATTTACTATGTATGAAGGGCACAGAGGGTATAAAATTTCTTTCTTTTTTTTTTTTTTTTTTTTTGAGACAGTCTCACTCTGTCGCCCAGGCTGGAGTGCAATGGCATGATCTTGGCTCACTGCAACCTCCACCTCCCAGGGTCAAGCAATTCTCCTGCCTCAGCCTCCCAAGTAGCTGCGATTACAGGCACCTGGCATCATACCTGAGTAATTTTTGTATTTTTGTAGAGACGGGGCTTCAGCATATTGGCCAGGCTGGTCATGAACTCCTGACCTCAGGTGATCCTCCTGCCTCAGCCTCCCAAAGTGCTGGGATTACAGGCATGAACCACTGCACCCAGTCAAGGGTATAAAATTTCTACACAGCACAGGCAGATTCTGGCTGTGGAAGACCCCAAGATTCTTTGGAATTGTGATGCTTTATTTAATTTAGAGATTATCTTCTCTGTCCCACTCTTCCCCTTCCTAAAAAGGACTAGATGCTTGCTGCTTAATTAGTAAAGCAAATTTAAGATAATTTTCTGCTTTGAGATTTAGGGATAGATTTTTTAACATAGTCTTGCTGATAATGATAGACATCCTGGGATGTTGGAAATTAGGAAACTTGAACTTTTATTTGCACAGACTGAGAATTATGACTGAGGAAAAGTTAGAGGATCAGAAAAAATAAATTTATAAATCACAAGCTAGGCTTGGCAATATGAGTGGGCAGACAATCTGTGATCACAAAGCATGGCTGTCAGCAACTACCATCTCACCAGAGCTGGCAGGAAAACATTAGCAATTCTCCGCTCTGTGTTCCAGCACCTTCTGCTACCTTGCCCAGGGCACAGTCATATATTTTTCATGTATTCCTAGAAGAAAAGAGATGATGAAGCCCTAGAATTTTGCAGGTGAACACAGAAAAAAAGAATAAATATTGGCTCACAAGCCCTTACTGATAGCCAGAATCTAAAATTTTGAATGATATGTAGGTGACAGGAGGTTCAGGATGGCCCTTGGTGATGGAAGGAGGACAGTTCCTCCCAAGGGGCTGTTCTCATTGTCCCTGGCTGTCATGCTCTGATTCCTTGTTTTTCCATTATTTGGTCCACAGGACAAGCTGGCCCAAAGCATAGCCCTATGGGAAGGGACAGGAATAGGTTCCTGGTGTCAGGATGAGCTCTTAGGAAGATGAGTCTACAGCTCAATAACAATACTGCATCATAACTGCATAATATTTTATAATTTATCCAGTGGTTTCATATCACAAATCTCATCAAATGCTCAAAATATGCTATGCTATAGGCTCAACATATTTCATTATCTCCACTTTGTAAATGAGAAAACTGAAGCTCAGAGGCTCCCAAATCTCTATCTACAACTCTTCTCTTCTCCTGACCCCTAAGTCCGTATTCAAATTTGATACCTCCACCTGGAGGTGCCCAGGCATTTCAAACCCCTCAGGGGCAAAAGGAACTCCTGATCCTCTGCTGTTTCTGATCTTCCTCCCATCGTCCTTGTTTCAGGTACATTAGCTAAAAACCCTGGAGTCAGCTTCTGTCTCCCTCACCCTCCATATCTAAGTAATCTCGAATTCTCGTCCTGGTCACCTTCATGATGGTTCCTAAATCCCGAGTCTTCTCTTCATTCCCACAGCTACTGCTATGCCTCAGGCCCTCACCACCTCTCCCCTAGACTACTGCACCAGTCCCATCTCCCTGTCCTCACTCCAGCCTCTGTAATGCTACCAGAGTTATCATTCCAGGACACTGGTCCAATTGTGTTACTTTTATGCTGCCACATCTTCAAAACTTTTCCATTTCCCCATAAGATAACATTCAATCCTCTGGGCATGGTGTTCACAGTCCCTTATAATCTGTCCCCTGTCTACTTATACCTGCACTGTTCAATAGAAATTTAATATGCACCATGCATGAAAAATTAAATTTTCTAGTAGCCATATTAAAAAAGTAAAAAGAGGTGAAATTAATTTCATAATATATTTTAGTTAACCCAATATATCCAAAATATTATCATTTCAACATCTAATCAATATAAAAATTATTAATAGATATTTTGTACATTTTTCATACTGTCTTTGAAATCTGGTGTGTCTTTTGTACTTATAGTACATTTAGTTCAAACTAGCCATATGTTCAATAGCTACTTCAGTGTCCACTGTACTGGACAGAGAAATTGTTTTTTTTTGTGGGGTTTTTTTGTTTGTTTTTTATTGAGAAAGGGTCTTGCTTTTTCATCCAGGCTAGAGTTCAGTGGTGCAATCACTGCTCAATGCAGCCTTGACCTCCTGGGCTCAAGCAATCCTCCTGCCTCAGCCTCCCAAGTAGCTGGGACTATAGGCATGCCCCACCATGCTTGGCTAATTTTTAAAATTTTTTTGTAGAGACAAGGTCTTGCTTTGTTGCCCAGGCTGGTCTTGAACTCCCGGGCTCAAGCAATCCTCTCGCCGCAGCCTCCCAAAGAGCTGAGATTACAGGCATAAGCCACTGTGCCCAGCCTGAACAGAGAAATTCTAGGCTCATTCCACAACATCCGTCCTGAGAGGACTCTATTCTCTAGTCTAGGCATCTGGCATCATTAACGTGTGCCTGCTTCGGCCACACACACCTCCTATTCTATGTCATGTTCTGGAGCTACTGCAGTGCTCTTCTCTTTGCCCGGAATTCCACCCCACTTCCACCAAGAGAACTCTACTGGCCCCAATTTTCCTTGTCTGTGAAGCCTTCTCCAATTATCATAAGCAGAGTTAGCCCTCTCTCTCTCCCTCCTTTATGACCCCACAGCACCCTTATCTGTACTGCAACATATTACTGTGAATTGAATGTGTGCTTTTCTCCTAATAAATGATTATCTATTTGACTCCCAGTACGTAGCACGTAACTGTTGCCTGATATATTTGAAATTTAAAAAAGAATGAATCAATGAATATACAGCTAAGTGAGTGATGGAAGTCTTTTGTTCTTTCTCCTGCTCCATGCCCACAATTTCACCCTTAGAGAGTCATTCCTCTGAGGGCTGGTTAGCCACCAGAAGTCCTTGTGAGTTAGAACTCAAGTTCTTTGATGGGATGCCATCTCAAGCCTGTAGCCATTTCAGCTTAGTAACATTAGGTATCTAGACTCAAGTTAGGAAATCCTCCTTTGCTCAGTGTCCCTGGTAAAAGCCATACATTTGGGAGATGTTTTTTGGTTTTGTTTGTTTGCAGTATCAGTGATGTCTTATTCTGATAATCAGGACAATATTGTAAATGACAATAACGACTAATGTTTATTGAATGCCATGTGCCAGGCACTGTTCTAAGGGGTTTACATATATTAACTCAGTCCTTACAACAAACCTATCAGCTTGGCATTCTTTTTTTTTTTTTTTTTTTTTTGAGATGGAGCCTTGCTCTGTCACCCAGGCTGGAGTGCAATGGCGCAATCTCAGCTCACTGCAAACTCCGCTCCCCAGGTTCAAGTGATTCTCCTCCTCAGCCTCCTGAGTAGCTGGGATTACAGGTGTGCACAACTACCATGCCCGGCTAATTTTTGTATTTTTTGGTAGAGATGGGGGTTTCGCCATGTTGGCCAGGCCGGTCTTGAACTCCTGACCTCAGGTATCTGCCCACCTGGGCCTCCCAAAGTGCTGGGATTACAGGTGTGAGTCACTGCGCCCAGCTGAGCTTGGTATGCTTATTCTTACTGCTTTTCAGATAAATTGAGGCACAGTAAAGTGACTTGCCCAGGTCATACTGCTAGTAGTATCTCCTTCTCTTATCACCCAAGTTCGTTCTTGTTCGTTTTTTGGTTTACTTTCCTTTTATTCTTTCTTAAGTTAAATCTTCACTATCTTAAATACATAAATGAATAGATTTTATTTTAAATGCTTGTGTTTTTATTACAGTAACTTGCTCTGGAAGTACACTTGGAATGGGTAAGTCATTTTTCTCATGGATAAAATAGAACAGGATTTTTGTTGCTCCATTTTGGGGTTAATGAAGTCAGCTGACTTTTCAATTAGAAAGCAAATGCTTTCTTTCTTTGATACAAGGGGCTCCTGCTCTCTTATCCCATGACTTTTTCTCCCCATTATAGTGCCTCCTCTGAGATTCCACCAGTTGAGATGAATTTCTTTGAATTCTGAAGTCTTTTTAGTATTCTAGGATCCTACAGGAAAATGTAAATAGTTTTGGGAGGGGCAGCGGCTTCATCCCTCACACTTCAGAAAGTGATTCCCAGCTCAGCTGTACACTGGAGTCACCTGGAGAGCTTAAAATTAACTGATGTCTGGTTCTGTCCCCAGAAAGTTTGATTTAATGGGTCTGGGGTGAGAGCTGGGCATCAGGAGTTGTAAAAGCTCTTCAGGTGATTCTGAAGTATAGCCAAGGCTAAGAACTGCTACTTTAGAGCCGTGCTTCTCAAACTTTATTGTGCACACACATCACCTGGGGCCTCGTTAAAGCCAGATTCTGATTTGGTCGGTGTAGGAAGTGTCTGAGACTCCGTATTTCCATAAGGTCCAGGTGATGCTGGCGATGCCGAGGCTGCTGGTCTGACCACACATGGAGTAGCCAGGAGTTAGAGAGAATCTGTTAACGGCCTGCAGAGAGCTACGATGTTTGCTCCTGGTTTGCATGAGTGGGTATACCCCGTGGAGAGAGAGGGTGCTGAAAGGGCAGTTGGAATAAAGAGAACCCTCACTGCCTCCTTGGTTTTGCTCAGGGATGATCTTGTCTAGGCTATTTTGGTTGCCCCCACAGAGATGACTCTTGGCAGGGCAGTGGAGATGAGCAAATGGAGCCATGAGTGTTGACCCAGTAAGCAGTGTATGCTGCCTCATGAGGAGTCCTTGCCACAGCCTTTTAGGGGACAGCTTGGTCTGGGGCCTTAGGAAAAAATCCCCTGGGAATATTATCAACCCCAAACTACAGAACTTCTCTCCCGCCCACCCCCACCCCACCCCTCCCCATTCAGACATGGCTGATTTTGAATGGTGTGAGTGTAAATGAAGCCTTCTTGCCCGTAAACCCCACTGGACAGCCTTCCAGTCGGGGCTGGCTCCCCACCCACACCCCCTTCCACTGGCAGGAACTGGGTCTAGAGTCTCCACTCCCTGTTCTCTGCCTGGGCTCCCTTCCTCTCCCAGTCTATTGCTTCTCTGAGCACAGCAGGTTACACACTTTTCAATTCCTGTCCCACCTGCAGGTCTGAAATAAGCACAATCCTTATTAATTTTTCAAGAGTTTTTGTTTTCTATGACTACAAAAAGGAACAGACTTGGCTTACTGAAAACAAACTGTGAGGACACTTCTAATTATAAAAAAGTCTCCCAAAGTAGTAGAGACCATACACCCTGGTCTTCAGTGAAAGGTACATGGACCTAGGTCTGCATTCTTTAATCAGTATCTCCCTGAGACATAGAGGTGTGGTAGAAGTGTCCTAGGTCCCCAGGGGAGAGGAGTGGTGTATGATATATTGGCCTTGCCTATGATTTTGTTCAAGGAAGGGTTTCAAATAAAAACAAAAAAAATAAAAATGTAAAAATGTAAAAAAAAAAATTTAAAAATGTTTGAAAAGAAAGAATGTCTATGTTTTAACAAAAAACACAAAAGGTGGGGTGGCAAGGAGAGCAGGCATGGTGGCTCACGCCTGTAATCTCAGCACTTTGGGAGACCAAAGCAGGATTGCTTGAGCCCTGGAGTTGGAGACCAGCCTGGCCAACAAAACGAGACCTTGTCTCTACAAAGTGTAAATAAAGTAGCCAGGCATGGTGGCATGTGCCTGTAGTTCCCCTGTAGTCCCAGCTACTTGGGAGGGTGAGGTGAGAAGATTGCTTGAGGCTGGGAATTCAAGGCTGCAGTGAGCTATGATAGCACCACTGCGCTCCAGCCTGGGTGACAGAGTGAGACACCAGCATCACCAGAGAGCTTTTTAGAAATGTACAGTCTTGGGCCCCATCCTGACCTACTAAATCCCCAGGTGATTCGTGCATGTATTCAAGTTTGAGTAGCACTGCTTAGGTACTGCTCTTAAACTCTGCTGTGTATTAGAATCTCCTGGACAGTTAATAATGAATGCAGAGGCCCAGGTCCTGGCCTAGTGAAGTGCCTCTATATTTCCATCAGGTTCCCAGGTGATTTTGATACACATGAAGTTTGAGGAGCACTGCTTTAGATCACTAATGTCCTCTTTTCTGTCCTTCTAGGCTTCAGCTTATCTTCACCATTCCCTTCCTTAGCCAGGGCTCAGTCTTTAGCCTGAAATCTGCTACTCTCTTGAAGTAGATATTTGTAGAAATCCTGTAGGAGCCAGACACAGTGTCACACACCTGTAGTCCCAACTATTCAGGAGGCTGAGGTAGAGAATCACTTGAGCCCAGGGGTTTGAGGCCGACCTTGGCAACATAGTGAGAGCCCCCTGCCCTCAACGCCATCTCTCTAAAAAAAAAAAAAAAAAAAAATCCCGCAAGGCCCTCCAAAAACAAGAGTAAGCCAGATTATTTGAGGGTTTCTAAGGTCATATGGAAGTCATTATATCTAGGGGGAAATTCTAAATTGCTGTCTTCAATTTCAGCATTTCCCCTCCCCAAACACAGAGCAAGTCCAATCAGGTCCCTGGGCTGACATTGGAGCCTCTGGATATGCTGAGGGGAGCCATGGGAATCTTGCTGGTCTAAGGTTTTCTTTGGGTTTTCTTTGACTCTTGGAGTATCCTAAAGCTTTTCAAACTTTTTTTTTTTTTTTTTTTTTTTTTTTGAGATGGAGTTTTGCTCTGTCATCCAGGCTGGAGTGCAGTGGTGCAATCTCAGCTCACTGCAACCTCCACCTCTGGGATTCAAGCGATTCTCGCGCCTCAGCCACTTTAGTAGCTGGGATTACAGATGTGCGCCACCACACTTGGCTAATTTTTGTATTTTTAGCAGAGATGGGGTTTCACTATGTTGGCCAGGCTGGTCTTGAACTCCTAGACTCATGCGATCCACCTGCCTTGGCCTCCCGAAGTGCTGGGATTACAGGCGTGAGCCACCGCACCGGCCATAAACAGACTTTTTAAGAGAGATCTGGATTCAAATCCTGCCACCATCACTTGCTCTTAGTCAAGTTGTGTAAATTCTCTCTGAGCCTAGGTTTCCTCATCTGAAAATTAGAGTAAATAATAATCCCTCATAAAAGAAAATCAGGATTAAATGAGAATGTAAATTATTGGACACAATAATAGGCTCATAACAACTACTTAATAAATGGTAGTTGTTAATTCATATTCAGTTTAAGCTCATATCACATTCTATTATGTACCAATTATTAACATTTTAATGTGCTACTTCTAACGAAGACATTTGCATTTTAACCTTGGTCCTCATAATACACTTCCTCATTGATTCTCTAAGTGTGGTCCTGGTGCCAAAAGTATCAGCATCAGCTGGGAACCTCTTAGAAATGCAATTTTTCAGACTCTTCCACAGACCTATTGAATCAGAAATTCTGGGGCTAGGGCCCAGCCTTCTTTGTTTCAACAAGCCCTCAAAGTGCTTCTGATGGATGCTAAAGTACAAAAAGCATGGCTTTAATTCAAGAAAGCTATTTCAATGCTGGAAATTTGATGCAAGTTGGAAGGGAAAGGAAAAAAAAAACCTATTTGAGGTGATAGCGGCTCTAACAAGAGGTAGATAGATGGGAGGGGTTTGTGCCTGACATCACACCATGAGCAGGGGCTGGGGGTGTTCCTTCATCTTTAGGACCCAACATGTTTCAGTGTCACCTGTACATCCTGGGCAACTTTGAGGAAGCTTCCTCTCTGTGACATACTTAGCAGCTAAACAGGTTTATGTTTTCCATATAAAACTCCCTGAGTCATTAAAATTTTGGAGTTCCCTGAGGAGCACAGCAAGTTGGCCTGGGGGTGAAAAGGAAAGTCCTTTTGTTTTGAACCAGTGGTCTGGGATTAAAGAGACTCTGGGAGGGTTCATTTGGTGAAGCAGGAGAGAGACTGCTCTGGTTAGAAACTGCTGATCAGTTTGAACACTTTGTCAGTTGTCATAGTTTCATGTTTACTTGCCGTGAAGTGCTGCAAAAATAGCATTTCAAATCAACATACACATAAAATCTCAGACACTGGTGCTTTTTAAGAAAATGTCTGCATATTGAATGCATCTTTTACTGCTTCCCTTCCTTACCCTTTTCAGTGATTTATAGAGGGAAGAGAAATGAAGAATGACAAAGTGAGCCCCAGATAAAAACAAAAACTTGACCAAGTGAGTAACGTAAATTGATTTTGTGTGATTTTATGGCAAAGTTTTTTGTCTTTGTTTAAAATGTTTTCCCATTTGTCTTGCAGAGTTGTCTCATTTGTTAGTGATTAGAGATGGAAAAGATCTACTAGAATGTAGAATAAAAATGCCTCTAGGATAGGAAAAGCTCCTTTGGCCTTTAGAAGAACAACTCTGACTCTGCTTCCTGAGGGCAAGGTCAGGTGTGTCCTCACCTGCACAGCAGTTGGAGATCTGCTATGTGAGGACTCTGGAGAGAAATGAATCCAGAAAGTCCCCTGGACGGCTGCTAGCCTGAGTTGGCACACTGTGAGAACCCTGGAAACAAGAAAGTTCTGCTTAGCAGAAATTCTGAGATTTCACATCCACACACACCACAGACTTCAACACATCCACTTCATGAGTGTTTTACAACAGCACTTGTCTGCAGCCCCCTCAGGGGCTGGAAATGTTCACTCCCAGAAAGTCAAGCCACCCACATGCAGACAGCACTTATCCCAAGACAAACCTCCAGCAGGACTTCAGTATAGGTTGGAAAGCAGTAGCTGCCAGGGCAACCTGAGATAACAAACGCCCTCATCGCAAGTTAGGAGCAAAGCTGAGCTGCTTGCAGGGTTCGCTGAGCCAAAGCATCAGGTGGCGTGACATCTATGGGAGCATCTGGGAAAGCAGAGCTGCCAGCCTGTTGCTAGAAGGGTTGCAGTTATGCTTTCTGCATGAGAGAAGATGTCAAATGGAGAGCCTCAAACTGTGGCCGACTGACATGCGTGCATCTTTTGGGGGAGGACCATCCATCTTATTGGCCATATCCCCCACTCATATTGTAATTACTTTTTTCATCTTTGGAGGGGGAAGGCAATGAAATATAACATAAATCTCTCATACCTAAAAAAGTTTGTCCTTCAAATATCAGTAACCTAATTTAAAACATGTGAGTAGACTTGTATAACACACACACGCACATGCACACACACAGTTATAGTGCTTGCTCCCCAAACACATGGCTATGGAGCCAAGCATGTCTCTAGTTAGGAACAACCATAAAACTCTGCCCAGGGGGAATTGGACCATGGAATTAGGCTCGAACTAAGCATGGAAGAAAGAACAAACTTCCCTTTCTGTTCTCTCAACTTCCTATCAACGTGCGCTGCAAGAGAGAAGTGATATGCTTTCTCTATGAGACTGATCAGAGATACGTAATGGGTCACTAATAAGAGATCTTCCCCAGAACATCTGTACATGAACAGAGACAAGCCAAAGGTATATATCTCTAAAAATGGAATTGGAAGCATCAGAGAGCACACCTAATACCCTACAAATACCAAGGCACAGAAAGTGAAATAGCCATCTGCCTAGCTAGGCACCTAAGGCTGAATTGTTTTGGTCAGAATGTCACAGAAGAAAATGTGATCCACAGTGGGTAAAGATAAAATTAGGTTATTTAACGTGTATATAGCACAAACTACCAGCTTGTAAGTGCTCTCCATATGCTCGTTTTATTCTCATAACAACCCTACAAGCTAAGTAATAACATTATCTCCTTTATACAGGTAGGGAAAAACGGGCCCAGAAAGGTCAAGTAGCCCACCCATGTTCACACGGCTAATCAGTTCAAACACAAAGTTTCAGGGAGAGAAGTAAGTAGCATTGGTTAGACCTGCTAATTCATGCTATCTTTCAGTTAAAATTTTAATTTTAATTATTATGGGTACATAATAGTTGTATATATTTATGGGGTACATGTCACATTTTGATACAGGTATACAATGTATAATGATCAAATCAGGGTAATTGGGGCATCCATTACCTCAAGCATTTATCATATCTTTATGTTAGGTACCCATGATATCTTTTGTTTTTTTTTGTTGTTGTTGTTGTTTTTGTTTTTTTGAGATGGCGTCTTGCTCTGTCGCCCAGGCTGGAGTGCAATGGCGTGATCCCAGCTCACTGCAACCACCACCTCCTGGGTTCAAGCGATTCTCCTGCCTCAGCCTCCCGAGTAGCTGGGACTACAGGCACCCGCCACCACGCCCAGCTAATTTTATACTTTCAATAGAGACGGGGTTTCACCATGTTGGCCAGGATGGTCTCGATCTCTTGACCTTGTGATCCACCCGCCTCTGCCTCCCAAAGTGCTGGGATTACAGGCGTGAGCCACCGCGCCCGGCCTCCCATGATATCTTTATGGAAAATATTTCTCTAGATTATTATGAATAAGTGATCGCTTATTAGAGGAGATCTGGGAATAGGATAGTGAGTGAGTGATCTGCCCTAACTCAAGTGCGTGTACATTCAACCCTCGGTTATTTTGGCCATTTACCTGCTCTGAATTATACAAAGCAGCTTTTCATCCCTGGCCAGTGTTAGCAGATTTTACCTTCTACTTTGCTGTGTCACATTTAGGGAATCCAAGTTCATTTTTCAATTTGTTTAGGCAAGCAAACTAGAGGAGACGTAGAGAAACTGCTTAGGGAGCTTATGCAAATCTAGGGGAGCCTGGGAGGATAGGCAATTTGGTACACTAGAAAGAGCAATGGCCTTGGAGCCAGATGGATCCAGATCCTAGCTCATTTTGAGATTTTTCATGATTTATTTAACCTCCCTGAGACTCAGTTTTCTCATATGTAAAATGGCAATGGTCATCTTGCTGGGCTGTTGCGAGGTTTGAGATAATATATTCATATTCAGCACACAGGTGCAATGAAACTGAGGTGTTTGAGGTCACACTGCTAGTAAGAGGCAGAGCCAGATTTTGTAGGATGTAAACCTATGCCTACGTGCAGTTAAAGACCATGCTTGCTCCACTATTCCGCAGTGCCACCAAGGACTCTGGCCTTCAGGAGCATGAGCCAGAACTGCACCCCATGTGACCAGAGTCAAACTTCCAACCCAGAGGGACCTGTATTATTCCCTGGCACCTGGTCATTCTCCTGAAGGGTAAGAGATGGAGGCACCTCACCCATCTCACTCTTCCCTCTTGGTTTGGCTCTTCAGAGCAAGGGGCTTCACCTCAGAAGGGTGAATTTTCCCTGGCACATATTTTTCTTATGGATTGGGGCTTCACCCTGCTAAACTAAGCAGAACCTAACTTAAAATGAAAAGGGAGAGGGAAATCATATGTGCACTTGTTTAAAACATTGAGCAACTGAATCAATTTAGAGTAGGTTTAAAGGAGGTCAGGGCTCCAGCTTCTATTCTCATATAAGCCTTGAACAGAAAAACCACTCAGCCATAGGTTGTGCCAGAACCCATTTTATGGCCTTTTTTATTGTTAGATACAGGGTCTCATTCTGTTCCCCAAACTGGAGTACAGTTGCATGATCATAGCTCACTGCAGCCTGGAACTCCCAGGCTCAAGCAGTCGTCCTACGTCAGCCTCGCAAGTAGCTACGACTCCTCAGCTTGCAGGTAGCATGCGCCATCATGCCCAGCTAACTTTTTTATTAATTTTTTTTTTTTTTTTGGTGGAGACAGCAGTCTTGCTATGTTGCCCAGGCTGGTCTTAAACTCCTGGCCTCTATCAGTCCTCCTGCCTAGGCCTCCCAAAGTGCTGGGATTACAGGTGTGAGCCACCATGCCCAGCCTGTTCTTAATTCTTCATTTGCCTTTCCTCTCCTAAAAATTGCAGGTTACCCCACAGACTACTCTATTGCTTTCCATGTAGCCCAAGCCTGATCTTTGTTCCCACTCCACCACTAAGTGCATCCTTGGCAAGTTACTTGACTTCATTAAGCCTCAGTTTCCTTGTTGTAAGTGTTGCTTTGAGGATCAGTGAGGTAATCTACTTAGCATGGTGCCTGGCATATGGTAAGTAAGCACTCAGTAAATATTAGACATTATTATTAGTAGTAGTATCTAACCACTTCTACTTCCCTGTGTGACCAATTTGAATCTTTACAGCCACTGGTTCTTTGCAAATCCTTCTAGGAAAGCCTACTTTCTGCCAATGTCACATGGTTATCTCACAGTTAGGGCTCTTAGCAACTAAACTGATCTCACTTACGTTTGATTACTTTGATTTAAAGTCCCAAAGGAACCATCTCAGTAAACAGATCTCTACCTAAACTTTCTGAGCTCAGATCTCCTCCTCTGTGAATCAACTTTCAACAATAATTGTAGATTCTGAAGCATTAACAGGCCCTCCCTACATTTGTTGCATAAATTTGTTAATAAATGATTATTCTTTTGTTGGTTCATTTATGTATATCTTATCATTAAGGCATTCAATTTTTAAACTAAGTTTTAACTACCTGCAGCATTCCAGGAATTGTGCTCTTTAATTAGATTGTAAATTATTCAGGGGAAAGAGTTGATCTCTCATTTCTTTGAGTTTCCTAAAAGTCCAGCACAGTTCTTGGCACACTGGAGGGAACCTCACAGTTCTACGCAATTACTGTGTCCTTGAAAAAATGAATGAAATAATCATTTGGGGACAGTACATTTTCCATTGGGTAGTTGGGCTGGCTACTGAGTGAAGTCTATTATGAATCGCCTTGCGAAGTGAAGGGTTCTTCTGTAATGGGGAGGATCCTCCAGTCTTCGTGTATGTGTGAACTCGGAATTTCATAGACGGCCTTGGCTCACGATCGGTTTGGCACTTCGCGTTCCTAGGCCACAGGACGTCGAACCTCGGGCGACAGCAGCCTCCCGCTAGGGGGCTCCCGACTTCCCACGGAGGTTCCACCTGTACTGCGCAGCCTCCGTCCGGGAGTGGGCGGAAATTCCCTTGCTGACGCGCGTGACGTCACCGGAGGGCGCGGTCTGCTAGAGGGGGTGGGGCATTCCCCTGCAGCAAGGGGCGGGGCCACCCCAACGCCGCTTCTGCGGCCAAAGTAGGTTGGGAGTGGAAGGTGGTGGCTGCTGCTCCGCAGTGTCGGGAAGATGGCGCCGCCGGTGGCAGAGAGGGGGCTAAAGAGCGTCGTGTGGCAGAGTGAGTGCGGTGGGGTAGGGGTTGAGAGAGGGAAGGCCGGGAGGCTGCCGTGCCGGGCCTCGTTTTGCAGCCCCAACCCAGCGGTCTGTTGAGGAGCCGCCGCGAGCACTTGTTGCTTTGGGACCTGTGTGAGGACTTCTTCCTGCTTTCCTGCCCTGCCTTATTCCTTGCCAGCACCAGGGATGGGCGGGGTGCGACGGGACGCGGCCTTCTCGTTGGCGTCGGGCACCCCCTCGCCTCGGCCGCGCTCTGGCCGCGAAGCTCCGCCCCGGGTGAGCCGCCCGGCCCGGCTTTCCCTCCCGCGGAGCCCGTGCGTGCCCTCGGCCGCGCTCCCCACTCTTCTCCGCTCCCGTCCGCGCTCCACCAGTTGGGGATGTCTCTCCATCCGAGACAATTCGGGCGCTGTTTATTCCGCCCCCATCTCCACCCCACACTGGAGTTTGCAAGGACTGTTTATTCTGCTTATTCGTGTTAGTATCAACCCGTGCTTTTCAAAAAACCTCACTGTTTAACAGACTCATCTTCCCCTATTCCGAGAGGAGCCTACTTTCTGAAAAGTTCTTGAGAAGAGACCATTGGAATGACCGGTGTCCAGCCGTGACATCTTCCTGCATAGCCTGGGCAAGAGCCGCTCCTTCCGTTTTCCCTACTCTCGGGGGCCCCTCCCTGCTGTTAGGACCGGACTCCTTATTGGTTACTGATGTTCTGCGGTATCATCCACAACTTTCATAAACATCGCTCCAAACCTAGGTCTGGCAGGTTAGAGAAAGAATGAAACCACCCAACAGGAATAACCATCATTGTTTGGTATCTCTGAGTTCAAGATAATTATGGCCTAGTAGTGGAAAGGGAGTAGCATCTAATTAGTATTTCTTAGTCCAACTTGTTGAACAAAAAACAAATGATTTAGTCAGCAGAATTCTGGGAGTTAGAGTTCCTTGTCTAAAATTAAAAATCCAAATCAGTAACTGGGATAGTGCTTAACATATAGCAGGCACTAAGCAAATGTATAAATAGGTGAAAAATATGAAATTATCTTTTAAAAGATTAGATAATTTTAAGGTTGGCATTTGCTTTTTCAAGATTTACATGGCTGACTTAAGATTTGAGATGTTTTAAAACAATGGTATTTAAATACATTTATGTGAAAATGGGTAACAAATTGTGTTGTATAATTTCCAAGATATATATGTGATTAACATCCGCATGTATGTATTTAAGCCAGTTCTTTACATATTGAATCATAAGCTTTTCCCTTTTTCACATTTTCCTTCTGATCCTCATACAGATAAAGACATTGTTTTTATTATCTGTCATTCTGTGACTTCCTTTTTTTTAAACAACTGACATTGACTCAACATTTTTCATGTTGCTTCACAATCTCGTAATTAACATTTTAAATTGCTTTTTAAATACCTTGAGGTGGCAAAAAATTTTGATAGCAGAAAAGAAAAGAAAAAATTATGGCCAGGTGCAGTGGTTCACGCCTGTAATCCCAACACTTTGGGAGGCCGGGGCAAGATGATCACCTGAGCCTAGGAGTGGGCAACAAAGTGAGACCCCATCTCTACAAAAAAATTTTAAAATTAACCATGTTTGGTGACATGCACCTGTGTTCCCACCTACATGGGAGGCTGAGGCAGGAGGATCCCTTCAGCCCAGGAGGCTGAGGCTGCAGTGGACATTGATTGTGCCACCGCACTCCAGCCTGGGTGACAGAGCAAGACCCTGAGTCTAAATAAATAAATAAATAGCTAGCGTAAGCCCGGGCACAGTGGCTCACGCCTGTAATTACAGCACTTTGGGAGGCCAAAGCAGGTGGATTGCTTGAGCTCAGGAGTTCGAGACCAGCCTGAGCAACATGGTGAAACTCTCTCTCTATCAAAAATACAAAAATTAGCCAGGTGTGGTAACGCACACCTGTGGTCCCAGCTACTCGGGAGGCTGAAGTGGGAGGATCGCTGGAGCCTGGGAAGTTGAGGCTGCAGTGAGCAGTGATCATGCCACTCAATTCAGCCTGGGTGACAGAGCATAACTCAGTCTCAAAAAACAAAAACAAAAATTATTTGGGTAACTTTTGGACTAGTGGAAGATTAATTTAGAGATTAGGTAGAAGCCAGTCAGTGGAGGATGTTAAATAGTAGAGTTTAGATTTTATTCTATAAGCAAGAGTGAGCATTTGAGGGAATTTCGAGGTGTGTATTAATATAAACAAAGGGTTGTATTTCAGGAAGGTGACTCTGACAGCTGTGTGAAAAATGGATTGAAATAGCAAAGGTGTTGGAGGTGGAAAGCAGGAAATCCAGATAGGATTCTATTGCAGTACTTCAGTGAGAGAGAAGAATCAAGTCGATGCTGGGTGACAGTAGCAATGAAAAATAATAGCTACCAGGGAGAACAATCAATATGCCTAATAGGTGGGCGTGGGGAAAGGAGGAAATAGACAAAGACAATGACTAAGAAAATGACAATAATACTTAGAGAAATAAGTCTAGAGTAGTTTTCAGGGTGCTGTAATCTCAACTTGAGACATGTAGCTGCTTGTATCTGTATTGCGTAGTTGAATGAAGTTCAAAGAGAGAAAGGCTGTAAGATTGTGGAAAATCGAAAGATTAATATGATAGATGAAACTTTGATGATGAATATGGTCTCTGAGAAGACCAGCCACAGGAGCAAATTCTCTTACCTTTGCTCTGAGAACAAGCAGAGCAAAAGTAAGAGAATTGAGTCTTGAGATATATCCATATTTAGGATGCTAGAGAAATGGATATAAGGTCAAATGATTTTCATTAGTATTTAGAGGAAATACCTCCTTAGTTCTATAGTATTTGTTGATATGATTTCCTTTGACTCCTCTCTAAACATACCTACCTGTGACTGTGTCACTTTTTATGGGTGCCCTTACTATCTCCATAAAACTAGTTCGTTCTTTTAGACAATAACACTGACTCTGTAGGTATCTTCAGATTCTTTTTATTTTTTCGTCTGGCAGACACAGGTAGATCCAAGTATCTTCAGATTCCAAGACAGTTCTATCATTAGAAATTTAAAGCACATATGTAATTTTAAATTTTCTAGTAGTCACATAAAAAGGTAAAAAGAAAAAGGTAAAATTAATATATTATATTTGACCTAATAAGTTTTTTACATTCCTTTTTTTGTGCTAAGGTTTTTTGAAGTCTCATATGTATTCTGTACTTACAGGATATCTCAGTTCAGACTAGCCACATTTCAGGTGCTCAATAGCCAGATATGGCTGGTTTCCACCATCTAGGACAATGCAGTTCTAAGGTTTCAAAGACTGTAATGAGATGACTTCTGCTTGGGGAGCTTTTCTCCAATCTGCTCCATCATAAATTCCATGAGCATTCATTTCTTAAGAGAAAGACACAAATAAATCTGATAAAAACAAGCAAATGTCTTCAATTTTCAGCTGTTTGAGGTATAAGGAATGAAGCTAGCTTTGAAAGGAAAAGCAGCATAATATTTCTGTATCTGAGCTCTACCGGAGAAAATCCTTTATTTTTGCCTGTAGGGTTCTAGAAGCCAGCGCTTTTGGCTTAAATTATGGTTAAATATTTCGGACTTTCACCATAATTCTCATATAACACTATAATCCTCCTAGCAAACAATATATAATTATCTCAATTGATATTTCATAACACTTCCAAATCTTCTCAATCACAATACAACCTTCCAGATCACAATTCTAAAAATGACTATAAATAACTGAATTGCTTTTACTAACAACATTTCTGACACCAAATATGTGTTTTATTCCCCCCTCACACCAACCAGTTCTCCAACTCTGGACACCAGCTGTATTAGTGTCAGAATTGAAATGAATTGTAGGATATCCAGTTAGTTAGGAACTAGTTAGCTAGGAACACTAGTTAGTGTCAGACTCCACAGGTTTAAGGGCTCAGTCTCACAATACTGCCTTCACTTCAAATGCCAGTACCAAGTCCCTAGGTTACCCACACTTCTGTCTGTCTTGGCTACAAAGTCAGGAATTCCTACAACCTCCCTTCCCTTTCAGGTTCATTAATTTGCTGGAATGGCTCACAGAACTTCAGAAAACGCTTAACTTACTATTACCAGTTTATTACAAAAGATACAAATGAACAGCCAGGTTGGAGAGGTACATAGGGTAAGGTCAAAAAAGGTCCTAAGCATAGGTGCTTCTATCCACATGGAGTTGGGTGTCTCACCCTCCTGGCACATGGTTTGTTCACCACCTTGGGAGCTCTCCAAACTCTCTTAAGGGGTTTTTATGGAGGCTTCATTATATAAGCATGAATGATTACATCACTGGTGATTGAACTCAATCTCCAGTCCCTCTTCTTTCCCAGAGGTCCTGGGGTGGGGCTGAAAGTTCCAACCCTCTAAACATGGCTTGGTCTGGTGACCAGCCCTCAATCTAAAGCTGTATAGGGGCCCCTCACCCAAGAGTCATTTCATTTGCAGACGGAAGAGATGCTATCACTCAGGAGATTCCAAGGTCTTTAGGGGCTCTGTGCTAGGAACAGGGGGTAAAAACCAAATATTTTTTATTGTACCACAGTAACTGTTATTATTTATACCCTCTGATAGAAGAGCCGTCAGTTTTTAACATGACTTGTTACCAAAAACTTGTTGATAAATTTCCCAAAAGCATTAACTTAAATATAAATTAGGAAATAGAAAAGCTTAAGTTAATGAAATAACCATCTCATTAATAAGATTTAATGAAAAATAGGTTACTATAATTTATATTTTAATTATATTTTATGTATTACTATGTATTACTACCGATTTTAAAATCAATTGAACATTAATAAAACATAGTGTGGGAAATTGTTTTATTAAGTAGAACAGATATTTGTATAAATTGTCCACATGAATTATTTAATACATAATGGAAAATGTTTTTAAATCAGTGAACTAATTTTTAAAACATATTTAGATAATTTTGAAAGTCATTGTAAGGAACATATTTATTGATTATAAATCAAGACTGAATATTGGTATCCAAATGCTGTGATATGTATTGTTGAAAAGCATAATGTAGTAAATCAGTATGAAAAATGTTTATGCAGATTTGATCATCAGATATAATTTAGCAATGGGCAACTTAAGGATGTTCCCGTGGGTTTTTTGTTTTCATCTTGTTTTACTTGGGATTTAAGTAGAATAGGAAAAACCAAATCAGGTAATAATTTTAGAAATATTTTCTCGGTACGTTCATGTACTTAAATATATTAACCCTTTTTATAATACCTTTTAAAGTTAAAAAATTGATTACAGTTTAAATGTACTGTATAGGCTAGGTATTAGAATTGGATTTTTCCGTAAGGTTTAACAAATATGTATGCTTTTTATGTAGTTTAACAAATTTCAAATTGGATTTTTCCTTAGCCATTTTGGACCCTTTGGATTACTATGTTTCTGTTTATTTAATTCCTAAGTAATTCCTTTCTTTTTTAAACAGAGATAAAAGCAACAGTGTTTGATGACTGCAAGAAAGAAGGCGAATGGAAGGTAGAGTTTGCATACCTTGCTCTTATAAAAAATAATACAAACTTTAAAAACAATACAGTATAAAAACTACATAGTATTTACATGGTATTAGGTATTCTAGTATAAGTAATCTAAAGATAATTTGACGTATGTGGGAGGATGTGTGTAGGTTACATGCAAACACTACACTATTTTATATAAGAGATTTGAGCATCCATGGATTTTTGGTATACACAGGGGTCCTCGAACCCCCATGGATACCGAGGGATGACTATATAGGGTCTGGAATCACACTGCTTGGCTCCAAATACTAACTTCACCACTTAATAGCTGTGGCTCCTTGCACAAGTTACTTGACCTCTCTCTGCCCCATTTCCTTGTTTATAAAAATGGTGATGGTAATACCTCATATGGTAATTGTAAATATGAGGTGAATTAATCCATGGAAATTACTTAAAACAGTGCTTTGTGCAATAATTGTTCTACAAGTGGCAATTGTAATTTTAAGAAAATTTGATGTTAAACAGTGTCATTCAAAATGAATAAGCTCTATGTTTCAAATTAGAAATATTTCTGTTTGTTTACTTATGTACGATACTATATGCATGTATATTGAGAAAATCTCTAGCTCATGCAAGATAAAAGATGAGATCATTTTGCCTACTGTTCTGATATTTTGTGTTATAAAAGGCTTATAAAGTTTAATGGATAAAATTCTTTTTTTCATTCTTGGTAATAGGATGCTTACAGTATTTTTAAATTTGTGTTTGTTTTAAGATAATGCTTTTAGATGAATTTACCACTAAGCTTTTGGCATCGTGTTGCAAAATGACAGATCTTCTAGAAGAAGGTATTACTGGTAAGTGTTATTCTTGGCATGAACACTTTTTAATTGTAATTGGGGGAGATCTGAGGTATTAAATTTTAGTTAGTAGTTGTGTTTCTAAGGAGCTTATTTTTTTAAATTACTGTAGCCATAACTATTAGATTTAACATTCTTTTCTCTGAATCTTCTGTCAGTTTTTTTCCCTCAGCCGAGACATATAATTAAGACCTCTAACCAAGCCTAACTTAATTGCTTTGTTGAGGTTGTTCTTTAAATGTTTTACTCATATATACATATATATATATAAAACAATTTTGTATATTGATACACAAGCTTTACTTCAGTATTTTGATTTAGTTTATGGTTTCATATATCGCTTTAAAATGGATATCAAGATTTATGTCATAAAATCAGCTGTTGTACATGTTTACAAATGCATAATGCTGACTTCGTAAATTTATCTTTATTACCAGAAATGAGACAAATAATTATAAGTTTAAATCAGTTTTAGTATGAAAATTTGAAATACTTACAGATTCTGAAAAAAAATCATAATGTCATAAGAAGTTATCTTCCTCTAGGCGGGATTATGTTATTGAGATATTAATCTGTATTACCTATTGAGGAAAATACCAATATCTTGTAACATGCATAATCATGTTATTCTTAATTCATCATCCTTTAACTCACTTATTAAAATTTGATCTTCATAATAACCCTATGAAGACAGATAAATACTCTCATTTGTAATGAGGAATCTGAGGCTCCAAGTGAAATATAATTCATTTATATTTTGGATCCTAATGTAGTTTATGTACCGTCTGTTACTCCTAACTTAATGAAGTTCAAAAGTATACCCAGTATTCTCAAGAAAGTCTGACCATATAATATTTATGTTTTGATGTTTACACATAAAATAATCTTTTTTTTTTTTTTTTTGAGACAGGATCTCACTCTGTCACCCAGGCTGGAGTGCAGTAGTGCGATTTTGGCTCACTGCAGCCTCCTCCTCCTGGGTTCAAACAATCCTCCCATCTCAGTCTCCGAAGTAGCTGGGACTACAGGCACACACTAGCACACCCAGCTAATTTGTATATTTTCTTGGATAGAAACAGGGTTTCACCATGTTGCCCAGGATGGTCTCAAACTCCTGGGTTCAAGTAATCCACTTGCCTTGGCCTCCCAAAGTGCTGGGATTACAGGTGTAAGCCACCATGCCCAGCCATAAAGTAACCTTTATTGTTTATTACATATTCAATTGTGGTCTTTCTGACCCTCAATGTAAAAAGCTCTAAACTAGAAATTAGAAAATTGAAGCCTTGATTTTTCTACTCCTGGATAAGTGAAATATTGATTAAGCCACTTAAGTTTTTTAAGTTCTGAAAGGTCATTCTGATGTGAAACTAGGGTGAGAACCATTTGATAATACATAAAAGTTCTGTGGAACTGCAGAGCCATTATGCACTGTAGGGAGGTTTTATTGCATTTTGTAGACCATTGTTTCTTACTGTATGCTCACTATTAATAGATATTCTTCAAGGAAGGGATTCCATGGCCAGTACATTTAGGAAACAGTATTAAACAGAGCTCCACAGCTTTCTTTAGGACTTAAGAGTCTTTATATGCCAAGGTATAAGTGGATCCCCTGGGTAAAATGATAGTATTCAGTTTTCTAAACTTATTTGGCCACAGAAAGCTATTTTTGAGAAGCATTTCATAGGACTGTATATCATAGAGCTCGCTGCTGTGGGATACCTTTGATATCCTCCAGAACCACCTAAGTTTGCTATGGTTTAATTGTAGTCATATCTTCTAACTTAAACTCAAAACAGTCCTTTTGAGTTCCACATTAGCTCTCCTGAAAATCCCTCTATGAAACTGGGCACTGGCAGGTTCAGCAGTCAAACTTTCTGTTGTCATTCAGGTCATTCATGAAAATATTTAGTAGTGTCTTGGGATTAAAACAAAATCGGGAAAAAAAATGCTCTGTCAGGATTTGCTACTTGAGTGGAGAATAAAGTCAAGTATAAAACCTTAAAAAAAATAAACTGAAGCTGGGTACAATGACTCATGCCTGTAATCCCAGCACTTCGGGAGGCTGAGGCAGGAAGATCACTTGAACTCAGGAGTTCAAGACCAGCCTGGGCAATATAGTGAGACTTTGTCTCTACTAAAATCCAAAAAAATTAACCAAGCATGGTGGCACATACCTGTAATCCCAGCTACTTGGAGAACTGAGGCAGGAGGATTGCTTGAGCCAGGGAAGTCAAGGCTGCAGTAAACCCTGATTGTGCCACTACACTCCAGCCTGGGTGACAAAATGAGACCTTATTTCAAAAAAATAAATAAAAAGTAAAAAACAGACTGGGAATTAGATTTTTTTTTTCACTATTAAAGACCTTTCTCTTTGTTTTTTTAGTTGTTTGATAGATGTGTATTTTTCAGTGAATGGAGAAGTGGCACTTTCTGTTATTAATAAAGAGATTTCAGAATATTTTCAGAGCCTGAGCCCTAAATCATATTTATCACAGTATTTTCAGTGTTTTAACAAATACATTATTCACCAAACAAAATAATATGTATAGCATGACTGTAAGACACTCCATTTTGAACATTAAACAATTGAAATAAATGAAAACAGATTAAACCTTAATTTTTTCAAGTAAAACTATAATAGTTGAGAATGAAGATAAAAAGATTAAATTTTTCCTTGGAAATATTATTTGATTGTCTAGTAGTAGTTATGATAAACCTATACATTACTAATATACATTTAGGAATGAGAAAAGGAAATCACCATATTTAAAAGAGAAGTCCAGCAGTAACCTCTCTTGCCCGTCACATTAATGTTAATTCTTTCTAGGCCCTTTGTCAACATGAATCTTGAAAGATGGTTCCCTGGATTTGTTGAAGGATACTTTAAATTAGTTTTAAGAAATATATATGTAGCTTTAAATAGTTAATTTGACAAAGTTTATTAACTTTATATTCACTTTGCTTTAGCTAATCTTATAAACTGCTTAATTTCCATAATAAAAAATATAATTGACTAAATTCTAGTGATGTTCTGTTGTTGAAAAAATACTTTATAAATATGTGTGGTTTTGAAAGAATAGGCGTTAATTGGCAATTTATTTAAACAGCATTGTGGCAGGTAAAAACTTGGGCTCTGGAGTCACATCTGGGTTAGAAGCCTGCCTGTTCCACTTCCTAACTGTGTGATTGGATAAGTTACTTCTTTAAGCTTCAGTTTCCTCATTTGTAAAATACTTGCAAGGTTATTATGAATTTTAATGAGTAATTCATGTAAGAAAATGAATTATTAATTTAAGAAATGAATAATTTCTTACATTATTCATGTAAGAAAATGAAGAATTTTTATTTTTCATTTTTCAGGATTTTAAAATGTATCCAGTGAAGACAAAGAAAATGTTAAACCCAGTAAATGTTTTTGTTTTCATATTATTTGTAAATGTATTTTCATATTATTATAAATGGAAAGTACAGTAAAGTTTATTTAAAAATTATTTTAAGTATATAAATATTTGGTTATATAAAATGACCTTTTTTCTTGTTAGTTGTAGAGAATATTTATAAGAACCGTGAACCTGTCAGACAAATGAAAGCTCTTTATTTCATCACTCCGACATCAAAGGTGAGTATTTTGAGACCTTAAAAAGCAGGTTCATCAATATTTCACCATTGTTATGGTTTACTAACAGAAAATTCAAAGTAATAAAGTACACTTTAGTAGAAAAATATTGCCATAAACTAGTTTGCTTAGGAAAGTTTTTTTCTGTGTTAGAAGATTATTTGCATTCTTCCGAATGAGAATGTATAAGTAAAAGGATTCCTTTTTTCCCCATATATGAAAGCAGAATTAAATTGTATAAAATAACATTTCTTTGCATGTTTTGTTTTTCATGCAGTTCCTATTGAACTATACCTTTTGGGGGGATGGTAATGTAGGTAAAAGAAATAATCTATAGTCTTGGATTACTTCTTTATCTCAGTGACTTTCCTGTAGCATATTTGTATGTATATATGAAGATGGGTATATATGTGTGTATGTATATATTTTATGTGAAAGGAAATTCTTTAGTTTATAATCTGACTCTATGACCTAACTCATACTTGATGCCAACCTTTCAGAGCCAAATTATCAGATTTCTTTATTCTGTACAATATCTGAGAATGCATTTTTGAAAACCTGATCTCTCACTTATTCCCATGTAGAACGTTAATTTGGCAATCTCTGTTTCATTTCACTTCTAAAAAACTTTAGCAGACATTTTTAAAAAAACAAAAAGATACACACTTTTTAGTCTCTACATGTTGGCTGCTAGTGGGTTTTAATGACATTTTATATCTTATCTGTAATATAATTCCATAAGAGAAAAATTCATGATTGGAAAAAAAAATGCAACTTAAAAGTACCATTTTTCACCTAGCAAATTGGCAGAGGGATTTAAAATATATATATATGGGTATGTATGTGTGTGTGCATTCTGGCTATTCTGGTTATCAGTGGATAATGGAGCAGAAACTGCCATATACTGCTAGTGGGAGTATAGATTGATACAGCCTTTTTGGAAAATAGTTTGTAATTTGTTATCAAGAACCTTAAAAAATGTTTTATATTTTAGAGTTTATTGTTAGGAAATAAATAAATGGTTTAGCTAAGTTTCTAGTAGTAAATAAATCTAATTAAATTTTAGCATTAATAAATAATAGACCATATGATGATATCTGAATGAAATATATGAATAAAATGATAAATAAATGAAAACCCATGTGGCCATTAAAAATAATTTTTCTAGGGGTTGTTAGTGACCTAGATAAATGTTCATTTTGAATGTTAAGTGACAAAAGCAAGATACAAAATTGTATATTCCTCATTCTTGCAGTCACCTACCAAGCTTTGGATCTTTCTAATCACTTGATAGTTTAAGCTTCTCACTCACTGTGTCTCACTTCAACACTTCTCCAGTCATAAGTCTTGGTGGTTCGTTATCCATGTAGATGATACTTATAGTATGTTGGTTTCTAGTTCCTTAATCTGTTATATTCCAATAGTCTTGTCTTCTATGTTGTTTCAGTTTTCCTAGACCTCTTCATTGCCAATAAGAGCATCCTGTTCATACATATTACCTTACTCTTTTTTTTTTTTTCCAAAACCAAAAATGGTTAATATTACCTTACTCTTTTTACCTTACTACCTTATTAGCTATCACTGGCTGGAGAACATAGCATCTTAAAAAATCAGTTTATAAATTAAACTTTTAGCCAGTAAAGTTTTATTTTGTCACTGAAATAAAATAATCTTAGTCATTTCAAAAGGTAACATATTTAAATTAATATTTAATAAAATGTGTATTAACATCTAACCTTTTTTAAGTCTGTAGATTGTTTCTTACATGATTTTGCAAGTAAATCGGAGAACAAGTATAAAGCAGCATATATTTACTTCACTGACTGTAAGTCTTTTAAAAAGTTATTGCTTCATTGTTCAAAATGCCATTGGTTTTAAACTGTCGACTTTTTAAAAATCAGCCCAAAATGTCATTAAAGTATCTACTTTTTATAATATTATTTCAGTCCTGGTGATTTTCTATTTATCATTTGTTCTAATTAGGCTAGAAAGAATCTAAAAATGTAAGATTATATCTATCCTAATTCATATTAAGGTGATAGAAAATTAAAAGAAACTATTCCCAACTGCTTTCAAAAGACAGTCATTTTGCTGGGATGCTGGGATGTGAGGGATGGGTGGAGAGGGCTAGCCCTCAAATCCTGTGCTGGTGACAGGAAGAAATATTTTTAATCAGCATTTCAGTTAGGGATTTGATTCTCTTGTGAAAAACAAAGACCTTTTGAGAGGGCACTGAAGAAAACAGCCATCTGTTTGGCAAATATAAAGGGAGAAAATCTGTCACATTTATCTTACTCTGCCATATGATCACATAGAAAACTGGTAACTAAAGAATCACAGAGAAGTCCAAAGACACATACAATTCTGTCTTATGTTACATGTTATATAATATACTTCAAAATAAAAATATCATATCTAAGTTAAGTCTTGGTCTCTGCTGTTAGAGATTCCTCACTTTAAGTAAGTAGTATATCATTTTTCCTATAAATTTTTATCTCATGCCTAATAGTTTGCATTTTTAAAAATGTCACACCATAAGTATTTGTAATGTAACCTTATTATACAGAGCATCATGTTTATGGAATTGATGAAATTTAATGAATGTGAACCCTCTTTTAACTTAAGGAATCTTAAGGCTAAAGAATATCATGTTAAAAGATACTAGGAGCCAGTGGTTGATATTCCAACCTAGATCTAGTGGAATGATAAACTCTTTGATGAAAGGGGAAAAACACTGGCTCTGAGTTCCAGAACTTAGTATTATAGAGTCTTAGAATTTTCTAATGTTAGAAAGCTGCCTTTAATTGAAGGAAAAATTAACCATTTGTGTTGTATGATTGTAGTATGGATCACTTAGTGGCAATTTGGAAAAGTAGTATAAATTTCTAAGATGTCCTGAAAGTGCTGCTGTTTGTTAAGTCATAAGTTTGGACTTGATTTTTCTTCCTAACAATTTCAGTTTGCTCTGTTAGCAGATCTTTAAGGAAATACATCTGAGGTTGTGGTGGATGTGAATGGGAAAGATGGAATTTCTGTTATAGTCCTTTTCAGTAGAATATATCTTTTGTAAAGCAAATAACAATATTTATATATTATTTATGTCCTCATAATAACTGTGAAAGCCAGTAATTATGTATAACTATTCTTGGATGTTGGAATGATTTATTTAAAAGGAATAAAATCTAGATGTAACTATATGCTTTGTTTTTTTTTCCCCTCAGTTTGCCCTGATAATCTCTTTAACAAAATTAAGGCTTCTTGCTCCAAGTCAATAAGAAGATGTAAAGAAATAAATATTTCCTTCATTCCACATGAATCTCAGGTACTTTCTATTTTTATTTTTTAGTTCATGAGAGGTTTCAAATTTGGTTTTATGGCTTATTGTTAATAAAGTATATTCTGAAGATATTTTTTATATGTATTTGGTGAATTTTGAACCTAATCCACAAATAGACATTTCCCATGATGAAGTCAGACGCGTGAGCAATAAATTGGAATTAAAAATGAATAGCAGGGCTTAAATTTCATATCTGCCACCAAGTCCTTTGTCAAATTACAGAACTACCAGGTTATGAAATCAAGAGAGTTTTGAGCACAGTCTTTGTTAGATGACTCCAAAAAAAGTGTTTCATTTAGCTTGTGTAACCTTTTGTGATATTAAAACAAATGCTCTTTAATAAACTTTTTATATAATATTATGTAAATTATTTTAATTTATAAAGTGAGGGGATTTTTGACTTGTTTTGCCTTTGGAACATTGAGCCTTCAATTAATAATAGCAATGATTATAATGATATAAGCAAACACTCATATAATACTCCCTATGTGTCATATACTTTCCTGAGTGTTTTACATAAATTTATTCATTTAATCCTCACAATAGCCATAGTAATAGATTGTACTTCTCCATTTTGAAGATCAAGAAATCAAAGAGGTTAAGTACCTTGCCTCAAATCACACAGCTAATGAATTGTTAAGGTTTGTTTTGCTCTGTTCTCTGTGTTTGGATTCTAGCATTTTATAGAATTGAAATAGTTGACTGTTGTTTGGAACTATGATCAATATTTTAAGGGATAGACAAGTCCTAGACAAGGGATTTCTACTATATTACTTTTAAGATACTGCTGGGTTTTTTGTTTTTGTTTTTTTCTTTTTTTGAGACTGAGTTTCGCTTTTGTCACCCAGGCTGGAGTGCAATGGCGCAATCTTGGCTCACTGCAACCTCCATCTCCCAAGTTCAAGCGATTCTCCTGCCTCAGCCTCCCAAGTAGTTGAGATTACAGGCATGCGTCACCACACCTGGCTAATTTTTTTGTATTTTTAGAAGAGATGGGGTTTCTCCATGTTGGTCAGGCTGGTCTCGAACTGCTGACCTCAGGTGATCCAGTATCCTCGGCCTTCCCAAGTGCTGGGATTACGGGTGTGAGCCACCACGCCCAGCTGATACTGCTGTTTTTGACAAAGAAAAATAATAATCCAAATTATAAGATTTTAACATATCTGCTTAACATTAAACTGTTTTCCAAAAGTTTCCTTTAAACTTATTATTTTAATATGTAAGTTTAGTATAGGGTGAAAATGAGCTTCTGAAAATGATGTAGGATTTAAGTGGTAGTGTGAGAAATATTACAAACATTTCTAGAACATCTCGCTTCACAGAAGATAAATATAATTTTAGCCCCAGAATTTATTAAAATTCTGCAGTTGCTGCATTTGAAGGAATGATTTGTGTAGATATCTGAATAATTTGATGGTGAATAGAAATAACCTGTCTTTGCATGTCTAGAGAATGCTCTTGAGAAGTTTCTACTTATCAGTCTTTACAAAATATTGTGATTATGTAAGGTCCCATCTGTGAATGGTTTTCCTATAAGAATTTTTTTCTTTTAATTTACTTACTTGAAAAGAGTCTTAGGAGGGTATACTTGACTGGGCACAGTGGCTTACCCCTGTAATCCCAACACTTTGGGAGGCCGAGGTGGGTGGATTATGAGGTCAGGAGTTCAAGACCAGCCTGGCCAACATAGTAAAACCCCGTCTCTACTAAAAATACAAAAAAATTAGCTGGGCATGGTGATTAGCACCTGTAGTCCCAGCTACTTGGGAGCCTGAGGCAGGAGAATCATTTGAACTGGGGAAGCAAAGGTTGCAGTGAGCCGAGATGGCACCACTGCACTCCAGCCTGGGCAACAGAGCGAGACTCCATCTCCAAAAAAAAAAGAGGTTCTACTTAATAAATCTAACTGTTTTGGAGAAATTACATTGAAAATATTTTGGATTTTTGATTGTTTGCAAGTGAAAATGTAAATGAAATACTACTAGGTGCTTTGAGCTGTGAGCAAAGGCCTACTGAGCATTTATCAAGATTATGTTCAGTGGACGTTGTTTGTTAAATGCAAAGCAGTCTACTGTGAAAAGATGAGCAAGATATATGTCCTACCCTCATTTGAATACTATAAAGAGATTAAAAAGTATTAGACATTTTCAAAAACTGTTTCAATCATGGTTAAATCAAGTAGGACTAGGCTCAACTAATTAAAAGAAAACTCTGGACTTTCAGTGGATTACACAACACGGAAATTTATTTCTTCCTAATACACAAGAAATCAGGAATAGGCTATATAAGGGTGATAATGCTGGCTCTATGAAATTGTCAGGGGTCTAGTCTCCTAGGCATGGCCCTTATGATCTAAGATGATTGTAAATTTTTTTTTTTTACTGTTATATCTTTTTTTTAATTTTAAGGAATGTTATTTTAAAACATTATAAAAATCATAGGCTTATTTCAATATTTTAAAATATCTTCTGTAACATTCCACTCAGAAGGTAGATAACAAAATTCTTCCCATAGGAAGGGTGCCAATGGAATGTGATATTATATTATTCAGTTATTCCATTTTTTCTTCCTACCTCATTTTTGCTGAAGAACTGCTCACTTAATATCCTGGGAGTGATCTTGTTGAAATTTGCCACCATCATGTTGAAGCAATGAACCTTCACCCGTAGTATAATGAATGTGACACTGCTTATATCTATCCTGTAGGACAGCTAAAAGGACAAGACCTCAGCATCACATGCCAACCAGTCTGTTAGAGCAATCACACACATAACTACTTTTGCCAAAATCCTCCAACTTAATTTTTAAATAGCTGAAATATAGTCAAGGCCATATGGGTACTGTACCTGGAACTAGAAACATACCCTTTTCACACACATTCAGTGTTACAGCAACAGCATCCTGGGACAGGTTAGGACACAATCACATTTTTTAAAATCAAGAGTAAGAAGTAAACATAAAAGAATATTTGCACAAGGCACAGAATCCTGTTTCTTGGCAATAGACAGAAAACAACTGGCTAAAGAAATAGGTTTACAGATAGATACAATCTAGAATTTGATTCTTTGAGTATTAAACTTGGAGACATAGCTATATACATTCCAACATACAATCTAATATTTTACATTAGTAGTTTCTTATTCAATATTTAAAAGAAAAACCTACCAAAAACCAACCCAAATTATATTTATTAACCATTGGATAACCCCTTTTATCCTTTATCAGCCACTTTACTCCAGGTTTGATTAGTGTAATCATGAGATTGTCTAGCCTAATGCTCTAGGGAAAATTCTGTGGGTGTAAGATGATGCCTTGCTGTGGAACCATTAATTATTAAGCTCCAAGTGAACTGAAGCAGATATTTATGAAATGATGATATATTTCCAAAAATACGAAAAACAGATAAGGCAGATGGTAACTCTAATAAGAGTCACTGAAGTATTATAATGGCACTCTGGAAATGGCTCATAGCAAAACCCAACTTTTTTTTTTGAGACAGAGTTTCACTCTTGTTACCCAGGCTGGGGTGCAGTGGCGCGATCTCAGCTCACTGCAACCTCCACTTCCCGAGTTCAAGCGATTCTCCTGCCTCAGCCTCCCGAGTAGCTGGGATTACAGGCATGTGCTACCATGCCCAGCTAATTTTGTATTTTTTTTTTTTAGTAGAGATGGGGTTTCTCCATGTTGTTCAGGGTGGTCTTGAACTCCCGACCTCAAGTGATCTGCCCACCTCAGCCTCCCAAAGTGCTGGGATCACAGGCATGAGCCACTGCGTCTGGCCCTAACTTTTTTTGTTAACTTTTAGGTTTGGAGTACATTTGCCAGTTTGTTATAGGTAAACTCATGTCAAGGGGGTTTGTTACACAGATTATTTCATCACCCAGGTACTAAGCCTAGTACCCAATAGTTATTTTTTCTATTCCTTTCCCTCCTCCCACCCTCTACCCTCAAGTAGGCCTAGTGCCTATTGTTCCTCTCTTTGTGACCGTGTATTCTCATCATTTAGCTCCTACTTGTAAGTGAAAACATGTAGTATTTGGTTTTCTGTTCCTGCATTAGTTTGCTAAGGATAATGACCTCTAGCTCCATCCATGTTCCTGCTAAAGACATAATCTCATTCTTTTTTATGGCTGCTTAGTATTCTATGGTACATATATATATAGAGAGAGATACCACATTTTTTTTAATCCAGTCTCCCACTGATGGGCATTTAGGTTGATTCCATGTCTTTGCTATTGTGAATAGTGCTGCAGTGAACATATACGTGCATGTGTCCTTATGATAGACTTATATTCTTTTGGGTATATACCTAGTAATGCGATTGCTGGGGCAAATGGTAGTTCTGTTTTTTAGGTCTTTGAGGAATCACCACACTGTCTTCCACAATGGTTCAACTAATATACATTCCCACCAACGGAATGTGAGCGTTGCCTTTTCCCTGCGGCCTCACCAGCATATGTTATTTTTTGACTTTTTAAAAATAGCCATTCTGACTGGTGTGAGATAGTATCTCATTGTGGTTTTGATTTGCATTTCTTTAATGATCAGTGATTTGAGCCATTTTTCATATGCTTGTGGGTCACCTGTATGTCTTTTGAAAAGTGTTGATATCCTTTGCCCACTTTTTAATGGTTTTTTTTCTTGTAAATTTAAGTTCCTTATAGATGCTGAATATTAGACCTTTGTCAGATGCATAGTTTGCAAATACTTTCTCCCATTGTATAGGTTGTCTGTTTACTCTGTTGATAGTTCCTTTTGTTGCACAGAAGCTCTTCAGTTTAATTAGATTTCATTTGTCGGTTGTTGCTTTTGTTGCAATTGCTTTTGGCGTCTTTGTCTTGAAATCTTTGCCAGTTCCTACGTCCAGAATGGTACTGCCTAGGCTGTCTTCCAGGGTTTTTATAGTTTTGGGTTTTACCTTTAAGTCTTTAATCCATCTCGAGTTGATTTTTGTATATGGTGTATGGAAGGGGTCCAGTTTCAGTCTTCTGCATGTAGCTGGCCAGTTATCCCAGCACCATTTATTGATTAGGGAGTCCTTTCCACATTGTTCTTGTCAGCTTTGTCGAATATCAGATGGTTGTAGGTATGCGGCCTTATATATGGGCTCTCTATTCTGTTTCATTGATCTGAGTGTCTGTTTTTGTACCAGTGTCATGTTGCAAAACCTTCTTTTCTGTTAGGTTCATCACATGGGTGCAACCATTGTCAGTAGAAAACAAACAGGAGCCTCCATGGGTAGGCCCACGCCAAGGGAATTTTCCTCTTATGGATCCACAGAAGAAAAATAATTTTTGGTGCCATGTGGCTTGTCCTTATCTCCAGCAAAACAATCTAGTTCCCTCAACCCCATTGTGTGTCTGGGAAAAGATAGTGAAAATATTTCCATAAGAGGCAAAGACTATAACAAAGCTACAAGCTCACTGTGCAAAGGTGTGAAAATGTCATGGTAAAAAGCACCACATGCTAATTTTTTTTTTTTTTTTTTTTTTGAGACGGAGTCTCATTCCATCATCCAGGCTGGAGTGCAGTGGTGCAATCTCGTTTCACTGCAACCTCCACCAGGTTCAAGCATTTTTCTTGCCTCAGCCTCCAGAGTAGCTGGGATTACAGACACGTACCCCCACGCGGGGCTAATGTTTGTACTTTTAGTAGAAATGAGATTTCACCATGTTGACCAGGCTGGTCTCAAACTCCTGACCTCCCAAAGTGCTGGGATTACAGGTGTGAGCCACTGCTCCCGGCATTTTTTTTTTTTTTTTTTTTTTTTGGAGACAGATTCTCACTCTGTCACCAGGCTGGAGTGCAGTGGTGCGATCTTGGCTCACTTCAGCCTCTGTCTACTGGGCTCAAGCGATTTTCCTGATTCAGCCTCCCGAGTAGCTGGGATTACAGGCATGTGCCACCAAGCCCAGCTGATTTTTTGTATTTTTAGTAGAGACTGGGTTTCACTATGTTGGCCAGGTTAGTCTCAAACTCCTGACCTCAAATGATCTGTCCGCCTTGGCCTACCAAAGTGCTGGGGTTACAGTTACAAGCCACCGTGCCTAGCTGATTTTAATAGCTTTTTTTTAACTGGAGAAATCTATTTGTTATGTACACACCACAGAAAAATTGCCCCCGCCCCTGAAAAAAAAAAGGTCATGCAAGAAAATCAGATTCCTAATATAAAAATGTATATATCTAAAGTAGGCAAAAATATGGTTTATGTTTTAAAAAGAAAATATGTAAAATTTCACTATGAAATGCTTTGATTTGCATGTGACTTAGTACTTATTTCATATTAACCATATCCAGTTGCTATGATAAGTCTCTATGTTTTAGAATAGCTATTCTTTAAAAATATCTATTTTTAAGCCAGAACATATACGTTACATTTGTGCATCCGTGTGTAAGCTATCCTGCTTGGTATGGAATCAAGATACTAAAAGATTAATAAAAGAAGTTTTAAAATCTTCAGTCACAGACTAGCAAAGAATATATTTCTTCAAGTTTTCTGGGCCACACTGCTGACTTAATATTAATGCAATCTGAATTTTCAGATGTAAATACCAGTGAGAGGTTGGTTGTCAAAACTTAAAAGCAGTTGAGTTGGGAGGACCTTCACAATATCGGCTCTTAAATCATAAGTAAAATTATTCTTAGAACTGGACCATAGTAAGCAGAAAGCCTTAAGTTTTCTTAGCTCAAACCCTCCAAATTGACTCTTAACATTCATAATCATGCCCTTTTAGTTGCTTTAAGAGGGCATACTGACTTTGTGGTCTATACTTTGTAAGAGAGCAGGTAACTCTAGCACAAAAGAAACTGTAATATGGAACTGGGGAGGACTTCAGTGGCACTATTCCAATTTTATTGATCCATACTGTTGCTTTCAACCCTGCTTTGAGACCCCCTTGTGTGTCACTTTCTAACATGTCACCAACCATCACACAGTCCACAGGTTGTACTCCAAGGAGATTGCAGCATTAATAAAATATGGAAGGTGCTGGCTTCTCCTCCCTCTGCTGTTCACCTACAACAACTTGGACATAGGACTGACAGACACAAGCCTCATCTTCTCCCTCTGGGTCTGTCTGACCCCATTCATTACTAAAAGTAGGCAGACCTCCTTTCTGATTTCAATGAGCATAGCTTTGACATCTCACTGACCTTAGTGTCATGTGCTGTAAATGTGTGGTTTTCCAAAGGAGGTAACGTTCTTCAGCCAGTTTCCTATTGGCTACACCATGTTTTGTTTCCTGGATTGCTTCCTCCCATTGTGAAGTCCTTAGATCAGTAATGCATGTATTGTAATGGTGAAAACATTCCTTCTTGAGTTTAACTTGAGCTTTATCACAGGTGAATTCAGCCTCCTGTTTATACTGGTATTTTGATTGTAAGAGCTTTATTGCCTCCAACATGCCTCTCCTGCTTGTCACACCTGTGTTGATGAGTGTGTTGTCCAGGTCAAAGAAAATGGCCTGCACGTGGCTCAGCCCCATAGCACCTGTGCCTTGCTGCAACCTGCCACGTCGCTGCCTGCACATGCGCAAGGTGGGCGGCCCAATTTTGTTTTTTTCTTTGAGAGAGGGTCTCGCTCAAACAGTCCTCCCGCCTCAGCCTCCCAAGTAGCTGGGACCACAGATGCATGCCAGCACGCCCAGCTAATTTTTTCTTCATTTATAGCAGAGATGAGGTCTTGCTATGTTGCCCAGGATGATCTAGAACTCCTGAGCTCAAGCAATCCTCCTACCTCAGCCTCCCAAAGTGCTGGGACAGGCATGAGCCACCACTCCCAGCCATACTGTAGAATTATTACATCATCATTTGAGGATATACAAAAGAATGAGAGAATAATTTTCGTTTTTATCTCATTAGCTAAAATTGAGTCACATGGCTACACATAAGTGCATGGGAAACTGAGAAAATTTTTTAGCTGGGCATATATGGCTGTTCTTCACAAAGAACTGAAGTGCAGTTACTGAAAAGGGGAGGATGTTTGTTGGAGAAGCATCTTGTAGTCGGCCACAAAAGGAGGGAGATTCTCTTTTTAAATATTTATTTATTTGACACATTGTAATTGTACCTATTTATGGGATACAATTTGATGTTTTGATACATATCTGTGTTGTATAATGATACAAGGAATGTATCCATCATTTCATGCATTTAGGAGCCAGGTTTTGTTAGGTTTTGTTTGTATTTTTAGTAGAGATGGGGTTGCCCAGGCTGGTCTCGAACTCCCGGGTTCAAGCAATCTGCCTGCCTCGGCTTCCCAAAGTGCTGGGATTACAGGAATGAGCCACTGCACCAGCATTGAGAGAGGCTAATTCTTACTGGGAGATTGGGAAAATATTTGAAGAATGGATGTATTTTTATAAGGTAGTAATGAAGAGGGAAAGAACCTAGGAGGTAAAAATAATCTAGATGTAAAGATACAGAATCAGAAGAGTGCAGGAGAACAGCAGGAATGTGGCTTATAAGAGGTGAAGGAATGAAAGATAGGCTCTCTGTAGGTAGGTTGGGGCTATTGTACGTAGGAGGCTCCTGGTTCTACCAAAAATAATGACAGAAAATTAGCTGGTGCAGAAAACTGTGGAACTGGTCGTAAAGTCCTTAATGAAAAGTAGAATCCTAGAAGTCAGGAGATCATTGCAGAGAGATTGGTAAAGTCAGATATGATAGTGCTTCAAAGAAATAAAGTTGGACATCAGCACATTTAGAAATTACATGGAGAGGAAGAAGATTAACTCACTCATGGTGATTCCATGAGTCAAAGGGATTAAAGAAAGATCTTTCTTTCCCTTTCAGAGGATTTAAGGTAAGTGATGCTGTCACATATATAATAAGGCAAGTAGAGTTGATCCTTGAATAACATAGGGGTTAGGGGCACCAACCCCCTGTGCAGTTGAAAAATTTGTGTATAATTTTAAACTCGCCAAAAACTTAACTACCAATAGCCTGCTGTTGAGTGGAAGCCTTCCTGATAACATAAACAATAGAATAACACATATTTTAATATTGTTTTTACTATATTCTAACAAAGTAAGCTAGAGAAAAGAAAATGTTATTAAGAAAACCAAAAGGAAGAGAAAATATACTTACTATTAAATAGAAGTGGATTATTATGAAGGTCTTCATTCTTGTCATTGTCAAGTTGAGTAGGCAGAGGTGGAGGAAGCGGAGGGATTGATCTTGCTGTCTCATGGGGTGGCAGAGGCAGAGGAGGTGGCAGGGGAGGCAGGCACACTCTTTGTAACTTTTATTGAAAAAAATCTGCATATAAGTGGACCTGTGTACTTCAAGCCCTTGTTGTTCAAGGGTCAGACAAACATAGAAAGCATTCAAGAATATGAGGGAGTTTGTTTACAGTGAACCTTAGTGAGTACAGAGAGTCTGGTACAGTTAGTAGAGAGGATACTAGAAGGGATCTGGTAGAGATAGAAACAAGCTAGCTATAGATTAGCATGAAGAGTAGATGGAAGACAGGATCTGTATTTAAGGAGCTGATTATAGGTTTATAAAGATGAAAAAAGCATGTGGCAGTAGTCTTAAAAAACTTTTAATGATGGTGATGGAAAGTGGGGAGGAGATAGAGGAAGAGGGAAATGGAGGAAATGTGAGTATAGAATGAGAACCAGCACCCAGATTATCTTTGGTACATTGGGGTATTAGATAGCTTAGATTAATTTGTGGTAGGAACCCCCCAGATCTCAGTGCATTACTACAACAAAGGTTTATTTCTCATTTGTGTTGTCCATTGTTGTTTGGCTGGGGCTTTGCTCTACATCCTCTACCTTCTAGTACTGAGGCCGAAGGGCTAGTCTGGGACATAGCCGAGGGAAAAGAGAAAATAGTGGAGCCACACAATAGCTTTTAAAGCTTCTGCTGGGAAGTGGCACGTGTATCTTCTACATACATTCCAGGCTGAGCACGGTGGCTCACATCTGTAATCCCAGGACTTTAGGAGGCCAAGGCGGAAGGATTGCTTGAGCCCAGGAGTACTAGACCAGCCTGGGCAACAAAGTGAGACCTTGTCTCTACAAAGAAACTTAAAAAAGGAATTAGCCAGGTGTGGTGGCACATACCTGTGGTCCTAGCTACGTGGGAGGCTGAAATTGAGGATCGCTTGAGCCCAGGACCTCAAGGCTTCAGTCAGCCATAACCATGCCACTGCACTCCAGCCTGGGTGACAGAGTGAGTCCCCATCTTAAAAAACAAAGACAAAAACAAACCTACACATGACCATGGCTAAACCTGGTATCAGTGAGTGGGAGGGAGAAGCCTTGGGCGGCCGTGCGATAAATGTTTTTAATCGAATAATGTTATCTCCTGCTGTGGGATATTATACTATGAGGAAGCCACAGTTCAAGTGTAGGGTGCTTGTTGACAATTAATACAGCATCCTAGCCTTTTGAGCAGGAAAGAGATAAGTGGATGAGCCACAGCTAAATTTTCATCTATGTTCAGGCTGCTGCTGTTGGTGCTGGGTTATGTCCAGAGAAATGAATAACTGTGTGTAAAAGGAAATGCGAGAAGTTTGTTCATAATTCATTACTTAACCTATAATGTTTATTACTTGCCTACTTTCACTTACAATAAATTTTCATAGTTTAAGAGAAATTATCATTGTTTAGAAAACAACAAAATTTAGTTTAACGGGGAACTCTCAATACCATTTAGGGAGCTCCTGGCTTTTGTATCCTCCAAATCCTCTAACCCAGTTCTTTGTACATAAGTAAATTATTTTGTTAATTGAATGAATGAATGTATCTGTGAGGTTTTGCTGTACATACGTACAGTAAGATTTATATTATGTCTAGCACAATGCCATGTCTTTTGGGGAAATATGTCTCTTATTTTAAGGACATGAAGAGTATAAGCTAAAGAACGGAAGACATGTATCAACTATGGGAGATTTTTGGGTTACTCTCTAATGGGTTAAGGTTTATAATTTATGTCTGAGATATAGGCCGATTTTGGTAATGTTGTGTTTCTCTGTGCTAGGAGTTAGATTTTTATTTTAGTCTATCTCAGATTCCTTCATCTGTTGCACTGGTAGTAAAAAGCAGATAGTACAATCTGTGTATGAAACAAGAATTGAAGGAGAGAGGTAGACTAAAGCAGGAGAGGAGAGCGAGAAAAGAAATAAAGGATGAAATCAGGATGACAGAGAAAATGAGATTTGATTAAGGTAAAGACACAGTTGTTTCAGGAAACAGCATGGTTAGTGCAAGTATTTTTTTAACTGCCCCAAATAGTTGCTGCATTTTCTTGATATATATCTATATATATATAATATATAAATATATATGATATATATCTATATATATAATATATAAATATATATGATATATATCTATATATATCATATATAAATATATATGATATATATCTATATATATCATATATAAATATATATGATATATAAATATATATGATATATATCTATATATATCATATATAAATATATATGATATATAAATATATATGATATATATCTATATATATCATATATAAATATATATGATATATATCTATATATCATATATAAATATATATGATATATATCTATATATATCATATATAAATATATATGATATCTATCTATATATATCATATATAAATATATATGATATCTATCTATATATATCATATATAAATATATATGATATCTATCTATATATCATATATAAATATATGATATCTATCTATATATATCATATATAAATATATGATATCTATCTATATATCATATATAAATACATATGATATCTATCTATATATCATATATAAATACATATGATATCTATCTATATATCATATATAAATACATATGATATCTATCTGTATCATATATAAATACATATGATATCTGTATCATATATAAATACATATGATATCTGTATCATATATAAATACATATGATATCTGTATCATATATAAATACATATGATATCTATATATCATATATAAATACATATGATATCTATCTATATATCATATATAAATACATATGATATCTATCTATATATCATATATAAATACATATGATATCTATCTATATATCATATATAAATACATATGATATCTATCTATATATCATATATAAATACATGATATCTATCTGTATCATATATAAATACATGATATCTATCTGTATCATATATAAATACATATGATATCTATCTGTATCATATATAAATACATATGATATCTGTATCATATATAAATACATATGATATCTGTATCATATATAAATACATATGATATCTGTATCATATATAAATACATATGATATCTGTATATATAAATACATATGATATCTATCTGTATATATAAATACATATGATATCTATCTGTATAATATATAAATACATATATCTATCTGTATAATATATAAATACATGATATCTATCTATATATAATATATAAATACATATGATATATATCTATATAATATATAAATACATATGATATATATCTATATAATATATACATTATATATAACATAAATATAAATATATATTTTTTTTAAATCAGGTCTCCAGATTAACAGTGAGTTTTTTTGTCTTAACTTAGGTGTATACTCTTGATGTACCAGATGCATTCTATTACTGTTATAGTCCAGACCCTGGTAATGCAAAGGGAAAAGATGCCATTATGGAAACAATGGCTGACCAGATAGTTACAGTGTGTGCCACCTTGGATGAAAATCCCGGAGTAAGATATAAAAGGTAAGACACTGAGCATCTGCACATGTTATGCTTCCTATTTACCATTCATTATAGAGGTAAGTAATGTGTCTGTACCTTGGCATGTTGGTTTGCAAAATTTATTTTCTTTGTATGATTACCATGCTCTACATATAGGAGATTTAAAGCTTGTGGTTTAAATTTCAGACTAGCAAATAGCTTCTGTTACTGAATTTCGGAGCCTAAATTTGGTACAATTTACGGACGGTTTTTCATCAGTTTAAAGAACGCTTAGAGGAAATGTCTTTATAGTCACATAGGGAATACAGTGTTACAGTTAATGTTTTTCATTAAATCACCAACAAATTTAAATGACCATATTCTCTGGATACCTGTTACAATGTCAAAGTATCTATAGTATCTAATCTGCCTATTCTAAATAAATTTTGGGGTTTTCTTAAGGGGTAAAATTTAACTTTAGTACAATATACCTTGACTTATATACTTCTTTTTAAAAATGAAGTTTACTATAAAGTGCCTAAATTGTCTATACAGTAAGTCCTCACTTAAAATGTTGTTGATAGGTTCTTGTTAACTGACAAAACCAATTTTACCATAGGCTAATTGATATAAACAAGAATTAAGTTCCTTGGTTATGTAATGTCACCAAACTTCTACATAAAGACCTGAAACACTTCGAATATTAAACATTGAAAGAAATGTGACTATATGTACATTTAAGAAAGATTAATAAAAACAGGATCATTTTTTTGCCCAGTTATTCTAGTTCAGGCTCATTAGAAGGATGGCCAGAGCTCATCCCAGCAGCTCATGGCACAAGGCAGGAACCCACCCAGATTATAGGATACCATCCCATTGCAGGGCACACTACACACACATCCACACTCACTCGACTGGGACAATTTAGACATGCCAGTTAACCAAACATGCTGCACATCTTTGGGATGTGGGAGGAAACCAGAGTACCAGGAGAAAACCCATGCAGACGTGGAGGGATCATGCAAACGCCACACAGACAGTGGCCTCAGCCAGGAATCTTTTTTTTTTCCTCTGCATTATATCGAGATGACGAACAAAATGACATTATTTGAGGACGTGCTAGATATGGCATGTTAATTCATTCCAAAATGAACATATCCATCTAACCCTACCAAGGTCAAAAAAATAGAACATTAACAGCATCTCAGAGGCCTCTCTTGTGATCCCTCCCAGCTCTCCCGTCCCTTTTCTTCCCTAGAGATGACTACCATCTGACTTTTAACACATAGTTAAATTTTGCTTGATTTTGAGCTGGTATAAATGGAACCACATGATATTTTTTGTTTTTGACTTCTTTGCACAACATTATTTTCTGAGAGTCATCCATGTTTGTTGTGTGTGCCAGGCAGTTTTAGTTTTAATTTTGGTCTGCTAGTTCATGTGTGACCCTCTCGCCTCAGTTTCCTTATCTATGAAATAAGAATGATAATAATACCTACCATATACAGTTGTTTTTAGAATTAAATGAATTAATATCTGTAAAGCATTCAGCACTAATAAATATGGTAGTAAATATATTGCACTACTCGTAATAAGTATTACTCATTTGTCTTTTAAAAAGTCCTTTAATTTGAACATTGGCATTTGTCAAGTTAGCTGGCTGAACTGTTTAATTTTAAATTCATGTAGTACTTTAAGTCACATTACTCTTCACTTACCATTTAAAAATTCCACTATTAGTACTTAGAAAAAGTATAGTGATCTCCTTGGAGATTAAGTTATCTCCTTAATTCAGGTATTACCAGACAAGCTCTTTATTCATACCTTGGGTATTAGAAACATTCTTTTTCTCTCTTTCTTTCCTTTTTTTTTTTTTTTTTTTTTGAGATGGGGGTCTCTATGTGTTGCCCAGGCTGGTCTCAAACTCCTGGGCTCAAGCAATCCACCTGCCTCTGCCTCCCAAAGTGCTGGGATTATCTTTTTCTTGTCAGAGATGTGCTAATTACATTCTGGACTCAGTGGAGCTAAGTGGTTTGGCTCCTGTTAAGGGTTTAGTAACTGTTGAAGCTTCTACTGTTGGTGATTGGTTACGTTCAGGGAAATGAGTAAATATAGCCAATTTATAATTTTATCACTCACATAAGGGCTAGTTTTGAGTTATGCTAATAAATAATCTGTAATCCTGTCTTTTAAAATTCTACCTGTTTCCACAAAATATTCCTTTACGCTTTATAAAGTATAATTTAAAAATGAAGTTTCTTTCTTTTGAAAATATAGTACAAAGAGTTTAATTTATTGTACAATTAATTTATTGTACAATTTATTGTACAGAGTTTAATTATTGTACAAAGAGTTGAATTACCCTTTATAGATGTTACATTATTTATTTTTAAGGTATACAACCTAAAGATTCTGTAAAACTTTGAAGCCCTCACAATGAGACCTCCCATTTTTGAGGTTGTTATGCTGGTGAAGAGCCTTTTTCTTTCTCTCTCTCTTTTTTCTTAAATAATTTTTGTGGATACATAGTAGGTGTATATATTTATGGGGTACGTGACACATTTTGATACAGACATACAATGCATAATAGTCACATCAGGGTAAACGGGATATCTATCACCTCAAGCATTTATCCTTTCTTTGTGATAAAAACAATCCAATTATACTCTTAGTTATTTTTAAATATACTGTAGTCACCCTGTTGTGCTATCAAATACTAGATCTTACTCATTCTACCTATATTTTTGTACCCATTACCCATCCCCACTAAACAGTCACCCACCACTCCTGCCCCTTTCCAGCCTCTGGTAACCATCTTTCTACTTTCTGCATGAGAATTGTTTTCATTTTTAGCTCCCGGAAGCAAGTGAGAACATGCGAAATGTTCTTTCAGTGCCTGGCTTATTTCGCTTAACATGGTGACCGCCAGTTCCATCCATGTTGTTGTAAATGTCAAGATCCATTCTTTTTTATGGCTGAAACATTTGTTTCAGTATTTGTAATAGTGTAATAAGAATGACTCATATGTCCATCTTTAGAGGAATCGATACATAGAATCCAATATAATCATGATGGAATACTGTATAGGAGATAAAATGAATAAATCCGATATGTGTGTCAATGTCAATGTAGATAAATCTCAAACACACACACACACACACACACACACACACACATACATATGAAACAGAAATGACTGGAGGGAGAATACACATGAAATTAATTATAATGGTTGCCTTGGTTTGAGGCAGGGGTATGGGAGAGGACCAGGACTTAGGAGTGGAATAAAAGGAACTGCAACTTTACATGTAATATTTTATTTCCTTTATATTAAAAAATCTGAAGCAGATATGATAAGGTTTTTCCTTGTAAATTCCAAATATATCGATATAAGATTATTTGATACATTATCTGAACTTTTACATGTTTATAAAATAATTTTTCATTTTGTAAACATTTTTTAAATTTCAGTTTAATTTTAGAATTAAACTTCATGATATTATAAAGTATACACTGAAAGAAAGATAATTGTTTGATCCTTTTTTCCATTTCTAGTAAACCTCTAGATAATGCCAGTAAGCTTGCACAGCTTGTTGAAAAAAAGCTTGAAGACTACTACAAGATTGATGAAAAGAGCCTAATAAAGGTAATGTATGCAAGGCAAGTAATGACTATGCATAAAGTCTGTCTTATTTCTTTATAAGCCAAAGAAACTTGCTCATTCATTTTCTAGTATTGATTTGGGAGTCATTAACATAGATCTCCAATACTGATTTGAGAATCATTAACATACACAATCGTGCAAACCTTAATAGATGGTATGGTTTAGAGGGGGATCTATTAACTAACAGATTTTGAAGTCAGCACTGTGTCCAAATCTAGTTCTGCCGTTTAATTCATAGTTAATGTCTATTTGGGCAAATTATGTAACTTCTATGTAACTACATTTTCTTTTCTATAAAATGGGGATAATAAAAGAATACCTATTTTAAAAGTTATGATTAAATGAGTTAATACATGGAAAGTCCTTAGAATAATGCTTGCCAATGTGTAAACATTTAATAAATGTAGGAATTCCTATTATCACTAGTTCTGTGACCTTGAGTTTTCCATCTGTGAAATAGATGAAATAATATATACCTTGCTAGGCGGTATGAGGATTAAGTTAGCATGTAAGTATTTGGCACCAATGTGAATTTAATAAATGGCAGCCATTGTTATCCTATGGAAATAATATAATCAAAGACTAAGGTTGAAATCTGGGAAATACCAGCATTTACATGTGGGTGAGAGAATGAAGAGCTTGAGGAGACTGACAGAGGTGGTGCCAGAGGCCTAGGAAGCCATATTACAGTAGCTGGAGAATGAAGAAAAGGAACTGTTGCTAGTTTAGAAGAGGAGTTGTGCCAGGAAACCACCAATTACAATACTGTGTAATAAGTGGAATGAGAGAAGAATATACAGAGTATAATGGGAATATAGTCCCGGGCTTATCTTCTAAACTGGAGTGTTGGAAGGCATCCCAAGAAGAAGAGGCCCTTTAGCTTGAAGAATGAAGTAACATGATAAAGAGGGAGTTCATTGCATGGAAAACAGGATTCTTCAGGTAGAGGCAATAGAGAAAAAGGCAAAATCCACAATTAAACAGTGTGGCTGGAATGGAAGATATAAACTTAGATGTTAGGTTAGTTACCTTAAAAGTAACCTGTTTTTGGTTTAGAGGCCTGGTGAAGGCTGTTATTCTGGTTGTAGTTTTGAAGACAGAATGGCTTAGTACACATCGTAGATAGTGAATAAATGTTTGTTGAATGAAGAGATATACAATCAAATATGCTTTTAGTCCTTCATGTTTTCAGTGGAAAAAGAGCAAAATCCACAAAAATTAAACTTGTCCTTTCCACTCTTTCTGCCTGGAAAATTAATCATCCTTCAAATACTTGATACCTTTCCTTTATTCAGGGACACCTGATAAAGTGATAAAGTGTCACCTTATTTTTGAAGCCTTCCTTGACTCTTCAGGCCAAGTGTTGCTTCCTCCCACATGCTATCATAAGCCCTAAGCCTGCTATAGAATTTATATTGCACTTTTTCCTGTTTATATTTCTGAAGATTCATAGCTCATATTTTTGAGGGCTTACTGTGCTGTGTTTCATAGTATGATTATGTTTAACCTTTTCAGTCATCTTATAAGGCAAAGATTCCATAATTGTGGTTCATTTTACAAAGAGAATACTGCCATGTAAACAGGATAAGCATTTTGTCCAAACTTGTACTGCAAGATGTGGTCAAGGCTGGACTCAGATTCAGACCTAGCTGATTTCCAAGGCTGTGCTCTGAACCACCATATCATACTGTCTCAAAATTTAATTAAATTAATGTGCTTAATTTTAAAATATTTTAAAAATCTAGCCTATAAAATTTACTTGTTATATGTAAATAAATAGAAAATGTTTGTATAATGATCTGTAGTTATCTGTTATTGCTTTGAATACTAATCCAAAGAATTTATTACTTTTTAAAATGAAATATGAAAGATACTGACATTAACAATAAATGTTTCCAGCACTGTTATTCACTGTTTAGTGATTAGTGATGTTTGCGAATTAATGATAACAAGGCTTTCATTGTGATTTATCATCTTAGTTGGTATCAGTACAGTCTTTTAAAATAGCATAATGGATAAGAGCACAGATGTTGGAGCAAACCTGCATTTGAATCTCCATTCTGCCTCTTACTACCTGTGTGATTTGGGCAAGTTAGTTCATTTCAGACCGCAATGCCCTCATGGTCAACTGGAGATAATAATGCCTGTCTCACAGGATTACTAAAAGAATTAAATGAAATAGTCCATGTATTTTTGTTTAGTAAAATGTCTAATATTTAGAGCTCAAATAGTAGCTACTATTCATAATTTAAGTTTTAGTGCTTTTGGAACTCAATTCATAAGAAAATAGATATAGTGCAAACAAAATGTTACTTTTTTAAAAGGAATTTTCAAGCTATTATACAGTTGTCCCTTGGTAAACACAGAGGAGGGTTGGTTCCAGGACCTCCTGTGTATACCAAAATCCACACATACTCAAGTCCTGCATCAGCCCAACAGAACCTACATATCTGGAAAGTCAGCCCTTCATACACGCAGGTTTCACATCCTGCAAATACTGTATTTTCTATCTGTTATTTAGTTGAAAAAACTCTGAGTATAAGTGCATCCATGCAGTTCAAACCCAAGTTATTAAATATACCCTCTTACTCTAATTACAAAAGTAATTAGATTTTAGTTATATAGTCTTCATTTTTCCTCTCTTGGGCTACTCAGATTTTTCTTTGTTTTATTATAACTTCACATTCTTAAGACAATTAACCATTTGTTTTGTTCTGTTGTATGTTTTTGGTGGGGAAAAGGGACAGAACTTAGGAAAAGGGTGCTTTGTATTCTAAGATATTAAAACTATGTTCACACTAAGAAATTGAAGCTGCTTAAGATGATTTTATCTTGTTATTCTAGGGTAAAACTCATTCACAGCTCTTAATAATTGATCGTGGCTTTGATCCTGTGTCCACTGTCCTGCATGAACTGACCTTTCAGGCAATGGCATATGATCTACTACCAATTGAGAATGATACATACAAGCAAGTATAACTTGAAGGGCATATAAAGGGCATATACAAACAGGATAGAATATGAGCATTTAATGATTTATATAGGCACCAGAAATCTGAAAGCCCCTATAACCTTTTCTATTCAGAGACTTTATCCTTCTCTTATTCCTACAGTTATAGTCTTTGACAGATAATGTTGACCTTGTAAATTAAAGTGTAATTTGATTGCTTTGGAGCATTTTTGGTGTGTTTGCTTCCTTAACTGTGTGTACAGTAGAGCTACATTTAAACACAGGGAATTTGGCCCTTTTGCTTTTAAAAGTAAATACCAGGCTCACTATCATTGAAGGAGAAACCATATTCAAAATTGTTAGGCTATAATTGTTCTGAATCATACATTCAAAAGTGTATGTGTCTTATCAACATAAAGTATTTTAAAAGATTGGAACACTAGAAAACTAAATAGGATGGCTATTGAGGACAACAGGCATAGTTTTACCATTTTGGTACCTTCTACTGAGTTAATCTTGGTATAAACATATTTACTTTAAAAGTAATGTCAAATAAAAACCTAAATGAAAAATGAAATAGTTTTCTATCAAGGAATCATCTTACTGTATCTCTGTATCATTTATGGTGTATGTGTTACATACATTACAAATGTTATTTGATGTCATGATTTCTGAATCCAAACTGGTATTTGTCAGCTAAGATTTACTGCTTGAGTACAGTAATAAAAATGAAAATAGTTTTCTGAAATTTTATGTTTAAACTAATTTGTTAGTTTTAAGATACAGACACTTGTGATAGTTATGATACTGTTTTTTTTCTTAAATATTGTTAAAATTTGTATTTTCTATTGTATTTTTATTTGCATTCTGGTCAAATCTTGGTTTCTGAGTTTTTCTCTGTATTATCTGTATTAATGTTAGATAACATAGCTATTTTTCTAATATAAAAGTTATTTTAAGCAGTTTATTCAGAGGGGATATTATTTACCTCTGTTACCCTGTAGGTCTCTAAACTTTTAAGTAGACTTATTTTTTAAAAAGCTACTATACTCCCTTCTTTCTGAATCAAAAACATTCAGAGATAAGAATTAGATGGAAGTAAAGCTCCCTGTGGTTTGTGCTCCATCACAATTTTTTTTTTTTTTTTTTTTTTTTTTAGTAGAGGCAGGGTTTCCCCATGTTGGCCAGGCTAGTCTTGAACTCCTGACCTCAGGTGATCCCCCTGCCTCGGCCTCCCAAAGTGCTGGGATTGCAGGGGTGAGCCACCACGCCCAGCCTTCATCACAGTTTTTTATGGAAACAGAATACAAAGCAGCAGGAAGCTCTAAGTGTCCAGATTCAAGTTTTCATGTTGGTGCCTTCTTTAAATTTACTTTTTTTTTTTTTTCTTTTTTTGAGACAGAGTCTTACTCTGTCACCCAGGCTGGAGTGCAGTGGCGCGATCTCTGCTCATTGCAGCCTTCGTCCCCTGAGTTCAAATGATTCCCAGCCTCAGCCTCCCAAGTAACTGGGACTACAAGTGTGCACCACTGCGCCTGGCTCATTTTTGTGTTTTTAGTAGAAATGGGGTTTTGCTGTGTTGGCCAGGCTGGTCTCGAACTCCTGGCCTCACATGATCCACCCACCTCGGCCTCCCAACTAAATTTACTTTTAAAATGGGATATTCATCACCTGAGTATTGTCAGGCTTGTTACTCTTATCTCTGTTTACAGATCACTTATAAGTCAAAGGTATTGTGTAAGAACAAAGTGGTATTTTAAATGACAAAAGGGCTTTCATCCTTAGTGCAGCCTTATATAATTGAGCACAGTGATTCTGTCTTTGGTCATCTGTAATCCACACAGGTGGATGGTTTTATAGATTGATGTGTAATTTGTGGGGGTTATAGAAACGATTATATTCATATAGCAAAGTCTATATGTATTATTTGTAGTTCAGAGCTAGGAAAACTCAATGCAGTCCTTCCTGATCTTGACTCAGGAAATCAGTAGTTCCAAGGATGATTCAGTCTTGTCTAGTTCCACAAATGGAAGGAGGGTGTCTGCATAAAAAGATAAGGGGAATCAGTCAGGAAGCCCATTTTGAATAGCTTCATGAATCCCTTAAATTGTTGCTCACTTCAGCAGAACTCATTAAAGCTATCACAATTTTTATGGCTTACATTAATTTTTTTTAATCTCATTTTCTTTCTCATTCTGTAAAGGAGATGTGGTTATAGGGTTGGGGGAGAATAAAGAAACAGATGATAAATGTTTGTGAATTTTGTACCAATTCTGAAACACCTTCAATATTTAATAGGTTATATTGGGGAGGATATTCCTGTTTTGTTTTGTTTGAGTCAGAGTCTTGTGCTGTCACTCAGGCTGGAGTGCAGTGGTGCGATCTCTGCTCACTGCAAACTCTGCCTCCCAGGTTCAAGTGATTCTCCTGCCTCAGCCTCCAGAGTAACTGGGATTACAGGTGTGTGTCACCACACCCTGCTAAGTTTTTGTATTTTTTTTTAGAGACAGGGTTTCACCTTGTTAGCCAGGCTGGTTTTGAACTCCTGACCTCAAGTGATCCGCCCACCTTGGCCTCCGAAAGTGCTAAAATTACAGGCGTGAGCCACTGCACCTGGCCGATATTCCTGTTCTTAATGGAAATTTGATAATTGTACTGTGGGTTATTAGCACATCAAAACAATGTTGTAGGGAATTAGAACACAAAGCGTTAGTATATTGAGTCTTGTTCTTAAAGTTAACTGTAGGACGTTGAATTTTTTTTATAAAGTACAATTTTGCTGAACTAAAACTCTAATAATGGCACCTAAACTGAATATTTGAAAATGTCTTGGTAGGCTTAGGACTTATTTTTAATGTAAGGATAGCAGCGTGCCTTAGTTTTGAGTAGGTATTCATTACCCCCCTAAAATAGTGGATTTTACTTTTCAGTTTCTTGAGTTGTGTCTTGAAATTATTGTTTGTAAAAATGTTTCTTTTGATTTTGGAGGGAAAAAAATCAAAAAGTTTTAGTGCTTCTGTCTACTTGTAGATATAAAACAGATGGAAAAGAAAAGGAGGCCATCCTTGAAGAAGAAGATGACCTCTGGGTTAGAATTCGACATCGACATATTGCGGTTGTGTTAGAGTATGTGAACTCATTTTAATTTTTGTTCCATAATTTTTAGACACTATGTGATAGTACATTTTGTAACCTTAAAATAGTTCTGTAAAGAATTACATCTTAGAAATTTAAAGAATTCTCTCACAATTTGACAGGGAAATTCCCAAGCTTATGAAAGAAATTTCATCAACAAAGAAAGCAACAGAAGGAAAGGTAAGAGTCTTACTTAACTTTCAAAGTAATAGTGAAGGTGAATTTTAAAGTTTGTTTAAAATCTTTATTTTATTTCTGTAACTTTTTATTTTTGGAAAGTTCTAACATGGAGGTAGAGAATGAACTCCTACGTACCCATTGCCTAGTTTCAATAGTTAACAACATTTTTGTCTGTCCTGCTTCATTAAAATTTTTTTATTTTATTTTATTTTTTGAGACATAGTCTCACTCTGCCATGCAGGCTGGAGTGCAGTTGCGCCATCTCAGCTCACTGCAGTCTCCGCCTCCCAGGCTCAAGTGATTGTTTTGCCTCAGCGGGATTACTGGTGTGCACCACCACACCTGACTAATTTTTGTATTTTTAGTAGTGACAAGGTTTTGCCATGTTGGCCAGGCTGGTCTCAAACTCCTGGCCTCAAGTGATCTGCCCACTTTGGTGCTGGGATTACAGGTGTGAGCCACTGTGCCTGGCCATAAAGTTTATTTTAAGGCCATTTAGTCAATTTTATCAATGCATTGTTGGGATTTTACATTCAGATATAATTTATAAGTAAAGCACACAAATCTTAAATTTATACTGGATAACTTTTACTTATATATACCCTTGAAACCACCACTTTAAATCAAGATACAGAACATTTTCATCATTCCAGAATATTCCCTCTTGTCCTTTCCCTGTCAGTACCCCTCCTGCCAGAGGTAAACTCTATTCTAATTTTCATCACCATAGATTGTGTTCTTGAACTTCACATAATGAGATTCACCTGTGTTACGTATTTTAGTAATTCATTTTTTTCATTTGTGTATAGTAGTAATACCATTATGTAAATATACAACAATTTGTTCATCTTGTCTCCTTTTGATGGACATTTAGTTTGTTTCCAGTTTGGGATTATTATGAACAAAGCTGCTATGGATTTTTTTGTACATGTAATTTGGTGGACATACACACTCTTTCTCTTGGGTATATTAAGAGTAAAATTATTGGGTTATAGGGTAGGATTGTGTTTAGCTTTAATAGGTAATGCCAAAAGTTTTGCAAAGTGTTTCAACTGATTTACATCCCCATCAGCAATAATTGAGTGCTCTAGTTGCTCCATATTGCCACCAACACTTGATATATTCTTGTCTTTATTTTCAATTAAAATTTCATTGCACGAGATGGTATCTTATTGTGGTTTTAATTTCAATTTCTCTAATGTTCTTGTGCATATTGGCCATTAGGATATTCTGTTTTGTGAAGTGCCCATTGAAGGTCTTTTGCCCATTTTTAATTGAGTTGTCTGTTTTTCTTATTTCTAGAAGTTATTTTCTGGATATGAGTCCTATACATGTATTTATGTATGTATGTATCTTTTGATGAACAGAAGATCTCAATTTTAATGAAATCTAATTTATCAATTTATTTCTTTTATACTTTCTCTGTGTCCTTAGAAGTCTTGGCTTACCCTGAGGTCATTAATATATTCTTCTGTTTTCTTCAGTAAGGCTGATCATTTTAGCTTTTACATTTAAGTCTGTAATTCACTATATTAGTCCATTCTCACACTGCCATGAATAAATAGCTGAGACTGGGTAATTTATAAAGAAAAGAGGTTTAATTGACTCACAGTTCCACATGGCTGGGGAGGCCTCAGGAAACTTAACAATCATGGCAGAAGCCACCATGTCACAGGGAGAATGAGTGCCAAGCAAAGGGGTAAGCCCCTTATAAAACCATCAGATTTTGTGTGAACGCACTATCACAAGAATAGCATGGGGCAAACCGCCCCCATGATTCAGTTATCTCTACCTGGTCCTGCCCTTGACATGTGGAGATTATTACAGTTCAAGGTGAGATTTGGGTAGGGAAACAGAGCCAAACCGTATCATTCTGCCCCTGGTACCTCCCATATCTCATGTCCTCACATTTCAAAACACAATCATGCCCTTCCAACAGTCCCCTACAGTCTTAACTCATTCCAGCATTAACCCAAAAGTCCAAGTCCAGAGTTTCATCTGAGATAAGGCAAGTCCCTTCTGCCTATGAGCCTATAAAATCAAAAACAAGTTAGTTACTTCCTAGATACAATGGAGGTACAGGCATTGGGTAAATACACCTGTTCCAAATGGGAGAAATTGGCCATAACAGAGGGGCTTACAGGCCCCATGCAGGTCCAAAATCCAATAGGGCAGTCATTAAATCTTAAAGTTCCAAAAGGATCTCCTTTGACTCCGTGTCTCACATCTGGGTCATGTTGATGCAAAAGGTGGGTTCCCATGGCCCTAGGCAGCTCTGCCCCTGTGGCTTTGCAGGATATAGCCCCTCTCCCAGCTGCTTTCATGGGCTGGTGTTGAGTGTATGCAGCTTTTCCAGGCACATGTTGCAAGCTGTTGGTGGATCTACTATTCTGGGATCTGGAGGATGGTGACCCGCTTCTCACAGTTCACTAGGCAGTGCCCCAGTGGCAACTATGTGTGGAGGTTCCAACCCCACATTTCCCTTCTGCACTACCCTAGCAGAGGTTCTCCATGAGGGCTCCATCCCTGCAGCGAACTCCGGCCTGGACATCCAGACATTTCTATACATCCTCTGAAATCTAAGCAGAGGTTCCCAAACCTCAGTTCTTGACTTCTATGCACCCTGTAAGCCCAACACCACGTGTAAGCCACCAGCTTGCACCATCTGAAGCAATGACCTGAGTTCTACTTTGGCCCCTTTTAGCCACAGCTGGGATGCAGGGTACCAAATCCCAAGACCACACAAAGCGGCAAGGCTCTGAGCCTGACCCACGAAACCATTTTTTCCTCCTTGGCCTCTGGACCTGTGATGGGAGGGGCTACCACGAAGGTCTCTGACATGCCCTGGAGACATTTTCCCCGTTGTTTTGGTGATTAACATTTGGCTCCTTGTTTCTTATGCAGATTTCAGCAGCCAGCTTGAATTTCTCCCCCGAAAATGGGTTTTTCTATCATATCGTCAGGCTGCAGATTTTTCAAACTTTTATGCTCTGTCACCTCTTGAATAAATGACTGCTGAGAAGTTTCTTCTGCCAGATAACCCTAAATCATCTCTCTTGAGATCAAAGTTCCCCAGATCTCTAGGGCAAGGACAAAATGCCACTAATCTCTGCTAAAGCATAGCAAGAGTCACCTTTGCTCTAGTTCCCAAGAAGTTTATCATCTCCAGCTGATACCACCTCAGCCTGGATTTGATTATCCATATCACTGTCAGCATTTTGGCCAAAATCACTCAAGTTTCTAGGAAGTTCCAAACTTTCCCACATTTTCCTGTCTTCTTCTGAGCCCTCCAAACTGTTCAACCTCTGCCTGTTACCCAGTTCCAAAGTTTCTTCCACATTTTCAGGTGTCTTCACAGTAGCACCCCACTCCTGGTACCAAAACTGTATTAGTCCATTCTCACGCTTTTATGAAGAAATACCTGAGACTGGGTAATTTATAAAGAGATTCAGTTGACTCACAGTTCCATATGGCTGCAGAGGCCTCAGGAAACTTATAGTCATGGTGAAAGGCACCTCTTCACAGGGTGGCAGGGGAGAGAAAGAATGCCGAGTGAAGGAGGAAGCCCCTTATAAGACCATCGGATCTCATGAGAACTCACTCACTATCACAAGAACAGCATGGGGGAAACTGCCCCCATTATTCAGTTATCTCCACTTGGTCCTGCCCTTGACGCGTGGGGATTATTACAATTCAAGGTGAGATTTGGGTGGAGACACAGAGCCAAACCATGCCATTCACTCAAATTAATTTTGATTTATGGTGTGAGGTAAGGGTCTAGCTTCATTTTATTTCGATATACATATCTGATTACTCAAGCACTGTTTATTGTAAAGACCATCCTTTCACCATTGAGTTGCAGTAATGCATTTGTTGTGAATCAAGTGACCATAAATGTGTGGGTCTGTGGACTCCATGTCCTTTTCCATGGTCAATTTGTCTATCCTTGTAACAAGACCACACTGTCTTAACTAGTGTACCTTTGTAATGGTTTTGAAATTTGGTAGTATAAGTCTTCCAGCTTTGTTCTTCAAGATTGTCTCAGCTGTTACAACCTTTGTCTTTTAATACACATTTTAGATTCTGCTTGACAATTTCAACAGAAACATTTAACTGAAATTTTGATTGGGATTACATGAATCTGTACACTAATTTGGGAAGAACTGACAAAAATATTGCATCTTCTGATCCAAGAACATAGAATATAGCTCCACTTATGTAGATAGTTTATCTCAGCCGCATTTTATAATTTTCATTTTAGTGGTATTGCACATTTTTTCTTTATTTCTAGGTATTTGATTTTTTGGTGTTATAAATGGTATTTTTTAAATTCCATTTTACTTTATTAGTATATAAAATGTGATTGATTTTTGTATATTTACCTTGGATCTGGTGACCTTGCTAAATTTATTTTTTAATTCTAGTACTTTGTTTATAGATTGGCTTTTTTGTTTTTAAGAGATCGGAACTCTGTTGGCCAGGCTAGTCTCTGAATTCAAGCAATCCCCCCACCCTTGCCTCCCTAGTAGCTGGGACTACAGGCAGGTACCAGTGCACCTAGCTGGATTTTTATATACACAGTAATATAATCTGTGAATAAAGAAAATTTAGTGTCTTCCTTTCTAAATTAATCTTCCAGAGGTGTCCAAAGGAGAGAATACAGTCATGGGTTCTTAGTTTCTGTTTCGGCTAGTAAAGTCCCTTCCTTATCCCTCTTTTCCACTTATCACTAGAGACAGAAACTAAAAACCATGGCTTCAGGCTGCAAAAAGCCTAAAACAAAACAGAACAACAACAACAACAAAATAAGGTGGGTTAGACAAGCTTGTCATACGTTTAAAATTTTTTTTTTTTAGTAGTTAATACCTCCTGGTTCTGGCTGATACCTCCAGTATAACATGAAATCAAACTGGTGATAATGAGCGTCCTTGTCTCATTCCCAGCTTTATGGGAAATGAGTTCAATATTTCATCATTAAGTATTATGTTAGTTTTAGGTAGTTTTCTTTTATCAGATTAAGGATGTTCCTTTCTATTCTTAGTTTACCAACAGGTTTTTATGTGTTTCTGTTTTTTGTTTTTTTCTTTTTTCTTTTTTTTAAGAGACAGGGTCTTGTTCTGTCACCCAGGCTGGAGTGCAGTGGTGCAGTCTCAACTCACTGCAGCCTCAACCTCTTGGGCTCAAACGATCCTCCCACCTCAGGCCCCCAAGCAGCTGGAATTACAGGTGTGCACCACCATGCCCAGCTAATTTTTGTGTGTTTTTAATAGAGACAGAATTTCACCATATTGCTCAGGCTGGTCTCGAACTCCTGAGCTCAGACAATCCTCCTGCCTCAGCCTCTCGAAATGCTGAGATTACAGGCGTGAGCCACCACACCCAGCCTGTTTCTGTTTTCTTTTAATCAGGAAATTTCGATGTTGGATTTCATCAAAGGCATTTTGATATTGTCTTTTTTTCCCCTTTATTCTGTTAATGTGATGAATTACATTTATTGACTTACTAACATAAAAGTAACCATTTCTAGAATAAACTCCACTTGATCATGATGCATCATCCTTTTCCTCTATCACTGGATTTTGTTTGCTAATATTTTGTTGTAGGATATTTGCTTCTATATTTATGAGAAATACTTTTCTGTAATAGTCCTTTTTTGTAATGTTCTTGTCAGGTTTTAGCAGCAAGATTTTTTTGGTCTTATGAAATGAATTGTGATGCACACTTTGTCATTCCATTCTCTGAAAGAGTTTGTGTAAGATTGTTACTGCTTGTTCTATTGCTGCTTGAAAGAATTCACCATTGAAGCAGTTCAGGCATAGAGACTTCTTTATGGGGAGGTCTTTCGTTATAATTAATGATAAGTTATTTAATAGATATAGAACTATTTAGTTTTTTACTTTTTCTTCATTAGTTTTGGGATATCGCATTTTTCAGGGAATTTGTCTATTATATCTAAATTTTGAAATGTCCTCTTATCCTTTCAATATGTGTAGAATCTATAGTTAGATTTTATTTACTAATCTTGCTATTGTTAATTTGTTTATTCCCCTATATATTATTAATATCCCCTGCAGTCCGGGCACGGTGGCTCACGTCTGTAATCCCAGCACTTGGGGAGGCCAAGGCAGACGGATCACCTGAGGTCAGGAGTTTGAGACCAGTCTGGCCAACATGGTGAAACCCTGTCTCTACTAAAAAAAATACAAAAATTAGCCGAGCTTGATGGTGCCTACCTGTATCCCAGCTACTCGGGAAGCTGAGGCAGGAGAATTGCTTGAACCTGGGAGACGGAGGTTGCAGTGAGCCAAGATAGTGCCACTGCACTTCAGCCTGGAGAAAAGAGTGAGACTCCATGTAAAAAAAAATAAAATAAAATTCACTGCATATGTTATTAATATTTCAAAGAACCAACATTTGTCTTTGTTGATTTTCACTCTTGCATGTTTTATCTTTAATTAGCTGATTTTTACTCAGTTTTATTTCCTTCCTTCAGCTTACTTTGTTTTAAATGAAGCTTGTCCAACCTGTGGCCCATGGGTCACATACAGCCCAGGACGGCTGTGAATGTGGCCCAACACAAATTTGTAAACTTTCTTAAAACATTATGAGATGTTTTTGTGATTTTTTTTTTAACCTCATCAGCTATTGTTAGTGTATTTTATATGTGGCCCAAGACAGTTCTTCTTCCAGTGTGGCCCAGGGAAGCCAAAATATCGGACACCCCTGGTTTAAATTTTTTCTTCTAGCTTCCTGAGTTGGAGTTTTAGAACATTGATTTCCAACCTTTCTTCTGTTCTATTGTATATATTTTATAGTTATTTACATCTTCAAACTTAGCTGCATCCCAGGAGTTTTGGAATAACTTATTTTCATTTAGTTCAAAACATTTTCTAACCCTTATTATGATTTCTTCTTTGACCCATGTGTTATATAGGGAATACGTTTTTAAATTTCAAAGCATTTGGGAATTTTCTAGTTATCTTTCTGTTACTGAGTTGTAATTTAATTATACAGTGGTCAGAGAATGTGCACTATATGACATCAGTCTTTTAAAATATGTTAAGACTTGATTTATGGGGCTGGGCATGGTGGCTCGTGCCTGTAATCCCAGCACTTTGAGTGGCCAAGGCAGGCGAATCACATGTGGCTAGGAGTTCAAGACCAGCCTGGCCAACATGGCGAAACCCCATCTCTACTAAAAATACAAAAATTAGCCATGTGTGATGGCACACACCTGTGGCTCCAGCTACTCAGGAGGCTGGGCAACAGAGTGAGACTCTGTCTCAAAAAAAAAAAAAAAAAAATTGATTTCTGACCTAGCATATATTATCATAAGTGCCCTATGTGTACTTGAAAGGAATATAAATTCTGTATGTGTCAGTTAAATCAAGATGGTTAATCATGTTCAAATCTTCTATTTCTTTTCTGATTTTTTTTTACCTGCTCTGTCAGTTACTAGAAGTGGTATATTAAAAACTCTGATCATGACTGTGAATTAGTTTGTTTTTCTTTAGTCCTTTCAACTTTTGAAGTTATATTAACTGATAAAGCTATGTTAAGTTCATTATACATTTAAGATAGCTATCTTTCTGTTGAATTTGGCCTTTTATCATCATAAAATGTCCCTTTTATTACTTGCAGTATTTCTTGTCTTGAGGTCTACTTTGATGTTAATACCACTATATCTTCTTTCTTTTGTTAGTGTTTACATAGTATATCTTTTCCCATCCTTTACTTTCAACTACCTGTGTCTTGATATTTAAAATGTGCTTCTTAAAAAGAGCTTGTAGTTGAATTTTGTTTTTTTATCCAGCCCAAAAATCTTTTAATTAGAATGCTTGTTTAGTTCATATATATTTCATGTAATTATTGATATAGTTAAATTTATATCTAGTATCTTGTTTTCACTTCATTTTTTATATTCTATTCTTTTCCTTCTTTATCAAGTCTTTTTTAAAAATAAATTCCATTTCATCTCCAATATAAACATTTGTGTTTTGCCTTTAGTCCTTCCTTTAGTTATTATACTGGAAATTTAAAAATGTATTCTTACCCTAGTTTAATAGTATGTCCTGAATATGTCATGTCCTGAATAATTCAGGAATCTTATAATAGTTTAACTTTATCCCCTTTCTCTTTTGTGCAGTTGTTTCATGTATTTTACTTCAATGTATGTTATAAACTCAAGATGTTATTTTTTTCAGAAAGAAAAACCCAAAAAAATAAAAGCAAGATGTTATTTTGTTATAAACACTCAGTAGACTTTTATTATTACCCACATATTTATACATTCTGGTACTGTTTATTTCTTACTGCTCTTCAGTTTTTCCAGCTGGGTTAGATTGAATTCTCCCAGCTTTCTTTTTGTCTGAGGGCATCTTCGTTTTGCAATTTTTTCTAAGATACTTTTGCTGGATTTGGAATTCAAAGTTGGCAATTTTTTTCCTTTCAGCAATTTAAAGCTTTCAATACATCACCTTCTGGCTACCATAATTTCTGCTGAAAAAAGGCAGCTGTTAAGTATTATTGTTTTCCTGAAGATAAACTGTGTTTATTAATATTTTCTCTGTATCTTTGATTTTTTAGCAATTTGACCATGATATGCCTTACTGTAATGTGGTTTGCTTGCTATTTATCCTCCATGGGGTTTGCTGAGCTTCTTGAGTCACTGGGTTGATAACTTTCATTATGTTTGTAAAATTCTTGGTCATTATCTCCTCACATCTTCCTTTTGTCCCATCCTCTCTCTTCTCTCTTTCTGGGACCCCAGTCAACATGTTTTTTAGATCTCTTGACTGTATTCTATATCTCTTGCATTCTGTTACCTTTTTTTTTTTAACCTCTCCGCATTGCAACTGAATGTTCTCTATTAACCTGACTTTGAGTCCCCTACTTCTGTCTTCTGTTGTATTCAGTCTGCTATTAAACCCATTCATTGTATCCTTTTGAAAACTGAGGTATAAAGCAAAATTTCCCCTTTGTAGTATACAGTTCTGTGAGTTTTGACAAATGCACACTCTCATATAACCACTACCACAATCAAGATAGAGAATAATGTCATCACCCCCCAAAATGTCCTCATGCCCGTTTGCAGATAACCCCTTAACTCAGTCCCCATCCCCTGACAACTACTAATCTGTTTTCTGACCCTGTAGTTTTGCCTTTTCCAGAATGTCCAATGAATGGAGTAATACACTATGGCTCTTTTCATTTAGCATAATGCATTTGAGATTCATTCATGCTGCATGCAAGAGTAGTTTCATTACTTTTTATTGCTGAGTAGTATTCCATCATATGGATGTACCACAAGTTGTTTATCAATTTACCAGTTTCAGAACATTTTAGTTTTTCCAGTTGTTGGCAATTATGAATAAAGCTACTAAAAATATTCACCTTCTTCATATCAGACATTCATGTCTATGAACAGATGTTATCATTTGCTAACTTAAAGTCTTATATTTAACTCTAGGACATTCATTGGATTTTTAGAAAATAAATTCTAGTTCTCTGTTAAAATACTCCATCTTTTGATCCATGTAGTCCATCTTTTCCTCTGTTTCCACTTTAACATAAATGTGTTACTTTGAAGTCTTTTTCTGCCAACAACATCTTAGGTCTACTTTTTGGGAGTTTCTTTGTTTTTACATTTTGAGGTGTTCTTTTCTTAGCTTTTTTATTGATGCATAGTAACTGTACATATTTATGAGGCATGTAATATGTTTATACGTGCATACAGTGTGTAATGATCAAATCATTGTATTTAGAATACCCATCACCTTGAACATTTATTATTTCTTTGTGTTGGGGACATTTCCAATCTTTTCCTCTAGCTATTTTGAAATACAAAATATATGTTAACTATAGCCATCATTGTGATATCAAACACTAGAACTTATTCCTTATCTTGGGTCTACTTTTATTGACTGTTTTGTCACTTGAGTATCAATCACTTTCCTGTTTCACCTATTAATGTTTTATTGTGCTAGACATGGTGGATGATACATTGCAGAGGTTCTAGATGATGCTGTCTCTACACAGAATGTTGAGTTTTGTTCTGGCAGGCAGTTAAGTTGCTGAGGAATAATCGTGATTCTGTTGTAACTTCATGTTAGACAATGTTATGGTAAATTTATTTCACTTTTGCACTGAGTCCTAAGGCATAGTCCCAGGACTGAATGTGTAGGATGTTCACTTAGGTCTCTTTACTTTGTCTAGATCAGGAGATGCTAGTATATTCTTAGCACTAAGACCCCTCTGAAATCTTGTCCAACATTTAGCCACCCAGAAGTTGTTCTTTACTACACCTTTGAGGGTTATGCCCTGTACATGTGCAGCTTAGGGGTTCAAGGACAATCTCTTTACACATTTTTGGGTTATGTTCTGTCTAGCTCCTTTCTTTTTAGCACTCTGCTTCCCAAAATCTACCTCACAGCCCCAAGCTCTTATCTCCATTTTTTTTTTTTTTTTTTTTTTTTTTGCACCCAGGGAGATAATTGCTCTCTACTTGAACTGTATTTCCTTTCAGTGGTGTTTGGAAAACATCTTTAGGGAAAGGAAGGGTGCGTGCAGGGATCACCTTTGGTGCTTTCCTTCACTCAGCTGTCTCAGCTGTGAGCTATTTTTATCCATTACTTGAAAGCTATTGTTTTATTTATTTGTCCAATCTTATTTATTTATGAAGGGAGAGTAATGTTGATATCAGCTACGTTATTGTGAGTGAAACTGGAAGCCTCCTAAATTCTTCTTTCAAAAAAATTGTCAAATATTCAGTAAATTAACTAGATTTGATAATTTGTAAAACTCTAGGATTTCAAAGTTGTAATATGGAATAACTGAATCATAGGCTTGCCTAAAAAAATGTTTGATTTTTCCTAGACATCACTTAGTGCTCTTACCCAGCTGATGAAAAAGATGCCCCATTTCCGAAAACAGATTACTAAGGTAAGCAGTATTGTATATGAGATACCTGATTAGTTTTAGTTTATATTCAGTTTATATTCAGTTCTGTAGTTCGATTTAGCAGTGGGTTTCGTGGAATACTTGGTGTTATTTGTCCTCTAAAACCTTACTATAGGTCTGAGAGATATCCCATATATCTAAGCTTCTTCATAACTTCTCTATATGTATAACCTAGATTTATCTGAATCCAGCTTAAAGTTTCTATATCTTTGTCTTGAATAGCCTAACAGAGTCACATTTATCAACCTTACAAGAAATTCAGCACTAGATTGACTAGTGGATGTTATTCTACATGTTTCTTTAAAGTAATAGTTACTTACTAGTAGATTTAAGAGCATTTAAGCTGTTTAGTCAGGTAAACTATTTTTTTGCTCCTTAAAAACACTATCAGAATAATCTTAACATTTTTGTCATGTTGCACCCTAGTCAACCAATGATTTTTGTGTGTGTTAAAATACTTGAAACATTTAGAAAGATAAATAGAATATGAACTTGAAGAACTTCTGGGTATTTTTCTCATGTTATTTTTCATTACTGTCAAACTCAACACAAATTCAACAATTCAATGCTTCCATCCCATTTATGCTGTCTGTTGATTGCCTCCTGTTGTATTAGTCTGTTCTCACATTGCTGTAAGGAAATACCCAGGACTGGGTAATTTATAAAGGAAAGCGGTCTAATTGACTCACAGATCTACATGGCTGGGAAGGCCTTAGGAAACTTACAGTCATGGCAGAAAGCAAAGGGGAAGCCAGGCACCTTCTTCACAAAGCTACAGGAGGGAGAAGTACAAGCAGGGCACATGCCAGACACTTGTAAAACCATCAGATCTCATGAGAACTCACTTACTATTATGAGAACAGCATGGGGAAAATCACTCCCATCATCCCATGTTCCAAACACTTCCCATCAGGTCCCTCCCACAACACATGGGGATTATGGGAACTACAAGATGAGATTTAGGTGGGGACATAGCCAAACCATTTCACCTGTAAATCACCTTCTCATTTACTTCCTTTCTTGAGCTGTTCCCTTGCTTACATGTTACCTTCTTTCACCTCAGCCCATACTTTCTTTCAGGCCTGTCTCAAAAGTTTAATATTACCAGTTGCACAAAAGTCATTAAAATCCTTTAAATGATTGATTTCTTCTGTTTTTCAGCAAGTTGTCCATCTTAACTTAGCAGAAGATTGCATGAATAAGTTCAAGCTTAATATAGAAAAGCTCTGCAAAACTGAACAGGTATGTGCAGAGTCAGAAATGCCTCTGTTCATAACAAATTTCAAGGATAAACTTTGTAAGTTAAAACCTAACTTTTTGCTTGATACAGTGGTTGGTTTTTACAGAATCACAGACTCTCTCTTATCAGGGGAGCCACCTAGGCAGTATTTAATGTCATTCCCCGCTAACATTAACAAGTAGCTGTAGAGTATCTTAGTAAACAGTCCCTCCTAATATATTATATATTTTTTGTTTAATGGAATGATTTAAATTTTGGGAGCATGATTTCAGGGTGGCATTATTGGCAGGACCTTCTCAGTACGGGATTTAATATAGCATCCAGCAGAGCTCATTTTACAAGGGGCCTTTTATATCATGCCTCAACTGTTTAGACCATTGCCCCTCATAGAATACAAGCTGCATGTAATTTTAATTATTCTAATAGCCATGTTAATGCAGGTAAAAATTAAAAAGTGCAATTAATTTTACGAATAAGTTGGGTGCAGTGGTGTGTGCTTATAGTCCCAGCTATTCAGGAGGCTGAGGTGGGAGGATTGCTTGATCCCAGGAGTTTGAGGGCAGCCTGGGCAAGACCCTGTCTCTTTAAAAAAAAAAAAGAAAAAAAAAACTTTGACAACCTGATGTATTCAAAATATTATTTCAACATATAATCAGTATAAAAAGTTATTAATTAGATAATTTTGCATTGTATTACTTCAAGTCTCCTGGTGTTTTGTACCTACAGCACATCTTAATTCAGACTGATCCCATTTCAAGTGTTCAGTAGTCATATGTGGCTAGTGGCCACAGTACTGGATAGCATAGGTTTAGATTAATGATTTTTATCTTCTCTGATTTATTTTTTGACCTTTTGTATTTTGTATAAACAATAGTTTACAAGTGATGTTCATATTTTCTTGTGTAATGTCATCAGTGTTCCATTAAAATTTGACAAGATTTAATAATAGATTTTGTGTGTTTGTTTTTTGTTTTTTTGAGACGGAGTTTCGCTCTTGTTGCCCAGGCTAGAGTGCAATGGCCCAATCATGGCTCACTGCAACCTCTGCCCACCGGGTTCAAGTGAGTCTCCTGCCTCAGCCTCCCGAGTAGCTGGGATTATAGGCACCTGCCACCACGCCCGGCTAATTTTTTGTATTTTTAGTACAGATGGGGTTTTACCATGTTGGCCAGGCTAGTCTCCAACTCCTGACCTCAGGTGATCTGCCTTGGCCTCCCAAAGTGCTGGGATTACAGGCGTGAGCCACTGTACCCAGCCAATAATAGATGTTTTTAACTAAAAAATGAATTTTGGTTATAGATCACTGACAATATTTTATTTTCATTAAGGACCTGGCACTTGGAACTGATGCAGAAGGACAGAAGGTGAAAGATTCCATGCGAGTACTCCTTCCAGTTCTACTCAACAAAAATCATGATAATTGTGATAAAATAAGAGCAATTCTACTTTATATCTTCAGTATTAATGGTAATGGAGATAATCACTTTTTAATAAGTATTTTACTATTGATCATAAAAGAATCTTTGAAAACTGAAAGATAGTTGCTGAACTTGGTTAAGATAAAAGGGAAAATATGAAATCGAGAGAAGACTGAAGGAGATATAATTTGACTGTTTTTTATTTTAAAAGCTTCATTCATGGGTACTACCTAAAGCCTTGAAATTATTTTGGTAGCAATTGTGTGATTGTGCACTCATATTTTTACCTATTTAAGGAACTACGGAAGAAAATTTGGACAGGTTGATCCAGAATGTAAAGATAGAAAATGAGAGTGACATGATTCGTAACTGGAGTTACCTTGGTGTTCCCATTGTTCCCCAAGTAAGAAGTCTTATGTTGTGTATATACTTTATATGTATGTGTATGTATGGTTGTATGTATTAACTGTTTTTTTTTTTTATGTGGACAGTCTTCTTAAGTTCACTCTATAGATTTTGAATAAGTAAGCAATTAAAGATTTTGTTCTCTTTTCCATATGTAATTTGGGCAAATGCAGTTTTCTAGCGAATTTGTATTTTATGGCTTCTGTCATAATTCACTACTTACATTTTTGTCTTTATGATTCATTTATAACAATTGTCATATTTTAGTTAAACGTGTAACCTTTAACTATAATATGGCAGAGAAAATAAGTATATATTTTCTTGATTAAAAAAATTTAGGCTCGCTGGGTATGGTGGCTCACACCTGTAATCCCAACACTCTGGGAGACGCTGAGGCAGGAGGATTTCTTGAGCCCAGGAGTTCGAGACCAGCCTGGGCATCATAGTAAGACCTCGCCTCTACAAAAAACAAAAAAATAACCAGGTGTGTTGGTGTGTACCTGTAGTCCCAGCTACTCAGGAGGCTGAGGATCTCATAAGCTCAGGAGGTCAAGGCTGCAGTGGGCCAAAATCACACCACTGTACTCCAGCACAAAGTGAGACTCTGTCTCAAAAAAAAAAACAAAAAAAAAAGGCTCAAAGTCAAATTTTGAAGAGCTCTATTTAGAATCTCACTCTTTCCCATCTTTTTTTTTTTTTTTTGAGACAGAGGCTCTCTCTGTAGCACAGGCTGGAGTGCAGTGGCATGACCTCGGCTCACGGCAACCTCTGCCTCCCAGGTTCAAGCAACTTTCCTGCCTCAGCCTCCCATCTGGGATTACAGGCGCCTGCCATCCGCCCAGCTAATTTTTGTATTTTTAGTAGAGACAGGGTTTCACTCTGTCGGCCAGGCTGCTCTCAAACTCCTGACCTCAGGTGATCTGCCCGCCTCAGCCTCCCAAAGTTCTGGGATTACAGGTGTGAGCCACTGCATCTGGCCCCATCAAGTTTTTTTGTGTGTATGTGTGTGTGTGTGTTTTTTTTTTGAGACGTAGTCTCACTCTGTCACCCAGGCTGGAGTGCAGTGGCTCGATCTCGGCTCACTGCAAGCTCTGCCTCCTGGGTTTATGCCATTCTCCTGCCTCAGCCTCCCTAGTAGCTGGGACTACAGCCATCAAGTTTTATAATACTTTTATTTTAATAGACATATGTTCTGATATGATTATAAATAAATTTTAGCATTAAAGCACAAAATACTGTTCAGTGGAGTTATGCGACCACACTCAGATTTTTTAAAATAGGCATCTCCACTCTTAGTTTTAAGTCAAATACAATATAGTATTTACTGGTAAATTAAATATCTTCGTTAGGAAACGTAAGAGTATTATATTTGAATAGAATTACTGGTTTTTAATTTTTTTCCTCTAATTGTATTAGTCTCAACAAGGCAAACCGTTAAGAAAGGATCGGTCTGCAGAAGAAACTTTTCAGCTCTCTCGGTGGACACCTTTTATCAAAGATATTATGGAGGTAAAAATCATTAAAATGTTTTTTTCTACCTGAGTGCCCTCTTTAGAGTATTCTTTACTTTTTGTAGTTTATGTCAGTCTGAGTATATGTATTGGGCAGGAAGTTTCTGCAGTGGTTGGAGGCTTCACAAAAAAGCCTGTATCTGGGAAACTCTTGAAGATTCTTCTTCTTTTTTTTTTTTTTTTTTTTTCTTTTTGAGACAGAGTGTCACTCTATCACCCAGGCTGGAGTGCAGTGGCACAGTCTTGGCTCACTGCAACCTTCGCCTCCCAGGTTCCAGCAATTCTCTTGCCTCAGCCTCCCGAGTAGCTGGGACTACAGGCACACGCCACCATGCCTGGCTAATTTTTGTATTTTTAGTGGAGACAGGGTTTCACTATGTTGGCCAGGCTGGTCTCGAACTCCTGACCTCATGATCCACCCACCTTGGCCTCCCAAAGTGCTGGGATTACAGGTGTGAGCCACTGCGCCCGGCTGAAGATTCTTTTCTTAAAGACCTCAGACAAACTCACACCACTGACTGTTTCAAAAAAAATAAAATAAACACATATATGCTTTATAAAAAATACTGCTTTGTTTTAATAACTGTATGTGGCAAAATATAATTTATTTGAATGAAAGTTCAACAAAATAACATTTGTATGTGGACCACTATTAAAAAGTATTAGATGCCAATATTCTTGGAAATGTTTTTGGATTAAAATGTAAACTTCATTATAGTTTGCTGTCAGATGAATCATGCCTTTAATACTGTTTACACTTAGAGAACATTATTCAATTATAGGAAATTATAAAATGAGCTAATTTTAAAATTATGAGCTTAATAAAATCATGACACTGATTCTTCGGTCATGATCATATAGTTTTTATTCCCCTTTTCCTTTGACTTAAACCCCAGTTTATACTTTCTTTGGGGAGCTAATTTGGTACAGTGCATAACTATGATTTCTCTGTTTTGCTTGGCTAATTTTATGTTATTCACACATGCTTAAACATATATGAAAAATCTAAAGAATTTAGACTTTGTTTTCTCTAACATAAGAATTTTTTTTCCTTTCTCACAGGGATGATATAGAACTAAGTAGTTTCTTATGGCTAGTTTTTTGTTTTTTTGTTTTTAAACATATTCCTAATCAGTTTACCATGGCTAGTATTTGTAAAATAAGAAATGACTTTCTTGAACCCCTTAACAAAGATTTGCATGTTAAATTCAGAAAATACACATTTGGATCCATGACAGTCTTAGGCCTTTAGAATTTCTCCTGAAACTTGATTTCCTCCCTTCTTGCAGTCTTACTGAAATATTCTTGGACTACTGAGTACTTTGTGCCCAATCCATGTGCCCACTTGTTAATACTACTTGTACTACCATGCCGTAAAGCAGTGGTCTCCATACTTTTCAGTTCATGCACACCTAACCATAAAAAAAATGTGAGCATGAACCTATTTACTTATAAGTTAAGCATTACTGTAATAAAAAATATATAATCTATGTATACAGTATATTTATATACATACATATATCATAAAATCTAACATTGAAAAAAGGGAAAATTTTAAAGAATAAAATGAAAAGGAAAACTTCCCATATCCCATTGAATTGTCTTGAGTACCCCTAGGCCATAGCAGTAGTAGCTATGAAGGGCAAAGCTTTAGAAGTGTGTCACGACTGGAATAATGATTAGAGACCCCCGGCACCATAGAACTAAAGGCTCTGATAAGGTGCCTGGAATCCTTATAACAGCATGGGGACCCTCCAAATGAAGAAAGGGAGTCATGCAGCAAATATTGGTGTAATAAGTAAATGATTTCACTGATTTTTGAAGGAAATAAGGTTTGTGAGTTTCAAAGAAAAGACTAATCTTATACTAAATATTTATGTCTAAGGTTCCTCAATTGCAAATGCAAGTTTTGACCTTTATGCCAAACAAAGTCCTGCAATTTACAATTTTATTGATGGAATTAACTCTTTCCTTCCTTAGGATGCTATTGATAATAGATTAGATTCAAAAGAATGGCCATATTGTTCCCAGTGTCCAGCAGTATGGAATGGTTCAGGAGCTGTAAGGTAAATTCTACAAGTGAAAATCAATGAAATTTTCATTCTACGGACTAATAATTTAAAATGGTACACAGATACTCATATTTGGCAACTTTCTTTCAAGTATATAATCCTGTATTTTTTCTTTAACTGTAACTTGTTTTAAATGAATCCAGATAAGCAATATGAAAATGTACTTTATTATAAAAAATATTTTCATGAAACAAGAAGTATTTCCTTCCCCACCTCCTCTTCCTTCACATAGCAGAGACCTTAATCCTTTTTGATAATTATTTTTGTGTTGAGGTACTTTAAACATTTAAAAAGATACAGAGAATGTTACAATGCATACCCTTATGCCCAGTGCCCAGCTTATTAACTAAATCATTATAATTCAAGCTTCCTGTATATCACACTATGGTTTTATTATTTTCCCTTATTTTCTGTCCTGAATTTGGTGTTTATTGCCTGTATGTCTTTATACTTTTTCTACATATGTTTGTATCCTAAACAGTGTCTTGAGTTATATCTTGCAGGATTTCCTCTTGATCTTTGGCTTTCAGCCTTTAACTGTGTTGTGTCTAGGTATAGTTCTCTTTGTGTTTATTCTACCTGAGGATTGTTGAGTTTCTTAAATCTGCAAGTTAATAATTTTCATCAAATTTGGGAAGTTTTCAGGCATTATTTTTTTCAAATATTTTTCTGCTCCTTTCTCTCTCCTTCCTTTCTTTCTGAAACTCCTGTTACACATAAGTTGGAGGGTTTGACATTGTCCTGTGAGTTACTGAGGCTCTTTTCTTTCATCTTTTTAAAATTTGTTATTGTACTTTCACATGTAGAATTTCCATTTGATTTTTTTAAATTTCCATTTCTGACTGTTGAGATTCCCTGTTGTTAACTTGTTACCATATTTTTCTTTTTAATTCTTTTGATCATATTTATAATTGCTTGGAAGTCCCTAACATCTGAGTCTACTCAGGGTTAATTCCTACTGAATGTTTTTTTTTCCCCCAAGTATGAGTCACACATTCCTGTTTCTTTGTATATCTACTAATTTTTGGTTGAAAATTGGACCTTTTAGATAATGTATTATAGCAACTCCAAATTGTTTTAGTAATTTGTGTGGACTTTGAACTATGGAATCTTTCTCTCTTGCTCTCTTGTAGCCACTGATGTCCTTGTTGAGTTTTTAAAATTTTTTAATTTTTTATCTTAGCTTCTAGTGGTTGCCCCTATGTCTGTGTAGTTTAGAGGTCAGTCAGTTATCTGTTCAGACACTTCAAGCCTGTATGGCTTCCATCCTCTACTGATCAAGCTGAGTGTGGGTTAGGGGTTGCATTCCAAAATAGGCAGTTCTTAAGTCTCCCTCCTTTTTTTAATTTTTTTTTTTTTTTTAAATAGAGGCAAGGCCTCTCTCTGTTGCCCACACTGGAGTGCAGGAGTGCAGTGGCATGATCGTAGCTTACTATAAACTCAAACGCATGGGCTCAGGTGAGCCTCCCACCTCAGCCTCCCAGGTAGCTAAGGTTCCAGGTATATGCCACCACACCCAGCTAATTTTTAAATGTCTTGTAGAGACAGGGTCTCACTATGTTGCCCAGGCTGGTCTTGAACTCCTGGGCTCAAGCGATCTTCCTGCCTCAGCCTCCCAAAGCACTGGGATTATAGATGTGAGACACTGCAGCCAGCCCTTTTTTCCCTCATTTTTTTTCCTGGACTTTCTCAGGTTTTCCCCACACATGCATAGTTTAGCAGTCAACTAATGATGTGTAGAGAGCTTATCTTTTCTTTCTTTGGCTTCTTTACTTCTGGGATTTCCTTATTAAATTTCTACCTGGCCGGGTGCGGTGGCTCATGCCTGTAATCCCAGCACTTTGGGAGGCCGAGGCGGGCAGATCACTTGAGGTCAGGAGTTCGAGACCAGCCTGATCAACATAGTGAAACCCCATCTCTACTAAAAATACAAAAATTAGCCGGGCATGGTGGCACACTCCTGTAATCCCAGCTATTCAGGAGGCTGAGGCAGGAGAATCGCTTGAACCTGGGAGGTGGAGGTTGCAGTGAGCCAAGATCATGCCACTGCACTCCAGCCTAGGTGACAGAGCAAGACTCCACCTCAAATTAATTAATTAATTAATTTATTTATTTGTACCTGATTGGCTGCCCATCCTAAGTTGAGACCACACCTAGCAAAGCTGCAGGATTTTGTACTCGCCTCACTGCCCCACCTTGAATCAAGTCTTCCACCAATGCAGTAAAGCTATAACTTTTATCTGACTGAGCTGGGAGAGCAGTGAGGGTTAGATGCAGCCCAGGCTAGAAGGTTACATATTCACCACCACCGTTCTTACCAGATATGTTAGCAGATATTCAAGATTAAATGCTTCTCAATTTGTTGTCTGCCTATGGTTTCCAGTTAACCTGAAATGTTTTGTTTTGTTTTCCCCACAATTTCATCCAGGAATATACTTGTTTTCTTAGAGGGGAATCTCCTGACCACCTTATTCTGCCATGACCACAAGTGCTCTCTATCTTATGTTTTTAAACTTAATATAGTGTCATATTGTGTGTCCTCCTGCAGCCTGCTTTTTTGTTTCTGTCACATTATGTTTGTGAAATTTATCCCAGACTGATACATGCATAAATTTTCACTGCTAGTTGGTATATAGTTATATGAGTATAGCAACTTATTCATCTGTTTTCCACATGATAGAAATTTAGGCTATCTCAAAACTGGCATTATTACAAACAGTATGCAGTGAGCATTCTTGTACTTTTACGTATATCTGGATAGGGTGCTTCCCTTGGACTGAGGACTTTTCTTTACTTTTGTTTTATTTTTTCCTTTTCTACAAAAGGTTTGGAGGTTATGTTATCTATTTTTATTCTTGTAGCAGTTTATTACTAAGCATATTTGACTCAACAAAGTCGAAGATTAATTAGTATCTCTGCCCTCCTCTTGAACAATACAAGAACCTTAGACCAACTGGATGTAAACCATGCACCCCTTAAATGTTATAATACTTCATTTGTGTTCACTTTGTATCTTTTTTACCCCCCATATTACTAAGCAGCATTATTGGTTTTTTAAAATTCAGTTGTATGTGCATGTGAACCTGTTAAATCGCCCACCACCCCTTTCGTGTGGGCTCAGTTTCTTTCTTTCTGAAGTGTATCCTTTGATGCGGGTCTGTTGGTGGTAGTCTTTTTTATTTTTTATTTTTTTCCAAGACAGAGTCTTGCTCTGTCATCCAGGCCGCAGTGCAGTGGCACGATCTCGGCTCACTACAACCTGTGCCTCCCGGACTCAAGCAGTCCTCGTGTCTCAGCCTCCTGACTAGCTGGGATTACAGATGTGCACCACCACACCCTGCTGATTTTTGTATTTTTAGCAGAGACAGGGTTTCACCATGTTGTCCAGGCTGGTCTCAAACTCCTGACCTTTGATCTACGCACCTCGGCCTCCCAAAGTGCTGGGATTACAGGTGTGCGCCACTACGCCTGGCCAGCGGTGGTAGTCTTTACAGTTTTATCCGTTTCTTCATTTGGTCGTTGTTCTTAGCCAGCTATGAATTTCTAAGAGCTGAGTTATGTTCAGTCAACACTTGTAGAAAATATTCTGCTGTTTCCAGGGTTCTACTTTAGCTCTTGGGAAGGTGGAGGGGGTTGTGTTTTCTGTCAGTCTTGTACCTTTGTAAATAATTAACCTTTTTTCTCTGGTTGTTTTTTGTCCTCGGTTCTGTATATTCTCTGTGCTATGTGTATCTGAGGATTTATTTTTATTTCTTTCTTTGGAATTCATTTATGTTTCCTGAATCTGAGGATTTACATCTTTCATAAATTCTTCAAATATTGCCACTTCTGTAGTCTTGGTTTTGTTAGAACATCTTATTCTGTCATAATGTCTCTTAATTTCTTAAACTTTTTTGTTTCTTCTGCTGGTGTTTCATTCTAGAAATTTTTCTTCAGATTTAGTTTTCAGTTCTTTAGGTCTCTCTTACACTGTGTCTCATCTGCTGTATAAGCTGTTTTTTCTTTTTCTATTTTCAGTGACTTTATTTTTCTGTTTTAGAAGTTCTCATGTTTCTTTTTTAAACATGCTTGGACTTTTTGTTATTTCTTATTTTGTCATACTCTCTATCCTCCTTTATTGTCTATTGTCATTTTAAACATACCTAATTTGTAGTCTATATCTAATAAATTCACTAATTTATACTCTTTGGGTTCAATTCTGTTGCCTTTTATTTCTGCAGACTCATAGTTACTTATTTCAGTATGTGTCTTGTAATTTTGAATGCTGAGTTTATTTCAGTAGCCAGCATTGAGAACGCATCCCTTCAGGCAGGTTTTGCATGTGCTTTTGCCAGATTAGAGGTTTTTTCTTTTTTGTATTAATGTCTCAGTTTGGGGTTCCTCAGACCATGAAGGTAGTATGATTAATACCTAAGACTCTGTGAGACAGGCCTGTGGCTAAATTATCAGAGGAGAAGCTTCCTTGCATCTCCCCTTGCCTTTGAGGTTGTCCTGACCTTATGCAGGGTGTCAGCTCCCAATCTGTACCTTGCACAGTACCCAGGGCTCGGCCCCTTGTTTGCTAACATCAGAAAATACTCCACAAGGCAGACCAAGCCTCAACTCAGTTTACCATTCTAGTATTTAGCTTCCTTTTTACCAATAGCCCTGGAGATTTCTCTGACTTGTTTACTCTCAGCTATGCTTTAAAAACATGTTTCCTCTTAATCAGTGCTCCTTGGTGCTATTTAGAGGGAAGTTTTCAGGATCTAGGGATTTAATTATCTTTATATCTCTCAGTCTTCACATGTGTGTGAAACAAATTAAATATAATCCCGTTACTCTAAAATTGCTATTCAGAAGCTTAGAAATTGTTAGAATTGTTTTGAGCAGTGTTGTCTCCTTTTCTTTTGCCTTCTTACTCTATTTCTCTCTGTTGAAACAGTTCTTAAGCCAAAGTTATTAATACGTCCTTGACTTTGGGAACAAGAGTGGGTCTTGTTCCTGTTTCATCTTTCAAAAGGAAAGGAAATTTTTAATTTTAGTTTTTAAAATTTGTTTCCTGTTGTTCACTGCCTCATTCTTTAAGGTAATGAATGGAAGCAATCATCTGAAAGGCTAGATTCAGATTTTTTTTTTTTTTTTTTTTTTTGAGACGGAGTCTCGCTCTGTCACCCAGGCTAGAGTCCAGTGGTGTGATCTTGGCTCACTGCAACCTCCACCTCCCAGGTTCAAGCGATTCTTCTGCCTCAGTTTCCTGAGTAACTGGGACTACAGGCATGCGCCACCATGCCCAGCTAATTTTTGTATTTTTAGTAGAGAGGGGGTTTCACCATGTTGGCCAGAATGGTCTCGATCTCTTGACTTCATGATCCGCCCACCTCGGCCTCCCGAAGTGCTGGGATTACAGACGTGAGCCACCACGCCCAGCCAAGAACATTATTAAAAGTTTGCTATGGGGCTGGGTGCCGTGGTGCACCCCTGTAAGTCCACCTACTTGAGGCTGAGGTGGGAGGATTGCTTGAGCCTAAGAGTTCGAGGCTGTAGTGCCCTGTGATGATGCTGGTCCGCAGCTGCTGCACTGTAGCCTAGGCAACATAGCAAGACCCCATCTCTAACAAAACAAAAATTTGCTATGAGATCCTATACTGCAAGGCATTCTAGGTCATCCAGAACAGTGGCTCTCAAAGTAGGTAACAAAATGAACAATTGGGTACTTATTTTTACCTAAAAAAGAAGAAATTAAGTTTTACTAATATATACTAGTACACATATGTCATTTACACATTAATATATTTGTTTATAAATGAATGTTTATTTTGAAATATTTACTTTTCAAATAAAAGCTAAAAATTTTTACCAGTGGAGCTTGTGAACAAAAAAAGTAATTCCTATGCTCTAGAGCAGTGCTAGCCAATAGAACTTTCTGCAGTGATAGAAAGGTTCTATATTGGCACTGTCCAGTATGACAGCCACTAGCTACATGTGGCTTTTGGGTACTGGATATGTGGCTAAGTATGGATGAAGAACTGAATTTCTTATTTCATTTAATTTCAACTAATTTAAATTTAAATAGCCTCATGTGGCTAGTGGCTACTATATGGGATTCTGGGGATCTAGAGCAATCTGGAGGAGGAATGGTAAAAGTAATGACTACTATTTATTGAGTACTTACCCAACACCAGATTCTGTACTTAGTGTGTTCTGTACATTGTTTCATTTCATCCTTGTAACAGCCTTTGAGGTTTAGAGAGAAGTTAAGTAATTTTCTGAAAGTCATACTGAATCAAAAACAAGCAGAATAAAAATCGAAACACAGGTCTAATTCTTAACAGCCAACCTCCTACCATCGTAGGTTCCTGAATTCCATTCCATCAAGGAACAACCTAATACTATATCAGCTCCAAAGTATTACTTGCCCCTTTCCCCTTCACATCTTCAAAACCTTTTTCAGTGCCACTCTCTAATTTTTTTTTAATTTCAAGAAGCTGCAGACTTCTCAGGTATATTATTTCTTCTTATGAAATAATAAGGGAGGTTGTTAGCTCTACTCTATATGTTAAAATGCCAAGCCAGATTATGCATGATTTGTTAGAATTGTTTTTGAAATGTGGCTGTCCTGCTTAAGTCTTGGTTAGTCATACTATGGTTAAGTCATTTCCTTAAAAATCAATGTAATTGGGCCGGGCGCGGTGGCTTATGCCTGTTATCCCAGCACTTTGGGAGGCCAAGGTAGGCAGATCACGAGGTCAGGAGTTCAAGACCAGCGTGGCCAACATGGTGAAACCCTGTCTCTACTAAAAATACAAAAATTAGCTGGGCATGGTGGCACATGCCTGTAATCCTAGCTACTCGGGAGGCTGAAACAGGAGAATTGCTTGAACTGTGACCCAGGAGGCGGAGGTTGCAGTGAACCAAGATCGCTCCACTGCAGTCCAGCCTGGGCTACAAAGTGAGACTCCACCTCAAAAAAAAAAAAAAAAAAAAAAAATCAATGTAATTGGTAGCAAGTTTGAGTTTGGTTGAGTTAGGCTTTTTAAGTCTACAAGCATTATGGCTTTGGAAATGTTTATAACATGTTTACTTTTTTTTTTTTAAATTACTTTTTAGTGCTCGCCAGAAACCCAGAGCTAATTATTTAGAAGACCGAAAAAATGGGTCAAAGCTGATTGTTTTTGTAATTGGAGGGATCACATACTCTGAAGTGCGTTGTGCTTATGAAGTTTCTCAGGCACATAAATCCTGTGAAGTTATTATTGGTAAGACTTTCATTTTCTTCTTTTCTGTTTTTTTTTTTTTTTTTGAGACTAAGTCTCGGTCTTGTCCCCCAGGCTGGAGTGGAATGGCGCAATCTTGGCTCACCGCAACCTCCGCCTCCCAGGTTCAAGCGATTCTTCTGCCTCAGCCTCCTGAATAGCTGGAATTACAGGTGTCTGCCACCACGCCTGGCTAATTTTTGTATTTTTAGTAGAGACAGGGTTTCACCATGTTGGCCAGGCTGGTCTCAAACTCCTGACCTTAGGTGATCCGCCCGCCTCGGCCTCCCAAAGTGCTGGGATTACAGACATGAGCCACCGCACCCAGCCTTCTTTTCTGTTTTTAAACAAACTCTAAATGCAAAAGTATACATGTAAAATGTTATCTTGTGTTATACATTTGAGACAAAATTTAATGCAAAAAAATTGTTAACCATAGAATGTGTTTTGTCTGATGTGCTGGAGTTTTTTCCTAGTTGACTTTTTGATAGTTTTATTTTAAAATGTGCTTATTTGAGGAAAAGGAGCTTGCTCCTTTAAAATAGTATGTTCTGTACGTTTGTTTAACCATTAAATAGTTTTTGAGGCACAAATACATTTCTACTTCAAAAATATTTTGAATTTTTTGTGGATATGGACATGACATTGGCAAGGCCTGTGTGGAATTAAGTTTTAAGAATTTCAGGCCAGGCTAGTGGCTCAGGCCTGTAATTCCAGCACTTTGGGAGGCCAAAGCAGAAGGGTCACTTGAGGCCAGGAGTTTGAAACCAGCCTGGGCAATAAAGCAAAACTCCGTCTCTACAAAAAATTAAAAAATAAGAATTTCAGTCAAAGCCAATGATAGGTAAACTCTCCTGACCCATGGAGGCGATGGATCTGTGTGTTAAGCCTTGACCTGCAGCACTGCTTAGTGGATCTCTATTATTGAACAATAACTGTTATAGTGCTGAGGATAGGATAATCCCGTTTTGCCCTTCATTATACCAACGTATAGCACAAAGTAGACAAAGCACTAGGAATGGCCGCTGTTTCTGAAAAGTTACTGAACATGCTCAGTGGTGAAGAAGGATTGAAATATTGCAGCATAGGCAGATTTCAGGAAGATGTCTTACAGAAATTTTGTTACATTACCCCAGGCTACTGCACTTTACATATTTGAAGGACAACACATTATATTAAGCGAAGGAAAATTGATTTAACTGCTGGCCTCTGAAAAATTCTCTTTTCTCCTACCAGGTTCTACACATGTTTTAACACCCAAAAAGCTGTTGGATGATATAAAGATGCTGAATAAACCCAAGGATAAAGTCTCCTTAATTAAAGATGAATAGCATTTCTTTTTGGAGGGTTTAGAGATTCTTACTAATATGTTGAACTAAAATAGAAAGAAAATGTTGCTGTCATGTAATTTAAACAATGTAAATATTTTATGGAATAATGGCTTTTCAAATACATTTCTTAAGGAACTGTTTATGATTATTACTGGATTTGTCATTTTTGATAATTTAAATATTGCTGCTGCTTTGTAGATGATGAGAAGAAATGTTAAAGTGCTTTCTAAAAGGAAATTTTTTCACCTTTGGAGGAGAATATATTAGAGTTGTGGGTAATTTTTCACAGCCACCTATGTACATACTAATTACCCATTGGATACTTATATCTAAAAGTCTCATGCTGAAGTATAGTTTTTGGGAAAGAATGATTTTAAATAAAGAGATTGTAAAAGTAAAAAACTGTAAATGTATATGTATGATAGAATTGTTTCCTCTAAGTGTAGTTTTTCTTTCAACTAAAATTCAGTTTATGTGTAAAATAATTCAGTCATTAATAGAAATGGAGTGATTTCACAGTGTGTACTGTTTTGCCACATACTTCTAAAGAACACAATTTTATATAATTTTGAAATCATGTATGTTTAAATTAGAAAACCAAAAATCATGAACATTCTAAGAGAAAATAAATATAGAATTTAAAAAATTATTCTGGTTTGTGTTTTCTGTAGGGGAGAGGGGAAAGTTACAAATTTTAAAAGTTCTAAATTAGAGTAACAAAGAAGAAAAGGAATCTACCGTAATATTCCCACCAAGATAACTCCTAATGACTTTTTCAAAAATAACGTAATCTCTATATAGGGTTAGATAATATATGTCTGCAGATGTGTTTTGTTAAACAAAGGGAACATCTTTGTTTCAAATCTCTTCTTTTACTTGCCCTCATAGTGTTCTGTCATATGGCAGACCATAGTTTTATTGATTCAGAGTTTTGCTCTTATAAATAATGCTGCGTTGTTTGGGTACATACCTTTGCAGACTTACACAGACATTTCCATAATGTAAATTCCTAGCAGTGGTCAAGGGATTTGTGCATTTAAATATTGATGGATATCCATTTTTAATTTTTATTTAAGTAAATCCATCGCTTTTCCATTTTGGCTTCTGAATTTCACATGCTACTTAGAAATACCTTCCACACTCCAGGATTATAAATTTTTGATAGATTCATTCTATTTTTTTACAGGTAACTCACCCATCTGGAATTGATTTTAGTGTAAGAATGTGTGCTAGATATTGTCTCTTAGTACTTGGCATGACGTCCCATGCCTCCTTACCCCATACCACAGGGGATGAAAGGCTAAACATGAAGTTTTTCAGGTTCTAGGATAAGTAAGGTCTGAACAGTTTATATTCTACCAATGATGTGCACTTGGTCAAGATTTGGAGGCAGAGGCCATCTACTATGCCAGTAAGCAATCTCCCGCAGACAGGAATTGTTTGTAGCAACCAGACTCCACATTTTAGTGTCTTGTCGCCTGCTTCGTGGGTATGAGTTAATGCTGTGGCAGCAGCACTAGCTTCCTGTCCTTTGGGTCACAGATGGTAAAATGATCGTGGGTCTCCAGTTTCTGCTCCTACTGCTTTTTCAGTGATTTTTGTAACGACCTAATTCTCTGTATTAAATGCCTTTCTGCTTGAAATATCTAGAGAAGTTTGTTTCCTGCACAGAACCCTGACTTGATGGAGTATTTCATAGTGGTCCAGCTTCACTCCTTTCTAAACAGCCAGATGTTATACCAGATCCTATTGGATAATCTCTCTTTCCCCAACTAATCTGAAATACCACCATTATCATAGACTAAATTTCCATTTGTATTGTGGTCTATTTCTGGATTCTCTTTTAATGACCTACAGTTTGTTTTGTATTTCTTTTTCCCTATTTCAATTCATGGTATGTTTCAATATGTAGTGGAAGAAGTTCCTATTCAATCCACCTAAATTACTATTATTTTTCAGAAATTTTCTATCAGATTTTTCTAGATGAATTTTAGTATCCTTTTGTTGAGTTCCCAAAAAAAGCCATTTTGGTATTTTCATAGGATTTGCATTGTTCCTAGGTTAACTTAGGAAAAATCAACATCTTTTATAATATTGAAACTTTGATATTCAGGAATGTGAAATGTCTTTTCATTTAAATCTTCATAACCTTCAGAATCTTCATTTTCTTCATATAGTTACTGCACATTGTCAAAATATTTTTGTAGTTCCTTTGTGGGTTGAATCTTCTACTATTTTCAAATGGTTTTTTACACATAGAAATTTATTTATTTTTTTTTAAATAGAGACAGGGTCTTGCTATGTTACCCAGGCTGGAGTGCAGTCATGTGATCATAGCTCACTGGAATTTTGAACTCCTGGGCGATAGTGATCTTCCTGCCTCAGCCTCCCAAGTAGCCAGGACTACAGGTATGGGCCACCACATATGGCTAATTTTTGGGTTTTTTTGTTTTTGTTTTTGTTTTTTTGTATAGACAGTCTCACTGTGTTGCCCTGGCTGGTCTCAAACTCCTGGGCTTAAGCAATCCTCCTTCTCAGCCTCCCAAAGTGTGGGGATTACAGGTGTGAGCCATTGTGCCTGGCCAACTTTTGATATGTTAATCTTACAACTTTACTAAGTATTGATAATAAAGTAATAATATACAAATGCTTACTTAGTGCTTTCTATTATTAATTCATTCCATCTTCTCGTGTATTCCTGTGAGCATAGGTACTGTGATTATCATCTTTATTTTAAAGCTGAGGAAACCGACACAAAGAGATGGATGTAACTTGGTGTGGATGAGTGCATGGAAAGGAAGGGCCTGGCACAATAAACAGCCCTCTTTGCAAACTACGCATGAAAACAATATATCTCCAGTAAGAGGATTAGTTTTTGGTGTCTGCATTTTATCTGAGATCTTTGTGTGCCTCAGTAACTCCCTCTCCAGGGTCAGAACATGTGTGGAATAGGTATTTAGATTAATCCAATGGCCTGGAACAAATGGAACTAAGAGTGTGATGACAGCAAACACTGGACTGTTTATTCATTTGATCACTTGACATCTCAGTGACCACTTTACCCTGATCACACTGATATCGGATGTTTTGAGTCCTGTATTTCACATATATGTTAAGCTTTGAATTGCAGAGACCCTTTGTTTACAAAATCTCTTATGAATTTGAAGCCATAAGACGTCATCTCACATAAATTCCTTGTATAAGCTGATTTTTTTTCCCCCATAGAATTAGCAATTACAGGCCAAAGCAGGAGGATCACTTGAGCCCAGGAGTTTGAGACGAGCCTGAGCAACATAGTGAGACCACATCTTTTTTTTTTTTTTTTCGTTCTATGAATATTCCAAAAGTGAGACCACATCTTTACAAAAAAAGGAAAAAAAAAAAAGCTGGGTGTGGTGACACGTACCTGTGATCCCAGCTACTACTCAAGAGGCTGAGGCAGGAGGATTGCTTGAACCAAGGAGGTGGAGGCTGCAGTGAACTGTGATCACACCACTGCACTTCAGCCTGGGCGAGTCAGTCCCTGTCTGAAAAAAAAAAATTACAGGTTTTGATTTCAAGACCCAGAAAAAGACTTTTTTGTTGTTGCAACCAATGGAAACCATTTATTCACTGTCTCTGAAACACAGATTTGCTTCCTGTTGAAATGTGCTTTATTTATAAAGTACAGTGGATTCACATTCTTCAATCATATTAGTAAATAAATAAGGATATCTTTATTAATCCTGTTATCCTGGTTCCTAGACCCTTAGCCTTTACTGCTCCAGGATCACAATAGGAGTTCACAAGATCTCAAAAGTCTTGGATTTGAGCCCCAAAGGGCCTGACCCCACAGTTTATTGTGTAAGATACGACACCTCCATAACTCAGTTCTTCCCTAGGTATTTGTACCCATTGTAAGTCCTATTGGAATGCAAGCAGATTTCTTCTAAAATCAAAGGAGCAAGAAATGTCTTCCTTCTATAGGAAAATTTTTAACACCAAAACAATGTTTTTTCTATTAAATATAAACACATATTCGTATTTAGTACAAATTAGGCCTATTTTATATAATTCATTAACAGCAAGATTATAATAGGATAAAAAGATGAGATTTCTTTTGCAAACTATAATAGTTAACTAAAGGGGATGGCTAGAACTTTGTCTTAAAGATGATAGGCCGGGCGCAGTGGCTCACGCCTGTAATCCCAGCACTTTGGAAGGCCGAGGCAGGCAGATCACCTGAGGTCAGGGATTGGAGACCAGCCTGACCAACATGGTGAAATCCCATCTCTACTAAAAATACAAAAATTAGCTGGGTGTGGTGGTGGGTGCCTATAATCCCTCGGGAGGCTGAGGCAGGAGAATCACTTGAACCTGGGAGGCAGAGATTGCAGTGAGCCGAGATCCCGCAATTGCACTCCAGCCTGGGCGACAGAGTGAGACTCCGTCTCAAAAAAAATAAAAATAAAAAAAAATAATAAAAAGATGATAAAAAGCCCTCTATAGACAGTCCCATTGCATCCTGCTGGCAGCTTCCAGCGGCCAGAGCACAGCTAGACCTTGGAGTAAATACTGAGAGGCCTGTGCACCCTGGAGACTGCCAGGTGTTTCTTTACAGCCCTCAGGCAATGCTGAGTCCCTTGATGCCAGCATTAGGGGTACCATTACTTTTACTTCACAAGCTTGTTTTTCTGGTTTATTACTCGAACAGAATTAGAAGAGAGGTCATTAGAATTGACACAAGAATTGCATGAGGGAGGAGATGGCCAAGACTACAGGATCAGTAAGTATAAAATTATCCTTGTAAATCAGAGCCTAGTGTCTTTGTGGAACTCCTTAAGGGCATTGCCTGCCCTTTTTTGCTATTTCTTAGATTAGTCGTGTTGCAGTGATTGCTCATAATGACCCCTAATCTTCAAGGAAATGGAAAATTACATTTAGAATATGGTTTGATAAAGCAGAAATGGGCCATATTTTTAAATCAAAAATGATTATAATTACCAATTTCTATAAATGTTAATTTGAGGGATTTAGAAATATTCGTTAATGGTAGACGTTTCTAACCAAGGTTCCATGGATTTGTTTCATGGTGTCCACGAACTTTTAAAAATGAATGTATTCTTTTCCACGAGAAGGCAGAGCATGGGGGAAGGGAGACTCCATAGCTTTCACCAGATTCCCAAAAAATGAGCCCAAAAAAGGTTAAGAACTAATGAATCATATAAGAACACTTCAAGCCAGAGAAGTATATGATTTTAAACTTGGGGATGAGATAGTGGTACTAACATACAAAACAGATTAGCAAGTTGTGATTAAATTTAGATATGTGATGATACTGGAAGCCTCTTGGAACTGCCAAAAACCAAAATGTCAACAAATTAAGTCTAATGACCTAATTGGCTTTTATTAGCAATTTATGAATCAGGCAGCATCCTATCTATGAAATAGAAAGGCTGAGCACAGGAGTGGGCTTTATAGGCAGAAAAAAACAGAAGAAAATGGAAACAAGGAACAAAAGGTGTCTTTATATGGGTTAAAGCAGAGGGGACTTCCTTATGCCAGCTCAGGTTGACGGGGCCCCTTCTAATGGGATACTGTGAATGTTCTGGGTCTTTTTTTTTTCTTTTAAACTGACCTATTTTAAAGTTCAGTTTGATTACGTGGCACCTAGCATGAGTGACTCCATTCTAGTTTGGTCTGGTCTGTTGGGGTCCCCTGTAGGAGCTTAGTCCAAAAAAATGACCTCCCATAAGTTTTATTTAATAGAACATACACAGTTTAAGCTCTGTTTTTTCTAATACCAGCCATGGTTCCTTGCTATCTTCCTTACAGTGCCACAGCCTGAAGTAAATTTGGCCATAAAGTCAGAGGTATTTTCAGACTGACCTGTGCATTATCTCTTCCAGGGCACCCTAAACCAATTTACAAACCCCAAAGTTAAAAACAGTCCATTCTCCAGCCAGCTAGACGAATACCAGCTGCTCACATTGGCACGAAAATCTAAAGTGGGAATAGATTCAACTCCCTCCTGACCACTGAGCCAAACTCTGGGAGTTGGGAAACCATTTGTTGAATGTCTAGGGTGAATGAAAATCAGAAGTTTCAGGGAAGGGGGAAAGAGCCAATACCCTGCTGTGCTGTCACTAAGGAGGTAATAAATCACTCTTAAAGAAGGAAAGCAAAAGCTTGATCTGGAAGGAAAAAAAAAAAAGCCTGCTCTGGTCTGCATGAAAATGTACTTAATCTCTGGTACACAGTTTTAATGAATTGTCTTTTCCAAAATTTCATTAAGGCTATTATTTTCACATATTTCTGACTTCAAGCGATCTTTAAACAAATAATTTTGACTTATAAGTATATTGTGAGAATTTCATATAGTACAGAAAAGAAGGTAAAAACCCCTTTCTCCCCCAAAACTCCCAGTTTCCTTTACTAGAGGTTCACTTCAGATTTTTAGGTATCTTTCCTGAAAATACGTATGCCCTTTTAAAAAAAATACACAAATGAAGAGCCAGGCACATTGGTGTGTGCCTGTAGTCCCAGCCACTCAGTAGGCTAAGGCGGGAGGATTGCTTGAAGTTCAAGTCCAGCCTGGGCAACATAGAAAGACCCCAGAGGTTACAACTCTCTATATATATGCTTAGGCATCTTGCTTCTTTCACTGACTTTTGCAGATAATCCAACCTCATTCTTTTCGGTGGCCACAAAGTATTGTCATTTATGAATCATCACAGGGGGTATTTAGATTAGTTCCCCCTTGGGGTTGTTACCATCAGTGCTCCAGTGCCCTTCCCTGTACATATATCATGCCACATTGTGTGGCTTATATGTAAAAGAAATTCCTAGAAGTGGAATTGCTGCTCTGAAGGTACATGATTTGGAATTTGTGGAACTTGGTAGATATTACCAAATAGTCTTCCAAAAAGGTTGCATTTCTGCCAACAGCATATGAGAGTACCAGTTTCCCTCCATCCTCACTGACACAGGGTTTCTTCAAACTTTAATCTTTTTTCAGACTAATAGATAAAAGGAAATTCATTGTTTTGTTTTGATTTCTTTTATTATGAGTTAAGAAGAACATAGATTTATTTTAAAATAAATACTTGTTGGTTGCTTTTGATTTTAAGAATCAGAAGTCCTTTCTTTTTTCTTTTTCCTTTAAGTACTTTGTGTTACCCATTTCTTATGGTTTCTGTGTTTTCTCTAGAAAGTCATCTTCCTAAATTGTGTAGTAAGTAAAATACATTTTGGGGGAAGATCAAGTTTTCTTTGCATTTTTTTCTTTTGAATCCTTGGTAGCCTAGCGTTGAACTAGTATTTCAGTCGATTCCTCCACCTCTGTGCTTTAGCAAGGTCTTCTGCAATCGTTTTAATCATTTGATCTGTAGTTTCTTTCAAAATGGTTGCTGTCCTTAGGGCATGATCCAAAGCCGAGTTTAAAATCTACAGAGGAAAAGTCCACACATTTTAATTACATAAACTAACTGCTGTTTCTGTTCTTTGGGTTCTCTCATTATTAAACATTACAAGGTGGAATTTGGGGAGTATTCCTGTTTTCCTCTTGGTCTATTTCTGTTTTTGAGGGTTGGTTTCCTAGGAGACCAGTCTGAGATGGAATATATTTGTTAGGGAAAGGGATTGAAAAAAAGACCAGCACGTGACTGATGAGCATGAATCAGAGGGTGAGGTCAGCCGCCAGCTGGGCTGTTTCCCTGCCGCAGAGAAAGAGAAAAAAAGAACAGCTCTTAGAGGCCATTGATGGGGATTGGGGGGCCATAACCACTGAGAGGGTATTCAGGGATACAGCGCATGCGTATGGAAACATTTGAAAGTGGCCTGGGGATTCGAGTTAGTGATTTGAAATAGGAAACTGTTGGCAACTCTGATCACAGTGTCACTGGAACAGACCCAGTGCCTTCAACCCCCGGCCAGGGAAATCCTGTAGCTGAGGCACCACCCACAAATCACTTTCTCCAGGAAATTTCCCTTGGAACCAATTTAGAATAATACAAACCTTGCGACTGCTGAGGCTGTGTGTCTTTAGCTTAGTTCTGAGCACAAAATTGTCTTTAGCAGAGCATTTTCTGAAGCTCTGATACTGTAATAACTTAAGAGCTGCCAGTTCTGTGGGCATCAAGATCAAACTTACGAGCTGCAATGCTTCTCGAATGATTTTCTAAGTCCTCACCTCAGATTTTATTTCTTCAGTGCTATCAAAGTCACATAAGGATTTGCTTCCAGAAATCCTGCAGGAGTAGAAATGGGGTGAGGGTGTTGCAGGGTCTGAGCTGTAGGTCATGAAAGCCTGAAGTTTTTTTCTGGAAGACAAAAGCACATTGATACTTGTGTCAAGCGCCACCCTCAAGCACACTCCTGTTCACGTCAGCTCTGTGGTAGGTAATGGCTCTGTGTGGTTTGGGTGTGGGTGGATTCGTGCACCCGCTGCCCTCCTAGCTCTCATACTCCCATGTGGCTGACCGCAGCTGGGCTTCAGAAAATGGTTGTTGCCATGACCATGCGGGTGTTTTCTCCCGGAATTGATCTCCTTTTCCTCTAGTACAGAAAGAGGCAAGACTCTAAACACATTTTTTATTCCGTTTTCATTCTTTTGGGGCCAACTTTCTTTTTTTTTTTTTAATTTTTTTTTTTTTTTTTTTTTTGAGACAGAGTCTCGCTCTGTTGCCCAGGCTGGAGTGCAGTGGTGTGATCTCTGCTCGCTGCAAGCTCCGCCTCCCGGGTTCACGCCATTCTCGTGCCTCAGCCTCCCGAGTAGCTGGGACTACAGGCGCCCGCCACCACGCCCGGCTAATTTTTTGTATTTTTTTTTAGTAGAGATGGGGTTTCACCGTGTTAGCCAGGATGGTCTCGATCTCCTGACCTCGTGATCCGCCCGCCTCGGCCTCCCAAAGTGCTGGGATTACAGGCCTGAGCCACCGCGTCCGGCCTTTTGGGGCCAACTTTCTACCTTGCATTTTTATAAAACAAATACACAAAACTGCCAATTGCAGGTACCTTGGGTTGAGTTCATTCTGGCACCAGTGAGCTTTCACCCCAAGGAGGCAGAAGCAGTCAAAAAATAAAAGCAGCTCCTTTTGAAGTAAACAGGCTCCCCTTGCCTGCTACACTGTGATTGGTTCTCTCTCAGGGATGGGCCAGAAGTCTGCACTAGGTGAGTGAGGGGTGCAGGGCCACTGGGCTGTTAAGGTTGTGCAGAGCATGGCTCTAGGGGGTTATTTGCATAGTCTGTGAAGGGCACTGCCTGGAGTTAGGCTTTTCTCAAGCATGAGCAGTGGCCCTGAGGGATGCCATGAGAACTTGCCTGTTGACTGAGCAGTCATAGAGCCACCCTCACAGCTTCCTCCGGCTTCAGGTTTCCTCTGTTAAGCATTACTTTGGTGCATAAAACACTTGTGAGGAATATCATCTCCAGAAAATATCCTTTCATCCCTCTCCCCTACCATAGGAGCATCAATTGGTTCTGCAAGTTATTTTAACACATTGGATTGATCCTCCAGGCAAGAGGTGGTCCAGCATCCGGGGCCCCTAACTAATGAAATACTCTGGGCAGGGGATAGCAGAGTGGTGCAGAGTCCTCTCTCTCCCCATATCCCATCAGTCTCCACTGTCAACAGTATAACAGCCATCGCTTGCTGAGTACTTATTATGAGCCTGGTACCATTCTAAGTGCTTTATATGTATGGACTCAGTCCTCAATGAGTTTGGCACCATTATGATTCCCACTTTACATGCGGGGAAATGGAGGCACACATAGGTCAAGGAACCTGCCCAAGGACACAGAACCAAGACAAACCCAAGAAGTCGGCCAGGCATGGTGGCTCACGCCTGTAATCCCAGCACTTTGGGAGGCCGAGGTGGGTGAATCACCTGAGGTCAAGAGTTGGAGCCCAGCCTGGTCAACATAGCGAAACCCCGTCTCTACTAAAAATACAAAAATTAGCTGGGCATGGTGGCGGGTGCCTATAATCCCAGCTACACGGGAGGCTGAGGCAGGAGACTCACTTGAACCTGGTGGGGCAGAGGTTGCAGTGAGCCATGATCGTGCCACTTCACTCCAGCCTGGGCGAAATAGTGAAACTCCATCTCAAAAAAAAAAAAAAAAAACCAAGAAGTCTCCAAAGGTCACGTTCTTAAACACTGTGCTAGACTATGGTGGAGGGTAGTAGGTTCAGACTGAGTGGCTCTGAGTGCAGAGCCTGAATTGTTAGCCACTCTGCTGCGCTATTGGTTCTGTCTCTTAAATAGCTCTTGAATGAATACACAGACTTTTCTCTTTCCATCTCCACCACCCTTGGTCAAGCTGCATCATCTCACCTGAATTATTGCACTGGCCTCTTATTTGGCCTTTGTCCTCCAATCTTAACTCCTCTAATTCGTTTCCACTCCTTCAGTAGCTAGACTGACCCTTTAAAACACTAAGAAATTTTTAAATTCCCTGATTAAAAAACTTAATTGGGTGGGCCTGCCACAGTGGCTCATGCCTGTAATCCCAGTGCTTTGGGTGACTGAGGTAGGAGGATTGCTGAGGCTAGGAGTTCAAGATCAGCCTGGGCAACATAGTAAGACCCCATCTCTACCAAAAAAAAAAAAAAAGTAGCTAGCTGTGGTATCACATGCCTGTACTCCCAGCTACCCAGGAAGCTGTGCCAGGAGGATCACTTGAGCCGAGGAGGTCAAGGCTGCAGTGAGCCAAGATTGCACTCCAGCCTGGGCAACAAAGCAAGACCCTGCCTCAAAAAAAATTTTTTTTTAACTTCACTGGGGGGCCAGACACCTGTAATTCCAGTGCTTTGGGTGACCAAGGTGGGAAGATCACTTGAGGTCAGGAGTTTGAGACTAGCCTGGGCAACATAACAAGACTCTGTCTCTACAAATTTTTTTTTTTTAATGTGCACCTATAGTCCTAGCTACTCAGGAGGCTGAGGCGGGAGGATGACTTGAGCCCAGGAGTTCAAGGCTGCAGTGAGATATGATCACCACTGCACTCCATCCTGGGTGACAGAGGGAGACCCTATCTCTAAAAATAAAAATGAATTAACAGCAAAAAAAAAAAAAAAAAAAATACCCTAATTGGCTTCCTCTTGCTCCTAAGATTCTGAAATACTTCCTGGAGCTGACAAGTCTCTGTACGGTCTGGCCCTGACAATTCCACCAACCTTTCCTCATCAGCCTCATCTTGCTCCACTGCCGCTCCCTCTTTTGGGTTCCAGCCACACCATTCCTGAACTTGCCAAGTGCCTTCTCACAACAGGAAGCTTTCCTAGACTGGAATGTTCTTCACTGCCCCCAGATCCCCTTGCTAGTTCGTTCATACTTATCCTTCGAAGCTCAGCTTCCCTGAGCCCCCAAATTAGATCAATGGGACTTTGTACGTCCCCTTCTTGGCACTTACAAAGACTATGCGGCTTCTCTGCCAAAAAAGTAAGCTCTGTGAGGGCAGGGACAGTGGCTGACTTTGTCCTGTGTTCTCAGTACCTAGTACAATGACTTGGTTTATTGAATAAACAAATGAATGATTGAAGGATTAGATAGGTTTAGGTTTGAATCCTGGCTCTACTCCTAATCATCTAGGTTATCTTGGGGTAGGTAGTTAATGCACTATCAAGTACACTGTATCCACCCAACCAATGAGAAATATTTTGTTACTGATAATGAAATAATACTTACTTTCCTGGTGTGGGCTCATGTTCACCTTTAAAGGATTTTGAATTCACTCTCTGAGAACAGATCCGTTTGGGTTTTAAAAAAGCTGAAAAATGTTAGCTATCATTAAATTCAGAGTATCAAAAATGAGCCCCAAATGGTGCCTATGTATCATTCCTTGAACTTTTTGTATGAATGAAATATTTCATAAAATTTTAATAAATCAGAAAACTGGGAAACATAGACAACAAAGAACTTTTGCTGGGCGCGGTGGCTCACGCCTGTAATCCCAGCACTTTGGGAGGCTAAGGTGGGAGGATTGTTTGAGGCCAGGAGTTTGCGACCAGTCTTCCCTGTCTCTACAAAAAAAAAATTCATAAACCCCTTCCATACTAACTATACATTTTTTGTTAACTTAGCTGGGCATGGTGGCATGTGCCTACAGTTTTGTAGCTACTTAGGAGGCTGAGGCAGGAGGTTCACTAGAGCCCAGAAGTTCAAGGAAGCATTGAGCTATGATCACATCACTGCCCTCCAGCCTGGGCGACAGAGCTAGACCCTGTCTCTAAAAATGAAATTTTTAATAAAGAACTTTCTATGAAGTATTCTGAACTTAGGAAAAGAAATTCAATTTTAAAGGGAGTTTTAGGCCAGGCGTGGTGGCTCATGTTTTTAATCCCAGCACTTTGGGAGGCCGAGGTGGGCACATCACCTGAGGTCAGGAGTTCAAGACCAGCCTGGTCAACATGGTGAAACCCTGTCTCTACTAAAAATACAAAAATTAGCCGGGTGTGGTGGTGGGTGCCTGTAATCCCAGCTACTTGGGAGACTGAGGCATGAGAGTCATTTGAACCCAGGAGGTGGAGGTTGCAGTGAGCCAAGATAGTGCCACTGCACTCCAGCCTGGGTGACAGAGTGAGACTCTGTCTCAAAAAACAAAACAACAAAAAAGGTTTTATTAGCAGATAGAAACCAGGAGTTTAGGTTCCCTGGGTGCTTGCTGTGTGATCTGTGCATGACATCTGACTTCTCTGGGTTTAACAACCACATCATCTGATAAATGGAGAAATAATATCTTCCAAGAGGTTGGGCCAAATGGATTTCTGAAATCCTCTTCAATTTTAGGAGTTAAGATTCTAGGAGTAGAAATTAATGATTATGTTACAAAGACAATTCCAGAAAATAGAGTCTAAACACAGAAGGAAAATGTGGAAAAGTCACCATGGAAAACAAGAAGAAAGACAGATAAAGGAAAAAAGACGAGTCAGTGGCCAAGAAATCTGCCTTCTCTGTCACCAAGGCTCCCTTCTCCCCTTCCCTTTCCCTCTTCTTCTTCTTCTCTCTGTCTTCCCCTCGTTCTCCCTCCAGGTCTCCTGTCTTATTCATTGGTGTCAAGTAGCCAGGCTTCACTCACACTCAGGAGGCTCCCGTTGGACAAAGGATGCTGGGAGAGATTGTCCCTCAGACATGCAAGGCAGGGCAGAAGCCAGAAACCAAGATTTAGTCATGCTGACCACCTAGACTTGGGGCATGATGAAGAGGCACTAATGAGCTCAATCTTGATTCTTTGGTGGTCTCCAAATGTAATTTTGGATTTTACTGGAAACTCAGAGTTAGAAAGCACCACAGTGTCACCTGGTCCGGTTCTAGTCCAGTGTACAGATCTACAGCTTCCAGACAAAATCCATTGCCTTCCAGTCCACAGATGAGCTCACAACCTCCTGCCACAGCCCCCTCCATTTTCTGTCTGCTCTAGTTGCTGTAAGGGTCTTTGTAACCTGGAGGAAAAGCTGCCTCCTTATGACTTCTACCCCCTTAGTTAGCTAATGGAGTTCAAGATCACATTGTGGATGAATCCATTGCAGCCCTCGTTCGTATACTGGCATGACAAGTGTCACAGGCTGTAGACCTCAAAACCAAGGAGATAGTGAAGAAATCTGTCCTGTGGCTTCTCCAGTCTTAGTGACTGTCACTTCAAAAGAATACATGCAATTGGAGGATGTGGCAGCTGGAGGTGGGGAGGGGAGACACAGCTGAGGTCAGTCAGGTAAATGACATTCTTAAGTCTTGGGCACTGACCATCAAGAAAGATAAGAAACATTCTCCCTGGTGCCCTCTCCCAGAGAAGGAGAGGAAGAGCTCTGAAGGTATGAGGCCAAGGATGTAGCGCCTGTCAGAGAACCAGGTATAGCTGTCGTTCAGTGGTAAAACTAGGAGTATTTCCTTCCCTCCTTCCTGTTCCCTTGGCACACTTTGCCCTGCTTTTTGAACTTACCCCATTTTGCTTTGAGCTCTCCTTATTTGGGTATGAGTTTCTTTCTTTCAAGAGCTTGGGAAGGAGCAGCCATGTCATTCATCTTTTTAAATATGTGTTTGTAGGGTTTTAATTTTTTTTCAAAGACAGCAAATTTTTGCATTGGAAGTTAGCAACATGATGTCTATGGAGTGTAAAAATAGTCTACTTCTCTACATGCTGACTCTTAGTAGGGATATATGTAAAGCATTAGCCACCTCTGAATAGTAACAATAATAGTAGTGATTATCCAGTAAGTCATTTATTTGTTCAGCAAACATTTATGGGTTGCTACCAACTTGCACTGGTGTAGCCCTTAATAACTTTCAAAGTCCTTGGTCACTGCGATTTCATATTTTCCAGCCCCAGCTCAGCCTCTTGCCATCCAGATGTAGGGCTGGATTTGGAAGTGTCAGGTGAGTGCACAAGACCTGGGCAGCAAAATGGAGAGGCCAGGGCTTCCCAGATGGAAGCAGTGGCCAGTGTCATGTGAATGTCCCATACCTGGGACATTAGGTTGTTGATATGGATGGGGTCATGCAGGAGATGTACTTACAGGGTGAAGAGTTTTTACTTTCATCTAAAGAATGGGGCTGGACAAAGGCACCTCTTTTGCTATGATTTGAGTAATTCTGTCCTGGAGTGTTGTATCTATAATGAAATTCTGGGAAGAAAAGATTAAAAATACAGTTAATTGCCTGGGAACAGTGACTGTCCCCACTCGCCTTTCTGAGGCCCCAGGTGAGTGTTACCTTTAGTTGGTTCTTTCCTGCAGGCTCTTCGGGAGGTAGGAATCTTAGTGCCACAGTCCTGACATTTGTTACTCTGCATTTCAGTGCCAGAATCAGAACAGAAGCTGTGTCCTGTATCAGAATCTGAAAAAGCCCAAGTTGCATGAATGAAGGGTAAGTGTCTTGATTATAGTCATAAAATACGGTGTGGAGAGCAGAGCTGTAACTGTGCAGGGTATGTGTTTGGCACCAAAGTGCTTAATGTCCCGGCTGTGTCACCAAGAGGAGTTGCCAGCCTGGGGTAACATTTGGGATTCCCTTCTGACAACTGAGAAATGTTTTGATAATTAACATTTCTTGTATGAAAATCTCAAGATGTAGCATACATATTTAGGCTTAGTAAAGGTCTGCTGAATGAATGGATCTGCGGCAATTTGGCCCACTGAACTATCAGACAACCTTGTATTTGTATTTGTTTTTCCATAGTTGGCCTGATACATCCACATTCTTTCTCTCAGACCCTGCTGTGGCCAAGAGCTTGTATTTTGTCATCCAGACAACTGGAAAGATGGGTTTCTTCTATGTGACATTCATAAGCCTATAAGGGAACCTGAATCATGACTTTGCTCTCTTAGCCTCAAAGAAGCTAGTAGCAGACAGCATGTGTATCTGGTGCAGGTCTAGAACCTGTCTGGCAGGCTGTGGACGGAACAGCACTCCAGGTAAGGCCAGAGTATGAAAGCCTGGGGCCAGGCGGGTGAGCATGTCAGGACTGAATGTCCAAGCAACATCTCGCTGCAGGACAGATGCTGCAGTGACAAAGCCTCTTCCAATGCTTCTTGCCTTACTGAACTCATGGTTAGACTCATTTTTAACATTAAAGTGAAGTCATCCCTGGCTGACATCTTGACTTTTAACATATTATACAATATATAGTAACTTCATTGTATAATAACAAATCCATTTCATATTAGCAAATGGAATGAGTTTGAAGGCCCAGGGTTGAAGCCTGGCTCTGCTACTTATTAGCTATGATGGTTGAAAATATGTTTACAAATTCTTTAACGTGCTATTTTTATTTTTTTTGAGCCAAGGTTTCATTCTGTTGCTCCCAGGCTGAAATGCAGTGGCTCAATCATAAGCCTCAACCTTCTGTGTTTTTTTTGTTTTGTTTTGTTTTTATGTTTAAATATTGGGTCCCTATGTTGTCCAGCCTGGTCTTGAACTCCTGGGCTCAAGCAATCCTGGTTCAGCCTCCCAAAGTGCTGGGATTACAGACATAAGCCACCACACCCAACTGACACTCTTTAAAATGTAGAGCCTAATTCCTCTCTCCTTGAGTATAGGCTGGGTTTAGTGACTCACTTCTAACAAATAAAATAAAGCGGTAGTGATGGCATATAACTTCCAAACCTAGGCCATGAAAGACACTGAAGCTTCCATCTCGGTATTTCTCTCTTGGATCACTTGCTCTGGGGGAAGCTGGCTGCCATGTCATAATGACACTCAAGCAGCCTATTGGAGAGGCCCACATGTCAGGGAACTGAGACCTCCTGCCAATGCTCATGTGAGTGAGCCATCTTGGAAGCAGATCTTCCAGCCCCAGTCAAGCCCTCAGATGACGGCATCCTTGGCTGACAACTTGACCAAACCTCATGAGAGACCCTGAGCCTGAACCACCCAGCTAAAGTGCTCCCAAATTCCTGACCCACAGAAACTCTAAGATGATAAATGTTTGTTGTTTTCAGCCTTAAGTTCTGGGATACTTTGTTACACAGCTATAGATAGCTAATACACTCACTCACACTCACTCTTTGGTCCTGTCAAGTCACTTAATTTCTCTGAGCCTCTAGTTCCTTATCTATAAAATAAAGATAATCATTCCTGCATTACAGGGATGTTGTGAGAGTTATGTGACATACACTGGCAACAGTTTTCAAACTTTTGATTCCAGAACCCTTTTACACTCTTAAAATTGAGGACCCTAAACAGCCTTTGTTTCTGTGGTTTTAATCTACCATAAAATGATAATATATACCATTTTATATACCTGAGGTGAAAATCCCCCCTCATTGGAGAACAGCTAGCATTCAACATTCAGTCCACTGCAGATGGATTGGTAGAGAAGTACTAATGTATAGATTACTAGTCATTTTTTGCTTGTGCAAATCATTTAGATTTCCCAAAACTAAATGAGCAGTTCCAAGGCGCTTTTTTTTTAGAATTTTAAACTGAGAGGTTTAAAAGATAATTTTATTTATTATGGCATTTAAAAAGTAATAAATCCATGTCATATTAACAAAATAGCAGTTTTTAATGAAAATAACTATTTCTAAAAAATTTAGTGAGAAGAGTGGCATCATTTTACGTTTTGGCAAATATCTTGAATATCTGGCTTAATAAAAGGCAACTGGATTCCATAACTGCATCTCCATCAGTTGCCTGTAATACTAGCGTTGCACAGCTATATGGCTGGTAAAGGAAGGACCTGGTGGCCCCCCCGAAAGGGTTTCAGGAAACCCCAGGGACCCTCCGATTACACCTGGAAAACTCCTACTTTGTTATACCATCTGGCATAATACGTCTTCAATCAATGAACCCTATTATTATTTGGAAATGTGTCATCTACAGAGAAGCCAGTGCAGAACCAAGTGTGACATAACAGAAGGCAGAGCTGGAGGCATGGCTCTGGGCCACAGGCAGTGCAGATGTAAGAAAGCCTGGGTAGCTCTCCAGTGCAGCTTCCTGGTGCATAAGCTGGGGAGACAAGCTGGGTAGGTAGGTTAGGCTCAGAGGTGATTTTTAAGCTCAGAAGCTGCCTGAGCAGAGGCCTCCAGCCCCACCTCTTCTCCCAGGGCAGTTCTGCTAGATGTTTCTCTCCTTAAACTATCTTTGAAAAAAAGGATCTTATGACTAAAAGCCATTGAATTGCGTGTACTGGGGCACCTCCCAGCTCCAACTTTCTTTGCTTCTATGAAATGCATATATCCAAAGCAGCAGCAATTCTCACGTAGCCAGTAACCTTACCAGGTACAGTTATGGGTCATGTGGGAAGGATGAGGATGGACAGACTGAATGACATCTTGTGATTGAGTCCATGGAGTCCTTCATTTTCAGCTAGAAACAGGTGTTCATGCTTTACTCTACTTAACCACATCTTATTGAAAGTGATTCTTTTTTTCTTTTCTTTTCTTTTTCTTTTTTTTTTTTTTTGAAACAGGGTCCTACTCTGTCGCCCAGGCTGGAGTACGGTGGCATGATCATGGCTCACTGCAGCCTCAACCTCCCGGACTCAAGCAATCTTCCCACCTTAGTCTCCCAAGTAGCTGGGACTACAGGCGTGAGCCACCACACCTGGCTAATTTTTGTATTTTTTTTGTACAGATGGAATGTCACCATGTTGGCCAGGCTGGTCTTGAACTCCTGAGCTCAAGTGATCCACCCGCCTCAGCCTCCCAAAGTGCTGGAATTACAGGCATGAGCCCCCATGCCCAGCCTATTAATTCTTTACATTTTGCAAATAAATAAATACAACATGCAACATCCTAGTGTAGGGAAATGCTCTTGGAGTGGCAGATGGCAAGCTGGTGCCTACTGCGAGCAGACCCCATGGGGAGGGACACTGAAAAATGAGCACCCAGCCCAAGCCCATCAACTTACTGGGAGTTGAATCTGAGTGTGGTGCCTTTTCATGAAGGACAATTGAAAATCTTCCACAGTTGATCCTTCCGTGGCCCTTTTTCTCCACGTTTTGCTTCCTAAAAAAAGGTGCATAAGATCCTGTAAACTTTTAGTGCATTTCCAATAGATAGGGAAAGTTTTGGTAAAGTTGAAACGTTAAATTTTGTTATATTAGAGCCTGGAACAGTGTAGGAGGGGCTTGTCATCCTCTACACAGAGCTCTCCTCTGCCTGCCTGTTTGAGAGCTTTTCTACAAGAAATTGCACCCCAGCACAATTTGGCCTGATAAGAAAATGTATACAAGACAGGCCAGGCGCGGTGGCTCACGCCTGTAATCCCAGCACTTTGGGAGGCTGAGGCGGGCGGATCACGAGGTCAGGAGATCGAGACCATCCTGGCTAACACGGTGAAACCCTGTCTCTACTAAAAGTACAAAAAATTAGCTGGGCGCCGTAGTGGGTGCCTGTAGTCCCAGCTACTCGGGAGGCTGAGGCAGGAGAATGGCGGGAACCCGGGAGGCGGAGCTTGCAGTGAGCCGAGATCGCGCCACTGCACTCCAGCCTGGGTGACAGAGCGAGACTCCTACTCAAAAAAAAAAAAAAGAAAATGTATACAAGACATGAAAAATAAATGTTTTGTTCTGCCGAGGTTAATATCTAATCATCACATACACATTCACAAAACACATTTGAAGTATGGAATTATAAAATTTGGAGTTTTCCTCATGCATCAAAATCCATTCCAGGCTGGGTATGGTGGCTCATGCCTGTAATCCCAGCACTTTGGGAGGCCAAGGAGGGTGGATGGCTTGAGACTAGGAGTTCAAGGTCAGCCAGGGCAACATGGCAAAACCTCATCTCAAAAACAAACAAACAAACAAACAAACAAACAAACAGTTCCTACCAGGGGAAGAAACTATGCTATACGTCAGTAATGGGTCACGTAGCTTTGGTCCTGGAAGTACAAGCTGATTACATCCAACAACTCCAGCAAAGTGGGCTTTGCCGGGTGTCTGTGGGACTAAAGGCTGAGGGAGCACGTGAAGGTGATTTTAGTTGCACATGGCCACCAGGTGGCGTCAGAAAGAAGCAACTGCAATGGACATTGTTCAGGAGCCTTCCTGTGGCCCACCTGCAGCTTCCTCCCTCCTCCTCAGAAATCCCAACTCCTCCAAAGGAATTCGAATTAATAACAGTTCTGAACAAAGCTCTTGCTAAGCTCCTGGGATACAGTCATAGCCCCCAGGGAAAGTTGTTCATTCTTAGTATGGAAGGCACTGTGCCCGAGATATCCTGGCATAAATGAGGCAGATTGCCCAGGGCTAGGGTTTGAGCCCAAGGCATTGCTGGGCAAACACATGCTCGCCGCGCTGTGCCCTGGCCTGCTGTTGGCGGAGAAGGGATGGGGCTGCGGGTTTGTGGGGCTGGGGCTGAGAAGCCAGGCTCTTTCCCTCCTCTTGGAAAAACATGCTGTCCTCTTGAGTCACATATTTTCTCACACCTCATTTTCTGTCTCCACCCTTCTCCTCTGGGGCATTTGAACATCTGCTCTCCAAAGTGGGAAACTTGGATCTCACTCAAGTGCATGCAGTCCAACACAGGACTTTTTCTGCTTTTAAACTCCTTTGTGTACTCAAATCTTCTGGCCAAACATAATTCCTCTGGAGAAGACAGTTTTTCAACAAGACAAAGCAGCTAAAGTACACACTTAAATCCAAAGTTTTGCATCAGAAATAACATAAAGGGATAAGCATATTTTACATTTTATACATATGTAATTTATCCACTTATATATAAACAATTTACAAATATCCTGAAAACAGTATGTACCTCAGCAAGCTTCATAAAGGACAAGTCCCATCAGAGAGAGATTTAATCTTCTAACAGAAAGAATATATAGTCCTCCCTTCAATCAATAATTCCTCAGGGATTATGTAAGTTACAAGATTTTAATTCATAAGTCATGTGTATCTTCTCATCACTCCCCAGCAGTGGATTCACTGTGAGATTTGATTTTACACTTGGTTGTGCTTGTCTTTCCAGCTTGTCTATCATAAAAAAGTATTATTTAGTCTGGAACATTGGTCCCTGTCTTGGTACTTAATGTACTTCTGTAGGGTCTAGACTAGGAATTTAGAAGAGAGAAATTTAGTACCTTGAGTGCTTAATAAAAATGGTTCTTTAATGTCAAAATACTTTCATTATACTTAGTAAAACCTTTAAAAATCCAAAATTAGACTTTAATTCAATAAATAAAAATAGTAGGCCTGGGATGACTCAGTGAGTAAGCTTCATGAGTGCCCCTTGGATTAAAGGGCAGCTCAAAGCTGATGACTGACATGGTGGTTTAATGACCCACACACAATGACACATGACCATTTTTAGCACGAGCTTCATGCAGTTTCTTTTTTCAGGGGTGGACACTCATTAGAACTCTTAAGGCAGGTGCCCATTCCCACAATGGAATGCTTTCTAACAGGAAGCCTCAGTCTTTCAGACCCTGTCATCTGCTTCTATTAGAATCCATTACGTACATATAACAGTGGTTGCTAAACACCTGCTGCCTCCCTGACTCTTGACCTTCCAAAGGTCAATGAGCCGAGCTTTGGCCGGAGTCCACAGTGAGCTTAGAGGTAACATCTCTCGCTACCTGAAAGAAGCTTCAAATAAATGATACTGAATCGACACAGATTAATAGTTGCACCAATGGGTGTTTCAAAAACAAAGGATTTCTCCTGAGGATTTTACATGATTTACAGCTTGTTAGCTCTGGAAGATTTCGTCCTTAGGAATGGGAAGAAATCAGCCCTGAGAAGAGGGATGAGGCTTGTTCCTGGGACTGGGGGGCTCAGGTGAAACCCAACAGAGAAGACTTTTGCTCATCATAAGGAGAGAGTAGGGATGGTGGGAGCTGTTTGTTATACAGGATAAGAATCCCCCATGTGGGCAATGATCAAAAGCCTACAGGACCACCCTCCGTGGGCTGTAACCATGATTCTTAACCAAGGGGGCTTATCGGAATCACCTGGGGAGATTTAAAAGCAATATTCCTACCAGAGCCCCACCGCTGGCGATGCTGAGACAGTAGGTGGGATGGAGGCATGTGCATGATTGTAAAATCTCCCATGGTGATTTTGATGGTCTCCCCAGTTGAGGACCACTGCTAGAGGATCTGTAGGGTGCGAGGGAGGCTGGGCTCTGTGCCCAGGCCTGAGATCTGTGACTCTATAACTCAGCCAGTGGCCTCAGTTAGTTGCCGCCCACTCTCACTGGAGTTACTATGCCAGGACTGACTCCAATCCACCCTGGGAATGTAGCCACAAGAAGCCCTCACCATTCAAGGAGCCTGCGACAGAAGGCACAGCTCGGACTGGGTGCCGTCATCTCTGCACAATCCTGCCTTCTTGGAGTGCCGTTGGGATCCTCCTGCGCCACAAAGCACACAGATGGAGATGTGATAGAGGATGTGACTCACGCCGCGGCTGCACACGCACAGCCCAGCAAGCAGCTGAGGTCCGGCTGAACTTGCCACCTCAGGCAGAGAGACTCGCCAAACCTCTCCTCCAGTTGGGGAAAGGGAGGCGCAGGGGGACAGGAGGGAAAGAAGAAAGAGCCCATCCTTAGTTCTGATGTGTCACTCAGTCGGGGCTGCGCCTCTAATGGCCTGGGCTGAAGAATGGAAGTTTCCACCCTGGCTTGCTTCCTTCCTCCTCTAAACAGATTTTAAAATCTGGTGTACAGATGACAGAATACTCTCCCCTTTTTATCTTTCCCTTAGTTTCAAATTACTCCAAGCTTCGCCAGATAATGAACAGATTTAGGAACATAATTTTTAGATCTATTAATCTGACCGCTGGCTAGTAGAGCTCTAAAAGCCTTTCTAAATAAATATATTCAACTATGAATTAAAACAGGGTTTAGGGACTGTCTGGGGGCCTAAATGATTGGTTATATGTCCCTCTTTAACACAAAACAATTACTCCACTGACCTGTGAGGGCTGTTACCACCCACTGTGTATTTTTGACTAAGGTCTTACCCTTTATGTAAGTAAAAAATAAATGTACTTTTCCCATCATTATAAACAATGGCAGAAGCATCATTGTACACATAGCTTTTTCCACATCTTGGATTACTTCCTGAGGAAATGTCTGGGCCAAAGGTTGCGAACATGTTTGTGTGATGACCCATATTGCCAAATTGCTTTCCACAAAAGTTGTACAGATTTCACAGCCACCAACAGTGTGGACGGCTCAGTTTGACCACACCTTCCTCTGCATCAGGAATTATCACTTGAAAATGTTTCTGTTAATTGAAGGGAGGGGTGTGTCACCTTTTGTGTTAATTTGCATTTCCTCTGTGACTAAAGGAAATAAGTCTGTTCCTATATGCTGATTTATTGGTTGTATTTCCTACCTGTGACTTTTTTTTTTTTTTTTGAGACGGAGTCTCACTCTGTTGCCCAGGCTGGAGTGCAGTGGCCTAATCTCAGCTCCCGGGTTCAAGCAATTCTTCTGGCTCAGCCCCCCAAGTAGCTGGGATTACAGGTGCCCACCACTACCCCCAGCTAATTTTTTGTATTTTTAGTGGAGACAGTTTCACCATGTTGGCCGGGCTGGTCTTGAGCTCCTGACCTCATGATTCGCCCACCTCGGCCTCCCAAAGTACTGGGATTACTTTAATTGTGAGTAATTGTGTGAGCCACTGCGCCCGGCCTTACTTGTGACTTTTTAGCTCATGTCCTTTGTCCATTAATTTTCTTGGAGGGTTTCAGTGTTTTCCTGTTACCATTTGCTAGTTGTTCATGATGTGCCAGGTGCTTCCCTTATAGTCTCCTTAATACTTCCAACCATCCTGGCACGTTGTCGCCATTTTAATGGTGAGTGATCTGAGGCCTGGCGGATTTAAGCAATTTGGCAAGGTTGCATCATGAGTAAGTGGGAAAGCTGGGATTTTAACTTTTACCTATCTGACTGGTATGCTGTGTTCTTTTTTTTTTTTTTTTTTTTTTGAGATGGAGTTTCTCTGTGTTGCCCAGGCTGGAGTGCAGTGGCGCAATCTTGGCTCACTGCAACCTCCACCTCCCTCCCAATTTCAAGTGATTCTCCCACCTCAGCCTCCCTTCCAAGTAGCTGGGACTACAGGAACACACCACCCCACCCAGCTAATTTTGGTATGTCTTAGTAGAAACAGAGTTTCACCATGTTGGTCAGGCTGGTCTCGAACTCCTGACCTCAAGTGATCCACCCGCCTTGGCCTACCAAAGTGCTGGGATTACAGGCGCGAGCCACTGCACCCGGCCAGTATGCTTGTGTTCTTAACCACAGTTCTGCTCCTTGGGGAATTTGTCACAGCATTTGATATAATGAAGTTCTCAACAATGAACATTATTTGCCCTTAATATTTTCTCAGTTGTCTATCTACATTTTTTTTAATTGATGGTGGTTTCAGTTTTGTAAACAACTTAAAATATCAATATTGTCAAGGAGGAGGTGCGAGTGGCCAAGAAACATATGAAAATAGATTGAGTTTCAAAAATAGCAAGATTAAAATAATGAGATATCAGTTTTCACTTATGCATTTGGCAAAAGTTGGAAAAAGAAAAAAATGTCTGGGGTAGGCTCAAACTGGGGACACCAACATTCCCACGCACTGCCCTCAGCCTATAAACCCCCATGGACTTCCTAAAGGCCAGATTATCAGAATTTTCAGCATGTACCATTTGAACCATTAACTGCAATCCTAGGGTTTTATTCTAAGGAAATGATCAACTACAAATGTTTGCATGTCAAATGATGTTACCTGAAGCAGTGTTTATGATATCAAAGAACTGGAAAAAACTAAATCTCCATCAATAAGAGATTGTCTAAATGTGTCAGAGTACATTAGTATAATGAAATATAGTACAGTCATCAAAAATGAAGCGATAGTTTATTCTAAGTGATGTGGAGAGCTGCTCAAAATATAACATTAAATGAAAAGCATAAAACAATATATATAGTAAAATCCTATTTTGGCCAAAATGTATATATAGGAGAAAAAAAGACTGGAAGGATATACACTAAAATATTAGCAATGGGCCAGGCGCAGTGGCTCATGCCTGTAATCCCAGCACTTTGGGAGGCTGAGGTGGGTGGATCACCTGAGGTCGGGAGTTCTAGACCAGTGTGGGCAACGTGGTGAAACCTCCTCTCTACTAAAAATACAAAAATTAGCTGCACGTGGTGGCACATGCCTGTAATCCCAGCTACTCAGGAGGCTGAGGCAGGAGAATCACTTGAACCCAGGAGGCAGAGGTTGCAGTGAGCTGGGATCGCACCATTGCACTCCAGCCTGGACAACAAAGCGAGACTGTCTCAAAAAAAAAAAATTAGATTGATTTTCCTCTCAGTGGAAGTTTCTTCTTTATACTTTTCTTTATTTTCTCATTTCTCTTGTAATAAGCATGTATCAGTTTTATAATTTAAAAAAAAAGGGTTTTTTCATCCATTTTTCCCATGGTTTTTTTTTTTTAATTTTTATATTTTATCATTGCTGAGCTTACAGGGTTACTCCTCCACTGACATTTAAGGCAGATTTACATTAGCAGAATGCAGGGAGGTGCCCCTCCACCTGAGTTGGAGACCCGGGCATCACCTATCATTTACCCTGAACAAATATCACCTTTCTAAACTACTCTTCCTCTGCAAAAAGTCTTTGCAAACTGTAAAGCTCTGAGCCAACATAATTATTATATCATTGTTTACTGCTTATTATAATATTATAATATAATATCATTTAAGACCCCGGGGTTGGTAATCCCAGCATTTCCAATTCATTCGAAATGAAATAATCTCTAGACCCTCAGAATTTAAAATGTGGTCCGCAGACCAGAACCAGCAGCTTTGGCATCACCTGGGGCTTGTTAGCAATGCAGAATTGCAGGCTCGCCCCAAACTTACTGATTCAGAGCCTGCATTTTAACAAGATCTGCAGGTGATTCATAGGCTCGGAGAAGTTGGAGAAGCTCCGGTCTAGGTACGCCTGCCGAGATTCTCAGGAGTGCAGAAAGTGGGAAACCGTCAGCAGTACCAGCCATCACCAGCACTGACACCCAGGATGCCATTAGGAAGAGGTAAGTGATCTTGATTATGCCAATTTCACAGTCACATTCAGCAACACTGGTTTTAGTTAAAGAGCCAACAATGAGAAGAACCCAGCCAGGCCCCGGCTGCAGGACATTACCCCAGAGTTAGAAGACAGCCTCATGGCCACTTGGTCTGGCTTGTTCTGGGCAGCTGCATCTCCATAATGACCGTTTAGGTAACTAATTTAAAAAAAAAAAAAGCAGTTTGAATGTTAGAATCAGTTCTTGAGCTACCTGGGAGCTCCACTATTTGGAATCACTTGGCATCACCCCTGGGATGGTGGGAGCGAGCAACCTAAGGCAGAGAGTGCTATGGGCCTCATGCGGCCACTTGACCTTCACCTCTCCCCGCGTCCCCCAGCCCCAGCTGTCCCGTCCCTCAGATCTCTGCCCAGAGGGTTGCAGAGGCTGGCCAGGCCCTGCTGGTGGGGCAGGTGAGGAGCCAGGCTACCAGGCTTTGTAACTCGTGGTCCAAGACTGCTTTTCCTGTGGGAGCCTCATGGGCCTTCCTGGAGGCTGCATGAGGAAGGGGCCTCTTTCTGTGTCCTGTGTCTGCTGGGGCTCCAGGGCTAGGACTCACGTCTGCGGGGCCAGCTCACAGAGCTCCTCGTTGGGGGCCTCCTGCGGCCCTCCTTGGGGTGTCCCTGTTACCTCACTCCCACCTGAGCCTCGAGGCCCAGAAGGGTGGCCGGGGTGCTCCTTGGGAATCTGGGGGAGCCACACAGAAAGACTTGAATTAGAGCCACAGTCCCACTGGAGGTGACTCAAAATCAGTTCAGCATCCCTACAGCACCCCTAAGGCACCATAACATCCTGCCTGGCGTCCCCCCACCCCTGTCTCCCCCAGCTCTTTACCTAGCTGTCTTCTCATCCTCCAAGACTCAGTCCAAATCTCACCTTCTCTGAAAAACCTTCTCCCTTAGTAATTCAAACCTTCTGCATTTAGTTACTTTTGGTCATATCCCATTACTTAATAGTCATGATAGCTAACACCCAGGAGTAATGTACTCACTGTGAGCCAGGCCCTATTTTCAGTACGTTACTTATATTAACTCATTTAAACATCATAACAGCCCTGTGAGGCAAATATTATTATCTGCATTTTACAGAAGAGAGAACTGAGGCACAGAGAGGTTGCATAACTTTCCTAAGATCACAAAACTAATAAGTGACAGAGCCAGTATGTGAACCCAGGTAGTCTGGCTTCAGAGTCACGCAGAATGTATTATTATTTTCTGCACTGTGCTTTTTAACATTTCATAATTATATGTTAATTTAATTTTTTTTTTTTTTTGAGATGGAGTCTTGCCCTGTCACCCAGACTGGAGTGCAATGGCGCAATCTCGGCTCACTGCAACCTCTGCCTCCCGGGTTCAAGCGATTCTCCTGCCTCAGCCTCCCAAGTAGCTGGGATTACAGGCGCCCGCCACCACGCCCGGCTAATTTTTTGTATCTTTAGTAGAAACGGGGTTTCACCATGTTGGCCAGGCTGGTCTCGAACTCCTGACCTCGTGATCCGCCTGCCTCAGCCTCCCAAAGTGCTGGAATTACAGGCGTGAGCCACCGCACCTGGCTTAATTTGTTAAGTATATGTCTCTCTTACAGAAATGTAAGCATCTTGAGGGCAGGTGATTTGTTTGTTGTTCATGTTTTATCCCCAATACCTAGAAAAGTGCTAGCCTATAGCAATACATACTGCTGAGTGAATGAAGGATGCCAGCACTAGACTCTTTCCAGAACCACTTACCACAAAGTTATTTAGAGAGTTCTCATCATTTCACAACAGTAGCTGTAAACTTGGGACCAAGTAAAGAAGAGCAGATCCAGACCCCAGGGAGCTGCCAGGTAGAGGGCAGGGCCAACCCTGAGGTGGCCTCACAAAGACTTGTGACTCCTGCAGGTCCAAGACTAGCAGGGCAGCCGCTGTGAGCCTGGAAACTGCTTGGGTGCCTTGAGATGGGCTGTTACATCCACGGTGGCTCAGGGCTTCCTCTATGAAGCATCGACTCTCCTGGGCTTTCAGCTGGACATTCAGGATTCAAAGATGAGTGCAGAGTCACAGAGACAAACGAGACCCAGTGCTGCGGGGACACAGAGGCCGGGGCCAAGAATTCCTCCAGGTGCGGGGGATTGGGGGGCTTGGGGGTGAGGAGGGTGGCTGACTAGGGATGCATAAATGACCTGACGCTAGAGCTGGGCCTTGAATGAGTGAGATTTTGCCAGGCAAGTAAGTGCTTTGAGGAGGCAAACACTTCTTCGGAAGGGCTAACCTTGACATAATCTTTGTCACTTTGTCCTTCGCTTTGACAAAATCCTCATTCAAGTTTGAATATCAGCCCCAGGCTGTGTCTTCAAATACTGTATGAAACTAAAGAGTCAATTTAAGGTATTTATTTAAATGATTCTGTTTCTCAGAATTTTGATTTTAGTCTGAATGTTCTGATAGTTGAGGCTACAAAGGCAAAAAGTATAGAAAGACAGTGGTGGTTAATTTGAATTCCCAATCTTGCATAAGTAGAAATCCAAAAGAATTTAACTTGAGAGAAGGAAAATGCAGAAGTGGATTCATGGGAAATAATTATTTCACTGAGTGTGCTATTCTTTATTTTCAGGTGGCTCATGCCTGTAATCCCAACACTTTGGAAGGCCAAGCGGGCGGATCACTTGAGGTCAGGAGTTTGAGACCAGCCTGGCCAACATGGTGAAACCCCATCTCTACCAAAAATATAAAAAATTAGCCAGGCAGTGGTGGCATGCACCTGTAATCTCAGCTGCTTGGGAGGCTGAGGGAGGAGAATCACTTGAGCCCGGGAGACAAAGGTTGCAGTGAGCTGAGATCGTGCTACCACACTCCAGCCTGGTGAGTACAAAACTATGAAGAAAAAAAATTATTTCTTCCAGGCATGATCTACAAAAATTTTCTTATTAATTTGGAAGAAATAGCTCTTCGGTGGTTTAATGGATTTAAACAGCATTGTTACATCCTAAACTATAAAGATGTTTCAAAAATTAACACTTGAAATAGCTTCTAATCTTTAAAAGCTGGTTCCATTTAAAATAATATAATTCATGGGACTTTGGAAAGTTAAATTTTCATGAGATATTAAAAATGGAATTCAGTGAATCCATGAATTAGGAGTCTATAAATGCAAAAACACCATTTTTCCTGGCACAAAATTAGACTGTACATTGCTGTATTACCTCATTTGAGAGTGAAGAGAAGGTGGAGGCCAAGTCATCCAGGGTAACTGGAGAACTCACAGGAAGGGAAGGAGCTGAAGTATATTTGCTTTCATCCATTTTCTCTTTAACATCTTCAAGCAGCATCTCCAATTTGAAGATTTCACCTTCCACTTTTCTAAGTAAACATAAACACACAGGCATCTTCTGGGCTATGTGGTTGGCATTCTAATTAATAATGACAGTTCTTGAATACAGCATTGATTTATATTATTAATGTGGCCTGTCTTCTGTCACAAAGGATAATGGGAGCCCGCATGACTGTTCATAGTTTCTCTGACAGCCTGGGCTCTGATCTTCACCTGCTGTCCATTAGCTGCGTATCCTTGTATAAATCACTTAGTATTTCTGGGCCTCCAATGTCTCACTTATAACCTGGGATAACAATATTGTACCTTACTTATCTGGATTTGATGATTTTGAGATCCCTTACAAGGGATTCTAAGAACTGTGATTCTATGGAATTACTTGTTATGCTAATTTAAAAAGAGGAAGAATATTAGATATCTGAATAATTTAATTAACAAGTTCTAATCCATATGAATATATGTGTATGTGTATATAAATATATATTTTACCCAACAAAGAGAATCCATTTTCTTCAAATCCATTACATTTATAAAAATTTACCTCGTAACAGTCCACAAAGGAAAATTTCAAGAAAATCCAAAATATTAAAAATTATACTACCTACATTCTCTTATCACTAGACATTAACAACAAAAAGATAGCCCCCCCCCCAAAAAAAACCCTGTTTAATTAGAAATTTTAATACCTAAATAGCTTTGGATTAAGTAGGAAATAAAAATGAATGTTAGGCATAACTTACAAGTCAATGACAAATGAGAGAATAACATAGGAAAACCAATGTAATGCAGTTAAAGCAGTACTCTGAGGAAAACTTCTAGTCTTAAATGCATTATTGGGGGAAAAAATCAAAAATCAATCAACTATTTAAAATAGGAAGATAGAAAAGGGAATATAAAATAAACCACAGAAAAGGATTCATAAAATTACTAGAAATAAATGAGACTTAAAAGAATTTGATCAATAAGATAAAACATGTTTTCTTCCAAAATATCTATGAAACAAACCACTGGAAGTCTGAAAAACAAATAACATTAAGAATGAGAAAGGAAAAATAGGAAAAATTTTAAATCAAAAGGCATTGAAAAATCCATATCAACACCATTTAAAATTTAGGTGAACTGGGCAAGTTTCTAGAATAATATAAATTATTAAAATTCACTTTTAAAAAAGTAGAAAATATGAAAAGACCAACAACCAGAGAAAAATGGAAAGTGTTAAAAATCTACTCCATGAAAGGCATGAAGAGTGGGATAATGGGTGAGTTCTACCAAGCCTTTTAAAAAAAATTTCAATGTCTCTAATATGTTAATTTTTATGTATTACATAGTTTAAAATGTAATTTATAACAGTTTGAAAGCATATATTTCAACATATATTTTTAAAGGAGAAATTTAAATCAAGTATATGCAGACCCCGAAGCACGTGTATAGAACCTTGGAGTTCACTAAACATAATTCTACCAAGACTTTTAAGCAACAGATAAGTCCTATATTATTAGACTCTTCCAGAACATGAAAAGAAAAGGGGCCCGGCGCGGTAGTTCACGCCTGTAATCCCAGCACTTTGGAAGGCCGAGGTGGGTGGATCACGAGGTCAGGAGATCAAGACCATACTGGCTAACATGGTGAAACCCCGTCTCTACTAAAAATACAGAAAACTTGGCGGATGCTTGTAGTCTCAGCTACTTGGGAGGCTGAGGCAGGAGAATGGCGTGAAGCCGGGAGGCGGAGCTTGCAGCGAGCCAAGATCGCGCCACTGCACTCCAGCCTGGAGGAGCGAGACTCCGTCTCAATAAAAAAAAAAAGAAAAGGGAAAATTGCCCAACTCATTCTGTGGTTCAACGTTAGTATATTTATTAACATATTCCACTAAATTAATAGATTAAAGGAGAAAAACTAGATTTCTAAATCCCATTTGATTAAACATTTTCTTGAATTAAATAACAACAAAAGCCCTAATTCTAGAAAGCTAGGAATAGAAGAAAACTCTCTTGATGAAGCTTATCTATTTGAATCATACTTAGGAGAGTTCTCATTATTATTAGTAACATGACAAGAATGCTGTCTTTTATGGCTCACGCTGGTAATCCTAACACTTTGGGAGACCACAGTGTGGGAGTATCACTTGAACCCAGGAGTTCGAGACTAGCCTGGAAAACATAGGGAGACCATGTCTCTACAAAAAAAATTTTTTTTAATTAGCTGGGAGTGGTGGCATGCACCTGTAGTCCCTGCTACTCAGGAGGCTGAGGTGGGAGGATCCCAGAGTCCAGGAGTTTGAGGTTGCAATGAGCTATGATTGTGCCACTGCATTCCAGCCTGGACAAGAGTGAGACTTTGTCTGAAAAAAAAAAAAATGCTGTCTTTCACTAATATTAATTATCCAATATTGTTCTGGAAAACCTAGCAAATGAAATAAAGAAAAAGAAATGAGATAGATAAGAATTGGAGAGAAAAGAAAGTACAATACAAATATTCTGGAGTAAAAAGCTTATTAATATTTTCAGATGCTATGGATTGTCATACTTAAAAATTAAGACAATCAACTAAAAAATCAACAAAACACTAAGAAGAGAATTGCATAAGGTAGCCCAGTACAAGTTAAATATACAATATGGAAATACTTCCTATGACATCAATTAGAGAAAACATCTGTCGACAATACTCAGAACACTATAAAATAGCTAGTAATAAACCTAACAAAAAAATGTGTAAAATCTGCATGAAGAAAACGTGATGGGAATACTTACTACAAAGATTTCAGTTCTTCCCAATCTAACCTATAAATTCAATACATTCCTAAGCAAAATCCTCATGAAATTTTATTAAGAACCTTGGTGAGCTGATTATAAAGTTTATTAGTAACATGAGTGTATAAGAATAGCTATAAGAAAATTTTAAAAAGAAGAAACATTTCTAAATATACACTAACCTATAATAGTTTATGTGGATAATGTAGAAATAGACACATAGATCAATGGGATGGAATAGAAACAGTTCTGTATACATGTGGAGGTTTTGTATCTGATATAAGGGGCTTTTTCAACCAGTGGGGAAAGGCTGCCCTATTCAATAAGTGGTGGGACAAAGATCTAAGCATGAAAAAAACAAAGTGATAATTGAATAAAATATAGGAAACTATGTTGGGATCTTGCAGGCAGAAGAGAATGAAACAGGGGACAAGGAGAGACTGAAAGTTTAAAAGAAATGAGCCCGGGTACGGTGGCTCATGCCTGTAATCCCAGCACTTTGGGAGGCCAAGGTGGGCAGATCACTTTAGGTCAGGAGTTCAAGACCAGCCTGGCCAACCCGGTGAAACCCCGTCTTTACTAAAAATATGAAAAAATTAGTCAGGCATGGTGGCATGCACCTTTAATCCCAGCTATTCTGGAGGCTAAGGCAGGAGAATCGCTTGAACCTGGGAGGTGGAGGTTGCAGTGAGCCGAGATCGCGCCACTGCACTCCAGCCTGGGCAACAGAGCAAGACTCCATCTCAAATAATAATAATAGTAATAATAAAAATAATAATAATAAAAGAAATAAAATGATGGAGCAAGGCCTCAAGGAAGTAGAAAGGGATGGGTTCAAGGACCATGGCTAGAGAGGTTGGAGAGCAGACTAAGGAAGGGAGAGGAGGTGAAAACATGGGGATTTGGAGATAGAAGAGACATTTTTGAGGGAAGTTGTGATCTTTTCTTTAAAGCAGAACATAAGATTTTATGCTGAGACTCTCAGGGAGAAGTGGCTGATGAAGGTAGAACCCCATTTCTTGAATTCTTGGCTTCTGAAGTTAATATGTGAAAGAAGCAAATTACTATTGGACTACATTCTGACAAGCAAGATGCATGAAATCCAAGCAAATATTTTTGCACATTACCTTGTAAAGGTAATAATGAGAAGGCTTTAATAAGAGCACAGCAGGTGATGTAAACAAAGGACTAGTCAATGAATTTGCAGAATTCTTGCCCCTCCAGAAAGCCCTCTGCATTAGCCTTTGGACTCAACACTTATAAGGTTCTCGACATATCAAGAACCCAAGGGTTGTATGGGATTCTGTTCCTTGTCACATTATGCCCATTTGAGAACAAGGGGACTATTCTGGAGCTGATCAGTCTTTGCCTGTCCTGAGGTGACTTCAGCCGAGATTTGGGAAAGTCTGGGTCCCTCCCTTGCCCCAGTGTTGAAAGCTTCTCCCATATATGGAATGTAATTGCAGTTGAAGCTCTTTTTATTTATACTCATGCCAGGCACAGTGTGGCTGTAACTAGGATATAAATAAGACATTGAATAACTTTGGTCTTAATGTGCACAGAAACCTGTCTTTAAAATGACTGCCCAAGCAGAAGATTCCTTGGAAAATAAATATCCTTACTCTATTAATTTTAAATAGCAGAAGCATGCAGAGTTCTTTCTTCCTCTCCCCCCAAAAAAAGCCTTTGGGAAAAAAATCAATATTAAAACCTCATCCTTACTGTCTAATTACTCAGTGCTGAAATAAAGGTAGACAGAGGTTCCATTAATTTTGGAAAAGTAAAACCATACCTTGGGGAAAAAAATGCCACAGAACGCTAGGGCTGAAATGTAAACCATTAAAAAATTTGGCAACAACAATTCCATATTAAAATGCTATGAATAGAAAGGGCTAAACTCACAAATATTAAGCCTACTAAATAGTTTCTTTTAATTTATACCAGGAAATTATAGGGAAAGAATCCTCTCCTTGAGTCCTGGAATACAGCTTAAAATTATCTGGAATGGAGAAAGGAGAATACAGTGCCATAAAAACTACCAGTTAGAAACTTCAGTTTGGAGTGTGTGTTCAAGATTCTAATGTGAATTAACTCAGAAATCATTTAACTTTAAGCTTTCACGCTTTTCCTTTATCAGGATTTGTAGGTCCCTCACCCTGACACCAATTAACTTTACAATGACCCCCTCCTGCCCAGTGTGCCTTGGAATTATCAGTGAATGGGAAAGAAAAGGGGAAAGAGAGGGACAGAAGAGAGAACCAGGCAAGGACAATAAAGGCAGGTGTGGGGAGAGATAGATAAGAGAGGAAAAAGCTGAGAGGGAGAGGAGAGGAGGAACTTGAGAAGAGGGCCCTCTGTGGTTATCATGTGAGCCTTTCTAGGGTTTTCTTAGGCTCCTCTGGGTCTCCAAACCAATTATAATGATATTCAACAAATTGCAAAATTTTGGTACAATGCCTCTGCCCCAGGAAGCATTTGTTCATTTTGGGTGTTCCATCTGAGTCAATGTCCAGCACAGCACCTTACACTCAACAGGTCCTCCATGCTGTCTGTGGTATTAGGTGACACTTTGTTCATTGGTGACACAGTTTCTGCTGACCCTAGACCAGTGGCTCTCCAAGCACTAAGCCAGCAGCCACATCAGAATCCCACCTGAAGGAGATCACCTTTGACCCTTCCACCTTACACAGTTGGTTTAAATCTGACCTTTCTGGATCAAAGTCACCAACGATTGTTGATTCGTGCTTGTGGACTTGCTGCTGCAAAGTCAGATGCTTGTCCTTGGTGGCCAGAAAGTTCTGCTCCAGCAGTTCAAGGTGTCCCTGCAGTTTCTCCAGGACCTGCAGCGGTGAAGTCACTGGAATCATTCACATGCAAGCCTGTGTGTGTAATTGTTTTCCCAAAAACACAAAGCAGGTGTACCCTACAGTAGTGTCAAAACAAAGCTGCCATCCTTCTCCCAGCAGCATAAATTGTTTTGTCTCAGAGTCTGACATCTAAACTACAGACAACCCAAGGGTCATCTCAACATTCACAAACCCTCACAGCACACAGCTCAAAAGTACAATTACTTCTGATTTCTCTCTCAGAACCCACTCAGAGGCCTCTGGCCTTCCTTAGTGGGACATTCATAATCCTGTATATTTGCAGAATGGTTTTTAGCTTACAAAGCATTTTTCCATTCCTCATCTTATTTAATCAACACATCAATGTTGTAAATGTAGTAAAGTATATTTTATTATCCCACTTTTACAAAGGAGGAAATTGGAGCTCTAGCAATATGTCTGAAGGCACATAGATCTTAAAAAGGAACTGTAGTTACATGGCCTGGGTTTCAGTCTGTGGGGAGTTGGAGGATGAGATGGGGAAGGAACAGCAGGAAGATTTAGCCAAAGCTGTGAATGGGTCTTCCAGACATCACTACGTGCAGCCTCAAGCAGATGAATGTTTAAACTGTGCGGGTTAGGGGCATGTTGAAGATGTATGGAGGCTTCAGTTCCACATCCCCAGTCACTAAACATTCCCTGAGCACTTTCTATTTCTGGCCCTGGGCCAGAAGTGTGAGATTAAAAAATTGCATCAGGCACAGTTCCTGGTCTTAGAGATGTTATTCCATTGAGAAAAGAGACTGTGGCTTAGAGTACTTAGCCAAAGGCCAGGCACAGTGGCTCATGCCTATAATCCCAGCACTTTGGGAGGCCGAAGTGGGCAGATCATTTTAGGTCATTAGTTCAAGACCGGCCTGACCAACATGGTGAAACCCCATCTCTATTAAAAATACAAAAATTATCCGGGCATGGTGGTGCGTGCCTGTAATCCCAGCTACCTGGGAGGTTGAGGCAGGAAAATCACTTGAGCCCAGGAGGCAGAGGTTGCAGTGAGCCAAGATTGCACCACTGCACTCCAGCCTGGGCAACAGAGCGAGACTCCATCTCTCTCTCTCTCTCTCCATATATATATATATATATATACCAAAGCCAGAGCTCTGGAGTGCATATCTATATATGTATATATAGATATAGATAGATAGAGAGAGAGAGACCTTTGCCAAGGCCCAGTGGAAGGAGTGCAACTTAAATCAGGCATAAAGGATGCTCTGGAGGGCCTGGACCAGGCAGTATCCATGAAAATGGAGAGGAAGGGATGAATTGGACAGAGGTTGCCCAGGACAGAAACATAGCTCGGTGAGGTTACAGGATCAGACACAGCTGGGTGCAAGTTCAGACTCTGTCACTTACTCATTGTATGATTTTAGTAAACTTGAACTCTCTAAGCTTCAGTTTCTACATCTGTAAAATTAAGGTAATACTCCTTGCCTCATATTATAAAAACTAAATGAGATAATGCATTGTGCCAGGACTATAGTACATACTTGACAGATTATTAATTCTTTTTTTTTTTTTTAATTTAAGACAGTCACTCGCTCTGTCACCCAGGCTGGAGTGCAGTGGTGTGATTTCAGCTCACTGTAACTTCTACCTCCCAGGTTCAAGCAATTCTCCTGCCTCAGCCTTCCAAGTAGCTGAGATTACAGGTGTGCACCACCATGCCTGGCTAATTTTTGTATTTTTAGTAGAGATGCGGTTTCACCATGTTGGCCAGGCTGGTCTCAAACTCCTGACCTCAGGTGGTCCACCCACCTTGGCCTCCCAAAGTACTGGGATTACAGGCATGAGCCACCACTCCCAGCCAATTCTTATTAATATTAAAAATGAATAAACAAGAGTTTGGAAACATATTGGCTAAAGGGTAGATAAAAAGCGGCAGGTGTGGCAGATGTTTTACATTTCTCCCCAGGTTCATCCTCTTTCTCTGTGCTGACCTTTAATGGACTGCACCACAGGCTCCCCTGGGCCCTGGCTTTGGTTGGTTTTAGTCGATGGAAGGCAACAGCAGGAGAGAGGAGTTGGAGGATGAGATGGGAGTCTTTTCTTCCTCACCTGTGCCGTCATGGAGTTGACTCTGTCCCTCCACCAAAAGCCACAGGGCTTGTCAGCTAGTCCCACAGTGACAGCTGCTCTCTTTAGGCTCTAGGACCTGCTTTTCCTCTGTTCCTTCAGGCCAAAGGGGAGCTCCCCACGGGTCCTTCCAGGAGATGCTTTTCCATCCCTTATTGGTTTCCCTTAGCCTTGCCCACACTGTTGTAAACTAATGCCTTTGTTAAACTCTCCTCCGTTGCCCCATTTGAGTAACCATCTGGTCCCTGCCAGAACCCTGACTGACACTGTAAATCTCACAGACAATGCTTGAGTTTCTCAGCTTGGGAAGTGAGAAGAATGTGGTAGACCTGACTAAACTGGGGAATTTGGAAAGGCTAACAGGCTCGAAGATATTGATGTTGGACAAGGTAGAGTTTGCAGTGAGGGTGGGATGTCCGAAGTGAAGAGAGACACAAACATTTGGAGCTATAGATGAGAAGTCAGGACAAGTCACTTACGAACTGGAAGCCTGAAGATGGCAGCTGAGGCCATGAGGAAGAATTATGTGTTCAAGGGAAAGAGGGTAATGAGAAAAGAGATAAAAGCTAATCACAAATTATAATTCAGGATCTTGGAATTTAAATTGCATTATGTTGCAGAAGATAGGGCACAATTTCCTAGGCAGAAGTGTGCCTCACTGAATTCTCATAACAACTCTGAAAGGGAAGACATGCTGTAACATGTCTACAGTTGTGTAACCAATAAGTAGAGGCACGACATCCGCTCCAAAATCCAAATGCTTTCTGCTGTGTAGTGCTGCTCAGGCTGAGGCGGTTGCTTGTAGCCCTGTCTGGCTTTTTTCAAGACTGAACCACCTGGGCCTGGAAGTCCCAGACCACAGGCTGATAATGTCAGGAGCCACCTTTACTCTCCTCTCGGTCAGCAGGGATCCTCACATACCTGATAACATCAGGAAGAAACCTCCCGCATCCAGGCTTCCGAAGGCTCCTGACAGAACCAGTTTTCTCTGCTCTGCTCAGCCCTTTAAAATTCTGTGTTCTTCCAATTCCTGAAATCCTAGCTTTCTGGAGATCTTGCTTATCGTTGTTTCTTCCATAATCCCTGCAATCTGGCTTCCAGATCCACCACTTCAATCAAAACCAGGCTTGCCAAAGACCCTTATAACATCTTGATTGCCAAATCCAATGCACTTCTTATTTGGGCCCACTCCCCTCTCCTTCAAACCCCCTTTTCTCTTGGCTTCTCCGCCTCCGCTCCTCCCCAGCTGCCATTTCCCTCGAGTCTCTCCTGGGCCCTCTTCACTTCTCACTCTGTGTATTTTGCCTGGCCCGTCTCATCCACTCCAGCGTCAACTCACAACTATGCCCAAATCTACATTTCTCACCCAAACAGCTCTGCAGGCCAGATCCACTGGTCTAACTGCCTACTGGAGCCCTCTACTTAGATGTCCCAAAGGTAGCTCAAACTCAAAATGCCCCAAACTCAACTTGACGTCTTGCCTCCTGCTTGCCTTCCACACCCATTCTAAACGGGATCCTCTACTTTTATTCCTGACCTTGGTTACCCAAGCCAGAAATCTGGAGCTCATCCAAGCCTCTTCCCTTCCTCTCTTCAGCCCTTTCCATCTGCCACCATTTCCCTAAACCCCCAGATTTGTCCCCATCTCCAGCCTCATTGCCAGCCTTCGTTCAGGCCCTCCTGACTTGTTACCTGGATTCTGGCTTCCGAACCAATCTCTGTGCCTTCAGCCTTGCCCCCATGGTGCTTCCCATTTGTCAGCTTGAAAACCTTCAATGCAGCCAGGTGCAGCGGCTCATGCCTGTAATCCCAGCACTTTGGGAGACCGAGGCAGGTGGATCACCCTGAAGTCAGGAGTTCAAGACCAGCCCAGCCAACATGGTGAAACCCCGTCTCTACTAAAAATACAAAAATTAGCCAGGCACGGTGGTGCACACCTGTAACTCCAGCTACTTGGGAGGCTGAGGCAGGAGAATCACTTGAACTTGGGGAGTGGAAGTTGCAGTGAGCTGAGATCACACCACTGCACTCTAGCATGAGTGACAGAATGAGACCGTGTCTCAAAAAAAAAAAAACAAAAAAAAAAACCTTCAATGCTGCCCAATTACTCAGCCTCAGGCATGGCTTAAAGGCCTTCATGAAGTACCCCTGTCCACCTCCCCTGTCTCCTCCCCCACCCCCATGTCACCACGTGCTCCCAAGTGCTGTATGGTAAATCACAGTGCCCACAGCTCCTCACACTGGCAGCACTTCCTCACCCCTGTGCCATTGCACCTGCTGTTTTCTTTTTCTAGAATACCCCTTGGTCTCCTGCCAAGCTCATCCCTATTCCTTCTGCAACACCCAGCTCAGAAGTGACTTCCAGGAAGCCTTCCAAATGTCCCCTCACTGGCAAAGGTGAGCCTCTTCTAGGCTGCCATTAGCATTCTCTGTAACATTTCTCCAGCTGCATTTTAGCTGCCTGTTTACCAGTCCACTGTTCCTAAGAGACTATAAACCACTTGGAAAAGGAATTGTTTATTCATCTTGAATTCCTAGTGCCTGGTACAGGGTCTGGGACATAGAAAGTGCCTGATAAATGTTTGTTGAATGAATGATTTAATTAACAGGATAAAGGAGAGAATAATCAACTGTGTCTTTTAGCATTTGGGTCCCCTGGTTTTTGTCCATGCTGCTAGGTTTCTGAAGCACAGCCCTCCCTAAACCTTGCTTGTGCCTACATCAGAACTTCTGACCTTATCCCTTGTTGATGAGCCAATGGCCTCAACTACATCTTCAATGTCAGGTCAGCATACTTCTGGTTCTCCCAGCCTTACCCTTCACCCCATTGCTCCACCCCCTTCCCATGATCCTGGCACTGACAACATGACTGCTGTGGTGATGACATAAATTAATGGTTTGATTAAATGCAGCAACTAGCAAGGATATGAAAGGAAAAGATTTTGACCTGAAAAACATTGCTTCAAGGTTGATTTTATGAGTATTCAAAGTCATATTTAATTTCCAGGTAATGGCAATTTTTATAACCTGAATTCACCAGTACCCATCAACTGCGGACAGGCCCACTCTTTATAACTGATTATGGGTTCTTCTCTTGAACCTCCCGTGGTGTCAGATTAATTATGAGTAACCTGGCAAGGAGTAATAGCCATAAGTAATAGATCCCCTGAGAAGGAAAGAGGGCTAAATAGATAGAGAAACAGAATTCTAAGCTCTTTTAGCCCCCATAAACAAAGATGGTTTAATCTTTAGCAAAACATTTCCACTCCCACCACTGTAGAGAAAACATGGCACTATAAAGTTATTTATCTTTATCCAAGCCATATTCTCTAATCAAGATTTTAAAAACGGGATAAAATTCATTACCAGCTTCTTGTCTTGCAAATGGTAAGGAGAGTCCTGTTTTATTCTTTTGGAAAATTCTTGTACCTGCAGTGAAAAAATTACAATCTCTCATTAATGGCATGGTTTCTCATGTGTGAATTTGGTTACTTATATTGTTTATAATAAGCTTTAAAAGTATTACTTTAGTCTTCAGTTGATCAGTCTGTTCTTTCAACTTCTGACACATCTGTTTCCCTTGGGATATCTTTTGAAATATGTAAGAAGAACTTGAGGAAGTGCCTTTCTGAGAGGTTGGTGACAACTTAGAGAGACTTGCCTCAGATTCTATTCCTATACAAGAAAGAACACATTTGGGCTACCATTCATCTCAACTTATCACAGTTTTATTAAGTACTGAAAACAGAAAGCTGTTGCAGTCACCACCACTTACTATTTTTAAAATTTAATTTTTTTCAAAATATTTATCTAGGCCAGGCACAGTGGCTCACACCTGTAATCCCAGCACTTTGGGAGGCCAAAGCGGGGGGATCACTTGAAGCCAGGAGTTCAAGACCATCCTCAGCAACAAAGTGAGACCCCACATCTACAAAAAAAAAAAATTATCTAGGTGTGGTGGCATGCACCTGTAATCCCAGCTACTCGGGAGGATGAGGTGGGAGGATCATTTGAGCCCCAGAGGTCAAGGCTGCAATGAACCAAGATTGTGCTGCTGCACTCCAGCCTGGGTGACAGAGTGAGACCCTGTCTCAAAAAGACAAAAACAAAACATATATATATATCTCAAAGAAGTTTTAAAACATTAGTACCTGTGAGAAGTTCTTGGTGGATATGTACTATGGGCTCCATCTGCACAATTAAAGGGTAAGAAAACGTTACTGTCGATATTGATCAATGACACCACCGTTCAGAATGACCCAACATGTTCTGTCATCATAGAGGGAGCCCAGGTTTGCAGTCAAGAGCCGGAGCCATGATGCCAAGGTTGAATTCCACTCTGACACTTACTTGCTGGGCAACCCAAGTAATTGTCTCATCACTTATAAGCCTGCAATTCTTTGGCAGGAAAATGGGGATAGTAAGTGAACCTGCCTCAGGGGGTTGTTATGAGGATGAAATGTTAAATATCTACCATAGTATCAGGCAGGTGGTAAGCATGTAACAATACATGTTACCTGTTATCACCATTGTGTTTGATACTGGTATGTGAAATGCTGAAACATTTCTCCTAAAACTAGACTATAAGTTTCACAAGGGTAGGGACCATGGCTGGTCTTGTCACCAGCTCTGTTGCTGGTGCTGTCACTAACACAAAACTCATGGTAGCCACACTCTAGAGAATAACAGAGGATGCATTAAGTTCCAAACTGTGTGTCAAGATAGTGATGGTTTTCTACTCACCACTGGCTAATTGAACAGTTTAAATTCCAGAGTGATTCACCTTGTGGGGTCTTTCCTTTGTTCCCAACACATAAAGCTCAGAAACACGCTAGTGCTGGAGAGCTGGTCAAAATGGACTATGGTCTTTCTAGACATCTCAACTATATGACGGATATGAAACCTGCAGTGTCCAATTCTCCAATCTGAATTGACAGAACTGGAAAAAATCAGATACCTGACCTCGAACCCCCATACCAGAGGGAGAAGAGCCTGATATCCATCTGCTCCTGCTAACCACGGGGCACTGAGAACTGGACACAATGAGGATGTTCTCCTGCAAGCAGAACAAGGAACCCCGACACTTCCCAATACCACGGGGGTGTAGGTTTCTCTCAGACCTAGAGAGCATCCCAGTCATGGCCAGGTGGGCTGTTGGCTCAGGTTTGGATGTAGGGGGTTCTGCTCAAACTCCCCAGGCATTCAGTTGAAAGAGAGGGGAGCTGAAGTGTGAAAATGGAAATGGAAATTAAAAAAAAGAGAGAGAGAGAAAAATCACTTCCAAGGTTAGGTTACAGAAAAAGAGAGAGAATGGAAATGGAAACAGGCAGTGTGGTTCAGTCCAGGACACCTTCATATAAGGCTCAAAGGAAAGATCATGCACTCTAGGCAAAGTGCCCAAGAACTAAAATGTATATTTTGATTATTAAGATGGATTTACCTTACTATTGGGCCTCAAACATCAATGAGATCCTGAGCCTCAGCATGTTGAGAAGTTGGTGGGGGAGTGTGAGAAGTTGGCGTAAGGGAAAGGGGGAATAGCATAAATTAAGCATTAACAAAGTTTTGTACCAAATGATTACCAAGATAACAAGCTTGAAATCCATTACTAACGATCTTAATTCCATTGGACTTAGCATGAATAACTAAGGGCATAACGTACGTTAAGACACGAGGCCAGGCCTCTGGGGGAAATTAGGCAATGGAAAGGCGAAGATAAGGTTGCTGCCCTCCAGAGCCTTAGAATCTAGTGGAGGAAGCAGATGCTTCTGCTATTAAGATCCAAAGCAGGCTGAGATACACACTCTGATGGAACGACTAAACAAGTGTGGAAAAGGTTGTGACTTAGGAGACCTGAAAAGTTATGTGGCCCAAGGGGGAATTGAAGGAGGCCATGAAAACAAGCAGGTCTTTGGCAAGTCAAGATGGGATGTGCCACGCAAGGCAGGAACTCAGAGAGCTCAGGGCCTGGGAAGAGGTTCTGGACCAGCCAGGTAACTGCAGATGACTCCTGAAGGAAGGCAGCTAAGTTTAAGTGAGGAGAGCCAAATTCCGGCTTGCGGAATTTGGATTTTATTCTCTTATATGTTTTTGTCAGTGTAGCCTGTGATGCTTCTCGTGAGGACACTGAGAGTCGGAGTGGCCACGTCACTCATCCAGGGTGACCCAGGGTGCTGAATGAAACTTTGGAACTAGAACCAAGCTCTATTCACCCTCCAAAAACCCACACTGAAAGAGATAAGCAGTGGTCCCAATTAATGTGTTTACAGGAGACTGTTTCATTTACCTGGATTTGTTGTGAAGGTTCAGTGATTTTCCCTTTCTGCTCTTGATGTTGTTTTTCAACACAGTTTGACTCAGGCGTGGTTTCTAGACTATCTTGCACAAGAGTGGGTTTATCTCTCGACTTGGAAGAAAAGCTGGCTTGTTTAGCTATTGCAAGTGGTTTATTAATTATCTTATTTTTAGGAATTTTCACTTTGGGAGCAATCTTAGAGAAATCAGGGAGCTGGTAATGAACTTGACCTTGGCCGTATTTGAACGTGTTGCCTGAATTTGCTTTTTCAGTCTGCTGTTTCTGGGGTGACTGCCCTTGATAACTTTTTTGTTTATCACCTGGACCCTTGGTTTTAGTTAGAACATTCACATTTTCTTGATGGCTGCTATCTCCAGCAGCCACTGGCCCTTCTAAATCAGAGGTATTTTCCTCTGTCGTGGTGGCAGAACCAGGCTTATTGCTGTTTTCACCATCCCTTTTCGGGTTGAGTTGGTCAGTGAGTTCTGGGGTTTGTTCTTTTGGCCAAGAATTCTTATTATAACATGAAATAATACTTTTAATAATAGCTTCCTCTTCAAAACTGTCGGCATTTGAGATCTCTGGGAGGGTTTCACAATCAATGCCTTGACCTCTTAAGAATGGCTCTTTGGAAAGATGATGAAGTAAAATATCAGAAATGCTTGACTTAGAAGCGTCTCCTTCATTTGCTGGAATATGAAGAGCTGCAGTGCATTGTTTCTCTTTCTCGTCTTTTTTGTTGGCAGCATTTTCAGTAATTTTACCCAGGGGTATGGTCACAGCTGTATTTCCACAAGTCTCACTATGCATAGCCTTCTCTTGAGGGTCATCTGCTATGAAAATAATTTGATTTAAGACTTCAAGGCCATCCTTTTTTGAGGTAAAACTGTAATCATTGCCTATCTTAATCTGAGAGAGGTCCCCATCATAAGGCAAATCCTCCTGCTTATAAGTCGTGTGTTCTGAAAAATCAGCCTCATCCATGTGTGTGCAGCCCGATCGCTCTCGTCCTCTGCCTCCTGAGCTGGCTGCTGTCAGTTGTAACAATAGCTCTGGTTCTCACTGACTGTCTTCACTGTGTGCTATTCTGTGTGAAATGAGAACAGCCTCATTGTTAAATATATTGGAATAATGTATACAACTATGCCAGAACAAAGTGGATGTTTTTTTAATTTGAAAAATTCAGTTACAAACAGGAAGGCAGGAAGCTCAACCACAAGCTGACCCAACCTCAATCCACACTATGTTAACACAATCAGTAGAATAACAGCAAGGAATGGGGGAAAAAAAAAAAGAGAGTGTTACATTTTTCATTTATTAAATTTTGAGGATGACATTAGTCTACAGTTAATGGCCAAATACTTATCAACCTCCCTTAGGAGATAGTATTTGGAGTTTATTCTCCCAAAGTAGGAACTTGGGATGCAAGTAAAGGATTGATTTTTTTTCTTTTTTCTTTTTTTTTTTTTGAGACGGAGTCTCGCTCTGTCGCCCAGGCTGGAGTGCGGTGACACAATCTCGGCTCACTGCAAGCTCCACCTCCCAGGTTCACCCCATTCTCCTGCCTCAGCCTCCCGAGCAGCCGGGACTACAGGTGCCCGCCACCACGCCCAGCTAATTTTTTGTATTTTTAGTAGAGATGGGGTTTCACCATATTAGCCAGGATGGTCTTCATCTCCTGACCTCGTGATCCACCCGCCTTGGCCTCCCAAAGTGCTGGGATTACAGGCGTGAGCCACCGCGCCCGGCCTGATTTTTTTTTTAACTACCAGAGCCACGCCTTGTCCACGTGTCACTGACAGTCTTCTAAGCCATGTGGCGATGGAAGCTGGCCTAGCTCACATGTAACACCCACCTTCTCCATTCTGGTGCCTTTTCACCTGTCCCTCCAGACCTTCTGGTCCCCTTCTCCTGACTTTCCCTTGCATGTCTGAGAAGGGCAGAGAAGGACTTACAGAAATATGACCAAGGGGCCGGGCACGGTGCCTCACACCTGTAATCCCAGCACTTTGGGAGGCTGAGGCAAGCGGATCACCTGAGGTCAGGAGTTCGAGACCAGCCTGGCCAACATGGCGAAACCCCCATCTGTACTAAAAATACAAAAAGTTAGTCAGGTGTAGTGGCAAGCACCTGTAGTCCCAGCTACTTGGGAGGCTGAGGCAGGAGCATCGCTTGAACCTGGGAGGCAGAGGTTGCAGTGAGCCGAGATCAAGCCACTGCACTCCAGCCTAGGTGACAGAGAGAGACCCCGTCTCAAAAAAAGAAAAAAAAAGAAATGTGACCAAGGGACAAATAGGCTTTCAAACACCTGGAGGCCAGTCTGCAGCCAAATGTCCCTTTTCTAATTTGGACTCAGGCAGGAACCTAGTCAGAGAGGCTGCCTTCCCTGAACAACCCCTGCCAGCCACCACAGCCCAGGCGGCGGTCTGGTGGTACCAGACTCTTTGGGGATATTCCTGAAAATGGCTGGAGTAAAACCAGCTGCCATTTGGTATGAGTCCTATTTTCTCTTTTTTAAACAAAATTTAAAGCACCCATTCAGATATCTCTTCCTGATTTGTGAACTTTTGGGATGATTCCTCAGAAGTAGTAATCTCAAGTTTTAAGTAGAGTAACTGAGATTCCCTCTCCCCTGGAGCACCAGCCCAGGGTGACCACAGCTGCTGGCAGCCTCCCTTGCCCATACAATGATTATGTTGGGTGAGCAGATCTCTGAGGTTCTCTCTCCAACCAAATTTTTATGAGTCTATAAGCTGGTGATTTATTAGGTAACCTCAAAAGCTAAAATCATATGTTTGACCAAAATAAATTTTTTTGAACTAAGTCGTCCAAGAAAAAAAGGAGTACAAACTAAATGTGGTAAAAGCATCTGTGAGACATTGTACAAAAATCTTAATTTATAGACACATGCCAATGTTAGAGAACCCAAATTAAACAGATGCTCTGTTTAGAGAGGTGGAGAGAAAGGAGAATATCACTGCAGGATTATTTTAAATCATTTAAAGAGGGTAACATTTAGTATAAAGTGAGGCATGTCTTCATGAGAAGAATTACAGGCTATTCTAATCCAAGTTGAAGAACAAGGGAAAAGGCTTCCCAAGAAAGTGAAAGGCACAGTGGGAAAGCAGAAGTGGAGAGGCATGGATCTGAATACTCTGGCTTCTCTGCTTTCTAGCTGTGTGTCATCTGGCAAGTTATTTAACTCTTGTGAGTCTCGGTTGCCTTTTCTGAGAAATAGGACTAGCAATACCTGAAATAAGGCACTAAAGTACTCGGCATAGGGCTTGGCACAGAGTAAGAATTCCATACATTGTTGTTGAAAAATGAAAAAACAAAACCAGTCTCAGTATTGGAATACTGAAGAATGCCCAGGTCCAGAGGTGAGGCACTCCTTATCCGTGGGGATATTTAAAGGATAAAGGAAGGAATTGCATATGTAAAACATAATCTCGTCCAAGCAAGGTGGCTCATGCCTGTAATCCCAGCACTTTGGGCGGCCGAGGCAGGTGGATCACGAGGTCAAGAGATGGAGGCCATCCTGGCCAACATGGTGAAACCCCGTCTCTACTAAAAATACAAAAAATTAGCTGGGCGTGGTGGCGCACACCTGTAGTCCCAGCTAGTCAGGAGGCTGAGGCAGGAGAATCACTTGAACCCGGGAGGCAGAGGTTGCAGTGAGCCAAGATCGCGCCACTGCACTCCAGCCTGGCGATAGAGTGAAACTCCGTCTCAAAACAAAAAAGACATAATCTCTACAAGAACTTTAAGACAATTTTAAAACTCAATCTGTAAATAAATATATTTGAAGGTAAAAAAAAAAATCAGGCTGGATGAGGTGGCTCATGCCTGTAATCCCAGCACTTTGGGAGGCTGAGGCAGGTGGATCACTTGAGCTCAGTAGTTCAAGACCAGCCTGGCCAATGTGGCAAAACCCATTTCTACTAAAAATACAAAAATTAGTTGGGCATGGTGGTGCATCCCTATAGTCCCAGCTACTTGGGAGGCTGAGGCAGGAGAATCACTTGAACCCGGGAGGCAGAGGTTGCAGTGAGCCGAGATCATGCCGCTGTACTCCAGCCTGAGCAACAGCAAGACTCTGTCTCAAAAAAATAAAAAATAATAAATAAATAAATAAATCACTAAGCAAGTTTAAACAAAATATTGTCTAATTTTTTAGAACAAAAAAAAACAGAGTATCTTTTTTTTTTTTTTTTTAGACAAGGTCTCACTCTATCACCCAGGCTGGAGTGTAGTGACAACACCATGGCTCAACTGATCTTCCTCCCTTAGCCTCCTGAGTAGCTGGGACTACAGGCGCACACCACCACACCTGACTAATTTTTAATTTTTTTTTTAGAGATGGAGTTTCACCATGTTATTCAGGACGGTCTCGAACTCCTGAGCACAAGTAATCCACCTGCCTCAGCCTCCCAAAGTGCTGGGATTACAGACATGAGCCACTGTGCCTGGCCTGAGAGTATGTTTAAATGCCTACAGAGAGAATGGAAGAAGAAGAAAACAAATTCTAGTTTTGCAAGACTTTTAATGACCCAAGTATCAGTCCCAAAGTTATCCTCATGCTTTCTTTACATTTTCAGGAGCTCATTGCCAAACGCCATACCCTTCTTGTATAGAAAGGAAAGATACTTTGTTGGCCAAATTCCCACTTTTAAAATATAATTAATTAAAACTGATAAAATTTGAATTTTGCTCTGGCTCTCAAGAAAAAGAAAAAAAGTCCAGGCACAGTGGCTCATGCCTGTAATCTCAGCACTTTGGGATGCCAAAACAGAAGGATTCCTTGAGGACAGGAGTTTGAGAACAGCTTGGGCAACAAAGCAAGACCCTGTCTCTACAAAGAAAAAAAAAATTAAAAATTAGCCAGCAGTGGTGGTATATGCCTGTAGTCCCAGCAACTTGGGAGGCTGAGATGGAGGATCAGTTGAGCCCAGGAGGTCAAGGCTGCAGTGAGCAGAGATCATGCCACTGCACTCCAGCCTGGGTGACAGAGCAAGACCCTGTCTCTCTCTCTCTCTCTCACACACACATAAACACACACACACAAACACACACACAGACAAAGAAAGAAAGAAAGGAAAAGAAAAGGAGTGAGATACCATTAAGATAAACCAGAAACCTGAGGAACACTCTCATTACATACAGGAAAACAGCTTCTGTTGTTATTATTTTTTGCATGTGTGCATGCAAAATATCAAGAGGATTTTTTCTGGAAAAGGACAATCCATACCCTTAGCAAGGTAATGAGCTTCTTTGAGATAACTGGAGGAACTGGAGCATCTTCCCATGTCAACACTTGGCTCAATCTTGAAATCCAAAGGCATATCCAAAGAGGTTCCACTCAGAATCCAACAGAACCTTTCTGTAGAATCCAAATTGATTTTCTGAAGTCAGGTGACTACATTTGGGGCCACGCCTGCTTATGCAGCTATCTTGACCATTATGTGCTCAGCAATACCTCACAAGTCACTCTGAGATGAACACTTTGAGCAAACAGGGCCAGGACATCACAGTGACCCAGGCTGTGAAAACACTTCAGGCCAGTCCCTGAGTAGGAATGGACAACAAGGTGGTCACCATGCTGACAGCTATTCCCTGTGTGATTTACTTTATTATGAAGTCTAAATTTGATGCTGAAGTGCTAGCCTAAGCTCACTAACCTGCCAACTTAGAGAAGAAGGTAACCATGGCTAGGATGACTGGGAATCTGATGGACTCAATTAAGAATTTCTACAGATGGGAAAACCAAAACTCCTTAGTGGCAAGAGGCCAAAGATGGTCAGCGAATTGTTGTTTCCGGCTGGTAGGTGACATTTCTTCTATTCGCTAAGCCCATTTTGTGATAACACAGTTTTCCATATTGACAGGATTGTTTTCATCACCAAAGGAAAACCGTGGGTCCATGTTCCTGTGACAATCTCTTTGTCTCATTCCCAACACCCTCTGTTCTGTGTTTAAACCTCTACAAACCAGGCAAACTGGGGACTATGTGTAGGACCCAGACATGGAGGAGAAAGCAGGCATTGTTTCTACTTACCTTATCTGCCCCTCCACTAAGGTACCAGTTAGTACAACCACGTAACACTCACAAGTCCTACACTTCTAAGATCAGCCCTACTGACTTTGTCACGGTAAGAGTTGGCTGTTGGAGGCAATGATTCAACAATCTAAATTCTGATTATTCCTTTTTGTATCTGTCATTTAGAATGTGAATAGTGTACATCTAAAAGCTTTAAGTACATTATCCATCAATTTTTACTACACAAAGCAGTATGCTGCTCTGTCTTCAAACAGCACAATGCTACAGTCAACACAAAGGGCAAAACCATGGCAATATGGCAATTGCAATAGAAACTCACCAACATCTTGGAGTCTCTGGATATCACAGGTGAACAAGTTGAAGGGCCTTGCGACACAGACAAGCAACCCTTTAATTCTAAATCATCTTTTTTTCAACAGTTGGAAGTTGACTGCAGTTGAATAACAGAACAAAAACGGAGCTTCAAAATCATGGCGTGCCTGCTTCTTCTGGGTTCTTTTAACTGCAAGCAATCAGCTTTGAAGAGCACGTAGGGAACTTCTGATGTGATACAAACTTTTGTCTTTTTTTTTTTTTTTGTCTTTTAAGAGCATTCAAAAACACTTGGTCTGGCTGTTTCAATTTTCTCTTTCTCTCCTATTCCTAGCTCAAGAATAACATTTACATATGAAAGAAAATAGGAGATGGCTCAGAATAATATGTCCAAGGCCACGCCCAGGCGTCAGGGATTCATGAATTTTGTATACAGTGTATGATGTTTCTAGATTAAAATATTTTCAAAGGTAACATGATATAGGCTCCCTCTGTAATGACTGCATTTGATTATGCTCTGGTAATTCTATCAGCTAACTTTATCTCAGAAATGTGGGGTACCCACAATGCAGTGCCTCAACTGTAACCATATACCATTCAGTGAGGCTGTCTAGCTTCACCCTGTCATTGTGGGGTGGCAGAAGGGAGACACTGTGATGGGCAACAAGTCAATCCAATACTCCTACAAGAGCCAGATGGATGTATTATTTATAGTCAGTCTTAGGGCTGTCGTCCTTTTGGGAGTGCGCATGAATTTGATGACCAGCTGTTACAAATTTGTTATCCTGAAACTATTTTAGAAGTTGGGGGGAAGGGAGGAAAGCCTTTTAAAAGTGCGAGTAAAGCAGTATTTGGAGAAACTTCCTGCCTGTGTTTTACCAGAAAACTTTGCTGGTTTTCCTTGCTCTTTGGTGAGGTTAGCCCTGTCTTTTTATCCAATTTTCCCATTGATGTAGCCTAGTGTGTGCTGTAAACCACGGACCTTTGCTGTGCTTTGGGAACATTTAGAAAACTCTTACCAATTAATTTTCTGAAAGTAATTCCAGTGATAAACTTTAAAACACATTGATTTAAAGAAGTATAATGTCTTTTTTTTTTTTTTTTTTTTTTTTTGAGAGAGAGTCTCACTCTGTCACCAGGCTGGAGTACAGTGGCGCAATCTTGGCTCACTGCAACATCCGCCACCCAGGTTCACGCCATCTCCCACCTCAGCCTCCCGAGTAGCTGGGAGTACAGGCACGTGCCACCAAGCCCAGCTAATTTTTGTATTTTTAGTAGAGGCAGCATTTCACCATGTTGGCCAGGATGGTCTTGATCTCTTGACCTCATAACCCACCTGCCTCGGCCTCCCAAAGTGCTGGGATTACAGGCATGAGCCACCACACCCAGCCAAAGAAGTATAATTTTTAAATTTTATTTATTTATTTATTTTGTAAAGATAGAGTCTTGTTGTGTCCCAGGCTGGAGTACAGTGGCATGATTATGGCTCACCACAGCCTCTACCTCCTGGGTTCAAGCAATCCTCCTGTCTCAGCCTCCCGAGTAGCTGGGACCACAGGCATATACCACCACACCTGGCTAATTTTTTTTTTCTTTTTTTCTTTTTTTTTTTTTTTTGTAGAGACAGGATCATGCTAGGTTGCCCAGGCTCATCTCGAACTCCTGGGTTCAAGCGATCCTCCTCCTCAGCCTCCCAAAGTGATGTGATTACAGGCATGAGCCACCATACCCAGCCTCGAATAAGTATAATTTGTTTTTAATCTTGTCCCTGAAACGTCTCTGCCCTTCCCTAAACTTTCAAACTTAAGTTTTGCAACCTCCTCCTGGAGATAAGAAGGGCCAGAATATTTTAGGAAAACCCTTCCTCCCTTAACCAAAGACTTATGCTTCTCTCCTCCGCCCTCCTCCCCCTGCCTAAAGGAAGAACATTGACTTGTAATTATAATTTTTTAAAATAATGAATACAAGGTTAAATATATTGCACATTGATACCTAATCTATGCTCCTCAAAATGATTTCAAAAAGTTAAGATTTTGATTAAAAGTCTATTTTCATATTAGAAGAAATATCTATAGAATGAATCTCAAAACATGTGGTAGGATTACAGGTAACTTTTATTTTCCCGTTAGAACTGTTCCTTCATTTATTAAACAAATATGTATTGAATGTACCTGTTAGGCACACAGTACCATGCAGGTCCTGGAATCAAAAGGAAATATAGAGAACAGTTAGGTTATGGACTTCGGTGCCAGACTGAGTTTGTAGTTAGGCTCTGCTGCTCACTACTGTGCTATCTTAGAGAAGTTGCTTAACTTCTCTGTTCCTTAGTTTGTTCATCTGTAAAATGGGGGTATTAATAGCACTACCACATAGAGTTGTTGTGAAGAGTATGTGAGTTGCTGTTTAAATCAACACTTACGTAGCACAATGCACCTGATGCTATTCTAATCACTTTCCAAATATTCATTAACTGAGTGCAAAGGATTTAACACATTGTATATTATTATAAATGGTGATAAGTGCTATGAATGATCGGAAGAGACTGCTGGAAGAAAGAATATAAGAAAGGAAGGAAAATCTTTCTCGAGATCAGATAGGCAGGGAAGGGCTCTCCAAGGCCATGCATTTCAACTGGAGCCTGAAGGACGCATACCAACGACGCAGAGAGTCGGGGCAGAGCGTTCTGGGCTGAGAGGACATGTGTGCAAAGACCTGAGGATGGAAAATAACATTGTTTATTGGGAAAGCTGAAAGGAACCAGCATGGTGGTGGCAGAGATTAAACAAGTTGATGTATTCAAGACATAAGACATTTTTGAGTAATCAACAAAACCTGGCAATGTGCTGGTGAAGGCAGGGGAGAATTTAATCAGGACCCCTTGTCATGCTTTCTTGTATTTTTCCAAGTATTTTAGAATAAAGATCACTCAAATCAATAAAAAAAAAAATGACCCCAAAGAACAAAGGACATGAATTAAGAGAAAAAAGATATACAAATATACATGGCACTTAAACGTATAAAAAGATGATTACCTTTGTTAGGGCATGTTCTATGTTTTAAACATATTTGTAGGCCGGGCGTGGTGGCTCATGCCTATAATCCCAGCACTTTGGGAGGCTGAGGTGGGCGGATCCTTTGAGGCCAGGAGTTCAAGACCAGCCTGGCCAACATGATGAGACCCCGTCTCTACTAAAAATGCAAAAACTAGCCGGGCATGGTGACAGGTGCCTGTAATCCCAACTACTTGGGAGGCTGAGGCACGAGAATCACTTGAACTTATTTATTTATTTATTTATTTTTGAGACAGGGTCTTCCTCTGTCGCCCAGGCTGCAGTGCAGTGCCATGATCGTAGCTTACTGCAGCTTCAACCTCCAGTGCTCAAGTGATCCTCCTACCTCAACTTCCCAAGTAGCTAGGACTACAGGTTCCTGCCACTGCACCTAGCTAATTTTTTTTTTAATTTTTTTAGAGGTGGGGTCTCACTTTGTTTGCCAAGCTGGCCTTGACCTCCTGCGCTCAAGCAATCCTCCTGCCTCGGCCTCCCAAAGTGCTGGAATTACAGGCGTAAGCCACCGCACCCAGCCTATGCCTACTTTAGCTTTAATGCATGCATGAGGTTTAGAACAGTGCCTGACACATAATGTCTTGATACATGCTAGCTTTAAAAACTTGTTAACCATTATGTAAAATACCTCTCTCAGTATTTCGCAATTTTAGCTTTTTTAGTCAGTTTGTATGGTTTTATATGAGATGAGGATTTGAAATGTAAATCTGTTATAAGTTGTGCCATGGTAGAAAAACAATAGCTATCAATACTTCCCTAACCCCTTTCTTGTAAAAAGCACAAAGCTTTTTGCATAGTCGTAAGTTAGAGCCCCCAACACGATTATAAAGTAAATATTACCTGATCCAATGCTGCAATGCCAATTTTTACTAGATAGTATTAAGATACTGGAAGTGACAACCATATGAAAGGTAAATAATCAACGTTTAGCCTTTTATGATAGGCTTGTGTAGGTTTCAAAAGCGTTAATTAACTAAAACTCACAACACCTAGGTGAAGTATTTCTTTACCCTCTCAAGCAATGTCATTATCTCAGAGAAGGGAACTCGGTACAAGGTTAAACAACTTAGGACAGGAAACAATTATCTGCTCAAAAATAACAGCACTTTGCCTCTAAATAACACTTTTCAACCAACAGTATCCAGTCACATTGCAAACTCTAATTAAACACTCTCAGGGACTTAAGTATCTCCCTTTAACCTTGTGGAACAGATTGAAGGAGAGGAGGCAGTTTAGCTAAAATTACACAGCAGGCCACTAGCAGCCAGGATTTAATCCCTTGGAATCAGGGGTGAGGTGGGATTAAAAGCCTACTGTGTGGTAGGTGCTTTGTGTATATCTCTTCAGTCCTTTCCACAGCCCCCGAAGTAAATATCATTGCTTCTTTAAGATGAGAACTGAGGACGCGGTGGCTCATGCCTGTAATTCCAGCTCTTTGGGAGGAAAAGGCGGGCAGATCACTTGAGGACAAAAGTTTGAGACCAGCCTGGCCAACATGGTGAAATCCTGTCTCTACTAAAAATACAAAAAAAAAAAAAATTAGCCAGGCATGGGGCATGGTGGCATGCACCTGTGGTCCCAGCTGCTCGGGAGGCTGAGGCACAATAATCACTTGATCCTGGGAGGCAGAGGTTGCAGTGAGCTAAGAGCATGCCACTGCACTCCAGCCTGGGTAACAGAGTGAGACCCTGTCTCAAAAAAAAAAAAAAAAAAAAAAAGATAACCAAGCTCAGAGGAACAGAGCTAGGACAGGTCATCCAAAGCCAATGTGCTTCTACTCCTGTAAGACCACATGTCACAAACAGGAAGAAGAAATAGAAGCAGTCAGACTCATCAGTGTTGTTGTTGTTTTTAATAAGATTGGTTATTGTTTTAGTTTCCTATTGCTTCTATAACAAATTGTTAAGGAACAAAATTTCAACAAATTGATTTCAAAGATCTAATTGGCTTTTGTTGGCACTTCATGAATCAGGCAGCATCCCATCTATGAAATAGAAAGGCTCTTCAATGAGCTGAGCAGAGAGGATGGGCTTTACAGGCAGAAAAGGCTGAAGTAAGCAGAAATAAGGAACAAGGAACAATAAGCAGATTGGTTGTTTCAAAGTGACTTCAAGCAGAGGGGATTTCCTTATCATGCCTGATCAAGTTGACTGGGCCCCATTAGGTTGGTTGCTATGAATTTCCTGTTTTTTGGAAAACTGACCCATTTCTAAGTTCAGTTTGGTTATGTGGCCCCTAGCACAAGTGACTCCATTCTAGTTTGGTCTGGTCTGTTGGGGCCTAGTGCAGGAGCTCAGTCAACCAATGACCTCTCATAAATTTTATTTCACAAAGTTATCACAAATGTAGTGTAAAACTACACAAACTGATTAAGTTCTGGAGGTCAACGTCTGAAAATAATTTCACTGGACTGAAATAAAGGTGTAGGCAGGGCTGCATTCCTTCTGGAGGCTTGACAGGAGAATCAAGTTTCTTGCCTTTTCCAGCTTCTAGAAACCATTTGCGTTCCTTGACCCATTGGCCCCTTCCTTCATCTTCAAAAGCAACATCACAACATCTTCAAATCTCCTCTGACTGTGACATTCCTGCCTCAGTCTTTCACTTACAAGGACCCTTGTGATTACACTGGGCTCACCTGGATAATCTAGGATAATCATCTCAAGATCCTTAATTTAATTGCACCCACAAAATCCCTTTGACATGTAACACATGTGCAGATTCCAGGGATTAGTACTTAGACATCTTTTGGGGCCATTGTTTTGCTTACCATAGTACTCTTTTGGAGGATTCTTAGAAAACTAGGATCTATGCCTCATCATTTCATCCCCAAGCAGCATTTATTGTATCTCCAGGGGGTACTACTACCCCAAAGTCCCTCTTGATGTGAAGCTTTTTTATCCCGTGGAACAATTGTAATTTATTGAGATACAGCAGGAGGGCATACCTTCAAAACTGGAAAGTTTAAAAAAAATTAAAAATGATAACTATTGATACATGCAACTGTAATACATGGATGAATCTCAAAATACAGTTATGTGTCACTTAACACCAGATACACATTCTGAGAAATGCATCATAGAGTGTACTTACAGAAACTAGATGGTATGGCCTGCTACACACCTAGGCTGTATCGTATAGCCTATTGCTTTTAGGCTACAAACCCATACAGCATGTTACCATGCTAAATTATGTAGGCGATTGTAACACAATAGTAAGTATTTGTGTACCTAAACATAGAAAACGTTCAGTAAAAATATGGTAATAAAATCTTACGGGACCACTGTTGTAGATGTAGTCTGTCATTGACCAAAATGCTATTATGTGGCGCTTGACTGTAATTTAGCTATTTGAAGGAAGCCAGGTTACACACACACACACACACACACACACACACACAGAGGGTATATATTGTATAATTCCATTTATATAAAATTGTGAAAAATGCAAAGTGATATATAATAATAGAAAGTAGATCAGTGGTTGTCTGAGTTGGGTGGAGGTTGAGAAGGCAGATAGGGTGACCAAGAGACATGAGGAAATTTTTAGAAGTGATAGATATGTTGATTGTGGTGATTTTTTTTCAGAACTTCACAAATCGTGCCTTTTAAATATGTCCTGTTGATTGTATGTCAGCCATAGCTCAAGAAAGCTATTAAAAATAATACAGCTGAGGGAAGCTTGGGAAGCTGAGGCGGATGGATAATTTGAGGTCAGGAATTTGAGACCACCTGGCCAACAGGGTGAAACCCCGTCTCTACTAAAAATACAAATATTAGCTGGGCGTGGTGGTTCACACCTGTAATCCCAGCTACTTGGGAGGCTGAGGTGGGAGGATCACTTGAATCCAGGAGGCAGAGGTTGCAGTGAGCCAAGATCATGCCACTGAACTCCACCCTGGGTGACAGAGCCAGACCCTTTCTCAAAATAATAATAATAATAATACATGAGCAGGCCTTGGTAGCTCACACCTGTAATCCCAGCACTTTGGGATTCTTAGAGTGGAGCATCACTTGAGGCTAGGAGTTTAAAACCAGCTGGGCAACATAGCAAGACCCTGTCTTTAAAACACACACACACACACACACACACACACACACACATCAGCTGGGCATGGTGACAGAAGCTCACAAGCTTGTAGTCCTAGCTACTCAGGAGGCTGAGGCAGAAGGGATCTCTTGAACCCAGGAGTTGGAAGCTGCAGTGAGCTATGATCACGCCACTGCCCTCTAGCCTGGATAACAGAGGGAGGCCCTGTCTCAAAAACATAGTAATAATAGAAAAGAGACTTTAAAGTCCTCTGAGGCACACAGGAACTTCATAAAATGAGATTATAGAGCCAGGGAGAAAATTGTATCAAACAGCAGTAACCTTATCTATAAAGCTCTTCAGAAAAGTTTTAATGACCTCATTCAGATGTTATCATTTTAGGATGATTGCAGGTTTGCAAGTGTAACACATTTGGCAGTTTGTTTTGTGTACTGTCTAAGCTCCATATGGCCTCTGAGGCCCTTTGTGAACTGCGGCAGCCTACCTCCCCAACCTGTCTTCCTACCACACCTTGCCTTGAAATTCATGCTTCAACAATCCCAAGCTATTTATAGCTTCCCAAGCTCACCTGGTGTTTTATGTCCCCAAGTCTTTGAAGAAGACACGCCTGGAATGCCCTTCCTGTCTAGCGTCCTTGGCCAGGAGAGGTCATCCCTTCATCTTTTGCCAATTCATGTCCTGTACAAGGTTCCTCAGTTACACTTTCCCCACTATCTTGTAATTAATTTTTTCATATCTGTCCTGTCACTAGCCTATCTGTACTCCCAACCAGGGCATATGGCAGGGATGGCAGGGTCTCAACATTTATTTCATGGAACTGGAAATTCTCCCAGTGTGTCATGGTGGTATACATGAGAACCATTAGGATGTCTACAGGGAAGAAGATCCACCAAAAGAGGAGTTTGGATGTTGCTGGATGAAGGGATAAAGCATGGTCCTGAAGTTGATGGCAGTGACACTCCTGCAGCCTGAACTAGAGCCGTGGGTTCTCAATAGGATGGCAGGACCACCCAGGGGCTTTTAAAAATGGAGGCGGAGTGCAGCTGGCATTTAGTACTCAGGGGCCACAGTGGAAGTAAAGTCCTGTGCAAAGAAGAATGCTCTCGTCCAAAACGCCAATAGGGCCCCCAGTTAGAAACACTACTCAAGGATAAAATGTGTTTTCTCTGTGAAGACTGAAAATGGGCTGGGCGCAGTGACTCACGCCTGTAATCCCAGCACTTTGGGAGGCCGAGGCAGGCGGATCACGAGGTCAGGAGTTCGAGCCTGGCCAACATGGTGAAACCCCGTCTCTACTAAAGATACAAAAAATTAGCCAGATGTGGTGGCACGCACCTGTAATCCCAGCTAGTCGGGAGGCTGAGGCAGGGGAATCACTTAAACCCGGGAGGCAGAGGGTACAGTGAGCTGAGATCGCGCCACTGCACTCCAGCCTGGGCGACAGAGCGAGACTCTGTCTCAAAAAAAAGACTGCAAATAATCCTCTTCCTTAGTGCTTCATGTGAGTGGGATGTGCAGCTAGTGATGAGGACTGGAATCCTCTCCCTGAAGTGCTCACTCTCTGCACTTACTCCTTGGCCCCTGGGGGTCCCCTGTCCCCTGAACTTCTTTTGCTCCTCAAATACACTGCCTCCTGCCTACCTTAGACCTTCCCTTCGTCTGTTCACGGGGCCTGAAGTGTCCACCCCACCTTCCTCCTGCCTTTCTACCTGGTTATTTCTTACTCAACTCCTAGCATGCCACTTCCTCCAGAACCTTCTTTCATTCCCACAGTAGGCCAGGGTCCTCTGATATAAGCCTCCAGAGTACTCCATGTATCTCCTTAGTAGCATTTATCACAATAATAAAATACTAGTAGAAGGAGGGAGGGGAGACAGTGAGAAAAGGGAAGGCAGACAGGGAGGAGGTAAGGAAGGGAAGAAGACCAATTTGGCTGCTTGAGGAGAGTGGAGAAGCACAAGTTGTTTAAAAGCTGAGTTTGGGCCAGGCGCGGTGGCTCATGCCTGTAATCCCAGAACTTTGGGAGGCCGAGGAGGGCGGATCACCTGAGATCGGGAGTTCAAGACAAGCCTGACCAACATGGAGAAACACTGTCTCTACTAAAAATACAAAATTAGCCGGGCATGGTGGTGCATGCCTGTAATCCTAGCTACTAGGGAGGCTGAGGCAGGAGAATCGCTTGAACCCAGGAGGCAGAGGTTACGATGAGCTGAGATTGCACCTCTGCACTCCAGCCTGGGCAACAAGAACGAAACTCCGTCTCAAAAACAAATAAACAAACAAATAAAAAAAAAATGAGTTTGACCCTTAGCTCTGCTCCTTAGTAATTGAGGACCTTGGATAAGTTATCTAAGTGATCTGAACCTCAGTCCCCACATCCACAAAATGGAGATAAAGGGTGCTCATGACAATTAAATTAGATAAGTGTATGGAAGTGCCTTGCTCAGTGTCTGACACATGGTAGGTGCTCAAAAAATGTCAAATCTTTTTACCTTCTCTCCTTCTCCCTCTTCCCCAAATGGAAGGGCAAGTAAGGGTGAAAATTTAACTGAGAAAGGTGGACTGAAAAAGCCTTTGTACCTAGCTTGCTAGAGAGAACATCTATAATCCTCCTAAATGGGTTTAAGAGGCTCTGTGAACACAAAAATGTCTTAAAAGAAGCCTGTGGTCAGAGGATGAACAGTCATAATTGGTGAGAGTGGAAGCAATGGGTAGAATTCATAGACATTGGCATGGTCGTGTTGCTCAAATATTCATAAAAGATCTACCCTTTTCTGCACAATCCCTCCAGCATGCTAGCAAGTATCTGTAGGATGACTATACTTGGTTTCTTGGAAAGAATGTGACCCAACGGGGAAGTGAGACACCGCTAAAAATTTACTTAGTTTTTATGCCTAGTGTTCCATTATCGGAATGCTAAGCGTGTGGGAATTATTTATGTCCTACTGCTCAAGGTCATCACTAAGGTCTGATTGCAAAAATTCCAAAAAATGCAACCTCAGGCATAAATGGGTTAATGTCTCTGAGACCAGAGCCCTACCAAAGTTCTGTTCTACTAATGCAGAACACAATGGTTTGGGAAGGGTCAGTGACAACTATCTGAGGTGGAGTCTAGCCACTAAGGTAGAAAGAATTCCAAATGATGACAATTTGGATTGGTATGATTTGCCTAAAACTCTGGGCACATTTGCAATCCCATTATTAAAACTGATAATAACATCATAAAACAATGTCATTATCTTCAGAGGAGAACATCTGAGCAAGCATGTTACCCTAAAGGCAAACAGAATCTTAGAAGTTAGGTACATGGAAGACTTCTAGAGTCATCATAAGAGTCTTGCTTCCTTTCTTAGCAAGCCACCCTACTGAGTTTTTGAACAATGTGGTAGTAATGAAGTTTTACCAGGCAACTTCTTTGCAACTTCCTTTACACCTGACACCATGTAAATTAAGAGCATTTGATTGCTTTGCTGGCAAAGCAAAGGCAGCCTCTAGATCTGCTGTTAACCAGTGATAGTGTCCACTTCAACTTTAGTGAACCCTAAGAGGTATTAATATATCTTCACCAACCCTGTAAAGAAAGAGAGGTGTCTCCTGGTTAAAGCCCTAAGCTACTTACTTGCTTCTCTTTCTCAGACAGGCTTCTTAAACCTACCATCTTTGTTTGATCTACAAGTCCCAAAGGGTTTCCATGCTATTGCCTTTGCCAACTCCTCAAGGTTTTAAAATTGGAAGTCCCTCATCCTGGGGCCCTCTCAGTCTTGGGATGATTGGTCACCCCAGCTCAGGACAGATTCTCTCCATTCCACCCAACCACTAACATCTGTATTATCCGCCTCCCCCAAGCACTTACTCTCTTTTCATACCTTTTTTTTTTTTTAATAGAAAGATACCAGAAGGAAGTGATAGAGAGAGGCATGTGTGGGAAATATGTACAAATTCACAGTGGTTTTTCTTAGTTTTCAACTTTTTTTTTTTTTTTTTTTTTGAGACAGGGTCTCACTTTGTCACCCAGGCTGGGGTACAGTAACGTGATCTCAGCTCACTGCACTCTCTGCCTCCCAGGCTCAAGTTATCCTCCCACCTCAGCCCCCCAAGTAGCTGGGATTACAGGCATGTGCCACCACTCCCAGCTTATTTTTGTATTTTTAGTAGAGATGGGGTTTTGCCATGTTGGCCAGACTGGTCTTGAACTCTTGGACTCAAGCAATCCACCCGCCTCAGCCTCCCAAAGTCCTGGGGTGACAAGCGTGAACCACCGCGCCCAGCCAGTTTTTAACTTTTTTATATTTTATATTTATCTGCTTATTGTAGAAAATGTGAAAAATCGAGGAAAGTATAGAAAGACAATGCTTCAGCATAATTGCTTCTAGTGTTTCGAGGTCATAATATGTAAAAAATTTTATACAATTTTTTTTCACCTAATGTCAAGAACATTTCCCCACATTATTAAAAACTTTGAAATGAAAATTTGTTTTTAATAGTTATATCCACTACATGGCTATACTATAATCATTTCCCTAATGACAGACATTTAGGGTATATCCAAGTTTTCAACATTTTCTTTTTTTGTTTTTGAGATAGGTTTTTGCTCTATCACCCAGGCTGGAGTACAGCGGCATAATTACAGCTCAAGCCTTCCTCTTACCTCAGCCTCCCGAGTAGCTGGGACTACAGGCGTGTGCCACTACACCCAGCTAATTTTTAAATTTTTTGGTAGAGATGGGGTCTTGCCATGTTGCCCAGTCTGGTCTCAAACTCTTGGACTCAAGTGATCCTCCTACCTCAGCCTCTCAAAGTGCTGGGATTACAGGAGTGAGCTACTGTACCTGGCCTCAATATTTTAAAATAACCCAACAGTAAAACATCCTTGTCTGTATTTCTAATTATTTCTTTAGGATAGATTCTTAGATGGGAAAGTATTAGGACAGAGTGTAAGTACTTTAATGCTCTTAATATAAAAACAAAATTGATTACAAGCATATATTCATCAACAGTGTGGGAATAATATATTGATATGCTCTCTGCAATACTAAATTGTAATATTTTTAAAAATCTTTGTTAATTAAAAAAGGTATTTTAGTGTTTTAATTTGTAGTACTTCAATAATTCATGAAGTTGGACATTTTTCATGTTTATTGTCCATTTTTATTTCTTCATTTGTGAATTATCTCTGTCCTTTGCATATTTAGCTATTATCTACAATATAACTGTTTTTTAATTACAAGTAATACATGTTCATTGTAAAACATATTAGAAAACATTAATACTTATAGCACTTTATAACCTGCTCCTAAAAGAACTGAATCCAATACATTGTGAATACCTTTCCATGTCAACCAATATGCATCTATCTTAGCTAGCAAATAAATTCAATTGCTGCGCAATATTCCACTATATGGATGACTTGATTGTTTTCACCAATCTTTTGGACAGGTAAGTGGTTTCAAATGTTTGAATATTAAAAGTGATTGTGTGATAAGCATCCTGGTGCATTTGTTTTGCACATTTGCCTGATTGTTAATGTAGGTAAAGTCCTAAAAAATGGAATTTTTCGGTCAAGAGGTACTAAGGCTTTTGACACATATTACAAAATCTCCCTCCAAAATGGTCATACTTAGTTGCAGCTCCGACCTCAGCTTATGAGAGGACTCATTTCATCACATCCTCAGCAACAATGGGTAACATAATTTTTTAAAATCTGAAGTCTGATGGGCAAAAAAGGAGTCCCATTGCTGTTCTAGTTTGCATTTATTTAAATAATAATGAAGCTGAAGTTTGTAAGTGAGCTCATTGTGGTCACTTAAGTGCTGGTCCTTGTCCTTTGCCCTATTGGGTTGTTGTCTTTTTTTCTTTGAGGTTATTTCATTGTAAGAGGTTAGACTGTAAGGTAATTTCATTTAAATACTAAGTATTTAGTATTAACTCTTTATCAGTAACATAGGTCTCCATTTGTCATTTTCCTTTTGAATTTTTAAAAGTCAGTATATATAGAGAAAGTAAAAGCATGGCTCCTGAGACAGACTGGTTCTACCATTTACTAGCCTTGGTGGATGCTATGTTAGGTGCCCTGTTTGGATACGCTTTACTGGCCAGTACACCTGTCTCTCCACTGTTGTGAGGTTGGCTGCTAGAGCTCACAGGTGCCTTTTTCTCTGGAGAGTCTACACTAGGGAAGGCAGCCACACTTGGGGGGGTGCAGTTACGCCCCACTTTATCCTGATACAAAGGTACAAACACCTTTGTGTAAGATGGGGCTAATTCTGCAGTTTGGTTTATGCTCTAGATTCCAGAGCCCTCCCTCAATAGAGCAGATCAAGGCTAGGATTTCCTAAGATCCGTTTTTCTTGGTTGTTTCCCCTTCCCTATCCTGTTTCACTCTCTCCCTATGGGTTCCTCCTAAAGAGCCCTCCCTCGATAAATTACAGGGTCTAAATCCCATCTCAGGATTGGCTTCTAGGGAAACCAGCCTAAGATACTGTAAAATGGGGATGATGTTAGTACCTACTTCATAGGGTTGCCGTGGAGATTATAGTTAAAATAATAATAATAGCAAAATTTAGCACTTATATGTGGTAGGCCCTGTTCTAAACACTTTATATGTATTAATTCATTTAGTCTTTACATCAGTCAATGTCCAGGTATAATCCTCAAACATGAAAAAAGTTTAGACTAGTGCTTGGCATATATCTAGCACCAATAAATCTTAGCTATTATTATTTACTGATTTACTCTAGATTTCACATGAGAGATTAGGCATGTTAGTAGGCTGTTTCCCTGCATTTTGAAGTCTCCTTCCCATTCTCTTTTTCTTAGCTATTCCTTTGGAAAGCTCTTACTCACTCACCTACTCCACACTCTCATTTTTTCCTTCTTTTATTCTTATTTTATATATATACATACACCTATATATGTGTATATATGTACATACATATATAGATACATATGTATGTGTGTATATATATGTACACACTTTTTTTTTTTTTGAGACAAGGCCTTGCTCTGTTGCCCAGGCTGGAGTGCAGTGGCGCAAGCACAGCTCACTGCAGCATTGACCTCCTGGGCTCAAGTGATCCTCCCACCTCAGCCTCCCAAGCAGCTGGGACCACAGGTACATGACACCACACCAGGCTAATTTTTATTTTTTTGTAAAAACAGGGTATCACTATGTTGCCCAGGCTGGTCTCCAACTCCTGGGCTCATGCGATCCTCCCACCTCAGCCTCCTGAAGTGCTGGGATCAAAGGCATCAGCCACCGCACCGGATCTCCTTTTATTCTAAAAGGTGGAGTTATCAAGTCCACATTCTTGCTGAGGAAACTACACAACCAATCTTCTTTCTTTTAGTCAAGGGAGCACTGTTACTCTGATAGATTTTGTTGGGGGAGGGAAGCAACAAATGTTATTTACTTGGTTATTCAAGTTTGCCTTGATTCAGTGTGGTCGTTTATAATTCAGGGAAGTCTAGCCACCCTGGTTTCATCTTAAAGCAAAGTTTGGCCTATCCTAACAACCCCACATGTTGTGAGGCTATGTACATTATCAGTGCTCTCCCCCTACTCCAACACACTGGAAAATGGTCAAGGAAGCCTGTCAGCAGTGTGATCACCAGGGGGTTTCATCTAGTACTGTGGAAGTGATGTGGTAAAAACTTCATTGCTGTGTTCCCAGCATCCAGCAAAGTGCCTGGCATAAAATAGGCATTTAAACATAAATGTTATGGAGCAGATCACAGTATGTTTTTAAACAGATCCCTTCCTCTCTCTCTCTCTCTCTGTCTTTCTCTCTCTCTGATCCAGGATCCCCAGCAAGACTAATGTGCCTTTTTGTTTTTCATGACATTGACATTTATAAAGAGTCTGGGCTAGTTGCAGAATGTCTCAAATTCTGGATTTGTTCCAGAGTGCTTTTTTAAAAATATAAATCAGGACCAGGCATGGTGGCTGACACCTGTAATCCCAGAACTTTGGGAGGCCGAGGCAGGCGGATCACCTGATGTCAGGAGTTCAAGACCAGCCTGACCAACATGGTGAAACCCTGTCTACTAAAAATACAAAATTAGCTGAGTATGGTGGCACATGCCTGTAGTCCCAGCTAATCGGGTGGCTGAGGCAGGAGAATTGCTTGAACCCTGGAGGTAGAGATTGCAGTGAGCTGAGATTGCACCATTGCACTCCAGCCTGGGCAACAAGAGCAAAACTCCATCTCAAAAAAAAAAAAAGATATATATATATATATATATATATATATATACGTATATATATATACATATATATATATACGTATTTTATATATATATATATATATATATATATATATAAATCAGATGAAGTTATTCCCATATTTAAAACCTTCCACAGGATTCCTATAATATTTAGAAAATAAAGTCCAAACTCACTACCCTGGCTTACAAAGGTCTACATTGCCTTTTGTATGTTTTCTTCTTTCTCACTGCAGCCACAGTGGCCTTCCTCCGGTTTCTCAAGTCCACAAAGCTCTCAAATCCTGCAAAATCCTCGCAGGACTTTGCACTGGCTGTTGCCTTTTCCTAATGTGCTTTTCCCTGAAGTTTGCTTGAAGGCTGGCTCCTTCTCATAATTCAAATCCCAGTTTGAATGCCGTTTTCTCAGAGAGGACTTCCTTATCTTAGCCCCCAATCTGAAGTAAAGTAGTCACTTACTCACTCTCACATCACCCTTCTTGTAACTCTCTGCATGGTACCTATCATAACCTGATATTTTTCTTTTTCTTTTTTCTTTCTTGAAGCAGGGTCTGGCTCTGTCACCCAGGCTAGAGTGCAGTGGCTGGATCATAGCTCCCTGGAGACTTGAACTCTTGGGCCTCAGCCTCAGCCTCCCGAGTAGCTGAGACTACAGGTGTGTGCCACCACACCAGGCTAATAAAAAAAATTATTTTTGTAGAGATAGGGTCTCACTATGTTGCCCAGGCTGGTCTCAAACTCCTGGCCTCAAGCAGCCGTCCCACCTTAGCTTCCCAAAGTGCTGCAATTACAGGTGTGAGCACACCCAGTCCTGATATTTCTTGTTGTTTATTTTTGTTGAGCTCCAAGAGATCAGGGGCTGTGTTCTGTTGTGCTCACTACTATATTCCCTGTACCTAGAACAGCTCCTGACACACAGCAGAAGTTTAATACATACTTGCTGAATACTGTAATGAATAAGCTGAGAGCTGAGGATGAAAAGAAGCCAACCATTTAAAGAGCTTGGGGAAAATCTAGGCAGGGAGGAGGTCCTGAGAGAACCTTGAGGCTTAGTCCATTCTAGGGCATGAAGAATGCCCTGTGTACTTGGAGGAAAGTGAGGCAGCAGGAGGAAAAAATAGGAGAGAAGAGAGAAATTGGCAGGGGCAAGATGGCTTAAGGCCTTTTCCCCCACAGGAAGTTTGGATTTTATTTTAAATTAAATGGGAAATCACTAAAGGTTTACGAGTACGAGAGTGACATAATCTGACTTATGCCATTTAAAAGATATTTTTCAATTTGAGTGATTAGGAAGATGGAAGTAACTAATATCAGAGATAGAAATCACATATGTAAGAGAAGATTTGCAGGGGGTAAATAATTCTGGACATGTTGAATGTAATGTTGTACTTCTGGCTGGGTGAGGGGGCTCATGCCTATAATCTCAGCACTTTGGGAGGCCAAGGCAGGAGGATCCTTTGAGCCCAGGAGTTCAAGACCAGCCTGGGCAACATAGTGAGACCTTTTCTCTACTGAAAAAATAAAAATAGCCAGACATAGTGTCAAGCTCCTGTGGTCCCAGCTACTGGGGTGTAGGGGAGGGGTGAGATCGGAGGATCACTTGGCCCTGGGAGGTTGAGGCTGCTGTGCAGTGATCTCCAGCCTGGGTGACAGAGGGAGGTCCTGTCTCTCTCTCTATATATATAAAATTTCCTTTGTGGCTTTCACAGTATCCATACTTTAAAAGAATTTATAATTAAGAAGGAATTAATACCTACCTCTGAAACAGTACAGCCAACCAATTCCATTGTTATTTACAAGAACCTGATATTAAAGATGGTTGTAACGATAATAGGTATCAAGTATGGAGCAGTTTCTATGTGTCAGGCCCTATGTCAACCACTTAACAACCTTACCTCACAGAAGCATCATAGCAACCCTTATTAGAAGAGGCTTTATTATGTTTTACAGGTGGGGAAACTAAGACTAAAGAAGATAACTCATTCAAGGTCAATCAGCAAGTAAGTAGCAGAATTGGAACTCAAACCCAGGTCTAGTTTGATGATAAAGCTGTTCCTTTAAGCAATTTGCCATAACATGCACCTAATGGGAAATGTTGCTTGGATCACTGGTTATGGCCATCATTCACGGAGATACTGAACCCGGAGTTTTCTTTAACATAGCCTTTACCCTGTAGAAACATTTAAACTTCATTTCAGAAGAGAAATATCTATTTGAAAAATAATCTAAGTAAATTCATCAGATGCTTTACCCCAGAGAGACTCTGGTCTTGGTATTTTGGTTTTTGTTGTTGTTTGAGACGGAGTCTCGCTCTGTCGCCGAGGCTGGAGTGCAGTGGCGCGATCTCGGCTCACTGCAACCTCCGCCTCCTGGGTTCAAGCAATTCTCCTGCCTCAGCCTCCCGAATAGCTGGGATTGCAGGCGCCCACCACCAGGCACGGCTAATTTTTGTATTTTTAGTAGAGACGGGGTTTCACCATTTTGACCAGGCTGGTCTCCAACTCAGGTGATCCCCCCGCCTCGGCCTCCCAAAGTTGCTGGTATTACAGATGTGAACCACCGCGCCCGGCCGGTATTTTGTGAAGAACAAACTATAAGGTGACTACTATTTTGGGGTCACCTTGACATGGAGGAGAGGTGAATGGAAATAAAACTTATTCTTCCCAGTGTCTTTAGAATGTAGGCGCTGAAACTGAGTGAAACTGAGTAAAACTGCCACCCAATTTTCCTGGGAACCAGCGATTCTGTAGTCAACAGAAGTTTGCTTTTCCAACAGCTGGAAACGCCAGGGTTGGGCACAGCCTCAAGAACTGAGGCTGCCTTGTTCAGACTTTCACACGGTCCCTCTGTTCCTTCCACAGAGGCCTCTTTTTCTTCTATATCCCGCATCTGCCGCTTGGGACACTCATTCTGTAGCGCAGCACCAAGTCTTCCAAAAAGGCGGCGCTGGTTTTGCGCTCCTTTTTTAAAGGGATCTAGGCCAGCCTCTATCTGAACTCTGTACGATGTTTTTTGTTTGTTTGTTTTGTTTTGTTTTTGAGATGGAATTTCGCTCTTGTTGCCCAGGCTGGAGTGCAATGGTGCGATCTCCACTCACGGCAACCTCCGCCTCCCGGATTCAAGCGATTCTCCTGCCTCAGCCTCCTGAGTAGCTGGGATTAAAGGCATGCGCCACCACTCCCAGCTAATTTTGTATTTTTAGTAGAGACGGGGTTTCTCCATGTTGGTCAGGCTGGTCTCGAACTCCCGACCTCAGGTGATCCGCCCGCCTCGGCCTCCCAAAGTGCTGGGATTATAGCCGTCCGTCACAGCGCCCGGCCAACTCTAGACAATATTTATTGCTCTACTTTTTAGTGTCTGAAGAAGAAAGAAGAGGACAGGAAAGAAACTTCAGTCTGAGGGTTGAGGACACGTCCCGGAGCAGAGGAGGACCAAGCTCCCAAGCCCCCTGTCACCTTGACACGCAGACGGTTCCCCAGGACTGCGAAGAGGGGGGCAACCAGCGCCCCGCCCCGCCCCGCTGCGCCGCCCGCCATTGGCCGGTCCGAAAGACGCGGGGCGTTGTCGGTTTGAATGAGAGCGCCTGGAGCCGGGGCGCAGGCGCAGAGGAGGGCGGTGTTGAGACCGGCGGAGCGGCGGGACCCCTAGGTGGCGGAGGGACGCTCCGGGAAAGCGAGGGGCGCTACGAGCTCTGGCCCACGTGACCTGCCGGGGGCGGGAGCAGGGGGCGCGCCGGCCTCCTGCGGTGCCCCTGCCTTGGGGAGGGGCCGTGACCACCCGTCTGTCGCCCGAGGCGGCCGCCGCTGCACCTTCACCGCGTACCCGGGACCCGCCCGCCCGCGGGAGGTGAGCGCTTCCGCGACGCGGGTTCTGAGGCGTTTGAGGGGCTCTCGGAGGGAGGTGACAGGGAGGGGTGCGTGTGCGTGCGTGTGGGGCTTCTGTGTCCAGAGGTCTGGGGGTGACGTCCTTTGTTTTGGGCAGGAGGCGGGCTGGGGGCTTGCGGGACCTGTGGGCGCTGCGGGGACGCGGCGTCGATGCTCAAGAAACCAGAAACTCGGCTTGAGGAGTTGCTGCTTTTTTGTCGGAAGGTCTTCAAATGAGAGTAAAGCGTTAAGAGCCTCACTCCTGAGTCTTTTTTTTTTTTTAAGATAAAAACTATACTAGAGTCCAGCGACTTCTTACCACTCTGAATGTGAGTAACAAATTGTGAATCAAAGCCCGAATCCCCGTGGAATTCATTCCGAGGCTGATTGCAATCACTTGGAGTCGGGCGCGTCCTACCTAAACCAGGCAGTTTATGGCAAATACCTGCCTTGACCGTGCTTAAATTAGTGAACTTTTGGGCACCAACTGGTCGATTTACCATAGAAATTGGTAGTTGCTGCAAAAAGAGTAAGTAAACATAAAACGTTAAGAAAACTCTTTCCTGAAATCTATAGAATACCTTCGAATAAAAAAAAATCTGTAATTTCCTTGTTTTAATAGTAACCAGTTAGAGCATTTGAACTAGTAGCATTTGAACTCTGTTAAAGAAAACGAGTAAGGATGGAAATTTTATTGGCCTTAATGCATAATTTAACCACACCGTAGAATTAAACGAAGTAGGTTCTTGGCTTTCCTTTCTATCGGGTTTGCATTGGAGCGTTCGTGGGGTGTGTTGGAAGTCAGCAGGACCAACAGAGCTGAGTTTTCAAGCTGCCACTTTAGAAGGGTGTACCGAAGATTTCTGGCCTGATAATAGCCGGTGTGATTGCTTCTGATAAATACCACTTTTGATTGGGTTCTCACTATTCAGGAGCAGCTTTAGTTGATTGTTTAGAAGTGAATAAACAACATTAAAAAGGGTAGATCACTGTTGGTTGACATGGTGTGTGTAAGGAGAGGGGGGCCTCAGGGATTAGGGGTGGTCTCACACCTACTTCTCTTTACAACTACCACGGAGTCGTTTTCGCAAGCTATTTCCCAGGCTATTACTTATAATTTAAGTATTGGAGCGGTTTCAAAGTAAAAAGTTGTGTGATGTTGTTGTAGAGGCATGTCTCCAAAATCCTCTCTGGCCAGATAAGCAGTTTAATTGTATTTTCTTACATTCTTAAATCAGATATTCGGTGTTACAAACATATTTTAATATAGATCTGAGACTTGCTTACTAGACTAATTAAAACAGTGATAAGATATAGTAGTTTTAAAAATGACCTTTTCATAAACATAAAATATTTCTAAGATCTATCTTTAGAAATTTGTAATTAGTTCTCTGGAATTTTAAAATGGAAAATCTGACATAGATTTAGGTTATTCTAAATTTATTTGAATATATATTAAATATGTCTATTTTATAATAACAGTTACTGTTATTACTACAGCACTATGTTGAGTACTTTTGTTATGTATCAGAGCCAGGTGCTGGGTCAGGTGCTTTATAAATCATGTCTGTAATTATCACAGCACATTTTAGGTAAGTGTCATTATGCCCACACCAACTGAGAGTTTAGCGTAAGATCATATAACTAATAAGTCACTGTGCCGAGATTCAAATCATGGCCTGATCCCAAAGCACATGCTGTATTGCTTCTGTGTGTCTGTTTAAATCTCTGCTGTGTCTCTGGATTCCATTTGTAGGGACAAGTTCTACTTTAAAGATGCCTTTAGGTGCTGTGTTTTGTTGTAGCTTCGCAGAAATATTTCAATCTTTCTGTTGGAACTATCTTGCTTCATTATTTTATAAATCATCTTATAAATCACATTATATTTTCAATATCTTCTTAATCATCTTTATACAAAACATAAGTGAAGAGTAAGACTTTTCTGAGTTTCTTACATAAATATGAATAGAATCTTTACTGTGGAGAAGAAATGTATTACAGTCCGGTTTTCTCACTATTGTAGGATTCTTTGGCCTCGTCATAATTCCTGTCTTCTTCCCAGGGAAGAAATTAAAGTTTGTTGGGCCTCTCTTATGTGCAAAGCAATGTCGTTGGTGTTGTGAGATGACAAGAAAATGCTTCCTATTCAGTAGTTGTTTCTGGAGTTTTTGTAGTATTTTTCTTTTCTCCCCATTCCTGCCTTATATGTTGCTGCTGGTTTATCTTCCTAGCAGAGATCCAACTTGGCTATTCCTTTGTGGGGAAAAAATACCAGCAAGGTTCCCCATTGTGTAAATAAAAGGCTGAGGCCGGGTACGGTGGCTCACGCCTGTAATCCCAGCACTTTGGGAGGCCGAGGTGGGCGGATCACGAGGTCAGGAGTTCAACACCAGCCTGACCAACGTGGTGAAACCCCGTCTGTACTAAAAATACAATAGTTAGCCCAGTGTGGTGGCACACGCCTGTAATCCAAGCTACTCAGGAGGCTGAGGCAGGGAGGCGGAGGTTGCAGTGAGCCGAGATCGCGCCACTGCACTCCAGCCCGGGTGACAGATCAAGACTCCATCTCAAAAAAAAAGGGGGGGCTGAATATGAATATATGCTTCTGCCACATGTTCAGAGTCCCTCACAGTTTGTTACTGTTCTACCTTCTCAGCCTTCTCTTTCACTACTCTGAATACTGTGTGCTTATCCTGGAACACATTCTGTGCATTTCTACCCTCCCTTTTTCTTGAGCCATTCTTTTCCCTTGACTGGAATGCCTTTCCTTCATTTGGCTAATAAGATCTACCCATCCTTCAAGGTGCTGTACAAAATTCCTTGCTTCCAAAAAGTTTTCCCTGGTCCTTTTCAGTTAGAATTATTATTCCCATATTATCACAAAACATTATTGAATAGAAACATTTATTTTCCCACAGAATGGTGATAACTTTTGGGAAGAGAAGACAAAATCATGTTTAATATATTTTCCTATGGAGAATTCTAAACTCAAACTCTCTAGGGACCCTTTCTAAGCATTTATAATATTTCTGCATTTGGGATTTATTTCTGCTTTAAAATGTGTTTGGGTCAGGTGCAGTGGCTCACACCTGTAATCCCAGCACTTTGAGGGGCCCAGGTGGGCGGATCACTTGAGACCAGGAGTCGAGACCAGCCTGCCCAACATGGCGAAACCCTGTCTCTGATAAAAATACAAAAATTAGCCAGGCGTGGTGCTGGGCACCTGTGGGAGGCTGAGAGAGGAGAATCACTTGAACCCAGGACGTGGAGGTTACAGTGAGCCAAGATGGCGCCACTGCACTCCAGCCTGGGCGACAGAGTGAGACTCCGTCTCAAAAAAAAAAAAAACAATGCTTAGTGGAAAGGACCATTTCTTTTCTATTTCACTATTGAGCTTTAAAATTATGTATATGTATTAATTGATTGAAGCTGATGACTGGACCATCGTTGGTAATAATAAATGGCTATGCTTACCAAAAAGGTTTATATATAGTTCAGATGATCTAACCTGGTGGCAAGAAAAGTAAATTATATTTATTGTCTGATGAATGTTACCAGTTTGTGTAGATCCATGGATGGAAGAAACAGACCAAAAACAAACAAAGAAACAGACCAAAAGTTATTGGCATTTAAGTGGCAGTCAGGATCAGATAGTTTAGATAAATTCGAAGAAGCACAAAATGTAACCTGGTTTGCAAACTTTTTACTGCCAGTGGAGTAAAGCAGGGCTAGGATTTCTTTGATAAAGAGCTAGCCTTTCTTGTCTGCTCTGATTGCATACCTTGGACAGTGCCTGGAAGTCCACCTAGCTGTCTAAAGGGAGTCTGTCTATTTTGACTTCCTAATCAGATAATTAAATGTGAGGCAGTTAGAGTTATGTACTAGTTGATCTTTCTATATGTCTCTGTCAATTCCCGGGATATGGAAAAAATGATTGCCTTTTCTTTATGGTTAGATGCCGTGATCTAGCAATTTTGTTAATTTTGAGGTTTTTGGAGCATTGCTTGGAAGATGCTATTAAGAGACAGATTTGTTCCTTGCAGATTGTTAGTTGTAAATAGTAGTGGAGGTTGGAGGTTGAACTTGATGACTTCTCAATATCCTTTCAAACCTACAAATTATTTTCCAGTTCTTCGTCCTGTGATTAAATTTTCTTATCCTAATGATCAAATTTGTAATTTAATATTTGTTGCAAATTTTACTAGTCTTACACTATATACACACACATTGTATCTAGGAAGTAGGTTTGTTAACTCCATGTAATGAGGAACATGAGTGAACACATTATTGCTAAATTGGCTAGAGAGTTCTTAAAACATGAATCATGAATCAAGAATTGCTTGTTTGTTCAGTGAATATTTTTTTGTGTGAAGTGCTACCTAATTGTTATGGAGATTGTAATGTAAGAGGCACTTTTAAAGATATTCTTCCCTTGAGAATAGTAAGACTATATTATAAATTGCTCTTATTGAAATAGTGAATAGCATTCTGTCTTCTTGCTTATTTTAATGGTCTTAGAAATGGTTCTTTCTACATGCAGTTTTCATCAAGTAAAATATTTTGCAACTTTATTTATATTCATTTACTTATTCGTTAATTTGTGAAACATGTAAATGCTACATGTTTACATCTTAAGGAGTATGAAATTAACATTTTATAATTGCAAAATTTAGAATTTCATTAAGAACTCATGGATGAGAACAATATTTTGTTTTATTTTTTTAGAGACAGGGTCTCACTCTGTGGCCCAGACTGGAGTGCAGTGGTGCAATCATCGATTACTATAACCTCCAACTCCTGGGCTCAAGCAATCCTCCTGCCTCATCCTCCCAAGTAGCTGGGGCTATAGTCACAGGCCACCACACCTGGCTGATTTTTCAATTTTTTGTAGAAACGGGGTCTTGTACGTTGCCTGGGCTGGTCTTGAACTGTTGGTCTCAAGTGATCCTTCCACCTTGGTCTCCCAAAGCACTGGGATTACAGATGTCAGCCACCGGGCCTACCTAAGAAAAATATTTAAATTTAATATCAGTATCTGTGGGGAATTGGTTCCAGGACCCCCTGAGGATACCAAAATCCATGGATGCTCAAGTTCCTTATATAACATGGTATAGTATTTGCATATAACCTATACGCATCTTCCCACAAACTTTTAATCCTCTCTAGATTATTTATGATACCTAATACGATGTAAATGCTATGTAAATAGTTGTTATATGGTATTGTTTAGGGAACAATGCCAAGGAAAAAAGTCTACATGTTCAGTAGAGACACAACTTTTCATTTTCTTTCCTGAATATTTTTGATACGCGGTTGGTTGAATCCACTATGCAGAACCCACAGATCTGGAGGACCTACTATAATTTAATTTAATTCTAAGGTAAGTTAATTCTAATACCTCTCTTTCTGCTCCATTTTATAAATAACAGCCCAAACCTCATAGTGGATAACGGGAGATAATATCATTGCCAGTTTAGCTGTTTGTGTAATCTAGACGCCTTTGGAGCTATTGCAATGAGTATCCACACTAATTCCCTTTATTAATTTTTTTATTAAGGAAAAAAGAGGCACAGTGGAATTCTGAACAAAAGGAAAAGAGATTTGATGTGTTGATAGCTGCTATTTGATGTGTTGATAGCTGCTACCTTTTTGTTCTTTCTTAAAATACTGCTCCCTAGCCCGTGCTGTGGCATGCACCTGTAGTCCCAGCTACTTGGGAGGTTGAAGCGAGAGGATCACCAAGAGTTCCAGGCTGCAGTGTGCTATGATTGTGATGTGAATAGCCACTGTACTCCAACCTGGGCAACATAGCAAGATCCCATCTCTAAAAAAACAAAACAACAACAAAAGATAGTGCTTCCTTTGTTGGCCAAGGGAAGAGATAAGAGGAGTACTATTTTGTGTTTCTTGCAGGCTAAACTTGTTATTAATGTGAAAACCTCATTTCCTCTTGGAAACTTCATCAGTATTCCCAAGGCTGTTTCTTTCTACCTTCCCTCCTTTCACCTTCTGCTCTGTTCCCTATTAACTTCTAGCTGTACTTAATTAACAGAGCAGTGAGTATTCATTAGTCTGGTTTATGATATAGCTGAAATACTTAAAAGGATGTTATATAGAAGAGGAATTAGGCTTTATTGTATATGGCAGCAGAAGGAAGAAGTAGAACAAATGGGTAGAAATGGAAGAATTGCTCAAAGTATGGAACGATTTTCTTACAGGAATATTCAAAATTAAGATTAGCTGCTTTATGACCTATGTAGGAATGCTATAGTAAGATAGTGGACTAACTGACCTCTAGGATTGTTTATAACACTGAGATTCCAGGACTTTATGATTGTATATCTACCAATTTATCTCATATATGTATATGTATATCCTTCTTTGTCTTTCTCAACTGTTATCTCAGAGGTTATAGTTTATGTCTGATATGCTGTAGCTCTCTCTAATGTATCGGTATGGATTCATTTTTATTTAAATATTCTCAGTCTTTATCACTGAAGATTTTACCTTTATTCCTCTCTTTTTCTTTCTCACCCTCCTATTAGATATATTATAGAGCTGCTCATTTTGTCCTCCTTTTCTCTGAACTTCTCTTTATTATTTTTCATCTGCTTATTCTTTCTTTAGCTGCTTAACTAGTACATTGAGGGTTTGTTGTTGTTGTTGTTGTTGTTTTGGTGGGGGCAGACAGAGTTGCACTGTGTCGCCTGGGCTGGAGCGCAGTGGCATAATCTTGGCTCACTGCAACCTCCGCCTCCCGGGTTCAGGCTCACTGCAACCTCCACCTCCCGGGTTCAAGTGATTCTCATGCCTCAGCCTCCTGAGTAGCTGGGATTACAGGCTTGCATCACCACACCTGGCTAACTTTTGTATTTTTAGTAGAGACAGGGTTTCACCGTGTTGGCTAGGCTGGTCTTGAACTCCTGGCCTCAAGTGATCACCTGTGTCTGCCTCCCAAAGTGCTGGGATTACAGGCATGAGCCATTGCACCTGGCCCTAACTAGTACATTGAGTTATTAATATCAGTGTTCATGGTAGTTTTTTGTTTCATTTTGTTTTGGGGCAGGGTCTTGCTCTGTCAACCAGGCTGGAGTGCAGTGGCATGAATATTAATACTGTTAGTAACAGCAATCCAAAAAACTATAATCCAAATGTCCATCAACAGCAGAATGAAAAATACATTTGGTATACAATGGAATATACATGCAAGTTGTAGCTATGCACAACAATTGAGAAAAATCTCAGAAACAACGTTCAGCAAAATCATATAAAACTAAATGGTATCTTATTTAGGACTATACTGACATTCGTGTTAAAGTTGTAAAGACAAGCAAAGGAATAAGGAACAAAATACAGTTTAGAAATCACCTTAGAGGGAAAAGGAAGGAGATGGGTTAGGTTGGACTACCCAGGAGACTTTAAAGGCAGGTAATGTTCTTATTTTAGACTGAATGGTGTTATATAAATGTTTGTTGTGTCATTCTTTTTACCATATACATATTTCCCAAATGTCTTTTGTACCTACCCAATATTAATAAAAAACATTTTAAAGACCTTAAAGAGTTTAAGTAGAATATATTTTGAAAGCAAATGAATCCAACTATAACCGAAGTATCAGTGTGATATCTTCTTTGAAGAAATAAATTTACTGAGTTTGGAGTTGACTATTTCAAATAATTATTGAATTTTCATTTGATTTGTTAATAGTAGTTTTTAAAAGTTTGAAGCAGCAATTTTGTTTTTAGATGCTAATATGATACATACTGTTCTTTTTTGTTTATAGCAGAAAATATTACATAAAAGTATTAAATTTCAAACATATTTTAAAAATTACAGTTCTCAAATCTCATCTATTCCCACCCCTATTTAGAAGCTCCATGATGACAGTTAAGCCCTGTGCTATCTTCTGTATTGATTGACATGACAGCAGTCTGCAGAGTTAGCTTGTGATTATGTACAGCTCAGGGTTACTGTAGGTTGTTCTTTGAAAATAGGACTTCAAGCAAAGCATCTTGTATTCCTTTTGCAGAAATGTTGCTGAAGTGCTGCTGAAAGGGCCAGAGATGCAAGGATTTGGGATACATTTTGAACCTTTAAGCTGTCTGACATTGACCTCCTTTCATTATTAATAAAGAAGAATCAGGAGCTTAGGATGTATTAACACCAACTCATTAATATACTAACCGGACAATGTTCTACAAACAATTCTACATTGTAAAGGACTGGATTGGCACAAAATAAAATAATTTTATTTTATTCAGCTTATAATATGACTCGATGGAGGAAAATTTGATAAGCATGAGAGAAGACCATTCTTTTCATGTTCGTTACAGGTAAGACTATTGCTGTCTTAATGGATGACTTTTAATCCTTATTTTAAAGTGTTTTTAACTCTGATGACCATTTCAAGTTTCAGTTGAAAATACTCAAATATACCAGCCATAGTATTGTCTGTAGACAATATTTTCTTTTTGTTGTAAGTTTTCCTTTCTGTAAGAAAATGATAGTAGAGACCAATTATGTACTATGGTTTGTTTAATGTTCTCTGGAAGAGTTTATGAATAATTTCTTTATAATTTGTAACTTTTTATGTAATGCAAATATGTAAATGAAATATGTTTGAAAATCTTTGGGGCTAAAAGGTGGATTTTTTAAAAATGTGGTCAGCTGAAGGACCAAACCTTTGCATTGTAATTTAATGTGATCTTTTAGACATGAACTTTTTATTTTTGATTTATTTTTATTTTTTGTAGTGTATTGTTTTGATTCCCTTCTCATTTCCTTTTTTTGTATATTTTTTATTTTATTAATTTTACTTTTTCTATATTATCAGAGATGGGAGTCTCACTATATTGCCCAGGCAAGTCTCAAACTCCTGGGCTCAAGCAATCCTCCTGCCTCAGCCTCCAGAGTAGCAGGAACTACAGGTGTGTGCCACTGCACCTGGCTTTTTATTTTATCTTTAAAGGAAATTTTATTTCACAACCATTATTACTGTTTTAAATATGTACCTAATCCACATTAATATAAATACATTATTATTAAAATACAAACAAGCGCTGTTCAAAAGAAATGTCATTTTTAAGCTTAATGTCTAGTGACATTTTGTGTTGTTTTGCTGATTTAATACTTAAGACCACATTTTTACATGAAGTAGTGGTTTGGTAATCCCTAATTTACTCCAGAAAGCAAGTCAGGCTGAGGAAAGGCACCCACATGCATTCTCTCACAAGCTTCACGGTCCCTAGGGAAATGGCCTGGCTCCTCTAGGACTTACAGTGTTCCCTTGGATGCCCAAATGGATTGTCTACATTCCTGGTAGAAGGTTGCAGATTGTAAGGACCAGTGTTCCCACCTTTGTTCTGCATCCACAAGTGTCTTTCACAAATACAACACACTCCCTTTGGCTACACCTTATATATAATAGGTTATGCACATGTATGTGTGTTGGTGGGGGTGGATGCTTCCCACTGATCTAGATCAGGATCCAAATCAGACATACACATCAGGAAAGGAGGGAAGATAGCCAGGAAGTGATAGCTGGGCAGAATGAAGGTACAGAATGGGCAGGTCTTCCTGATTTTTCAGAAGAGCCCAGGAAATCTGAAAATCTGAAGAGTGTGTGTGTGTGTGTTTTTGTGTTTTTGTTTTTTTTTTTTTGGAGACAGTCTCACTCTGACGCCCAGGCTGGAGTGCAGTGGCACGAGTTTGGCTCACTGTAACCTCCGCCTCCCATGTTAAAGCGATTCTCTTGTCTCAGCTTCCCGAGTAGCTGGGATTATAGGCGTGTGTCACCACGCCCAGCTAATTTTTTGTATTTTTAGTAGATACAGGGTTTTGCCATATTGACCAGGCTGGTCTTGAGCTCCTGGCCTCAAGTGATATGCCCGCCTTGGCCTCCCAAAGTGCTGGGATTATAGGCATGAGCCACCAAGCCCGGCCGGAAATCTAAATCTTTATTGTGCTGTCTCCAAATTCTGAAATGTTGGCAGCTAATGCAAATTTTTTTTTAAAAATGTGGGTTGAACATTTTAAGGAGGAGAAAGAGGCCTGTAACAGACACAACTCTCTAAAAAACCACACAGGCAGGTGGGGGAGGTAGAGCTCAAGGTTTTGAGAAAGCTGCTCTCCAGGACGTAACATACACTTACCCTGGGACTCCGAGGCGCTAACCCTCCTGCACCTCGAGGCCCAGAGCACCAAGTGCGATGTCCCCATCTCCTGGCCTTGCCCACCTCATTGCCCTCCATATCTCCTCATCACACCTTCGATTCCCCAAACCCCATAGGTTTCTCTGCCTCCCAGACTTTGCCCCTTATTCCTTGGATGGCCTAGAATGCCATTACCTGCCATCCTCCCAGGCACTGCCTGTTGCAAGCCAGGCTCCCATTCTCATTCCTCACTCCTAGAGGGTTGCATACAGACCTTCCTATTGCACCCTTCTAGATGGGCTGCTTAGGTCAGTGTCACCCACAGACACCATGCACCCAGTGACAGTCTGTGAGAGCATGCAGCCTACCCCCATCCGTGTGTGGAGCTCAGCCTTCATAAATGAGCATCTTGAAGGAATGGGTATTAAATAAAGTCGGAATAGGTGGGTACTTTGTAAACATGATAACCAATAGCCAGTTTAATATTTAGTGTTAAATATTAATGACATCTCTAATGCAATTAGGAACAAAACAAGGCTATCTGCACTATGATTATTAATATTCTGCAAGTTCTGGTAATTGCACTAAACGATAAAATAAATGCAAACTTAAATATTATCATCATTTAATAAGGTGATTAGGGAATATGTTTTTGTTTTTGTTTTTGTTTTGAAATGGAGTATCACTCTGTCACCCAGGCTGGAGTGCAGTGGTGTGCAATCTCAGCTCACTGCAACCTCTGCCTCTCAGGTTCAAGCAGTGCTCCTGCCTCAGCCTCCTGAGTAGCTGGGACTACAGGCGTGTGCCACCATGCCCAGCTAACTTTTATATTTTTAGTAGAGATGGGGTTTTGCCATGTTGGCCAGGCTGGTCTCGAACTCCTGACCTCGGGTGATCCACCCGCCTCGGCCTCCCAAAGTGCTGGGATTACAGGCGTGAGCCACTGCACTTGGCCTTTTTTTCCCCGTTGAGACAGAGTCTTGTTCTGTTTCCCAGACTGGAGTGCAGTGGCATGATCACAGCTCACTGCAGCCTCAACCTCTCAGGCTCAAGCAATCCTCCCACCTCAGCTTCCTGAGTAGCTGGGACTACAGCTATGCCTGGCTAATTTTTAAAATCTTTTTGTGAAGATGCGATCTCACTCTGTTGCCTAGGCTGGTCTCGAACTCCTGGGCTCAAGCAGTCCACCTACCTCAGCCTCCTCAAGTGCTGGGATTACAGGAATGAGCTGCCGTGCCCAGCTGGTAATAGATTCTTTATCAAAACTGTTACAAGTTAATTATTAGATGAACATCAGAATATAGTAGCAATTAATAGAATTCAAAATCTCAGGAGGGTGTACCAAATTTTAGATGTCTTAACATATTTAGGAAATGGGAGATTTATCATCCTGTAAATAGTTCACGTTAGGAAGGTTCATGCCAAGGAAGTTAACATAGGTAAGATGAGGACATTTCTATTAAAAAAGAGTTTCAAGTAAAATAAAATGGAAGACATTTAAGATAATTAAGATGAGCTTTTAATATACGAAATGCTGCCATCCTACCCTTTACATAAATTTCCAGAAACCTGGGAATTATATACTTTTTTCTTTTCTCATTCTGTATCCAGCATGAAGTATTGCTGGTTTCATCTCCTAAATGTTTCTCAGATTCATCTACTCATGTGCATCCTCCCAGTTGTTTGAAAGGCTTGTTCCCCGGTGCTGTAAAGAAATAGCACTTGAACATAAATTTAATTTATTTAGTAAGGCCATTTTTACTTGCTGCAGAAGGGGTACACTCATCAGCAGTTTTGCCTCGAGAGTACACTGAACAAAGGAGACAGGGTCATTTATAACCTGATGTATCCACCCTACTGCTGTGTCTGGTTTCCATTAACTGGAACGGGACCTCACATTCTGTATTTGTCCCGATTGGCTAGCAACTTAGAACTTTTTAAAAGAGGCAAAGGTAGAGGGGAACAAAGGAAGGAGGAAGTAACTTGTGGAATGTTGAGAAAGATAAAAACACTTTTAAATAAGGAAGAGGAACAGGCTATGACCTAATGCTTGCTTGGACCAGTGTAAGCATGCTAGGGCAAATACTTAGGCTAAATTGTGGGAGCTAAGAACATAAGGTACATTGATTTCCTTATTACCGCTAGCAGATATTTAAGAATGTTAACACAGTTCTTTGAATAAATTTTGCGTCTAAGGAATAAATACTATTTATTCCTAATTAGATGGGGAGGAAAGTCTTTGAAGAGGAACCTTTACTTTACTTTTTACACCGCCATAGCTATAATTGAGATCCTCAGGATCTTCTTTCCAGACTGCCTCCATTCTTCACCTCTTGGAACCCGTCGTTTTGACTTGTCACTAGTGGGCTCAATCTCAAAACACAGAGCTAACCGTGCAACCTCTCTGCTTAATACCTAGGGTGGCTCCTAGTCACCCGGCCAAGCTGAACATAGAACACAAGATCTTCATTATCTGGCTTCTGCCTATTCCTGGGACCTTACTTCCTGCCATTCTTCACCTTGCACTTTGAGCTCTGGTTTCCTGCATGTCATGCTGTTTTATATTTCAGTGTCTTTGCTCATGCTATGCCCTATGTTGAACTCCCTTCCCACTTTCTTTGTTTAGCTAATTCTACTCTAAGATACAGCTCGGAGATTATCTCCTCCTGGAAACCATTTCTAAGCTCCATAGTTAGGCTCTGTGGCCTCCGTGTGCTCATATTACAATCTGTGCATTTTTCTTTCTTAGCACCAACTGTATTAAAATTAAGTTAATCTGTTTTTATGGTGCTCCCTTCCTCCTCACCTCTCCCTTTGAGCATTAGCTCCTCAGCTGTGGTCACTCCTCAGCAGCCATGATAATTAGCATGTTGTCTGGCACATATTGAACTTCAATGGAATATGAACGTAATAAGATGTTTATCTGTCTTGCTAAATGTTTTGAATAGTATTGTGCTTTCTAATATGGTAAGAACAGTAGATAAGTAGGAATGGCTTGTACCTCTGCCTGTTGGAAGATCTTAGAATTGTCCTTTTTCTGTGATACAGTCTAGATCAAACATGGTTGCACTTTGCTATAGGACTTCACCAAGGGAAACTTAAAAATCTGTACTGTCTGTAATAGGACTATACCAAACAAATCTCTGGCTTTATCAGTGCTCTAAGACCAGCATTCTGTATATTGATTGGATTGTCGTATAATTGGGGGTAATGATTTGAACTCTTTATGTTAGGCCATAGGCTGGTATAAGTTATTCTTCTGCTATAGTAAATCCTTATGAAATGTTTTATCCATCTGGTTCTTCCATTGTGGAGGTCCTCCTCTATCCCTGGAGGAGTTTCTGTGGCACAATGAATTTGTAATTTTGAATGGAATGTTTCTTGGAACACTAAGTAACCTCCTAAGGGGACATCAGAATGCTTTATTGAAATATTTTGCACCTATTTCAAAAGGTAGAGACTGATAGCAAGTACAATTTAAGTTAAAAAAAAATTATATGGTTGATTTTTAAGGAATTATTAATTTTTTATGTGTGATAATGGTATTGTGATTGTATTTTTTGAAAAAGATTAATCTTTTAAAGATACATACTAAGGTATTTACAAATTAAATCATATGCTTTCCGGAATGTACTTCAGACCAATCTGGGGTTGGAAGAGTAACGATCAGAGTAGAGATGAATAAATAATATATTGATTATATATGTGTAATTATTGACGTTGAAAGATGGATACATTGGGTTTGTTACACTAGTTCCTCTGGTTTTGTGTTTCTTTGGAAAATGTCATTTATACTTCTTACTGTGAATAATAAGCATTTTAATACTTTAATATTGTAAAAGTTAGATTCTTGCATGTAAGTTGTGAAGGAATACAGATATGGTGTTGAATTCTTTAATTTTGTTAGCTCAATGTAGTTGTTAATGTGCTTTCTTGAGTAGTTTAAGGTAACATGGAGTGATGGAAAGACCACTGGATTTGGAGACAAAGATAAATTTTCATATCTCAACTTTGACATCCCATGACCTTAAGCAAGTCATTTAACCTGTCTCAGCATCACTTTCTCCTTCTGTAGCAATACCTATCTTAGAAGGTTATTTTTATTTTATTTTATTTGAGATAGGGTCTGGCTCTGTCACCCATGCTGGATTGCAGAGGTGTGATCTTAGCTTACTGCACCCTCTGCCTACTGGGCTCAAGCTATCCTCCCACCTCAGCCTCCCGAGTAGCTGGGACTACTACAGGTGCATGCCACCACAGCCAGCTAATTTTTTTTTTTTTTTTTTTTGGTGGAGATGGGGTTTTGCCATGTTGCCCAGGCTGGTCTCGAACTCCTGGGCTCAAGCGATCCACCCCCCCTTAGCCTCCCAAGTGCTGGGATTACAGGTATGAGCCACTGCACCCAGCCTCAGAGGGTTATTTTGAGAATTAAGTTTGATAAAGGTTAAAATCACTTTTAAAACTAAATTACCATACAAATTTTTGTTTTTTAATCATTTTCTTCCTTCTTATTCTATATTATTAATCATCTAACCATACAAATGTAAATCAATTGAGCACTACTTTTCCTTTTACATAATAAATGAGAACAGCTAGATATATGTGGTAAATTGAATGGATGAAATTTGTTTATTGGGGCTAGCACTGGTGATGGAAAAGGTTCATGCCCAATTAGAATACAGAGAAGGTAGAGCTAGGATTTATGAAAGAAGATCACACAACCACAGAAATGGAAAGCATAATAGAGAAAATGGAGAGTAGTCTTATTTTGCCTCTTAAGTCCTGAATTCCATCATTTATTCTTAAATAGTATGTAAGCCCTTTGAAGCAAGAGTCAAATCTGGACAAAATTGATGTTATTAAGTCTTTTAGAAAGATGTAGCATCATGGTTTTATGTTTTGCATTCACTGACGTCCTGTGAACACGAAACAAATTTAAGGAGGTAAAGAGGATAATAGTCAAGTGCAAAATCTAGTGTGGAAGAGAAGTTAAAAATTAAAAGAAAAATTGAAATGACATGAGTTTGCACAGAAAATGAGAAATTCTAGCTAAAATGTTCACTCTATTAGCAAAAATGAAAACACGTCAGTTAAGGATAGTAGTACTGTGTCTATTTGAAGTTTATTAGAAACATATTTTCTTTGATTATACAGCTAGATAGGCTCTCAGAAGCATAAAGGAAACTTTGTATGTGGGATGAATTTTAATGGAGGGGTATGTTCTTGGTTTTTCTTCTACATGTGGGTATGTTCTTTGTTTTCAACCCAACTGGTAAACAAAGGAAGTAATTCTATTCTCTCATAGTGACAGAGAGGATATGAAATTACTTTCTCTGTTACTATTTAATGATCTTCTAAAAAATTTATAAACCAAGCTGCCCTATTTTGCAGGCATAAATCTATATTTGATTCAGGTGTTAGAGATTTTTGCCAGAATATTAACTTATTTTCTAATAAAATACACCAGAGCCTGAATCTATCTAAGAATTAATCATAAACTAGAGTGTTTGGGACATTATTTCAGGTATTAGTCACTGGAATAACTTTTCTAAGATAGTCTCTCCTGTAGGGCATTCTCACTACATGGACTTCAAGGACAGCCATGTAGCCAGCAAGCTTCCAGTTTGCTAGTATTGTTTCTTATGACAATTATGTAAAATGCCTTTTTAAAAACGTGTAACACTTACGATGCCATTCAATCTATAGCTAAGTTTTGTGGGATGCCACATCATTTGGATCAATGGTTCCAGTAAAATGTTCTGTAAACTTAAATCCAGAAGATCAGTCATTTGTGGTGAAGTTATTTATTTGAAGAAGATACTTCTCAGTTTTATATGAATATTGGCAAACACTTTTATACTTCCGATTTTTAAATGTTGTTCACATGAATAGCCAGTTCTGCCTTATTCCTAATTTCCCGGCCAGCAACCCAGTCATCCTGAACTGATGGTGCTGTCATGTGTGACCATTTCCTCACTTCCCCCTCAGTGAAATGATGCGCCATCATTAGTAATCCATTGTATAGTGGCGTGTAATTTTTTTTACCCAGTACTCTATTGGTGGACATTTAATTCATTTGTGGTTTTTTTGCTGCTGTGAATATCCTTTCATATGTATCTTCTTAAATTTGTGTAAGTATACCTTAAGATCAATTCTTAGCACTGAAAATGCTTGAGATATAATTTTTAACATAATTTAGAATGCTTAAATTAAAAACTTTTTGTAGGAAAAGAATTATTTTACAAATAAAAATATCTTTTCCATTTTTTTAAATAATATTTCTTAGAAATTCATTGGTTTCAGTTTTTGACAAATAAAGACAACCAGTTCAGGTACTTCATCTAGCAAAATAATCCTTTAATAAAAATCACATTTTGACTGGGCACAGTGGCTCACGCCTGTAATCCCAGCACTTTGAGAGGCTGAGGCAGGCGGATCTCCTGAGGTCAGGAGTTGGAGACCAGCCTGGCCAACATGATGAAACCCCATCTCTACTAAAAATACAAAAATTAGCTGGGCACGGTGGTGCATGCCTGTAATCCCAGCTACTCAAGAGGCTGAGGCAGAAGAATTGCTTGAACCCAGGAGGCGGAGGTTGCAGTGAGCCATTGCGCTCCAGCCTGGGTGACAGAGTGAGACTCCATCTCAAGAAAAAAAAAATTACATTTTTATATATCTTTTGTTGATTTATTTATCTTTATACATAGAATATGACAATAACTTCATAAAATCTTAAACAGATATACTCAATTTTTTCTTTTATGAAATATCTCATTTTCAGAAATACAATTCTAAAGGGCAGTTTTCATTTTTGGAAGGCAAAAATAGGCTTTATTAATTGTGAAGTGACATATAAAGAAACATAAATATAGCTGTTTAAGGTTTCTGATTTAACTGCTTATCTTACTATGTATTTTAGATCTTCTCTCCTGTATCTAATTGGCTTGTAGTCTAATATTGTAGCAAAATGTTGGAGGTTTACCTGCATTATTTTGCATAGATCCATAAAGTGAAGATGGGGCCAGCCATGGTGGCTCACACCTGTAATCCCAGCACTTTGGGAGGCCAAGATGGGTGGATTGCTTGAGGTCAGGAGATTGAGACCAGCCTGGCCAACATGGCAAAACCCTGTCTCTACTAAAATTACAAAAATTAGCCAGGCATGATGGCACATGACTGTAATCCCAGCTGCTCAGGAGACTGAGGCACGAGAATCACTTGAACCCAGGAGGCAGAGGTTGCAGTTAGCCAAGATTGTACTGCTGCACTCCAGCCTGAGTGACAGTGAGAGACTGTGTCTCAAAAAAAAAGTGAAGATGAGCAAGCAGTAGCCATTGGCTAAGTCATTTGAATTCTTAAAAAAAAAAAAGATACCTAGATAGAAAACTTGAAAATTACCTATTGGAATTGGCTACATATATCTGCTTGTTCTAAACCAGAAGTCTGCTTTGAACCTTTACAATTGGCTCAGTTTATCTTTGTCCAGGCTTTTAGCTTCATCAGGTACATTTTCTACTTTACAATCCCATTTTAATTTATGGCTCTAAGGACCCTTGAAATTTTGCAGACTGAAAAACAGCACTCACAAAAACATGTTAATTGATCTACCACTAGATATACAGAGTATAATCATATTTGAATGATATTAGGGTGGGTGGTGGTTTAATTCACATTTCTTATAAAAGCACTGATTCTCAACCCTAACTTGTACTTTAGAATTACCTGGGGCTTTAAAAAAATACAGGTGGCCAGACATCACCCAGAGGGTGGAGTTCAGCGTTGGGAGTTTTAGAAAGTGCTCCAGGTGAGCTCTGCTGTTGTACAGCCAGCATTAAGAACAACTGCTCTATTGGAGTGGCTCAAAGCTCATTCTAGTAAGGAGTAACTTAATGCTGTTCCAAAAATTAAAACATTTGATGAGCTTAATCAGAGCTTCTCAAAGAGTGATATGTATGCCACTGGTGGTACATAAGGTAACTTTACTCACTTTTAGATTTTAATAATTTCATATTTGTTTAATGTGTATTAGAACGGGGTTCCCAACCCCTGGGCCACAGACCAGTACTGTTGTAGCCTGTTAGGAGGTAAGCTGCAGGTGGGCAGGACGAGTGAGCATTTTCACCTGAGCTCCGCCTCCTGTCAGATCAGCAGTACCATTAGATTCTCATAGGAGTGCAAACCCTATTGTGAACTGCACATTCGAGGGATCCAGATTGCACATTCCTTATGAGAGTTTAATGCCTGATGATCTGTCACTGTCTCCAGTCACACCCAGAGGAGACCATCTAGTTGCAGGAAAACAAGCTCAGGGCTCCCACTGATTGTACATTATGGTGAATGTATAGTAACAAGAGGAATAAAGTACACAATAAATGTAATGCACTTGAATCATCCCAAAACAATCCCCTGCCACCCGTCCATGGAAAAATTGTCTTCCACAAAACCGGCCCCTGGTGCCAAAAAGATTGGAGACCGTTGTATTAGAATATACATATAAGTATCGTATCAAATTCACAGTTTCATGAGTACTGCTTTGGATGAAGCTCCATTTTTTTAAAATGATAAGTTAAAGATAGTGTGCCAATTTAAAGGAAATTTGCCAAATTACAGAAATAATTAAACGAATAGGTAGTTCCTACATATGGCAGAAATCATGAAGATGCTGAAGAAACACAATGGCAACTTTGGTGAAGGGCACCCTCTAAAATTTAGGATTTGAATCCAAAGTATCAGTGTTTTTTTCTCCCAGATATGTTTACAGTGACTTAATCCTTCTTTTTCAATTCAGGGACAGACTTTCAAAATTAGTATTTCTGCAAATTTTTGAATCATTGTTTTCTAACTTAGTTTCTTGACACCTAGTTCTCTTGTGAAAATGTGTCTTACAGATCAAGAATATTTTGTTCCTCTATTTTTCTAGGGTATAAGTGGACATGTGGTGGTAAGAAGAGGAAGGAGAGTGAGTGTGTGTTGTGTGTGTATGAGAGAGAGAGCGAGGGATGGATGGCTGGATGGTCAGAGGGGCTGATGAACAGGTGACTAGATTACTTGGATACCTGGGTAGAGAACAATATTAATAATTGTAGGGCCTCACTTTCCTACATACTCATCTTCTCAGACTCTAAGGAAGTCCAGAGGTCTGTTACAACTCAGAATTGTTTGGGAAATACTGCTTTAGGCTCTTTCACTAGTAACGTGGATTGCTCTGGGCCAATTAAAATGAGCTCCACATAAAGATATTTAGCTATCCTGACCTCTCTGAGCAGGCTCAGAGAAATTCGAATAGGCAAATTACCTCTTGCTACAAATAACTGCTTACTGTTTTATCAGGAATGTATATAAACTTCAGTTATAGAGGCAGCTGCCCTGAACAAGAGTAGCCGCTTAAATTATATTACGGGAAGTTAAAAATACTGTGATGCAGCTGTAATGTTATGTTTAAATGTCTGTCCTGTATAATTTTGTAGAATGGAAGCTTCTTGCCTAGAGCTGGCCTTGGAAGGGGAACGTCTATGTAAATCAGGAGACTGCCGCGCTGGCGTGTCATTCTTTGAAGCTGCAGTTCAAGTTGGAACTGAAGACCTAAAAACACTTAGCGCTATTTACAGCCAGTTGGGCAATGCTTATTTCTATTTGCATGATTATGCCAAAGCATTAGAATATCACCATCATGATTTAACCCTTGCAAGGTAATTAATTTAAGCTTTTAAATATTCTTCCTTCTGAAATTAGCTATTACTTTAAAAAATATTTCTATTCAATTAACAAAAACTAACTTAATACATTTAATGAGTTCTACTTCAGTAACATCGCTTTTCAAAACTAACCTTTAGGCTGAACACAGTTTAATTGAATGAATAGTAGTGAATTGACCCTAGAGTTTAATTAAATGGATGAAAACTAATTACATTCAAATCCAGAAATGTAAGTTTTAAATATTTATTTAAAGTAGGTTTCAAAGCCAATGGGTTTTTCTTACCTTAAGCATGTCAGTTTGTCCTCTTGGAAAACTGTACTCTGGCTACTTTATATTTTAACACCATTTGTATTTTAATACCATTTGGTTTTTTGTTTTTTGTTTTTTGTTTTTTTCAGGACTATTGGAGACCAGCTGGGGGAAGCGAAAGCTAGTGGTAATCTGGGAAACACCTTAAAAGTTCTTGGGAATTTTGACGAAGCCATAGTTTGTTGTCAGCGACACCTAGATATTTCCAGAGAGCTTAATGACAAGGTAATACCGCAGCATTAGATGGTAGGCCTAATATTTTCATTCAAAGGGCTTTGCATTTTAATACTATTTAATTATTCTATAGTTTATTTTAAAATTAATACCAAAAAAGAAAACATTTATAGACTAATAGAAGTAAAAGAAAAAAAATTTAATGGAGAAAAAGAAGGAAATAGTAAGAGGTCTTTCATAAGTAATTATTTGATTGGTTCTGTATGGAGAGCCAATATAAAAATTTTTTTCCCTTGTCCGTAATACTAAGGATATTACAAATATATATGATAAACCTGACCTCTGTTTTCAAAATGTAAACTTTGCTGATGTCTTCATTTAGGTGGGAGAAGCAAGAGCACTTTACAATCTTGGGAATGTGTATCATGCCAAAGGGAAAAGTTTTGGTTGCCCTGGTCCCCAGGATGTAGGAGAATTTCCAGAAGAAGTGAGAGATGCTCTGCAGGCAGCCGTGGATTTTTATGAGTGAGTAGGGGCTGATATGGGCAGTCATGTAGGCCCATCTAAGCCGTGGATCTGCTGTACGTTCTTTATTCAGTAGTAAGTTTTTAAGTTTGGCAAAGATTTTAAAGTTATGAACTAGCAAAATCATCAATTCAGTTGCTTAAATGTTACAGTGTTATATTAGTAGTAATCTGCAGCTTTCATTTAAGTTGCAGACCAGTGCCACTTAGTGGCAAAAGCAAGAAATGTCAATGGTTGGTCTGTTATTTAGAGTAATTTAGTCTTTTACCAATAGAATTTCATAGAACTACTTAACTATAGGGGTTCCAAGATTAACTCTGTGCTTGACCCTGGGCAGAAACCTATCTGAATAGTTTAATAAAGTGTTCCCAGCTATTTCCTATAATTGCTCTTCATCATAGATGTCATCCTTAAAATGTTGCACATTATGGCTGTAAGCTTCCCTACATTTTTTTCTGATAAAAAGAATTAGATATGTAAATCACATACATAAAATTGTTCTGCAAACTTATTTTTTCATCACTTTTTGCGATCCCTTAGGGAAAACCTATCATTAGTGACTGCTTTGGGTGACCGAGCGGCACAAGGACGTGCCTTTGGAAATCTTGGAAACACACATTACCTCCTTGGCAACTTCAGGGATGCAGTTATAGCTCATGAGCAGGTACAGTGGAAAGCCTTGGAGCCAGATCATTTCCTCCATCAAAGTTCTGAACAGTGATTAGATCATTCTTCAGTTTTATTTTATCTACATCTAATTAAAATTGTTTGTTTCAGCGTCTCCTTATTGCAAAAGAATTTGGAGATAAAGCAGCTGAAAGAAGAGCATATAGCAACCTTGGAAATGCATATATATTTCTTGGTGAATTTGAAACTGCCTCGGAATACTACAAGTTAGTCTAATATTTCTGTAGATAAATGTAAAATGAATACTCAGTCCCATTAATTCATAGGCTTTAGGTTTAAAATCTGATTGTAGCAGAACTTTTGGCATCTAAGCCTCAATTTCCTTATCTGTAACAGAATATATCAATACTTCATTTTGGGGAATGCTGTGAGGATTGAATGAAATAATATACTAAACACAGTATCTGGTACACAGTGCTCAATAAATATTATTGTACATAAGATTTAATAGCAGCAGTATGACCCCTTTATAATATTGGTTTTTATCTTTAAAAGTAATTGTTTTTAAATGAAGTTTTCAACCTTTAATATCTTTTAAACCTGTTTAGCATATGTGGTGTATATTGTGTATATGCTTTATTTCACTCAGTTATGGGTTAGAAGAGAGGCCAAAAGAAAGCCTTGTAACAAAAATATTTATAGTCTATACCAGTGATCACTGAATTTTTTTCTCTACCTTCCCACCCTCTTATTGAGCAGTTCTCCCTTTACCCTCTTTCTGCCTATATTTGACTGTCACTGTAAGCTGAGTCCCCCATTCACTTACCTGAAGCATTTACAATCCCAGCTTCTTCTGTGGCAGGATCTCTCTTATCAGTAGATTTGAGACATAGATGATAGAAAGTTTAGACAGCTTCAAGTTGCCTGATCTGTGCTTTCTAGATTGAGTTTTCCCTAGTTAGTGGGGATTGAAGCCTCTTACAGATTTTGGGTAGAAGGCAGTTTGACTAAACCGAAGACACAGTGATTGATTTGTATTTTGTTAAAGAAGCCAATATGAGACAGTTCTGGATAATTTGTCATCTTCATAAAAAAGGTAAAATTGTTTTAGGCCTATCTAAAAAAATTAAATAGCATTCCACTTTGCTTTAAACATCAACTAATGGTTAATATTTGTTGGTTAGGTTAGTTAGATATGAAATAGCCTCCCAAATAAAATATATCACTGTGTACTATGTGAAGGAGTATATATTTTGATTTTAAATATAAAAATTTCCTATATTTAAAGCCAAGGGATATAGAGAAGTCTTAATTATTAAATGGTGTATCTGTGTTAAATACTGAAAGGTTCTATTATAAAATGGATAGTGGCTATTTGACTAAAGAAGCATGAATATAAAGTAATGAAACTTAGTTTTTTTCCTCCCAATAAGCAGGCTAGAACTCAGAACTTTATATATATTCCAAGTCGTTGGTTAGAAATATTTTTAGAACTCTTCTTTAGATTTTTTTTTTTTTTTTTTTTTTAAATACGGAGTTTTGCTCTTGTCGCCCAGGCTGGAGTGCAATGGCACAATCTTGGTGCACTGCAACCTCGGCCTCCCCGGTTCAAGCGATTCTCCTGCCTCAGCTTCTGAGCAGCTGGGATTACAGGTGTCTGCCACCACGCCCAGCTAATTTTTGTATTTTTAGTAGAGACGGGGTTTCGCCATGTTGGCCAGGCTAGTCTGGGACTCCTGACCTCAAGTGATCCGCCCACCTCAGCCTCCCAAAGTGCTGGGATTACAGGCGTGAACCACCACACCCAGCCTGGAATTGTTATCAGGGCCAAACAAGAAGGCTAACAATGTAGATCCATATCCTTCCGGATACAAAGCAGTAGTTTGGTAAACCTATGTTAGTAATTGAATTTGGTTCCAGAAAGATTTCTGATCATTTACAAATCAACTGTACCATCAAAGAATAATGGTATGCCAGAAAGCATTATGCCACAGGATCTGAAAGCAATTCCAAAAGTCTTTCAAAAATATTTGAAAAGACAGGCAACATTAGAATAAGTAGGTAGCCTCCCAAGGTGACAGATTTGAAGGTATCATCATTAAATATGTAACTTTAGATTTGTTTGCTTAAAAAAAGCTATCACGTTACCGCATAGTAATTTGTCATATAGTTATAAGTGATATGAAGTAATTATACTATTTGACAGAAATAATGGGAGGGTCATTTAAATTACTGAATCCAAAAGCATCTATAGGTTTAAGCACTGATAATAACACATTAACATTTATACAGCAACTACTATGCACAAGATGCTATTCTAAGCACTTTATACATATTAATTTAATCCTCACAAAAATCCTTCGAGATATTTCCCCCATTTTATATAAGAAGAGACTGGTATACAGAGAGATTGAGTGACTTTGCCCTTAGCTTAGTAATTGGCAAAGTTGGGATTTAAACCCAGTCTAGCTCCAAGATCTATGCTCTTAACTGCTACGCTAGCTTCTCACTGGCAATACCACAGGTAGAATTTGGGTAATGTTTGGATGTAGTATTCAGTATTTTTCATGAGTTGGTGACTAATGCCCGATACATAAGAATTTTACCTAAGTGGTGACTAATAGCCTACACATAAGAATTTTACCTAAATATTTTAAATTTTGACAATGCAAAGGTGACGGTATGATTGAAAACAGATGTCATGTGGAAAAAAGCCTCTTTTAGCTATTGCCAATACTAAAGGGAAAGTTTTTTTAAATGTTAAAGATATTATGTTAATCTCTAGAACCTCTTGATTTTATGTTTCAATACTCCTTTACTTTGATGAATTGTTAGGATTCTCAAATTTATTCTAAAAGTCTTGAATCTTCTTTCTGTGTTTCAAAAACGTCTTTTCATTTTGTCTAAAAGTAATGGAGAAAGTACGGGATATGAATATTAGGCTCTCAGAGATTTAAAGACAGCAGAAAGCAGCAGAGAGGAAAAATGAGAGTTTTGTTTTGTGATTCTTAAAGCCCAAACTGAGAATGATCATTATATAAGAATTAATTTCTTCTTGTAGGAAGACACTACTGTTGGCCCGACAGCTTAAAGACCGAGCTGTAGAAGCACAGTCTTGTTACAGTCTTGGAAATACATATACTTTACTTCAAGACTATGAAAAGGCCATTGATTATCATCTGAAGCACTTAGCAATTGCTCAAGAGCTGAATGATAGGTATGTTTTACGTCTTTTTACCATAACTAAGGTAAAATATAGATGCATTATTGAATCCCTAGAATTTTTCCTTTGTTTCTTTTCCTTTGTTTTCCTTAAAATCCCTTTTAAGGAATTTTCTTTCAGTGATATCCTCTGTATATCATTGTATGAAGGGCTAGTCTGTGATAGAGGATTAGTCTGGTTCCATATGCCCTTGACCCAAGATCAATGACTAGGTCCCAAACTCAATTACCTCTTCAGAAGTCTTCCTGGTGAAACCCCGTATCTACTAAAAATACAAAAATTAGCCGGGTGTGGTGGCGCACGCTTGTAATCCCAGCTACTCAGGAGGCTGAGGCAGGAGAATCGCTTGAACCCAGGAGGTGGAGGTTGCAGTGAGCTGAGATCACGCCACTGCGCTCCAGCCTGGCGACAGAGCAAGACTGCATCTCAAAAAAAAAAAAAAAAAAGTTTTCCTAACTACATAAGTGTGGGAATTGTGGTGAACTTAGAGATAATGTCCAGTGTGAAGGGGGCAACTGCTACCCAACTCCAACTAATTGTTGCCAGCCAGGAATGAAAATCCGTTATGTCCACATCTTCCTGTTTTTTAAAGAGAAGCTGGAAGTGCTGAGTTTTATATGAAATCTGATTTTTAAATGTTAGTGGCTAATTCAGTTTTTTTGTTTTACTGTATTAAAAAACATTATTTTCCAGCATTTAGTCTGTGATGTTTGCTTTAGAAGATCGATTTTGTTTTTACCTCAGTATGAGAGAGAACTTTTCGATGCAGATGTTCAAAATGAAGTATGCTACCTCAAGAGGTAGTGCGTTCTCTCTCCCTGCTGCTCAAACACACACTGAATAATTACCTGGTAGGGCTGTTATAGAAGGAAAATAGGGTAGTGGACCAGAATACCTATCCTTGAGATTTATTACTTTATAATGTATTTCATATTTTAAAAGCATGTTTTCTATGTTGTAATACTTGACTGTGAGTTTAGTATTATGTGGGTATTCTTTTTTTTAATCTGGGTATTCTAGTATGTCTATAATATCATGATAGTATGTTATTTATATGAAAGACCAAATCAATCCAAAGCATTCTTTATCCCTTTAGTTCCTGCTAGATAGCTTTTATTCTATACATAGGACCTCTTTTCAAATAACTGCATGTTCGCTTTGAATAACGTTTTAGAATTGGTGAAGGAAGAGCATGTTGGAGCTTAGGAAATGCATACACAGCACTAGGAAATCATGATCAAGCAATGCATTTTGCTGAAAAGCACTTGGAAATTTCAAGAGAGGTATGAAACTAAAAAAAATGCTGTCTGTGCTATTGTAATTTACAAATTAGAGGTTGGGGGAGGGAACCCTATTTCTCTAGATTGATCATGTGGCTGAATAATAAATTTGATTATATATCATTCTCTTGGCATAAGAACCCCAGAAAGCATTTTGAGGTACAGATCACAGTTATGTTTGTATTGGCTTTCATGTAGGAAGACAGGAAAGTAAGGCCGGGCATGGGGAAGTGGAAGGAGAGTACTAAAATATGCCCCTACTCTACCCGCATCTCTACATGGAGAAGTAGCATGGTATTGAAGGAAAAGCATGGTTCTTAGAATTAAGGACTGCTTCCTGTTGTAGTTCTGCCACTTACTGGCTATTTGAGCTTGGAAACCTTTTCTGAGCCTCAGTTTCTCTCATCTGCATAATGGGAATAATAATATCTACCTTGCAAAGTGTTATAACGATTAGAGCTAATGTATATTAAAAGTGCCTAGCAAAATGTCTGGTGCTGGCTTAATAAACATTATTATTATACTATGGGAATAAAATATTCTAAGAAAATTTTATTCATATACCAAGTTAATGTGTCCAGGATAATCTACATTATTACTTAGTATGATTCCAGAGAACAAGAGCAATCTAATGTTTAGAGAACTAAAGAATTAAAAGAATACAATTAGCTGTCCTATTGTGATATTTTAGAAGCTTGCTTTTTCTTTCTGTATTCTTTAAGACAACTATTAATGGAAAAAAATTTTCATTCATTCATAGTCTCATAATTCTAATATAACTATTTTCATTTCTCTATATTTTCTTCTAGTTTTAGGTTCACTACATTTACAAATAATCTTCACCATTCTTTCTCTTTAAATACTACTCTAAAATATAAATGTTTGTGTTGTAGGTTGGGGATAAAAGTGGTGAACTAACAGCACGACTTAATCTCTCAGACCTTCAAATGGTTCTTGGTCTGAGCTACAGCACAAATAACTCCATAATGTCTGAAAATACTGAAATTGATAGCAGTTTGAATGGTAAGTAATAGGACTTTTAAAACCCAATTTTTTTATCCTCAATATTTAGATTAAAGTTATTTATCACAAATTTGGCATATTCAGAGAGAATATATAACATGGGAAGTTCAACTTATTACACTTTTTTGCTGTACACAGCTCTGTTTGTAAATATATATTACAATTATATATTTTGTATATAATATATATATAATTATAATATATAATTTATAAGTGTAAAACAATATTTTATAGTTTTTACCATGAACTTAGGAATGGTGATGGTATTGTTCTTTTCTTTTGTAAAAATACATTTAAATTCTCTATCTCTAAGCTCATTCAAAAATTTGTAAATGTGAAGGTGCCAAAATTTTAAAATGTTATTGTTTATCCTTTTTATCTCATATCGTTTTACGTATCTGTTTTCTGTTTAGTTCTTTTTCCCCCATTTCATTTCCAAGGTGAATTTTCTTAGGACTTTTTTAAATTCAGAAAATCTAAGATACTCTCTTTATTTTTCTTTCTTTTTTTTTGGTGGCAAAACCTATCTTTAGGACACCTTCCTTAGGTGCCGATTTGTTTGACATTTCTATAGCGAGGAAATTTGCTATAATGTCTCTTTTTGAGTGAAAGAAAATCTACTTTTAAAGAAATAAAAGGGATAAGATTAGGATCACATTTTTAAATTTCATCAGTATGTGATTCTATATGAGATCATTTTCCTAAGCTTGAGAAATTCTCAGTCTAAAAAAAACTACTGACAAATATTTTGAATTTTAAAGTCAGTGATAAATCTACCTTTACTTTTTCCAATTTTTTTCTTTAAACTCAGGAAAAGAAATTAGTGGCTAGTCATCTGATTTAGATTTTCAAAGAACATTTAGTGAAAAGTTCTGAAGTGTGAACCGTATAATAATTTGTGACTGCGTGCTTTGTGGTTGAATGATGGGCTAAGACGTTTTTCTGTGCTGAACTTTCAAATAGGTTATGCCGTTAAGAGCTCTCATCTTTAAAAAGCAAAAACAAACAGTCGCTTGTCTTCATAGACCCTTCTAGCTGTAGACCTGTTCCTTTGTTCGCTCTTATAACAAAACCTGAAAAGACACTAATATTCATTGTCTTTACTTCCTTGCCTCCCTTTCTCTCTTCAACCCATTCCCGTTGGGCTTTGCCCTCACCATGTCTCTGAGACCTCCATTTTACCAAATATATCATTCAGTTTTCACATGTCAGCTTACTTGATTTTTCTCAGCAATATTTCCTATAGCCAATCATTCCCTTCTGAGAAAACTTTCTTCATTTGGCCTCCAGGATTACTCTGCTTTTCTGGTTTGCCACTCTCGTCTTTATTCTCTTCTCTCCTCTTCTTCATCTTTCCTCTACGTTTGTAGTGCTCAGGGTTCAGTTCTTGGACCTCTTCTTCCTACCTTCTTTCCCTCCCTATTTTCCATCTCTCTCTCCTTCCTTCTTACTGATTTTATCCTTTTTCCTTCTATTCTGTGCTTTAAGTCAGTGCTTCCAATAGAACTTTTCTGTGATGATAAAAACGTTTTACATCTGCCATCCAATGTAAAAGCCACTAGCTACATGTGGCTGTTGATCACTAGAAATGTGGCTACTACAAGAGGGAGTGAATTTTTAATATTACTTAACTTTGGTTAATTAAAATGTAGAGAGCCGCATGTGGCTACTGGCTATTGGACAGCACAGCTCTAGATAATCTCATCCAGTTACTTGGCTTTTATATTGTCTATATACTGATTATTTTCAGATTTATATTTCCAGCCAAAATTTCTCTCATGAGTTTGAGACTCATTTGTTTAAAATTTTCCATTGTCATGCCATATCTAATTGGCATCTAAAACTTAGCATGTCCATAATGTTTTCTCCTAAACATGTTCTTCCTGTACCCCACCCTATCTCAGGAAATAGTATCACCATTCACTCAACTAATCAGGCCAAAAAACTAGGGGTCATACTTGTTCCCTTTCTACTTTTATTTATTTATTTTATTTTATTTTATTTTTAAAGACAGAATCTCACTCTGTTGCCCGAGCTGGTCTCGAACTCTTGTCCTCAAGAGATCTTCCCACCTCAGCTTCTCAAGTAGCTGGCCTTGTTCCCTTTCTTTCACTCACTTCTACATCAAACCTATCAGAAACCTGCCTTCAAAATATATCCCTAATCTCTCCTACAGTGTACTCTGCAACAATCTTAGTATAAGCTACCGACAGCTCCCAGCAGAGTCCTAGCCTACCAATGATTTCTCTTACTTCGATTCTGCATCTCTCACACTTACTTTTCCACACAGGAGCCAGAGTGCTTTTTTTTTTTTTTTTTTCTAAATTAAAAAAATATTTTGGCCAGGCACAGTGGCTCACGCCTGTAATCCCCAACACTTCAGGAGGCTGAGGCAGGTGGATCACCTGAGGTCAGGAGTTCGAGACCAGCCTGGCCAACATGGCAAAACCCCATCTCTACTAAAAATACAAAAATTAGCCAGGCACAGGGGCACAGACCTGTAGTCCCAGCTACTCAGGAGGCTGAGGCAGGAGAATCGCTTGAACCTGGGAGGAGGGTTTTGAGATGGAATCTCGCTCTGTCGCCCAGGCTGGAGTGCAGTGACGGAACTATAGGCACGACCTCCTAGGCTGAAGTGATCCTGCCACCTCAGCCTTTCAAAGTGCTGGGATTACAGGCATGAACCATCATGCCTGGCCTCAGAGTGCTCCTTTAGAATATACGTCGTTCCTCTGTTCAAAACCCTTCAGTTAGTTCCCATCACACCTAGAACGGAATCCTCAGTCCTCACCATGGTTGAAAGGCCCTATGTAATCTGAACCTATCTCTTCAGCCTCTTTTCCTGCCACTCCACCTCTTGCTCACTCTGGCTGTATGAAGACAGGTGTTTTTTGGTCTCTTTTGTTCATTGCCATCTCCCCAGTGTGAGGAGAAAGGATTTGTAAGAAAACTTGTCTATTTCTGGTGTTGGCTCAAGGTAGAAAAAAGGAGCCTTCGCTAAAAATCTTAATTCATGAATTCATAAGCCTCCCTACATACTGGTTTGGAATTTGATTTATACCATCTGCACAGTCTAAGAAACCCTAATCCATTAAAGCACTTTTGGGTTAGAGGTGTTCCTAGAGACTTAGCAGAAGTAAGACCAAATAGTTTCTGGGGGAAAGGCATCCTTGATTCCAGGTCATAAGCGTTTCACAACAAAAAAATTACCAAATATGTAAAGAAACAAGCCAAGATAGTAAGGAAAAAAATAACAAAATTAGGTCATCAAGTTCTTCAGATGTTAGAATTATCAGATATAGAAAATAAAATGACTGTGGTTGAACGTTTACAGAAGTAACAAGGAAATGAAAACAAGAGAATAACAAAAATGTTAGGTAGACTGAAAAAAAAAGCTAACATTTATTGAGTGCTTATGATATGCCAGGCACTGATTTAAGTGCTTTACATGTTTTAACTCATTTAATTGTAACAATTCTAGTAGTTAAGTTTCTGTTATCCTTAATTTACAGGTGGGGAAATGGAGGCAAGAGAGGTTAGGTAAATTTCCCAGGGTTACCTGTGTAGTAAGTGGTAGAGATGGGAGTTAAGCTTAGTCACTCTGGCTCCAGAATCCGTCTTATGTGATAGTTATGTCTTAATGTGATGTTAACACACCTCAATAATTGATAAAAATCAGTCAGGAGTCAGACATCAGTAATAAAGTTGAGATTTGACCAACACAATTAATAGGCTTCATCTAATGCAATATTTTGCAAACTATGTGTCTGACCCATTCATGAGTTATAAAATGAGTCTTATGAGTTGCAGTTAGCATTAAAAATACACATACAGGGGCCGGGCGCCATGGCTCACGCCTGTAATTCCAGCACTTTGGGAGGCCAAGGCGAGCGGATCATGAGGTCAGGAGATCGAGACCATCCTGGCTAACGTGGTGAAACCCCGTCTCCACTAAAAATACAAAAAATTAGCCAGGCGTGGTGGCAGGCGCCTGTAGTCGCAGCTACTCGGGAGGCTGAGGCAGGAGAATGGCGTGAACCTGGGAGGCGGAGCTTGCAGTGAGCCGAGATTGCTCCACTGCACTCCAGCCTGGGCAACAGAGCGAGACTCTGTCTCAAAAACAAAAACAAACAAAAAAAACACAGGAGGCCAGGCGCGGTGGCTCACACCTGTAATCCCAGCACTTTGGGAAGCCGAGGCACGTGGATCACGAGGTCAGGAGATCGAGACCATCTTGGCTAACACGGTGAAACCGTGTCTCTACTAAAAAATTAGCTGGGCGTGGTGGCGGGCACCTGTAGTCCCAGCTACTCGGGAGGCTGAGGCAGAAGAATGGCGTGAACCTGGGGGGCGGAGCTTGCAGTGAGCCGAGATCGCGCCACTGCACTCCAGCCGACAGAGAGAGACTCCGTCTCAAAACACACGTGCGCGCACACACACACAGCCGACAGCCAGACTCCATCTCAAAACACAAACACACACACGCCGGGGCAGTGGCTCATGCCTGTAATCCCAGCTCTTGGGAGGATCACTTGAGCCCAGGAGTTTAGACCGACTTGGGCACACAGGGAGACCGCCATCTCTCCAAAAAATTTTTTAATTATCCGTGCATGGTGGCATGAGCCTGTCATCCCAGCTACTCGGGAAGCTGAGGTGGGAGGATCACTTAAGCCCAGGAGTTTAGACCGACCTGGGCACACAGGGAGACCGCCATCTCTCCAAAAAATTTTTTTAATTAGCCATGCATGGTAGCATGAGCCTGTGATCCCAGCTACTCGGGAAGCTGAGGTGGGAGGATCACTTGAGCCCAGGAAGTCGAAGCTGCAGTAAGCCATGATCATGCTGTTGCACTCCAGCCTGGGCAATAGAGAAAAACCAAAAAACTACACACGTATGTGTATGTATGTATATAAAACTGTTGTGTGAAGATTTTGTTGTATGTTTGTGTATGTTCTAGGTATATATGTGTATTTTTTAATATGGGGTCACACCTTAAAAGTGAAAACCACTGCTTTAATGGAAATATATTGACCTAACTGGTCAATTTCCATTATTTTTAAGTATTCATGAAACATTTACAGAAAACTGACAATAAAGCAAATCTCAACAAATTTAAAAGGATTTGTATCACATCTGTATCACACATGCTCTGAGCACGGTGCATTTAATTTAGAAATTAATAAGATAATATATAAAACATTAATCTGAAAACATAACATTTCTCAGTAACTTACAGGTTGAGAAAGAAATCTTAAAGTTAGAAAGTAACTTAGGACTGAATTATAAAAATATTGTTTCAATTTTGTGGCATGTGACTTACATTGGTACTTAGAGCAAAATTTATGTTGTATTTAAAAAGGAAAAAGCTGGCCAGGCGCGGTGGCTCACGCCTGTAATCCTAGCACTTTGGGAGGCCCAGGCGAGTGGATCACAAGGTCAAGAGATCAAGACCATCCTGGCCAACATGGTGAAACCCTGTCTCTACTAAAAATACAAAAATTAGCTGGGCGTGGTGGCATGCACCTGTAGTCCCAGTTACTCAGGAGACTGACACGGGAGAATTGCTTAAACCCAGGAGGCGGAGGCTGCAGTGAGCCGAGATCACACCACTGCACTCCAGCCTGGCGACAGAGCAAGACGCCATCTCCAAAAAAAAAAAAAAAAAAAAAAAAAGGAAAAAGGCTGAAAGCTTAATACCATCTAGCTTAAAAAGTAAAACAAACAAACAAAAAAAAACACTGAAAGAAGGCAAAAATTAAAAAGCAGAATTTAATAAAATTAAAACAGTGTTTTCTTTAAGTCAAAATTTGGTTCCAAATTGTTTAGTTTAATTTTGACTAAGTCTACAGAAAGAGGGCATAATAAATATGCAGAGATTAAAAAGAGATTCTGAATAACGTTATGACAAAATATTTGAAAATCTAGGAGAAATGGGCAATTTCTGGAAAAACAAGTTACCAAAACTGTTCCAATGGTAAAATGTAATGTGAATGGCATGCTAATGGCTAAAATTATAAAGAAATTCGAGCAGTAATTTAAAATCTTCCCACTAGGAAAATACCTGGCCTAGATGATTGTACAAGTGAGGTAAACCAGCCACTTAAGAAAACTAATTATAATACCTTACACAAAAATTTTATAGGCAACTGAATAAGTGGACATACTTTTATCAATCTTTCTGAGAACCATAACCTTGATATCCAAACTAGACAAGAACAATACAAGAAAAGTAAATTACCGGCCAGCCTTACTTGTGAACATAAGATATAAAAATCTTTACAAAATATTAGCAAAGCAAATCCAGTAATGTATTTTAAAACAAACGGGGAGCCGGGCGCAGTGGCTCACCCCTGTAATCCCAGCACTTTGGGAGGCTGAGGCGGGCGGATCATGAGGTCAGGAGTTCGAGACCAGCCTGACCAACGTGGTGAAACCCCGTCTCTACCAAAAATACAAAAATTAGCCAGGGGTGGTGGTGTGTGCCTGGAATCCCAGCTACTCAGGAGGCTGAGGCAGGAGAATCACTTGAACCTAGGAGGCAGAGGTTGCAGTGAGCCGAGATAGCACCACTGCACTCCAGCCTGGGCGACAGAGAGAGACTCCGTCTCAAAAAAAAAAAAAATTCAAGTGGATTCAACATTAGAAAATCAATTAATGTAATTCACTAATGAACATAGTAAAGAGAAAATCACCCAAATATCCAAATCTATTAAATCTATTTCATATAGAACTAATGAAATAGTTCTATTTCATTAGAACTATTAAATGAAAATATTCCATTTATAAGACACAGTAGCAGATTGGAGAAAGAATAAAATCCAACTACACACTACTTGCAAGAGAAATATCTAATATAAGGATATAATAAACCTGAAAGTAAAAGAATAGAAGATTCATCATGCAAAAACTAACCAAAAGACAGTCAGTATAGCTATGTTAATAGATAAAATGTACTTTAAGGCAAAGGGTCTTACTAGAAATGAAGAAGGTCGGCTGAGTGTGGTAGGTCACGCCTGTAATCCCAGCACTTTGGGATGCCGAGGCTGGTGGATCACTTGAGATCAGAAGTTCAAGATCAGCCTGGCCAACATGGTGAGACCCCGTCTCTACTAAAAATACAGACATTAGCTGGGGGTGGTGCAGGGCCCTGTAATCCCATCTACTCAGGAGGCTGAGGTGGAAGAATGTCTTGAACCCAGGAGGTGGAGGTTGCAGTGAGCCGAGATCACGCCACTGCACTCTAGCCTGGGCAACACAGCGAAACTCCATCTCAGAAAAACAAAAACACAAGCAAACAAACAAAAACCAAAGTAAATGAAGAAGGTCACTTTACGGTGGTACTTACCAGTGATTAACAGTTCAATTCACCAGGAAGATGAATGCATTAAATGTGTCTGGGCTTAATAGGTGTTTATAACAAGGCCTCAACGTACATAAAGCAAAATTGACCAAAGAAATAGGAAAATCTACAATCATAACGGGAAATTTTAATACATATCTCTTAGTAATTGATGGGTGATAAACCATACTCAAGTGGGAAGACAATTTTTTTTTTTTTTTTTTTTTTTTAAAGACAGGCTCTTACTCTGTCACCAGGCGGAACTGCAGTGGAGTCATCTCAGCTTACTGCAGCCTCTACCTCCCAGGCTCAAGCAATCTGCCCACCTCAGCCTCCTGAGTAGCTGGGACTATAAGGCACATGCCACCATGTCTGGCTGATTTTTATATTTTTTTGCAGATATGGGGTTTTGCCATGTTGCCCAGGCTAGTCTCGAACTTATGAGTTCAAGGGATCTGCCCACCTCAGTCTCCCAAAGTGCTGGGATTACAGGCATGCACCACCGTGCCCGGCTGACAAAATTTTATAAAAGATTTCAGTTCTTCTCAAATTGATAAAAATTAAGTGCACTGCCAAACACATCACAATTATTTTGTGGAACTTCATGAAGTTATTCATAAGTTTATATGAAACAAAAAAGTTCTGAGAAATACCAAAACATTCCTAAGAATATGAAAAGTGCTTTCTTTACAGATATAAGTAATAAGACAGTGTGCTGTTGGCATAAAGACAAATAGACCAGTGGAATCGAGTAGAGAGCCTATATTCCTCACATATATGGAAAATAATCTCACATAAAAATGAATTATTGATGGATTAAGGATTTCAATGTGAAAGACAGATTTAGAGCAGTAATAGTGATGATGCAGGAGAGGTGCAGTGGCTCACACCTGTAATCCCAGCACTTTGGGAGGTTGAGGCAGGAGGATCGCTTGCATCCAGCAGTCAAGACCAGCCTGGGCAACATAGGACCCCTGTCTGTATAAAAAAAAAAAAAAAAAATGGACATGGTGTTGCATGCCTATAGCCCCAGCTACTTGGTAGGCTGAGGTGGGAGGATCGCTTTGAGCCCAAGAGGTCACCTAAGCTGCAGTGAGCTGTGATTGCGCCACTGCACTCCAGCCTGGGCAACAGAGCAAGACCTCTTCTCAAAAAAAGAGATCGGGGGCCGGCCAGGCATGGTGGCTCACACAAGTAATCCCAACACTTTGGGAGTTGAGGTGGGCAGATCACTTGAGGTCAGGAGTTCGAGACCAGCCTGGCCAACATGGTGAAACCCTGTCTCTACTTTAAAAAAAAAAAAGGGTGGGGGGGACACGGGGCGGGGGGCAAAAGTGATGAACAGTACACAAATAGCCCATAAATATATGAGAAGATATTTAACTTCATCTCATCAGCAAACATCACAGTGGAGTACTGGTAGAAACTTATGAGGTAAACAAAAATTACTACCAGTATTCAAATGATGCAGGGTAATGGAAACTCTTGTGTGGTATTGATGGGATAGAAATTGGTATACCCTGAAGTACAATCCAGCAACATTCTGGTGAAGTTAAAGATGCGCCAACTGGATGATCCAGCTGTTTCACTCCTGTTGTGCTCCCAGTTATATACTGCTGATACCCACCAAACTAGAAGAAATGCTTGTTCATGTACACTGAGAGACGTTTCCAAGAATATCTGTAGTGTGCTTATCATAGCAAAAAAATTGGAAGCAACCCAAATATCTGTCACTAATAAAATGGATGATTTCCTAGTCCACTCTACAGTCTGTTATTTTTGAGACTGTGTGGATAGTATAAACCAGTTATTATAAAAAAGCCTTTGCCAAAAACAGCAATGAAAATGAATTAAGGTATACATGGCAACTTGGATGAATCTCACAAACATAAGGTTTCTCAAAGATGGTTGCAGAATACATACAGTATGATACCATTTATAAATGTTTCAAAACCAATATAGCTCTAAAACCAATATAGTTTCAAAAGCAATATAGCACATGCTGTATTGCTAAGAAATACATACATTTGTAATGAAAATGCATAAAAGCGCAGGGAAGACAAGGGAAATTATGAGGGGAGTTATACAAGGGGAGTTTAATGTGTTTGTAATGTTTCTTTTTTTAAGCTGGGTATTAGGTATTTCTTATGCCTTTTAAAATATTGCCTAATATTTTAAAACATTGAATGGATATGGAAATTCTCTGTATTTAATAACTTTATTGAAAAAAGTTTAAGGACTCGTTTACTTGTTTTCTGACTGGCAGTAAGTCTGTCATCTAATGAGATCTTAAAATAGAAAGGGGTAACCTAGAAAAGAGTAACAGCATAGTAGTGGGGATGCTATTTTGATTCTTTTCACGCAATTGAAGGCCTACAGCCTTTTCCTTCTGTTATAAGGAATAAACTGCTCTACAGATTGTTATTTTTGAAACTGTGTGGATAGTATAAAACCAGTTGTTATAAAATGCCTTTTTCAAATTAAGGGGTAATGTAGTAACCAGTGTTAGTTTCCAACCAAAATGTAACTTCCTTACATCAAAGCATTTTAGAGGGGAATGTATATTCTATTTTTGTGTAGCTGGTATAGAAAATTATTATTCTTGGAAGAATACATATTTGTACAGGTTTTCTCGTTTCATATGGGTTTGTGTATCAGATTTTAGAACTGAATAATGTAATGATGCTGAACTTGTACTCTTAAGGGCTCCCTGGTTTATTTGAATTAATTTTTTTTAAACAAAGGTGTACGCCCCAAGTTGGGACGCCGGCATAGTATGGAAAATATGGAACTTATGAAGTTAACACCAGAAAAGGTGGGTGGCAGGTTTTATGTTTTAAATTTCATGAACTATTATAAAATGTTTTAGTAATTTTTAATTTAATGAAATAATTTAAATAAGGCTTGCCCTATATAGGTATCACTTTAAAATTTGCCTGTAAAAAAAAAGTCAGAAAAAGTATAGTGCAAAAAGAATGAGTACCGTATGCTGCCATCTGTTTAAGAAAAATACATGCATATATTTCCTTTGTAGATTCCTAAAACATTCTGGAATAAGATATAAGAAACGGGCTAACAATGATTTCTTCTGGGAAGAGGACTGAGTGTCTGGGTTAGGCTAGAAATACTTTATATACCAGTTTGAACTGTTTGAATCATTTACTATGCAAATGTATTACTTTTAATTAATAGAAGATCAGGAAGATCAAAAGGACAAGCTTTTTTCCCCAACTACATAGCAACATTATTGCCAAGATAAATGAAATTTATGATCAAGAGGAGAGTTGTTTTTCTGGCTGCATTCTTGAAAAGCATTTTTTTTTAACAAGTACTTTGTATTGAAGATACATCTTCCCTAGGCTTTTTCTTGCAGGAGAGGGGTGCACAGTAAAAGGGAAGGGACTTCATAATTAGAAACAGGTTATTGAAGAAAACATCAAGGCTACTTTTTTCCGTTTCCTTTGAACTGAATAATTACATTGTCAAAATAGGCTCTCGGCCGGGCACGGTGGCTCGCGCCTGTAATCCCAGCACTTTGGGAGGCCGAGGTGGGTGGATCACGAGGTCAGGAGATCGAGACCATCCTGGCCAACATGGTGAAACCCTGTCTTTACTAAAAATACAAAAATTAGCTGGGTGTGGTGGTGTCCGCCTATAGTCCCAGCTACTCGGGAGGCTGAGGCAGGAGAATCGCTTGAACCTGGGAGGCGGAGGTTGCAGTGAGCTGAGATCGCGCCACTGTACTCCAGCCTGGCAACAGAGCGAGACTTGTCTCAAAAAAAAAAAAAAAAAAATAGGTTCTCATTCTTTTATGTATATTTTTATTTCTTTTTTTTCTTTTTTGTTTTTTTTGAGACGGAGTCTCGCTCTTTGGCCAGGCTGGAGTGCAGTGGCGCGATCTCAGCTCACTGCACCCTCCACCTCCCAGGTTCATGCGATTCTCCTGCCTCAGCCTCCCGGGTAGCTGGGACTGCAGGCGGGCACCACCACACCCAGCTAATGTTTGTATTTTTAGTAAAGACAGGGTTTCACCGTGTTGGCCACGATGGTCTCGATCTCCTGACCTCGTGTTCCGCCCACCTCTGCCTCCCAAAGTGCTGGGATTACAGGCGTGAGCCACTGCTCCTGGCCTTTCTTTATTTTACTTATTTTATTTAGCCACTGTGGTATATTTTTAAAAATGCTTTTATAAAATACCTTCATTACAGCAACTTTAGAAAATCTGAACACAGAAATCAAGATAATCAGTAATTCTGCCTCCTGATGGTAACTGCAGTTATTTTGGCATCTATTCATCTGGCATTTTCATATGGATATTATAGACACTATTTTCTAATATGTGGTGATCTATCAAGAACATCTTTCCAGCTGGACGCAGTGGCTCATGCCTGTAATCCCAGCACTTTGGGAGGCTGAGGCAGGCAGATCACTTGAACCCCAGAGTTTGAGACCAGCCTGGGCAACATGGCAAAAACCTGTCTATACAAAAAAAAAAAAAAAAGATAGAAAAATTAGCTGGGCCTGGTGTCACATGCCATGCCTGTAGTCCCAGCTACCTGGGAGGCTGAGGCAGGAGTATCGTTTGAGCCTGGGATGCAGAGGTTGCAATAAGCCATGATTGTGGCACTGCACTCTAGCCTGGGTGACAGAGTGAGACCCTGTCTCTGAAAAAAAAAAAAGAAAAAGGAACATCTTTCCATGTCATTAAATATTCTTCTGCCCTATCATTATAACAATAACATATGATTTTTCAATAGTGATAGTTTATGTGTGAATAGTCTTCAAAAAACCAAAATCTAATTGTGTGAGAATCATATCCAAAATATTTTTATTCCAGCCATTCACAGAGTTATTTGGAAACTCTAGTAATTTTTAAAGGACTTTGTGATTTTCCCAAATGTCCAGCTCTTCTCTGTGAGTGGTTCTCAAATATAAATTTGTTAAATCCACAAATTATTTTTAAAAGCTTTTAAAAAGGCCATTTTTGTCTACTTTCTTCTTTTAGGAACATACTAATAAGTAGCAAAATTAATTTGCTTTCTTCTGCCTACCTATGTAGTGGTACTAACAGTGTTATGTAAGAAGCTGACCAGATTCAACCTTGTAATTCTCCAAGAGCCAAGTGATAAAATTCTATCCTTAATGTAAAATATGTTTAAGTGTAATTAGTTCTTTGTATTGGTTTCTTTTCCTCATAATAAAGCTGTCAAAGAATTCATTATTTCATTATTCTCAACATAGTAAAGAAGCATACATAAGGAAAAAGGGAGACTTCTAGGTTAAGAGGCTTCCTGGGAGAGTGTGCAGTGGGAGGGAACTTTTGAGACTTGGATGCCTGAACTTGGATATGTGAAAATGTCTTTACTAACCTCACATTTGATAATTTTGCTGACTTTAGAATTCTTGGTTAGAAATAATTTTTCTTCACAGTTTTTAAGACATTGCTTCGCCCTGTATTCTTGTTTTCAGTATTGTTGAGAAGTTCAAATAAATATATAAGGAACATTTTTAATTTTTCTTCTTGGGTTTTGGGTGCAGTTTTATGTTCTCACATCAAGGACCATTTTCCTTTTCTCTAAACAATAGACCACGAAATCCACTGTAGTAAATAATTTCCCCTTATAACCTGTATGTGAAAAGGAATCGATGGCTTGGTTCACTTACTAGCTACATGTTTTAAAAACAGCAACAAGGCCGGGCGCAGTGGCTCACGCCTGTAATCTCAGCACTTTGGGAGGCCGAGGCGGGTGGATCACGAGGTCAAGAGATCGAGACCATCCTGGCCAACATGGTGAAACCCCGTCTCTACTAAAAATACAAAAAATTAGCCGGGCATGGTGGTGGGCACCTGTAGTCTCAGCTACTCAGGAGGCTGAGGCAGGAGAATCATTTGAACCTGGGAGGCGGAGGTTGCAGTGAGCCGAGATCGTGCCACTGCACTCCAGCCTGGCAACAGAGTGAGACTCCGTCTCAAAAAAATTTAAAAAAAGCAACAAATGTATACACACACACACACACATATATATATATATATATATATATATATATATATATATATATATATATATATATAAATGAGTTCTCACTATGTTGTCCAGGCTCAAGCAATCCTCAAATTCCTGGGCTCAAGCAATCCTTGTGCCTCAGCCTCCTGAGTAGCTGGGATTACAAGTGTGAGCCACCATCCCTAGCTACATGTCTCACTCCCCTGTACATTTATTTCAATTTGTGTCTCATGGGGCACTTTTCTGGATTGGTGGAAATGTTCTTTGTATTGATTGGAGTAGGGTTTATATGGCTTCCAATCATAGACTTAAAATCTGTGCATTTGACTGTAATTTTACCTACGAAAAAATGTGTGTCACTAAAATTATTACATAGCATGAACCTTTAGACTTACTTGTAAACATTTAAGACTGAATGTTAAAGCTGCAAATGTCAGAGCTATTGTATGTAGTGCATATTTTTCCACTGTACTCAATAAATGTTATTTTGTTATTTGTAGGCTGTCATGTATTTAAACCAGATCTAGACCTTTATAAATTGGTTTCGCCTATTGAGAATTTAGTATGGTATTAGTAAAAACAGTACCGTTTTATTTTTTAAAATTACTATGTTTTATATATTAATTTTTATGTTTAAAAATTCTACATACATCCAAAAATTCCAGTTGTAACAGATTTTTAAGTAACTCACGTCTAGAGTAAAACTTTGGCTCCTTCTCTGACCATTCATATTTTATTTTTACAGAGTTTTGGTAAACCTTGCTTTCTTATTCGTAGGTTCTTAAAAACCAGCATTTTAATGTTTTGATAATGAGAATCCACAGTATGCATTTGGTACAAGTCTTGAAAATAGTGCAATATACTAAAAAGGATATTTTTAAAGAGATCTAAAATTCTTCCTCTCTCCCCCAATAGTAAATAAGTGAGTACGTCAGGTTAATATTATGGGAAACCAGAAGAGAGCTGGGGATTTGGGGGTGTTTATTCACCTGCCTTCCATTTATAATTTTGTAGGTACAGAACTGGAACAGTGAAATTCTTGCTAAGCAAAAACCTCTTATTGCCAAACCTTCTGCAAAGCTACTCTTTGTCAACAGACTGAAGGGGAAAAAATACAAAACGAATTCCTCCACTAAAGTTCTCCAAGATGCCAGTAATTCTATTGACCACCGAATTCCAAATTCTCAGAGGGTACGTTTAAACTAAGTTTTTGAGTATTGTGTTTTGAGTACCGACATTTGGGTTTTCTTGTATTCATGCTGAATTTTTAGTAATTTAAATTAGACATTTAATATAAAATATCTTTGTATTCATATTTCCCTATCTTTTCTATCTTCTTCAAAATTAGAAATGGTAATTACTGTCTTAGTAGATAAGTTGCTTCCTTGTATTGGACAGTAATTATTTCTTTTTCTTTTTTTTTTCTCGAGATGGAATCTTGCTCTGTCACCCAGGCTGGAGTTCAGTGGCGCAATCTCAGCTCACTGTGACCTCTGCCTCCCGGGTTCAAGCGATTCTCCTGCCTCAGCCTCCCGAGTAGCTGCGATTACAGGTGCACACCACCATGCCCGGCTAATTTTTGTATTTTCAGTAGAGACGGGGTTTCACCACGTTGGCCAGGCTGGTGTCAAACTCCTGAACTCAAATGATTTGCCTGCCTTGGCCTCCCAAAGTGCTGGGATTACAGGTGTGAGGCACTGCGCCTGGCCAATAATTATTTATTTGAGTCACTATTGTTTGCAAAAATACTACCAGTTATTTCACTGCATTGTCTCCCAGTAAAACCACCCTCTACTCAGCTCAGAAGGCAGAACAAATTAAATTCAGATGCTCAAGGATTTCTAAATATTAATTTAGAATGAAAAGTGTCTGTTAGCATCTACTTGTATTAATCACATTATTGAAACTACAATGATAGAATTACAAACTTTTGATGAAAAATGAGCCTGGGCAACATGGTGAAACTCTGTCTCTACCAAAAAATAAAAAGTTAGCCAGGTATGGTGGTATATGCCTATGGTCCCAGAGCCTAGGAGGTGGAGGTTGCAGTGAGCTGAGATCATGCCACTACACTCCAGCCTGGGCAACAGAGCAAGACCCTGTCTCAAAAAAAAGAGAAAAATGATCATAACAATCAGTTTATTTAATTTATTTAGAAATAAAAATACCGTGGGTTTACTGATAATCAGTATCAGGGAAATCTCGAATCCAGCTACCCCATAATCTGGTAAAAGGATCAAAGTACATTACAAAGAAGGTACTTCATATTATCAAATCCATTTATCTGCCGGGTGCAGTGGCTCATGCCTGTAATCCCAGCACTTTGGGAGGCAAAGGTGGGTAGATCTCCTGAATTTAGGAGTTTGAAATCAGCCTAGCCAATGTGGTAAAACCCTGTCTCTACCAAAAATACAAAAAATAACCTGGGTGTGGTGGCACACACCTGTGGTCCCAGCTACTCAGGAGACTGGGGTGGGAGGACTGCTTGAGCCTGGGAGGCAGAGGTTGCAGTGAGCTGAGATTGCGCCACTGCACTCCAACCTGGGTGACAGAGTGAGACCCCATCTCAAAAAAAATAAAATAAAATTGGCTGGGCGCAGTGGCTCATACCTGTAATCCCAGCACTTCGGGAGGCCAAGGCAGGCGGATCACTTGAAGTCAGGAGTTCAAGACCAACCTGGCCAACATAGCGAAACCCCGTATCTACTAAAAATACAAAAATTAGCTGGGCGTGTTGGCACATGCCTGTAATTCCAGCTACTCGGGAGGCTGAGGCAGGAGAATTGCTTCAACCTGGGAGGTGGAGGTTGCAGCGAGCCGAGATCGCGCCACTGTACTCCAGCCTGGGTGACAGAGTGAGACTCTGTCTTAAAAAGAGTAAAATAAATAAAATCCATTTTTCCAGCAATGAGAGCCTTTGCAAAAAAAAAGCCTTTTTTTTTTAAATTAGAGATTTCTTTTGTCAGCATTTCATTTATACCTACACCTTTGTGTAGTATCTTTTGTCTCGATTTCTTTCCCCCCAGTCTGTGGTATTGTTATAGAATGCCTCGATTTTTATCAGTGGTTTCTTACATAGCTTTTCTGGGGTAGCTATGACTAATAAAAGGAAAAATTATGGGGTATATAGAAATTCAGGGATATTTTTGTAGGTCTAGAGCAGGACTGGAATTCAAGGAAGCCATGCCTTTGTTCAAGGTTTGGGGTCTTAACTAAGCTCACTTAGCTCAACTGAAAATGCCCATACTTTAGGAGCCATATGTGTTTTCACATTCAGAGTTTTGAATTCTAGGCTTTTTTGCCCCTAGGAAAAAGTCTTTTGTTGGTAATTAACACATTTGACTGTAGCTTATGTATGTATCATTCCCAAATCTCAAATTCAACACGTTAAAAACGTCTCTCAGTCACTCCTGTTTTCCTTATCCCAGTTAAAGGGATACCATTTACTCTGTCCCTAAGCCAGGAACCCCGGTGTCATGCAAGATACCCTCTTTCACTAACCACATCAAATCCACTGTGTCCCTCAGATCTGCTCTCACCCTCACCCCTTTCCAAAAATATCTGCTACCCCAGCACATTGGGAGGCCAAAGCAGACAGGTCACCTGAGGTCAGGAGTTTGAGACCAGCTTGGCCAACACGGCGAAACCCTGACTGTATAAAAAATACAAAAATTAGCCAGGTGTGGTGGCACGCACCTGTAGTCCCAGCTACTCAGGAGGCTGAGGCAGGAGAATTGCTTGAACCTGGGAGGCAGAGGTTGCAGTGAGTCAAGATCATACCACTGCACTTCAGCCTGGATGACAGAGCGAGACTCCTCAAAAAAAAAAAAAAATCTGCTACCATGTCTTAGCCTAGTACTTACTCTCTTACCTAGGCTTCAATAGGTACCTGAACTGATGTCCCTGCCTTCATTTATTATCTCTAAACAAAACTGCTTAAAATTGACTATTGCCAGTGCTCATCTTATTTCACATAGGATAAAGTCTACATTTGTTAGTATTGAATACAAAGGCCTCTTCCCTCCTCTATAGCTACCCCTGCCCTTCAGTTCATAATCAGTTGAATACTAAAAACTTTTTGGATTGCATATTAACCAGTATGAAACATCTCTCACCTCCAAATGCTTATTCATTCTTAAGGAGCCAACACAAATACATGCTATGAAATTTTCCCTATTTCTCCTAAAAATTAGTTCCTCTCTCCTCCTCAGGCCCGTAACATTTTTGTATATGTGCCTCTATTATAATATATCATTATGAAAAAATTAAAATAATTACTTGTATTAAACATTATATTCATCATTTCAGTTTTGAAGCCTTCCAAATGAAGTATAAATATAGTTCTTGCTCTCCTCACAAATATTTTTTTGAAGTTTGTATTTTTTCAGGATCTTCAAATCTAAGTATAAAAAAAAGACCTTAGAAATCACTATGGTAGGAAAATACACTTGTTTTCTTTCTTAGCTCTTACAAAGAGATAAGTGTACCTAAATTCCACTGCAGAATGTTTAGAACTGAATGTAGAGCCTGAAGTACAGGCCTGTATCACCAGTGTTTGCATAATTCAGTATCTGTAGTGGTTCTGTTAAGTCTGTTTCTTTAGCCTTAGAAATACAGGAATTAAAAAATGAAGTGCTTTTTGTTGGATTAAAATAACATTTTATTACCAATATTTGCCATCTTGTATTCTTTTTCAAAATGTCAATTTTTAATCCTCATCCTTTACCTTTTGCATTTGAATGCATCATGATGTTCATTGATGATCTAAAGATAATACTGGAATATTCAAATAAACTAGACTTCCTCTCAATATTTTAGAAAATCAGTGCAGATACTATTGGAGATGAAGGGTTCTTTGACTTATTAAGCCGATTTCAAAGCAATAGGATGGATGATCAGAGATGTTGCTTACAAGAAAAGAACTGCCATACAGCTTCAACAACAACTTCTTCCACTCCCCCTAAAATGATGCTAAAAAGTAAGTCATCTCTGTTTCTCCCCCGATTTTAATAGTTCTCTTTGATATTCTTGTGGCTTATTTCTGAGAATTGAATTCCCATCATAAGAGATATAATAAATGAGCCTGAATTCAGGTATATCTGAAATGCTGTTATTTATACAGTTCAAACAAGGTTTTTTCAGTTCCCTTACGTATATCTGTGTTTTTAGTCCAATGTGCTTTCTACTAACTATATTATACTACCTCCCTAGTTTTCTTTGAAAAATCTGTTGTGGAAAATGTGACTGTGAGCCAGGTGTGGTGGTGCATGCCTGTAATCTCAGCTACTTGGGAGGCTGAAGTGGGAGGATCGCTTGAGGTCAGGAGTTTGAGACTATAGTGTGCAATGATCGCGTTTGTGAATAGCCACTGCACTCCAGCATGGGCAACATAGTTAGACCCTATGTCTAAAAAATATATAAAAATAAAATCTGATTTTATTAATTTATTTGAGACGAGATCTTGCTGTTAGCCAAGCTGGAGTGCCAGGCCATGATCGTAGTCAGTGCAGCCTTGTCCTCTACTCTTGGGCTCAAGTGATCCTCCTACCTCAGCCTCCCAAGTAACTGGGACTACAGGCACACACCACCATGCCTGGCTAATTATTTTTATTTTTTGTGGAGATGAGGTCTTGCTGTGTTGTCCAGGCTGGTCTTGAGCTCCTGGCCTCAAGTGATCCTCCTGCCTTAGCCTCCCAAAGTGCTGGTATTCCAGGCATGAGCTACTGTGCCCAGCCTAAATATAACTTTTAAAAATAAAAATGAGGAAGAAAGGTCGTTATACATACCTTATGATTATATATAAAACGTCAATGCTTCATATCTGGATTAAAAAAGAAAAACGAAGACAGACTGAAGAGAAACATATGGCTAAGGCTGAGGCTAAGGCCTGGCTGAGTTAGAAAGGACTAAAATAGGTTACTTATATTTTTCTATTTCAGCTACCAAAAGACTTCTTGTACCATAGACCAAGACTTGCCAGCAGCACTTAACTGTTAGTTTACTAAATGATTTGTATCCAGGGCTTGGAATAAAAAACACTGTCCTACACAACCTGGTCTGAGAAATTATGTAAGAAAAACAGTTTGTTCAATTTCTGAAATCTAGTCACATATCTTATAGTTACATTTTGAGTGAGCATTAAATAGAGAAATATAGTCAAATCTGAATAACGTCCAAGTGGGTCATCTGAAGTACTCTGGGGCTCATTCTTCCCTCCAGCCAATAAAAACCACACCCATCTAGCCAAAGCCCATCAGTGTCAGCGCTATAGCAGGAGGGCAGGGCGGGTCTTGGGACTGGCAAGGCCGAAAAGATCTAGGTATATAATAAATGTGCCTAGGTTTTTTTGTTTTTTGTTTTTTGTTTTTTTTTAATCTTTGGCTTTCTTCTTCTGTTCTTAGCATCATCTGTTCCTGTGGTATCCCCCAACACGGATGAGTTTTTAGATCTTCTTGCCAGCTCACAGAGTCGCCGTCTGGATGACCAGAGGGCTAGTTTCAGTAATTTGCCAGGGCTTCGTCTAACACAAAACAGCCAGTCGGTACTTAGCCACCTGATGACTAATGACAACAAAGAGGCTGATGAAGATTTCTTTGACATCCTTGTAAAATGTCAAGTATGTCTGTATATTTTTTTCGTTCTGCATACAGCTCAGATACCACTGAAAACATTGGTAGTGTTATAATTCTCATTCAGGAAGGGCTTATTTTGTATTAGAGAGTTATTATTGTCCATCATTCAGTAAAAAATTATTGAACACCGATTATGTTTCAGCTGCTATTCTAGGCATCGAGGACACACTTGATTTTTAAAGGATCTTACATTTTAGGAGAGACGTGTGTGTGTGTGTATATATATAGAGAGAGAGTATATGTGTGTTGTATTAGGTAATTATGCTTGCTATGAAGAACTTTAAAGGAGGATAAAGGGGTAGTGGGTAAGCAAAGGTGTTGGTGGTAGGGGGAGTGTCTGTTTTAGGTAGGGTGGTTAGAGAAGACCTTTCTGGATTGTCATTTGAACAGAGACCTGAATGCAGTGAAGCAGTCAGCCATGTGAGTATCTAGAGAAAGAGTATTCCATGCAGAGACAGCAAGTCCCCTCTTGGATATAAAAGCTTAGCCAGTTCAAGGAGTGGCAGATGTGACTGGCATGGGATGAGTAGGGGAAGGGAAGAGTTGTACAAAATGAGGATGGAGAAGTAATCAGGGCCTAGATCATCTAGGCTTTTGGAGGCCATGATAAAGTCGTGTTTTAGATGTATTAGGAAGGTACTGGGAGTGTCCTCAAAGAGGATCCTGGCTACTGATGGAAGAACGTAGAGTGGCAAGGGTGTTAGTATGAAAACCAGCTAGAAAGATTGTATGGTGATGCAGGCAAAAAATATTGGTGATATGGACTAGAGTGGTAACAGTGAGAAGTAGTTAGCATAGGGCTACATTATTAGCTATTATATCAGTTATATATTATGGTTAGTTGGCAGGACCTCTTAATAAATTGAGTAGAGGGTTTCAGGGAAAGAGAATCAAGGATGACTTATACCTTGAATAACTGGGAAATGAATGGTTCTATTCACTGAAATGGAGATGACTAGAAGAAAAGCAAGTTTGGAGAGAAAAAGCAAGAGTTCTGTTTTAGACATGTTAAATTTGGTAAACTGTTAGCCAGTTCAAGGAATGGCAAGTGTGACTGGTATAGACAATGAAGTAGAGGTGTTAAATAGGCAATTTGATGTAAAATCTGGAGCCCAAGGGAGAAGTAAATTTGGGAGACATCAGCTTATAGCTGGTATTAAAGCCCTGGGAAGAAAGTACCTAAAGAATAGGACAGGAAGACTAAGCCCTGAGCATTTCAAAATCTACTGGTTAGATGGAGGAAGATGAGCTGGCAAAGAAGCAACAGCCAGAGAGTTGGAAGGATACCCCAAGGGTGGGCTGGGGAGGGGTGGGGTGTGGTGTGGTGGAAATCAAGTAAAGAGTGTATCTTAAGCAGTGCTCAACTGTGGCAAATGTTGCTAAGAACCTGAGTCAGATGATGACGGAACTACTAGATTTGATAACATGGAGATTATGAATAATTTTGAAAGATACTGTTCCAGTGGCATGGTGGGGACAAAGGATTGAGTGGGGTGAGAAAATGGGAAGTGTGAAAGGGGAGATAGTAAATATAGAAACTTTAATGGGTTAAATGGACCATTAGCTAGAAAATAAATACAAGGCAAATGTGGGGTTTTTTTTTTTCTTTTTGGGGGTGAAAACGTAGTTTATCTACAGATGGAAATGGTCAAGTAGAGAAGAGTCAGTGATGTAGGTAAGTCTGGGGTAACTGAAGAACACAGTTTTTGTGTAGGTGAGAGAGGGAAAGCAGAGTACGGATTTGGAGATGGGAGCAAGTAGGAATTCTCTCGGGCTGCTTTTATTTTCTCACCAAAGAAAGAAGTAGTCATCAGTTAAGATTGGAGTTGGGGAGCACTATAAATTTGAAGAGAAAGGAAGTGGGAAATAGTTGACTTAGAGAAACTGAAACTAGGGGGAAAGTATTAAGAACACTGTGCTGTGCTAAGAACCCACCTGAGGTTCAGTCACTGGAAGTAAAACTAGTGAGTGCAATTGTGTATTTTATCCAGTCATGGCCAGCTGCTTGAGGCACAGAGATAAATCAAGACTGCTATTTTTCCAGGAGAATGGGATTCAGGGGAGAGAATGGTAGTTGAAGACATGTGCCAGGAAGTGATTTTAATAATGGACTTAAGAATCTAGGCTGTAAGAAGGAAAATAAAGAAATGAACACTTCATAACTCATTCTGTGAGGCCAGTATTGCCAATACCAAAGCCAGACAGACACTACAAGAAAAGTACTGACCAATATCCTTCATGAATCCAGATGCAAAATCAACAAAAGCCTACAATCCAAATTTAGCAGCGCCCCTGCTGTAAAGGATTTTACACCATGACCAAGTGGGACTTATTCCCAGGACGCAAGGACTGATTGTTCAACATGTGAAAATCAATCAGTGTAACACATAATATAAACAGAATAAAGGGAAAAAACACATACAGGAAAAAAATGACAATTCAAAACTCTTTCATGATAAAAACTTAAAAATTAGCAACAGTAGGAAACTACCAGAACATAATAAAAGCCATATATGAAACATGTACCGCTGACATCATACTCAATGGTGACAGACTGAAAGCTCTCCTCCAAGATCAGGAACGAGATCAGAATGCAGGTTTTTGCCACTTCTATTCAATGTAGTACTAGAAATTCTAGCTGGAGCAATTAGGCAAAAAAAGAAAAAAAGGCATTCACATTGGAAAGGACAAAGTATCAATAAAATTGACAGAGGTAATCAACAAGTTCAACAAAGTAGCATGATACAAAATCAACACAAAAATCAGTTGTGTGTTTATACACTAACAATGAACAATTGGAAAAGAAATTTAAAATTCCATTTAAAATAGCATCAAAAAGAATAAAATACTTAGAAATTAATCACTGAGGCAAAGACTTGTATAATGAAAACCACAAAACATTGCTGAAAGAGATGAAAGAAAACAAATGGAACAATATCCCATGTTCATGGATTAGAAGACTTAATAATGTTAACATTTCGATACTATCCAAAGTGACCTACAAATTCAGTGCAATCCCTGTAAAAATCCAAATGACTTTTTCCTCCTACAGAAATAGAAAATATAGCCTAAAATTCATATAGAACCTCAAGGGATCCCCAAATATCCGAAATAGTCTTGAGAATAAAGCTTTAGGGCTCACATTTTTTTATTTCAGGTTATTACAAAGCTACATTAATCAAAGCAGTGCAGTACTGGCATAAAAGACAGACATATAGACCAATGGAATAGAATACAGATCCCAGAAATAAACCCTTGCATGTGTGGTCAAATAATATGCAACAGGGGTGCCAAGACCATTCAGTGGGGGAAAAGACAGTTTTATCAACAAATGGTTCTGGGTAAACTAGAGAGCCACATACAAAAAGAATGAAGTTGGACCCTTACCTAATACCATATGCAAAACTCAAAGTGGGCCAAAGACCTAAGCATCAGAACTAAAACTATAAAACTCAAGAGGAGCATGTGGTGGCTTATACCTGTAATCCCAGCACTTTGGGAGGCCAAGGTGGGAGGATTGCTTGAGCCCAGGAGTTCAAGACTAGACTGGGCAGCATAGTGAGACCCCATCTCTATAAAAAAATTTTTTTAAATTAATGGCACACACCTGTAGTCCCAGCTACACAGGAGGCTGAGGTGGGAGGATCACTTGAGCCTAGGAGTTCAAGGCTGCAGTGAGCCATGATCACGTCACTGTGCTCCAGCTTAGGCCACAGAGTGAGACCCTGTCTCTAAAGGGAAAAAAAAGGAAAGCCTCATGGCATTGGGTTTGGCAGTGATTTCTTGGTTATAAAACCAAAAGAGTGAGCAGGGAACAACAACAACAACGTAGACAAATTGGACTTCATAATTAAAAACTTGTGCATCAAAGGACATTATCAACAGTAAAAAGGCAACCCAACATAAAATACTTGGAAATCACATATCTGATAAAGGATTAATACCCAGAATATATAGAAAACTCCTAAAACTCAACAAAAACCAACCTGATTCAAAAATGGGCAAAGAACTGGAAGAGGCATTTCTATAGAGATAACAAGAGGCTAGAATATGACCATGGGAGCCAAATGGCTAAGGCCGAAGTGAAGGATGAGGACATTCAATCAGAGGAAGTCTAGGAACTAAGTGAGGAAGTCTAGGAACTAAGTGCCCAAGTGTTGGGTTAATTGGAGGACATTGAAATTATCAATTTATGACAGGAGAAATGAATGAGCCAGGTATGTGTGGAGGTGGCACTCACTTAGGAGGGCAGTAAATAACTGCACCCTCTGAGGGTTGTGGGCTTAAATGTTCAGGGATCTATGTCTTATCACAGTCCCTAACAATGTAGTGCATATTCAAATATCAGCTATCACACTTCTATTCTTACTCTTGAGCTACAATGCCAGAAACTATGGTGTATACTTGTAAGTGCATGTATTTTTTGACAAGTAGCATGTCTAATATAAGAATCATAATACTCAAACTTGAAAGAAAAATTCAGAGACCAGGCTCATGCCTGTAATCCCAGCATTTTGGGAGGCCAAGGCGGGTGGATCACTTGAGGTCAAGAGTTCGAGACCAGCCTGGCCAACATGGTGAAACCCCCATCTCTACTAAAAATACAAAAATTAGCCAGGTGTGGTGACGCATGCCTATAGTCTCAGCTACTGGGAGGCTGAGGCTGAAGAATCACTTGAACCTGAAAGATGGAGGTTGCAGTGAGCCAGGATCACACCACTGCAGTCCTGCCTGGATGACAGAGCGAGAATCCGTCTCAAAAAAAAAAAAAAAAAAATTCATTCTGGGCTATTTCTTAACAGATTTAACAGCCTAAGACAGAGGCAGGCAAACTTTTTCTGTAAAAGGCCAGATAGAAAATATTTTAGGCTTTGCCGCCCATATGGTATCTATTGCAACTGCCCAACTCTGCCATTTAGTAGGGAAGCAGCCATATAGATAGTATATAAACATATGTATTGATGGGAAAATGAAAATGACTTCATTTACAGAAGCCGGCACTGGGTTACAGTTTGCTGTCCCCTAGCCTAAGACGTGATTTTTTTAAGGTAGTTCCTCATGGGGTTTGTACATATTTCTAAAGATTTGTTAAGTTACACAGTTGATGCCTGTTAGATTATAACCTTGAACTGTCATACTTAGATACAGTTGACCTTGTCTTTTATCCTTGTGACCAATTATAATTAAAACAGTATGACTTAACATAATGCACGTACTAAACCAATGAAGCAGCTATACCTATATAAGCCATTTTAAAGGAAAAATTTTATGCAGTTTCAGGTTTAAAGATTATTTCTTTCAGAAATCAGGCTGGGAACTAAAGAGAACAATATAAAAACAAAGATTAATTTCTGAGAAGCCCCAAATAAAAGTTTACAACTGCGTTTTCTTGTTGTGACTGAGAGATTTAACATAGCTTGGTGCTTTCTTTCCCACAGTATGTCTTTTAATCTCTCTCATAAACTTCTAGGGATCCAGATTAGATGATCAAAGATGTGCTCCACCACCTGCTACCACAAAGGGTCCGACAGTACCAGATGAAGACTTTTTCAGCCTTATTTTACGGTCCCAGGGAAAGAGAATGGATGAACAGAGAGTTCTTTTACAAAGAGATCAAAACAGAGACACTGACTTTGGGCTAAAGGACTTTTTGCAAAATAATGCTTTGTTGGAGTTTAAAAATTCAGGGAAAAAATCGGCAGACCATTAGTTACTATGGATTTATTTTTTTTCCTTTCAAACACGGTAAGGAAACAATCTATTACTTTTTTCCTTAAAAGGAGAATTTATAGCACTGTAATACAGCTTAAAATATTTTTAGAATGATGTAAATAGTTAACCTTCAGTAGTCTATTAAGGCATTAATACTTCTCTGGACATGCGCGTTTGAGGGTGGAGGGGTCCTGTAAGGTGCTTCATCGTCTGTGATTACTGCTTGGGATGTGTTCTTTGGCAGCTTGTGAGATTACTTTACCTAGTGTTTATAAAGTAGGAAGTTAAGTGAATCATAGATTAGAATTTAATACTCTTATGGAAATAATTTTTTAACATCTTAATTGACAATGGCGTTTTTTTATACATAACCATGGATGTAGTGGGAAACAATGTTGTTTGGTAAAAATAATGTACTTGATCAATGTAAAAAAGTATATAAAATAGTCTTACTAAAAATCTAGGTTTTTTTTTCCTCCATGAAAATCTGTTTTTTTAGGCCAAAGTCAGTATAAAAGAAACTCTACTTCTTGGGCTGGGCATGGTGGCTCATTCCTGTAATCCCAGCACATTGGGAGGCTGAGGCAGGAGGATCGCTTGAGGCTAGGAGTTCAAGACCAACCTGGGCAACATAGACCCCCGTGTCTATGAAAAATAAATCAGCAGCCAGGCGCAGTGGCTCACACCTGTAATCCCAGCACTTTGGGAGGCCGAAGCGGGCGGATCACTTGAGGTCGGGAGTTTGAGACCAGCCTGGCCAACATAGTGAAACCCTGTCTCTACTAAAAATACAAAAATTAGCTGGGCATGGTGGCATGCGCCTGTAGTTTCAGCTACTTGGGAGGCTGAGGCAGGAGAATCACTTGAACCCCTGGGAGGCAGAGATTGCAGTGAGCTGAGACCAAGCCACTGGACTCCAGCCTGAGTGACAGAGCAAGACTCTGTCTCAAAAAAAAAAAAAACAGCAAGCATGCTGGCACACACCTGTAGTCCCAACTGCTTAAGAGGCTGAGGCAGGAGGACCACTTGAGCCCAGGAGGTGGAGGCTGCACTGAGCTATGATCGTGCCACTGCACTCCAGCCTGGGTGACAGAGCAAGACCCTGTCTCTAGAAAACAAGTATCTTTTGTGTGTTTTGGGCTGTTTAAAAAAATTATTTAAAATGGTCTCTTCTGTTCCATAATACTGCTGTAAAACAAACTTTTCTAAGTTCTAATATAAAAACAAAAAACAAAACCCATGTGGTTAGGTCAAGAACCTAGGACACATAAACAAACAGAAAACAGATGAAAACTCACAAAAATTAAATATGAAAGAAAGATGTCAGCTAGAACCTTAGTTGTCATTAAGCTTTGTCTTCCTTATCCCAGATATTGAAGGCAGTTTACAAGGGGATGATAACAAAGTAACTAACTAACTGTAGCAAAAGACAAGTATGGGACAGACTGGGACCTGGAGTAACACTGGATCACAGACTGCAAAGGCCCACGCTTGGAACAAGTTGCCAACTTGTTTCACTCTGCTTGCTTCAGACTGTGCACAGCTGGGATGGGATCTGGGGATGTGGACCCCTATTCTTTCAAAAAGTCATTCAGGTGATTTGGATGGGCAAATAGAACTATTTCTCTAATGGCCAATGTTTTTTAAGAGTCATAACCTGGAATTAATTACATTAAGTGCTCAGCTAAAAAAAAAAAAAAAGTTCTAAATTACAACCTGGATTACATTATGTTTCATGTATACTATAAGGTATGATGTCCTGGATAGCATTTTAAAAACTCAGGTAAGTTTCATGGGGTTCTTATAAGAAAATTCAGTTAAGACAATATACCAAACCACAACGTAAAAAGTTTGTGTATACAAACTTTTTGTATTATTTGTACACAAAGTACAAATTTGTATTTGTACACAAAGTACAAACTTTGTGTATTATTTTGTGTATACAATAGTTCTTACAGCCTGTAAACATTCAACATTATTCCATTTAAACATTGTTTTTAACAGCTGTCTACCCTGTTCTGATTTTCCTAAAAGCTTCACACTATATAGGCTGGGCACAATGGCTCATGCCTGTAATCCCAGCACTTTGGGAGGCCGACAAGGGCGGGTCACTTGAGGTCAGGAGTTCGAGACCAGCCTGACCAACATGGTGAAACCCCATCTCTACTAAAAAATACAAAAATTAGCCAGGCATGGTGATGCACATCTGTAATCCTAGCTACTCGGGAGACTGAGGCAGGAGAATCTCTTGAACCTGGGAGGTGGAGGTTGCAGTGAGCCGAGATTGTACCACCTCACTCCAGCCTGGGTGACAGAGCAAAACTCTCAAAAAAAAGTAAAATTTCAAAAAAGCTTCACAATATAAACCTTAATTTTAATGACATATTGGCTAGTCAATAAACAAGTCTTATCTCATCTCATCTCTTTTCTGATAACAAACACCCGATGTGTTCAATTTGCTTTCATATTTAAGTCTTTCCTGAATTGCTGTCATCATTCAACAACAGTTGCATGTCGCCTTGCTAGCTGTCAAAGTAGACTTCATCCCCAAATGGATATCTGTAATGAAAGAATACAAAGGTGAAATTTTATTTAAAAATTTTTTAAAAGAATTTGGTTTTGGATTAAAAGGCATGCAAGCAGCATTAATTCCACTCACAGTTACAGTCTATCACCTGGGGCATTCACTACTTTTCAGAGTCAGATCACAGTTCAAAAGACAGCTCTCACCTTGGGGGCATATTCCCCAAGTCAGTGTGAACATGTCTTGTCCCAAGAGGACACTTTATACGCATGGATGTTCACAAATTTATTCTAAACTGCAGGTGTCTGTCAGGATTCATTTGTTAAACATGTCCTCTGTGTTAAAAATCCTAAAATCCTTTTGCATTTCTTAGAAAAAATCACGTTTCTGATGAAATTCTAAAGATGTTTGCAATATTAAACTAGAATATATTAACATGTATAATTTTGAGACAAGGTCTTGCTCTGTCACCCAGGCTGGAGTACAGTGGCTCGATCATAACTCACTGCCACCTCACGATCCTCTTGCCTCAGCCCTCCAAGTAGCTGGGACTACAGGCGTGTACCACCATGCCTGGCTAGTTTTATTTTTAGTACATAGCCTTGAACAACTGAGCTTAAGCGATCATCCTCCCTCAACCTTCCAAAGTGCTAGGACTGTAGGCATGAGCCACTGCACCTGGCCTAAAATTACATTGTTACAGGCACGTAAGTAACACTTCCTGGATCCAAAAATGTGTATTCTGCATTTCAACAACTGAACTTAAGCGATCATCCTCCCTCAACCTTCCAAAGTGCTAGGACTGTAGGCATGAGCCACTGCACCTGGCCTAAAATTACATTGTTACAGGCACGTAAGTAACACTTCCTGGATCCAAAAATGTGTATTCTGCATTTCAACAACTGAACTTAAGCGATCATCCTCCCTCAACCTTCCAAAGTGCTAGGACTGTAGGCATGAGCCACTGCACCTGGCCTAAAATTACATTGTTACAGGCACGTAAGTAACACTTCCTGGATCCAAAAATGTGTATTCTGCATTTCATATTAAAATAAAAAAGCAAGTGCTTGGGATACAAATATCTGCATGAAAATTTAAAGACTTTATTCCTGACTGGTATCACTTTTAGTAAGCAGTTGAACATAACTTGTAGTGTGAATATGGTTAAAACAAAGGACACCTGATGTCTGTGAAGTCTGCTAAGGACAGGTACAAAATTTATGCATTGCTTTTTAAAAAGTTTAAAATGAGGAATGCTTTTGATAATCAGAAAGACTAATGTAAAGTGCTGACTGATGTCCTGTCTGCAGTTAAGGAAGACACCCAACTCTCTTCTTCCTCATCATGGTATTCTCTATGTATAGATCTCTAAAAATGCAAACTTCCTATGGACAAGACAATATGATTTGCTATAATATGAATTAAGATATGGTAATATCTAATAGTCTCCACTGCTAGGATTCTGAGTAACACAAAAAATAGGTTTTATAAAAAGCCCATGCACTTCAATTGGTGGGGGAAAAGAATAAAGTCATTTTCAGTCGACTGACTCTGTAAAACAGATTACCAATATAACAAGCTATGTTATCTAAATTGCCCTGGCAGTCTTCAGTTTTCTCTAAGTAAACAAAGTAAAAGGAACAATAAGGATGCAGGCGTAGTAATAGCTGTGGAAAAGATGAAACTACAGCCACAGTGACCTGTGGGCAGCCTGCGTAGAGATAAGCTGAGGTGTCAGTCAGACTGATCCTGGTAACGATACTCCATGGCTGCATGAAGATGCTGGAGGCATCAAGTGGGTGGCCTTAACTCTAGTGGATTCACTAGGCAATGTAAATTGGTTAGTGGGTTCCCGTAAGTGCCTGTAACAATAAAATTTCTTTTTCAATGTCCCCAATTCAAACTGGCCTCCTTAACTATCCAGAATCAGTGATGCCTGTCATCTGTTCATCTTAAAATAAACACTTCTTACTTTATGGGATGTAAATATCAAAGAGAAGATGAAATGAAAAGCTTTTACATATATAACGTGTTTGTTAATTCTAATTGTCAGTAAAAATGTGAATGTTGAAGTTGAAATGTGAATGTTGAAGTTGGCACCTTTGTAGTAATCAGAATTCTTGCAGAGAAGAGAAAGAGAGTGAAGAGTATACTTTACAAAGCTCGAAGGAGACTTGAGGCTGTCGTTTGTGCTGGTGTTCCTCTAGCCACAGGGGCTGCTGACCGGATCCTGTCCACGTGGTCCAGCCACACCTCTTGCGGGGCTGTATGTGCTGCCTTGGTCTGGGCTGCCTGCGGCTTCAGACTTGAGCTGGGCCTTTTCCGCTGCGGGTGAACCTTCTGTATTCCCTGATGTGTCTTGGCCAGAGACAGGCTTGGCCGACTGGCTGCTTTCAGTACTGCTTTCTTTCGGTGTGCCTTCCCCCAGGATTCCACCTGTCTCCTTGGGCTTTGTATCCAAAACAGGTGATTTATGCTATAAAGTACAAAATTACATTTTAACTGTTTAATGTAATGTGAAGTCTTAGTAATCAAACATATCTAAAAAGTTCCCACCCAAATCCGTTGTAGCAAGCTCCAAACTCTTTCAAATCCAGGGTCCAGTGCTGGGTTATAATTATATAAATGTTATTATACCTCACCAAACTCCACAGTACTCCCACAGAGGAGTGGGAACGCTTAGCGCATATACTGGGTGGTCTAGTGGCCCAGCTTAGAAGGGGTCAAGAGAATTGGTCATCAGTATTGTCAACTTCTCTTGCCTGGTGAGAATAATTCATTTGACAAATATTTCTTGAGCATATATTAAGTTCTAGGTGTTAGGGATACAGCAGGAACAAAATACATAAAACTGTTCTCACTGGAACTTATATTTAGGTTAGAAGAAAATCACACAAGTGTGATATGTTGAATTAAAGAGGCTATGTAAAAAAAGCAGAGAAGAGATGAGTGCTGAATGTGGGTGGGCTGGCAGGGTCAAATTACAGTTTAAATTAGGGTGGTCTGAAAAAGTGATATGGTTAGGCATGGTGGCTCACACCTGTAATCCCATAACTTTGGGAGGCCAAGGTGAGAAGACTGCTTGAGGCCAGGAGTTTGAGACCAGCCTGGGTAACAGCAAGACCCCATATCCACAAAAAATAAAAAATATTAGCCAGGCATGGTCGTATATGCCTATAGTCCTAGTTACTCAGAAGGCTGAGGCAAAAGAATCGGTTGAGCCCAGGATTTTGAGGCTGCAATGAGCTATGATCACTGCACCCCAGCCTTGACCACAGAGTGAGACCTTGTCTCCAAAAATAATAAAAATGAGTAAAGGCCTGAAGAAAGTAACCATATGATTGATATATAAATGAAGACTGTAGAATGAACAGCAGGTACAAAGGCTCTCAAGTTCAAGGAACAGTCAGGAGCCCTTATGGCTAAAGTAGAGTAAGCACGGAGGGAGAAGAGGTGACCAGAGAGGTAGTGGATGTGGGGGAAGGGGAGACCAAGGAGGCTTCCAGGCCATTGTAATACTGGCTTTCCCCTCAAGTGAGATAGGAAGTCACTGGAAGACTTCTGAGATAGGTGACAGGTAATTACTAACTATAAAAGCTGGAAGGACCATCTTAAGTTGTTTTTTTTTTTTTTTTTTTTTTTTTGAGACGACGTCTCACTCTGTCACCCAGGCTGGAGTGCAATGGCACGATCTCGGCTCACTGCAACCTCCGCCCCCTGGAATCAAGCAATTCTCCTGTCTCAGCCTCCCAAGTAGCTGGGATTACAGGTGCATACCACATCACGCCTGGCTAATTTTCTTGTATTTTCAGTAGAGATGGGGCTTTGCCACGTTGGCCAGGCTGGTCTTGAACTGCAGACCTCCAGTGATCCGCCTGCCTCGGCCTCCCAGTGCTGGGATCACAGGCGTGAGCCGCCGCGCCTGGTCCATCTTTCTAGATACATGTAGATATGTTTATTTTTATATGAAACTATGGGAAGGGATTCTATAATTTCCCAGATTCTATTATGCTCATAACTGTTTCAAAGGTTTAACAGCTGCAATTTAAACATTTCAAATGACAATACAAATTCCTCTCTCAAACAGAAATGGAAATGTCCCTTTAAAAGACTGATAATGGTGAAAAACTTCTTCTTACCATTCTACAGGTAAAAAGTATAGTCTAGCCAGCCAATGACACTGAAGATTTGGGGAAGCAATGTTTTTGATCCCTGGCCCCAGCCCACTCTTCCATCCAGCTAATCCTTTAGGGCTCTACTGTACCTTCCCTAGAGCTCCGGGCCTTCAGTGATGCCTTCTCTCTGATCTCTTCAAAGATAGAAATTTCTGTCATGCTCATACGCTGGCTTCCCATGAAGGTTCATATGAATTACCATCTGCTCTAACAAACTACTGTTAAATTGTATTTTACATAAAAGTTAAATCTAATTTTATTTCTTCTGAGGAAGCTGAACTAACTTTTGACCAGAAAGGGGAGAGAGTGAGTGGCTGTATCACTCATGATATAATTAAGGGTGAGGGGTAAAAGAGTAAAAACAATCAGACCTCTTCCAGAAGGATTTAGAACCAGTAATGAAGGGACAGCAGAATAAAAGAGTTGCTGACTTACACTGGGTACCACCGTGGGATGCTCTCGTGCCTCTGCGTCTGGTACATCAAATGCCCGGAGCACTTCAGGGCTCTTGTTGCCAGTCTGAAATCTCAAGTCAACATCTCTCTCTCTCAAAATCTCTCTTCTACCCTCATACGTTTTGGCATAAGGGCCTTGCTCAGTGGGGCCCATTTGGCCCCTATAATGGAAATCGGCATCACCTGCTCCACCATCAGGTCTATAATCAATTTCCTCCTGCCGTCTTCTATCCCGTGGCCGAAGTGCCTGGGGAGGTTCGCTCTCAGGACCGCCTATATGTCTCAGCACATGAACTGATTTTCCAGCACCATAGCAGAAACTCTGTAAGGAAAAGAAATACATTTTCCTGAGGACTCAATGGCTAACTTACAAAAGTTATGAGGCATTTTATTCAGAGTGCTAACAAAGTTATGTAATTTAACTTACTTGTGGCATTTATAGACATAAACATGTTAATTTGACTTTTTTTCATTAGAGACCTCTTTAGATTAATACAAGGCCAGAGTGGCCAATAAAACTTAATAAATCTTTCAGTAGACATTTTAATCAGCTAGACACATTTCGATTGAACTATAACAATGGCAGGCTGAAGCCTAGATATTTAAATTAGAAGGTTCTAGTCTGATAATTATTCATGTTTCTAGATTCATGCCCATCATATAAGGTAAATGCTGAAAATATTTAAAGTTGTATATCATTATGTAAACAATCTTCTGTACATTTTCTTTTTACAAATATAAACTAGGCTTAAGTTACAGCTAAAATTCAACAGGTTTTGATTCACATTCCATGGGAAAAAGTAGGCAGCAGTTCCTTACAGTGTGGCCCAGGGACCCCCGGGGGATACCTGAGACTTTCAGGAGATCTATGAGATCAAAACTTTTCATAATACAAAGACATTATTATTTGTCTTTTTCACTGTCCCCTCCTGAATATACAACGGAGCATTCCAGATGCTAGAGTGACAGCCTCACTCAGACTCAGGGGATGCATGCTTGCGTGTACAGTACTCGTATGTTTTAAATTTGTTTTAACTCCTAATATGTAAGTATCAATAAATATAATCACCTTAAGTAAGAGCTGTTTGTGGGCTTCAATTTTTAAGACTGCAAAGAGGTCCTGAGAACAGAAACTTTGAAAATTTCTGTACTAGTTTTTCAAACACTACTATTTGAAGACAAAAGCAGCAAAAGTCAAAGAGCATAACTTTCCTGAGGGAGCACATGAAACAAAAACAGATGGTGAAGACTCTGCTGATAATTTCAGTTTCAGAGACTAAACTATGACTATAGAACTAATGTCACCTAACAAAAAAATACCCGTCAACCACATAATCCTGTAATCACAAGCCAAAAAACAAAACCAAAAAAGAAACGATTTCAAAGTGAACAGAGATAGTGAATCTTGTATCCTTAGGGAAGAGAATTTCCCTTGGCACATCTGAGTTCTTTTTGTTTTATGCGACAACTGCTTTACTTGGGTAATAGCTAAAAAATCGATAACAAAAAACACTGAATAGACCATGGAGGGATGACGAGTAATATTTCTTCTTAATGTCTGCTCCTGGATCCCCAAACTCTTTCTCAGCATACCCATGTTCTTCCACATCCCTTTCTGGTTCTGTGTCAAACTCAATGCTCTACCCTTCTCACTGCTGCAAAAACTGACTAGAAATAAGAAGTCCCCCTTTCTGGGAGACAGAAATCAACTTCCTATTTCCTGTGTATTAATTTACCAAGGTTAACACATTTAAAAAGAGGTTATTATTCTAAATCACTGCTATGACATATGCAATCAAACTAGAGAACTACTTTCTTGATTATAAAAATATACAAGTAAGTATAATATGTCTGTATCATTTAGAGGGGCAGAGGGGAGGAAAAAAATCTGTATCACTTAAAAATCGCCTTCTCATTAAGCGTGACTTAGCCTGATTTACAACATCAAAGAAGCCCAATAATTTTAGCATTGCCTTTTTTTCTGTAAATCTTGCTAAATATTGACAGTGCTAATATTTAATACTAACCAGTATTACTAATATTAATACTAAGATTTAATATAAATCTTGCTAAATACTGACAGTGCATATATATATATAAATATAAATATATAATATATAAATATATATTATATATAATAAATATATAAATATAGACAGATATATAAATATAAATATATATAGATAGATATATAAATATACATATATGTATAATTTTTTTTTTTTTTTGAGACGGAATCTTGCTCTGTCGCCCAGGCTGGAGTACAGTGGTGCGATCTCGGCTCACTGCAAGCTCCGCCTCCCAGGTTCACCCCGTTCTCCTGCCTCAGCCTCCCGAGTAGCTGGGACTACAGGCGCCCGCCACCACGCCCGGCTAATTTTTTGTATTTTTTTTAGTAGAGACAGGGTTTCACTGTGTTAGCCAGGATGGTCTCGATCTCCTGACCTCGTGATCCGCCCGCCTAGGCCTCCCAAAGTGCTGGGATTACAGGCGTGAGCCACCGCGCCTGGCCCGACAGTGCTAATATATTAATACTAACCAGGATGGCTAATGCCATAATTATCAGCACTGGAAGATGAAGCAGCGCTGGAATTTCCTTCATGAGTGCTTTAATAAATTCCCCAGTTCCTTTTCCAATATGCTTCAATGGCTCCGTTACAAATGTGGTGAATGTAACTGCAAGTGCCTAAAACGAGAGAAAAGCAACTTAATTTTCTCCTCACAGGACTAAGGTACAGAATGCATCAAAATTCATTGAGTACTGATGCTGAAAGTATGTTACATAAATTAAAATGCTGTTGTGCCATTTTTAATGTGAAAATCACTGTGCAAAAGTATTTTTTCTTGGACAAACGCTTATTAGCAAAATGACTCAAACACTAAAGTTCTTTAAAATACAAGGGATTTCTGACTGACTTTAAGTAATTTTTACAAAATATATGCTATACCTTTGTTGGTGGGACCAACCAAATAGGGTTGACTAGTAAGAGCTCATAGTATTTTTGGCATGGGTCATCCTTATAGGTCCATGAACTTCTAAACCATTCTGTTTAGAGAAACAGACAAAACACTGATCATTTCTTTTAATGTTGCATTTCATTCCCAAACAAGACATTACTTTGGTTTTGACCCTCCCTGACCACCCACCAATGAGTTTTAAATTATCTTAAGTTTTAAGTAGACTCCCTGTAATGCTGATTTTTAAATTTTTCATCTTATGTCCAAAATCATGTTTTAAAAATCCATTCAAATTATACATGTTTTATGCAGATAAAAAATTGTATTTTATAAAAATGTCTAAAAGGTAAACACTTTAAAAGCAATGCTTCACAAACACAAATGAGTACAGGTAAAATGGGAAGTCGAAATAAGACTGGTGGATTGTATCAAAGTCAATATCCTGGCTCTGATATTGTACTATTAAAGCTGTGCAAGATGTCACCACTGGAGGAAAATGGGGAAAGGGTACACGGGCTCTCTCTGTAGTATTTCTTACTGTGTGAATCCACAATTACCTCAGTAAATTTTTAATTTAAAAAGTCAGTTCTTTATGGAGTTTACAAAATAAAGTGGAATATTAGTTCTAATTTTTCCAAATCAGGCTTATATACGTTGGGAAACTAGCCTGAGCTAGAGGAGGCATTTCACTGTCCACTGAAGCCAGGAAGGAAGGCTGAATTGGTTTAGTTCCCACAACTTTTTAAGAAACATTTATTTTGGATTCCATCTGCAGAATTCCGTGTCAGTCATGGACTTGCATTTATAAAATGCCTTGGAACATTATTAAACCATCCCCATTGCTAGATACATACAACCAAAGGTAGTGAACATTCATGAGAATGTTTATAAAATGTGAAAGAATAAAAAAACTAATTTTTCCCGTAGTTAAAAAAAAGTAAAGCTACAACATAAAATTTCACAAGTCAATATAAGGCCATTAAATTTAAGATGGATATTAATTCATATATACATTCATTCACTTGTTTAATAAACTTCTATTGAGAATATGCCAGACCCTGTGCAAAGAACGAGATGAACAAAAGCGAGCATAGGATCCTTCACACAGTCTTATGAAGGAAGACAGATAATATCAGAGCCAACATATATACAACTTCTATTCCTTCCCTGTGACTTTAGATGAGCATAAAAAGTCACTGGTTTTAAACCTAAAATGCTTCTTGCATGTTCTTCTGATATTAAAGATTCAGTCATGGAAAGCCTCCTGTTATTTTATCATTCTCTTTGTTCTATGTTCTTTCATTCTCAGAATTTCTATTCAAAATAAGGACAAGTGCACAAACACCTTACCCCAGATACTTCCAGTCCAGTCCATCTTTTTGGCACACACATTGTTTAATGGCTCCATCTTGGCGACTTCAGCCTGATGCTGTGCAAAAGCTAGCTGCCCAACACCAAAAGGGAACCAGGAGAGGCCGTTACCTATGAAGGTTAGGCCTACACATCCAAAAGACCTTCATTCAAAGAGTGTCTTTACCATTCATCCAAACCAGACTGTTATAAATTTTTAATTAAAAAAAAACATATTATTATTACTATTTTTTCTCTTTTTTTCCTGAGACGGAGTCTCGCCCTGTCACCCACGCTGGTGTGCGGTGGCACAATCTCGGCTCACTGCAACCACCACCTCCCGGGTTCAAGCGATTCTCCTGCCTCAGCTTCCCGAGTAGCTGGGATTAAAGGTGCCCGCTACCACGCCCAGCTAATTTTTGTATTTTTAGTAGAGACGGGGTTTCATCATGTTGGCCAGGCTGGTCTTGAACTCCTGACCTCAAGTGATCCGCCCGCCTCAGCCTCCCAAAGTGCTAGGATTATAGGAAAACATATTATTTGTAAAGAGTAGCTATTTCCAGTTCATGGAAAAGTACAGCCTTAATGCAACAAGTAAGCATAAAGTACTAACTACAATTGCCTTCTCTGTAAGTAATTATAATGAAAAAGGGAAACTTTACTAAAAATATTGTTTTTAAAAATTAGTTCAGCCAGGCGTGATAGCACGGGCCTGTAGTCCCAGATAGGAGGCTGAGGCAAGAGAATCGCTTGAACCCGGGAGGTGGAGGTTGCATTGAGCCGAGATTTCACTACTGCACTCCAGCCTGGGGGACAGAGTGAGACTGTCTCAAAAACAACAGCAACAACAACAACAATTAGTTCTAGCCATACAAATTAAATGACTACTTCTTATTTTCTTTTATAGTTGATGATATCCTATTTTGCACTGGATAATTTCCAGTACAATGACCAATATACAATCATTAAGGTGACAATACTCAAGCAACTTTCCTTCCACACAGAATCTGTGTTTAATTTGTAAATAATTAGTTCTAAATACTATAATACTTACAGCAAAAGGTTAAGGAAATGTCACAATGCTTTAACCAGATGAAATCATTGAAAATACTTGGCTACTTGACTCACTCTGCTAGAAAGATCTAAAATTTTCTTTCAATGATTATTATTTATGCTATGTTGATGGGAACAGTAGTGGTCCTTTCCAATTTCTATATACAGTATGATCCCAACTTTGAAAGATAATTAAAATCTAGAAAAATCTAGAAAGAAATACCTTAAACTACTGACAGATTTTCTCTAGGTGATAAAATTATAGGTTATTTTAAAAATTAATTTCCTTGTATCTGCCTTTTCTAAATTCTCTGCCATGAATATACCACTTATTCAAAAAATAACCTAATTTTTAAAAAATAATATTTTGGTATCATTTCTAGCAAAGACATAGAATGACATACTCTAAATTACCTACATGATAATTTTTAAATGTATCCACATAGCTTTATTCTTTTTTTTTTCTTCCTTGTTTTTGAGACAGACCTCACTCTGTGGTCCAGGCTGGAGTGCAGCAGCGCAATCTTGGCTCACTGCAACCTCTCAGGTTCAAGCAATTCTCCTGCCTCAGCCTGCTGAGTAGCTGGGACTACAGGTGCACGTCACCAGGCCCAGCTAATTTTTGTATTTTTAGTAGAGACAGGGTTTCACCATGTTGGCCAGGCTAGTCTTGACCTCCTGACCAAGTGATCTGCCCACCTCAGCCTCCCAAAATGCTGGGATTACAGGCATGAGCCACCACACCCAACCCACCTGGCTTTATTCTGACTTAGATGCCCAAATGTTAACATTAACTGGGTTATGAAAATTAGGACTGAACTTTTTTACCCACTAACTGGTCAAGGAATCAAAAAACTGTCAGCTAAGAAGTGTCCATTTAATTCCTCTCCAGCGTGGGCCACCTCTAATCACTGCCTCCAACCCACATCCAAGGCAAGATTGCTCTCAATGGATTAGAGTCTTCTTTCATTGTGAATAAATGTGTTAAAATTGTAAAACCCTCCATCCATATAATACCTTATATAAATACATCCAATTCCATCCCAAACTGAACAGAAAGCTGATGATTAAAACACGTCTCAACTGAGTGTACCAACGTACATATGTCCACAGCTCAGTAGCCACTAAAACCACGATGCAGAGCAGACAAAGAAGTACCTTAAAACAGAGAGAAGCAGAAATCAGCCACCAAAAACACTTAAGACAGCTAAAAAGAACTGGACTCAAAAGCACAAAATCATTTCTACAATTTTGTGGCTTGTTCATCAATACGGTATAAGTGACCTAGTACAGGTTCTTAACGTAATTATGGTGGAGTTTGGAAAGTATTTTAAAAAGGAAACTTAATGACGTTGCCCTTGCCCTCATCCCATCTTACCATTAACACATTATATGGATCCACTCCAAAGGAATCTTCGAATCGCCACTTCCATGTTTCAAAATCATGAAACTTAAAATTAATTAAAATATCACTTAGTGCATCATCCAAGGCACCTGGTTTCCAGTCTTCTCCATTGAGAAACTTCTGTATTTCTAACAAAGTTTCTCTTTTAAGGATAATCTCAGCATCATAATGCATATCGCCTTTGTTTTCATCAGGCTAAATTAAATTTACCAAAAAACAAACAATAGAAAGAGAATTTTATTACTACTTGGTGAACCATTTTAAGACAAAAGCCAATTTGGAACTAAATATTAGTTTGCAGTATTTCATATGTATAAGAATAATAGCCTGGGCAAGGTAGCTCACACCTATAATCCTAGTGCTTTGACAGGCCAAGGTGGGAGGATAGCTTGAAGCCAGGACTTCAAGACCAGCCTGGGCAACAAAGCGAGACCCCATCTCTACAAAAAATTCTAACCATTAGCTGTGTGCAGTGGTGTGCACCTGGCTCCTGCCTACTCAGCAGGCTGAGGCAGAAGAATTGTCTGTGCCCCGGATTCGAGGCTGCAGTAAGCTATGAGCATACCACTGCACTCCAGCATGGGAGACAGAGTAAGACCCTGTCTCTAAAAAAAAAAAATAATAATAATATCCACCTGTCTTCACAGGCCAACATGAAAACCAAAGATAATATACATGAAAAACATTTAAAAATTCTAGAACTCTATGTAAAAAAGATACTGTAAATTTCACTAAAATACAGTTGATTCTTGCTATTCGCAGTAGTTATCGTCTTTTTTTTTTTTTAGATGGAGTCTCACTCTGTCGCCCAGGCTGGAGTGCAGTGACGCAATCTCTGCTCACTGCAAGCTCCACCTCCTGGGTTCACGCCATTCTCCTGCCTCAGCCTCCCATGTAGCTGGGACTACAGGTGCCCGCCACTACGCCTGGCTAATTTTTTCTATTTTTAGTAGAGACGGGGTTTCACCGCATTAGCCAGGATGGTCTCGATCTCCTGACCTCATGATCCGCCCGCCATGGCCTCCCAAAGTGCTGGGATTACAGGCGTGAGCCACTGCACCCGGCCTCACAGTAGTTATCTTCTATAAAGTCACCTCAAACACCAATTAGCAAGTACTGAACCATTACTCCTATAATAAATACAGGGTTTGGTTCGTGCAAACCTGTCATAACATTTTTATCAATTGATCAATATATAACCTTGTTTTATGTGTGTTTCTGTACATTCCTGTTTAAGGACACCTTATTTAAAATACATATTGTTCATTCACTAACACTGAACACATGGACAACTGTCCTATACCTTACGCTTGACTGAAGCCTATCTAATACACACCTTTTCCTTTTCTCTGTAAGTACATCGTGGCCTTCTTGCACTTAGAAACACTAGACCTCAGCTCAGCACTACATCAGAGGGCCGTTTTAAACAACGAAATGATGCTGTTTAATGATTGGTCTCAAAATAAAAATAAAAAAAATCACCCCTCTCCCCTCAAAAAAGCACGAAAAAATATACCACTAAATAGACCACAAAAAAAGACACTTGTTTGCAGTACGAGAGCTGAAACAAGAAAACAGTTTTGATTGCCTTGTTCCATCTCAGCTGGGAATGCCTGCAACAGGCAACCCAAATTTTTTACCACTCTTCACTGTGTCCCAGAGTAACCACAGAACACCTCGATTATTGACTTTGGGGTTACACAGACTTAATGAGGTCAATTCATAAATACGGAATCTGTGAAGAATGAGGATCAACTGTGCATCTTCATTTTATGATTCACTGCATGACTTTTCATTTCCTGACAGTTTTCAGATAGCCTAAAATCTGTATTAGTGCAAACAAGAAAAACAAGAAGGATCTCAAAGAGCAACAAAATAATGGGTTTCCATAAATTACATATTTATAACTACCTTTATTAGTGTGAGTTCAGCTTAGCAAAATCACTAAACAAATTTTGCATTAATTAGCCAGTTGATACAAATAAAATTCCTTTTTCTTTTATAAACAGTAAATACAAGGTGGGACATGGTGGCTCACACCTGTAATCCCAGCACTTTGGGAGGCCGAGGCGGTCAGATCACTTGAGGTCAGGAGTTTGAGACCAGCCTGGCTAACATGGTGAAATCCTGTCTCTACTGAAAACACAAAAATATTAGCCAGACGTGGCCGGGCGCGGTGGCTCATGCCTATAATCCCAGCACTTTGGGAGGCATGAGGCAGGCGGATCACGAGGTCAGGAGATCAAGACCATCCTGGCTAACACGGTGAAACCCTGTCTCTACTGAAAATACAAAAAATTAGCCGGGCATGGTGGCGGGTGCCTGTAGTCCCAGCTACTCAGGAGGCTGAGGCAGGAGAATGGTGTAAACCTGGGAGGCGGAGCTTGCAGTGAGCGGAGATTGCGCCACTGCACTCCAGCCTGGGTGACAGAGCAAGACTCTGTCTCAAAAAAAAAAAAAAATCAGAAACTAAATATTTTCCAGCATTTCCATCTTAAGTATTTTTGGTTCCATCTGTTTCCTTATCTAGGTTCTGTTCCACCCTGTACGTAGCTGTAAGGCTCAAATTACAGAGTGTACGTATGAGAACGCATCTGCTTCTACATTTCCAGAATAAGGTGGCGTTATTCATCTAACACTCCTTTTTCTTTTGGTCACTTCTTACTGTACCAGGAAGATGGAGTATATGGCAAGTTTTGCCAGCCTACACTGTGCTGATGCAAGGGCCTTTCATTTTCAGGGATCTGCCTGTAACCACTTCTGGCAGGTGGGGCTAATGGCCAGATCAAGACCAAAGGCTGGTCTCTGACTCTCTAAGTCAATTCTGGTGGCACACACAATAGGAAAAAAAAAGTCTATGAGCTTTTAAATGAGCTTTCTAAATGTTATAAGTTATTAAATTTATGTTTTCTTGATGTTTTCACTTTGGTAAGTGAATTAAAACTAAATTAATGCATTAAGTCTGGGAAGTTTTCACTTCCCAAAGTGAAAACAGTGACTTCTTAAAAATAGAAATTTTGGCCAGGTGCGGTGGCTCACACCTGTAATCCCAGCACTTTGGGAGGCCAAGGCAAGCGGATCACCTGAGGTCAGGAGTTTAAGACCAGCTTGGCCAATATGGCAAAACCCCATCTCTACTAAAAATACAAAAATTAGCCAGGCATGGTGGCAGGTGCCTGTAATCCAGCTACTCGGGAGGCTGAGTCAGGGAGAATTGCTGGAACCCGGGAGGCAGAGGTTGTAGTGAGCCAAGATTGCACGACGGTACTCCGGCCTGGACAACAGAGCGAGACTCTGTCTCAAAAAAAAAAGGAAATTTTAACAATAATTATGAACAATATGTCTATAAAGTAGCACTCACCACAGTAAACAACAAGGAGAAAAACTACAGAAAACACATTTTTCTTTTTCTCAGCATATACTGAGAGAAAACAAGGAGTAGGATCAGAACAGAATTATCACCCCACCTCCTCACCTCCATTAACTGGTGGAGCAGTGCACAGAGCTGAGTAAGTAAATCCATACAAACTAGAGGAGAAAGAGCGGTCTGCACTGCTCATCTTCCACCAGACCACTGCAAAGCAGTATAGTAGTGCCTTTAATCCTGAATGAATAGCTTCTGGTTAAAGAGTCAGTCAGGTGGTCTCTGTTAAAAAGCATCATGATGCTTTCACTTCTTCATATTATTTGAAATTAATAAATAAAAATATACACTATACGGATTAGTATCACACCATCAAATACTCACAAGTCCAAGCTTTCCAGCTTCAATTAAAATCTTATTTAAGTATCTCCTAAAAACAGGATTGCTTTGACTTTCATAGTCTTCCCTCTTTTTCTTTTCACACTCATCAATCTGTAACCATAAAATCAATTCAACATTAGTTAGAGTCAAAGTATAATATAAGGGTTAAGTTTCTAGCCTAGTGCTGTCATCGGAATCAAGGTAAGGAGCTAGTTGTTTTGATCAAGTTTGCATTTATCAGCTATAATACATTACAGTGCAGAGCTGGCCTGCTTCCCCATGTTCTCTTTGCAAAGGGCAAGTAGGCAACAAATAAGGAGCACAGATCCAATACTTAGCCCTAACCTGGCAGTTTTTCTGCTGACTTTCAGCAACTTTAAAGCTAAAGGAGGCAGAGATCCACAAGCAGAGCATCTGGACCAATCTGCCTCTTTCTAATTCCAAAGCAACAATTTAACAAGAGAAAGAAGGAAGGAAGGGCAGGAGGGAAGAGTAGAATAAATACACAGAGAGAAACAAAGGGACAGAGAAACAGAAACAAGATGAAGCCAGACGATGAAATGAAGGACACAACAGAGTATTTCTTCAATGTGCATATGACTTTTGGCCTTTTATTAATGTTTTAATCAGCAATTAATCATCCCATGCTGTATGGAATGCTCAGGAAGGCAGGAACTGCAGCTTCTCCAGGGTACCACCCACATGGCAACCCTTCAGCACACAATTCTACACGGGAGCAGACTTCCTACGAACTTAGCTCTGCCACCACCAACCCAGCAGGCAAGTCGCTGAGGGTAGTGGGTATTTTTCAAACATTAGAATAACTTTGTGATCATCAACTTGCATTTTTTAACGGAGTGTGGACCATGAGTTGAGCGCTGAAATGCACATCAGTGGATAAACATGACAATAATTGAGCAGCACACAGACTTAAGAAGGACACTGAGCAGAGAAGGAAATAGAAGAACACAGCAGTTTCCTTTGCTCTCAGGCAAGGTTTGTAAAACCAGTTTATTTTCTAAACCTTAAAGAAACAACTTAGGAAAAAAAAAAAAAAGAATTCAAGACTCCATTTTGCCAACCATGTTTCTTAGAATGTTTAAACCAGTCACAAACAATGGAATAAAAAAATTCTGTAAAAAGGTATTTCTGCATTTTTGCTGTGCAGCCAAACTTTTGTATAGCTCACTATACAATAATAATACACAAAGTGAAGCAATTTTTTTTTCCTTTTCTTTTTCTTGTGGCTTCCTCAAATCATGGGAGTGAAGCAAATTTTATCCAAGCGCACCTTCTCAACCACTCAGGTGAGACAGTATTCGTACTTAATAAGAATCACAAGCAGGTGGGTATAGATCTTATTGGGCTATATCTGGATCTCAGTGAACAAACTCTCCCAGTCTCTCAAGCTGGGACTCATTCACTCTAGCTCTTCCCTATCCCTTATCCCCCCTACTTCCCTAAGCCATCAACATTTGCCTATTCTACCTCATAAAAGTTTAATATCTGCCTCTTATCTTCAACCCATCACTGCCTCATTTCAGACCTTCAGCATTGCTGGACCTCTGCAGCCTCCACTGATCTCACTGACACCCCCCTTCTCCATTCCAGGCCTCACCTCCTTACCTCCACACTGCTACCAGTTCACCCTGCCTACGCAGCCAACCGAGGGTGGCTCCCACAGCACATAACGACTACATTCACATCCCTTGACTTATTTATTTTTGTGTAAACTCTTCAGCTACATTTTTTTAAGAGGATTGGATAAATGAAGGAATGAATAGCTATTACACACTAAATTATAATAATCCTTCTTAAGAGTAACTCTTATTCGTATAAGCTGGTAATAGACACATTTCTTCATTTGCTACATTTGTTGAGAGTTTACTATGCCTCAGCCCTGTGATAGGTGACAGAGAATTAAGATCAATAAAACGTATTCCTTGCACCAAGAAGTCTGCAGTCTGGTAAAGAAATACTTACAACACAGAGATGTCAATGTTATTACAGGAAAATACAAGGTACTACTAGAAAAACCAAGGCTAGAATAACTAATAAGAAACCAAGGTTAGAGTATCCAAAGAAAAATTTGACATATAAAAATCATACGGTACACGGAAACACTAGAAATACAAATTTATCAGCAGAGACAAGAATATAGAGCGATTTAACATAATATAAAAATATAAAATTTATCAATAAAAAAACTAACCTTATAAGTTAAAGAATCAAGTTTGTGATAACATTCTGATATTTCATCAGCACATGACAAGTCAGGACTGACATCCTTTTCCCCTGAAATACCATATTTTGCCTAAAACAGAGTATAGAAACATTTTATTTCTTTATAGTTTAGTTACAAAAATAGCCTTTGGTTAATGAAGACTAAGATTCTGACTTCATCATTTCATGACTCTGCATGTTATATTCTTAAATTGTACTGAACCACAAAAAAAAAGTTTCAAATGTACACACTAAGAACTAAAATCATATTATTTTGCTACTTCAAGGGCTTTACATTCAAATTCAATACCAGGTAGGTTTGAAATAATTTTAGATTAACAGTGTCAAGAAAATATTCTGCATAATTGCTAATCATGGATCCATGACCCTCATAGCTCTGTGCAAAACAACAGAGCTAGACTGTTTCCATCATGGGACTGATAAGGTCTCACACACATGCACGAATTTTTTTTAATACCTGAGATTTTCTCATTGTTCCTGAAGCAGCATCATAGTTAAGCATGTCTGTGGGGTCAATCCAGTCATCATCATGAGCATAACCAGCTACCAGCAACAGACATTCACAAAGGAGCAAAGAACACAGCATCCTGTATAAGGCTAAAACAATTTTTAATATATATAATGAAATAGAATTATTTTTTTAAATAAATTGGGTTTTGGGTTATTATTATTATTATTATTATTTTTAGAGACAGGGTCTTGCTCTATTGCCCAGGCTGGAGTACAGTGATACAATCACAGCTCAGTGCATCCTCCAACTCCTGGGCTCAAGAGGTCCTCCTGGCTAGCTGGGACTACAGGTGTGTGCCACCACACCTGGATAATTTTTTTTTTTTAATTTTTAGTAGAGACAGGGTCTCACTATGTTATCCAGGCTGGTCTCAAACTCCTGGCCTCAACTGATCCTCCCACCCTGGCCTCCCAAAGTGCTAGGATTATAGGCATGAGCCATTGCACCCAGCCAGATTGTTTTGTAATGAAAACTACTTCCTTCTAGAGTTAAGATAACACTTTCTGAACAGTATCTAAGGAAGAAGGTACACAAAATAAAAATAAATTGGTGTTCATATATTAAAAAAATGCATATATGCATAATATGCTCACTGATATAAGAAAATAGGTATTTTTCCATATGGCCCAGCAATTCCATTGCTAGGTATATACCCAAAAGAAATGAAAATATATGTCCACACAAAAACTTGTACATGAATGTTCAGAGCCACATTTTTCGTAATAGCCAAAAGGTGGGAAAAACCCAAATTTCCATCAACAGGGCCAGGTGTGGTGGCTGACACATGTAATCCCAGCACTTTGGGTAGGTGGATCACTTGAGCTCAGGAGTTCAAGACCAGGCTAGGTAATGAAAAAAATAACCAAAAAATTAGCCAGGCGTGGTAGCGCAAGCCAGTGATCCCAGCCCCTTGGGAGGCTGAGGCAGGTGGATCGCTTGAGCCTGGGAGGCAGAGGTTGCAGTGAGCCAAGATCACACCACTGCACCCCAACCTGGGTGACAGAGTGGGACCCCCATCACAGAAAAAACAACAACAACAAACAAATTTCCATTAACTGATAAATAAAACTGGTATAGCCATGCAATGGAATATTATTCAGCCATAAAAAGGGATGAAATACTGACACCATGCTACAACACATATGAACCTTGAAAATGCTACATTATGTGAAAGAAACCAGATATGAAAGACCACACATTATATAAGTACATATATATGAAATGTCCAGAATAGGCAAATCTATTAAGACAGAAAGTAGATTAACAGGTGGTTAAGGCTGAAGGTTTGGGAGTATAGTAGCTAAAGGGTACAGGGTTTCCTTTTGAGGTAATGAAAAATGTTCTAAAATTATAATAATGGTTGCAAATACATGCAAATATACCCAAAACCGTTGAATTGTATACTTTTTTTTTTTTTTTTTTGAGACAGGGTCTCTCCCTCTGTTGCCCAGGCTGGAGTGCAGTGGCACAATACCAGCTTACTTGCAGACTCAACCTCCCAGACTCAAGTGATCGGCCCACCTCAGCCTCCTGAGTAGCTGGGACTACAAGCTTACACCACACCTGGCTAATTTTTTAAAATTAATTAACTTTTTTGTAGAGATAGGGTCTCACTATATTGCCCAGGCTGGTCTCAAACTCCTAGGCTCAAGCTATCCTCCCACCTCGGCCTCCCAAAGTGCTGGGATTACAGGCATGAGCCACTGCACCTGGTGGAACTGGACACTTTAAATGGGTGGATTATATAGTATGTGATTTATAGCTCAATAAAGTCAATTTAAAAACAGGTATTTTAACGAATCTCCCCCCTATTTTTGGGTTTTTTGTTTTTTTGAGACAGAGTTTCACTCTTTTTGCCCAGGCTAGAGTGCAATGGCGCAATCTCGGCTCACTGCAACCTCTGCCTCCCAGGTTCAAGCGATTCTCCTCCCTCAGCCTCCCAAGTGGCTGGAATTACAGGCATGGGCCACCATACTTGGCTAATTTTGTATTTTTAGTAGAGATGGGATTTCTCCATGTTGGTCAGGCTGGTCTCGAACTCCCGACCTCCACCCCACCTTGGCCTCCCAAAGTACTGGGATTATAGGCATGAGCCACAGCGCTTGGCCCCCCCTGTTTTTTTTTAACAAATGAGAAATAAGAAAAGTGGGAAACTGCCAGGTGCAGTGCCTCACGCCTGTAATCCCAGCACTGTGGGAGGCCAAGCTGGGCGGATTACTTGAGGCCAGGAGTTCGAGAGCAGCCTGGCCAACAAGTTGAAACCCCATCTCTACTAAAAACACAAAAACTCAGCCAGGCATGGTGGTGTGTGCCTGTAATCCCAGCTACTCAGAAGGCTGAGGTAGGAGAATGGCTTGAACCCAGGAGGCAGAGGTTGCAGTGAGCTGAGATCGCGCCACTGCACTCCAGCCTGGGTGACAGAGTGAGACTCTGCCTTTAAAAAAAAAAAAAAAGAAAGAAAGGTGGGAATTTACGATTCAAATGCAGTGACTAAACTTCAAAACCATTCAGAGAAAATAACCTGCCTTACCTAAGCCCCTGCATAAACAGTCAAATAATTTAAACACTTAGTAACTCCTCTATGTAGCTATTTAATTAAAATTAAATAAAATTTAAAATTCAGTTCCTCATTCCCCCTAGCTACATTTCAAGCACTCAATAGTCACATATGGGTAGTGGCTACCATATTGGACAGGGTGGATACAGAACATTTGAACATTTTTATCATCGAAGAAAGTTCTGTTGGGCAGCCTATCTTATACCTACTACATATAAGAATCAGGCAAGAGAACCCCAAGATGACAAAGCCCTGGGCCCTGCCCATAAACAGCTTACGGTCTAGTTGTACAATAAAAATCACTCTAGGCTAAATTAAATACTCCTGTTCCCCATGTGCCCTGTATATTCTTCTGGCATTGGAAGCAATGAAATTAGCCATTTATCGGTCTGTCTCTTCCATTAGCACAATAGCTCTCAACCTTGGCTCCATATTAGAATCACCCGAGGAGCTTCTGAAACTCCCAATGTTTTGGCCATATCCCAAAACCATTAAATCAGAATCTCTGGGATTAGGACCCAGGCACTTCGATCTTTTTAAGCTCCCCAAGTGATTCTAATGTGTAGCCAAGACAGAAAACCACTGTTAATGTGAACTTCTCTAGGGAAAGATAGTATCTTACCTAGATCTGAAGTCACCTTCCCACTGGCCTCTCTATCTTGTCCCTCCATCTCCCCAACCTCAACACCCAGCCCAGTGGTTGGCACGTGAAAGACATTCAGTAAATGTTTGTTAAGCAGCAAATGCAAATAAAGCCATAGCAAGGACTCAAGGATTTTAGAGGTTCAAAGGATAAAGAAAGCACATCTGGCCAGGTGCAGTAGCTCACGCCTGTGATCCCAGCACTTCGGGAGGCCGAGGCGGGCAGCTCACCTGAGGTCAGGAGTTCGAGACCAGCCTGACCAACATGGAGAAACCCCATCTCTACTAAAAATACAAAATTAGCTGGGTATGGTGGTGCATGCCTGTAATCCCAGCTACTCGGCAGGCTGAGGCAGGAGAATAACTCGAACCTGGGAGGCAGAAGTTGCAGTGAGCCAAGATCATGCCATTGCACTCCAGCCTGGGCAACCAGAGTGAAACTCCGTCTCAAAAAAAAAAAAAAAAAACACATCCGACTGGAGAAACTAGAAAGTGGAAAGACTGCACAGGAATGGGAATCCGAGGTATGGGTAACATCTTAAGTGCTCAAGATGGGAGAGGCAGAGGGCAAAGTGTATGCTTCAGCAATTGCAATTGCGAGGATGGATACGGTGAGAGGTAGAGGTGGGTGGGTGGTGATGACACTGCTGAGGAAAAAAGCTTACGACTAACTCCCAGGACTTTGGGAGGCCGAGGCAGGCAGATAATGAGGTCAGGAGATCAAGACCATCCTGGCTAACATGGTGAAACCCAGTCTCTAATAAAACAACAACAACAACAAAAATTAGCCAGGCGTGGTGGCACACACCTGTAAATCCCAGCTACTTGGGAGGCTGAGGCAGGAGAATCGCTTGAACCTGGGTGGGGGACGGAGGCTGCAGTGAGCCGAGATCGTGCCACTTCACTCCAGCCTAGGTGAAAGAGTAAAACTCGGTCTCAAAAACAACAACAACCACCACCACCACCAGCACTAAGCGCACAGGAGGAGGAAAACCTGGATTCATTATCCAACAAAGAGGCTGAAGCAGAAAAAAGATGTGGTACTTGGCCTAAAAGAGTGGTGGCAAGAAAACCAGAAAGAACACATGTGGCACACTCTGAAGATCAATTCTACAGACCTTGGCCTACCAGCAACAAAAATGGTGATGTTAATTTTAAAAAGAAATTCATAATGAGAATATGGTTGTGGAACGAGTTCAGCATTCATTTGTTCAACATTTACCAAATACCTACTGTATACTGGGCACTGTCTTTGCGTGTGTGTGTGTGTGTGTGTGTGTGTGTGTGTGTGACGGAGTTTCGCTCTTGTCGCCCAGGCTGGAGTGCAATGGCACGATCTTGGCTCACTGCAACCTCTGCCTCCTGGGTTCAAAAATTCTCCTGCCTCACCCTCCCAAGTAGCTGGGATTATAGGCATGTGCCACCATACCCAGCTAATTTTTTGTATTTTTAGTAGAGAAGGGATTTCTCCATGTTGGTCAGGGATTTCTCCATGTTGGTCTTGAACTCCCGACCTCAGGTGATCCACCCGCCTTGGCCTCCCAAAGTGCTGAGGTTACAGGCATGAGCCACCATGCTGGGCACTGTCTTAAGTTACAGGGATACCAGGAGTCTACACAGACAAAGGTCTTCTTCAGGAAGGTTACATTCTAGGGGGGAAGGAAGGACAGTAAGTTGGCAAAAAAACAAAAACAAAAACATGTAACTCAAGATAGTGATAAATCCTAAGAAGATAAAGCAAGACAGTGGTACATATGGATTAGGCGATGCTGGGTATTTCAGGGTAGGCCCCTAAGATCTAAGACGGTCACAAATGCTTTGTTACTCTCCCCACGGAAAGATGGAGTGTATTTCCCCCTCTCCTGAATCTGGGCTGGCCCTGTGACTACTGAACCAAAATCCTTTGGTTGAAGTGGGGCTATGATGGTTCTAGGCCTAGCCTTCAAGAGGGTCGCCTGCTTCTACTTCACTTTGGAACATGTGATGGTTAAGTGTCAACTTGACTGGACTAAGGAAAACCTAGAGAACTGCAAAGCATTCCTTCTGATGTGTCTGAAGGGGTTTCCAGGGAAGACTGGTTTGTGAGTCAGCTGACTGAGTGTGGAAGATCCACCCTCTGTAGGGGCCAGCACCATTCAGTCAGCTGGGGACCCTAATACAACAAAAAAGAGAAAAGGAATTTCTTTTCTCTCCTGGAGCAGGGACACCCTTCTTCTCCTGTCACTGGACATCAGAACTCCAGGCTCTCCAGGCTTTGGAATCCCAGACTTAAACCAGCAGCCCCTAGGTTCTCAGGCCTTCAGCCTCAGACTGAAAATTACACCATAGGCTTCCCTGGTTTTAAGGCTTTCACACCTGGACTGAGCCAGGCTACTGGCCTTCCAGGATCTCCAGCCTGTAGACAGCCTATCATGGTACTTCTCGGCACCCATAATCATATGAGCTAATTCCCCTAATAAATCCCCTCTCATCCATCCATCCTCCCACCCTCACTGTCTCTCTGGAGAATCCTAAGACAGAACATATGTTTGTGGGAACACGCCCCTCTTGGAAGCCAGCTGCCACCTTGTAAGAAGGCCAAGTCACACGAAGAGGCTGGGTGCAGGGGCACACTGAGCTCCCAGCCTGCAGCCAATATCAATGGCCAGCCATGTGGGTGAGCCATCTTGGTGGTTCCAGTCCAACCTCTGGTGACTGACTTGGTGACCCAGCCAACATCATGTAGAATAAAAGAACTATCCAGCTGAGCCCCATCACACCCCATAAAACCACAACATCACCAGCAGTAATAAAAGTGTTATTTACAGCCATTACACTTGGCCAGGCATGGTGGCTCACACCTGTAATCCCAGCACTTTGGGAGGCTGAGGCAGGCGGATCACAAGGTCAGGAGATCGAGACCATCCCGGCTAACACAGTGAAACCCCGTCTCTACTAAAAATACAAAAAATTAGCCGGGCATGGTGGCACGCGCCTGTAGTCCCAGCTACTCGGGAGGCTGAGGCAGAAGAATCACTTGAACCTGGGAGGCGGAAGTTGCAGTGAGGCGAGATCACACCACTGCACTCCAGCCTGGGTGACACAGCGAGACTCCGTCTCAAAAAAAAAAAAAGCATTACACTTTAGAGTGGTTTGTTACATGCAAGCAGATAACCACAAGAACATTTAAGGAGAAAAATAAGATAATCTTAGGAAGATTTGGAGAACATCCAGAGAGAAGACACAGCAAGTATAGAAGCCCTGAGTGGAGAAGAAGCTGAAGCAGTCAAGGAACAGAAAGGAGGCCAGAACAGCTGGGTCTTGGGAATGAGCTGGGAGGCAGGGAGGCGGGGAGGCGGGGAGGCGGGGAGGGAGTGGTAGACCACAGTAAAGAGTGTGGTTTTTACTCTATGTGTAACAAGAAGCCACTTGAGGCTTTTAAATAGGGGCGTGATAGAATCTGGTTTACATTCTAAAAGACATTACTATGGCTACTATGTAGAGATTAGAATGGAAGATTATCAGGAGGTTAGGAAGATCTGTAGTCATCCACTTCAGAGATGAAGGTGACATGAGCTAAAGACAGCAGCAAAGGTGATGACAAATGGTCAGACTTTTAAAATCTGTAGGTAGACCCTACTACATCTGGCAAAATGACCAGCTAATAGGTCACTAGGCATATTTCTTCTTCCTTCTGGACAAATGATGACTGTATGTCTCAGCCTCTCTGTGAAGTATGGCCACGTAATAGTTAAGTTCTAGCCAACCCAACGGATAGAAGGGATATGCACCACATCCAAGTCTGGCCCATGAAAACCTCCCAGCTGCCCTCTCCCAACCAGGGAATTCCCAGGACACTGAGCCCTGGAGGAGGGCAGCCAAACTATGCAGGCACCTGGGCCCCTAAATGACCACCTGGAAGGCCACCCACTAAGTGGGAATATAGCTTTTCACTTTCATGTGAGCAAAAATTAATTTCATTTATGGCATATACTGAGATATAGGGGTTTATTTCTTATAACATCTCTTGCTACTCTAATACAGAAATACACTATAGAAATTGCTGAAAATTTGGATGTCGGTAAGGACAAGTGAAGATTTGGGACGATTTCTATGTTTGTGGCCAGGGCAACTGGGAGAAGGGAAAAGACTGAAGAAGACTGCAAGTTCTGAAAGATCAAGAGTTTTGTTTGGATATAGTAAATCTGAAGTGTCCACTGATGTCCAAGTAGAGATTATAAATATGCAGGATGAAGCTAAGGAGAGCAGTGGGACTACATTTGAGAACGATCAGAATGTAGACGGGGTTTAAAAGAGATGATCTGGGTAAGATCACCAGAAGATTTATTATGAGGACAAAAGACTGAGTCCTGGGCAAGCCAACATTCGGGGATCAGAAAGAAGAGGAGGAACCAGCAAGAGATAATTCTAGTGAGTGCTATGAGGCAGGAAGAAAACCAAGAGAGGTTGGAATTTCAGAAGCCAAGTGAAGAAAGGAGAGAGCAGACAAATATGTTGAATGCCGCTAAGAGGTCAGGCGATCAGAGGGCAGCAAACTGACCCCTGGATTTGGTACAGCAGCTTTAACAGAGAAAGCCTACCGGGAATGGTTAAAGGAATCATTCAGGTAAAGGTTTTGGATCAAGGTAACACAGTAACTCTACAGTGGTAACCCCATCTACGGTTTTGCTTTCTGAGGTTTCAGTTACCCACAGTCAACTGCAGTCTGAAAATATTAAATGGAAAATTCCAGAAGTAAACAGTTCCTAAGTTTTCAATTATGCACAGCTCTGGATAGTGTGAGGAACTCTCTTCCTGTCCTGTTCCATCCCACATGGGACGATGTCCACACTGTAGGTGTCACACTCCAGTCACTTAGTATCCATCTGGGTTACGACTGCTGTGGTATCTCAGTGCGTGTGTTCAAGGAATCTATACTTTACTTAATAATGGCCCTAAAGCACAGTAGTAACGATGCTGGCAATTCAGATATGTCAAAGAGAAGCCATAAAGTGCTTCCTTTAAGTGAAAAAGTGAAAGTTCTCAACTTAATAAAGGGCTGGGCGTGGTGGCTCATGCCTGTAATCCCAGCACTTTGGGAGGCCCAGCAGGCGGATCACTTGAGCCCAGGAGTTCAAGACCAGCGTGGCCAACATGGCGAAACCCCGTCTCTACTAAAAATACAAAAAATTAGCCAGGCATGGTTGTAAGCACCTGTAGTCCTGACTACTCAGGAGGCTGAGGCAGGAGAATTGCTTAAACCCGGGAGGCGGAGGTTGTAGTGAGCCAAGATTACACCACTGCACTCTAGCCAGGGCGACAGAGCGAGACTCCATCTCAAAAAATAAATAGGCCAGGCACAGTGGCTCATGCCTATAATCCCAGCACTTTGGGAGGCCGAGGTGGGCGGATCACCCAAGATCGGGAGTTTGAGATCAGCCTGACCAACATGGAGAAATCCCATCTCTACAAAAAAATACAAAATTAGCCGAGCGTGGTGGCACATGCCTGTAATCCCAGCTACTCAGGAGGCTGAGGCAGGAGAATCACTTGAACCCGGGAGGCGGAGGTTGAGGTGAGCCGAGATCACGCCATTGCACTCCAGCTTGGGCAACAACAGTGAAACACCGTCTCAAAATAAATAAATAAATAAATATATGAAAATTAGCCAGGTATGGTGGCACACACTTGTAATGCCAGCTACTTGAATGGCTGAGACAGGAAAATCGCTTGAGCCTGGGAGACAGAGGTTGCAGAGAGCTGAGAGCACACCACCGTACTCCAGCCTGGGTGACAAAGTGAGAATCCAACTCAAAAGAAAAAAAAAAATTAAAGAAAAAAAAGCTCATATGATGAGGTTGCTAAGATCTATGTTAAGAACAAAACTTGTATCCATGAAATTGTACAGGAGGAGAAAGAAATTCATGCTAGTTTTGCTGTCGCACCTCAAGTGAAAAAATTCCAGCCACAGTACATAACTGTTATTATTGTGTATTGTTATAATTTTTCTATTTTATTAGTTATTGCTGTTAATCTCTTACTGTGCCTAACTGATAAATTAAACTTTAGCAGAGGAATAGATGTATAGGAAATAACATAGAATATATACAAGGTTCAGTACTATCTGAAGTTTCAGGCATTTACTAGGATCTTAGAATGTATACTCCAAGGGTAAAGGGGGGACTCTATACTCCCAAAGCACTTCCCCAACTCCTACTCCTGGCCAAGATGGAGTAACAGGGACCAGATTTACCCTCCTGCCTGAACAACCAAAGCTCTGCACAAAATAAATAGAACAATAGTTTCTGGCCGGTTGTGGCGACTCACGCCTGTAATCCCAGCACTTTGGGAAGCCAAGGCAGGAGGAACACTTGAGCCCAGGAGTTCGACACCAGCCTGGGCAACTTAGGGAGATTCCATCTCTACAAAACTTGAAACAAAATTTAGCTGGGTGTGGTGGCATACGTCTATATTTCCAGCTACTTGGAGAGGCTGAGGTGGGAGGATCACTTGAGCCGGGGAGGTTGAAGCTGCACTGAGCCGAGATCACGCCACTGCTCTCCAGCATGGGTGACAGAGCAAGACCCTGACTCAATTAAAAAACAAACAAACAAACAAAAAACACTAAAATCACTGTTATGCTCTGGAGATACTTAGAAATACTGAATAACTGTATACTTTATTGGAAAAAATTAAGAGTTCAACTAAGGAAGAAAGCCATGGAAGAAGCAAATACCAGAGAGGAGAGTGAAGGCTAATCAGGGCAATAGAAGACAAGCCAAAATATGCAATGGGCAAAAACTAAGGAGGGACTTAATTTCAAGAAAGTGGTATCAAGCGTATTCAATACTTCAGAGAAGTGGAGAGGAACAAAGTCTGGAAAAAAGCCATTGGATTGGTTAATTAGTTGGCCATTTATGACCTTTCAGAGAATGACAGTGAGAAGCCTAATTCTCTAAGTGGTTAAGAAGTAGGTGACAAAGGGAGTGTGTAAACTGGAGAGAGGCTCCAAGATGGGAGTGCATGAAATTAAGGTTACGGGAAGGGTTCTTCATAGGCAATGAGGTTATATACTCCATAAATAGAAATGAATGAAGATGGATGAAGACAAAATTTCTAAAGTAAAAAGAGAAACTGACAGATTTCATATTATAATATGATATGAAGTGGACAGAGAAATTAAGAGTAATTTGCATTTCTAACACTGTGAGGAGGTTAGGATGGGGGAAACGGAGATTTGGAGGGGAAAAAAGGTACTACAGGAGGCATTATACAAAGGGAAGTGAATAAAAAGCCTGTCAAGCAGTTGAGATTTTTTTTTCTTTTTTATAGAGACAGGGTCTTGCTATGTTGCCCAGGCTAGTCCCGAACTCCTGAGCTCAAAGGATCCCCCTGCCCGCCGCCTTGTCTTCCCAAAGTGCTGGGATTACAGGTGAGCCACTGTGCCAGCCAGGCAGTTGAGTTTTGACTGTGACATCCACAAAGTCGTACTATTGGCAACTATGTTACTTTCTACAGTAATAACCAGCAGTTCCATAGATTTCTCCAGGGATAGAGATTAGCAATGCAGAAATGATGGAAGACAGGAGGGTAAGACAGAATAGAAGAATCAGCTAGAAATTCAAGCCCTCCTGCCAGATCCCCATGGTCACTGATTGAAGGCTGGAACTCCTTGAGAAATCCTAAAACGAATCTCACACTTCCTCCAAACAAAGCTACATCTAAACCTGCTGAAGAGTTTGTTAAAAAAAAAAAAAAACGATTCTGATTCAGTAAATCTGAGGTAGGTCTGAGATCTCCACTTCTAACAAGCTCCTGGTGATGCCGCAGACCACACTCTTGAGTAGCAAAGTGTTAATCGAAAGTAACCATCCTAGCTAGTTTCGTTTAATGGTGGCACCTATGTCATTCTAGTACTTGTCAGGGGACACTACTCTTTCTCTCTCCCGCAGTCCCTACTATTTTTACCATTTCTCTCCTGTCTCAGGCTTCGGTACTAATAATTTTTAAATTATAATATGTATAATAGTAGCTAAAGGCCGGGCACGGTGGCTCACGCTTGTAATCCCAGCACCTTGGGAGGCCAAGGCGGGCGCATCACCTGAGGTTGGGAGCTCCAGCCCAGCCTGACCACCATGGAGAAACCCTGTCTCTACTAAAAATACAAAAGTAGCAGGGCGTGGTGGCGCATGCCTGTAATCCCAGCTACTCGGGAGGCTGGGGCAGGAGAATTGCTTGAACCCAGAGAGTGCAGGTTGCGGTGAGCCGAGATCGCGCCATTGCACTCCAGCCTGGGCAACAAGAGCAAAACTCCGTCTAAAAAAAAAAAAGTAGCTAATATTTTGTTACTATGTGCTAAGCACTGTTACATTAATTTAATCCTCACAAAACTACTGGAAGTAGTACTCTTATCTTCACTCATCTTCATTTTACAGATCACACAAAGTAACTTGCCTAAGACCACCAAGCTAGTAAGTGGTAGAACCCAGACTGGCTCTACCTAAACTGCCTCTCCAGGGCAAAAGTACTAATGGCTCTCAGGGGCTTCTCTGAGAGGATAGGGTCTTAGAGTGGAGAGGACCTGTTGGAACGACATCTCCACAGAGCGGGAAATAGGGAGAGTAGTTTATAGTAGCTACTAGACTGGAGAACTACCAGGAAACACAGATCGTCGTGCAGACGGCCAGGCAGTGAGTAGAAATGGGCACAAAAGAAAAAGTCTTTGGTTTCAACGAAAGCACATGAGTAATGGGAAAGGCAAGACTAACCTGGATTAGTAGAGTCAAATCCTGTTTTAGACTAGAAGTACCAGGGTATAAGTCGGGAGGCTGCAACTTATTTCGTATGCTTATGCAGTTTCTTGGAACCATGGCTCTCAAACTTGCGAATTTGCATTTTTAACAATTTCCCAGATGACGATAAAGCTAGTCTGGGAAGAACACTTCATAATCACTATTATAAAGAAAACCTGAATTGTTTTTCACCACCCAGTAATAAACCTACAGCTTATGGTGTGTCTAACTTTTTACACTCAAATCAGATTTGGAGCCAGGCGCAATGGCTCACGCTTGTAATCCCAGCACTTTGGGAGGCCAAGATGGGAAGATCCTTTGAGCCCAGGAGTCAGAGACAAGCCTGGACAACACAGGGAGACCCCTTCTCTACAAATAAAATTTACAAATTAGCCGGGCCTGGTGGCGCGCACCTGTGGTCCCATCTACTCAGGTGGCTGAGGCAGGAGAATCGCTGGAACCCGGAAGGCGGAGGTTGCCGTGAGCGGAGATAGCACCACCGCACTCCAGCCTGGGTGACACAGCAAGACTCCGTCTCAAAAAAAAAAAAAAAATCCATTTTGGAGGTTGTTTTGTGTCCGTTTTTGTTGTTGTTGTTAACTGTGTTAATTCACAGATTTGAAGTTTTAGAAAATTAACTACAACTAAATCCGAGCTATTCTGCTGACAGCATTTATTCAAATTATGCTTAAAGTTTTCAGAGATAACCAAAGCCAACAGAATTCAACGTGCGCTCAGGTCTCGCTTTGCCCTCGCTGTGCCTTCTCCGTAGGCCGCTCTCTGGGCCAAGCACCTCCCCGGAACGCGCGCAACCGCGGCGGACAGGCAGCCGCCGGCGCGGGAGCTGAGGTAGGAGCCCGGGGCACCCACAGGCCGCAGCGGACGCACGCAGCTAGCACGGTCCCCGCCCCGGGTCGCGCCTGCGGCCTCCCCAGCGTCTGCGCCGCGAGTCCGCTGGACCCGCCAGGGCGTAACGGCGGGTAACCCGCCCCACCCGCCGCACAACACACCCAACTGCACGGACTCACGTCCGGGATCCCCTGCCTGCCTCTCGAGGAAGACACCTGCCCAGGCCGGCCGCAGAAGAGGTCGCACAGCTTGCCGCCGCCCAGGGTTTCAGCGTGCTTCCTGGGCCTCGTCATCGAATTGTTCGGCTGACGGCTGCGTGTCCCTCCCCCGTTGCGGGCCGCTGATTGGCCTCGTTGATTGGGCGGGGCTAGTAGCGGGACCGGCCTCTGCGCGCGGGTTATTTTCGCCGCGGATTTTCTTTTACTTTTCATCTGCGGAACTCTTTCTGCGAAGGAAATCTCGCCTGGAACTCAAATATATACAACGGATAGGAAACCTATTTTCTTACTATTAATATATTTGATAAGTTTGAATGTGTAACATTCGCCATGAAACGCAAGCATGATTTTTTTTTTTTTGAGGCAGAGTCTCACAGTGTTGCCCAGGCTGGAGTGCAGTGGCGCGATCTCGGCTCGGCTCACTGCAACCTCTGCCTCCCGGGTTCAAGCAATTCTCCTCTCTCAGCCTCCCGAGCAGCTGGGACTACAAGCGCGCACCACCACATCCAGCTAATGTGTATTTTTAGCAGAGACAGGGTTTCACCATGTTGGCTAGGCTGGTCTCGAACTCCTGACCTCAGGTGATCCGCCCGCCTCGGCCTCCCAAAATGCTGGGATTACAGGTGTAAGCCACCGCGCCTAGCCACAAGCATAATTTTTTAAAGGGAGGATCACGAATGACAACTGTAGTTCTACTCAGGGCAGGACAAGGGAAAGGTCTGCACACTGTAGGGCAGTTGGAAGTAGTTTTGTTTTTGTCTTTAACTGCTGGCCTTGCAATCTCGGGAAACTGTGAAGATGGTAAAATTTACTATCTTAACCATTTTTAAAGGTACAATTCAGTGGTATTAGATACATTCACATTGTTATGCAACCATTACCACCATCCATCTCCAGCACTCATCTTGCAAAACTGAAACTCTGTACCCAGTAAGTGGTAACGCCTCATTCTTCCCCTCCCTCCTTCCCAGCGACTACCATTCTTTCTGTCTTTATGAATTTGACTACTCTAGGTATTTCATATAAGGACTCATACAGCATTTGTCTTTTTGTAACTGATTTCACTTACCATAATGTCCTCAAGGTTCATCCATGTGGTAACGTGTCAGAATTTCTTTTAAGGCTGAATAGTATTCCATTTTATGTATATACCAGTTCATTCAGTCATCTGTTAATGGATAACAGGTTGTTTCCACTTTTGGCTACTGTGAAATAATACTGTAAACATGGATATACAAATATCTGTTTTTTAACCCTTTTGGGTATACACACAGATGTTCAAATATCTGTTGCTTTCAACTCCTGAATATATATACACAAGTGGAATTGCTGGATTATGTAGTAATTCTATTTTTAATTTTTTGAGGATCTGCCGTACTTTTTTTTTTTTTGAGATGGAGTTTCACTCTTGTTGCCCAGGCTGGAGTGCAGTGGTACGATCTCGGCTCACCACAACCTCTGCCTCCCGGGTTCAAGCGATTCTCCTGCCTCAGCCTCTTGAGTAGCTGTGACTACAGGCGTTTGCCACCATGCCTGGCTAATTTTTGTATTTTTAGTAGAGATGGGGTTTCACTATGTTGACCAGGCTGGTCTCGAACTCCTGACCTCGTTATCCACCCACCTCGACCTGCCAAAGTGCTGGGATTACACGCATGAGCCACTGCGCCCGGCGGAACTGCCATTCTCTTTTCCATAGTGGCTGCAACATTTTACATTCCCTCCAAGAGTGCACAAGTTCCAATTTCCCCACATCTCCACTGACATCTTTTTATTTTTGTATAGTAGCCATCTTAATAGGTGTGAGGTATCTCACTGTGGTCTTGATTTGCCTTTCGCTAATGACCAGTGATGTTGAGCATCTTTTCTTGTGCTTATTGGTCATGCCATTTGTATATGTTTGTTGGAGAAATGTCTATTCAAGTCCTTTACCCATTTGTTTTGTTTGTTTTATTTTGTTTTGTTAAGAGACAGGGTCTCGCTTTGTCACCCAGGCTGAAGTGCAGTGTCATGATCATGGCCCACTGCAGCCTTGAACTCCTGGCTTTGCCCATTTTTTAATGGGTTTTTGTTGTGTTTTGGTTCCTTATATATTCTGGATATTAACCACCTTATCAGATAGGATTTGCAAATATCTTCTCCCACTTTTTCTTTTCTTTTTTTTTTTAGAGACAGGGTCTCCCTGTATTGCCCAGGCTGGTGTCAAACTCCTGGGTTCAAGTGATCCTCCTGCCACAGCCTTCCAAAGTGTTGGGATTACAGGCATGAGCCACCATGCCCGGCCCCATCTTCTCCCTCTTAGTGGGTTGCCTTTTCACTCTGTTGTGTCCTTTGGCTTCTTACTATAAAACGAAAATAAAATTCTAAGCCCCCCAACCAACTGAATAGGCCCATCCTCTCAGCCAAGGGCATTCTAAAGTAAACCTGAGGCCAGTTGCAGTGGCTCATGCCTGTAATCTCAGCCCTTTGGGATGCCAAGGCAGGTGAATCACTTAAGGGCAGGAGTTCAAGACCAGCCTGGCCAACATGGTGAAACCCTGTCTCTAGTAAAATCACAAAAATTAGGCAGGCAAAGCGGTGGGCCCGTAATGCCAGCTACTTGGGAGGCTGAGGCAGGAGAATCGCTTGAACCTGGAAGGTGGGTGTTGCAGTGAGCTGAGATCATGCCATTGCACTCCAGCCTGGGTGACAAAGCGAGACTCTGTCTCAGGAAAAAAAAAAAAAACAGAGACCTTAACACTGACACACTTTGTAGCAGTAAGATACCAATGTGACAGCAGGTCCATCCCCCCACCCCCACCTCTGAGTTGTCCCATCTTTCTGAACTGAACCAATGTATATTTAACATGTATTGATTGATGTCTTACGCTCCCTAAAATGTATATAAAACCATGCTGTAGCCCAAACACCTTGGGCACATCTTCTCAGGATCTCCTGAGGCTATGTCATGGGCCATGGTCACTTAAATTTGGCTCAGAATAAATCTCTTCAAATATTTTACAGAGTTTGACTCCGTCGACATTACAATTTTGGAAAAGTAAACATTTTAAAAATAAAATTTGGGGGCAGATGTGGTGTCTCATGCCTGTAATGCTAGCATTTTGGGTGACCAAGATGGGAGGACTGTTAAGAGGCCAGGAGTTTGAGACCAGCCTAGGCAACATAGTGAGACACCCATCTCTATAAAAAAAATTAGCCCCACATTGTGGCATGTGCCTGTAGTCCTAGCTACTCGGGAGGCTGAGTGAGGCAGGAGGATCATTTGAGCACAGGAGTTCTAGGCTATAGTGAGCAAGACTTTGTCAATATAACACAATGCAATAGAAAAATTAAACATTTTAAAAATAGAAATAATCTCTCAACTTGAGGCAACACACACACACACACACACACACACACACACACACACACACACATAAAATTGGAACAGACCTCTAAATGTCCTCCCTGGGAATAATTAAGAACCTCTGCACTACCCATCCACCCCAATTCCCCTTCCTTGCACTGCCAAATGAGATGGACCCCAAGAGTATAGATACTTCAGTCCTCTCATTTTCTCTTTTATGTGAACCTCAAAGAACCTAGTCACCCCATGCAGAAGACATGTGGAGACAAACAAAAAAGGACATATGTAACCAGCTATTTACTGAAGCAAATATAACAATTTCTGGTGCTTATTATTTTGAGAGGGAGTCTTGCTCTGTCGCCCAGGCTGGAGTGCAGTGGCACAATCTTGACTCACTGCAACCTCCACCTCCCGCATTCAAGCGATTCTCCTGCCTCAGCCTCTCGAGTAGCTGAGATTACAGGCACATGCCACCACAGCCGGCTGATCTTTTTTTTTTTTTTTTTTTTAAGACAGGGTTGCACCATTGTTGACTAAAAGAGTCAAACTCTGTAAAATATTTGAAGAGATTTATTCTGAGCCAAATATGAGTGACCATGGCCCGTGATACAGCCCTCGGGGTCCTGAGAACATGTGCCCAAGGTGGTCAGGGTACAGATTAGTTTTACATATTTTAGGGAGGCATGAGACATCAATCAAATACATTTAACAAATACATTGGTTTGGCTTAGAAAGCCGGGACAACTCAAAGCAGGGGCTTCCAGGCTATAGGTAAATTTAAACATTTTCTGGTTGACAATTGGTTGAGTTTGTCTGAAGACCTGGGATCAAAGGGAATGTTCAGGTTTAGATAGAAGATTGTGGAGACGGAGTTTTATTGGGCAGAGGAAGCGCTCAGATAAAAGACTTCAGAGAGAGCAGGTTGTAAAATGTTTCTTACAGGAATTAAAAAGGTGCCTGCTTCTTAGTTGATTATCTCCTGGATCTGGAAAGAAAGGAAGGAAAACAAAGGGAAAAGGGATTCTCTATAGGATGTGCATTTTTCCCACAAAAGACTTTGCAGGGCAATTTCAAGGTATGGCAAGGAAATGTATTTTGGGGTAAAACATTTTGATTTTCTTGTTATGCCAGAGTCAGATTGGAAAGTAAGTCACGATATACATGATTAAATAAAACCCATCTGATGAGAAGTCATGGTTTGTAAGGCATAACTCCCCAGTCCCCTTAGATAGGAAGATTAAAAAAAAAAAAAAAAATCAGAGCTTAGTCCTCACCATGTTGGCCAGGCTGGTCTCGAACTCCTGACCTCAAGTGATCCACCCCCTCAGCCTCCCAAAGTCCTGGGATTACAGGCGTGAGCCACCACACCCAGCCTTGATGCTTACTATCTAATGTACTGCAGTAAAAGAAATGAATTCCATACCTCATGTCCAGGAGAATCTCTTCTCCCTGACAGTGATGAAGGTGGAATACACAATTTTATGAATATTTTTAACCATGAACTTGAACTGGTCTCTAAGAAATAGCTTATTTTCCTAGTTTTAAACTTAACACAACTTATCTAATATCTAAAATGTGTGAAATTCAACATGAAAGTAAACTAAAGAAGAGACTGGGCCGGGCATGGTGGCTCATGCCTGTATTCCCAGCACTTTGGGAGGCCGAGGCGGGCGGATCACCTGAGGTCAGGAGTTCGAGACCAGCCTGGCCAACATGGTGAAACTCTGTCTCTACTGAAAATAAAAAAATTAGCCAGGAGTGGTGGCCGGCACCTGTAATCCCAGCTACTCGGGAGGTTGAGGCAGGATAACCGCTTGAACCTGGGAGGTGGAGGTTGCAGTGAGCCAAGGTCATGCCATTGCACTCCAGCCTGGGGACAAGAGCCAGAGACTTCATCTGAAAAAAAAAAAAAAAAGAGAGAGACTGTGGCATGCTTTTAGCAGAATTCCCTTCTGCATGCCTGAAAGGTAGAAAATTTGTGTACCTATCGAATACCCACAAGCTAGCTGTATTTTATTTCTTCCTAAGTTGAAATTGCAAAATTATAACTGAGACAGTGAAAGAGATCTGACCTCACCAACTCCATCTTGCTTCCAACCAGTCCTTGTTCATTCCTGGGAGTGGGCCAAACTAACTTTGGGAGGAACTTAATTTATAGTTTATAGTTTGAAACAAAAATAACAGCTCTGGCCAGGCACGGTGGCTCACGCCTGTAATTCCAGAATTTTGGGAGGCCAAGGCAGGCAGATCACTTGAGGTCAGGAGTTCAAGACCAGTCTGGCCAACATGGCGAAACCCCATCTCTACTAAAAATACAAAAATTAGCTGGGTGTGGTGGTGCGCACCTGTAATCCCAGCTACTTGGGAGGCTGAGGCGGGAGAATTGCTGGAGGTGGAGGTTGCAGTGAGCCTGAGATCGCACCACTACACTCCAGTCTGGGCGACAGAGCGAGACTCTTGTCTCAAAAAAAAGAAAAAAAGTAATAGCTCTTTCCCAAAACAAACCCCCTTCTTGCCTGGGGACTAGATTGCCTCCTTTGTAGGACTAACAAATTAGCCACAAGATTAGAAATTACAGTTTAGGAGTCATAGAGCTGGAGGCTACAAGATTCTGACCCTCCCCATATTGCTCCTGGGGATAACATCATTATTGTAAAACCTAAGATCAGAGATTGAGATATTTCCCAGACCCTGCACTTGATGGATCAGCTGACATCTGCCATATCAGTAAACTGGCTCATCTTGTGGCCCCCACCCAGGAACTGACTCAAGACAGATTTGACTCCCTATGATTTCATCTCCAACCCAACCCATCAGCACTCCCAATTTACTAGGAGTGAACCCCACCCACCAAATTATCCTTAAAAACTCTGATCCTGGAATGCTCAGGGAGAGTGATTTGAGTGATAAAACTCCAGTCTTCTGCACAGCTGGCTCTGCATGAATAACTCTTTCTCTATTGCAATTCCCTTGTCTTGAATAAATTGGCTCTATCTAGGCAGAGGGCATGGTGAACCTGTTGGGTGATTACCTAATTCGACATATTCATACTCTTGAGTTCAAATTTATACATATTGTTAGGCTTTTATTAGTCAACTTTCACAACATATTAAGGATAGAAAGTTCTCTAAATCTTGGATAAAAGAGACAGAAGACACACAAAAGTTATACAGGCCAGGCACAATGGCTCACGCCCATAATCCCAACACTTCAGGAGGTTGACTCAGGAGAATCACTTGAGGCCAAGAGTTCAAGACCAACCTGGACAAAGCAAGACCCCATTTTTAGAAAAATTATTTTTTTGTTAATAAGTTATACAGTTGCCAAGGATTAAAAAGCAAATTAGTAGAAGAACTTTAGAAAGAAATCTAAGAAACTGATTATGGACTTCATCCACTGGACCTCACTTTCTCCCAGTAAACTGAAAAAATAACATTATTTTGAAAGCCAAAGACTGAGGAACAGAAACAGTTTTAAATGTCAAGAGGTCTTTATTGAAATAATAGCACAGTTACACTTCTAATACCCTTTCCACTTGTATACAACAGATGAAAAATGCTTGCTACATACAGTGCACAGACAGTTCAATAATGAGAACTAATACAACTGCATTTGAAATAAATAAAATAGCCTATTTAAATAATTTAAAGTAAAATTACTGTACAATATGAAAATAAAGATACATAAATGTTAGAATCTACAAAGCTGTAGAAATAAAATCATTATTCTGCATTACACAAAACAGTGCAAGAAAAAAATCCAAATAAGCTTTTGGAGTGCAAAGTTTAAATCTTCCATTTTAAATTATCATGCAGACATAGCATTTCAAGCCATGCTATGGTCTATGTCAAGGATTTTAATTTTTAAGGAGAAAAATGCCAGTAAATTTACTGTACCATCAAGTGTTGCATCACATAACTGCTGCTGCTCTGCTTCTACAGTTCAGTTTGGAAGGGAGGTATCCTGTTGCATTCAAAAAACTGAAGTTAACAAGTTTCTGAAGCAAACACATTTACCTTTTAGCCTGAAACAAAATTATATGACAAAATAATCATATCCCTGGGTTTAAGAAAAAAGGGCCTATACCATGTAGTAAACTAAGAAGCAGTTTTTCATTCATCTTTAAACTCCACAATGATCCTTAAGTGAAAGCAACCATGTAACTTTTGAGTGACATATATTATGGAATTCTGACCTCTAGAAGACAAGTGATAATACAATATGGGATCGTGAGAAGAGCAAAAGTAATTCTGAACACCTGGGAAGTTTAATCTGGGAGGAACTTGGTTGCATTACATTTAATAATATAGTTGAAGTATAATTCCATTTCAATGTGCATATAAAACTGTTATTTAGGCAAAGACCAAGGAATGCATTGAATACTAAACCGTAAACACATTGTCCATCCTGACTTGGAGTGCACACCAACAACTGAAGAGCTCTTCTGCAGACTTTGGCAACGAGACTACATATAGCAGGTCACAGCAGCACGAGCTCACATGGAAGACTGAAAGCACTGCGGAATAACACCACCCAACACCTCCTATCAGTGGGATACATGGTAATAAGGGGCCTCTTCGTGCTAAACCACTTTCCTGGACACTATGTTCTTCAGATTTGTAATTTTCACAACTCAGTAGTCTTAAGTCTCTGTGCTTTTGCTGCATAGACTGACATGCGGTGTGCTCTACCCATTGTAAGTCCAGAGGGTGACAGTTCTATCTGCAGAGGATGACAGGAAGGAAAGATCCTGGGTGTGCCATCTGCACTGAATCACTTTGTCCTTGTGCTCCCCCACCACCATGATAGGAAGCTGCTTGGTGAGGTCCCCTAAATTACAAAAGAGATGTTGATTTACAATGCAAAATAAGTATATGTATAGATTGTATAGACTTCCTGTTACTTTAAGACATTACAGTATAAAAAATCTTAAACTACATTAATATAATACATTGAAAGGTTTATACAGGGATAAATTACTACCTACCTAATTATGCTATTAGTATTTGCTAACATATACCCATACAGCAACATTTGACAAGTTGCCTCTCTCTCTCTCTCGGAAATTCTCTCAACTTGATTTCTCCCTGATTTCAGTGCCACTTCATCTTTTGCTAGTTTCCCTTTTCTTCTTGACGTAAAGCTTGGTGAATCCCAGGAGTCAACCCTCAGATTTCTTCTGTTCTCTCTGTACCTAACTTCCTAAAAAATTTCATCTAGCAACATGGCCATTTATATATTTACAATTCATACATATTTTATCTCCAATCTTGGTTCTCATCTGAGCTCCAGACTAGTATCCAAATAGTCATTCAATATCTCACTTGTCTGATAGTCATCCTAATTTAAACTTGTCTAAAACCAAACTCTTGGTTTTCTTGCCTAAACCTGTTCCTCCCCTTACCTGCCTCCCTTATCTCAATGGCACCATCTGGTTGCTCATGACAAAAACCTAGGAATCGTCATTGATTCCTTTTCCCCTCACTCCTCAAAGCTGATCCAAACAAAATATATCTCAAATTTAGTCATTTCTTACTACCTCCACCTCCACCACCCTAGTCCAAGCCACCATCATCTCACCTGAACTATTCCAACAGCCTCCTCACTGACATTTATATTTCTACTCTTGCCCCCTTACAATCTACTCTCCCTACAGAACCCCAAATTCTCCAAAAATATAATTCAGCTCCTATCCCTTCCAGTTAAAATCTTCCAAAGGCTTCACATTATACTTTTTAAAATGCTTATAGCCCACCAACTATAATAAATGTACCACTGTGGAAGGGGATACTGATAATGGGGGAGGCAGGCTATGCATGTGTGAGTCAGGAGTATATGGGAAATCTCCGTATCTCTCAATTTTGCTGTTAACCTATAACTGCTATTAAAAATAAAGCCCTTAAAAAAAATGTCTATAGGCCGGGCGCGGTGGCTCACGCCTGTAATCCCAGCACTTTGGGAGGCCAAGGCAGGCAGATCACGAGGTCAGGAGATCAAGACCATCAAGATCAAGGCTAACATGGTGAAACTCTGTCTCTACTAAAAATACAAAAAATTAGCCAGGTGTGGTGGCGGGCGCCTGTAGTTCCAGCTACTTGGGAGGCTGAGGCAGGAGAATGGCATGAACTGGGAGGTGGAGCTTGCAGTGAGCCGACATTGCACCACTGCGCTCCAGCCTGGGCGACAGAGCGAGACTCTGTCTCAGAAAAAAAAAAAAAAAAAGTCTATAAAACCCTGCCTCTGATTTATTCTTCTGTGTCTCTCTCTCTTAGTTCACTAAGTTCCAGGCACATTGGCTTCCTGTAGTGTCATGAACGTGCTAAGCTGGTTCCTACTTCAGCATCTTTATACTTGCTGTGCTCTTCTCCTAATATCCTGGCCTGGCTTGTTCCTCCTCATCATTCTGGTCTCTATGCAAATGGCATTTCCTTGGAGAGACCTACTCCAATTATCCTATTTAAAATAGCCTTCCCCCTGCAGTGAGCCAAGATGCACCACTGCACTCCAGCCTGGGCAACAGAACAAGACTCTGTCTCAAAATAAATAAATAAATAGCCTTCCCCTATTCACCCTAGTCACTATCTCCCTACCATACTAATTTTTTAAACAGCACAAATACCTAAAATTACATTGTTTATTGGTTTACTTTTTATTGACCTCTAAAATATAAGCTCCATCAGGGAGGGAATTAACTGTCTTATTCTCATCTGTCAGTCCCTAATTGATATACAATAAATATTTGCTTGATGAATGTTTAAAACTAAAACTAGATACTAAGACCTAATTACAAAGATTGTATGCTAATGATTTTTTAATGTAGAAGCTAATAACAGTACACAAATCCATCATTTATCTCAGAATGAGTCACTATAAATAAATGTTGATTTTAAAAAATATCTTAAGCGGAGGCAGGAGGATCACTTGAGGCCTGGAATTCAAAACCAGCCTGGGCAACATGGCAAGATCCCATCTTTACAAAAAAATTTTTAAAATGTGCCATCCATGGTGGTGCACAGATGTAGTTCCAGCTATTCGGAGGCTGAGGCAGAAGGATGGCTTGAACCCAGGAGGTCAAGGGTGTAGTGAGCAATAATCGTGCCACTGCACTCCAGCCTGGGTGAAAGAGTGAGACCCTGCCTCAAAAAAAAAAAATCAAAAACTAACAATAAGGTTGGGCATGATGGCTCACGCCTATAATCCCAGCACTCTGGGAGGCCAATGCAGGCAGATCGCTTGAGCTCAGAAGTTTGAGACCAGCCTGCGCAACATGGCAAAATTTTGTCTCTACAGAAGATACAAATATTAGCCAGGTGAGGTGGCATGCACCTGTAGTCCTAGCTACTTGCAGGGCTGAGGTGGGAGGATCACTTGAGCAGGGGAGATAAGAGGATACAGTGAGCTAAGATCACACCACTGCACTCCAGCCTGGGCGACAGAGCGAGACCCTGTCTCAAAAACAAAAACAGGCTGGGCGTGGTGGCTCACGCCTGTAATCCCAGCACTTTGGGAGACGAAGGCGGATGGATCACTTGAGCCCAGGAGTTCGAGACCAGCCTGGGCAACATAGTGAGCCCCTGCCTCTATAAAAACAAAAACAAAACCTAACAATAAGACTATTCACTGCTTATTTAATAATTTGCTATTATATATCTTAATATAGTCTCAGAATCTGCTCAATAAATACTATAAAATAATTGAAAGTATTATATAATCAACCACATCACATTAACAAAAAAATAAAGGTCCCAAATAGAACAGGAAAGACTAAAAACAGAGAAGTCGATCTCAATCACCTTGTAGGTCTGTCACCTTTATTTTCATATCATAAGAGCCTGTTAGCAAGTAGTGAGCTCCAGGGGAGAATCGAACAGAGCGAACATCACTGGAATGAGGATGATAACTTTGTACCATTCTTCCTCCTCTTATGTCATACAACATGCAGCTAGAATCTTCTTGACCTGTGGCTAAGAGACGACCACTGGGATCTACAGCTACAGATGCCACTGCACTGCCTGTAGTGGTAGGAATGAAAGTTTAAATACAGAAAATCAATATACCCAAATGGCAACACAGCTGATTATGTCCATTGAACCATATACTAAAGATTTAATGTAGTTTATCAATACTATTCAGCGATGAAAAAATCCAAATTAACAGTTAACCAATAAACAGTTGTGTCCTTTTAAGGCCCAAGGCCTAAACAAAATTTTGTAAGAAATGAGAAAGTCCATTTTTTGTCATTTGAGAGAACTGTGTGCAACAGCATCACCTATAGTGCAATAGATGAGCCATGCTACAGAAACCACTTTTCTCAATCCAGTGTTTTCACTACTGGAAGTATCTAGAAATGCTCCTATACCCAGCTAAGAGTGTAGTTAAAGAGACAAGAAATTCAGTAACAAAATGTATTTTAGGACAACAGTATAGGAAATGTACTAAAGCAACACAAGATTACTGCCAATAGGAACTGTGAACAGAAAATAAGCTCTTGGGGGCATATATTCAGGGCAACTTGAATCCTTGTCTCCCAGAAATAAAATAAATAATTTTATTTTATAAATTATTATAATTAATAATTATTTTGTTAATTAATTATACAGGCTGGGCGCGGTGGCTCATGCCTGTAATCCAGCACTTTGGGAGACCGAGGCAGGTGGCTCACAAGGTCAGGAGATCGAGACCAGCCTGGCCAACATGGTGAAACCCCATCTCTACTAAAAATACAAAAGTTAGCCGAACGGAGTGGCACGTGCCTGTAATCCCAGCTACTCACGATGCTGAGGCAGGAGAATCGCTTCAACCTGGGAGGCGGAGGTTGCAGTGAGCTGAGATTGCGCCACTGCACTCCAACCTGGGCGACAGAGCGAGACTCCATCTCAAAAAAAAATAATAAATTTTTTTGAGACAGAGTGAGACCCTGTCTCAAAAAAATAAATTAAAAAAAAAAAAGTTTGAATAACACTGCTCTAGACCAAAGTGGTCTAGGAAGACTTCATAAAAAAATGGGACACAAGTTAGACCTTGAAAAACAATAAACAGCATAAATAAGAGTATGTATGTATGTATACACAGGCGAACACATACATTTGTATGTAATAAAGAATAATCTTTTCTTGAAATACTGAAAGAGAAGAGGGCTATTACGATCAGGAAGAATTACATGAGAAAAGGTTTAGAGGAAAAGTATAAAACAGCTTACAGGAAGGTAGATCAGTTTGGCTGGAGATAAAAGTTAACTTGAAAGGCAGCTTGAAACTGAAATGCAAAAGGTAGGTTAGGGCCAGGCCGTCAAGCGCCTAAATCTCAAACTGCAGAGTTTTGAACTTGTCTCTGTAAACAGTAAAGCATCATTGTAGGTTTCTAAGCAAGAGAATTACATGATTCGAGCAGTACTTTGAGTAATCTAAGTGAAAATGTGTATCAAATTAAAGTGGAAAGATTGTAGAACAAAAGAGGCCACTAGAAGACAAGAAAGATTTCAGGAACAAAACCTGAATAAACAGTCAACAGTCTTGGAAATTAACTGCCTGAGTGGGGCAGTTAATTAAAATAAAGCAAAAATGAGTCCCAGATTTCAAATCTAGTTGCATGAGAAAATAAGAGAACCATTATCAAAACTAGGGAAGAGGAAAAAAAAAAAACAGTAAGGAAGGTGGGAAGAATAACTGATTTAGAGGAGAAATACAGTTTAGTTTTACACGTACAAAGTTTATAGTGTCAACAAAAATCTTCATTCGTTTACTCAAAAAAGTTATTAAATCATTACTCCCTTAGGCCAGGCACTATGGTAGGTGCTAAACCTCTTCTGAAAATAAAACAGGTATCATTGCTGCCTTGATGAAACTTAAAATCTATTGGAGGAGGTAAGCACTAAACAAGTAAACAAGTACATAATTTTAAATAGTGATAAGAGTTCAGTAATAGAAAATAATGGCGAGGTCCCAATTAGGTAAGTCAAAGAAGGCCTCTCTGGCTAGGTGGCATTGAAGTTAAGACCTAAAGACACGAAGGACCTAACCATGAGAAGACAAGAGGAGGAACATTTCCAACTAAGGAAACAGCATATGGCTTTACTGGACATGGGAGGAGCTTGGCATGTTCCAGGAATTGAAAAGAAAAAAGTAAGTGATCTGAGGTGAGACTAGAAGGGTAAAAATGCCAAATCAAGCAGGCTCCTGTAGGTCGTGATAACAAGTGTGTACTTTAAGATTTAAAGTCACTGAAGGTGTGAGGTGACCAGGCTTATTTTTTCAAAAGCATACTTTGACTGCTACGTGGATTGCAGACTAAAGGGAGCACAAGTGAAAGTGTATGGTAAGGAAGCTATTGCTGTGGTTCAGTTGAGAGATGATGGTGGTTTATGCTATTTATCCTAGAGTGGTAGCAATAAACAGGAAAATAGGTAACTGGGTTTTTTTCTTTTTTTTGAGACAGAGTCTCACTCTGTCGCCCAGGCTGGAGTGCAGTGGCATGATCTTGGCTCACTACAACCTCCGCCTCCCAGGTTCAAGCGATTCTCCTGCCTCAGCCTCCCCAGTAGCTGGGATTACAGGCGCCCACCACCACGCCTAGCTAATTTTTTTGTATTTTTAGTAAAGGCAGGGTTTCACCATGTTGGCCAGACTGGTCTCGAGCTCCTGACCTCAGGAAATCCACCCACCTCGGCCTCCCAAAGTGCTGGAATTACAGGTATGAGCCACCACACCCGGCCAGGTGCAACTCCTGGAACATTTAACTTTTAGATCATGTAGCTGAGGCATAAAGTTGTTATATACCATGTTTGGTGTAAGTTTGTCTTACTGTTTCTCTACTAAGAACTCTTTTTAAGGCCAGGCGCGGTGGCTCACGCCTATAATCCCAGTACTTTGGGAGGCCAATGCGGGCAGATCACCTGAGGTCAGAAGTTCGAGACCAGCCTGGCTAATAAGGTGAAACCTCGCCTCCACTAAAAATACAAAAATGAGCTGGGCGTGGTGGTGCCTGGCTGAGGCATGAAAATCGCTTGAACCCAGGAGGCAGAGGTTGCAGTGAGCTGAGATTACACCATGGCACTCCAGCCTGGGCGACAAAGTAAGATTCTCAAAAACAAAAACGAGCTGGGCGTGGTGGCACGCACCTGTAGTCCTAGCTACTTGGGAGGCTGAGGCAGGAGAATCACTTGAACCTGGGAGACGGAAGTTGCAGTGAGCAGAGATTGCACCACTGCACTCCAGTCTGGGTGACAAAAGCGAAACACTCTCTCAAAAAAAAAAAAAAAAAGAACTCTTTTTAAATGTGGCTTGTTATTGTAGCACTTTTTACACTGAAACTATACTTGAACAGTTCCAAGCTGTATATACTGTATGAAGCTTGTCCTCTGAATGCATTTTAATTTCTACATGAAATTTCATATCTTACAGTGTCCCGTAAATAAAGATTAAAGTCCATCCTTTAATTAAAAAAAAAAAAAAAGGCCAGGCACGGTGGCTCACGCCTGTAATCCCAGCACTCTGGAAGGCCGAGGCAGGCGGATCACGAGGTCAGGAGATCGAGACCATCCTGGCTAACATGGTGAAACCCCGTCTCTACTAAAAAATATACAAAAAAATTAGCTGGGCATGGTAGCAGGCGCCTGTAGTCCCAGCTACTCAGGAGGCTGAGGCAGGAGAATGGCGTGAACCCGGGAGGCGGAGCTTGCAGTGAGCCGAGATTGCGCCACTGCACTCCAGCCTGGGCAACCTGGGTGACAGAGCGAGACTCCGTCTCAAAAGCAAAAAAAAAAAAAAAGAATTTTATGAGCCTAGCACACAGAATAGGTTTCAGCTAGAGATAAAAATATAAGTCTTTCAGTATATGAGTTACACTTAAAGCCGGGGAAATGGATGTAATCATCTAAAGAAAGAAGAGACTAAAGTCCTGAGTCCTAGGGAATGCCAGAATTTAGAATTTGAGCAAAGAGAAAGAGCCAGCAAAAGAATAATACCCAGAAAGGTAAGAGAATAGCAGAAAGCCCAAAAGAAAAGTGGAAGAAGTCAACTGTGTTGCATGACACTGAGAGCTGAAGCAAAATTAGGATATAAAAGTGATTTGACAACCAGAAGTTTGTTGGTGATCTTGAAAAAGACAGCATTTGTTATAATGGTTGCAGCAGGAACCACATTAGAATAAGTTAAAGACTGAGGGTAAGGAAATGGCTAACGATATATATAGGCAAGACTTTTGAGATATCTGAGTAAAAAAGGAAGCAAAAATTGAGGGTAAGAACTGGAAGGGGGATAAGGAGATCAAGAGATGAATTTTTGGCATTGCCAATTCCATAAAATGTTTGTATGTGCATGATAGAGAAGCAGAGGAGGAGAGATACAGTAAGAGGAAGACATTAATGTTATCAGAGAGAGGAGACGACCAAAAACTAGAAGTCTCTGAAATGGAGAAAAGTGGCCTGAAAATAATGTAGAAAGCTAGAGTTTAAAAATAAATTAGTGGTAAGTGTATAGAAACTACACAAATAAACAAACAAACAAACACAATTATTAACCCCAAGGAAAATATACACAGGAAAAAAAATAAGCCATGAATGGCATCGTCCTGGTTAAAATAATGTAAACAATGACTAACTGAGCTAACCAAAATTGATATATCAAAAAGATGCAGAGGGGCTGGGCAGGGTGGTGTGTGCCTATGGTCCCAGCCACTCGGGAAGCTAAGGCGGGAGGATGGCTTGAACCTGGAAGTCAAAACTGCAGTGAGCCATGACTGCGACACTGCATTCCAGACTAGGTGACAGAACAAGACCCTGTCTCAGAACAAAACAAAACAAAAAAACAAAACAAAAGAAAAGATGCAGAGAGAGGAAAAATATATGTGAATGTGGGATGATGGGAGTTGGAAAGGCACATGAAAAAGTTAAATCTTAATCTATGGTAGGAAGTCAATAAATAATCCTAAAGATAAGAAAATAAATAAATACGAATATTTCCCTTATTCACATACAAATTCTTCCTCTCTCCACATCTTTTCAATAGAGTTATATCAGTTTTGGTTAGATCAGTAGTCATTGTTTACATTATTTTAACCAGGGCAATGCTGTTTTTCTTAATAAGCCTTATTGAATTGCTTGATTTCTTAAACCAGGGGTCCCCAAGCCCCAGGCCACTGACTGACAGCAGTCTATGGCCTGTTAGGCACCGGGCCACACAGCACGAGGTGAGTGACAAATGAGTGAGCATTACCACCTGAGCTCCGCCTCCTGTCAGATCAGTGGTGGCATTAGATGCTCACAGGAGCGGGAACCCTACTGTGAACTGCACATGTAAGGTATCTAGGTTGCGTGCTCCTTATGAGAATCTAATGCCTGATGATCTGCAGTGGTTTCATCCCTAAACCATCCCTACCCCTTCCCACCCCACCCATGGAAAAACTGTCTTCCACGAAACTGATTCCTGGTGGGTGCCAAAAAGGTTGCGGACTGCTGCCTTAAACTGTCATATATTAATTTTGAAAATGATACAAACTAAATTTTAACAAATCAATGATCATGGACTCAAATGTGCTGTAAAACATCATATCTGGTTTGAATCAAAGTGCAGAAAAAAGTCCATGAAACTCAAAAGAATAAACAAGGCATTAAAAAAAACACTAAAAATTTAGAATACAAGGCAGATCTTTTCACTTGGAATAGTACCATAGAATTCTCTTCTAATTCTGCTATTAAAAACTACAAAGGACCAGGCGTGGTAGCTCACACCTGTAATCCCAGCACTTTGGGAGGTGGAGGCAGGTAGATCACCTGAGGTCAGGAGTTTGAGACCAGCCTGGCCAATATGGTGAAACCCAATCTCTACTAAAAATACCAAAATTAGCCGGGTATGGTGGTGGGCGCCTGTAGTTCCAGCTACTCAGGAGGCTGAGACAGGACAATCACCTGAACCTGGGAGGCAAAGGTTGCAGTGAGCCAAGATTGTGCCACTGCACTCCAGCCTGGGTGACAGAGGGAGATTCTGTCTCAACAACAACAACAACAAAAAAACTACAAAGGCAGAAAAGGTACTTCAGAATAAAATAAGGATAAAGGCAGAATACTGTGTCACTCTTAGATACCATGCTTAAAAGGTGGTACAATGCAGCCAGGAGTGGTGGCTCATGCCTGTAATCCCAGCACTGTGGGAGGCTGAGGCAAGCAGATCATGAGGATAGGAGATCAAGACCATCCTGGCCAACATGGTGAAACCCCGTCTCTACTAAAAAATGCAAAAAATTAGCTGGGCATGGTGGCGGGCTCCTGTAGTCCCAGCTACTTGGGAGGCTGAGGCAGGAGAATGGTGTGAACCCAGGAGGCAGAGCTTGCAGTGAGCCAAGATCACGCCACTGCACTCCAGCCTGGGCGACAGTGTGAGATTCCATCTCAAAAAAAAAAAAAACCAAAGAGGTGGTACAATGCAAAGAACAGTACATGGAACAATCCAAGACATCCTGTTAAGTTTAGAAAGAGAAATTTGTAATGCATGCTACCATTTGTGTGTGTGTGTGTGTGCGTGTGTGTGTATTTGTGTTTACAGGAGAAGGGAGATTAGGGTACATACAAACTTTCTGGTTACATATTTATAGAATATTTCTGGAAGAATAAATAAGAAATTGGTCCTTTAGTGAAAGAGAGACCAAGAAATAGGAATGGAAAGAAAATAGTACACTCTTTTGTTCAATTTCACTTTTTGCCATGTGCATGCATTTTAAAAAATGTTTCTAAAGGTCTGAGTTCTAAAATGGCCCTGCTAACAGACAATCTGGGACATTATATTTAATCTCCCTGGGCCTTGGTTCCCTAAGCTGAATATTATTTTTACAAATAAGGTAACAAATGCAAGTATTGTGAAAGAACTGAAAGTAACTAATAAAATATCAAGTATTTATTTCACAATTTTTTCTATTTTTTATATTGCAGGGGAGAAGAAGTAGACTAGTCTAATTTACAAAGTTTTTTTCCCATATATATCATTTAAAGAAAAACCTACCAGTTCCATGAAATGTTGTGCCAACAACACGAACACAACTTGGTACTCGAAGATCCCAAAATCTAACAGTCTTATCTTGGGAACCAGATGCAATCATCCAGCCACTCCAGGTATAAAGTGCTAAAATATGCCCTATAAAAGATCATATACTCAATTATTAAGGTGGGAGAGTATCTTTCCATAACATATTCAAAGCTAAGCACTCTAGAGTTGGGCAAGGTGGCTCATGCCTATAATCCCAGCTACTCAGGAGGCTGAGGCAGGAGGACTGCTGGAGCCCAGGAGTTCGAGGCTGCAGTGAGCTATGATCAAGCCACTGCATTCCAGCCTGGGCAACAGTGCAAGACCCTGTATCTGAAAAAAAAGAAAAAGCTAAGTACTCCTTATTTACAGGGCAAGTGGTGGTCTGGTTAGTCAAATATACTATGTGATAGAGATTTTTCACATTTATCAAATAGATTGACAATTTTAAAAATAAAATAAAACTCAGTAAAATGCACAACATCAAAACCATACTAGGCCAGGCATGGTGGCTCATGCCTGTAATCCCAACACTTTGGGAGGCTGAGACAGGATGATTGCTTGAGCCCAGGAGTTCAAGACCAGTCTGGGCAACATAGTGAGACACCATATCTACAAAAAAATTTTAAACTATCCAAGCATGGTAGCACGTGCCTATAGTCCCAGCTACTCAGGAGGCTGGGTGGGAGGATCACTTGACCTCAGGAGGTTGAGGCCGCAGTGAGCTGTGATTGTGCCACTGCACTCTGGACAGTAAGAGCAAGACCCTGTCTCTTAGAAAAGAAAATGCAGAGAGGAAAAAAAAGCACAGATTGAACAAAAAGAAAAACAGCACTTGAAACTGATATTACATACCAGTATGTCCACTCAAAGCATGGAGGCCCTGTCCTCTTTGACAATCGGTTGTATAAATGTTACAATCCCCTGCTCCAGCACTTATTAAAATAGCTCCTCCGCTTTCTGGGCCTTCCATAAATGCCAAGTCTCTAATTGTTCCATCATGCATACTAAATTCCAGATCTGGTCCTGAAACAGTAGTAAGAATTAAAAAAAAAAAATGCTGCTCAACTTACTGTGATAACTTGAGATTGCTAAACTACCTCAAAACTGGTCAAGAATAATGGTTTAGAAATATGGTTTGTATTTTCATTTAGGGATTGGTATTATAAGCAGTTTCACTTTACTGAGCAAAGAATTTTATCAAAATAGCTGTTACCACAGGGTTATCTTGTCTCTTATCCCAAAGAAAAAGAAGACAAGTGATCTCTAGAAAACATCTGGTAGCTATTTAAAGGCTATTTTTCTAATAATAATTTTATAAAACTCAAACACCACCTAGACACCTGTAAGAATTTACTAAGAAAGAGTAATACCTCATGAATGTAACTAAACAATTAGAATTATTGAAAAAATTATTCTTTAAGATTATATTCTTGGATTTCATTAAAGACAATACAGAAATACAACATGGAGAAAACATAACATATACACTGGTAAGCTAGCTACTGCTTACATACTTGGGCCCTACCTGTTGCGTTACAAGTCTCTGCATTGAAGGGCAGCACTTTGACGTATTTGTCATTTGATCCTGTTGCTAATAACTGCCCACAAGGACTCCAGGCCACACAGTAAATGGATCCTTTATGATGTTTATTCCTTTTAAAACGTACCACCGGCTGCTTAGGAGTCTCATGTGCACTGAAAAGAAAAATTACAGAAATATATTTCAATTTCTTGCTTGCTACAATCAGTTATGAGGTTCCATATTATACTTGTTCTTGAAGGAAGGAGAAAAAGCGTGTCAGACAACAGCTTATTAATAGTTTTCAAAATCATAGAAGAAATAAAATTAGCAGCATACTTAAAACCCAAAAAGTAAAATTATAAACCAAATCATACTAAACTCTCATTTCAGATGACAAAGGAAACAGGATATACGACTTAAAAAAAAAATCTCCGTTTCTCATATTTTTCATGGATTTTAAACTCAGAAACAAAAAAAATTAAAAAAGCTAACAATGCTTCCAAATTTAAAAAAAAAATGCAATAAGCATGTAATAAACATATAATAAACACATAATAAACATGTAATAAACATATAATGTGAGCAATGTGCAAGAGTTCTGTCCAGAGTTTAAAATCTGGTACAGGTAGATATTGTCATGAGACTACCCATATACAGTAAGGCAAGTATAAGTTGTTACATAGTCCAGTATAAAGCACTGGGCCTTAAAGGATAAGGCAAATTTTTACAGAAAAATAAGAAGGCAGGAGAACCACTTTAGTGACAATAAAATATAGTAGGGAAAGTACTGGCTGAGCATGCAGCAATGGAAAGAGTCTGTGGGGCTAGCAGTGAAAAGCATGAGGTATTTAGTAGAGTGAGCAGGAGTGATGTGGTGGGTGAGGCACTGCAGGCTCAGCTGTGGAGGGTTCTAAATGCCATGCTCCTCAAGAGTTTGTCCTTTAATGACAGTCAAACATTGGCTTAGTGGGGTAACAGCATTTTATCTACACTTTGAAACACGAACTAATATGACACTAAAGATTTCTAAATCAGGTATAATGATAAAATCAAGTCTATGTAAGAAAATGTACATGTTTCTGGAGATTCATCCTGAAGGATGAAAGGGTTAAATGACATATCTAAGATTTAAATACTTTAGCAAATGAACAAAAAAAGATGAATGAAGCAAATGTGACAAAAATCTTGACAACTATTGCATTTCAGCATACTAGTCTACTTTTGAGTCTTTGAAAATGTTCATAATTAAGAAATGTTTAAAAAACAAACAAGAAGACTGACAAATCTCTAATACCTAAAAAGTGTTTAATATTGATCTAGGCAGGGTGTGATGGCTCAGGCCTGTAATCCCAGCACTTTGGGAGGCCGAGGAGGGCGGATCAAGAGGTCAGGAAATCAAGACCATCCTGGCCAACATGGTGAAACCCCGTCGCTACTAAAAATACAAAAATCAGCTAGGCATCGTGGTGCATGCCTGTAGTCCCAGCTACTCAGGAGGCTGAAGCAGGAGAATCACTTGAACCCAGGAGGTGGAGGTTACAGTGAGCTGAGGTCGTGCCAGTGCACTCCAGCCTGGCGACAGAGTGAGACTCTGTCTCAAAACAAAAACAAAAAAAACCCAAAAAACTGATCTAGAGAACAGACCAGATAAAAAGATTTTCTTTTCAGCTGCACAACCAATTATCACCAAGTCCCACCGATTCCTTCCTTAAATGGATTATACCTCTCAAATCCACCCACTTTGCTCCACCTCCACTGCCATCACATTACCATCAAATACAAACAGCTTCCTCCCTCTCTCCCAGTGTCTCCTCTTATTGCCATCCAATCACAGGCAGAGTCATCATCTCAAAATACATTTACACTTGATCTGCTACTTTCAGTGGTGTCCCACTGCACTCAGCATGAAATATAAAATGGCTAGAAAGCTCTGCCTAATTTAGTTCATGTCTATCTCTGCGGCCTTATCAAACTCAAGCTCATAATTTTCCAACCAATCTGAATTTATTTCAGTTCCTAAAAAAAGCCAAGCTCTTTCTCACCTCACGTTCCCTCTATATTATTCTCTTCTCCCTTCTCTTTACATAGCTAGGTTACTCCTCCTTAGATCTCAACTTTAGTGCCTCTTCCTCAAAGAAGTCTTTCTCTGACTCGCCAGTTTGCACCCTACTCCATCCCCATTTTATTCTCACAGCACGTTGTAATCTTTCTTCATAACATTTACCAAAATGTATATTTGTGTTCATTTGCATTATATCCATCTTCCCCACTAAACAAGAAGTTCCATGAAGCCAATAAACATGTTTGTTTTACACACAACTATAGTACCTAGCACATAGGAGCCCAAAATATATATTTGCTAAATAAATGTATTTATTTTCAAATCAGTTTCTTCACAGCCTATGAAACATCTGTGTCTGTATAAGAAATACAAAAGATGAGAAACAGTTACCTTAAGTTCAAGTTAACCCTAAACATATAAGTCTTTGGTTCTACCTCCATAATTATTGCTATTTCTCACTCCCTTATAGAGAATTTTGCCATTCTTTCTTAAGTATTTCGACTTAAATAATGCAGTGAGCACCAGTAAATTATAATACTATCAATTAACATGGACCTTATTATATTCCCTTTCCCAATCATTAAATGCTACCACAGTCCAAAAGCCTAAATTATTGGTTTCAGACATAGAGATAGCAAAAAAAAAAAAAAAATGCAAATAAATGAAAAATCCCACCCCTGTTTCTCAAACTAGGGTTATAATTAAAAAGTCTTAAGAGGTGTAAAAGAGTAAGAGTTATATGTAAATTACATACATAATTTATAAATAGGTGTGTATGAATAGGAAAAAACACAGTATACGTAGGGTTCAGTACCAGCCAAGGTTTCAGGAATCCACTGGGGTTCTTAAATGTATCCCTTGCAAATAAGGGGGGTCTACTATATAAAGACTTTTCAGATAAAAAACAAAATACAAAAGCCATGGAAATAAAGAAGTCTAAAGCCATAAATGAGCAATGTTGTAATCAAAAACATTTTATGAAAAAATTATGAAGTTAATGACTTAAGTATATTTCCTAAGCACTGAAAGTAAAAACAGTTATTTTATAACAGAAAATAAAGTTTAATCGAAGGAAAGAAAGTAAGATTTGAAACACTACTGAATGGCAATTCTGAAAAAGGAACCTATACGGCTAAATTAAAAACTAAGGTAAGAATGGCAGCACAAATCATTGATCCTTACCTTGGATCAATTACATCTGGATAGGCACATACTCTCAGAGTTTTTGAATTTGAACCAACAGCATATAAACCTCCAGCTGGATGAAAAGCCACTGCTCTAACAGCTTGTGTGTCTTCTAGGATATTAATACAAACAAACTGCTTTTTTGATTTGTCATCCTATGGAAAGAATGAATATTAGTTATCCTATTAAAAAAATGAATTTGAAAGAATTCATCTTTCTCCCATTTTAAATTCATTTGAACTTTATTATTCTTGTTGGATCATGTTAGGTTTACTGCCAATAACCATATATTCTTTTCTCTATGTTTTTCTTACTTTATTAAATCTTACTAATATCCTTTAAGAGGCAAACACACAGACAAGTAGGCTACAGTGAAGAAATCTTATTTTGGAGAGTTAAGAAACCACTAAGATACTTCCAGGTATTATCATCAGTGATGCTTCTTATCTTTACTCTGGGACACCAGGTAATATTAAACCCCTACAGCTACCACAAATGCAGCAAATCTTTGAATCCTTTTAATAATGCACCATCAGAGGAAACATTGTTTGCAAAGTCACCCATGTTTCTCTAAGCTTCATTACAGCCCCATAGATCCCTTAGCCCTCCTGCAGCCAGCTTCTCCTGGATAGTTTCTAATGGTGTTTCTTCTATCTTCCATTGTTTATAATCTGGAAATTCCATTTTACTATGTTCATGTTAACGTCCATGTCCATGGGCCATTTCTGTATTCTTTAGATGATTCTTTTAAAGTGCAGCATTATTGCTTTCCTTTTTTAAAAAGTTTTAATTTTTTTAATTAAAAAAAAATAGAGATGGAGTTTCGCCATGTTGCCCAGGCTGGTCTTGAACTTCTGGGCTCAAGCAATCTGCCCACCACGGCCTCTCAAAGTGCTGGGATTACAGGTGTGAGCCACCGCACCAGCCAATTGTTTGTTTTGTTTTGTTTTGTTTGTTTTTGAGATGGAGTCTTGCTCTGTTGCCCAGGCTGGAGTGCAGTGGCGTGATCTTGGCTCACTGCAACCTCTGCCTCCCAGGTTCAAGTGATTCTCCTGCCTCAGCCTCCTGAGCAACTGTGATTACAGGTACCCACCACCATGCTTGACTAATTTTTGAATTTTTAGTAGAGACAGGGTTTCACTGTGTTGGCCAGGCTGGTCTCAAACTCCTGACCTGAAGTGATCTGCTTGCCTCAGTCTCCCAAAGTGCTGGGATTACAGGCATGAGCCACCGCACCTGGTTCCAGCCAATTGTTTTTAAATACATATGATTACATGAAGTTTTTCTGACAGCAGTCTCCATATATTAAGTAGCATATTCAAATTCCCTAATTTTTCTATTTTTCATTACTCATTGCTAAACTAAGCTCAGTTCATAAACACTCAAGTTTTTCTTCAATTATTAAGACAAAATGTAAGAATAAATACGGGCCAGGCACGGTGGCTCATGCCTATAATCCCAGCACTTTGTGAGTCCGAGTTGGGCATATTGCTTGAGCCCAGGAGTTTGAAACCAGGCTGTGCAACATGGCTAAACCCCATCTCTATAAAAATGAAAAAAAAAAAAAATTTTAGACGGCTGTGGTGGTATGCACCTGTAGTCTCAGCTACTTGGGAGGCTGAGGTGGGAGGATCGATTGAGTCTGGGAGGTTGAGGCTATAGTGAGCCTGGGCAACACCTGTCAGGGAGGGGGAGATAGGAAGGGGGGAGGGGCGGGGCACCAAGAAGGAAGGAAAGAATAAGTATGCATTCCTATATTAAGTTCTCTTTAACTATTAAGAAAAAAAAAAAAGCCCACTAGAAGTTCTAACAAATAGAGTTTCATTTGTGTTTCTAAATGAAGGAAGTATAAAGGATTATTAATCTGCTTAAGAAAAAATGTTTACCATTATCTCTATCAATGAATATTTCAGTATTTCAAGCTGAAGTTATAAAATATCCCTTTAACAGCCTGGGCAACATGATGAAAACCCATCTCTACCAAAAAAAAGAAAAATAATACAAAAATTAGCCGGGTGTGGTGGCGCATGCCCGTAGTCACAGCTACTCAGGGCGCTGGGGTGGGGGGATCACTTGAGCCTGGGAGGTCAAAGCTGCAGTGAGCTGAGATCGCACCACTGCACTCCAGCCTGGGCAACAGAGCAAGATTCTGTCTCAAATTAAATAAATAAATAAACAAACATCCCTTTAAAACTGTAAAAATAATTTTAATGGAAACATTTGAATGTTTCATTTCTACTTTTTTTTTTTGAGATGGAGTATCGCTCTACTGCTCAGGCTGGAGTGCGGTGGCGCAATCTTGATTCACCGCAACCTCTGCCTCCCAAGTTCAAGCGATTCTCCTGCCTCAGCCTCCCAAGTAGCTGGGATTATAGGCATGCACCACCACACCCGGCTAATTTTTGTATTTTTAGTAGAGATGGGGTTTCACCATGTTGGCCAGACTGGTCTCGAACCCCTGAGCTCAAGTGATCTGCCACCTCAGCCACCCAAAGTGCTGGGATTACAGGTGTGAGCCACCACGCCTAGCCTCATTTTTACTTTAAACTGTCAACCTGTCCATCCAGATCTCTCTTCTGAAGAGAGATGCTGAAGCAGTTCTGTATAAAAGCTTTGGTGAACCTACTACTGATGTCATTTGAAACCACCGTGTTACCCTGACCAGGACTGACTGGACATGGTGCAGGAACCTCTACACTAGGTATGGTCAGACTCAACCAAACCCCGGCTTTGAGAAGTATGAATGTCAAGTACACACACAAAGGAAAATCACTTCAGCTCTGGATGTATTCTGAGAGGTCTAGGACCCATAATGACTACAGCAATGAAAAGACTATGCCTCTCTCTACCTAAGCCTTTATTCATGCAATACATCCTCCTTGCAGGAGTAGGGGGGCAAACCTGATGTGTTACGCTATGTATGTCCTATGTAAGTGAATTGAATTCTGATATTATTTGTATGAATTTGACTAGAAATGTTGCATTTTCCAATAATCCATACACAGGGAATGTGACTGTTTGCAAAATTATATAATAGCATGGGGTAGATAAGAGAAAAAGGGAGGAAAAACGACTAATTAACTAAATGGCCTATAGCACATCAAAAATTACTAAAGATTGCTTTATAGCAGAAGCCACACAAACTGATTTTATTTGCTGTCCTCCAGAGTGTTTTAAATTTTTTTTGAGACAGAGTTTTGCTCTTGTTGCCTAGGCTGGAGTGAAATGGCATAATCTTGGCTCATTGCAACCTCTGCCTCCCAGGTTCAAGCGATTCTCCTGCCTCAGCCTCCCAAGTAGCTGGGATTACAGGCACCCGCCATCACACTCAGCTAATTTTTTGTATTTTTAGAAGAGATTGGGTTTCGCCATGTTGGCCAGGCTGGTCTCAAACTCCTGACCTCAGGTGATCCACCTGCCTTGACCTCCCAAGTGTTGGGATTACAGGAGTGAGCCACTGCATCCAGCCTTAAAATTTTTTTAAATTTGTTGTCATTTAAAAAACTAGGTGATTTCACATAAAAATCTAGATTTCTAGCTTTTCTTGAAAATCAGGTCAGGTGCAGTGCCTCCCACCTGTAATCCTGGCATTTTGGGAGGTCGAGGTGGGAGGATTGCTTGAGCCCAGGAATTTGAGACCAGCCTGGGTGACGTAGTCACACCATGTCTCTATTAATATATATACATACATATATTTTTTGGAGACAGAGTCTTGCTCTGTCCCCCAGGCTGGAGTACAATGGCGCGATCTTGGCTCACTGCAACCTCTGCCTCCTGGGTTAAAGCAATTCTCGTGCCTCAGCCTCCCAAGTGGCTAGCATTACAGGCGTGAACCACTATGCCTGGCTAATTTTTGTATTTTTAGTAGAGACGGGGTTTTGCCATGTTGGCCAGGTTGGTCTTGAGCTCCCGACCTCAGATGATCCAACTGCCTCAGCCTCCCAAAGTGCTGGGATTACAGGTGTGAGCCACCATGCCTGGCCTAATATTTTTTTTTAAATCAAAGGAATTGGAAACACTGGACTTGCATATTTCTTTTGCAAGGGACAAATATTCCTTTGTGCTTATCATAAAAATGGTCAATTTTATTAATTTATGTTATCTATTTCATCCCTAAAAGCATCTCAAATTAACACCTTTGTTTATGGGGTTAAAATCTGAACTAGGAAAAGTAAGATAGAGTGAAGCTGTATACTAGCTAGGAAAGGATGTTTGCTTCCAAAGCAAAAAAAAAGGTGTACCGATGAGAAGCCCAAAGAGATACCAATAATGAAATTAACCATAGGGTTCAGAGAATAACACAGAGCCTCAATTCATGTCCCAAGGCCACTACTAGGCCATTAATATGAACACTCCCACGTGTCCAACTGTGCTTTCTAAGGCTCCCTCTTCAGTTACACCACTGAGAGCTCAACTGCCTTGAGCCTCGAGATAAATACCAACATTAGCAGTAAAAGTTTGTGGGGTTTTTTTTTGTTTTTTTTTTTTTAAGACACGAGGTCTCACTCTGTTGCCCAGGTTGGAGTGGTGCAACGGCTATCCACAGGTGCGATTCTAGTACTCTACAATCTCAAACTTCTGGGCTCAAGACATTCTTCTGCCTCGGCCTCCTGGGTACTGTACACCACCACGTCTGACTAAAATGGTTCTTTCTTTGAATTGAAAATTTCTTAGCAAAATTTACAGGTGCATATGAAAACAATAAAACTTCCTTCCCCAAAGTATTACCTCTTCCCCTTTCGACCTTGAAAGACTCCCTGGAGAATCTCCAAGAGGTGGCTTAATGACCGAATGTTCTGAAGAGCTGTGGGAGTAGAAATTCAAGTAAAGTTTACTCCATGTATCAAAATAGAAACTAAATTAATTTACCCTTTCAAACACTAATTTTTCTTTTTAGCAAACAATCCTAGCTGACTCCAAAGTTACTCTCTGGAGACATTTATTAAAATAAGCTCTGGATTCAGTGGCACCAATGACAGTTGTAAGGAGGAGATGAAAAGCCATTCTGGAAAGAAAATTAAGTCAAAGTCCACATATTTTATAGTGAGATGTCAAGTACCCTTCCCTTGCTTAGTTCCAGAATCCTGTTTGCTATGCTTAAATCCAACCCCAGACAGGACACTGGAGAATGCTCTTCAGGAAAATTATCTGGCCCAAGAGAAAAAAATATCAGAAACTTACAGTTTAGGGTACCTTAGTAAAACTATGTTTCCTCTTAATCAATTTTTGTGAGGCCAACAAGCAGACAGATCCACCCACATATGTAGCCCTTCCTTCCAATCAGCTTTTAAAATTTTTATTTAATATTATAAAATATAATAGAGACGGGGTCTCCCTATGTTGCCCAGGCTGCTCTCGAACTCCTGGGCTCAAGCAATCCTCCCACCTCAACCTCCCAGATTGCTGGGATTACAGGTGTGAGTCACCACACCCAGCCAGCTTTTGTTTTAATGTCTCACTGTTTACGGCCAGCCAAAGCTTTCTAGATACCTGAAAAAAGCCGAGATAAAAGGTAGAGACTAAAATCAACAGAAAAATGAACTTGGGAGAAGAGAGGCAATTTAGGGAACAAAAGCTACAAAAATGTAATTTAAATCCTTAGATATAAGAGGAAATAACAGATTAATAAGGAAACAAGAGCAAGATCTATTTTTTAAAAAGGAAAAGAAATTAGATAATAAGAAAGACCTCTTAGAAAATTAAAATATGATGGTAGAAAAAAGTAAATCCGAAGCAGCCTGAGGTAATCTGTGAAAATGGTTCGCTATTCACTTGACCCGGAGAACCCCACGGAATCATGCAAATCAAGAGGTTCCAATCTTCGTGTTCACTTTAAGAACACTCGTGAAACTGCTCAGGCCATCAAGGGTATGCATATACGAAAAGCCACGAAGTATCTGAAAGATGTCACTTTACAGAAACAGTGTGTACCATTCCGACGTTACAATGGTGGAGTTGGCAGGTGTGCGCAGGCCAAGCAGTGGGGCTGGACACAAGGTCGGTGGCCCAAAAAGAGTGCTGAATTTTTGCTGCACATGCTTAAAAACACAGAGAGTAATGCTGAACTTAAGGGTTTAGATGTAGATTCTCTGGTCATTGAGCATATCCAAGTGAACAAAGCACCTAAGATGCGCCGCCGGACCTACAGAGCTCATGGTCGGATTAACCCATACATGAGCTCTCCCTGCCACATTGAGATGATCCTTACGGAAAAGGAACAGATTGTTCCTAAACCAGAAGAGGAGGTTGCCCAGAAGAAAAGGATATCCCAGAAGAAACTGAAGAAACAAAAACTTATGGCACGGGAGTAAATTCAGCATTAAAATAAATGTAATTAAAAGGAAAAAAAAAAGTAAATCCATAGAAAATAGAGGTGAGGAAATTGCTAAATAATATTTTTTTAATTTCCTAGAACTTAAGTTTCCAACTTAAAAGGGCCCATGAAATACCCAGAAGAATAAGGAAAAATAGAATCACTCTAAGGTCTATCTTCTATATCATCATGAAGTTTCAGACTATCAGGGAAGAGAAGAACCTGAAAAATTCCAGAGTAGAAGGAGCAATAGGCCTCACCCAAAGAATGAGGAATCAACCAGCCTCGCCAACATGGTAAACATGGTGAAACTCCATCTCTACTAAAAATACAAAAATTAGTTGGGTGTGGTGGTATGTACCTGTAGTCCCAGCTAGTAGGGTAGCTTAGGCACAAGAATCACTTGAACCCAGGAGGCCGGGGGTTGCAGTGAGCCAAGATTGCGCCACTGCACTCCAGCCTGGGAGCCAAAGTGAGACACTGTCTCAAAAAAAAAAAAAGACAATGAGGAATCAAGATGGCATCAGACTTTTTAATCAGAACACTAAAACTGGAAGATCATGTAGCAATGCTTTTGAAATACTGAGGAATGATTTTCATCCTAGAATTCTATACCCAGCTATACTAACAAAAAAGGTGAAAAATAAAGCAAACACATTTTTAGACATGCAAGGTCTCAGAAACTTCACCTCTAAGGCACCCCTTTTCAGGAAACTGTGAGATGCTAAAAACAGGGAATCTAATAAAGAGATGAGGCAAAGGAAATCCCAGCAGAACAGTGAGGAAAGTCCCAGGATTCTATCTAGACCTACATAAAGTGATCAAAAAGCAGTAAATATAAAGTGAAGCAGGAGTGATCCTGGAGGGACATCTCCCAAGGGGAAAAAATGGAATAGAGAAATTTCTGACACTTTTTACAATAATGAGAGAAGTTTTATGATTTTATAATTCTGTCAAAGCACTTACAGATAGTTTAGTGATAAATATTAAGAAAACTCATCATGTACAGACACATGAACACCAACTTGAGGCAATTACTGTCTCCAGGAAAAACAAGAAGCTATATGAAAAAGAAATATAATCATATGGCACTACATGACCCAGTTGTAAATAACATTTACAAGGTCATAGTAATGTGATACTGATTTAAACAAAATCACACTGATACTGATTTAAACAAAAATTGATATATACTGAAAATAAGGGATAGACAAAGTGAGGGTGCTATGTATGAGGAGTATGGTAGAGAATCAACAGATAGCAAAAACAGTAATAGAGGCCGGGTGCGGTGGCTCATGCCTGTAACTCCAGCACTTTGGGAGGCCGAGGTGAGCGAATCATGAGGTCAGGAGTTCGAGACCAGCCTGGCCAACATGGTGAAACCCTGTCTCTACCAAAAATACAAAACATTAGCTGGACATGGTGGCACATGCCAGTAATCCCAGCTACTCAGGAGGCTGAGGCAGGAGAATTGTTTGAACCTGGGAGGCAGAGGTTGCAGTGAGCTGAGATTACACCACTGCATTCCAGCCCGGGCAACAAGAGCAAAACTCCATCTCAAAAAAACAAAACAAAACAGTAATAGAAGTATGTTTTTCAGAAATGTGGAAATATATAGCAAAAGGCTGGGTGTGGTGGTTCACTCCTGTAATCCCAGGACTTTGGGAGGCTGAGGTAGGAGGATCACTTAAGCCCAGGAATTTGAGACCAGCCTAGGCAACATAGTGAGATCCCATCTTAAAAAAAAATTGTATGTATATATATCAAGAGAAACAGCCAAATGGGTTGAAAATGGCAGCCAATAAGAAATAAAACCATGGACAAAGATGGGTTTTATTTTAAGCCTTGAAGTACTATTTGTCTTTTGAAACCATGTATGTATATTACATGGACAAAAACAAAAATTAAATTTTAAAATCTGAATTCTTGTTTTGAAAGTACTCAAAACAACTATTATGAAAGCTGTAATAAAAAAGCAAATAGTAAAAAAATAAAAATTCAGAAAAGAATCAAAAATTGAATTTATGCTCTGAAATAAAACTAGGTTTTTGACACTAATTATTTATAAAGTGAATTCCTATAAGCATCCAAGTGCCAAAAGCAAGTTATACATTTTTGTACTTAATCTCAGCCAAAAAGCTGGGAATCTCATCTTATACATTTTTTAATGAACCACCCTGAAAAGTGTTTTATGCTAAGAATATAGAAAATGCTCCTTAACTATTCCCATTGCATAAATTAACACTTGTATACTAATGATAGCAAGATAAAAATTTTCCCTGAATAGTGAAAATGTAAATATGCAGTCTTCCACTGCTGTAATTGCCAAAGCAGCCAACACTGCAGCTGTAATCATTCCACCAGATTGTAAAACATCTTTCTATGCCCTGAAAGTCTGAATTTTAAGATTATTTGTTCAAAGATGCCAACTGAAGAAAAAAGAAAATCAAGATTTAGAGATCCTAAAACTGTAGGTTCTTTGAGTAGGATGGCTTATAAAAAATATAATTGCCTTGGTGGTAGTCAGGAAGCAAAAAGAAAAATAGAAGGAAAATGGAAACTATAAAGAGACTTAGAAGTTGGTAGAAGAGAATATAGACAAATGAAGGCAGATTAGGAAAAAAAATTGGTAGGCAGTAAGCTCTAAAAACTTTTATTTATAAGGCTCCAAAGACAAGTTCAACCTTCTAACCATTAGTAGTAAGTTAATATTTCCAAGTTTTACAAAGTCAAGCACTTACATTTGGCTTCCACAAGGTGATTCCTCCAGAAAAGGTATGTGATTTGTTGATCCAGGATTACGAGGAGTGCTTGTATGAATATTTGAAGCATCATGTGTTAATCTCTGACTAGAGTCTTGGGGTGGTGTAGTAAAACTAGTCACAGAAGAACCATTAGATCCATTGCCTTTGCTCCCATTACATTGCTGGTTGAGTGCTGATACCTCATTACCAAGGCCATCCATTCCAATATTTAATTCACCAAGCTTTTGAATGGACCTATAAAATTAAACAATGTAATCATTTTAAAATAAAAACTTAATTGCATTCCTAATATATACAAGGTTAAAAGTGTGAAAAGGTAAAAATATGCACATATAATATATAATCTATGGCAAATTTAGTGTTAAAAATTACCACCATCAACTTAAGACATAACCAAGATACTGAAAGAAGATCCACATTTTCCCATAGTATAACACTACAGAAGATAGGCATAATGGGCATTATAGACTTTTCTTTTTTTGAGTCAGGGTCTCGCTCTGTTGCCCAGGCTGAAGTGCAGTGGCATGATCGTGGCTCACTGCAGCCCTGGGCTCAAGCAATCCTTCCACCTCCCACACATACCTGGGACAACAGGTGCATACCATCATGACCAGCTAACTTTTTAAATTTTTTGTAGAGACAGAGTCTCCCTATATGGCCTAGATTGGTCCTTAACTCCTGGGTTCAAGCTATCCTCCTGCCTTCCGCCCAAAGTGCTGGGATTATAGGCATGAACCACTGTGCCCAGCCAGTATCACAGACTTTTTAAAAGCAGCTTTTACAATAAAAACAGAAAAAAAATTCTTTTTCTTCCCCAATATAACTTTGGTTTAATTTTCCATTTAAAACTTAACTTTCAGAAAGAGTCAATAACAATATCACCACTACCAAAATTGCTCATCAACAAAACAAGCCATTTTCATTCCATCTGTCTTGAGTAGTATCAAGTAGGAAATGGATGACTTGAGCAAGCCATGATGAGTAAAAAGTCAAATGGCATCCCTAATACTCCACATGTACTTATTCACTCATTAATTCATTCTACAAATACTATTGGCCAGTCTCTGATCTAGACAATAGGGAGATAAAACAGGGAGCAAAACAAGTTAGCCTCAGGGCCTTGCCCTCAACAAATAGTCTCTCCATTGCTGTAGCCTGACTCCATATTGAGATCAGGGCTACAAAGGGCACAAACAGGAAGCTACATTGCTCTTTTAAGATTTAGACTCATGGGCCAGGTGCGGTGACTCATACCTGTAATCCCAGCACTTTGGGAGGCTGAGGTGGGCGGATCACTTGAGGTCAGGTTCGAGACCAGCCTGGCCAACATGGTGAAACCCCATCTCTACTAAAAATACAAGAATTAGCCAAGCATGGTGGCAGATGCCTGTAATCCCAGCTACTTGGGAGGCTGAAGCAGGAGAATCACTTGAACCTGGGAAGCGGAGGCTGCAGTGAGCCAAGATCACACCACTGCACTCCAGCCTGGGCGACAGAGCAAGTCTCCATCTCCAAAAAAAAAAAAAGAAGTTAGACCCATGGCCAGGAGCGATGGCTCACGCCTATAATCCCAGAACTTTGGGAGGCCAAGGCAGAAGGATTGCTTGAGCTCGGGAGTTTGAGACTAGCCTGGGCAACAGAGGGAGCCCGTCTCTCCCAAAAAAAAAAAAAAGAAAAGAAAAAGAAAAACTTAGCCAGACATGGTGGTGCAGGCCTATGGTCCTAGCTACTTGGAAGGCTGAGGTGGAAGGATTGCCTGGGCCCAGGAGGTCAAGGCTGCAATGGGCCGTGATCCTGCCTGGGCAACAAAGTGAGATCCCATCTCAGAAAAAAAAAAAAAGAAAAAGAAAAAAAAGGAAAGAAAGAAGGAGGGCTGGGCGCGGTGGCTCATGCCTGTAATCCCAGCACTTTGGGAGACCGAGGCGGGCGGATCACGAGGTCAGGAGATCGAGACCATCCTGGCTAACACGGTGAAACCCCGTCTCTACTAAAAATACAAAAAAAAAATTAGCCAGGCGTGGTGGTGGGCGCCTGTAGTCCCAGCTTCTCGGGAGGCTGAGGCAGGAGAATGGCGTGAACCTGGGAGGCGGAGCTTGCAGTGAGCCGAGATAGTGCCACTGCACTCCAGCCTGGGCAACAGAGCAAGACTCCATCTCAAAAAAAAAAAAAAAAAGAAAGAAGGAAGGAAAGGAAAGGGGAAAGGGGAGGAAGGGAGGGAGGAAAGAAGATTTAGACCCAAAACTAACCCAGCATCAGTTTCTCCAGCTGAGATTCAATATAAGAAAGGACTAACACAGGGAGTACAATTATTGAGAGGTGTTGTGGCTTATGGTATTTTTTAATTTTCCTACATTAAACATTGTTTATTTATATTTTTAGGGTTTAAAAATACTTCCAAAAAAGCAGCTCAATATTATTAGAGGAACTGTTAGCCTTATACTAAATATTTATCAGTTAAAAATTATAATTAAGTAGCATTTCTCAAATTGTGTTCTGTGAAACATATTTCTTGTGAAATGTACATATATCTTTTTTATACTCCCCATAAAAAGGGATGTGAGGTCAAATAAATTTGGGAAAAATGCAAAGTATAAAAAGCATTTAAAATGCTAATACAGGCCAGGCACAGTGGCTCATGTCCGTAATCCTAGCACTTTGGGAGGCCAAGGCGGGCAGATCACCTGAGGTAGGGAGTTTGAGACCAGCCTGGCCAGCATGGTGAAACCTCGTCTTTACTAAAAATACAAAAATTAGCCAGGCATGGTGGTGGACACTTGTGGTCCCCGCTACCTGGGAGGCCGAGATGGTGAATCGCTTGAACCTGGGAGGAAGACGTTGCAGTGAGCCAAGGTCATGCCACTGCACTCCAGCCTAGGCAACAGAGCAAGACTCCGCCTCAAAAAACAAAAAAAAAATGCTAATATAGCATTTTAACTCTCTTAAAATGGGCTGGGATGGGGAAGAGGCTGAATACGCCTATTAATTGTCAAATCAATGGTGCCAATTATTAGTATTAATAAAAACAAAAGATCAAGAGGTATAAAGTAATGATACAGTACTATTAATAAAATTCCTATCATGCTATAATTTTTTTCAATAAGATCTAATTGTGTAACACACCTTACTTCTCTTCTGTCTATGCCCCTCAGAAGGAAGAAGTAAAATTTAAATCTAGAAATAATGACCTGCAAGAGTGATTTGGAAGAATAAAACATTGAGAGGAAAAAGCACATTTTATAGATTCTATCTCCATTCAATTTGTCCTTGATTTTACATATCTTAAAGCCCTAGTACAGGCTCAGATATACAAAACTAGAGTCTAGAAAAAATAATTAAACAAAAATATTGGGCCAGGCATGAGCCTGTAATCCCAGCACTTTGGGAGGCCAAGGCAGGTGGATCACCTGAGGTCAGGAGTTCGAGACCAGCCTGACCAACATGGTGAAAGCCTGTCTCTACTAAAAATACAAAAAATTAGCTGGGCATAAGTGGCAGTGCCTGTAATTCCAGCTACTTGGGAGGCTGAGGCAGGAGAATCACTTAAACCTGGGAGGCAGAGGTTTCAGTGAGCTGAGATCGCGCCACTGCACTCCAGCCTGGGCAACAAGAGCAAGACTCTGTCCCCAAAAAAAAAAAAAATTATATTAAAGGGTTAGAACAGAATAGATAAGATTAAGAGAATGACAGAAAATTTATGGGAAACTAATATATAAAAATTTAGGATGGGCCGGGCATGGAAGCTCCATGTCAAAAACAAAAAACAAAACAATAAATACACTCTAAACAAACCTAAATTACAAGACAGAATTTAAATTCTAGGCCCAGAATGGTGGTTCTCGCCTGTAATCCCAGCACTTTAGGAGGTCGAGGCAGGAGGATTGCCTGAGCTCAGGAGTTCAAGATCAGTCTAGGCAACATGGTGAAACTTCATCTCTACAAAAAATATAAAAATTAGCTGCTTGTGGTGGCTGGAGGATCACTTTAGCCCCAGAGGCAGAAGGTCGAGGCTGCAGTGAGCCATGACCACACTACTGCACTCCAGACTGGGCAACAGAGCGAGACCCTGTCTCAAATTAAAAAAAAAAAAAAGAATTTAAATTCTATTTATGATTGTCTATAAAGGAAAGATGAACCTTCCCGAATAGTTTAGCTTTTTTTCTGAGGACGTACATCACTAACCACTATTGGGGAGGAGGGTCACAGAACTTTGCCATTTCATCTTCTCACTGCTAGATATCTGCTCTCACTGCAAAATAAGTTGGTCAGAAATTCAAATTACATCCATGACTTTTATGGCCATGAAGAAAACATCCAAAAACCAGAAATGGCAATTCATCAAATAAGAATAATTCTGACAAGCCACCCACTTCAACAGAGGTGATAAGAAAATGACACTCAAACTGGATGTTCAGAGGCCTATTTAGACTCTTGAGACCACCAGTTTAAACAATCCTTGTGTGAGCCGGCTACGATGACTCATGCCTGTAATCTCAGAGCTTTGGGAGACTGAGGCAGGAGGACTACTTGAGCCCAGGAGTTCAAGGTTACAGTGAGCTATGATCACACCACTGCACTCCAGCCTAACATGACAGAGCAAGACTCTATCTCCATTTAAAAAACAAAAAGGGCAGGCGCAGTGGCTTACACCTGTAATCCCAGCACTTTGGGAGGCTGAGGCAGGGGGATCACCAGGTCAGGAGATCGAGACCAGCCTGACCAACATGGTGAAATCCCGCCTCCACTAAAAATACAAAAATTAGCCAGGCATAGTGGTGCGTACCTGTAATGCCAGCTACTCAGGGAGCTGAGGCAGGAGAACCGCTTGAACCTGGGAGGCGGAGGTTGCAGTGAGCCGAGATCGCACCACTGCACTTCAGCCTGGGCGACAGAGCTAGACTCTGTCTCAAAAAAAAAAAAAAAAAAAAGGCCAGGCGTGGTGGCTCACACCTGTAATCCCAGCACTTTGGGACGTTGAGATGGGAGAATCCCTTCAGCTGGGGTAGTAGAGGCTGCAGCGAGCCGTGATCAGATTGCGCTACTGCACTCCAGCCTGGGCGACAGAGTGAGACTCCAACTCAAAAAAGAACAAACAAACAAAAAACAAAACAAAAAAAACCACTCCCTTTGTGAAGGTTTGAAGACAGGATCAATTTCAGGCTCACTGACTTACACAACACTCAGAGTTGTCAAGCAGATTACTTCCAATATTGTTGAATCAAGTGAAGAGCTAACAGTCACCATTACAGTTACCTAATTGTAATCATGACAATAGCCAACATTTATAGGATACTTCCTATGTGCCAGAACTGTTGTAAGCACATTTGCATATATTAATTCACTTAATCTTCCAACAATCATTGCTTATTTAAATATATATTATTTTATTGAATTCTAAACACACATACATAAGACCGGGTGTGGTGGCTCACACCCGTAATCCCAGCACTTTGGGAGTGGGCGGATCACTTGAGCCCAGGAGTTCAAGACTAGCCTGGCCAACACAATGAAACCCCATCTCTACTAAAAAAATACAAAATCAGCCAGGTGTGGTGGCACACGCCTATAATCCCAGCTACTCGGGAAGCTGAGGCAGGAGAATTGCTCGAACTCAGGAGTCAGAGGTTGCAGTGAGCGAAGATCGCGCCACTGTACTCCAGCCTGGGTGACAGAGTAAAATTCCATCCCAAGAATGAATAAATCAATAAATTAATTAATTAAATAAAATAATAAAAAATAAACACACACGTGTGTGTATATATTTCTCCTATAATTGGAAACAATAAATGTAGTTCATATTGTTTTGGCGGAAATTATAAAAATAATTTTAATACAGCAAATCAAAAAAAATCTGTAGGTTTAAGCACTTTAGTAACAATAAAAATAGCAGCTAACAACATAGTGTTTACAGTGTGCCAGGTACTGTTCTCAGCACTTTACAAAGATTAACTCTATTTATCCTCATGGTAACCTTGTAAGAAGGTTAGAAGAAATAAGAAGTAGATAAGGGCCAGCACAGTGGCTCATGCCTGTAATTCCTGCACTTTGGGAGGTCAAGGTGGACGGATCGCTTGAGGCCAGGAGTTTGAGACCAGCCTGGGCAACAAGGCAAAACCCTATCTCTACAAAAAAAATACAAAAATTAGCTGGGTGTGGTGGTATATGCTGTAGCGCCAGCTACGCAGGAGGCTGAGGCAGGAGGATCACTTGAGCCCAGGAAGTTGAAGCTGCAGTGAGCCAAGACTGTGCCTCTGCACTCCAGACTGGGCGACAGAGTGAGAGCCTTGCCTCAAAAAAAAAAAAGCAGCAGATAAAGAGATAAAAAGAACTAGAGTGACTTCCCCTAGATCCGCAGTTACCCTGGGAGAGCTGGATCCACCTGGCTGTCAGCTGTTCAGTGCACTGAACCTCTGCACTCTTCTGCTCTAGTTGCTTAGGGAATAAGGACAAAACTAGATGAGCCCTCGGAATGCTGTGACTAGAAAGCAATATGTAACTCCACATTACTTCAAATGCGTAAAAAGCCTTAAAATGTCAAACTATACATAGAAAGTAGCAGTTATTGCATGTTTTAAATAGCTTTCAAATAACTCCATATTTTAAAAAGTGATTAGAAGACCAACCTATTAAGGAACTGTTCAGTAAGATTCTGCTGCTGATCAGGACCATCCTCCTGATTCACGCCTCCTTCAAGCAACATCTGTTGGTATATCTGCCGCTGTTGCTCCTTCTGTTCTAAATGCTGTTGATAGCGTAATCTTTGCCTATAATATTCTTGAAATTGTTCTGTTGAATCTCGAAGCTTAAAAACATTAGAAAAAAACATATATATTTGAGCAAACTATGACAGAATATATCTTAACAGTACCTTTTATAAATGCTGAATAAAATATACAATTAGCTATATTTAACAATCACAAAATACTTAATCTATTGCTCTTTGAAAAACAGTATGTGTCTTAATACTCAAGTGGATCAGTTAATTTGCTTTATTCCACGGAAACAGACTGACCGAAATGAATGGTTGCCTTGGTTCCCTGACTAACCCAAAATAAAAATACAAATTATAATGGTTACAAGGGGGCCATGATCAGAGAAAATGAATGTAGATAAAGACTAATACAAATCTGGCATTTCTTTAAAAATATCCATACTGAGGGACTGCATTAATATTTAATAAACATAATGAGATACCAACTTACCCCAGCCAGAATGGCCATCACTAAAAAACAATAGATGTTGGAATGGATGGGGTAAAAAGGGAATGTTTACACACTGCTGGAGGGAATATAAATTAGTACAGTCTCTATGGAAAAAAACAGTATGGTGATTTCTCAAAGAACTAAAAGTAGATCTACCATTCAATCCAGCAATCCCACTGAGTATCCACCTAAAGGAAAATAAGTCATCATATCAAAAAGACACCTGCAAGTGTATGTTTATCGCAGCACAATTCCCAGTAGCCCTAACATATAGTACTAAAAAAATGTTCCATGTACACTTCAGAAGGATACGTATTCTGCTGTTGTTGAGTGGAGTGTTTTATACATGTCTGTCAGGTCTAGTCAGTTTACAGTATTGTTCAAGTCCTCTATATCCTTATTGATCTTCTACTTGGATGTTTCATCCATTATTGTAAGTAGGGTATTGAAGTCTCCAACTATTATTGCAAAACTATTTCTCCCTTCAGCTCTCTCAATATTTGCATCATATTTTAAAGCTCTGTTGTTTGGTGCATATCCATGTACTTTTAATAGTAATTTTTCTACTTCATTCTTTTTTTAATTTTAATTTTTTTCTTGCATTGCTATAAAGAAATATATTCTTAATATTTAGTTGAAAACAAAAAACATATTCAACTTATTAAAACCACTTAACCCCTTCAAAGTGGCATGCTGTATAAACCTGTTTGTTTGTTTGAGACAGAGTCTCACTCTGTCGCCCAGGCTGGGATGCAGTGGTACAATGTTGGCTCACTGCAACCTCCGCCTCCCAGGTCCAAGCGATTCTCCTGCCTCAGCCTCCCAAGTAGCTGGGACTACAGGTAGCTGTGACACCACGCCTGGCTGATTTTTTGTATTTTTAGTAGAGATGGGGTTTCACCATGTTGCCTAGGCTGGTCTTGAACTCCTGAGCTCAGGTGATCCACCTGTCTTGGCCTCCCAAAGTGCTAGGACTACAGGCATGAGCCACCATATCCAGCCTATATAAAACTTATACCCTATTTCACAATACCATTTCCTCACAAAAACACCAAAGAAAAATAATCTAGAACCCTGGATTTGGATAAAAGTTTTATTCTATATTTAAAATGTCTAATTTCTTATTCTTAAATCTAATTAGTAAAATATAGACCATATCTCTTAAAAATGTAAACTAGCCGGCCGGGCGCGGTGGCTCAAGCCTGTAATCCCAGCACTCTGGAAGGCCGAGGTGGGCGGATCACGAGGTCAGGAGATCGAGACCATCCTGGCTAACATGGTGAAATCCCGTCTCTACTAAAAATACAAAAAAATCAGCCAGGTGTGGTGGCGGGCGCCTGTGGTCCCAGCTACTCGGGAGGCTGAGGCAGGAGAGTGGCACAAACCCGGGAGGCGGAGCTTGCAGTGAGCCGAGATCGCACCACTGCACTCCAGCCTGGGCGACAGAACAAGACTCCGTCTCAAAAAAAAAAAAACAAACGTAAACTAGCCATGTTTAATGTAAGCGCAATTACTTGAGTCGCAAAGCATGTAAAACATGCAATGTCACCAGTAATATTTTAGATTGCTAGTAAATTCACCTGTTAAAATTGCTCCAGAATACCCAATGGCAACTAAATAGCCACATATTCGTTGAAGAGAGGAGAGAAAATAAGCTAATAATAAGAAAATCTATGTATATTATTTCCTACTCCCAAATATCAGAAAATTCTTTTTACATTCTAAGTAAATTCTATTACTTCTTACAAAGAGAATAACTCTGAAAAACACTAGGTTTAGTAAATATTACCTCATTTTTTTCTTGTTTAGCTGGTCCTGGATTCTGTGCTCCATTTGCAGGCTCTTTTTCTGAAACTGAACTCTGGCCCAAGATTTCACTGCCGATAGGCCTCTGTGCATCAACAGGTGTATCACTTCTTCCAGAAACGTGCAAAAAAACAAAAAGGCAGAGGGGGGAGTAAAGGAAAATATATTTTAGTTAGAGAAATTTTATTTTATTATTATTATTTTTGAGATGGAGTCTCTCTCTGTAGCCCCGACTGGAGTGACGCAATCTCCGCTCACTGCAACCTCTACCTCCCAGGTTCAAGCAATTCTCCTGCCTCAGCCTCCAGAGCAGTTGGGATTACAAGTGCCTGCCACCACACCCGCCTAATTTTTTGTATTTTTAGTAGAGACGGAGTTTCACCATGTTAGCCAGGCTGGTCTCAAACTCCTGACCTCAAGCGATCCACACTCCCCAGTCTCCCAAAGTGCTGGGATTACAGGCATGAGCCACCACGCTCAGCCAAGAAATTTTAATTTTAAAAAATGAATAGCCCAGGCACGGTGGCTCACTCCTGTAATCCCAGCACTTTGGGAGGCCAAGGCAGGCAGCTCGCTTGAGCTAAGAAGTTCAAGACCAACCTGGGTAACATGGTGAAGCCTAGTTTCTAAAAAATAAAATAAAATAAAATAAAAAATTATTTGGGTGTGGTGGGGCGCCTGTGGTCCCCAGCTACTTGGGAGGCTGAAGTGGGAGGATCTCCTGATCCCAGGAGGTAGAGGTTACAGTGAGCCAAGATCACGCCACTGCACTCCAGCCTGGGTGACAAAGTGAGACCTTGTCTCAAAAAATAAAAAAAGAATATTTAGCCTGTTTATAAACTGTACACAAATCGATTTTTTATTTTCCTTTCTTCTAACACCACAAAAAGGGTTTTAAAAAATAGGAAGGTCTTAATGGAGGAGTACCAGGTTATTAGGCAGGGAGAGTGAGAGCAGGGACTACAGTTTAAAATCAGTTGGGTGGGCCGGGCACAGTGGCTTACGCCTGTAATCCCAGCACTTTAGGAGGCCGAGGCAGGCAGATCACGAGGTCAGGAGATCGAGACCATCTGGCCAACATGGTGAAAACCTGTCTCTACCAAAAACACAAAAATTTGTTGGGCGTGGTACGCGCCTGTAGTCCCAGCTACTTGGGAGGCTGAGACAAGAGAATCGCTTGAACCAGGGAGGCAGAGGTTACAGCGAGCCGAGATCACGCGACTGCACTACAGCCTGGTGACAGAGTGAGACTCCACCTCAAAAAAATAAAAATAAAAATAAATAAAAAATAAAATCAGTTGTGTGGCCTTGGGACAGTCACTTATATTCTCTGTGGCTCAGCTTAAAATAGGCTGATGAATACAAATAATAGGTTGGATAATACAATGCCTAAATTATCTTTATAAAATATAAACTTACAGTTTTGTTATCTAAACATTATTTCCTCCATATGTTTCTATAGATTTTTAAGAATTTTTGAGATTTTATTAGAAGACTTTCTTTGGGCTGGGCACAGTGGCTCACATCTGTAATCCCAGCACTTTGGGAGGCCGAGGGTGGCAGATCACCTGAGGTCGGGAGTATGAGACGAACCTGACCAACATGGAAAAACCCCGTCTCTACTAAAAATACAAAATTAGCCGGCATGGTGGAGCATGCCTGTAATCCCAGCTACTCGAGAGGCTGAGGCAGGAGAATCACTTGAACCCGGGAGGCGGAGGTTGTGGTGAGCCGAGATCGCGCCATTGCAGTCCAGCCTGGGCAATAAGAGCTAGACTCCGTTTCAAAAACAAAAGACTGAGGAGTTTTTTGGCTACCAGACTGTGCTATGAATTACTAATGGCCACAGGAAGTCCCCTTTTATGTCCACAAAGAAGAATTTGTAAGAGCTATTAACTGTATAAAGAATAAAATAACCTTCAAAAAGTAACATTTCATTTAATTTTGCAACGTATACAGAACTTCCATATGCATTATCTCATTTAACTTGCACAATAACCTGTGAAACAGTTTATAAGACCCATTTCACAAAGAGGTAACAGACTCAAAAAACAAGTCATTTTCCTAAGATTGCATAGCTAGAAAATAGAGCTTGAACTTGAACTCAGGTCATCAGACTCCAATTCCAGTGCCAGTCCATGCCTGAAATACATGCATTTCAAGCTTACATATTTCAAATGATTTTTCTCCATTTTAAGTGTCTCTGTTCAAGTGGAAAGATATCCTTTTAAAATATTACACACTCCCTTTCTTTCATGTTTTATCTTCTTGTTCACCATAGCAGTTCAATCATATTGTAGCATGGTGTTAGCACATAGTAATCACTGAAAAAAAAAATTTTTTTTTTGAGATAGGATATCTTGCTGTCACCCAGGCTGGAGTACAGTGGTGCAATCAAGGCTCACTGCAGCCTCAACCTCCTGGGCTCAATTGATCCTCCCACCTCAGCCTCCCAAGTAGCTGTGACTACAGGCACACGCCACCATGCTTGGCTAATATTTTTGTATTTTTCTGTAGAGACAAGTTTTCAACATGATGTCCAGGATAGTCCTGAACTCCTGGGTTCCAGTGATCCACCATGCCCAGCCTGAAATACATTTTAAATGTATACTCAAAAAAAAAAAAAAAAAAGATACTGACTTCAAGTATTTCAAGTAGTACTCTTCATGTTGCATACTTAGCATACTTGGTCTAGTTGAGCTTCTATATATATAACATTTAAAAAAACAATAAATAGAGACAGGGTCTCACTCTATTGCCCAAGCTGGTCTCAAACTCCTAGCCTCAAGCAATCCTCCCACCTCAGCCTCCCAAAGTGCTGGGATTACAGGTGTGAATCACCATACCAGTCCCAATATTTTTAAAATTACATCTAAAATATATTTTAAAATAGGTGCATTTGTTCCAAAGTAAATTTTTATACTTTATCCACAGGACAGTAACTCTCTCACAGCATTTCATTAGTAGTCCTTTTTGACACACTGTCCTTACCAAAGCCATGAGCTCTGAAAGGAAGAAATTTATATTCACTGAGTACCAATCACATGCTTGCCACTCTACTAGAAGCTTTATCTCATTTTGCAAGTCAACGCTTTATTATATAGAGAAGATAACTGAGGCTCAGAGAGATTAAATAACTTTCCCAAGGTCACACAGCCAATAAATGGCAAAGCTATTGTTCAGACCTATGTCTGACTTTAAAGACTATGTTCAGGCTGGGTGCAGTGGCTCATGCCTGTAATCCCAGCACTTTGGGAGGCCGAGGTGGGCAGATCATGAGGTCAGGAGTTCGAGACCAGCCTGGCCAAGATGGTGAAACCCCGGCTCTACTAAAAATACAAAAATTAGCCAGGCACAGTGGCGGGCGCCTGTAATCCCAGCTACTTGAGAGGCTGAGGCAGGAGAATCGCTTGAACCCAGGAGGCAGAGGTTGCAGTGAGCCGAGATCACGCCACTGCACTCTAGCCTGCGCAACAGAGCAAGACTCCATCTCAAAAAAAAGAAAAAAAAAAAGTTAACCTACCCTTTAGGAAGTCCCTCACTTAACTGATTGAAGTTAGATTCTCCTCTCTAAAGCACATGAAAGAAAATATCACAACTCTCTCCTCTATAATCTCAGAGCAACTTAACAGAAAAGGCTTCCCTATACATTTATCCTATACTTCTTTTTTTTTTGGAGTGAGATGGAGTCTTACTCTGTCGCCTAGGCTGGAGTGCAATGGTGTAATCTCTGCTCACTACACCTCTGCCTCCCAGGCTCAAGTGATTCTCCTGCCTCGGCCTCCCAAGTAGCTGGGATTATAGGCATGCACCAGCTAATTTTTTTGTATTTTTAGTAGAGATGGGGTTTCACCACATTGGCCAGGCTGGTCTCAAACTTCTGACCTCAGGTGATCCACCCACCTCGGCTTCCCAAAGTGCTGGGATTACAGGCTTGAGCCATCGCGCCGGGCCTCATCCTGTATTTCTTATGCTTTAACTAAGGATCTCCACTTGCTCTAATCATTATTATTTTTTGAGACGGAATCTCACTCTGTTGCCCAGGCTGGAGTGCAGTGGTGCGATCTAGGCTGACTGCAACCTCCACTTCCCAGGTTCAAGCGATTCTCCTGCGTCAGCCTCCTGAGTAGCTGGGACTACAGGCCCGTGCCACCACACCCAACTAATTTTTGTATTTTTAGTAGAGACAGGGTTTCATCATGTTGGACAGGTTAGTCTTGAATTCCTGACCTCAAGTGATCCACCCACCTCGGCCTCCCAAAGTGCTGGGATTACAGGCCTGAGCCACCGCACCCAGTTCACCTGCTCTAATTAGAAACAGAAATTCTGGGCCGGGCGCAGTGGCGCACGCCTGTAATCCCAGCTACTCGGGAGGCTGAGGCAGGAGAATCGCTTGAACCCGGGAGGCAGAGGTTGCAGTGAGCCGGGATTGTGCCACTGCACTCCAGCCTGGTGACAGAGCGGGACTCCATCTCAAAAAAAAAATAAAAATAAAATAAAAATAAAAGAAACAGAAATTCTGAGCCCACTGCTCCTTCCTCTGCAAAGAATGGCTCCAACTATCCTATGTAATGTGAAAAGGTTTCATTTTTATCTCTTTCATGAAATAAATTTATTGAAGTCAACACTAATATTTCATTGCGCCAACTCTAAGTTACAGAAAACCATCTATACATCCTCATGGGTTTACTGGAAAAATGAGGCAGAAAGTTTCCTAACCCTGAAATAAATAACTGTTGATCAGGAGTTTATTATTCCATGCCAGGTTTGAAGGAAAAACTGAATGGTGGCTTTAACACTTATTTCCTTCATATGTATAAGAATCACTAAAGTAAAGTAAGTGGAAATAATTAGAGTTTTAAGTTCTAGTTGTTCACTACACTACTATGTACAGGAGAAAAAAAGTAGAAACAACCTGGTATCCTACAATAAGGAGTTAAATTTGTGATATAGTCATACAATGAAATACTGCATATATTTATGATTAATCATTGATATCAAGAAATGTTTAAGAATATGGAAAATAGTCATGGTCTTTCAAGTGGAAAAAGCAGATTACATGAAAATCTATGTAATATATTCCCAGTTTTTAAAAATGTATTCATATAGCCAGGCGCAATGGCTCACACCTGTAATCCTAGCACTTTGGGAGGCCGAGGCGGGTGGATCAGCTGAGATCAGGAGTTCATGACCAGCCTGGCCAACGTGGTAAAACCTCATCTCTACTAAAAATACAAAAATTAGTTGGGCGTGGTGGCGGGTGTTTGCAATCCCAGCTACTCAGGAGGCTGAGGCAGGAGAATTGCTTGAACCCGGGAGACGGAGGTTGCAGTGAGCCGAGACCGTGCCACTGCACTCCAGCCTGAGTGACAAAAGCAAAACTCCATCTCAAAAAAAAACAAAAAAACAAAAAAACATACTCATAGAAAAAAAGACTGGTCCATCTAAGTATGAGATTGTATGGGATTTTAATTCTCATACTATTACTCTTCTATATTTTCCAAATTTTCTTCACAGCACATGTATTATATCTATAACCAGCAAAAGAATAAGATATAAAGATTTTTCTCATATAATTTTAATTATCAAAAATTTTAAACCTTTACTAAAGTATTAACGACTAACTTTCAACTAAAAGGACCTGAACATTAAGAAAACATACACACTCCTGGGCATGGTGGTTCACACCTGTAATCCCAGAACTTTGGGAGGCCAAGGCAGGATGATTGCTTCACTTGAGTCCAGGAGTTTGAGACCTGGGCAACACTGTGAAACCCCTTCTCTATCAAATATACAAAAATTAGCTGAGTATGGTGGTGTGTGCCGGTAGTCCCAGCTACTCAGGGGGCTGATTTTAACCTGGGAGATTGTGCCACTGCACTCCAGCCTGGGTGACAGAGCCAGACCTGTCTCAAAGAAAACATATACACACTATAATTAGATTATCTCAAACTTCTGAAGATTTCCTAATTTTTTTTTTTTTTTTTTTTTTGAGTCGGAGTCTCACTCTGTGGCCCAGGCCAGAGTGCAATGGCGTGATCTCAGCTCACTGCAAGCTCCCCCTCCCGGGTTCACGCCATTCTCCTGCCTCAGCCTCCTGAATAGCTGGGACTACAGGCACCTGCCACCACGCCCAGCTAATTTTTTGTATTTTTAGTAGAGACAGGGTTTCACCGTGTTAGCCAGGATGGTCTCAATCTCCTGACCTTGTGATCCACCCACCTCGGCCTCCCAAAGTGCTGGGATTACAGGCATAAGCCACTGCACCCGGCCTAAGATTTCCTAATTTTTATAACCAAATGCTTACCGCTCAGGGGATTCTTCGTAAATACTGTGACATTCTGTATTCTCAAGCATGAGACTTCTACTGAGGTTTTGTACCCCTGGATAATGGAAGTTAGCAAAGGAGTGTGACATTGGAGAAGTTTTGTTTCCAAGGTCTGAAATTCTCTTATCATGACTGGTTAGTCCACAGGTGAGGCCATCTAAAGCAGGATTCAGAGAGCGGGTCATATAGGCATCAGCTGATTGAGGTCTTCTCATTGGGGATGATGGATAGGGAGAGAGTTTGCTGATAAGAGGAGTCAAAAGATCAGCATATGCAGCTTTTGTAGGTTTCAGAAGTTTGTCAACATGAATATTAAGCATTTTCTGTTCAAAAGCACAAGAGAAGACAGAAGATGGAAGATTCTGAAGCCATGACAGTAAACTCAGATCCAAATCATCACAACCATTACCACATAAGAGGTCGATGCCAAGAAGCACTTCGCTTTCTGTAATTTCTTCTCCAGTTGCTTTACTCTGACAAAATTCTACACAGCATTCATAAAGCAGGCCTTTCATTACAAGCTGAAATAAACGATTGTTACTAGCCTTAAAACCAGCTTCACTTAGCTTCCTATCAGCAGGGATGAATTCTGCAACCATGACACAAGCCTCTTCAAAACAGTGAACTCGTGCGGTGCTGGGATTCCAGTCCTTAAACTCGGCATGATTGGTCAGACGAGGCAAAGTCAAAAGCAAACAGAGCTTACTATAGTCATCTTTAGAAGGACAGTATTCTTCTAGAGCATGTAAACATTGCACAGCTTCTTGCATGGTAAATTCCAGCTGTAAGAAAAATATAAATGATCAAATAATCACTATAAAAAACATGCTATGAAATATGAAAACGACAAGAGTACAAAGAATAAATTATATTGCCACAGAATACTCATATAATTTGTAGGATATGCAACAGCTTTCAAGATAGGAACATAATGTTTTCACAACTAAAATAAAAATAATAAACTTGGTTTATTAGTACATTAAACTTTTATCTATAAAAACACTGTTCTATTATAATTCAGGCATAAGACAGGATCTCACTCTGCTGCCCACGCTGGAGTGCAGGGGTTATTCATACACACAAATATAGTGCACTACAGCCTTGAACTCTTGGGCTCAAGTGATCCCCAGCCTCTAAAGTAGCTGGGACCACAGGTGTGCCACACTGTGCCCAGCTCTCAAATATATAATTTTTTAACGGTAAGAATTTTTTTTCTAGAAATGAAAATTGAAGCATGCCAATGTTCAATTGTTTATAAACTTTGCTATTATTCCAGCTTACCCAAAAGGCAAAAGAGCCACTCTGTTAGTCCAAACTTACCTTAGAGCAAAATTGTGTGGAGATAGAAAGTCAAGAAAAGGGAGCCGAGCACAGTGGCTCACACCTGTAATCCCAGCACTTTGGTAGGCCAAGGTGGGCAGATCATGAGGTTCGAGACCAGCCTGGCCAACACAGTGAAACCCCGTCTCTAATAAAAATACAAAAAATTAGCCAGGCACAGTGGCGGGCACCTGTAATCCCAGCTACTTGAGAGGCTGAGGCAGGAGAATTGCTTGAACCCAGGAGGCAGAGGTTACAGTGAGCTGAGATCGCACCACTGCACTCCAGCCTGGGTGACAGTGTGAGACTCCATCTCAAAAAAAAAAAAAAAAAACAGAAAGGGAATGCCTAAAGTTGACTTACTACAAAACAATCCAGACAGACCAAAATGGAAGCTTAGCTGAGAGACAAATTATAATAATTTGTATAGTGAATATTGTCTTTGAATCATAAGCTTTTAATGATGTAAGGAACTTCAGCACTCACCTAGTCTAGCCACCATATCTTACATATGGGAAAAGTCAGGGTACACATTTACCAAGGTAATTCAGTTGATTAGTGGCAAAGACGGAATAAAAAATAGGTCTCCTAACTCATGTTCCAGTGTTCTTTTCACTTTTGAACATCATTATCTGGCAAATATATCTGTATCTGAAAGTCCCCACTGTAAAATCCTTTGGTTTTTGCCTCAGTCTGAATGTTTGTGCCTCCCTAAAATTCCTATGTTGAAATCCTAACCCCGCAAGGTAATGGTATTGGAAAAGTAGGGCCTTTGGGAGGTGACTAGGTCATAAATGCTCAGCCCTCGTGAATTAGATTAGTGCCCATATAAGAGACCCCAGAGAGCTAGCTAGCCTCTTTAACCAGCTGAAAACACAGCTAGAAGGCACCATCCATGAACCAGAGCACAGGCCCTCACCAGGCAATGAATCTGCTGGTACCTTGATCTTGGACTTTCCAGCTACCAGAACTGTAAGAAATAAACTTCTATTGTTTACTAGCCCCCTAGTTTATGATATTTTGTTATAGCAGGTCAAATGGACTAAGACACTTTACTTCAGTTAACAATTACCAGAACTTAATACAAGTTTTCTCGGTTTTAGTATTACACTGAATCTTTAAAAGTCACTTTACTAATCAAAATGAATTTAATTTCATTAAATTTAAATAGTCATGAAGACAAACATTTCAGCAAAAAAAAAACTATCTCTGGATCAAAGACAATACAGAAAAGACAGAGAAAAAGGACATAAATATAACCAACCCACTTCCGGGATTTAAAAAAAAGAAGAAATGATGAAGAGTCATCAAGTCAAACTTTATCTATTGCTGACTTACCTTAAACAAGAGAGATGCACACACTCTTCAACTAGCCAGCTATTTATATATCTTGGCTTAAACCATGGAACAAGTTTAGAAGCGCTACAGAATGAAAATACTACACCTGGAAAACACCAGATCTTGCCCCATCCCAGCTCATAAAAACTCTGAAAACTTGTGATGCTAATCCTTCGTTTTAGTGACTAAAATACTTATGACTGAAAACAAGACTAGGGCGCAAACCTTCAGGAATAAAAATCTTACATGCTGGGGCTCATCTTCTGCTGACATCGCGTTGTTAACACATAAAGCTTCTAAAAACTTCTGCTTCAGGATAATATAACGAAACCTGTGGGAAAAAAATGAAGCATTAATTTTTCCAATGTCTGATGTCAAATATACTTAGAAGTTACTATGTAAGTACTTTTGCTTTAGGAAAATTATTCAAATAATTTACTAGGCTTCTTATCACATTGAAGCCATAACTGAAGTTCAGTCACAAGTAATCACAATTTAACACTCAGAGAATGAATTTATACTTCCAATATTAATTGTAAACAACAATCCAATTTTTATGGAAGATATCAAATGTTACCTAATATTAAATCAAGTCTTATATCCAAAATGTTTTGTTTACCTTACATCCTGTTTTTTATTAAAAAAATTTTAACAAATAATAGTATATATTTATGGGGTATGTTACATTTTTAAATACATATACATTGTAGAAAGATTAAATCAAATATTTTCTTTTTAAATATGAGAAAAGTCTAATAAAAAATGGGGCTGAAAGGGTAGGAGAAAATGAACATTTCTAAAACACTACAAAATAACTAGAGACTTAAAGCTTTTTTCCTTTTCTTTTTTTTTTTTAGAGACAGAGTCTTCTGCTCTGTCACCCAAGCTGGAGTACAGTGGCATGATCACAGCTCACTACAGCCTCAAACTTTGGCCCAAGCAATCCTCCTGCCTCAGCCTCCCAAGCAGCTAGGACTACAACTGTGTGCCACAGCACCCGGCCAATTTTTAAAATTGTTTTGTAGAGACCGGGTCTCACTTTGTTGCTCAGACTGATCTCAAATTCCTGGCTTCAAGCAATTCTCCTGCCTCAGCCTCCCAAAGTGCTTGGATTACAAGTATGAGCCACTGCACCTGGTCCCAATTTAAAGCTTTTTAACAAGAGTTTTTCAGAGGGGAAGGGATAGCAAAGAGTCTACCTAACCTGTCTAAGAATCAAAAGCTTTATTGCCTGAAGCAATTTATAGAAAAAGTGTTTCCAAGTCTGGAAAGAAAAAAATAATGAACCTTCAGTCATTCTTTCAGCCACTGTTGTAGTAGCAAATTGTGTCCAATAAAACAAAATCCCTGCCTTCAAAAAGAGGGTCACCTAATAAATTATATGAAATATTCAGAGTTCAGCAAGGCCTCAAAAAAGTATGAAACCAATTGTACAAAAGAGGTGGAAAGTTAACAAAAAAAAGACATAACAACTGACTCTCAGAAGACAATCAGAAGTGTACCAGGTAAAGGCAGGAGATGGTGAAGGGATTAATATTCCAGGTAAGTAAAGAATGTACAAACGCAAAGAAATATCAAGCAGCATGGTCTGAATAGCAAATCAAAAAATAACAACAGGTTCAACTTCTGATAGTGATAGAGTAACTTATATCTGGCTAACATTTCTGCATATAACAACAATAAATCTTACATAAAATACCAAAAAAAGGTGATTTTATTTATTTGTTTGTTTATTGATTGACTGATTGAGACAGAGTCCTGCTCTGTCGCCCAGGCTGGAGTGCAGTGGCACGATCTCGGCTCACTGCAACCCCTGCCTCCCAGTTTCAAGTGATTCTCCTACCTCAGCCTCCCAAGTAGCTGGGATTACAGGCATGTGCCACCACATCCAGCCAATTTTTTTTTGTATTTTCAGTAGAGACAGGATTTCGCCATGTTGGCCAGGCTGGTCTCCAACTCCTGACCTCAAGTGATCCGCCTGCCTCGGCCTCCCAAAGTGCTGGGATTACAGGCGTGAGCCACCACGCCTGGCCTCAAAAAATGACTATTTTGAATGCATTTGAAAAGCTGGCACAACTAGAGGGAAGTCAATCCTTAAAAAAAGAGAAATTTGCCAGGTGCGTTGGCTCAAGCCTGTAATCCCAGCACTTTGGGAGGCCAAGGTGGGTGGATCACGAGGTCAGGAGCTCGAGACCAGCCTGACCAACATGGTGAAACCCCATTTCTAACAATACAAAAATTAGCTAGGCACAGTGGTGCATGCCTGTAGTCCCAGCTGCTCGGGAGGCTGAGGCAGGAGAATCGCTTGAACCTGGGAAGCAGAGGTTGCAGTGAGCCAAGATCGCACCACTGCATTCCAGCCTGGGTGACAGAGTGAGACTCCATCTCAAAAAAAAAAAAAAAAAACCCAGAAATTTAAGGGGTTATATTCAACAGCATAAGGCTTTCCAGCTGAGGGCACTCCCCAGTTCACACAGTGTGAGCTAGAACTCAAACAGAAGGCTGTAGCTTGAAAAGTCTGGTACTGACTGAACAAAGTGGCTCATACTTGTAATCCTAGCACTTTGAGAGGCCAAGGCAAGAGGATTATTTGAGCCCAGAAGTTCGAGACCAGCCTGGGCAACAAAGTCAGACCTGGTCTCTACAAAAAATTTAAAAATTAGCCTAGCGGGGTGGCACACGCCTGCAGTCCCAGCCACACAGGAGTCTGAAGCAGGCAAATCACTTGAGCCCAGGAGGTAAGGCTACAGTGAGCTGTGTTCACACCACTGCACTCCAGCCTGGGCAACAGAATGAGACCCTGTCTCAAAAAAAAAGTTTGGTACTGCCAGAGCAGCTAAAAAATGAGAGGAAGATCCAAAAAAAGGACGACGTCACAGTAGGAAACATACCAAAATCTACTGTATAAACTTAGGTACCCATATCCCTGGCTATCCCCTAAACTGTGAAGATGCAAGGGAGACTCCAAGGAGCCTGGAGAAAACAGATGAAAGGCCAAAGAACTGAGCAGAGATTTCGGGACAAATCTCTGGTATCCACAAGAGGGGAGAAAGAGTTTGCATTTTGAGGCTACCTAAGTTAAATAACTGCCTGTATGAAAATCAAACTTTTTATGTAGGAAGAGAACAGAATTCAGAGCCTCAAGAGTGAAGCTGAAATGTGCAGATTACATTTACAAAATAATTAGATATAGTTAAAAAAAAAAACAAAAAGTGACTCCCAGTTAGGAGAAAAGGCAATCATTAGAAACTGAGCCTGATATAAGCAAGCACAAGTCCAAATTACCAAACAAGGACTACACTAGCAAACAAGCAGCTACTCTCAGTATGTTGAAGGACCTAAAGAAAAATATAATCATAATGAATGAACAGATGGAAAAATCTTACAAAAAAATTATACGAATTTGAAAATGAAAAGCACAATATTCAAAATGAAAAATTCACTGTTGAATTTGAAGCTGCAGTGCCACATACATGCCACTGCACATCAGCCTGGTGGTAGAACAAGAACCTGTTTTTAAAAATTCACAATTTATCAACAGATTGCTAATAGCAAAAGAAAGGGTCAGTGAACATTAAATCAACTTAAAATAATCCAAATGAACACAAGGGAAGCCTGGGCAACATGGTGAAACCCTAACTCTAAAAAAAATACAAAATTAGCTAGGCTGATGGTACACGCCTGTATAGTCCCAGCTACTTGAGAGGCTGAAGTGGGAGGATTGCTTGAGCCCAGGAGACCAAGGCTGCAGTGAGCTGTGATCATGCCACCACACTCCAGCTTGGGTGACAGAGAGAGATCAATTTGTTTACTCTCTGTTCAAGGCCAGTGGAGAAAGAAAAATGAAAATGAAAATTTTTGTTCATTGTTTTGCTAAGCTTCTACCAATGATGAGACACTAAAAACTTTAGATAAAATCTTACCTTTTTTTGTCAAATTTTTCCATACATTCTAGAGGCTGAATGAACTGAAGAACTTCATCCCATTGACCATCAAGTATTAGCTGCCTAAATAAAAAATTTAAAAAAACCAGCATGTCACCAAATTCAGGTTATACTAATTAAAAGCAGAACAGATGACAAAACAGCATTCAAACTTCATAAAGCACACAATGAGATTAACATTTTATTTGATTCCTCAAATAAATTTTTCATAATTTTTTTTTTTTTTGAGACAGAGTGTCGCTCTGTTGCCCAGGCTGGAGTGCAATGGCACAATCTCGGCTCACTGCACCCTCTGACTCCTGTGTTCAAGCGATTCTCCTGCCTCAGACACCCGAGAAGCTGGGACTATAGGCTCGCACCACTAAGCCCCACTAATTCTTTTCTATTTTTAGTAGATACAGGGTTTCACCATGTTGGCCAGGCTGGTCTCAAGCTCCTGACCTCAGGTGATCCACCCACCTCAGCCTCTCAAAGTGCTGGGATTACAAGCGTGAGTCACCTCACCTGGCCTAAATTTTTCATAACTTATTTGTAACAACATACACTGTATGAGAAGAATTTGTGAATCTGCAACCACTCATACTAACTATATATATGTGGGTTTTGACCTATGTAAAAACATTGGACATGCCAGGCGTGGTGGCTCACACCTGTAATCCCAGCACTTTGGGAGGCCAAGGTGGGCAGATCACCTGAGGTCAGGAGTTTGAGACCACCCTGCCCAACATGGCGAAACCCCGTCTCTACTAAAAGTACGAAAATTAGCTGGCCGTGGTGGCGGGCGCCCGTAATCCCAGCTACTGGCAGGAGAAGCTTGAACCTGGGCGGCAGAGGTTGCAGTGAGCCAAGATCACGCCACTGCACTCTAGCCTGGGCAACAAAAGAGAGACTCTGTCTCAAAAAAAAAAAAAAAATGGACTAAGCTTTAAAGTTCCTATATTTCCATATTCATCTTACAGTTTTAAAGCTATTATATATTATTTTAAGAACAAGTGGCTGGGCGCAGTGGCTCATGTCTGTGGTCCCAGCACTTTAGGAAGCTAAGGTAAGCAATTCACTCGAGCTCAGGAGTTCGAAACCAGCCTGGGAAACATGGCGAAACCCTGGCTCTACAAAAAATACAAAAATTAGCCAGGCATGGTTGTGCATGCCTGTGGTCCCAGCTACTCGGGAGGCTGAGGTGGGAGGATCACTTGAGCCCAGATGTCAAGGCTGCAGTGAGCTGAGATTGTGCCACTGCACTCCAGCCTGGGCAACAGAGTGAGACCCTGTCTCAAAAAAACACACACAAAAAAGAAAGAACAGGTGATCATTTGAGCCCAGCAGTTCAAGACTAGCCTGGGCAACATGCAAAACCCCATCTCTACAAAAAATTTAAAAATTAGCTGGGCATGGTGGTACATGCCTGTAGTCCCAGCTATTCAGAAGGCTGAGGTGGGATAATCGCTTGAGTCAAGAAGGTCATGGCTGCAGTGACCATGATCATGCCACTCCACTCCAGCCTGGCAGCCTAGGTGACATAGCAAGACCCTGTTTCAAAAAAAAAGTAAAAAGAATTTTAAAAGCTGGGAGTGGGCCAGGCATGGTGGCTGTCAGCATTTTTGGAGGCCGAGGCAGACAGATCACCTGAGGTCAGGAGTTCAAGACCAGGCTGGCCAACATGGCGAAACACCATCTCTACTAAAAATACAAAAATTAGCCAGGCGTGGTGGCAGGTGCCTGTAATCCCAGCTTACTCGGGAAGCTGAGGCAGGGAGAATTGCTTGAACCTACAAGGCACGTTACAGTGAGCCGAAGTCACGCCACTGCAGTCCAGCCTGGGCGACAGAGTGAGACTCTGTCTCAAAAAAAAAAAAAAAAAAAGCTGGGAGTGGTGGCTCACACCTGTAATCCCAACATGTTAGGAGGCTGAGGCACCATGGTGAAAATCCATCTCAACTGGGGGTGATTTTGCATTCTGTCAGGACATTTGGCAACATCTAAAGACATTTTTGGTAGTCACAACTGGGGATACTACTGGGATCTAGTGGGTAGATCTACTGGGATCTAGTTGGGGATGCCGTTAACATCCTACAACAAAGGACAACCCTCCACAACAAAGAATTATCTGGCCCAGATGCTAGCAGTGCCAAGGCTGAGAAACTCTGCTCTACATTGTGAATTCTATGTGAAATCTACAGCTTTGAGAATACAGTTTACACTGAGAATGAAAACAGCAAGGAATAAGAACAAGTTTCATCCTACTTTAAATGGTCTATGGGAATATCCAAAAGTTACAAGGCATTCTTACATCTTTTCTTACACAACGGCAATTTCCCTATTTTTGAATGTTTTAGAACAGAGAAATTTTAAATGGGAAGGATGGGCAGGAAGACCTACATAGGATTAACAATATGCTGCAAAGAAGAAATATTAATAAAAGCAAGATGGGCACAGTGGCTCATGCCTGTAAATCCTAGCACTTTGGGAGGCCAAGGTGGGAGAATCATTTGAGGCCAGGAGTTCAAGATCAGCCAAGGGCAATATAGCAAGATCCTACCTTTATAAAAAAAAAATTAACATAAAGAAATTTTTTAAATAAAAATAAGGCAATCACTGTATATCATAATCATTTTATAAAGGTGCATTTCAATATTTAAAATGTAAGAAAGGACACAATTTCAAAGGCAAGCCCTTTAAGATGAACATATTTAGTTGTTTTTTTTTTTTTTTTTTTGAGACAGAGTCTTGCTCTGTCGCCCAGGCTGGAATGCAGTGGCACGATCTCAGCTCACTGCAAGCTCACGATCTCGGCTCACTGCAAGCTCTGCCTCCTGGGTTCACACCATTCTCCTGCCTCAGCCTCCCAAGTAGCTAGGACTACAGGCACCCGCCACCACGCCTGGCTAATTTTTTGTATTTTTAGTAGAGACGGGGGGTTTCACCGCATTAGCCAGGATGGTCTCGATCTCCTGACCTCGTGATCCACCCACCTTGGCCTCCCAAAGTGCTGGGATTACAGGCGTGAGCCACTGTGCCCAGCCGAACATATTTAGTTTAATGAAAAACCTACTATTTTATTATTCTTTGCATTTCACCTCAGACCAGTAAAATTTCATCATAAATCAAGCAGGAGGGTACTTGAGAGCTGCCACTGTTAACTTCTAGGAGTATTAATGCTTCAAAGATAGTGCTTAAAAAAATACTACACTATTAACTAAGCTCCCTGGGGCTGGATGATATTCATAACACAAAATATAGGGAAGTGCAACAAGTTTAAATAGAGTCCCCTAATATAATAAAGCTTTGTTATTGCTGTTATTGTTGTTGTTGTTGAATGGTTCCTTTTCATAAGCTAGGAACACTTCATTTTTTTTTTTTTTTCTGAGATGGAGTTTCCTTCTTGTCGCCCAAGCTGGAATACAATGGTACGATCTCAACTCACTGAAACCTCTGCCTCCTGGGAGGAACACTTCATTTCTTGAGGCTTTCCAAGTCACAAAATGCCACATGTCCAAGAATCTGTACTTCTTGTCAAGGATATTTGGTATCTCATAAAAATAGAATACACTTCTGCCTGCAAATTTGGGATTTTCCGTTTCTATCCAATTCAGACTAGAATATATTTAGCTTTCCATTTTGGCAAACATGTTACTTCACTTTGCCTTGCAATTCCACCTCTAAGAATCTTGTCCTAAGGAAATAATCCAATATATAGAAAAAGTCTCAGCTAGGTGCAGTGGCTCATGTCTGTAATCCCAGCACTTTGGGAGGCCGAGGCAGGCAGATCACCTGAGGTCAGGAGTTTGAGACCAGCCTTGCCAAAATGGTGAAACCTTGCCTCTACTAAAAATACAAAAATTAGCCGGACGTGGTGGTGTGCACCTGTAGTCCCAGCTACCTGGGAGGCTAAGGCGAGAGAATCACTTGAACCCAGGAGGTGGAGGTTGTAGTGAGCTGAGATCATGCCACTGCACCCCAGCCTAGGTGACAAAGCAAGCCTCTATCTCAAAAAAAAAAAAAAAAAGGCGCAAGTATAAAATGTTCTGTAGAGCAATTATTTAAGATAAATTGGGAACAATTGTTTAAAATTAGGGGAGCCATTAGGAAATTAAGTAAACTGAAATTTTTTATTTGTAGCTGGAATTACAGGCATGCACCACTATGCCCAGCTAATTTTAGTATTTTTAATAGAGACGGGATTTCACCACGTTGGCCAGGCTGGTCTCGAACTCCTAACCTTAAGTGATCCACACGGCTCAGCCTCCCAAAGTGCTGGGATTACAGGCGTAAGCCACCACGCCTGGCCTTTTTTAATTTATTATTTATTTAATTTATTATTTATTTATTTATTTAGTCTTGCTCTGTCGCCCAGGCTGGAGTACAGTGGCACCATCATGGCTCACTGCAACCTCTGCCTCTCGGGCTCAAGTGATTTTCCTGCCTTAGCCTCTCGAGTAGCTGGGACTAGAGGCATGCACCACCACACCCAGCTAATTTTTGTATTTTTAGTAGAGACGGGGTTTCACTACGTTGGCCAGTCTGGTCTCAAACTCCTGACCTCAGGTGATCCGCCTGCCTTGGACTCGCAAATGGCTAGGATTGCAGGTTTGAGTCACCATGCCCAGCCTGAAAATTTTTTAAATATAAGTTTGTAATCACACAGAGAAACCTTGTGATGTTAATAGATAAGGCATGATTCTAAATCATAAACACAACAGAATTGTTATTTTTAATAGATGCAAAAAAAAGATGCACAGAATTTACACTCTAAGAATGAAAACAGCAAGGAATAAGAACAATATTATGTCTGTGTGGTGGGGTAATTTTTCTTTTATTTATCTTTCTATATTTTCTATAATGAACACATCTTATTTCTATGGCCAAAAAATGGTATTTCAGAAACATTTTCTTTACCTTTTCAAAGTCCGATTTTCTTAGTCAAATATCTTTTATTATCATACCACAACCACAATGGAGTGATGACTCTTGTTCTTTTTAACAGACCTCTGGGTCTTACTACTGAAAACATTCTACAGAAAGCATTATTTTGTAAATGTTCCTTTTTTTTATTTTTGTATTTTTGAGACGGAGTCTCACTCTGCTGCCCAGGCTGGAGTGCAACGGTGCGATCTCAGCTCACTGGAACCTCCGTCTCCCTGGTTCAAATGATTCTCCTGCCTCAGCCTCCCGACTAGCTGGGATTACAGGCATGTGCCACCATGCCCGGTTAATTTTTATATTTTTAGTAGAGGCGGGATTTCACCATGTTGGCCAGGCTGGTCTCAAAACTCCTGACCTCAAGTGATCCGCCTGCCTCAGCCTCCCAAAGTGCTGGGATTACAGGCGTGAGCCACCACGCCCAGCCTATTTTGTAAATGTTCTATTTTTAAAATATTTTTTTAGGTCGGGTGCGGTGGCTCACGCCTGTAATCCCAGCACTTTGGGAGGCCAAGGTGGGCAGATCACGAGGTCAGGAGATCGAGACCATCCTGGCTAACATGGTGAAACCCCATCTCTACTAAAAATACAAAAATTAGCTGGCCGTGGTGATGGGCGCCTGTAGTCCCAGCTACGCAGGAGGCTGAGGCAGGAGAATGGCGTGAACCCGGGAGGCGGAGCTTGCAGTGAGCCGACATCTCGCCACTGCACTCCAGCCTGGGTGACAGAGCAAGACTCCGTCTCAAAAAATAAAATAAAATAAAATATTTTTTAAAATTATACTTACATAGCCTTTTCATGATTATAAAGTTCTATCTGTATTATATATATTACCTTATTAATACTTAACATTTCTTCGAAGGAGCTACAAACTTCACAGTATAATGAAATCATACCTCAGGAAAAGCATATCATCTGAAAACAGGCCATTTATGACTCCACTTTCCTTCTCCAGGGCCAGCATACTAATGTGAAGCTTCTTTGAATTCAGGAAGTCCAAAATTAGCTTAATGATTTCAACCTCTTTTACATTCACTGTTTCTTCAGCCGTCATATTGATAGCCTAAATATGAAACAGAAAAACAATAAAGCTAGTCCTATTGATTTATTTCTAAGTTTAACTGCCTGGCAACTACACATAACAGGTTTACTGGGAATCTTTAGTACACATATTCTGAAGTGAAGTTAACTTAGTATTTATCAAAACCAAGTCGTTCTTTAATATGTGACAATGGTATGGCCATGATTTTTTAAAGTCCTTATCTTTGAAATACATATTGGAATAATTACAGATTAAATGATATAAACTTTGTGATTTACATGAAAATAATAGAAGAGAAGAGTGGGAAGAGATAAAGATGAAACAAGAATGATTATGGTTACTGAAGCAGGGTAATAGGTAAATGAGGGTTTATTATATAATCCTGTCTACTCCTACATGTTTAAAATTTTCCATAATAGAGAATATTTTAAAAAGTCATTAATAACCAAACCATGTTTAGCTATGTCCCAAATACATTGTCCCAGGTATGCTCTAATACATTCACTCAATAAGTACTTAATGCCTTTTCTCTGTGACAGACATGATTCTGTACTCAGGAGACATTGGCCTTGCTTTAAGAAGCTTTAGTCTAGCAGTAATACCTAAATGATGACCTGGTCAGTACAGCGGAGCCAAACAAAACAAGGTTAGTTAAGATGTGCAACTTTAGGGCAGGTGTAGTGGCGTACGCCTGTAATCCCTGTACTTTGGGAGGCCAAAGTGGAGGGACTGCTTGAGTTCAGGAGTTCGAGACCAGCCTGGGAACCATGGCAAAACCACATCTGTACAAAAAAAATTAAAAAATTAGCAGGGCAAGATGGTGTGTGTCTATAGTCCCAGCACTCTGGAGGCTGAGGTGGGAGGATCGCTTGAGCCCAGGAGATCAAGGCTGCAGTGAGCAAAGATCGTGCCACTGCACTACAGCCTGAGCAACAGAATTAGACTCCGTCTCAAAAAAAAAAGAAAGAAAAAAGTGCAACTTTAGTCATATGGGTAATATCAGTGATATTTCAATACTCTCTAAGCTTCCTTCTAACTCTTACCTGTAGGTCTGCTACAACTGAGCACATAATGCTCAGGTTATGAATCCATAAAGATTTAGACCTGGGAGGACTATAAGATCATTTGTTCAACATTCTAATTTTACCAGTGAAGCCACACAAGTTAAATGGCCTAAACTGTTACAGTTTTCAAATGTTAAGGTTCAGAGCAATGCAAAATACCACCACACTAGGGGAGTAGCCACAAAGAAACTTCATCAGATGAAACAGACTATAAGCATATCTTTCTCACAGGACCAACTTATTCTAACCAAGCTTGCAGAAACATAAACATACACATGTGGACTGGGTGTAGTGACTCACGCCTGTAGTCCCAGCACTTTGGGAGGCTGAAGCAGGAGGATCGCTTGAGCCCAGAAGTTAGAAGTTACATACAGTGAGCTATGATCACACCACTGCACACCTCTGAACAACAGAGGAAGACCATGTCTCTAAACAAAACAAAACAAAAAATATATGTAGGCCCACAGGTTAGTGTTGTTTCCATTTCTTTACTTTTGGGTTGATTTTTTTGTTTATAACAAGAAATGCAAATGTCTAGCAGACTAGAATGCTCTCATCAGCAGATGAGTACATTTTCTCCCTCAGCTAGAGGCCTGGGCATGGTGGCTCACACCTGTAGTTCCAGCACTTTGAGAGGTCGAGGTGGGAGGATCACATGAGCCCAGGAGTGCGAGACAAGCCTGGGCAACATGGCGAAACATGGTCTCTACCAAAAATATAACAATCAGCCAGCATGTGTGCCTGTAGTTCCAGTTACTCAGGAGGCTGAGGTGGAAAGATCACTGGAGCCCCAGAAGTTGAGGCTACAGTGAGCGGTGATCATACCACTGCACTCCAGCCTGGGCGGTAGCGTGAGACTCTGCCTCAAAAAAAAAAAAAAAAAAAAGAAGGCTGGGCACAGTGGCTCACACCTGTAATCCCAGCACTTTGGGAGGCTGAGACGGGTGGATTATGAGATCAGGAGTTTGAGGCCAGCCTGGCCAACATGGTGAAACCCCACCTCTACTAAAAATACAAAAATTAGCGGAGCGTGGTGGCACGCACCTGTAATCCCAGCTACTTGGGAGGCTGAGGCAGGAGAATTGCTTGAACCCAGGAGGCGGAGGTTGCAGTGAGCCAAGATTGTGCCACTGCACTCCAGCCTGGGCAATAGAGCCAGACTCCATCTCGGAAAAAGAAAAAAAAACTAACAAATAAAAAAAAGTGGCGCTAGGGTAAACAAGGGACAAACCACAGAAAAATAATTATACGACTCACTCAAATATTTAATGACATCAGACTACACAAATCCCTCTGCAGAGTAAGAATATGTCTGTCTCAGGAAACAGTAAATCACAAACTTATCTCCCAACACACCAGCTACCCAACTCCGCATGCTTTAGGTTTCCCTTTCCTATCTTCTGAGCTGACCACCATCCTCCTGTTCACAGACTTCGTCCAAAAGAGGATACGGTAAAATAAGTTAAGATTTCCACTCACTAAATTCTTTTTTTTTTTTTAAAGACAGGGTCTTGCTCTGTCACCTAGGTTAGAGTGCAGTTGCATGACCATGGCCCACTGCAGCCTTGACCTCCCAGGCTCAAGTGATCCTCCCGCTTCAGCCTTCCAAGTACCTGGGATGACAGGTGTGTGCCACCGTACCCAGCTAATTTTTTATTTTACTTTTTGTAGAGACGGGATCTACCTATGTTGCCTAGGCTGCTCTCGAACTCCTGGGCTCAAGCAATCCTCTCGCCTCGGCATCCCAAAGTGTTGGGATTACAGGGATGAGCCACCGTGCCCACCTTTTTTTTTTTTTCAGGTTATCCGTGGAAACTACTCATTAAATTCTGATCATATCAGAACTGTCTCCCTAATATTATTCTTAGAGCACACTGATTAGTGATTTTAGCATTCCTCAAATCTTTAGACAATTCTTTTTTTTATTTTTACTGCTCCTTGCAGAGCAGGCTACCCAATAGGCAGTGTGCCCAGAGTAGCCCTTCAGGTAATTCTTACTAGCAAAAAAATGGCTTTTACTAATTTAACTCTCAGAAAAAAATATTCCCTCCTCTGTAGGTTCTTAGAGGGCACATCACATATATCTCCATGTACCAACCACACAAACTTAATGCACAATTGGGACTATAATTTTCTAATATAGCTCAATATACCAATGATACTAAACATTGTATAGGCTTCATATTCAACATTCAATCTAAATATCAGTCCAGATATAAAGTTACTCTGAATGGAATTTATGGCAATAGTCCCACTTTAAATAATAACTACAAGTTTAATGTTGCAGTCATTTTTGGTTAATAAAGCCTAAGAGAACTACATTCTTACAAATACATATTTTATACTGACAGTTGAAGGTAACAGAAAATATGTCCTAATTAACTTAAAATTGGTTCAAGTTTTCTTTTTAAAAAAAAACTAATTAAAAAAAGACAAGTTTTAATTCTATACCTTGAAATTCCCAGTAGAATAATATATTTTAATCACCCAACACAGAATTTTTTTTTTTTAAGGCAGAGTCTCCCTCTGTTGCCCGGGCTGGAGTGCAGTGGCAATCTCGGCTGGCTGCAACCTCCGCCTCCCAGGTTCAAGCAATTCTCTTGCCTCAGCCTCCTGGGTAGCTGGGATTACAGGCGTGCACTTACACAACCGGCTAATTTTTTGTATTTTTAGTAGAGACGGGGTTTCGCCATGTTTGCCAGGCTGGTCTCAAACTCTTGACCTCAGGTGATCCGCCCACCTCAGCCTCCCAAAGTGCTGGGATTACAGGCGTGAGCCACCAAGCCTGGCCCAGAATTTTAATTCTTATAAGCTTCACTGTTGCTGAATACAGTATAAATATAGGCATAGGCACATGCTTGATGACTATATCTTAGAATTATTCTCTTCTAACTCCCTTGTATTACTGAAACATTTATACAGGCTCCCAAAATCTTACCTCTGTAAGTGATATATACTGCATACTTTTTTTTTCCCCCAGATGGAGTCTTGCTCTGTCACCCAGGCAAGAGTGCAGTGGTGCAATCTCGGTTTACTGCAACCTCCGCCTCCCGGGTTCAAGTGATTCTCCTTCCTCAGCCTCCCAAGTAGCTGGGATCACAGGTGCCTGCCACCACGCCCGGCTAATTTTTGTATTTTTAGTAGAGATGGGGTTTCACCATCTTGGCAGGGCTGGTCTTGAACTCCTGACCTCGTGATCCACCCGCCTCAGCCTCCCAAAATGCTGGGATTACAGGCATGAGCCACCATGCCCAGCTATATACATATTTTAAACATCTATTTCCTGTAATCCTAGCTACTTTGGAAGGCTGAGGTGGGCAACATAGTGAGACCTTATCTCAAATAAATAAATAAATAACTATTCACCACAAAGTTAGAACTTTTCTCTAATTCAGGGAAACAGAATTCAATAATAATTACTTCTTCCCCTCTCCTCTGGGGGAGCTATAAATCTGCAAAAGATTTTAACAAGTTTAGGAACTACTAAAATTATCTTTTAAAATGAGATGCACATATAATCATAATATGTGTTCAATAAATAAATATTAGCTGAATTAACTTGAGATGTAAAGTCACTGAAGAAATGTCTCTACAAAAGTACAGAACAGATGACTATGGTTTTGTTTGTTTGTCTGTTTTAGACAGGGTCTTACTCTGAGGCCCAGGCAGGAGTGCAGTGGCTGAATCATGGCTCACTGCAGCCTTGGCCTTCTGGGCTCAAGCAATCCTCCCACCTCAGCCTCCCAAGTAGCTGGGACCACAGGCATGTGCCACTGGGCCCAGCTAATTTTTGTTGGGTTTTTTTTTTTTTTTTTTTTTTGTAGAGATTGGGTTTCGCCATGTTGCCCAGGCTTAGTCTGACTGCTTGAACTCCTGAGCTCAAGCAATCCACCCGCCTCGACCTCCAAAGTGCTGGGATTACAGGCATGAGCCATCATGCCTGGCCCAGAGGACTTTGTTTTTAATTGTTTTCAAAAACTTACTGAAAAGGATGGAGCTGTGACTGAAGCAATCCAGCTATTTAGCCTAAGCATGTGCCAACACGCCCAGCTAATTTTTTGTATCTTTAGTAGAGGTGGGGTTTCACCATGTTGGCCAAGATGGTCTTGATCTCCTGATCTCGTCATCCGCCCGCCTCAGCCTCCCAAAGTGCTGGGATTACAGGCATGAGCCACCGTGCCTGGCCTTAAAAAACTTTTTTTAAAAAACATTTTTGAGGTTAATTTTAATTAATTTAATATGTATTTAATAATACATATATAATTTACCATCTTCACCATTTTTATGTGTACAGTTCAACGGTAATAAATAAATCTATATTCCATCCTTGCCTTTCCTCTTTCCCTTCTGGCCTCTGGTTAAAATCACAAAAATGTAATTGTGAATTTTCCTTTAAAAAGTAAGTTTTACTTATATCCAATATCCAGACTAGGTAAAGAAATAAGAGTGTTCTTTAAATATAAGTATGTCTGGAAACCAGCTAGAAGGTATTTAGTATTTTAGTCCTTAGATACAATTAACATACACTGAAATTAATTCCAGATGGGGTCTCTATGTGGACTCCTATTGATTACCATCTTAGTAAACCAAGATTAGAAGGATGTATTAAAGGGTTAGAAATAAAATTATTTTTAGAAATCTAAGATTAAAGGTAAAATGTTAATAATACATAAGAAACTGCCGGGCGCAGTGGCTCATGGCTATAATCCCAACACTTTGGGAGGCCGAGGCAGGTGGATCACGAGGTCAGGAGTTCAAGACCAGCCTGGCCGAGATGCTGAAACCCCGTCTCTACTAAAAATACAAACAAATTGGCCAGGCGCAGTGGCTCATGCCTATAATCCCAGCACTTTGGGAGGCTGAGGCTGGTGGATAACCTGAGGTCAGGAGTTCGAAACCAGCCTGGCCAACATGATAAAACCCTGTCTCTACTGAAAATACAAAAATTAGCCGGGCGTGGTGGTGCATGCCTGTGGTCCCAGCTACTCAGGAAGCTAAGGCAGGAGAAATCACTTGATTCTCACTTGAACCTGGGAGGCAGAGTTTGCAGTGAACCAAGGTTGCGCCACTGTACTCCAGCCTGGGTGACAGAGCGAGACTCTGTCTCTAAATAAATAAATAAATAAATAAATAAATAAATAAATAAATATTTTTTTAAAAAAATTACCCGGGCGTGGTGGTGGGCACCTCTAATCCCAGCTACTCGAGAGGCTGAGGCAGAGAACTGCTTGAGCCCAGGAGGTGGAGGCTGCAGTACACTGAGATCACACCACTGCACTCCAGCCTGGGCAACAGAGAAAGACTTCGTCTCAAAAAAAAAAAAAGAAAGAAAGAAAGAAAATATTCTAGTAATAAAAATATATTGACTCTGTGTATTTCCATACAAAGATATGGAAAAACTTCATGAAAAAATATCACTGGTAGCTTTCTAACCAAATATAAGCAGATATGATTTAATTAAATGTCCCTTTCTGGCAGTGACGACCTACCCACAGGAGAACATGCCTCTCGCAAAAGATCTCCTTCATCCCTCCCCAGAAGAAGAGAAGAAGAAACACAAGAAGAAACGCCTGGTGCAGAGCCCCAATTCCTACTTCATGGGTGTGAAATGCCCAGGATAATATAAATCACCACGGTCTTTAGCCATGCACAAATGGTAGTTTTGTGTGTTGGCTGCTCCACTGTCCTCTGCCAGCCTACAGGAGGAAAAGCAAGGCTTACAGAAGGATGTTCCTTCAGGAAGAAGCAGCACTAAAAGCACTCTGAATCAAGATGAGTGGGAAACCATCTCAATAAGCACATTTTTGATAAAAATAAAAAATAAAATAAAATAAAATAAAAATTAAATGTTCATCTGCAATGCGGTTACTTAAACACACATTATGAAGGAAAAAAAACACAACAGGCCAAGAATTACTATAAATATAAGGTTAAGAGAACTAGGGCACAGTCATTATAAACCTTATAGTTATGACAAAAGTGCTTAATAAAGGCTCCATTAATCTGCAATTCCATCTCACACAATAAAAACTGCTCTCTTTAATCTTCCAAGTATTACAGAGTGCCTAACATGGAACAATAGTGCTTTACAACAGAACTTCACAAACAAAAATGCAGACAAGAAGATGAAGTGTCATGAAGCTTTTCAATAAAATACCAAACTGCAACACAGGACTACTGCATCTTTTCCTTTAAAAAAAAAAAAAAAAAGGAGAAAAAAACTGCTAGCTGTTTTTAATAACATGGCATTCAAAAAACTTTATGTTGCTGCCAGGTCATTTAATTTTAAATGTCCAGACCTGCAGGAATATATATGTGATGTTGCAAGTCACTAACCTCTATGGGCCTCAATTTCTTCATTCATAAAGTAAGGGGATTCGTTTGTCTAATTTCTATGATTTCCCTTCAAGTTTTATAATTTGCTTTAACTTACATTTCAATATCAGAAAGTACATATTCTTGGGAAACATCAAGAATATATAGAAAATATAAAGTCCGGGATAATCAGAAGCCTGTAATTAATAAAGTCTGTTTAATAAGAAGAAACAAAATAGATTTGCATTAGATCACTTAAGCAAACAAACAAAAGAAAAGCTCTTCTAACCAAAGCTCTGTCATGTCTGCTAATCACCTAACATTTGTAACATGGGTGCAGCACGTGCCCCTGCTTACTGTTGACAGCAGTTCTCAATTTATCAATTACTTTAATTTACCTTCTGGAACTGTGAATGATTTTTGGCCAGAAGAAATAAATTATGTTTAAAGCAGGTGCAACTTTATATAACTATAAAAAGAAACTAATATAAACTGTATGTTGTATACATGCATAAAATATCTCTGGAAAAAAATATAAGAAATTGGTGATACTGGTTGTATCCTAGAAGGAAAACTAGATAAGAATAGAAATGGAATCTGTACAACAAAGCAGCCCTGTAACATGAGTTTACCTATATAACAAACCTGTACATGTACCCCTGAACCTAAAATGAATAGGAATGGGAAGATCACTATATACCCTTTTGAATTTTGTACCATGGACAAATATTACCTATTCAAAAAATTAAAAATAATAAAACATAAATAACAAATTTACATTTGCAAACTACTAGAAGGAATTAGTAAACTAATGCATATAATGAAGTAATAATATTTCAAAGGAATTTGTATTTCTTCCCCATAACCCAAGACCTCTTCTCAGATCTGATTTGAATATCATTTCAATCTTTCTTTCTTTTTTTTTTTTTTTTTTTTTTAAGACAGGGTCTTGCTCTCAACACCAGGCTGAAGTGCAGTGGCACGATCTTAGCTCACTGCAGCCTTGACCACCTGAGCTGAAGAGATCCTCCCGCCTCAGCCTTCCCAGTAATTGGGACTACAGGCATGCACCACCATACCTGGCTAATTTTTGTGTTTTTTGTAGAGACAGGATTTCACCATGTTGCTCAGGCTGGTCTCCCACTCCTAGGCTACAGATATCTGCCAGCCTCAGCCTCCTAAAGTGCTGAGAACGCAGGCATAAGCAACTGCACCTGGCCTCAATCTTTCTTTATGAGACTAAGGACTAAGGTATGTGTGTTCTTTCCATATTCAAACCCAGAAATTTTTAAACAAGTATGTTTAAAATTACTGAAGTACTAACAATTCACATGATAAAAACGATTTTCTGGCCAGGCGCAGTGGCTCATGCCTGTAATCCCAGCACTTTGGGAGGCGGAGGCGGGTGGATCTCGAGGTCAGATCGAGACCATCCTGGCTAACACGGTGAAACCCCGTCTCTACTAAAAATACAGAAGATTAGCCAGGCGTGGTGACGGGCGCCTGTAGTCCCAGCTACTCGGGAGGCTGAGGCAGGAGAATGGCATGAACCCGGGAGGTGGAGCTTGCAGTGAGCTGAGATCGCAGCACTGCACTCCAGCTTGGGCGACAGAGCGAGACTGTCTCAAAAAAAAAAAAAAAAGATTTTCTTACTCAAGCTGCTCAATTAAGTCATGTAATGCAGAAAAGGTAAAGAAAAAAAATTGTCAACTTTGACACTAAAAATGTAAAATGTAGACCAGGCATGGTGGCTCACACCTGTAATCCCAGCACTTTGGGAGGCCAGGTGGGCGGATCACTTGAGGTCAGGAGTTCAAGACCAGCCTGGCCAACGTGGCAAAACCCTGTCTCTACTAAAAATACATAAATTAACCAGGCATGGTGGCATGTGCCTATAATCCCAGCTATTCAGGAGGCTGAGGCAGGAATATTGCTTGAACCCGGGAGGTGGAGGTTGCAGTGAGCTGAGATTGCACCACTGCACTCCAGCCTGGGTGACAGAGTGACACTCTGTCCAAAAAAAAAAATTACAAAACGTAAATCTTCCATTCAACAGAAACTTGCCACAAACAATTATGTTAAAAGACAAGGCACAAAGTAGGACTAAGTAAAACACACATAAAGAGTTAAATGGGGCTGGGCGCAGTGGCTCACACCTGTAATCCCAGCACATTGGGAGGCCAAGGCAGGTGGATCATGAGGTCAGGAGTTCAAGACCAGCCTGGCCAAGATGGTGAAACCCCGTCTCTACTAAAAATACAAAAATTAGCTGGGCACAGTGGCAGGCACCTGTAATCCCAGGTACTCGGGAGGCTGAGGCAGGAGAATCACTTGAACCCAGGGGGGCAGAGGTGGCAGTGAGTCGAGATCACGCCACTACACTCCAGCTTGGGCGACAGAATGAGACTCTGCCTCAAAAGGAAAAACAAAAACAAAAAAAAGCTAAATGGTTATTATCTGGAGCATATAAATAGCATCTTCAAATCAATACCCTCAAAATTCCAGACGAAAAATGAGCAAAAAATATAGACAATTCACAAAAGAACTATGAATACCAATATATTTGTGAAAAGATGCTCAACCTCAATAATAGTTTTATAACAAGGTACCAACATGCTCACTTCCACACACAGTAAAATGAGTTACCCATTTACGGCCTACCAGTTTTGAAAAAGAAAAAAGAAGACCCGATAATATCTAGTTTTGGCAAGAGTGTGGGCAAATGCCTTCATATACTGTTGTTAAGAATGTAAACTGGGGACCAGATGTGGTGGCTCATGCCTGTAATCCCAGCACTCTGGGAGGCCAAGGCGGGCAGATCACAAGGTCAGGAGATGGAGACCATTCTGGCCAACATGGTAAAACCCTGTCTCTACTAAAAACACAAAAATTAGCTGGACGTGATGGCACATGCCTGTAATCCCAGCTACTCAGGAGGCTGAGGCAGGAGAATTGCTTGAACCAGGGAGTCGGAGGTTGCAGTGAGCCGAGATCCGTGCCACTGCACTCCAGCCTGGCAACAGAGTGAGACTCTGTGTCAAAAAAATAAAAGTAAAAGAAGAATGTAAACTGGGACTGACTTTTTGAGAGAATTTGACAGCATGAAATTTTTACCTACAAAAATGTTGGTGAAGCATGATGGCTCATGCCAGTAATCCCAGTATTTTGGGAGGCCGAAGTGGGTGGATCACCTGAGGTCAGGAGTTTGAGATCAGCCTGACCAACATGGTGAAACCCCATCTCTACTAAAAATACAAAATTAGCCAGGCGTCGTGGCACATGCCTGGAATCCCAGCTACTTGGGAGGCTGAGGCAGTAGAATCACCTGAACCCAGGAGGCGGAGGTTGCAGTGAGCTGGGATCACGCCATTGCCCTCTGGCCTAGGCAACAAAAGTGAAACTCCATCTCAAATAAATAAACTTAAATGTAGACTACCCAATTCCAATTCTTATAGAAACCTAGCCTGCAAAAATACTTGCAAATAAAAAATGTTCCCTGAAAATTTATTTGTAATAGAGAAAAATTAGAAATAAACTGAACTGTCCTTAATAGCAGAATTGGTAAATAAATTATGGTAAATTCATACTATAAAACAGGGGTCCCCAACCCCCAGGACACAGACCAATACTGATCCACAGCCTGTTAGGAACTGAGCTGCACAGCAGGAGGTGAGCTGCAGACAAGGGAGCATTACTGTCTGAGTCCCGCTCCTGTTAGATCAGCAGTGGCATTAGATTCTCATAGGAGCACGGACCCTACATATGAGGGATCTAAACTGCAGTCTCCTTATGTGAATCTAATGCCTGTTGATCTGAGGTAGAATGGTTTCCACCTCACCCCTGGTCTGTGGAAAAATTTTCTTCTAGGAAGACAGTAAACCAACCAGTACCTGGTGCCAAAAGGGCTGAGGACTGTTGCTATAGAATACTAACACAGTGACGTATATCTATATATCCTAAAAAGGAAAAGTGCATCACAGAATAGTACAGCTATCAATAAATATTTGTTGAATGAATGAATATAAACAGGCCCATTTATTTAAAAGGAGAGAGGCATAATATCTCTGTGTCTAAATAAATATACAAAGGTCTGAGACCGGGCACAGTGGCTCATGCCTATAACCCCAGCACTTGGGAGGCTGAGATCGGAGGATAGCTTGAGCTCAGGAGTTCAAGGCAACATGGCGAAACCCTGTCTCTCCAAAAAAAAAAAACAATTAGCCAGGCGTGGTGGTGCAGGCCTGAGGTCCCAGCTACTCAGGAGGCTGAGGTGGGAGAATTGTTTGAGTCTGGGTGGTTGAGGCTGCAGTGAGCCAACATTGCACTACTGCACTCCAGCCTGGGCAAAAGAGTAAGACCCTGTCTCAGAAAAAAAAAAAAAAAAAAACCCCACACACACAAGGTCTGGAATGTTGCATGCCAAACTGTTCAGTGTGATTATCTCTGAAGAAAGGCATGGGATTGGGATGGAGGGCAGGGATCTAGGAGAAGAAAAGGGTTGAAGGAGACTTTTTTATTTTTTACTCTTTGCAGTTTATCTGAAGAGTTAACAACCAATATATATTCATGCATTACTTGTATGTTAATACATGCATTTCTCATATGAATACAATTTTTAAATTTTTTTTTTTTTTTTGAGACGGAGTCTTACTCTGTCGCCCAGGCTGGAGTGCAGTGGCGCAATCTTGGCTCATTGCAATCTCTGCCTCCTGGGCTCTAGTGATTCTCCTGCCTTGGCCTCCCGAGTAGCTGGGATTACAGGCGCCCACCACCACACCCAGCTATTTTGCATTTTTAGTAGAGACGGGGTTTCACCATGTTGGCCAGGCTAGTCTCGAACTCCCGACCTCAGGTGATCCACCCACCTCGGTCTCCCAAAATGCTGGGATTACAGGCATGAGCCACTATGCCCAGCCAATTTTTAATTTTGTATCTTCTTTTTTTTTTTTTTAAGAGAAGGAGTCTTACTATGCTACCCAGACTACAGTGTAGTTGCTATTGCCGGGCCTGTTCATAGCACACTACAGCCTCAAACTCCTGCGCTCAAGCAATTCTTCTGCCTCAGCCTCTTGAGTAGCTAAGACTATAGACATATGCCAACTTGCCTGGCTCAATTTTTAATTTTAAAGCAAAAAAGAACTATGAAAATGAAAAATATATACATATTAAAGGATTAGATCTCAAAGGTTTTAATCTATAAAGGTACCAACTAAAGTACAATCCCCAAAACAGGATTAACTGCTTTGTTTACAATGCAAAAACTACTGGGTACTATTTTAGGATCTTACATTCATTGTCTAATCGATCCTTACAAAAACCATTCTTCACCAGAAGATAGCTTCTAGATCCCTTCCCACTCCCGTCATCCTCCTCTAAATATCTGTTAATCCCCCTCCTAAAGAACCCAAAATAGGCCAGGCGCGGTGGCTCACATCTGTAATCCCAGCACTATAGGAGCCTGAGGCAGGTGGATCACAAAGTCAGGAGATCCAGACCATCCTGGCCAACATGGTGAAATCCCGTCTCTACTAAAAATACAAAAATTAGCCGGGCTTGGTAGCGTGCGCCTGTAGTCCCAGGAGGAGGTGAAGGTTGCAGTGAGCCGAGATGGCACCACTGCACTACAGCCTGGGCGACTGAGCAAGACTCCGTCTCAAAAAAAAAAAAAAAACATAGTCCAGGCGCGGTGGCTCACACCTGTAATCTCACCACTTTGGAAGGCCGAGGCAAGCGGATCACGGGGTCAGCAGATCGAGACCATCCTGGCTAACACGGTGAAACCCCGTCTCTACTAACAATACAAAAAATTAGCTGGGCGTGGTGGCAGGCGCCTGTAGTCCCAGCTACTCAGGAGGCCGAGGCAGGAGAATGGCGTGAACCCCGGGGCGGAGCTTGCAGTGAGCCGAGATCATGCCACTGCACTACAGCCTGGGGCGACAGAGTGAGACTCCATCTCAAAATAAATAAATAAATAAATAATAAAGCACAACACTCCAGGTGTGGTCTGATCAAGAACTATATACAGTGAAACTAACAATTCCCATCATCTAGGCTCTTTACAATGAATACACCTAAAATTTCTTTATATCATCATCTATTTGTGAAATGCTGTTTTTGCACTTCCCGGAATTTCATTTCCAAAGCTCTTCTTAAAGTTTCAAAGAAAATCGCCAGGTGCGGTGGCTCACGCCTGTAATCCCAGCACTTTGGGAGGCCGAGGCAGGCAGATCACCTGAGGTTGGGAGTTCAAGACCAGCCTGACCAACATGGAGAAACCCCGTCTCTACCAAAAATACAAAATTAGCCAGGCGTGGTGGCACATGCCGGTAATCCCAGCTACTAGGGAGGCTGAGGCAGGAGAATCACTTGAACCTGGAAGGCAGAGGTTGCGGTGAGCCGACATCACGCCATCACACTCCAGCCTGGGCAACAAGAGCAAAACTCCGTCTAAAAAAAAAAAAACAAAAAACAAAACAAGACTGGGCGTGGTGGCTCACGCTTGTAATCCCAGCACTTTGGGAGGCCGAGGTGGGCAGATCACGAGGTCAGGAGATCGAGACCACAGTGAAACCCTGTCTCTACTAAAAATATAAAAAATTAGCCGGGCTTGGTGGCGGGCGCCTGTAATCCCAGCTACTCAGAGAGGCTGAGGCAGGAGAATGGCATGAACCTGGGAGGCGGAGCTTGCAGTGAGCTGAGATCGCACCACTGCACTCCAGCCTGGGGGACAGAGCGAGACCTCGTCTCAAAAAAAAAAAAAAAAAAAACCAACCCAATTCTATAAAATTTTCTCAAAAGATTTTATAAAAGGTTCCATTTTCTTTTTCATCACAACAACAAGAGTCACAAAACATGGTACTTAGCCATAGGAAAAAAACATTATTTGAGTTACATATGTCAAGCATACTACATAACTAGTAATTATAAATAGTATAAAATTTTTATGTCTTTTTGCTTGTAGTACTATTTTTTTCTATCTTTCTTTCTTTCTCTCTCTTTGAGACTGGGTCTCACTGTCTCCCAGGCTGGTAGAGCCTTGTCCACCCAGGCTCAAGTGATTCTCTCACCTCAGCCTCCCCAGTAGCTAGGACCACAGGTGTGCACCACCACACTCAGCTAGCATTTTTTTTTTAATTGTTTGTAGACATGAGGTCTCACTATGTTGCCCAGGCTGGTCTCAAACGTCTGGGCTCAAGCAATCCTCCCACCTCATCCTCCCAAAATGCTCGCATTACAGGTATGAGCCACCTCGCCCAGCCCAGTACTATTTCTCAGTTAAAACAGGATGTTGACTTGTAAAATGAGAACAAGCTCCTAGCAGAGTGGCAAGCATGCAACTGGTGCTCAATAAATGTAAATTCCTTCCCTTCAGAGCTCCTAGCCTTGGTAAGGACAATGTGTCAAAAGGACTGCTAATGAATTGCTGCGGGAGAGCTACTGTGCTGTGAAGTATAAAAATTTACTTTGGAATAAGCTTACTTATTTTTGAAAATATTTCAGTAATTTAAAAAATATCGAGCCAGGTGCAGTGGCTCATGCCTGTAATCCCAGCACTTTGGGAAGCCAAGGCAGGCAGGTCACTTGAGTCTAGGAGTTCAACACCAGCCTGGGCAACATGGCAAAACCCTATCTCTACAAAAAATACAAAAATTAGCCAGGTGTGGTGGCAAGCACCTGTAGTCCTAGCTACTCGGGAGGCTGAGGTAGGAGGATCACTTGAGCCCAGGAGTTTGAGGCTGCAGTGGGCTATCATCATGCCACTGTACTGCAGCCTGAACGATAAAGTGAGACCCTGTCTCAAAAAATAAATAAACAGGCCAGGTGCAGTGGCTCACGCCTGTAATCACAACACTTTGGGAGGCCGAACTGGGTGGATCACTTGAGGTCAGGCATTCAAGACCAGCCTGGCCAACATGGTGAAACCCTGTCTCTACTAAAAATACAAAAATTAGTCAAGTGTGGGGGTATGTGCACCTGCAATCCCAGCTACTTGGGAGGCTGAGGCAGGAGAATCACTTGAACTTGGGAGGCGGAGGTTGCAGTGAGCCGAGATCACGCCACTGCACTCCAGCCTAGGCAACAGAGCGAGACCCCATCTCAAATAATAACAATAATAATAAATAAATAAATAAATAAATATTGGAAAGTTCACTGAGATCAATTATGTTAAACATACTATATGAAGAAACTCCTACTTGTGATAATATTCATCTGAAGCCATTTAAACAGGAGAAGTTCAGGTGGGTAATGAGTGATGAGCATTTACTATGTATTAACAACATGCTACAAACTGGGATACAATGATCGAGCTATTACAGTGAATAAGACTATAGAACACAAAAGAAAGGTTTTAAGGGAGTGTGTGGTATAAATCCTTTTTTTTTTTCTTTTTGAGGTGGAATCTCGCTTTGTCGCCCAGGCTGGAGTGCAGTGGCATGCATGATCTTGGCTCACTGCAACCTCTGCCTCCTGTGTTCAAGCAATTCTCCTACCTCAGCCTCCCAAATAGCTGGGATTACAGGCACACGCCACCATGCCCAGTTAATTTTTATATTTTTGATAAAGACAGGGTTTCACCATGTTGCCCAGGCTGGTCTCAAACTCCTGACCTCACGTGATCCGCCCGCTTTGGCCTCCCAAAGTGCTGGGATTACTGGCACAAGCCACCACGCCCAGCCGGTATAAACCCTTTTTTAAGGATATCTTTTCACTTGAACAGAAACAAACTCAACATAGAGAAAAATTAGTTGAAATATGCAAGCTTTGGCTATTCGGTGTAATAGTCTCAAAACTGAAGTATCCTCAGGTGTGGGCCAGCATTGGATTTGGAGTCTGAAGACCTGGGTTCAAGTCTTCTGTTCAAAAATAATATACAGGGTCAGGCACGGTGGCTCAAGCTTGTAATCCCAACATTGCGAGCCCAAGGCGGGTGGATCACCTGAGGCTAGGAGTTCGAGACCAGCCTAGCCAACATGGTGAAACCCCATCTCTACTAAAAATACAAAAAGTAGCCGGGCGTGGTGGCAGGCACCTGTAATCCCAGCTACTTGGGAGGCTGAGGCAGGAGAATCGCTTGAACCCAGGAGGCAGAGGCTGCAGTGAGCCGAGATCATGCCACTGAACTCCAGCCTGGATGACAGAGTGAGACTCCGTCTCAAAAAAAAAAAAAAAAAAAAAAGGTAATCAACAGATGCCTTCCAAAGTGCTTTCAACTCAAAGCCCATTCTCAGACTAAAACAATAGCAAGCATCACCATTTTACAGAATGAGAAATCAGTCAATGTTAAGCTTAGCAGCTCTTACAAGAATGCAATCAGTAGCAAAAGAAAGCTTAAATACAGGTAATCTGATTTTTCAGCTTACTGATCTACTAAGGAAAACTGCACATCTTTTCATAACTAAAGCGTTTCTGAAACTGCAGCATACATTAAGCATTTCATATGCCGCCCATTAAATAACTAATATATTCTATTTCACAAACAGGAAAAGAGGTTGAACACCATTATGTAAGTAGTAACATAGGATAGTACCCCTGTTCTCTTATGACACATTCTTAACAGTACTGGTTTTTAAGGCGAGGGAGAAAAGAACCAGGAAGTGGACCAGTGGGAGATAAACACAGGTTAAAATCCCGTCCAAAAAAAAAAAAAAATTTACATCTTCATAATGGCATCCAAATTCAAGTGTTTGGGTTTTGGCTTTTTTACCTAACAATATACTGTTGTGACTTGACTTTTCCATTACCGTGTAATAATGTTTCTTTCCTATTGGAAGCAATCTCTCCTAATCTCCCAAACCTAAAGTAGAATTATTCATTTCATCTTCTTCCTAAATGAGACCTCGACAATATGCCATATAAAGGAAAATGGGCTCTTAGGCGTTTCTCCTTCTTAGTAAAATGCCAATGCAACATATGCCAACACTGGAGACAAAAAAATTCTACTTGAATTTACTGTGAAAAAAAGATTTATAGCATTTTTTAAACCTACATGTTCATTTCTGTGCCATTAACTTTTTGAGGCATTCTACAGAGTCTCCAACAAAGAGAGAAATAAGTATTAGGATCACAACCTACGAATCTGGGTGGAACAAAGACTTCTCCTTTCATTATGCAGAGAAAACCAAGTTGCCAAAAAAAAAAAACGGTCCCCTCAGATACCATGCACGGTTACTAACTGCACGTCTGGGTACAGAGAAGGAAAAATCATCTGGTCAAAAGCCCAAATGCCGCCCCGGCCTACCCTCGCCCCCCGCCCCCGCCCCCTTTGCCCATGGCCTCGCCCCAGAGCTAGAGTTCCAATATTTTTCTCCCCAATAAAGGGAAGCGGTTTAACCCTTTGAGTTCCACAACCTTGCGTTCTTCTACGCAGGCGCCCCTCCAGCGCAATCCCAGTTCTAAATCGAGTCGCTGCCCCTTTCCGCGACCACACCCAGATCCCCAAAGGCCTGCTCCCATCCCGACCATTGATGTGAGAAAGGCCAAAACCGGCCCCAGCGGGGCTCCCAGCCCCGCCGCTCCCTCTCTTCCTCCGGGCCAAGGCGTGCCCAGAAAGGGACGCGAGCGCGCCCCTCAGTTCTCGCACGGGCTCGACCAAGGGGCGAGGAAGGAAGAATCGGCGCAGCGGCGAGATGGGCACGAACCTCGCGCTCACTTGCTGCTCAGTGCCAGGGCGAGGGGCGTCGCTCTGCCCCCAGAATCCAACTGGTAATGTGGGAAAGGTGTGGTCCAGGACCGGTGACCTCGAACCGGGGCCCAGCAGTTCGCAGATCCTCACCCCGCGATGCTGGGGCCTCACCCACGACCCCAGCCCCCTCCCAGTCGGCACCCAAGCCCACTAAAGACCCCTCTCCGGGGCCGCAAACACAGTCCTCGGGGCCGCCCGGTCGGAGCCGTGTCAGGTGGTGACAGGAGGCGACGGGTGACCATGGCAACCCGAGGTGTGCAGCGGACCGACCCAGCCTCCGACTCCCGGAGTCACCCACCTGAGGGCTCCAGGGCAAGCCCGGAGGAGCGGCGGAGGAGAACGCGGCTGGGAGGCCGGCGGCCAGGGCCCCGAAGCGGCCGGCTCCGGGCTGCGGCAGGAGCACGACGGCGGCGGTCTGGGTTTGGCGTCGGTCCTCCCTCCTACCGCCCGCGCGTCAATCCATCAGTTCGTCAATCCGTCCTTCTCACGTCCGCCCCTCCCGGCCCAGCGACTCCTCAGCTCAGCCTCTTGCAGACTGCGGTTGTCAAGTGCCGGGGAGCCGAGCTCTACCCGCGAGCGGCAGCCAATCGCCGCGCTTCCCCGAGGCGCCTCAGGACCCCGCCGCGCGGGGCGGCCAGGCAGGTGCCTGAGCCGAAGGGCGAGTCGGCGGGGCGGGGCGGGGCGGGGAGGGGCGTGGAGGGGCGGGCCCAAAGCTGGGGCGGGGAGGGGCGGGGCGGACCAAAGCCTGGGCGGGGCGGACCAAAGCCTGGGCGGGGCGGGCGGGGGTCGGGCTTGGAGGGACCGGCTAGGGGCCCGGGGGAGTAGCAGAACGGGTGCGGCAATAGCGTGAGACTGGTGGCAGGGACGTAGACCCTTAGCTGGCCGGTGACCCCATGTCCCAAAATAGCACGAACAGGATTGTCGCCTGCAAATGGAGAAGACTGCGCATTAGGATTGACTCTTCATACTCCTCCCCGATAATTAATAAAGGTTAATGAAATTAATGTTGCCTTCTACCCTTCTTTCGCTGCTTTCCTAGGTCCCACTTCGTCCCAGAAAACTCCAGTAGTTTGTTTGTCCCCTTCCTGGTTTCTCATTTTGCAAAGCTGATCTGCCTTGAAAGCATTTTTCAGTTACTTAACATTTAATATGTTCAGGTTTTGTCTACTCCTGTTGGTTGTAAGCCCCTTATTCCACAAATATACGTGATGTTCAACCGAGCTTAATTAAGCATCCAGGAAGTATAACCATAAGGAAGAATACAATTACACAAACCTGTAAGAACATCATTCTCGGCCAGGCGCGGTGGCTCACGCCTGCAATTCCAGCACTTTAGGAGGCCGAGGCGGGCGGATCACCTGAGGTCAGGAGTTTGAGACCAGCCTGGCCAACATGGTGAAACCCCGTCTCTACTAAAAATACAAAAATTAGCCGGGTGTGCTGGCAAGCCTCCTGTAATCACAGCTACTTGGTAGGCTGAGGCAGGAGAATCGCTTCAACCTGGGAGACGGAGGTTGCAGTGAGCCGAGATCATGCCACTGCACTCCGGCCTGGGTGACAGAGCGAGAGACTCCGTCTCACAGAAAAAAGAACATCATCCTCACAGAGGCGAAAGTCCAGAGTGAGCTGGACCTCCCAAAAGGGGAAAATGGGGTAACAGTCTGGTAAAGAGAATAAACATCAAAAATATTTCTGGCACTCCCATGCTTATTGCAGTACTATTCACAATAGCCAAAATATAGAATCAACCTATGTCAATCAACAGACAAATGGATAAAGAAAATGTGGTACATATACACAATGCAATCTTTTTTTTTTTTTTTTTTTTTTGAGACGGAGTCTCGCTCTGTCGCCCAGGCTGGAGTGCAGTGGCGCCATCTCGACTCACTGCAAACTCCGCCTCCCGGGTTCACGCCATTCTCCTGCCTCAGCCTCCCGCGTAGCTGGGACTACAGGCGCCCGCCACCAGGTCCGGCTAATTTTTTTTTTTTTTTTTGTATTTTTATTAGAAACGGGGTTTCACCGTGTTAGCCAGGATGGTCTTGATCTCCTGACCTCGTGATCCACCCGCCTCGGCCTCCCAAAGTGCTGGGATTACAGGCGTGAGCCACCGCGCCCGGCCACACAATACAATCTTATTCACCCATTAAGAAAGAATGAAATCCTGTCATTTGCAGCAACATGGATGGGACGGGAGGACATTATGTTAAGTGAAACAAGACAAGCACAAAAAGACAAATATTGCACGTTCTCACACATATGTGGGAACTAAAAGAATTGATCTCGTGGAGGTAGTGAATAGAATGGTGGTTACCAGAGGCTAGAAAGTGTAGTGGAGGGCAAAGGGGGGATAAAGAGGTTAATGGGTACAAAAATACAGTTATGTAGCAGGAATAAATTCTAGTGCTCAATAGCATAATTGGGTGACTATAGTTAACAATAATCTATTCTATATTTCCAAACAGCTAGAAGAGAAGATTCAGAATGTTCCCAACACAAAGAAATAGTAAATGGCAGGCCAAGCGTGGTGGCTTATGCCTGTAATCTCAGCACTTTGGGAGGCCGAGGCGGGCAGATCACGAGGTCAAGAGGTCAAGAGATCGAGACCATCCTGGCCAACATGGTGAAACCCTGTCTCTACTAAAAATACAAAAATTAGCCGAGTGTGGTGGTGTGCGCCTGTAGTCCCAGCTACTCGGGAGTCTGAGGCAGGAGAATCACTTGAACCCGGGAGGCGGAGGTTGCAGTGAGCCGAGATTGGGCCACTGCACTCCAGCCTGGTGACAGAGCGAGACCGCGTCTCAAAAAAAAAGAAAAGAAATAATAAATGGGTGGGCACAGTGGCTCATGCCTGAAATCCCAGCACTTTGGGAGGCTTAGGCCAGAGGCTCACATGAGGCCATGAGTTAGAGACTAGCCTAGGCAACATAGTGAGACTCCCTCTCTACAAAAACAAGAATAAAAAATTAGACACGGTGAGACACACCTGCAGTCCTAGCTACTTGAGAGGCTGAAGTGAGAAGATAGTTTGAGCTCAAAGTCCGAGGCTACCATGAGCTATAATCACACTACTGCACTCCAGCCTGGGTGACTGAGTAAGACCCTGTGTCTTAATAATAATAATGCATTTCTAAGGTGATGGATATCCCAATTACCCAGATTTGATCATTACACATTGTATTTACTCCAGAAATATCTACAACTATTATGTAACTATAAAAATTAAAAATAAACAAAATTTAAACCATATTTCTGGGAATACAAAATCTTGTCCAGTTCAAGATAAAAGAAGCGAGAGCTTGAAGATACACATTTCTTTTTTTTCTTTTCTTTTCTTTTTTTCCTTTTTTTTTTTTTTTTTTTGAGATGGGGTCTCACTGTGTCGCCCAGGCTGGAGTGCAGTGGTGCGATCTTGGCACTCTGAACCTCCTCCTCCTGGGTTCAAGCGACTCTCCTGCATCAGCCCCCAGAGTAGCTGGGACTACAGCATACACCACCATGCCCAGCTAGTTTTTGTATTTTTAGTAGAGACAGGGTTTCACCATGTTGGTCAGGCTGGTCTCGACCTCGTGATCCGCCTGCCTGCCTTGGCCTCCCAAAGTCCTGGGGATTACAGGCATAAGCCACTGTGCCTGGCTTTCTTTTTTTTTTGAGACGGAGTCACTCTGTCACCCAGGCTGGAGTACATGGCGCAATCTCAGCTCACTGCAACCTCTGCCTCCTGGGTTCAAGCAATTCTGCCTCAGCCCCCTGAGTAGCTGAGATTACAGGCAGGTGCCACCACACTCAGCTAATTTGTGTGCCACCACACTCGGCTAATTTTTGTATTTTTAGTAGAGACGAAGTTTCACCATGTTGGCCAGGCTGGTCTCAAACCCCTGACCTCAAGTGATCCTCCCGCCATGGCCTCCCAAAGTGCTGGGATTACAGGCATGAGCTACTGCACCCAGCCGAGGAAACATTTCTAAGAAAAATACTTATGCATTCAGAGAAAACAACACACAAAAGCTGAACTACAAAATTTCAATTGCCTAGTCAGTAACTCCTGGAAGAAAGTCTTCATTATGAACCCTCTTAATGATAAGTGACAGGCAAATAAATATAAACATAATTGAATGTTACCCAGGATCTTGATATTGAAAACAAAACAAGCAAACAAACAACACATTACAGAGTGTTTAAATTGAAAAAGTAGGCAGATACGTTTTTCCTGAAAGTAGTATCTCAATTATTTTGCTAGTATAGTTCATCTAAGAAACCACTTCTAAATCTTTATGATCAAACAAGAAGTTTTGAGAACCAGTATCCTTTTTTTTTTAACTTCATTTTTTATCCCATTTCCCACATTTTTATCAGTTAGAACCTTTTCCCCATGGACCCATATTCTGAAACTTTAGGAATTAATTACATTTTCTTTCTTTTTTTTTTTTTTTGTTTTTTGAGACAGTATTGCTCTGTCGCCCAGGCTGGAGTGCAGTGGGGCGATCTCAGCTCACTGCAACCTCTGCCTCCCGGGTTCAAGCAATTCTCCTTTCTCAGCCTCCCGAATAGATGGGATTACAGGCCCATGCCACCACACCCAACTAATTTTTGTATTTTTAGTAGAGAATGGGTATAACCATGTTGGCCAGGTTGGTCTCGAACTCCTGACCTCAAGTGATCCATCCACCTCAGTCTCCCAAAGTGCTGGGATTACAGATGTGAGCCACCGTGCCCAGCTAGGAATTAATTACATTTATTAACAAATCGTTAATAATTAATTATTGGGTCAGAATCATAGAATTCTAGAGGGTTTTTGTTTGTTTGTTTGTTTGTTTTTTGTGACAGTGTCTCACTCTGTCGCCCAGGCTGGAGTGTAGTAGGGCAGTCATGGCTCTCTGCAGCCTAGAACTCCTGGGCTCAAGCGATCCTTCCACCTCCGCTTCCCCAGCCCAGTAGCTGAGACTACAGGTGCAAGCCACCATGCCTGGCTAATTTTTTTTTTTTTTTTTTTTAAGTAGAGACAGGGTTTTGCCTTGTTGCCCAGGCTGGTGCTAAAATGATCCTTTCCCCTTGGCCTCCCGAAGAGCTAGGATTACAGGCATGAACCATCGTGCCCAGCCCAGCATCCTTTAAATATTTAAATCTTCTACTAGCTCTAGAAAGAGTAACTAATCAGGGACAATCTGACAAACAACCGATCACCTGCTAGGGAGAGTGCTTGAAAAACAGAAGAACCACTCAGTCCAACGGGCAGGAGACACTTCTGGAAGGAACACCATGATGGCTGCCCAGGGAGAGCCCCAGGTCTAGTTCAAACTTGTATTGGTTGGTGGCGGTGGTACTGGAAAAACTACTTTGGTGAAACATCATTTGACTGGTGAATTTGAGAGGTATGTAGCCACATTTGAGAGGTATGGGTGTTGAGGTTCATCACCCAAGTGTTCCACACCAACAGAAGATGTATTAAGTTCAATAAATGGGATACAGCCGGCCAGGAGAAATGTGGTGAACAGAGATGGTTATTACATCGAACCCATAGCCCAGTGTGCCATCATAATGTTTGATGTAACACCAAGAGTTACGTACAAGAATGTGCCTAACTGGCATAGAGATTTGGTGCCAATGTGTGAAATCATCACCATGATGTTGTGTGGCAACAAAGTGGATATTAAGGACAGGTAAGTGAAGGCAAAATCTATTGTCTTCCACCGAAAGAAGAATCTTCAGTACTATGACATTACTGCCAAAACTAACTACAACTTTGAAAAGCCCTTTCTCTGGCTTGCTAGGAAGCTCATTGGAGGCCCTAACTTGGGGTTTGCTACCCTGTACTCCCCTACCTGAGGTTGTCATGGACCCAGCTTTGACAGAGCAATAAGAGCATGAGTTAGAGTTTGCTCAGACAGCTGCTCTCCTGGATGAGGATGATTACCTGTGAGAACAAAGCTGGAGCCCAGTATCAGAAGTATAGTTTTATAGACAGCTTTCCTGTGACGTCAGCAGTGCAAAGTGTGCCTCACCTTGTTATCAAGCTAAGCGGAACATGTGCTTCATCTGTGGGATGCTGAAGGAGATGAATGGGCTTCGGAGTGAATGTGGCAGTTTAAAAAATACCTGTGCCAGGCGCAGTGGCTCATGCCTGTAATCCCAACACTTTGGGAGGCCGAGGTGGGCAGATCACGAGGTCAGGAGTTTGAGACCAGCCTGACCAACATGGTGAAATCCCATCTCTATTAATAATACAAAAATTAGCCAGGCGTGGTGTTAGGCGCCTGTAATCCCAGCTACTCAGGATGCTGAGGCAGGAGAATCGCTTGAACCCGGGAGGCAGAAGTTGCAGTGAGCCGAGATTGCACCACTGCGCTCCAGTTTGGGCAACACAGAGAGACTCTGTCTCAATAATAATAACAATAATAATAATAATAATAATAATAATAATACCTTCATGGCCAGGCGCCATGGCTCACACCTGTAATCCCAGCACTTTGGGAGGCTTAGGCGGGTGGATCATTTGAGGTCAGGAGTTCGAGACCAGCTTGGCCAACGTGATGAGACCCCATCTCTACTAAAAATACAAAAATTAGCTGGGAGTGGTGGTGGGCGCCTGTAATACCAGCTACTCAGAAGGCTGAGGTAGGAGAATTGCTTGAACCTGGGAGGCAGAGATTGCAGCAGTGAGCCGAGATCGTACCACTGCACTCCAGACTGGGAGACAGAGTGAGACTCTGTCTCAAAACAAACAAACAAACAAACAAAACCTTTTTTGGGTGACCTGCATATTTAGCTGTTTTGGAACGCAGTTGATTCCTTCTTGAGTTGCAAATATAAGACTGCCACAGTTACATCAGAAGGAAGGAAGGAAGGAAGGGAGGGAGGGAGGGAGGGAGTGAGGGAGGGAGGGAGGAGGGAAGGAAGGGAAAGAAAAGGAAAGAAGGGAGGGAGGGACGGAGGGGGGAAGGAAGGGAAAGAAAAGGAAGGAAGGAAGGAGAGAAGGAAGGAAGGAAGGAAAGAAGGAAGGGAAAGAAAAGAAAGGAAGGAAGGAAGGAAAACCCCAGTGAAGTATTAGATTGGCTTTGGCATTCATTGAACACAAAATGAAATGCTTTGCTTATGTTCTCATTTAAGCCTCATAATCTCCCTTAAAACACCTATTAATTATTCCTATTTGAGTGATTAAAGAAAATAACTTGCCCAAGGTCACACAGCTAGTATGTAGCAGAGACATTCTGACTCTTAAAACTTTCTTTTTCTATTCTACCACATTAGTATGATTTCTTATCTTTGAGAGGGAGTCTCACCTAGGCTGAAGTGCAGTGGTGCAATCTCACCTCACTTCGAGCTCTCCCTCCCTGGTTCAAGCGATTGTCCTGCCTCAGCCTCCCAAGTAGCTAGGATTACAGGCGTGCACCACCACACCCAGCTAATTTTTTGTATTTTTAGTAGAGACGGGGTCTTACTGTGTTGGCCAGGCTGGTCTCAAACTCCTGACCTCAAGTGATCTGCCAGCCTCACCCTCCAAAGTGCTGGGATTAGAGGCATCAGCCGCCGTGCCCTGCCTCATTCTACATTATATTAACTGAAAATTTTATTTTAGTATTTATTTATTTATTTAAGAGACAGAGTCTCACTTTCTCACCCAGGCTAAAGTGTCACCTAGGCTGGAGTATAGTGGCATGATTATAGCTCACCACAGTCTCAAACTCCTGGGCTCAAACTATCCTCTAGCCTCAGCTTCTTGAGTAGCTGGGATTACAGGCATGAGCCACCTTGCCTGGCTAATTGTTCTAAGAAATTTTGAGCCAGATGGCCGGGCACGGTGGCTCATGCCTGTAATCCCAGCACTTTGGGAGGCCGAGGCGGGTGGATCACAAGGTCAGGAGATTGAGACCATCCTGGCTAACGTGGTGAAACCCCGTCTCTACTAAAAATACAAAAAGTTAGCTGGGCATGGTGGCAGGTGCCTGTAGTCCCAATTACTCGAGAGGCTGAGGCAGGAGAATGGCGTGAACCTGGGAGGCGGCGGAGCCTGCAGTGAGCTGAGATGGCGCCACTGCACACCAGCCTGGGCGACAGGGCGAGACTCCATCTCAAAAAAAAAAGAAATTTTGGGCCAGACACAGTGGCTCATGCCCGTAATCCCAGCACTTTGGGAGGCCAAGGTGGGAGGATCCCTTGAGCCCAGGAGTTCGAGACCAGCCTGGGCAACATAGTGGGACCCCATCTCAACTAAAAATAAAAATAAAAAAAATAGCCTGCCATGGTAACACGTTATCCCAACTACTGGAGAGACTGAGGCAGGAGGATCGCTTGAGTCTGGAAGGTCAAGGATTGCAGTGACCCATGATTGTGTCACTGCACTCCCTCTCAAAGTGCTGGGATTATAGGCTTAAGCCACCATGCTCAGCCAGAAATTTTAGCTTGAATAAAATGGACCCTATTCTGACAAGGTAGAGAAGATAAGAGGTCTTATTAGTGTTTATATTCTCCATAACCTATAGCATAGTGCTATTTGCATATGCATTTTCAATGAATAGGACTCAACATTGTTAGAAGCAAATATACCACCATTATATTTCTGGAAAAAAGAAGGTGGAAGGAGAGAAAGAAAGAGGCACCGAAACACAAGACATCTGGTACATCTTATCACTTGCATACTTATAAACGCATTGACTGTATATTTGTTTCTTAATGTAACATCAAAGTTTACACTACAACCTTAATAGCTGGTAGCCTAAGGTATCACCTTTCCTTCTATACTCAGCCACACTGGTTAAGATTAGATCTTCCTGTCTTTCACTCTAGTTGCTGCAATAGCAGTCAATTGTTCAAAGAGGACAAGGCTTGCTTAGATGAAGGACTGTCCTCAGATTCCAAGGTACTGCCTCAATCATTCACCAAATATTAACTGAATGCCAGTTCTGGGTCAGGAACTAGGTTAGGCATCATTTGGAAATGCAGGTTCTTACATGACAGAATGATTCATGGTGCCTTGTGACTTAAACGCCTATAGGCTAAGGTGGACCTCTTTTAATGTGATTCTTAAATGTTATCTCTAAAAAGGAGAATAGGAGTTTTTGGTTTTCCCCAAATAGGAGAAAGGAGTCTGAGTACAAGCCCAAGCTAGGAAACTTTGCCTCAAGGAATTCAGGGGAAGTTTGTGGAGCTAAGAGAACGTGTTTTAGAAGCTCCACTCCCATTACTAGAACACGCACATACATACACACATCAAAAAGCTTTGTGCTTCAGAGCCAGTAGCACCTAACCAAGATATGGAATTAACCTAAGTGAGGCTTTAGGAGAACAAAGCACCACCACTGCTGCTTCTCCTTTAAACAGATTCAAGGGCCAGGCACCGCGGCTCACGCCTGTAATCCCAACACTTTGGGAAGCTGAGAGGGGCGGATCACCTGAGGTCAGGAGTTTGAGACCAGCCTGGCCAATATGGAGAAACCCTGTCTCTACTGAAAAATGCAAAAATTAGCAGGGCGTGGTGGCGCACGTTTGAACCCAAGAGGCAGAGGTTGGAGTGAGCTGAGATCGCGCCACTGCACTCCAATCTGGGCAACAGAGGTAGAATTACCTGGGTCTTCCAGGGCTCCTATCTAGACCTCTAAACAAAAACTTGGTTGTACATAAAAGAGATATGCTGTTATTTATATTAAGTAAATATCTGATATATTCTTGAAAATAAAAATAAAATAAATTATTTTGGAAAACATCCACTTTAATCAAGTCAGTGAAATATGTAAATTTTTTTTTTTTTTTTGAGACAGAGTCTCGCTCTGTCGCCCCAGCTGGAGTGCAGTGGCACAATCTCAGCTCACTGCAAGCTCTGCCTCCCGGGTTCACGCCATTCTCCTGCCTCAGCCACCCGAGTAGCTGGGACTACAGGCGCCCACCACCACACCCAGCTAATTTTTTGTGTTTTTTTTTTTTAGTAGAGACAGGGTTTCACCGTGTTAGCCAGGATGGTCTTGATTTCCTGACCTCGTGATCCACCTGCCTCGGCCTCCCAAAGTGCTGGGATTACATGCGTGAGCCACCGTGCCTGGCCATATGTCAAAATTTTTAAAAGGGGAAACTAAATGTTAGGAAATGTTAGTAATACCTAAAGCACATTAAGCATCATAATTTCAGATAAGTGTTTTAGGATAAGGTTAGAAAGTTTCCGGTAATAAACTTGTGACCATTTAGTAGAACTTCCTATAAAGATGGAAGAAATGTCATAATCACCAAAACAAGTCTTGATTGGTGTCTTATAAGTTCATATGCCTCCAAAATACTTACAAAAACCCTATTTCAGAAAAAATAAGTATAGTATTAGCATTTCTTTTAGAGCTTGGTCAGTAACTATACAGGCTCTTTCCAATAAAATTTCAGTTATTTATCTAAAATGGCCATGCAAATACAAATTGAAAAATGATTTTTGCTTTAGCAATTGTTCTGATCCTAAAAGAATGTACCCAATGATATCAAGGCAGTCTACCAGGTTCTCTGTGTAAGCAGAAATAATCATAATATTAGGTATAACCATAATAAAGTATTATACATGGAAGTCTCAGTGCTACAAATAACATGAGATTTTGTACAAAAGTTCAAATAGGAACTTCTATCAATCTACTGGTAACACATAAGAAATTTGCTCCTTACTTTATTTCATTGTATTTAGTTATTTGAGACTGGACCTTGCTTTGTTGCCCAGGCTGGAGTGCAGTGGTGTAATCTCAGCTCACTGCAACCTCCACCTCCGAGGCTCAAGCAATCCTCCCACCTCAGCCTCCTCAGTAGCTGGGTCTACAGGCGCCCGTCACCACACACAGCTAATTTTTGTAGAGACAGGGTTTTGCCATGTTGCCCAGGCTGGTCTCAAACTCCTTGGCTCAAGTGATCTGCCTGCCTAGGTCTCCCAAAGTGTTGGGATTATAGGCATGAGCCACCTCACCCAGCCCTATTTCTAACTTTAGAATTCCACTTATCAGAATCACACCTGTAATCCCAGCACTTTGAAAGGCTGAGGTGGGCAATCACTTGAGGTCAGGAGTTCCAGACCAGCCTGGCCAACACTGTGAAATCTTGTCTCTACAAAAATTAGTTGGGCTCCCTCCCCCTCCCACTCTTCCTTTCCCTCTTTGCACGGTCTCCCCTCTGATGCCGAGCAGAGGCTGGACTGTACTGCCGCCATCTCGGCTCACTGCAGCCTCCCTGCCTGATTGTCCTGCCTCAGCCTGAAGAGTGCCTGGGATTGCAAGCGCGCGCAGCCACGCCTGACTGGTTTTTGCATTTTTTGGTGGAGACGGGGTTTCGCCGTGTTGGCCGGGCTGGTCTCCAGCTCCTGACATGGAGTGATCTGCCCGCCTCGGCCTCCCGAGGTGCCGGGATTGCAGACGGAGTCTCGCTCACTCAGTGCTCAATGTTGCCCAGGCTGGAGTGCAGTGGCGTGATCTGGGCTGGCTACAACCTCCACCTCCCAGCCGCCTGCCTTGGTCTCCCAAAGTGCCGAGATTGCAGCCTCTGCCCCGCCGCCACCCCGTCTGGGAAGTGAGGAGCGTCTGACTGGCCGCCCATCCTCTGGGATGTGAGGAGCCCCTCTGCCCGGCCGCCCAGTCTGGGAAGTGAGGAGCGCCTCTTCCCGGCCGCCATCCCGTCTAGGAAGTGAGGAGCGTCTCTGCCCGGCCGCCCATCATCTGAGATGTGGGGAGCGCCTCTGCCCCGCCGCCCCATCTGGGATGTGAGGAGCGCCTCTGCCCGGCCGCGACCCCGTCTGGGAACTGAGGAGCCTCTCGGCCCGACCGCCACCCCGTCCGGGAGGTGAGGAGCGTCTCTGCCCGGCCGCCCCGTCTGAGAAGTGAGGAGCCCCTCCGCCCGGCAGTCACCCCGTCTGGGAAGTGAGGAGCCCCTTCGCCCAGCAGCCGCCCCATCTGGGAAGTGAGGAGCGTCTCCGCCCGGCAGCTGCCCCGTCCAGGAGGTGGGGGGCAGCCCCCACCCGGCCAGCCGCCCCGTCCAGGAGGGAGGTCGTGGGCAACCCCCGCCCGGCCAGCCGCCCCGTCCGGGAGGGTGGTGGGGGACGCCTCTGCCCGGCTGCCCCGTCTGGGAAGTGAGGAGCCCCTCTGCCCGGCCGCCACCCCGTCTGGGAGGTGTACCCAACAGCTCATTGAGAACGGGCCATGATGACGATGGCGGTTTTGTCGAATAGAAAAGGGGGAAATGTGGGGAAAAGAAAGAGAGAGCAGATTGTTACTGTGTCTGTGTAGAAAGAAGTAGACATGGGAGACTCCATTTTGTTCTGTACTAAGAAAAATTCTTCTGCTTTGGGATCCTGTTAATCTATAACCTTACCCCCAACCCCGTGCTCTCTGAAACATGTGCTGTGTCCCCTCAGGGTTAAATGGATTAAGGGCGGTGCAAGATGTGCTTTGTTAAACAGATGCTTGAAGGCAGCATGCTCCTTAAGAGTCATCACCACTCCCTAATCTCAAGTACCCAGGGACACAAAACACTGAGGAAGGCCGCAGGGTCCTCTGCCTAGGAAAACCAGAGACCCTTGTTCACATGTTTATCTGCTGACCTTCCCTCCACTATTGTCCTATGACCCTGCCAAATCCCCCTCTCTGAGAAACACCCAAGAATGATCAATAAATACTAAAAAAAAAAAAATTAGTTGGGCATGATGTCGTGCCCCTGTAGTCCCAGCTACAGGAGGCTGAGGCAGGAGGATCATTTGAACCTGGGAGGTGGAGGTTGCAGCAAGCCGAGGTTGCACCACTGCACTCCAGCCTGGGTGACAGAGCAAGACTCTGTCTTGGAAAAAAAAAAAATGCCAGGCGTGGTGGTTCACGCCCAAAGTAATTCCAACACTTTGGGAGGCCGAGGCGGGTGGATCATGAGGTCAGGAATTCGAGACCAGCCTGGCCAACATAGTGAAATTCTGTCTCTACTAAAAATACAAAAATTAAGCCAGGCGCGGTAGCTCATGCCTGTAATTCCAGTACTTTGGGAGGCCGAAGCAGGCAGATCACGAGGTCAGGAGTTTGAGACCAGCCTGGCCAACATGGTGAAACCCCATCTCTACTAAAAATACAGAAATTAGCTGGGTAGGAGAATCGCTGGAAACCGGAAGGTGGAGGTTGCAGTGAGCCAAGATTGCATCACTGTACTCCAACCTGGGAAACAAGAGCAAAACTCCGTCTCAAAAATAAAATACAAATAAAATACAAAAATAAAAATACAAAAATTAGCCAGGTGTGGTGGCACAAGCCTGTAGTCCCAGCTACTCGGGAGGCTGAGGCAGGAGAATCGCTTGAACCCAGGAGGCAGAGCTTGCAGTGAGCCGAGACCATGCCATTGCACTCCAGCCTGGGTGACAGAGTGAGACTCCGTCTCAAAAAAAAAAAAAAAAAGAATTCCACTTACTCCACTTATCTGGATACCACATAACAAAATGATACCTATGCTGTCTCAGATACAATAGGTGTTTAATAAATACTCAATATATGAAAACGTTTTCCTTGAACCAATCCCATAATTTTTGTGTTTCTTTTTGTTTTTGTTTTTGTTTTTTTTTTTTTTTTTTTTTTTTTTTTTTTTTTTTTTTTTGAGACGGAGTCTCGCTGTCGCCCAGGCTGGAGTGCAGTGGCGCAATCTCGGCTCACTGCAGGCTCCGCCCCCTGGGGTTCACGCCATTCTCCTGCCTCAGCCTCCCGAGTAGCTGGGACTACAGGCGCCCGCCACCTCGCCCGGCTAATTTTTTGTATTTTTAGTAGAGACGGGGTTTCACCGTGTTAGCCAGGATGGTCTCGATCTCCTGACCTCGTGATCCGCCCGCCTCGGCCTCCCAAAGTGCTGGGATTACAGGCGTGAGCCACCGCGCCCGGCCTTGTTTTTGTTTTTTTTTGAGACGGAGTTTCACTCTTGTTACCCAGGCTAGAGTGCAATGGCGCGATCTCAGCTCACCACAACCTCCGCCTCCTGGGTTCAAGCAATTCTTCTGCCTCAGCCTCCCGAGTACCTGGGATTACAGGTGTGTGCCACCATGCCTGGCTAATTTTGTATTTTTAGTAGAGACGGGGTTTCTGCATATTGGACAGGCTAGTCTCAAACTCCTGACCTCAGGTGATCTGCCCGCCTCGGCCTCCCAAAGTGCTGGGATTACAGGTGTGAGCTACTGCGCCTGGCCTTTTTCTTTTTTTTTAAGAGACAGGGTTTCAGTATATTGCCCAGGCTGATCTTGAATTCCTGGCCTCAAATGAATCTCCCACCTTGGCTTCCAGAGGTGCTAGATTTACAGGACTGGGCAGATTTTTTCATTTTTTTTATTTTTGAGATAGGGTCTCCTTTTGTTGCCCAGGCTGGAGTGCAGTGGTGCAATCATAGCTGACTGTAACCTCGAACTCCTGGACTCAAGTGATCCTCCCATCTAGGACCACTCCTCCCAAGTACCTAGGACTCCAAGGGCGTGCCACTGCACCTCGCTAATTTTATTTCTTATTTTTGTAGAGATAGGGCCCAGACTGCCCTATCGCATAATTTAATGGTGTGAATAACTCATGTAGTCATTTACAAGGGCCCAGGAAAAGCAGCAGCCTTCAACAACACATTTAACACTTTGTTCCCTGATCATCCACACTTCCAGTATCTATTTGTGGCAAGAAGGAAAACATGGGGACTGTAAGAAAATCAGACCTAGAGAAATGGGTGTGTTCTGTGATGTAGGCAGGGCTTTAAAAAGTTTTTGGTTTTAGGCTGGGTGCGGTGCCTCAAACTTGTAATCCCAGCACTTTGGGAGGATGAGGCGGGTGGATGGCTTAAGTCCAAGAGTTCAAGATGAGCCTGGGCAACATGGCAGGACCTCATCTCTTTAAGAAAAAAAAAAATTAGGCAGGGCACAATGGCTCACGCCTGTAATCCCAGCACTTTGGGAGGCCAGCGCGGGCGGATCACGAGGTCAGGGGTTCGAGACCAGCCTAACCAACATGGTGAAAACCCGTCTCTACTAAAAATACAAAAATTAGCCGGGTGTGGTGGCGGGCACCTGTAATTCCAGCTACTCAGGAGGCCGAGGCAGGAGAATCGCTTGAATCTGGGAGGCAGAAGTTGTAGTGAGCCAAGATCGCCCCACTGCACTCCAGCCTGGGCAGCAGAGTGAGACTCCATCTCAAAAATAAATAAATAAATAAATAAAAATAAAAATAATTAAATGGGCGTGTGTGTAAAAAAATAAAACAATGTAATAATAATAGAAATAAAGTGCACAATAAATGTAATGCGCTTGAATCATCACGAAACCATCCCCCCATCACCCTCACCCCAGTCCGTAGAAAAACTGTCTTCCACAAAACTGGTCCCTGGTACAAAAAAGGTTGGGGACCACTGCTCTAGACGATGCATTCATGTAACTCCTCTCACTGTCATTCACCCTCATAATTTTGTTTTCATTTCCTACATGTGTATGTCTAGAGAAGGAAGAATGTGCTGATCATATAGGTGCAAGTTTTACTTACATCTATAAACTGGTATCCGTTTTCATACATTGGTCTTATAAGTTTGGATTCTATGAGCGCACCCACAGAGATGAATGTGCTATTTGCTGATGAAATCAGTTTCTAAGCCTGCAATGCTGCAAATCAAACTCTGGCTCTGGACTATAGTATACTCATTCAAGTAATGCAACCTCCCAAAGTCTCTTGGAAAATGGCCAGATGACTCTCCAGGCAGCACCTTTCTCCACTGATGACAGGCCAAGTGAGCTCTTTCCTCCACTTTAAAATTTCTACACTTACACTATTACAGTTTTTACTCAAGAACACCATTTCCGGCCGGGCATGGTGGCTCACGCCTGTAATCCCAGCACTTTGGGAGGCTGAGGCAGGTGGATCACCTGAGGTCAGGAGTTTGAGACCAGCCTGGCCAACATGGCGAAACCCCTGTCTCTACTAAAAAAGTACAAAAATTAGTTGGGTATGGTGGCACCTGCCTGTGATCCCTGCTACTCAGGAGGCTGAGGCAGGAGAATTGTTTGAACCTGGGAGGTAGAGGTTGTGGTGAGCCAAGATCACGCCACTGCACTCCAGCCTGGGCAACAGAGTGAGACTCGGTCTCAAAAAAAAAGAGAGAGTGCTTCAATAAAATTGGAGGCTGGGCACCGTGGCTCATGCCTATAATCCCAGAACTTTGGGAATCTGAGGCAGAAGAATGGCTTGAGGACAGGAGTTCAAGGCCAGCCTGGGCAACATAGTGAGACTCCATCTCTACAAAATTAAGAAAAAAATTAGCCAGGTGCAGTGTAGTCTTAACTACTTGGGAGGCTGAGGCATGAGGATGACGAACCCAAGAGTTCAAGGCTGCAGTGAGCTATGATCCTGCCACTGCACTCCCGCCTGAGTGACAGAGCAAGACCCTGTCTCTAACAACAACAACAAAAAGCCACAAAGCTTGGAGGGAATTACTATAGATTAAAAGAAATTTAGACATACCAAACAAATGCAATGGGTGACACCTTGTTTAGATCCTACTTCAAAGACAATGTGGGAAGCAGAATAATAACCCCTCACAGATGTCTACTTCCTTTAGCTAGGCATAGTGGTGTGTTGCCTATAGCCCTAGCTACTCTGTAGGCTGAGGCAGGAGGATTGCTTGACAGGAGTTGGAGGCTGCAGTGAGCTATGATCACTCCAGCCTGGGTCACAAAGCGAGACCCCATCTCAAAAAAAAAAAAAAAAAAAGTCCACATCCTAATTCCCAGGACCTGAGAATATGTTACTTGACATGGTAAAAAGAGATTTTGCTTCCATGATTAACTTAAGAACCTTGAAATGGGGAGAGTATTCTGGGTTATCCAGGTGGGTCCAATATCACAGAGAATCCTTACCAGCTGGAGTCACAGGCCAGGGAGATGCAACATTGCTAGCTAGCTTTGAAGAAGGGTAACATGAGCCAAGAAATGTAGCCTTTACAAGTTGTAAAAGGCAAGCAAACAGGTGTCTCCTAGAACATCCAGAAAGGAACACAACTGTGTCAGCACCTTGATTTTAGCACAGTAAGGCTAGGGTCAAACTTTTTTTTTTTTTTTTTGAGGTGGAGTCTCACTCTGTTGCCCAGGCTGGAGTGCAGTGGCGCAATCTCGGCTCACTGCAAGCTCTGCCTCCTGGGTTCGCACCATTCTCCTGCCTCAGCCTCCCGAGTAGCTGGGACTACATGTGCCCACCACCATGCCAGGCTAATTTTTTTGTATTTTTTAGTACAGACGGGGTTTCACTGTGTTAGCCAGGATGGTCTCGATCTCCTGACCTCGTGATCCGAGCTAGGGTCAAACTTCTTACCTAGAGAACTAGTTAAATAATAAATGTGTGTTAAGTCACTAAATGAGCTGTAATTTGTTACAGTAACAATTGAGATTAATACACACACTCAAAAAAGATATGTTGAGACAAATCAGCAAGATTTAAACCAGGATTTGGCATCAGGCACTGTGGCTCACGCCTGCAATCATTCCAGTACTTTGGCAGGACTAAGGCAGGAGGATTGCTTTAACCCAGGAGTTCAAGACCAGCCTGGGCAACATAGTGAGACCTGTCTCTCTACAAAAAAATTTTAAAAATTACCCAGTTGTGGTGCTGCACACCTGTAGTCCTAGCCACTTGGGAGGTTAAGGTGGGAGGACTGCTTGAACCCAGGAGGCAAAGGCTGTAGTAAGCCATGATCATGCCACTGCACTCTAGCCTGGGCAACAGAGCAAGACCCTATTTCAAAAAAATAAAAAAATTAACAGGAATTGGGTATTAGATGGAATATTGAGGAATTAGTGTTAATTTTTGATAGGATATGGTAATAATATGTGGGCTTTTTAAACTTTGTTAGAAATATGTGCTGAAGCTCAGGCACATTGGCTCATACCTGTAATCCCAACACTTTGGGAGGCTGAGGCAGGTGGATCACTTGAGGTCAGGAATTCAAGACGAGCCTAGCCAACATGGTGAAACCCCATCTCTACTAAAAATACAAAAATTCGCTGGGCATGGTAGCAGATGCCTGTAATCCCAGCTACTCGGGAGGCTGAGGCAGGAAAATCGCATGAACCCAGGAGGTGGAGGTTGCAGTGAGCCAAGATCGTGCCACTGCACTCCAGCCTGGGTGACAGAGTGAGACTATGTCACAAAAAAAAAAAAAAAAAAAGATATGTACTGAAGCATTTATAGATGAAATGATACAAGGATGTCTGGGATTTGCTTTTGTTTTTATTTTTTATTTTTTTGAGATGGAGTCTCACTCTTGTTGCCCAGGCTGGAGTGCAATGGCACGATCTTGGCTCACTGCAACCTCTACCACCCGAGTTCAAGGGATTCTTTTGCCTGACTCTCGAATAGTTGGGATTACAGGCTCCCGCGACTATGCCCATCTAATTTTTGTATTTTTATTAGAGACAGGGTTTCACTGTGTTGGCCAGGCTGGTCTTGAACTCCTGACCTCAGGTGATCCATTCGCCTTGGCCTCCCAAAGTTTTGGGAATATAGGCATGAGCCATCGCACCCAGCCAGATTTGCTTTAAAATAATACTGCCCCCCTACCTTAAAAAAGGTAAGGGTTCTAAAACCAAGGTCCAAAATTAAAAATAAGAAAATTATTTAAAGGTAGGGGGATAGGACAAATTGGCAAAAAGTTGGTTACTTGTTGAAGCTGGGGGCTAGTTACACTATTATTGTGTATACTTGAGATTTTCCATAGGAAGTTTAAAAAAAAGTGAATTAATTTAGGAGAGAGCACCTATATATACTCCAGATCAGCACTGTCCAAAAGAATTTTCTGTGATGATGGCAGTGTTCCATATCAGCACTGTCCAATGCTGTACCCACTTACCATAAGGGTTTTGAGCACTTGAAATATAGCAAACGCAACTAAGGAAGTGAATTTTTCATTTTATTATCATTTTTTAAATATTTTATTTTTTGAGACAGAGTCTCACTCTGTTGCCCAGTCTGGAGTGCAGTGGTACGATCTCGGATCACTGCAGCCTCTGCCTCCTGGGTTCAAGCAATTCTCCTGCCTCAGCCACCCGAGTAGCTGGGATTACAGGCACGTACCACCACACCCGGCTAATTTTTGTATTTTTGGTAGAGATGGTGTTTCATCATGTTGGCCAGGCTGGTCTTGAACTTCTGACCTCAAGTGATCTGCCTGTCTTGGCCTCCTAAAAAGCTGGGATTACAGGCGTGAGCTACCGCACCCAGCTGAATTTTTCATTTTAAAATGTAAACAGCCATATGTGGCTAGTGGCTACCATTTACACAGTGCAGCTCTAAATACTGGAAGACAGCCATGCCACCTTACTACCAGAATTTGAAGTTAATAAGTAAGCTCAGGCATCAAGTCAGCCCGCCGAGCCTCTTTCCCCTTTTTGCTAATAGCAGTATCTAGTATCCCAATCCCATTCCAAGCTCTTTTTTACCAGAAGTGGGGCAAGAGATCCGGGCTATAGTACAACTTCTTCCTGGCCATAGTGACTGGTCCAGGAAGAAAATAAGCAGAGCTCGGATCCTCATAATCCTTGCTTGGAATTTTCTCTATTACGAAGTAAAGCAGCTTCTTCAATTTGGAGTTGTAAGGAGGGAACCCCAGAACTGCTGGCCATCATGTTCATTTGCCACTCTTAGAATAAAACCAAAATTAGGATAAAAGACAGAGAGACAGTCTTGCTTCTCAAGTACTTAGATCCAGTCAACCCTAAATTCAGCTCCATCCCCTTTCCCATGTGTCGGTTAGGTAAGCCAATAAATTCCTTGTTTATGCTATTAATAGTATTGAGTTAAGTTATATCACTTGCAACCTAAAATAGTCAACGCAAAGCCCCACTCAGTCTGGGCAACACAGTGAAATAGGTTCTCTAGCCAGGCATGCCTGTAGTCCCAGCTACTCGGGAGGCTGAGGTGGGAGGATTATTTGAGCACAGGAGGTCGAGGCAGTGAGCAGTGATTGTGCCACTGCACTCCAGCCTGGGTGACAGAGTGAGCAGTTTACTGAAGCCTTGACCTCTCAGGCTCAAGTGATTCTCCCACCTCACCTCCTGAGTAGCTAGGACCACAAGCGGAAACCACTGTGCCTGGCTCTTTTTTTTTTTTTACAGAGATGGGGCTTGCCTAGGCTGGTCTCCAACTCCTGGGCTCAAGCAATCCTCTCGCCTCAGCCTCCCAAGCAGCTGGGACTACAGGCATGCCACCACGCCCGGCTAATTTTTTTGTATTTTTAGTAGAGACAGGGTTTCACCATGTTGGCCAGGCTGGTCTGGAACTCCTGACCTCAAGTGATCCACCTGCCTTGGCCTCCCAAAGTGCTGGGATTACAAGTGTGAGGCACTGTGCCTGGCCTTGATTTTTAGTTGAGATGGGGTCTCTCTATGTTGCCCAGACTGGTCTCCAACTCCTGGGCTCAAGAGATCCTCCTGCCTAGGCCTCCCAAAGTGCTGGGATTATAGGCATGGGCCATGGTGCCCAGTCCTGCTTTTTTTTTTTTTTTTTTTTTTTGATACGGGGTCTCGCTCTGTCCCCCAGGCTGAAGTGCAGTGGCGTGATCTTGGCTCACTGCAAGCTCCGCCTCCCGGGTTCACGCCATTCTCCTGCCTCAGCCTCCCGAGTAGCTGGGACTACAGGCGCCCGCCACCACACCCGGCTAAGTTTTTTTGTATTTTTTAGTAGAGATGGGGTTTCACCGTGTTAGCCAGGATGGTCTCGATCTCCTGACCTCATGATCCACCTGCCTCGGCCTCCCAAAGTGCTGGGATTACAGGCTTGAGCCACCGCGCCCGGCCCAGTCCTGCTTTTTTAAATGAAAAGATTCACCCAGATACTCACTGAAATAAAAAAAATTTTCAGCTAGACTAAGCAGCAAGAATTATCATATTACCAGTAATGGGCATAATATTCTGGGAGGAAAAAAAGTCACAAATCAGTCAGATTCAAGGATCAACCTGTTTAATTGTTCATATTTTATTCCTGTATCAGTAGATTAAGAAAGTAAAATTTTCCCAAGCACTGATTTATAGATCATGTTTATAAGCAGCATACAAAAAGTTAAGTTTCATAAACAATAACATTCAGTGATCTACTTAAATCCAATTGTAATCCTTACTTTAAACTAAGGGCAATAATAATTTAATACATAGAGTAAATACACACAAAACCTGTGTATTCAGAACTACAAACATGGTTTCCATAGCCACGTATGGTTTTAGTCAAGGACACATTTCCACAATGAACAAGTACTTACAAATATGTTAATAAAACACTAACCCAAATGCTTACCCTGCCATCAGCTTTTTAAACAATGCCATTCCTGCTACTGAAAGCATTTATTTTTAGAAGCTTGAATCTGCTCTGGGAAAACGGGTTCTCCTAAAACTTAACAGGATGTTATAAATCCGAAAAGATTTTAAATCAAAAAGCCTTCCAACACAGCATTATTCATGTGAAACTTGCTTTCTTTTTTTTTTTTTTGAGACGGAGTCTCGCTCTGTCGCCCAGGCTGGAGTGCAGTGGTGCGATCTCGGCTCACTGCAAGCTCCGCCTCCCAGGTTTACGCCATTCTCCTGCCTCAGCCTCCCAAGTAGCTGGGACTACAGGCGCCTGCCACCGCGCCCGGCTAATTTTTTGTATTTTTAGTAGAGACGGGGTTTCACCGTGTTAGCCAGGATGGTTTCGATCTCCTGACCTCGTGATCCGCCCGCCTTGGCCTCCCAAAGTGCTGGGATTACAGGCGTGAGCCACCGCGCCCGGCCCGTGAAACTTGCTTTCTTAAAAAATAATAATAACTTGTTATCTGAAGAAAATTAAAAGATTATCTTTTAAGAGAGATAAACATTCTTACAAAAAACTATATTTTCCTCTATCATCTCTTTAAAAGAAATGCAAACCAGTTCATTATCTTTGTTTTTTTGAGAGTCACACTCTATTGCCCAGGCTGGAGTGCAGTGGCGCCATCTCGGCTCACTGCAATCTCTGCCTCCTGGGTTCAAGCAATTCTTCTGCCTCAGCCTCCCAAGTAGCTGGGATTACAGGCACATGCCTCCATGCCTGGCTAATTTTTTAATTTTTAGTAGAGGTGAGGTTTTGCCATGTTGGCCAGGCTGGTCTGGAACTCCTGGCCTCAAGTGATCTGCCCGCCTCAGCCTCCCAAAGTGCTGGGATTACAGGTGTGAGCCACCACGCCCGGCCTAGTTCATTATCTTTAATAATGAACTAGACAATAAACTAATTGTTGTCTAAAAACTTCTGAATACATGAAGTACAAGTCTGAGCTGTCAAGTCAAAAATGCCATTTAGATTTCACATATTAAACAGCTATAGTAGGCCAGGCGCGGTGGCTCACACCTGTAATCCCAGCACTTTGGGAGGCCGAGGCAGGTGGATCACGAGGTCAAGAGATCAAAACCATCCTGGCTACCATGGTGAAACCCCGTCACTATTAAAAATACAAAAAGTTAGCCAGGCGTGGTGGCAGGCGCCTGTACTTCCCAGCTACTCGAGAGGCTGAGGAAGGAGAATCACTTGAACCCGGGAGGTGGAGCCTGCAGTGAGCCAAGATCACGCCACTGCACTCCAGCCTGCCAACATAGTGAGACTCCATCTCAAAAAAAAAAAAAAAAAAAAAAAAAGCTACAGTATAGCTTACAAGGGCATAAACATACCTAACACATTAAATACTACTTTATCCTTTAAATAGTCAAAAGTCAGAACAACGGCATGGTTTGCAAGGTACTTTGACTTATGTGTGGTCATTAAAACCCAGTAAGTAATTCAAGTATGGTAATATAAAGGCAGGCAATTACATGCACCAATATCACCCTAAAATCAAAGGCATAAAAATAAAGGCTGAAAACTTTGTGTTTCTCCATCTTTCATTTACATGGCTAGATATCAGAATCTTACTTTAGAAAATATACAATTATTATATATGGTTTCCCCAGATGGTAATTTTCGGAAACTACAAAAAGTGTCAAGATCCATAATTTGCTTCATCAAATGCTTTTCTAGCTCGTTTCAATTCTTCATTCATAGTAAGCAAGTCTTTAACCCTGGCAAACTTCCTTGGGTCCTTTCGAATCAAGAAGACGATATCTTCAACTTGTACTCGACCTTGTCTTCCAATTGACATTGCCTTGTGAGTCTATTACAAAGAAACATATTACATTTAACTTTTTTAAATCTAATATTTTACTGTTTTAATTTGCATTTATTAATTGCAAGTGAGGTAGAAGATTTTCTCTTATTATTATTATTATGGCTATTCATTTGTGAATTATCTTTCTACTCATGTCCTTTGTCTATTTTCTACTGGATTATTAGCAATGTTCTCCTTTATGCTTCACAGGCACTTTAAAAAAAATCTTAAGGACATGAAAGCTGTCAACTTTATTGTTCCTTTTTTGTTTTTTGATATATGTAGATTTTGTCTTCATTTATATAAAATAATTTTATAATTTTGTGTACCCACCCATTTCATTTATGCTTTGTGTCCTCCTCTATCTTAATACCCAATAAATATTGGTGGGTTTTCTAAAAATCAAATAACTCTATCTCATCCTGTCATTATATACTCACCTGTGCAAAATCAAAGACCTATCACAGCATTATTTCTAATGATTAAAAAATAGAAGCTAAATACTTAATAATACGGCATTGAGCCAGACACAGTGGCTCATGCCTGTAATCCAGCACTTTGGGAGGCTGAGGGGGTAGATTGCTTGAACCCAGCAGTTCAAGACCAACCTGGGCAACATAGTGAGACCCTGTCTCTACAAAAAATTCAAAAATCAGCAAAGCATGGTGGCATGTGCCTGTAGTCCCAGGTATTTGGGAGGCTGAGGTGGGAGGACCACTTGAGTCCGGAAGGTCTCAGCTGCAGTGAGCAATGATCATGCCACTGCACTCCAGCCTGGGCAACAGAGTGAGATCCTGTCACACACACAGACACACACACACAAAAAATTGCGTATCTTTAAATACTGGAAAAGGAGGGGAAAAAAAAAAACCTATGTTGGATAATGGTATTATGGATAATATTTTTATTTTATTCAAGGATTTTATAATTATGTCCTTATAAAAAATGCAAGAGGCTGGGCGCGTTGGCTCACGCTTGTAATCCCAGCACTTTGGGAGGCCGAGGCTGGCGGATCACCTGAGGTTGGGAGTTTGAGACCAGCCTGACCAACATGGAGAAACCCTGTCTCTACTAAAAATACAAAATTAGCTGGGTGTGGTGATGCATGCCTGTAATCCCAGCTCCTCGGAGGCTGAGGCAGGAGAATCCCTTGAATCCGGGAGACGGAGGTTGCAGTGAGCCAAGATCGTGCCATTGCACTCCAGTCTGGGCAACAAGAACGAAACTCCATCTCAAAAAAAAAAAAAAACAAAAGGAAGAAGGGGGGATAGAATATACATGTATAACCTCCATCCTCAATGATAAATAGTAACCAATAACTTCTGCAAACAAGCACTCAAATGGATAGCTTATTTCAAAGGGATGCCATAAGTTCTAGTCTTACCTAAAGTTTAATATTTCAAATCTATTCTTCAATTAACTAAGACCAGTTAGGAAAGAATCTTACCATTTCAGTGATAAACTCTATGACAAGATCTTCAAGAATATCCACTGACTCAGTATAAGGATTCTGGTCATCCCCAAAGCCATACATCATACATCGCACTGTAAAAGAACAATCACTTACTTTTGTTTACTTTTACAGATTTAACAATTTGATACTTTAAAAAAATAAAGTAGAAATGAACCAAGTTATAGATAATATTGGTATGAAAACATATTTACATCGTATTTGTTATCTCCAAGTATGGATTCTTGTGTAAAAGGTTTAAGAACAGTCTGATGACCAACTGTTCCCACGTAGCCTCCAGCAAAACTCTTCCTTCCTCCCACCTACTGAACCCTAAGGTAAACAGTCTTTTCCTAATCTCTAGCATCTACTTACCAGTCCCTGCCCCCAGCAGAACACCTTTAAGTAGGAAACTCTGGCAAAGGACAGGACAGACAGCAACAGCTTAGCCTTTTTTGGAGGTGGTTTTTGTGTGTGGGCATGGCAGTGGGGCGTTGGAAAAACGGCAGACTCTTTACTGATATTACCATAGGGGAAAAGACATGAGAGACAGTTCTCCAAATACTTTTTTTGTTTGTTTGTTTGTTTGTTTTTCTTGAGACAGAGTCTCGCTCTGTCGCCCAAGCTGGAGTGCAGTGGCACCATCTTGGCTCACTGCAAGCTCCATCGCCTCCTGGGTTCACACCATTCTCCTGCCTCAGCCTCCCGAGTAGCTGGGACTACAGGCACCCACCACCACGCCCGGCTAATTTTTTGTATTTTTAGTAGAGAAGGGGTTTCACTGTGTTAGCCAGGATGGTCTCGATGATCTGACCTGGTGATCTGCGTGCCTCAGCCTCCCAAAGTGCTGGGATTACAGGCGTGAGCCACCGCGCCCAGCCCCAAATCTGTTCTTATAGGAAGAAACAGGGTACTCAAAATGAGAAAGCAGAGGGCTTACTACAAGGAATTTTGACATTTCCTAGATCAATACAACTGCAGCAAAGCCCTTTCAGGCTTCATCTGAAGAAACCATAGGAAATGCAAAGGATAAGTCTAGGTCGGGTGCAGTGGCCCACGCCTGTAAACCCAGCACTTTGGGAGGCCCAGGCAAGTAGACTGCTTGAGCTCAGGAGTTTGAGACAAGCCTGGGCAACATGGCGAAACCCTGTCTCTACATAAAAAACAAAAATTAGCTGGGCGTAGGCCTGGATGGTGGCTCACGCCTGTAATCCCAGCACTTCAGGAGGCTGAGGCAGATCACTTGAGGCCAGAAGTTTGAGATCAGCCTGGCCAACAAGGTGAAAACCTGTTTCTACTAAAAAAAAAAAAAAAACACAAAAGTCAGCTGGGGGTGTTGGCACATGCCTATAATCCCAGCTACTCGGGAGGCTGAGGCATGAGAATCGCTTGAATCCAGGAGGCAGAGGTTGCAGTGAGCTGAGAATGCGCCACTGCACTCCAGCCTGGGTGACAGAGGGAGGCTGTGTCTCAAAAATAATAATAATAATAAGAGAGACTGTGTCTCAAAAATAATAAGAGAGAAGTCTAATACAGACAAATAAAAATAACTGCCAAAAGATAAAACATATATAGCCCTTATTATATGCCAGGTACTGTCTTAAGTCCTTTACATATATAACTCATTTAATCCTCACAATGATCCTTTAAGGTAGAAACTATTGATTATCCCCATTCTATAGATGAGAAAATTAAAGCACTGCAGTAACTGATTTACCCAAGGTCACAAAGCTAGTAAGAGATGGAACCTGAGTTTGAACCCAGCTGATCTGGTTCGCGTCTTTACTCATACCCACAACAGCATCGCACTTGTTGGTAGTTGTAGTTTAGGGCAGACAGGATCCGTGTGAATTCTTTTTTTTGCTCTCCTTTTTTGAGACAGTCTTGGCTCTGTCGCCCAGGCTGGAGTGGTGTTGCAGTACAGCTTGCTGCAGCCTCAACCTCCCTGGCTCACGTGAGCAGCTGAGACTACAGACACATGCCACTATGCCTGGCTAATATGTGGGGTTTTTTTTGAAACAGAAGTGTCACTGTGTCACCCAGGGTGGAGTGCAATGGCACGATCTCAACTCACTGCAACCTCCACCTCCCGGATTCAAGAGATTCTCAAACTTTAGCCTCCAAGTAGCTGGGATTACAGCCATGCGCTACCACACCCAGCTAATTTTTTTGTATTTTTTAGTAGAGTCAGGGTTTTGCCACGTTGCCCAGATAGTCTTGAATTCCTGGCCTCAAGTGATCTGCCTGCCTTGGCCTCCCAAATTATTGGGATTACAGGCCTAAGCTACCACACCCAGCCATTTAAAATTTTTTCTAGAGACAGGGGTCTTGCTATGTTGCCTAGGCAGTTTTTGAACTGGTTTCTAACTATTTATTTATTTTTATTTTTTCGTAGAGACAGGGTCCCACCTTGTTGCCCAGGCTGGTCTTGAACTCCTGGACTCAAGTAATCCTCCTGCCTTGGCCTCCCAAAGTGCTAGGATTACAGGTGTGAGCCACCACACCCAGCTGAGATCCACAGAGGTTCTTATCCTATCGCCTATAAACTCCCAGTCCAGAGACAAGCTTTAAGAAGTCCTTGAAGGCCAGCGCGGTGGTTCACGCCTATAATTCCAGCACTTTGGGAGGCCAAGGTGGGCGGATCACCTGAGGTCGGGAGTTTGAGACCAGCCTGACCAACATGGTGAAACCCCGTCTCTACTAAAAATACAAAAATTAGGGGGGCGTGGTGGCACGCACCTGTAATCCCAGCTATTTGGGAGGCTGAGGCAGGAGAATAGCTTGAACCCAGGAGGCAGAGGTTGCGGAGAGCTGAGATCATGCCAATGCATTCCAACCTGGGCGAAAGAGGGAGACTCTGCCTCAAAAAATAAAAAAAGAAGTCCTTGAGACTACCCTGAAATCATACGGAAAAATTTTATACATTATCTGTACATGGGCATTTTTCTGGGAATAATTATAACTTTTATCAGATTATCAAAGGGGTATATGTAAATGGTAAGAAATGCTGTCAAATGCTGGAAGTGTTCTGTATCTTGATCTTAGTAGTGATTACAAGTGTGTGAGTGTGTGTGTGTGTGTGTGCGCACATGTATACAGTTGTCCCTTAGTATCCTTGGGAGCTTGGTTCCAGGACCTCCCGTGGATACCAAAATCTGCAGATGCTCAAATCCCAGATATAAAATGGCATAGTATTTGCATATAAGCTAAATACATCCTATGTATATTTTAAATCATCTCTAGGTTACTTACAATACCTAATACAATGTAAATGCTATGTAAATAGTTGTTATACTATACTGTTTAGGGAATAGTGACAAGGAAAAAAGTCTATACATATTCAATAGAGGCACAGTTTTTTTTTCTGAATATTTTCCATCTGAGGTTGGTTGAATCCATGGATGCAGAACCCATGACATAGAGAGCCGACTGTATAGCATACATAAAATTCAGCAAGCTGTTCACTTAAGACTTGCACAATTTATTGTACCTAAGTTTTTTTTTTTAAAAAAGATACTCATAGAATACTTCTAAAGGAAGAAATGAGTAAATTAAGAATAATTCCTCTATTTAGAAGAAGTAAAAACTAGTAGAAGTACAAAGAGAAGAAAGTAGACCAGGCCTACAGAAGAAAAGGGTGACTTGGAAACCAGCCTGAGATAGACATATCCCTAGGGTTTTACACTGGCAAGAGTCTTTAGGTCCAGAAACAGGAGTAAAAAAACAAACACAGGAGCCAATAGTTCCTATCGTTCTGTTTTGGATTCTGTACTTTTTTTTGCCTTTTTAAAAAAAAGATAATTTTAGATTTACAGCTGAGTTGCAAAAATAGTACAGGGTTCCCATATGCCCTATATCCAGCTTCCCCTTATGTTAACATGTTATACAACCATAGGGAGTCATCAAAGCTAAGAAATTAACATCGGTACAGGTACAGACTTCATTCAGATTTTACAAGTTTTTCCACCAATGTCCTTTTTCTGTTTCAGGTTCCCATACTATTTAGTTGTCATGCCTCCTTAGTTCCCTCGAATCCGATAGTTCCTTGACTTTTTCATCTTTCAAAACCTTGACGCTTTCTTTTTTTATTTTTATTTTTTGAGACGGAGTCTCTCTCTGTCACCAGGCTGGAGTTCAGTGGTGTGATCTCGGCTCACTGCAACCTCTGCCTCCCGGGTTCAAGCGATTCTCCTGCCTCTGCCTCTCAAGTAGCTGGGACTACAGGTGCAGGCCACCACGCCCAGCTAATTTTTCTATTTTTAGTAGAGATGGGTTTTCAACATGTTGGCCAGGCTGGTCTGGATCTGCTGACCTCATGATCCGCCCATCTCAGCCTCCCAAAGTGCTGGGATTATAGGCATGAGCCACCGTGCCCGGCCCTTGAGTAGTGGAATTATAGGCATGCACCACCACGCCGAGCTAATTTTTGTATTTTTATTAGAGACGGGGTTTCGCCATGTTGGCCAGGCTGGTCTTGAACTCCTGACCTCAAGTGATCCTCCCACCTTGGCCTCCCAAAGTGCTGGGATTACAGGCATGAGCCACCGTACCCAGTCCCCCCCAAATTTTTTTTTTAAAGGTTCAGGAGAATAGATCTTTCGTCAGTAACTTCTATGAATATTCAGGTAAGATAAGGAGAAGCCTGAAGATTACAAATTCCTGTCATCACAAAGTAATCTCAGTGGAACAAAGGTCTTTGCTAACAACCGACTGAACATCACTCTGGGATGCTCTGGTACAAGGATCCCCTTCTTATGCTGACCTAATAAGTAAAAACCACATAATGGTATAAGGAGCATCAGAGAAATGAAATAAGAAATGGTCAGCATTAGTGAGGAAACAAAATATGGAAAAGGATTTGGATGTTTAAAAAATAAAACAGTGTCTGGCGGCTCATGCCTGTAATCCTAGCACTTTGGGAGGCTGAGGCAGGAGGATCACTTAAGCCTAGGAGTTTGAGACCAGTCTGGCCAACATGGTGAAACTTGTCTTTACTGAAAATACAAAAATTAGTTGGGTGTGGCCAGGCACGGTGGCTCACGCCTGTAATTCCAGCACTTTGGGAGGCCGAGTGGGGTGGATCACCTGAGGTCAGGAGTTCAACACCAGCCTGGCTAACATGGTGAAACCCGTTTCTACTAAAAATACAAAAAATTAGCCGGGCATGGTGGCACACACCTGTAATCCCAGCTACTTGGGAGGCTGAGGCAGGAGAATTGCTTAAACCTGGGAGGTGGAGGTTGCAGTGAGCCGAGATCACGCCACTGCACTCCAGCCTGGGTGACAGAGCAAGGCTCCATCTCAGGAAAAAAAAAAAAAAAAATTAGCTGGGCATGGTGGCATGCACCTATAGTCCCAGCTATTCAGGAGGCTGAGGTGGGAGGATCACTTGACACCAAGAGTTAAAGGTTGCAGTGAGCTATGATCATGCCACTGTACTCCAGCCCCAGTGACAGAAGAGTGAGACCCTGTCTCTAAGAAAATAAATAAAAATTAAGAAAATAATTTTTCTTAAAAAAGATACACTGACGCTGAAGCTGGGCACGGTGGTTCATGCTTGTAATCCCAGCACTTTGGGAGGCTGAGACGGCGGATCATGAGGTCAAGAGATCAAGACCATCCTGGCCAACATGATGAAACCCTGTCTCTACTAACAATACCAAAATTAGCTAGGCGTCGTGGCATGTGCCTGTAGTCCCAGCTACTCAGGAGGCTGAAGCAGGAGAGTCGCTTGAGCCCAGGAGGCAGAGGCTGCAGTGAGCCAAGATTGCGCCATTACACTCCAGACTGACAACAGTGAGACTCTGTCTCAAAAAGAAAATATATATATATATATATACACACATATATATATATATATATATATATATATATATACACACACATATATATATATATATATATATACACACACATATATATATATATATATATATATACACACACATATATATATATATATATATATATATATATATACACACATATATATATATATATATATATATACTGACCCTGTAGTTTCAAGGGCATTTGGGAACTGCTCACATATAACCCAGCCTAAATAAATCATATTCATAAATCTGTGCGGCCTCATCTCTCAATACTTAGACATAACTTTACATAAAGGACCCAGGACTGGGAGATGGAGAGCACATTTTCATGCTGTGTTCCAGGGCTTGGCCTGGATCATCAGTATTAGTAGCAGCTCTCCCTTCCTCGTGTTGCCAAAAAGGGTCAAAACCGTCTACTGAGGGGGTAGGATGGAGAATCAATACATTATAATCTCCATGTTATTGTTTATTTTATTTGTTTATTTATTTTGGACACAGGGTCTGGTTTCGTCACCAAGGCTGGAGTGCAGTGGTGCAATCTGGGCTCACTGCAACCTCCACCTCCTGGGCTCAAGCCATCCTCTCACCTCAGCCTCCAGAGTAGCTGGAACTACAGGGGCATGCCACCATGCCCTGCTAATTTTTGTATTTTTTGTAGAGAGAGGGTTTCACTATGTTGCCCAGGCTGGTCTTGACCTCCTGGGCTCAAGCAGTCCGCCTGCCTTGACCTCCCGAAGTGCTGGGATTACAGGCGTGAGCCACTGCATCTAGCCTCCATGTCACTATAATGCCTTACACGATTCACCACCTTTTTTTTTTTTTTTTTTAAGACAGAGTCTTGCTGTGTCACCCAGGCTAGAGTGCAGTGGCGCAATCTTGGCTCACTGAAACTTCTGCCACCTGGGTTCAAGCGAGCACGTCTGGTTAATTTTTGTATTTTTAGTAGAGACGGGGTTTCATCATGTTGGCCAGGCTGGTCTCGAACTCCTGACCTCCAGTGATCCACCCGCCTCAGTCTCCCAAAGTGCTGGGATTACAGACGTGAGCCACTGCACCCAGCTGTTCACCACCTTCTTACTTTGTTCAGGGCCTTAGTCCAAAGCCCAAGCCCCAACTCACTTGCTACTCTCCCTCAACACCTGTTGCAGGATCCATTATTACCTGTGGCTTACAGTCAAAGAAGCCTCTCTACTGCTGTAAAGGCAAGAGGAAAACTAATGGAGGTATGTTCTTCTGCCCTAAATTAAAACACTAATTACATTTGCTCACTTAAAAAGCAATTTATAGGCCGGGTGCAGTGGCTCACGCCTGTAATCCCAGCACTTTGGGAGGCCGAGGCAGGCGGATCACAAGGTCAGGAGATCGAGATCATCCTGGCTAACACAGTGAAACCCCGTCTCTACAAAAAATACAAAAAAAGCTCTCCCTCCCCCTCCCCCTCGTCTGCGTCTCCCGCTTTCCACCGTCTCCCTCTGTTGCCGAGGCTGGACTGTACTGCAGCGATCTGGGATCGTTGCAGCCTCCCTGCCTGACTACAGGCGTGCGCCGCCACGCCTGACTGGTTTTTGTATTTTTTGGTGGAGACGGGGTTTCGCCGTGTTGGCCGGGCTGGTCTCCGCTCCTGACCTCGAGTGATCTGCCCGCCTCGGCCTCCCGAGGTGCCGGGATTCCAGACGGAGTCTCGCTCACTCAGTGCTCAATGCTGCCCAGGCTGGAGTGCAGTGGCGTGATCTCGGCTCGCTACAACCTCCACCTCCCAGCTGCCTGCCTTGGCCTCCCAAAGTGCTGAGATTGCAGCCTCTGCCCGGCTGCCACCCCGTCTAGGAATTGAGGAGCGTCTCTGCCTGGCTGCCCATCCCCTGGGATGTGGGGAAGCACCTCTGCCCGGCCGCCCCGTCTGGGATGTGAGGAGCGCCTCTGCTCGGCCGCTACTCCGTCTGGGAGGTGAGGAGCACCGCTGCCCGGCCGCCACCCCGTCTGGGAGGTGAGGAGCGCCTCTGCCCGGCCACGACCCCGTCTGGGAACTGAGGAGCGCCTCCGCCAGGCCGCCCGCATCTGGGAAGTAAGGAGCCCCTCTGCCCTGCCGCCACCCTGTCTGGGAGGTGTACCCAACAGTTCATTGAGAACGGGCCATGATGACGATGGCGGTTTTGTCGAATAGAAAACGGGGAAATGTGGGGAAAAGAAAGAGAGATCAGATTGTTACTGTGTCTGTGTAGAAAGAAGTAGACATAGGAGACTCCATTTTGTTCTGTACTAAGAAAAATTCTTCTGCCTTGGGATGCTATTAATCTATAACCTTACCCCCAACCCCGTGCTCTCTGAAACATGTGCTGTGTCCCCTCAGGGTTAAATGGATTAAGGGCGGTGCAAGATGTGCTTTGTTAAACAGATGCTTGAAGGCAGCATGCTCGTTAAGAGTCATCACCACTCCCTAATCTCAAGTACCCAGGGACACAAAACACTGAGGAAGGCCGCAGGGTCCTCTGCCTAGGAAAACCAGAGACCCTTGTTCACATGTTTATCTGCTGACCTTCTCTCCACTATTGTCCTATGACCCCGCCAAATACCCCTCTCTGAGAAACACCCAAGAATGATCAATAAATACTAAAAAAATTAAAAAAATAAAATAAAGCAAAATAAAAACACACAAAAAAAATTAGGTGGGCGTGGTGGCCGGCGCCAGTAGTCCCAGCTACTCAGGAGGCTGAGGCAGGAGAATGGCATGAACCCGGGAGGCGGAGCTTGCAGTGAGCAGAGATTGCGCCACTGCACTCCAGCCTGGGCGACAGAGCGAGACTCCGTCTCAAAAAAAAAAAAAAAGCAATTTATACACACACACACAATTGGGGTTAGGATTGGTACTATCTGATTCAAAAGTTAAACAGAATTTGATAGGCTAGTCTGAGAATATTATCCCTACAGGGAAACATTCAAAGCAATAAAGCTACTTTGAAAGGACATGTCCAAAAGTTTTCATCATCTATAACAAAATCATTGTCAAATACTACTTACATTCTTTAGAAAAAAGTCTCTTTCTTTTACCCTGTCCACCTTCTGCACCTCCTCCAATTTCTTCATTTTCTTCCTCAAACTAGAAGTTAAAATGTATATATAGAAATGTCAAATAATTGCCTTGCATTTGATATTTTAATAATGACATTTTTTTTTCCTTTTCAACAGATAGGCCAGAAAGCCAAAGGAAGCAGCAAAAAAAAAAACCACGAAACCTTAGCATTGAAGGAGCCTATGTATCTAGTCCAACTTCCAACTCATGCAAAAATGGCTTCTACAATGTTCCTAACTAATAATCCTACTGCTTCTACTTGTAAGAGTTCCAATGACCATAAGTTTTATTTTTAAACAACTAAGGTGGCCTATTACTACTGTTACTGTTAAACAGTTGATACTGAATCAAAGTCTACCTTTGTAGACTTTGTAGTAAGCAAAACTAATATTTCCTATGCATTTGCTTATACAGTGCTAAAAACGTTCCTTAAGTAAGCCCGTAACCCTATTTTATAAAAAGAAAACTGATGTTCAAAGTTAAATAACTTGCTCAGAGAGAATGGAAATTTTGAAATCCAGGCTGTCTGACTTTCAATGCATTCTTTTCCCATTACTTCACAGTAAGTACAGTTTTGTTAACAATTGAACTGTTGGCTCATAGTGCGCGCTAATAGATGTTAGTTTTGATCTCTGATGATTCTGTACGTGTTTCAGTGTCTGGCAAATACAGACCAAAATCAAGGGGAAAGGGGTCACAAAACCTACTCTTCCTTCATGTCCTTCCCCACTTTCTAAAATGATCAATCCTTAGGGCGTGAAGTCCCCGAACTCTGTCCGCTGAATTCACTAAGGCAAGCAGACCCGATCCTGAACTCTGCCTCCGCTACTGAGCCCGAAGGAGTGAAGAAAAGACAGGTTTTGGACAGAGACGGTCACTCACCGTGGGGTCTTCTTCCTCATCTGCCATCCCACTAGCACGCCAACTCACAGCGTCCTGCCGGCTGGCTCCCAGCTGGTTACACTACTTCCGCCGCCTCACTTCCGGTGACGCGCGGGGCCGTAGCTGGGCCTAGCCCTCTGCGGCCTGCGGGAGGACGGTGGTGCTTTCCGGCCTAGCGGCGGAAATGCGACAGTCTCTAAGGGAGGAGGCCGGAGCGCCTCCCTGTAATCCCGAAGGAATTGAAAACTAACAAAGAAAAGGAAATCACGGGCTAGGTCGCGAGTATCTCGTTGTCACCCTGAATTTGCTACTGCGTATTGAATCACAGCTTCTTGTTTGGGGACTGCGAAGCTATGGATCATAGGAGGGCAAGCCAGCAGTCCTTTATCAGACAAATATGCTTTTAAATCATTTTAAAGATTTGTAGTTCCACTGTTTCTAAGCACTGTGTTAATTATTGGGGATACTGTGCTTCATCACAAATTTCCAAGAGATGGTGTCCCGAGACTAAGCATTTAAAATTTTGTGAAGGTTTTTTGATTTTTTTTTTTTTTTTTTTTGAGACGAAGTCTCACTCTGTCGCCCAGGCTGAAGTGTGCAGTGGCGCGATCCCGGCCCACTGCAACCTCTGCCTCCCGGGCTCAAGTGATTCTCCTTCCTCAGCCTCCCGAGTAGCTGGGATTACAGGCGTGCGCCACCATGCCCGGCCTTATTTTTGTTTTTTTGAGACACAACCTCACTGTCCCCCGGGATGGAGTGAAGTGGCGCAATCAGGGTTCACTGCAGCCTAGACCTGCTGGGCTCAAGCCATCCTCCCACCTCAGCCTCCAAGTAGCTGGGATTACAGGCGCACACCACCAATGCCCAGCTAATTTTTGTATTTTTAGTAGAGATGGGGTTTCCCCACATTGCCCAGGCTGGTCTGGAACTCATGGCCTCAAGCGATCTGCCCCGCTCTGCCTCCCAAAGTGCTGGGATTACAAGTGTGAGCCACCGTGTCCACCGGGGAAGGCTTTTGGTCAGAACAATGGCTGGCAAAACCACAGGCATCGGAAGGCCAGAGCTAGGGATATAATATAAATGTCCCTACAGTGTAACAGATGATGCTACATAAAGAAAATCCCGTAATACACACGATTTCTGAATGTCCTGCTGAACATTCGGTGAGTGAAAACTAATTATCTGAGAGTTGAACCTATCTTTGTTAATAAACACAAAGCGGCCGGGCGCAGTGGCTCACGCCTGTAATCCCAGCACTTTGGGAGGCCGAGGTGGGCGGATCACAAAGTCAGGAGATCAAGACCATCCTGGCCAACATGATGAAACCCCGTCTCTATTAAAAGTACAAAAATTAGCTGGGCGTAGTGGCGCACGCCTGTAATCCCAGCTACTCGGGAGGCTGAGGCAGGAGAATCGCTTGAACCCGGGAGGCAGAGGTTGCAGTGAGCCGGGATTGTGCCACTGCACTCCAGCCTGGTGACAGAGCGGGACTCCACCTCAAAAAATAAAAATTAAAAAAATAAACACAAAGCATTTTCCCACACTTTTAATGTACGTTGAAGTTTCTAGGAATGTTATTACCCCAAAATTGAATAGTAATTGTATTTTGTTTGGTCTGGAATTCATTAAGAGCTGTGTACCATTTCAAGAAATAACGTCACCAAAAGCAACATCACTTGTAATAATTTGAATAGTGAATAATGAAAAAATAACTTTGATTTGAGGAATGTGAGTTAAATTATTAGGCCCAAAGAGGCATTAAAATGAGAGGCAATCACATCCTGCTTGCCCCCTTTTGAGCTATGTATTTATGTCTTAAAACCGCTTGCTATTGCCACAAGTATTAGTTATAAATTAGCCTAATTATGCCCCATCAGACACCATATCGCACACCCTATAGCTTGATAATGTTTAGCCAATTACTAATCAATGTTATTTTTGTGAACCAATGAGAACTCCTTAAAGACAACTTTGTATCAGCCCACTCCCTGTCCTCATTCTTTTCCTTTAAAAATCCACTTGTACCTGCTGCTAATCTTAGAGTGTATATTCTAGGCAACTTTATGCTGCTGAGTTGTAATCCTCAAGTTTGGCCCAAATAAACTCTCTATTTATATTAATTTTGCCTCAGCTTCTTCCTTTTAGGTCGACAATACTCACCCAAATCAGTCTGCATTCAAAGCAATTCTACATATAGGTAGAAGCATCTGAAATCTTCATTATCCCCCCCTAGTGCCATCATACCTGAGTATTTATATATTGAAACAAATGTTACTATTTTTACTTTACTTTTATATTACCTTTATGCCTGACCTCCTGGCCACTGGATCACTGGATCCTGTTAGGATATTATGTTATTTTCAAAATTATGTGAGTAGGTAGATATATTAGTTATTTATTGCTGTAACAAATTACCCCAAAACTTAGTGGCTTAAAACAAATATCACACAGTTTCTGTGGGTCAGCAATGTGGGTGCAATTTAACTGGGTGCCTGTGGCTCAAGGTCCCTCCTGTTGCAGTCGGGATGTTGGCTGGGGCTGCAGTCATACCTCAAGTGTTGATGGAGGAGAATTTGCCAGAGTCACTCACAGGTTGCTGGAGGTTTCACTTCCTCCAGGTTGTTGGACTAAGGGCCTCAGTTCTTTAATGGATGTTGCCCAGAGGTCTCCCTCAGTTCCTTGCCATGTAATCCACTCCATAGGGCAGCTCACAATGTGCCAGTTGCCTTCCTCCAGAGGACACAAGTGGGAGAACCCAAAAGACAGAAATCACAGGTTTTTTGTTACCTAATTTTGGAAGTGACATCCTATAATTTCTGCCCTATTCTATTCACTAGAAGTAAGTAAAAAAGTGCAGCTAGGGCTGGGCGCAGTGGCTCACACCTGTAATCCCAGCACTTTGGGAGGCCGAGGTGGGCGGATCAGGAGGTCAGGAGTTTGAGACCAGCCTGGCCAACATGGTGAAACCCTGTCTCTACTAAAAATACAAAAATTAGCCGGGTGTGGTGATGCACACCTGTAATCCTAGCTACTCAGGAGGCTGAGACAGGAGAATTGCTTGAACCCGGGAGGCGGAGGTTGCAGTGAGCTGAGATGGTGCCACTGCACTCCAGCCTGGCCGACAAAGCAAGACTCCATCTCAGAAAAAAAAAAAAAAAGTGCAGCCCAAGTTCAAGGAGAGGGGATTACATAAGGGCAAGAATATTGCTGGGGAGATCACTGGGGGCTTTCTGAGAGGTCACCTACCACAGTAAATTATATTATTTTTGAATTTCACTACACAATAATGGAGACACTGTATTTGTTATTAATATTTAAAGGAGATTGTTGAGCCTGATAGGTTTGAGAACTGCTTTTAGGTAGTGATCCAGTGTCCAGGAGGTCAGGCATAAAACATTCATAGTGTCTGTTATCAGTGGAGTAGATAGGTAAAATATGCTGGATGCACAGCACGGAGTACAATGCAGCAATCAGAAGCAATAGATTTAGCAACATGGACAGAACTTGAAAACAGTGCTAAGTTAAAAAAGAAACAATAAAATCTATAATATAATACCATTTATAGAAATTAAAAATACTACTTATTTTAAAGGAAAATATAAAAAAGCGTAAACATTAAACACACTAGAAAGTTGCAGTGTAGGAGAAATGGGAATAAGGATAAAAGGAATAAATTGATAAATAAAAAGTGAAGGACTTTGGAAGGGCCAATTGTAATACTATGCCATGAGCTGCGGCATGTGAATAATTCAATCCTGTGAACCTGAGATCCAAAACACAAAGTGGGGGAAAAAAAATTGCAGTGTCAGTCCAGGCGTGGTGGCTCACGCCTATAATCCCTGCACTTTGGGAGGCCGAGGCGGGCGGATCACGAGGTCAGGAGATTGAGACCATCCTGGCTAACACAGTGAAACCCTGTCTCTACTAAAAAAAATACAAAAAATTAGCCGGGCGTGGTGTCGGGCGCCTGTAGTTCCACCTACTTGGGAGGCTGAGGCAGGAGAATGGCATGAACCCGGGAGGCGGAGCTTGCAGTGAGCCGAGATCGCGCCGCTGTACTCCAGCCTGGGCAACAGAGCAAGCCTCCGTCTCAAAAAAAAAAAAAATTGCAGTGTGATAAGCAGAGCAGAAGGAAAACACAGAGTAAAAAGTCATGGTGTGCTTCTACAAGATGTTCTCTGTGGGTTGCCAGAGCCAAGTTTTTTGGGTGGGGATGCAGGAAACGAGGCTGGAATTTGCGTGTGAAAGGCCTTAAATGTTCTCTTCAGAGACTGAACTTCAAACTACAGAGTTCTTGGGAAGTCTTTAAACAGATGTGTCACATGACTTTACAGTTTTTAAAAAGATCACTTTTGCGGGGAAACTAGGATGAGAGATGATTATAATCTGAATTAAGGCAAAGAGGAAGAAGGAACTGATTTAACACAAACTTTACGAGACAATTTACAGGACTTTGTGACAATGAATGTGAAAGCTATTGACAGAAGAATGGAATGCTATTAATATAAATAGGAAAGAAAAAGGGGAAAGAAGTTGGAAGTGGAAGGAAATGAGTTTAGTCTGTGTTTGAGAGTCTGGAGATGTACTAAAACTGATGGAAATCCAGGCCAGGAATTACAGGCCCGGAAATCCACAGAAAAATTAGTACTAGAAGCCGGGTGTGGTGGCTCACGCATGTAATCCTAGCACTTTGGGAGGCCAAGGTGGGTGGACTCCCTGAGCTCAGGAGTTCGAGACCAGCCTGGGCAACATGGTGAAACCCTGTCTCTACTAAAACACACACACACAAAAAGAAAGAAAGAAAGAAAGAAAAATTAGTACTAGAGAAAATGACATGGGAGATACCATCACAAAGTGATAGTCTAGAGATTGCACGGAAACAAAGGCTGAGAGAATAGAGGCAAAGGGCACAGCCTTAGAAACAGTACATCAAGGAGACAGAGTGACAGAAGGAATAGTCAAAGAGGTAGGAAAAGATAAAAGTAGGATAAGGAGGAGGAGAGGGAGGAGAAAAACTGAAAACCCAAAAAGAAAAAGTTTCAAAAAGAAGCAGGTTTGGGCTGATCACTTGAGGTCAGGAGTTTCAGACCAGGCTGGCCAACATGATGAAAACCTGTCTCTACTAAAAATACAAAAAATAAAAATAAAATAAAAAAATTAGCCAGATGTGGTGGCGAGCACCTGTAGTCCCAGTTGCTCGGGAGGCTAAGGAAGAAGAACAGCTAGAACCGAGGAGGCGGAGGTTGCAGTGAGCCAAGATCATGCCACTGCACTCCAGCCTGGGTAACAGAGCAAGACTCTGTCTCAAAACAAAACAAAACAAAACCAACAAAGAAAAGCAGGTGGCATGGAGTGCTCAGTGCCAGAGATTACAAGATTGAAGATTTCTCTTTTTTTTTTTTTTTTTTTTGAGACAGAGTCTCGCTGTGTCGCCCAGGCTGGAGTGCAGTGGCTTGATCTCGGCTCACTGCAAGCTCCGCCTCCCGGGTTCATGCCATTCTCCTGCCTCAGGCTCCCGAATGGCTGGGACTACAGGCGCCTGCCACCGCGCCCGGCTAATTTTTTTTTGTATTTTTAGTAGAGATGGTGTTTCACCGTGTTAGCCAGGATGGTCTCGATCTCCTGACCTCGTGATCCGCCCACCTCGGCCTCCCAAAGTGCTGGGATTACAGGCTTGAGCCACCGCGCCCGGCCACAAGATTGAAGATTTAAGAAAAGGCCTTGGATTTGACAATTAGGAGGTATGGGAATGATCTGGAGAACAAAGTTTGAGGGTGTTGGTGAAGATGGAAGCCAGATTATAACAGGTTAAAGAACGAGTACATAGTTGGATACTGAAGGTAGAAAAGCAAAGAGGAAAGTAGCCTTAAGAGGGCAGTAAAGGCCGGGAGCGGTGGCTCACTCCTGTAATCCCAGCACTTTGGGAGGCCGAGGTGGGCGGATCAAGCGGTCAAGAGATTGAGACCATCCTGGCTAACATGGTGAAACCCCGTCTCTACTAAAAATACAAAAATTAGCTGGGCGTGGTGGCACGCACCTGTAGTCCCAGCTACTTGGGAAGCTGAGGCAGGAGAATCGCTTGAACCCGGGAGGCAGAGGTTGCAGTGAGCCGAGATCATGCCACCGCACTCCAGCCTGGCAACAAGAGCGAGATTCCGTCTCAAAAAAAAAAAGAAAGAAAAAAGAGGGCATTAGGACCTAGGAATGTGGACTTTGAATAAATGATTACTGAATGAATGAAGCTGTGAACTTATCCCAGCCATTTAGCTAACTGCTCAGAAAATCCTGTTTTTCATTACAGCAAAAAAATGGAATGAGCTTTTAATGAAAAAGGTAATGACCAAAGAGATTTGTTCACAAAAGAATGGAATCAGCAGAGAGGTAATTGATAGAAGGAAGAAATGGAGCTCTATGAGAGTAATTTGGAAGGAATGGCAGGGGTGGGATTATCAGAAATGAGGAAAGCAGGAGCTGGATGGTGGGTCTGAGAGGTGTTAGTGATGGGATATTGGTAGGCAGGTAGCACCACTCAGACTCCAAATCAAGGCAGAAGCTTTGCAGTCCCACCCCTACCTCCACTTTCACCCCTCCATCCCAGGGTGTAGACGTCTACAGTGCTTCTCCCTAATTTGGGCTTAGTGAGGTTATGTCACTTTTAAAATGGCTTTCAGAATTTCTGCAATAATCTTAATGGAGTCTTAACCACACTTCCTATGGTCCATGGTTAAATATGCAGACTCTGAGATCAGATAGGTTGAGTCTGAAATCCTAGGTGTACTATTTATCAGCTATGTTACCTTGAGACAACTTACTTGACCTGCTGGTACACCCATTTCCTCATCTATGACAGGGGGATAATAATAGTTACTAACCATATAAGGTTATTATGAGGTTATTAGATGTGTTAATAACCATAAAGTGTTTTGGGTAGTACCTGGCATGTAGTGAATATTCCATAAGTATCATTGTTTTTATTTTTTTTTATTTTTTGAGATGGAGTTTCACTCTTGTTGCCCAGGCTGGAGTGCAATGGTGCAATCTTGGTTAACGGCAACCTCTGCCTCCCGGGTTCAAGTGATTCTCCTGCCTCAGCCTCCCGAGTAGCTGGGATTACAGGCATGGGCCACCACGCCTGGCTAATTTTGTATTTTAGTAGAGATGGGGTTTCTCCATGTTGGTCAGACTGGTCTTGAACTCCCGACCTCAGGTGATCCGCCCGCCTTGGCCTCCCAAAGTGCTGGGAGTACAGGTATGGGCCACCGTGCCCGGCAGTTGTTTTTATTTAAGGGCCTACCTTTCACCATTATCTTCTGCTGTTCTCCTTCATGAGCTCTGCATTCCAGTTCCACAAGGCCACATTCAACTATTCATGCAATAAATATTCATGAAGCACTTGCAAAATGTTTAGCACTAGCTATGGGATTGTGGATAAAATGACAAAACAAATGAACATTACAATATAGCAGGGGGACATAAGTTAAACAGATATAGTATGCTTTGGAAACATGATCAGGGAAGTAGACTGAAGGTCCGAGAAGTCTACCTTGAGCAAGTGAGGTCTGAGTTGGGACTTGAGGGATGAATGTGAGTTAGCCATTGAAGGAGGAAGGGAGGCTTTACTGTGCCCCAATCTTACCTTACACTTTCCCTCTCCAGGGCTTTGATGGCTCAATTCCCTCCCCACTAGAATGCTCTTTATTTCTGCTTATTGAAATGCTATAAGCTTTTCAGGCCCAGCTAAAATGTCTGCTCCTCAATAAAGCCTTCCCTGAACGCTCCAGCTGAAGGCAGTTTCCCATTTCTACGCACCCCCCCGCCACCCTGGCACTTAGTTTTCATTTTCCTTGGACACTTCTCACTTTCTGCTGTATTTTTTGGTTATTTATAAACACAGCTTATCTTTTTCTACTAAATCTTAAACTTTTTAAGAACAGAGTCTATTTCTCATTCATCTTTGAGTTCCCAAAGGCTAGCACATTCCTTAGATTTAGAAGTCCTGGAACAAATGTTTGTAGCATAAATTAATGCCTATTTGACATCCCTTTTCAAATATGTTGTAATTCAAATGAAGCTATTGTTGCAAGCTGTGCCTTTGAGGCTCAACTTACTCTTTGGTTAAACCAGAATGCCACAGTCATGGTCCCCATGACTGATTAGTGTTCACCACAATAACTGCAACAACCCTAACAAACAGGCCACTGTTCTTGACTGACAGGCGTTTGGCAACAACTACCAATTCTCCAGTGAACACTGAAATGAATTGAGGAAGAACTGTCTGAATTGAGAGTCCCTAGGCCAGTAGGCTCTATTTATTCTTTGCAGTTGGGCTGCAAGAGCTGGTCACCCAGGCTTTGGCCTGATGTGAGACATGACTGCACTGGGTGGCAGTGAGGCTATGAGACTTTCCAGGGTGACAGAAACATTAATGATTGTAACAAAATAATCAAAGATCAGTATCAGTGGAAAGCACTGTAATTTGAGGCAGTGTGATAACAAGGGAAAGGGAGCTTTGAACTTAGACCTGGGTATGGATCCTAACAGGCTATGTTATCTCACCCACGTCCCTTCTTTAAGTCTCAAGATTTAATTAAAAAAAAAATCTGTAAAACAGTTGTGAAAATCAAAGATACTGTCTTTACACAATGCTCATGTTCTATTAAAATGTGTTTATTCATCTATCTTACCCAACATATTTTCTTCTCTGAGGGCAGGGACTTATTTATGCCCCATTTCTGCAAAATCAAGCAAAGTGCTTAGCACACAGTAGTAGACACTGACAAGTACTTTTTTTTTTTTTTTGAGACAGGGTCTCGCTCTGTTATCCAGGCTGGAGTGCAGCAGTACAATCATGACTCACTGCAACTTCCACTTCCAGGGCTGAGGTGATTCTGCTACCTCAGCCTCCCGTGTAGCTGGGACCACAGGCATGCATCACCATGCCTGGGTAATTTTTTTATTTTTTGTAGAGACAGACTTTCACTATATTGTGCAGGCCAGTCTTGAACTCTTGAGCTCAAGCGATCCGCCCACCTCAGTGCCCAAAGTGCTGGGGCTACAGGCGTGAGCCACCAGGCCAACCACAGATACTTTTAAAACAAATTGTAGCAGGAGGAGCCTCAGACAAAACTCCTCAGACACCGAGTTAAAGAAGGAAGGGGTTTGTTCGGCTGGGAGCATCGGCAAGCCTCCTGTCTCAAGAGCCGAGCTCTTCAGGTGCTCAACTTGTGCTTTTAAGGGCTCACAACTCTAAGGGGATCCACATGAGAGGGTCATGATCGATTGAGCAAGCTAGGGGGTACATGACAGGGGCTGCAAGCACCAGTGGTCAGAGCGAAACAGAACAGAACTGGAGGTTTCACAATGTCTTTCCATACAATATATGGAATCTATAGATAACATCAGTTGCTAAGTCACGGGTCGAATTTTAACTACCAGGCTTAGGTCAGGCAGGCCTAGGCCTGGTTTCAGGTGTGGTTCCTAGGCACTGGGCTACCTGCCTTTAGTTTCTCTTCTCTTTCCTTTTCTGAGTATAGAACAATATGAGAGGGTCTCTCTCTTCCCTCAAAATGAACAACAATAATAGCTATCATTTATGGAATACTTACTCATGTCAGATATTGTTGTAAATAGTAATTCACTTAATCCTCCAACAACCTTAGAAAGGAACTAACTTAATTTCACAGAAAACTGAACTTTTTTTTTTTTTGAGACGGGGTCTCACTCTGTCACCAGGCTGGAGTGCAGTGGCGCGACCTCAACTCACTGCAACCTCCTCCTCCCGTGTTCAAGCGATTCCCCTGCCTCAGCCTCCCGAGTAGCTGGGACTACAGGTGCGTGCCACCACGCCCAGTTAATTTTTGTATTTTTAGTAGAGACGGGGTTTCACCATGTTGGCCAGGATGATCTCAATCTCTTGACGTGATCTGCCTGCCTCGGCCTCCCAAAGTGCTGGGATTACAGGCATGAGCCACCGCACCTGGTCAACTTTTTGATTTTAGAATATAAAAGTCTTGATACAACTAATTTTGAAATAGCCTGGTGAGACTCACTCTATTCAATTAAAAAAATGTAAAATATCTTTTACAATATGAAAAAGAAAAAATATGGTGGAGGGAGAAAGAAGAAATAAATTTAAGAGTGGGAGAAAAAAAGTAGGAAGAATAGAGACAGACGTGGAAAATGAAGAAAAAGTAAATTTTGAGTGGAGTTAAAAGAAAACTGTTTAATCATAAGATACTGTGTGCATTATCACTGCCCTTTAGAAATAGTAATTTGAGGCCGGGCACGGTGGCTCATGCCTGTAATCCCAGCACTTTGGAGCCCGAGGCAGGTGGATCATGAGGTCAGGAGATCAAGACCATCCTGGTCAACACGGTGAAACCCCGTCTCTACTAAAAATACAAAAAATTAGCCGGGCGTGGTGGCGGGCGCCTGTAGTCCCAGCTACTTCGGAGGCTGAGGCAGGAGAATGGCGGGAACCTGGGAGGCGGAGCTTGCAGTGGGCCGAGATGGCGCCACTGTACTCCAGCCTGGGCGACAGAGCGAGACTCTGTCTCAAAGCTAAAATAAAATAAAATAAAAATTGGAATTTGCCACTGGGTGTGGTGGCTCACGCCTGTAATCCCAGCACTTTGGAAGGCCGAGGCGGGCGGATCACGAGGTCAGGAGTTCAAGACCAGCCTGGCCAACGTAGTGAAACCCCATCTCTACTAAAAATACAAAACTTAGCCGGACACGATGGCGCATGCCTGTAGTTCCAGCTACTCCGGAGGAGAGGCAGAAGAATTGCTTGAACCCAGGAAGCAGAGGTTGCAGTGAGCAGTGATTGCACCACTGCACTCCAGCTTGGGCAACAGAGTGAGACTTTGTCTCAAAAAAAAAAAATTGTAATTTGCCAATTCATCACTCCTCCTGGTTTTTCAGCTTTGATTTCATCCTTAATTTTTTTTTTCTGTTTATGAGACACAGTCTTGCTCTGTCTCCCAGGCTGGAGTGCAGTGGCGTGATCTCAGCTTAATGCAACCTCTGCCTCCCCGGTTCAAGTGATTATCCTGCCTCAGCATCCCGAGTAGCTGGGATTACAGACAGACACCACCACACCCAGCTAATTGTTGTATTTTTAGTAAAGACAGGGTTTCACGATGTTGCCAGGCTGGTCTCCAACTCCTGACCCCAAGTGATCCACCTGTCTCGGTCTCCCAAAGTGCTGGGATTACAGGTGTGAGCCACCATGCCCAGCCTTTACATTTTATTCTTTTTTTTTTTTTTTTTGAGAGGGAGTCTCACTCTGTTGTCCAGGCTGGAGTACAGTGGCACAATCTCGGCTCACTGCAACCTTCGCCTCCCAGTCTGAAGCGATTCTCCCTCCTGCCTTAGCCACCTGAGTAGCTGGGATTGGAGGCTCACGCCCCCATGCCCGGCTAATTTTTGTGTTTTTAGTTTTGTGTTTTTAGACAAGGTTTCACCATGTTGGCCAGGCTGGTCTTGAACTCCTGACCTCAGGTGATCTGCCCACCTTGGCCTCCCAAAGTGCTGGGATTACAGGCGTGAGTCATTGCGCCCGGGCTTAACTTTTTTTTTTTTTTTTTTTTTTTTTTTTTTTTGTGGTGGAGTCTCACTCTGTTGCCCAGGCTGGAGTGCAATGGCACAATCTCGGCTCACTGCAATATCCGTCTCCCAGGTTCAAGTGATTCTTTCGCCTCAGCTTCCTGAGTAGCTGGGATTACAGGCACCTGCCACCACTCCCGGCTAATTTTTTTGAATTTTTAGTAGACACGGGGTTTCACCATGCTGGCCAGGCTGGTCTCGAACTCCCGACCTCAGGTGATCCTCCCGCCTCGGCCTCCCAAAGTGTTGAGATTACAGGCGTGAGCCCCTGCGCCCAGCTGATTAACTTTTATTCTAACCTCTGAGAATGACAGAAGAGGAAAGACTTGTCTTTCAGAGTATGACAAAAACTGAAGAGGTTTTCATCTAGTTAAAAAAAAATGGGGAGAAAAAATTATCTCTAAAAAGTGAGTGGCATGAGCAAAAATGAGAAAGCAAAGACTGTAACTGAAGAACATAGTCTTTATAGACAAAGCTTAAAGCCCATATAGGGAACAGTGGAAAATACTATTGGAAGGCCTTGAGTAGCAGGCTAAGGACTTAGGCATTATTCAGTAGGTAGTGGTTGCTGTCAAAGGAAACACCAGTGTGGTATGGAGGAAAATTTTCTAGTCCTGATTTCAGAAGGCTGGAATTATTGTGCCAGTGTAATACTTGGCAGTCCTTACCCTAAACCTTGGTTTATTTCTAAAACAGGGGTAATCAGGCAGTTGTGAGGGTTAAATAAGATCATATGACAAGGTGTGTTTGCTTTGAAAATGTCAAAATGTTATAAAAATGTAAGTTTTCATTGTTGTGAGGACATAATTGATACTTAAAGACTACCGATATAGCAAAATTACTAAGGTGATGGCTGTAGGATTACAAGAGGGGCAATTTTTTTTCTTTTCTTTGTTTTTTTTGAGACGTAGTTTCACTGTTGCCCAGGCTAGCGTGCTATGGCAGGATCTCAGCTCACCGCAACCTCTGCCTCCCCAGTTCAAGCGATTCTCCTGCCTCAGCCTCCCAAGTAGCTGGGATTACAGGCATGTGCCACCATGCCCGGCTACTTTTGTATTTTTAGTAGAGACGGGGTTTCTCCATGTTGGTCAGGCTGGTCTCGAACTCCCGACCTCAGGTGATCCGCCCACCTCGGCCTCCCAAAGTGCTGGAATTACAGGCGTGAGCAACCGCGCCCGGCCAAAGGGGGGCAGTTATTATTATTATTATTATTATTTGAAATGGAGTCTCGCTCTGTCGCCCAGGCTGGAGGGCAGTGGTGCTGTCTCGGCTCACTGCAACCTCTCCCTCCCGGGTTCAAGCTATTCTCCTGCCTCTGCCTTCCGAGTAGCTGGGATTACAGGCGCACGCCACCATGCCAGGCTAATTTCTGTATTTCTTTTTTTCTTTTTTCTTTTTTTTTTTTTAAGTAGAGACGGGGTTTCACCATGTGGTCAGGGTGGTCTTGAACTCCTGACCTCAGGTAATCCGCCTGCCTCGGCCTCCCAAAGTGCTGGGATTACAGGCGTGAGCCGCGCCCGGCCAGCTGCTGCTGTTTTAGACAATGGTTGATGAAGGATTCGAAGGCCTAAACAATAGAGCTTTTGTTCTGTTTTGTTTTTGAGTGGTCCTGAACAGTTCTTTTGGGCAGGGGAATTTGTCTGTGTGTGAATGTGCAAACATATATATAATCTGAGTGGCTGCCTGGCCTTGTCCTAGGTTTTGTCCCGTATATACGCCGTCTTTTTTTTTTTTTCTTTCTGCATGTATGTATATTTTCTCAAGGCATCTGTCCTGCACTAGACTTTGGCTTGTCTTTCCAGGCCAGCTTCCAGAGGATGCTTTGGCAGTTTTCCCTCTGGGTAACCAAGCAGGCTGCAGCCAGCAGATGGCACTGCAGCAGAAAGGGGCAGAGTCCCTTTAGGCCCTTGACAAGCACGGCGGATTAGTAACCGTATAATTTAACCCTCCAGTTAGCCTTGGAGGACTCGGTGTCGCACTTCCGCCCGAACTCTAATAAAGCGGGCCGAGTTGTGTGCAATTAAGGATTTCAGTATGCAAATCTGAATCTGTACTTTTGTCTCCTCCACCCCACCCCCATCATTAGACTGGCAATGTCTTTTGTCACGTTGTCAAAGTGTCCTCAGAGAAGCGGTGTCTAGATATCGCCGATTTCTGGTTAAAGTGGCTGAAGTGATCCCAGCATTAATTAAATGCAGGAGAATCGAGATTCTCCTGATAGTTTAAGGAAAAGAAAAATTCACACAAGCAAACGGGCAACCCTTTGAATGTTTTCCGACGACGTGGTGCTTTAGGATCTGAAAGATGCGACTTGGTTTTTGTTGTTGTTGTTGTTGTTGTTGTTGTTTTTGAGACGGAGTTTCCGCTCTTGTTGCCCAGGCTGGAGTGCAATGGCGCGATCTCGGCTCACCGCAACCTCCGCCTCCCAGGTTCAAGCGATTCTCCTGCCTCGGCCTCCCGAGTAGCTGGGATTACATTACAGGCATGAGCCACCATGCCCGGCTAATTTTGTATTTGTAGTAGAGACGGGGTTTCTCCATGTTGGTCAGGCTGGTCTCGAACTACGATCTCAGGTGATCCGCCTGCCTCGGCCTCCTAAAGTGCTTAGATTACAGGCATGAGCCACCGCGCCCGGCTAATTTTGTATGTTTAGTAGAGACGGGGTTTCTCCTTGTTGGTCAGGCTGGTCTCGAACTCCGACCTCAGGTGATCCGCCTGGCTCGGCCTCCCAAAGTGCTGGGATTACAGGCGTGAACCACCGCGCCCGGCCGCGACTTGTTTTTGTTACAAGGTTCCTCATTTCATTTGCAACGTTCAGACGCAGTCTGACTAGATTTCCATCCGGAGTAAGGAAGAGCAGCTCAAGGGCAGTCACGGAGGCCGCAGGTGCGGCTTCTTCACCCGCGGTGCTGGAGTTCTCTCAAGTGGAAGCCCAGGACGATGAAAACCTCATAGGTAGGCTGCTGCTTACACACAGCAGCCGCCACGGCGCAAAATAAACTACAAAACTACAAGCCTTTACCTTTTCAAACACACTGACGCGGGCCAGCCCCAGCCCTACGCCCGCAGGGGCACGCAGAAAAGACTTAGTTACCACGGCCAAGTACGAAGCCTTCGAGATAGCGTTCTTCTTACCCTACGTAAACACGCAGTTTCCCGAGCTCGACAATCGGCTAGCCACTCCTGATAGCGTTCGGCGCTCGCCTCTCGGCCCTTGCTCCTGCGTACTACGGCTTCTTCCAGTCACCTCGGCCCGGATCGGGAAGTGTCAAGCGGGCGCTCCCCCATCTCCGCCGCTATTACCACTGAACCCGGACCCCCTACCCAGGTCCAGGGCCAGCCGCCATGACGAACGGTGAGAACTGATGCCCTGAGCGGAGGGTGGGAGTGAAGGACGAAGGGAAAACGTGGCGGGCGGGGCCGGGACTGACGTGGCCGTTCTCCCCGCCCCCTCCCAGCCCGGCCCCCCTTGGCCTCTCGACGCCCCTAACTTCTGTACCCCTATACTCCTCTACGGGTTCCCCCTTCCCATATTCATCTAGGACCCCCAGTGCCTCTTATGCTCACACCTCGAGTTATCTATCCCTATGCTTTGCTTTCCCTTTTCTTTTTCTTAGTTCTTTCTGGCCCTTGGAGAGGTCAGTCCCAGAGGTACTACTGCTATTTAAACCCGGGGAAGAGAGAGGCTCCTCCTCCCAGCTCCCTGCGTTCTCATGCTTTCGGACCGTAGTTTTGTTGAGAGGGCCAATAAATGACATAGAATATCAAGTCCCACACTTTTGGGGTTGCTGGTGAATGTAGACCCCACAAAAGCTTCTTCTTACGGAAAAATACCGGAAAGATTTCTGATTTTAAAGTCCTGGCGGGGTGATCCCACGTGGAGACCCTGACTAGTGTTGCAAAGGGTGGATTTAGACACTGCCTCTTCTAGATGATGAGGCAGTTTATCTGACCTAATTTTCCAGGCCTCTTCAAACACTTTATGAATTCTGAATTCCAGAGGAGGACAGGAAGGAGGGCCTTCATGATTTTTAGTGTCAACCTTACAGGAAAGGAGAAGAGAAAGCCTTTTAGGCATTACGATGATTTGAGGGGCTCCGGAAAGCATTTCTCAAAAGTACTTTGTCCATAGACCTGGCACTGAAGACTCGAATTTAACCTCCTTGTGAATTTTGGCATTGTCTGCAGAAACTTATGAGAGAAAAGGGGTAGCACGTGAAGGTATAGTTCCTCAGAAAACCTTAGTGTATGTATTAATTTGCTGGACCCTTTCTTAGTGACAGCTTAGCTGTGAGACAGTTTTACTGGAGGAAGAGAGGTAGTGTGATCTAGAACTGGCAGACACTGGTTATATATAATATTCATTTGGAGCTTCCTGGGAAGTCAGAGGTCTCAGGATACTAGGCACAGTAAGAAAAGGGAATTTACCCAGAGGAAGACAGAATCTGAACCAGGAAGTAAGACAGCAGTTTGACACGGTAGTTGCTGAATAAATTTTAGTCATTCTTCCCCCATTTTGTGGTCCAATATCTTCTTGTTTTTTGCAATTAGGTGATTCATTGTGCTTCCCTGTACAAGAAATAAGCTTGGTTTATGTATTTAAGAAACAGAGCTAAGAAGTTAAAGCTTTCTATGTTGAAGCCTTAGATACTTTTTCTTTGTTTTAGAAAAATCTGTTATTATTCTGGCAGAAATTCGGTTTGTTAAGAGTATCATCCATAAAGTGTAAGATAATGATAGGAAAATTGTAGTCATGTGGATTCTTACTCTTGCAACTTTCATTAAGCTTAATTTTTTGCCTTAACATATTCTTCACCAACAGTTGCACATCTGACAGTTTTGGCTACATATCTAGCTCTCCTTTATCATATGAGTGATTTATAACAAGAACATGTTAAATTCTCTGTGCTGAGTCTCTAAGGATTCATATGTCTCAATCTATTGCCAACACTAGTCATTCCTGGGATGCTAATTTCTGCCCAGGATTTCTACTTCTTGAAAGGTGAGGGGAAGGACCAGTGACATTTTAGTAAAGGGGATGTAAAAAAAAAAATTTTTTTTTGAGTTGGGGTCTCACTCTGTTGCTCAGGCTACAGTGCAGTGGCATGATCGTAGTTCATTGCAGCCTCGAACTCCTGGGCTCAATTGATCCCCCTTCCTCCTACAAGCAATTTTTGGGAACAGTAAAATAATCGTGTTAGTCCCAGGATCCTGGCTCCCCCTTGTCAAGTGTCAGTACTGCCTGTTGAGGTTATTATTTTGTTATTATGTCACACACTATCTTCCTTAGAGTTCTCAGGCGGGATCACAGGTCCGACGCTAGATCAGTACCTAAGGTTTTCTTTTCTTCTTTATTTAACAGTGTACTCCTTGGATGGGATTCTGGTGTTTGGTTTGCTCTTTGTTTGCACCTGTGCCTACTTCAAGAAAGTACCTCGTCTCAAAACCTGGCTGCTATCAGAGAAGAAGGGTGTTTGGGGTGTGTTTTACAAAGGTGAGGCCATGTCTGGACAGGGAGAAGAGACTGCCATCTCTGGACAGTGTGGAGCTACAAAGTAGGGAGTACAGTGAGCTGGGATTATATTTGGTTTCATTTTTAGAAAAAAATCCCTCCGATTGGGTCTGAGAGTCTGGAAAATTAATCATTCTCCAAAGTTGAGGGAAGAGGTAAAAGTTAAAATTTGCTGGGTGTGATGGCTCATGCCTATAATCTCAGCACTTTGGGGGGCCAAGGCAGGAGGATTGCTTGTGTCCAGGAGTTGTAGATCAGCCCGGGCAACACAGTGAGACCCCATTTCTACAAAATATACAAAAATTAGCCAGGTATGGTGGCACGTGCCTGTAGTCCCAGTTACTCAGGAGACTGAGGTGGGAGGATTGCTTGAGCCTAGGAGGTTGAGGCTGCAGTGAGCCATGGTGGAGCCACTGCACTCCAGCCCAGGTGACAGGGTGAGACCCTGTCTCAAAAAAAAAAAAAATTATTTAAAAACATAATTGTCTATTTTAGCATCCAGATGATTTTTGTATTCTCCATGGAGTAAAAGTATACACATCAAATCATTTTAGGCTGGGGTGGAATTCCTCCCTTCAGTGGGAAAAAAATTTTTCTACGGAAAATTTTTCTTGATTTTCTGTAAATGGTACATTGGAGTCTGTTTTAAGGTTTGAGTTAATTAACTCAGATGCTTTTTTGTACTTTTTATTTGAGGCACATTCATTTGGAATCCTATCTACCTAAATTTTTTTTTGAAAAAGGACAAAATATAAACAAACAGTATATTCACCTAGACCCTAAAGCATAAGGATAGCATTTAGAAACATCTCAGAGGCCGGATGCGGTGGCTCATGCCTGTAATCCCAACACTTTGGGAGGCCGAGGAGGGCAGATCACCCAAGGTCAGGAGTTCGAGACCAGCCTGGCCAACATGGTGAAACCCTGTCTCTACTAAAAATACAAAAATTAGCCAGGGAGCCGGGCACGGTGGCTCACGCCTGTAATTCCAGCACTTTAGGAGGCCAAGGTGGGTGGATCACCTGAGGTCAAGAGTTCAAGACCAGCCTGGCCAAGATGGTGAAACCCCATCTCTACTAAAAATACAAAAATTAGCTGGGCATGGTGGCAGGCGCCTGTAATCTCAGCTACTCAAGAGGCTGAGGCAGGAGAATTGCTTGAACCCGGGTGGCAGAGGTTGCAGTGAGCCGAGATCGCGCCACTGCACTCCAGCCTGGCCGACAGAGTGAGACTGCCTCCAAAAATAAAATAAAAACATCCCAGGCCCTTGAGAGCGTTGATATGTCTGTCTGTGACTAGAGACTTCAAAATATCACCTTGAAAGTGAGGACTTCGGTGAAGGGCAGGGTGTGATTTCTTCTCTCTTTTGCCTGCTAGCCGCTGTGATTGGAACCAGGCTGCATGCTGCTGTGGCAATTGCTTGTGTTGTAATGGCCTTTTACGTCCTGTTTATAAAATGAATTCCAAAGCACCCAAGTCATCAACTGCCAACCAAGGGGACGGGGATGAAGAACCTGTTGGAGACCTGAACCCAGTGTAGGAGAGTTCAGCTGAAATCATCGGTCCCCAGGATGACACCACAGCATCTGCCCCTGCTATATGTGGGGAAAACTCATGGTCACGAACATTATTTATGCTTCAGGGGACTACAGAAAGCCAGCTTCCTTTGATCTATGTGTAAATCAGTCCTTGGCAGAGTGCATATAATGTCCGGATAAATTACACCCCTCGGTGATAAGATTACATACCTCCTTCATAAAAACCTGTCATCCTGTTTTGTTCTTCAGCTCCTCATCAGGATCTTTTCAAACTGAGGCTCATTAGGGAAGGAACTAGGCTGTGTTCAGACTTCTTTTGAAGAGAGAGAATTTTCAAGACTTCTTTTCACTCTTTGATTTGGATCTGGCAAATTGGGGAGGGGATGCTGGGTGGGAAACAGTTATGAAATGCCAAGAAATTCTTTGGCTTTAGAAATTTATCTTTCATGTACCCATCCGGGAACATAAAAGAGAGGCATAGTGCTCATTGCAAAAAGAGAACAGATGAAGTAGCTGTGTTATGTGCTGGTATCTTGAGAGTTTTGCCAAGAAAATCTGGGCCTACATAAAATTTGAGAATTATCTGTGTGATGAGACCAGAAAGCAGTGGCTTAGACAAGAAAAAATCTTTCTGTTCACCAGTATCCTCAAATGGAGACTTCACTTGATCAGATGGTATATGAAAAATGAATCAACTATTGCTATTTCGTAAAACCTTTTTATATTTTCTAAATTTACTTAGTGCTAAATACTGTTACTCAGTTTTAAATGCCACGACTAGGGGAAAAAGAAACTATTGAAGAAATAATTGTTTAGTATATTTGCAGTTGGGGTAGAAGAAAGAAATCTAGTATATTGATTCATATACTAGTAAATTCATCTAGTATAAGAACTTGTGATGTTAGATTGAAGTTTTGTCATCTTATAAAAGACAACAAACTTATTTTCTGTTTAAGTCTGAGTGTTATGGCAATTTTTAGTTGATTACTTATTTTTCTTAGCCAAATTTTAATTTTCTTCATATTGCATTGCTCTTTAGTTGTCTCTGGAAATTCTATTTACTTTAAGGACATGAGAAATTCAAATGAGAGAAGTTGCTGATATTCATCAGTGTGTTTGGACAGTTCATAGGGTCCACAAATCAAATGAGGTTGTTTCCTGAAGTAGAAGAAAACAGAACTTTGCAATTGATACTGAAGTACTTTGCCATGGAGTTAGTAACTCCTGAGCAGACCATTTTAGATGGCTCAGCATTTGGCAGGAAGACTTCTCCATTCCCTGCTTATATCTATGGAAGGATCAGCTGTTGGATGTCTAGAACTTCTCTATTTAAAAAAAAAGAGTAGGTCTAAAATTAAATTATTATAAGCAAGCATAGACATGGGTCTTCCAGTTGAATTGTCCATTACCGTAAAACTTAATGGTGGACAAGTTAGCTGTGGTTGATTCCTGTGTGGCAGTAAATTGTCTTCTGTCTGCTTACTCCAAATAATAAAAGCTGCTAGGAAGTTTAGATTTTGAAATAGGCAGTTTAATGCTTTGAGGGTTTCTAGAAATACAGAAAGTCATCAAGTAAACACTGCATGTCTAATCATCTCAGAGTTGTGGCTGTTATCTCTTCAGGAATTGGTCCACAGGGTAAATTTCAACAATTCATACGTTTTCCATTGTCATTTCTGAGGACCTTTGAGATGAGAGAAAGGAAATCTAGTGGAACAGGAAAGAGAGTTACACCTTGTGGGTGTGAGTTTGGGACCTGTTGGCAGAAGGGAATGTCACTCCCTGGAAACAGGTTCAGCATGTTTGCACTTGTTATTTTGTAGCTTTAATGATTTTTGTTTTCTAATAGGGCAAATGTCTCTAAGCTTGGTGTTTAGAGCTGCTTCATATTTTAAACTAGTTCCATTCCACAGTTCTAGTTCAAACCAGTTTTTACAGCCTCCTGGGTGGGTCGTCTTGACCCAAACTCTTGTGTTGTTACATTTTGAGAGGTTTTCATACCAGAATGTACCAAAAAGTGCACAAGGTAAAGGTAATTTACAGCCAGAAACAAATATACATTTGTTTCATTTCTTGACTTTCCCTAAGCAGATAAGCAGAAACTTGTTTAACTCATTACTTTGTTTGATGTGTCTTACATATTTTTGACTAAAAGTTATAGAATGTTATTCCTCTGGGGGAATCTTTTACAGGTGGAGGAATGGGGATAGCAGTATTGCCTCAGATTCAAACTGGCATCACCATAAACCCTGTAGGCCAGGGTGGAATGAAGTCAGCTCCTTTTTATAGTTGAAATACAATTTTTTATTCACCATTGTCTGCACAAATCCTTGAAAATAAACCTTTTTTTCCCTACAGTCTTTGTCAATTTATTTGTCACATGCTGAATTTATTGAAGTTTGTTCAGTCCTCCCCTGGGTTCAGTTCATAGCCTACCTTTTTAGTTCACATTAGTAAATACCATCATTCCTGTTATCCCATTGTGAGAGCATTGAATGTATTATATAGTTAAGAATCTATGATGGCCTAGTTTTCTCCTTTAGGGCAGCTGAGACAGATATATCTAGAGATATCTATAACTAGATATATATATGTATATATGATATGCTGAGATATATATAACTAAATATAAATGCATGTAGTAAGTTTTCATATATATACGAATAAGATATTCATATATATGTGAATGAATAAGTATTGAGGTATATGAATGAAATAAGGTAGATAGCACCCCCAATACATTCCATCTGCTATTGCTATTAAAATACAAGTATCATCTGCTCTAAACAGTCATAAACATCTTCATTCAAATGAAGTTAACAAGTTAACCAGCCAGACACCTAGAAAATCCTTGAGCCAGACTTTGGGAGGCTGAAGCGGGTGGATCACTTGACGTTAGGTGTTCGAGACCAGTCTGCCCAACATGGTGAAACTCTGTCTCTACTAAAAATACGAAAAAAGAATGTGTCACTGCACTCCAGGCTAGGTGACAGAGCGAGACTCCGTCTCAAAAAAAAAATAAAAAATAAAAAAAATCCTTGAGCCAGCGGGATTCTGGCACATACAATGGGTACTTTCCCCCTTATTTGTTTATTTCAAGTGCCTGGTGAGACTGGCACAAGTACAAATTAGAACTTAAATCATTTTGTACTACTCTCCAAAATTCTTCTGATTTCTACCCCCCAACACCCATTTCATTGAAAAAGGAAAAAGAAGGAATTGAGCCATTAAAATTATGCTTTCTAATGTGAGAGGAGCTAATTCTGCTTATATAACCACTGCTATTTTACACTCTACTCATTCTGGAACTTGGAAGTCAACGTATGTTTTAATAGATATGACCATAAATGAAGGCTCAAAAATTTGGGTGCCACAGCATTAAGTTGTGGGCAGACTTAGGGCTCTCTAAGTGGGGACAGGAATATGCCTTCCTATCTGTACCCATTTCATAGATATCCTGACTTCCTAATATTTGGATTTAAATACAGTATTCTTGGCTGTGTGCAGTGGCTTAAGTCTATAATCCCAGCACTTTGGGAAACCAAGGCAAGAGGATCGCTTGAGCCCAGGAGTTTAAGACCAGACTGGGCAACGTAGTGAGACCTCTGTCTACAAAAATGTGTTTTAAAAAGTAGCCAGGTGTGGGCCTGATGCGGTGGCTCATGCCTGTAATCCCAGCACTTGGGAGGCTGAGGCTGATGGACCACAAGGTCAGGAGATCAAGACCATCCTGGCTAACACGGTGAAACCTCGTCTCTACTAAAAATACAAAAAATTAGCTGGGCATGGTGGCACGCACCTGTAATCCCAGCTACTCAGGAGGCTGAGACAGGAGAATCGCTTGAACCTGGGAAGCGGAGGTTGCAGTGAGTCCAGATGGCACCACTGCACTCCAGCCTGGGTCACAGAGCGAGACTCCTCAAAAAAAAAAAAGAAAAAAAGTAGCCAGGTGTTACCTGTGGTCCCAGCAACTTGGGAGGCTTAGGTGGGAGGATCAATTGAGCCCAGAAGGTTGAGGCTGCAGTGAGTCATGATTGTACCACTGCACTCCAGCATAGGAGACAGAGCAAGACCCTGTCTCAAATAAGTACATACATACATACATACATACATACGTACTCTATTCCTTACCTTTCCCTTTGGTAAAATGATGTTTGCCTTCTCCCTAGGGAGAAGGGGCTACTGGGGAAGCTGATGCTCCCCATGGTAATGACCAGAGATTGATGTCTTCTTGGAAAAGAAGTCACTCACCTATGAATATCCTGAAGTTGAATCATATTTAAAAAGGGCTGGGCGCGGTGGCTCATGCCTGTAATCCCAGCACTTTGGGAGGCCGAGGCAGGCAGATCACCTGAGGTCGGGGGTTCGAGACCAGCCTGACCAACATGGAGAAACTCTAACTCTACTAAAAATACAAAATTAGCAGGGCGTGGTGGCACATGCCTGTAATCCCAGCTACTTGGGAGGCTGAGGCAGGAGAATTGCTTGAACCCGGGAGGCGGAGGTTTCGGTGAACCGAGATCACGCCATGGCACTCCAGCCCAGGCAACAAGAACGAAACTCCGTCTCAAAAAAATTTAAGGCCGGGCGCGGTGGCTCACACCTGTAATCCCAGCACTTTGGGAGTCTGAGGCGGGCGGATCACCTGAGGTCAAGAGTTCAGGACCAGCCTGGCCAACACGGTGAAACCCCAAGTCTACTAAAAATACAAAAATTAGCCGGGCGTGGTGGCGGGCGTCTGTAATCCCAGCTACTTGGGAGGCTGAGGCAGAAGAATCGCTCGAACACAGGAGGTGGAGGTTGCAGTGAACCGAGATCGCACCACTGCACTCCAGCCTGGGTGACAGAGCTGGACTCCGTCTATAAAAAAAAGAAAGAAATTGGGCCGGGCGCAGTGGCTCACGCCTGTGATCCCAGCACTGTGGGAGGCCAAGGCGGGCGGATCACGAGGTCAGCAGTTCGAGATCAGCGTGGCCAACATGATGAAACCCTATCTCTACTAAAAATACATAAATTAGCCAGGCATAGTGGCGGACCCCTGTAATCCCAGCTACTCCGGAGGCTGAGGCAGGAGAATTACTTGAACCCGGGAGGCAGAGGTTGCAGTGAGCCGAGACCGTGCCATTGCACTGCAGCCTGGGCGACAGAGCGAGTCTCCATTTCAAAAAGAAAGAAAGAAATTGAAGACAAATTAAAGTCACGATCACAGAAAAACTAAAGATATGTATATAACTATGTAGTTATACAAAGGTCAAAAGGCTAAGTGCCGTGGCCATCGCCTGTGGTCCCAGCTACTCAGGAGGCTGAGGTGGGAGGATCACTTGATCTAGGAGCAATGAGCCGTGTTCGCGCTACTGCACTCCAGCCTGGGCGACACAGCAAGAACGGGTCTCCAAAAAAAAAAAACCACGATTCTGTAAGGTGGAAATTAGTACTGCCTTTTCCTGGGACCTATGTTCCCCTCCGAGCCACGCGAGGGCAGCAACGCGCGCACTCTGAGGAACACCCCCTTCCTCAGGACTCGTCCGCCTGTGCTCGGTGGTTTCTCCCAGAATCCTCCAAGGCGCGGGAGGGGGCGGAGAGCTTAAAAGTCGCGGGGGGAGCGGACTTCCGCTGTTTTAGGGAGGGAGAGCGGCCTGGGTCCTGGGTGTTGTGTGCGGAGCTGTGGCGTCGCGTGTGAGGCGCGTGCAGGGTGAGTGTGAGTGGACGCGTGAGTGTGTGAGTGTGCGCGCTTGGAGCGTGTTAGGCGAGTGCGTGCGCCCACCCCTGCGCCCCTCCTCCCGCTTACACTTTGATCTTATTTGATCGGATCGTGACCCCAGCCCCGCCGGGCCGACCCGAAATGAAAAGCTCTCCTCCTGCGAAGCCCCCTCGGGGCGCTGTGCAGCGAGGCCCCTTAGGCGGCGGCCACGCTGTGGTCCCCGAGGTCCCGGAGCTGGCCCTGCGGGGCCCGGCGCTCAGAAGTGATGAATTGATCAGATAGACGAGGCCGGGCTTGTCCCCGGCCACTGATTATCGAGGCGATTCTGATCTGGGCACGGCCACCGGGCTGCGGGCTGCCGGTGGCGTAGGGGCGAGCACGTGAACGGCGGCGGCGGGCGGGGATGCTGAGCGCGGTGGCCAAGGGTAAATGAGCCGCTGCCCCTCCCCCTGGAGCTGGAAGGTCGCGGAGGCCTTTTTGGCCGCTGATATACTTTCCTCCCACTTTCCCATTTCTCCTTGTTTTTCTTTTTTCTTTTGTTCCTTTTTTTTTTTTTTTGAGACAGGGTCTTGCTCTGTCGCCCAGACTGGAGTGCAGAACCGCAATATCGGCTCACTGCAACTTCGACCTCCTTGGCTCAAGCGATCCTCACATCTCTGTCTCCCGAATAGGTGGAACTACAGGCGCGCGTCACCACGCTCGGCTAATTTTTGTATCTTTTGGTAGAGACGGGGTTTCACCATGTTTTGCCAGGCTGGTCTCGAACTCCAGCCTCAAGTGATCCGCCCGCCTCGGCTTCCCAAAGTGCTGGGATTACAGGCATGAGCCACCGCGCCCGGCCCCTTTTTTAGTTTTTCTTTCTTTCTTTTTTTTTTTTGAAACGGTCTCACTCTGTTTCTCAGGCTGGAGTGCAGTGGCGCAATCATAGTTCACTGCAGTCTCGACCTCCCAGGCTCAAGAGATTCTCCTACCTCAGCCTGCCCAGTAGCTGGGACTATCAGTGCACGCCATAACGCCAGTCCTCTCCTTGTTTTTCTTTAGGCTTGGCTTGACTTTTTTTTTTTTTTTTTTTTTGAGACGGAGTCTTGCTCTGTCGCCCAGGCTGGAGTGCAGTGGCACGATCTCGGCTCACTGCAAGCTCCGCCTCCCGGGTTCACGCCATTCTGCCTCAGCCTCCCGAGTGGCTGGGACTACAGGCGCCCACCACCACGCCCGGCTAAATTTTTGTATTTTTTAGTAGAGACGGGGTTTCACCATGTTAGCCAGGATGGTCTCGATCTCCTGACCTGGTGATCCACCCACCTCGGCCTCCCAAAGTGCTGGGATTACAGGCGTGAGCTACGGCGCCCGGCCGGCTTGACATTTTTTGTATGCTACCAACACTTGTATCCCCAGGGCTAACGGCATGGTACAGCATCTGCCGCTAAGGGTTATACACACACTGTCTAGTATGTCCTTATACATGTATATGTCCATTAAGAGAACATGAAATGTTCCAGGGACACTCCTGGAATATACTGAATTAGAATTATCAGGGAGGTCTAGGAATCCATGTTTTTAAAAGCAAATGCCTTTTTTTGATGTTTAGTATCTCAACCTCCATAATGTGATTATCCAGGTAGTCATGCCTCTGCCACCTTAAGCCACTCTAAATAATGAGATCTGAAACTTCATATAGCCACTTGGCAGCAGATATGTGAATAGGTCGGAAAGTCTGGGTGGAAGGGGACTCTATTTATTTATTTATTTAGAGACGGAGCCTCACTCTGTTGCCCAGGCTGGAGTGCAGTGGCGCGATCTTGGCTCACTGCAACCTCCACCTCCCGGGTTCAAGCAATTCTTCTGTCTCAGCCTCCCAAATAGCTGGGACTACAGGCACGCACCACCACGCCCAGCTAATTTTGTATTTTTAGTAGAAACGGGGTTTCACCATGTTGCCCAGGCTGGTCTTGAACCCCTGACCTCAGATGATCCACCCACTTCAGCCTTCTAAAGTGCTGGGATTGTAATTCCAAAGTGCTGGGTGGCGTGAGCCACCGCGCCTGGCTGGAAGGGGACTCTTAACAGTTTGGCTTAAGGACCCTCCACCTGAGTGCCTGAAAGAAGCCCTTTCATATCTGAATTGCTCAGCAATTATGTTGTCAAACTTAATTAGAAATGGGAATTTATTGCACGATATTCTATTATTTTTCCTTTTTTTATTTTACTTTTTTTTTTTTTTAGACAGAGTTTCGCTCCTGTTGACCAGTCTGGAGTGCAGTGGCCCCATCTCAGCTCACTGCAACCTCCCCCTCTGGGGTTAAAGGGAGTCTCCTGCCTCAGCTTCCCAAGTAGCTGGAGTTACAGGCGCCCACCACCACACCCGGCTAATTTTTTGGTATTTTTAGTAGAGATGGGGTTTCACCATGTTGGCTAGACTGGTATGGAACTCCTGACATCAGGTGATCCACCTACCTCAGCCTCCGAAAGTGTTGGGATTGCAGGCATGAACCACTGTGCCTGGCTTGTTTTAATTCTTAATTTTTTTTTTTTTTCCCTTGGATGCAGTCTCACTCTGTCGCCCAGGCTGGAGTGCAGTGGCTCCGTCTCGGCTCACTGCAACCTCCACCTCCCGGGTTCAAGCGATTCTCCTGCCTCAGCCTCCCGAGTAGCTAGGATTACAGGCGTGTGCCACCACACCCAGCTAATTTTTGTATTTTTAGTAGAGACAAGGTTTCACCATGTTGGCCAGGCTGGTATCGAACTGGCTGGTCGCAAACTCCTGACCTTGTGATCTCCTGGTCTCAGCCTCCCAAAGTGCTGGGATTACAGGCATGAGCCACCGCGCCCAGCCAATTCTTAAATTCTTGATATTACAGAACTAAAGTGAAACTTATTAACATTTCACTCTTAAATATTTTATCGACAAATAAAATTCATGACCCAAAAAGCCCAAAACAAAACTAAAAACAGGGAAAAGCTTATAAAATTAAAAATGGTTCCCAGCATTAACAGCTGAACAGAGAATGTGATTTTAAAATTCTTAGCAGATGATGTTGTGTAGAAACTGAACACTTACAAATTATTTAAAAGCTGGAATCACTCACCAGAAACTACACAGTTGGATCATGGGAAAACAGCACAAAGGGGTTATTGAGGGAACCTACACTATTCTAGCTGCGCTCCGTACCCTTCTCAGAGGAAAGCCTGGCATTGATTAAATACTGGCCCAGACTGACACTAGCAGCAGAGCCCCTGATGGTACCCTGCCTATCAAGACCCTTCCACTGGGTTGGCAGTTTTGATCTGGGCCCCGGACATCCGGCGGATCTCATTAATGTTGGCGCCTTGGGGGCCGATTACACAGCCAATTAAGTTATCTGGAATGGTGAATTTGTGGGTGGTTTGAGTAGATTTTTGTTTGGTTGTTTTTTTTTTTTTTTTTTTTTGAGACGGAGTCTCGCTCAGTAGCCCAGGCTGGAGTGCAGTGGCGTGATCTGGGCTCACTGCAAGCTCTGCCTCCCGGGTTCACGCCAGTCTCCTGCCTCAGCCTCCCGAGTAGATTACAGGCGCCCGCCACTATGCCCGGCTAGTTTTTTTTTTTTTTTTTTTTTGTATTTTTAGTAGAGACGGGGTTTCACCATGTTAGCCGGGATGGTCTGGATCTCCTGACCTCGTGATCCGCCTCGGCCTCCCAAAGTGCTGGGATTACAGGCGTGAGCCACCGCGTCCAGCCTTGGTTGTTTTTTTTTTTTAGACGGAGTCCTGCTTTGTCACCTAGGTTGGAGTGCAGTGGCACAATCTCAGCTCACTGCAACCTCCGCCTCCCAGATTCAAGCGATTCTGCCTCAGCCTCCCAAGTAGCTGGGATTACAGGCGCCCTCCACTACACCCGGCTAATTTTTGTATTTTTGGTAGAGATGGGGTTTCGCCATGTTGGCCAGGCTGTTCTCGAATTCCTGACCTCAAGTGATCTGCCTGTCTCGGCCTCCTGAAGTGCTGGGATTACAGAAGTTAGCCACCGCGCCCCTCCATAGTTTGAGTAGATGTATCCAAACTTGCTTAGCCTTTCACCTCTGGAGAACTGGAGTCAATTCGGGTGAATCCGGTCCCGCCGTGCATCATGGCAAAGTGAGATTGTTGTCTTGCCACCTGGTTCAGCTTGGCCAGATCAAGCGGAGAAATGATGTGTTGTCCTTGAATCGAGTAGGCATCTAGAGGTGGTCCCTCCAGGTCACGGGTGCCTCGGGGGTAGCCCACAGCCTTGCTGCAACGATCTTGGCCGCCCGCGCAGATGACTGGGGACTTGGCCGGCATGGGCTGGTATGGAATGGTCATGACTCTCCCCTGGGAAGACTGGGAGAGCGTTTCCGGCATGATCAGGCAGATCTCTTTGACAAACCGATGGTGATGGCCCTCTCAGTGGAGTTGAGCAGTATATCCCCCACCACCTAGACCTGGGTACCATACTCTCGCGGATCTCTTTGATCTTAAATCTGCCTTTCCCAAACCTTTCTCTCTTTTTTAGCTTAGAAAACTACTTATTTAATTGTTTTGAGACAGGGTCTCACTCTGTTGCCCAGGCTGGAGCGCAGTGGCTCCATCATGGCTCACTGCAGGCTCAATCTCCCGGGCTCCAGTGTTCCTCATGCCTCAGCTAAAAGTGTTGGCATTACAAGCATGAGCCATCACACCTATTGTGCAATATTCTAAAAGGTTTGCCATTCTTGTCCAATCTTTTTTATGACACAGCAGGTCCCTGTGAGTGACTTGTAATTTTGGAAATCACTGAATACATCAGTTTTTAGGTACTGCAAACCCAAGCACCAGGTTTTTGAACCATGTTTATAAGAATCAGGGCTATATATCACAGCACGAATTGACACAAAGGAAAGGGAGTTGACTCCCAGGCAAGGACAAATAGCAGAGTTAGAGATTAACAGTGGCGAGTCAGGACCAGGGAGATGGAACCAAGGAAAAGTAAAGCCCAGCAAATGCCTAAACCCAGGACGGCTAAATCTCTTAAGTGTGACCTTAGCATAAATACTGATGTTATTTGGAGCTTCTGAAAATACAAGGTAGCTCATGTCCATTTTTGTTTCCTCAACACTTAGCTCAGTTCCTGGCACATAAAGGTTTGCTGGCAGTGTTGAATGGATGGCTCTGTATGGTTGGAGTGACTTCAGTTTACAAAATATGAATATCTGTATCCTACCAAAGACTGCTGTTGTGTCCTAAATCTTCATCAGCAAGATATGATTTTCCAAGTTGCAAATATACCCCAAAGGACTAGTTTCTACGAGATGGGTAATTTCCTTCCCGTGTTTTAAGAGTAGTCAAGTGGAGGCCGGGCGTGGTGGCTCACACCTGTAATCCCAGCACTTTGGGAGGCTGAGGTGGGTGGATCATGAGTCAGGAGTTCAAGACCACCCTGGCCAACATGGTGAAACCCTGTCTCTACTAATAATACAAAAATTAGCCAGGCGTGGTGGCGTGTGCCTGTAGTCCCTACTACTCAGGAGGCTGAGGCAGGAGAATCACTTGAACCCGGGAAGCAGAGGTTGCAGTGACCCGAGATCGTGCCATTGCACTCCAGCCTGGGCGACAGAGCGAGACTCTGTCTCAAAAAAAAAAAAAAAAAAAAAAGTGGTCAAGTGGCAATTTGTAATCTATGGATAACAGACACTTCAGACTTCATCTTGCACAAATCTATTTAATGGAAGTGGGCCGCAGTATGTTTCACTATAATTAGTTCAGGGATCTGTCAACACTAGGTGGAGAAGAAGCCACCATCTTTCTTTCGGGAGTAGCCTCCATTGGTGGCTGCAGTGTGAGGGGACACTGTGGAGAAAAGAGAAGAGGAAGTGGACTGAATTTCAGATCGTTGGCCTTTTCTAGGAAACTTTAAACATCAATACATTTGTAGGTACTGTGGAGAAGCTTCTCATAACAGCTGGGAAAACCGGCATATGGAGGACTGATGGGAGGTACTTATAGGTCTTCCACCCCCAGGTTTTTGCCCTTGCTGTAAATGTTTGTCTCCTAGACCTAAGGCTGAGCAAAGAGGCTCTGAAAAATTGAATTAATTTCCTAGCTCTATAGTCAGCATGTCCCCTGGTATTAATCTGGTACTTGCCAACTTAATCATTGCTTTCCAAGACCCACAGATATCCTTCATCTTCCCTACTGTCCAATCACCTTAAATCCCTGATTCATGGGTCCATTTAGAAAGACTCCCCCACTGCCCCATCTGCTTACCCAGTCCTCTAACCCTTACCTATGGATCCTTGGATGCTGTGGATGGACTCCTTTTTAGGGTTGATCCAGTGTCTGATGTTAGCCAGGAAAGTGATGGGTGGAGTGGGAGGGGTTAAAAATTCTCCAGGGAATTGGATCTTGGTTCTAGAAGAAGGCATAGGGAAGAAAAGTGGAGAGTGAAATCAATCAGAGAAAGGTGAGGAAGGCAAGGTAGTTGAATGTGATCTCAAGAATAAAGCAGCCAAAGACTCTTTTTACCTCTGTGGGATTAACCAAAGATTTTGTTTATACAGATGAGCACAATCTTGGGAGATTTCTGTTCATCTTAGACAGTGAAAATACAGAAACTATATTATAGACACAGATGTAAAAATACAGAAATTTGTATACAAATGAGTACCTAGTGATTATCATTTTCCAGGTGACATTTTACCTTATATGACTGGATGGCAGCATGTTTAGGCTGGAGAGGCTCTGCCTCTACCACTTACCTATAGGTATCCTGCGTGGTTTTCTGGTTTAACAGTATCTCACTTTTGTTCTTGAATGTCCCAGTGTGGTGGTTGTACAAGGCTGCTAAGCGGAAGTCCAGGTCATCCTTTGGTATCTACAGAAGTCAGTCCCCCCCAAGGTTAGCTCAGCCACCTGTGTCCCTGCTCTAGTCAGGTTCTATTGTGCTCTACTCTTCCCCAAAAGTATAGTGAAGGCTCTCTTGGGCCTGAAATCCACCAACTCCGTACACACTAAATTGTTGTATATGATAACTCTTGTTGATATGGAATTATCTTTGGGTTAGGTCTAGGGAGTGGTGAGCTCTCACTGGAGACTCAGGAATATTGTTCCTGATGTGGGCTTAATGAACTTTACCTCATTCATGTTTATATTCAGTCCTTGTTTTAGTTAGAGAATGAGAAGGTTTGTAAAATCATTTGCTCTAGATAACTGCCTAGAGCAAAACCTAAGCCTTCTGGCTTCCCAGAGGCCAGATAAATTGATTTTTGGCTTTGGATTTGGTAGGATCTTGGGTTAGAGACAAAAGGAAAAGTACTGAAGCAGTTAGGGACAGACTAAATTTCAAAAAGAATATTAAGGGCTGGGTGCAGTGGCTCATGCCTATAATCCCAGCACTTCGGGAGGCTGAAGTGGGAGGATCGCTTGAGGCCAGGAGTTTGAGATCAGCCTGAGCAACATATCGAGACCTCATCTCTTCAAAAAAAAAAATTAGCTGCATGTCATGGCACATGCCTATAGTTTCAGGAGGCAGAGGCAGGAGGATTGCCTGAGCCTGGGAGGTTCAGGCTACGGTAAACCATGATCAGGCCACAGCATTCCACCCTGGGTGACAGGAAAAAAAAAAAAAGCCCTAAACGGCTGCAAAGAGGAATAATATTTCAATGCTAGGTACCTCGGGATCAAAATAGTAGGCATCCCGCCTCATGGAAGTAATTGTGGGGGTTGAGTTGAGCCGACTCCAGGGTTCCTGCTGCTGAGCAAGGTGTGTTGGGTTCTTATATGGCAATTTCTGCAAAAGAGAAACCGTATCCAGGACAACCTGGTTATACGGGAAGCCTTGCTGATGTGGTTAGCTTCAGTAGCATCCCCTTATTCCATCCAGTTTTGTGTTTTTTGTTTTGTTTTATTTTTTGAGACAGAATCTCACTCTGTCATAGAAGCTGGAGTGCAGTGGCGAGATCTCGGCTCACTGCAACCTCTGTCTCTTGGGTTTAAGTGACTCTTCTGTCTCAGCCCCTCAAGTAGCTGGGATTACAGGCATGTGCCACTATGCCCGGCTAATTTTTGTATTTTTAGTAGAAACAGAGTTTCACCATGTTGGCCAGGCTGGCCTTCAACTCCTGGCCTCAAGTGATACACCTGTCTCAGCCTCCCAAAGTGCTCAGATTACAGGTATGAGCCATCATGCCCGGCCCCATCTAGTTTTATTTGAATCTCAGACATCTGCAAAGAGAAGAATGGTATGGGGCAAGACTCCCCAGGCTCTTGATCCTCCTATGTTTTCTTAATGAGAACTGACAGAAACAGGCCAGGAATATAGGAGAAGGTGTGGAGTGGGATGAGGGGAGTGAAGAGTTGGGAGCAGATAGGAAAAATGATGAGCTTAGGTTTAGATGTACTGAGTTTGAAGAAAAGGTGAGACATTCTAATGCAAATAACAGGTAGAAAATTGGAAGTGTAACTTGTTGGAGGAGAGCTCAGAAGTCTTGGTTGTCCACATGAAGTAGTAGCTGAAGCCTGCAAAATGGAGTCAGGCCAAAAGGGAAGAACGGGTTTGTGAGGATTGTACAGTATTATAACTGGGAGTGAGGAGGGCCCTAGAGAAGCAGTCAGAGACGAAATCAGGAGAATGCAATGTCTAAGCAGGTGAGAAAAAGATTCCAATAAGCAGGGAAGGGTCATTGATTGCAGGAATGGCAGAAAAAGTCCACTGGACATTAGTCCTCTCAATAAAACTCCACAGGCATGAATGTAAAAAGCATGTAACAGATTTCTTCATTATATGTAAAATGCCATATTCACCACTGTATCCCCAGTTCCTAGCACACTACCTAACACATGGTATTAAAAAATGCTTGAATCCACTATATCATTTGACTGAATTCCAGTGAGTGCAACTAACAACCTATTAGAACTCTCGCTGGGTGCAGTGTCTCACCCCTGTAATCCCAGCACTTTGGGAGGCTGAGGCGGGCGGATCACCTGAGGTCAGGAGTTTGAGACCAGCCTGACCAACATGATGAAACTCCATCTCTACTAAAATACAAAAATTAGCTGGGGGTAGTGGTGGGCGCCTGTAATCTCAGCTACTTGGGAGGCTGAGGAGGGAGAATCGCTTGAACCCAGGAGGTGGAGGTTGCAGTGAGCCGAGATCGCGCCACTGCACTCCAGCCTGGGCAACAAGAGTGGGACTCTGTCTCAAAAAAAATAGAACTCTCATTAGACCTATCCAACATTGTAATCCTCCTTCCCCACAATATGGCAAAGTGCTATGTGAGCCATACCTTTTTTTTTTTTTTTTTTTTTGAGACAGAGTCTCGCTCTGTCGCCCAGACTGGAGTACAGTGGCATGATCTCGGCTCACTGCAACCTCCGCCTCCTGGGTTCAAGCGATTCTCCAGCCTTAGCCTCCCGAATAGCTAGGATTACAGGCATGTGCCACCGCATCTGGCTAATTTTTGTATTTTTATTAGAGATGGGGCTTCACCACATTGGCCAGACTGGTCTCAAACTCCTGACCTCAGGTGATCCACCTGCCTCAGCCTCCCAAACTGCTGGAATTACAGGTATGAGCCACCGTGCCCCGCTGTGAGTCATACCTTAATTGAACAGTGTGTATCAGGCACTGTGCTATCACTGAGAAGAATGAAGTATGAAAGAAAGAAAGCTACAGGTATTTGATGCCAGCATAGGCTCAGTTGTCCTTTGATGTGGCCCTGAGCAGCACTCCTCCCACTCTCCTTGAAGACCACTTAAACCTCGTCATCTCTGTCAGCAGAAGGATGAGTCTGTCTTTCACTGAGAAAGTCCAGACTGTCAAGCATGAATGCCATCTTTACATCCACTTTCTTTCCATCTCAGGGAAAGGAAAGTCCCTTTTACTCAAGAATAACCCTTTCTCCCCAGACCCACCCTTCCCTGGTCTTCTGAGACCTGTACCATTCTGCATACGCTCTCTTCTGACCCCAGCCTCACTTCATTTCTTTGTCGTGGTCTAGCTACCAGCCTGTCACCTTCCCTACAGAACCAGACCTTTTCAGGAGTCAATATTTACTATCTCTACTTCCTCACTCACCATTCCCATACCCTCTTTAGCTCACTGCAGTCTGGCCTCTGCCTCAAGCACCCCCTAAAACTGCTCTTGCTAGTTATCAATGATCTCTGTGGCCAGGTCAGGTGGATCCTTTCCAGGCCTGATCTTATTTGAACTCAGCTGTTTCTGGCACCATAATGCTGATTCCCTCAAATGCCCTCACCAAGCTCTGTGGGCCCAGCTCCTCTGGGTTTTCCTCTTATTTCTGGCCCTTATCTCTCAGCTACTGTCTCAGCTCCACTTTCTCTCTGTCCCTTAGGCAGTGCTATTCTCCAAGGGTCTCATTTTTACTTTTCTTATGCTCACATCCACTGGATGAGCTGATTCCCTTCCATGGCTTCAACTACCATATGGGTACCATAGCTCATACGGATACACAGCTCAGTCATACATCTTCAATCCAGAACTCTCAATCCTGTTGCCTACTATTGACCTTCACTTAAATATACCACAGTCACTACAAAAACATCTACATAGTTGATGTTTCTCAACATCTTTCTCCCCAAACCTGCTTCCCCAGGATGCCCCATTTCAGTGAAACCTCAGAATTAAACCGTTAGGAACCCAGCAGCTATCCTAGACTCACCTCCTCTCTTGGGCCCATGTCCAGTCAGTCTCCAAGTCCTGTCAGTCCTGCCCTGTGCACCTTTCTCACATCTGCACCTGATCACCACCCCCTGTGGCACTGCTGTAGATCTGTTACTCTTCCTCCTGGAGATCACCTCACCTGCCTCCTAGCTGATCCCTCTTGTCTCACTCTCATCCTATCCAGTCTGCTGCCACTTGTGCTTCCTAAAACACCCATCTGATTGTGTCACTGTGGTACTTAAAATCCTGCTATGGGGCTGGGACCCATGGCTCATGCCTGTAATCTCAGCACTTTGGGAGGCCAAAGCAGGAGGATCACTTGAGGCTAGGAGTTTGAGACCAGCCTGGGCAACAAAGGAAGATCCTGGTTCTACAAAAAAATAAAATAAGAATTAGCCGGGTGTGGTGGCATCACCTGTAGTCCCAGCTACTTGGGAGGCTGAGGTGGGAGAATTGCTTGAGCCCAGGAGTTCGAGGCTGCAGTAAGCCAAGATTGCACCAGTGCACTCCAGCTGGGGTGACAGAGCAAGGAGACCCTGTCTCAAAAAAAAAAAAATATCCCACAATGATTCCTCACATCCCTAGGATGAAACCATAGCTAGCTAGCATGGTGTACACAGCACACCCAGCCAACCAAGGGCATCTCTCCAGCTCTGATTTCTGAGTGCTTCCATTGCACGCCTACACTCCAGCCCTTCTAGACTATTTGCAGTTCCCCAAATAAGCCATTCTCTCTCTCCTTTCCATGTATTTGCACCTGCTGCTTCCTTTGCCTTGCATATCTGGTTCCTGTTTCCTTCTTCCTAACTCACATTCTATCCACTCCCTCACCTGGCCTACCTAACTCATATTTGGACATCAAAATGCATCTGCTCTGTGAAGCTTTCCTTTAAGTTCCTGGTTCTCACGGCACCCTGCACACAACTCTGTCACAACATGTGCTATTGTGCAAGCATTTTTGCTATTGTCGGTCTCTCTTTACTACTAGAGTTCCTTGACAGCAGAAGCTACATCTAATTTATTTATATATCCTTGGCGTTTAGCAGAGTGTCTGGCTTATAGTAAATAAGTATTGAATAAATAAAAAGGGGCTCTCAATATTGTTATTAGACCACAATCACCACTTAATTCATCTTATTGTGCACCACTTCATATATCCCAATCACTTCTACCAGAAAAAAGATCATCTAAGTTCCGAAATCAGTGTCCACCATCATGCTAAACACACACATAACAAACATATTGTGGTGTTAACCAGAAGACAGAGACAGTGTGAACACAGATGTGTAAAGCATGACCTCTGGTGGCTTTCAGAGGATTCTCTCCCACTCCATATCTCATTTCTCTTCAGAGAACAGTCTTCCAAATAGGGAAATGGGTAGCTTGAAGGAACCTGGGCACTGCCATAACTTATACTCACAATTGATTTGAGCTGCCAGAGCCCCTTGTTCCTCTAGACTAGAACTCTACTTTCCTCTGCTCAAAAACGCCTCTGAAACGTTAGCCGACTTGAATATGGAGATAGGGAGGCAGGCAGAAAACAGACTTCCCTGGTACCCGACTGAGTGTCTTCACCAGAGTCCTTTATGTTACCATCTCTGCTCATCACACAGACAGAAAGAAGACTACCGGCGACCCTACTGGGAATCTGCGCAAGAAACCACAGTACCTTGGAAGCCCGCAGTTCTCCTAAGTAGGAATCATCGTTATCTAATGTAGGCTGCTGGAAAGGGTCCCGGGTGGGAGGCATGGCTAAATGCCTAACTCTTTTAAGAGGGATGGGAGGCCCGCTCAGCCGCAGCACAGCCTCACTGGCATAAGATCCCGGGTCCCAATTGTTTGGAGCGCTGGTTTCGGTTGCCAGGCAACTGCCCAGCCATCTATGACAGAGGAATTCCCTCAGAGGAGGGCGCCACCTGGCGGCTGACCACGGGAGGCCCCTGGGGAGGAAGCTCCGGGGACTGCAGAGGGAACGTTCCGCTGAGCGGGCCCGAGACTTGGAATTGCACTCCTGAGCCTCGGCGGAAAAGTGCTGGCTGCTCACCATCAGGACTTCTGCAAAAGACTTCAGTTGAGGAAAGAAGTCCTGAAAGATGACCCAGAAATTTCCTTCTCCCTCGCACCTAACAAAAGGCTTTCAAAGCCATGAGAGAATGAGGATGTCAAGAGACCAAAGAGGGCCGGGCGCGGTGGTTCACGCCTGTAATCTCAGCACTTTGGGAAGCGGAGGCGGGCGGATCGCTTAAGCCCAAGAGTTCGAGACCAGTCTGGGCAACATGGCGAAACCCCGTCTCTACAAAAAGTAGGAAAAAAATTAGCTGGGCTTGGTGGCACGCGCCCGTAGTCCCAGCTACTCGGGAGGCTAATCCAGGAGAATCTCTTGAACCCGGAAGGCGGAGGTTGCAGTTAGCCGAGATCGCGCCACTGCACTCCAGTGTGGGCGAGAGAGTGAGACCCTGTCTCAGAGAGAGAGAGAGAGAGAGAGAAAGAGAGAGAGAGAGAGAGAGAGAGAGAGAGAGAGAGAGAGAGAGAGAGAGAGGCCCACGTGCGGCGCTTGGGAAATTGCGGCTAAGGCAAACTCCTCGCTTAAACTCGGATCAACTACAGTGTCAGGGCTTCTCTTCTAGCCGGTTGTAAAAGCACGGATGGATTTGGCGGGATGTAAGATCTCCAGGAGTGGCCTTCGTAGGAGGGAACACGTACTGGGGCCTCTTCCAGGCGACGACGTCTGGAGGGTGATCTCTCCATCTTCTTTCTCTCGGTTCACACGCCACGTGTGCAACATCGGAGATGCTCATAAAATAACCCCTGGCCCGAAAGGGCAGTAGAAAACGGAAATTTGTTGGCTGGCTTGGAGGATGCTTCCACTGTGTTCTTCACACGAGCCCCGGGCCTGCCTGTTGGGCCGGTTGCGCACCCCGGGCGCGCGCTCTCCCGCGCCCACGCCGCGCGCACCAGCGGCGGCGGCTGCCATGGCGACCCGCAGGTGAGCTGCAGAGGCGCGCGTGGTCCCTGCCCCACCCGCGCGGAGCCAGAGAGGAGGCGGTTGTCAAGGCGACGTGGGTAGGAGGAGAGGACAGAGGGAGGAGGAAGGATGGGCGGTGTTGGCGTAGCCGCAGGGAGGTGACTGAAGCGAGCCTGGCCTCTTGCATCCTCCGCCTGTGTACCTCCCTCCCCTTTTTTTCCGCCTTCTGCCAGCAGAAGCAGCAGCCGCAGCACCTGAGCCGCTACTGCCGCTCACTCAGGACAACGCTATGGCTGAGCCTGGGCACAGCCACCATCTCTCCGCCAGAGTCAGGGGAAGAACTGAGAGGCGCATACCCCGGCTGTGGCGGCTGCTGCTCTGGGCTGGGACCGCCTTCCAGGTGACCCAGGGAACGGGACCGGAGCTTCATGCCTGCAAAGAGGTACTGCCGCCCCCCTACCCGATCCCGCTTTGGTCACAAAAGTCTTGGATCCAGGCGGAGACCTTGGGGACCCAGGCGCAGAGAGTTTCAGACGCCACGGAGTTTAGATTTCTTTGGGGATGAGGCGTGGGGGGAGGGAAGAGGAGCCAGTCTGGCGTCATGAGGAGGCCAGCACATTGGAGGACTCACGGATAGATCATCCTCACAGATTGGGATGCTGAGCTCAGCGAGAAAGGTCCCAGCCCCAAGAAGGGGAGCTACCTGGGTACCTGAACTCAGAATGAGGGAGGCAGACGAGTTATTTTCCAGTTAGGATGAACTCACCTTAAAAGTGGTTGACAAGAAAAGATTATGCACAGAGAAGCAAAATAGGAAGAGGAAAGAAGAGTAGTGGGAGAGGAAAGGAGTTAGGAAGGCCAGAAAAAAGTATCAGAGCGAAGTGGTTTTATCATGGCTACACAAAACGGAGTGTGAAGGTGGGAGATGTGCGAGAGGGATGATAGGATTCCAGCTCTCTAGTTCCTTGTTTATTAAACATCGGTTAGTGCAGACTGTAAAATGTGTCTCCTCCTTATAGCTTGGCCTCCCCGCAGCGTACTATGTTTAGTGTACCTGACAGTACACGACTCACCTTTTTGCAGATTTTGAGTTCTTCAATATCTTGTGTTCTGCCAACCTCTAGTCTCCTTCTCTGACTTAACATATGTCAAAGTCTTTTTCAAGGTATTTCCAATATGTTGGAAGCAGAATTCAGACAATAGGTAGTCAATCTCTTATAACCAAAAATAGCTTTTGAAAAGTCATCTTGGAGGAACATAAAAGGGCACTAGCAGCAACAAAACTAAGTCATTTCTATGTTATTGAAATAACAATATTTGGTTGTGCTCTGAGCAACTTTTTTAGAAACCATATGGCAGAGGCAACAATAAGATATTTACAAGAACTACGTTGGGGAAGGCAAAATAAAAGTTCTGTTATTTCTGTGAAATGTGAAGGACTTCATAAAAAGTCAAGCATCTAGCTCTGTAAATTTAATCCCAAATATCAAGCTTGACTAAGGTTTTGAGAGGTTAGAATATATATATAGATGTATTTTCTTTACTTTAAAAAATATATGTTTTAAAATAGAAATGAGGTTTCGATATACTGCCCCGGCCAGTCTCTAACTCCTGGGCTCAAGCGACTTCCCACCTCGGCCTCCCAAAGTGCTGGGATTATAAGAATGAGCCACTGCGCCCAGCCCAGAATATTTTTTATAAATTGTTAGTGTGAACTGATTGGCAACAACTCCATCCCATATGGAGATAAATTCTTATAAAGATGTTCTGTGTCTACAGCACAGCAGGTCATAAAGAAGTCAGGTGTGGGGGGGAGGATTTTTGTGTGAATAAAGATACTTGATTTTGAAGATTCATGAATATGACATAAGTGACCCCAGTGAGTGGGACTTTTGATAACCTTTATTAGCTCCAATGACAACCTGCCCTGGGCCATCTACATTTCCACCTAGCCGCATTATGACCTGTTTTAGAGATCGCAGGGAACAGTATGATCTTATCAGTGACTGGCTCACTGGCCTTGATGGCCTGTGGTCTAACCAACCAAAATAATGAGACCAAGAAAGCCCACTTGCCTAAGAATCAAACAAGGGAGTTTCCTGAGTGGAAGGTAAGAATCATACAGTTTAACTACCAATTCTTGTTGAGATCTTTGTCAACAATGGAAAATATGAGACATTTCAGAAATTAAGCACTTCTATTATCTTGGTTTGGAGGAAGGGAAGAATATTGATACTTGAGAACTCGAACTTGTGTACGAATTTTGCCTTTGGTCCTGTTTGAATAACCAATATTTGCCTAAGCAAAAGGTCTTGCCACAAAGTGTAAGCTTAAGGTAGTGGAAAGCTATGGAGCTCAACCTACCAGGGTTTCAGTCCTGTTACTTACCACGTGGTTTTTGGATTTGTAGAATGGGTATCAAAATAACACCTACCTCAGAAAGGATTGCTTTGAGTATTGAAATAGAAAATACATTGGAAACACAAAAGAGAGTTACCCACCCTCCTTCTCTGTTCAGCTTCTTTCCCATTAGATCCACACCCCATGCCAGATTGGAAATGGCTTAGGAGGCATGCCCATTTGCCACAGGCGTCAGCAAGTCCTGTTTACATTCTCCTTGAGCAAACAGTGGCCATTGAACACCCTCAACTCCAAAACAATCAGGGAGAGAATAAACCCATTATTATAGTATTCATTTGGCAATATGAACTGATCAAACAAGTTTGGGGGCTTCCAACCCCAAATGGTGAAAAACCAATTCAAGGTAGACCAGCTCTTCTCTGTTCTTTTTTTTTTTTTTTTTTTTTGGTGAGACAGAGTCTGGCTTTGTTGCCAGGCCAGGCTGGAGTGCAGTGGCATGATCTCGGCTCACTGCAGCTTCCACCTCCCAGGCTCAAGCAATTCTCCTGCCTCAGCCTCCCAAGTAGCTGGGATTACAGGCATGTGCAACCACACCCGGCTAATTTTTGTATTTTTAGTAGAGATGGGGTTTCATCATGTTGGCCAGGGTGGTCTTGAACTCCTGACCTCAGGTGATCCACCCGCCTTGGCCTCCCAGAGTGCTGGGACTGCAGGCGTGAGTCACTGTGCCCAGCCACTCTTCTCTGTTCTTAATCTTCATACGAATTTCTTGTGAGCTGATGTTGGGTGTTGATGGCAGGACTCTTATCAGGCCAAGGCTGACCCTAATGACAATAATATTGTTCCAGCCTTGTTCGTGAAAGCTGAGGCATCCCTCTGGATGTAATCAGGAAACGGAGAGGTTTAGCTTGAGGCCTAAACTGAAGTGGCAAAGTGGGAGTTCTAGACTGCTGGACATGTGCTGGGGCTTGGCATTCCTCTCACAGTTTTATAATAATCAGGGTCACAAATGGAACTAAACATCCTGTATGATATTCGTTTTCATGAATCGTTTCTTTAGCCAAGGCTAAGTGCTGACTGCGAGCCAAAGGAGCATTTCCCAAGGTGCAGTGAAGCAAATCAAACCAAAGAGGAGCAGAAAGCTGCCTTTAACACGCTCTACCTTATCCTGAGGCTCCAGGGCTAATTGGCCTCAAAGGGGTTCCCCAGTCTATATTGAAAAGCCCATGGGTTAGGAATCTAGCAGACATGGATTGGAATAAAATTTGTTGAATGAGTGATGCCATTTAGTAAGGATGCTACTTTGAGAAGTTAATTAACTTCTGTCAGCATCAAATTCCTGATCTGTGAAATGGGGATGGTAATACCTATCTCACAGGGCTGTTGTAGGAATTAAATTAAATAAAATAACATGTGAAGTGCCTAGTACATACCCTTGATATATCATAGGTACTTAATAAACGTTGGTAGGAAGAACAGTTAAGTACACAGATAATGACGTATAAATGACGTCATAAGATTAACATGTGGTAAACAATGCAGGAGTGGCAATATAGAGGATGATAGGAAAAGAAAGAAGAAAACTAATTCAGGGCGGGGCACAGTGGCTCACACCTGTAATCCCAGCACTTTGGGAGGCCGAGGCAGGTGGATCACCTGAGGTTGGGAGTTCAAAACCAGCCTGGCCAACATTGAAACCCTGTCTCTACTAAAAATACAAAATTAGCCAGGTGTGGTGGTGCATGCCTGTAATCCCAGCTACTTGGGAGACTGAGGCAGGAGAATCACTTGAACCTGGGAGGCGGAGGTTGCAGTGAACTGAGATTACGCCATTGTACTCCAGCCTGGGCGACAAGAATGAAACTCCGTCTCAAAAAAAAAAAGAAAGAAAGAAAGAAAGAAAATTAATTCAAACAGTTGGCACTTGACCTGCTTCTGTGATTGATAATCAGCAGCATTTCAGTAGGCAGAGATGGAGGAAGGGTGTTTTCTAGATAGAGGGAGGAGCTTGACGAAAGGTCCACATGTGGAAAATGCAAATGATCCTGGGACTTGCAAGCAGACCAGCTGGCTGAAATGTGCAATAGTGTGAGATACAAAGTTGATAAGGTTGAAAAATTCTAAACTAAGTGGAGAATCCCTGAAGGATTTCTGGCAGAGATAGCAGCCTAAGCAGAATGGATTAGCATGAATATAAAGTAAGCATGGTTGAGGTGGGCCAACAGATGAGAGCAGAGAGATGAGGCAAGGAGACCAATACTGAAGATATTACTGAAGTCAAGGAGGAGGTTAATAAAGGGACTGCACTGGGATGGGGGCAGTGGAATACATGGAAAGGCGTCTGTGTGAAAAACATGCTGACGGTGGAGGTTAGAGGATTTGGCAACTGATTGATGGTGTAGGGTGATGGTGACGGGCGGGTCAAGGATTTTTGTAAGGATTTTGGAGTGGGAGAATGGTAGGAGTTACTATCCAAAATGCAGAAAGAACAGCTTTAGGGAGCAGAGTGTTCCCTGTTCTTAGTTCTGATGTCCCTGGGATCAGCCCCTGTAGTCAGGGGAGAAAGTCCTGAGCCTTTGGCACGCTACTTCACTTTGTGAGCACAGTGTCTAGGCTTTTCTGTTTCCTCCTGTATTTGGTTCTTCTTTTTTTTTTTTTTTGAGACGGAGTCTCGCTCTGATGCCCAGGCTGAAGCACAATGGTGTGATCTCTGCTCACTGCAACCTCCGCCTTCTGGGCTCAAGCAATTCTCCTGCCTCAGCCTCCCAAGTAGCTGGGATTACAGGTGCCCGCCACCATGCCCAGCTAATTTTGTATTTTTATTAGAGATGGGATTTCATCATGTTGGCCAGGCTGGTCTTGAACTCCTGACCTCAGGCGATCTGCCCGCCTCGGCCTCCCAAAGTGCTGGCATTACAGGAGTGAGCCACCACACCTGGCCTAATTTTTTTTTTTTTTTGAGACAAGATCTGGCTCTACTCTGAAGGCTGGAATGTGGTGGTGCCATCTCAGCTCACTGCAACCTCCCCCTCCCAGGCTCAAGCCATCCTCCCATCTCAGTTGGGATTACAGGTGTGCACCACCATGCCCTGATAATTTTTGTAGTTTTGGAGAGACAGGGTTTCTCCATGTTGCCCAGGCTGGTCTCAAACTCGTGAGCTCTAGTGATCTGCCTGCCTCGGCCTCCCAAATTGCTGGAATTACAGGTGTGAGCCACCGCACTCAGCCTGCTTTTTTTTTTTTTTTCACATGTATGTCTCTCTAAACAATCTTATTTAGATCTGTTTATTTTTGACCTTTGTAAAAATATATTGCATTGTATATAGAGTTATAACATTTGCTTTTCTAACTCAACACTAAGCTTCTAAACTCATCTACGTTATTGTATGTTACTATATTTTGTGCATTTTCGGTGTTGTAAAATACTCCTTTGGTGAATATTCCACGATTTAAAAATTAGTTTTCCTGTTAATAGACATTTGGGTTTCCATTGTTTTGCTATTTCAAACAATGCTGCTATGGACATTTTTGAACCTGTCTTCTGGTGTGCAGGTACACGTTTCTTGAAGGTATAAGCCTAGGAGTGGGGTGCTGGGTTGTGGGTTGTGTATAGATTCATCTTTACAGGAGAATGCCAAATTGTTTTCTGAAGTGAGTGAATTAATCATAATTTATTCTTCAGTGACTCCAGAGATTGGGATTCTATTAAGGACCTTAGTCACCACTATGGTCTGATGTTTGTGTCCCCCCTAAATTCATACATTGATACCTAATCCTCAATGCAATGGTATTAAGAGGTGGGGCCTTTGGGAGGTGATTATATCCTATGGGATTAGTGCACTTATAAAAGAGGCCTGAGGGGCTGGGCACCATGGCTCATGCCTGTAATCCCAGCATTTTGGGAGGCCGAGGCAGGCTGATCGCTTGAGGCCAGGAGTTCAAGACCAGCCTGGCCAACATGTTGAAACCCTGTCTCTACAAAAAATGCAAAACCTAGCTGGTGTGGTGGTGCATGCCTGTAATTCCAGCTACTTGGGAGGCTGAGACACGAGAATTGCTTGAACCCAGGAGGCAGAGGTTGCAGCAAGCCAAGATCACGCCACTGTACTCCAGCCTGCGTGACAGAGCAAGACTCTGTCTTAAAATAAAATAAAATAAAATAAAATAAAATAAATACAAGAGGCCTGTATTTTTGCCCCCTCCACTATATGAGGACACGTAGACAGCACCATCTCTGAGGAATGGGCCCTCACCGGACGCCTAATCTGCTGGTGCCTTGATCTTGGACTTCCCAGCCTCCAGAGCTGTGAGCAATCAATATCCATTGTTTATAAATTACCTAGTCTATGGTATTTTGTTATAGCAGACCAAACAGACTAGGCAGTCACTTTAGCCCCAGACATACCAAGTTAGGGCTTAACTGTGGGGACACTCTCTCTTCACAAGTAATGCTGTTTCTTCAGAGCTCTTGGGGGTCGTGTTTACCTAGACTTTTACAGCTTTCTTCAGTTTTCAGTTTTGTAATCTGATGTGTCGCAGGTGGGATGAGTTTTCTTCTATTTTGGAAACTGGACAGATGAATTCTCATTCAGATCACTCACTAAATAGAGTCCAGGTGAAAGCAACTTCTAGGGCCAGGCTTCTGGAAATTAGTAGCATCTTAAGGTGTCAAGGTAGGTAACATCTTAGGGTAAAACAGAAATGTCACTCAATAAGAGCTATCTACTGCTCTCTATTCTATCTGAGAGGAGTCTTAGCTATTGTAACGTCTTTCAGGGAAGTGCCCTGTGGGCAAAAATAACGCTTCGTATCCAGATTTGGTACAGTTTACAAAATTTTGAAATTTTTGGTACTTTTTTGGTCCCTTTTTGCATTCTGTATTTCTTGAATTTTTTTTCAATTTTTTTTGAGATGGAGTTTCCTTCTTGTTGTCCAGGCTGGAGTCCAGTGGCGTGATCTCGGCTCACTGCAACCTCCGCCTCCCAGGTTCAAGGGATTCTCCTGCCTCAGCCTCCCAAGTAGCTGGGATTACAGGCATCTGCCATCACTCCCGGCTAATTTTTGTATTTTTAGTAGAGATGGTGTTTCACCATGTTGGCTACACTGGTCTCGAACTCTTGACCTCGGGTGATCCACCCCCCTCAGCCTCCCAAAGTGCGTGAGCCACTGTGCCTAGCTTTTGAATTATTACATTAAGAAAGTATCATTGTTATAAAAGCAATAAGGTTATTTTAAAATAGTATTCAATAGGCCAAAAGGGAATATGGAAGTAACAGCCTTGAACTCGTGGCCTCAAAGGATTCTCCTGCCTCAGTCACACTTTAGAGTTTCCCTTTACATTCAGGATGAATCCTGAAAAGAGGGGTAATGCTGCCTTAGACACTGGAGGGACTAAACTCTGACAAAAGAACATTACCAAGAACTATCTAGCCTTGTGAAATTTAGACAATTTCTGCAAATATGGATCTTTCATACTCCAGTGGCCCAATAATGGAGGTCTTCTTTGCCTGTGTATTACTTTTTTTTTTTTTTTTTTGAGACAGAGTCTCTCTCTGTCACCCAGGCTGGAGTGCAGTGGCATGATCTCAGCTCACTGCAACCTCTGCTTCCCGGGTTCAAGCAATTCTCCTGCCTCAGCCTCCTGAGTAGCTGGGATTACAGGCACCCGTCACCACGCCCGGCTCATTTTTGTATTTTGGGTAGAGACAGGGTTACATCATATTGGCTAGGCTGATCTCAAACTCCTGACCTTGTGATCCGCCCACCTTGGCCTCCCAAAGTGCTGGGATTACAGGCATGAGCCACCACAGCTGGCTCTTTTTTTTTTTTTTTGAGACAGAGTCTTGCTCTGTCACTCAGGCCAGAGTACAGCGGTGCAATCTCAGCTCACTGCAGCCTGTGCCTGTCGGGTTCAAGCGATTCCCATGCCTCATCCTCCCGAATAGCTGGGATTACAAGCGTGCACCACCACACTCTGCCATGTTGGCCAGGCTGGTTGGTGTTGAACTCCCAACCTCAAGTGATCTACCTGCCTCCGCCTCTCAAAGTGCTGGGATTACAGGCGTGAGCCACTGTGCCCAGCTTCAGATAACCTTTCCATTAAAAAAAAAAAAAAAAAAAAGGCAGGATGTAGTGGCTCGTCCCGGTAATCCCAGTACTTTGGGAGGCCATGGCCAGCAGATTGCTTGAGCCCAGGAGTTCAGGACCAGCCTGGGCAACATAGCAAGACCCCAACTTTACAAAACAGTTTTAAAAATTAGCTATGTGTGGTGGCCCACGCCTGTAGACCCAGACACTAGGGAGACTGAGGTGGGAGGTTCACTTGAACCCATGAGTTAAAGATTACAGTGAGCCGTGATCAAGCCACTACTCTCCAGCATGGGCAACACAGTGGGACTCTCTCTTTAAAAAAAAAAAGAGACTGGGTGCAGTGGCTGACACCTGTAATCCCAGCACTTTGGGAGGCCAAGGTGGGCAGATCACTTGAGCTCAGGGGTTTGAGACCAGCCTGGGCAACATGGTGAAACCCCATCTCTACTAAAAATACAAAAATTAGCTGGGCATGATGGTGTGCCCCTGTGGTCCCAGCTACTTGGGAGGCTAAGGTAGGAGGACCATTTGAACCCAGGAGGTTGAGGTTGCAGTGAGCCATGATGGCACCAGAGTAAGACCCTGTCTCACAAAAAAGGTAGGGGGATCTGTATTAGTTAGCTTTTGCTGTATAACAATCCACCCTGAGGCTTATTGTCTTAAACAGGACCCCTTGTTTAGCCCACAATCCTGTAGTTTGACTGGGCTAGGGCAGCGTGGCTGATCTATGCTGGGCTCCCTTGTGTGACTGGTCAGCTGGTAGATTGACTGCAAGCCAGATTACCTAAAATGCTTCACCCAGAGGTCTGACATTGACAGGCTGTTGGGAGCCCCTGCAAAGTCATTATGTAGGGGCATACATATGGGGGATGGGAAGAATATGTTGCCATTTTTGAAGCATACCACTAGGAAAAGCAGAGTTGATACAAATAACCAACCACTCCAATGGACCTATAGTTATAAATGTGGCTAATTACTAGGAAAGAAAAGTAAAGGATATGAGAGATTATTACAAAGATACCTACTTTACAGTATGCCACAAGATCTTTTATATACTTTCAGCATCTTTCTATAAAGACGACATATGAATATTTTTAATCACCGTATCTGTTGGTATAGATCACTGCTTTGGGAATGCAGCAAGAAAACTACAGCACCATAGTCAAATTGCATAGTCAAGGAAAAGCATACAAAGTGTTGATTTGAATGAGATGAACTTTAAATTTCTCTATTCCCTTTTGGCTTATTGAATACTATTTTAAAATAATCTTATTGTTTTTGCAACAATTATACTCTCTTATTCTAATAATTCAAGAAATACAGAATGCAAAAAGGACCAAGAAACTTACCCAGAATTTCATAATTGGTTAAGCTCATTGTAAACATTTCATTATATCTTTCCAGCTTTCTCTCCATACTTATAGACTTTCTAGACCTCTGTATGTATGGATATAAATATATACTTTTTTTTGAGATAGAGTTTTTCTCTATCTCATTCCCAGGCTGGAGTGCAATGGCACGATCTTGGCCCACTGCAACCTCCATCTCCTGGGTTCAAGCGATTCTCCTGCCTCAGCCTCCCAAGTAGCTGGTACTACAGGCGTGGGCCACCACGCCCAGCTAATTTTTGTATTTTTAGTAGAGACAGGGTTTCACCATGTTGCCCAGGCTAGTCTCCAATTCCTGACCTCAGGTGATCTACCCCCTCAGCCTTCCAAAGCGCTGGGATTACAGGTGTGAGCCACCATGTCTGGCCATAAATATGTAATTATCCATAAGTGTGTTTATTCCACACATGCTCTTTCATAACCTACTTTTTTCATGCAATAATATTGCAGGGGGCATTGCTACATGTTAATAAATATAGGTCTACATCATCATTTTTCTCTTTAAGAGAAGGAGTCTCACTATGTTGCCCAGGCTGGAGAGCAGTGACTATTACAGGTGTCATCATGGTGCAGTATAACCTTGAACTCTTGGGCTCAAGGTATCCTCCTGCCTCGGCCTCCCAAGTAGCTGGGGCTGCAGGCTTGTGCCACCACATCTAGCTACTTTATTATTTTTAAGGCTGCATAGAGTTCCGTAGGCTGTATATAATATAATTTATATAACTAACCAATTCAGATAACCAACCAATTTCTATTAGAATGAAGAATACTGAAGTGAACACTTGCATATATAGTTGTAAACATTTGCTCAACTGTCATTCAGTTAACTCCTTAAATTATGTTCTTAGAAATGAGGATTCTTTGACCAAGGGCATATATATTTCATATTGTTCCCTATTTCTCCATTTATCTTTTGGAGAAATTGCATCAATTTTTACTTCTCATTAACCTTGCACACCGTCACCTTTTCTCACATCCTTGGCAATGCTATCAATCCTTTAAAACTTTCATAAATTAATAGGCAATGCACATGCATACTGCATTCTTGGTCCATAACTGAGGAATCCCACCTGTTTTCAAAAGGACCCTACTGGAGCTCCCAAGTGACCTCAGAGCATTTCTAGGGGTTATTACTTCAGTTGAGGGAGATTTTCTGGCTCCTCACTCTACCACTTTCGATTCCTTGTGTGTGGTCTCTCTTTTTTTTTTGAGAGAGACAGAATCTTGCTCTGTCACCCAGGCTGGACTGCAGTGGTGTAATCTCGGCTCACTGCAACCTCCACCTCCCAGGTTCAAATGATTTTCCTGCCTCAGCCTCCTGAGTAACTGAGATTACAGGTGCCCACCAACATGCCTGGCTAATTTTTGTATTTTTAGTAGAGATGGCACTATACCATGTTGGCCAGGCTGGTCTTGAACTCCTGATCTCAAGTGATCAACCCACCTCGGCCTCCCAAAGTGCTGGGAGTACAGGCGTGAGCCACCATGCCCAGCTGGTAATTTTTGTATTTTTTTAGTAGAGATGGAATTTCCCTATATGTTGGCCAGGCTGGTCTCGAACTCCTGACCTCAAGTGATCCAGCGCTCCTTGGCCTCTCAAAGTGCTGGGATTACAGGTGTGAACCAACATGCCTGGCCAAGCAGTCTGTTTTTTTTGTTTTGTTTTGTTTTGTTTTGTTTTAAGACAGAGTCTTGCTCCGTCGCCAGGCTGTAGTGCAGCACAATCTCAGCTCACTACAACCTCCGCCTCCCGGGTTCAAGTGATTCTCCTGCCTCAGCCTCCCGAGTAACTGGGACTACAGGCGTGCACCACCAGGCCCGGTTGTATTTTTAGTAGAGACAGCATTTCACCATGTTGGCCAGGATGGTCTCGATCTCTTGACCTTGTGATCTGCCCGCCTTGGCCTCCCAAAGTGCTGGGATTACAGGCGGGAGCCACCACGCCCGGCCAAGCAGTCTGTTTTTAATCCTGCACAATCTGGATACACAGTTTAGCACTTCCTAGGGTGATAAGAATGCATCTTCATACATAAAAACACACACACCAAGCAAAAAACACCACCACTACAGCAAGATGACACTAATGAGCAATGGACTTTTTTTCCAGGAGGAAAAGTTTTAATTTATTCACAGAAATAGCATAAAAATCCCCGTACATCATTCTTAATCTTCCAAATCCCTTCTCAGCTGCTTCCCCTCCACCCAACCAGGAGTGAAGTGTTCCATCCTTCTCCCACACTACGCCAGCCTCCTCTCTTCTCTTTCACATTTCCCCACTTAGGTGGTCCCAGGGAGAAGCTCATTTGGCTTGAAAAGCCAAGTTGTTACTCACAAATAACCATTCCAATCGACTTGCAGTTATACATTTCATTAAGTGCTATGCAGGAAAAGTGAAGGCTATGATGAGAGATTATTTCAAGGAGACTTAGATGGGGAAAGTGAGAGCAGGCCTTTCTGAGGAGTGAGTTTAAGCATGGATCTGAAGGGTGTGGAAGAGTTGGGCAGGCAAAGATAAGGGACAAACTCAGCCTGGTGCTCAGAGGATGGACAGAAGGCCAGTGTGGCTGAACCACATAAACTTACACTTGTAAAATAAAAAAGTGCAAGGCCAGGTACAGTGGCTCACCCCTGTAATCCCAGGTATGATCCTTAAAAAACAAAGCAAGCAATACAGGAAAGTACAAGTAAAGAAAATAAAAATTTATCCCAATTTTAATCACTGAGAAATAATTCTAAAAAAGCACTTTTTTTTTTTGAGATGGAGTCTCGCTCTGTTGCCCAGGCTGGAGTGCAGTGATGCAATCTCAGCTGGCTGCAACATTCGCCTCCTGGGTTCCAGCAATTCTCCTGCCTCAGCCTCCCGGGTAACTGGGATTACAGGCACGCGCCACCATGCCCAGCTAATTTTTGTATTTTTAGTAGAGATGGAGTTTTTTCATGTCACCCAGGCTGTTCTCAAACTCCTGACCTCAAGTGATCCGCCTGCATTGGCCTCCCAAAATGCTGGGATTACAGGTGTCAGCCTCCGTGCTTGGCCTGTAGCATGGATCTTTAATGAGATCATTAGCCCTCTCCATCTGTGGTCAGCTGACAGGCTTGGACAGCTTTGGCTGTGAGGAAGGCGAAGAGTGCTGATTTCACCACGGAATCACTGAGACATGGAGGGCCAGGCTCAAGAGCTTGTCTGCTTTATCAAGCTGCCAGCTTGTCCGGATCAGGGCAGATGGGCCGGGTGGAGAATTCTGCCAAATTTTTTGAAAACAAGTCAAACTCTTCCTTTCCTCAGTCTGTATTGTCCCTCTGGTGAGTGATAAAAATTGGGCTGTTTGTCACATTTCTTTCTTAAGCTCTCCTTCTATGTCATACCAGATAAAAGAACACAACAGATAATTATAGTTAGTGCTTGACAGCTGCTGAAAATACAAAAATATATTCTCATATTTCCTGGGCCCTCCACTGTTCTAATTCTTTTTTTTCTTTTCTTTTTTTTTTTTTTTTTTAAGATGGAGTCTTGTTCTGTCACCAGGCTGGAGTGCAGTGGTACAATCTCGGCTCACTGCAACCTCCACCTCCCAGGTTCAAGTGATTCCCCTGCCTCAGCCTCCCAAGTAGCTGGGACTACAGGTGCACGCCACCATGCCTGACTAATTTTTTTGTATTTTAGTAGAGATGGGGTTTCACCATGTTGACCAGGATGGTCTTGATCGCCTGACCTTGTAGTCCACCTGCCTTGGCCTCCCGAAGTGCTGGGATTACAGGTGTGAGCCACCGCACCCAGCCTTCAAATTCTTTCAAGTCTGAGAAGGCTGATATGATGTTACCTTTTTATTTTATTTATTTATTTATTTTTTTGAGACAGCGTCCTACTCTTCACCCAGGCTGGAGTGCCGTGGCGTGATCACTGTTCACGGCAGCCTTGAGCTTCTGGGCTCAAGTGATCCCTCCCACATTAGCCTGAGTAGCTGGAATTACAGGCACATGTCACCACACTTGGCTAATTTTTAAATTTTTTCAGAGACTAGGTCTCACCATGTTGTCCAGGCTGGTCTCGAACTCCTGGGCTCAGGTCATCCTCCCACCTTGGCCTTCCAAAGTGGTGGGATTGCAGACATGAGCCACTGCACCCGGCCTGCTTTTTTTTTTTTTAAGTCTTTTCTTTGAGACAGAGTCTCGCTCTGTCACCAGGCTAACGTGCAGTAGCTTGATCTCAGCTCACTGCAACCTCCACCTCCTGGGTTCAAGAGATCCTCCAGCCTTAGCCTCCTGTGCAGCTGGGATTACAGGCACATGCCACCACACCCAGCTAAGTTTTATATTTTTATAGAGACAGAGTTTCACCATGTTGGCCAGGCTGGTCTTCAACTCCTGACCTTAAGTTATCCACCTGCCTTGGCTTCCCAAAGTGCTGGGATTCCACGCATCAGCCACTGCACCTGGCCTTATTAAAGGCACTTTTAAAAGATCCACAAAACTATGCAGCATGAAAAATAAAATAAATTGAGTTTCATAGGCCTAGAATGTGGTTTTCTAAGTATGAACCTTACTGCTAATACAAAATGAAAAGCAAACAGAAAAATTGGACTCTAATTGTAATAAACCTGCATGCTAATTGGGGCATCCTTTTCCTGACCTGATGCAAAACAATAAAGGAAAACTGAAATTGGCTAATTTTGTGCTTGAAATCAATTACTTTGACCTCCCATCCCAATCACATGAAAATAGAGTGGCTAGTAACCCACTCTGGGGAGTGTCACCTAGATATAAAACTGTAACTTCATAACATTGCTGGTGTTGAGGTGAATCTTAGTGGTCATCCAGTCCCAAGGCATCCTTGCCAGCCCCCTACAATACCTGGATGGGCGCTTATCTTCAGGTAGGCCTGAGCCTTTCTGGTAAAGAGGAGCTCACTATTTCTAAAGGAAACCTGTGCCATTGGGTTAAAAAAGTATTAATTTTTAAACATTGGTAGTTGTTAAGCAGTTGTTGAATATTTTGAGCCAAAATTTGTTACCTCCCTTTCTAGATTTTACATGCTTCAGAATTTTCTCCTTTAGGTTTGAGACCAGAGCCCAAGTGGATCTAAACAGGCTCTTTGTACCACTCTGCAAATTCTCTCATTTTCTGTTGCCCAAGACCAAGGATATTATCTCCATAGAGTGCCATTTCCCAGCTTATTAAATAAGAGAAATCATCAGTTTCTTAAAGGTTAGACTGAGAACCTGAGCCCTGAACATTTAACATCTACCTGTAGCTCATTCTGGGATACATTTAAGAAAGTAATCATCAGAGTATTTTACAGTTTGAAGATGTCAGTGACAGATTGCCTCTGGGGCTCATGGGTCATTTGTCATGTTTTTACCAAATAGTTATTTTTCCTCTTATAGTTTTAATTTTTAATCCTCTGAAATTTAAAATAAACCCCTCATTAAGTATTTATTAAACATAATGGACTGAAAGAGACATAGAAGAATTATATGATATAAAACCAACTTTGGCCTGGGAGCGGTGGCTCACACCTGTAATCCCAGCACTTTGGGAGGCCTAGGCGGGTGGATAACCTGAGGTCAGGAGTTCGAGACCAGCCTGGCCAACATGGTGAAACCCCGTCTCTACTAAAAATACAAAAATTAGCTGGGCGTGGTGGCACACGCCTGTAATCCTAGCTACCCGGGAGGCTGAGGCAGGATTCACTAGCTTGAATCCAGGAAGTGGAGGTTGCAGTGAGCCGAGATGGTGCCATTGCCCTCCAGCCTGGGCGACAGAGTGAGACTCCGTCTCAAAAAAACCAACGAAACAAAACAAAACAAAAACACACGCAAAAAACCCAACTTTGATGGAACACACAGCCTTTAAGGGAACAAGTGGTTGCCAGCAGTTACAGAGATCAAGTGCATGATAGAATGAGGCCAGTTGGGAAGGAGCAGTGGACAGAGCGCAGCCTCTGGAGACGGGCTTCATACCCCAGTTGGAGCTTCCCTCACTGTAAGACTCAGGCAAACTGCTGAATCTCAGCATCTCACTTACCAAAGGAGCTAATCCTATTTAATTTGAAGGACCACTGTGAAAATTAGAAAGGAGAAATAAGACGTGCACTAGTTATATTAGTTACCTTGGGCTGCCTCAACAAAGTATCACAAACTGGGTGGTTTAAAGCAACAGAAATTTATTTCCTTGTGTTCTGCAAGCCAGGAGTCTAAAACCAAAGTGCCAGCAGGGCCATGCACCCTCTGAAGGTTCTAGGGAAGAACCTTCCTTGCCTCTTCCAGCCTCTGGTGGTTGCCAGCAATCCTTGGCCTTTCTTGGCTTACAGCTCCATCACTCCAACCTCTGACTTCACTGTTACATGGCCTTCCTCTTGTGTGTGTCTCTGGGTCTTCTCATGGCATAAGGCCTTGAAATTTGGGCCCATCCTAATCCATTAGGACTTCATCTTGACTAACTATATCTGCAAAGACACTGTTCCAAAGAAGATTACATTCTGAGCTCCAGGGTGGGCAGGAATTTTGGAGGGACACTATACAACCCAGTGCACCGGCACGTAGTATAGACTCAATAAGTAGAAGCTGTTATGGTTATCAAGTGCCAAAGTGCCAATGAGCAGAGAAAAATTATTTGTATGGGTTGGAGTGGTTAAGGAGAGCTTCACAGAAGGAGTAAGAGTCACGGAGGGCTTCAAAGAAGTACTAAAATTTAGATAAGAACTAAAAATATATAGAGTCTCTCAGGTGGAAAGAATAGCATATCAATATTTTATTTTATTTTTAAAATTATATATATATTTATTTTTATTGAAAATAGAGACAAGGGCTCACTCTGTTGCCCAGGCTGGTCTCCAACTCTTGAGCTCAAGTGATCCTGGCACCTCGGCCTCCCAAAGTGCTAGGATTACAAGTGCAAGCACTGCACCCGGCCAGCATATCAATATTTTAAAAATAGAGTTATTAACCTTGTAAAATCAGCTACTCATGAGACAGAAATCTCCTTTGGCCCAATAATGGGAATTAAAAACTATAATCTTTTTCAAAATGGTTTAACTATTAATGCATATTTTAGTTACCTATTGCTTCCTAACAAATTACCCTAAAACTTAGCAGCTTAAAATAACAAACATTTATTAATATTAGCTGGACATGGTGACGTAAATCTGTAGTCTCAGCTACTCGGGAGGCTGAGGCAGGAGGATCACTTGTGCCCAGGAGTTTGAGACCAACCTGGGCCGCATAGCAAGACTCTCTCTCTAAAAATAAATACCAAATACTTACTATCTCACAATTTCTGTGGACAGGAATTCAGGAGCAGTTTAGCTGGGTGATTCTGGCTCAGAGTCTCTTAGGAGGTTACAGTCAAGATGTCCTCCAGGGCTGCAGTCATCCAAAAGCTTGTTTGGAACTTGAAGATCCAGTTCCAAGATGGTTCACTCACACAGCTATGGCAGGGGCCTTGGTTCCTCAAGCATGGCCTCCTCCATTGGGCTGCTTAAGTGTTTTTATGACATAGCAGCCAGCTTCCTCCAGAGCAGGTAATCAGAGAGAGAGCAAGGAAGATGCCACCATGCCTTTTATGACTCAATCTCAGAGGTCACACACTGTCACTTTTACCACATTCTGTTCATCAAAAGCAAGTCACGAAATTCAGTGCACCTTCCAGGGGAGGAGGATGAAGCTCTAATTCCTGTTGAAAGGAGAACCACACCATGGCGTATAATGAAAGCATCCATTCCTTTAGCTGTTGGTCTAGTTTCCGGCAGTGGACGTTCTTAAATCTCCATGTTATTATTATTATTTGTTAATAAAATAATCATTTTGAGCACTCGCAGTGTGCCAGGTGCTGTACTTGAAGCTGGGAATTTGGAATGAATTGGTCCAGTGCTTGCCCTCGAGGGGTTTACAGGTTAGTGAGGGAAAGGGAATAGTCTGTAAATATAATGCACGTATATAAGAGATAAAAGTGAATATAAACAGAGGGCTTTGCGTTTGCAACTCTAAGAGGGAAACTGAAGAAATCAGAGAAAGCTTCAGGGGCCGGAGGCATCTGAGGGCCTAGGGCAGTACCCAAATCTTAGCCCAACCCCTGGTATAGAGTAGTTCCTGGGCAGGTCATTGAAGAGGGACATTTGTGCCTGGAGATGGGAATGTGTAGGACTTGTAGGTGGGAATGTCAGGTTGTCCAGGGTCACTTTAATGGAAGGGGGAGAAAAGGAAGAGTTTGAGGCCAGACTTGGAGGCCCTTGGAGAATGTGGTAAGGAGAAAGATTAGACTTGATTATGAACACACTGGAGAATGACTTGTGTTTTTTGAGCAGGGGAGTGATATGCTTAGATACTTGTTTTGGACAACAGAAAAAAATGGAGCCAGAGGAACTAATATCTTTGTGTATATGAACTTATTCATTTATTCAAAATTTATTGCAGACCAACCAGGCTTTTTTTTTTGAGACTGAATCTTGCTCTGTCACCCAGGCTAGAGTGCAATGGCATGATCTCAGCTCACTGCAACCTCCGCCTCCTGGGCTCAAGCAATTCTCCTGCCTCATCTTCTTGAACAGCTTGGATTACAGGCATCCGCCACCACATCCCGCTAATTTTTGTATTTTTAGCAGAGATGGGGTTTCACCATGTTGGCCAGGCTGGTCTCGAAATCCTGACCTCATGATCTGCCCACCTCGGCCTCCCAAAGTGCTGGGACTACAGCTGTGGGCTACCGCACCCAGCCTGCCAGGCATTATTTATAGAGAGCTTGTAGTCTAATGGGAGAGGTACATATTAATCAAATCATATAAGGATAAAATGACAACTTTGACAGTGCTACAAAGAAAGGTACATGGTGCAATGAGAGCACATATTAGGGGATTTGACTTAAGCCAAAAGTTCAGGGAACTCTTCTGAGACAATGATAACTGAGCGAGGCCTGAAGAATGTCCAGAAGTAATAAGCCATGCAAGGGTAGGGATCAGCACAGGCAAAGGCCCTGAGATGAGTACAAAGGACCCAAGGAAGGCCAGTGTAATGGGAGGAGCAGAGACAGAAGGAAGGAGACCACAGTTAGAAATAAGGTGGGAGAGGAAGGCAAGGATCAAACCATGAATGGTCTTAATTAACTAATGAATTAATTGTGCCCCTATCTACAAGGACTTCGGTTTTTAGGAAATACCTCCGTCAAAATAGTAAAATCTAAATATAAAATAAAAATTATGGCAGAAAAAAATACAACTTAGGATCAGGTATGGTGGTTCATGCCTGTAATCCCAGCATTTTGTGAGGCCGAGGCAGGAGGACCACTTGAGTCCAGGAGCTGAAGACCAGCCCGGGCAACATGGCAAAACCCTGTCTCTACAAAAAATATAAAAATTAACCAGGCATGGTGGCTTATGTCTGTGGTCCCAGTAACTTGGGAGGCTGAGGTGGGAGGCTCCCTTGAGCCTGGGAGGTTGAGGGTGCGGTGAGCTCTGATTGCACCACTGCACTCCAGCCTGAGTGACAGAGCAAGACCTTGTCTCAAAGAAAAAAAAGTACAACTTAGAATGACAAATGCAGAAAGAATCATTACATGAATATATGAATGCTATATAAGCAAATGGACTGGAAACTTGACCCTGAGCTTTCTAGTGGCCAAAGTAGAAGCCAAAAAAAAAAAAATTAGAATATGTAGTGCTCACAGCCCATGAAAAAAAACATGGGAAAATCATTTAGCAGGCAGGTGCAACAGAAAGATGTACTGATGGTCTGTCTGTGGCATGAGAATGGAAAAGACAAGCAACATTAGAGGAAGACATTGCAGAGAGATTCACCAATTAGTTACTATGGTTACTGAGACTGTAGTATCTCCGGATATTATCTCCCAGTATCTACCGAGATTATTATGGGATCAATGATTATTATTTCTCCATCATATATGTGTGAAGTAGAAGTGGAATCTATCTTATTTTTTAGGCCAGGGTAATTTTCTTTTGTCTCAAATTGGAATAGCAGGGGATATGTTTAATTACTGTCTATGAACCATTATAGAAGTTGGCACTACTTAGAGTGGGAGGAAATAGATAGCTTGTTTATCAGTGGGCATAAAAATAAAGAAATGGCAAGATTTGTCCTGTTTCCTCCTGTGCCTGCTAAAAAGCAGAAGGATCATCTGAGGCCTTCCTGAAAATTAGGGAGAATGGCATCCTGTCTTAATTTCTTCCACCAAATTTCACTTTTGGATCCAGGCCATTTCTACTTTGGCAAAGTGTGAGGTGCTAATGTGGACTCCTGTTCCCAGTGATGTTGCGCCAGCCTGGCCCAGGGGAACTGTCAGTGCCTGGTCATGGGTGGGCGGAAGTGGGAGGGGGCAGAGGAGTGCTGTTAACACTTTCAGTACTGTATAAAGGAGCACTTCCTTTTATTCCTTGTAGCAGAAGCCACCTGAGAAAGTGAACTTAGGCAAATGGCTTGTGCTTGAGTGTTCTCCTTTAGATTCTGTTCTTTTCTCCAAATCCACTCCTGCCAGCCTCACCTCTCCTTTTCACAGTGGTCAATATCACAGTTTCCCGGAGGAAACATTGAAGGCGACTCAATGGCACTGCTTCCTCCTATTGCCATAGCTTTGGGTGTTTTCAGATTTTACTCTGCAAAGCCTCATAGGTTCTCCAGGTGGAGCCCAATGGTGAAGCCCTGGTGTGGGCTTCTTGACCTCACAGGGCTGTGGGCCTCTCCCCTCTGGCTGGCATCTGGCTGCTCTCTTCCGCCACCAAGACCCCCAAGAAGAAAAGTAGCTTCCTCTAAAACCAGGTTATTCCTGCAAAGCTTAGTCCTGGCCCTCTGTGTAACATAAAAAAGAACATCTGTCCAGTGAACAGCCAGCTTTTATGGCAGTGCCCCGTTGGCCTACTGATAAGAAACCGTGGCTGCTCAGGCGGCTGCTGCACCTGCTGCTTTTGCCGTTTCTTTCCTGCTTGTGTAGATAAAGCCCTGCGGAGCTGAGCTGGTTTCACCTTCGTCATTACAACTTTGAAGCCCTCTGGAGGCTTTAACAACATCTTGCCAGTCTTATCCTAGAGAGGACAGCTAGTTCTCCTTGCTAGGTGGGAAGGCTGAAGCTGAACTTGGGAATTCTCATCAGGGCTGCCCATAGGAGGTCTCATCATTTCCAGCAGAGGAAAGAAACTTGAAGAAAGAATGGATTTAAGTAATTGCCTCCAGGCAGTCTTCTCTCTCTCCTCCCTCTCTTTAAAAAAAATCATGGGATCATGTAATTTTTCAGCATAAATAATGGCAATAATGGTTGGAGGACAAGGTAAGATTTCTGGAAATCTGGCAACTACGCAGGTGACTCAAAAGAAAAAATAATGACCAAGCTAATCTTTAACTCCACACCTACTCTTGCCTTTTCCCAGGCAGCTTCCTGGTTTAGAGCAGGGTTCCCAAACTGCAGTAGGTATCAGCATCCCCTGGAGGGCTTTCTAAAACCCAGATTGGTAGGCCTACTCCAGAGATTCTGATTCAATGGGTCAGTGAGAGAGGCCTAAGAATTCAAATTTCTTTTTTTTTTCTTTTGAGATGGAGTCTCGCTCTGTCCCCGAGGCTAGAGTGAAGTTGCGGGATCTCGGCTCACTGCAACTTCCACCTCCTGGGTTCAAGCGATTCTCCTGCCTCAGCCTCCCCAGTAGCTAGGATTACAGGCACGTGCCACCACACCTGGCTAATTTTTGTATTTTTAGTAGAAACGGTTTCACCACATGACCAGGCTGGCTGGTCTCCAACTCCTGGCCTTGCGATCCGCCCACCCTGGCCTCCCAAAGTGCTGGGATTACAGGTGTGAGCCACCGTGCCCAGCTCCAAGAATTCAAATTTCTAACAAGTCTCCAGGGGCTACTGCTGCTGCTGCTGCCCCCACAGGTCCTGAAACCACACTTTGGGAACCATTGGTTTAAGCTTTATGGAAAGTACAAGAGCTTTGAAGAAAGGCAGGCTTGGGTTTCAATCCTAAATCCGTAGCTTATATACCAGCTGTGTGACTGGGGGCATATGACTGAATATCTCTTAACTGGTTTCTTCACTTTTAAAATGGGGGAAATCATATCTACTCCATAGAGTTCATTGATTCTACAAATCCTGCAGTGCCAGGCCCTGAGCTGGGTGGTGGGACGAGACAGTCTTTGATGTCAAGGATCTCTGGGTGGATATGAAAATTAAAGAGATAAAATGTTCAAAGTCCAAGGACCATGAGGGATGCCCAATAAACATTAATTTTATTTCCTTCAAGGAGGTAACATGATTCTGCTTTTCTTTTCTTTTTTTCTTTTTTTTGGTCTAAGAAGTAATTCTCAAATTTCACAGCATGGAACAAAGAGCTATGCTTCTCCCCTTATCTAGATGGAAAATTTGAGGTACAGGTACTGTTTTGAGTTCAATTGTGTCCTTCAAAAGTTCATATGTACCTTAGAGTACCCGCTGTGTGCCCCAGCACCTCAGAATGAGACCTTATTTGGAAATGGGGTCTTTGCGGATGTAGTCAAGTTACAATGAGATCATTAGGTTAGGCCCTCATCCAGTATGACCAGGGTCCTTATAAAAAGGGGGAAGTTTGGACAGAGACGAATGCACAGGGAAAATGCTGTGTGAGAGTTGGAGTTATGCTGCCACAAGCCAAGGAAATCAAGGATGGCTGGCTGTCCCCCGAAGCCAGGGCAGAAGCAGGGGCCAGATTCTCCCTTGTGGCTTCCGAAGGAACCAGCCCTGCCAACACCTTGATTTTGGGCTTCTGGCATCCAGAACTGTGCGACAACAAATTTCTATTGTTCAAAGCCACCCAGTCTGTGGCACTTTGTTACAGCAGCCCTGAAAGACGAATGCAGGCACCGTGAGGTAGAACATCCCTCGCGAACAGGGCACATTGAGGAGAGGTGAAGGAGGACTTCCAGTTTTTAATCCCACACATCTCTTTATTGTGCTTGTGATTTAAAAAAATTAATTGTAGGTATAATTACTGCTAAATACCCTGAAAATAACGAACTCCTGTGTCTCTAGATATTTAAACCTCTCAGTTAGCAACAGCCTCTGACCGTGTGTCCATCTATCAGGGAATTCTTCAAAATAGTCATGGAGTGTCTGTTTGCAGGCAAAGCACATTTAGACGTTTAAGTCACAGACACACGTGAGTCAAATAATTTACCATCTAACTGGGACCAGGAGAACTGAACAGTAACAACATAGCAAGGCAGTTTGTGATCTTTGCCCCATATCCGTTGTGGAGGAGGGGAGCTCCCACCGGCCAGAAGGATTAGGGGCCATATCACAAAGGACGGGGAAAAGGGCACTTCAGCCAGGACTGGTGAGTTTGAGGGGTGAAGGGGACCAGGCAGGGCATTCTGTGGGGTAAGGGAGCAGGTATAATGCCCTCTTCTGATGCTTTTACTTAGAGTTTCAGTTGCAAACCCATGTCACTCTGGAGGGGTAAGTGATAAAGGCAAGGTGATAATTTTTTAAAATATTTGATTATTTATTTATTTATTTTGAGATGGTGTCTCACTCTGTTGCCCAGGCTGGAGTGTAGTGGTGTGATCTCGGCTCACTGCAACCTCCGCCTCCTGGGCTCAAGGGATTTTCCTGCCTCAGCCTCCCAAGTAGCTGGGACTACAGGCATGCACCATGACGCCCAGCTAATTTTTGTATTTTTAGTAGAAATGGGGTTTCTCTATGTTGGCTAGACTGGTCTCGAACTCCTGACCTCAAGTGATCTGCCCGCCTCGGCCGCCCAAAGTGCTGGGATTACAAATGTAAGCCACCACACCCGACCTAAATTTATTTATTTATTTATTTTATTTTATTTTATTTTTTGAGGCGGAGTTTCGCTCTTGTTGCCCAGGCTGGAGTGCAATGGTGCAATCTCGGCTCACTGCAACCTCTGCCTCCTGGGTTCAAGCGATTCTCCTGCCTCAGCCTTCCTAAGTAGCTGGGATTACAGGCATGCGCCACCACCCCCGGCTAATTTTGTATTTTTAGTAGAGACGGGGTTTCTCCATGTTGGTCATGCTGATCTCAAACTCCCGACCTCAGGTGATCTGCCCGCCTCGGCCCCCCAAAGTGCTGGGATTACAGGCGTGAGCCACCGCGCCCGGCCTAAATTTATTTATTTTTTAACAAGTAACCCACATAGTAATCAATCCAAAAAGTATAAAGGGACACAAGAAAGATCTTCATTCTTTTCTTCACAAAGTATACAAACTTTTCTAATTCCTTAGCTGTTTCTAGAATGAAGGTCAAGTTAGCTGAGGCCTAGAAAGACTACATTCCAGCTGTATGGGACAGTGAAAGGACTTTGCTGGTGCAGAAACTTTATCAACTAGTGGGAATCTCTTCTGAAAGCACCTACTCAGGTACACCTCCACCCAACCCTGCCCCCAGAGCGTGGCCCCAGGTTACAGCTGAACCTGCTTAAGCAAGAGCCTGGCTTCTGTTTGCCCTTAAGATCAGGTTGACCAGAGGAAGCCTGACATTTTAGAGATGATTCTCCACTCACACATCTCCAGTTCACCTGGTGATGGCAGAGGCTGGGTGAGAATCTCAATTGGTGACACTTGGTGATGGCTGAGGGTGCGTTTTTGTCCCAGAGAATGGCCTGTGTTTTTATTCGGTGTTTCCTTCACAAACGTGATACAGATAACCATAGCCACACCAGTCACTGGCACAGTTTTCATTTTACAGGACACAGAGGCACCTGCCCAGGTGTCTATTTGGCCTCTATGGCTCGGAGCGCTCATATATCACAGGTGTGTCCACAGCTGATAAGATCCCTTTGTGAGGCCTAGATAAAATGTCAAACACAGTATGAAAAACTGTTTCTATCACCTCCTCCCTCCCCACCAGCAGCAGCAGCAGCAGCAGCAGGCTAAAACTTCCTGATTTCCTAATGTTCTCATGAAGGAACACTTTCTCCCCTGGGTCAGAGTCAAATGAGAAACCCAATGACGGTGTCAGGTCCTGCCCAGGGTGGTGAAATGCTGCTTCAGCCTTCTCCCCATAGTCCCAGCTCTGAGTGTCCTGCTAAAGGATCTTCTCCTTGGTTGCGGTGAGCCGAGATCACGCCATTGCACTCTAGCCTGGGCAACAAGAGTGAAACTCCATCTCAAAAAAAAAAAAAAAAAGAATCTTCTCCCTAAAAGAGACGTTAAAATTTTTTTCAAAACTTAATTTAAAACAAATTTTTAAATAGGTAATTCATCCACATGGTAATCAATTTTAAAAGTATAAGGGGTACAGAATGAAGCGTAAGTATCCCTCCTACCCCTGTCCTGGCCCCCTAGTTCTCCTCCTAGGAAGTAGCCCCTGTTGCCTTGGAACTTACTACTAAAGTTACCTCGTGGCTGGGCGCGGTGGCTCATGACTGTAATCCCAGCACTTTGGGAGGCTGAGACAGGTGGATCACTTGAGCCCAGGAATTAGAGACCAGCCTGGGTAACATGGCAATACCCCGTCTCTACTAAAAATACAAAAATTAGCTAAGTGTGGTGGCAACGCCTGTAGTCCCAGCCATTTGGGGAGCTGAGTTGGGAGGATTGCTTGGGCTGTGGCTACCATGAGCCATGATCACACCACTGCACTCCAGCCTGGGTGACACAGCGAGACCTCATCTCAAAAAATAAAAATAAATAAAAATAAAATAAATAAATAAAGTTAGTTTGTATTGAACAAGCACTCCTGAGGCACACTGTAGATACTGGGGATACACAGAAGACATTATAACAGTCTTGACCACACGCTTCTCTCTCTGGGACAACAAAACCAGAGACAGGAGAGTGCTCACTGGCCAGTGTGGTAGTCACAACATCAAAGTATAATACATAAAGAATGAGGGGTTCCTTTAAATTAGCTTTAATTATTTGGATTGGGATTGGAGGAGTTGGATTTTGAGCCAGATATTGACATGAATTGGAGGTTAAAAGAAAAAAAGAAGCTAGGGAGCATTCAATAAATCACTTTTTAAAATTCTTGAAGAATATTATTTCTCATCTGTCATGGCTGCCAATTTCTATCTGATGTTATGTTTATGTGTATATTTATAGCATTTTTTTTCCTTTTTTTTGAGACAGGGTCTCACTCTGTTACCCAGGCTGGAGTGCAGTGGCATGATCTTGGCTCACTGCAACCTCTGACTCCCGGGCTCAAGCCATACTCCCACCTTACCCTCCCAAGTAGCTGGGACCACAGGTGTGTGCCACCACTCCTGGCTAATTTTTGTAGAGTTGGGGTTTCGCCATGTTGCCCAGGCTGGTCTCGAACTCCTGAGCTCAAAAGATCCACCTGCCTCAGCCACTCAAAGTATTGGGATTACAGGCGTGAGCCACCCCACCCAGCTATGTATTCATAACATTCTTATTTTGTAGTATATATCATTTATTTATTTATTTATTTTAACAACTGTATTAACCAATGTGGTATATAACTTATAGGATAGTGTCTTGTAGACTACTATGTGAAAAGCACTCCCTGGGGTTATAGGATGCACAACCTGTACATCTGTACATATTGGCTCTCTATATGCCAGGATTGTCCTGACTGTATTTGTATCCCCTCACTATATATTTTTAGTTGAATTACTTTGAGGTAAAGTGGGCAGCATCACAAACCATTATGGCTAGGGTGCAGGGTTGGAATAAAGAGAGGAAAGACTGAAGAGGTAAGCAGAGGCCAAAGAGTGAAGGCCCTCGTAAACCTTACAGGAGTCTGGCCTTGCTCAGAAGGCAGCTGTGGGGCAGCCATACAACCTGACTTGCATTTTGTATAGATCACTCTGGCTATAGCCTAGAGAATGGATTGGAGGGGAGAGGGGAGCAAAGCACGGGAAACCAGTAAGGAGGCTCCTCTAGATAAGAAATAACTGTGTTTTGACTTCATCAGTAGCAATGCACATGGAGAGAGGTGGACTGACTCAAGAAGTGTTTTGGAGATAGAAAATAGATAGATCTCAGGATTGTATACAAGGGCACCGCTCCTGGCTTGAGGAGGTGCTGAATATAGCAGTTTCATTATCAGAGCAAAAGGACAATGCTGAGACTGGTATTTTATTAAGTGTCCAGAATTTATGAAATATTTTAAAGAAATAAGTGAAACTAAATACTTAAAAGCTTCAAATGCATTTTATTTTATTTATTTATTTTTTTCTGAGACAGAGTCTGTCTCTGTCACCCAGGCTGGAGTGCAGTGCCACGATCTCGGCTCACTGCAACCTCCCCCTCCCGGGTTCAAGTGATCCTTGTGCCTCAGCCTCCCAAGTAGCAGGGATTACAGGCATGCACCACCACATCCAGCTAATTTTTGTGTTTTTAGTAGAGACGGGGTTTCACCGGGTTGGCCAGGCTGGCCTCGAACTCCTGATCTCAGGCAATCCGCCTACCTTGGCCTCCCAAAGTGCTGGGATTACAGGCATGAGCCATCATGCCCGGCCAAATGCATTTTATATATTATGAAACATCAAGTAAAGTATACAATAATAAAAATATAAACATTACTTATTCTAATATAAATTGTTAGCAGATAAAATTAATGAAAGTATTATTAATTAATTTTTTTTTGAGACTGTGTCTCACTCTGTTGCCCAGGCTGGAATGCAGTGGCACAATCTTGGCTCACTGCAAGCTCTGCCTCTCGAGGTTCACACCATTCTCCTGCCTCAGCCTCCCGAGTAGCTGGGACTACAGGCGCCTGCCACCACGCCCGGCTAATTTTTTGTATTTTTAGTAGAGACAGGGTTTCACCGTGTTAGCCAGGATGATCTCGAATTCCTGACATCGTGATCTGCCCGCCTCAGCCTCCCAAAGTGCTGGGATTACAGGAGTGAGCCACCGCCCAGCCCAAAGTATTATTTTAAAAACCCTGAAGAGCCAGTATTGCCACTACAAAGTGGCTGATGTTACCACTCAATTAGATATGGAATGCTGCTGGGGAGAGTAGCTGAGCACTATATTTTATTTCATTTTTTAGACAGAGACTTGCTCTGTGCCCAGGCTGGAGTGCAATGACGCAATCATGGCTCACTGCAGCCCTGACATCCCAGGCTCACATGATCCTCCTACCTCAGCCTCCCAAGTAGCTGGGACCACAGGAGTGCACCACCACACCTGGCTAATTTTTTTTTTTTTCTAGAGATGGGGTTTTGCCATGTTGCCCAGAATGGTCTTGAACTCCTGGGCTCAAGTGATCCTTCCGCCTTGGCCTCTCGAAGTGCTAGGATTATAGGCATGAGCCACTGTGCCCGGCCTATTTTGTTTTCTTTGACATCCAGAATACATGCTGGAGAGAACTATATTTTTAAAGTTGGGTCTGAGGTGCCTGTGGAATGCCCCCATAAGCAGTTAAGGGTAAGAATTTGGAGCTCAAGAGTAAGCTCAAAATATAATCTGGGAATCATAAGGACATAAAAGACAATTGAAACTGTGAAAATGGCTTTGTGTAAGAGAGTTGATTGAATTCTGGCACTCTGAAGAAAGAAAAAAAGAAAAATTAAAATATTAAAAAGAACAAACAAAAAAGAGTTGAACTGAGCTTTAGAAAAGACTAGGACTTTAATTGAACTAGAAGACGTATAGGTAGAAGCTGAAGAAAAGAGCAAGTCAAAGAAAGCTATGAAGTTAGGAGTAAATGGATACTGTCAGTGGTGTGCTGGTAAATGCTTAACAACTGGCTCTCTAGGGAGGTGAAAGGAAGCCCTGATTTATAGTGTTTGCTGAATTCCATGGTGTAAATACTCCCATCACAGTCAATCTCAAGCTATCAGTGTCACTGAGCGTGGAGCTGGGAAGAGGTGAGCACAGTCAGATCTTGTGATCTCATACAAGTGTACGCTGGTCCACAGCCGGGCACTGTCCTGATGGAAAGAGGATTCTGTCAGGGGCATGTAAAGGACATACTTCAAAGGTAACGTGGACCACATAAAGACAGATAATAACAAGTGTGGTTGAGGATGTGGAGAAATTGGAGCCTTCATACATTGCTGGTGGGAATATAAAATGGTATCGCTGTTATGGAACAGTTTGGCAGTTCCTCAAAAAGTTAAACATAGAGTTACCATATGACCTGGCAATTATACTCTAGGTATATTCACAAGAGAATTGAGAACATATATTCACACAAAAACTTGTACATGATTATTCTAGCAGCATTATTCATAATAGCCGAAAAAGTAGAAACAACCCAAATGTCCATCAACTGATGAATGGATAAAATAAAATGTGGTATGTCCATACAATGGATTTTTTTTTTTTTTGAAGCAGTCTCGCTCTGTCGCCCAGGCTGGAGTGCAGTAGTGCGATCTCAGCTCACTGCAACCTCCGGCTTCCGGGTTCAAGTTATTCTCCTGCCTCAGCCTCCTGAGTAACTGGGATTACAGGCATGCTTCACCATACCCTGCTAACTTTTGTATTTTTAGTAGAGATAGGCTTTTGCCATATTGGCCAGGCTGGTCTCGAAGTCCTGGCCTCAAGAGATCCACCCGCCTTGGCCTCCCAAAATGCTAGAATTATAGGCATGAGTCATCATGCCTGGCCCATACAATGGAATATGATTCAGCCACAAAAAGGAATTAAGTACTGATCATGCTATAGTATGTACAACACTTGAAAGCATTATGCCAAGTAAAAGAAGCCAGACATAAAAGACCACATATTGTATGATTGTGTTTGTATGAAGTGTCCACAATAGGTAAATACATAGAGTCAGAGAATAGATTCGTGGTTGCCAGGAGCTGTGGGAAGGATAAAATGGGAAGTGACTGCTGATGAATATGAAATATGAAAATAATTTCAGAATATGAAAATATTCTGGGATTAGATAGTGGTGATGCTTGCACAATCTTGTGAATATATTAAAACTTCCTAAATTGTATAATTTAAATTTGAATTTTAGAGCATACGATTTTTATCTCAATTTTTAAATAAATGGTAAAATGAGTTTCAGCTGCCTGTAAAAGTTTGAACTTTTTTTTTGAGACAGGGTCTCACTTTGTCACCCAGGCTGGAGTGCAGTGGGACAAACACTGCTCAATGCAGCCTTGACCTCCCAGGCTCAAACAGTCCTCCTGCCTCAGCTGCCCAAGTAGCTGGGAGTACAGACATAAGCCACCATGCCCAGCTAATTTTTGTAGAGACAGGGTTTCGCCATGTTGCCCAGGCTGATCTGGAACTCCTGGGCTCCAGCAATCCACCCGCCTCAGCTTCCCAAAGTGCTGGGATTATAGGTGTGAGCCACTGCTCTTGGCCTAAAGTTTGAACTTAATCTTAAGGATTATTGGGTGCCAATATTTTTGGAAAGGGAAGGTGAATTTTCTAAAATTATATATATATATATATATATTTATATATTTTTTTTTTTTTTTGAGATGGAGTTTCGCTGTTGTTGCCCAGGCTGGAGTGCAATAGCACGATCTTGGCTCACCGCAACCTCCACTTCCCGGGTTCAAGTGATTCTCCTGCCTCAGCCTCTCGAGTAGCTGGGATTACAGGCATGTGCCACCATGCCCGGCTAATTTTTTGTAGAGACGGGGCTTCTCCATGTTTGCCAGGCTGGTCTCGAACTCCCAACCTCAGGTGATCTGCCCAACTTGGCCTCCCAAAGTGCTGAGATTACAGGCGTGAGCCATCGCACCCAGACTAAAATTATATTTGAAGAAGTGACGAGAGTAGATTGAAGAGTTCTGAAGCCCGAACTTTGACTTTTTGATCTCATTCTTGAATAATTTTCTTAGAAATAGAATTCTAGGTAGGGTGCAGTGGCTCATGCCTGTAATCCCAGCACTTTGGGAGGCAGATGTGGGAAGATTACCTGAGGTCAGGAGTTCAAGACCAGCTTGCCCAACATGGCGAAACCCTGTCTCTACTAAAAATACAAAAAATTAGCCGGGTGTGGCGGCATATGCCAGTAATCCCAGCTACTCGGGAGGCTGAGGCAGGAGAATCTCTTGAACCTGGGAGACGGAGGTTGCAGTGAGCCCAGATCGTGCCACTACACTCCAGCCTGGGCAACAAGAGCCAAACTCCATCTCAATAAAAAAAAAGAAATGGAATTCTAGGATTGGCCTTTTCTCTCAGTACTTTGTTTATATTTCCCATTTTCTCCTAGATATTATTGTATTGTGCAGAAGTTTGCTGTAAGTATAATTTAGTATTTTTATAGGTATTTTGTCTTTTATCTCTGCTTGCTTTAAGAATCAAACAACTTCTATAAACAAAACCAAACATATATTATATATCATGCATATACATAATATATACATTTGTTATGGCTTAAATAGGTCTCCTCAAAATTCAAGTGTTACCAATGTGATATATTAAAAGATGAGGTCTTTTTTTGTGATCTGCTTGCTGGGGAAAGGGTGGGGCCTTTAAGAGGTGATTAGGCCGAGTGGATCTCTCCCTTGTAAATGGGATTAGGTACCCTTATAAAGGAGCATGACAGGGGCAGTAGATCCCTTTTCTTGCCCTTCTACCTTCTGCCATGTGAGGATGCAGCAAGAAGGCTCTCACTAGACACCAAATGCTTGTGCCTTGATCTTGGACTTCTTAGTCTCTAGAACGGTGAAAAAAAATACATTTCTGTTCTTTAAAAATCACCCAGTGTTAGGTAATTAATTGTAGTAGCACAGACAGACTAAGACAATATTCATTGAAATTTAAGGCTGGGCACAGTGGCTCATGCCTATAATCCCAGCACTTTGGGAGGCCGAGATGGGCCTATCACCTGAGATCAGGTGTTTGAGACCAGCATGGTCAACATGGCGAAACCCTGTCTCTACTAAAAATACAAAAATTAGCTGGGCATGGTGGTGCGCACTTGTGGTCTCAGCTACTCGGGAGGCTGAGGCAGGAGAATCACTTGATCCCAGGAGGCGGAGGTTGCAGTGAACCGAGATCGTGCCACTGCATTCCAACCTGGGCAACAGAGCAAGAGACTCTGTCTCAAAAAAAAGAAAAAAGAAATTTAAAACTCGGTGGCTAGGTTCCCTTGCAGATTTGAAAGAGATGACTAGATAATGAAGTGGATGACTATGAAGAAAACATTACTCCATGCAGCATAGAGAGAGATGGAACTGGGACTGCAGTTGCTGGGACTACAGACATGTGCCACCATGCCTGGCTAATTTTTGTACTTTTTGTACAGACAAAAGACAGAATAGAATGAGAAATAGAATAGAAATAGAATAGAATGAGATGGTCCAACTTACATCTAGTGGGATTTCTGAAGAGAGAAAGAATAGCAAAAGCAGGAACAAAGGCAATATTCAAAGAGAATATGTCTAAGAATTTCAGAATTAATAAATGATAAGAATCTCAGGCCAGCACAGTGGCTCACATCTATAATCCCAGCACTGTGGGAAGCCGAGGCAGGTGAAACACTTGAGCTCAGGAATTCGAGACCAGCCTGGGCAACATGGCAAATCCCCATTTCTACTAAAAATACACACACAAAAAAATTAGCCGGGCATGGGGGCGCATGCCTATAGTCCCAGCTACTGAGGAGGCTGAGATGAAGAATCACCTGAGCCCAGGGAAGTCGAGGCTGCAGTGAGCCGAAATTGAGTCGCTGCACTCCAGACTGGGTAATCAGAGTGAGACTCTGTCTCAATTAAAAAAAAAAATACAAATCTCGATTCAAAAATTAAGAATTCCAGGCCAGGAAGAAAAAGATAAATCCATATCTAGATATATATCAGTGTGGAAGCTGTGTGGCTCTTTATGACCTAGCCTTGGGAGTCACTTAGTGTTACTTCTGCTGTACTTTGCCTATTGGTCTAAGTAGTCACAAGCCTGCCCAGATTCAAGGAGGCTGGAGGGTGTAGGAATGGAATCTACTTTTGTTTTTTCTCTTGCTTTTTCTCTTTTGAGAACCCACTTTTCTAAGAGAGAAATGTAAAAGGATTTGCAGCCACACTAGGTGAGACAGCAATTGTCAACACAAATGCAAAAGCAGGCACTGTAACCTTGTGATTGTTCTCGAGGGAAGGTAGTCATCAAGATGAACTTAGATATGTCTAAACTAATATTATTACTATTATTTTAGAGATGGGGGTCTCACTCTGTCCTCCAGGCTGGAGTGCAGTGGTGCAATCATAGTTTACTGTAACCTCAAACTCCTGGGCTCAAGTGATCTTCCTGCCTCAGCCTCTCAGGTAGCTGGGACTGCAGGTGTAAGCCAACATGCCTGGCTATTTAATTTTTTTTTTTTCAAGACAGAGACTCACTTTGTCACCCAGGATGGAGTGTAGTGGCACAAACTTGGCTCACTGCAACCTCTGCCACCCGGATTCAAGTGATTCTCCTGCCTCAGCCTCCGGAATAGCTGGGATTACAGGTTCCTGCCACTACGCCTGGCTAATTTTTTTTTTTTTTTGTATTTTTAGTAGAGATGGGGTTTCACCATGTTGGCCAGGCTGGTCTTGAACTCCTGACCTCAGGTGATCTGCCCACCTCAGCCTCCCAAAGTGCTGGGATTATAGGCATGAGCCACCACGCCTGGCCTATTTAATTTTTTTAAGTAACATCAAATGATAACACAATTAAACAGTTAGTCTAAAATGATTTATCCAGCCATGAAAAGATATGGAGGAAGCTTGAATGCCTATTACTAAGTGAAGGAAGCTGATCTGAAAAGGCTACATACTGTCTGACTCCAACTATATGACATTCTAGAAAAGGCAAAACTTTGGAGACAGCAGAAGGATCATTGATTGTCAAGGATTATGTGTGTTTGTGTGTGGGGGTGTGGAAAAAGCAGAGCACAGACAACTTTTAGGGCAATGAAATTACTGTATTATAACTATATACTATAATGGTTAACACGTGTCATTAAACATTTGTCCAAACTTATAGAATGTGCAACACCGAGAGTGAACTCTAATGTAAGCCACGAACTCTGAGTGATAATGATGTGTTAATGTAGGTTTATGAATTGTAACGAATGTACCACTCTGGTGGGGGATGTTGGTGATGGGGAGGCTATGAATTTGTGGGGAGATATGGGAGATCTCCATACCTTTTGTTCTGTTTTGCTGTGAACATAAAACTGCTCTAAAAAAAAAGTCTATTATTTTATTTTATTTTTATTTACTTTATTTTATTATTATTATTATTATTTGTTTTTTATTTTTTTCGAGGCGGAGTCTTGCTCTGTTGCCCAGGCTGGAGTTCAGTGGCACCATCTCGTCTCACTGCAAGCTCTGCCTCCTGGGTTCACGCCATTCTCCTACCTCAGGCTCCCAAGTAGCTGGGACTACAGGTGCCCGCCACCACGCCCGGCTAATTTTTTTTTTTTTTGTATTTTTAGTAGAGATGGGGTTTCACTGTGTTAGCCAGGATGGTCTCGATCTCCTGACCTCGTGATCCACCCGCCTCGGCCTCCCAAAGTGCTGGGATTACAGGCGTGAGCCACCGCACCTGGCCTATTTTATTATTATTTTTTTGACATGGAGTCTCATTCTGTCACACAGGCTGGAGTGCAGTGGCGCAATCTTGGCTCACTGCAACCTCCGCCTCCCAGGTTCAAGCGATTCTCCTGCCTCAGTCCCCCGAGTAGCTGGGATTACAGGCACCCACCACCACGCCTGGTTAATTTTTGTACTTTCAGTAGAGACGGGGTTTCACCATGTTGGCCAGGCTGGTCTTGAACTCCTGACCTCAGGTGATCCGCCCACCTCAGCCTCCCAAAGTGCTAGGATTACAGGCGTGAGCCACTGTGCCCAGCCAAGTCTATTATTTTAAAAAATTATCTTGGAGAATATTATTTTGAGGACTCTTGAGAACACATATGGGAACTCTCAGGGTTCTAAGGACTCCATTTGGAGAAACAGTGCTATAGGAGATTGAGTATTGCAGCTGCTCATATCTATTTGCTCCAGTAGAGTTACAGAAGCCCTGTCTGTTGAACTGGTTCTCCAGGCTAGAATTCTGTCCGCCAGGTTCTCTCCATCACAGACAGCTAACATATCCAAACAAGCAATGTCCTTGGAGAGTTTTGCATAGGCCACAACCTAGATTGCCTGGTTCTGACATGTATGATTAAAAGCTCAGGTGAAAAACATTTAATAGAACATTTTGGTCTCATTAAAAAGTGATAGAAGCACATCTTCAGAATATAACTTCATAAAGCCCTGCCTTGTAGACAGATGTGTGTGCTATATTCTTTCCTACTAGAAAGAGATTGGAATTTATAAAGGGACATTTTGTTTCTTGGTGACAAAGCCATTTCAATCCTAGGGATATTTACAACCAGTACTGAAAAACCCTCTGCACCTGAGGGACTGGCCGCAGTTACAGACTGTCATAAATGTCAGCGACCAGGGTTTCTCTTGGAGAGATTAGCTCTGGGGAGTTGCTAGGGGAGAAAAAGTGGAAAAAGGACAGGTGTTGCTCCATATGTATGAGAAGACTGGGATTAGAGAAGAGGGCGCGTCGGGCAGGCAGTAAACATGACAGGGGAAACTGAGGAGGGGCTAACTGCTGAGGATTATCACATCTAGGCCAGAAATGTCAGCGGGGCTCCTTTCTCTCAGCTGGGAGAACACGTGGGTGCTCCCTCATAAACCCTCTTCAGGCAGGGTTAGAGCAGTAGCTTTTTTTTTTTTAACCAGTTTACAAAGAGCTTGCCTAAACATAATGCCCTAATCATCCAGAGAAATCAGTGTTACTCAGTTTTGTGGGGGAGAGCTACTGAACTATTTAATCATCTTAGCAGGGTGTTACCCTCCCTGTTTATAGACAAGGGAGATTGAATGACTGTCCCCGGTCATGCAGCATGGGGTGGCAGGATAAAAGCAGGGTCTAGACCTTTTGGCTGTAATCCCAGCACCCGCACAGCTCCCGAGCTGTTCTAGGGCCACACCCTGGCCCACCATTCAGTCATTCAACAAATACTTATTGAAAGCTACTATGTCAGGTGCTGTTCTGGGTGTCTGGGCCACATCCATGGATAAAAACAAAGATCTGTGTTCTGAAGACACTTACATTTGATCTGGAATGGGGACGGGGCAGAAATAGACAATAAACACAGCAAATAGTAAAGGTATAAAGTGTGTGTTTGAAGGTGGTAAGTGCTATGGAAAAAAATTCAAAGTCATCCCAGATTTGAAGGATCAATGGATCGTTGAGAGGGGGGAGCCAATTGCTATTGTCAACAGGGAGCTCGAGGTGGAAGGGATAATATTGGCAACACTTCAGGAGGCTTTTGTGAGGGCTAAAGGGGAAGAAGATGCAGGTACAGTGCCGGGCCCCGAGCCTGGCACATGGATGCTTAGAGGTGCTCACTAGGGTGGCTGTTATTACTGCCGCAGTCCTGTCTCCCTCACGGGACTGGTCAGTGTTTTCCAAGAACCCTCATGCCAAGGTTCAGCCTAAAATAGACAGGCAGCTTAAATTACTCACAGACTGGACAACGTGGTCAAGGTCCTGCCTGGCCCAGAGCGTGGTGATACAAACTACCCCAGGTCCGTGTGGAGGCCACTGTCTGCTTTGTGTGATATGTCCATAGCTAAGCCAGTGGGGTAGGCCCTGCCAGGGGGACCAGTTGCTGTCTCTGCGGTTTATGATCAAAATAGAAGCTGGAAAGCCAGAGTAGAATAGAGCAATGCTGAAAGAAAGGGCAGTGTAAGGCCAGGGTTCCCCCAGACTCCTGTAGACTGGGAGCCCCTGCACCCCAGCACTGTGTTGCTAGGCGACGGTCCAGGGATTGAGGACGGCCAGCAAAGGCCGGCAGGACTGGGGTCCATTTGCTTCTTCGACTGCTGCTGGGTCTGGTGCTTGCTCTGGGGGAGAGGAGGTCTTAATTGTAGGCAGAGGAAGCAACTAATTACGTGGGATGACTAAAGTCACCCTTGACCCTATGCGTCTGCCTCGGTGTCTGCAGTTTTACCTTTAGCAACTCGTTCAAGTCAAGACTCTGGCATCCTAACATTTTTGGTGTGTGAAATTTTTGGTTCAAACAAAATTTTAACTTAGAAGCATGAACAAGAAAAAGATATTTTAAAATATTGCTCCATTAATGGGGGACTCTCTACTTCCCCCTTCGAAGGGGCTGGCTTTCTTCTAAAACCCTAGACTCTGGAGCATAATTTGAAAATCAGTGGGTTAAAGTATTGCAGCCACCCTGTTAAAAAGTAAACAGCCTTGGTTTGATAAAATATTAAGCTATTTTAAAATTACTGATACATGATGGCAGGTGGCAATGTTTTCCTGTGTAGGGAGGAGGAGGGGGATAATAGACTCCTTAGAGGATCTGAAGTCATACAATGGACCCACTGCCCAGAAAAATGCACATATCTGAAATTCTGCATCTGGCCGTATATGGGCAATGATCCATGGGCCATAGGTTAAGGACCCCTGTCTTGTGGGATATTTGTTTATGTGATTTACTTTCAAATGGGGTAAATATTTAAGGCTTGGAGCACAGAAGAATGAGTTTTGAAAAGGGGAGGAAGGAGAAGAAGAGCTAGAGAATCAGGATCTTGGTGGTAGAGGCCAGGAATGTGTGTTTTTAACATGATCTCCAGGCAGTTTTGATCAGACAAACATAGGCCTCAGAGGTCTAGAGCTGGTGCACCCAGGCCCTATTGAGTCAGCAGTCCTAAGGGAGTGGGAGGAGGGAGGGAGGGAGGAGCCCAGCTGCCTTTCCCAGGCTTCAGTGTGACCAGCTGGAGAACAATGGGAAACGTCCTCTTCCCTCAGCCCTCCTCTTCACAATGGGACACAGTGAGGTCGCAGTGCCCCTGAGCCTCAACCAGTCCATCCACCCAAAGCCTGAGCAGAGGAACTCTGAAGCAAAAAGTACAGAAACCAGGAGTTCACAAAACACCCGCAAGGGCTGGGCCTGAGAGAAAGTCTCATCTGGGGAACTCATGTTCCAAATTCTGACATTTCTCCATGGTTTTCCATGTTCCTATGCTAAGTGGAATTCATTGGTACTTCCCAGCAAAGGGCTAGTCTCTCCCTAACAGTCAGGGAACTTTTAGAGTTTGTCAGAAGTAACACAGAGCTTCCATTAATTTGGGGTTGATTAATGGAATCTGTTCTGGTCTGGGTCAGGTACTTTCCAGGCAAAGAAGCATTTGTAACTAAGTCAACAACTACCTATTGACTCTGCTATACCCAGCTCCAGGGCATTTGCCTGGCGACCCCAGCCTCATCCTTTTTTTTTTTTTTTTTTTGAGGCAGTGTCTCACTCTGCCACCCAGGCTGGAGTACAGTGGCATGATCACGGCTCACTGCAGCCTCCACTTCCCAGGCTCAATCAATCCTTCCACCTCAGCCTCTCAGGTAGCTGGGACTACAGGCACGTGCCACCACACCTAGCTAATTTTTATATTTTTTTGTAGAGCAGGGTTTTGCCATATTGCCCAGGCTGGTCTTGAACTCCTGGCCTCAAGCAATCCTTCTGCCCTGGCCTCCCAAAGTGTTGGGATTACAGGCGTGAGCCACTGCGCCCCGCTGCTAATTTTGACATTCTCCCCGAAGAATCTGCTTTTTAGGGACTATGAGAGGAGAAGAGAAACTTCTCTTCTGAAAGCAGATCCTTTGGGAACAAGGGAAGAAGTGGCCTCCTCCAGACCCCAAGGCATCCAGTCTAAAGTTGGCTCCAGACAAAACCCAGGTTTACTTAAGAACCTGTTTCTTGACACAGATCCTGTCCCAGCCAAGACAAACCCAAGTCATGTTGATCTTCTGCTTCCTTTCCTACTTGTGACTTTATGCAGCAGTGGTTTTTAGACTCAGAATGTGAGACACCTGCTTGGCTCTGTCTTTTCTCTCTGGGAGGTAGGGGAGGTAGGGAAGTTGTTCCCTTTTTCCCAATAGTCTTTGGGTAGTTATTCTTAGCCCTGTTAATGTTTTACTCAAATATAGCCATTTATCAAAATTGTGGAGTTAATATTTGTTCATTTCAATGTATATAAATTTTACCTTTTAAAAAAGGACCATGAGGCCGGCATGGTGGTTCACACCTGAATCCCAGCACTTTGGGAGGCTGAGGCAGGCAGATCGCTTTGAGCTCAGGAGTTCAAGACCAGCCTGGGCAACATGGCAAAACCCCATCTCTATTAAAAATACAAAAAAATTAGCCAGGCATGGTGGTGCATGCCTGTAATCCCAGCTATTCGGGAGGCTGAGGTGAGAGGATGGCCTGAGTTCGGGAGTTCAAGGCTGCAGTTGCAGTGAGCCGAGATCACACCACTGCACTCCAGCCTGGGTGGTGGAGTTAGACCCTGTCTCCAAAAAAAAAAAAAAAAAGAAAGAAAAAAAGGACCACGAAAAATGAAAAATGACAGTCTCATGTGGGGAGGAGCAGGTGGAGGCAGATGTAGTGGGGTAGAGATAGATAAAGAACGGCAGAAATTGGTGAGTATTGAAGTTGGGCAATGAGATGGGGCTCATTGCACTGTTTTGTTTTTTTAATATATATTTGAAATAATGTATTTCAAATTTGCCATAATAGGTTTTATAAATTTACCACATCAAAAAGTAAAAGTGGAAGAAAAGACTTAGGGATGTCTGTTTTCTCTTAGAAATCTCTTGATCAACAATCTCAAAGAAACTCATACTCTTTAACCTAGTAATTCCACTTCTGGGAATTTATCTAAAGGAAATAATTAGAGATACAAAGAAAGTGTCATTGCAATATTATTTAAAATAAGGAAAAATGGAACACAACTCCAGGTCCAACAATAGGGGAATGGTGAAAGAAACTGTGATGCGGCCATTAAGGACATGGGAAAGTGCTTTTGACCTAAAATTAAATGGAAAAAAGTCAGAAAACAAAACTATATACCATATGATCTTCATTTGCATGTGTACATGCATGTATAGAATCAGAATCTGGAAAGAAATACAGCAAAATGTTAAAAGTAGTTATCTCTGTTTGGTGGACTTGTGGCAGGTGTTTTGTTTTGTTTTGTTTTGTTTTGTTTTGTTTTGTTTTGAGACAGAGTCTCGCTCTGTTGCCCAGGCTGGAGTGCAATGGTGCGGTCTCGGTTCACTGCAACCTCTGCCTCCTGGGTTCAAGCGATTCTCCTGTTTGGGATTACAGGTGCCTGCCACCATGCCAGGCTAATTTTTGTATTTTTTAGTAGAGACGGGGTTTCACCATGTTGGCCAGGCTGGTCTGGAACTCCTCACCTCGATTACAGGCGTGAACCACTGTGCCCGGCCCAGATTTTTATTTTCTTTTTTATTCTAGTCTGTATTTTCATCTTTCCTGCATTTAACAGGTATTACTTTGATAATTATTTTTAACTAAGATGTGCTATTTTGAAAGAAAAGGGGCCGGGTGCTGTGGCTCATGCCTGTAATCCCAGCAGTTTGGGAGGCCGAGGCGGGCGGATCACCTGAGGTCGGGAGTTTGAGATCAGCCTGACCAACATGGAGAAACCCCGTCTCTACTAAAAATACAAAATTAGCTGGGCATGGTGGTGCATGCCTGTAATCCCAGCTACTCGGGAGGTTGAGGCAGGAGAATTGCTTGAACCTGGGAGGCGGAGGTTGCAGTGAGCCAAGATTGCACCACTGCACTCCAGCCTGGGCAACAAGAGCGAAACTCCGTCTCAAAAAAAAAAAAAAAAAAAAAAGAAAAGGGGAAAAAGATGGAAGTAAGGACAGATTTCCATATCAGTACCCGTACAAAATAATAAGTTCTTGGAACTGGAAGGAATCTTAGAAGTTGTCTAATCTTAGAAGTTCAACTGTCTCATTTTACAGATGAGGAGACTGAGGGTAGAATGAATCGAATGACCACCAAGGTCTTTTGTTCCTCGTCTCAGAGACTGTTTGTTTTACTTCACCACTAGCCCTCGTATCCCCTGAGGACCTTCGCAGCCTGGGGAGTGCCCATTGTTAATCCCTGGAGGCCCCATTTGAGGGGCTTTCCAGACAGTCTGGGCCATCCGTTGCAGTCATCATTGGCCAGCTGGGCTGGAGAAGTGCCCTGGCAGGAAGAAGAAGGCTGGTAGAACAGTAGACCTCACTGCCACCTGGTCACCTTGTGCTTCTCCCTTGGAGTGTTCTGACCAGTCATCCGTGTCTTCTTAGCTCTGCTGTTGCAGGGGTTATTTCGAAGCAACTAGGGTAAATGTCTGGGGGAGCTGGCTTGTCCTGGCTTTCAAACCACCATCACTTGGAAGAGAAATGATGTGGTTTAATGGTTAGTCAGATCGGAGTTAGAGATGTGTTACTGTCTTTGCCACAGTCCTTAGACACCAAGACCCTGCTCCGGAGAAATGGGGGCAAGCAACAGCTTGCAATGGCAACTAAACCTCTTTGGGATGTGTGTTTATGTGTGTTTATATCTCCTCCCCGTCCCATCCTTGCTAGCACACTCCCCACCACATACACATAAAAGCTCTAGAAATCAACAGGTTTTAAACACCACTGCTTCACCAGAACCTAGCACATAACAGGCCCTCAGTACGTGCTTGTTGAATGTGGGATGAGTGAACATCATTATATATATATATTTTTTTGAGACGGAGGCTCACTCTGTGGCCCAGGCTAGAGTGCAGTGGCGCATCTCTGCTCACTGCAAGCTCCGCCTCCCGGGTTCACGCCATTCTCCTGCCTCAGCCTCCTGAGTAGCTGGGACTACAGGCACCCACCATCACGCCCGGCTAATTTTTTTCTGTTTTTTTAATAGAGACGGGGTTTCACCGTGTTAGCCAGGATGGTCTCGATCTCCTGACCTCGTGATCCACTCGCCTTGGCCTCCCAAAGTGCTGGGATTACAGGCGTGAGCCACCAAGCCCGGCCGTGAACATCATTTTCTTAGAATGTAGAAGAACAGACATATTCCAAGTTAACAATGTCTTCTGAGATATTGTTCCTGAGCTATATAAACATTTTATATTTTATAATAAAATAAAAAATAAAATATATTCTGAGACATTTAAACATTTTAATTCTAAAAGAACAGAATGTTTGAACAAAAATTAGCACTTAATATTTATTTGCACAACTGCAATGCAATGTTTTTGAAAGCTGTCAATAGTGAACAAATAAGCGTGAGGGAACACCACAGCCCGGGTATGTCCAGTGACACTGCTACAATGTGCACTCTGCCTGCTGCCTTCCACTCCTCCCTCTTTGTATTTCTGAGTTTGGCCAATCATTTGGATGGTGATTAAAATATTTTTGGACGGGTGTGGTGACTCACACTTGTAATTCCAGCACTTTGTGAGGCCAAAGTGGAAGGATTGCTTGAGTCCAGGAGTTCAAGACCAGTCTTAGCCACATAGCAAGACCCCATCTCTGCAAAAAAATTTTTTTAATTAGCCAGATACAGTGGTGCACACCTGTAGTCCCAGCTACTCAAGAGGCTGAGGAGGGAGAATCACTTGAGCCTGGGAGGTTGAGGCTGCAGTGAGCTGTGATTGCACCACTGCACTCAAGCCTGGGCAACAGAGTAAGACACCATCTCTAAATATATATAGATTTATATTTTATAAAAATATTTTTTATTTTGGAGATATTTCTCAAATTTAGACTATCAGATCATCAGACTTTTACCTTCTAGAGTACTCAATAGAATAACTCAGAGGTTAGGCATGTTCTCTAGGATCTGTGGTATCACCTATTTAAAAAAAAAATAAAATTGTGGTAAAATACACATAATGAAATTTACCAGCTTAACCATTTTTAAGTCTACGGTTCAGTGGCATGAAGTACATTCACACTGTTGTGCTACCATCGGCACCACCATCGTCATTATCCACAGAACTGTCTTACAAAATTGAAATGCTGTACTCATCAAACAGTAAGTCCCCATCCTGCTCCTCTAGCCCCTGACAGACACCATTCTTTCTGTCTCTATGAATTTGACTACTATGTACCTTGTATAAGTAGAATCATACAGCATTTGTCTTTATGACTGGCTTATTTCACTTGGCATGATTTTTATGTTTTTATTCTGTGGAGTTTGGTTGGGGGGCACCAAGGCCAGCCCTAGGTAGAACTGGGAAGTAAGGAGGGGCCTTATCCCCCGCTGCCCCACTTTCCTGCCCCATCCCTCCCTCAGTTCCCACCCACTTGAGGTCCCTGCTCAGTGGCTAAATGTCTTCATCCCCCTCATCCCATCTTCCACTTATCAGCAAAGAGCATCTGATTGGCCTCGTGTGGGTCATGTGTCCATCCATGGCAGAGGAAGGTGGGCCACCTCACTTGACAATCCCATCAAGACTCTGTATGTAATAAGGAGGCAATAGTTCCTCCCAGAGAGGTGCTTCTCTCAGAAGAAGGGGGGTGGACACTGGGCAGGCACAAACAATAGATGTCTTTGTTGAACCTCCAACAAGGTACAAAATGCCTTTCCGCCTTCCCATTGCACACAGCTTTGGACTTGGGTCCCTTCCCCTTGGGCCTTGTTTGCAAAATTTTTTATCTACTTGGCTTTCCTTGCAGTTTTTAGCAGCTTGAAAGCCAGTGCTGTGCCCCAGACACAGTATGTAAGTGTGACAGGAGCCTACACAGGCTGCTCTCAAACACCGGCAGCCTTGAAAACAGATTCTGGACTCAGATAGCCTGGGTCCAATCCTGGTTTGGCAGTTCCTGGCTGTGTGGCTTTGAGCAAGTGACTTTGCCTCTCAATGACTCAATTTTCCCATCTGTAAAATGGTAAAATAATTTACCATTGAATTGTTTTGGAGATTGGAAAACCTACTGTGTGATGTGCTTGACCTACATCATCTTAATCATGCTCACAGAGGGCCCTATCGCACATGGGGAAAAGGCACTCCCTCTCTGGGCAGATGCAACACCTGAATAGGGCATACCACCTAGCATGCAAGACTTGAGCTAGATTTCACCCTCCACTCATGCCCTGAGCTAGGTAACCTTATGAATAGCCTGCATAACTATACAGCAGCCCAGCCCCTCTATGATGCAGGAGTTTGTATATCCCCATTTTTCAATGAGGCAGCTATGGCTTAGGGAAGTCAAGCACCATGTGGGAAGGGGCGGTGGGATCACTTCTAATTTGCCTATTTACTTAGGGCACATGAAAGAGGCTAACCCAGTCCCTAGGACTCTCCTCCACCTGAATTGTGGACCACATCTCTGTCATCAGCTAACCAGCTTAAACCTTATTCATCTTCCACAGTGGATGGTAATGAAGTACAGCTCTAGCATCTAACCCATAGATTACCTCCAATCTCTAGTCTATAAACAGTTCCTTTTTTTATTTGAGACAGGGTCTCACTCTGTCATCTGGGCTGGAATGTAGTGGTACAATCACGGCTCACTGCAGCCTCAACCTCCCAGGCTCAGGTCATCCTCCCACCTTGGCCTGCTGAGTGGCTGGAACTACAGGCACATGCCACCACGACCGATTAATTTTTGTATGTTTAGTAGAGACGGGGTTTCACCATGATGGCCAGGCTGGTCTCAAACTCCAGACCTCAAGTAATTCGCCCACCTTGACCTCCCAAAGTGCCAGAATTACAGGTGTGAGCCACTGCGTCTGGCCTCTAAACTGTTACTTTGATAATCATTTTTAAAAGTAACAGATACTATTTTGAAAGCAAGTGGTGGGAAGGTAGAAGGAAGGACAGATTTCCATCCAGATACCATCCTGACTTGACAGTTTTCTTTTTTTTTTTTTTTTTGGTCATTTCAGCAGTCCATTCAATACCTAGACAGTAAGGACTAAAAATATTGTGAGTCTGAGTGAATTCTTCTAGAACTGAAAGATCAGTGTTACCGACAGATCAGTCAATACAGGCAAAGCATATTCCAGTTTCAGGGTTTTTTTCCTCTTCCTTCTCATGTGCCCAGGAGTATTACATGGCTGGGTGACGCTACGGAAGGATGCGCTAACTACAGTTCCCCACCCTCTCATTTCTAAACCCTTCCTTTGTTTTTCTGATGAACAGGCAGCACCCACTGCCTGCTGTGTCCCATTTAGCAGTGTAATTTGGGTGTGCGTCATAGAATTGTGCACAGGGAGGGGGAAGGAGTTACGTGCTGGATGTATATACTGAACGTGTTTATGTGCTCCTTTGTAGACCTGCACTTTATGCAAATTATATACTTTCAGACAGATCACTGAGTAAACTGAGTAACAGATCACTGAGTAAACTGTCAGGGAATTGATGTGTTTGCAGAACGCTGAATATAATTGAGGAGTCCTGCCAGTTCTATCCCTGGTTTAACTCTCTCTAAGCTTATGTCTTTTTTTTTTTTTTTTTTTAGACGGAGTCTTGCTTTTTTTGCCCAGGCTGGAGTAAAGTGGCGTGATCTTGGCTCACAGCAACCTCTGCCCCCACTCCCAGGTTCAAGCGATTCTCTTGCCTCAGCCTCCTGAGTAGCTGGGATTACAGGCGCGTGCCACCACACCTAATTTTTGTATTTTTAGTAGAGACAGAGTTTCACCATGTTGGTCAGGCTGGTCTCAAACTCCTGACCTCAGGTGATCCACCCACCTTGGCCTCCCAAAGTGCTGGGATTACAGCGTGAGCCACCGTGCCCCGCCCTAAGCTTATGTCTTGAATGGTGTGATCTCAAAGTGTAGTTCAGATTTGAAACAGGTGTATTAGAACCAGCCACCTTGAATTAATATCCCCAAGTGGCATGAAGTAAATGAGCATATATTGAAAGGGAAATTTTCTTAGGCTTGGAACCACCATTTCCTCAGCAAACCTCCCACCTGAGTGAGACCCAGGGGACATCAAATGAAAGACGATGAAAAGTAATGGATTTGGCCCATGTGCCTCTAAGAGGCCAATGCAGTCAGAATGAACTGAGATGATCTTCGAACAGATTAGATATTTTAACACCAATTCTTGGGCCTCAGAAGTGAGCCTGGCTGCTGGCACACAACCAACACTGTCATGTTTAATTTTTAGATTTGGCTGTTAAATTTGGCCCTGTGTGAGTCTGTGTTTGGTCAGAGTCTATAAGGGTGGAGGAGGATTCCTGGTGGGAAGGCCTGGTTTCTAGCTCAGTGACTTATCGGCTGCATGACTTTGGACAAGCTATCACACCACTGAGAGTCATTTTCTCATCTGTACAATGAAGGAAACAACCCCTGGTCTACTTGCCTTATAGGGAGTCGTGAAGATGAAACGAGATGGTATTTGGGAACTGTGAACACACTACACAAAAGACCAGCATGAATATGTTCAGAAGCACCACACAGTCCTTTCTGCCTTGCTCACTCAATTCTCCATTTAATTTATACACAGTGGATTTTACCCCTCATTCTTGCAGCAAAACCCTTTTGAGAGTATCATTTTAAGAAGTGGATTGACATCATATATGTATAGTTGCCCTATTTGTCCTCAGAGTCTGAGATGAGGAAAAGACAAGAATTATTGGGAAAAATAGACCCAGAGAGGGCACAAAGAATTCCCATCCTGATGTTCTTTCTTTCCTAGATGACATTGACATCTACATCCAAAGCCAAAGATTCTGGTCAAGAGTTAATCTATTGGCTGGGCATGGTGTTGCATGTAGTGGCTCCTGTAGTCTCAGCTACTTGGGAAGCTGAGGTGGGAGGATCACTTGAGCCCAGGAAGTCAAGATTACAGTGAGCCATCATCACGCCACCGCACTCCAGCCTGGGTGACAGAGCAAGAGACTGTCTAAAAAAAAAAAAAAGAAAAGAAACTACATCTTTACCATATTGCAACAAGTCTGAAATGCCACTGCTTCTAAGACACCATTTTTTTAATGTGTCATCAAGAAAGAAAAAGCTCTCTATCCCTTAAAACATAACACAATTCTTCCTTACTGTGTCAATTTTAAGACACGTCTTGATTTCATAGATGTTAGATGTGGAAAAAGCGTGCATCTTGGAATAGATGAAATGCAGTGTGTTTACCTATCCCCAAAAATAAAGCTTATTCCTTTTGATCCTGACGCATTATTAGATTAGCAAACTTCAAAACTTGTATTTTTTGTCTTAGCTCCTTGACGTTATACATGTTATGCAATCAGGCTATCACGTGGGTTAAAGGGGGACATTAATTCTATTTTTCTTATGCATACAGTAATACAAAATACCTCTGGGCTTGAATATAGTTTTAGGTAAGTGTAGATTGTAAAATACTTGTCAGAGCCAAAATCATCACTAATTCCATGGTCTGTTGTTTATTACCAGATTTAAAGGAGGAAGAAACGCTTAAGGGCATTTGGCACATCAATTGTGTTTTCTTTGTTCTGAGTGGAACTGTTTGTTGTTGTTGTTTTACTTAATGCTTGATTTGGTTGTTTTGTTGTTATTCCATTTATTTTTAGCTCAGGTAAAACAATTAAACTATGAGTTTCCCATTGCACAGACAAATTAGGGATGAACAGGCTCAAGTGAGAGCACATCACCTGCCTCGGCCAAATATATTTTCATAAAATGCAATTGGGAATTCATAGTCTTTCTGAGTGGAAAGGAGCATAAGAAACACAGGGAAATAGGGCCAGGCGTGGTGGCTCATGCCTGTAATCCCAGCATTTTGGGAGGCCAAGGCAGGTGGATCACAAAGTCAGGAGTTTGAGACCAGCATGGCTAACATGGTGAAACCCCGTCTCTACTAAAAATACAAAAATTAGCCTGGCGTGGTGGCACTCGCCTGTAGTCCCAGCTACTCGGGAGGCTGAGGCAGGAGAATCGCTTGAACCCAGGAGGCGGAGGTTACGGTGAGCCAAGATCATCCCACTGCACTCCAGCCTGGGCGACAGAGCGAGACTCCGTCTCAAAAAAAAAAAAAAAAAAAAAAAAGAAACACAGGGAAATAGAAATACATACCACTTCTGTGAGGAGCCTTTGTAAATTTTTTGTGGACTAAGGCTTCCATTTAGAACATCCTTCCATTTAGAATGTCCTCGTTCATAAATTCTACACTTTGGAATAAGAAAAATTCCACCTATTTCTAGCCTGTTCCTTAGTTACCTTTCCCACGTTCCTCTGCTCCATAAGGACACTACTTAAACATAACAACAAAGAGAGTCACACACAAAAATGATTTCTAGGGACTAGACCATGGCTGGGTGGAAGGGAATGATCCAAATCATTGTAGTTCTTGTACTCGGTTCATAATCATCAGCTCCCTGCCCGGGGTCCCAGGGCCCATTTCTGAGAGGATGAGCATCAGTAGCCATGGTGCTGGGAAGTGGGTGGGAAGCTGTTAATGTTTGATCACTGCTAATGCACATTTCGCCCACTGTTCTCTCCCCTGCAGTCTGAGTACCACTATGAGTACACGGCGTGTGACAGCACGGGTTCCAGGTGGAGGGTCGCCGTGCCGCATACCCCGGGCCTGTGCACCAGCCTGCCTGACCCCATCAAGGGCACCGAGTGCTGTAAGCAGCTATCCTGCTCAGGGCCTCCCTGTCACTCAGCTTTGGTCTCTCCCCCAAGTCTCCTGCCATCCAATCTGGGCCCTTCCTGGCAGAGCAGCTGCATTAAGGAATCAGATCTTTTCCCCAATTAGTCCCCACATCCCAGACCCTTATGAGATTTGGTGCAGAAGTATTTCATGAATGCAAACTGGATATCTGAATTTGCTTTCATTTTTTAAAGGAATTTAAATCCCATCAGTGGATACAGCATAAGCAATGCCAGCTGTGTGCACTCAGATATTCTTTTCTGTTTGCATACATTTTCATTTTTGCCTTGTATGTCTCTCCAATCTACACTCACTCACCAGCCACAATCAGTCATTAGGCAAGATTGAGATTTGCTTTCATTCTTAAAAAGGAAGTCAGAGAGGCTAAGTTTCTGCAGAGACGTCCTTTAAAATGCTCCAGGCATCACTTCAGGAGACAAGAATCTTCTTGACTGTGGGTCTGATTGTGCAATAGGAAAGGCAGTGGCTTGCCGCAGCCCCAGCACCCGCCTCTGTGACTCTGCAGTCACAACTTTTCTACAATTGGCAGCTGTTTCCCCTGCATTATTCTTTTAGGAATGCAAAGGGAATAACAAGAAAAACCAGGCACTAGATTTAAGGAATTATCTGAAGAGTTGGAAAGGAGTTTGAAGATATTTAAATTCTAAAATCAGCTTAGTACAGTGCCTGGTTGAGTAAGTGAGCAAATAAATACTTGTTAAATTAATGACTGGATATTGCTGAGACCTGAGCAGAACTGAGGTGTGACTAGTGGAAACAAATGAGCCATCTTCATTGAACTCTGCTGACTTCAGTGAGTCCCACTATGTGTTAGCACCATGATGTGCACATGCAGTGTGAACTGCAAAGACAAATAAGGCACACTCTCTGCTTTCAGAAGCTTAGGGTGGTGGAAAGTGCAGACATTCATTCATTCACTCATTGTTTCAGAAACATTCATGAAGCTCCCAGTCTGTGCCAGTCACTGAGCCAGCCATCCCCAGAGGAGCGCAGAGCCTAGTGGGTGGCAGACATATATGATATGAGAAAGAATGAGAGTTACGAATATTTAGGGATCAGGCATAGCTGGGAGGGCCACTTGAGCAAAAGTTTAGACGTGGATGAAGAGTGACACATTTGAGGAAGAGCTTGTGGTCCAGGGTAGAGGCAACACAGAGAAGGTGATGGATGGAGTTGAGGTGAAAAAAGATTTGTAGTGGGAGGTCAAGCTGGGAAGTTAGGCTGCAGGGAAATCGTGGAAAACTTTGAATGCCAGGCCAAGAGCATAATTCTAGAACCAAAAGGGAGTGCCTGTTTATTTTTAAAATAAGGAGAATAATAGTACATACGTGTTTTACTTTTTATTTTTTTAAAGACAAGGTCTCACTCTGTTTCCTAGGCTGAAGTACAGAGGTGCAATCATAGCTCTGTAGCCTCGACCTCCTGGGCTCAAGTAATTTTCCCACCTCAGCCTTTTGAGTAGCTAGGATTACAGGCACACGCGACCACTCCCAGCTAATTTAAACATTTTTTTTTTTGGTAGTGACAGGGTCTCACTGTGTTGCCCAGGTTGGCCTCAAACTCCTGGGCTCAAGTGATCCTCCTGCCTTGGTCTCTCAAAGTGTTGGGTTTACAGGTATGAGCCACTGTGCCTGATCACATCTGTTTTAGAAAGGTACCTCTGACCACAGAATGAGCAAAAATAAGAATAGGGAACTAGTTAGGAGGATATTGCAATGATTGAGTTAACAGGTCATGAGAATTCCACCTAGCATGGTGGCAGTACAACCAGAAAGGCAGAGGCCAGAGGCTCAAGGGAGAAATTCAAGGCTGAAGGGCCATGTGTCATTCAGAGGGGTCAGCACAAGAGACCTTGGCATCTTCTTCACCAGAGAGCTCTCAGAATGGTCAGGGCACCTCTCCAAAGGAAACGAGTGCCAGGAACAAGCCCAAAGTCCCACAGCAAGGCAGAGCATCCGTGGCCCTAGATCTATTTTTTTTATAACAGCTTTATTGGTATATAATTTATATGCCATGAAATTCATTCCTTTAAGGATAAAATTCAGTGGTTTTTAGAATATTCACAGCAACCATCATCACTCTCATTTCACATTTTAATCATCCTAAAAAGAAACCTCATATTATTAGCAATCTCTCCCCAGGCCCCTCCCCACAGCCCCTGGCAACCACAAATCTACTTTCTGTCTCTATGGCTTCACCTCTTTTGGCCGTTCCATACAAATAGAATGACACATAGCAAGGAATATCACTGCTGAAAAAAAAATTTTTTTAAGAAAAATAAAATCAAATCACACAGTAAATGCCATGGCCCTAAATCTTAGTGGGCCAAACTCCTAGACCCCAACCCAGCGCTCCTCCCTTCAGCTGCTCGCAGCCCATTCACTTCTGGGGCTGCAGTGACCTCACTGCCCCACCTTGTCTCTGCCCTGTTTTCCAGCCTTCTCCTGCAACGCCGGGGAGTTTCTGGATATGAAGGACCAGTCATGTAAGCCATGCGCTGAGGGCCGCTACTCCCTCGGCACAGGCATTCGGTTTGATGAGTGGGATGAGCTGCCCCATGGCTTTGCCAGCCTCTCAGCCAACATGGAGCTGGATGACAGTGCTGCTGAGTCCACCGGGAACTGTACTTCGTGAGTCTGCACACACCCCCACCCCACCCCCAGCCCACTGGGTAAGGGGCTACAGGGCACACTGGACAGCCTCCTCCGCTGCCCCTCAGGCTGGGCAGGGAGGATGGAGGGAAGAGGAAGCCAGGCTGCCAGGGTGAGGCCTGCAGCTGTGCCCGCAAGACCAGTGGATGTGACTCTGCCTGGCCCACTCTTACTGGCCTAAACTTACCAGTGATGGACAGGCATTTGTGGGAGGTAAAAAACATGAGGAAATAAGAGAGTGGACAAGGGGGGCAAGGGTTAAATGGCCCAGTCTATTTAAAACAAAACCCAATTGGAGCTGGGCACAGTGACTCACCCCTGTAATCCCAGCACTTTGAGAGGCTAATGTGGGAGGATTGCCTGAGGCCAAGAGTTTGAGACCAGCCTGGGAAACATAGCGAGACCCCTGTCTCTACAAAAAGTTAAAAAATTTGCCAGGTGTGGTGGTGCATGTCCGTAGTCCCAGCTACTCGAGAGGCTGAGGCAAGAGGATAACTTGAGCCTAGGAGTTCAAGGTTAGACTGAGCTATGACCGCACCACTGTACCCCTGGATAACAGAGCAAGACCCTGTCTCATTGAAAAACAAAAACCGGCAGGGCGCGGTGGCTCACGCCTGTAATCCCAGCACTCTGGGAGGCCGAGGCGGGTGGATCACTTGAGGTCAGGAGTTCAAGACCAACCTGGCCATGGTGAAACCCCGTCTCTACTAAAAATACAAAAAATTAGCCAGGCCTGGTGGTGCATACCTGTGATCTCAGCGACTCGGGAGGCTGAGGCAGGAGAATCGCTTGAACTGGGAAGCGGAAGTTGCAGTGAGCTGAGATCGCACCATTGCACTCCAGCCTGGGCAACAAGAGTGAAACTCCGTCTTAAAAAAAAAAAAAAAAGAAAAACAAAAACAAAAACCAAAAAAACCAACCGGATTTCCACCACGGAATTTCAGATCAGCCAATATACTTTCTCAGCTTGACTGGAACACAATATGCAAAGCTTGGGTATCTTCCCGGCTTGGGTGCTAACTTCTTCTTCTTCTTCTTTTTTTTTTTTTTGAGACAGAGTCTCACTCTGTCGCCCAGGCTGGAGTGCAGTGGTGCCATCTTGGCTCGCCACAAGCCCCAGCTCCCAGGTTCAAGTGTTTCTCCTCCCTCAGCCTCCTGAGTAGCTGGGTTACAGGTGTGTGTGCCACAATGCCCGGCTAATTTTTTTTTTTTCTTTTTTTTGAGATGGAGTCTCGCTCTGTCACCCAGGCTGGAATGCAGTGGTGCCCTCTCCGCTCACTGCAAGCTCTGCCTCCCGGGTTGACGCCATTCTCCTGCCTCAGCCTCCCGAGTAGCTGGGACTGCAGGCACCCGCCACCACGCCCAGCTAATTTTTTGTATTTTTAGTAGAGATGGGGTTTCACCGTGTTAGCCAGGATGGTCTCGATCTCCTGACCTCGTGATCCACCTGCCTCGGCCTCCCAAAGTGCTGGGATTACAGCGTGAGCCACCGCACCCAGCTAATTTTTTTGTATTTTTTTAGTAGAGATGGGGTTTCACCATGTTGGCCAGGCTGGTCTCAAACTCCTGACCTCAGGTGATCCACCTGCCTCAGCCTCCCAAAGTGCTGGGATTACAGGCATGGGCCACCTTGGCTGCTAACTTCTGAAACTGATTCTGCCTAGCCTTTGCCCAGTGCTGGCTGAAATCTTCCAAATGCTGTGAGACCCCAATGACTAGCAAATTTTCTTGGAAAGCTCAGTCCAGGGTGCTTGGAGAACTGGATATCTATTTCAGATATGTCTTTTGTAGGCCAGGCACTATTCTGGATGCTTTACATATATTATTTTCTCTAATTCTCACAAGAACCTTGTGAAATAGGCATTACTATTTCTATTACAGAGACGAGGAACTGGAAGCTCAGCAAGGTTATGACCTGCTCTTTGTTATCCGGTTTACAGCCGGCGAGATTGAAATTCGAACCCAAGCTTCCACTGCTCCATAATGCCACATTCAAATAACATTTATTATGGGCAAGGCAACACTGGGTCCTAGGGAGCGAAAGTGGGGGGATATGAGGATGTGAAAGGCAGCCATATTGTTCCTTATTAAATATGGACAGTGAATACAGGAGGAAAGCAAGTGAAAGTTTCACTTATACCCAAACAATCAAATGGATAAGAAGGACTCAAGAATTGTATTACACTTGGATTTCTAAAAACCGGGAGCAATGTTTCCCATTCCTATACTTAAATCTTGTCTAAGCCAAGCAGTGGCTATTTAATCTGTAGTCCAATTTTAATGTTATGTTATTTTAGAGTTCAACTTGGTGTGTCAGATTCATTAGCATGACAATACTGGAGGCAGAGATAAAGCTAGAGAGCTTTAAAGCTGGAAGGAGCGGGAATGTGTGGGTTAAGACAACCAACTCCCATTTGAGTCCTAACTGAGAATGTCATTAGGCCCTGGACAAGGTGCAGACATGGCTCAGTCAATTCCTACCCATGTAAAGGAAGGATTTCTTCTCTCTCTGGGGACTGCACCGAGAGTCCAGAAATCATTATCTCTCAGAGAGGCAGGATGTGGGTGGGTTAATAACAACTTGTGTTTCCACCGCACGGACTATTTCAGGGCCTGCATCTTAAGGCATCCCACGACATCCCGGGGAGGGAGGGAGAGGATATTTCTCTGTCAATGGAGAGGAAATGGCCATCTGGAGAGCTTTTGTGGTTTCCCCATCATCCCTCAGAAAGGCAATAATTGAGCTAATACCTAGAGCGCAAGTATTTGGCTTTCCTATTCAGCTGTGCAGCTACCCAAATCCTGCCTGCTCTGCCTCAAGAGACTCCAAGCTCATCTCCTGCTTCCATTCCCAGCCTCCTCCAGGCCTGTCCACTCAGCAGCCAGATTCATCTTTCTTTTTTCTTTTTTTTAAGAAACAAGGTCTCACTCTGTCACCCAGGCTGGAGTGCAATGGCGCAATCACAGCTCACTGCAGCCTCAACCTCCCCGGGCTGAAGCCATCTTCCCACCTCAACCTCCCGCGTAGCTGGGACTGCAGGCTCATGCCACCACACCTGGCTAACTTCTTATTTTTCTAGAGACACGGTTTCACTTATGTTGCCCAGGTTGGACTCAAACTCCTGGGCTCAAATGATCCTTCCGCCTCAACCTCCCAAAGTACTGGGATTACGGATGTGAGCCACTGCACCCAGCCTCATCTCCTTAAATCCAGTCACAGTACTTTCCCGCTCAAAACCCTAGATTCAATGGCTACCAATTGCTCTTGGGATAAAGTCCACTACCTTCCCACAGCCTGCAGGGCCCTGCTGCCCTGCCCCCTGCCCTCTGCTTGTTTCCCCAGCCTCTCCCAAGTTCCTTCTGTCTTCACTTGCTGTGTTCCAGCCACACTGACCATCACACTCCTTCCCCTCCTCAGGGCATTTGAACATGTGACTCTCTGTCCCCTCTTCTATGTCTCCTACTTAACCCTCAGGTCTCTACCTAAAAATCCCTTCCTCAAAGAAACCATCCCCGACCCCACAGACTCCTGTTACACTCTCTTTATCATCCTGCATTTCTCCAATGGCACTTATCACAGTCATTGCTATGTGATTGTGTGATTAGTTAAGCTTCTGTCTCCTCAACTAGAAAGAGAATGCAAGCCCCAAGAGGGAAAGGATCATACTTGTCTTGTTCATCACTGTGTCTCCAGCATCTAACATAGTGTCTGGCTCAAAATAGACAAAATAAATAATTGGGGACAAAACAGACCAGCTGAACGGAGTCTCCATGGCAGGATTCTGAGCCTTCAGGGATCCTCCCATGGGTCCTGGGTTGATGTCCCAGGGCTAAGGTACTGGCCTGAGATCAGAAACTAGGATAAGCTAAGGGAACAGGAGTGACGTGGGTGTAATAGAAAGAATGTCATATATTAGTGGAAAAGATCAAGCAGACGCCCAAAGACTGTGACAGTGAAACAAGAATGAGAGAGAAATGTAAACATTAAAAATGAAAAACATTATATGCAGATCACAACTGGATGACCTAGGGTAAGTTTCCTAAGCACTTCTGGGCTTCAGTTTCTTCATTCTAAAAATGATGATAAAAATAGTACTCTTATAGTTGAGGTAAGGATTGATGAGATGATACTTGTAAAGAATTTAGAGCGATGCCTGACACTAGAAATCAATCAAAACATGTTGTTATTATTGAATATGAAATGTCTTCACCGGGGGCAATTCTGACAAAAATCAGAATTATGATGCATTTTGCAAATGTAACCCACTTATGGCATCTTTTAAATTATTTATTAAACTTCAAGAGTTATTTATAGCTGATGTCGTGGAGCATATCAGCATTAAAGGTTATCCCTTTCAACAAGGAGAAATCAATGCTGTTAGGTTAGCTGGGATATTTTGGATGAGCTCATGTTATATGTTTTCGTTTTGAGAATAACACTGACTGTCAAAGAGCTGAAAATAACCATGTTATTCTGACAAACACAGGGGGAAATCTGTGGACTAATCTGAGATTCCTTTAACTGGCTATTATTATTATTATTTTGATATGGAGTCTCGCTTTATCACCCAGGCTGGAGTGCAATGGCACAATCTCGGCTCACTGCAACCTCCGCCTCCCAAGTTCAAGTGATTCTCCTGCCTCAGCCTCCTGAGGAGCTGGGATTACAGCCACGTGCCACAACACCCAGCTAATTTTTGCATTTTTAGTAGAGATGGGGTTTCACCATGTTGGTCAGGCTGGTCTCGATGGTCTCGAACTCCTCACCTCAGGTGATCCACCCGCCTCAGCCTCCCAAAGTGCTGCGATTACAGGCATGAGCCACCACGCCCACCCAACTGGCCATTATTAAGCAACTGGAAACCTGGGCTGGTCTCAGGCAAAACAGTGCAATAGCGTGAGTGTTTTCGATTACCTGTTTCCACATTCAACTCTTTAACCCTGTGACTCCCCACTATGTGCCAGGTCCAGGCTGGTGCTGGGAATACTTTAGTGAGTAAGGTAAATTTGGTCTCTTCCCTCACATAATATTGGCAACAATTTTGAGGTCTGACAGTTTCAAATTTGGAGAGGATGTGGAGCAACAGGAACAGTGTAGCAGTAGCTGGTAAATGGGAGGCTCACATACAGTTCTCCTCCCAGGCTTTCTACTCAGACATGTGCCTAAGGAGACAGGAACACAGCAGAATGTGCACATGAAACTGCAAACAATCCAAATGTCCATCAACGAGTAATGCACAAATATATATGGCAGAGCCGTACAAAGGAATGTTATGCAGTAGTAAAGACGAAGCCAAAAAAGCTGGATGTGTGAATATGGATGAATCTCACAGTTAGTATATTGAAGTCCCTTCCTTCCCAAAGTGAGTTTCAGAGCCCATAAATATAATACCATTTATGTGAAGCTTGAAAACATGCGAAGCACTACCATACAGTATGTTGTTTAGAGATACATACATGTAGAGAACCGCATGCGCATGTTAAACACCAGATTCAGGAAATTAGTCACTTGGCAGTGGGGAAGGCAGTGTGTTCCAGGAAAAGGGATGAGGTTAGTGGAGGGTACGCAGAGGCTTCTGCTGTGTTGAACTTCTTAAGCAGGGTGATGGGTCGGGGAGTGTTCATTACACCATTGTATAGGTCTTACATATTTCATAATATACTAAAAATATATAAAATATCATGGGATTATGGCTATGAGAAGGAGAGCAAAGAGAGCTAAGGGCACCCATAGCAGAAGCAGATAGAATCAAGGAAGACTTTTTAGATTAAGTGACATTTAAGACACAGTAGGAGTTAAACTGAGAGAGAGAGGAGGAAGTTCATTCCAGGAAGAGGGAAGAGGATGTCAGGAGGCCCAGAGGTAAGAGAAAGCTTGGCAGAGGAATTGAAAGAAATGTCATAGAGTTGAAGTATATAGAGTGCATCAGGAATTTGTACCCTATCCTAAGGGCCACAGGGAGTCAGTCCCAGGGGTTTTAATTTGAAGCAAGGGAGTGCCATGGTCAGACGTCTATTCTGGAGGATCTGTCCGCTGGGCTGCAGCATGCAGAGGGCTTGGAGGATGTGGGACTGGCTTCAGGGAGACAAGTTTGGGGGCTGGTTCATAGATGGTGTGGTGGTGAGTGTAGGGAGAGCCCGTGGACAGGGTGGATAGAGTGAACACGTATTTAGGAGATAAAACAGACATGACCAGGTTGGCTGTCTCCAGGGTTCTCCGGCCCTCCTTGTTTCCATAAAAACCATTTACATGCAGCATCTTATAGTAGACATTTCTGGAAAAACAGGTAGACTAGACTGGGTGGATGTCTGAGTTCTGAAGAATATCTGTGTCTACTGAGTTATTTGACAGCTTTAGAGTTTGGCAGACCTGATTTCAGCCCTGCCACTCGCTGCTTCGTAATACTGGGCTTGGCACTCTCCAAGCCCCAGTTTCATCATCTCTTAAACAGAAAAAACATTTCCTCTTATTGATGAAAATAAATCATGAATATAAAGCACGTAGTTCAATTCCTGGAAGGTAGTAAGCAACCAATAAATGTTACCCCTCCCTGACTAGGCGCAGTGGCTCATGCCTGTAATCCCAGCCCTTTTTGAGGCCGAGGTGGGTGGATCACTTGAGGTCAGGAGTTCGAGACCAGGCTGGCCAACATGGTGAAAACCTGTCTCTACTAAAAAAAAATACAGAAATTAGCTGGGTGTGGTGGTGCATGCCTGTAATCCTAGCTACTCGGGAGGCTGAGACAGGAGAATTGCTTGAACCCGGGAGGCAGAGGTTGTGGTGAGCCGAGGCCACGCCACTGCACTCCAGCCTGGGAGACAGAGCGAGACTCTGCCTCAAAAAAAAAAAGATGTTAGCCCTCCCCAACTTCACCTGCCACCCGTATCCCAGGTAGCTCTGCACAATGTGGAGGCATGCCTGCTTGTTTTCCTCACCTGTCTGCCTTCCTCTTCTTAGCTGTACTCCAGGTCCTTGACCTACCTGAGAGCTTCTTTTGTCTTTCTTCACTGAGCATTTTCAGGTCCAAGTTTCAGTTTGTGAATCACAAGCCTGAAAATTCCCAAAGACCCAGCAGAACATGAGACCTGCACATGGCACAAAGCCTGGTGGGCTGTGCTCCTGCCTGTGAACCTGGTTCCTGTTCCTTCACAGGTCCAAGTGGGTTCCCCGGGGCGACTACATCGCCTCCAACACGGACGAATGCACAGCCACACTGATGTACGCCGTCAACCTGAAGCAATCTGGCACCGTTAACTTCGAATACTACTATCCAGACTCCAGCATCATCTTTGAGTTTTTCGTAAGCCCCTGGCCAAGGTGGAGGGTGGGAGCTAAAAAGCCTCTCTGGGGTTCAGATCCGTTTGAGGAATCCATCATGAGTGTAGCCCTGCTTGGGGGAATCACTGTTGTTTTCTCTCTGGAGAGAGCTGTGGGCAAAATGAGCTGAGGCCCAGGAGGCAAGAAGAAAAGGCAAAAGTGAAAGGACTATTGGGGGAAGAATTGTCTGGCAGATTTCTAAGTGTTTTATCCAGCTCAGACATGAAAACAGCACATCTGAGTTACAAGTTATTTCTTTGGTGTCAACGCTCATTTTGTGTGTGTGACTAACTCCTGCCCTACTTTGAGGCTCATGTGTTTTGAGCTCAATCCCTAAAGGAAATTGGCAACTCTTCCCATATAAAGAAGGGCCCTCTGGAGGGCTGGTGCAATGTGGGGAAAGGTATCCATTTCCTTAGAAAGCTGAGACTCTGGTCCCAAACTCTTTTTATGTCAGGTTCAGAATGACCAGTGCCAGCCCAATGCAGATGACTCCAGGTGGATGAAGACCACAGAGAAAGGATGGGAATTCCACAGTGTGAGTATCACACCAGCCTTCTCCCAGAGATCCCAGAAAAGGGACCCAGGGCCTTTCCTCAGAGAGTGCTTCCTCCCAGTCTGAGCCTCCACCCCAATGTCCCTGGAGGGCAGGAATGTGATATGATGAAGATGCTGTAGTTACTGTCCTCTAGCATTGACAGAATATGGGTGTGAGCTGACTTGTAGCTTCTATGGCTTGACTCCAAAGACCAGCAGCTTTCCAGCTTTAAGACTGGGTCTTCTGCCGGGCATGGTGGCTCATGCCTGTAATCCCAGCACTTTGGGAGGTCGAGGCAGGTGGATCACCTGAGGTCAGGAGTTCGAGACCAGCCTGACCAACATGGAGAAACCCCATCTCTACTAAAAATACAAAAAAATTAGCCAGGTATGGTGGCCCATGCTTGTAATCCCAGCTACTCGGGAGGCTGAGGCAGGAGACTCGCTTGAACCCAGGAGGCGGAGGTTGTGGTGAGCTGAGATCGAGCCATTGCACTCCAGCCTGGGCAACAAAAGCGAAACTCTGTCTCAAAAAAAAAAAAAAAAAAAAAAAGACTGGGTATTCTGGGGAGGGGGGCTGTCCCCCTGCAAAACCACAGAAGAATGAGGGAGTGCCAGTCACCCTGTTGTCAGGACCCTCAGGTCTCTTTACTGGTCTCACCATAAGAGATGCTCATGGTATATATGATCCAGGGAGTGGTGGGAGGGTTGTAAGAGGAGGCTTAGAAAGAGAGAGGAGCTGTGCTAAGTTGGGAAGAAGGACAGAGCTGAGGAAGAGGAGGAAGAGGGTCAGAAGAAGCATTACCATGCAGTTAGTAAGAGAAGTCATCCCAACAAGAGGCTATACCAACAGATTAGCGAGATTTTTCTCTGTGATGAATGAATGCTCCTGTTTGTGGTTTTTAGGTGGAGCTAAATCGAGGCAATAATGTCCTCTATTGGAGAACCACAGCCTTCTCAGTATGGACCAAAGTACCCAAGCCTGTGCTGGTGAGAAACATTGCCATAACAGGTACTGAGAGCAGGGTTACTGACTTCCTGGGCTGTTGACTTTGCAGTCTCCTGGGGACTCAGTCTCCAGGCTGAATCCTTGCTTTTCTGTGCTCTTCCTCCTCCCTAGGGGTGGCCTACACTTCAGAATGCTTCCCCTGCAAACCTGGCACGTATGCAGACAAGCAGGGCTCCTCTTTCTGCAAACTTTGCCCAGCCAACTCTTATTCAAATAAAGGAGAAACTTCTTGCCACCAGTGTGACCCTGACAAATACTCAGGTGATGTTTCTGAGGGTGGGAAGAGTTTGGGGATAGAGAGTACCACCAAAACACACAAGGAGATACCAGGGAATAGAGCCATCCTTCTGGCCAAGCTGAGGATGGTAATTCTTAAACCCTTCCTTTCTGGATCCTGGAATACCCTTGCCAATCCATATATCCATTAATCACTTTGTCATTTTTTTTTTTTTTTGAGATAGGGTCTCACTTTATCACCCAGGCTGAAGTGCCGTGGTGCGATCATAGCTCACTGCAGCCTCAAACTCCCTGTCCCAAGCAATCCTCCCGCCTCAGCCTCCTGAGTAGCTAAGACTACCAGCGTGCCCCACCACACCCAGCTAATTTTTTATTTTTATTTTTATAGAGACAGGGGTCTTGCTAGTTGCCCAGGCTGGTCTTGAACTCCTGGGCTCAAGTGATCCTCCTGCCTCAGCCTCTCAAGCTGTGAGCCTATAATCTCAGCACTTTGGGAGGTCAAACCGGGAAGATCAATTGGGCCTAGGAGGTTGAAGCTTCAGTGAGCCATGATCACACCACTGCACTACAGCCTGGGTGACAGAGTAAGACCCTGTCTCTAAAAAAAAAAAAAAAAAAAAAAAAAAAAAAAAAAATCATTCAATAAATATTGAGCCTCTCCTATCTACCAGGCCCTATTCTATGTGCTTGGAATACGTCAGTGAACAAAACAGACAAAGGTCCCTGTTTTTATGGGGTTTACATTCGGGGGTGGGGGGAAGAGAGACAATAAACAAAAAGAAATAGATGATACATATATAATAAATTATATAGTATGTGAGATGGTAAAAAGTGCCATGGTGTCATGGCAAAAAGAAAAAGCAGCTCAGAGCTAGAGGGATTAGGGAAGCTAAGGAAAGGGTTGCAATCCTTTTTTTTTTGAGACGGAGTCTTTCTCTGTCGCCCAGGCTGGAGTGCAGTGGCGCGATCTCAGCTCACTGCAAACTCTGCCTCCCAGGTTCATGCCATTCTTCTGCCTCAGGCTCCTGAGTAGTTGGGACTACAGGCGCCCGCCACTGCGCCCGGCTAATTTTTTGTATTTTTAGTAGAGACAGGGTTTCACTGTATTAGCCAGGGTGGTCTCGATCTCCTGACCTCGTGATCCGCCCGCCTCAGCCTCCCAAAGTGCTGGGATTATAGGCATGAGCCACCGCGCCCGGCCTGGGTTGCAATCTTTTTGTTGCTGTTGTAGAAACACGGTCTCACTGTGTTGCCCAGGCTGGTCTCGAACTCCTGACCTCAAAGTGATCCTCCTGCCTCAGCCTTCCAAAGTGCTGGGATTACAGACATGAGACACTGTGCCCAGTCCAGTCATTTTTTTTAAGTGGTGAATTTTTATTTTTATTTTTATTTTTTTTTGAGACGGAGTTTCACTCTTGTTGCCCAAGCTGGAGTGCTCGAATGCAGTGGCGTGATCTCGGCTCACCACAACCTCTGCCTCCCGGGTTCAAGCAATTTTCCTGCCTCGGCCTCCCAAGTAGCTGGGATTACAGGCGTGCACCACCATGCCCAGCTAATTTTGTATTTTTAGTAGCGACAGGGTTTCATTATGTTGGCCAGGCTGGTCTCGAACTCCCAACCTCAGGTGATCTGCCCACCTCGGCCTCCCAAAGTGCTGGGTTACAGGTGTGAGCCACCACACCCAGTCAGTGGTGAAATTTTAAATGAAACATTATATAAGATTATAATATAGGCCAGGGGTGGTGGCTCGCGCCTGTAATCCCAGCACTTTGGGAGGCCGAGGCAGGCAGATCACTTGAGGTCAGGAGTTCAAGACCAGGCTGGCCAACATGGCAAAACCACGTCTCTACTAAAAATACAAAAATTAGCCCGGCGTGGGGGCGTGTGCCTGTAATCCCAGCTACTCAGGAGGCTGAGGCTGGAGAATCACTTGAACCCGGAAGGTGGAGGTTGCAGTGAGCAGAGATCGTGCCACTGCACTCCAGCCTGGGTGATAGAGCGAGACTCAGTCTCAAAAAAAAAAAAAAAAAAAAAAAAAGATTATAACATAAACAGTAGATACTGTAGATTTAAAATGTATAAATTTATACATTTTAACGTATAACAATTATTATCAAAGTTAATTTCATGAGCCTATATTGATGAACAAGAAGATTTTGATAACAAGGTCTAAAGATGCAAATGACAATCTTTTATCAACCTGAGAGCATTCATTGAAGTCAAATCAGGCATTCTGGGAAATCTAGGTTTCCTTGTAACACAATTTGCAAACCACTGCTCTGAGGGAAAGTAAGGGGACAGCAGGAAGCAGCCTGTTTTTATTGTTTGAGGATAGCTTCCTAAAGCATTCCAATTTGAGAAATAGGACGTGGTTATTTGAGGGAGTTCCAGGGGGTATCGAGGCTCTGATGTGGGATGGGCAGTGCCAGCAGATGGCTTTCTGCTCAGACAGTCCAGACATTGGTATGAGGGCCAACCTCCAAGACAGGTTCTGAAACAAACAAGAAGGGAGAGAGAAGCAGTCCCATCTTTTCCCCAGAAACACTCACAACTATTCTACTTTTCCTTTTTTACACAGTTTATATGTAAACCCAGCACAAGGCCCTCTCTCAAACAGACCTACATATCCCTACAAAGACATGCCAAACTTCACACAGGTGTGAAAGTATGTGTTTGCTCAGCCAAGACCAGCCACTGACCTTGTGAATTGCTTGTTTCTACACTATTCCTAAAACAAAAGTCATATTTACCTACACAGATCTTGCCAAATGAGTGCAGTTTTCTTTTTTTTTCTTTTTTTTTTTTTTTTTAATTGATCATTCTTGGGTGTTTCTCGCAGAGGGGGATTTGGCAGGGTCACAGGACAATAGTGGAGGGAAGGTCAGCAGATAAACAAATGAACAAAGGTCTCTGGTTTTCCTAGGCAGAGGACCCTGCGGCCTTCCGCAGTGTTTGTGTCCCTGGCTACTTGAGATTAGGGAGTGGTGATGACTCTTAAGGAGCATGCTGCCTTCAAGCATCTGTTTAACAAAGCACATCTTGCACCGCCCTTAATCCATTCAACCCTGAGTGGATACAGCACATGTTTCAGAGAGCACAGGGTTGGGGGTAAGGTCACAGATCTACAGGATCCCAAGGCAGAAGAATTTTTCTTAGTACAGAACAAAATGAAAAGTCTCCCATGTCTACCTCTTTCTACACAGACATGGCAACCATCCGATTTCTCAATCTTTTCCCCACCTTTCCCCCCTTTCTATTCCACAAAACCGCCATTGTCATCATGGCCCGTTCTCAATGAGCTGTTGGGTACACCTCCCAGACAGGGTGGTGGCCGGGCAGAGGGGCTCCTCACTTCCCAGTAGGGGCGGCCGGGCAGAGGCGCCCCTCACCTCCTGGACGGGGCGGCTGGCCGGGCGGGGGGCTGACCCCCCCACCTCCCTCCCGGACGGGGCGGCTGCCGGGCAGAGACGCTCCTCACTTCCCAGACGGGGTGGCTGCTGGGCGGAGGGGCTCCTCACTTCTCAGACCGGGCGGCTGCCGGGCGGAGGGGCTCCTCACTTCTCAGACGGGGCGGCCGGGCAGAGACGCTCCTCACATCCTGGACGGGGCGGCAGGGCAGAGGTGCTCCCCACATCTCAGACGATGGGTGGCCGGGCAGAGACGCTCCTCACTTCCCAGATGGGATGGCGGCCGGGAAGAGGCGCTCCTCACTTCCCAGACGGGGTGGCGGCCGGGCAGAGGCTGCAATCTCGGCACTTTGGGAGGCCAAGGCAGGCTGCTGGGAGGTGGAGGTTGTAGCGAGCCGAGATCACGCCACTATGAGTGCAGTTTTCAACTAAAACAGAAATCTTTAGATCTTGGGGGAAGTTTTTATCTGTAAGTCTAGATTCCTGTTTTTCCACTTGCATTTTTTATTCCTCTTCCCCACTCTGCTTCTATCAACAGCAACCTTTGTTAGCCTAAATCTCTGGCTCCCTTTATGGTCCAGCAGTTGGGCAGGGTTTGAATGGCAAGGTGGTTCTAGAAAAACTTCTCATAGAAGTGTTTTGATCAACTCTGTGTAAGCTGATTTTTATCCAGAGTGCTGTTATAAAAGCATTAGGTTGGGAGTCTGAATTCTTGGAATCTATTTTCCTTCTGCCACTGATTTCTCAATGTGCCCCATTGACTGAGAAGTGAGTTTTTTCTTTTTTCTTTCTTTTTTTTTTTTTTTGAGATGGAGTTTCCCTCTTGTTGCCCAGGCTGGAGTGCAATGGCGCAATCTTGGCTCACTGCAATCTCTGCCTCCCCAGTTCAAGTGATTCTCCTGCCTCAGCCTCCCGAGTAACTAGGATTACAGGTGCCTGCCACTATGCTTGCCTAAATTTTTGTATTTTTAGTAGAGACGGGGTTTCACCATCTCGGCCAGCCTGGTCTTGAACTCCTGACCTCAGTTGATCCACCCGCCTTGGCCTCCCAAAGTGTTGGGATTACAGGCGTGAGCCACTGCACCTGGCCAGTGAGTTTTTACTATGAGGAACATGGTCAACTTGTTGACAACCTCACCGGCTTGGGGTACAAAGAGAGTCATATTTCTTTGAGACTTGACTCTTCCAGAATACAGGGTCAGTGAGAGACTGGGAAATTGCAGGGAGACTCTGATGATAGCCTATGATAGACTGTATGCAGGGAGTGACAGAAGGTCCATGCATTTACAAATATATTCTGAGTACCTGCCAGTTGCCAAGGACTAGCTTGGTGCTAGGGTTAGAGCTGGTGCCTGACCTCCAGCTTATGTTGAAAAGGAAATGTGGTTATATAAACACCTAAGTGCAGTAACTCTCCATGGTGTTGGGATAGGAGAGCTGGGTGTAGAATGCAGTGGAGGTGGGCCGGGTGTGGCGGCTCACGCCTGTAATCCCAGCACTTTGGGAGGCCGAGGTGGGTGGATCACCTGAGGTCAGGAGTTCAAGACCAGCCTGGCCAATATGGTAAAACCCCAACTCTACTAGAAATACAAAAATTAGCTGGGTGTGGTGGCGCACGCCTGTAATCCCAGCTACTTGGGAGGCTGAGGCAGAAGAATCACTTGAACCTGGGAGGTGGAGGCTGCAGTGAACCAAGATCATGCCACTGCATTCCAATCTGGGTGACAGAATAATACTGTCTCAAAAAAAAAAAAAGAATGTAGTGGAGGCAAAAAAGGAAAATGGTTAGTCCCCTCTAGAAAAGAAGGAAAAGTTTCACTCGCTAAGATCTGGAAAGATGAAAGGTTAATTAGTGATTTGGTGGGGGCAGGATGTTTGGGATAGAAGTGTGAGCAAAGGGCCAGGCGCAGTGGCTCACACCTGTAATCCTACCACTTTGGGAGGCCAGGGCAGGTGGATTGACTGAGCTCAGGAGTTTGAGACCAGCCTGGGCAACATGGTGAAACCCCATCTCTACTAAAAATTCAAAAAATTGGCCGGGCATGGTGGCGGGCGCCTTTAGTCCCAGCTACTCGGGAGGCTGAGGCAGGAGAATTGCTTGAACCCGGGAGGCGGAGGTTGCAGGTTGCAGTGAGCCGAGATCATGCCACTGCACTCCAGCCTGGGTGACAGAGTGAGACTCTGTCTCCAAAAAAAAAAAAAAAAAAAAGAAGTGTGAGCAAAGGCCAGAAAGCTCAGGAAACTGCAAATAATTCAGCTTGGCTGGAGATTAGGTGGCGAGAAGTTGCATCTAAGGCTGAGAAGCAGGCCGGAAACAGATTATGGAGCAGTCCTTCTGTGCTATTGTAGGGGCAAAAAATTGGGATTTGATCCTATCAGCAGTGGAGGTCATTAAAGAATTTTAAGAGGCCAGGCACGGCCATGCCTGTAATCCCAGCACTTTGGGAGGCTGAGGCAGGTGGATCACCTGAGGTCAGGAGTTGGAGACCAGCCTGACCAACCTGGTGAAACCCCGTCTCTACTAGAAATACAAAAATTAGCTGGGTGTGGTGGCACACGCCTGTAATCCCAGCAACTTGGGAGGCTGAGGCAAGAGAATTGCTTGAACCTAGGAGGCAGAGGTTGCAGTGAGCCGAGATCACACCATTGCACTCTAGCCTGGGTGACAAGAGGGAAACTCCATCTCAAAAAAAAAGAATTTTAAATGAAGGATTTCAGCCAGTGCTTTTGAAAGACCACTCTGGCTGCCATGCAGAGGAGGGAGGGAATGCTGGAGGCAGAGGCTGTGGTAGGGAGATGTTGCAGCTGGCATCATTGCTGATGTCCAGGACCTAAACTAAGGTGGAATTAATGTGGGTGGAGATTGGAGAACTCACAGGAGCATTGTGAAGGACAAAAGCCTGACTAAAAGCATCTTTCTCACTGGTCCCTAAAATTTGATCATTAGGTTTAATTTCTTTGTGTTATGTTTCATATTAGTGATCCATTTCCTAAACAGAATAGCATGAAGTTAAAGAGCATGGACTCCAGAACTAAATTACTAGGGCTCAAATCCCTGCTCCACCAATTAGTAGCAGTGCCACCTTGGGCAAATTACTTATCTGTGCCTCCGTTTCTTTGTCTATAAAATGGGAAGGACAGCTGGGCACAGTGGCTATTGCTTGTAGTCTCAGCTACTGGGGAGGCTGACGCAGGAGGATCGTTCAAGCCCAGGAGTTAGAAGCTGAGTGAGCCATGATTGCTCCATTGCACTCCGGCCTGGGCATCAGAACAGGACCCCATCTCTTTAAAAAAAAAAATGGGAATGACAATAATTATATCTGCCTCATAGTGTTATTGTGAGGATTGGTTAATACAGGTAAAGGATTTAGAAAGGGGCCTGGCATATAGTAAGCAGTAATTTTATTAATTCATTTACCTTAAGCCCTGTCCCAACACTCCTTTTTTAATATGAAAATACTCAGGCCAGCACTATGGCTCACACCTGTAATCCTAATACTTTGGGAGGCCGAGGCAGGAGGAGTGCTTGAGGCCGGGAGTTTGAGACCAGTCTGGGTAATAGAACAAGACTCCTGTCTCTACAAAAATAAAAAAATTAGCCAGGTGTGGTGGCATGCACCTGTAGTCCCAGCTACTCAGAAGGCTGAGGTGGGAGGATCACCTGAGCCTGGGAGGTAGAGGCTGTACTGAGCTGATTGTGCCACTGAACTCCAGCCTGGGTGACAGAGTGAGGCCCTGTCTCTAAAAAAAAGAAAAGAAAAGAAAATACTCCTGGTACAGGTAACACTCATAAGTCACGTGTATAGTACTCTCCAATTGACAAAACATGATCTCATTTATTACCTATAGCATAGTGAGGGAGTTATTTCTGCATTTACCGAGGAAGAAAGAGAAGCTCAGCGACACTGAGGAGCTTCACAAAAGCATGAGCTGCTGTCTGACCCGGGCCTGTGTCCATTCAGTACTGAAACCCTCAGGAGAAATGTTTTACTTTGATAAAACAGATCCCAGTGAGAACATTGTACTCCTGGAGGTGGGGGGATATTGAAAGGAGGAGGCAGGTGCAGAAAGAGGAGTTGGAGCCCCTGAGATAAACTTTATCTTCTTACAGTTTTGCCCAGGGCCAATCCTACTTAAGTCACTTTTCACTCCCTCAACCAAACACAGAGGCCCATCTTCCAAACTTGACTAGCATCCAACTTAAACACTTTGATGAAACCCAAGCTGGGAAAGGAGGTTGGTCTCAGCATTTTGGTTAATCATTTATTAAAACCACCTTAACAGGGATCAGTGTGTAAACAGCTGAGCCATTTTTGCTAAAACCCAGAGCTAGGATGTCAGATTGAGCAAATATTTGACAAGCAGAGAAAGGTCTTGGTGTAGAATGCATTTTCTAACACATAACTTGTACTTTGCTAGACCTAAGAATTGGCACCTTCCCACGTTTTCAGCCTCTCTCCCCACATTTTTCCTGGCCAAGTCAGTCAAAAGCAGGAGTCCATGGGTCCCTCTGTGCTGAATTGGGCCTCCTGCTTGGTAACCAAGTAAATGAGCTGAGAAGACCCCAACTGTTTCTCAGCCAGTAGTTCCCACCTGTCCAGCCTAATAAGACAGAGACAGAAGAGGTATGGAGATGTGCAGTTGAGAGAACTTTCCAGCTCAGGCCAACAAGACTGCAATTAGGAGATTATCTGATCTACGAACCCATGTGGTGCCTGGAGAAAAAGAAGGAATCAGTTGAGAAATAAGCCCTTAACTGAAAGGGAGGTAAAGAGACCTTTAATCCTTATTCACTCTCCTGTGACTACTCCCAAATAAAAATAATTCCCGGCTGGGCATGGTGGCTCACACCCATAATCCTAGCACTTTGGGACGCTAAGGCAGGCAGATCACGAGGTCAGGAGTTTGAAACCAGGCTGACCAACATGGTGAAATCCCATCTCTACTAAAAATACAAAAATTAGCTGGATGTGGTGGTGCACACCTGTAATCCCAGCTACTCAGGAGGCTGAGGCAGGAGAATCACTTGAACCCGAGAGGCGGAGGTTGCAGTGAGCTGAGGTGGCACCACTGCACTCCAACCTGGGCAACAGAGCGAGACTCTGTCTCAAAAAATAATAATAATAATAATAATAATAATAATTCCCAAACATGCAGGTAATAATAGTTACTGCTATCTAGTGAGTATCTACTTACAATGTGCCAGGTAGGTACTGGCTCCAGCAAGGTATATATTATTATTCCTGTTCTACAGATGAGAAGGCTGAGGCTCAGAGAGGTTAAGTAACTTGCCTAAAGTGACACAGCTGCTAAATGATGAAGCAGGATCCAAACCCATATCCGTCTAGCTTAAAATCTCATTCCAGGCCGGGAGCGGTGGCTCACACCTGTAATCCCAGCACTTTGGGAGGCCAAGGCAGGCGGATCACGAGGTCAGCAGATCGAGACCATCCTGGCTAACACGGTGAAACCCTGTCTCTACTAAAAATACAAAAAATTAGCCAGGCATGGTGGCGGGCGCCTGTAGTCCCAGCTACTTGGAAGGCTGAGGCAGGAGAATGGCGTGAACCCGGGAGGCGGAGCTTGCAGTGAGCCGAGATCGTGCCACTGCACTCCAGCCTGGGCAACAGAGCAAGACTCCATCTCAAAAAAAAAAAAAAAAAAAATCTCATTCCACTACACCATACTGCTTGCCAGGTAATATAAAGAGAGAGAAGTTCTTACCATTATTCAGTGCTTATCTGCAGGTGACACAGCAGTCATATTCGAAGTAGTGGTGGCAGTAGTAACAGTATTGTAATGTGCACCTCATAAAGCAGTTGTTTTTATTCTGGAGGAAGTAAATTCCCTAGAAAACTTTCAAAAAGTTTTTATTTGTATGAATTACGCATATTTTTCTAGGTAGAGAGAAACATCTCTTTTTTTCAAATTTTCAAAAGAGTTTTTAAAATCAAAAAAAGTTAAACCCACTGCTTTAAAGAGAGAGTCAAGCACAATGGCTCATGCCTGTAATCCCAGCACTTTGGGTGGGTGGCTGAGGTGGGAGGATTGCCTGAAGCCAGGAGCTCAAGACCAGCTTGGGCAACATAGCGAGACTCTGTCTCTACCAAAAAAAAAAAAAAAAAAAACAAAAAAAAGAGAGAGAGAGAGAAAAGAAAACAAACCCTATGATGAAATAATGAAAAAAATAAAATTAAAAAATGAATTCATAGAAGTAGTTCTCACTATCCAGAGGTTCACAGGGTTAAAGCAGAGCTAACATTGAAAGGAGGAGAACATGCAGAGAGCAGAAGAAAACTGATAGTTCACGTTTTTCTTCTTTCTTTCTTTTCCTTCCTTCCTTCCTTCCTTCCTTCCTTCCTTCCTTCCTTCCTTCCTTCCTTCCTTCCATCCTTCCCTCCTTCCTTCCTTCCTTCCTAACAGAGTCTCTCTCCATTGCCCAGGCTAGAATGCAATGGCATGATCATGGCTCTCTGCAGCCTCAACCTCCTGGACTCAAGTGATTCTCCTGCCTCAACATCAAGTAGCTGGGACTATAGGCCTGCACCACCACGCCCGGCTAATTTTTGTATTTTTTGTAGAGACAGGGTTTGCTATGTTGCCCAGGCTGGTCTTGAACTCCTGGGCTCAAGAGATCCTAAAGTGCTGGGATTACAGGCATGAACCACCATGCCCAGCAGTTAACATTTTTCATTAGGTATAAATCAAGAGTTAAAGATAGTGTTGGGCTGGTGCGGGAGGCGGGAGGATCGCTTGAGCCCAGGAGTTCCAGGCTGCAGTGAGTTAAGATTGTACCACTGCAGTCCAGCCTCAGCAACAGAACAAGACTCTGTCTCTAAAAAATAACAATAATAAAATAATAATAAAGAGGCCGGGCACGGTGGCTCACCCCTGTAATTCCAGCGCTTTGGGAGGCCGAGGAGGGCAGATCACCTGAAGTCAGGAGTTCGAGACCAGCCTGACCAACATGGAGAAACTCCGTCTCTACTAAAAATACAAAATTAGCCAGGCATGGTGACTCATGCCTGTAATTCCAGCTACTCAAGAAGCTGAGGCAGGAGAATCACTTGAACCTGGGAGGCGGAGGTTGCAGTGAGCCAAGATCGTGCCACTGCACTCCAGCCTGGGCAACAAGAGTGAAACTCCATCTCAATAATAATAATAATAAAGATAGTGTTGGGATGCTTGGGTTGAGGCAAGTGGGAAGAACCTTATGTGTTAGGTGGAGTCCAAGGAAATTACAAACCTGGTTTGTGTAGAATGATTGCATGAAGAAAAGGAAATTTCCAAGGTGGAAGGCCTTCATTCTAGGCATATATTAGAACATTCATAGAAAGGCTTGGAATGAGTATGAAAGCAAAATCATGTTTTACTTCAACACTTCAGGAGTAGAAAAACCACACCCAGAGTCAAGACACTAAGGCACCTGGAAGATGGTGAACTCTCTGAACCTCCCCAGGTTTCAGGGAACTTAGGTTGGCAGTGGTTAACCTGCAAGAAGCTGTTTCCGTCTACCCTCCTTGCTGGTCCTTTGGCCAGGCCACTTCTCCCTCCCTTGCCCCATGGGGCGGGGGACGGGAAGCGGCAAACAGTGGTTTCTCATCAGCACCTGGAACAGGTGCAAAGGGAAGCTTGAGCAGGGTTGGGGAACTGGAAATGACACTATTGAGACAAGGGGAAGGGTGAGTGTGCAGGATTTTCTACTTCCGGCAATATTTGTGTGGCAATGCACCCAGGGACTTGGGAGTCACAGGGCCATGAAGAGGCCAGGAGCTCAGCTTTCTTATGTAACTCCAAATATTTCTTCTTGCTTTGGCAATTTAGAGAAAGGATCTTCTTCCTGTAACGTGCGCCCAGCTTGCACAGACAAAGATTATTTCTACACACACACGGCCTGCGATGCCAACGGAGAGGTGGGTAGTACAGTCTTGGAGCCCCTTAGCCCCAGATGGACTGTCTCCCACTCCCTGAGGTTTGCCACCATTTGGAACTTCAGCAGTCAATGACATTGGCACTAGTTAAAACCCCACAGACCTTTGAGGTGACCCTAGGGCTAGGTGGGGTGGGGGGCAAAACGAGACCTCTTCATTCATTTTCCGGTCAGAAACTGTTTTTGCAGCGTTTGTTTCACTGTTTATGCACATATGTTCTGTTTCAAAAACCCACTTCATTCTCTCTTGCTTGGTTTCTTCTATTTGCCGAGCCACTCCGGCAGAGCCTGCCTGTCCGTACACAATGTCCTCCCGGGGCTCTTCAGGCTCACCCCCTCGGCACTGTTTTGTGGGCTGGCACGGGGAATGGATTCCTGCCTATGGTCTGACTTGTTCCGTTTCTGCTGCTTCTCTTTCCTCCAGGCTTTCTGCTTCAGAAAAGAACTTTCCCTCCTAGTCTACACTGTCACTGAGTCAACAAGCATTTTTTGAGGCTGACTGATATGTCAGGCCTGGCACTATAGGCTGGGGAGTCAGAGACGACTGAAACAAGCTCCTGCCCCCAGGGAGCTCACAGTCCTGTATGAGAGGCTGGAGAGAGGAGAAAAACGGGCCCAGTCAAGGCAACCAGAGGGATGTGCAGGGAACTGGGGGAGCCCAGAAGAGAAGCGACCAGGACTTGGGGTGGGGGCAGCAGAGAAAGCCTCTCAGAGGAGGCCATTTGTTCAACAGTCAACAAATATTTATCGAGGAGCGACTCTGTGCCAGGCACGGTGCTAGGTGCTAGGCATGCATCACTTAACAAAACTGAGGGAACATCTAGCCCTTATGGAGCTTAACTCTTGTTGGGGAGGGAGTGGAGAGAGAGATAATAGACAACAAATGGGTATATAATATAGCAAATGGTAGTAAGTGGTAGGAAGGAAAAAAAAAAACCAGGATTAGGAGAGAGAGAATGAAGGAGGGTGGTGCCACTATTTTAGAAGGGTAGGGATGTCCTCTCAGGAGGTGACATTTGAGCAGAGACCTGAAGGAGATGAGGGAGGAGCCGTGGAGCTTTCCAGGCAGCAGACACAGCAGGAGAGGAGGCGGCAGCTGGGCCAGGTGGGTGGAGAAACAGTGTAAGTGAGCAGGGAAGGGCTTGAGGTGCACGGAGAAGGATCTGGCTGAGCTGTCTGTATCCCTAAGCTAGAGATTCTCAAGAGGATAGAACTAGGAGTTGGGCATTCTGCACTCAGCACTAAGCATGATGCTTGGCTCTTAGGGAGCATAAACATTTGCTGGCTGGGCGGCTGACTGAATTCTCCCTTTCCTAACTAAGCATGGGTTAAAGTCTGGTCCTTAACAATGAATATTTTGCACAGTCATCTCTTACCAACACCACCTCCCCCACGTATTTGGGGCATCATCCCCTTCTCCAGCAGCCAAGAGAGAATGGCTGTGTCTTGTCAGTTGCACCTTAGACTCAGTTCTGTGGTGTCTGGTATTCTGTATGACCTTGTGAACATTTATTTTCATTTTCTTGGTCTCAGCCAACTCACTAATAAAAGGCAGACAATTAATCCTGCTGCTCTTCTCCCTCCTGTTCATAACATGTGACTGAATGTGGCTGTCTTTCCTCCCTTCTGCCCCATTCTCTTCCCTCCCTGGGCTCACGCCAAGGCCTTCTGGGTCAGTACCGTGCTTGCTGCCTGAAAGCCCGGGTGTCTGCCTTGGCCTGACCACTGCCGGGGCCTTTAGATGCTGGGTCAGACCAAAGCCTGTGTTCCCGCCTTGCAGCACAGCCAAGGCCCAGCTCAGAGGAGGAGCACTGAAGCGTGTGCTTTCAGGAGTGCGCATGAACATGCATTCCCCAGCTGTTCCTTGCAGACTTCTGCTTTGTGCCTCATTCCCGCACTGGTTCTGCTCAGTCTGGTGATTGAGTTTGTCTTCTGAACAGTATTTTAAAATCAAGGGACACACCTCGAGCTGGCTCCTATGATTACATTTCTGACCTTGGCTGTGCCTCAGTTGTTTCTCAGGGACCAGGATGGCCCATCCATTGGGGTCAGTGAATGTGCTGCTCCAAGAGCTGGCCCGAGACAGTTTGCCAGCTCCTAGGACTCTCCTCTCCCTGAGACTCACAGGAGGCAGGTGAGGTTCAAGCCTGGGGCTCTGGCTGTCGCAGCCCTCCGCAGGGAAGAGGGCCGAGCTGAGCAGGGGAAGGAGGAGCCCAGGGCTCCCCATCAGTTAAGGCAGTCTGTGTCCCTCCTTAAGGACTTGTTTCTTATCTTGAAAAATATGGACAGAGGCCTTATTCATCCTTCTTTTCATATGTATGGTATCTGCACAGATCATGTTCATCAACCCCTCAGTTCAACCTATAAGGGCACGTTTTTGTCTGTGACTCGATCTGAGGGCCACATGGGAAGAATGGAGCTGCCCACCTTCACCCCTGACTCAGCCGGGGTCTCCTGCGGGTCATCTCCACTTCTGTACCCAATGCAGGGGCCATGTTTCATTCATCTCTGAGACACCAGGTCTGGCACATAGATGCATTAGGATTTACCCAATAAATAAAAGAGCAAAGAATGTACCACTCAAAAAATAAGTGGGGACATCTCAGCCACCCCCTCAGTCCCCGGGGGACATCTGAGCCACCTCCACCCTTGTGCCTTTCTGTGTTCTGGGATTTTCACCAGCTGCTTTTCCTGTGACCTTGGTAGCAATAAGATTCTACAGTGGAATCGGAGCTTTCTCTAAGACAACTGGTCCCACATTCTCTGTCATAAAGTCTTCATTAGAGCTATTCCTTGTCACCCAGGCAACATTCATTTGGCAGATAGTGATTGAACACAACCATGACTCAGGCACTGGGCTAGGTGCTTGGGATACATCCGTGAGCCACACAAAGTTCCCCACCCCAGAGGAGCTCTTACCTGGCCCAGAATCTGGATCTCTGCCCCCAGCCCCTATCCTCAAGGTAGAGTCCCAAAGATGTCCTAAATCTCACACAGGCTGAGTTGTGCTTAATCCATTTCTGCAGACACAACTCATGTACAAATGGGCCAAGCCGAAAATCTGTAGCGAGGACCTTGAGGGGGCAGTGAAGCTGCCTGCCTCTGGTGTGAAGACCCACTGCCCACCCTGCAACCCAGGCTTCTTCAAAACCAACAACAGCACCTGCCAGCCCTGCCCATATGGTTCCTACTCCAATGGCTCAGGTAACCTCCTCACCACCCCACTCTCTGCAGCACATCGACTGTGTGGGTGGGCTGTGTGGGCACTAACAGTGGCCAGCTGAATGCAGACTCTGCCCTTCCAAGGGAGGCAGTAAGGAATAAGGACCAGGCCACCTTTGAGGACTAAATTCAGGAGAAGAGAGGTCAGGGCTGGCCTCGTCTGCAGGTCAGAGTCATACTTGAGGCTGCCTTCCTTCCTCCTTGCTCCAACTGCAAATGTGACTCAGGACTGAAGGTGCCCAATCCTCAAAGCAGGGCTTCCAGCATATGGCAGAGATGCTGACTAGGCTTACAGGGCTGGGATGACCAACCCCACACAACCAAAACCTATAAGCCATGCTGCCTTGGGGGGATTTGAGTACCTGTTAAAATGAAAGCATTTAATGATAATATGACAATAATATGAACTATATGTATCAGACTAGAAGGTACATTTAAGTTTTGAAATGGAAATTGGGGTGGGCAAATAGGATGGTTGGCATATTGGAATGAAGGCTCAGTGTTTACATCTTGAGTTAAATACATTGTCAGAATGTTTTTGAGTCAACTTGATACAACTTCCTGCAGCAGTACTCAGCAGCCAGGCTTCTGGGCTGCCCGCTACTGTTGCAACTTGTCTGTGTGGCAGCAGCTCCAGTCAGAGTGACTGCAGCCTTCCCACTGAATGCATGGATCTTGTTTGTGGTTCCCCAGACTGTACCCGCTGCCCTGCAGGGACTGAACCTGCTGTGGGATTTGAATACAAATGGTGGAACACGCTGCCCACAAACATGGAAACGACCGTTCTCAGTGGGATCAACTTCGAGTACAAGGGCATGACAGGTAATTGCCTCTCCCTGTGCCATGAGCTGTCAGCTCCCTGCACACCCTCAGTTCTTCCAACTTCACATTTCTTCATAATAGTGATGTCTGAGAAAAATAAGCTAACCATGTCATGCATTCCCTTGAAAGTTCCACTCCTCATGGACATATGTTCTGCCAAGACAGCTTTAGAGGAAGGAACAGAGCTAGAAACATGAGCGTGCACTTCAAAGGTCTTGCTCTGAGAGCTTCAGGGTTTTTGACCAAAGTGGCAGGATAAGTAACACGGTTCATGTTCAGTGGTGGTTCTGGGCGCCTCAAAAGATGGTGTCAAACCTCCCTTCCAGAGTGTCATCTGGGTGCACATTTGCCTTGCACCCAAGAGCACAAGGCATTAACTCTCCTCTTTCCTTTTCAGGCTGGGAGGTGGCTGGTGATCACATTTACACAGCTGCTGGAGCCTCAGACAATGACTTCATGATTCTCACTCTGGTTGTGCCAGGATTTAGGTGAGGAATCCAAAGCCCAGGGGAGTCCAGGCCAGCTTGGCCATATCCGAATCCCACGTATTTTGGAATATTGTAGAGGAGAGGGCTTCCGGGGTTGTGTTTCATTTCATTTCAAATGTCAGTTGAGAACAGAGGGTACAGTTTGACCGAGGTAACCCAATGCTATCACGTTTTTCAAGTTGCTGCCCATGTTGATTTACCGACTGCTCTCTCTCCCGTATAGCTTCTCCCAGCCATTAGTCACGTGCTATTCAAATTCTTCCTCCTCACAGCATCACTTAAGATTAGAAAAAAAATAAAAATAAAAAATAATGGGGTCAGAAATGCCCATAGACAGTTCATCTTTATTTGGGGCAAGAAGATTGGGAAGGATTATTCTTACTGTATTTGTCCCCATATCCCAGGAAGACCTAGGGCAACACGAAATTTGTTTCCCACTAAACAAACAAACAAACACGCACACACACACACACACCTCCTGGCAGTGTGGTGTGGTGGAAGGAACACCAGACTGGAAGACAGGGCACTTGTGCTTTGCCGCTTACTGGCCGTGCGACCTTAGGAAAAGTCACTTCACCTGTTCAGGCTTCGGGCCCCTCATCCATAAAAACAGTGTGTGATTTAAGACTAACTGAGGTTCAGATGGCTTTTCCAGCCCGCTGGTTAACACAGCTGCATAGAGATAAGCTGAGAACTGGAGGTCCTCAGAATTCAGGCAAATGGCTAAAGCCAAAAGGAAAGCCGTGAATGAATTTCCAAGGCCAAAGTGAACTCTTCTGCCCATATGTGCTCTAAAGATAAGAAGCAGGCACTGAATATGCTTCCCTAGTGCCAGTCTGACACCTTCATTTCCTTCTTCGAGGTCCCTGCTTCCCATCCCTGGGATGTTGCTCAGTTTGCCTTCCCTTAACACACATTACTCAGAGCTAGCCAGATGAATGAAGCCTGTGTTTGCAAGGTGAGCAAACTTTTTAGGCTTTTTTTGGAATAACATTCAAAAAGTACTTTCCAATTTGCAAATCTGATCGTCATAGTAAAGTGTTGCCTCATCCCCCATCCCCACTACTACCCCAGCCCGCTTGGGCATGGCTCTCTCTTTCCCAAAAGTAGGACCAAACGGAGGACTTTGCTGGATCACAAATTCTGCTCCTTTAACCCCGGCAAAGCTCCCCAGTGCTGGAGAGACAGCTGCTGAGTAAATGTCAACAATTTACAGTCTTATGATAGACGTGCTTCTCAAACATAAATGTGCACACGAATCGCCTGGGAATCGTATTAACATGCAGATTCTGATTCACTGGGCCTGGGAGGAGCCTGAGGTTCTGCAGTTCTAATAAACTCTGGGAGATGGCCATGTTGCTGGTCTGTGGACCATATTCTGCTAGTGAGGTGATACAGCATTTTATAAAGGACCGCCACATCTGTCATGCCTTCAGGTCTCCCCGCGATGATGGGGGGTAGGTAAGAAAGAGATTTCATCACCTCCATTTTACAGATAAGGAAACCGTGGTTTGGCTAGGTCAAGGTCACATAGCTAGGAGGGCAGAATTGGATTTAGTCCACACGCTTTCCATCATACTCAGAACTTAACCCTGTCCCCCAGCAGACGCTCTGCTGTTGTCTGGGCTCTTCAATAAGCACTGCCTGGCCTTTAGAACTGACTTTTAATTTCTGCCCCTACAGACCTCCGCAGTCGGTGATGGCAGACACAGAGAATAAAGAGGTGGCCAGAATCACATTTGTCTTTGAGACCCTCTGTTCTGTGAACTGTGAGCTCTACTTCATGGTGGTACGTTTTCCTTTCTTTGCCCGCTAGAGGGCCTCCAGGGGAGGGTTAGCCCCATCTGCCCCATTGGTGTGTCCACGTGACTGACACCCCCCCTTGTAGTGATTCCACAGAGGAAAGGCCCAGACTGACCAGCAGGGACTTCACAGTTTAACAAGGGTCTCACCAACCGTGATGGCACCTGGGATGGCAGCCACATGGGCACCCACTTCCCCTCTGGCCATCGCACCCGCTTCACTTGTCTGTCCTGGGTTCAGGGTGTGAATTCTAGGACCAACACTCCTGTGGAGACGTGGAAAGGTTCCAAAGGCAAACAGTCCTATACCTACATCATTGAGGAGAACACTACCACGAGCTTCACCTGGGCCTTCCAGAGGACCACTTTTCATGAGGCAGTAAGTTCCTCCCCTTCCTCAGACCCCCAGGAGAGACCCTCTGAACCCAGGAGGACTCCTAGCATTAGCTTAAGTATGAGTGTGAAGTTCAGAATCTGAGGGTTAGAAGGATCTCAGGGGGTCAAGCAGAAAACTGCCTAACCCAGCCCTCTGAGGACCACCTAGTCTTGTCCAGCTGACTTCCTGGAAAGATGACACCATAAGAAATAAGTTGGCCCTCCTTGTAGTCCCTGCCCTGATACATGTGTTACCAGACTTGTTGTTGTTTTTAATAATAACAACTCTGGTTTTAGTTTCTTAACTCAAAGGAATACAGGCTCATTGCAGAAGACACAGAAAATAAAAATAAACAAAAATAAGAAATAAAATCAGCCATAATCCTACTACTCAGAGATAAACCAGTTAACATCTGGACAATCTCCTATACACTGTTTGTTTCTGCACAAGTACATTTTTTTCTCTTTTATAAGGAAAAGACTTGCTTTTTTCATAAAACTGTATATATTATATTTTCCCCATGGTACTTAACATTTTTATATGTCCTATAAATGGTTCAGTCTCATTTTAAAATGACATCAAATGCACACGAAGAGCTACTGGTAAGTGAGTAAAAAGAGTCAGATGCTTCTCAGATTCTTCTTAAGTATCACAGGATAGAAGATTAAGTACCTTGCTCTTTCTAGAGGCCTCAATTGTTGCTGCTGTCTCAGGCCTCTCCCCTCTCCCCTCTTGTTTCCTTGTCTCCAGAGCAGGAAGTACACCAATGACGTTGCCAAGATCTACTCCATCAATGTCACCAATGTTATGAATGGTGTGGCCTCCTACTGCCGTCCCTGTGCCCTAGAAGCCTCTGATGTGGGCTCCTCCTGCACCTCTTGTCCTGCTGGTTACTATATTGACCGAGATTCAGGAACCTGCCACTCCTGCCCCACTAACACAATTCTGAAAGCCCACCAGCCTTATGGTGTCCAGGCCTGTGTGCCCTGTGGTCCAGGGACCAAGAACAACAAGGTACCTGTAGTCTGGCATGCATCCTAAACCTGACCCTCTGCTTGGATGACCTCAGAAGATGCTGGGTCCTGGGTAGGGTTCTTGAGAGGCTGATACCCGAGTGCTCCCCCTAGCATACTCCTAGGTTGGAGTCCTGGAGGACACCCATCCAGGCTGTGACTGTGGAGGGTTAGCAGGGCTTAATTTCCAGGGTCCAGGACTCAGTCACTGACAAGTCTCCTCTTTAGTTGGCAGGTAAGAGAGGTTGGTGACTGTCTGGTCCAGAGGGTTATTTGGCATCTGTGCAGAGACCTAAAGGGAAGGAACAGTGGGGTGAGGCCTGTGGCTTATATTCAAAAATGTTCAATCCAGCCTGTTATTATGGAAATCTGCCCCTTCTTTGGAAAGATAGAAACCCAACCATTGCTGGGACATATGATAACTGGCATTGCTGTCTTCTATCCCAGTGGCTTCTCAGCTTTACAAGTATAAGGATTCCTTTCCTAAGTGGAAAAAAGCTGGGTGCAGTGGCTCACATCTGTAATCCCAACACTTTAGGGGGCTGAGGTGGGAAGATCACTTGAGCCCCGGGGTTCAAGGTTGTAATGAGCCGTGATTGTGCCACTGCACTCCAGCCTGGGTGACAGAGCAAGACCCTGTCTCTAATTAAAAAAATAAATAAAAATAAAGGCACATTAAAAAACTAATAAATAAATAAAGTGGATAAGCAGTGTTGTTGCCCCCATGTACTTTCTGCATCTGAGAAGTACTTATGACTAAAAGCTTTTAGATATTAATCGATGCTTTTAAATGAATTTGCATTTTACTGATCACAACTACATGCACATACATCTGTAAAGCACTATCAATATGTACTCTGCAAACGTTGCCTAGTTCATCTGTGCAATAAGTGCAGCGATTCTACAGACTCCTGGCAACCTCTTTCGGGTACCCTGGACTTTTGCCACAACCTTCCTTCCCTGGAGCTCCCTCTGCTGCTGTGGGAGGGAATGACAGTTGTGTGCGGCTACCGCTGAATGGTGACCCTAAAACAGAGCAATGAATGGGTTTATGGGAAGAAAAGCCCCTTTCGGAGTTCAGTTTCCTACAGAGAACCTGAGAAACAGGAAGCAGAGTTCAGTGAGTTTTGCACTGTGAGGGGGTGAGGAGGGAGCAAGAAAAGTTTCTCTTCTCCCATCTCAGATACCCTTTTCTGGTTAGTGCCTCATTGTCTTCTGCTGGAAAGTAAAAAGGATCCTCTTGTGTCTTGAGAGGCTTCTATAATCTAGGCACAGGGTTATAAGGCTATAGAATTTGTCCAAACTCCCTTCTGAACAATAACAGATTTAGGTTTGTCCATCATATATGTGCTAATAATTGAATGGCAAATGTACATAAATCCCACTAGTGCCTGTTTCACTTCTTTTACTAGCCACTCCTAATCCTTTCTTCCTCCTCTTGACCCCATTTGGGCGGGACCAGACGGGGGAGAAAACTGCTACTCTTGGCTGCAGGCCCTCAAGGCCCTTCCTGACCAGCTGGCCCGACCCGTCCCTCTCCCCCTCAGATCCACTCTCTGTGCTACAACGATTGCACCTTCTCACGCAACACTCCGACCAGGACTTTCAACTACAACTTCTCCGCTTTGGCAAACACTGTCACTCTTGCTGGAGGGCCAAGCTTCACTTCCAAAGGGCTGAAATACTTCCATCACTTTACCCTCAGTCTCTGTGGAAACCAGGTAAGGTATACCAGTTGACAGGGTGAAAATTGAATGGGGGAGGCCCATGGATCAGAAGCCAGAGACAGACACAGGAGAAAACCAGAAATCCTTCAGGTAGCAGGGGGTTGAGGAGCTTCAAAGGTTTTTACATATTATTCTCCCTGAGGACTTTTTCCCCTAAAATTAAATAATCAGGATTATAAACACTTAAGAAAATAAAGATATTTAAAATAATGTGTTCTTGCCGGGTGCCTGGTGCGGTGGCTCACGCCTGTAATCCCAGCACTTTGGGAGGCCGAGACGGGCGGATCACCTGAGGTGGGGAGTTCGAGACCAGCCTGACCAATATGGAGAAACCCCGTCTCTACTAAAAATACAAAAAAATTAGCTGGGCGTGGTGGTGCATGCCTGTAATCCCAGCTACTCGAGAGGCTGAGGCAGGAGAATCGCTTGAACCTGAGAGGTGGAGGTTGCAGTGAGCTGAGATTGCGCCATTGCACTCCAGCCTGGGCAAAAAGGTGAAACTTCATCTCAGAAAAATAATAAAAAATCAATAAAATAAAATAAAATAAGGTGTTCTTTTACCTGACCTTTATTTCCTCAAAATGAGTCTATTTAAAAATATGCAGGAGGAAGGCTAGGCGCGGTGGCTCACGCCTGTAAACCCAGCACTTTGGGAGGCCTAGGTGGGTGGATCATGAGGTCAGGAGATCGAGACCATTCTGGCTAACACGGTGAAACCCTGTCTCTACTAAAAATACAAAAAAATTAGCCGGGCGTGGTGGCGGGCACCTGTAGTCCCAGCTACTCAGGAGGCTGAGGCAGGACAATGGCATAAACCTGGCAGGCGGAGCTTGCAGTGAGCGGAGATCACGCCACTACACTCCAGCCTGGGCGACAGAGTGAGACTCCGTCTCAAAAAAAAAAAAAAACAAAAAAGCAAAAAACAAAACAAACAAAAAAAACCCCAGAAATATGCAGAAGGAAAGGTTTTTTTCCCTTGCTTGAAAAAGCAGTCTTCAGCAATCACTGCATTTGTCGCTTGTTTTCTAGAGGCTGGATAAAATCAACTGTTTCTAGTTCATCCACACGTCTCTTTGCTGACAGTATGAAAGAAAGTAACATGAAATGCTTTATAAGGAAAGATTGTCACCATCAGCCATTTCATGCTGCTGCAAATATTTCAGATCCAAAATTCAAAGGCAGAAATGCAAAGGTTAATCCCACCACTGCACTTGATTAAATTGCAACAAGCCACAATTAGCAGTTGGAAAGTTCATTTCAAATGTTACAAAAGAGGCTGGGCATGGTGGCTCACGCCTGTAATCCCAGCAATTTGGAGGCCAAGGCAGGCAGATCACCTGAGGTCTGGAGTTCGAGACCAGCCTGGTCAACATGGTGAAACCCTGTTTCTACTAAAAATACAAAAATTAGCCCGGCATGGTGGCACACATCTGTAATCCCAGCTACTCGGGAGGCTGAGGCAGGAGAATTACTTGAACCCAGGGGGCGGAGATTGCAGTGAGCCAAGATCATGCCACTGCACTCCAGCCTGGACAACACAGCAAGACTCCATCTAAAAAAAAAAGTGACAATATAAAGAGCATCTTGAGCATCTAGTCTTTGACTCTGTTGGTGGTAAGGCCTTTACATCATAGAGCTCTGACCCATCTTCTGCAGCATGCAAAGAAGTCGATGGGTGTTTATAAAGAGAACATGTCAAGAAATAAACTAATCTATGAAAGATTAGAGATAGGTGTCTCTATCTTGTTTTCAGAAGTCTTCGAAGAAGTTAAAATGAAGCCTCAGAAGTAACAGGTCATGATCACTTAGGAAATAAGACTGATTAAAGCAGGCTTCATGTAGCAAAAGTGTCATTCAGTGAATTATGGAGAGCAATGAAGGTGGGGAATTTGGGGAAATGGTGTATTTTTTTATCTACTCCTTTCCTGTTTAGAAATGCTTATGATGTACTGCCACACGATAGATCCTTAGTTCAAAGACAAAAGAACTCTATTTTATTGTAATGTAAAGGTTTTCTTCAGTTTTCAAGCTCATCTACTTCCTACAATCTAGAAAAAAAAAAAAAGGCTGAGACACCAGATTTAGCACTTTTTTTTTTTTTGAGGTGGAGTCTCACTCTTTTGCCAGGCTAGAGTGCAGTGGCACGATCTCTGCTCACTGCAACCTCCGCCTCCCAGGTTGAAGCGATTCTCCTGCCTCAGCCTCCCGAGTAGCTGGGACTACAGGCATGCGCCAGCACGTCCAGCTAATTTTTGTGTTTTTAGTAAAGACGGGGTTTCACCACGTTGGCCAGGATGGTCTCAATCTCTTGACCTCATGATCCACCTGCCTCGGCCTTCCGAAGTGCTGGGATTACAGGTGTGAGTCACTGCACCCAGCCAGCACCATTTATAATAAAATTTATAACATTGAAAATGTTGACTGGGCACAGTGGCTCACCCCTGTAATCCCAACACTCTGGGAGACTGAGGCAGGAAGATTGCTTGAGCCCAGGAGTTCAAGACCAGCCTGAACAACACAGAGAGGCCCTATCTTTACGAAAAAAAAAAAAAAAAATTAACCTGCGGTTCCAGCTACTTAGGAGGCTGAGGCAGGAGGATCACTTGAGCCCAGGAGTTCAAGGCTTTAGTGAGCTATGATTGCACCATTGCACTCCAGCCCGGGCAATAGATCAAGACTCTGTCTCAAAAAGACAAAACAAAACAAAAAAATCAAATCTGTCTCGTCATTAGACCTGGGATGAATCATTCCCCTACAACATACCATTGAAACGCTGAAAATTTAGATGTAAAAAAGCCTTCCCTATTCCCTTCTGGGAATTCCTCTGTGACCACTCACTTCTTCCTACTTCTTCCTCCCCACTCCCCAACCAGGGTAGGAAAATGTCTGTGTGCACCGACAATGTCACTGACCTCCGGATTCCTGAGGGTGAGTCAGGGTTCTCCAAATCTATCACAGCCTACGTCTGCCAGGCAGTCATCATCCCCCCAGAGGTGACAGGCTACAAGGCCGGGGTTTCCTCACAGCCTGTCAGCCTTGCTGATCGACTTATTGGTGAGTAACTCCGCTGCCTCAGCCTTGTTTGAGAGTGTGTGTGTGTGTGTGTGTGTGTGTATGTGTAAGAGAGTGTGAGGTTACCAGTCTGGGAGGTAAAAGGCCCCACATGAGGGGCCCAACCTCTTGACCTGTGTTTTCTATTCCACTCTGTGTGCAAAGTGCTCCCAGGGACTCTGACAAACCCTTGTTTCACCCTTTCATAAGCCACTCAGGGATGTGATGAGATGAAGTGAGGTTGGATGTTGACAGGTATTGGAAGAATTGAAGTGGTTGCCAGCTAATGCTACTAGTGAGAACTAATTAGGAGCTCTAATTTGGCAGGGGTGACAACAGATATGACTCTGGATGGAATCACCTCCCCAGCTGAACTTTTCCACCTGGAGTCCTTGGGAATACCGGACGTGATCTTCTTTTATAGGTGAAGATGAGAGGCTAGGCTAATGCAAGTGAAACCTAGGACTCCTCCATAATTTCTGCTGCATCCCTCCCTCTCTAGCCACCTACTGCTTATCAAGCCAGAACATGTCTGAGGTCTAGCAGATCTGCCCAGTCATGATAGCTAAGGGCTGGGAGTTCCTGATCCCAGCTTCCTGGATATTACTGGAGCAGATCTGCCCTAGAGGCAAGGAGAAATATTGGATGATCTGCAGTGGACTTCCCTTCCAGCCTAAGCAGGCTCCAGTGTATGCTAGCCATGACTTTCCTAAACCAGGGCATTTCCCCCTTGACTACATATTGTTGATCCCCACCCTTTCCACGTATAAACCAAGGCCTGTGCACTCCCTGTGTGCCAGGCTAAAGCCCAAGTCCTGACTTCCCCAGCAAGGGAATTGCTCCATGCGGATTTCTCTTGGTGGCTGTCCAATAACACAGCTGAGTGACTCATTCCCTCATGGGGGCTGGCTTTCTCTGCAGGTCCAATGATGTGACCCAGTCCTGCAGTTCTGGGAGATCAACCACCATCCGCGTCAGGTGCAGTCCACAGAAAACTGTCCCTGGAAGTTTGCTGCTGCCAGGGTAAGCCCTGCAAAGGGATGTAACAAAGGCCAAAATCTCCCTTGAAGTCATTCCATCCTGAGATCCAGAGATTACTGAAAAAGAGCAAAAAAGAAAAGAGTTTGAGATCCATTAATGGGTGCTTAGGGGCACAGTCATGGCCCCAGACCCTCAGTCTTCATATGGCAAGAATGGGGTAGAAGGAAGAGTGAAAGCTATTCTCATATTCCTGGTCCATTAAGGCAGCAGCTGCGTAGCATGGTAACCAACAGCTCGGCTGAGAGCCAGGTTGAATCATCTCCTCCACTAACCAGCTATGTTATCATGGATGCATTTCTTACCTTCTTTAGGCCTCTTTTTTCCATATCTGTAAAAATGGGCATAATGCTAAATTCCCTCAGCGGGTTGTTTTGAGGATTAAATGAGACAAGGAGACTTTAGGACGTTTCATGATCTCTGGCTATTATGAGGATTAGTAAAGGTTTAGGGATCCTAGGAATCTCTCTGCAACGAAAATACCCAGTTCTGAGGTTAATAGCTGAGTGAACTAAATCAAAAATTTCTAAATGAATATGACCACAGGACACCCCCTCCCCTCCCCGCATAACAGCAGCTAACATCTTGACGGGCACTAGCGTCTTGAGGAAGACGTTTTGGATATGCTGCGCCTAAACTGACTGGGGAGATGGGGAGCAAAGCAGGGCGTCTTGACCCAGTAGTGGTGTCTGAGTGTCAAATCCCTGTTCTTGCCATTGTAAACATCACAGTAAAGTACATAACAGGTATCCATACCGGAAGTTCATTCCTGAACCCCACCTCAACTCCAATCCCACCCCGAGGAAGCTGCATCAAAGTGGCTATTGCAAAATGTCACAAGTCTGTGGGGAGGACAGGAACCTCAAAGGGGTTGATGAGACAGCCATGCTGGAGCTCAGACACCTTACAATAGCTCTCATAAGATGTCAGCAAAAACATAAACGGGCAGAGGGTGGGGAGCCCACTGGAGGCCAGGAAGGCCTCTTATCAGTGAAATCAGAGATCAAAACCTGTGTTAAGGACTAGTTGGAAGGATCCTGGTAGGGCTAATGGTTTGGGCAGGGAGAGGGTAAATCAGGCAAGCTATGAGACAACAGGCTTCCAACCAGATCTTCCCCACCCCTCCAGCGAGTGAGAGCTCAGGTCTCTTTTCTGCTTTGCTAGAACGTGCTCGGATGGGACCTGTGATGGCTGCAACTTCCACTTCCTGTGGGAGAGCGCGGCTGCTTGCCCGCTCTGCTCAGTGGCTGACTACCATGCTATCGTCAGCAGCTGTGTGGCTGGGATCCAGGTGGGTTTCCCTCTGATCGGGCACTTCCATGAGAGAAGGGAATGGGAGATCTGAGTTCCTTGTTTTTCTCCCCAACAGAAGACTACTTACGTGTGGCGAGAACCCAAGCTATGCTCTGGTGGCATTTCTCTGCCTGAGCAGAGAGTCACCATCTGCAAAACCATAGATTTCTGGCTGAAAGTGGGCATCTCTGCAGGCACCTGTACTGCCATCCTGCTCACCGTCTTGACCTGCTACTTTTGGAAAAAGAATCAAAAGTACATGTTGCGGTATTGGAGTGTGGGGATGGACAGGGTTGGATTATTGATCAGGGAGAATATCTGAAAGTATAAATTAATGGGGTTTTTCTCTGGAGTTGGCTACAGACTCTGTGACTTATCCAGTGCATGGTTTGGTTATCCTGACTCCTGAACAGGGATGGTACCACGTGGCAGTCTATAAATGGATGTTAAATTCTCAAAAGCAAAGAGTATCCTCAGTTTGCTATTATTAACAGTACAGAGAATGACATTATGATTTTGATATTTCCATTAAATTTTGAGATCATAGAAACAGACAGCCTTAAGGAACAAAGATCACTGAACTGGGAACTAAGATTCCTTCTATTACCCCAGCCCTGACACCATTTTACCATGCTTCAGTCTCCTTACCCATGGCATGGGAATAGGACCTGTTCATAGCCTAACCTCTCTACCTCTTTCCCCCTTATTCCCACATTTTGGGATCTTGTCTTTCCCATCCTCCTGTTTTATAGACTAGAGTACAAGTACTCCAAGCTGGTGATGAATGCTACTCTCAAGGACTGTGACCTGCCAGCAGCTGACAGCTGCGCCATCATGGAAGGCGAGGATGTAGAGGACGACCTCATCTTTACCAGCAAGAAGTCACTCTTTGGGAAGATCAAATCATTTACCTCCAAGGTAGGGGTCCTGGCCAGTGCACTGAGGTCAGCCTGGAGGGCTGGAGGAGACACTGCTCCTCAGACACTGAATGGTCCTGTACCGTTCAGGGATGGGCACCCTGCTCCCCACGCCCGATACAATTCCATTTCCCCACTCTGAAAATCCTGCCTTCTCCTTCTGTGTTTCTACACCAATACTCTTTCCCCCGGGGCCCAAGGCTGCTCTTGATCAGGCTCCTTCTCTCTCAACATGCACTCCAGTTAGTGAACTGTTTGGGCCTTTTCACTTCCAGAAGGAGTACTGAACCATCTATGTTGTAAGAATCATCCCCTACTCCTTTTTTTATTTTCACTGAAAAGGGAAAAGGTGATCTCTGGGATCAACTTCTGATAGAAGTCAGGCTCTCCTTTGACCAGTGGGGGGTGCTGTCTTCCAGGTGTCTGGGTCCAGTCCTTTGGGAGCTGAATCATAGTTCAGTCTCAGCTGTTCCCCACTGAGCAATTCTGAGCTGGGAGGGCTGGCTTTGTGTGGGTGGGTGAGTATGAAGCTTATAAATGCAATACAGACAATACTGTCACTGGGTGTGGGGCCAGCAGACAGCATACAAGCAGGTCCTCCAGGGCTATAGTCCTCTGCAGCACAACTCTGCCAGTGCCCATACCTGACTACTGCTCTGAACCAGTTCATCCCAATAGGAGTGGGTGGGGAGGGCGGAAAGAGGGAGGAGGGTATTGGGAGGTGGTGAAGAAAGGACCGTGCTTGGGTGTTTAGATTGCTAAGTCTTGTTTCCTTTGTGCTGACCTGCTAGGGAGACTCCCTTGGCCTCCTTAGACTGCGATTTCTTTTTTTTTAAATGAATGGGAGAACAGTTCACCCTGGGACTCTTGAGTCTATCTGGGACTGCTAGAATTCAGCAAAGGTGCAAAGCAGGGGATTTTTAAGATTTTTGGCTCATGCCTGTAATCCCAGCACTTTGGGAGGCCCAGGCTGGAGGATCTCTTGAGGCTGGGAGTTCAAGATCAGCCTAGACAACATAGGAAGACCCCATCTCTACAAAATAAAAAACAATCAGCTGGGTGTTGTGGAGCATGCCAGTAGTCTCAGCTACTTGGGAGGCTGAGGTGGGAGGATCACTTGAGCCCAGGAGTTGGAGGCTGCACTGAACTATGATTGTGCCATTGCACTCCAGCCTGGGCAACAGAGCGAGACCCTGTCTCTAAAAAACATGTATTTATTTATTTATTTATTGAGACGGAGTGTTGCTCTGTCTCCCAGGCTGGAGTGCAGTGGCATGATCTCAGCTCACTGCAACCTCCACCTCCCAGGTTCAAGTGGTTCTCCTGCCTTAGCCTCCCTAGATGCTGGGATTACAGGTGCTTGCCATCACACCTGGCTAATTTTTTTTTTTTGTATTTTTAGTAGAGACAGGGTTTCACCATGTTGGCCAGGCTGGTCTTGAACTCCTGACCTCAGGTGATCTGCCTGCTTTGGCCTCCCAAAGTGCTGGGATCACAGGTGTGAGCCACTGTGCCTGGCCAAAAACATTTTTTTAAAAGAAAAAAATTTTTTTTTTTTTGAGACAGAGTTTCGCTCTTGTTGCCCAGGCTGGAGTGCAGTGGCATGATCTTGGCTTACTGCAACCTCTGTTCCCGGGTTCAAGCGATTCTCCTTCCTCAGCCTCCCAGGTAGTTGCGATTATAGGCGCCTGCCACCATGCCTGGCTAATTTTTGTATTTTCGGTAGAGACAGGGTCTCACCATGTTGGTCAGGCTGGTCTCGAACTCCTAACCTCAGGTGATCCACCTGCCTTGGCCTCCCAAGTGCTGGGATTACAGGCATGAGCCACCACACCCCGCCTAAAAGAAAAAGATTTTTATTGTTCTCCAACTGACCCTGAAGGGAGCAAGCAGAATAGAGGGTATCTCATTTCTGTGTTTCCACAAAGCCACTGAAACAGGAATTTCATAAGGGTTCCTTCTGTCACCTATTTTCCATTTCTCTCCTTTGTCCCCAAACTTGCCCCTGTGCAGCAGCCAGCTCCTGTCACCATCTCTCTTTCAGAGGACTCCTGATGGATTTGACTCAGTGCCGCTGAAGACATCCTCAGGAGGCCTAGACATGGACCTGTGAGAGGCACTGCCTGCCTCACCTGCCTCCTCACCTTGCATAGCACCTTTGCAAGCCTGCGGCGATTTGGGTGCCAGCATCCTGCAACACCCACTGCTGGAAATCTCTTCATTGTGGCCTTATCAGATGTTTGAATTTCAGATCTTTTTTTATAGAGTACCCAAACCCTCCTTTCTGCTTGCCTCAAACCTGCCAAATATACCCACACTTTGTTTGTAAATTATGCCCTTGCTTGTATCTTGTTTCCCAAAATGGCCCATCCGCCAGAGCCATAGCTTCGTCTGCTCATAATTCTTATAGCTTTGGAATGAAAATATTTCTATCTTCTTAAGTATAGAAACTATTTCCTCTGTCCTCTAACTTAAGGGCAGAAACAGCTGGGAGTTTTCCTCGCATGCCCTCAGCTCATGATCTCTTCAGGAGAGAGGCTGGGTGAGGAGGGTGTCGGGGTTCCCTGGTGGATAATCTTCATAGCAGCCTGGATCCATTTCCCCTGGATAACCAGCTCAAAGGGAGTGAAAATGGTAGTCTGAGGGCAAGGGGAGCAAGGCCTGGGTAAGAAAAGCCTTGAAAAGCATAAAAAGAGGCCGGGCGCGGTGGCTCACGCCTGTAATCCCAGCACTTTGGGAGGCCGAGGCGGGCAGATCATGAGGTCGGGAGATTGAGACCATCCTGGCTAACACGGTGAAACCCCGTCTCTACTAAAAATACAAAAAATTAGCCGGGCGTGGTGGCGGGTGCCTGTAGTCCCAGCTACTCGGGAGGCTGAGGCGGGAGAATAGCGTGAACCTGGAAGGCGGAGCTTGCAGTGAGCCGAGATCGCGCCACTGCACTCCATCCAGCCTGGGTGACAGAGTGAGACTCTGCCTCAAAAAAAAAAAAAAAAAAAAAGAAAAGCACAAAGAGAGGCAACAAGGAATGTTTTTGTTTTTGAGACAGGCTCTCACTCTGTCACCTAGGCTGGAGTGCAGTGGCATAATCACTGTTCAGTGCAGCCTCAAGCTCTTGGGCTCAAGCTATCCTCCCATCTCAACCTCTCAAGTAGCTAGGACTACAAGTGTGCACCACCAGGCTCACTAATTTTTATATTTTTTGTAGACACAGGGTTTCACCATGTTGCCCAGGCTGGTCTCCAACTCCTGGGCTCAAGTGATCTGTCCGCCTCAGCCTCCCAAACTGCTGGGATTACAGGCATAAGCCACTGCACTCAGCCTTTTATTTGTTTTTTAAACCACGTAGCTCATTGCCTTCTCTTAAGTAAATGATAGATATTCTCACTGAAGCCAAAGGAATAAGTTCATCAAGAAAATGCCCAAAGCCCTGGTGGATACATCCTCCCTATCTTTTTTTTAAACCTTCCACTATCACTCTATGACACTGAAAAGAACCAGGTAAGCCCCAAACCCAGATGTTCCAGCCTTATCCTCTGTTGGGTTTACCCACAGACATAGCAAACCCTGTCAGTGAGGAAAATTCCCCATCCTTGAGTGCCCCCGTCCTAGAAGTTTGGGCCATATTATGGAACAGGGGTCTCTTATTTGAAAAGAGCACAAGGAGGCCAAGATTTTAATGGGGCACTTTAGGGGATACAGCCCACAATGGCATGGGCCTGAGGTGGCCGTGATGTCTGCTTCTAAGCTTAACGCATCTGCTCAGGCACAGAATAAACGTCTAGGCTGGCCAAAAAAGGAACTGAATCCCAGGCCCATACGCCAGCACCAGAATCAAACCAGTCTTCAAGGAAGGAAGGCTAGGAGAGTTTAACAAGATTTTCACTGGGCCCAGCATGGTGGCTCACACCTGTAATCCCAAGGCAGAATGGTGGCTTGAGCTCAGGAGTTCAAGACCAGCCTGGGCAACACAGTGAGACCCTGTCTCTAAAAAATTTAAAAATAAACAAGGTGTTCACCAAGCTGGGATACTTCTCACTATTAAGCCCCTATCTTTCTCTTTTTTTCATTCTCAATTGCTTTGTGTGATAAAAAACTAAAGAGACTTCTGGTCCAATTTCTGGCAACATCCCTTCTGAAAGGTGAGTAGAGTGGGTGTCTTCTATGCCCATTTTCCCCAATTTTACACAAACTATTATCAATGAACTTTTAAGTACCTAGAATGGGTAAAACCAGAGCAAGACTTTAAATTACCTTCTTCTTTCTTCTACTGGCAGTTCTGCCTCCATCACTATCAGGCTAGGGTGACCTTCCCTTGGTCAAGCCCCAATTGCCCATGATTTGTGCCTGTGCCCTTTCTCCAGTGACCATTTGGTGACCAGATGGTAGATATAGAAAGGGGATGGCATTTGCAAGTGACTAGTCTGCCACAAAATGCTCATCTGATTAGCCACTGCTGCCCTGGCAATGGCTTTGTAAGAGTCAATGAGAACTAGAGCCAGGCTGTGGTCCCTGGCCATCAACAGTGTTGGTGACGGCAGGGAGTCCCTTTGGTTTAATAAATCCAGTTTTTCTTTGGGTATCCAAATTCTCCCCTCCTTTTGTAGGAGTCAGGCTCTCAGAACCTGTGTCCATGTTGGAACTTCCCCCAGTGTGGATGCAGATACGCAGCTCCTGAGCTCCAGCCTAAAGTCTTCTGTAGCCTCAGCAATACTTGGGCACCTGCTGTCTCACTGAATAGCTTTCTTTTGTGACAAAGGCCACAGACAGCCCTTAGACTATTCCGGAAACAGTAGGAAAAATTACATATGTCTTTGACTTCTTTATTCTGACTCCACTGATTTTAGCCATAATACTTTAAGGAGCTACTTTTTACTACCCCTTACCGTGCTGACTTCTGCAGGTCTGCCCTGTGACCTGTCAGGAACTCCTGAGTTACGCTACTGGGGTCACCTGTTGCTCCCCTAGCAAGTTAGGCATGTCATATATTTTTAACAGCTTTATTGAGATATAATTCACATATTACACAATTCACCTTTAAAACATACGATTCAATGGTTTTCAGCAAACTCACAGAGTTGTCCGCCCACTTGAGAGCAAACACATGTTCAATTTTCTTTTCCTTTTTTTTTTTGAGACAGAGTCAGCTTTGTTGCCCAGGCTGGAGTGCAGTGCCATGATCTTGGCTCACTGCAGCCTCCCCATCCTGGGTTCAAGTGATCCTTCTGCTTCAGCCTCCCCAGTAGCTGGGATTACAAGCATGCGCCACCACGCCTAGCTAATTTTTGTGTTTTTAGTAGAGATGGGGTTTCACCATGTTGGCCAGGCTGGTCTCAAACTCCTGGACTCAAGTGATCCACCCACCTCGGCCTCCCAAAGTGCTGGGATTACAGGTGTAAGCCACCGTGCCTGGCCTACATGTTCAATTTTCTATGAACAAAGGCTTTAGTCCTTGACCCAGGGCTAAAGTGGTCTGTCCAAGCTGTTGTTGGTAGAGGGAGTATGATAAAATGTTTAAATCTCATTTGGTTACCTTGAGTCCTGGAACATGCAGTAACTGTCATGCTATAGACATCATCTGTATTTGGCTGGGAATACAAATGAAGATTGTGGTGTATTCAAGCAGTAGGGTTTTTGCTTTTGTTTTTGTTTTAGTGCCAACAAAACTTTTTTTTGTCTGACTACATTAAAGATAAGACTGACTATATTTATACAACAGAAACTTTGTAATAGATTTTTTCAGCTTTGTGAAATCGAATTTTTTTTCATCAGGGCTGGTTGGATTTCCTTTTTACCCTGTAATCCAAGCGTTAATAGTTTGTTAGAAGATGGGTTATTGCATGTCACTTTTTTTTTTTGTAAAATAAAAACATACCTTACAAGTTGTTTTTCTTAAACATGGGTTGGGTGGCTGGAGGGGTGAGTGGGAAATGTAAGTGTCCTGGAAGCTTAAACTGAAAAGGAGAAGGATTCCACATTCGCAGAGAGGCAGAGAAAAGAGCACAGACTTTGGAACAAGATGGACATAGGCTAGAAGCCTCCCACTACTTGTTGAGGAATCAGTCAATAACCAAAGCCTCAGTTTCCACAATAATAAAATGCATCTAATGATACCCAACACACCAAGATTGAATGAGCTCAAAAGAAATAACTCATAAACCACTTCGCATGCTACTTCCCTTCCCTTCTGCTCAGGTTTCTTTCAGGAAACATGAGGCCAGCCACATAACAATAAATCCACAAATAGAAGCAAAATTAGCTTCTTTGGGTATGAAGTAGATTATTACAGACTAGATGTGGAGAAAATCCTAGATGATATCAAGGGCCTACCATTTCCTGAGGTTGCTAGATTTTTGCTTTCTTTCTTTTTTTTTTTTTTTTTCTGAGGCTCACTATGTTGCCTAGGTTGGAGTGCAATGGCACAATCTCAGCTCACTGCAGCTCCAACCTCCTGGGCTTGAGTGATCCTCCCACCTCAGCCTCCTGAGTAGCTACAGGCATGCGCCACCACACCTGGCTAATTTTTGTATTTTTTGGAGAGACAGGGTTTCACCATGTTGCTGGTCTCAAACTCCTGGGTTCTAGAGATCTGCCCACCTTGGCCTTCAAAGTGCTGGGATTGCAGGCATGAGCCAGCGTGCCTGGCAGGATTTTTCTGCTTCAGGACTTTATTCTAGTTGAGGGCACTTGATCCCCAAAAATAATTCTCTCAGCTATTAATAGATGAGTTGGGAATGTCACACTTTTCAGACTGAATGGCACTAAGTGCCAGATGTTCTTCGTCAGGGTCCTTAGGTAATTTCTAGTCTTCTAACAGGCCTCTCCGCGCCAGTGCTTCCCACACCAGTATCACCCCCCTGCTCTGTAGCCAGAGCTCTTTTTCTTTTTTTCATGAAAAGTTTTCTGGTAAAAGGCAGAAAACCTGCTAACCAAATTCTAAAAGAGGGTGTGGCGGCTCATGCCTGTAATCCCAGCACTTTGGGAGGGCCAGGCTGGAGGATCGCCTGAGGCCAGGAGGTTGAGGTTGCAGTGAGCTATGATGGTGGATTGCACCACTGCCCTCCAGCCTAGGTGACAGAGGCAGACCCTGTCTGTAAAAAAAATAAAAAAATTCTACAAGAGCTGGAACACTCAGAGCCGTTTTTCTAACACATCTGATGGCACTCAAATGTGCCATCTCTGATGGCTCCTTATTGCTGTCAGGCAGGAGCAATTGGCAGCAGCTCACCTACACTCCAAGGCTGGTTGTTTATGACCCACATCTACTTTGACTGGGTGGTACCTGGGTTGTACTGGTGGTTAAATATTTTGAACATCACCCCTGCTTATAACATACAGTCCAAACTCTAAGAAGGTAAGTAGAAAAGAAAACGCATTCGTTTGGCATCTGTGTCAAGCCTGGACTTAATGCTTTCACAGCATTGCCTTTTTTCATTTTCAGAACAGCCCTGGAGGCAGCTACTATCCCCATTACACCCATTACAATAGAGGAAGAAACTGTGTCTCCAATAGATTCAGTTACGTGGCCTACAGGGTCCCTAACGGCCCACCGGCCCACCTTCCCAACATTGTTTCTACTCTAACCACACTGAGCTTTTGATGGTCTCTGAGTCATAAGCACCTTCATGCCTCCAGCATTGGAATATGCTCTCCTCTCTGCCCCTCTGCTTCCTTTTCACCTCACAGATCCCACTCAGCCTTCCACGTCACCCCACTGTGGGAAATAACAGGGCAAAAACAGTCCCATGGGAGTACCGCTATGAATCTTTATGAATACAACCGTGTACTGTGCAATGCAACAAACAAGCAACAGACACAATCAAGCTTGAAACTGCGGGGCAGTGAGAGGGGTGTGTAATGATATGGAAATGATTTTAAGAATTTCCCAATCACTGACAAAGAAGTAAAATACATTATCAGGTGACCAGGCAAGAATATACTTACGACTTGGTCTAAATCTTAAGGAAGACAATTAATTAACTGGGAAGCATAGAGCAACAATGAGTATTAAGAGATAGAGAAACTGATTTAGGGTTTTTAAGAGCTATTCAAGGAGAATTTGAAATATAAACTAATTTTGTCTCAGTGCCAAAGTTAACAATCCCACATAAAATGCAATTCCCTATAGAGTAGTTCAGCCTTAACGGTACTTTCACTTTCCACAGTTTCAGTTACCTAAAGTCAACTTAAGTCAAAAAATATTAAATGAAAATTCCAAAAATAAACAATTTATAAGTTTTAAATTGTATGCCATTATGAGTAGCATAATGACATCTTGTGCCATCTCACTCCTTCCCACCTGGGACATGAATCATCCCTTTGTCCAGAGTATCCATACTGTCTGCACTATCCACCCATTACTCACTTAGCAGCCATCTGAGTTACCAGATCGAAAAAGCACAGTATATGTAGGGATCCGTACTCTCCGTGGTTTCAGGCATCCACTGGAGACTACCGTAAGATACAGTGTGGTGGGAGAATTGATTTCGCACCCCAATTCTATCAGATGGAGAGGCTGGATCAAAGTCCCTCCAAGTCCTGGCAGCTTTCCCCGACCCACGCTATTTTTAAATGATTCCTGCTTAGTTGCTGAAGGATAGCAACGTGGACCTCCTTTGTTACTGTGTCTCTCTGATAGAAGGGAGTGGGTAAGCCAGAACTGGAGGCAGGGTTGTCAGTTCCTCCTGAAACAGTATCATCAATACTACTGTACTGTGGGAAACGGGAAGGGTGTCTAACCAATTTGCAGGGAGGGGTAAAGAGGATGTAAGAGAAGGCTTCCAGGAGAAAGGAGGAATTAGCCAGGTAAGAGGAACAGAGAAGGGAAAGGGAGTTCCAGGTAGAAGGAACTTGTGCAACCAAAGGCTCAGAGGGAAGGAAGGGAGCCACAAGAAGGTTGGAATGGGGAATACGAGGGGGAAATGTTAAGAGATAAAGAGGGCCAGGTGAGGTGGCTCATGCCTGTAAACCCTGCACTTTAAGAGGCCAAAGTGGGTGGATTGCTTGACCCCAAGAGTTCGAGACCAGCTTGGGCAACATGGCAGAACCCTGTATCTACCAAAACAAAAACAAATACAAACATTGCCTGGGGCATGGTGGCACACATCTGTAGTCTCAGCTACTCGGGAGGCTGAGGTGGGAGGATCCCCTGAAGCTGGAAATGTCGAGGCTGCAGTGAGCCATGGTTGTACCACTGTTTTCCAGCCTGGGCAACAGAGTGAGACTCAGTCTCACATACACACACACACACACACACACGAGATAAAGAGGGAACATGTTAGAGAAGCTGGTAGGGACAGATCATATATAGCGTTGCCAGCCATGTTTGGATTCCCCTGAGGGTAACAGGTATCCACAGAAGACTTCTAGCAAGGGAGTGACAGGACCGGACTTGTTCGGTGAACATTGAGAAACCCTACTCCAAATCCAAGACAGAGGAACACAAAGGGCTGCCACAGTGAGGCCTCAGAGAACCCTTCCGAGTTAGCCAGCTCCAAACTGGGAAAACTGAGGTAGGCAGCTTTTGTTGGGTGCCTCACACCCGCTTTTTTTGCTCCGTCTCTGCAGTTGCTCTTTTCCCCTAGGCTGCCCACTAGCTGCCCAGGATCCCCAAGGCAGTATCTTCACCCAGGACTCTGCTCGCTGACCTGCAACAAGCTCCCATCCTCTCAGCCTACTTCCTCGCAACCCACTCACTCAGGGAGGATGTAACAAGCACTTACCATGGGTAAGGCAGGGTGCTAGGTCCCGTGGGGAGAAAAATGCAAATACGCAATGGTCTCTGCCCTATAAGATCAGGCCCCATAGCATAGTCAGGGTCCTCACTGACCTGTTTTCTGCTAAGGATTGCTACTAAAAGGGCAAAGCCCAAACATTAGGCTATCTTAGGTATTTACCTGTGTCCTGGTTTTGATTCCATCACTTATCTTCTCTGGGGCTGTTTCCTTATATAGAAAATAAAAGGGTTAGCCTGGCTGGCTGTTTTCCAGTCAGGGCTTCTTGAGCACTTCAGTCCTCAGAGGCAGTGCCCAAGAGCATTCTTGGTAGTAAGGGTTAACAGAAATCACATATTCAAAGGTGGCAGGGCTTCACACCATCACTCCATAACGAAAGTTTTTATGTTGATTTGTTTTTGCGTTAGCTTCTGGCAGGAGTTACTTGGTGCAGTAACACTGCCTATTTCCTGCTGATCAGAATTTCTAGGTGGCAGCCATATAGATCTGATTAATAAAAAAGGCAAATTATTATTTTTTAAAAATCATGTTCATTAGACAAAAATATTTCAAAACATGAGGGACAAGGTGATGAAAAAATCAGGAATTATTAAGTTAACAGATAGCTGAAGCTCCCCTCCAACTCTAAAAATCCCACGATTCTAAGCTGATGAAGTATGCTATTATGTTAATTTATTATACTCATCAGGTAACATCAACTTTTTTTTTTTTTTTTTTGATACAGAGTCTCACTCTGTTACCCAGGCTGGAGTGCAGTGGCGTGATTTAAGCTCACTGCAACCTTCGCCTCCTGGGTTCAGGCAATTTTTGTACCTTAGCCTCCCAGGTAGCTGGGATTACAGGCATGTGCCACCACACCCAACTAATTTTTGTATTTTTAGTAGAGACGGGATTTTGTCATGTTGGCCAGGCTGGTCTCGAACTCCTGACCTCAGGTGATCCACCCACCTTGGCCTCCCAAAGTGTTAGGATTACAGGCATTAGCCACCGCGCCCGCCCATATGAACATTTTAAAGGGAGATGTTTGTAATCTAATGATAAGATCAATTGTAAAAATGCATGAATAAATTTGGAGAGATCAGAATTTCAAGATCACTTGTTGAATGACATTGATGACCTTCCTAAAGGGTTGACCCAGTGGCCCTCCTCCCCTAGGCCTGGGATCACTTCAGCCTCAGAAACACCTGCCACTGTTTTAGAAACTTAATTGGCAATACACTTTGGCGGTGCCTTCAATGACATGGAAGCAGGGAGCGCCCCCATCACAGACCTTGCCCTCAGAAGGTTTTAGGGAACCCAACACTTTGAGGAGAGTCTTCTTAGATGTTTTCCTCCAAGACTGCAGCTCCTCACCCTTCCTTTCCACTGGTTTTAAATCTAATACCATAGGCAGGTTGAACCAAGGAGAGCACACCCAGACAAGCCCCTTTCCTCTGCCTCCCTCAGGGTCTCTACTTAGCTCTATCATTGTTGTTAGACCTGACCTACACTTCAGGGTTGGCTTGGCAGAGGCTTTTTGGGGAGCAGGGATAGTGTAAGAGGCAAAAAAAAACAAAAAACAAAAAACAAAAACAAAAACCCACACTCAACACACAACATTTCTGTGACCAGATGCAGTGGTGAGGGGCCCTGGGGGGTAAGTTCCTCAGACACCAAGCGATTCTCCAGTGGACATTGGCTAAGCATTCTATAATTCAATTCGATTCTGATTCTGACACTAGCTACCTGGAGGTAGTGTCAGATTCCATGGGGTAAGGGCTTGATCCCACTAGACTGCTCCTCTTCAGATGCCAATTGCAAGTAGTAGATTTCACCTATACTTCTTAGCAGCTATAAACTGGGGCTCCCACTACCCCCTCCTTTGGTCTGATTAATTTGCTGAGAAGGCTCACAGACCTCAAGGAAACATTTACCAGTTTATTATAAAGGATAGTACAAAGGGTACAAATGAACAGCCAGATGAAGAGATGGATAGGGCAAGGTGTCAGGGGTGCAGAGCTTCCATAACCTTTCTGGGCAAGACACCCTCCTGGCATCTCCACATGTTCAACAACCCTGAAGCTCATCAACTCTTGTTGTTCGAGCGTTTATAGAGTTTGATGTCCAGCTCCTCCCCTCCCCCTTTCCTGGAGGTTGAAGGGTGGGGATGAAAGTTCCAATCCTCCAATCACTTGGTCTCTCTGGTGACTGGCCCCATCCTAAGGTTATCTAGGGCCCCCATCCTAAATCACCTCCTTATTATAAACTCAGGTGTTATCAAAGAGACCCATTACGTATAACCCAGGAAATTCAAGGGTTTTAGGGGCTGTGTCAGGAACCAGGGACAAAGCCCAAATATATTTCATATTATAAATAAATAATATGATAGTTAGCTATGTCACACCCTCATCTCAGGAGTCCATGACGGCGGTATAAGATCAAGAAGGTCTTAGCACATCTAGCTTCGAGAAGGCATTGGAAGTGAGGCTTTAAAGTTTCTGCAGAGTGGAAGGATTGGGGGTGGGGGTGGGGGAGGAGATCACCTGTTCCCAAATCCTTCAAATAATCTCTTGTTATCAGGGAGATTCTTTGATAACTTTGGCTTCACTCGGCAACTAGAATATTTCATTTAAAGGTCTGAACATTATAAAATCAAAGTATGATACAAACCGTTCTTCAAGACGCTTTCAAATTGACCCAAGACATGACCTCAACACCTTATACGGCGTTCAAATCTGCTTAATGTCCCTTTGGAAAAGTTTTCTCTCGTCTCTCTCTAAAAGACAACCGCACTTTCCCAAAGCTGTGCTCTTAAGAGTTGGTAAAGTGACAATTTGGTTTATCCAATAATCAGATTAATAAAGGTATACCATTTCTAAGGCACGAGAGCAGGAATCTTAAGCTGAGGTAGCCCTGGGACTAAATATGCCATCCTCTTGTATCAAGATGGAGAAGACGGCCGAGGTTCAGGGAAAGAGCCCAGTGGAAGAACCCAACCTAGTGAGAGGAAAACGGGCACCTGGTGAAGGCCCCGGCCTCTAAGCTAGGGATGAGGGGACAGGCCTCTGCCTAGCCTGAGACAGGAGTAGGAAACTGAGGCATTCACACTTTTATGTGGCGATCACAGTTCCTGCAGACTGTAGCAGAGCTGGGGAGCAGGAACCAGAGGTATAGTCCCACGCCCACCCACTCTCCCCTCCCCTCCCTCCGCGGCCCCGCCTCCAACCAGCCGCTTCCGGTCGCGGGGAGGGTCGCCTGCGGGCTCCAGCTGCGCCTGCGCAGGAAGGGCGGGTCAGCGCGCCGGCGCAGTGCGGCGGTCACAGGCTGAGTGCTGCGGCGCGATCCTTGCTTCCCTGAGCGTTGGCCCGGGAGGAAAGAAGATGGTGCTGGATCTGGATTTGTTTCGGGTGGATAAAGGAGGGGACCCAGCCCTCATCCGAGAGACGCAGGAGAAGCGCTTCAAGGACCCGGGACTAGTGGACCAGCTGGTGAAGGCAGACAGCGAGTGGCGACGATGTAAGTACCGGGACGGGCGGGTTACCTCCTTGATGCTAAACCCAATTTTCTCTCTCAAATCCAGCCACCGCTCCTGAGGCCACAGCTTCCACCCTTCGTCAGACCCCCTCCCAGGGTGCGGTGGCTCCGAGGTTCTCCCCATCCCCGAAAACACAGCCTGGTCGCCGGGGTCATCCCACTTTCTCCTCCACCCGGGCGGAGCGAGGTCCCTTCCACGCGTGCTCAGTGCCGTTCGCTGCCAGTGTGCGTACGCACGCGCATCGGGAGCTGTCAAGCCTTCCTGCCCCAGGGGTTGCCAGAACATGCCGGGGCGGGAGGTTGTGGGGTCTACGCGGCTTTCCTAACACGAATCTTTGGTCCCCCCCAGTCTTTTTCTCATCTTCAGCAAGGCCAGAGTGGTTTTCCTTTGTTTTGATAGGATCAAAGGCTTCTCCTGAGACTGCGTCACTTCTGCAACACAGTAGATTCATTCCTTCGGTATCGGAAGCATTTCGGGGCGTTGGAGGCCGCTCTTGGCCAAAATAAATGACCCTGAAGCTTTTCGGAAGGCCATCCCCCGACCTATGGGCATACCTTTAAGAATTAGAAAAGTCTTTTCCGTGGTAGATCAAACGCGAGGGGAGTGAGGAGGCGAGCAAAAGATTGTAATGACTGAAGCTGTTTAATTGTGATTTGTGGACGTTTTCCTTTAAAGACATTGGCAGAGTTGGGCTAGAACCTGGAACTGCCGGATCTTGGAGTCATATCGGGCATCTATCATGAAGCCGAATAAAACCATAGAACCATCTGCCCATAAATCTCTGCCTGTATTAACTGGAGTGGTCGCTGGTTGGGCGGATGCTGTCAAGTACTTGTGATTTGATTTGTCTGATGCAATAGGTCTGCAACCATCTGGGAGCTAGGTCGATGACAGTACACTGCAAAGGCAGCCACTATCCAAGAGTGTGATGGATTTCTATTAGGAAAATTGATTTTCTCCTGTTTATAAGGATCTTGGATGTCAAAAGAATATTTGTTTAACTTGAGTTTTGTGCTGATTCTATGTCTTAGGCCCTCTATTGTAGTAGTTTGTTTGATTGTGAGATTCCACACTTGACCTGAAGTTTCGAGTTGCAATGGAATTTAATTTTGCCACATTTTTTGTTTAGGATAAAACTAGCCTGAGCACTGTTCTACTGAATCTGAAGTCAGGAGTATCAGATTTTTGTGTCAGTCCAGCCCTTAGCCAGTGCTAAATGACTTTGAATGTGTTAGCTAGTCTTTTGGGTATAATGTCCACATCTGAGGGATTTGTCCCTTATCTGAAAAGTAGATAGGTGGTGAGTTCTTCAGGGACAAGGATTCAATTTTATTCATACAGTATATATGTGGATATACATATACACATTTATACATAAAATCCCAGTACCTAGCACTGTACCTGGTCCTTGGTAAGGCCTTGATAAAGGTTTGTTAGAGGCGTGAATATTTTCTGTCTTCAGGGCACTTTATATTCTTTATGAAAAGCAGTTTATGTAGTTTATGTTATTGTTTTAAAAAACTTAATCCTAAATGTGAAGTCATTTCTTTTCTTTGTTTTGTTTTGTTTTGTTTTTGAGACGGAGTCTCTCATTATCACCCAGATTGGAGTGCAGTGGCACCATCTCGGCTCACTGCAACCTCCATCTCCCGGTTTCAAGAGATTATCATGCCTCAGCCTCCAAGTAGCTGGGACTACAGGTGTGCACCACCACACCCAGCTAATTTTTTTTTTTAGTTGAGATGGGAGTTTCACCATGTTGGCCAGGCTGGTCTCTAACTCCTGACCTCAAGTGATCCGCCTGCCTCAGCCTCCCAAAGTGCTGGGATTACAGGTGTGAGCCACCATGCCTGGCCAATAGTTTATTTCCAATGCATCTATTAATTTGATTCTTTTCTATTTGACAACCCTTTCCAATATTCTCTTTGCATCCAAATGGAATTTATGTTTTTTCCCAAGTTCCCAACTGCCCAAGGTAGACACTGGCAGATTTATATCAAGGTTCTTTGACATCTTGAACTTCAGATCAGAGGATGGAGTTCTTCTCTCATTGCCTTGAGCAAGGGCTTATAACCAGAGCCACATTAAGAACTCAGATCATGCTCCCTAATTGAGGACACATAGCAAGCTTCACCAAGCCCTCCACTACAACTATACCAATTTGTCTTCCTGTAGACTTACAAGGTACCACTAGGGTTCCTTTGGAGAACTCAGGAGTCCAGTATAACTTGGAGTGATAATACCACATTGGAACTCACAACTCTTCTAACTCCAGGGATTTGAATGTGATTTCTTCTTTTTAATTCAGAGTAGCGTAATGATCCTACACTTGGGCATATTTGTCTTGGCCCCACTCCCAAAGCAAATAGATTTCCATGTAACTGGAAATCTGCTGCAAACCCCAAGAATTTTATCCTCCCTCAAAAAGTGCTATCCTGAGTGGTTTTTTTTTTCTTTTTACTGTACATTGAAAATTGAAGTTGTTGTTTCCTTTTTTTTTAATTTGAGACAAGGTCTCACTGTGTCACCCAGGCATGATCACAGCTCACTGCAGCCTCAATCTCCCCAGGCTCAGATGATCCTCCTGCCTTAGACTTCTGACTAGCTGAGACTACAGGCGCAATGCCACCATGCCTGGCTAATGTGTGTATTTTTTGTAGAGATGGAGTTTCGTCATGTTGCCTAGGCTGGCCTCAAACTCCTGGCCTCAAGCGATCCTCCCACCTCGGCCTCCCAAAGTGTTGGGATTACAGGCATGAGTCACCATGCCCAGGCTAAAGCTGTTATTTCCTCATAACCTTTACTGCACATGTTTTAAAACAGGTCCTTATCATTGTTTGCCCCAGCAACTGGAATAGCTTTCTATCTGCTTTCAATCTTAACCCAGTCTCACCAGGGCATATAATCTTTCTAGAATGCAAATCTGATCATTTTACTTGAAGGCTTAAGTTTTGCAGTGACATACTTTAGAGCAGCACTGTCTGATAGGAATAGAATGTTAGCTTCATGTATACAGATGCTCCTTGACTTAGGATGGGTTTATGTCCCAATAAATCCACCATAAGTTGAAAATATTGTAAGTAAAAAATGCATGAAATACACATACCCTACTGAATATCATAGCTTAGCCAAGCCTACCTTAAATGTGCTCAGAACACTGATGTTAACCTACAGTTGGGAAAAATCATCTTACACAAACCCTATTTTATAATAAAGTGTGAATATCTCATGTAATTTATTACTATTGATCATAAAGTTTAAGCATTATAAGTTGGCGATAGTCTGTAATTGTTAATTTGTTTGTATCCAATATAAAAAATATAAAGAGAAACAGATGAAATTAATTTTAGTAATACATTTTATTTAACCTAGTCTTGTATACCCAAAAGTTATATATATATAAATATATATATAATTATTATTATTATTTTTAGACAGCGTCTTGTTCTGTTGCCTAGGCTGGAATGCAGTGGCATGATCACAGCTCACTGCAGCCTGGACCTCCTGGGCTCAACTGGTCCTCCCACCTCAACCTTCTAAGTAGCTGGGACCACAGGTGTGCACCACCATGCCCAGCTAATTTTTAATTTTTTGTAGAGACAGAGTCTCACTTTGTTGCCCAGGCTGGTCTCGAATTCCTGGACTCAAGTGATCCTCCCACTTCGACCTCCCACACTGCTGGGATTACAGGTGTGAACCACCACGCCCAGCCCCGAAATTATATTTTCAACACATAATCAGTATTTTTAAATTACTGAAACTAGCCCGGTGCGGTGACTCACTCCTGTAATCCCAGCACTTTGGGAGGCCGAGGCAGGCAGATCACAAGGTCAGGAGATCGAGACCATCCTGGCTAACACGGTGAAACCCCATCTCTACTAAAAATACAAAAATAATTAGCCGGGCATGGTGGGGGGCGCCTGTAGTCCCAGCTACTCGGGTGGCTGAGGCAGGAGAATGGCGTGAACCCGGGAGGCAGAGCTTGCAGTGAGCTGAGATCATGCCACTGCACTCCAGCCTGGGTGACACAGAGAGACTCTGTCTCCAAAAAAAAAAAAAAAAAAAAAAAATTAGCCAGGCGTGGTGGCGGGCGCCTGTAATCCCAGCTACTTGGGAGGCCGAGGCAGGAGAATTGCTTGAACCCGGGAAGCGGAGGTTGCAGTGAGCTGAGATCGTGCCATTGCACTCCAGCCTGGGGGACAAGGTGAGACTTCATCTGAAAAAAAAAAAAAATTACTGAAACTACTGAGATATTTTACTTTTTTTTTTTTTTTTTTGGTACAAGTCCTCAAACTCCAAAGTATGTTTTACACTTAAAGCACCACTCTGTTCAGGTGCTCATTTCAAATTTCAAATGCTCATAGTCACATGGTATTAAAAGCTACTATATTGGACAGTACAGCCTTAAAGCATAAAAATCCAAATTCCTGAACACAATTTACAAAGTCCCCCATGCCTTCCTGGCCTCGCTGTCTACCACTTCCCACATAGGGCCTCCCGCTCTTTGCTCTAGCTTATTGCTACTCCTAGACTCTTTCACACTTCTGTGACTGTTGCCTCTTCCTGGAATGCTCCTTATCAGGGTGTGCCACTCCCACTTCCAACGGCCCTCTTTGGCACTCAACTACTGTTGTAGTGCCACCTCATTTATTGAGTGCTCTCCTTATATTATCTTACAAATCTCTTACAGCATTTATACTATTCCTGTATATACCCTTCAAAAACTTATTTTTATTGACATAGATACAGTAAAGTACACAAATCTTAGTGTACAGGTTGATGAGTTTTCTAAATATATACACCAATGTAACACTTAGATCAAAATATAAGACATTTAGGCCGGGCGTGGTGGCTCACACCTGTAATCCCAGCACTTTGGGAGGCCGAGGCGGGCGGATCATGAGGTCAGGAGATCGAGACCATCCTGGCTAACACGGTGAAACCCCATCTCCACTAAAAATTCAAAAAATTAGCCGGGTGTGGTGGCGGGCGCCTGTAGTCCCAGCTACTTGGGAGGCTGAGGCAGGAGAATGGCATGAACCCAGGAGGCGGAGCTTGCAGTGAGCCGAGATCACACCACTGCAGTCCAGCCTGGGCGATAGAGCAAGACTCTCCATATATATATATATATATATATATATAGTGTACATATACAGTATATATATACACTATATATTTATATACACACTATATATATATATATATATGACATTTACAGCACACCAGCAGATTGCCTTATGCCACCTCCCAGTCAGCCCCTCCTCCAAAAATAATAGTATTCTTACCTCCATCACCATAAATTCCTTTGCCTGATTTTGAACTACATATAAATGGACTTATGTAGTATATACTTTTGCATATGGCTTCTTTCTTTTTTTTTTTTGAGACAGATTCTTGCTCAGTCACCCAGGCTGGTGTGCAGTGGCGTGATCTCAGCTCACTGCAACCTCCGCCTCCCGGGCTCACACCATTCTCCTGCCTCAGCCTCCCGAGTAGCTGGGATGACAGGCACCCACCACCATGCCTGGCTAATTTTTTTTGTATTTTATTAGAGCTGGGGTTTCACCATGTTAGCCAGGATGGTCTTGATCTCCTGACCTTGTGATCCACCCGCCTTGGCCTCCCAAAATGCTGGGATTACAGGCATGAGCCACCGCGCCCGGCATGGCTTCTTTCTTTCAAGATTATGTCTGTAAGATTCATCCATGTTATTAACATGTAGCAGTAGTTGGTTCTTTTCATTGCTATATAATACTCCATTATGTAAATATGCCAATCAATTCTACTAGCATATTTACTGCATGACATTTGGATAAACTGGGTTGTTACCGGTTGAGGGCATTATGAATAAGCTTCTAGAGACTCTTTTTTAAAAAATGTTTGATTGGCAATTAACAGATTATAGTTGTATATATTTATAGGGTACAATGTAATGTTATGATTTATGAATACAATGTGGAATAATAAAAGCAGCTAATTAACATATCCATCACCTCAAATACTTATATTTTGTGATAAGAACATATGTACATTCTTATGTGTGTCTTTTGGTAGACATTAACACTCATTTCTGTTGGGTATGTACCAAGGAGTAGAATTGCTGGATCATAGGGTGGGCACATGTTTAGATTTAGTAGATAATACCAAGTAGTTTTCCAAAGTGGTTGTAATGATTGATATTCCCACCAGCAATATCTAAGAGTTCCAGTTGCTTGGCATTCTTGCCAGTACTTGACATTGGCAGTCCTTTTAATTTAGCCATTCTGGTAGATATATAGTGGTGTCTCATTGTTATTTTAATTTGCATTTTTTTGGTGACTAAAGATACTGAGCGCTTTTTCATAAGTTGATGGCATTTGGATAGCCTATTTTGAGAAGTATCTGTTCAAGCCTTTTGACCAATTTTTATTTGTCCTTTTCTTAGTGGTTTGTAGGAATTATTTATATCGTGTGGATAGAAGAATACCTGTGAGATACAGATACCACAGATCTCCTCTCCCATTCTGTGGCTTGCCTTTTCATTCTTTCAGTCTTGTGATGAATAGAAGTTCCTAATTTTAATGAAGTCTAATTTATTGACTTTTCTTCTGTGATTTGTCTATTGTGTTTCCAAAACACAATAGATAAATCACAGAATTTGTATTCTGTTTTGAAAATCATGTTATGTCTTAACCTTCAGAAGAGATTCTCCAGTTTTTTTGTAGACATTTTATTTCTTTACCTTTTACATTTAGGTATAAGATATATTTAATATTAATTTTGGTGTATTATGTGAGATAGATCAAAATTTTTTTTAATGTGGAGAGTCAATTGCTCATGGTAAAAATGCAATAAACTGAGAATAGAAGGGAGCTTCCTTAATCTGATAGTAGATACTTACAGAAAAACCCATAGCTAATTTTTCTTTTCTTCTCTTTTTTTTTTTTTTTCTTGAGACAGAGTCTCATTCTGTTACCAGGCTGGAATGCAGTGGCGTGACCTCAGCTCACTGCAACCTCCACCTCCCAGGTTCAAGCGATTCTCCTGCCTCAGCCTCCTGAGTAGCTGGGACTACAGGTGCGTGCCACCACGCCCAGCTAATTTTTGTATTTTTAGTAGAAACAGGATTTCACCATGTTGGCCAGGATGGTCTCGATCTCTTGATCTCATGATCCGCCCGCCTCGGCCTCCCAAAGTGCTGGTATTACAGGTGTGAGCCACTGCGTCCGGCCACATTTTTCTTAATGATGAAATATCGAATGCTTTCCCCCTTGAGGTTAGGAACAAGACAAGTATGTCTCTTATCACCTCTTCTAATCAACATCATGCCAAAGGTTCCAGGCAGTATGAAGAAGGCAAGAAACAAAAATAAAAGATTGGAATGGAAGAAACTGTCATTATTTGCAGATCACTTGATTGTGTATGCAGAATCTGAACTATTACAATTAAATAACTTTAACAAAATAACTGGATACAATACACAGAATCAAAGGTACTTCTATATACAAGTAACAGTTTAGAAGCACCAGGTGCATAGAGATATACCTAATAAATAACATTTAAGACTCATATACTGAAAACTACAAAACATTGCTGAGAGAAATTAAAAACAATGAAGGGATATACTATATTCATTGATTGAAACATTCAGCATTGTTACAATATTTGGTTTTGTTTTATTTTCTTTTTGTTTCTTTTCTTTTTCTCTTTTGAGATAGAGTCTTGTTCTGTCACCTAGCCTGGAGTGCAGTGGAATGATCTTGGCTCACTGCAGTCTCTGCCTCCCAAGTAGCTGGGAGTACAGGCACACACCACCATGCTCAGCTAATTTTTTTGTGTGTGTGTATATATATATATATATATATATATATATATATATATATATTTTTTTTTTTTTTTTTTTTTTTTTTTTTTTTTTGTAGAGACAGGGTTTTGCCACGTTGCCCAGGCTGGTCTCGAATTCCTGGGCTCAAGCGACCCACCCACTTCAGCCTCCCAAAGTGCTGGAATTACAGGCATGAGCCACCACACCTGGCCTTATTTTCTTTTATACTCCCAATACCTACCTTGGTGCCTTGCAAATAGGAGGGAATCTCAAAACGATTATAGATTTACAGGAAGTTGGAAAAATAGTAGAAAGGTCCCGTTTTCCCCAATGATAACATCTTATATAACTCTAGTACAATATTAAAACCAAGAAATTGACATTGCTACAATCCACAAACCTTATTCAGATTTTGCCAGTTTTGCACACATGTGTGTGTGTAGTTCTGTGCAATCTTACCATGTGTAAATTTGTATAACCACTGCCATGCTCAAGATACAGAACTGTTTCATCACCACAAAGATCCTTCTTGCTATCTCTTTGTAGTCTACTCCCTTTGCCCTCCATCTCACCCCTAGCAACCACTAATCTATTATCCATCTCTATAGTTTTATCAATGTGAATAAGTGAATGAGAAAATAGTGATATCATTTTGCATTGAAGTTTTGTTAAAGAGGTATCAAAGAGGAAAGCTTCTTGGTAAAGCCTTAAAGAATGGCTCTCTAGGTGCTATCTTATTTCTAGTCATCAATTTTGCCTCTTAAAAGCTTGAGTTTGGCTGGATGCCATGGCTCACACCTGTAATTCTAGCACTTTGGGAGGCCAAGATGGGTGGATCGCTTGAGCCCAAGAATTTGAGACCAGCCTGGGCAACACAGCAAAACTCCATCTCTACAAAAATAAAAATAAAAAAATTAGCTGGGTGTGGTGGCGCACACCTGTAGTCCTAGCTGCCTGGGAGGCTGAGGTGGGAGGATCACTTGAGTCCAGAAGGCAGAGGTTGCAGTAAGCTGAGGTCGTGCCACTGCACTCCAGCCTAGGTGACAGAGTGAGACCCTGTCTCAACAACAAAAAACCTTGTGCTTAATTTTTATCATATTGCCCCTGACGTTTAGATTCAAGAGGTCCAAATTTTGCTAATCAGAGTTAGACTGATGATCCATGATACCAATATATTAATTTGGGCCAATATGTTGACCAGTTAGTGCCTGTCTTCCCCCAAAGGAAACCAAATTATAAGAGACTAAATTATTCTCAAGGCTGCTAGATGAGCATTATATCAAAGTAAAAGGGTATCATTAGCCATTTCTAGCATGGAGAGGTAGCAATCATGACTGCACTCTCTATAGATTCCTGTGCATAGCACCTAGTTTCCTTAAATGAGTTTTAAGATAATTGGGCAGGTTAGTTACTTGAGTGTCTTCCAAGTTTTTCAGATGTGTTACTCTATAATGGCTTCATACAGGTTATGATACTTTTTAATTTTAACCTCAGATTGGTCTTTTCCTTGTCACCAAATGCTGGGGACACCCTATTGTAGTCACCATTGTATGCCAACTACATTTGGGGCTCTAAAGCTCTAAGATTAGGCCGGGCACAGTGGCTCACGCCTGTAATCCCAGCACTTTGGGAGGGCGAGGTCAGGAGTTCAAGACCAGCCTGGCCAACATGGTGAAACCCCGTCTCTTCCAAAAACACAAAAATTAGCCGAGTGTGGTGGCGGGCACCTATAATCCCAGCTACTCGGGAGGTTGTGGCAGGAGAACCGCTTGAACCTGGGAGGCAGAAGTTGCAGTGAGCCGAGATTGCACCATTACACTCCAGCCTAGGCAACAAGAGCAAGATGCTGTCTCAAAAAATAAAAATAAAAAGCTGTAAGATTTTATAACTTCATGAGGCAGATCCTTCAGCTCTGCCGGCATTTGGGCCTTAACCTGAAATCAGTACTAAGAAGTCAAGATCAGGAGAAAGGAGTATCTTAATTATGGGCATTTCTTTGGTATAGTCTTGGATTCTTTATTCCTAGGTAGATTTCGGGCAGACAACTTGAACAAGCTGAAGAACCTATGCAGCAAGACAATCGGAGAGAAAATGAAGGTAAGAGAACTGAATAACAAACAGCCATGAGAACTTGAGCGGAGATATTTGATCTTGCTCTTAGCTAATGTTCACAGAAGTTCTAACTCAGTGTTTAAGTCTACAAGATGTTCAATTTCTTACCAAAGGGGAAAATATTATTTTAAAAAGATAGGGAGGCAGGGAACTTGGAGGCATTTTCATATACTTTACCACAAGTCCATCTTCTGTGTTCAGGTAAGATTCTTTGTTGTCTAGCTGTTTGTTGTCTATTCTGTTCTTATATTAGAAATATAAATTCCACCAGTCATCTTTTTTATGGCAGATTTCAGATTTGTCGTCTCAGCGTAGTTATGCTCCATAATGAAAACTACAGATTCAGAGTTCAAATCTTGCTACGTTATGTGTCTTTTAGGCAAGTTAATGCCTCAGCCTCAGTTTTCTCATTTATAAAATGACAATACTAACACTCACCTACAGAATGGAATTGTTAGAACTTTTTTTTTTTAATTTAAACGCCAAGCAATGGTTATGGATAGAACTAAATTTCTTTTAAATGTAGAAAATTTGGCACAGTGTCTAGAACATGTAGTTGTTCAGCAATTGTGAGTTATAATGAATGGCAAGTAATGTTACTGGCCTTCATCCAAAAAAAAAATCCTTCCTATGCCTGAAAAATACTATGTTTCAGCTCAGCTTTTGCTTTGGTATCCAGAATAGTTCATGTTTTTAACCTTCCTTCAAAAATACCTGTTTAGCCCCTTAATCATATTACATTACATATTATAGCTGGGTACAGTAGCTCACGCCTATAATCCCAGCACTTTGGGAGCCAAAGTGGGCAAATTGCTTGAGCTCAGGAGTTCAAGACTAGTCTGCACAACATGGTGAAACCCCATCTCTACAAAAATAAAATGAAACAAAAAAATTAGCCAGACGTGGCGGCCTGTGCCTGTAGTTCCAGCTACTCAGGAGGCTGAGGTGGGAGGATCACTTGAGGCCAGGAGTCAAAAGTTGCAGTGAGCCAAGATTGCGCTACTGAGCTCCATCCAGCCTGGGTTTCCAGTGAAACCCTGTCTCCAAAATAAATAAATTAATTAATTAAATGCACTTTACAATCTAGATAACTTTTACATTGTAAACCTCAAAACTAAACAACAACAACAAAAAATTATAGAACTTTGGAACTGCACCAGTAAAGAGCATAAAAAGATGACCTCGGGATTCTAGCACCTTACACTTAACTTCATGGCAGTCGGCATCTTTCTCTTTGACAATATTTTGTTACACTTTCAGCGTGTAACACTTTTAGCTGTGGAAAGTGATATTGATAATCATCCAGTTTCTTTCTGTGGGACTTAGTCATTCGCATACTAGAGGCCCCATAATTATGTTAATTCCCATGCATACTCCTCCCTGGGTGTTCTTTGGGACCTATGTACAGTCAGTGCCAGCTGGGTATTTTTTGAAGCAAGAAGATGGGATTGTGAGTGTTGTCATTCACAATAACATTCTTAGATCTGATTTTGTTGCTAGCCATGCAGGGAGTGTTCACTCCCACTGCCATTGAAATGGTAATGATAGTGCTTTAATTTGTAGAGCACTCGAAAGCATTCAGATACTTTCACAGACATCTTATTTTGGTTTTGATCCTTACTGCAGAGCTGGAGTGCAGATAGTACATTTGTCAGCCCTATTTAATGGGTAAGGGAATCGGCTTAGGAAATTAAAGAGCTTGCTTAAAATCATATTCTAACTTAGTTGCAGAGTCAAACCTTGAGCTCAGAACTTGAATTTGCTGCCCTGAGGGATTATCAAATAGCAAGGGAGCCTGGTAACTATCTTGCAAACATATCACCCTGCCTATGATGCCATTGCAAAAATCTTGAGATTTAGTCCATTTTTTCCCTACCTCTGTAGTCTGTTCTTATCAAGACTCATTCTGATAGTTTCAGATTTTTCCAACTTTTTTTCTTTTTTTCTGAGACAAAGCCTCATTTTATTGCCCAGGCTGGAGCGCAGTGGCACAATCATGGCTCACTGCAGCCTCAACCTCCTGGGCTCAAGCAGCCCTCCTGCCTCAGCCTCCCTAGTAGCATGCCACCACACTCGGCTAATTTTTTTTTTTTTTTTTTTTGTTGAGATGGAGTCTCCCTGTGTTGCTACTGCACCTGGCCAGATTTTTCCAACTTTTTAAGATGATTTTGCTCTGAGTCACTGAAGGGTGTGAGTGGAGTTATGGTTAGAATTTTGATTGTATGAGAATGTGTAATGAACCTAAAGGATTTCCATGCTTTACATTTAGGAGATTTAGTCCTTTTGTTCTTTCTTTTTTTTTTTTTGACACAGTGTCTTGCTTTGTTGCCCAGGCTAGAGCGCAGTGGCGTGATCATAGCTCACTGCAGCCTCCAACTCCTTGGCTCAAGCAGTCCTCCCACCTCAGCCTCTCAAGTAACTAGGACTATAGACACATGTCACTGTGCCTGGCTAATTTTTTAAAAAGTCACCCAGGCTGGAGTGCAGTGGCACAAGCATAGCTCACCACAGCCTCTAATACCTGGGCTCAAGCAGTCCCCCCGCCTCAGCCTCCCAAGTAGCTGAGACTACAGGTGTACTCCACTATGCCTGGCTAATTTAAAAAAAAAAAAAAATATATATATATATATATATACACACACACACACACACACACACACACACATATATATATATTTATTTATTTATTTATTTATTTATATTTAGATATGGGGTCTCACTCTGCTGCCCAGGCTGGTCTTGAACTCCTGGGCTAAAGTGATCTGCCCACCTCAGCCTACCATGTAGCTGGGATTACAGTTGCAAGCCACTGTACCTGGCTATACTTTGTTTTATTTATACTCACAAAGCGGATGCTAAATATTCTTATGCAAGTTTTGTTGAAGTCTCATGTATCTTATTATAATGACCTTTGACTAACTTTCTTTAACTCTTTTTTTTTTTTTTTTTTGAGACAGAGTCTTACTCTGTCACCCAGGCTGGAGTGCAGTGGTGTGATCTCAGCTCACTGCAACCTCTGCCCCCAAGTTCAAGCAAGTCTCCTGCTTCAGCCTCCCGAGTAGTTGGGATTACAGGTGTCTGCTACCGCGCCTGCCTAATTTTTGTATTTTTAGTAGAGACGGGGTTTCACCATCTTGGTCAGGCTGATCTTGAACTCCTGACCTCGTGATCCACCCACCTCAGCCTCCCAAAGTGCTGGGATTACAGGCATGAGCCACCGTGCCCTGCCAACTCTTTTTAATTTAAGAAGAATTTAACTCTTTAAGTGATCTTTTTAAATTCACCTGGTTTTGTGCAAGGATTACAAATGATGATTTAGCAGAATTATCATACGGAAGGATGAGAAGAGAAACTAGAGAGAACGAAATCCAACCCTGGTTACACCCCTGCCATTTTGTCAAATTACATTGATTGTTCTAAACTGAGTTCCAGATCCTGTGACTTTTTGTTTGTTTGTTTTCCTTGGCTGTCTGATATTTCATCATTCCATCCATCTTTCACCCTTAGCCTCAATGCTGGGATTGTTGTTAGCAGGTAGATAAGAATCTACACTCGGGGCCGGGTGCAGTGGCTCACGCCTATAATCCCAGCACTTTGGGAGGCCAAGGTGGGGGATCACTTAAGGCCAGGAGTTTGAGATCACCCTATCCAACAGAGTGAAACCCTATCTCTATTAAAAATACAAAAAAAAAAAAGGAAAAAAAAATTAGCCAGACGTGGTGGTGCACTCCTGTAATCCCAGCTGCTTGGGAGGCTGAGGCAGGAGAATCACTTGAAACCGGAAGGCGGAGCTTGCAGTGAGCCCAGATCACGCAAACTGTACTCTAGCCTGGGCGACAGAGTGAGACTCCGTCAAAAAAAAAAAAAAAAAAGAATCCACACTCAGGTGTGTCTGCTCCAGGGCTTGCTCCTGAGCACTGCACTACCTCTCCAGCGCTTATAGCTCATGAGCATTTCGAATAAATTCTCTTCTGATTCCTATGATGATCTATGTACAGGGAATGACATTCTTCTCATATTCTTCAGGATGTTAATTCTCTGACCCAGACAGATTAATTGATTTTAGGATCAAAAAGCTATTAAGTGGCAGCATAGGGAGGGGCTTGACACTTTGACTTCTGGCTTCCAGTGTACTAATTTTTTTCCTACATGTTGTATCTTTTAGAAAAATTTATGTAAGAAGTTCTGTGATTCATTTATATAATACGTTAATTTGGTGTACACTTTATAAAACAATGCCAGAGATTTTCTTTTATTTATTTGTGTTGGGTTTTTTTCCTTCCTGCAGAAAAAAGAGCCAGTGGGAGATGATGAGTCTGTCCCAGAGAATGTGCTGAGTTTCGATGACCTTACTGCAGACGCTTTAGCTGTAAGTTATAGTTCTTTTCTAAGTTAGGATCTCTGCTATTTTGTCTTAATTTTATTCCTAGACAGCAAGTGCTCTCACTCTGCTCCACACAGCATTGTGACATCCTTTCATTTCTGCTGCTGGGAAATGTCCCCACCCATTCTTGTTATATTCTATATTTGAGTATTTATTAGACAGCAGAGATGGAGACAGATGGAGTGGGAGAGTCGGAGAGTCAAGGACAGGAAGAATAGAAAAAGGAAAGGAATTGTGTTTGGTTTATATAACTCCATATTCTACCGTTTGTTACACAAAGGCAAGAAACTTCAGTTTACTGTAACACAGTAAATATTCAGTACGCTGGCAAGAGCAGTAATTTTTGAGTTTTTTAGTCACTGAACCCTTTCTTGAAACCCTTAACATATAGCAAGAACATAAACCAAAAAAGCAAAGTTGCTGTGCTTGAAGGTCTCGGATTGGGGGCCTGAACCTGCCTGGCCCTACTGCTAAAGCGCTTGCCTCAAAGAAATAAGAGCACAGTTTGAAACACCTGCAATACAGAATACAAAATATGCTTCAGACAAATCTCTTACTCCTAATAAATTTATAATCTTCCTAGAGAACAGTTGAATGCAGCACATCAATGGAGTGCTAAATTGGTTCAGTCAAGAAAATCAGAAAGTGCAAATTAAGGGAAAGTTCTCATAAGAGAGCGGCAGTACTTAAATTTCTGCAATGTATGGGAACAATAGATAGTGGCCAGAACTATCTATCTCTGCCTCAAGCACCCCCAAAGAAAAATGCCGATGGATTTGTAGGGCAAGACTGTGTATATCTGTGTGTGAAGGAAATCTCAGTTCTTAAAAGTCTTCGTTTCCAGTTTTTAAAATGCTACCACAAGGGCTATCTTTAGAGCACAACAGGGTTAGGGCAACCGAATCATATTCCTGTGCTGTCCTTGCCTCACTGTCCTGCTTATGGGCCTGGCCTGTTCATCTGCAGAACCTGAAAGTCTCACAAATCAAAAAAGTCCGACTCCTCATTGATGAAGCCATCCTGAAGTGTGACGCGGAGCGGATAAAGTTGGAAGCAGAGCGGTTTGAGAACCTCCGAGAGATTGGGAACCTTCTGCACCCTTCTGTACCCATCAGTAACGATGAGGTAGGTGGCTGTGCCGCAGCAGGAGGCTGCCTTAGGTCGCTGCTGTCTCTGCAGGGGCGGGGACGGGAGGAGATCTGTGGAACACTGGCATTGTCTGTCAGAAGCAGGTTCTTTGTATATTCCCTCTGCCCACCAATTGAGAATTGCAGGAGTCAGATCCTTGTCTGATTGGGAAGTAGCAGAGACAGCAGGTAGGAGGAGACTCCTGGCACAGAAATCTCTTCTAAATAGGGCTGCTGTCCTCCGCTGCATGTTGCCCGTGGTAGCAGGCATCTCGTGGGAGGGATCTGCTAAATCAACCTAACCCCTTCACCCACACCCTGCTGAGAAGCTGCAGGTTGAAGGGAAATCTGCATGATAAAAGTTTCCTGCTGAGCGGGAGCTTCCCCTGCACAAAGCTGCTCTGAGCCCAGCCTTTGTTCCCCGACACCCCAGCCGTAGCAGGGCCCATCTGTGCCTCTTTCATTCATTCCCTGGTGAACATTAAACTCACTGCAGGCTGGGGTGTGCAGGAGGCTGCAGAGCACAGACCACGAGACGACTCTGGAGGTCAGGGCCCTGAGTCCGCCCTCATGTGGCCCTGGGACCAATGAGAGCCTGGAAAAAAAAAATCTACATTCTCCTCTGCACCCCAGGCAATGTCGATTGTCTGGGAAGGGTTGTCCTTGTGCAGGATTTGAGGGGTAATTTAAAAGGGTAAAAAAAAGAAATAAACAAAAAAAACCCCCGAGAGAATGCTATAGACCTCTTGGAAAATCATCATTCCCAGTTTCATGGCTAGAATTACTTCTCAAACTTTGTAAGTTACTACTTCTCCATTGAGTAGCAAGTTGCCTTCTCTAGTTATGAGACACAGTAGTGTTTGAGTTAAGCGATGACTTCACAAAGTTAAGTTGTTCGTGGAATAAAGTTTGGAAAGATGGAGGTTGTAGAATTAAGAAATCATATATCAAGCTTGGCGCGGTGGCTCACGTCTATAATCCCAGCACTTTGGGAAGCCTAGGCAGGCGGATCACTCGAGCCCAGGAGTTCGAGACCAGCCTAGGTAAAATGGCAAAACCCTGTCTCTACAAAAAATACAAAAATTAGCCGAGCATAGTGTTGCACACCTGTCTGTAGTCCCAGCTGAGGCTGAGGTGGGAGGATCACTGGAGCCTGGAAGGTTGAGGCTGCAGTGAGCCAAGATTGTGCCATTGCACTCCAGCCTGGATGACGGCGTAAGACCCTGTCTCCAAAAAAAAAAAATAATTTAAAAATAATAAAATCATATGTCTTGTATGTCTCTTTCTTGCTCTGTTTCCTTAGGATGTGGACAACAAAGTAGAGAGGATTTGGGGTGATTGTACAGTCAGGAAGAAGTACTCTCATGTGGACCTGGTGGTGATGGTAGATGGCTTTGAAGGCGAAAAGGGGGCCGTGGTGGCTGGGAGTCGAGGGTACTTCTTGAAGGTAAGAGCTGGGAACCAGTGAGGATAGGATTATGAAAAAGAAACAAAATATATATATATATATTTTTTTTTTTTTTTGTAGAGAAACATAATCTGTTTAAAGAGGCCCACAGATCTACCAGTTGTACTTGCCTTTCTGCAAATGTATTGGCAATTAGATGCAATTCTCTTTCTAAAGCAAGAGAGGGCTTATCAGGATTCCGTAGAACAAAAGCCACTAAGTGGTCCTCCATAATGAATGTCTGTTTTGCTGACTGAATCAGAACAGTCTCTGCCTTTAAGTAGCTCAGTATAATTGGACAGTCAGACAAGTAACAAAGAATCAAAATCCACTGTCATAAGCTCTGTGGTTTGTGTAGGCCCAAAGTGCTTTGAGAACATCAGGATAATTCTCTTAACGGTGTGCCTGGATGATTTGCTGGGCTTCAGTGTTCAGAACGAATCTCAAGGTTCAGAATGTCAGTTGCTGGGATCTGTGGTCTTTTCTTGGCCTCCTGCTTGCCCCTCGGTAGTCCTGTTCTCTTGGCCCAGGTGCCTTTAGGTGTCAGTTCTAGCTGAACATGATGGTGACAAGACCCAATCACATAGTACTGTGTCTCTGCTCCTCTAGGGGGTCCTGGTGTTCCTGGAACAGGCTCTCATCCAGTATGCCCTTCGCACCTTGGGAAGTCGGGGCTACATTCCCATTTATACCCCCTTTTTCATGAGGAAGGAGGTCATGCAGGAGGTGGCACAGCTCAGCCAGTTTGATGAAGAACTTTATAAGGTGAGTAGCCTGGGTCAGGTGACAGAATGACTTCTTAAGTTATGTAGCTTAACTTCAGTGATGCAGAGTGGTGCTGTCCAATAGGACTTTCTGCGATGATGGAAACGTTCTCTCTCTGTGACTCTTGAGCACTTAAAATGTGGGTGGTGCAATGGAGGAAGCACATTTTTTATTTTAATTAATTTTAACTTAAACATGTAGCTAATGACTGCCATATTAGACAGTGCAGCTGCAGAGCCTCTTTTACCTTTCCCTGGGTAATCTGTATGATGTATCTAAATCAAGCATACTTGAACACCATGAGCTTAGAAAAGAAGCCCATTCCTTGGGTGCTTGGACAAAAGGAAATTACAGTGGTGGCACTGATCTCCTAGCCTGCTTCCCATGTCCTCCCACTCCTAACCCCAGACTGGAAGCTTCCACAGGGTGAGACATACTTGCCTTGGGATGGAGGTGGCTTCCAGTTTGTGGCTCCTTCTCAACCATGGACCATGTCAGGGAGAGCCAGACAATTCAAGTCAAGGTTCAGAAGGTCATTCTGATCAACTGGCTCTAACACCAATAACAGCACCCCACTCTGTGTTCAGCACTCAAGATTTCTAGAGCGTCTCTGCTAACAGCTGTCCAATGCAGCAGTGTCTACTATTCATTTGTCCCTCCCTTTCAACTCTTCTGTCAGAAATAGGGACTTAGTTCCTACTGGCTTATTTCCTCTCCAGACAGTGGAGGTAGAGTTAGACAACTGCTGTTGGACTCATCTAATTTATATAGGGAGATAGTTCAATAATTAGAACGATCTTTCCATTGTTTCTGTTGATGAGGTAAAAGTTAAGTTTTCATTCAAGACGCACTGGGAAACAAAGTGCTCTCCCTAAACCCTGAGCATCAGTATAACCTTGACCTCCTCTCTTCTTTCTTTTAATGAAGGGAGGAATGTGTTCCTTTACTCGCTAAAACCTGTTTTACCTTTTCTTTCTTTTTCTAATTTCAACCCCTAAGATTAGATAATCACTAACAGAACATTAGAAATATCCGCTGCAGGTAACAGTAGGGAGAAACCTATGTGGAGTATTATGGAAACTGTTAGGTAGCTGGTGCTCTCTGAGTCCTGCAATCTCCGTCTCTTATCCAGACGCTTCTTGGACCCACAGGCAGGAAGAATCACAGGTTTCATAGTGAAGAATTTTGGCTGGCACTTCTTGTCTGATAAAAACCTCAGTTCTGTAAGAATGAATATATCGCTGCCTAATAGAACTTTCTGCACTGATGGAAATGTTCTAAGTCTGCATGATCCAGCATGGCAACCATCAGCCATATGTGACTTGAGCACTGAAAACGTGGCTGATGCAACCGAGGAACTAAATTTTAATTTAATTTAATTTTTTTTTTTTAATTAATTTCCTATGTAGAGACAGGGTCTCACTATGTTGCCCAAACTGATTTCAAACTCCTGGGCTCAAACAATCCATCCGCCTCAGCCTTCCAAACTGTTGGGATTACAGGTGTGAGCCACTATGCCCAGCCCAATTTAATTTAAATAGTCATGTGTGGCTGGCTATACCATATTAGGCTGCACAGCCCTAGAGCTTTCGTATGTTGTATGTGAATGGCCCCACAGTGGCTAAATTCCTACTGCCAGGTAGCAAGGTAGTTTTCCAGGCCTCTAAACACTGATCCAGGGGAACCTTTCTTCCTTACTTTTTTTTTTTTTAATTAAAATGCTGCTACATAACAAAATTTAGAAATGGCAGAGGGAATTATCTGCTTTCCCATTGACCTAATATAACAATTGTCATCTTAAAATATTCATGTTGGGATTTTTTTCATATATATGTTGTTTTCACATACTTATAATTGCCATGTACATAAATTGCCTTTTAACTTAGCATTATTTTTAATTTTTATTTTTATTTATTTATTCATTTTTTGAGACAGAGTCTCACTCTGTTACCCAGGCTGGAGTGCAGTGGCACGATCTTGGCTCACTGCAACCTCTGCCTCCTGGGTTCAAGTGATTCTCATGCCTCAGCCTCCCGAGTAGCTGGGATTACAGGCGTCGCCACCACACCTGGCTAATTTTTTTTTTTTTTTTTTTTTTTTTGAGACGGTATCTCACTCTTTCACCCAGGCTAAAGTGAAGTGGCATGATCTCGGCTCATTGCAACCTCTACGCACCGAGTTCAAGGGATTATCCTGCCTCAGCCTGTTGAGTAGCTGGGACTACAGGCATCCACCACCATGCCCGACTAATTTTTTTTTTTTTTGTATTTTTAGTAGAGATGGGGTTTTGTCATGTTGGCCAGGCTGGTCTCGAGCTCCTGACCTCAGGTGAACCACCCGCCTTGGCCTCCCAAAGTGCTAGGATTACAGGCATGAGCCATTACGCCTGGCCACACCTGGCTAATTTTTGTATGTTTAGTAGAGACGGGGTTTCACCAAGTTGTCCAGGCTGGTCTTGAACTCCTGACCTCAAGTGATCTGCCTGCCTAGGCCTCCCAAAGTGCTGGGATTACAGGCATGAGCCACCGTGCCTGGCCACCTTTTTATGTATCATTATATCAAAAGTATTTTTCTGTGTTACTGCATGGTCTTCATTTTTATGGTTGTATAATATTACATAAATAATGTTACAGTGAACTTTGTCCTGTCTGAACTTTTTTTTTTTTGCATTATTTTCTTCAGTTGAACAGCAAAGTATATTCTTTAAGGATCATAACCACTAACCTGTAAGCACCAAGAAAGCAGAGACTGGTGTCCCTTTTTGCTCCACATTGGTGTTTAGTAAACGTCTCACAAGGATTAATGTATGTGGCTACCAGCACAGGTTTATTGCATACCTGCCAGCATTGACCATTATTCATCATGGATGAGTTTTCTGTATTAGATAAGTGGAAAATAGCTGGGCACAGTGGCTCACGCCTGTAACCCCAGCACTTTGGGAGGCTGAGGCAGGTGGATCACCTGAGGTCAGGAGTTCGAGATCAGCTTGGCCAACATGGTGAAACCTTGTCTCTACTAACAATACAAAAATTAGCTGAGCGTGGTGGCGCGTGCCTGTAATCCCAGCTACTCAGGAGGCTGAGGTGGGAGAGTCGCTTGAACCTGGGAGGTGGAGGTTGCAGTGAGCCGAGATTGTGCCACTGCACTCCAGTCTGGGCAGCAGAGTGAGGCTCTGTCTCAAAAGCAAAAAAAAGATAAGTGGAAAATATTCTTTCCTCTTAATTTACATTTCTTTGATCTCTGTCAGGGACCCCATTTTGGACTGACCCATTCCTTTATCTTTTTAGTATTCTCTCCCCACTCCCAGGCAGGGATTAAAGGAAATTTTTCCTGCACTATTATTGATCTCTTTCTTGTGGTTTCTTATTCTAGCCAAGGTCCTCCCCACTTCCTCTTAACTGGTATAGCTCCTTCCTTCCACAGGTGATTGGCAAAGGCAGTGAAAAGTCTGATGACAACTCCTATGATGAGAAGTACCTGATTGCCACCTCAGAGCAGCCCATTGCTGCCCTGCACCGGGATGAGTGGCTCCGGCCGGAGGACCTGCCCATCAAGTATGCTGGCCTGTCTACCTGCTTCCGTCAGGAGGTGGGCTCCCATGGCCGTGACACCCGTGGCATCTTCCGAGTCCATCAGTTTGAGAAGGTGAGTAGATGGGTCAGGGTAAGGAGTGGAACTTTCTCTGTCTCCAGAATGGTTAGATGAGAGATAGGATCTGTGTTGCTGAGGCCCATCCTGGCTCCAGCTTTTCCTCTCATTGCTTACCTCTGTGTTTCTGGGGAAGTGCATGGTGGAGTGGCGTGGATTATGGACCCTGAAACCAGGCTGCGGCTTTACCACTCACCAGCTGTGTAACATTGGGCATAATGCATAAGCCCCCAGTGCTCCATTTCTGCCTTTGTATGAGGAGGATAACAGTAACAGTGCCTGCCTCACCAGGCCTATTGTGGCCTATTGTGAGGATTATCCCAGTCACTATATGTAAAGCACTCAGAACAGGGGCTGGCATGCATACGGGAAGCTCGCACCATAAGCATTTGCTCTTGTGGTCCAGTCCCAGTTGCTGGGGGCCCAGACTTGCCTGCCTCCCAGTGGTGTGGAAACAGGTCTTCATGGCAAGGATGTCTCCCACTTCAGTCCTTTATTCACCCTATACCGCTGTCACCGTTTCCTTGGGTCCCTCTCTGCAGATTGAACAGTTTGTGTACTCATCACCCCATGACAACAAGTCATGGGAGATGTTTGAAGAGATGATTACCACCGCAGAGGAGTTCTACCAGTCCCTGGGGATTCCTTACCACATTGTGAATATTGTCTCAGGTATGGGACCCAGCCTCTTCTCAGCCTCCCTTTCCTGTAATCCCAGACGCCACCCTTACCAGCTGAGCTGCCACACAGAGAAACAGCTCACAATTCAACTCATTGCCCACATTAATTAAAATATTACACTCTTCTCACTTGGGAGTATTTGGTGTTAAGAATATCTGGGTGTGATTTCACCTCTGGAGACAGGACATGAATTAAAGAATTCTTCAGGCTTGCTAAAGGTTAGCCTTCTGAAATACCATCCCTCCTTCATGAATTCTAGGGGTTTTTCCTTACAGGTTCTTTGAATCATGCTGCCAGTAAGAAGCTTGACCTGGAGGCCTGGTTTCCGGGCTCAGGAGCCTTCCGTGAGTTGGTCTCCTGTTCTAATTGCACGGATTACCAGGCTCGCCGGCTTCGAATCCGATATGGGCAAACCAAGAAGATGATGGACAAGGTAGATGGCCCCCAGGGAGGTGGGAAGCAGAGTCTTCAGTACACGGCCCGTCCGAATTATTTCTCAGCCTTTGGGGTGCACTGGTCCCCAGCATCATGGGAAAATCTGAGCTTCTCAATCTAGACCAAAAAGGGAATCTGAAAATGCCTTCTACTGAGTCAGGACTGAGTTCTTTTAGCTAGAAACCTGAATCTAGCTCTCTTCTATAAGGTAATTCTAGCTTTTCTCTTTCTGGCTTTGTTTTTCTTAACTCCAGAGAAAGAATAATCTCCATTTATCTACACAGAACAAGTTGGAGGCTTCCCTCTTCTCACCCAAGAAGGTCTGGGTTGTAAGCTGCTCTCTTCAAACCCAATTTTCAGGCCCTACTCTTTTCCAAGTCAGGTGCTTGAAAGGGGTGAAAAGGAAAGGCCACAATAGTAGTTTCTTCCTTCCCTCAAAGGGCCCAACTCTCAGAATACCAGAAGCTACCACTTGTCACTCATCGAAACATGAGGGATCTTTCTGCAGTTATCTAATAGGCAATAAATACCAAATAATTCAAATTTAGAAAAAAGTTGCTAAGGGGTAGAACCCATCATTTTGATTTGGACAGTTGTGGTTGGGGAAGTCTGGTTGAATGGATGGTTCCTGGCCGTCAGTAAGACCCGATGAGAGTTGAGCCCGACTTCCCCTCTGGGACCCTGTCTTCCCAGGTGGAGTTTGTCCATATGCTCAATGCTACCATGTGCGCCACTACCCGTACCATCTGCGCCATCCTGGAGAACTACCAGACAGAGAAGGGCATCACTGTGCCTGAGAAATTGAAGGAGTTCATGCCGCCAGGTAAAACTCCCAGCTCATCTCATCGTTCTCCTCTTTTCTGTCTTCACACTCTTCTAAATAGCAGTCCCCTTTCAGGATATACCAGGTTTTTTTGTTCAGACACAGCCCCTGAAACTCTGTCTGCCCTCTCGGGCTGGGCAGGGCAGGGGGCCTGGTTGAGAAAGTAGCCAGTGCAGGTATGATGTTGAAATGCTGCTAAAATTCAGACTAGGGAAGAAAAGAATAAAGGAAACCAGTGCCTATCAAAGGGACCCCTCTGTTCAAAGGGATCATTGTCTTGTTGAATTCTCCCCAGAGGTCTTAGGGCTTTGACTCACTGAGAAACAACAGGTCATTTGGTTGGCTCTTCCCTCCCAGGACTGCAAGAACTGATCCCCTTTGTGAAGCCTGCGCCCATTGAGCAGGAGCCATCAAAGAAGCAGAAGAAGCAACATGAGGGCAGCAAAAAGAAAGCAGCAGCAAGAGACGTCACCCTAGAAAACAGGCTGCAGAACATGGAGGTCACCGATGCTTGAACATTCCTGCCTCCCTATTTGCCAGGCTTTCATTTCTGTCTGCTGAGATCTCAGAGCCTGCCCAACAGCAGGGAAGCCAAGCACCCATTCATCCCCCTGCCCCCATCTGACTGCGTAGCTGAGAGGGGAACAGTGCCATGTACCACACAGATGTTCCTGTCTCCTCGCATGGGCATAGGGACCCATCATTGATGACTGATGAAACCATGTAATAAAGCATCTCTGGGGAGGGCTTAGGACTCTTCCTCAGTCTTCTTCCCCGGGCTTGAACCCCGCCTCTGAGGTTCTCCCTGATATACACTTCTGCTTTTCCTTCCAAATTAGGCTGCTCCCTCCAGTTAGCAAGTCACAGAGCCTTTGAACAGGTAAGCGAAGGGAGGGGTACACTTAGAAAAAGCTCAAGGGGAAGGTGGAAGATGGAGTCTGAATCACAAAAGCTTGCAGGGCAAGGGCCAGGATCCTCCTTTACAAATATATTCCTGCTTGAAATCATTGAGGTAGGACTAGCTTAGAGACCAGAACTGTTTTAAAAGCCTCTTAGCACTTCTGTTCCCTACAAAGGACTCTGTGGAAAGCGAGAGGCTGTATTTAATCCAGAAGAGCCCCTAGCTTCTATGCCTAGCATGGGTTGGGGACTTATTAACAGCAGTTTCTCTCGTTACAGCCATCCCCACATGGGGAGACCAACTGCATACCAACTTGCTGCTGCACCTCCAAAGGATTGGGATAGCCAGCAGGGCAGAGGAGAGGAGAAAATGTTGTAGCCCCTTTGTGGAGCTCCCACTGTTGCCCTAATAGCCAGTTCCTTTCTCAGGGGAGGCTGATGTTCAGGCTGTTTATTTACCTGCTGCCTTTCATCTGCAATCTACAAACCCTTTACTTTAATAACAGCTTCTGTTAGTTTAGTGCCTCTCTCCTAGGAGGTTAAAATACTCCCTATAGATGATCTCTTTTATCTTTGTGATGGTCCCAGAAGGTAGGGTGGGGACATGATTATATGATTATGCTTATTCCATCCTTTGGAAGACAGAAATACAAGGACGGTAAGGGAGATGAGACAACGTGGCCTGATGGAGGTCGGAAGTCCTGACTCCTCGGCAGTGCTTTATGTTTCTTTGGGAGGTTGAGAGCTGGAATGTGAACTGGGCTGTCACTTAGGAGCCTTTATCTCACCTCAGCTTCCTTAGTCCCTGAGCAGCGACTTGGGCCTGCTGGAGCATAGTACCAAGGAAAGGGGCCATGTGCTCCATTTTCCACTGGGGGCTTGAGATTGATCCTATTAATCTTGCTGCTGGAAACCCTGTCAAAACTGAGGTAGGTGCGTGAAGGGGTGACAGTGGCTCTCTTGTCTTGCCTGGCTATGCCAGCTGGGGGCCCACAGGCAGACCCGCCTGGGCCGTAGCCCATTGCCCCAGCTCTGGGATAACAAAGCCGGGACAAGGGGACAAAGAGCAAGCTGCTCCCATTTGTAATTCAGAAGGACCAGAAACTCACATTTCCTGTGGCCTCAACTATTTGGTTTGAAGAAAGGCAGCGTACACAGTGTGCAGGAGGCTAGTTTTGCCCCACCCCCTATACCATTCCAGAAGCCCACTGGGAACTCTCACAGGGCCCTGAACGCCCCTGCTCTGCCTTAGCTCTGTCTTAGAAGTCCCTACAGCTGCCTGCACCACTCCCCACGCCTACCTGCTTAGGCTCCTGGTGCCTGTCACCTTCCTACCAGTAGGAGGCTCTGCTTTTTGCCATGGCCCTGAGAGCTCTGTGGGAGGGCAGAAGCTGGGGCTTTGAGTCCCTGAGGACCCAGCTGACTTACCTGCTGGAGCTGGCTGCCTGGACTCTCAGCTGCTTTGTGCAGAGAGACCCTCCTGCCTTGGGCAGCCCAGCTTTCCCTGCCAGCCTTCCTCCTGCCCGTGTAGGGACTGGTGTAGGAGCCTGGCTAGGAAGATGGCTGTATGGACAAACTGGCTTGTTAGCAGAAAGTAACTATAAGGGACCCCATGCTTCCAGAAGCCAGAGGAGAGGAAGTCAATGGTAGTGAAGGCAAGGATGACTGTGGCTGAGGTCCCTCCCCACAGGTCATACCCAAGAGCACAACAGCAGGAGGGCACACACGGTCACCGAGTGCTTACCTTGTGCCAGGCACCATTAGGAGCAGGGTTTACAGAAAGAAGGTAACACAGTTCCTGCTCACAAATAACTGTTGGGAAAGGTGTGGTTCGCCTTCCTTCAGAGAGGGAAAACCAGACACTCTCCCTCCCTGAGGCAGTGGGATGGGGCTGATGCAAGCTTCATTTAGGAGGGGCCGACCCACCTGGAAGCCGAGCAGTTGGGAACAGGCCCAATAGCCTTGACTCCACCCTGGTAGTTGCCTCCGCATCCCACGCCTGATGCCCTCATCTCTGGCACCTTGACCTGCCCCATCTCCAACCTCAGCTACCCAGGTTACCTCAGTTAGCAAACACCCTCCAGAGGCCTAGTGGAGTGAGTCAGAGCCCTGGGTCCCTCACCAACCCTGGGTTCCCACACCCAGGTATTCAGGGCCCAAGATGCAGGTCTGGGTGCTTTAGGCAGGGAGTGAGGAAACACTGGGACCAACAGTCTGGCCTCTCCACCAAGAGAGACAACCATAAGCCAGACTTCTAGAAACTCTAAAGAGGCTGGTAACTGGGGACCCAACGTAAGGCCGAGGGACCTGCCTGCGCTCACAGTCCAGGCTGGGCAGGGCAGCTCATTAGCCAAACACTGAAACCTCACTCCTGGGAACCAACATTCTCCTAGCCGTCTGTCCTGCTTTTCCTCCCCTGAAGCTTTTCCGGTTTACCCCAGGTCCTGAGAATGCCTCCTCTCCCCGAGTCCCCATCCTTCCCCAGGGGGTACGCGGCGGGGGCGGCCCTGGCTGCACTCCCAGGATGAGTCTGACAGGCAGAGCTGGGATGGGCGCCAGACAAATGTACTGCGTGTCGGAGCCTGTGCCGGGATGAGGGGCCTGCCCCGCTCTCCCAGTTACCTCCCAACATGGGGTTCCCCAGCAGCTCTTCCCAGGTACAAAAGGGGAGTGCTTCCTTGCAGCCTGGACTTGGCCAGGTCCTGGTGGGGCTGATGCCTCGGCCTCTGACATTGCCCTTTTAAGAGCCCTCTCCGGCGGGGCCAACCTGTAATCCCAGCGCTTTGGGAGGCCTAGGAGGGCGGATCGCCTGAGGTCAGGAGTTCGAGACCAGCCTGGTTAACATGGTGAAACTCTGATTCTACTAAAAATACCAAAAATTAGGCGAGCATGGTGGTGCGCACCTGTAATCCCAGCTACTCAGGAGGCTGAGGCAGGAGGATCGCTTGAACCCAGGAGGCATAGGTTGCAGTGAGCCGAGATTGTGCCACTGCACTCCAGCCTGGGTGACAGAGTGAGACTCTGTCTCAAAAAAATAAAAATTAAAAAAGCCCTCCCCATGGGGGTGGGGTGGGGGTGCTGCAGGCAGGTTCATGTTGCAGAAACCCAGCAATGTGCAGCTCCCCATCCATCTGCCAGGAAAGAAGCCCTGAACTCCAGGTCTTTACCTCTCTGGGACCTTCCGGCGGAGGTAGGGTGTCCCAGCCACCTCCGAGAGAACCTCTTGTTACGGAGGGGCGGGTCCTCTTCTGCTGCTCTGACTGGCTGGTTCACAAGCCCTGCATTTTGGAGATTGGTCCCTGTCCCTCCATGGGACTTGGTTCCCTTCCCCCTACACAAACCTGCTGTCAAAATGGTCTGGGAGTTTATTTTCATTGGGGTGTAAATTGCTGATAAGACGGTGTGACCTTCTGGGACAAGTGGTTTTTAAACCTGAAGAAATTGAAGAATTAAGCTCCCATTTGGAATACGCTTCATCCTTGCCTCCTTCCATCTTGTCTCAGAGAAAACCTTTTTTTTTTTTTTACTCCTTCTCCAAAACCAGGTCTTATCTACTTGTGCCCTGGAACTCGCCACCATCCTGCTTCCCCTGAGTCCTTGTTCTTGAGCTAGCTCTCTGCTGAACCTCCCGCCCCACTTCCCCTCAGTCCCGACCTGCTAACATATTCCCCATCTGAAAACAGCCATCCTGCACTCCTGCCGCTCCTGTCAAATTGCGATCCCATCTGGCTCCTCTCCCTCAAAGATGAATGAACAGTGGACACTTGCAGGCTCTGTTACCTCATTAACATTCCTGGCCCTCCTTCACCCCATTCCCCTCAGAGGGAAGGTGAACTGTTCCAGAGGGAACTGCACGAGGGGACAGGAAGAAGGCCTGAATGGCTGAAGCATGAAGTAAGGGCGATACTGACTGGAGGCTGGAGATGTGGGCAGGGTCAGGAGATGGCACCTGACCCTAATGCTGGCCTCCACCTCCGCTTTCCCTGCTGCTCTGTGACCTCCACATGCAGGGCTCTCAAATCCATTCTCTCTCATCTGAGCATCTCCACCCACCCCCAGCATACACATTGGGCATCTCCTCTTAGTATTCAGGCACCCCAACACACACCTGAGACTCACCCTGGACAACTCCCTCCTCTTCATCTCCAGGGGCCAGTCTGTTTCGCAGCGCCATTGAGTCTTCATCACTCAGGTCTGCCCCCTTGACAGCCTGCTCCCTGGCCCCAGCACAGCCCTCCTCCTCCTGGACTATTACAGCGGCCTCCTTGCTAGTCTGCTGGACCTCAGTCCCTTCTTCCGGCGCAGCCTCCTCACTGTGCCAGATTAGCCTGCCAGATGGCACAGCCATGATCATTCCTCCCCTGCCAAAACACTTCAGATGGTTCCCCTCAACTTATAAGGTCCAGACTTCTCAGCTGGAGCCCCAGCTCATCAAAATGTGCCCCCAGTTCAGATTAGCGGCTCTCTGCTCCTTATTCTCACCGCCCCCTTGTTTCCTCCTGTTTCCTGGCACTGACCGTGTGTTGCACCTCTCCACGCTTGCTCACACTGTTCCCCCTGCCTGGATGCCTTTTCCTCCTGCCTATTAGTGGAATTCTTCCTTCCTCTTCAAGATAGCTCAAATGCCACTTTCTTTTTTTTTTTTTTTTTTTGAGATGGAGTTTCACTCTTGTTGCCCAGCCTGGAGTGCAATGGTGCGATCTCGGCTCACCGCAGCCTCCGCCTCCTGGGTTCAAGCGATTCTCCTGCCTCAGCCTCCCAAGTAGCTGAGATTACAGGCATACGCCATCACACCTGGCTAATTTTATATTTTTAGCAGAGACGGGGTTTCTCCATGTTGGTCAGGCTGGTCTCAAACTTCCGACCTCAGGCGATCCGCCCATCTAGGCCTCCCAAAGTGCTGGGATTATAGGCACGAGCCACTGTGCCCGGCCAAATGCCACCTTCTTTAAAAAGCCCTCCCTAACTCCTCCACCCCCACACAAAAATATTAGTGACTATTGCTCTGTGACAGCTTTTGTCTCTGTCCAAGGGACTGGCTGTCCCTTGGGGACATAGCTCATCTGTGTACCTCTCACACTTAGCCACCTACCACCGTGGCTGGAGCATGGCTCTGGCCAGACAGGGCCTCCTTCCTTGGCCTGCTCTGACAGCCTGAACAGCCACGTTATTCAGAGGGTGCTTAGGGATTTGCCGCTCGAAGCTCAGCCCCAGGTTCCATCTCTTCCTGCCCGGTGGTCAGAGGCAGTATTTTCAGCTGGATCTTAGATGGCTTTACATCTTTATGGAATGCTGGGCCTATTAAGCCACCCTTGACAAAGAACACTGGCACTGTGGGTGGAACCTATCACTAGGATAAAGCATCCAATATCATCTTTTAACAAGCGCCAAAGAAGGTCTATCTCACAGGGCTGGGACATCAAAACCTCTACCCCTGGCTGCAGCAGGCATGGGGAATGCAGTTTTGTGGTTAAAGTGAATGAGTTCAGGGCTGCCCTTAAAACAGCCTAGAGACCCAACTGGCCTACCAGATGGTGGCTCCAGGCATAAAGGGACATGTGGTCACCCCTCTCTTCCATCCATCCATCCATCCTCCATTCATGTATTCATTTTATCTTTTATCTTTTTTTTTTTTTAAGACAGTCTTGTTCTGTCACCCAGGCTGGAGTGCAGTGGAATGATCTCGGTTCACTGCAACCTCTGCCTCCTGGGTTCAAGTGATTCTCACGTCTCAGCCTCCCAAGTAGCTGGGATTATAGGCGCATGCCACCACGGCCAGCTACTTTCTGTATTTTTTGTAGAGACAGAGTTTTGCCATGTTGGCCAGGCTGGTCTCAAACTCCTGACCTCAAGTGATTCACCTGCCTTGGCCTTCCAATTTGCTGGGATTACAGGCATGAGCCACCATGCCTGGCCCATGTATTCATTTTTTGACCAATATTTTCCACGTGCCTACTGTGTGTGTCAGGCCTGTGCTAGGTGCTAGGTGATAGGCATTCAAGACATATGTGTTCTCGCTGGTCCTGGAGCTCACTGCCAGTGGGTAAGACTGATGTTAGCCAAGTGAATACTCTAATTACAAGTTGTCATATGTGCCAGGAAAGTGGGGGCATTTAAGACTGCCATGTTCAACAGCTGGAAGGAAGCCAGCATGTCCAGAACAGAGTGAAAGGGGAGGAGTGAGAAGAGGCTGGGCCACTCCACACTGGACTTTGTGGATAAATATAAGGACGCTGGATTTTATTCAAGGTACAACAGAGGCCCACGGCAGGGTTTTCAGAAGGGGAATGACATGCTCAGATCTAAGGCCGTGCAATAGTACCCTGTGAAGGATACCATTAGGTATCCTTTAATCAGATAAATGCAGAATGTGGCACTTCAATAAGAAAACTGGACTCTTCAGTCGATGTCAACAAAAAAGGAAAGAGAGAGAGAGAGAGAGAAAAAAAAAAAAAAAAGAGTGACATATGACCAAATGTAATCCACGAACTTGAAAGCAGCAGCTGTCTAAGACCTTTGGGAGACAGTAAGGAATTTGGATTGGACTGGATATTAGATGATACCAGGAATTCCCCTTCATGTTCCTGGTCGAAGCAGCAGTCCTGTGGGTGTGCAAGAAAGGGAAGAAGGGGAGGCACTTGGAAAATATTGGTCAAAAAATAAATACCTGAAATGAGGAAGGAAGGATGGATGGATGGATGGATGGATGGATGGATTGATGACTGGATGGATGGCAGAGAGGGCTGACCAGATGTCTCTTTATACCTGGAGCCACCATCTGGTAGCCCAGCTGGGTCTCTAGGCTACTCTAAGGGCAGCTCTAAACTCATTCACTTTACCCACAAAACTGCATTCCTGGCCAGGCACAGTGGCTCACACCTGTAATCCCAGTACTTTGGGATGCCGAGGCGGGCGGATCACAAGGTCAAGGGTTTGAGACCAGCCTGGCCAACATAGTGAAACCCCATCTCTACTAAAAATACAAAAAATAGCCGAGCATGGTGGTGCATGCCTGTAATCCCAGCTACTTGGGAGGCTGGGCAGGAGAATCACTTGAACCCGAGAGGCAGAGGTTGTGGTGAGCCGAGATTGTGCCACTGCACTCCAGCCTGGGCAACAGAGCAAGACTCCGTCTCAAAAAAAATTAAAAAAAAAAAATACTGCATTCCCTGACTCTCAGGAGCTGCCTGCGGAGGGGCCCAGGGCTCAGGCACCTCATTTTCCTCTCATTCTTCAAAAATTGAGAGACATAAAGCAGAGTGTCAACAATTATTGAATCCAGACACCAGGCACAGTGGCTCACATATGTAATCCCACTTGAGACCAGGATTTGAGATCAGCCTGTGCAACACAGCAAGACCCCCTCTCAAAAAAAAAAAAAAAAAAAAAAAAAAAGCTGGGCATGGGTGGCCTGCACCTGTAGTCCCAGCTAGCTACTCAGGAGGCTGAGGTGGGAGGATCACTTGGGGCTGTTCTCAAGCAGTCAAGGCTGCAGTGAGCTATGATCACACCATTGCACTCCAGCCTGGGCAACACAGTGAGACCCTGTCTGAAAAAAATAAAATAAAAATTGTTGAATCTAGCAGGAGAATATCTGGGTATTTATTATACCATTACACCATTCTTTTGATTTTTCTGAAGGCTTGAAATTTTCCCAAATAAAAAACTGGGGGAGATTTTTTAAACCTAAAAATGTTTATTAGTTTAAAAAAAAATTACTTTCACTGCCGAGCAGAGACTGGTTTGGAGGGGAGGTGACCACATGAAGAATCCATAAAATCCTGACTGAGTATCCCCCTCTGTGACAGACCTGAAGTGGGGAACTGAGAAACAACAGAGCCCCCACAAGGAGTGCACCTTCCAGCCTTGAAGAAAGTGGGGAACAGTGGGCGGGGCACGACAGGCAAGTGTAGACCGAAGGGTGTTCAGATTTCTGGCCACCCCCATCCCCCAGTCTGCTGGCTCCTGGTTCCTTCACGCCACCCACCCCACAGTCCAGGAGCTCCAGGAGTCACCCATGGCCAGGTTCTCTCCTTCTGGTTTCTGTGCCCTTTCTAAAGCAGCACAGAGCCCAGAAATGGGATCGGGTGCCAGGGCCTCTTTCTCTTTCCAGAGAAACTGCCCTGCCCACCCACAAAAGGTCACCATGACCGATCCCATCAGCAGCCTCCCTCCCCACCCCTCCTTCCCAGCAGGCCATTGGTTCCAGAATTTCAGGCCACAGGGATCTGCCCAAGGCAGAGCTCACCTTGTTCTTCCTCACCAGCGTGCTAGGCCACAGCAGAGCCACCCCAATCTTCAGCTCCAGCCAAGCTGATGCTTGCATTTCATTCATTCCTTTCATTCATTCATAGTGTACTGCTTAAGAGAGTGGGCTCTGGGGTCAGATTGCCGGGGTCCAAATCCTAGCTCTTCCATTACTAGCTGTATAATCATGGAGAAGACACTTAATGTGTAGATTAAGTGACTTAACTGATGAATTCCTCTTCCAGGAATGCTGTTCCTGATTCTTGAAGATGCAGCCCAAGTCCCGTCTCCTCTAGAGGCCCTCTGGGATTTCCTCCACCCTCACTGCTCTGTCCTCTGAATTCCTTTAGCCTTTTCTCTCAGTTGCTTCTGGAGCACTTCACCCATGCGACCCTGTTGTGTTGAAAGCCAGGGCCATGCCTTATCCAGGGGGTCCTCAGGAAGCAACCTGAGTAAGGAAATCCCACCAGAGCTAAAGGACAGCCGCAAGGCTAGCCAAGCAGGTTTCCTTCCTTCCCAGAGCCTCCACTGTGAAGTGGGAGGTTTGGACTAGAAGAACAATAAATTCTCTTTTAACAGACCCCAAGCCCTTGCTGCCCCTTGATAGCACCTAAAAGCTATGCAGAAGGGAGGCCTAAATGTCCCTTACACACAGGAGGGAGGTCCATAGGTTCCTTACAACTGGAAAGCTCCATGAAGCAGGCAGCCCTTCCCTGGGGATCAGGGAGGCCTCCACCAGGGCAACCCCTCCCTCATTTGAGACTCTCAGTGATGCATATGAAACTTGGAAATTTCCCTCCTGCTTTTGGGAGTTGGAAGTATCTGAGGAAGTGATGGGGAGAGAGCTCTGTCCTGTGCCCCCGGAGGGAGGACTGGGGAGGATTAAGGACTATTTGCCAAATGTGCTTGGGGATGAAGGAAAGGGTTCCTTGGATCCCCCAACCTATCTGCCTTTGGGTGGAAAGGCCACCCACCTGGAAGGGGCTTCTGAGCTCATGCCTTCCCTGGCAACCCCTGCCTCAAGGTGCAAGGCCCCAGAACCACCTTCCGTGATCCAGAGCCAGGGCTACTCTTTCCTCCCACCCAGAAAGCTTATTTTAGCAACAAAGGGAGCGAGATGAATGGAGAGTTGCAGCTTCTCCACGGGTTGGCTTGGGCCTTCACCAGAAATGAGAGTCTCATTACCCAACCCCAATTCAAAGGATAATTAACAGATGGTATAATTTCCAAGCATTCTCTGCACCACATGGCTATTAGGTGAAGAACAAAATGCCCACGCAGCCCCTAGATCCTTCCAAACTCCAGAGTCTGAGGAAGTCTAGAGAGGCAGAGCCCTGCGGAGGCGTGTAACCCACGCCTCCATCTCCAGAGCTGCCCTTGGCCTTGCTCAGAGGAAGAAAGCTCCTGTTTGGTCAAAGGGGAGGGCATTTCCTTGAGCCATGGGTCCTCCTCCTACTTCTATCCATCCTGCCAGGAGCACAGTCTAACCCTAATCTTTCTTGCTGTACCCAAGGCCCATCTCCTTTCCTGTTTCCCCAGGGGAAAAGAGAAAAGCTGATTTCTCATCCTTGGCCTCACTGTGTGGTCACACAGACACTCCTTGGGCCTGGGGCTGGGGGATCCTCTGCTGTGACCCAGTGAGAGTGGCACCACTGTGACCGGGGGCAGTGGTAGAAGGGAGCACCTGATCCAGTGCTTTTCAGATGGGTTCCTCCAGACCCTCAAGTTGCACAGAGCAGCCCAGGGATTTCTTGGTTGGGGGAGTGGTGGAGAGGGGCAAGGCCCTGACCCCCTCACTTCAACCCAGCAGCACTACTCATCTGTTCTATATTCTGGCCTTCCACTTCAGATTTCTTTTGAAGAAAAGAATTCTACTGCTAAATAAACATTTGAGAACCATTCACCTTATTCAATCCCCTCATTTTACAAAAAGGGACATTGAGGCACAGAATTTGAGCAAGGTCACATAGCTGTGGTGTTGGAGGCTGGGACCCAGGCCCAGGCATCCCCCCAGGCCAGGGCATCCCCCCAGGGACTACCTGACTGGGCCCCTGGCTGCTCCAGGATGTAGGGAAGCCTTTTCTGGGTCGCCTGCACGGCTCCTGCCTGGCTCTCCGTGTGGTCCAGCTTCATGTCTGGTCCTCTTGGAGAACCCCTGGAATCCTGCACACCCTCTCAAATGAAGCTGCCTTGGAGAGGGTCAGGAGCCCGGGTACCAGGTAGGCCTCCTCGCTGGTCACAAAACTGTGGCGGAAGGAGGGGGTAGCCGCAGGACATGGACAGGGAGGCAGGAGGGGATGAGAGGCCGCCTCTCTAGACAGGACCTCAGGGGGCAGTGTAAGCCCCTTGTCTAGAATCCAGGAAGCCTGTGTTAAAGCTAGGCTCCACCGCAGCCGGCCTCCGAATCTGGTGACAGTGTGTTTGCACCACCTGGCTTCCACCCACTCTGACCCTTCTAATTTACTTCCCTGGAAAAGCCCAAGTGGTGTCCAACATGAGGCTGGGGTCATTCTTCCAACAGCCCGACCCCAAGGGGCATGCTGGTCAGACAACAGCCTCGCTGGTGGGGTGGAGGGGACGGTAGGGAGCGAGTGGGCCCGGTGACTCATTGTGGGTGCTTCTCTGGGATTTTGGAGGCTTTGTTGTGTTGCTCAGGGCCCTTTTAACTCTGTCTGACCTATGGGAGGGGACAGCAACGAGGGCTTTTATGACTGGAATGAACTGGAAACTTGGCCTCTGAGAGCCCTTAAAATGTTTTGGAAACCTCTAGGCATACTTAGGGTACTTCCACCATGATTATCATCGGCTGTGTGGCTTCCGATCGCTAATTCGCACCGGGCATCTGGCGAGGCCGGCCTGGGGAAATTGGGATGGAGGGTCCTGCTGGAGGGAATCCTGGCGCTTTGGGCGGAGGAGTGCTCTGGGTGGGGCCCACCTCCTCCAGCGCGGCCGGCGTTGCCGCTTTAAGGCGGCCGCGGCGCGAGCAGGTCTATGGTAATGAGCCGCCGCCGCGACTCTGCAGAGCTCGCCCGCCCGCCGGGGAGGCGAGGGAGCGCGGGGCTGGGCCCGGGGCCGCGGCGACAGGCAGCAGCCGCGGCGGGGACGCGGGGCGCGAGCGGGCGGCGCGGGACCGTCGGGGGCCGCCGGGGCCGGGCCGGGGTCGGGGCGCACGGCTACGCGGGCGCAGGTGGGCGATCCCATAGGGGCGGAGGGGGCACCCCGGCTCCGGAACCCGGGGCCCGGCAAGGCCAGGGGCGCCGCGGGGCCCCCGGGCGCAGGTGGTGAGTGCCCGGAGCGCAGGTGGAGGCGCGGCGGCAGCCCGCGGTGCTCAGGGTGACCCGGGAGCGGGTCTGGCTCAGGGGGCAGTGGGAGCCCGGGCTCGTCGGAGGGTGCAGCGCGGGGTCCCGCCGAGCCATCCAGACGCAGGCCCCGCGGGGCGCACGGGAGGCCCCCGGGGACTGGCGCCCTGGCCCGGGCATGAGGCGCGGCGGGGCCGGCAGGAGCCGGAGGAGGAGCCGCCGCCGCCGTTGACCCGGCCGCCGGCCGGGAGCTGGGAGAGATGCGGAGCCCGGCCACCGGCGTCCCCCTCCCAACGCCGCCGCCGCCGCTGCTGCTGCTGTTGCTGCTGCTGCTGCCGCCGCCACTATTGGGAGACCAAGTGGGGCCCTGTCGTTCCTTGGGGTCCAGGGGACGAGGCTCTTCGGGGGCCTGCGCCCCCATGGGCTGGCTCTGTCCATCCTCAGCGTCGAACCTCTGGCTCTACACCAGCCGCTGCAGGGATGCGGGCACTGAGCTGACTGGCCACCTGGTACCCCACCACGATGGCCTGAGGGTTTGGTGTCCAGAATCCGAGGCCCATATTCCCCTACCACCAGCTCCTGAAGGCTGCCCCTGGAGCTGTCGCCTCCTGGGCATTGGAGGCCACCTTTCCCCACAGGGCAAGCTCACACTGCCCGAGGAGCACCCGTGCTTAAAGGCTCCACGGCTCAGATGCCAGTCCTGCAAGCTGGCACAGGCCCCCGGGCTCAGGGCAGGGGAAAGGTCACCAGAAGAGTCCCTGGGTGGGCGTCGGAAAAGGAATGTAAATACAGCCCCCCAGTTCCAGCCCCCCAGCTACCAGGCCACAGTGCCGGAGAACCAGCCAGCAGGCACCCCTGTTGCATCCCTGAGGGCCATCGACCCGGACGAGGGTGAGGCAGGTCGACTGGAGTACACCATGGATGCCCTCTTTGATAGCCGCTCCAACCAGTTCTTCTCCCTGGACCCAGTCACTGGTGCAGTAACCACAGCCGAGGAGCTGGATCGTGAGACCAAGAGCACCCACGTCTTCAGGGTCACGGCGCAGGACCACGGCATGCCCCGACGAAGTGCCCTGGCTACACTCACCATCTTGGTTACTGACACCAATGACCATGACCCTGTGTTCGAGCAGCAGGAGTACAAGGAGAGCCTCAGGGAGAACCTGGAGGTTGGCTATGAGGTGCTCACTGTCAGGGCCACGGATGGTGATGCCCCTCCCAATGCCAATATTCTGTACCGCCTGCTGGAGGGGTCTGGGGGCAGCCCCTCTGAAGTCTTTGAGATCGACCCTCGCTCTGGGGTGATCCGAACCCGTGGCCCTGTGGATCGGGAAGAGGTGGAATCCTACCAGCTGACGGTAGAGGCAAGTGACCAGGGTCGGGACCCGGGTCCTCGGAGTACCACAGCCGCTGTTTTCCTTTCTGTGGAGGATGACAATGATAATGCCCCCCAGTTTAGTGAGAAGCGCTATGTGGTCCAGGTGAGGGAGGATGTGACTCCAGGGGCCCCAGTACTCCGAGTCACAGCCTCGGATCGAGACAAGGGGAGCAATGCCGTGGTGCACTATAGCATCATGAGTGGCAATGCTCGGGGACAGTTTTATCTGGATGCCCAGACTGGAGCTCTGGATGTGGTGAGCCCTCTTGACTATGAGACGACCAAGGAGTACACCCTACGGGTGCGAGCACAGGATGGTGGCCGTCCCCCACTCTCTAATGTCTCTGGCTTGGTGACAGTACAGGTCCTGGATATCAACGACAATGCCCCCATCTTCGTCAGCACCCCTTTCCAGGCTACTGTCCTGGAGAGTGTCCCCTTAGGCTACCTGGTTCTCCATGTCCAGGCTATCGACGCTGATGCTGGTGACAATGCCCGCCTGGAATACCGCCTTGCTGGGGTGGGACATGACTTCCCCTTCACCATCAACAATGGCACAGGCTGGATCTCTGTGGCTGCTGAACTGGACCGGGAGGAAGTTGATTTCTACAGCTTTGGGGTAGAAGCTCGAGACCATGGCACTCCAGCACTCACTGCCTCGGCCAGTGTCAGCGTGACTGTCCTGGATGTCAACGACAACAATCCAACCTTTACCCAACCAGAGTACACAGTGCGGCTCAATGAGGATGCAGCTGTGGGCACCAGCGTGGTGACGGTGTCAGCTGTGGACCGTGATGCTCATAGTGTCATCACCTACCAGATCACCAGTGGCAATACTCGAAACCGCTTCTCCATCACCAGCCAAAGTGGTGGTGGGCTGGTATCCCTTGCCCTGCCACTGGACTACAAACTTGAGCGGCAGTATGTGTTGGCTGTTACCGCCTCCGATGGCACTCGGCAGGACACGGCACAGATTGTGGTGAATGTCACCGACGCCAACACCCATCGTCCTGTCTTTCAGAGCTCCCACTATACAGTGAATGTTAATGAGGACCGGCCGGCAGGCACCACGGTGGTGCTGATCAGCGCCACGGATGAGGACACAGGTGAGAATGCCCGCATCACCTACTTCATGGAGGACAGCATCCCCCAGTTCCGCATCGATGCAGACACGGGGGCTGTCACCACCCAGGCTGAGCTGGACTATGAAGACCAAGTGTCTTACACCCTGGCCATTACTGCTCGGGACAATGGCATTCCCCAGAAGTCCGACACCACCTACCTGGAGATCCTGGTGAACGACGTGAATGACAATGCCCCTCAGTTCCTGCGAGACTCCTACCAGGGCAGTGTCTATGAGGATGTGCCACCCTTCACTAGCGTCCTGCAGATCTCAGCCACTGATCGTGATTCTGGACTTAATGGCAGGGTCTTCTACACCTTCCAAGGAGGCGACGATGGAGACGGTGACTTTATTGTTGAGTCCACGTCAGGCATCGTGCGAACGCTACGGAGGCTGGATCGAGAGAACGTGGCCCAGTATGTCTTGCGGGCATATGCAGTGGACAAGGGGATGCCCCCAGCCCGCACACCTATGGAAGTGACAGTCACTGTGTTGGATGTGAATGACAATCCCCCTGTCTTTGAGCAGGATGAGTTTGATGTGTTTGTGGAAGAGAACAGCCCCATTGGGCTAGCCGTGGCCCGGGTCACAGCCACTGACCCCGATGAAGGCACCAATGCCCAGATTATGTACCAGATTGTGGAGGGCAACATCCCTGAGGTCTTTCAGCTGGACATCTTCTCCGGGGAGCTGACAGCCCTGGTAGACTTAGACTACGAGGACCGGCCTGAGTACGTCCTGGTCATCCAGGCCACGTCAGCTCCTCTGGTGAGCCGGGCTACAGTCCACGTCCGCCTCCTTGACCGCAATGACAACCCACCAGTGCTGGGCAACTTTGAGATCCTTTTCAACAACTATGTCACCAATCGCTCAAGCAGCTTCCCTGGGGGTGCCATTGGCCGAGTACCTGCCCATGACCCTGATATCTCAGATAGTCTGACTTACAGCTTTGAGCGGGGAAATGAACTCAGCCTGGTCCTGCTCAATGCCTCCACGGGTGAGCTGAAGCTAAGCCGCGCACTGGACAACAACCGGCCTCTGGAGGCCATCATGAGCGTGCTGGTGTCAGGTAAGGAAGGGCCCAGGTGGCGCTGGGGTGGGGGTAGCTCGCGGGGATGGTCTGGGCAGCCACTGGAGGTAGGGTGCGATCCAGGAAGCAGCTACAGATCCACCTCCCTGCCCAGTGCCTGGCACAGAGCAGGAGGGGCAAGAGCCAGCTTGGGAAGAAGCCCCAGGAACCCTGGCGGCTGGTGCAGGCCCCACCTTCTGCTGGGCTGGGCTGGGCTGCTTCGGTTGGCTGCCCCCACTGTCTACCAGCCTGTGACGTGGTCGGGGAAGTGTTGTGAGGCTGCCCCGGCTATGGCTGCCAAGAATTGTGAAAAAAGGCGCGTGGAAGCCTGGGGGGCCAGGAGAGCTGGGGGAAGGGCAGAGAGGACTGTGGCGCAGGAGAGGAGGCGAGGCCAGGGCCCCTTCACCCCCATCAAGATATTCCTGCAGTCTCACACAGCCTTTGGCAGAGCTGGGGACCACGGGAGCACAGGGCTGCCGCCACCCAGGGGTCAGGACCCTGTAGTCCTCTTCTGGCCCCTTTTGCCTCCTGGCTGAGCTGCAGAATCGGCTGACAGGGACTTTGTCTAGCGCATTCTTTTCCCTCCAGGCAGAAAGAGCCTGGCCTGGCTCCCCCTTCAGAGCTCCCACAGGAAGTGAGGCCAGAGCTCATTGTCTGTCCAAACAGACCCCACTTTCAGAGTCCGTGGTTCGGGTCTGGCTTGGAGGAGGGGCTGCAATGAAGCTGGGGGGCAGGCTGAGGCCTCGTGGGCCCCCCTTGCCACCTCATGGGCTGTTCTTAGGGTGCCAGGCCTTCCTTTCCTGCTAGCTGTGACCAGCCCAAGCTCCAGGAATGGAGTGTAGGGACCAGGACAGGCCAGTGGACTGGTGAGCTTTGAGGGCAGAGACCCCAAGGCACCTTATCTGAGGAGAGAACAGAGTCCCAGGGCGTGGGAGCCTGGCCGGAACCCAGGCTGGGGCATTCCTGCTGCTTGGCCAAGCACTCAGCCTACAGACTCCCTGGACAGCAGGGCTGGGGGAGGAGAGTTGGAGGGGGTTGGTGACAGTATTCTGTCTTTTTTTATCAGCTGTGGGGAGCCAGAGGTAGCAGCAGGGAGAAGACCACACCCAAGTTGCTGAGTGCCTTCCCCAAGCCTGGGAACAACTGAGACCCTCATGAGGGGATGCTGTTAGCTGCACCCCAGGGGTGGATCAGGTCACATCCCCTCTAGGCAGCCTTCAAATCCATCAGGGAAGGGAGGAAAAGAAGAGGCTGGCAGGCCCCTACTCCCACCCCAGGGAGTGTGGCCTGAAGGGGAAGGAGGGGTATGCCAGAGTCAGGGCGTGGCCTCACTCAGGGTCCTTGCTGGACAGATGCCTCCCTGCCCCACCCTTCAAAGTAGCCACAGGAACCAGGAAGCAGGAGCTTTTCAGGGACTGTGGCTGAGGTTCTGAGCCTCCTGAGACTTCAGTTTCCCCTCCAGGAGGCGGAAGAGGGAGGCTGGAGCTCCTGTGTCCTCAACTGTGCCTGGGCACTTGAGACAAGTGGGAAGGAGGTGGGAAGGAGGGCCTCTCCCTCTGGTCCTCCACACCCAGCCTGCCTTTGGTGAGCGTGGCCAGGCACTGGCAGAGAAGCGCCCCCATTAAGCCTTCGGTCTCCCACCAGGGCAGAGCCCTAGACCTTGGTTCCCTAGTCTAGAGAAGGCTCGGGGCAACATCCAGGACGGCTCCTCCTGGCCCGGCAGCTCTGGCCCCACCCTCTCCCTTCGGCCCTGACCCTTGGAGGCAGTCACCACGGCAACCCCAAAGTTCAGGGAGGCCGGGGTGAGGGGGAGCTGACTCCCACTGCCCCTTTGTTTTCCTCCTCTTGTTCTTTGTCTCTTCTTTCTTTCCCGCCCCTGCCCATGCGGAGCCCTGCAGCACTGCCTCTCTCCGGTGCCCTCTCCCTGCTCCTGCGGCTCTCCGGCTCTCCCACTTGCCCATTGCTGGCTCCTCTCCTGAGGCTTTGTCTTCCCCTGTTTGGTCTCCGTGTTTGTGCCTCCACTCTCTTCCCTATGGCTGCAGCTGCCCCAGCCTGGGCCGATGGCTCCCCTGGAGGCTGAATTCTCCTCGCCTCTTTCTTCCTCTGCTCAGACACGCAGCAGCTCCTGTCCATGGTCTGGGCAGCTCCCAGAACAGCAGAGCCCTCTTGGCCTCCAGTCTCCGCTGGCACATCTGCCAGGGGAAGAGAGGCTGGGAGGCTGACCGGGACCTGGCACTTTTCCAGGTGTGCCTGGCTAAGCTTGGGACACAGGTGGCATTTCCTGGGGTCAGAGGCCATCCCAGCTGTTCCTTTTCTGTCCAGGAAGACAGCTCAGGCAACGTACTCCCCACCCCTGTTCCCATCCTGCCTTTGCACCTGAGGGGTGACCTAGGTCAAGGCAGGGGAGGGTGATATAGAAAGGAGAGAGCAGTGGGTTGACTGTTGGGGATGGGGGACAACAGCAGAGGGGGCAGGTGGCCACAGATGGTGGACCAGATGGGAAGCAACAGAGACATGCTGGGAGAGGGGCCCAGGCGGGGCCTAAGACGATGGCGGTGGGGGACACAGGGAGAAGTGTTTGTTCCCAGGGCTGAGGGGTGGCAAAGTTTCTCCCGCTCCATGGCCTTGGTTGCCCCCTCTCCTCTCTTAATCAGTTATGGGCACTGTGTGTGGAGTCTTGGGCTGCTTTCTGCCTGGAGGGAATATCCCGTCAAGGAATCATTAGGCAGATATACCAGGTATACAAGAGCTCTGTGCCAGCTGAGCATCCTGGTGCGGGGAAGTCTGAAACGGAGAGGAAAGTAGAGCCTGATGACATAAATCTGGGCAGGCTTCCTGGAGCAGGTGAGCTAGGGCAGGTTAGAAGACTCAGAGGACTGTGGGCTGGTGTCTGGGTGGGAAGGAACAGCCTGTGCAGCAGCTTTGAGACGAGAGCAGGAGGAACAGAAGTGGGTGATGACAAGCAGGCTTGCTGGTGAGAGCTAGTGAGAATAAGCAAGTGATGAGGCTGGAGGGTAGGTGGGCAGTCGGCTGAGGACATGGCTGAGATGGGGGTCTGCTTTCAGCCTTCCCGGCTTCAGCTGAGCCACCGCTGGTACAGTCAGCCACCGCAAGTAGGTACAACACAGATGCAGAATTTGTTCCCATGTCCCTTGCCTACTCCCACCCCACCCCAGAAACATGGGCTCCTGCCCCGTTACTGCTAGGGTAAGCATTTGCTTTTTATATCTAGTTGGGCTCCCCCTGCTATGTGGTTTTGTTTGTTTGTTTGGGACAGAGTCTCACTCTGTCACCCAGGCTGGAGTACAATGGCGCGATCTCGGCTCACTGCAACCTCTGCCTCCTGGGTTCAAGCAATTCTCCTGCCTCAGCCTCCTGAGTATCTGGGACCTCCTGAGTAGCTGAGATTACAGGCACCCACCACCACGCCCAACTAATTTTTGTATTTTTAGTAGAGACGGGGTTTCACCATGTTGGTCAGTCTGATCTCGAACTCCTGACCTCGTGATCCACCCGCCTCAGCCTCCCAAAGTTCTGGGACTACAGGCGTGAGCCACTGCGCCCGGCCCCCTGCTATGTTTTAAAGTCCGTTTATTCTTTGTGGAGACTGAATAGATTGTCATCCACATCTCAGTGTTTTCTGAACACCTACTATGTGTAAGGCATTGTAATAAATACAAATATGAATATGCCAGTAGCTCATGCCTGTAATCCCAGTGCTCTAGAAGGCTGAGATGGAGGATCACTTGAGGCCAGGAATTTGAGACCAGCCTGGACAACACAGCAAGACCCCATCTCTACACACAAACAAAAATTAGCCAGGCATAGTTGTGAGCACCTGTGGTCTCAGCTATTTGGGAGGTTGAGGTGGGAGGATCGCTTGAGCCCAGGAGTTCGAGGCTACAGTGAGCTATGATCGTGCCACTGCTCTCCAGTGTAGGCGACAGAGAGTCTGTCTCTTAAAAAAAAAAAAAAAAAGACTATCCCTTCTTGCCCTGTAAAGCCATTTCCTCCTTCTCCAGGCCCCAGCTTTCATTTTTTAGCTAAATAAAATTCATTCCCATGTGTATGTGCATTCAGGTGTGTATGGTATTTCTGGGCTTAGGGTGTGTGGGTGGAATGAGACACCAGCAAGTGTGTTTTAGTGCTTAGCTGTTTATAAGTGAGTGTGTTGCCTGGGGGCATAGCAGGCATTTGGGTGTAATGGTTGAGCCAAGTGGGTGATGAGTAGCTAGAGGCCCTAGGACCAGAGAAGAGACTGACTCAGTGGGGCTCTGGGGTCTCAGAGTGGAGAGCTGCCCAGGCCCTTCTATCTCTGCCTTCCGGTCCCCCACCCCGACTCACCCTGTCTCCAGCATGGGGCAGTGGGTGATGATGTCACTGGTTAACGTGGCTCAGCTGGATTTCCTGGGGTGGGGCCCCCCAGGCTACCCACAGCAGCCCAGAGAGTTGGGCGGGAAGAATGCTTTGTGTTGGATGTTGCCATGGGGATAGCAGGTCTGCGCGCCCAAGCAGCCATGGGGCTCAGTGGGAGGGGGACTAGGTGGCCCACTGACCCAGTTTACCCACTCCCCCCCACCCCCGCCAACTCCCTGCTGCTGTGGGGGAGTGGGGAACACAGCCATGGTTGCGATTATCGTGGTGTTGAGGTGTAGAGGCTGAGGGGGCAGGGGGATGATTTTTGTGGGTCTCAGGATGCTCTGGGCCCTGTAGAAAAGTATGAAAAAGACAACATAGGGTTCCCGCGCAGGCAGCACAGACTCTGGGGGAAGGGAGCAGGAGCGGTGGCTTGGGCAGGGAAAGGTGCACAAACATTAAGAGGTGTGCCGTGCATCAGCGACAGAAGGTTTTGGGAAAGGATGCAAAGAGAACTGCAAATCTCATCCCCTGAGCCCTGAAGGAGTGATTGGCCCACACGTGACATACCTGGCTCAGCACCCTTATGCCAGTTGGAAAGGAGAGCCTTTCTTGGTGGGTGGTGCAGGAATATGCAGGCTGAATTGCAGCCCCAGGCTGGGTCCTGACTGTGTCCCTCTCCACAGACGGCGTACACAGCGTGACCGCCCAGTGCGCGCTGCGTGTGACCATCATCACCGATGAGATGCTCACCCACAGCATCACGCTGCGCCTGGAGGACATGTCACCCGAGCGCTTCCTGTCACCACTGCTAGGCCTCTTCATCCAGGCGGTGGCCGCCACGCTGGCCACGCCACCGGACCACGTGGTGGTCTTCAACGTACAGCGGGACACCGACGCCCCCGGGGGCCACATCCTCAACGTGAGCCTGTCGGTGGGCCAGCCGCCAGGGCCCGGGGGCGGGCCGCCCTTCCTGCCCTCTGAGGACCTGCAGGAGCGCCTATACCTCAACCGCAGCCTGCTGACGGCCATCTCGGCACAGCGCGTGCTGCCCTTCGACGACAACATCTGCCTGCGGGAGCCCTGCGAGAACTACATGCGCTGCGTGTCGGTGCTGCGCTTCGACTCCTCCGCGCCCTTCATCGCCTCCTCCTCCGTGCTCTTCCGGCCCATCCACCCCGTCGGAGGGCTGCGCTGCCGCTGCCCGCCCGGCTTCACGGGTGACTACTGCGAGACCGAGGTGGACCTCTGCTACTCGCGGCCCTGTGGCCCCCACGGGCGCTGCCGCAGCCGCGAGGGCGGCTACACCTGCCTCTGTCGTGATGGCTACACGGGTGAGCCAAGGGAGGGGACTCATGGGCCAGCCCTGGAAGGCTGACTGTGTGGTGCAGGCACAAATCAGGACAAATGCTGGCGGCTGCCTCATTCTCTTCCCGAGTGAGGTGCAGCTACACTGAGAGGTCATAAATCCGGCCTGCTCCCTGACAGCACCCCACTGAGGAAGGCAGTGCAAGGAGTGCTTCTCCCTGCTGTGCACAGGACACACAGGCAGTGCCATTGTGGGCAGAGCTGGCTCCAGAGCCAGTCGGCCTGTGTTCGTGTATCAGCTTTGCCGCTAGTAGCTGTGTGACCTTGAACAAGTTACTTAACCTTTCTGGCCCTCGGTTATTTGAAATGGAGATAATGACCGTACTTAGGTCATAAGTTGGTTGTGAGGATTAATGTAATTAATTTGATACTTGGAAACAGCTGGTGGCATGGAAGGTGTTGGCCTTGATTTAAGGGAACGCTGAGATTGGGTGACTTGCTCCTGGTCTCATCACACCCGGTTTAGAGGTGAGGCTGGGCCTAGAACCTGGTCTCTCCCCCACTGAGCGAGTTCCTTTTCTGAGCTGCAGCAAGTACTTTTCTCCCCAGGCATTAAGGGGAAGACACAGAAGAGCTGGGGGAACTGGAGGGGGTTGAGTTCTGAGATGGGGTGCTCCAGAAAACCATTGCACCTGTATGGGCCTGGGCAGAATGGCTCCGCCTCCGCCCAGCTGCTGGTAAAAGAGGATCCTGGCTAGGCGGCTTCCCTGTTGGCCTGTCAGCCAAGGTCTTTACACATCCTGCTCCCTGGGATGCTCACTGTCTCTGCTCTATGCTCCTGACCCCTCCCTTCAGGCTCCTGTGTCTTCTCAGGACACCCCCTGCTCCCCTTCCCTGTGGGCCTTTCCTTCCTAGATGCCCAGGCCCTGCTCCTTGTCCTCCAGGGCCATGCCCACTGGCTCTGCCAGCAGCCATAGGCAGGCCCCACTCCTTCCCCGCTGCATCTTCCTGCCCAGAACTTGCCAGACTTGACTTCTCTCTGCTGCTGCTAGGGGTGGGGGGAAGGGGAGGGACGGGCTTGGGGGAGGGGAGAGAAGTCTTTGTCCAGGAGGATGGTGGGGGGGGTTGGGAGGGGGGGGGTTAGAGCAGGCGAACAACAGTTTCCATGGAAACAAGAGCCAGTCACTAGGCACAGGAGCTGAGAACCTATCTCTAGAATCTGGGAATGGGGAGGGAGAGAAGGGTGGATTTTCCCATCTGATGTTGGAGTTTTCAGCTCCTCTGTTGAATTCTTGTCTGCTCTCAGGGCTCAGTTTCCCACTCTCAGCATGTCCCAGGTGCACAGAGGTCCTTAGTCTGGACCGCAGGGCTCAAGGTGGGAGTCCTCTGCCCCATTCCTGGGGGCTCCCCAGCTTCTCTCTCATACTCTTCCATAACCCAGACAAATCTAAGTGGAAGCCTGGTCCCATCCCCAGGGAGGGAAACTGATCTCAGTGCCTGAGAGGGACAAAAGCACCAGTGGGAAGGAGGGAGGAGGGAGGCTCCCAGCCCTCCCGCTGTCCTGCAGGCCCATCTGCTTGTGCACATTTACCCTCTTGGGGGCCAGGACACCCCCAGGTGTGCTTGGTAGTGTGACATCGAAGGCTCCCGGGATCCGGGCCTTACAACCAAGTGTCCCAGCAGGCCTGTGCTTATGAAACCCAAATGGGGTAGGGAAGGTGCTGGGGACTCCGAGGAACTTGCAGGGGAGCAGTGCGTGGAGCTGTGGCGAGAGCGGCTCAGTGAGCCAAACAGGGTGCCCATGAAGGGCTGGGGACCATAGGTCTCAGAGAAGATGGCACACGAGAGGAAGTGGGGATGCCTGGGAGGTTTGGGGAGTATTACGAGGGTCACGGGAGGCCATGGGAGCTATCACTGGGTTGTGGGGGGTCTCAGTTCCCCTCCTGTCCTCAGGTACTTGGTACTCACCTGCCTTTCCTCTTGTCCAGGTGAGCACTGTGAGGTGAGTGCTCGCTCAGGCCGTTGCACCCCGGGTGTCTGCAAGAATGGGGGCACCTGTGTCAACCTGCTGGTGGGCGGTTTCAAGTGCGATTGCCCATCTGGAGACTTCGAGAAGCCCTACTGCCAGGTGACCACGCGCAGCTTCCCCGCCCACTCCTTCATCACCTTTCGCGGCCTGCGCCAGCGTTTCCACTTCACCCTGGCCCTCTCGTGAGTGGCTGGGCACTGGGGGTGGGGAGTGGGCCTGGTGGGCATCTGAGGTGCCTCCTGTTCTGTGGTTGAAGTAAGAGGTCAGGCAGTGAAAGCGTGGAGCAGGCTGCCGGCAGAGCCAGGTCTGCTCTTGGAGTTGCCTGTGGTTCTGCCAGCAGATCTCCCTCCCCTGCGCTGGTTAGGTGGCGGGGGTGCTGGCATCCAGGTGGGTACCCCATTCCCTGCCCCCATCCCCAACTCCTGTTCAGGTTTGCCACAAAGGAGCGCGACGGGTTGCTGTTGTACAATGGGCGTTTCAATGAGAAGCATGACTTTGTGGCCCTCGAGGTGATCCAGGAGCAGGTCCAGCTCACCTTCTCTGCAGGTGATCACAGTTGCCCCCCATCCTTGCCCATCTTCCAAAGGCCCCAAGTCTTCCAGCCCCTGACCCCAAGCCACATACTCTATCAGCCAAATCTGGGCCCAGCCCCAGCCACTGGCACCCCAAACCCTGCCATTCCTAGCCCTCGTCAGGCATTCCAGCTCACCTGGTCCTTTCCCCAGGGGAGTCAACCACCACGGTGTCCCCATTCGTGCCCGGAGGAGTCAGTGATGGCCAGTGGCATACGGTGCAGCTGAAATACTACAATAAGGTGGGTGTGGAGGGCACAGAGGGTTGGGGGTTCTGTTCTTGCCTCAGGTGCTTACCCAGCCCTGAGTGGCATTGCCTCCAGGCTTGGGTGGGCTGGTCAGGGCATTTCTGGCTGAGAGGAAGGGAGCGGCTGGGAAGGTGCCACCTTGCTGGGCATTCCCACCCCACTGGGCACTGCTCGATGCTCTCTGTTCCACTAGGCAGCCGCAAACTTGGACACTGAGGAAGGTAGTTACATGCATAAACCACGTGAGCACACGTGTGTGTATATGCATGTGTGTACGTGTGTCTGGGCATGTGGGTGCACACAGAGGCACCCAGTGTGTGCTGGCCATGAACCTAGTGGGCTCTGTACTCAGTGTCCCCCTTCTCTGCTCTTTCCTGTCCACAGCCACTGTTGGGTCAGACAGGGCTCCCACAGGGCCCATCAGAGCAGAAGGTGGCTGTGGTGACCGTGGATGGCTGTGACACAGGAGTGGCCTTGCGCTTCGGATCTGTCCTGGGCAACTACTCCTGTGCTGCCCAGGGCACCCAGGGTGGCAGCAAGAAGTGAGCAGGGGAAAGGGCCAGGGATGGGGTGAAGTGAGGGCAGGGCCAGGCAGGGAGGGAAGGTGGAGAGGGTGGGCTTTTGGGGTCTCTCTCCCTTTGCCTCTCTTAGCCCCTGCTCAGCCCTGGGGATGGGGTCAAGACTGGGGAATCAGAGCAAGGCCCTGTGGGGCAGTCTGGGGAGGGGGCTGAGTGTTCGACAAGAACAGTTCCAGGTAGGGGTGACGCCCTTCCTGAGCACTGCTCTGCAGGGCCTCTTGGACACCTGCCTACGCCGTTCGTGTCTCTGGCCTGGCGGCAGAGCGAGCGGAGGACCAGAAGCTCCCAGCCCTCCCTTGTGCCGCCACCATCTTTGCTCCCCCAGGTCTCTGGATCTGACGGGGCCCCTGCTACTAGGCGGGGTGCCTGACCTGCCCGAGAGCTTCCCAGTCCGAATGCGGCAGTTCGTGGGCTGCATGCGGAACCTGCAGGTGGACAGCCGGCACATAGACATGGCTGACTTCATTGCCAACAATGGCACCGTGCCTGGTATGGGGGCCCGGGGTGGAGCCAGGCTGGGATCCCAGTGCTGAGAGGAGGGGCTGTGCCTGGTGTGAGGATGCCAGAATGGAGGGTCTCAGAGGCCTCTCTAACTGCTGCCACAGGCTTTCTCTTTAGAGCCCCAGCTCAGGTCCACTGAGCTGCCTTCTCTCCATTCCAGGCTGCCCTGCCAAGAAGAACGTGTGTGACAGCAACACTTGCCACAATGGGGGCACTTGCGTGAACCAGTGGGACGCGTTCAGCTGCGAGTGCCCCCTGGGCTTTGGGGGCAAGAGCTGCGCCCAGGGTAGGAGGGGCGGCTGTTAGAGGCCACAGCCTGGGTGCCATCAACAGTCTGGGAACTGGCAGGGTTGGGGCAGGCACTGGGCAGGGCTCTGCTGAGCGGGGCTGTGGGTGGAAAAGCGTGTCTGGGCAGAGCCCTGAAAGGGCAACACAGGAGACAAAGGGGCCAGTCAGAGGCAGGCCTGGGCACAGCGTGGGGCGGTCCCAGGGCAGGTACGCACTTTGGAGGGCGGGGCTGATGAGGGGAGTGGGCTCTGCCTCCCGTGCAGCCGCCACCGCTGAGCATCACAGCCCCAGGGCCCTCTGAGGCTCCACCCGTCACAGTCTGCCTTTTCCTGCCTCCCCAGAAATGGCCAATCCACAGCACTTCCTGGGCAGCAGCCTGGTGGCCTGGCATGGCCTCTCGCTGCCCATCTCCCAACCCTGGTACCTCAGCCTCATGTTCCGCACGCGCCAGGCCGACGGTGTCCTGCTGCAGGCCATCACCAGGGGGCGCAGCACCATCACCCTACAGGTGATGCATGGAAGGGCGGCTGGCCCTGGCCTGGCCATAGGGCCCTGGTAGCCTCTAGGCGGCTGGACAGAAGTGGCTGGGCAGGTCCTGGGCAGGGGTGGGGACATATAGAGGCCGCTGGATCCGTTGGGAAGGTCAATGCTGCCACCTGTTGGGCCTGAGGGAAATAAATACGCTTTCCTCTCTATGGCCTCAGCTGGGCAGCGGGATGGGTTTGATGGTCCAGAAAGGGGAACTGTGAGCTGGAGAACAGTGATTAAGGCCGTCTGCTGACCCTGTTTTCTTTCCTCCTGGTGTCAGCTACGAGAGGGCCACGTGATGCTGAGCGTGGAGGGCACAGGGCTTCAGGCCTCCTCTCTCCGTCTGGAGCCAGGCCGGGCCAATGACGGTGACTGGCACCATGCACAGCTGGCACTGGGAGCCAGCGGGGGGCCCGGCCATGCCATTCTGTCCTTCGATTATGGGCAGCAGAGAGCAGAGGGCAACCTGGGCCCCCGGCTGCATGGTCTGCACCTGAGCAACATAACAGTGGGCGGAATACCTGGGCCAGCCGGCGGTGTGGCCCGTGGCTTTCGGGGCTGTTTGCAGGTGAGTGTCCTGCCCTGCCCTCCCATCCCCTCCCCCACCACCTGCAGCCCCGCTCCACTGAGGGCAACACTGCTCCTGTCCCTCCCAGGGTGTGCGGGTGAGCGATACGCCGGAGGGGGTTAACAGCCTGGATCCCAGCCATGGGGAGAGCATCAACGTGGAGCAAGGCTGTAGCCTGCCTGACCCTTGTGACTCAAACCCGTGTCCTGCTAACAGCTATTGCAGCAACGACTGGGACAGCTATTCCTGCAGCTGTGATCCAGGTATGCTAAGGATCCAGGGCAACGGGCAGGTTATCAGGTGCCTGGGGCCACATGCTGGCTCTGCTGTGTGACCTGGGGCATGGGGCATCACACCACCTCTCTGAGTCTTAGTTGCCTACACAACAAAGCCATAGCCAGCTGATAGGATGCTATGTGGAAAGAAACAGATGAAGGGTTTGATGGAAGATGGTGCCAGGGGAGGGTGGGGGAATGAGCCTCTCTGGTCCTTCTGGTCCCAGGTTACTATGGTGACAACTGTACTAATGTGTGTGACCTGAACCCGTGTGAGCACCAGTCTGTGTGTACCCGCAAGCCCAGTGCCCCCCATGGCTATACCTGCGAGTGTCCCCCAAATTACCTTGGGCCATACTGTGAGACCAGGTAAGCAGACCAGGGCATGTGGCAGCAGGTCCCAGTGGCTGCTGCTTCTCTCTGGTGTGTCCCTCAGAGCCCCGAAAGCCTGGCTGATCCACAGCCAGGGTCAGAAGGGCCACATAGGGCTCACCTAGGTTAGGTGGGAGTGGCAGGGGGAGCTCATGCCTACCTGGGTCCCTCTCTGCAGGATTGACCAGCCTTGTCCCCGTGGCTGGTGGGGACATCCCACATGTGGCCCATGCAACTGTGATGTCAGCAAAGGCTTTGACCCAGACTGCAACAAGACAAGCGGCGAGTGCCACTGCAAGGTGACAGCCCCAAGCAAGCCTCCACTGTGGCCACTTGGGCCTCTGTCCACATCTCCTGGGCCCTAGAGGGCAGGCTGTAGGGATGGGTCTTCCTGTAGAGCTGAGGGCCTTGTGCCTTTGCTCTCACAGGCAGGGCAGTTGGCTGCTTACCTTCGTGTGTCTGAGGCGCAGGGGGACCCTGGGCCAATGTGTAACCCATGAGCTCTGGCCTGGTGTGGTGGTGGTTTGCAGCCTGTTCTGATTCTGTGACATCTCGCTGATGGGCTCAACTCCAAAGCATTGCTAGTGTTAATTATTTTGAATACTGCTCCTGAGGGGACCTGAGGTCGGGACCCTCTCCACAGGGGCCACAGCTGAGAAGGACCCATGAGCATCCTGGGAAGAGAGCCTGGCCAGTGACACCGTTCTTCCCTCCTTTCTCAGGAGAACCACTACCGGCCCCCAGGCAGCCCCACCTGCCTCTTGTGTGACTGCTACCCCACAGGCTCCTTGTCCAGAGTCTGTGACCCTGAGGATGGCCAGTGTCCATGCAAGCCAGGTGTCATCGGGCGTCAGTGTGACCGCTGTGACAACCCTTTTGCTGAGGTCACCACCAATGGCTGTGAAGGTGGGGCTCCTGGGATGGGTGGGCAGCCCTCCTTACAGTGTGCTAGGCACCTGCACCCCAGGAAAGCCAGGAAGGGGCTGGTTGCAGGCCTGGGGAGGCCTGGGGAGGCCTAGGGAGGGCTGGGGAGCCTGGGCAGGACAGCAGAGGGAGAGCTGCTCCTGGGTGACCATGTGCTCTTCCCCGCAGTGAATTATGACAGCTGCCCACGAGCGATTGAGGCTGGGATCTGGTGGCCCCGTACCCGCTTCGGGCTGCCTGCTGCTGCTCCCTGTCCCAAAGGCTCCTTTGGTAGGTGTTGGAGGCCCCGATGTGATGTCGAGGACATGGCCTCTGCTGTTAGTGGGATGAGGGCAGGAAGCTCCTGGCTGAAGATCCGGGGACCCCACTTTCTGGCCTCCAGGTCCTGGGATTTCATTTCCCATCTTCCTTGGTTCACATTCCCCCTTCCCCATGTTGCCCAGGTGTGCCTACATCTTGGACTGTTTTGTTTTGTTTTGGTTTGGTTTTTTTTCTGGGACAGAGTCTGTCACTGTCACCCAGGCTGGTGTGCAGTGGCGTGATCTCCGCTCGCTGCAACCTCTGCCTCCCAGGTTCAAGCAATTTTCCTGCCTAAGCCTCTGGCCGCCACCACACCTGGCTAATTTTTTTTTTTTTTTTTTTTTTTTTGTATTTTTAGTAGAGACAGGGTTTCACCATGTTGGCCAGTCTGGTCTCGAACTCCTGACCTCATGATCCGCCTGCCTCGGCCTCCCAAAGTGCTGGGATTACAGGCGTGAGCCACTGCACCCCACCACATTTTGGACTTTTTTTTTTTTTTTTTGAGACGGAGTCTCGCTCTGTCATCAGGCTACAATGCAGTGGCATGATCTCGGCTCTCTGCAACCTCCACCTCACAGGTTCAAGCGATTCTCCTACCTCAGCCTTCCGAGTAGCTGGTACTACAGGCGTGTGCTACCATGCCCAGCTAATTTTTTATATTTTTTTAGTAGAGACAGGGTTTCACCATGTTGGCCAGGATGGTCTCGATCTCTTGACCTTGTGATCAGCCCGCCTCGGCCTCCCAAAGTGCCGAGATTACAGGCGTGAGCCACCGTGCCCAGCCCACATCTTGGACTCTTAACAAAAATGCTGAAAAACCTGCACTGTGCTTGGCATAGGGCTGTGCTAGAGATTCAAAGATGAATCATGCAGGGTTCCAATCGTCAGCTCACCACCGAGTCCTGGAGTTACGCCACCACAAAGGCAGACAGTCTGGGGAGTAGGGGGTGTTGGCTGCTGACCCAGGACACCCAGCCCAGGATGGGGGCTGGCGCTGGTCCTGGACTGGCAATGAGCAGGTTCATAGGCAGGAAGTGGCGGAGAGCACAAAGTGGTGGCTGGAGACAGGCAGGATGGGGGCTCAAGGAGGTCGTATGCCCTGTTCCCCTAGAGCCCATGTGTGGACTGATCTTGCGGAGATTTTTGGCCCTGGTGTTCTACATACCTGTCTTCCTGTTTCACCAGGGCCCTTGTTTGCTAGTTACTGTCCCCGGCCCATGAGGTGCTGGCCTCCAGCAGAACCTCTCAGCCAGTCTCAGGGGCTTCCTGTGTGTCTCCCTGAGGCCGGCCCTTTTGGCTTCCTTCCCCCAGGGACTGCTGTGCGCCACTGTGATGAGCACAGGGGGTGGCTCCCCCCAAACCTCTTCAACTGCACGTCCATCACCTTCTCAGAACTGAAGGGCTTCGTAAGTGAACCCCCTCATCTCCATCTTTTCCCTGTCCTTCGTCCTGAGTCTCACTTGCCCCCACTCCCATCTTTGAGAACGGGGCTTCTGGAATTCCAGCCTGTGTGTTCCTGGGCTCCCAGCTGGAGAGGCCGTCTCTCACCTCCTGAGGTCCTTTTGCTCCAGAGTTCCTGCCCTCACTCCTGCTCCTCCGCTCCGTCCTGTCTAGGCTGAGCGGCTACAGCGGAATGAGTCAGGCCTAGACTCAGGGCGCTCCCAGCAGCTAGCCCTGCTCCTGCGCAACGCCACGCAGCACACAGCTGGCTACTTCGGCAGCGACGTCAAGGTGGCCTACCAGCTGGCCACGCGGCTGCTGGCCCACGAGAGCACCCAGCGGGGCTTTGGGCTGTCTGCCACACAGGACGTGCACTTCACTGAGGTGGGGCTTGGAGGATGCAGGGCTGGCTGGTTAGATAGGGGTCATGGTGAGTGAGCCTGCTCATGGCAACCTGGGGGGCAGAGGGGGCCCTCCCATCCCACCTACAAGGAGCTCCCTGCTGGCAGGAGGCCTCCATGAAACCCTGTGACCCCTGGCCCAGCCCTCTTCCCAACCCTTCTCATAGTAACATATGTGTGTTGGGGCATGGTCTGACCCAGAGCAGAGGCCTGCCTGTGGTACCATGGGCTGGGAGGAAGCAGTATCTCAGGACATGTGTGTGGGTCCAGGCACAGGGCTGGGAAGCTCTTATGTAGAGAATGAGGAGGAGGGCTTAGGGGCAGAGCATCCAGTGACCTGAGTGGGCAGTGCGGTCCAGGAGCATTTCAGGGGAGGCAACAGTGAGCACAGAGGGAGGGGCCTGGTGGGGAGCAGGGACTGGCCCGGGCACAGGCCGGGGCTCCATGGTGGGGATGTCAGGTGTGGGTTGTGAGCACACCCACCGTGACCTTGCCCACCCCAGAATCTGCTGCGGGTGGGCAGCGCCCTCCTGGACACAGCCAACAAGCGGCACTGGGAGCTGATCCAGCAGACAGAGGGTGGCACCGCCTGGCTGCTCCAGCACTATGAGGCCTACGCCAGTGCCCTGGCCCAGAACATGCGGCACACCTACCTAAGCCCCTTCACCATCGTCACGCCCAACATTGGTAAGGCTGGTGCCTGGGTTGGGGAGGGGTTTGTGGAGGGAGTCCCCGACAAGAGCGGCTGTGCTGGGGTCCTGCCTGCCTCACAGGTCCGATCTGTGACCATCCCCTTCCTTAGTCATCTCCGTAGTGCGCTTGGACAAAGGGAACTTTGCTGGGGCCAAGCTGCCCCGCTACGAGGCCCTGCGTGGGGAGCAGCCCCCGGACCTTGAGACAACAGTCATTCTGCCTGAGTCTGTCTTCAGAGGTCAGTGGTGGCCATGGATTGAGTTGGGAGCTGGACCCCAGTGTCTGTGCAGACTCCACAGAGAGCAGGGCCCAGCTAAGTGTGACAGTGTCCCCTCCCAGAGACGCCCCCCGTGGTCAGGCCCGCAGGCCCCGGAGAGGCCCAGGAGCCAGAGGAGCTGGCACGGCGACAGCGACGGCACCCGGAGCTGAGCCAGGGTGAGGCTGTGGCCAGCGTCATCATCTACCGCACCCTGGCCGGGCTACTGCCTCATAACTATGACCCTGACAAGCGCAGCTTGAGGTCAGCAGCTAGGGGACAGGTGTGGGTAGGGGTATGGGTCGGGCGGTGAGTGCTGAGGCATGGAGGGGGTCGGGGGCGTCTCCCCAGTCATGTGACTGCCGTGGTGACTGTGCACCTGACTGCCCCACATCAGAGTCCCCAAACGCCCGATCATCAACACACCCGTGGTGAGCATCAGCGTCCATGATGATGAGGAGCTTCTGCCCCGGGCCCTGGACAAACCCGTCACGGTGCAGTTCCGCCTGCTGGAGACAGAGGAGCGGACCAAGCCCATCTGTGTCTTCTGGAACCATTCAATCCTGTGAGCCTGCACTGCCCTCGCCCCCTCAGGCTTCGGGCTGAAAGTCCAGGCCCCTGCATGCCTCACCCTCCTTGTCTCCCTGACCCTGCCTTCCTCACACAGGGTCAGTGGCACAGGTGGCTGGTCGGCCAGAGGCTGTGAAGTCGTCTTCCGCAATGAGAGCCACGTCAGCTGCCAGTGCAACCACATGACGAGCTTCGCTGTGCTCATGGACGTTTCTCGGCGGGAGGTCGGGCCCACAGGGGCAGCTGCAGAGCCGTGGGTGGGCACCCAGGGCACGGGGCTGGGTGCTCAGGTCCTGCCCTTCCTAATTCCCTGGCCCCCTGCCACCTACTCTGCAGAATGGGGAGATCCTGCCACTGAAGACACTGACATACGTGGCTCTAGGTGTCACCTTGGCTGCCCTTCTGCTCACCTTCTTCTTCCTCACTCTCTTGCGTATCCTGCGCTCCAACCAACACGGCATCCGACGTAACCTGACAGCTGCCCTGGGCCTGGCTCAGCTGGTCTTCCTCCTGGGAATCAACCAGGCTGACCTCCCTGTAAGATGCTCCTACTGCCCAGAAACTGTCCCCACCTTCTCAGGCCGCCTCCCCAGCCCCCACTGGCAACCCCTGCTCCTGCACCATGAACTCTAATAAGGTGCCTAGTGCAGCACCTGGCCCAGGGTTTCCTCTTCTGTGGCTCCCCCGGGATCCCCCAGCACCTGCCTCTGGCCCAGGCTTCCCTGGAAGCAGTTCCCAACACCCAGGCCCTCCTCCATGCCTGACCCGAAGCAGAGCCTGTGCTCTGGGCGGGCCCCGGTCGCTGACCTGCCCTGGCCTGGGCCCTCAGTTTGCCTGCACAGTCATTGCCATCCTGCTGCACTTCCTGTACCTCTGCACCTTTTCCTGGGCTCTGCTGGAGGCCTTGCACCTGTACCGGGCACTCACTGAGGTGCGCGATGTCAACACCGGCCCCATGCGCTTCTACTACATGCTGGGCTGGGGCGTGCCTGCCTTCATCACAGGTACTCCCACCCATTCCCAGTCTTGGGGTCCCACATCCCTGGGTCCACCTTTGTGCCATGTTCTCTCCACCCACATACAGGCCCTGAGGCCCCACATCCCCATGCCCCAGGCCGCCTTATTCACAGGTGTCCCTCTGGTTTAACCCAGACTCTGCAGCCGCCACCCAGGCGTCACTCCCTTATCCTGGGGAGATCGGTAGGGGCCGATGGTGGGCAGAACCCTTTTCCATGCTTCATGCCTGGCCCTGTGAGCCCACCTGCCCGCAGCCCTACTTCCCAGGCCCCTCATCACCCCTCCACTGCTCCCGTCTGTCTCCATGCTCCAGGGCTAGCCGTGGGCCTGGACCCCGAGGGCTACGGGAACCCTGACTTCTGCTGGCTCTCCATCTATGACACGCTCATCTGGAGTTTTGCTGGCCCGGTGGCCTTTGCCGTCTCGGTGAGTGCTAGCAGGTGGGTTGGGTGTCACCTGTGGCCCTCCTTTGCTGTCCTCCTGCTGCTGGGGCCGCGTGTCCTCAGGACTCCCTTTAGGAACAGCTGAGGCCACGGGGCCCTGTGGGCTGGGTGGAAGCTGTTTGTCCCCACTGAGCACCCCATGCCCTCTGCCCCTGCCTAGATGAGTGTCTTCCTGTACATCCTGGCGGCCCGGGCCTCCTGTGCTGCCCAGCGGCAGGGCTTTGAGAAGAAAGGTCCTGTGTGAGTATAGGGTTGGGGTGCCTGGGCCATGGGCAGGCACCAGCATGGGAGGTCTCATGGCCGGACTCATGGCCTGTCCCTATCCCCAGCTCGGGCCTGCAGCCCTCCTTCGCCGTCCTCCTGCTGCTGAGCGCCACGTGGCTGCTGGCACTGCTCTCTGTCAACAGCGACACCCTCCTCTTCCACTACCTCTTTGCTACCTGCAATTGCATCCAGGTACCTGGCCCAGCCTGTGGAGAAGGGAGGCACCTGGGCTGTGGATGCCTGAATATGCACAGACCGTTGCTGCCTCTTGCCTGCCAGGGCCCCTTCATCTTCCTCTCCTATGTGGTGCTTAGCAAGGAGGTCCGGAAAGCACTCAAGCTTGCCTGCAGCCGCAAGCCCAGCCCTGACCCTGCTCTGACCACCAAGTCCACCCTGACCTCGGTGAGGGAGCCAGGGGTCTCAGGAGGGCGGTGAAGGGAGGGAGAGGCAGGAGGCCCAGTGAGCCTGTACTTTTGGCCCCACTCCCCTTTCTCTTTTCTCCATCCCTTCCTGGAAGGTGGAAGGGGAGGTGAAATGCTGTGTTCGGCCTGGGGAGGAGATGTTGGAAAGGGTGTGTAGGATTTTGACTTGAGGGAGATGGGGCTGAGACAGATAATCAGGTAATAAGTGCCTTGCACCTGAGAATCTCTCATGAATTTTAGTAAATTTTCTGTCTCCCAAGGTGCTCTCAGGAGACAATTTCTGGTCTCATCTTTTACAGAGCCATTATATAGTGAGTCCAGGATCCCTGGGGGCATGCAGGGGTAGCACAGCTGTGGCAGAGCTGTGACCACTGCCAGGCCTCAATATGGGGACAGCGGAGAAGCAGGGCCCTCTCTTTCAGACCTGAGCATGTGGAAGGTGGAACTTAGGGCAAGTTCCCTCCACCCTCCTTCTTCCCAGCCTGGGGCCAGCCATCCCACTCCCCACTTACTGACCTCTCTGTTCCCTGCCTAGTCCTACAACTGCCCCAGCCCCTACGCAGATGGGCGGCTGTACCAGCCCTACGGAGACTCGGCCGGCTCTCTGCACAGCACCAGTCGCTCGGGCAAGAGTCAGCCCAGCTACATCCCCTTCTTGCTGAGGTGAATCCCGGAGATGGGAGGGTGGAGGAGGGGAGGAGGGGCCCACGCATGCTGGACCCAGGCCAGCCAGCTGTTGGGAGTTGAGGAGCACACACTGTGGCTGACGTGGGGGCCAGCTTGGATTAGAAGCTGTAAGGGACCCACAGCAGGAACCAGGATCCCAGGGGAGAGGAGAGACTGGGACCCTGGGCAAGGGGCCAGGCTGACCCCTCCAGCATGGTCTCATCTTCCTAGGGAGGAGTCCGCACTGAACCCTGGCCAAGGGCCCCCTGGCCTGGGGGATCCAGGCAGCCTGTTCCTGGAAGGTCAAGACCAGCAGCATGGTGAGGACAGAACGCTCTGGCCACCCAGCAGGGCAGTTGGCTGGCTTTTACTGAAGGTGGGTGGAGGTGGCTGGGCTGGCTGTGATCTCTCCCTGGCCTCCTAGATCCTGACACGGACTCCGACAGTGACCTGTCCTTAGAAGACGACCAGAGTGGCTCCTATGCCTCTACCCACTCATCAGACAGTGAGGAGGAAGAAGAGGAGGAGGAAGAGGAGGCCGCCTTCCCTGGAGAGCAGGGCTGGGATAGCCTGCTGGGGCCTGGAGCAGAGAGACTGCCCCTGCACAGTACTCCCAAGGGTGGGCCAGCACTGGGGCTGTGGCCTTTGGGGCCAGTGGGAGGACAGTGGGCCTGGGGTTCTTGGGAAGCAGGACTGGGGTGGTGGCCTCCTGGCTATCTGCCCTCTGTGGGCCTCATCTACTTCCTTTCCCCACCAGATGGGGGCCCAGGGCCTGGCAAGGCCCCCTGGCCAGGAGACTTTGGGACCACAGCAAAAGAGAGTAGTGGCAACGGGGCCCCTGAGGAGCGGCTGCGGGAGAATGGAGATGCCCTGTCTCGAGAGGGGTCCCTAGGCCCCCTTCCAGGCTCTTCTGCCCAGCCTCACAAAGGTGAGTGGGGCACCCCCAGCTGCCGAGCTCCCCTAGTCAGCAGCCTCATACCTCACATTCTCCTGTGGCCGCACCTCACAGCCCCGCCCCGGCCCACAGGCATCCTTAAGAAGAAGTGTCTGCCCACCATCAGCGAGAAGAGCAGCCTCCTGCGGCTCCCCCTGGAGCAATGCACAGGGTCTTCCCGGGGCTCCTCCGCTAGTGAGGGCAGCCGGGGAGGCCCCCCTCCCCGCCCACCGCCCCGGCAGAGCCTCCAGGAGCAGCTGAACGGGGTCATGCCCATCGCCATGAGCATCAAGGCAGGCACGGTGGATGAGGACTCGTCAGGCTCCGAGTGAGTGTGGCCGGGTGGGCGGGACGGGGTGCAGCCCCTCGGAGGCCTCACCTGGGCCCAGAGCTGCCTCCGGGCCTCCCCAGGTGACTCTGGATGGCATTTGGAGGACAAATGGGCAGAACTGGCCCAGCTCCCTTACTATGCCGTGCCCACAAACCATGGTGCCTTGCGGGGAGGGCCACCCCTCCTAGGCTCTACGCGGCGCAGCCCAGCCTAGGGCAGAGTGCGGGAGGATGGGGAGCTGGGGGTGCTTTCCTGTTTCCTTCGTCTGGTGAAAGCTTTCACTCTCTCCTCTGTTTCAACTAACCCTCTGTCTGCCTTTTCTGCCACTTTCCTTTCCTGCCTCTCCAGATTTCTCTTCTTTAACTTCCTGCATTAACCCTGGGCCGTGGTTCCTACGCCCGAGGCTCCCTTCCCTTCCCCAGCCGCACTCATGCCCTGCTCCTGTCTTGTGCTTTATCCTGCCCCGCTCCCCATCGCCTGCCCGCAGCAGCGACGAAACGTCCATCTGAGGAGCCTGGGCCTTGCCGGGAGGGGTACTCACCCCACCTAAGGCCATCTAGTGCCAACTCCCCCCCCACCATTCCCCTCACTGCACTTTGGACCCCTGGGGCCAACATCTCCAAGACAAAGTTTTTCAGAAAAGAGGAAAAAAAGAATTTAAAAAAGGATCTCCACTCTTCATGACTTCAGGGATTCATTTTTTTTATACGCTGGAAATTGACTCCCCTTTCCCTTCCCAAAGAGGATAGGACCTCCCAGGATGCTTCCCAGCCTCTCCTCAGTTTCCCATCTGCTGTGCCTCTGGGAGGAGAGGGACTCCTGGGGGGCCTGCCCCTCATACGCCATCACCAAAAGGAAAGGACAAAGCCACACGCAGCCAGGGCTTCACACCCTTCAGGCTGCACCCGGGCAGGCCTCAGAACGGTGAGGGGCCAGGGCAAAGGGTGTGCCTCGTCCTGCCCGCACTGCCTCTCCCAGGAACTGGAAAAGCCCTGTCCGGTGAGGGGGCAGAAGGACTCAGCGCCCCTGGACCCCCAAATGCTGCATGAACACATTTTCAGGGGAGCCTGTGCCCCCAGGCGGGGGTCGGGCAGCCCCAGCCCCTCTCCTTTTCCTGGACTCTGGCCGTGCGCGGCAGCCCAGGTGTTTGCTCAGTTGCTGACCCAAAAGTGCTTCATTTTTCGTGCCCGCCCCGCGCCCCGGGCAGGCCAGTCATGTGTTAAGTTGCGCTTCTTTGCTGTGATGTGGGTGGGGGAGGAAGAGTAAACACAGTGCTGGCTCGGCTGCCCTGAGGGTGCTCAATCAAGCACAGGTTTCAAGTCTGGGTTCTGGTGTCCACTCACCCACCCCACCCCCCAAAATCAGACAAATGCTACTTTGTCTAACCTGCTGTGGCCTCTGAGACATGTTCTATTTTTAACCCCTTCTTGGAATTGGCTCTCTTCTTCAAAGGACCAGGTCCTGTTCCTCTTTCTCCCCGACTCCACCCCAGCTCCCTGTGAAGAGAGAGTTAATATATTTGTTTTATTTATTTGCTTTTTGTGTTGGGATGGGTTCGTGTCCAGTCCCGGGGGTCTGATATGGCCATCACAGGCTGGGTGTTCCCAGCAGCCCTGGCTTGGGGGCTTGACGCCCTTCCCCTTGCCCCAGGCCATCATCTCCCCACCTCTCCTCCCCTCTCCTCAGTTTTGCCGACTGCTTTTCATCTGAGTCACCATTTACTCCAAGCATGTATTCCAGACTTGTCACTGACTTTCCTTCTGGAGCAGGTGGCTAGAAAAAGAGGCTGTGGGCAGGAAAGAAAGGCTCCTGTTTCTCATTTGTGAGGCCAGCCTCTGGCTTTTCTGCCGTGGATTCTCCCCCGTCTTCTCCCCTCAGCAATTCCTGCAAAGGGTTAAAAATTTAACTGGTTTTTACTACTGATGACTTGATTTAAAAAAAATACAAAGATGCTGGATGCTAACTTGGTACTAACCATCAGATTGTACAGTTTGGTTGTTGCTGTAAATAGGGTAGCGTTTTGTTGTTGTTGTTTTTTCATGCCCCATACTACTGAATAAACTAGTTCTGTGCGGGTACAGCACTGTCACTGTCCGCTTCTGTGTGGTACCCTGTCCTCCCACAGGGAGGAAGGTCTGGTCTCTGGAAAACAGAAGAGCCGGCAGGGCCCAGAAGGCCCCACCGGGAGGTCGGGAGACTCAGACACCACTGGCTGATAAGCCTGTCCCTCTGCCCATGTCCATGACACTGCTCCCAAATAGCTGGATCAGCACAGAGCCCATTTCCTGGCATTTCCAAGGAAGACATGGTGGGCGGGCAGGAAGGTGTCCTTTTCACCAGGACGGAAAGGACTTCTACGGTGGGAGAGGCTGCACGGGGCAGGCAGCCTTCCAGCCCAGCCCCTCAGGGCTGAGTCCTAGACAGGGATGAGTTTTCTGGGGCAGAATTCAAGAAGCAGGGAGGGCTGCATTGAGAGGCTGGTTGGAATTGAATGGTGGTCAGTGACTCAGTGCCTCCTAACTATACTGCTCAGGGTTGTTTTTTGTTTTTTTTTTCCCATTGGAAAATGAAGCAGCTACTCATACTGAAGCCAAGTGTGTGCTTTGCAACATTACTTCTCAGCCTAAGTTTTGTTTTTGTGTATATATATGATATATATTTAAAAGTATATATGCTTTTTAAATTTAATAGAGGCGGGGTCTCACTATGTTGATCAGGCTGGTCTTGAATTCCTAGGCTCAAGTGATCCTCCCGCCTTGGCCTCCCAAACTGGGGTCACAGATATGAGCTACCGCATCCGGCCTAGTTCCAAGTTTTGTGTTTGTCGAAGTTCCATTCAATAAACTAGAAAGGCAGCTGGGTGCGGTGGCTCATGCCTGTAATCCCAGCACTTTGGGAGGCCGAGGTGGACAGATCACCTGAGATCAGGAGTTTGAGACTAGCCTGGGCAACATGGTGAAACTCTGTCTCTACTAAAAATACAAAAAAATTAGCTGGGTGCGGTGGTACATGCCTGTAATCGCAGCTACTCCAGGGGCTGAGACAGGAGAATCACTTGAACCTGGGAGGTGGAGATTGCAGTGAGCTGAGATCGTGCCACTGCACTCCAGCCTGGGTGACAGAGCGAGGCTCCATCTCAAAACAAACAAAAAAACTAGAAAGGGAGTTAACCTGGGGACAATATAGGGTGATGATTAAGAACACAAACCCTAGCTGGGCAGTGGTTCACGCCTGTAATCCCAATACTTTGGGAGGCCAAGGCATGTGGATCACTTGAGGCCAGGAGTTAAGAGACCAGCCTGGCCAACATGGTGAAACCCATATCTACAAAAAATACAAAAAAGCCAGCTGTGGTGGTGCATGCCTGTAGTCCCAGCTACTAGGGAGGCTGAGGTGGGAGGATGGCTCAAACCCAGGAAGTAGAGGCTGCAGTGAGCCAAGATCGCACCACTGCACTCCAGCCTGGGTAATAGAGCCAGACCTTGTCTCAAAAAAAAAAAAAAAAGGACACAAACCCTAGAACCAGACTGAATGACTTAATCTTTCTGAGCCTTAAGTTTCTCTGCCCACAAAATGAGGATGATGATAAAAGCATCCACCTAATTGAGCTTTTATGAGGATTAAGTGAGTTAACACATGTAGAGTGCTTGGAAGAGTTCATAGTACATAGTAAGAGGCCAGTAAACACTGGCTTTCTGTGTTGTTGCTACTGGGTGCAATGGAAGAGTGCACAGAGAGAAAAAGTAGAAAGCCAGGCCCAAAGGGAAGGAGACAGGCAGGTGGCTGAACAAGAAGGGCAGCCATGGCAGGAGGGCCTCCTCCCTGACTGGCACTGCTTACTGAAAGTGCTGCTGAAGCAGGTTTAGAGTGGGAGGAGGTGGGGTGGGGACAAAACTCAAGGCTGACCAAGAGGGCGAACAGGATGTGCCATGCCCTCTCCAGCCGCCAGGTGGCAACAACACATGGGTCTGCAGCTTGTTTTGCCTCTAAGGACCCACCCTGGACATGGCTCCACACAAACATGTCACCTTCTGGCCTCACCCAGGTGTGTACCTAAGCCTGCTGACCTTCCAGTGCTTCTATTGGCCCAGGAGCCACCAACAGGCCCTGCTCACTAGACACCAGTGCAGGGCGCAGCTGGGAAGCACACCTGAGGTTTCTTGCCTTACGCCAAATTTCTCCAGAGCTGAATACTCCGTGTCTGTCTGCATACCCCTTCCCTCCCACCGATTCCTGGAATCCCAGAGGCTGCGGGAGTTGCTGCAGAATTCAGGGAAAGGTGCATATCTAGGCATTGTCACTGAAGTAGGTGAATGTGCCAGGTGAACCTTGGAATCAGCCACAAAAAGGGGAAAGCAGTGATGGGCCTCTGGCTCCAGGGACAGGGCAAGGACACTTTGGTGCCTAAGTCAGGCATTTATGGCCAAATAGGCATGGGTGGGGGCACCAGCTGGCAGTCCCACTTCTCTTTGCCCACTTACCTGCTGCTTTTCTCAAGTCATGGCCTGACCTTCAGGGAGGGAAGTTTCCTCAAAACTCAGAAGGAATTGAATTGGTTCTGATTACTAGAGTTAAAGGCTGCAAAAAAAGGGAGGCCCTACACCAAATCTGTTAAACGTGTCTTTGTTATTCCTTCAACAAACACCATCTTGCACTCGAATATCTTCTGAATAAATAAACTAAATGCTCTGCTACACACAGGTCACAACACTAGGGTACTGCAGAGGTTTCCGGATCCTGACGCTCACCCCCAAGTCTAACAGGGGAGATGAGGAGAGCACAGACAACCCCAGTGATGTTAGTTGGAGCCTGACTAGGTGTTCCAGCAGCTCTGGCTGAGGTGATCAGGGAAGATGAACACCACCAAAGGGCCTTCACGTCTCACAGGGAGAGCAAACAAGAAGCTGGTGCGTTTCTAGGAGGCTCCATTATTTTGCCAGTAAAGGACATTCAAGTTTAGGATATAAATAAGAATCTACCTAGATCCTAGCTTAATAGCCTCACATACTGTGAATTAAGCTACACTTAACTTTCATCTGGACCTTCCAATGATACCTGAGACCTGGGGAAAGGCAGCCTGTCCTTGTCTAATGCCAACAAGGGGAGCAGTCACAGCCTGATAAGCTGGAATCTCAAGGCCCTAGGGCCTATTCAGGCCCCTGCCTAGGAGGCCCATCCTGGCTCCCTGCCTGGAATTAGAGATTTACTCCAAATTTGTTAGAAATTGGAGCAGGGGGCTGGGTGCGGTGGCTCACACCTGTAATCCCAGCACTTTGGGAGGCCGAGGCGGGCGGATCACGTGAGGTTGAGAGTTCAAGACCAACCTGACCAACATGGAGAAACCCCATCTCTAGTAAAAATACAAAATGAGCCAGATGTGGTGGTGCATGCCTGTAATCCCAGCTACTCGGGGCGGCTGAGGCAGGAGAATCCCTTGAACCCGGGAGACAGAGATTGCAGTGAGCTGAGATCGCACCATTGTGCTCCAGCCTGGGCACCAAGAACAAAACTCCGTCTCAAAAAAAAAAAAAAAAAAAAAAAGAGAAATTGGAGCAGGGGCTGGGTGCGGTGGCTCACACCTGTAATCCCAGCACTTTGGGAGGCTGAGGCGGGTGGATCACCTGAGGTTAGGAGTTTGAGACCAGCCTGGCCAACATGGTGAAACCCCGTCTCTACTAGAAATACAAAAAATTAGCCGGACGTGGGTGGCAGGCGCCTGTAATCTCAGCTACTCGGGAGGCTGAGAAAGGAGAATTGCTTGAACCCAGAAGGTGGAAGTTGCAGTGAGCCCAGATCGCGCCATTAAACTCCAGCCTGGGTGACAGAGCAAGATTCTGTCTAAAAAAAGAGAAAGAAATAGGAGCAGGATCGACTTCCAGATATACAGAGAATATAAAAATACATTCACTTTATTTTAGAAAAATGAAGACTCATAGAGTAAGCTTATCACAAACTGGCCTATTAGGAGTCACAGAATTCACAGGAAACAATTTCTGAAGACCAGGTGCCTGCTGCCACCTCTCCAAGCAGGCCAGAGTCCAGTAGAGAATGCGATTCAGGAAGATGGCTCCTCAGAGGGCAGGGAGGTTAGCTACGGAGGCCGCTCACGTGGAAATGTCCAGTGAACCAATGCCAAGGAAGAAGATAAAATTCTCTGGGGCTGACCACAACAGTGGGGGTGGATAAAGACAAACCACTTGCCTGTACTTCTCATCTTCTATTTGTTCATTTCACTGCTGGAAGGTGACCTCTTTTCCCCTAATCTTCTTTCAACCCAGAGAGTTTAAGTCTTCTCCAGCTCAATCCTAATCCACCCCATTTCCCATGGTCTCTACTCCTGGGAGACCAGCCCTGGTGGCATCTCTTCCTCCTGTCCCTGGGCCAGAATCTGCTGGAGTCAGGGTCTGCTGGGTAGAGGCGAGTCCAGGTACTGACTGTAGTGGTTTGCTACTGAAGTCTTGCTTGCTGTCCTGATCTCTTTACCTAAAGAAATAGAAGGAATAACTGCTTTAAAATGCCCTTCTTCCTCAAGCCCATTTGTCACCCAGCAGAATTCAAGCTCCTCAGGGTGGGAAGAAATGGGATCCCCCTTCCCCTGCCCCAGGCTCCCCTCCTCTCTCCATCTTTCCATACAAAATTCAGGGCTGATGTGCATAACAGCTTGGAATCCCAGATGATGGCGGGGTAGGGAGACAGGATGGGCAAGGGAGGACCAGACTGACCTGGTAGGTCCTGGGACTGCCACTTTCCTGGGGGGCTGCAGATTGCTGCGAGTGGCACCCATGACAGGAAGATTTAGTCGCTGGGAAACAGGAACTTCATGGGGGTTAACAAAAGAAATGAGTTAGCAGCAAGTTTAACTGACCTCGAAAAGAAATACTGGATGAAGGGAGCGAGTGTGGGATTAGTACTCTCCCCCTGACCATGAGGTATTTGAAAACTAAGACTCAGACTCTGTCCAGCCCCATATCCTCTCTGTAACTCAGTCTCCCCATCTTCCAATTGAATTGCAATAAGGATGGCAAAAGTGGTCACTGTTGACAGCTCTGGGAGGGTGAGGACACGCTGGGCAAGGGCGGGCATTCTTCCTCCTGACCTCTTACCCTTGTGTCCACTTTCCCGCACTCTGTGTCCTGCAGTGCTTGGTCTTGGAAGCCCTTTTCGAGTTGACAGAGAATCCGGAGGTAGGGCACCTCTGCCAGGTGGCACACTCCGGCTGGTGAGTGGCATTCGGCTGGCAGGCCTGGGGATGGCCGAGGGAATGGGCAGTTGACTGGAAGATTTAGCAGCTGCTCCCTGCGGCCGGGGCAGGCGTTGAGAGTTGCTGGTAGAAGGCTGTGGGGCCAGGACGGATCTGATGGGGGTGGGTGGGCCTGGTGGAGAGGGGTGGAGAAATTTCAGGGTCAATCCCACAAACTCCCCACTCCCACTCACCCGCAACTTGGCTGCTCTGGTCTCCTCACTGGCTGCTGCTCTCCCACTGGGCCCGGCTCTCCCCCGGACTGGGGGAGTCGATCGGGTAAGAGGAGAAGATGCTGGGCTTTTGGATGCAGGGAACAGATTGCAAGTGGGTGACTCCTGAAACACAAAGAGAGAGAGAAAAAAGACTAGAGTGGAAAAAATATCTGTTCTGTGGCTTAAGGAATTAAGAAATAGAGGTGGAGAGTTGTCTACATCCCAGTAAGGAAGGGTAGAAGTTAGCTGCTAACATCACCACATCACCATCACCATCACTATTGCCAATACCATTTATTGAGTTTATCATAGACATATACTCAGACACTGTGGTAAGAGTTTTGGTTCTCTTTTTTCATGGTTCTCATTTAATTCCAACAATTCTAGATGTAGAAATGCTATCCCTGTTTTACCAATAAGGAAACCACTCCCTGCATCATGGCACACACCATGTCTGGGGCACACCTCCAACTCAACTCTCTCAACTCACCCTCTTCATGTTGGAGGGCCTCTTTCCAGATGTAGCCCGGAGAGCCCTGACTGACCCCTTCCTATCATTACTCCGGAGTCGAGGCGTCAGGCTGCTTGGGGAGGGGGTGCTCCGCGTCAAAGAGTTCACAGTGGGCAGCAGGTCTCGGACAGGACTATCCTTCAGCACAAAGGTCTCCCGCCGAGGACTGGGCTTCACTCGGCGAGGCCCCAGGCCCTCGCCTGCGCTCTCCCGATCCTGCAGGGCACACTGCTCCAGCTGAGCGGCCAGCCGGTTGGCCTCATCGAGGATCTCCTCCAGCTTCTCTGGACTGAGGGGGCCTAGGCTGAGCCTCACACCCTGGGGGGCAGGTGCCACTGCATTTGGGTCACTTCGGTGGGAGAGGCCCCGTCGAAGTGGTTTCTCTGGAGTCACCAACACTGTTATGTCTTCCTCCTCACGGCTGAGACAGGAAACAAACCAGGCATCATGCCCATGCAAAAGGGAACAGGAGATTATGCAAGGGAGACTGCATAAAAGCCCCACAACAGAGCCAGGGACATGACCCTAGGCCCCGATGCCCATGCTGGCTGTGAGATGTGGCCTCTGGGCGATGAGATACCTGGTTCTATGGGGCCTAATAGGCCTTTAGCATTTACGGACATCAGAAATGATGCCAGGATGGAGATGCAGCAAATCCACTTATCCTTCTTCTTAACACCCTGAAATCTAACTCCAGCTTCTCCCTTCTCTCCCCGCTACCAATAGTGTCATAGAGGCCCGAGTCAGCCAGCCGCCCAGCAGCCCCAAGTGCGCCAAACCTTGCTAAGTTACCAACCCAAGCCAATAATTCAGCAGTAAGGGATTCGAGACAAAGAGGTACTGTTAGAGGAAAATAAGTGGGATAAAGAGGCTGGTACCTGTCAGATGGTGACAGCCCCCCAAAGTCCAAGGTCTCATCCACAATAAACCTTACATCTGAAGGGGAAAGAAGAATGAAAGCCAGTCATGGGTCCCTGATGCAGCTCTCCATCGCTGGGTCTCACTCCTCCCTTTCATTCTTCCCTCCCTCCTTTCCTTACCTTCCTCCAAATCCTCCATGTCCAGCCAGCAGGAGCGAGAGTCCAGTTAGATCTGAGCTGGAGAGAAACCATACCTTTCCTCAGGTATCCATTCTGCCCAAGGCTCGCAGCTAGATTCAGGGTGCAAGCCAGGGTCGGGGGTCATGCTGGAGGCAAAGCAAGCGCCCAGGAGTGGCACCTCCCGCACAGCTACTCCTGCTACCTCCGGGAACGATACGGAGGGCTCCCCCAACTGCCCAGATTGCCCTGGAGCCGCCCTGCATCCTGGCCTCTCCTCACTGGGGGCGGCCTGCACGCCCCATCTTCCTCCCCGCCACTATCCTCAGGGTTCTGCACTCCCCAAGCCACCTTTCCACTCCCCTGGCATCACACGCGAAGCACACCTCCAGCCCACCCTGTGTCCACTTCCCGCGCCGCCTTATCTTCCACGCAACAGGCTTTCTCCCGCAACCTAGTCCCGGGAATCAGCTCCGAGGGGGCGGGGCTCCTTTCGAATCTCTCAGGCCCCACCTACTCAAGCCACACGCGCACCGTGATTGGTGAATCCTCAGGGGGAGGGGCTGAGGAGCTGCCGGCCGGAAGTCAGCCGGTGGGGGCTGGGGGAGAACCGTTCCCAGAAGACTGCATCCCGGTGGCGGAGCCGAGGGTTGAGGCTGCGAGTGCGCGTGCTCGCGTGCGCGGAGACTCTCTTTCCCGTAGGCAGATGGGAGCAGAGCGCGGCTGGCCAGGAGGGAAGAAACGGACCCACGAGTATGGAACTCGCGCCCCGCCCCGCTCCCTCTGCTGGGCCGCCGAGCACCCAGTCTCCAGAACGGTTGTGCTGCCTAACGTGGCCGCTAACCGACGCTCTACGGGAGGAAATTCGTTTTCTTGGGCGCACTCAATATGCAGGCGCCGCATTGGCCGAGGTTCCTCAGTTGTGGGTTTTTTCCAAGTTAAGGGAGCACCTAAACACTTATATTGTAGGTATATTGAGGTTCTCTTAGAAGTACATCCTCCATCGCCTCTTCAAGAACCTGAGGCAGCTGAGGTGCAAAGAAAGCAACGGGCTTTTCACGCAGGCAGGCTTAGGTTCAAATGCAACCCAAGTTTAACTGACCTCAGAACCCAAGTTTCGGTTTAGAGGCGGCTGCCTTGAGTATATTTGCCCTCTTTTCACCTCTCTTCGCTTATCTGTGAAAGGAGGATGTTGGTCCTCGCAGTTACGGTGTTACGAGGATAATTATGAAGGCGTTTTCTACCGTGTGCCCTTAGGGGATTTAGAGGGGGTGTTTGTAAGTAGCCCCCTCTGAACTAAAAGCAGTATTTGTAAAATGCTTAAACCAACTTGTTAGGAGTGTTGTCTCTGTTGTTTCTAAATGTTGCCCGGGCCACCAGTGAACTTGTCAGAGGCTTCAAACCAGAACGACTCCATCTGGAATAGAGGCTGGGTAAAATAAGGTTGAGACCTGGGCTGTATTCCTAGGAGGTTAGGCATTCTAAGTCACAGGATGAGATAGGAGGTTGGCACAAGATACAGGTCACAAAGACCCTGGTGGTAAAACAGCATGCGGTAAAGAAGCCAGCCAAAACCTACCGAAACCAAGATGGCGATGAAACTGACCTCTGGAGGTCCTCAGTCCTCATTATACGCTAATTATAATGTATTAGCATGCTAAAAGACACTCCAGACAGCATCACCACGGTTTACAAATACCATGGCAACATCAGGAAATTACCCTACATGGTCTAAAAAGGGGAGGAATTCTTAGTTCCAGGGAGTTGCCTACCCCTTTCCCGGAAAACTCATGAATAATTCATCCCTTGTTTAGCATATAATCAAGAAATAACCATAAAAATGGCCAACCAGCAGCCCTCCGGGCTGCTCTGCCTCTGGAGTAGGCATTCTTTATCCCTTTTCTTTCTTAATAAACTTGCTTTCACTTTATGGACTTGCCCTGAATTATTTCCTATGCAAGGGCCAAGAACCCTCTCTTGGGGTCTGGATCCGGACCCCTTTCTGGTAACAACAGGAGGAGACAGCAGGTCCGCACAAGATACAGATCTCAAACATCCCTCTAATAAAACGGTGCAGTAAAGAAGCCGGCCAAATCTGCCAGAAACCAAGATGGTAAAGAAAGTAGGCCAGGCGCGGTGGCTCACGCCTGTAGTCCCAGCACTTTGGGAGGCCGAGGCGGGCGAATCACGAGGTCAGGAGATCCAGACCATCCTGGCTAACACGGTGAAACCCCGTCTGTACTAAAAATACAAAAAATTAGCCGGGCGTGGTGGCGGGCCCCTGTAGCCCCAACTACTCGGGAGGCTGAGGCAGGAGAATGGCGTGAACTTGGGAGGCAGAGCTTGCAGTGAGCCGAGATCGCACCTCCGCACTCCAGCCTGGGCGACAGAGTGAGACTCCGTCTCAAAAAAAAAAAAAAAGAAAGTGACAGCTGGTCATCCTCACTGCTTATTATATGCTAGTTGTAATTCATTAGCATGCTAAAAGACACTCCTGCCAGCGTCCTGACAGTTTACAAATGCTATGGCAACGTCTATATGGTATAAAAGGGAGAGGAGCCTTCAGTTCCAGGAAATCATGCTCCTTTCCCAGAAAACCTATGAATAATCCACCCCTTGTTTAGCATATAATCAAGAAATAACCATAAAAATAGCTTACCAGCAGCCCTTGGGGCTGCTCTATGGAGTAGCCATTCTTTTATTCCTTTACTTTCTTAATAAATTCACTTTCACTTTACTCTGTGGACCCGTCCTGAATTCTTTCTTTTGAAAGATCAAAGAATCCTCACTTGGGGTCTGGATGGATCAAGACCCCTTTCCAGTAATAAACTGAGCTCCTAGAAAGGTTCTGAATATTTAAAGTGAAAAAGCCCTAAGGGAATGGTTGAGGAGCTTTCTGGTAAACAGAACCTGAGCTTTAGTCCTCAGAGTTCATGCCCATTTTTTTGGCCATTTATAGGCTTTCTTGTTTACTTTCTAGTTTTTGGCTGTGACGTTGAGGTGGTGAGGTCTGCAGGAGTGAGATGTCACTGTAATAAATGCCACCAGAGACCAAGAAGCTGGAAACCAAAAATAAAATTCTAAGCCCCCCAACCAACTGAATGGACCCCTTCTCTCTGACAAGGGCATTCCAGATTTAACCTGGAAAACTAGTTCAGGCCATAATGGAAAGTGGGGGTTGGACATGCCTCATTATACTCTCTGCCCTTTGGGAATCAGGCACAGCTGACCAACATTAACATTAAAACAGAGATCTGGCCAGGGGGCGGTGGCTCACGCCTGTAATCCCAGCCCTTTGGGAGGCCGAGGCAGGCAGATCATCTGAGGTCGGGAGTTCAAGACCAGCCTGGCCAACGTGGTGAAACACCATCTCTACTAAAAGTACAAAAAAATTAGCCGGGCATGGTGGTAGGCACCTGTAATCCCAGCTACTTGGGAGACTGAGGCAGGAGAATCGCTTGAACCCAGGAGGCGGGGGTCGCAGTGAGCTATCACGCCACTGCACTCCAGTCTGGGTGACAGAACGAGACACTGTCTCAAAAACAAAAAAAACAAACAACAACAATAACAACAACAAAACCACAAAGATCTTAAGGCTAAGGAAACAGACTTTTTTTTTTTTTTTTTTTTTTGAGATGGAGTCTCACTTTGTTGCCCAGGCTGGAGTGCGGTGGTGCAATCTCAGCTCATTGCAACCTCTGCCTCCTGAGTTCAAGCGATTCTCCCGTCTCAGCCTCCCGAGTAGCTGGAATTACAGGCACACGCCACCAAGCCCAGCTAATTTTTGTATTTTTAGTAGAGATGGTGTTTCGCCATGGCCGTGAACTGCCTCAGGTGATCCGCCCACCTTGGCCTCCCAAAGTGCTGGGATTACAGGGATGAACCACCACGCTTGGCCAGAAACAGACTTTTTGTAGCAATAATATTACTGGAAAGGGGTCCCAATCCAGACCCCAAGTGAGGGTTCTTGGATCTCACACGAGAAAGAATTCAAGGCGAGTCCATAAAGTGAAAGCAAGTTGATTAAGAAAGTAAAGGAATAAAGAATGGCTACTCCATAGGCAGAGCAGCCCGAGGGCTGGTGGTTGCCCATTTTTATGATTATTTCTTGATGATATGCTAAACAAGGGGTGGATTATTCATGCCTCCTTTTTTTAGACCATATAGGGTAACTTCTGGATGTTGCCATGGCATTTGTAAACTGTCATGGTGCTAGTGGGAGTGTAGCAGTGAGGTCACTCTCATCATCGTCTTGGTTTTGGTGGGTTTTAGCCGGCTTCTTTACTGCAACTTGTTTCATCAGCAAGGTCTTTATGACCTGTATCTTGTGCTGACCTCCTTAGGATCTCATCTTGTTACTTAGAATTCCTGTCTGGGAATGCAGCCCAGTAGGTCTCAGCCTTATTTAACCAGCCCCTATTCAAGATGGAATTGCTCTGGTCGAAACGCCTCTGACAATAAGACGCCAAATTCCAGCCTGATTCTAGTATAGTATCACATGACAGACAGTAGGCCCTGAAAGAAATTAAAGTATTTTACCTCAAAATATATTTTTCTTTTCTTTTTCTTTTTTTAGAAGCAAATGAAGGACAAAGTTTACTGTTCTTTTTTTTTTTTTCCTTTTGTTGTTGTTGTTGTTGAGACGGAGTCTCACTCTGTTGCCTAGGCTGGAGTCCAGTGGCACGATCTTGGCTCACTGCAAGCTCCACTTCCCGGGTTCACGCCATTCTCCTGCCTCAAGTGGCTGGGACTACAGGCACCTGCCATCATGTCTGGCTAATTTTTTGTATTTTTAGTGGAGACGGGGTTTCACCGTGTTAGCCAGGATCGTCTCGATCTCCTGACCTCGTGATCCGCCCGCCTCGGCTTCCCAAAGTGCTGGGATTACAGGCGTGAGCCACCGCACCCGGCCCACAAAATTTATTTTAAAAGATGCTGCAAATTCACTCATCTGCTTCAAATAACTCCTGTCCTTTGGGATCCAGTTATGGGCAATGTACACGAGACTTTACCAGTGCAATATATATATTTTCAATAGGTCTTTGGGGAACAGGTGGGGTTTGGTTACATGAATAAGTTCTTTATGGTGATTTCTGAGATTTTGGTGCACCCATCACCCAAGCAGTGTACATTGCACCCAATTTGTAGTCTTTTATCCCTCACCCCATCCCACCCTTTCCCTGAGTCCCCAAAGTCCATTGTATCATTTTTATGCCTTTGTGTTCTCATAACTTAGCTCTTACCAAAATATATTTCTTTGACATATTTTGAAATGGCCCTGCAGAGCTGTGTCTTGTGGGGAAGATCTACATTCTGTAGAGAATTCCTGTTCCTTCCCAGGTCTTTTCCCTGATCCAGGAGAGAACTAGGAGTCTGGCACCTTTTTAGGTCTGATAAGAGCTCTGAAGTCTGCTACCTGGAGGCTTCACCTGCATAATAAATCCTTGGTCTCCATAACTTTTTATCTTAACCCAGACATTCCTTTCAATTGGTTCCAGGTCTTGGATAATAACTCTTTTAACCAATTGCCAATCAGAAACCCCCCCTTTTTTTCTTTTTTTTTTTGAGATGGAGTCTTACTCTGTTGCCTAGGCTAGAGTGCAGTGGCGTGATCTCGGCTCACTGCAAGCTCCGCCTCCTGGGTTCACGCCATTCTGCTGCCTCAGCCTCCCGAGTAGCTGTGACTACAGGCGCCCGCCACCGCACCTGGCTAATTTTCTGTACTTTTAGTAGAGATGGGATTTCACCATGTTAGCCAGGATGGTCTTGATCTCCTGACCTCGTGATCCGCCCTCCTCGGTCTCCCAAAGTGCTGGGATTACAGGCGTGAGCCACTGTGCCCTGCAGAAAACCTTTGAATCTGCCTATGACCTGGAAGCCCCTCCACCCATGCTTCAAGTTGCCCGGCGTTTCAGGTTGAACCAATGTACATCTCACATGGATTGACTGATGTCTGATGTCTCCCTGAAGTGATTAAAACCAAGCCATAGCCCCACCACTTTGGGCACATGTTGTCAGGATCTTCTGGGGCTGTGTCAGGGGACCTTGGTCACTCATACTTGGCTCAGAAGAAATCTCTTCAAATATTTTATGGAGTTTAACTCTTTTCATTGACAGAGCCTATTAGAATTTAGGGTGGGAAGACCCAGAACTTGCAAGTTTATGTGAGGAAGAGCAGAGAGAAGAGGATTGCCTCTTCTGCTAATGAAGATGGAATGTCAGTTGCTTGCAGGATTTAGGGTACATGGAGGGTGGGAGAATTAGAGCCAAGTAGGGCTTCCCTCTCTCCAGGCAAGTAGTAGCAAAGTGGAGATCAGAGGGGAAGAAGCTGTTAATGAACTGCGTTCCTTCTTCCCCTTGGAGCAGCCTGAGTAGAGAAACCCTACACTTCATCCATCCTTAGATGAGTAGAGGAGGAAGTTTTAGCAAACTGGAAGTTAATTTCTCCTAAGGAAACTCCACCAGTTTATGATTTTTTTTTTTTTTTTTTTTTTGAGACAAGAGTTTTGCTCTGTGGCCCAGGCTGGAGTGCAATGGTGCGATCTCATCTCACTGCAACTTCTGCCTCCTGGGTTCAAGCAATTCTCCTGCCTCAGCCTCCTGAGTAGCTGGGATTACAGGCATGTGCCACCACACCCAGCTAGTTTTGTATTTTTAGTAGAGATGGGGTTTCACCATGTTGGTCAGGCTGGTCTTGAACTCCTGACCTCAGATGATCCGCCCTCCTCGGCCTCCCAAAGTGTTGGGATTACAGACGTGAGCCACCATGCCCAGCCCAAATTATGATTTTGAAAGCTGTTGCAGTACCAGGAAAAAAAAAAAAAGAAGGCAACAGAACTACTTTCACCTCCATTAGAAAGACAGCAAAGCCAGAATGTATAGCTTTCAGGCACAAAAATTCTTCGCGCAGCCAGTAATCTGGGAAATATTGATATTTGTTTTCCTCATCTCAACCCCAAAATGACATGTAGGAACAGGTGTTTAAGTTTTTGGATAAATAATGAATTAATGAAGAAATTCCGGCCAGGCGTGGTGGCTCACGCCTGTAATCCCAGCACTTTGGGAGGCCGAGGCAGGCGGATCACAAGATCAGGAGCTCGAGACCATCCTGGCTAACACAGTGAAACCCCGTCTCTACTAAAATACAAAAAATTAGCTGGGTGTGGTGGCACGTGCCTGTAGTCCCAGCTACATGGGAGGCTGAGGCAGGAGAATCACTTGAACCCGGGAGTTTGAGGTTGCAGTGAACCAAGATCATGCCACTGCACCCCAGCCTGGGTGACAGAGCGAGCCTCTGTCTAAAAAAAGAAAAAGAAAGAAAAGAAAGAAAGAAAGAAAGAAATTCCTCCTCTCCCAGCCACATAGTAGGCCTGAACTCAGAAGTCTTCCTTAAGTGTCAGATGCATAAATGAGAACAGTAAGGACTCCAGCGTGCTTCTCCTTCAATGCAGAATATGGCTGGAGGTCTTGGGCAGTGTAATTTTATTTCTTCACCATGAAATTTGGGAATATACAATCTTTAAAGGATGGCCCTTGAGTAATTCAGGGAACAGCAGAGGGAAGGGGCTGTGAGCTGAGGCCAAAGGTCTGACTTATCCTTAGGGCATCATAACTGGGGGTATTTCACCCCTTCCTGACCTAGGTCCTGCTTCCACTGGAGGGAGGCCTCTTTGCCATTGTGTACATGGCTGGCTGTCACTGGACTCTGGTCCCTCCCCCAACACTCTCAAGCAGGGGTTCCTTACTAATGATTTGCATGACTATTTTCTCAGTTTTCAAAGGGATAGTATATACCCAGTAACATTCTAATTGCATAGAAATAAGTTAATTTATGACACAAAGGATGCCTTATGGCGTGGAGGCTTAATTCTTCTGGAACTTCAGTTGCGGACTGGAATAGATACTTTGCCTCAACTGAAAATAGACCTTTGGTCTGAACAAAAAGGCCCTTCACATTCTGCTCAGCCAAATCACTTCCCCAACCTCCTCAAAACCTTTCCTAATATGTATTGCCTCCTGGAAATATTTTCTTTCTTAAACGCATGATTCCAACCCAGACCCTCTACAGTGGGGATCACCAGATAAAAGGGATGAGAGAAAGCAGGAAAGCCTTGGAGTCAGACAGACCTGGTTCAAATCCTAGCTCTGCTGCTTACTAGCTGCATGACTTGGGACAACTTAGGAGCTTCAACGTCCTCATTTGTAAAATGAAGATTAAAAGAGATAAAGCACTTAGTTCAGTGCCTGTTGCATAGAAGGTTGTTTCAGTAATCTATGATTATATAGCAAACCACTTCAAAATTTAGTGGCTTGAAACAACAGCCACTATTTATTTGCTCACGATTTTACAATTTGGGCAGGGCTCTCCAGGGGTGATTTGTTTCTACTCTACAAGGTGTTGATTGGGCTTGATTGGGGCTCTAGGGTCCAAGGTGGCCACGTGTGTCCGGGGCCATGGTGCTGGCTCTCAGTGGGGACGCTTGGTTGTCCTCCATGTGGCCTCTCATAATTCAGTAATCTAGCCTGAGATCCTTTACATGGGAGCTGACTTCTAAGAGCAAAAGCAGAAACTAAGGTACCTCTTAAGGCCCAGGCCTGGACTGGTGCCACGTCACTTCTGCTACATTCTTTCTGTCAAAGCAAGTCACATGATTCAAGGGAAGGGGAAATAGACTCCAACTCTTGATGAGAGGAGCACCGTGCTCATACAAAGATAGGAGGAACTGTTATCATCTTCTGCAGATTCTATCACAGAACACCTTCAATATCTTATTTGTCATCAGAATGAAAACAAAGATAATCAAGGGAACCTCACCTTTATTCTTTTCCTGGGTTTAATGAGACTCTGCTCCAAATACTTTGCTTTTTTTTTTTTTTTTTTTTTTTTGAGATGGAGTCTTGCTCTGTCACCCAGGCTGGAGTGCAGTGGCATGATCTCGGCTCACTGCAAGCTCCGCCTCCTGGATTCAAGCGATTCTCCTCCCTCAGCATCCTGAGTAGCTGGGATTAGAGGCGCTCGCCACCATACCTGTCCAATTTTGTTGTATTTTTAGTAGAGACAGGGTTTTACTGTGTTGGCCAGGCTGGTTTTGAACTCTTAACCTCAAGTGATCCGCCTGCCTCGGCCTCACAAAGTGCTAGGATTACGGGCGTGAGACGCTATGCCCAGCCTAATTTTTGTATTTTTATAGAGATGGGGTTTCACCATGTTGGCTGGGCTTGTCTCGAACTCCTGACCTCAAGTGATCCATCCGCCTCGGCTTCCCAAAGTTCTGGGATTACAGGCATGAGCCACATTGCCCAGCCCTCCAATTTCTTGAGTATCATTCCAGCCCTCAGGTCTTGGGGCTCTGTCTATAATTAGCTATGTGCATGTTTGTGTTCTGCTGTTTGCCTCTTTGTGGTGGATGTGCGTCCTGTTATCCCAACTTAAATTGGAAAGCCCATAGAGGCAGAGAGCAAGTCATCTTCGGCATCTCTTTCCAGCACTTAGTACTGTGGAGGGTTGAATTCAGTTGTGTCGTAGATGTCTAGGGAAAAGGACAGTGTTAGAAACCTCTGTGGAAGCGAATGTGGTTGTGGGAAGATAAAGGGGAGTCTTAAGGCCCTGTGGTTCCTTACAGCCTGGCTAAAGGATGGCAACTTTCCAAATGTTTCATAGAAAGTCTCAAATACAGGGACACGTAGGCACTGGGGAACCACATATTTATTTAGATGAATCCAAACCAGACATGGTGCCGAAGCTCCTTGAGGACACAGTCTCACCACTGGCGGGCTTCCTGGAGGCACTGAAAAGAGGGAGCACTTTGTAGCCATGACAGCAAATGGCCAGAGGACACCAGGCTGCTGAGGGCACCGTTGTCACGGTCCCTGGCTCCTGTGCCATGAATTCACTTCATTGCTGGGCACTGGCTGTGAGAGAGGGAAAGGGGCAACTAACACGAACACAAGTATCATTAACACAGAGAGGGAGGTGAGGGAGGGAGAGTTGTCTCTGCAAGCCGACTGTCGGAGAGCGCTTTCCTGAGAAGTCTGTACTTGTAACGCACCCCTTTAGGCTTTCATTTGCTACATACCAGTGAGAGCCTTAAATAAATGTCTTATGGGATCAAATTCATTTCCAATTTCCATCAGCCAGCAGCTACAAGTCAGAGAGGACACTGGGAACTTGTTCTCTTTAGTTCTGTCTCAAGCTTCTTTTTCGCCTTATGCATCACTTTGTTCACAACATAGCTAATGTGAATGACGGAAAATCTAAAAGAGCTGTCCGGTTCTAAATGATGAGCTGAGCTGTCTTTTGCCAATAATGTGCTGCTTGGGACCACACACCTAAAGGTTAAATTATAATTGACATAAATGAGAAAGAGGATTTTCTTCTCTTGGAAGGGAAGGAATCCATAAGCTTCAAAGTAAAAAACAAATATATTAATCCATTTTTTTTTACCATGCTCATGATCCTGAGGCGTTTACTCAGTCAGCAGGAGCAGCCTCCCCTGTCCTTACACACCCCACAGGCACAAGGTGCTGTGACTCTTGTGGGTTCCTGCACTCTGAATTGTTCCCTTGACATCTTTTCCTACAATACCTGCTCAGCTCCCTCCCACAGAATCTCCTTATGATTAGGTGGATGCTGTCACTCTTCTTCAGAGGACCATTCATTAGGTTTAATTCCTACCATCGACTTGAGGAGTGCAGACATAGAGAGGATATGACAAAAGCAGACTGCATCTACTATAAATTCTCTCCACAGGGATGACAGTATCGCTTTTAAAAATGGTTACAACAGGCTGGGCGCAGTGGCTCACGCCTGTAATCCCAGCACTTTGGGAGGCCAAGGCGGGTGGATCATGAGGTCAGGAGATCGAGACCATCCTGGTTAACACAGTGAAACCCCGTCTCTACTAAAAAAAAAAAATTGCCGGGCGTGGTGGTGGGTGCCTGTAGTCCCAGCTACTCTGGAGGCTGAGGCAGGAGAATGGCATGAACCCGGCAGGCAGAGCTTGCAGTGAGCCGAGATAGCGCCACTGCACTCCGGCCTGGGCGACAAAGCGAGACTCTGTCTCAAAATAAATAAATAAATAAATAAATATAAAAATGGTTACAACAGCTGGGCATGTCGGCTCTCACCTGTAATCCCAGCACTTTGGGAGGCCGAGGTGAGTGAATCACTTGAGGTCAGGAGTTCGAGACCAGCCTGGCCAACATGGTGAAACTCCATCACTACTAAAAGTAGAAAAATTAGCCGGGCATGGTGGCGGGCGCCTGTCATCCCAGCTACTCGAGAGGTTGAGGCACAAGAATTGCTTGAACCCAGGAGGCAGAGGTTGCAGTGAGCCAAGATGGCGCCACTGCACTCTAGCCTGGGCAACAGAGTAAGACATCATTTCAAAAAAAAAATGGTTACAACAAAAGTGGCCACCAGTGGATACATGACTGAAAGGCTCAGGAATGCACCTCTGTCCCTGACTCAACAACACTAGCCATAAACAGGAAGTAATCCAGTGAGACATCTTGCCTCTCTTTACTTACCTTTGTCAGAGTACCATGCCTTCTTAGGTGTCCTCAATTAGGAACTGTAATAATTCGGACATTTCTCAGTGTTAACATCTCAGAAATCTCTGAGAAACTTTCTTTCAGAGCATTAGAAAGGAATATTCTATTTCAGGTTCTTGGGGAGTCAATGGTGCTAATTAGGTAGTCTATACATAGAGAAGAACAGGACATGTAAGGGCTCATTCATTCTTGATCCATGCAACAAACATTTAGAGTGCCTACTGTGTGTCAGAAACTGGGCTAGACACTGGGGGGACAAAGGCAAATAAGACAATGTCCCTACCCTCAAAATGCTTATAATTTAATAGGGAAACATATCTATAAATAGATAATTATAAAACAGTATGTTAAACACAATGATAGAGATCTGAACAAGGTGACAGGTATAGATAAGTGATTAAATACTTTAAGGAAGTAGAGAGGATATGCAATATTACCTATAAATAAACCGGAGGGGAAGTGAAATAAAGCCTGACAAACAGTTGCAGCTTTCCTAGGCTGAGTCAGAAGATTGCACAGCATAAAGAAAAATGAGCTGAGCGAGGACCCGGAGACCTGGGCTATTTCCACCAGTGCCAGGTGATCAACTAACTGACACTGGGAATCTTGGGCAAACCAGTTCCCTCCCTGTACTTTCGTCTTCTCATTTGCAAAATGGAAATAAGAATTCTTCCTATATTATTGAATTGTGATGGAGAGAAATGAGATAGTAGATAATTAAAATGTCTCCTCCAATACATCCTGATGATGACAGTGATGAAAGAGTCCAGCGGAGGAACCCCTTCTCCCCCTAGGCTTGCGTCTCTGTTCCCTGACTCTTCCACCGGTGGAGAGAGGAGGTGACTGGCACCCTAAGGCACTAGTTCTCCTCTTGCCCTTACCTTTCACATCCACCCGACAGTCCACAGATGCCTCCCCTAGGGGGTTCACCGCCTTGCAGGTATAGATGCCTCCATCAAAGGGACCCGGCTTGCGGATCTCTAGGGAGCAGATTCCCAGGTGAGTCAGGGCTCTGTACTTAGGGTTGCCTTGGATATCCATCTTGTTCTTCAGCCAGATGATCTTGGGCTGGAAGACAAAGATGAGGGAGGCAGCAAGGAGGGGCGAGGGTAAGAACCAATAGTCTTTCTGTGCTCAGTTTCTGGGACTCTGTCTATATAGAGATAATGGCTTTCTGGAAGGCTCCCTGTTCCTTATGTTGTGGGAAGGGTTTCCCCTTCCAGTGCCACCAGCAGTCCCCCAAGCTCCTTCTCTTGTTTGAAAACAGCACCTGAAACTTCATTTTCTTTACCAATATTTCTGACTGGAAGAAAACTGCTAACTTCCGTTCCGGGCTCTCAGGCAGCCCCTTTATGGATCAGAAGCACTGAGCATCAGGCTCACCTCTTGTGAACCATCCATATTCTGTTCCCACTGCTGACTTGTGAGTTGCCTCTGTCCCCTCTGGTTAGAGAGTAGCTTCTAGAGTGGGCTCTTGATATGCCCCTTCTGAGATGTTATCTCCATGTAGTCTTGCCCAGACTCAAAACCCAAAAGATTCTTGGTACAGGTTGTTAATGGTGTTTTCTGCTGTGTGTGGAGCATGATGACTAGATTGTAAATAGACAGAGAGCCTTGCTCAGGGTTGTGGCAAAAGGCTGAACTCTAGGCAGGTTGCATGTGCACGGCCCTGATGGGATGAGGTATGCATGGGAAGGAGAAACCACAGGGACTCTGTCACTCCTACCACAGAAACAACTTGAGGCGCATGCCTAATTGCCAGCAGGTCAGTAAGCAACACCTCCATATATGAGAAACAAACATTCAAAAGGAAATGTCATTCTCATCAGTCCGTCTTGGACTCCAAGCACCCCCCCGACTGTTCCTAAATACCGTGCTGTAGAAGAGGCAGATGGCGGTGATGGTAACAGATGTTATGTTACAGTGCTCTGCAACTCAGCTTAGGTTAGGACAGGCAGGAACAAGAAGCAGCTCAGCACAGTGCCCCCCAGAGCCCCCACTCACCCGGGGAGAGGCGCGGACACAGCAGAAGAGCTGGGTATTATAGCCGGTGACTGTAGTGCAGTCGGCCAGAGGCTGGGTAAACTTTGGGGCTTCAGAGAAGTCTCGTTGGGCAAACCCCTTGGTCTTGTAAACAGTAGCTGAGGGCACCAAGAGGGGCTGGCATGTAGCTTCTGAGATCCCAGCCCTCGTCGACTCTTTATCCTTAGTATTTTTTTTTTTTTTTGAGGTGGAGTCTCACTCTATTGCCCAGGCTGGAGTGCAGTGGCACGATCTCAGCTCACTGCAACCTCCAACTCCCAAGTTCAAGCAATTCTCCTGCCTTAGCCTCCTGAGTAGCTGGGAGTACAGGCGTGCACCACCATGCCTGGCTAATTTTTGTATTTTTAGTAGAGATGAGGTTTCACCATGTTGTCCAGGCTGGTCTTGAACTCCTGACCTCAGGTGATCCGCCTGCCTTGGCCTCCCAAAGTGCTGGAATTAGAGGCGTGAGCCACTGTGCCCGGCCTATCCTTAAGTCTTCCCAGCTCATGATCCCCATGCCTCCCTTACCTGCTTTCTGGATGTGGGCGAGGTCCGTAGTGATGGGGGCTGTTTCACTGAGTCCGCACTGGTTTTCAGCAAAGACACGGAAGGCATAGGAGTTGCCGATGATGAGGTCAGAGACGATGCAGCTGGTGCGGTGATAGTGCTCCAGCACCGTGAACCACAGCTGCGGGGCCGAACATGATGCCAGAAATCAGCCACCCCATGTGGAGCTACCAGAGGCCTGTCCCAACATGCCCTCTTCCACCCTCCTTCCTTCCCAGCTGGCCTCACCCCGGATTTTGTGTCAGCCTTCTGCACCGTGTATCCCAGAAGTGCTGTATTCCCCGTATCTTGGGGCGGTGTCCATTCCAGTGTAGCGCTGAAGCCCCAAACGTCCACCAGCTTAATACTCTGAGGAGGGCCTGGCCTCTCTGAAAGGGCAAAGCCATGGCAGTGGGCGTGGAACATCCCACATGCATTGAAGTCACTTCAGGAGTGCCCTAGCCCCTTTTTCTCCTCAGTTACCCCTCCTGCGCCCACCCTGTGTCCCAGACATGACGTGGGAGCCTTGCCGCAGCTTCCCCAGCTCTCTGAGCTGGCTCCTCTTCAGCCTGGAGAGGGAGTTCCTGAGGACCCCCCCATCTCCCACTTCCCCCACCGTACCAATCACCAGGATGTCAATGGTGGCGGTGGCCTCCAGCCCACCCAGCTGCACGCGGAGTTGGTAGCGACCTGAGTCAGCACGTTGGGCTTCTCGGATGAAGAGGATGGAGTCTTGCTCCCCATTCCGCACACTCACACGCCTGGTGTCCAAGGCACAGCCATCATGTGTCCAGATGGCTTGAGGTTTGGGCTTGCCCTGAGGAATGAGGGTAATGCTTTGAGCAGCCCCGAGAGGCTTCCTGACTCTCCCTGCTGCTGTAGGGGTCCTGTCCACCCCAGGTCCACAGGGAGGCTTGACTTGGAGCTGCACATTCCTTGAGTTAGAAGTTGGTGGACCCTCCCGGGGGCCTCCTCCTTTCAGCAACAGCCTAAGGATCTTGGGAAAGAGGGATGGCTTTGAGTCTCCCAATCTCTGAGAGCTTAGGTCATGAACACCCGGGGCAGCTGGGACCAATTGAATAGCCACTCAAACTCCCAAGAACCCTTCTAACTGCAAGCTCTGAGGCTTCTGTAGACTGAAGGGCATGGATTAGCCTCACACCATCTCATGGGTGCACACCCAGTCCTATCCAAACCCACCTTCAGGAGTGCAGAGGTCATTTGGCCTCAGACTTCTGGTGGTGTGACCCCTTCTATCCAAGGCTGGGAAGATTGCCCCTCTGCTAGCAGGACTCTTGGTATCTGTTTCCAAATCCAAAACCTGCACTGGCCCCAGACATGGACCCAGTATGGGGCTGGCATGATCACCTGGAATGGGATTAGTAGGTTCACTGTGTCCCCAACCTTCCGGATGTAGGTCTGCCTCAGGGCCCGAGGTAGCCAGATCTTGGGGTGCTCTGAGTGATGGAAAGAGAGAGAATAGGAGATGGATACTCAGAGAAAGTAAATCCTGCATCCAGCTGCCTGCTGTGGGTGAGTGGCCCAGGAATCGGTCACCAAATTAAGCCCTTCTTAGAGGGGAGGGGAAGAGTGCTCCCATCATCCTGCTGGGATTTGGGGATGAGGGGTTGGCTTAAGGAACACCCCGGGAAACATTAAAGTCTCAGCAGAAGGAACACTGGAGTGCGAGTCTGACAGTTCTCTTAATTTGTAACTCTCAAGTACTGACTTTCCATCATCTGGAGGCATTCCATCCTGATGGAGGCATTTTTATTTTTCTGTTTGTGTACAGACCAGCCTGGTCTGTGTGGTTTGTCTTTCCACCCTTTTCTACATTTGTCCTTAATACCATTCCTTTTATCAAGGCCACTTTCCATGTCAATCCTGACCTCCCAGTTAGGTGTGGGTCTCAGGAGAATGCTCTCCATTCTGCAGGCAGAGTCAACACCCTGACCTCCCAGCCGCCCACGGAGACAACACTGATGTCACTGCAGACAGAGCACGTGTCTGGGTCCCTTCCTCTGCATGGCCACTCTGCTCCCGGGCGCCTGCACAGTCTTCTTCCAGTTTGCAGAGGATCATTTTGTACAGATTCTGGGACAGATTAGGTCCACCACTCATTTCCCTTTGATCTCACAGGTCTGTCCCAGTGAGAAGTAGAGATTAGATGATGTGTATGGGCTTCCAGGATGAAGACAGGAAATGCTTGGAAAAGTGCTGAGTGTAGGTTTGGAGATTGACCAGGTATCATTTCTCTCCTCTTGGGATGCCTCACACTGTCTCAGCTGCCGAAGCACAAACATTCCACCTGCGTTCCCTCGGGGGCCTGGCTGAGACAGACACCATTTTCTGGCCTTTTCCTGGCTGCTGTCTCCTCCTTTCTCAGGCACAGGCAGTCGCCTGGCTGATATTATCTTCAGTAGAATGTGATAGTGCTTCAGTTCCCAACAACCCAGGATTCTTGCCACAGTTCATTCTTGGCAGTTGGAAGAACTTCACCCCTGGTACATTCCTGTGGCAAACAGCATGACTGCTCGATAGTGGATTCCAGACTCTTTGATAGCACACACTTCTGTGAAAATACTTCCCTGAGCATTCACTATGACATATGTATGTTTACTTATAGATGAACTGTTTAAATACATACATTACATAACACAAACATGTAAGTGACGCAACTGAAACAGAGCTTCTTCTGTGTCCTTCCTCCAGCTCAATCAGCAAGCATTGTCCAGAGAACTTCACTCTGAGTCTCCCCATGATAATCTCAAGGTCGCGAGACCTTTGCAAATGAAGATCAATGGCAATGTACAGTGCACACGGTCCGTTTGGTTTCTGCAGTTTCCTTCTGTGCTGTGTGGCTTATGTTTTCACCTGGGCTGTGCCTGTCTTAGACTGCACCTCAGGAATATGTGACGAGGGGACTTGATGGGCCTGAGTGCCCGTCCTCCCTGCCCTGCTCAGGTCTTGACTGCCTCAGCATAGATGCAGCAGCTGCAGGCGGCTGAGTGACCCTGCTGTGGCTGCCCTCGGCTGGGCTCTGGTGGCTTGGGAGGGGCGGGACATGAAGAACAGAAGAAGCGTTTGTGTGATGGGCTTCTCTCCTGTGGCCATCTTGGCAAGCAACCAAAGAGTTGAAGACGGGCGGATATGACTTAATAGTGTTTTGAAAAAGAGGGCCGTACTTGGAAAGGAGGGTCAAAACCTCATCTTGTCAGGCTTGGTTCCCCACTGTTGGGGGAGGAAATAACCCTTTCTACATTTGCTGGGGAGAGGGCTGGAGAGAAGCTGGCTCTGCTGTCCCTGTGCCGCCTGCCTACAGAATGTCGGCATTAGGAAGGGCCTGTAAGCACCAGAACAAGGATGCTGGGAGCAAGAGGGCTCCGAGAAAGAAGCCGGTATTCTGGAGACCTCCCGGCTAGCTGTGACGACGTGCCTGGCACCAGAGACTCCTGCCTCCCCATCTAAGATTGTGTGTCTGAAGGACCCATTCTCAGAGCACTAGCTGTGTCTTGCCCACCAGTGTCCACCCAGCAATGAGCACCATAGTCAGGGCTTGGACAGTGGCCTGCCCCTGGAGGGAGGAGGCCCAGAGGGAAGGCGGGGGCTAGACATACCCAAGAACTGCAAAGGGTTGAGGTGGGGAGAGGAACCCAGGCCTTCATGCCTGACAGAAGTGCCCGCTGAGCCCCGCCCTGCTGAGACCTCAGGTAGGGAATGGGCTGTTATGGGTAGCTGTGAGCTGATGTATGTGTTTCCACCTAGTGTTTCTTTTGTTTCTTAGAAAAACACCTGGGAAAATGTTAGCATTCTTACACCTGAACTAAAGAGAAAAATGAAAGAAATGGGTTTATGTGGAACATAAGCTAAGGTGTGGGAGTTAGAGGAAGAGGAGCAGACTGGCCCTTGGATCTAGAGGGGATCCTGGCTGGGCAGAGAGCAAGGAAGGAGGCTGCCCGCGAGAGCAAGGAAGGAGGCTGCCCGCGAGGACGGCAGTCTCTCCCTCCCTGGACGGCTCCATTGCCGGTTCTCTGCTTATCAGTGGGTTTCCTGACAAGATGACGAAACTTAAGTCTCTAGAATGGACTCTGAGGATGTGTAGGTGAGGCCTCTGCTCCCAGCAGGCTCCCGGCTCCCTGTGGGAGGGCAGAGTATGGACGTGAGGCTAACTCAGCTGACTACGTGCAGAGGTGGCAGGAGAGAGTGTGGCAGCTTCAGATGCCCAGTCAGCAGGTCAGCAGCATGCTCTCCAATCGCCTCTCAACCCAACCCAGGCGCAATCTGACTCTTTGCTAAGAATGTGAACGCCGGGGCTCATTTGAGGCATCTCTTTTCACACATCCGCAGTCAAGCGAGGTGTAAATTGTACTGACCTTGGGGAGGCATGGCTTCCCCTGATGCCCAAGGTCTTTCTCCTCCTTAGATGACAGGAGGGATGTGAACCAAAGCCTAGAGTCTTTAAGAGCCTAGGTTTTCTAAGAGCAGGTCTGTGAGAGTCACAGTTTGGTTTTCTCCCTTCATGGGGTCTTAGAGAAAAGGCATCTTGAAAAGTCCTTTGAGGGCCTTTGGTTCTGAGTTAGGCTCTCTCTGTACAATGTTTCTCTCAGACAGGATGCTGTTTAATTCTTTCTAAAAAATTCTTAGAGAAAACTACTTCAGGCCGGGCGCAGTGGCTCATGCCTGTAATCCCAGCACTTTGGGAGGCTAAGGAGGGTGGATCACCTGAGGTCAGAAGTTCAAGACCAGCCTGGTCAACATGGTGAAACCCCATCTCTACTAAACATACAAAAATTAGCCAGGTGTGGTGGCGGGCACCTGTAATCCCAGCTACTTGGGAGGCTGAGGCAGGAAAATCGCTTGAACCTGGGAGGCAGAGGTTGCAGTGAGCCGAGATTGCACCATTGCGCTCCAGCCTGGGCAATAAGAACAAAACTTCATCTCAAAAAGAAAAAAAAAAAAAGAGAGAAAACTACTTCAAGTCCAAAGATCTTGACTTCTGATTAGAAAATTCCTCCTAATACCTACCCTACTTTTATCCTGCTAAAGTTTATGCCTGTTTTACTATTCTATAATTGTTCCTATCCTCTCATAATTCCCTTTTATGGGATCAGTCTTTCTCCAGAGGCTCCCTAGGGGCTGTATAGTTCAGACCGATGTTACTAACTATGACCTGGAGAGCCAAGAACCAAGATGGAAGCATTGGAGAAGTGGAGAGGGTGTGTGTGTGTTTGTATGAGTGTGTATGTATGTGTGTGTGAGTGTATGTGTGTGAATGTGTGTGTTTGTGTACGTGCATGAATGTGTGTATGGGTGTGTTTACGTGTGTCTGTGAATGGTGTGTGTATGTGTGTGTATGAGAGTGTGTGTGTGAGAGAGAGAGGGAGCCTGCATACACACGTGCCTATGTGGGTGAAGGGTTACCAAAAGAGGGCGAATGCAGGAGGCTAGCTATGGCTTTGAAACTATCCAGAGGTTTCCAGAAATCCAAGAAGTACCGGGATTTCTTAGAGAAACATTACCAGATGCCTAGGATGTGGCCTTGGTCTACTCAGAAACCTGTCTGGAGGAGTGCAATGGGAAAGGAGTGGTACAAGAGTGTCACTTTCTTGAAGGCCATGAAACTAAGGTCAGAAAAAATAAAAGGACATAGGAACAGGCAACACTTCTCTGAGGAAAAGACTCCACCCCACCCCGTCCCTATGTTACAGTCGTCCCCCTAGTGCTTGATGGTTTTAGCCCTGGCTCACTGTCTCTCCAACACCCTCTCCATGCGGTATGCCTCTCCAGGCATAACTCCTGCTGGTCCCAACACCCATGTTTCCAGTCCCCGTAGGGTCTCTCACATCTGGCCCACCACTCCTCCAATAACTTTGTCCTCTCCTAATTCAGCCAATGGTCCCTGTGGCCATTCTCTAGACCAAGAGCTACAATCCTTCTATGATCAGAATTACAAGCATCCCACTGTCTCATCACCACCTCTATAACAGAGATGGCTAACTGGCCAAAAAAAATGTATGTTACCCCTTCCGTAGCGTAGCTATCTCTGAGAAGTGGCTGCCCGGCCACCTTTTGCTGGATGGCTACGCGACCAGTTTTTGCCAATGAGACGTAAGTGGCAATGGTGAGAATCACATCTGGTCCCAGGCTTTGAAGAAGTTAGATTTCTATTTTCCTCTTCTGCTAGCTGTACACAGATGATCACGGGCCCTAAGGAATGGCAGAGCCCCAAGATGAAAGAGGCCTGGGTCCTTGGATTACCACATGGAGGAGAACTATCTGCAGAATAGTTTTTAGTTCTTACGCTAGTGAGAAATAGATGTATGTCATTCCTGAGACCTGTTTCATTCACTAGTATACCTAACTAATATAATCTTTATCCCTTTAGCTCACTTCCTCCAGTGCTCCAACACCAGCAATTCTTTGGCACCACTGAGATCTGTGATCCATTGTCCTACCACCCTCTCACTACCTAGCACCCCTTTCATGTTAGCACTTTCTTCACCACCCAACTTAGATTGCACGGTCATTATTATACTCTCTCTCTTGCACTCACTCAAATCCCTGAGTCCTCTTTGACTTCATTGCACTCTCTTGGCAATACCTAACCCTTGTTAAATAAACTTCCCACCCACTCAGTGGCTGTATCTGCACAGAGTAACAGGACTGGGGGAAAATACAAAATTATATGGAGTTTAACTTGAGGGCCATTAATAGTGACCACCACCTCCAAGTGAACTCTGGCAATTCTACTAGACTTCCCAAGTTCACTCGGTCTCCCATTGTCCTGGGTGACTATCGCACACCTTTCTCTTCTAAAACCTCCCTACCTTCTCCCTCATTCTCATTCCCAGTTGTCGATCTTGCTAGTGTCTAAGGCCCACCTACAGTCTATTCTTAACATGGCCAGCTGGAAAAATCCTTAAAATCTACACTTGGTCCTGTCAGTCCTTACTCCCAGTCCCTGCACTGGCTGGCTGGCTGTCTCGTAGACAAACCAAAGTCTTCACAGCGGCCGTGCTACCTCTCAGACTGAAATACTGCCACTGTCTCCCTCCCTGTGCTACAGCCACAATGGCCCCAACCCATAAAGCACACTCCTGCCTCAGGGTCCTTGCAGTTGTTCTCTCTGTGTGGAAAATATTCCCCCAAATATCTGCATGCATTGCTTTCTCACATCCTTTAAGTTGCTGCTCAAATGTCACCTTATTAGTGAGACCCTCACTGAATATTCCATTTGAAGCAGGAAGCCTGCATGCTTCCTACCCGAAGCACGTTCTATCCCCGTCCCTGCATTAGTTTTGGCACAGCATTTCTCACCATCTGACATATTAGATACTTTACTTGTTTATTTATTGTCTAGCTCCCTCCACTAGAATCTAACTTCCATGAGGGCAGTTATTTTTACCTATTTTGTTCATTTCTGTAATTCTGGCACCTAGAAGAGCGCCTGGCACATCATAGGCACAACCTAAATATTTGTGGAAGGAAGGAGGAGGAAAGGAAGGACGGAAGGAAGGAGGGAAGAAAGGTCACTCCTAGGCATGAGATTCAGTTTCCCATGCCTGGAAGACACAGAACAGTTCAGATTGAAAGAGAACACAGAGTCAGTTGGAGCGATGATGCTGAAGTCAGCAGATGGGCTCTTTCTCCTCCACCTCAGGGTCCCAGGGAACGCCTCTTTGCTGAGAGGCACACAGAGACCATCGTGAAGGGGAAATTGAATGCTTCTTCCAGGAGAGCTCCACTTCCGTGGAGCTCAGACTCTGAGGGGTCAGGATCTCCTATGGGAGCAGTGGGGGATTGGAGGAGGTCCTGACCCCGTGGTACTGCCCAGCAGGAGGCCGAGTGTCACATTGTCCATGGGAGGGATGCAGCTTGTTCCCCAGCCTCTCCCTGTTTTGGAAGCTCTTCTCTGGCCCCTGCCAAGCTTTGTCTCCAGGACACAGTACTCAGTGTAGTGCTGAGGACAGACATAGAACTGTTTACCAATGCTGGCCACCTACTCCTGCTTATTTAGCCATGTAGCAGGCTTGCCAAACTAAAAGCTCATTGTTGGCCATTTGCAGTTGGTTTTGATCTTGCAAATTAATTTCTATTTCTGATGCCTGCTCTAGTTCCCATGTTTTCACATGCTTCCTGTGATACTCAGTCCCAGAGCTCTCTGTAAGGAAGAGGAGTTAGGAGGAAGAAAGGCTTTGGAGCTCTCAGGGGGCTTAGGGGTCATCTAGTCCAGGCCCATGCATTGCACCCTGAAGGATCTTTGGTGGGGGTTTGGGGCTCTGTTGGCTCTCTGAACTTTTTTGTGTATTTTTCCAGGGGCAAGAGTCCACAGCTGGCATTAGATTTTCCTAGGGGTCCATATCCACCAAAAGGTTAAGACCCTGATTTGGTTCAACTCCTCAATTTACAGATGAGAAAATGGGAGTGGATTGACTTGCCTAGGGCCACAGAACAGAGCTAAGATTTGAACTCATGACTTCTTTGTTCCAAGTAGTTAACAGATGCACATATATTTTGCAAAGTATTCAAAGGTGTTCTTATTGCCAGTGACTTCTGGGATACCACTGGGTTGAGCCACTGGGTGCTAGTGGCCCTGAGGCCTGCAGTGTACAGAGCTGCTGCACACGAGAGGCTTTGGGCTGCATTTGCGGGCCCGTGACTGGGGGCTGTCAGGAGCTGGCTGCAGCCAGAGGGGAGAAGCATGGGGGAGATGAGCACTCTCCCTTGTGCTTTTGGGAAGACCAGTAGAGAGAGCTGAGGCGTCAGCAGTCCTGGCTCTCATTCTCCTGCTGCCTGTCACTTATTCTCTGGGCCTTTTAAGGGAAGAAACTGGTTTTCTGCCTCCATCACCCCAGCTTAATATATTTACACTAACTTTTGCTCCCTTCATCTTCAACGGGACAAACTTGGCCAGCTCTCTGCCCTTGACATTCAAATAGTTTCTGGAAACCTGGCCTCTCCCATGAGGATAAGAGGCAGACAGAGTCTGCTGCACAACCCTATGGAGGTAGAACGCAGCCTTCACCTCTCACTTGGAAATATTTGATCATTTATTTACATCTTAGTTTGGCCTCTTCCAAGGCACCCTGGATCATCTCAGCAATCCTTTCAACTACCCTGATAGGTAGATGTTATTAATCACCATTTTACAGAGTGAAAATGGAAACTGAGCAGTCCAGTGACTTGTCCAAGGTCACAGGGCTGTTAGAGGCGGCACTAGGAATTGAGCCTAGAGCTTTGCCTCCAAGTCTAGTATATCTTTTCCCCTGCCTCTTCCTGCCCTAGGAGTCCACGTGTTTCTTGATTGTGGTCTTTTCATCCTCTTAAGACTTTCAGGTGAGCGCCACGAAGTGGTTAGCTACAGAGGCCTCAGCCAGGGCATTCAGGGATGGGCGGCAGGAAGCTCGGGGTTGGAATTCCTCACTTGGGAACGCCTCTTTGCTGAGAGGCACACAGAGACCATCGTGAAGGGGAAATTGAATGCTTCTCCCAGGAGAGCTCCACTTCCGTGGAGCTCAGACTCTGAGGGGTCAGGATCTCCTATGGGAGCAGTGGGGGATTGGAGGAGGTCCTGACCCCGTGGTACTGCCCAGCAGGAGGCCGAGTGTCACTGTGCTGCCCCACTCTTAGCCTCCCCATTGCCATAGCATTTTATTTCCCTGTTCCTTCAGCAGACAGTCACTATCTCTTACCCCTCAGTCCCTTCCTGACTGGCCATTAGTATATCAGGTCTTCCCAGTCCCTATGACAATTTTTTAAAAGGTAAAAATATAAACAGATCATTTTTAGTCACTGTAAAGTGCCACCAACACCATCACTGACTTCTCAGCTAAAACACAAAAACTTAGCAGGGACATTTGAGCAGCAAGTTAGACTCCATCAAGGACAGGGGATGGGGGCTCTCACGAATGATCTCCAGCCTAATCACCAATCCTATAGAGTCTTTAGCTCTGCAGAAAACCTGAGGCGCCGTTCAGGAAGGTGGCGATGTCTTCCCCAACTCCCACCACCCGGCCTCCCCACCCTCCCCACCTGCCATGGGTCACCTTCTATAGGGGGCAGGAGCTGGGGAGTGGGGCTGCCAGCCCCCTGTCCAGGTGAAGCCTGGGGTGGTTCAGCATCCGCTGGGCTGGCTTCTTTCACCTTCAGCTTGGATCCTGCGGCCACCTCCGGAGCTGTGGCTGCCTCCATGCTGGGCCTTCCCAGAGGCTGAGCTCCAGCTCTAGATTTTCACTGCTGGTGATGAGGGAGGGGCTGAGCACCTGCTCCCAGGCTGGCCTCCCGGGTCCCAGCCACAGGGTTACGTAACTGGGCTGGCCCTCCCCACTCAGCTACGCCCAGCAGAAAGGCTGAAGTAGGGGTTGGGGGAGAGAGGAGGATCAGACAGCAGCCCAGAATAGCCCCAGGAGGACTGAGGTGTCCCTGTTATCTCGGGAGAGAGATGACACCCCCCACAGCACCAGGGAGGGAGAGCTTGAACACACCATCCAAAAGGGACCTCTAATTTCTGTAGGGAGGGTTGAGTGACATCTCTGCTCCTGACCTCCAGTTCATCCCGTGGGGCATTCAGGTCCCAAAGAAGGGGCCCAGGATTAGCTGACTCACAGCAACGCCTGAACTGCTCTTTCTCCCTCTGCTCCCACATTCAATGAATTGTAAAGTCTTATCAACTCGACCTTTACAGGGCCTGTCCCATCCTCCCCCGCTCCCCGGGGGCAGCGGGCACAGCGCAGTGGTAGGTGGAGACTGCACTCGCACTGGCTGCCCAGGTGCCACTTGGGGCTCTGTCACCAACTAGCTGTGTGACTCACAACACCTCACAGTCTCTCTTCAGTCTGTTTCCTCATCTGTAAAATGGAGATAATTATAACCATAGGGTCGTTGTGAGGATTAAAGAGGTAATCTCTGTAAAGTGCTTAGCAGAGTGTAGCCGACTAAGTGCTTGATAAATGTAAGCTATTTTTAGGTCAGGCCAGCACTTCCCCCTTTGAGAGCTGTCAATGGCTGCCTTGCCTATTAGATGAAGTACAAATAAAGGGAGAGGCAGCAGTGGTGGAGGGAGGCGAGCTCAGAGACCTGCGTGTGACTTCTGGCTGTACCACTCACTCACCAGCTGGGACTCTGGGCAAATGGCCGACTCGGAGTCTCAAGTCCCAGTCTATGAAACAAGGGATGATGCCATGATTGTGTTGAGGATAAAATGATACAATCTATAGGAAAGTGGCCAGCTCACAGCAGGTGCTAGTCACATACTACAGGTCCTACATGATTTCCAGACTTAGCAAACCATCTTTCTATACGTGTTGTACATGCCATGGACACTGCCACCTATCATACTCCTACCTTCTTATCTCCAGAAGCCAGCATCCCTCTGCATTTTAAAATGCTTTAATTTTAGAGCAGTTTGAGAGTCACGGCAAAGCTGAGTGGAAAGTATAGGGTTCCCACAGCCCCCTACTCACCCCTGTATTTTTTTCATGGAAAAAAAATGGGTGCAGTTGAACAAATGGACTGACTTCTTACTCATTTTTGCCTTCAATTTTGGGGTAATTGGTAAGATCCCAGGAGCCTGTGTTATCTTGGGGTGACAGAAGCTCAGCCTCTTTGTAACTGGTATAGGAGCTAAGGCCCAGGACAATCTGTTTATTGGGGCCTTGGATGGCCTATGGGGTTGATTTGGTTGGCAGAAGACTGGGTTTTTGCCATATCAGAACTAGCTTGAAGGTCTTTCTGAACTATTTTTCCTGCTTGACCCAGCCAAGGCCCCGTAAGTGTGGACAGTCTCCTAGCCAGGAGACCCCAAATACACCCCCTTTTACACAACACGTAACCCATCTTTTGGTGAGGAAATTGGCCCAGGCTGAGTCTTAGCCCTTTGTTGGAGCGAAGGTGTAAAGAATCAACTTTAAGATGCAGGTTCCTAAGGTTTGCCCATCAGAAAGTCTAATTCAATAGGTCTGGGGTGCTATCCAGAAATCTGCACCTAAAAAAACCAACCTAGTGACTCTGGCGCAGGAAATCTTGGAATACCATGTTAGATAGAATTCCTTCAAATAAAACAACGATCTTAGATAATGTCCTGGGGTAGGAACTCGCCCATCAGATGGGCCTCAGGAACAAGGGCTTTGCCCTGTCATCTTCAGACCAAGGTGCTGGAGTATTACATGGAATATTGCCCCAGGCTAGCAGGGTAGGATGGCTAACGGTTCCAGACGGGTGGGCAGGAACCTCTCTTAAATGCTTTGCAAGAGAGGAAGGCTGCAACTCTCCAAAGGTCCTTAAATGAAAGGGACAAGAAAGGGCCCGTAAGAACAGCAAGAGAAATGTAAGAGGAGCAGATGGGAAGTTACAAAGCTGAACTTCTCAGTGCCGCCAGGGGTCAAACCTGCTCAAAAGAACACAGAATTCAAGGAGTAATTATCTGTTGCTGTGTCCAGAAGGAAGAGTGTAGCAACTGAAACCTGTGAAGGTATGTGGGGTGGGTGCCTAGACTTTCTAGGAGGAAGAACAAGAAAGCTGGTCGTATACACACCCACGGGAGGAAGATCTGTATGAGCACTAAGAGCAAGAAAATGAAGAACAAGAAAATTAGGTAATTTATGGCTCACATTTTTGTGAGACGTTTTCCTCATAGATGACCGAATACATTTCATGCTATAAATGTACAGTCCTGGCTCTTTAAATGGCTTGTTCTCTGGTTGCTGGAGTCTGATTCTGAAGCAAGAAAACTGGAAAAAGTATATCAACAAACTGTAGCTTAGTCATTTCAGTAGGTCAGGTAACAAAGTCCAGTCTGTTTTATTTTTAACCCAAATATTCCAAATATACAGAAAATTACCAGTACAAAGTTAAACACATTCAGATTTATTTACACAATGCTAAAGAAATTTGAGTTTTATTTCCATTTTGTGGAATTTTATCATGGGGTCTGGCTTTAATGTGTAACTGACGTGGGTCACTGAAACTCGATTATCCCACCTCACATGCAATTTTCTGTCCTAAGGGAATAGAAAACTTGGGTTTTTAGGGCACATGCAGTAATGATCTTAATACTGCTTTACACTTTCGTGGGAAGGCAGCTGTCCCACAGCCTGGGGAAGGACCACATGCTCAGAAAGGGAACAAGAGAGAGGGCTGAACAACAGGCACATGGGGACCCTGAGCATTTCTGTGCACGAGGATAAGGAGAGTATGACCAAAACCCTCCTCCCTAGAGGTCCAAACACAGGAGGTGGGCCAAATCATCAGGGAACAGTCAGTCACCCGCTTGTGGCTGAGGGCATGCGGAGGATGAGAACTACATTAAGGATCTGGGGCATAGCAATAAATCATTACCATGTACACTATACAGTTTATATATGTATATATGTACACACACATATATATAAAGGTACAGATTAGTTTATGTTATTCCTTATAAACAAGTACACTTAAGAATGTACTGGTGTGAAGAAATGCATACTGCAAGTTGTTTCGAATTAATGTTCTGACTCTTGTTATTATAATGCAACCTAACCAAGAAATCAACATGCTCCTGCTATTTCAATGATGCTTCATGAGGGCAAGGCCTGGGCTCTGCTAGGGCAGGATGGTGCTCCTAGAGCTACCTGAGCTGGACAAACCCATGGCAGACAGAACAGAAAGTCTGGCACCTGCTGACTCCGGCCCTCCCTGTCACTTCATCACACAGCAAATCTTAAAACTTTGGTTTTTTCAAAGAACATTTAAGTCCATGTTCATTTTCCTGCTTCAGGGAAGATGGTAGCAAAGTTGAAAGCCGAATCCCTTCCTATTTTAGCACTTCCAAGTATCCTGGATGAATATAGGGGCGAGGGGCTACACTGACAATGAGCAGGATGCACTCTAGGTCATTGTGGACAGGCACGGAGCTCTTGAGAGCACTGCTCAAAGGAAAGAGGGAATCTCTATCTGGATGGTTGGCCTGGAAACTAAATAATGACTAATGCCAGGCCAGCCCCGTTACCCTGGGGTGGGTATGGATGGCCCTGGGCTCCCCTCCGTATCCTGGTATCGTGACGAAGGCCATGAGAACCAGCTCTGGTTTACAGACTCGATGCAGGAGCTGGAGGTGGCCAGCACATTACCAGCCTGTCAAGGATGAAAGACCACCTTGGGCATGGAGAGGCCCAGAGGCAAGCATCAGAGCAAGAGAGAGGAGGTGGGAAGTCCATTCAGAGGCAGACGTAGATTCTACGTTCCAGTTACGGCTGATCTATGGACTCTCCTGAGCCCGCCCCCAGAACTGCCGCAACTCTCCAAAGGCTTTTATTCTTTGAAATAGAGTTGCCATTGAATTAAAAGCCTACAGGAGAGACGGGCCTGGTCTGTGGTCTCACTAAAGCCCAATGCCCAATTAGGTCCAGAGAAGAAAGAAGAGTGAGTTCCCTACCTGGATTTAAGAACTCGGACCACTTTGGACTGGTTTGTCCAATCTCTCTTATAATGCTAAATTCCATTGCTGAAGCCTCCAGAAATGATCTCTTCTGCTACATCAAGCCTGGGAGTTTACACAATGATACACTATGTTTTACCTTCAAAGATAATGCTCCTAACATGAGTAGGACAAATTAGAAATCTATTTTTTTAGAAGCTGTAACAGATTTGGGCTTTCTTACTCTCTGGCTGAGGGCACACATTTGTGAGTGAGCAGGTTGATAAAGAAAGCTAACTAGCCAATAATGAGAATGAGCCAGGCTGGCTGTCAGTCTTCAAACCAACAGAGCTAGCCAGCCCGGGGTGGAAACCAGGATGGGGAGGGAGACCCATCAGTGGAGAGTCCACTCCTGCACTCTTGAGCAGTGACCCTCAATGAGGGGAGGGGCAGTTTCTGCAAACGTATTTAAAATTCCCATTACTTTTGTTTTCAGCCATGAAAGACAGGAAAATACAATTTTCTGTTCACCAAGGTGGCAAAAAGGTGCTAAATACTGCTAGGAAACAAATGCCACTGATCCCTGTCATAAAGAACAGCAAGTCATCTACAAGAAGGCAGCCTTGCTCAAAGTGGTTAGCACTCGCATGTGTAAAGATTTCCAAGAGTTCTGAAGACAGCCAGCCAGCACTGCTTATCACACACACGGGGACCCTGAACAACTGACTCCATCCCAAGAACATTGTGAGGTTCAAATGACATTATGTGAGTGAAGGTGCTCTGAAAATTTGCCAAGTTCCACAGAAATCCCAGATATCATTAAAAGCGAAGAGCCCTATCGTATATGGTTAGAGAAGAATATTGAGTTTCCTACGTCTTAAAATGAGTAAGAGGATTACCATGTATTGGTGCATCTGCCCACAGTGAGTACATGCTGGGAGAAAGGTGAGTGGTATAAACAGTTCTTTTCTGAGTACCAAATTCACTTTGGGCAGGAGGGAGGGTGGGGCAGAGGCTGACGTTTTCATTTGTGAGCTGGTGTATCTTCGGAATTATTTTTAATTTTAAAACCATGCAAAATGAATAAGCAAAAAGACTAGTGCACTCCAGCCCTAACCATATTATCTTCACAAAAACTGCCTCAACTTTATTTTCTAACTGAAGCTCCCTGACTCATTTCATTCTACTGCAGTTTTAACATCTCTAAAAGTCTCCATCCACTCTCTCCCCCACTTTCCACGCAGCTGTTAATCCATTCTGGGGAGGAGAGAACTTAGCCATCTGCTCACATTCTGACTAAAGTTAATTTGGCACTTCAAATAAAAAAAAAAAAAAACACACAAAACTGACTTTCTAGCCACAAAATAAACTAGTAGCAAATGGTATCTACCAAAGAATGTCCCAGTCATAATCATTGGGAGAAACTGTGACCCGCACAGTAGCTACATTAAGACCAAAAACTTTCCATACTATATTTCTATATAGCAAATATTCAAGCTGTATTAAAACTAATTATTGCAGCTTTCCATTACTATATGGCCACCCCAAAATCCACCCAACTACATTCTATAATTTATTTAATTTAGAGAGGTATCAAATGGAAAACTTCTTTTAATCCAAAATAAGAACTTAATGTATCACACAAAGCATCATCTAGACTGGAAGTGTGTTTTCAATTGGTTCCTCCAAAATTTTCGTGTCAACAAATTACTTGGCAAAGTCAGAAAAAAGGGGTGAGAAGGAAAGCCTGGTAATAAAATTCTAATTTTTTAAGTCTATAAATCTGAAAAAATCTCTAGTCCTGGTTCCATGTACAACAGCAACCTAAGAAGCAGCAGATAGGCAGCCATTGTCATGATTTAGCAACGAGCCACACGACAGTTAAGAAGGGAACATGGAAGACTGTGAGGTTCCGTCTTCGGGGGTTCACACTGTGTACCCGACAATCAACTCTAGGGAAGAGATCATTCAGCCTGGGCAGACTTCCAGCTAAGTTTGTACCCTGTCCTTGCGTAAGTCTACTGGCACACACACAAAGCACAGCTTGAAAAATCTCAGAAGAAGCAAGAGTTCTCTTTTAATAGGTGCTATATCTAGTCAATTCTCTGCTGCTCCCTTCTTCCTGCCCCAAGTTAAAAATATTGCCCTGTAAGTTTTCCTGATGTACTGTGTGGGAAGCACATGGTTAAGTTAGTTGCCAAAGGGCAATTAACAAGGGTATTGCCTAATTAAACAAGGGAAAAGAAAAATCACTGTGGTCTGTGGTCTCTGAAAAAAAAAAAAAGAGTAAGTGGGATCTGTGTGAGGAGCTGGTGTGCAGTGTTCTTGGAGTAGGACTGTCCCCAGATGGAGAAAAGCCGGCCAGGCTGTGCCAGCCTCTGCAGCCTGTTTTCATCTCTACAGCTGTTTCGTCTCGCCAGCAGAGCCCAGGGATGGTACCAAGTACACTGTGAGAGCTGATACTGGAGTTGGCAGATGCCCTGGGGCAGGCGCCATGCAGAACACACAGAAGTGGGGTTAGTGAAAAGGTCCCTTCGAATTCCATTTCGTTTCCCTTAAAAAACAAAAACAAAAAAGCCCATACTTTGCAAAGAGACAGGACGAGAAATAAGAAGTTAAAGAATTTAAAATGTCTCCCTTTTTCTCAGAGCCAATTGTAAAAAAGTGCTCAGGGTTCCCCACCCCCACCCTGCATTTCTTTAGTGTAGGTCCTTTTGGCTTTGATGGAAGCAGCAGAAACAGAGCTGGGTCCCTCGCAATGGGAAATTTATTTCCTGAAGTTGGAGCCACAGGGAGTGTAAGAGGTACTGTGGTTCCACCATCCATGCTGGGTCCAGCTCCTCTGAAGAGCTATTCCAAGAGGTCCTGAAAAAGACATGCACCATATTACCGACAGACCACAACACTCCTATTTCAAAAGCAATCACCTAGTTTCTGGGCTTGCCAAATCTTATGGTCATTAAGTCGCCTTGGCCCTGGCATATCTTGATCATGAATAGAAGACAGACTTTATTTTCTTGTATTTTTTGGGGGGGGGGGTACTACCATTCAAGAAGAAATAGCCTCACCTCATCTGAGTCATCATGATAACCACTTTTATTAGTGTGGGAGGCTGTGTCCAAAGCATCCACACCATCCACACCATTGGCCTCTGCATGCTGCTGCAGCACAGAGTATCGATGCACCAGGAACCTGTGAACAGAAACCTCCTTAACACTCGGTGGTACACAGCAGGGGTGCACTTCTTACAGGACTGTGGACTTTCTCAGTTTTATACACTCAGGAACGCATCACAGACACAGAAAGCACAGTCCATGGTTGACATATGAAAAATGTACGACATGAGAAGATTTGGGCCTGATTTTTCAGGAACAGTACTGCAAGTACCTAGTTTTTGCCAAGAGTAGACTCAGCCATATGCCCTAGATCAGCCTTCTGGCTTGAACTCAGTACCTTGGATTGACTTCTGTGTTCCTTACCTTCCCCCACAGACATATTTCTTCACAATGAGCACTCCTGCTACGACTGTGACCAGCATCAATCCCACGATGGCCAGGATAATTGGAACAGAATTTGACTTGGAATTCTTGAGAAATTAAAACACAAACACAAAAGTTTTAGGCATGCATATCCTAGGACTGAGGTCAAGGCAGCCACTCATTCCCCTCATCTCTTTGTGAATGATCTGCAGTCCTGATGCGCTTAATGATGGCTCTTTTCCAACCCCCCAAGATGAACCATCTCAGTGTTACCAGGAGAATATTATAGCTGGCAGAGAGTCATCTTAGCTCCAACTGCCTTGAACCTTCAAATTCTGTGGTTTAAATGTCAAAGTTACACTGGAAGCCTGGGCAACTGCCTAGATCAAGTATGATTGCTTCACACTACCACTGTTCACAAGTCTTGGGGCTTAAGGGTGGAGTAGGAAAGGGAGACTACTGTAACAGTAGGCTGAATGACTCTAGAACAGGGCCATTATCTGGGAAGAAGCTGTGTCAGAAGAACCAGGCAGGCCATTATATGACACCAAGATTTATTTGTTTACTTAATTTTTTATATATTATTATAAATAAGCCTTATCATATCACTGTTTGCATGTGACCTACCTGCTTCTGGGTGGGAAATAGGGAGTGTGTGTTTTCAATGTATCCCAGAGGAGGCAGAGCTGGATTCTAGGACAAGCTGTGTCCCTGTGGGTGGGAGTCCTGTGCAATCACACACACGAACACTCTGAGGAGAGTCACCAGGAGCCCAGGACAAGGGTGCACAGAAGGAGGAACTCGCCCCCTTACCAATACACACACTCACACACTCCTCTCCCATCATCTCCTTAATCCCACCCCTTGTCAGTCCCTCATCCCTTAGAACAGCAGAGAGGAGGGACTGCAGGTGATCCAGCTTGACCTCTCCTATTACGAATTGGGAAACGGGCCTGCTGTTGAGCATCTGAAGTCATGCTGCTGGTCTAGTGTTTCATTATCAAGAGGTTTCCTCTTTACACATCTCCAGTTCCACAGGTAGTTCAGTGCTACAGATTTGGATGCAGCCTCATAACCTTTTTTTTTTTTTTTTTTTTTTAAATTGAGACAGGATCTCACTCTGTCACCCAGGCTGGAGTGCAGTGATATGATCATGGCTCACTGCAGCCTTGACCTCCCAGGCTCAGGTGATTCTCTCCCTTCAGCCTCCTGAGTAGCTGGGACTACAGGCACACACCACCACATCCGGCTAATTTTTGTATTTTTTTTGTAAAGATGGAGTTTCTCCATGTTGCCCAGGCTGCTCTCCAATTCATAGCCTCAACTGATCTCCCCACCTCAGCCTCCCAAAGTGCTGGGACTATACAGGAGTAAGCCACCATGCCCGACAGGTAACTTGCTTCATTTAAATCAAAACCAGCCCATTACCATAGCTCAATTTTTCACTTTGAACATACTTAACATGACTTGGTCAGAGATCCACCCTACCTATTGCCCAGTGCTCTTCTCTTCCACACATGCACAATTCCAGGTCATGGCCCTTCACAGACAACCTTTTTTTTTTGGTACGGAGTCTTGCTCTGTTGCCCAGGTTGGAGTGTAGCAGCACGATCTCGGCTCACTGCAACCTCCACCTCCCAGGTTCACATGATTCTCCTACCTCAGCCTCCCGAGTAACTGGGACTACAGGCGTAAACCACCACACCCAGCTAATTTTTGTAATTTTAATTTTTGTATTTTTAGCAGAGACAGGGTTTCACCATGTTGGACAGCCTGGTCTTGAACTCCTGACCTCAGTGATCTGCCTGCCTTGGACTTCCAAAGTGCTGGGATTACAGGTGTGAGCCACTGTACCCAGCCCACAGACAACCTTTTTGTTTTCCTAAATGACTCTCAGCCTCAGAAATTTCCACAACTGTATGATTTTAAGAATTTTACAACTTTACAGAATATCATCCCCCAACCCTCAATAAGAAAAGAGCTTTCAGTAGGGTGAGCTTATCACTGGGTTACATGACCCATCCTTCATGCTAACAGCTTCCTGTATAAGGGAAGCCTGAGAGAAGTAGTTTGACCACTTTTTATCAGTAACAAAACTCTTGATGCTTTAACTTTGATTTTTCTTAGCAGAACACAAAATCCCATTTGTACCTGAAAACTAGACCTATTTTAACATACCTGTTTTTCCGGACTCAAAAAGTTGCTTGTGCATTTCTTTTTCAAGTCTTTTACTTCTCGAACTGGATTTACCCCACCCTGGCATTTGTCCCCTGGAATTTTCCGGTACCTACCAGGCAAAGAAGATTTGGTAACAGAAGATAAGGATGTATTCCTGGGTACCTGCCTATTTCTTGGAAACAAGATTTGAAAAGCTGCCGAAAAGCTTCCCATCCTTACGTCATGTTTCAGGCCTGGGGGGAATGTCCACAGGGATGTTTTGGGGGATATTTTGTGTAGTTTCAGGCCTTAAGCAAACTAAGCATCTCTGTCCCCTGCTGTCAGAAACATGCCTGTTCTTTCTACCTAAGAGACTGTGCCAAAGAAATCTGACCCCAAAAAAGCTCATTAACAAGTGGTACAAAATGGGAGAGGGGAAGTTATCAGGGGAGCGAGGTAATGAGGCCCGTCTAGAGCAGCACTGTCCAATATGGTGGCTACTTAAAATTGATTAAAACGAAAATTTCAGTTCCTCGGTTACACTAGTGTCCACAGCTATGTGTGGCTAGTGACTATCATATTGGGCACAGCAAATTACAGAACACTTCCATCACCAAAGAAAGTCCTATCAGACAGAGCTCTCCCTGGCTGTGCCTAAACTGTGCCAGACGAGCGATGGACGTTCATGGCGGATGGGACGCTTCTGTCATTCTGCCTGTGGGTCCCTCGCCTCTCCTCCCTTCCTGGGGGTGGTTGGGCGGGAGGCAGGGGTGCAGGATCTGGCCGAGCTTGTTCTCCTGCTCTGCCTCGTGGTGTTGGTGGGGTTGAGTCCTCTGACACCAAGCACTCATGGCTCACCTCCTGTAGTTGACCCTTGAAGGAGGCCTTCATATCCTGCCCCTCCCCAACCCCGCCAAAAATAGTGCTCTAAAGTAGGGCTTGGATCTCAGTGTGGAGAGAAGCAGCTTTCACTCTGAACAAGAACACCTCATCCATCGTGACAAGGGAGAAAAGGCCACCTCACCCATTTGTTGTTAGGTGTTCTTCTCTTCCGTACAGACAAAACTCCAGGTCGTGGCCCTTCAGTTCTGGCTGTTCCACACACTTGGAGTCATTTTCTGGACGGTAGTAGCCAAAATCACTGCAAGAGTCAGCAAATAAAGTACCTTTCAAAGCAGCTGGAAGACCGTTAAGTGACTAGCAATGAAGGGTTATGTGGGGTAGTGGATGGTTAACATTCCAGTCTTGGGTTGTTAGAAAGTAGCTCAGGAAGTCCTGTGACACCTCTGAAGGAGGTCGATTTAGGAAAACAGACACGGAGAGGGCCTTTTTTTTTTTTTTTTGAGATGGAGTCCCACTCTCTCGCCTAGGCTGGAGTGCAGTGGCGTGTTCTTGGCTCACTGCAACCTCCGCCTCCGGCTTCAAGCGACTCTCCTGCCTCAGCCTTCTGAGTAGCTGGGATTACAGGTGCATGCCACCATGCCTGGCTAATTTTTTATTTTTAGTAGAGAGAGCGTTTCACCATGTTGGTCAGGCTGGTCTCAAACTCCTGACCTTGTGATACGCCCACCTCGGCCTCCAAAAGTGCTGGGATTACAGGTGTGAGCCACCGTGCCCCGCCAGAGAGGGCCTTATTAAGGAAAAGAAGCTTATGGGTCAGGCCTGGTGGGGGTAGGACTAGCTAGGGCCCCAAGGCTGTGCACTGCAGGCAGCTCAGGCGCAGGGAGGTGACTGATGCAGCCTGCAGAGGGGTGGAGACTCACACAGAAACCTCAGCATCAGCAGCAGCTCTCAACTCAGGGATACTTGGCAATTCTTTTCTTTTCTTCCCCCTCCCCGCTTTTTTTTTGAGACAGGGTCTCGCTCTGTTGCCCAGGCTGGAGTACAGCGGCATGAACACTGTAGCTTCAACCATCTGGGCTCAAGTGATCTTTCCGCTTCAGCCTCCCAAGGAGCTGGAACCACATGCATGCACCACCATGCTCGTCTAATTCTTTGTAAAGATGAGGTCTTGACAAATTGCTCAGGCTTGTTTTGAACTACTGGGCTCAAGTGATCTGTCCACCTCAGCCTCCCAAAGTGCTGGCATTACAGGCGTGAACCACTGTGCCTTGCTAATTTTTGTATTTTCTGTAGAAAGAGTTTTGCCATATTGCCCAGCCTGATCTCAAACTCCTGAGCTCAAGAGATCCACCTGCCTCAGCCTCCCGAAGTATTGGGATTACAGGCATGAGTCACTGTGCCCAGCCAGCAATTCTTTTCTTTACCTCCAAATGTCATTATTATGTTGCCCTTGCAGTACACGGCAAATTTTTCTGTCTTCCCCACTTCTGTTCCTCTTAGCTTCTTAGATAGTCTTTGCCTTCCATGTGAACACCTTTTTCTGTCCTCCATTCTACCCCATCTCTCCATAGTGCCACCCACTGCTCTCCTTTTCCTGTTTACCCCAAAGAAACAATGTCTGCTGACAATCTCCAGGGCTGACTCCATGAGCATCCTTGGTTCCCCTCCTCCGACCTGCCCTGGGGCCTTGCTTCCCTGAGTATGAGGGGAACAATCAATCTCTCCCACTCAGCTGGCAGCGTCTCCTTAGCCTGCATGTCTTGACCTTAGAAATTACTTCCTTAACCCACCTCTCCCTTACTACCCACATTTCTCAAAAGAATATTTTTTTACTTGTCCTATTTTACTCATTTATTTTTTCTTCCACGCATTTTGGCTTTGACCCCTTCTGCAACTTTGAAAATAAGTGTCTGGGCCGGGCGTGGTGGCTCATGCCTATAATCCTAGCACTTGGGAGGCCGAGGCAGGCGGATTACCTGAAGTCAAGAGTTCAATACCAGCCTGGCCAACATGGTGAAACCCCGTCTTTACTAGAAATACAAAAAATTAGCCAGGTGCAGTGGTGTGTGCCTATAATCCCAGCTACTCGGGAGGCTGAGGCAGAAGAATCGCTTGAACCCGGGAGGTGGAGGTTGCAGTGAGCTGAGATCGCACCACTGTACTCCGGCCTGGGCGACAGCACGAGACTCCGTCTCAAAAAAAAAAAAAAGAAAAGAAAAGAAAATGAGTGTCTGCAGTGCCCCTAAGGCTCAATAATCATCAAATTCAGTGGAGCCCTCTCGGGTCTCATTCCCCCAGACCACCCATTCTGCAGCATCTGACATACTGTTGTGCCCCTGCCAACCTTGGCATTGGTAAAGCTGCACTCATCTGTTTCTCTGCCCTCTGCTGCCCCCGCCACTGCTTGCTCTTCTTTCTTCCTAACCCATAAATGTAGTCTTTTGCCGGGGGCAGGGGGCAGGTATAATGCATTCTCTTACTTTTTCTCTATCTGCTCTCCCTTAGTGATCACAACTATTTTTGGTTGCAACTAAAACTTCCAGGTTTTACCTCTCTTGAGTTCTAATCCTATATTTCAAATACATGCTGGATATCCCACCTAAATATGCTGACAAAACCTCAAAGAAATAAGATGTTCAAAATACATCATGTTTTCTCCTTTGTGCCAGGCTCTCCTTATCATTTCCGTATTCGTCCATGACATTACCTTCCTTCCCACTATCTCAGTGGAAAATTTAGCCTGAGGATCCTCCTTCTGGGCCCTACTTACTTCTTTATCATGACTACTGTGACTTCCCCAATGGCCTATCTTCCAGGACACCCTTCCTTGATCATGCTGTTGGTGTCTCTGCTTGCAGCAGTCCACTGGCATTGATGAGCTGCTTCTTCCCAGATGCTCATGGTCAAATCCTACCATTTGTCAACGCTCAGCTCTCATACCACCTCCTCAACAAGGCCTTCTTTGACCCACTTCCTTTCAGCTCTACATGAAATGTTCTCTTCCTTTTCTAAATCCCCATGGCACCTGGCACCTTCTGTTTTGCAACAAATTTTCCATTATCACTTTTCATTACCTGCGCATAGCTGGTATTCAATGAGTATTTGGGGAATATATGGATGCTGCTTGTATTTCAAGGTTTTCCTGGTAAGTATTTAGGAGAGAGGGTATGGAGAACAAAAGATGCTGAAGATATCACCCCTCAAATAACAGGAGGAAATTCGGATAAGAGTTTTAGGTATTCAATCAGAAATTTCTGGATTTTTGTGAGTACCCTTCTCACTCATAAAGGACCCACTTCCCAAACATGTGGGCTCTGGAGTTGGGATGCCAGTTTCACATCCCAGCTCTGCCACTTCCCACGGGCATATCAGTCATGTCCTCTCTGTTGCGAGGTTAAATGTAAATTGCTTAGGATAGTGCCTAGTATAAAGTTAGTGCTCAATAAATGTTAGCTGCTATCATGATTACTATATTATTATCGAATAGAATATGCTTCCAAGGAATTTGGGGCTTAATGATGGAAGCAAACCTATAAATAGTAATTAAAATTTAGTAAGTGCTGTAATAGGGGAACTCTGGGGGTCTAGATGAGGGAAAGCCCATCTAGTGGTGATACCTGAGCTAAGTATGAAAGGCTAAGTGGGAAGTCGCCAGACTTGGGGGTGAAGCAGGGACTGTGGAAAGACTTTTCAGGCAGAGGGAGCATCATGTGCGGTGGCATGGAGGTCTGAAAAACCATGGCACTGCTGGAGAAGAGCAGAAGCACAGGTGAAGAGCTTGGCATATTTGGAGTCGAGGATAGGAGAGAACCCTTTACAGTGTTACAGGTTTATCGATGACCTCCAGCCCTACTGGAACACCAAAGGTGATCCTTACTGAAACAGAGAAGGGAGGACCCTTAATCATGCCACACACAGGTGTGAGCCATGCAGGAGAAACCACACTGGGTCAGACCTGCATTTTGGTCAGACCTATATTCTACTGTCACCTGCGATTTGAGAGAACATGACATAAAGGGCCATGGCTGCTATCTGCCTGCCTTCTTTGTCCAAATCCTTTAGGATCTACTTTTATCTTGTGTCAGTATCTTTTGCAGGTAACAAGTTCCAAAAGATTATCATCTGTGATGTGAAGCAGTTCCTCTTATTTGCCCAAAAATTACCTCATTTAAGCTATCCAGGGACTCATGCCCTTATATAATCAACTAACCCAATGCCAGCCAAGTAACTAATCCTTAAGTCTGGATGGTCCTGAACTCTAGGGAGTCCACTTTGATGGCCTCTAAACCTTGATGGGACCATGACTATACTGATGTCACCTCTAGTCTCAGGACCAACCACCATCTCTCTGCCTTGATTCTTGCAGAGGATCCAAAACCTAGTGTCTGCCTGCTGAGCTCATGCTGTCAAGGGGTTTTCTTTTTCTTTCTTTCTGTTTTTTTTTTTGTTTGAGACAGGGTCTCATCATATTGCCCAAGCTGGTCTCAAACTCCTGAGTTTAAGCAATCCACCCGCCTCGGCCTCCCAAAGTGCTGGGATTACAGGCATGAGCCACCGTGCCTGGCCTCAGGCTGTTTTCTAAAGTCCAATTTCCTCTTTGCTCCTCTACCACTTCTTTTGGTGTTTCTGTCTTTTCATTTTCTACAGATTTTTGTTTGTTTTATTCTCTTCTTTCTTATATCACTCCTCTCCTTCACACCACTGTCAACTCAGGATTTCTCGGGTTTGTTGCTGGTTCTGCCCAATAATTAACTGTCTAATACGTGCTATCTGTTTCATTATTAACAATTCTGGTTTCCTTTCTCTGTGCCTCAGCTTCCTTGATAAGAAGCAGCAGTTCTCCACTCTTGGGGGAAAGGGTTTCAGTTTTTTTTGGGACAAGAGTCTTGCTCTGTCCCCCAGGCTGGAGTGCAATGGCATGATCTCAGCTCACTGCAACCTCTGCCTCCCAGGTTCAAGTGATTCTTGTGTCTCAGCCACCTGAGCAGCTTGGGATTATAGGCGTGCGCCACCATGCCCTGCTAATTTTTTTTTGTTTGTTTGTTTTTTGTAGAGATAGGGTTTCACCATGTTGACCAGGCTGGTCTCGAACTCCCGGCCTCAAGTGATCTGCCTGCCTTGGCATCCCAAAGTGCTGGGATTACAGGTGTGAGCCACCGCACCCGGCTGGATTTCAATATTTGTTAGCCCTATAAGAAAACTGTCTTTCACCTCCTCCAACAGGGAAAGGGAGACAGAGAAATCTGAGGAATGCTGATACCAGAGAAAGTCCTCCAGGGAACAGAGGCAGATGGAGGGCTGCTTGGTCACAACATAGTCTCGACCATTCTGACACACGGATGACTTGCGTAGCCGCAGAAACTGTTCTTTGTAGCCCAAAATGCAGCCATCTTCATAATCTTCAGGGTCTGTGGAGTGTGCCAGCCATATGGTATAGTCCTTCTCTTCACCTAAAGGAGAGACACACTGTTCAGGAAAGTACACAGCACAGAACCCACCCACGGGAGGCAGCTGCCAGGCTATAGGAAGAACAAGGAGAGGGAAAGTGGGAATGTCTGACTCAACCTATTCCTTCATTTTGGAATTGCAAACAAAAAGTTACACTAGTCTAGAGCCTACTAGCAATCGCATTTCCTCATGCCAAAAGAGTATTCCTTCCATCTCAACATCCATCTGAGGATTAGGAAAAACCCTATTTGTTTTGAAGTGGGAAGCTGGATAGAAAATCTCTCAAGTTCCTTCCAAACTAAGAGGCTGCTGTGTGTGTCTTGCACACCTACGCCCTCAGTCAGTAGGAGCTGTCAGAGGTAAGCAACCAGATATTCTCCACTCAGGACCAGGGAGCTCTTTGTTTAGGACAAGATACTAATTAGCCAAGAGCACAGGTTCAATTTCACCATGTGTTCATTGGCTTAAGGAAGAAGGGAAAACATCCTTTTCCTAGACTTCTAGCTCAGTTGACCGGCTCTCAAATGCATATTGCTGATAAACCTAGTTTCTGGCTTAGTATGTCGTATCATCTACTGGAAAAATGACTCAAAGGCTGTGACCTAAAGACAGTGGATTAGGTTTTATCCTTTGGGATATGAAGACCAGCATACAGCCTGCTAAAGAGCAGGTGCTTAACAAATCTTTTAATGACATTACACTTTAGGGGTAACTGGGAGCTGCCTGCTGAGGGGAGAACTCCCAAGCCAGCTTCTGTACAGTCTACTGAATGGATTTAGATGACAGCGACCCTCAGGCATTAAATCTATTTGAACGTCTTATGGAAATGTGAGGTCCAAACCAAGGGTCTGCTCCTTCAGGAGTCACTAAATCAACACGCTGAGGAAATGAGCCCACGACAGTCTCAAAGGACCAAATTCAACTAGAGTGTCTAGAAACGTTAAGTCTTTTATTGTATTATGCCAACACTTAACTACAGGTCATCCTTTTTCCAGTGTTTTTCTTTATCCCCCTTCTTTTTTTTTTGAGACAGAGTCTTGCTCTTGTCGCCCAGGCTGGAGTGCAATGGCATGATCTTGGCTCATTGCAACCTCTTCCTCTCGGGTTCAAATGATTCTCCTGCCTCAGCCTCCCAACTAGCTGGGACCCGCCACCTTACAGGCACCCGCCACCTTACCTGGCTAATTTTTCTATTTTTAGTAGAGATGGAGTTTCGCCCTGTTGGCCAGGCTGGTTTCGAACTCCTGACCTCGTGATCTGCCTATCTTGGCCTCTCAAAGTGCTAGGATTACAGGCATGAGCCACCGCGCCTGGCCATTCCCCTTATTTCTTAGCATAATGCCAGCATCTTTGTTTGGCAGTGAGGTTAGGGTTTGCTTGTGACACTTTGGAAACACTGTGCAATGAACATTGTGAATCCTTTTCTGAACCTATTTTCTGGGCCGTTAATATTGCTTAATGTTGAAATGATAATATTTTGGATATATTAAGTTTATTTTATTAATATCACCTTTCTTTTTACTTTTATAATATAGCTGACAGAATAATTTAAATGACATATGTGGCCCTCATATTTCTCCTGGACAGTGCTAGCACCGAGGAGGAGGTTGTTTTTCTGATGCCATTCCATTACTTAATCACCCACACAGAACATCTGTCAATCCTCTTTCATATGCATATGCATCTGCTGATTCCAGCTAAAAGAAATTAAACCATATTGATTATTTAGGAAAATGGACTTGGAAGTTTCTGGTAGAAAAGGTCAAAGGAGACACTCACAGTTCCTTTCAAGGATATCTTTAAAATCAATGGTGTAGGAGACCCACTGGCTGGTCAGGAAAGATTCTGTGAAGCCCCAAATGCTGATATTCATGGACCTAGCTCCAGGTTCTGAAGCTAGGCCAGTGAAATAGATGGGGTCCCTGGTGAACGTGTAGGTTTGCCAGCATTGACCTTCGTCTGTGGAGAACCTGAAACCACAATTACAGAAAGATCATGACAGAGGATCAATGTGTACTGGGAATTCAGAAAACCACTCTGGCTTTTTGATCCCAAACCAGACAAAACCCCTTACATTTAGGTGGTGGCTTATTGGCTGACAATTATTTTAACTTTTTTTTTTTTTTTTTTTTTTTCTGAGATGGAGTCTCACTCTGTCACCGGGCTGGAGTGCAGTGGCGCGATCTCGACTCACTGCAACCTCTGCCTCCTGGGTTCAAGTGATTCTCTCTCATGCCTCAGCCTCCTGAGTAGCTGGGATTACAGGAACGTGCCACCACACCAGCTAATTTTTGTATTTTTAGTAGAAATGGAGTTTCACATGTTGGGCAGGCTGGTCTTGAACTCCTGACCTCAGGTAATCTTCCCACCTTGGCCTCCCAAAGTGCTGGGATTATAGGCGTGAGCCACCGCACCCAGCCAACTATTTTAACTTTTAACGTCTGTAGTTAACAGGATAAGGAAGAGATTTGTTCAGAGAGAATATGAAAGTAAATACCTTTACAGAAATTATTTCAAAGGAAAGACAGGAGAGTGACCCAGGTAAGAACTGGCTTTTAAATTAATAAATTTAAGGCTGGCTGTGGTGGCTCACGCCTGTAATCCCAGAATTTTGGGAGGCTGAGGCAGGTGAATCACCTGAGGTTAGGAGTTCGAGACCAGCCTGACCAACACAACAAAACCCCGTCTCTACCAAAACACAAAAAACAAAGCAAAACAAAAAACCACAAAAATTAGCTGGGTGTGGTGGTGCATGCCTGTAATCTCAGCTGCTCAGGTGACTGAGACGCAAGAATCATTTGAACCTGGGAGGCAGAGGTTGCAGTGAGCCAAGATTGCACCATTGCACTCCAGCCTGGGTGACAAGAGCAAAACTCCATCTCAATAAATAAATAAATAAATAACAATCAAATTATTTTATAAGAACTTATACTTCTTTTTTTTTTTTTTTTGAGACGGGATCTCACTCTGTCACCCAGGCTGGAGTGCAGTGGTACGATCTCAGCTCACTGTGGCCTTGACCTCCTCAGGTGATCCTCCCACCTCGGCCTCCCAAGTAGCTGGAACCAAAGGCGTGCACCACCACGCCCAGCTAATTTTTCTTTTTTTTTTTTTGTGGAGACAGGGTTTTGTCACATTGCCCAGGCTGGTCTTGAACTCTTGGGCTCAAGCAATCCACCCACCTTGGCCTCTCAAAGTGCTGGGATTACAGGTGTGTGCCTCTGCACCCAGCTCAGAACTTGTACTTAAGAAGTCATTTTCAATCTAGAGTGCTTGAACGCTTCCATAATAATTTTGTAGACAGAAAGAATATATATATATATATATATATATATATATATATATACATACACACACACACACACATATATATACACACATATATACACACATACACATATATATACACATATATATACATATATATACACATATATATACACACACACACATACATATATACACACACACATATATATATATATGGTTTTTTTTTTGATTGAAATAATATTAGAGACAAGGGACAAGGTCTCCCTATGTTGCCCAGGCTGGTCTTGAACTCCTGGCCTCAAGCGATCCTCCTGCTTTGGCCTCCCAAAATGCTGGGATTACAGGCATGAGCCACTGCGCCCAACCCAGAAAGAATGTTTTTAAGAAGTGACAAATATGTTAGCTAAAGGCAGTCAGAAGAAAAAACAATGCCATTTAATCTGAGTTGCCAATTAAAAGCAATCCTTTCTAGAATCTTATCTATAGTTCTGTCAAATGCAAAAATTTGAATTATAGTCTGTAACATCCCCCCAATAAACTGAAGAACATTCCCCCAGTTGCCCTCTATGCAGACAGTGTGTGTGAGATGAGTTCATGCATACTTAATCACATTGATAGGACGGCTGCTGTGCTCAATGGCCACAATGATGCCTCCAGAATCCAGGATGGTGTAATAGTGGGGTCCTTCCAGCATCTTTGTCCAGGAGTAACCCCCATCATCTGAGATGTACACATCTGGAACCATCACTGAGATGGCATCCCCCACGCTACCTGCAATATAATCCACCATCTCATTAGCACAAATAGGCAATGAAACAGAGAGCATTTACTCCAGAGAGAATAATGTTGAATGAATTTATTCTGATTATTTCCCATCAAGCCTCTTTTAGTAGGAAAGAAAACCACCAAAAACTTCGGAGAAGTTGTGTTGCTCTCTCTGATAAAAGTTGATGAAAAACCCAAAGTGTTGTTATAATGTAAGAAATTCTACCAAAGGAATGTAAAAGCATCCACATTGTTTCTTCTCAGAGCGTTCAAAGCCTGTTGGCTGAGTTTCAGTGTGCTCAGCCACTGTTCCAGTTGGAGGTGGTGAGTGGGAGGTTCCTTACCATGAGCAATGACAATGCCTACGGCATTCGGCTCTGAGAGTGGGGCCATTGGAACATTCAGTTTCTGGGAGATGCTGTAGGAAGCATGAATATGAAGGCTGCACTGTGAAAAGAAACAAAAGCGTAGATTAGAACCAAAGATAAAGATACAATTTCTTTAATCATTTCACAAAACCCTTCCAATAAAGCTTTAAGTTAACCCAGACCTAGGTAAAAGTACTATCTTAACTATTTATTTACTATTTAGGTGTATAGTTCAGTAGTGTTAAGTATATTCACATTGTTGTACAACCACATCTCTAAACTTTTTCATCTTATAAAATACAATCACCAATTAAGCAACTGTTACCTACTTCTTCCTCCTCCCAGCTCCTGGAAACTACCATTTTACTTTGTGTTTTCTATGATTTTTACCATATTACTTTGTGTTGGCTACTCTAGGTAGCTCATATAAGTAGAATCACATAATATTTGTCATTTTGTGTCTGACTTATTTCACTTGGCATAATGTCCTCAAGGCTCATCCATGTTGTATTAATAGCATATGTCAGAATTTCCTCCCTTTTAAAGGCTAAATATTATTTAAGTGTGTGTGTGTATCTGTATCCACACACACCCCACACTTTATTTACTCATTTATCTGTCAATAGACACAAGTTGCTTCTACCTTTTGGCTATCATGAATAATGTTGCTATGTACATGGTTGTACAAATATCTTTTTGAGAACCTGCTTTCAACTCTTTTGGATGTATAATCCAGAAGTGGAATTGCTGGATATGATAATCCTATTTTTAATTTTTTTTAGGAACTACTATGCTGTTTTCTGTAGCAGCTGCACCATTTTACATTTTCACCAAAAGTGCACCAGGGCTCCAATTTCTCCATATCCTTGCCAACACTTTTTAAAATAGTAGCCACCCTAATCTGTGTGAGGAGATACCTCATTGTGGTTTTGACTTGCATTTTCCTAATGATTAGTGATGCTGAGCCTCTTTTTATATGCTTGTTAGTCACTTCTATATTGTGTTTGGAGAAATGTCTATACAAGTTCTTTGCCTATTTTTTATTCAGGCTATTTGTTTGTTGTTGAGTTGTAGCTCAGTGGCATACTCTTGATTCTGAAATGTACTACAATATCTGGAAGCAAATATTTCCTCATGGGTAACCTGTCTCCGTTTATTTTATTTTTGCATTACATCAAAGCCTCTGAACAATGTTTAAAGGCTGACTCTACACAAATAAACTTGATAAGCACCTGATATACTTCAGACACCGTACAAGATGTGATGGTGGTTCGAAATAAGATCCAGTCTTGTCTTTAAGAAACTTAAAGGCTCCAGGTCCACTCTCACAGACCCAGCCAAGTGGACCCCTGCATCAGGCCAGCCCCTGCAGGCTCAGGGTAGGGCCCACCCCTGCACCAGGCTGGCTCCTGCAGATCTACTTACCGGGCTCCAGGTGTTTCACCTGAAGACCCACTTAAAAGGTCCACCCTAGTGGATTCCACTGCCAGGCCTGCCGCAGAGGACCCAGCCTCCAAGCTACCCCCAAAGACCAAGGCACCAGGCCCACCTACCTGCAGAACCTGTCAGTTGCCCCCCCAAGAATCTCTGGATGAGCTACCTGGTAAGGGCTTCCCCTGCTGAAGCCATCTGTAAAGGCCTATGTGTGTAAGAGGACACATAGGCTAAAAGTAGAGATAAAAAAAAGATATTCCACTCAAATGGTAGCCAAAAGAGAGCAGGGGTGGCTATATTTATTTATTTATTTTTGAGACGGAGTGTCGCTCTGCCACCCAGGCTGGAGTGCGGTGGTGCCATCTCAGCTCACTGCAAGCTCTGCCTCCTGGGTTCATGCCATTCTCCTGCCTCAGCCTCCCAAGTAGCTGGGACTACAGGCGCCTGCCACCACACCCGGCTAATTTTTTGTATTTTTAGTAGAGACAGGGTTTCACCATGTTAGTGAGGACGGTCTTGATTTCCTGACCTCGTGATCCGCCCGCCTTGGTCTCCCAAAGAGCTGGGATTACAGGCGTGAGCCACCATGTCCAGCCGGGGGTGGCTATATTTATATCAGACAAAATAGACTTTAAGTAAAAAACTATCACAAGGGATAAAGAAAGTTACCACACAATGATAAAGGTGTCAATTCATCAAGAGCATATAACATTGGTAAATATAAATGCACTCAACATTAGAGCACCTAAATGTATAAAGCAAACATTAACAGAACTGAAGAAAGAGGTAGACGACAATACAATAATAGTAAGGGACTTCAATACTTACTTTCAATGATAGATCATCCAGACAGAAAACCAGTAAGGAAAGAGCAAACTTGAACAACACCATACAAATGGACCTAACAGACATATACAGAACATTCTATCCAATAGCAGCAGAATATACATTCTTTTCAAGTGCACAGAGAATATTCTCCAGGATAGTGCATATGTTAGGCCACAAAACAAGCCTTAACAAATGTAAGACTGAAATCACCTCAAGTATCCTTTCTTTTTTTTTTGAGACGGAGTCTCACTCTGTCACCTGGGCTGGAGTGCAGTGGCGTGATCTTGGCTCACTGCAAGCTCCGCCTCCCGGGTTCAAACAATTCTCTGCCTCAGCCTCCTGAGTAGCTGGGATTAAAGGCACCCGCTGCCACGCCCAGCTATTTTTTTTTTGTATTTTTAGTAGAGACCAAGTCGGCCAGGCTGGTCTTGAACTCCTGACCTCGTGATCCACCCACCTCAGCCTCCCAAAGTGCAAGGATTATAGGCGTGAGCCAGTGTGCCTGGCCTCAAGTTCTTTTCAACTACAACATTATGAAACTAGAATCAGTAAAGGGAGGAAAATTGGAAAATTCACATGAATGTGGAAATTGAACAACATATTCTTGAACAACCAATGAGTCAAAGGGAAATAAAAAAAACTTGAGACAAATGAAAAGGGAAACACAACATATTAAAACTTAAGGGATGCAGCAAAAGCAGTTCTAAGAAGAAAGTTTATGGTGATAAATGTCTACATTAAGAAAAAAGAAAAATCTCAAAAATCTTAACTTTATACCTCAAGGAACTAGAAAAAGAACAAACTAAGCCCAAAGTTAGCAGAAGGGAGGAAATAATAACAGAGCAGAAATAACTGAAATAGAAGTTAGAAAAATAACAGGAAAGATCAATGAAACTTAGAGTTGTTTTTTTTGACAAGATAAAAAAGTGACAAACTTTTAATTAGAATAAGAAAAAAAGAAAAGACTCAAGTAAAATCAGAAATGTAAGAGGAGACATTATAACTTATACTACAGAAAAAACAAAGGATCCTAAGAGACTACTATGAACAACTATACATCAACAAATTGGATAATCTAGAAAAAAATGGATGAATTTCTAGACATATACAGCTTACCAAGACTGTATCATGAAGAAGAAATAGAAAATCTGAACATACTAATATGAGTAAGGAGGCTCAATCAGTAATCAAAAACCTCCCAACAAGAAAAGCCTAGGACCTGATGGATTCAATGGTGAATTCTAGCAAACTTTCTTCAAAGAAGAATTAAGACCGATCCTTCTCAAACTCTTCCAAAAATTGAAGAGAATGGAACACTTCCAAACTCATTTTATAAGGGTGGTATTACCCTGCTACCAAAACCAGACAAGGACACTAGAAGAAAACAAAATTACAGGTCAATATCTCTGATGAACATAGATGCAAAAATTCTCAACAAAATACTAACAAACTGAATTCAACAGCATATTAAACAGATTATATACCATGATCAAGTAGGATCTATCTGTGGAATGCAAGGATGGTTCAACATATGCAAATCAATAAATGAGATATGCCACATTAATAGAATGAAGGATAGAAATCATATCATCTTGATAAATCCAGAAAAAGCACTTAACAAATTTCAACACCCATTCATGATAAAAACTCTCAATAAATTAGGTATAAAAGGGATATACCTCAACATAATAAACCCATTCATGATAAAAACTCTCAATAAATTAGGTATAAAAGGGATATACCTCAACATAATAAAGGCTATATGTGACAAGCCCACAGCTAACATCATACTCAAACAGTCAAAAGCTAAACCTTTTCCTCTAAGATCAGGAATAAGACAAAGATGCCCATTCTCACCACTTCTGTTCATTATAGTAATGGAAGTCCTAGCTGGAGCAATTAAGTAAGAAAAAGAAATAAAAACAAAAAGCATCCAAACCAGAAAGAAAGAGGTAAAATTGTCTGTCTGCAGGTGACATGAGCTTATATATAAAAATCCTTAATCTTTAAAGACTCCACCAAAAATGTTAAAACTAATAAATTCAAAAAAGTTGCAGAATATAAAATCAACATATAAAAATACAATATACACTAACAACAAACTATCCAAAAAAGAAATCAAGAAAATTTCATCTACAATAGTACAAGAAAAAAACTTAAAAAAAAAAAACAAAAAAAACTTAGGGATAAATTTAACCAAGGAGGTGAAAGACTAAAAACTACAAAACATTGATGAAAGAAATTGAAGATGACAAAAAAAAAAAAAAGGAAATATATCCTATGTTCCTGGATTGGAATAATTAATATTGTTAAAATGTCCATACTACCCAAAGTGATCTACAGATTAAATGTAATGCCTATTATTTTGACTGTCTTTTTTTACTATTATATGGTTATAAATAACCCTCTTTCTGTGACAACACAGAACAATCCAAACACGTTAATTCATCAGATGTTTACTGAGTACCTGCTATATTTCAGGCACTGTTTTAGGTACTTAAGGTACATCAAGAACAAAACAACCAGTTGTGGTGGCTCACATCTGTAATCCCAGCTGAGAGGCTGAGGTGGTAGGATCACTTGAGGCCAGGAGTTCAAGACTAGCTTGGGCAACATGGTGAAACCCCATCTCTACCAAAAAGTACCAAAATTAGACAGGTGTGGTGGTACACACCTAGCTACTTGGGACGTGGGAGGATTGTGTGAGCCTAGGAGTTTGAGGCTGCAGTGACCTATGATTATTCCACTGGACCCCAGTCAGGGTGACAGACTAAGACTTTGCCTCTTAAAAAAAATTCCAATGGTATTTTTCACAGAAATAGAAAAAATCCTAAAATTTATATGGAACCACAAAAGACCCTGAATAACCAAAGTAATTGCAAGCAAAAAGAACAAAGCTGGGGGTATCATGCTACCTAATTTCAAAATATATTATTGAGCTATAGTAATCAAAACAGCATGGTACTGGCGTTAAAAACAAATAGACCAATGGAACAGAATAGAGAGCACAGAAATAAATCTATGCATTTATTGTCAACTTAACTTTGACAAGGGTGTCAAGAACACACAATGTGAAAAAGACAGCCTCTTAAATAAACGGTGCTGGGAAAACTGAATATCTATATGCAGAAGAATAAATTTCAACCCTTCTTTCTTTTTTTTGAGATGGAGTCTTGCTCTGTCGCCAGGCTGGAGTGCAATGGTGCGGTCTCGGCTCACTGCAACCTCCGCCTCCCAGGTTCAAGCAATTCTCCTGCCTCAGTCTCCCAAGTAGCTGGGACTACAGGTGCACATCACCATACCCAGCTAATTTTTGTATTTTTGGTAGAGACGGGATTTCACCATGTTGGCCAGGATGGTCTCGATCTCCTGACCTCGTGATCCACCCTCCTTGGCCTCCCAAAGTGCTGGGATTACAGGCGTGAGCCACCACACCTGGCCTCAATCCTTATTTCATGTCATGTACAAAAATCAACTCAAAATGGATTAGAGACATAAATGTAAGACTTGAAACTGTAAAACTACTAGAAGGAAATATAGGGAAAAAAGCTTCTTGACATTCATCTGGGCAATGGCTTTTTGGATACGACCCTAAAAGCACAGGCAACAAAAAACAAAAACAGACAAATCAGATTGTATCAAACTAAAAAGCTTCTGCAAAATAAAGGAAACCACCAAAAGAGAGAAGACAAACAATACACAGAATGGGAGAAAATACTTGCAAACCATACATCTTATAAGGGGTTAATATCCAAACAAATCAGTAGCAAGAAAACAAATAATCCAACTAAAAAATGGGCAAAGGACCTGAACAGCCATTTATCAAAAGAAGACATATAAATGGCCAACAGGTATACGAAAAAATGCCCAACATCACTAATCATGAGGGAAATACAAATAAAAACCACAATGAGATATTATCTCACCCAAGTTAGAATGGCTATTATCAAAGAGATAAAAGGTAAGTATTGGCAAGGACATGGAAAAAAGGGAACCCTGTACACTGTTGGTGGGAATGTAAACTGGTACAGCCATTATGCAATACCGTAAGAAATTTTCCTAGAAAATGAATAACAGCAGGGCCGAGCATGGTGGCTCATGCCTGCAATCCCAGTACTTTGGGAGGCAGAGGCGGGTGGATCACGAGGTCAGGAGTTCGAGACCAGCCTGGCCAATATGGTGAAACCCCGTCACTACTAAAGACACAAAAAATTAGCCGGGCGTGGTGGCACATGCCTGTAATCTCAGTTACTTGGGAGGCTGAGGCAGGAGAATCACCTGAACCCGGGAGGCGGAGGTTGAAGTGAGCCAAGATCGTGCTATTGTACTCCAGCCTTGGTGACGGGGCAAGACTGTGTCTTTAAAAAAAAGAAAAAAAAGAAAATGAAGGACAGAACTACCAGCAATCCCATTTCTGGGTTCATATTCAAGAGAAATGAAATCGGTATGTCCAAAAGATATCTGTGCTCCCATGTCCACTGCAGTATTATTCACAATAGCCAAGCTACAGAATCAACCTAAGCGTCTACAGATGGATGAATGGACAAAGAAAATGGAATATTATTCAGCCTTAAAAAAGAAGGAAATCCTGTCATCTGTTGAAAACATGAACCTGGGAGGCATTATGTTAAGTAAAATAAGCCCAGCACAGAAAGACAAATACTGCATGATCTCATTTATAAGTGGAATGTAAAAATGTCAAACTCACAGAAGCAGGGAGTAGAATGGTGGCTTTTGGGGCTTGGGGTATGGGGAGATGAAGGCCAAAGGGTACATAGTTTCAGTTATGCAGGATGAATAAGCTTCTGAGGGAAAATATACATGGTGACTACAGTCTAGAATACTGTATTGTTACTTGAAGTTTGCTAAGAGAATAGATCCTAAATGTTCTCACCACACACACAAAAGATAATTGTGAGGTGATGCATATGTTAGTTAGCTTGATTGTGATAATCATTTCACAATGTATATATATATCAAAACATCACAGTGTACATTGTAAATATACAATTTTTGTCAATTATGCCTCCATAAAGCTGGGGAAAAAAGAAATGTATTGTCAGAAACTAGTTGAGGTATACAGCCGAATGAAAGTTAACACTCTAAAAAGGGTTCAAAATGGCTAAAATGATAATAAATATTATATTATGTATATTTTACTACTATTTTTTTAAAAAGAAGAGGTTCAAGCAAACTATTAATGAAATGAAGAGGAATGATTAGCTCTAACTGGATGGTCACTGAGGGTGGTTAGAATTTCCACCAATCCTAGTCAACTGGGGTTGGGGGAGACAGGCCCAACTTCCTCCAGGAATAGTGTGGGTGTTCAGGGAATGGCAGGGGGTTGGTTACAAGGGGTGTGTCAGGGATAAGGTGAGCAATGACAATGAAAAGGTGGCAGAGGGCCCACCAGGAGAGAACCTTTACTCACCAGGTCAGGGACAGAGGCCATTCATCACAGGCCAAGAGAGCCACAACGAGCGCTGGGCAGGGAGAGGCATGGGGAGCCTGCAGGCAGCAAGGCAAACACAGAGGCCACTGAACCTGCCCAGGCTTAAGGTGAGGAGGGCAGTGGCTGGGCAGGGCCAAGGCAGACAGATGGGAAACAGGGGTCAGAAAGTCGGGTAGATGCAACAGTGCTTGCGAGTGTAAAGGAGGAGAGTGTGTTGGGGTGGTGTAGGAAGGCACACTTTCTCTCATCATTTGAGGCTCTTAAAACAAAACAGAAAACCCCACCTAGAAAAGCAAAGTGTATGTCAGTGATACAGATACTAAGGAGGGTTCGGGAACTACCGGTACTTCAGTTTCTGAAGGAACTCCAGCTGTCCCCCAAGCTCACATTCTGTGAGAGCCAGATAAAAAGCTTGTTTTTTTTTTCCCTTTTTTCCTTGCCTGCCAAGGCCTGTCACTCCAGGCTTTAGATCTCCTGGAGTGACACCTGCGTAGTTCCGGTTCCCAAACTCTCTGCAACAGGGGCTGCCTTGCGTCCCTGTGCACTAAGCAGGTCACCACCCACTGGCCATGGGAGCCTAGGCAGAGGGAAAGGAAGGCCAGATCCTCTTCCTCTTGTTTCCGATGAGCAAGGCTGTGCACTGCTTATGAATGGTGGAGCTGCGGCTTCTTGCAGAACCTCTAAAGTCTCCCAGCTGCCAAGCTGACCCCTAACTAATCACCAGCCCCTCTGGCCATTGTTTTAATTCAGCAGTTTAGTGAACCACAAATTGTTAGCCCTCAGTTTTGTTCTTCTTTAAAAGACAAATAATCCATAGTATTTTGACCTTTCCTCAGTTCTTACTTCCGAAATTCTAAGTTAATTTCATTACTCTCATCTCCAAACTTTCCACCTTATGCTGAGGACCCTAATCAAGTATGAAACTTCATCATCCAAAAGGCTGGCACTGATCAGAGCACAATGGAAAGGCTGCTGTGCTCTGCACACATTAGAGTAAACAAACCTCATTCTTGTTTTTTGCTGTAGCATCACATTCACTGTTTTCAGGCTTCCTCAGGTGCGTCCACCTTCCTCCTTGGTCAAAAGTGATCATGGTCTGGATAGAATTATCTGAATGGGAAGAGAACAACATTAAGTCTGATACACTGGAAGTACCTAGGTTAGATTCACTTTATCACTGCATGACTCTCTCCTGAGACCGTATAGCACCTGGAGTCCGACAAGCTTGTAACACCTCACAAAACGGCTCATTGTTGGTAACGGAGCAGCACTTTAAATATGATATTTGAGGCCAGGTGCAGTGGTTCATGCCTGTAATCCCAGCACTTTGGGAGGCCAAGGCAGGTGGATCACCTGAGGTCAGGAGTTTGAGACCAGCCTGGCCAACATGGTGAAACCCTGACTCTACCAAAAATACAAAAAATTAGCCGGGTGTGGTGGTGGGGGCCTGTAATCCCAGCTACTCGGGAGGCCGGGACAGGAGAATCACTTGAACCCGGGAGGTGGGGGCTGCAGGGGGTCAAGATCATGCCATTGCACTCTAGCCTGGGCAACAAGAGCAAAACTCTTGTCTCAGAAAAAAAAAAAAAAAAGATATTTGAAGAAGGTGTCCCACCTGAACAGGACCCAATTAATTCCACAAATTATTTAGGACTGATACTCTTTGAAAAAAATACCTTTTAACTCCTTACCAACATGAACAGGCTGATGTCCATTCTCCTTCCCTGTTTGCTTGCCTGGGAAGTAAAATCTACCACAGGAAGGCATCCTAATCTTTATTCGGACAAGGCCATGACACTAGCCTTGTTTTAGGGACTCTTGAGATTCAGTAAGTGTGCAGAGTTCTGGATTAATAACTCTGAATTATTGTCTCTCCACTACTCCATATCCTATCTTTCTTGTACCTTTCTTTTTTCCCTCGTCTCTTCCCCATTCTTATTTTCAATGATATAAACTGTTGCAGGTTTTAAATTCAGAGATAATATCCTTTGAGTTTTCCTTTATTTTTATTTATTTATTTATTTATTGAGATGGATTTTCGCTCTTGTTGCCCAGGCTGGAGTGCAATGGCACAATCTCAGCTCACTGCAACCTCTGCCTCCTGGGTTCAAGCAATTCTCCTGCCTCAACCTCTGGAGTAGATGGGATTACAGGCACCTGCCGCCTGGCTAATGTTTGGTATTTTTAGTAGAGACGGGGTTTCACCATGTTGGTCAGGCTGGTCTCCAACTTCTGACCTCAGGTGATTCACCCGCCTCAGCCTCCCGAAGTGCTGGGATTACAGGTGTGAGCCACTGTGCCTGGGCTCCTTTGAGTTTTCTAAGAAAAAGCAAACAAGGAAGCAAATGAAGGAAAATTCATTTACTCAAACATCTACTGAGTGCCTACTATGTGAAAACTCTTTTTTTTGAGACAGAGTCTTGTTCTATCACCCAGGCTGGAGCGCAGTGGCACCATCTCGGCTCACTGCAACCTCTGCCTCCCGGGTTCAAGCGATTCTCCTGCCTCAGCCTCCTGAGTAGCTGGGACTACAGGTGCATGCCACCAGGTCTGGCTAATTTGTATTTTTAGTACAGACTGGGTTTCACCATATTGGCCAGGCTGTTCTCCAACTCCTGACCTCAAGTCATCCACTCACTTTGGTCTCCCAAAGTGCTAGGATTACACGCATGAGCCACTACACCCAGAGTGAAAACTTTTGTAAGCCTTTGGTAATGTATCAGTGAACTAAACAGACAAATATTGTGAAAAATACATTCCGGTAGGGCGAGACAAGCACTAGACATAGTAAATAAGTAAATTATGTAGTATGCTAGAAAATAAGTACTATGGAAAATACTTGCGCAGCTAAAGGTGGATTGATAGTGTGTGTGTGAGGAGGCGAGGGCAAACTGGAATTTAAAATAGGATAGTCAGGGAAGGTCTCATTCAAAAAGTAATACATGAGTACAGACATATCAGCCTTGCGGACATCTGGAGAAACAGAGGGAACTGTCGGTGCAAACTCTAATCTGTGCATGTGCATGTGTACCTGCTGTGTTAAGAACTGGCAGGTGGACAGTATGATGAGAGTAGGGCAGATGGAAAGAGAAGCGCTGGAGGTGAGTCAGGGAGGAAACCGGGAGCCATATCTCCAGGACTTTGTAGGCCACTGCCAGGACTTTACAAAATAAAAACAGCCCCTACCTCCTACCGAAAAATAAATATATAAATAAAATGACACTTTAAGAGTCTTTGTACTTGAGACTAATGTGTTTATTTGTATAACTGGGCCTAAGGAAAGGTGAGCTCTGTAGAGCCATTGAGTAGAACACAAGAAGAACCCTGGCTGGCTACTGCTATGCACCCTTACCAAGAAGAGCAGGAAGTGGGTCAAATTCAGGCTTATTCTCATAGGCCTACATCTCCCAATATAGAAGACTCACTTTATTACCTAAACAACATAGATTCAAAACATCTTTTTTTCTACTTGTTGTTGCTCTCCTCACTCCTAGTTCTATTTATCATAACTTATTTAAAATAGGGAGCCTGAATTTGCATGGGTTTGGTCTGTCCCTGCTGGACTGTCCTCCTGATCCCTCCTCCCCCGGCATCACCCAATGTCTCACCACCACCACCAGGCCAAACCCTCCTGTGACTCTGATACTTTTTTTTTTTTTGAGATGCAGTCTCACTCTGTTGCCCAGGCTGGAGTGCAGTGGCATGGTCTTGGCTCACTGCAAGCTCAGCCTCCCGGGTTCACGCCATTCTCCTGCCTCAGTCTCCTGAGTAGCTGGGACTACAGGTGTCCACCACCACGCCCAGCTAATTTTTTGTATTTTTAGTAGAGACGGGGTTTCGCCGTGTTAGCCAGGATGGTCTCGATCTCCTGACCTCATGATCCACCTGCCTCAGCCTCCCAAAGTGCTGGGATTACAGGTGTGAGCCACCGCGCCCAGCGACTCTGATACTTTGCATGTGTACTTCCTTCAGCTGAAAATGCCCTTCCCTCCCCATTCCTGCCTATCATACTTAAGGCTCAGTCTTAAATGTTTTTCAAGTGTGTTCACTGTATGGTTTTGAGTGCAAGGCTGTTCAGCCGTTTATTTGTAGGCTCATTTGGCAAGTATTACTGAACATCTACTATGTGCAAAAATTGTCATAAGCACCAGAGGAGCATCAGTGAACACAACTTTAAAAATCACTGCCATCCATAGGACTCAATTAGAAGCTTCCTCAACGAAGATATTCACATGGCCAACGAGCATATAAAAAGTTGTTCAACATCTTTAGTCATTAGAGAAATGCAAATCAAAGCTATAAACGAGATAGTATTTCACTCCCATTAGGAGTGCTGTTACAAAAATAGGAGAATATAATGTGTTTGCAATGAAGTAGAGAAATTGGAATCCTTTTGTATTGCATGTAAAATGGTACAACCATGTGGAAAACCCATTGGTATTTCCTCCAAAAGAGAAACATGGAATTATCATGTGATCCTGCTATTTCACTCCTACATATATCCCCAAAGGAACTGAAAGCATTGACTTAAACAGTTACATGTATAACAATGTTCATGGCAGCATTCAGTATTCATAAGAGCTGAAAATGGAAACAGCCTAAGTGTCCATCAATGGAGGAATAAAAAACAGGCTGGGCATGGTGGCTCACGCCTGGAATCCCAGCACTTTGGGAGGCCAAGGCAGGCAGATCACCTGAGGTCAGGAGCTCGAGACCAACCTGGCCAACATGGTGAAACCCCATCTCTACTAAAAATACAAAAATTAGCTGGGTGTGGTGGCACACACCTGTAAACCCAGCTACTCAGGAGGCTGAGGCAGGAGAATCCCTTGAACTTGGGAGACCAAGGTTGCAGTGAGCTGAGATCACGCCACCGCACTCCAGTCTGGGCAACAGAGCGATTCCATCTCAAAAAAAAAAAAAAAAAAGAAAGAAAAAGAAAAAAAAGGTGCTATATTCAAACAAAGGAATATATTCTAGTCTTAAAAAGCAATAAGTGAAATTCTAAAACATGCTGCAATGTGGCTGAACTTTGAAACAATATGCAAAATGAAAGAAGCCAGACATACAACAACCAATAGTGTATGATTCTGCTTACATGAGCTACCTAGAATAGGCAAATTCATTGAGACATAAAATAGAATGTTGGTTACCAGAGCTGGGTGACTGGGTGGGGAACGAGGAGTGCTTGTGCACCTGGTGCAATTTCTATTTGGGATGATGAAAAAGCTCTGGAAATAGGGGTGATGGTTGTGCAACATTGTGACTGTGCTTAATGCTACTGAATTGTACCCTATACAATGTTAAAAACTGCAAATTTTGTTAGACATATTGCCACAATAAAAAAAAAAAAGGAAACAAAAAAATGTACATGGGTAGGCTTGTTGGCTTGGCAAGCAACATTACTAGGGGACAGGTTCCCCGAAGCCTCAAATCCTACCACATGCAGCTGAAGGCACAGTACACCACTGCGATGCCGAGACTCACCTTCGGAGAGCACGCTTGTTATGTAGACGCCGCGGAGGGAGGTCACGTTGGTAAAGTCCGTCTCTCCGCCTGTGGTAGTGTAGAGATGTCGGTCCAAAGACTTGGAATAGACAATGCCTCGATCATCTGAGGTAAAGATTGTGCCAAACCCAGTGTCTGAAATAGGCAAACAAACAAAAATACTAAGTCTTGGGTGGAACCAAAGAGAAAAACAATAGTCTAACCACACACGATTACCTGCCTGACCAAACACAGTAGCCAATTGTGTCTCTTCATGATGAAGACTCAGACCTGAGAATTAATCAAGGTTTGATACTCAAGATCTTTATGCCCATCTTTAATTCTAGTACCCAGCTTAGTGCCTGGAATATGGCAGATGCTGAGTTTGTTGAATAAATTAATCAGATGCTACAGAAAAACTCTTCCCAGATATATTTTGGTGGGAGAGGCCCTATGTTTAGTTTACATATTTTTAAATCTTTACACTCTAGAACAATGCTTCTCAAACTATCTGTAGTGAAGGATCAATTTGTAAGATTTCCAATATGTCACAAACTGATGCTATTGTAAAACATAATAAAAACTAATCATTAGAAAATGAAAAGGTAAACAAAATATATGCCCCTAAGTTTTTTTTTTTTGAGATGGAGTCTCGCTCTGTTGCCCAGGCTGGAGTGCAGTGGCACGATCTCAGCTCACTGCAAGCTCCACCTCCCGGGTTCATGCCATTCTCCTGCCTCAGCCTCCTGAGTAGCTGGGACTATAGGTGCTCGCCACCACGGCCAGCTAATTTTTTGTATTTTTTGTAGTAGAGATGGGGTTTCACTGTGTTAGCCATGACGGTCTCGATCTCCTGACCTCGTGATCTGCCCGCCTCAGCCTCCCAAAGTGCCAGGATTACAGGTGTGAGCCACTGCGCCCAGCCATAAACCCCTAATTTTTTGTCATTAGATCCAACAGACATAAAATTGCTTTGTCAAAAGGCTAGAAGAGTTTCCAAACTCTTGCTCTCAATTTCTGTACTTATCTGGTAACAGATAGTTTGCAAATCAGTACCAGTCTGCTGACCATTCTTTGAGCAGCTCTGCTCTAGAACACCTGAACATACACACAAGCTACCAAAACAAGTGGCATTTTTAACAGGGGCTACAGATGATCTCTAGGACAGAAAAATCAGTAGGGCACTAATAAATTTCTAGGGGTAAGAGGAAAACTCGACATGTAAAAATAAAAGCTGCTCAAAGCTTACATCTCTATGCTTTTAAGGGTAAGCCACTAAAAAGCTCTTACCTCCAGGTTCATCTACATGCATGAATACCATGTCATCATTTGCTGCCAGAATAGAATAGAACTGTTCCTGTCCCACGGAGGGGAGCTGGGCCATGCTCCATGTGTCCCCTTGATCTGTTGAAACGTGGATCCTTCTTGTTGTATCCTAGAACAGATGTCAATATTTATCTTTCTAATTTTCTGCCAAGATGCCATGGGCAGGGACATGAACAAGAATGTTTTAAATAACTACTATTATCCATTTCTCTACTGGGTACGATTGCTATGAATGAAAGGTCATAGTACCAATTACCAAAGCAATTTCTAGCCCCTAGCAAAGTTCTAGGTAAAGGAACAATCCATTCTATTCTAAGTAAGGCTATCTTGGCTTTCTCTTTGAATTCTTCATTCTGATGCGGCCCTGTAAGATAGTATAGTCTTGGTCTCTGATAGTCCACCTCCTTCAGTAGAGCTAAGGATTTGATGAGAACATTAGGTTGGCTTTATAGCCATTTGCATACACTCAGGTAATTCTTAAAATGATGACTACTGCATAAAAGTTTGGTCCCTTTCATACAGTGCTTGCATAATTTAAAGAATTATATACTTAAGGGTCTAGAAAATAGAGATGAAACCCATGTTTGGGAGATCACAAGGGAAGTCAAGATGTAACACGCCTTCTCTCTAAGGAAGTCTCTCAGAATAGCCAGGATGAAGGGAACAGGCATGGGCTGGAAAGAGGCCAAGGAGAGTCGGAAATTACTATAAGGAAACTGATTAGGGAGTATTTGGCTGACGAAAAGAGTCTGTTAAGAAAGCAATTAAAACTTAACTCTCTGATAAATAGCTTAACATCGCTACTAGATACAGTTAGCCTGAGCATGAGAATTAATGTCGGTGTTTCCTTAGATTAAATACTCTTTAAAGTTCAGTGATAAGTACATTTAACTTATTCAACTTATACCAACATGTCTCATTACTTTGAATCTTATTCTCATTACTGTAGGTAGAAACCAGAGTTCAAAAGTACATCGCAAAATTTTAATTCTGTAGACAGCATTATACCATATATGCAGTATAGCATAGGAAGCTACCTCTGGAATTTGAGTCTGATTTCCAGCAGGATTCCACTACTGGTTGACCCTAGGTAAGTTACTCAATTTCCTCACCTATAAAACTGAGGTAATACTATTAGCTCACAGGGTTATTGGGAGGATATTACAAAATGGCTTTGGAGAGTTATCTGTATTTACTGCCTACTTCTTCATCTCTAGTTCTCACTGAAGTCACTCCAATCGGCCTTTTAACTTCCAATGAAGTGCTTTTGTCAAGGTCACCAACAACCTCCACGTCGCCAACTCCAGTGGATAATTCTCAGAATGCACCTAACTCAATGGTCCTGATTTCCCTCTTCCTCCCGGATCCCTCCCTCTCAGTCTTCTTTGCTGGATTCTTCTCTTTCCAACCTTTCAGTTGTGGGTGCTTCAGGGCTTGCTCAGTCCTCCCACCTCTTTGCTACCTACTTACTCCTCCAGAAGGTATCATCTGGTCACATGGCTTCAAATACCATAGCAATTAGGGAGATTCATATACCCAAATGCTCACTTGACATCTCCATTCAGATATCTAATAGGTGTCTCATATGCAGAACTGAATTCTTTTTTTATTTTTTTTGAGACAGAGTCTCACTCTGTTTCCCAGGCTGGAGTGCAGTGGCATGATCTTGGCTCACTGCAACCTCCGTCTCCACAGTCCAGTTGATTCTTGTGCATCAGCCTCCCGAGTAGCTGGGATTACAGGCCTGCGCCACCACGCTTGGCTAATTTTTTGTATCTTTTAGTAGAGACAGGGTTTCGCCATGTTGGCCAGGCTGCTCTCAAACTCCTGACCTCAAGTGATTTGCTCGTCTTAGCCTCCTAAAGGGCTGGGATTAAGGCGTGAGCCACCATGCTCGGCCCAAAACAGAATTCTTGATTTTTCTCCCACAACCTGCTCCTCCTGCAGTCTTTGCCATCCTAGAAAATGGCACCACCATTCAGGCGCTCAGGATACAGACTCTTAAAGGTACCCTTGATTCCACTCATTCTCTCACAACCCACATCAAATCCATCAGCAAGTCCTATTAGTAATATGTTTAAAAATGTATCCACAGTCTCACCACCTGCCCCCTTACCCACTGCCAAGAGCCTGGCCAAGCTACCACCTCCCCAGCTTGGACTCCTGAGAGAGCTCCCGGCGCTCCCGCTGCTTCTGCGCGTGCCCCTGTCAGGCTGTTCTGCGCACACCTATTCTTCAAAAGAGAAGCCAAATCTCAGCATTCCCCTGCTCACAACCCTCTCACAGCTCCCAACACAAGAAGAGTAAGGCCCACATCCTAATTGTGATCTACAAAGGCCACATAAGGTCTGGCCAGGCCCCCTCTGGCCCCACTTTGGACTATTATTCTCTGTGCTCCCCCCATACTGCCCTTCTCCCCTTTGCTTGGATTGATCGGGCATGCTCCAGTCTGAGGGTCTCTGCACTGGCTGTGCCTCATCCTACTCTCCTCCCAGATGGCCACATGGTCAAGTTCTTGTTTCACTTAGGTCTCAGAGAGCCCATCCTAAACAGTCTGTCTAAAAGAGCACTGACTCCTGACACTTTGTTTTCTTACTGTTTTAGATTTCTTCGCGGCTTTAATTATTACCTGATACACACACACTCACATTTATATTTATTTATGAGACAGGGTCTTGTGCTGTTACCCAGGCTGGAATGCAGTGGCATGATCACAGCTCACTGCAGCCTCAACCTCCCCAGGCTCAGATGATCCTCCCACCTCAGCCTCCCAAGTAGCTGAGACTACAGGCACATGCCACCATGCCTGGCTAATTTTCTTATTTTTTGTAGAGACAGGGTTTTGTCATGTTGCCCAGGCTGGTCTTGAATTCCTGGGCTCAAGGGATCCACCCGCCTCAGCCTCCCAAAGTCCTGAGATTACAAGTGTGAGCCACTACCCCCAGCCTTCATATTTATTTTTTGAGTATTTATTTTCCCCCTTAAACATAAGTTCTGAGAGCAGGAAATTCATCTGTTTTGTTCACTGCCATATTCCTGGGACTTAGAATAGTACCTAGCATATAGTAGGCACTCAATTAATGTTATCTAATTGTATTTTTATTCTTGGATAATGAGCAAGAGATTGCTTTCTACAGATGTCCATTGTCTGAGTAATGCCCAAACACTGGATCAAAATATCCTGGCCGGGCGCGGTGGCTCACGCCTATAATCCCAGCACTTTGGGAGGCTGAGGCGGGGGGATCACCTGAGCTCAGGAGTTCAAGACCAGCCCGGCCAACATGGCAAAACCCCATCTCTACTAAAAATACAAAAATTATCCGGGTGTGGTGGTGCACACCTATAGTCCCACTTACTTGGGAGGTTGAGGCAGGTGAATTGCTTTAATCTGGGAGGCGGAGGGTGCAGTGAGCCGAGATTGCGTCACTGCACTCCAGCCTAGGCAACAGAGAGAGACTTTGTTTCAAAAAAAAAAAAAATCCCAAAAAAGATAACAGAATTCACATGGTGACAGAAGGCCAAAGTGCAGAGTAGCCTATCAGTCAATCAGCCTTTGCAAAAAGAATCACCCCTAACACTCACAGTGGTACTAAATATAACAAAAAGACAAGAAACTCTGTCAATGCCAAGTAATAAAGAGAATCTATACGAGAGATATTTGCAGAAATATCAGACCCCAAAGGGGAGAGGGCAATACCTACCTTATCAGCCATCACAGAGGCAAAAAGGAAACGTCCCCCAAGACCAAATGAGTAGATTTTCACACCAATAGTTTTGAAGCTTTTTCCCAAGTCTGAAGTTCTCCATAATTCCAGAGCCCCAAGGTCAGCTTCTTAAACAAGACAAAATATTAATTAAAATTTCACTTACTGGTGAGCCTAGTTCAAAGCAGTTGTTTTAGAATCAATCTTAATTTTATAGCTAAAGCATTTTAAATACTATGCATGTTAATCAAGTGACAACATAAAATGTGATACAGCGGCCAGGCGCAGTGGCTCATGCCTGTAATCCCAGCACTTTGGGAGGCTGAGGTGGGCGGATCACGAGGTCAGGAGATAGAGACCAAACTGGCTAACACCATGAAACCCCATCTGTACTAAAAATACAAAAAAATTTAGCCAGGCGTGGTGGTGGGCGCCTGTAGTCCCAGCTACTCGGGAGGCTGAGGCAGGAGAATGGCGTGAACCCGGGATGCAGAGTTTTCAGTGGGCAGAGATCGCGCCACTGTGCTCCAGCCTGTATGACAGAGCAAGACTCCGTCTCATAAAAAAAAAAAAAAAAAGTGATACAGCATTAGATATAGGCAATTCATATTTGTGTTTTATTTTATACATTTCAGATTTTATGCTCAATGGAAAGGTAAGAGATTACTTAATTCTAATACAGTGTTTCATAAAAACATCAAAGCCACAGCAGACGGGTGCGGTGGCTCACGCCTGTAATCCCAGCACTTTGGGAGGCCGAGCCGGGTGGATCACGAGGTCAGGAGTTCAAGACCACCCTGGCTAACACGGTGAAACCCCATCTCTACTAAAAATACAAAAAATTAGCCGGGCGTGGTGACAGGCGTCTGTAGTCCCAGCTACACAGGAGGCTGAGGCAGGAGAATGGTGTAAACCCAGGAGGCGGAGCTTGCAGTGAGCGGAGATGGCGCCACTGCACTCCAGCCTGGGCGACAGAGCAAGACTCCGTCTCAAAAAAAAAAAAAAAAAAAAGCCACAGCATGCTGCTTTACTTTCTTCATGGCACAGTTTGGAATTATCTTATCCTATTTTAAATTGTCTTGAGTTTTCTTTTCTTTTCTTTTAAGGGCTGGGGGTCTTGCCACATTGCCCAAGCTGTCCTTGAACTTCTGGGCTCAAGCAATCCTGCTGTCTCAGCCTCCCAAGTAGCTGGGACTGCAGGCATGCAACCATCATGCCCAGCTGGAGTTTTGGTTTTCCTGAATTTACGTTCCATGAGGGCAGGCCTTGGGTGTTTTCTTCTCTCCATCCTTAGAACAGTGTTTAGCATATGAGCAGGTGCTCAAATATCTGTTGAATGAGTAAATGAAAGATTTTGCTTTCTGTTTTGAAGTTGTGTCAGAGTTTGGGAAGCCAGCTGCTTCTGCAAACACAAACACAACCCTTGCTTTCCTGTAGAAATAACCATGCATTTCAATTTGCTATTGTCTGTAGCATAATATTTGCTTTACATAAATACATTGCTAAGATTAAATATTGCCTCTACGTATAGCCTATATTTTTACTTGATCTGGGTAGTGTAGTAATTTGGTTTTACTTTCAAGATTTTAATAACCACTAACAGCTTTCTTTAGCTATTACAATTTCAGGAGAATGGAGGGACCTTTTATGTTTCTACCTTGCACAACCCAGAAAATTCTACCATGAATGGACAACAGGACATTATTTTCTGGGACTAAAATATACTTACTGCAGGAGCCATTTGCATAGGTTGTAAAGAAGATGGTGTTGTCTGATCCCCTACAATGAGGCAAAAACAGGGAAAAGAAATGGTTTAAGACTGCTGAAGGACTGTGTTGACCTTACTCACAAACTTCCTAGCAGGTCTAACAAGCTTCATTCACAGGCACTGACAAGCACCACTTCTCAGGCGCTGAGCCCTGGTCCTTCACAGCTCTGCCTGTCAAGCTCCCCACTGCCCGGCCCATGTGTTGTCTACAGTCCACCACTTCTTTACGTGAACTCTTTCAGGCAGTCATGCTGGTCTACTCACCCTCTCAACATTTGCCTCTGACATTTTTGATCATCACAACTGAGGGGTGGGTGGCGGAGGTGTTATTGGCATCTACCGGGTAGAGGCCAGGGATGTTGCTACACATTTTATGATGCACAGGACGGTCCTCCACAATAAAGAATTCTTTGATCCAAAATGTCATTAGTGCTGAGGTTGAGAAACTCTGTTTTAGAGCACTGTACCATCTGCACAGCCACTTGGCATGCATTTGCCTGTTTTTTATTTTACTTGCATAGTATATGCCTTACCTTTCCTACTATATAAATTAGCTTCTTCAGGGCAGGTACTATACTTTGCTGTTTCCCTTCAGAATCTAGTTCAATGCTTTGTATGAGTTAAATAATTTAGTTCTTCCATCTCAAATGGACAACTAGGTCGGAGGTTGAATTATTTAAAATGTAACCTGGAAAGGGAGTTTGCAGGGAACTAGATTCAGACCCTCCTGGCACTTACTGGATTGCAACCAAAAAAAGGTGTTGGTTTTGAGCATGTTCTTTCAGAACTTTTGGTTGTAAATTCCTAGAAACTAGAGATCTAAAAAGGTGAGTAAACAGCAGCATCCTGGTTATTCATATTTAGACACTAAACAAAAAAAAAAAAACATGTTACAAAAGTAAAAACCTTGCATAGGATACAAAACAAAATCCTATTTTAAAATAACTTTTTAGTTTTAAAGATAAGGTTTTGTTTGTTTATTTAAGTGACGGAGTCTTGCTCTGTCACCTAGTTTGGAGTGCAGTGGTGCAATCACAGCTCACTGCAGCCTCGAACTCCTCGGCTAAAGTGATCCTCCCATCTCATTCTCTTGAGTAACGAGGACTACAGGTGTGCACCACCATGCTTGGCTTTTTTTTTCATTAATTTTTTGTAGAGATGGGGTCTCACTCTGTTGCCCAGGCTGGTCTTGAATTCCTGGTCTCAAGCAATCCTTCCATCTCAGCCTCCCAAAGTGCTTGGATTAGGGGTATGAGCCACTGCACTTGGCTAAAGATGAGTTTTAATGATTAAAATTTAACAAAACTTAGCCAGGTGTATGCCTGTAGTTCCAGCGACTGGGAAGGCTGAAGTGCGAGGATCACTTGAGCCCAGGAGGCAGAGGCTGCAATGAGCAGAGATCGTGCCACTACATCCCAGCCTGGGTGACAGAGCCAGGCCTTATCTTAAAAAAAGAAAAAAAAATTATTTACACATGACCTACATGTTTTAGTTCCATCAGGAGTGAAACAATTTAACTTAGTTATCTTAAAAATTACTTCCACCTGGTACGGTGGCTCATGCCCTGTAATCCCAGCACTTTTGGGAGGCTGAGGTGGGCGGATCAGGAGGTCAGGAGTTTGAGACCAGCTTGGCCAACATGGTGAAACCCCATTGCTACTAAAAATACAAAAGTTAGCTGGGTGTGGTGGCACATGCCTGTAATCCCAGCTACTCAGGAGGCTGAGGCAGGAGAATCACTTGAACCTGGGAGGTGGAGACTGCAGTGAGCCGAGATTGCACCACAGCACCCCAGCCTGGGCAACAGAGCAAGACTCCGTCTCAAGAAAAAAAAAATTCCTTCCTTCCTGATAAAACTGTATAAGGTACAAATACAATTCATTAGAATACATAAAACGAAAGCAAATGTGGCATGTGTAACAGAGTGGTGCTATAAAAACCTCATTAAAAAAACATTTCTGGGGCTAGGCATGGTAGCCCATACCTATAATCCCAGTACTCTGGGAGGCTGAGGAGGAAGGATTGCTTTAGCACAGGAGTTTGAGACCAGCCTGGGCAACATAGTGAGACCCCCTATCTCTACAAAATAAAAATACAAAAATTAGCTAGGCATGGTGGCACATGCCTGTAGTCCCAGCTACTTGGGAGGCTGAGGCAGAAGGATCACTTAAGTCCAGGAGGTCAAGGCTGTGGTAAGCCATGCCTGTGCCACTGTACTCTAGCCTGGACAAAAGAGCAATACCCTATCTCAAGAACAAGAACATTTCTAGAAAAGGCCTACTTTATTTAAGCAATATATTTAATATTTTAATCAATCTTGGTAGACATATTTCAAATCTGTATTCTACACTTTCCTGATTCCTAGAGTACAGGAAACTCTTGGGATTGTGGGTCATCATCATGAACATCAATTCTATCAAACTATAACACAGTGTTCCCATTAGAAGTTACTAACACAGGTGTACTTTCTTGATCTAGCACTAAATAATTTAATACTGTTTATTCTCTAAGTTTTTGTCTGCTCTTTTAGAGTAATTCCACCTCCTTCCAGCTCTCAGGCTGTAATTCTAATGCTGTTACGTGCTTATTGCAGCAGTTACATATCCTACCTCTGTAACCAATCTGCTATAAACTGGGATTCACAAATTAGCTGAAATTAGTCAAAGGGAAAGGAGAAAGAGGCTCTAAACAACATTCTGAGCCTAATCAGATTTTGGAGGCATGAAGCCTGTTAATTCAGTTCTTGCTTAGCCATCCCCACATTCTCCAAATAAGCCTCCTTTCACAAAAGGAAAAAACTAAAGCCCAGAAAGGTTGAGCCCCTGACTAGCAGCAGAGTGAGGACAGAACAAAGGTGACGAGACTCCCAAGTAAGAGCTCCCTCCACTCCATCCTCTTTAAGCAGGCACCCGGAGGGGCAGGGAATCTCTCCGAGAAAAGTGAATGAGTTGTGGTGCGCAATGTGACTTCAGGAGTCTGGAAGCTCTTTCAGCTTTCTTCCTGATTCCTTGCCATGTTCTACATGACTGAAATGGAACTCTAGACAAGAGGGTAAATCTGGGCATGGAGAAGTATTTAAATCCCTAAATTAAAGCTATATTTTATTGTATTTTAATTGATGTCACCATTCATGGAGAATGAACCCTGGGCAGGCAGCAGCAACTCAGTCACCTGCCTTGTTTTATACTTTATGTTCTAACATTTAAGTGAGACTAAGTCTTCTTTTCCAGCAGAATGAGAAGCTCCTCCAGGTCAAGGCCTGTGTCACACCCCTCTCCAATATCTCTTATGGCACCCTGAAGAGTACTTGGCACACAGTAAGTGCTCAATATTTATTCATGTGATTTTTGGCAGCGCTATCAGGAAGGGTTTAGGGCTCTGCACAGATGGAGTCTTCTGTTACTCACCATTTGGCCAAACATACTGCTTTGTGGATTTCTTCCCATTTTCCCCCAAAATTCTTGGACACCCACAGGCCATTCTGAAAGATTATAAATGACTTATCAAAATTCTAGCTTTATCCTGTGTAGTTGCTTGTATGACCTTTAATATTTCATATCCAATCATTCAGGACAGGAAAAACACATACTGAAGCTCCATCAGAGCTGCCCGAGCTCCACAGACACACACGTAGTTTATCTGGGCCCTTTTGGGGTCTTGGAAGTTCAGAATAACAAATGCGTATGAAGTGCCTATTATGTGCCAGGCACTGTACCAGATGTTGCACTGGGGATACAAAGATGAATAAGACACACTCCCTGCTGAGAGAAGGGGCTCACAGTTTAACAAGGCGCATAGATAAGAAGAAAGTTCAACACTATGCAGAGTTATAAAATATGGTCTAGTATAGAAGTGAGGAGAGGAGGAACATTGCATCAGAGATGGTGTCCTGAAGAAGACAGGTGCACTGAGTTTTAAATGATGAGCAGTGGGACCAAAAGAAGGCAAACAGGGAGATGAGGTGTTGCTGCACAAAGAGAGACTAGTATTAGCAAACGCAAGGAGGTCATAAACCCTGCAGTGTGTGCAGGGAGCTAAAAGCCATCAGGCATTACCTGAGTGCAAATTCCAAGGTAAGCAAATGAGGAACTAACGCTAGGCAGAAAGGTGAGGCCAGCTCACAGAGAGCCTTCCTTCTGTGCCATGGTAAGGACTCCAGGGTTTATTGCATATGAGGTGCTCTCAGGAGGAATGTGTGCTAAGCAGGAGGATGACACAGTCCGTTTCACTTTCTTAGGTGGAGTACTTGGACGTGAATGGGAAAGATGGATTTCAGAGGGTCCAGACTAGAGGCAAGGAAAAGCAGGGAATGACTGCCACATTAGTTCGGTAAGAGCTAATGAGGTCTTGAACACTGGCCATGAGGAACAGGCTCTGCAAGAATTTAGAAGCTAGCATAGTAGAACGGGATGACTTCTCCTGCAGGGCAGGATGAGAGGTAGGGGTGTGTGTGTGTGTGTGTGTGTGTGTGTGTGTGTGTGTGTACGCACGTGCATGCACATGCATGTAAGTTGGTCACTCTAGTTTCCTGGTTGGGGTATAGGATGCATTGTGATATCATTAACTAGTATAAGGATTAAGGGAAGAAGATCAGGTCTGAGAGAAGAGTAGGGAGGAAGCTCAGTTTTAAATTGATTTAAGGTGCTTGTGGAACATCCAGCTAGAGATATTCAGGGGGCAGCAAGACAGGAATATGATGCATTAGGGGAAAGCCAGGGCTAGAGATAAGGATTTGAAAATCTTATACATTATAGGTGGTGGTAGCTAAATGGTAAGAGTGGAAGAGAATGCTCAGTGAAATGAGGAGTAGGCATTTAAGGGTAGGCTGAAAGGAGGTTAAGGAAGGAACTAAAAGGAATAATGTCACAGAAGCCAAACAATTAGAGTTCTCAAAAGGAGGGATTGGCCAATAGTTTGAAATGTAGCAGAGACTTAACAAAATTCTGACTGACAACATTACACCGGCAATGTGAGCTTACTGAGCTCCGCCTCAGTGGAGATGGGACAGAGATGTCCTAGTCTAGCTGAAATTAAATGTAACTTATTTAGGCAGAATTTATGTTCAGTACTCCTGTACTCTCACCCACCATTCTCCTCTAACTTTTTCTCCCCTGGTAATACTCACATCCTAGCATTTCTAATTTACCTAATTCTACTTATAAAGACAAGGCAGAATTTGATACCACTGATTTGCACTTTAGTACAAATTGGTCCCTCTTCTCCATCCCAATTATATGTACTTCAGATTTACCCTTAAATGGAAGAAATTTCAGGTACAGAAGCAGACTGTATCTGTCTCTTCCTGAGGACAGTGCTGTTTTAATAACCCTGAGACACTTGGTAAGGAAGATGCAGTAGTCAAAGGGGAGCTCTATGGGTCTGTTCACTCCTTGCTCCCTTATAGTGCTTTCAGCTTAAGCGGCTGGAGGCCAATTTCCAGGAATTGTTGTTCTAAGATCTGAAGCTTACTCCCCAGCAAGCTAGTTTCCTTCCTCTGGCCTCCACTGCTAGGCTAACTCTGAGGCCGGACACAGTGGCTCACACCTGTAATCCCAGCACTTTGGGAGGCTGAGGCGGGCAGATCACCTGAGGTCAGGAGTTCGAGACCAGCCTGGCCAACATGGTGAAACCCTGTCTCTACTAAAAATACAAAAAAATTAGCTGGGCCTGGGTGCACATGCCTGTAATCTCAGCTACTCTGGAGGCTGAGGCAGGAGAAGCACTTGTACCCGGGAGGCGGAGGTTGCAGTGAGACCAGATTGAGCCATTGCACTCCAGCCTGGGCAAGAAGAGCAAAACTCTGTCTCAAAAAAAAAAAAAAAAAAAAAAACAAAAGCAAAAAAAACATAACTCTGGCCCTCCTGGTGCCCCTCAGCCTCACCTCTGCTCAAAAATCTCCCCACAGAAAGCCCAGAACCCAGACCTCTCTTCCAGTGCCCTTCGTCCTCCTATGTCATCCTTTGCTCAGCCTGACTTGTTCACGGTTGATGATCTTGTTTTGGACCCCAAAACAGTCAGTACAGCAATGACTCTCAAACTTTGGTGCTCAGGCTCAGCTGGGGAGCCTGCTAAAAATATTAGCCACCCCACAACAGTAGTCATTGATTTATTATATCTGGGTTTGGGCAAAGGGATGTGCCTCTTGAACTAGCTCCTCAGGTGTTTCTATCTGATGAGAGAAGGCCATAAAAATGTAAAGTATAATTCTGATTATTATAGTCTAGCAACTCAGCCACTTTGGGCCCTTAACCACAGTAAAGGAGACTGGTCCTCCAGGAAAGGAGAAGCTGAATGTGTTCCTCAGAGAACTTTGAGAAGTGGGAGGGTTAGGGAAACACACTGGTCTCTGGGGAAAGTATAGGAACGTGGTAGGGAGCGCAGGGATTTAAGACTTTGGATATTTAATACATGAGGGTCAAAGACAGAAATCAGTATGTTTTATAAACTGAGGACATAACAAAAAAGAAAAAAATTAGAAAGATGTTGTTTGATCATAGAAAAGGAACAATGACAACATCAGGAGTTTGACAATTTATGCTTGTCCCTTGTAGCACAAGAATGATTAAATTAAACTGTTTTCTAGTTCATTACTCCAATACCATACATTTAGTCACTTAAAAAAATTACAGTGACAACTAGGCATCACACTTACCTGGAATAGATAGCATGTGGAAATCGTGTCCTTTACCAAATAGGAAAAAACGTCAAAAAAATACATACTTCATGCCATAAGGAGACTTGAAAGAAGTCCAATATTAAAAGCATTTCCTAAAGGATCCTTCTAAGACAGTACATTTGAGACTATAAAATGCAAAAGGCAAACCATGTTCCTCAACTGGACTTACTTCAGTGCTGAGAGCTAAAAGATAATCAGAATTCTGAGGGCTATACATCATCTGAGTGAGAGGATGAAAAGGGAGATCTGTTTGCACAAAATTCTTCGCAAAATCTGATGATCTAAAGATTCTTCCTCCACGACTTCCTCCAGACACCTCTGCTGTTAACACCACCTGATAGGAAGAGGAAAGATCTGATTCAGGGTATGATACTATCTATGCAAGCACAGGAGTTCTTACACCATTTTCACCAGACATTAGTTAAGAAATTTTAGTTCTAGAAATAAGAAGAGTTATAAAAACTGATTAGTTGTTCCACTCTACCCCTTGGGTCTTATTCTTATAAAAAAATAACACCCTGAACTGAGCTGGGACATCATATCTGTGGGTTTAAGCCTAGATTAGGCTAACTGAGATTAGTTTTCCAAAAAACTAAAATGTTGTCATAGGTTATATACATTGTAATGTTAAGCAACTGCTGCATAATTATTAAGGGCTTTGGTGCACCTTGGGCGGGGAACAAAAACAAATAAACCTGTGTGCTCAGAGTTCCATTCTTATATGATCGATATTAAATTGTGTTTAAGGCAGGCACAGTGGCTCATGCCTGTAATCCCAGCACTTCAGGGGCTGAGGTGGGTGGATTGCTTGAGCCCAGGAGTTCAAGACCAGCCTGAGCAACATGGCAAAACCCTCTACAAAAAAATACAAAAATTACCCAGGAGTGGTGGCAAGAGCCTGTAGTCCCAGCTACTCAAGTGACTGAGGTGGGAGGATCCCTTGAGCCTGGAAGGTCAAGGCTGCAGCGAGCCGTGACGGTATCACTGCACTCCAGCCTGGGAGACAGAGTGAGACCCTTAAAAAATTGTGTTTAATTTTAAAATATAAATATAGCAATACTAAACTAAAATACATTACTGTGAATCACTGGACCATGCCAATACTAATATCTGACAGCTCTGCATGTGGTATCAAGCACAAGCTTTATGTATACAAGAATGAGTCTCACCTTTCCAGAGTTCTCAGGACCAATAGCCATGCCAAATTCAGTCCGAATAAAGGTGTTATTGATGAGATCTGTAATATCCTTAAAGTTCTTCCCATAATCCTCACTGAGAGGAAGAAAAAAAGGGCAAATTTAGGGTGCAGTGGTCATGGATATTACTGAGTTCCTACTCAGCTTTCATTCTCCCTTTCCACCAATCATGCTGAGAGACTCGGCTCACCCTGAATAGCCACATTCCTAGCTCCAGAGGTGCCCTGGTGAGTCCGAAGAACATTCCACCCGCCCCCCCCCCCACAAACCCACTCACCAGTGATGGGGGTTCAGGAATCGGGGAGTGACTCAGGATGAGCCAATGGGAGATAAAAGGTGGGTGGGAAATTTGGGGTCTTCTAGGAAGCACACTGCCTCCCACTTATGATAGCTACCTGATAAAATGGTCTATATTCCTTCAGACCAGCAGTTCTCAATCAGGGTGCTTTTGTCCCCCAAGAAACATTTGGTAATGTTTGCAGACTTTTTTTTTTTCCTTTGAGACAAGATCACACTCTGTTACCCAGGCTGGAGTGCAGTGATGCAATCTCAGCTCAGTGGTGCAATTCCCAGGCTCAAGTGATTCTCCAGCCTCAGCCTCCCGAGTAGCTGGAATTACAGGTCCGTGTCACCACGCCTGGCTAATTTTTGTATTTTAAGTAGAGACGGGGTTTCACCACATTGCTCAGGCTGGTCTTGACTCCCAAGCTCAAAGTGATCCGCCCGCCTCGGCCTCCCAAAGTGCTGGGATTACAGGCATGAGCCACTGTGCCCGGTCCTACAGACATTTTTGATTATCACAATGAAGGGCTGAGGTGCTACTGGCATTAAGTGGGTAGTGGCCAGCGATGTTGCCAAACATCCTACAAGGCACAGGACAGTCCCACAATAATAAAGAATTACCTGGCCCCAATGTCAAGAGTACTAAGGTTGAGAAACCCCAATGATGCAGTATGTGAACACACAGTAAAGACTGCTATCGTCATTCTGTCACAATGGGAGCACAGAGAAGGTAATTTCAGAATACCGAGAAGCAGAGCCTATGACACTGAATTGAATCGACCCTGAAGCCTGTCATTCCTCTGTACTTAGTTACAGAATCAACTATTCCCTTATTATTCAGGTTAGTTTAAGGTGAGATCTATGCAAAGTGCTCCCAAAGGCTTCTAACTAATCTATTAATCCACAGTAGTTATGAAAAAGCTGTAAATGAAGCTGTAGCAAGTTCTTGAAGTTTTTCCCCATAGAAGTTACCATCCCTAGGCAGAAGTCTGTAAGGCACTCAGTACATGAAATACAGCTAGGAAAAACAAACAAACTTAATCTCAACTCTCAGAGTTTCCAAGCTTTTTCCAAAAGTTCATTCCAACAATATCTTTGAGAAGTATTCGAATCCATGTTTAGATTCTGGAAAATAAAAGCAAAAATTCCATAGCTGTCTAACCCTGACAGGTTTAATACTATGTATAGCTCTCTTACACAATACAAAATGCTAAATCTTAATGTTCATTAAATTTAAGTATCCATCAATGAAGACTGCTGTGCACTGCAAATTTCTGCACACAGATAAATGTAATCTGCAGTGGTCTTCAATGATAGAATATAGTTATGTGTTGCATGAAGATGTTTTGGTTACCAATGGACTGTTTATATGATGGTGAGTCCAGATTATGAAACCATATTGTTACCATGCCTTTTCTATGTTTAAATATACAGATACTTAGTACTGTGTTACAGCTGCCTACAGTATTCAGTACAGTAACATGCTCTACAGGTTTGTTGCCTAGGAACAAGAAGTTATACCATATAGCTGTGGTGTGTAGCAGGCTATACTGTCCAGGTGTGAGTAAGTACACTCTGTGATGTTTGCACAATAATGAAATCACCTAATGATGCACTTCGCAGAATGTATCCCCATCATTAAGCGAAGCTTGAATGTACATGATGTAAATGATGTTACAGGTTTTGGTAGCGGCCTCAACAAATAAAGAATTGCAGAACCATGAGCAGTGTAAGGGGCTGAAGTGAACATCTTGTCCAACTCCCTCATTTCACAGATGAGGAGTTGCAAGGGAAGGCAATTTATCAAAAGTCAACTAGTTAATTAAGGGCAAAATTGAAACTATAGTCCAATTCTCTGAACCTTTAGCCCTAAACTGGAGATAACTTTTAATTATCTGTGAGGATTTTTTCCCTTACAAACTGGGGTCTTCCTCTGTCTTGCTGGGGGCTTATGACCTGGCAGAAGAGATCAGCTAAGAGAAAGTTGGAGACAGAAGGGAAGTATCCATGTGTGTATGTAGAGGTCCCTGATAATATGCTGAAACAAACTACATATGTCTAAGTTGTCTGAATGACTCTATCCTTCCTTAAGTACATACACACACACAGAAAATTCCTAGATAAATGAAATACAATTGGGCGCCACCCAACAGAGTCCTATATTATATTACCCTTTCTTTGGCTTTGCAGTAGATCAGCTCTTATCTTCCTGACAGCTGGCCAAGAGATGTGCATAAACAATTCCCAGCTCTACAGTGCATGTATCATCAACAGCTCTGTAAATCTTCCAAAGGGGTTGAAGCAGCCTGATTAGTACTAGTTTACAAATTGGTCCTCCTTCATGACATCCCCAGAGAATCTCCACAAACCTGTTGGCAAGCCTGCTTGCTTTTTAAGAACTTGGCACAACAAACACATCCCTGCCCTTCAAAAAAAGAAACCAGCATGAGCAAAACAAAAAATCACCTGCTACAGCACTCTGGTACTTTAGTCAGTTAAATAAATGGAGAAAATGAACTAGTATCAACCTGCTGGGACTTAAGTAGGGTTCTAGCAAGGCCACTTTGGGCCCAGGGGTATATTTTTTAACATAATGCTTTATTTAAATGTAGCTTTATTTTCTATCAGCATACATATCATGAAGATATGTATGGTCTCAAACTCCTGGCCTCAAGCAATCTTCCCACCTTGGCCTCCCAAAGCTCTAGAATTAGAGGCGTGATCCTAGCACTTTATTTTCTATCAGCCTATGTCACGAAGAGGAAATTGATGAAGCAACTTTGATAAATCTAATTTTCAAATTCCATATGATAATTAATAGCGTTATGAACAGCCGTCGAATGATAAGTAAACAGTTAAAATGCTGTGAAACCAACTGCTTTAGAAACAAGTCTTTTTGGCCGGGCGTGGTGGCTCATGCCTGTAATCCCAGCACTTTGGGAGGCCAAGGCAGGTGGATCACAAGGTCAGGAGTTCAAGACCAGCCTGGCCAAGATGGTGAAACCCTGTCTCTACTAAAAACACAAAAATTAGCCAGGCATGGTGGCACGCGCCTGAAATCCCTGCTACTCAGGAGGCTGAGGCAGAGAATTGCTTGACCCCGGGAGGCAGAGGTTGCAGTGAGCCGAGATCGTGCCACTGCACTGCAGCCTGGGCGACAGAGTGAGACTCCGTCTTAAAAAAAAAAAAAAAAAGAAACAAGTCTTTTTAATAACAATTCTATGCATCAACACTAATATCCATTTTCTGGTTACCAAAAATAAATGATCATTTTTGCATGTATCCACGGTGTAAACATGCACATGTTTATAACTCAAGAAAATAATGCTAAAATACAAATATATTTGGAATAGAGCTTATTTTAGCTAGGGCTGCTATAAAAGAATATTATAAACTGGGTGGCTTATAAACAGCAGAAATTCATTTCTCACTGTTCTGGAGGCTGAGAAGTCCAAGATGAAGGTGCCAGCAGATGTGCTGTCTGGTGAGGGTCTGCTTCCTGCTTCACAGATTACCCTCTTGTCACTGTAACCGTACATGACAGAAGGGGCAAGGGAGCTCTCGGGGTCTCTCTTATAAGGGGACTAATCCCACTGGTGAAGGTTCTGCCCTTATGACCTAATCACTTACCGAAGGTCCCACCTCCTAATACCATCGCACTAGGGGTTAAAATTTCAACATATGAGTTCAGAGGGAACATAAACATTCAGTGTACGGCATCCTGACACCCCCACCCTGCCCCTCCACTCCATTCCTCCAAACTCATGTCCTTCTCACATGCAAAATACATTCATTACATCCCAGCAGCCTCAAAAGCCTTTTTATTTTATTTTATTTTTTTGAGACAGAGTTCCACTCTTGTTACCCAGGCTGGAGTGCAATGGCATGATCTCGGCTCACTGCAACCTCTGTCTCCCAGGTTCAAGCGGTTCTCCTGCCTCAGCCTCCCAAGTAGCTGGGATTACAGGTATGTGCCACCACACCCAGCTAATTTTTGTATTTTTAGTAGAGACAGGGTTTCTCCATGTTGGCCAGGCTGGTCTCGAACTCCTGACCTCAGGTAATCTTCCCACATCTGCCTCCCAAAGTGCAGGGATTACAGGCATGAGTTACCGCATCTGGCCTAAAGTCTTAACTTGTTCCAGCATCAACTCTAAAGTCTAAAATTGAAAGTGTCATCTAAATATCATCTATATCAGACAAAGGTGAGACTCAAGGTATGATTCATCTTGAAGCAAACTGCTCCTCAGTTGTGTACCTGTGAAACCAAACAAGTTATGCACTTCCAAAATACAATGGTGGGACAGGCACAGTATAGACATTTCCATTCCAAAAAAGGGAAATGGAAAAGACGAAAGGTGACTCCAAATAAGTCTAAAATACAGGCAAACTTCATGAGATATATTTATTTAGTTATTTTTAAAGAGTAGGTCTTAAGGCTGGGCATCCTCCCACCTCGGCCTCCCAAAGGCAACATAGTGAAAACCCATCTCTACAAAGTATACAAAATTTAGTTGAGCATGGTGGTTTCCAGCCTGTAGTCCCAGCCACTTGGGAGGCTGAGGCAGGAGGATCACTTGAGCCCAGGAGCTCAAAGCTACAATGAGCCGTGATCATGACACTGCACTCCAGCCTGGGCAACAGTGTAAGACCCTGTGTCAAAAGTAAATAAATAAGGAGAGGGTCTTGCTCTGCCACCCAGGCTGGGGTGCAATGATGAGATCATAGCTCACTATAGCCTAGAACTCCTGAGCTCAAGCAATTCTTCTGCCTTAGCCTCCCAAGTAGCTAGGACTACAGTCATGTACCACCACACTCAATTTTTTTTTTTTTTTTTTTTTGGTAGAGATGGGTCTCACTATGTTGCCCAGGCTGGTCTCAAAACTCCTGGCCCCAAGCAATCCTTCCACCTCAGCCTCCCAAAGTGCTGGGATTACAAGTATGAGCCACTGCGCCTGGCCTAGATATTAAAGCTTGAAAACAATTCTCTTTGGCTCTATGCTCTGTCCTACAGGTCCAATATTGGGGAGGGGGTCCCTCCTCTTCCCAGACACGCTGGGATTGTGTTCTTGCTCTGCAGCCTTGCCAGAAAGGGGGTAGGCCCACAAGGATCTGGGTGGCCCTTCTCCCATGGCTTTGGGTGATGGTCCCTTCTTTTGAAATTGAGGAGGCAGCCTTGGTGATCCCTGAATGGCCTTGTCTTAAAGAAGATTACACATACGCAACTGAATAGCTCTGTGGTCCTTGAAATCTGAAAGCCTTCCCTCATTGGGTTCAAACTGGCAGTTTTCCTGTTGGGGTGACTGATTGAGTTCTTAGTTTACACCTATGCTAATCTCTTTATCAAATGGTCACTTGGCCACATCCTAATTATTCACATCCTATTATTGCAGTCTGTGCAATTTAGATAGACTGAGAATTTTCCAAATCTTTTAGTACTGCTTTCTTCTTGCTTAATAATTCTGTCTTTAAGTCATTTCTCTTTTCCCACATTTTACTACGAGCAGTCAGGAGGAACCAAGCTGCAACTTCAACATTTTACTTAGATATTGTTTTAGCTAAATATGCAATTTCATTGCTTGCAAGTTCTACTTTCCACAAAACACTAGAACATGAACACAATTCAGCCTAGTTGTCTGCCACTTTATAACAAGGATTGCTTTTTCTCTACTGTCCAACAACAAGTTCCTCATTTCTGCCAGAAACCCATCATAATGGCCTTTGTGGTCCACATTTTTACGAATATTCTACCATGGATTACTTAGGTATTCTCTAAGATGGAATTTTTCTCTACAGCCCTCCTCTTTTCTTTCTGAGCCTTCACCAGAATCATCTTTAAGTTTCATTAACAGCTATGTAGGCTTTTTCAAGCATGCACCTCAAAAACTCTTTCTGCTTCTACCCATTTTCTTTTGTTCATTTTGCCATGACTAAGCCACTATAAATTATAACATAAAAGTAACAAGGATGATGGTAAACTCTTAAAAATATTATTGTTTTGTGGTTTTTACTAATTGAGAAAGCTTATACAATCTTCATTATTCATGGATTCTATATTTGTAAATTTGTTTACCTTCTTAAATTTATTTGTAATCCCCAAATCAGTACTCATGGTCCCTTGCCAGTCATTTATAGACATTCATAGAGCAGCAAAAATGTGAGTCACCCAGTGTACCCATTCCCAGCTGAGGTCAAACAAGGTGATGCTTTGCCTTTGTGTTCAGTTCTAATACTATAAATAAGTGTCCTTTTTACGGTCTACTTAGTTTTTTTCTACTTAGGTTTTTGCAAGTTTATGCTTTTTTTGGGGGGTACTTTTTCTGTTTAAATAGCCTCCAAGAGCAGTGTCAACAAGCTGTTTAGTGTTCCTAAACACAAGAAGACTTTGATGTGCCTCATGGAGGAAATACGAGTATATGAGACAAGCCTTGTTTGGGCAAGAGTTCTAGTGCTATTGGCCATGAATTCAGTGTTAATGAATCAATAATACACATTAAATAAGGTATCTTTAAACAGAAACACACATAAAACAAAGTTATGTATTGATCATTTGATGAAAATGAGTGCTGTGACCAGAAGTTTGCAGAAACCTAACCCTATATGTCCCCCTAGGAGCAATGGTTCACTATTAACTAATTCAATATTCATGACAACTTTACAGAACATAACTATCACTAATAATGACAACCAACTGCACTGAGATTTCCAGGTAAAAGATCAATAGGGAGAATGTAGTTTATTAAAATGTATCAAAATAATCATGGACCTGAAACTACTGCTGGGTAATATTGGCAAGATTTGAATTCATAATAAACTTAATTCCCAATATTTCAGTGTCTTTTTCCCCCACTGTCTGATATTACCTTGTGTTTTTATTTAACTATGTTGTGTTTTATCATTATTGGGAAAGGATACATGTTTTCTGTAGAAATTTTGAAACTACAAGTGGGAAAATAAAGAGAGTAAGATATTGTAAATAAAAAAATCACAGAACTTTTAATCAGAAGGAACATGAATATGTATTTGTGGGTCTTCATCTTACTCTGATTGACAACTTTACGTGTATAGAAGTGAAGTTGTATTAAAGGTAAAATGCCATCATCACATTTTAATATACTTTTTCTTTAAAAAAAAAAAAGCAAGAAAATATATGTTGTAAATGGAATTTATCCCAACCTTGTAACTGAAATATGCAGTCATTGTTAACAATCTACTGCAGTGAAAACTGAACTGAGCATATCATTAAAAAGGTTGTTACACAACATGCCTTGAAGAAGCTGGTTTACTGCACTAGCAGCACTTTGCATTGTATACCTTTAAGTTATCCTTTTAAAAAAATCTCAAGTAACATTCTGAAAAACTTACATTGACTATGTAATATATTTTAATGCAAAACCTCTTAATAGGGAAATTTGAGCAATTCTCAATAGAAACACCAGGAATAAAATAGCCCAGCAGTCTTTGTGATATTAATAATTAGGTATATAACATTGGTGTAGAATAATGCCTACATTTGCTTCACTAAGTACATTATACAATGAAAAGTTGGACTCAAGACATCATAAAACAAAAAGATGGAAAATATCTTTTAGTTGCCAAAAATCAAATTATCATCTTAATTGTAGCTAGTTTATTTCTTTAACTTCATATGTGCAAGTGAGAGACAAACATACTCTATAATCCATTATAAAACTAATATTCCTTATAAGGAAATCAAAATTTATACTATACAAATATGATTCCCTTAAATGGAAAATATGCATATGTGTGTGTATGCATGTACATACACACAAACATATGTATACAGAAACATATGTATACACACATATACATACATACACATACATATAATCTCCCAAATCCTTCAATAATTCTTTTTCATGGCCTAAAGACAGAAGTATACTCCCTCTAATTCTGTATATCAACAGAGACAACTTCCTTCTATTCTTGTGAGACTTCATGCTGTAATACACAGAGCAGGTGGCATGTGATTTGCTGTTTTTTATTTCAAATCCAAATGAACCTTTAACCATATAAGATTTAGTATGCGAAGATGGTCTAACGAATAATATAATCACCAATGCTGTGAAAAACAGAAAAATCTTCAGAGTGGGTTCAATGGGCTTTTATCGGTAATTGGGCAACTTCAGCATACTCAGGACCCATTTTGATCAAACTGCTTCTTTCCCTTTCTCATTTCTGAAACAACAGTTGCCTCTTGGTTGGCATGTTTGACATGGTTGACTTGGTTGGCCAGTCACTTTAAGCCAGGCCAGCCCAGTTGGAAAGGCAACAAGGCATATTTACAGTTTCCGCCTAAACTCTGGAAGTGGGTACAGAGTCAGTTTCCACTTCATGGCAGGGAAGAGATAATTAATATTCAAAGTCAATGTGGTTAAACAAACAAAAAAAGAAACAAAAAACTGCTGGGTAACATGAAAAAAAAGTACCTTGGTAACATTATACTATATCAGAAACAAATAGAATTGCACTCTAGTAAAGTATGTCAGGAAAGCGGGGTTTTTCACAAGACTAGACAAAAACAGGCTGAAAAAAGGCTGAGTCTGATGGTGGTGGTATTTAAACAGTGACATGGCAGTATTGGTTCTTGTTTTGGTTTTGATTGTCTTAAGTTGTTGAGGCATTAGGTATAGAAGATAACTCAACCTAGAGAAAGAGGCATTTAACAAACAGCCTTTAAAACACGTTGACATCCATCAGAGTGGAGGTTTTCCTTTGCTACTGAAGAGTGAACTAGAAATAAACATCCCCTATGACACAAATATGTATGATACTGATCACAGTAGTATTAGTTACAGCGAAAAAAACAGCTACAACCTAACTATCCAATGGAACAATGATTAAGTAAATTATGTCAATCTAAAAAAATGAGGGGTTACCAGCAGAGTGAAGGTATGAGTACCGACCCATCAGCATGGATGTAGGTCATAATGCCAGGTGTTAGTAACATTTGCATGTTGGCAGGGGCTAGGGGGTGCAGTGTGCATTTGTAGAAGACGTGGAGGCATCTGGGGGCAGGCAATCTGCCTGAAGGCTTCAAATTCATTTTAACAACTGGTACAGCAATGCCAGTACCTGCTGGCTACATGCCATCCCTGATCATTGGCATGGCAGCAACTAACAGCACCAAGCTATTACTCCATGCCAGGCACTGCAGAGCATACCTCACAACGGCTCTGAGGTGGGCATTATTATTGTCCTTTTACAGATGACAAAAAAGACTTAGGAGGTTAAATGACTTTCCCAAGTTCATTCTGTTTGCAATGACAGTGCTGTGATTCAATCCTGAGCCTACTTGCCAACAAAGCTTGGCAACATTTTGCTATTCCACATTGCCTCCCAATACTCTACAATTATATGATACAACATCAAAGGGGAAGGTCAAGATAATAAACTGCAAACAAATTAAGATTACACGTGGCTGTATGGTGAACTTTTTTCTTTCCTTTAAAATTTTCAAATGTCCTATAATATGATTATACTGCTTTTATAATGAAACACAGGTTGGTAAGAAAAACTATCATGAGGAGATATTTTATGTTTTTGAGAAAGGGTATTGCTCTGTCACCCAGCCTGGAGTGCAGTGATGTGATCATAGCTACTGCAGCCTCAACCTCCCGGACCCAAGAGATGCTCCTACCTCAGTCTCCCAAGTAGCTGGGACCACAGGTGTGTGACACCATGCCCAGCTAATTTTGTGAGGAGGGAATTTATAATAGCAAACATTCTTAACCACAGGAAAGAGTTACTGAAGCAAAGTTACACATTTTAAAATGCATTTTTCTCTCCCCAAATAGGATGTTTTTCATCTAAAATGGTTCAACTACTGTTCTGATTGAATAAACAAAGTCACCTACTATAGCGCTTTCTAGCACCAAGATTCTAAAATATAGTCAATCCTATATTTAAAAAAATTTAATTAACCATCTAAAAATTATAAAGAAGCCAAGACATTCATTCATTTATTCAATTATTATTTGCTGCCTGCCTACTATATGTTAGGCATTTGGCTAGATCCTGGGGACCCCAGTTAGTCAAGAACCTTGCCTTCATGGAATTTACACTGTAGTTAGATGGCAATTCCTTGTTGGCCTAAAGGTATTTGCTGCCTCTCTGGGACCAACATCAATGTATTGAAGGGCAGAGACCTCTGGCTCCATGCCCAGGAGATGTAGTCAAAGTTCATACCTCACGGGGAAGAGAGGTTAGGCTAATCCATTTCAGAGCTTGAACATGGGTTCACTCCCACTTGGGCCAAGAACAGCAGTCAAATAAAGAACCTTGAGAAAGTACCATTACTCCTGGGAGATACCCTGACCCTAGGGTAGTTTCTATATCATCTGCTGGTATGTCATTACTTCTTTAGGTCTCTAGGGGAAAATGAGACAGACATAAATGATTGAGAAGACACAATCATTCAGCAATCTCTAGGAGTTAGTTGGTCTTGAATCTTACTGCTAAGGAACGGAACCTACTTTTTAACCAAGTCATACCTTTGAGAAGACAACTCTAAAACTTCACCAATGTCACAGTATAGGTTGTGGTTCCAGAACACATGTTACCACCATCATCGCCAGTGTGAACACTACAAAGCACTTTGGTAGGTCCGACCTGAGAGCCTCCTTCTTACCTAAAAATAATCTGCTTAGGCCTCAAAATGCTGTATAAATATTTGCTGGGAAAGTACAATGAAGATTTTCATTTCAGGAATATAAAAAACCATTTTGTACTCACACTAAATAGAAAGACTTTTTAAACCCCATACTACCTTCCCACAAATAAATATCCATATAAATGAACACAAACACACAGCACTATACACTCTTTCTTCATCTTCCTTTATTGTTCTGCCCCTGAGTCAGGTCAAACCAACCTCCTTGGAACCAGGTCCCTTTTCATACTTCTTTCAGTTGCTAATTAGATGCTAAGGCCAGGCATGGTGGCTCACACCTGTAATCCTAGCACTTTGGGAGGCTGAGGTGGGAAGACAGCTTGAGCCCAGGCGCTCGATACCAGACTGGGCAACATGGTGAAACCCTGTCTATCCAAAATACAAAAATTACCCAGGCATGGAGGTACGTGCCTGTAATGCCAGCCACTTGGGAGGCTGAGGTGGGAAGATGGTGGATGGCTTGAGCCTGGGAGGGAGAGGTTGCAATGAGCTGTGTTTGCGCCACTGCTCTCCAGCCTGAGTGACAGAGCTAGACCCTGCTCAAAAAAAAAAAAAGAGTAGACGTTAAAAAGTGTGCTAAGGGCCGGGTGCAGTGGCTCCCGCCTATAATCCCAGCACTTTTGGAGGCAGGTGGATCATTCGAACCCAGGAGCTCAATACAAGCCTAGGCAACATGGGGAAACCCTGTCTCTACAAAAAATACAAAAAATTAGCTGGGCATGGTAGCGTGTGCCTGCAGTCCCAGCTACCTGGGAGGCTGAAGTGGGAGGATGGCTTGAGCCTGGGAGGTGGAGGCTGCAGTGAGCCAAGATGACGCCACTGCACTCCAGCCTGGGTGACAAGAGTGAGACCCTGTCTCAAAAAACAACAACAACAACAACAACAAAAACATGTGCTGAGTGTGACAGTCTGGTGAAAACTTAGGATGGCTAGAAGATCTTTTACATCAACTGTTACGTGCCATCATGTCTAGAAAAGGGAGAATCTATATTCTCAATGTTACTTAGTGAAATGCTCCAACGCGTGTTATTGATCTCACCTTCGATATAGCTTGGACTGTCCAAAAGTCATAATTACCAGTGGTACATGGAAGGTAGTCAAGACTAGAATGACCTGGAGAGAGAAAAAAGCATTCCGTAAATAAAAAAGATATTCCAATCACATGCTGATATGTGTTCGAGATTAAGCCAACACCTAAAAGACTTTTGATATCCCTACTTTGTAGTACTCCCCAAAGTCTAGAAGGATCTAGTTACTAGGGCTGAGAATGATGAGAAAGTCCTCAGCTCATTTTGTTGGGATGATCCCCATTGCCTCCATTGAAGCAGTGAGGCTGACTACTCAAATACACATTAAAATAAAAGAAGGCTTTAACTATTTTGTATCCAAATTATTGTAAGATACTCTCAGGCAAGAACCCTCTTCCCTTTTCTCCTTACAGAGTCTAGAATAGCGTGGGTGTTCTCACAGAGATCACTGTGTCATGTATGTCTGTCTTTTTCTTCTCCTTGCCGTTGGTTCTTCATGAAATTCATTTTTTCAGTACCTTATCTACCAAAAACTATGCATGAGGAAATGATTCTGGATGGATTACTATAAGAGTCTAGGGAGTCTCAGAAAGCCATATGAGAAATCTTGGAGATGGCTGGGCACGGTGGCTCACGCCTGTAATCACAGCACTTTGGGAGGCTGAGGCGGACGGATCACTTGAGGTCAGAAGTTCGAGACTAGCCTGGCTAACATGGTGAAACCCCATCTCTACTTAAAATACAAAAATTAGCCGGGCGTGGTGGTGCTTGCCTGTAGTCCCAGCTTCTTGGGAGGCTGAGGCATGAGAATTGCTTGAACCTGGGAGGTGGACGTTGCTGTGAGCCAAGATTGCACCACTGCTCTCCAGCCTGGGTGACAGAGCAAGACTCTGTCTCAAAAAAAAAAAAAAAAAAAAAAATTCTTGGAGATACCAACTATCTAAGATAAATGGGTAAATCATGGAAATTAGGGTACAACTCAAATTTTAGAAAAAACTGAACTATGCTTAAAGAAATTCTACTGAAAGTTTAAAAATTAATCAAAATAAGAAATTTACAATTTGCTTTTCAGCACCAAGATTTTATTTCTTTAGGCTTCTAATATAACTATCATGTGCCTCAATGCTATGACACATGCATTATGGAATACCAGGGGGCAGGAGATGTTGCCCCTGCTCTTGTTCAAGCAGGATAATAAGACAGCCAGGCAACAAGTCCTGATTTAAGACCAGGGGCCAATGTATCCTCAGCGTGTCCTCCTAGTGGGAGCCCAGCTGTATATCAGGAGGGATAAGGAGCTGACTGATCCTCCTTCCATTCCCCCAATCCTGGCAGTACCTCCTTTGTGGCAGGGGCAGGGACCAACAGATGAACAACCATGAGCCCATGGGCACCACAGTCCCTCAACACACCTGTAGGAAAGGACACAGGAACAATACAATTTGGAGGAAAAGTGCCAGGATGTTTTTAATGGACATTTTCTGTTTCTATATAGGGGTTTCCCCAAGCATTGTGCGCTTCCCTTCTCAGTACAGAGCACTTTCATCTTTCTTCTTGCTCATCTTGATGCTAAGCAGCCACCAAGGACTGAAAAGGTGTCCATCTTCCCACCGTGGAAGAAGGTGGTCAGAAGATGTTCCCGGCCAGGCGCAGTGGCTCATGCCTGTAATCCCAGCACTTTTGGGAGGCTGAGGCGCGTGGATCACCTGAGGTCAGGCGTTCAAGACCAGCCTGGCCAACATGGTGAAACCTCATCTTCACTAAAAATACAAAAAATCAGCTGTGCATGGTGGTGGGTGCCTGTAATCCCAGCTCCTTGGGAGGCTGAGGCAGGAGAATCGCTTGAACCCGGGAGGTGGAGGTTGCAGTGAGCTGAGATCATGCCATCGCACTCCAACTTGGGCAACAAGAGCGAAACTCCGTCCCCACCCCCCCGCAAAAAAGATGTTCCCAATTCTAAAGCAAAACCAACACAACTACAACTTCCTGAAAGTCTGTCTTGCAAACATGTGTTTTCTGTGATTGAGGCTAAAGACAGTTTCAGGAAGAAATGATATTAGGTGCTTAACCCTTCCCCAAATCTGTTATCATCTTCTTGCTGGGCTGAAATAACAGACTCAAAATATGACTTACCCCAGTGCTATCTCCAACCCAGGACAAGGATACTGAGCCTCTGAGATCATCAAACACATGCTATAAGGGGAAAAAAAATTAATTTAGAAATGACAGCCACTCTCCTTCAATCTTTGGCTTCTTTAAATATCTGAACTTTATTACTGTTCAGAGTAATTAAGTTCATAATTACAAAGTGGGTATGGATTCCCAGTACAAAATTTGGGAGGGATGGGATTTAACTACTTAATGTGAATCACAAATAACTTGGAAATTTAAATTCTCTCTAACACAAAGTAAGCCAAGCAGATGAGTTTTCTTTACTGCACCAGATGGGGAGATGGGAGATGGGACAATCTAATTGCTTTCTCCAACAGAACTAAATATAAAGGTATAGCAAAGTATTTTTAGGATGCTTTAAAACAAAAGATCATAGCCCACACTGGCAGGCGTAATTGTAACCAAATCAACATAATTTAAATTTTTCTGGGCATCCTTTACAGTATAGCTGAAAAGTTCGTAACTGGATTCCTTTTACTTCTAGTCTAGCTCACTCAAAAATGACAACGGGCAGAAGCAAGAAGCAAATGCCTTTGTTTCACCTTTTTATTTAATAACAATAGTAATAATGATAATAATAAAACAACCTTACTAGAGTTGCAGTGAGAGTAAGGAGGTAAAAAAGGGAAAGCTGGTATATTATATCCAAAATATAGTAAGCATGTTAAAATATAGTTATAATAATCATTGTAGGTGGTTTTGGGTTTTGTTTTTCAAATACTTCCTTTCTCTACTTATACAATAATATATATTCATTAAAGAAGATGTAGACAATTATAAGAACGCATAATAAAGATAAGTCACTCATAATCCTACCACATAGAGATATTCAAGGTTAATATTATATGTATTAATACAATCGTCTGTTCTCTATAATTTTTGTAACTGATAAAAAAAATAAAAATTCCAAAGAGGTAATAACTGCACTTGGCAAAAATTTCAAACCATATAGAAATTACATACTATATAGAGTCTATATAGCAAAGAGTGAAGATCCTTCTCTTTTCCAGGCCACATGCTCACCACCCAAGCCCCATTTCTTAGACAGTTTAATAGTTCAGTATATATTTCTAATAAATGTGGATGATTATGCTTTTTTCTTAAGACTTATAATCTTACTAAGATTTTAAAATCTTAAACATGCCTTGCCCTCCCAGATATGAGAAGCTCCTTGGAAGCTGGGGAATGTAACTTTATACTTCTTGGTACTCCCTGTGCCTTCCACAGGAATACTTTGCACACTCAGTAAGCATTTGTTGAAAATGATTACACATCCTCCCCAAACCACAAACTCAACCTCAAAATAGAACATGTCTATAAATGGTTGGGATGCCAGCTACTTGGTCACTCAAGCCACCAATCCCACATAGAAATCTAAAGAAACAGAACTCAAAACATGAACTGTTTTGTTTATCTTCGAATTTTCTCTTGCAGTCTTGAATGGGCTTCCGAATTCACGTATGTGATTTCCCCTCTGGACCGTAAGTACCTTTGATGTCAAAAGAATCTCTTACACAATTTTTGTAAGTTAGTACAATCAGTGCCTCACGCAGGTCTTGCTCCGTAAATAATGGTTAACTCTCAAATGCTCGGCAGAGCTTCTCACAGCCTCTGCAGGAAAGAAGGGCTATTCAGACATGCAGGCTTGCCAGGCATCTGAGAAAAAGTAGGGCTGCCAGAGCTTCTGAAACCAGAGGCTTAAAAACTGACATAGCAGTGTGTCTTATATGATATTTCACACATAGCAAAACCTCACATTCTCTTGAGTGAGGATAGTGTCTGAAATGACATCAATGAGGTCCTTCAGGAAAAACAGGAACATCCAGAGCTACCACAAGCACCAGGCAGATCACAAGGGCTAAGATCACAGTCATCTAAACACAGGTTATCTTTCCAAGGAAGGTCCTTGTCATAACTAAGAGAAAAGAAAAAGTCCATCAGTTATGGCACTGGAATTCGTGGTTGTCTTCATCAGGCTGTAAGATATCAGTCTTGAGCCAATCAGGACTGCAACTTTTACTTTTCAGGCAATGCTCTACACAGCCGACCCAGTCAATGCAGACTGGCATTACCCACATTTTCCTATTGCTCAACTACAGAATGAGGAGGATTATCACGTGTCACCGGCAACTCTCAGCTTCACTGAAACAACTGAAATGGTAATGGACCTCACTCATCATCCAAAGAGTTCCTTTGGAAATGTAGGCCAGATTTACTAGCAAAACTGTGGTTTTCTACTGCCCTTAAGCTGTCCCTCCCACCCACTCCAAATAACCAATGAAGATTTGCTTTTGAAAATGGGCAAACTCACTGAAAAACTCATCTACCTATAGCAAATGTAATTAATTTTTTAATATTTCAGTCTCTAACATTCTTATACTGGTGAAAGTTAAAAAAGAAAAATGAAATGAGATGTTACAGCAGGCCCAAAGGTTAAGCAGAAAGAAAAGGTCATATGGAAAGGAGATAAATCCAGGAGAGCTAGGGACCCAAGAGTACAGATTCAATCCTGCCACTTCAATGGGAGAAAAAAATACGGATGTCCAGGAAAGGGCAGACAACCTGGTCATGGTTAGGAGACAGAATTCACAAGTCAGCACAAAGCCATCAATCCTAATCCAGAATCATTTCTAATATTTAAGACAACGTACATGTCATTCTACACTGCAGTGGCATCTTAGATCTTTCAAAATATGTATTACAGCACTTTTAATTGTAGCCACAAGAACCTTGCCTGTCCTCCCCACTAGACCTGAGGTCCATCTGGTAAAGGAATCAAGCCCATACATTTCAGCAGCTAACACACAGCATAGTGCACAGTGGGCACGCAATAAATATTGAATTCTTTAAGAACTACTTATGAAGTTTTGAAAAAGATGACGCCCAAGTAAAAGGATAAGGCCAGGCCCACTTAACTTCCCCATGACAGACATGAGTATGAAATGTAAAAGTTCATTTCTGGGTGGACTTCTGCTTCTGGTCAAGATGGAGTGACAGGGATCACATTTACCTTTCTACCGGAAACAGCTAATAAAAAACAAAACAAAACAAAACAAAAACACAGAATGGGCCGGGCGCGGTGGCTCACACCTGTAACCCCAGTACTTTGGGAGGCCGAGACAGGCGGATCACGAGGTCAGGAGTTCGACTGAAACCCCGTCTCTACTAAAGATACAAAAAATTAGCCGGGCGTGGTGGCGGGCACCTGTAGTCCCAGCTACTCCGGAGGCTGAGGCAGGAGAATGGCGTGAACCTGGGAGGCGGAGCTTGCAGTGAGCCGAGAGCGCGCCACTGCACTCCAGCCTGGGCGACAGAGCGAGGCTCCGTCTCAAAAAAAAAAAAAAAAGATACAAAAAATTAGCCAGGCGCGGTAGCTACTCGGGAGGCTGAGGCAGAGAATTGCTTGAACCCGAGAGGCGGAGGCTGCAGTGAGGCAAGATTGCGCCACTGCACTCTAGCCTGTGCGACAGGGCAAGACTCCATCTCAAAAAAGAAAAGAAAAGAAAAAAAAACCCAAAACGACAGAATATATGAAATGACTGTTTCCAAGATATTGGACACCAGGCACAAAGGACGACGATTCCTGAAAGACAAGGAACTGAACAAGGAGGACCCTACAGCTAACTGGCTTACTGCCTGGAGAGAATTTCAGGCACAGTGCAGGGGAGGGGCACCCAGGCAGAGTCCAGAGTTCTTCCTAAACTGAAGAGAGGAAGCTGATATATCGTCTGGGGAGGCCAAAGAGGTTCACAGGGCAGAAGATTAGAGAAGAAAGACTTACACAGAAAAAAAATTCTGGAGATCTGAGCAGGGGGCCTCCCCAGCCACCCCACCAAGTCTTCAGCTGAACACCCATCAGCACACGCATGTGAGGAAACTACCTGAGGCCAGGGAAATAATTACCTGAAAGGACGGCAGAGAACAATATTCAGACCTCACACAGGAACAGGAATAATTCCTGTTACCAGCAACCATAATAGGAAACCTCGTTATTTCAAGGAAATTGGGTAGAGTACTCAGAAACATTTACCTCTGTGGTAAAGAAAAATAACCCCAGACTTAACGCTGTGCCGGTCCCGCCTAAAAATGCTTAAAAGCAAGACCCAAAAGGATCAAACTGTTTCCAAGTAACCAGTGTTCCAGAACAAAGTTCAAGAATATTTAAAAGAATACAAAAATATCTAGCACCCAACAAGCTAAGACTCACAATATCCAACTGAAAAATCATCAGGTGGGTAGGTGCAGTAGCTTATGTCTATAATCCCAGCCCTTTGGGAGGCCGAGGTGGGAGGATCACTTGAGGCCAGGAGTTCAAAGCCAGCCTGGGCAATGTAGCAAGACCCCCATTTCCACAAAAACAATTTAAAAAAATCAGCTAGGCATGGTGGCACATGCTTGTAGCCCTCGCTACTTGGGAGGCTGAGGCAGGAGGATCTCTTGAGCCCAGGAGTTTGAGGCTACAGTGAGCTATGATCATACCACTGCACTCCAGCCTGAGCAACAGAGCAAGACCCTGTCTCTTAAAATAAATTTTTAAAAATAACCAGGCACGCAAAGAAGAAATCAGGACCCATAATGAAGAGAAAAATCAAACTAACTCAGAAATAACAAGATAATTAGTAGATAAGGACATTGCAACAGTTGTAACTGTACTCCACAAGAAATTAGAGAATGGATTGAGAATGTTAAAGAAAAAAAATTTTTTTAAAGACTTAAAATTTTTTAAAGACCCAGTGGCTCATGCCTATAATCCCAGCATTTTGGGAGGCCAAGGTGGGCGGATCACTTGAGGTCAAGAGTTCGAGACCAGCCTGGCCAACATGGTAAAATCCCGTCTCCACTAAAAATACGAAAATTACTAAAATACTAAAAATTAGCCAAGTGTGGTGGTGGGCACCTGTAATCCCAGCTACTCAAGAGGCTGAGGGAGGAGAATCACTTGAATCCAGGAGGCAGAGGTTGCAGTGAGCAGAGATTGGACCATTGCACTACAGCTTGGGTGACAAGAAAACACCGTCTCAAAAAAAAAAAGAAAGAAAGAAAAGAAAAAGACTTAAATTAGACTTGTAGAAATGAGTATTACAATGACTGAAATGAAAAGTACACTGGATAGGGTGCTGTGGCTCATGCCTGTAATCCCAGCACTTTGGGAGACTGAGGCGGGCAGATCACCTGAGTTCAGAAGTTTGAGACCAGCCTCACCAACATGGTGAAAACTTGTCTCTACTAAAAATACAAAAACTAGCCAGGCGTGGTGACATACACCTGTAGTCCCAGCTACTCAGAAGGCTGAGGCAGGAGAATCGCTTGAACCTGGGAGGTGGAGGCTGTATTGAGCCAAGATTGCACGACTGAACTCCACCTGAGTGACAGAGTGAGACTCCGTCTCAAAAACAAACAAACAAAAAAACAAACACTGGATAGGCTGAACAGGAGATTAGACACTGTAGAAGAGGTGAGTGTGAACCTGAAGCCATACCAACAGAAACTATCCAAAGTGAAACACAGAGATAAAAAAAGACAAAAAATGAACAGAGCTATCAATTCAGAAGATGTTCTACAATTTCTACAAATGTTCTTAAAGTTGTTCTACAGCTCAGCGATGGCTCTGTTCATTCTTTTTGAAGTAGAACAACTTCAAGCAGCTGATTATATATGCAATCAGGGCATCTAGAGGAGGCTGGGCTGGAGACAGAAAAAAAAGTTAAGATATAATAGCCACGGTGGCTCACGCCTGTAATCCCAGCACTTTGGGAGGCCAAGGCGGGCAGATCACGAGGTCAGGAGATCAAGACCATCCCCGTCTCTACTAAAAATACAAAAAATTCGCCGGGCGAGGTGGCGGGCGCCTGTAGTACCAGCTACGCGGGAGGCTGAGGCAGGAGAATGGCGTGAACCCCAGGGGGCGGTGCCTGCAGTGAGCCGAGATCGCGCCACTGCACTCCAGCCTGGGCGACAGTGAGACTCCGTTTCAAAAAAAAAAAAAAAAGATATAATAGCCAAAATTTCCCCAAATGTGATGAAAAGGATAAACCCAGAGATCCAAGAAGCTCAGAAACCCTAAGCTCAAGAAACACGATGAAAAATACACCAAAGCACATCATATCATAGTCAAATAATCTAAAATCAGCAATAGAGAAAAATCTTAAAAGCATCCACAAAAAAGATGACATTACATACAGAGAAACAAAGAATGATAGCCGACTCTTCCTACAATGCAAGCCAGACAGTGGAGTAACATATTTAAAGTACTGGCAAAAAAACAGTCAAGCTGTAATTCTATAGCAAGTGAAACTATTTTTCAAAAATGCAGGTTTCACAATGAGATACCATCTCATACTAGAAAGAATGACTATTACTAAAACATCACACACACACACACAAAAACAGATACTGGTGAGGCTGTGGAGAAAAGGGAGTGTTTATACACTGTTGGAGGGAATGTTCAGCCCCTGTGAAAAGCGATTTGGAGATTTCTCAAAGAACTTAAAGGGCCGGGCGTGGTGGCTCACGCTTGTAATCCCAGCACTTTGGGAGGCCGAGGCGGGCGGATCACGAGGTCAGGAGATCGAGACTACGGTGAAACCCCGTCTCTACTAAAAATACAAAAAATTAGCCGGGCGTGGCGGCGGGCGCCTGTAGTCCCAGCTACTCGGAGAGGCTGAGGCAGGAGAATGGCGTGAACCCGGGAGGCGGAGCTTGCAGTGAGCCGTGATCGCGCCACCGCATTCCAGCCTGGGCAACAGAGGGAGACTCCATCTCAAAAAAAAAAAAAAAAAAAGGAACTTAAAAGAGAACTATGATCTGACCCAGCAATCCTGTTACTGGGTATATATCCAAAAGAAAACAAATCATTCTACCAAAAAGACACATGCACTATGTTAATTATAGCTCTATTTACAATAGCAAAGACATGGAATCAACCTAGGTGCCCATCAGCAGTGGATTGGATAAAGAAAATATGGTCTATATACACCATGTAATACTATGGAGCCATAAAATGAATGATATCATGTCCCTTGCAGCAACATGGATGCACATGGAGGCCATTACCCTCAGTAAATTAACACAGAAACAGAAAACCAAATACCACATGCTCTCACTTATATTGGGAGGTAAACACTGGGTACTCATGGACATAAAGATGGCAACAACAGAAACGGGATTATTAGAGGAGGGACGCAGGTGAGTACTGGTAAACTAACTTTTGGGTACTATGTTCACTACCTGAGTGATGGGATCATTTGTATCCCAGCATCGCACAATATACCCAGGTAACAAACCTGCACATGTACCCCTAAATCTAAAAGTTGAAAAATGCAACTTTCAAAAAGGAAAAGTTCTGTGTTTCTGCACTTGTCCATTGCTCCTCAGCATTCTATTGTGGGTGTTTCTTTTTGACAGCCACAGGGGACAGACTATACCAGTGAAAAAGATCTGAAAGACAGCCTAAGTCCCATCTTTCACTGTAAAACCAACCATTCTGGTTTGTAATTATCACAGCTCAAAGTGATCTCCTCTTCCTAAGCATTATCCTCACAGCATTCACAGACACTCCTGGTACTATAACTATTTATATTTATATATAAATGTAAACTATATGTACATGTAAACTATACATGTAGAACTATTTACATATTTGTCTTCCTCTCAAATTATGCTATAAATTCTTAATGGCAGACGCTATAATTTGGTATTACCCATCAGGCCTAGCACAAGGTCTTATATTTATTAGATGCTCCACAAACATCTCTGTAAAAGTCTATCACAAACTCCTGCTACTAACATTATTTCTTTTTCTTAGTATTTTTTTTAACTCATGATAGCTGTTTGTCCTGAACTAACATTATTGATCTGTATGTAATCTTCCTTCTAACACGGTTACTGCTGTCTCAGTAAATAATGGCTGAATAGCGTTTATTCCTATGCTCTTCCAGCCAGCCAAGACACTGTTATACACTGGTATGTGTTCTTAGATGTTCACACATGATGGTGACCTTACTCCTCTCTTTCCCATTGTAGTTACCATTAACTTCACGTAGCTAAACATTGGTAAAGATGCCCTGAACACGTCGAAGTGTTTAGAGGCACTGAGCAGGGGTAGTCTATATAGAAGAGAAATTCAAATTTCAAGTGAAGAAATAAAGGTCTGACTACTGAGATTTAAGCAGAGTTTACAGAGTTGGGAGGCAGATATAAGCAAGAGCAAGGCAATGAGAGAAGGCAGCGGTGCAGGTAGAACACACAGGAAGATAATATGCAAGTATCTTGAAAATTTTCAAAGAACACCACAAATAAAATCTATTAATATCACCATCTAGTAAAATGCTGAGTATACAGTAAATGCTATTAAGACTTGTTAAAATAAAAAAAGAATTTCAGGCTGAGTATGGTGGTTCATGCCTGTAATCCCAGCACATTGGGAGGCTGAGGTGGGAGGTCACTTGAGTCCACGAGTTCAAGACCAGCCTGGGCAATATAGTGAGACCCCGCCCCCATCGCTACAAAAAGTTTAAAAATCAGCCAGGCATGGTGGTACACACCTGTAGTTCTAGCTACTCAGGAAGCTGAGGTAGGAGGATCACTTGAGCCCAGGAATTCGAAGCTGCAGTAAGCTATGATCATGCCACTGCACTCTAGTCTGGAAAACAGAGAGAGACCCGGTCTATATTTAAAAGAATAATAATAAGAAGAATCTCAAGGTCAGAATAAAGAAAGTTAAGGTTGAAATAGAAGGAAAATAAAAATAGTGAAAAGGAAATATATTTAAGAAGACACTTTAGAAATAGTACTCCTGCTTGAAAGACCCAAAGAAAGCTGAGAGAGGCCACTGGATCACTTAGACAGGAAAGGTGTCTGATGATACATAGGCCTGAAAATAATGAGCCAATAAGTTATGGCTCAATTGCTGTAATCAAGGCAAAGTAAGAAGAATAAATGAAATATGAGCAGAGGATAAAGCTTTGTTGCCAGAAATAACTGAAAGGCGGAATAATCCCTATAGGAAGGGAAAACCCAAAACCTCTGACACAGTATTACCGAAGAATGTTCTATAATATCAAAATAATGAATCATATAAAAACATCTAGTACTATGTTAGAGAGTCCAGCCAACAGAAGGTAGAGTGAATGATATATATATATATATATATATATATATATATATATATATATATATATATATATATATATATAAAGATGTTATGTGTTAGTTGTATAAATGATAATTCAAATGGAGAGTGTGGGGAGAAGTGAAGCATGTTTTGTTTCTGGTAAACAATAACTGGAGGCCAGGCATGATGGCTCACACCACACCTGTAATCCCAGCATCTTGGGAGGCTGAGGCGGGTGGATCACCTGAGGTCAGGAGTTCAAGACCCGCCTGACCAATATGGTGAAACTCCGTCTCTACTAAAAATACAAAAATTAGCTGGGTGTGGTGGCACACACCTGTAGGCCCAGCTACTGAGGAGGCTGAGGCAGAAGAATTGCTTGAACCCAGGAAGCAGAGGTTGCAGTGAGCCGAGACTGCGCCACTGCACTCCAGCCTGGGTGACAAAGTGAAACGCCGTCTCAAAAAGAAAAAAAAAAAATAGCTGTGTTGCTCTAATGTAGCATGCCTAAGAGGCAGATTGTTGGGGTGTCCAATCTTTTGGCTTCCCTGGGGCACACTGGCAGAAAAATTGTCTTGGGCCACACATAAAATACATTAACACTAACAATAGCTAATTAGCTAAAAAAAAAAAAATCATACAAAAAAATCTCATAATGTTTTAAGAAAGTTTACGAATTTGTATTGGGTTGCATTCAAAGCCACCCTGGGCCACATGTGGCCCACGGGCTGTGGGTTGGACAAGCTTCATTTGGCACAAAGAGAACACGATCTGGTCACTTCATATTGCTAAGGAGTCAGCTAAACGTATGATCTAGAAACAGGTCAAAATTAAGGAAAACTATGTAAATATGCTGTTTCTGTGCTTAACAGTCCAAAAGCCAGTACCCTGAGGAGCCCAGAGCAAATACAGTCATTCAGATGACCTAATCCTACCCTAGGATAGGAAGCACAGAAGCCAAGAAGTTTAAGAGTAGCTGGGTGAAATGTCAGCTTGATTCTACCAGGAGCAGATGAGCATGAAATTATTGCCACTTTTGGAAAAATTTATTAATCCCATGACAGAGTTACTGGCGCAGGAATAGACTAATCAATAGAGCAAAACAGATCCAGGAATGGATGAGGTTTCTTTTAGCACATGATAAAGCTAGCATTTCAAGTTAGTGGTATAAGAACACTGGAAAAACTGGCTATTTGGAAAAAAAATAAAATAAAAAGCTGAATTCCTAACTCCCTTCTTAAAATGCCTAAATAAATTCCATATAGGGCGAAGATTTAAATGTAAAAAAATTAAATTATAAAAATACTAGAAATGGCCAGGCACAGTGGCTCACCCCTGTAATCCTAGCATTTTGGGAGGCCCAGGTGGGTGGACTGCTTGAGCCCAGGAGTTTGAGACCAGCCTGGGCAACATAGTGAGACCCTGTCTCTACCAAAAAAGAAAACAAACAAAAAAACAATAGCCAGGTGTGGTGGCATAGCATGAGTTTGTGGTCCCAGCGACTCAGGAGGTTGAGGTGGGAGGATTGCTTGAGCCTGGGAGTTCGAGGCTGTAGTGATCTGTGATGGCACCACTGTACTCCAGCCTGGGTGACAGAGTGGGACCCTGTGTCAAAAAATGATACTAGAAGTATAAGCGAATATTTTTATAACCTTGGAATGGGAAGACCTTTACAAAAATGGTACAAAAATCAGAACTCATACTTAAGGATTTACTCTGACTATGTAAAAAGTTTAAATTGCAAAACACCAAAGAGAAAGCTGAAAAAAACTGGAAAAAAATATTTGTAACATGACAAAGTATTAATATAGAAAGGGTTTCAATTAATATAAAATTATTTGTAACATGACAAAATATTAATATAGAAAGGGTTTTCAAATCAGTAGGAAACAGGCCAAAACCTCAAACAGGTTTTCGGAAAATAGGGAAAGAACATGAGCACCCAATTCATAGAAGGACAAAGAAATGGCCAATAAACATTTGAAAAGCTATTTAATCTCTAAAACAAAAAGAACAGGCCGGTGCAGTGGCTCACACCTGTAATCCCAGGCTTTGGGAGGCCAAGGCGGGAGGATCACTTGAGCCTGGGAGTTTGAGACCAGCCTGGGCAACATGGCAAAACCCTGTCGCCACAAAAAAAAAAAAAAAAAAAAAAAAAAAAATTAGCCGGGTATGGTGGTGTGCACCTGTAGTCCCAGCTACTCAGGAGGCTGAGATGGGAGGGTGGTTTGAGCCCAGGAAGTAGAGGTTGTAGTGAGCCAAGAAAGAAAAAGAAAAATATGACATTTTTGCCTTTCAGACTGGCAAAGATTAAAAGACTTGACAAAATGTATCCAGTGAGGGCATAGGGACCAGAGCACCTTCTTCTACGGTGGGTGGGAGTACATAAATTGCTGCAACTTTTCTGGAGAGCTATTTGGTGATGCAAATAAAAACTGAGAACGTCCGTATCATGTGCCTGAGCAAATCCTATTCTTAGGAATTTGTCATAAGGGGATAATCACATACCTTTATAAAAGATGTCATATGTTGGGGTGATTACTGCAGCTAACAACTATTGAACATTCCCCACATGTCATCTTCTGTGTTAGGTATCTTACACACATTATTATTTAATCCACATAACCCCATGAGATATTACTATACCTGTATATTATAAATGAAGAACTGGAGATTTGTTAAGTAAATTATGTTATGCCATACAACAATATATCAGGTGCTATTAAAAATGTTTCAAGAACAAGGAAAAAAAGAAGAAACGTTTAAAAAAATCTTAAAAAACCCAAAACTAAAATGTTTCAGGTATTTACTGACATTGAAAGATACTCAGAGCATATTAGTAAAAAGCAGGCTACAAAACAGCATGTGACATCATATGTGCATATTTATGGTTACAATGTTATCAGGGGCCGGGCACAGTGGCTCACACCTATAATCCTAGTACTTTGGGAGGATGAGGCAGAACAATTGCTTAAGCTCAGGAGTTTGAGACCAGCCTGGGAAACATAGTGAGACTTTGCCTCCAAAAAACCAACAATAACAACAACAATAAAAACTAGCCAGGCATGGTGGCAAGCACCTGTCGTCCCAGATACACTGTTTGAGCCCAGGAGGTCAAGGCTACAGTCAGCCATGATTGTGCCACTGCACTCTAGTCTGGATGACAGAGCAAGATTGTCCCTTAAAAAAGAAAAAAAAAAGGTATCTGGAAGGATACCCTTTAAAATATCAATAGCAACTGTCTTTAAGTGGTATTATAGAATTGATAGGGGTGCACTCTTCTTTATAGTTTTTCTAGAGTGCATAAATTACTCTCATCCCACCTCCAATTGGCAGAAATCATTTTAAAAATAAAACTATATAAGTAAGCTATTTTTACTTAAAAAAAAAAGGAAGGAAAGAAAAAGTATAAAGGAAAGGGTGATATAAAAAGTACACATAGACCATATCAGTTTATCTATTTATTCTTTTTTGGGACAAAGTCTCACTCTGTTGCCCAGGCTGGAGTGCAATGGCATGATCTCAGCTCACTGCAACCTCCACCTTCTGGGTTCAAGCAAGTCTCATGCCTCAGCCTTCCCAGTAGCTAAGATTACAGGTGCATGCCACCATGCCTGGCTAATTTTTGTATTTTTAGTAGAGATGGGGTTTTACCATGTTGGCCAGGATGGTTTCAAACTCCTGACCTCAAGTGATCTGTCTGCCTCAGCCTCCCAAAGTGCTGGGATTACAGGTGTGAACCACCACGCCTGGACGCATGTTAGTTTATTCTTATTTATATTACACTAGTTAACAGATATACCAGAAGGTTACAGGATAGGTCAAAGAGCCCCTGCTACACTGAGGCACAGGAACATAGGTGGTCTTGATGTAAGGTAGACCTCCTAATATCATTAATGACTGATAACACTAAACTTCCTTTTCAGAGTCACATTCAGAGCCTTTTGTCCATTACCTATTGAACAGTGATTTCTGGTGTCCCAGATGGTACCAACAGCCATCTACTGCCCTCGGTAGGGGAGCTCTGGGAAGCAGAAGTAACTGGCTGGCATTTATAGTTGCCATCTGACTGTCAAATAGGTTTTCAGGAATTCATTATGTTAGAAAGCAGGGGACAGCTTGTACTACCTTCTCTAAAATGCATCCACCTTGAAAACGGATGATATAAGACTCATCCAAGCATTTATTGCCTACCATCTTAAAGCAGGGGGCCCCCATACTTTAGAGTTCATGAATTAGCACAATGTTCATTTCTACGATCGTCTGAATACCCCCTAGGTTCTGTTCACAAGATTCTTCATGGAAACAACCATCTTCCCATCTAATTAAACTAGAAACCAAATTAAATTACTGTTACTATAAGCTTGGAAAATTTAAAGTTGGTCCCAAGAGTCACTGTAGGTTGGAAAAAAATCCAGTCATGAGAAACTTACATGTTTAGTTACACACATGATCAAAAATAAAACACTGAAAAAACTAACACCTGCACTATTGCATGTGGGTCAGTTTTCCCAAGGCAAGGCCCAGCTTAAAAGCCACTTGCTGATGGCCTGACCCCATCAGGAGCAGCCTTTTTGACAAGCAAAGAAGGAAGTGAATTCAATGATGGCATTCTTCACATACCTGCCCTCTTTCAACAAATATGTCTGCATGCCTACCATGTGCTGTGATAATACATGCTCTGAGCTACTGAAGATTATAACCTATCAACAGGCATCTTATGTACAGAAATCTAAAAATAAAGGCTAAACATACTAGACTTTTAATCTACAGAAGTCAGCCTGTCACAATGAAAATAAAACTACAAAAGAACGTTAAGCCTAGCTCAGTAACTAACTGGTTGGGAAGGTAAGCACAAATCATCTTATCTGTTGGGAATCCATTTCCTCAGGGGTAAAACTGAGAATTACAAAGGCAAGGCATCGGTGATCCCATACAGACTGCCCATCTAGGATTAGGCTTCCAAACTCCAGTGAGGCCTAGAACACAACCTGAGTGATGCTTTTGCAGGCAGGAAGAAAATCCTAACAGAATATAGTTCTGTTAAATTAGGCACTGCTAGAATCATAAAACATGAGCCAGAAATAAGATCACAAATGTCCCAGTTCTCATGAAGTCTATTCTTGGAAATGAAAAAATTAACTACAAAATAATGTACAAGTTTCCAAATCTATTTAATTATTCAGAGTTTTCTGAGGGAGCATGATACAGAGGAGAGTACCAGGCTAATAATCAGTCAACCCAAATTTTATTTCCAGCTCTACAAAACGCTGCGTGAAATTGGGCAGCACAACCTGACATCATTACCGAAGTGCGGGGGCTAGAATGACAATCTTTCCAGTCTCTCTAAGCTTTAAAATTCTATGACTCATCAATAATTTAGCCACTCAGTTTGCTTTTCAACTGCTATGTATCTGGGTTTTTGTTGTTTTCGAGATCAGCTCCCTGCTCCACAATAAGCCAGTGTTCAAAGGAGAGGGGCAACAGCAACCTCCATGATTCAGATGCCTCAGCAACCCGGATACTCACCGAAAAGAAGCAAGGAGACCTCTGATGTCACTATCATGCATTAAAAATCTGTGCATTTGACTTCTAAGAGAAATTTGCAGACCATCACTCTAATTCAATTTATTAAACCGGTTAGAATTGTCTAATATTAGAAATCTGCTTTCTCAGCATAGAGAGGAAGCAAATCAAATTTGAGGGTGATATATGTAGAGACAGACAGGGACAACAGCAAGAGGAAGAGGATATTACAAGAGGAATTACAAAGGGAATATCATTTCTGCAGCAAAGAAGCAAACAGGCAGACAATGGCATTAAGTTTATAATCCAGGACATCTGAAATGGGAGAAGATAGCCCCACATATCTCAATAGCTCCTGTGGGTATTAAATGTCATACCACATTAAAATACTGTGAGTCATTGTCTTAGTCCATTTTCAGTTGCTATAAGAGAATATCCAAGACAGGGCAATTTATAAAGAAAAGACGTTTATGTAGCTCACAGTTCTGGAGGCTGTGAAGTCCAAGAGTATGGCATAGGCATCTGCAGAGGATCATCCCATGGCAGAAAGTGGAAGCAAGCACAGGAGACACAGAAAAGAAATAGGACCAGGCCAGGCATGGTAGCTCACGCCTGTAATTGCAGCACTTGGGAGGCCAAGGCAGGTGGATCACTTGAGGTCAGGAGTTTGAAACCAGCCTGGGCAACATGGTGAAACCCCATCTCTACTAAAAATGCAAAAATTAGCCAGGTGTGGTGGCGTACACCTGTAATCCCAGCTACTTGGGAGGCAGAGGCACGAGAATCCCTTGAACCTGGGAGGCGGAGGTTGCAGTGAGCTGAGATCACAACACTGCACTCCAGCCTGGACAATAGAGTGAGACTCTGTCTCAACAACAACAACAACAACAAAAAGAAAAGAAATAGGACCAAACTCTCTCCCTATTATAATTAACCCACTCCTGGGATAAAGGCCTTAATCCATTCATGAGTTGGTGCCCTCATGATATAATACCTCTTAAAGACCCACCACTTAATACTGTTACATTGACGATTAAGTTCCTAAAACATGAATTTGGGGAGGCACATTCAAACCACAGCAGTCCTGGTATAGCATAATTTATTCTCTTCTTAGTGACCTAGGCTCATACTGTTGACCAAGAAGGCAGAGAAGTATATTAGAAAGATTTCCATTAAAAAAGCAAGCAAACAAAAAACCTTTGGCACTTATAAAAGGGTAGGCTTAGTTTTTGAAAGTCACTTCCATGAAACAATTCATTTCTCAATAAATAGCTACATTTCATAATTTTTGCATTTAATTGTTATATCTTAGTTCATTTTAAAGAAAAGAAAGTGACAGAGAGATATGCTCCAGTTGCCAGCTGACTGAGCCGAGAGAACCATAAAGGCTTGCTGCTTCTCCCTTGGGTGTGGGCGCTAACCCCTTCCCCCATTCCCTCTGCTACAACCACACTGGCCTTCTTCCAGATCCTGGAGTATGCCAAGCTCTTTCTAGACCCAGGCCTTATGAACATGTTGTTCTCTCTGCCTGAGATACTCTTCCTGGCAAAATTCTATTCAAGTATCAGTTTAAATAATTTCTCAGTGAATCTTTCCTAATGCCCCAGACTAAAAAAGACCTGTCAATTATTCCTGTGGTTACTATTTTTCTTCTTGGTAATTACTACATTTATAATTATATATCATTTAGTGCCATTTTCTCTATTGGTCCATAAAGTTCCATCAAGGCAGAGGTCTGGTGTTCTACACCAGTTCCCAGGACCTGATAAGTGCCTCATGTGTATAGGTGCTCGACAAACAACTGCTGAATTAAAGAAAAACAATAATATTTAACCTTTACTAAGCACTTATTATATTAGTATTATATATTAAGGTACTCACTGTTAATTTATAAAGAAAGCAGCAGGCTCAGAGGCGTTAAGTAATTTGCTCAAAGTCAAAAAGTTGGTAAGTGGCAGAGCAAGGTTTCAATCTCATGTCTGTCTGACTCCAGACTACACATTTCATGACTACTCTTTCTTCAGCATTGTGGGAGGCAAAAGTGATGAAGGACTCATAGTACAAGCTGGGCCCTACCTTTAAGGAGTTTATCATTTAGGGAGTAAAACTTCTATAAATGAAACTGAACACAAGACAGAAGTGTTGTATTACATGGCACAGTCCAAAATTATAGAAGAGAACAGGAAAAACTAACAAGGGCTAGAAGGGCATTCAGACAGGAAGAAACCCATGAAAACAAAGATGGAGAAGCAACAGACCATATGGGGAGCTGAAGGGACTGGTTAGAAGATCACTTTAACTGGAACAGAGGGTTAATATAGGCCAGGAAGTGGTGAAATAGTAGGTTAAATAAATATGCACATAGGCCAGGTGTGGTGGCTCACACCTATACTCCTAGCACTTTGGGAGGCCCAGGCGGAAGGATCACTTGAGCCCAGGAATCCCAGACCAGCCTAGGCAGCATAGTAAGACCTCATCTCTATTTTTAAATAATTGTTAAAAGTTTAAAAAAGCAATATGCACATAATAAAAAATAATTCCATCAACATTCTGGTCCGCTATTCTTTCAAGCAAAGTTCCTAAGAAGTACCTATCACATTTCACTAATATTTCTTGAAACTTCACAGAGATCAGTAGAGTGCAAAGCTAACAGCAGCTGCTCAGTTAAAGAAAGGGGTGAAATATGCAAGGTGCTATTTCAGAGCTATCAACTTAAACCAGAGCCATTAACTCTTAACAAATTAAAGCTTAATGAAGGGGAAGAAAAATTGTTATTAAATTATAGTCTTTAAAAAATAATTTGGTCAGGTGCAGTGGCTCATGCCTGTAATCCCAGCACTTTGGGAGGCTGAGGCAGGCAGATCACCTGAGGTCAGGAGTTCAAGACCAGCCTGGCCAACATGGTGAAACCCCATCTCTACTAAAAATACAAAAATTAGCCAGGTGTGGTGGTGCACATCTGCAGTCCCAGCTACTTTGGAGGCTGAGGCAGGAGGATCACTTGAACCCAGGAGGCAGAGGTTGCAGTGAGCTGAAATCATGCCACTGTACTCCATCCAGCCAGGACAACAGTGAGACTCAGTCTCAAAAAATAAATAAATAAAAATAAATAACTTTAAGTTATTTCAACCTATTTACTAGCCAGGCACAGGGATATGTGCCTGTAGTCCTAGCTACTGCAGAGGCTGAGGCAGGAGGATCACTTGAGCCCAGGAATTCAAGGTTACAACAAACCATGATTACACCCCTGCACTCCAGTCTGGGTGACACAGTAAAGACCATGTCTCTTAAATTTTTAAATTTTGTTTAAAATTTAAAATTTTGTTTTAAAACAAAACAAAAACTATTTAACCATATATGCTTGAAGCTATTATAACCAGATGACCAGGTATCTGATTACTGTTTTCTGATTATTAATCTGATTATTTTCTTCTCTATCTCCCATAGCTTCAAGAAAGGCATTTTGGGCTGGGCGCGGTGGCTCACGCCTGCAATCCCAACACTTTGGGGCCGAGGTGGGTGGATCACGAGGTCAGGAGTTTAAGACCAGCCTGGCCAAGATGGTGAAACCCCATCTCTACTAAAAATACAAAAATTAGCCGGGTGTGGTGGCGGGCACCTGTAATCCCAGCTACTTGGGGGGCTGAGGCAGAGAACTGCTTGAGCCCCAGAGGCGGAGGTTGCAGTGAGCCGAGATAGTGCCACTGCACTCCAGCCTGGGCAACAGAGCGAGACCCTGTCTCAAAAAAAAAAGAAAAAGAAAGAAAGGCATTTTGAATAGATGATCTCTGCCTAAACCTATCTCCCACCCTCCTCTTTTTTCATCCTGAGTCCAGTGATACAAGTAGTACATTTTTTTTTCCTTTTAGATATGGGACCTCACTATGTTGCCCAGGCTGGCGTACAGTGGTTATTCACAGATGCGATCACAGTGTCCTATAGCTTTGAACTCCTGGGCTCAAGCTATCCTCCTGCCTCAGCCTTCCAAATAGCTGGAACTCTAGATGTGCACCACTACCTACCCCTAATAAATTTTTTTGTATTTTTGGAAGACAGTATCTCGCTCTGTTGCCCAGACTGGAATGCAGCGGCGCAATCATAGCTCACGACAGCCTCAAAACTCCTGGGCTCAAGTGATCCCCTCACCTCAGACTCTTGTGTGGCTAGGGCTACCGGCATATGCTACCATACCAGGCTAATTAAAAAAATTTTTTTATACAGATGGGGTCTCACTATGTTGCCCAGGCTGGTTTCAAACTCATGGGCTCAAGTGATTCTCTTGCCTCAGACTCCAAAAATCTTGGGATTATAGGTGTGAGTCACCCTGCTTAGCCAGGGCTAATATGTCTTAATCCAGATGCAGTTCTTGTGAGTACCTATAATAATTCTCTAGAAATATTAGAGATATGAAAAAAATTAAGCACATGTACAAATATTTAAGCATCTAACTGGTAATGTGTCAGAAGCTTTGTAATGAAAATCATTACAAGAAATCCTCAACAAAAGAATATACACTAAATCCTGTACTATCTTCACAATGACCCTAAGAGGTAGTATTAGTACTCCCATTTCATAGATGAAAAATCTAAGGTTCAGAGAGGTTAATTTGTCCATGGTCACCACTGAAGTTTGAATCCAGATCTAATACCTGAGATCCTGTTCCCCCAAACTACTGCCTCAAACCATCATCAATTATATTAACAAAAGTTTGACATAATCACAAAGGCTTAAAAAAAGAAGAAAACCACTACATACACGTCTTACATTTCTGCCAATCTTGACTCACTTTAATTCTTGCCACCCCCACCCAAGCCTGTCATCCAACTCTGCCAAGTGATAAACCAAACGCATTTATGCCTCATCCGTCTGCTTTAATACACATGCTCCTCAGGGTTTGGCTCAAGGGCTGTATCTATCAGGATCACCTGGCTGACAAGCAGGCCCTGTGGGGGCTGTGACACATCAGCAGGTTTATTAAGGAATTATACAAATCATACTCATACGGTACTTCAAGGTTTCAAAATATTTTCACATATATCTTCCCTTCAAAACTTCATGATAATCCTCCATTTTATGTGACGGGAAACTGAGGCCTAGAAAGGCTAGTTGAGCTCTGTTGAGGGTACTATGACCTTGAGAAAAAGAGTAGAATTCACAACTATATTACTTATAACTGGGATCTCATAACTTTGCCTTATCCCTAAAGCAAATGCATTGATTTCAACACTCCTATGAAACACTTCCAAATGCAGCACCATGTTGGGACATCTGTGTTCTACTCCCAGCTCTTGGCCAGTAAGCAAGTCAGCCAGCCGCATCAGCAAAAGGGCTCTGACCAGCTAATCGGCCCAATAATCCATGATTCAAACCATTAAGCACATTATCAGCAAGAGTTCAACCTTATCCTTGTTCACAAATGTTCAGAAAAATCTGTTCATAGGCATCACTGTCTTACAGCTCCTGGCTTCCTCATGCCTTGGCTCACATTCTTCTTCAACCAGGTCCAGAAGTTTAGGAGTGCTTTTTGGAAACGTTAGCACTTCAAGTATAAAGGATGGTCTGCCTCACCTTCTGTTCTGCTTTCCTCTGGGACCTTCACATCCAAGACCAAAGCAATGGCCGGCCTCTGAAAGGGGAACTCTTCTTGGCTCCCCATTTCTACCTCTGGTTCCTCCAGCTCTAGCCTCATGTCTAGCACTATCTGTTAAAACTCTCTCTTTCACAAGTAAGTCCTTTTGCCAAACTCACTACCCACGCCCCTCCTCTCTTTCCATCCCCCACAAAAGAGCTATCTTTTTTTTAACTTCCCTATATGTTTTCCTGGAAACCTTAGTCATACTCCCCATCAACTACCTCACCCTAAAATAAAGTTTCTGTTGACCATCCCTTGAACATATCTTGGATTTTCCTACTTCCTTCGTGCCGTTACAGATCTCCCTAAAAATCACCTCCACTTTGATTCTCTCTTCAGCCAGAGGGCTTTCCCAGAACACTGCACTGCAGTGGTCAAGCCTTCTTCCAAACTCCCAGTGAAACATCTCTGAACACCTAAATCCTTAAGATAGCCCCAGTGCTTTGCTTTGTTTATGCACAGGTCTGGACTCCACTCAGTACATGGCAGGCAGCTCAGTAAGTGTCTAAATGAATGACATCTATATAGTACTTTACCTTTAACAAAACACGTTGATAAAACTTCTCATTTGACCCTCCAAACAATCCTAAGAGCTGCTGCTCTAGTTTAAAAAACAACTGTAAAGACCACTGAAGTTAAGTGATTTTCCATAATCACACAGCTATGAAGCAGCAGAGCCAGGACCCAAATCTGGGTATTGAGACATCTCTTTGAGATTTTGTATACAACATATTTATGTTTTGAATCCTTTGTGACAAATAGCAAATACTAGATAAAAATGATTTGAACTAACTTGTCTGGGAATTATTGAAGTTAATACAAATTTTCCTTCCCAGTTCAATTTCTCCTGGTCCTTCAGAGCAATTGTACTGTGGAACCAGACTTGCAAACTGGCTTCAGTACAATATTAGAAAGTGTGTGTGTGTGTGTGTATGTGTGTGTGTGTGTGTGTGTGTGTGTGCGCGCGCGCGTTTTAGGACATACAGGAAGACTAAAATGCTTATCCAAAGCAAACATAAGACGGATAGTATTCATAAGCCAGAGAAGGAACATACATACGTTTTCTTCTGATAAAAATAAATCAAGCCAATTAATCACATATAAGTTTCTACATGTGAATATATTTATGGTAAGCTGACCATCTATTTTCAAACACACAGGCAGCCAGGATGAAGAAAAAAAGCCCCAGTTTTGGCAGAGTACTATAGGAAAGGGAAAAAGAAAAATGAATTTACTGCTATCTGTTGGGTTTGCTTTTGGACTATTCAAGCTAGTAGCTTTTATTAGCATTAGATTTTTCAGCCAACAAGGAACAAACGGTAAAATATTACCCCCAAAATAAAAGAGAAAAATGTCTTTCATAACTACATGAAAAAAAGTACTCCTGCTATCTTTAAGAACATGCATATTTCACTGAAGCAAGTTCTGGAGGTGGTAGTAAAACACCCCTAAATGTGAAATCCATGCTATGTTCAAGTTTGACTGGGAAGTCAAACAGCCACAGTTTGCTTCTAAATTTGGAATCAGCCAGGAAAACATTTGTGATCACAACCTCTGGCCTCTCCCATATGAATCATAGAATTTTTGAAAGAAATTTTAAAGCTAGTCCAAAACTTCTTGTGCTGTAGATGAGGAATCGAGGGCCAGAGACTAAAACACAAAACAGAAAATAAGTTACATTCACAGAAAACTTCCTCGGCAAAACACGACAGGTTCTGAGTGGAAGGATTTTGTTTTTACTGTGGTTTCCTGAGATTGAGATTGGGGATAGAGAAGGAAAAACAGCCTCCATCTTTCACCTAAAAATTTTCATAGGTATGAGGAATCTGTCATGAACATTCATTCAACCAAACTATCTCAAAGCAACATATTACTAACCCAACTTTGACTGCAGTCACCATTGAAACAAGAACAAAAAAGCTGCCTAGAACTGACTGAAATTGATCAGCTTGTTCTTCAAGCCCCATTAATCCTCAAATCCACCTGCATACAAATCACTGAGACCACATAGTGGGAAGAACAAGTTTTCACCAAGTTTTTAAAAATAGAAGTAAAAGATGCAATAAAAACACTGATGACAAAAGGAGAGAAAGGGAACTGAAACTTGTAGAAATCTACAAATGCAGTATCTAGTTCATAATATTGTCAGAGCCATTGCCACAGTTTTGTTGTTTCTAGAAAAGCTGTATTTTAAATTACATGTCAAATGTGATGGCTTTGTCTGCCTTAATATTAGCTCCTAATTATATAAAATATCTGAGCCTCATTTCTGCAGCCTCAAAACATAGTTCACTTTCTGTAAAAAAAATTGAGGGGTAGGATTAGGTAGGAAGGAGGGAGAAGAACAAACGTTACTCCCCCGTCCTGACCATTACAACTTGGTGCTAAGCACTGCCCAGCATGTGATGGTCACACAAGGGTAACAGGCCAACTGGGACAAAGTTGGGGAACGCAGACTCTGCAGTCACCCACTGAGAACCCAATGCCTGTTGACGAGAGTTGACTGGAAACTGGCAGAGTGCAGAAGAAACTGCTAATAGTATCTGTGACCCTGACATGAAAGATCTGATCAAAACAGCAGGATAGAAAGCCTATTATTGTTGTTAATAATCACAAAAAGAAAATAGCCATTAGAAATTGAACAGAACATAAGCCTTCTTCCAATTATTTCCACAAGCAGACATGAGACTCAGATTTCTAATTAAAAATCACTGTGCACAGAGCCAAACATTTGAGTCAGCAGAGAACTTACCTAATTGTTAACACTGCATTCCCTTGGAGCCATCTGTCATACCTGGCTAGCTTTCTACTCTCATCCCAACCAAACTTCAGATGAAGACTAACCTTTCCCCAGATAAATTACACTTCATCAAATCTGCTGATACTTCTTACTGAAATATCCAATGCATAAGTCATTTTAACATCCCTCTAGGGGCTAAAGGTCTGACTATACATTGCATGAGAGAAGACTCTTCATGAAGGTTTCGCTCACTCTGCTCAACCAGGACCAAGAAGGAGATCCTACAGAGTTCCTACTCCTTGATCCAAAGCTGAATGGAAGAAACAGAACTCAAGAGACTATTAAATAAGCTAGACGGCTGGGGGTGCTAGGGAAGGTAGGATGAAGAGAGGCCAAGTATTGGAAGAAATGAGGCAGTTAGGAAGTTCCGGGGCATTAAAGGACTGACCTTCAGACTTCCGGGTGTTACAAAGGTCTGGCGATTCACAACAACAGGCCGAGGTCTTCAGCGGCAGCTCCCTGAAGCCTCTGACAGGCACACTCAGTCCTGTCAGCTTGGACTCAACCCTGCCAGAGCCAGCAAACAAACACACGCATTCTTCCCAGAGCTGACACCCCATACAACACGGCCTCTCTACAGGGCCTGTTTATTTAAGGAACCAGATGCTTTAAAGTTGGAGTAGAAGTTGGGAAGTTATGTTTACAGAAGTAGTTAGTGACAGGAGCAGAGGGAGGACAGAAAATAAGCAAGAGTTCCTGGCTTTATTCATCATAAGTTTAAAAAGTTTTAAGGAAATTGTCAAATGGTCTGTACACAGGAATGAGAAGTAAGGAAATTATGTCAGCCACCACCACAACTCTGGCCAAGGCATTTCATCTGTTCCTTTAAGACAGTTTCATGCCTACCCTCAAAGGGGTGCTTACAGCAGAAATGTTTTGAAGCAATCCAACTTAGTAACCAACAATAAAGTCTTCTAGGCCTGCTCAATTTCACGCATGTACAAAGGTTATACATGTCATGAATACTCCAAGCAGCTGAAGGAAAGAATCAGTTAAAAATGTGGCATGAAAACAGTTTTGAGTTCCAGGCAAAAGGAAGATTATTGAGTCTAAGAAGAGAGCATTTATAAATGATAGCTAATTGCTGAGTGCTAATTATGTGCCAGACATTCTTCTAATGAGTTATTACATATGTATAGATTATACAACACAATGTGATATGTTGTAATACATACTATAACTCATTACAAATACAATATTACATATGCATATATTATGTAATACAAATATATATTTATACAATAATATACATATACGTATATATTATGTATATATAATTTAACACACACTCATTTAATTCTCACAACCACCCTACAAATTAAGTGCTCTTATCTTCACTTTACAGATTAGGAACTGAGACACAGAAAACTTAAGTAACTCACCCAGGATCACACAGTGACATGGCCAGGGTTCAAATGCAGGCAGTCCAGATAAGGCAGTGCTATACCACCTTACCATGGTAAGTCAAACCCTTAGAACAAAATTAGGGAGCATAATTTTTGGAAAGTTATAACTATTTATCTTTCTCCTTCGTTTTCTTGTCATCCCTTTTGTTTGTTTTTTTAGTAATAGCCAGTATTTTTTATTTCCACTTTCCCATGAGTCTATTATAGCTAACTTGTAATACTGTAACTAGAAAGGAAAATGTTTTCCTCTCCTGCCTCAACTCCTAAAATAAAGCACTTAATCATTAGGACTTCTATGTGAAAAAATATATGCTGTGTGTAATAAACCCAATGCACTTTAAATATATTTTAAATTAATAGATTGAAAAGAAATGATATGAGAAAAAAAACCTTAGAGAGAAAAAGGGAGGCTTGGGCAAAGAGAAAAACCTGCTGGATTTCATGGACAGAGAAGCCTGAGTGGTCATCAGGACACCGGTCTCCTTAAACCGTAATATAAACGCACTATTATGCTTTAGCTTTACCGTGCTTTCTTGAGAAGACAGGTTAAATGCTAATATATCCTCATAAGCCACAGACACAGGTCTAGTAGTTTGCTATAACCTTCTGAGGCTTTTCATTCTCCAGTCTGAATGATCTTTTCTTTGTATCTTGGCACCCCAGCATCTAGCACAGATCTAGGCATTTGGAGGGCATTCACATACATTGATGATGTGAATTAATGTGGCTTGAAATGAAACAGGACCAAGTTAAAAGAAATAAGAGAACCATGAACTTTTGCTTTTTCTTGGGACTCGAATCCTGTCATGTTATGTAGGAAAAATGATTCTACATGTACCTTCCTTCCCCAGTTGTACAAAGTACAATATCTCTGATAAAAAGTTGTTCTGTCATGCTGATGCTTTTATTTCACACTGTTTTATAAACGGTCCAAAAATACTAGATCTCTTCAATACAGTTCAGGATTTTTTATGACTTCTAAAACCAAATAAATAAACAGAAGAACAGGCTACTACATAACAATTCTTGGTTAAGAAGTACTACTTAACCATTTTTAAGGTAAATGATATTAAACAAAGGCTCCACTTTTTTTTTTTTTAACCAGATACAGAAAGGATGAGATCTCTGAAGAAGAGACCACGGATGACTAACAAACGCAAAAACTTTTTTTTTTTTTTTTTTTTTTTTTTTTTTGAGATAGAGTCTCACTCTGTCACCCAGGCTGGAGTACAACGGTGCGATCTCGGCTCGCTGCAACCTCTGCCTCCTGGGTTCAAGTGATCGTCATGCCTCAGCCTCCAGAATAACTGGAATTACAGGCGCATGCCACCGCGTCTGGCTAACTTTTGTATTTTTAGTAGAGACAGGGTTTCACCATGTTGGCCAGGCTAGTCTTGAACTTCTGACCTCAAGTGATCCACCTGCCTTGGCCTCCCACATTGATAAGATTACAGGCATGAGCCACCGTGCCCAGCCAAAATAGCTATTTTAAATAAGGTCACTGAAAAAAAGACTGGGAGAGAAAAACTAAAAAAAAATTATTGCAAACAGCTAAATGAAAGAAATAGAAGAAAATTTCTTTACATGTGGACTTCAAAGAATGAGTGGTTTTAGGTCTACTCTTCCACAGATTTGGCCTTAGAACCCCTGAGCCAGTTTTTTCAACCTCTTTCTTTGGAATCAATATATTACAAATGACACATCAATTCAAACTAACCAGGAAGACTCTGACTCAAGGAATAAATCCAGGCAGGGCATAGTGGCTCACGCCTCTAATCTCAGCACTGTGGCAGGCTAAGGTGGGTGGAGCACTTGAGCCCAGGAGTTCAAGACCAGCCTGGGGAACATGGCAAAACCCTGTTTCTTAAAAAAAGAAAGAAAGAAAGAAAAGAACAATTAGCTGGGTGCATGTACCAGTAGTCCCGGCTACTTGGGAGGCTGAGGTGAGAGGATCACTTGAGCCCAGGAGGTCAGGGCTGCAGTGAGCTGTGATCACACCACTGCATTCCAGCCTGGGCAACAGAGTGAGACCCTATCTCAAAAAAAAAATAGTAATTACACAAAAATTAGCTAGGCATAGTGGTGCACACCTGTAGTCCCAGCTACTCAGGAGGCTGAGGTAAGACTCTATCTCACAAAAAAAGAGAAAAAGAAAAACAGGAGTAAATCTAAATCCAGGAGTAGCAGCAGACCTAAAGTTAGGTCAACCAGCGAGAGAAGAATTTGAAATATGGAGCAAGAATGCTGTGACCAGCTAGCTCAAGGAAGGAAGTGGTCCAGTATAAATTAAGCATTAGTGTTGTAAAGCCTTTCTCAATCCCCCACTGTGAGAAGGAAGTCTATTCGATTTTTTTTTCTCATCAAGTAGGAAGACTTCCCAGTACTCATTCTACCCAACCTGTCTCACCCTCCAGCACTAGCTTGGCTACCTTTACACAGCTGCTGCTCGGGATACACTAAGCACAATTATTCCTGAATATTTGTGTCTTGTGTCCTCAGATCAGAGAATTCTATTACAGGTAACAAGTATGGTCCAGATAACCAGGCAGTCCAAAGGGAGACTGAGGCTTGGCTGACGCTGAAAAACGGTTACAGAAGGACAAGTGCTGGCACAGAGCCTTGGCCACCCATCTCTGCCCCCAAGTGCAATTCATTTTCTTTGAAAGAGGAAAACAGGCAAGGGAGAAAATATATAGAATTGAAAATACATTATGCAAATGTGGCTAGCAAGGATTAAATTGTTAATTTTAGAGAAATAGGAGAAAGATGCCCAAGTTGTGCTGAAGCAAGGAACCAGGACTTTCTTAATAATTAGTTTTGTCAGTCCAGTAGTGTGCAAAGGTTGAGCTGCTTGTCCCCAGGGACAGAAATCCCATAATTTTGAAAGTCTTTTGACCAAGAGCTGGCTCAAAGCAGAATATGTGCAATGCGTTTCTTAACTATTGAAAATCTTGTCACCACGGGATATAGACATGCTAGTCAGACTTCCGTACCATGACAGAAGGTCAAATCTGAAGCAGTAAAAGAGATCACATAAATATTGCCATCTCATTTCCAAGCTAGTCCCCTTAACTATTAAAACACGGTGACCAGATCGCTGCTTCGGGCCTCCTGAACTCCCGCCTCTCCCACCCGGAAAGTACTGACCCAGAGAGGACACACCTTTGCTTCTGCGCAGCCCAACTTCTGCAAGCGCTCAAGAGTTAATTACTCCTTCACCTTCCTGGGGCCTAACAGCGTTACTGGGTCCTGATTATTTATACAGACGAAAAACGATGTTCAAGAGATTTTGACAACTTAAAAAAAAAAAAAAGAATGCGGTGGAAGTCTAAGATTGCCTCCCCTATGACAAAACACAGCCCCGCCGGCCGCCCGGGCCCGACTCCGCCCGCCCGCCCGCCGCAGTTTCGGGGCTGCGGCCCGGGGGACGCGGGCGCGGCAGGGCTGGGGTCTCCTCCGGGAGTCGCGGGGCGCACGGGCCGGGAGGGGCACGCGGGCGGCACCTCGCACCCGAGCGGCTCCCGGGCCCGGCGCCCGCTCACCTGGTGCGTGTTGTTGGCCAGCTTGGCGACGAAGTCCCGGACCCGGCCGCACTCCTCGTCCTCGCCCGGCGCGCTGCGACGCCAACGGCCGCCGCGGGGAAACGCGCCCCCGGCTGCGGCCGCCCGCAGCCCCCAGCTCACCCCGATGGGGCCAGACCAGCGCGGCAGCGGCGCAGCGGGCGGCGGCGGCGCGTCCAGCCGGTCCTGGCTGAGGGTCGACGGCGGCAGCAGCTGCAGGAGGAGGAGGAGGCCGAGGCCATGGGGCCAGCGCGAGAGGCCGTCCGCAGCTCCCCAGGGCCGCTCCATCGCCGCCGAATGCCGCCGACGCCGACACCTGCCGCCCGGCGCGCCCGCCCACCCCCGCCGGCGCGCGCCACACCCCCGAGCCGAGCGCGGCGCTCCTTGGATACGCGCGGCCGGGCCTCTCCGCCCCATAGGCTGGCCGCCTGTCCCTCTTCCCCGGCCCACTCCTCATTGGCTCGCGTCGCCTCCGGCTTCGGGGGTCCTGGATTCGGATGCTAAGATGCGGGACTGATTGGCTGGAACGGGGCAGAGACTGCTGAGGTCAACCCCGCCTCGCCCGGCGTCTCCCGGGCCCGGCTTGTGGAGTTCACGTAGGAGCTTCTCATACCTTCCCGCCGAGCCCCGGGCTCCTGGCGTCGCGACCCCTTGCCGCACCTCTAGCGCCCTCAAGTTGGGGCTGGGTTACGTCCCTCCTGTTCCCCAGAGACACTCCTAAAATTCCTTCGGTGAGGCAGAGCCTGGAAAAACCTACCCAGGAAATCCCTGAGCTTGCTCAGCTGGAAAAGGGGGCTCCATCATGAACCGGGGCTTCGGGTTTTTATAAACCCCGCTCACTGGAGCGCCCATTGTCTGCTAAGCAGCTGCCTTGCTGCAAGAAGGTGAATGCGAACTGATGTGGGCCACATCCTACGGAGACAGACATCAGGACATCCGTGACTCCTGCAAGCCTGAAGAATAGTCTTTCCATACGTTTGGCCTCTCTCACCTTCCTCTTCTGAGGGGAGGTAGGCCAAAGGCGGAATTACTTACAGGTTTTCCAGGACTTCGAATGTAGCTTAGGCATTAGGGGCAGGTAAAAGAGGGGCAAGAGAATGATCCAATGCCTACTGTACACATGATCATTTCCTAGATGCACATTTATTTTACCAAAGTGCCTTAACTCTGCAGTGAGAGCTTCGGACAAGTTTGGTTCCAGTATGTGATGTCCTCTAAATTAGCACCCCGATCCACCTCTAATGAATAAAATAAAACCCCTACGCTGTTCCCTTTACCGCAGAAGCTGCACACACAACTTCTACAACACGTAGCACAGGTAAAACCAGTTCTGAATCCTTAAGCTTACTGACTCCATCCCTTCAGAAAGCTAGAAATTGTTCAGTAGAAAAGGTAGCAAATAGAAAGATACAAAATATGCAAGTCATTACACTCAAAGCAAGTAAAGATTACTTTTAATTATAAACTGGCCATAAACCCAAATGAGGATATAGTCATTGTAGAGCAAAATGATACAATGCACCCAACCCGATATTTACATTAAAATATTTCCAGTCACATTAACTTTCAAACAAAAAGACTTAACGAATTTACAAATTTTTCCAAGACGTGAGAAGTGAAAAATGTTTTTGAATGCCATCTGAGCAGGATAGTAAAATCACTAGAATAGTCTTTTTAAGTTCTCAGTTACTGGACTGAAAAGATAAAGCTGATGAAAATTGGTGAACAATTTGTTCCTTTCCATAACTACTATCAGATTAATTTAAAAAAGATTATTTTTAAATCTATGCCAACTATGGGAGTAGATCACAAGACAGTCAGTTCCAGTAGCATGTGATTAGGTGGGGGGAGGAAAGGGGGTTATAAAGGAATATTTCTTTGTTTGGGTGACACAAAGATGAATGGTCTATTGTCTTACTGTCTGAAAAGAAAAAACAACTCAACAGTGCCACCTCCTGGAGAAATTACCAAATACACTTTTAAACGCTATTAAATTTGTTCCAATTATCTGTACCTTCACTTTTTAGTATGTTGCTTTTAGTTATCACAGGCTTACAGTACTTATATATTTCCTTCTTCAAACTGTATCAGCTTCTGGGACATGGTAACTTGCATATGGCACTGAGAAAATGTTTGAGTGAATATATTTATTATTTCACTTTTTAAATTGGAAACCCTAGGAACTATATTTCATTTTTGTCTAATGAGATTGACATTAAATATAAAAGTGGCACTGTCAGTTCTCCTTTGTGAGATACTGGACATAAGATTTCACCTTATTTGCAGGACTAAAGTAAATTTATCTTATTACTAAAAACCGTACCTTTCTCCAGGAAACATTCTATAGCAGAAAGATAACATAAAGCAATTACACATCATGAAACCATTGCTGTTCGTAGTAAGATCACTTCTTTAACCTAAGAAAGCTTGTTTTAATATTCTACAAAAAAATCAAAGTTCTACCTCTTTGAAGAATGCCAATTATAGAAGGTACGAAATTTACTGTTTTACCAGGTAAAACACAAATATGCTGCCCAGCCAGTGGGAGGGAAAACAACTTAAGCTGAGGCGAACGGACATAGGCTAAGAGCTACTCCTTAGTATTTGGGCATTTTTCCCCCTATGAAATGCATGTGATTCAGAGACACAACTCACCTCTCCCAAAAGCAACATGGGCTTTATCCATTTCTGCATTAACCTAGAGTTAAAAAGGAATATTGTTTATTGTTTGGCTCTCCCCACTAGAAGTTTCACAGGAGCACAGATCATATCTACCATTTGAACAGCTCTCTGCCTGATGGCTAATACATTTCTTGGCATATAGTAGGTAGGTGCTCAATAAATTTGTTACAGGAATAAATGAGATAGGATTTTCAAGGGTATTTTCTATTAGGATTTAATAAAACAAAGTGATCTTTAGAGAAACAAATCTCCCCATCAACATGCTATACTTAATAAGTGTTAAAATCACTAGAAGTCTCTGGAACATTCAGTAACAATATACTCTAATTCTCTGCTTTCCTTATGTGTTATTCTAGGGCAAAATCCCTTTCTTCCAAATGTTTCCTATCATTGCAGTTTCCAAATGTATATAAACATGTTGTTTTTTGTTGAACTACAGTATGGATTTAGTATGAATTCAGCCTATCCAAATAGTCATAATTTATTAACATATAGTACAACTTCCTACACATCAATATACCCAGAGCCCAGCAAATAATTATGGGGTCCCTGTTAGTGAATTAAATCAATTCTGCATCATCCACATATGGATTAGCCATGTTGTGGACAGTGCAAGTACTTTTCAAATCTCCAGATTTCCCTATTACTCAAGAGCTGGTGATCTGAAACAAGAAAATTTGAGCTGTTCAAGTCCCAACAGCTTAATTTTGTGTGTCCATGGGCACACAGCATTAGATTCTTCATCTGTTAAGTAGTGATACTGATACCATCTTCCCGTGGTAATTTTTGAGGCTGAGATAGAATGATTCTTTAAACAATCTCCACCAATCATATGATGGCAGCTCTAATGGGGAAAGTTCATCATTCATTCCAAAGTCTAATGTAAACTGCTTCTGAATTTTACAATTCTCTTACTGATATAGAGATTTGTAATTGATTGCCAGTGAGGCCAAGGTCATTAATTTAATTCTTAGTCCTTCACTTCGTAAACAAGGAAATCTCTTTCCAAATTGTCTATCAAGACCCAAGAACTGGTACAACACTGTTGATGGCTGATTCCAACCCATCAATGTTTTGAGGAGGACCTCAAAACATGTTCTTCTGATAGTCAATTAGTAGCATCTCCTTATAAGAAAAGCAGCAAAAATACACGTTTGCTCCAGAAATTATAGGGCCGAAATGGATTTACAGTGCTGTTAACATCTATTAACCACTGGGAAGAGCTGGACTAGTTCATTTATCAACACCATGGGATTAATGGATATAGTTGATTCTGTTATAGAGCATCACTAAAACAGTTTTAGAACAGACATCTTCATAGAATAGGGATATTAATAACACTGTCCTTTTGGCCCACTAACATTTGCATTTCAAACAAAAGACTGTATTACAATGGCTGGGCACAGTGGCTCTCGCCTATAATCCTAGCACTTCAGGAGGCAGAGGCGGGAAGATCACTTGAACCCAGGAGTTTGAAACCAGCCTGGGCAATATAGTGAGACCTCATCTCTTAAAAAAAAAAAAAAAAAAAAGACTATTAGAAGAGAACAGTCTATTAACAAATATTTTAAAATTTTCTTTATTTCAGAACTGCCTTTATGTACAGACATCATTTAAAAAATGCACATACAATGGAGATTTTCCAAGGAACAGGAGCTGGAAATAAAATTTAAGGACATTATTAGAACTGAAATTGTCCCAGAGAAGTTCTGAGGATCAGGATTCCTTAAATGTCCTTGATAACCTCTTCAAGTTCTTCCTTTGTGAACATGTGGAAATTCTGGCCAGGCTGCACTGTGGCTAGCTGGAAAGAAAACAGAAGGGTTAATAAGCTGGGCTGAGTTACCCTGCTGATGGCCCTACCATGGTCAGGAGAAGCTGTGTTGGTGATGCAGCTATTCATTAGGAACTAAGGGATCTGCTGTCCCAAGGATATCCTTTCCAGGCAGCAGGTCCCTAAAATAGCTCTCTGGCTCCAAAATAAAAATGCTTATTGACCAAATTTTCTATTTTAAGGTTAACTCACCACATCATACTTAACCAAATGCCTGGCATCATTGTCACTTCTTGAAGTCACTTCAACAGGGATCACAAAAGCAGCAGCAAAGTACATGGAGTCAGTACTTTTTTCTGTTAAAGACTCCTTTAGAAATATATTTGAAGTATATTTAAATACTTAAAAGTTGAGCTTGTGTGTGTGACTTGAGGTTACTTGGCCACTCTGTGCCTCTATTTCTTCATCTGTACAATGAGGACAATAAGAATAGCTAATTCATAGAGTAGTTGTGAGGATTAAATGTTAATATATATAAAGTGCTTAGACCATTATTGCCTACAACAAATAATCATTAACTATTGTCAGGTATTTTCTCTAAAATTGTTTATGTGGCAAAACTTAACAAAAAAGTTTTTTTTGTTTGTTTTTGGTTTTGTTTTGAGATGGAGTTTCGCTCTTGTTGTTCAGGCTGGAGTGCAATGGCGTGATCTAGGCTCACCGCAACCTCCGCCTCCCGGGTTCAAGCGATTCTCCTGCCTCAGCCTCTCGAGTAGCTGGGATTACAGACATGCGCCACCACACCCGGCTAATTTTGTATTTTTAGTAGAGACGGCGATTCTCCATGTTGGTCAGGCTGGTCTCGAACTCCCAACCTCAGGTGATCTGCCCACCTCAGCTTCCCAAAGTGCTAGGATTACAGATGTGAGCTACTGCACCTGGCCTGTTACGTTTTTTTAAAAGAACTGGCCAAGAAAAGATTTCATTAACACTGGCATAGGAAACCAGTTGTGACTGCTGAAGATATCAGTAATAACTGGAAATCCAGATTATATTTACATTTAAAAGCAACAACAACAATAAAAAACTAGGGTCAGAAGATGGTTAATTTCAAATTTAACTATCATGACTAGGTTTTCCATTCTCTCTGTTGATCATGTCCCACAGTTTTGGGCAATACTGAGCAATAGGTGCCACTTCACATTTGCCTCAAAAGATTTGTGTTTTACATGTCATTTCCTCATAGTGTCTTTTTTCTTCAATTTTTAAAATTAAACACATGGCTGGAAACAGTAGCTCATGCTTGTAACCCCAGCACTTTGGGAGACTGAGGCGGGAGGATCACTTGAGCCCGAGAGTCAAAAACCAGCCTGGACAACACAGGGAGACCCCGTGTCTACCAAAAAAAAAAAACCCCAAAAACTAGCAGGGGGTGTAGCAAACGCCTGTGTCCCACGTACTCAGGAGGCTGAGGTGGGAGAATTGCTTAACCCTGGGAGGTTGTGGCTGCAGTGAGTTGTGATCATCCCACTGCACTCCAGCCTGGGTGACAGAAAGAGGCTCTGTCTAAAACAATAAATTAATTAATAATAATTTTTTAAAATTAAATATAGTAGGGCATTTTAAAGTAATTTTCAGTACTAATATTTAATGTAACTTGAAAGTTGCTAGAGAGAATCAGCATAATCCAGTTATATGATGTTTAGTATCCTCTGCCTCATCTATAAGTAAAATTCAGAAAGACTGCTGCAAGTCTTAAGACATCTGATATCTGGGAACAGACTTAAAAAAAAAGTTCTCCTCTCAAAGCTTGTAGTCTCCTCTAGATTCTCCTAAAAGATATATCTCTAATTACATGAAATGTCAGAAAAGTCCCAAATATATCTGCAAAATATAGGTAAACAATTAGTTTACCATGTAGACCATGAGTTCCATTCCAAGGATATTTAAACATACAAATATTATTACTGCTTCTCTTGGCCAGGCGTGGTAGCCTGTAATTCCTTCAATTATGGCACTTTGGGAGGCTGGGGCAGGCAGATCACTTGAGGTCAGGAGTTCGAGACCAGCCTGGTGAACATGGCAAAACCCTGTCTCTACTAAAAATACAATAATTAGTCGGGCATGGTGGCACACGCCTGTAGGCCCAGCTGAGGCACAAGAATTGCTCGAACATGGGATGTGGAGGTTGCAGTGAGCTGAGATCGCACCACTGCACTTAGCCCAGGCAACAAAGTGAGATCCTGTCTCAAATAAATAAATAAATAAATAAATAAAAATGTTACTACTGCTTCTCTTAAGATATATCTTTACTTGATGATCAATGACATGAGGACAGAGAAATATAAGAGCAATAATCTAAAGAGTGAGGGCCTAAAGAATTTCACTCATGACTCAGGCTAGCCTTCTCAAAACATTACAGGGGCTAAAAAGCAGAAACTGGGAAAACTCTGAGTGGAACAGTCCTACAGAAGAACTGGAACGCAAATCAATACTATTAATAATAGCGTCTGAGCCAAGGACTGCCTTCAGGAAGTTGCTCATCACTAGATAAGTAAAAATAATCCCTTACATTTGCATAATAATAAATGTATTTGCATAATATGAAAGATACTTTTCTATTTATTATCTCACTTTCAAAAAACATCTCTATGAGGCAGGTAGAACAGATATTTTCTTTCAATTTATTTCACCAATAATTAATTACTAAGCACCTGTGTATTAGTTACATGTACTTGTGACTAAGGATCCAAAGATGAAGAAAGTCTTTATTTACTAAGTGCTAGATGCCAAATGTGTTCAATGTCAGGTAAGTGTTGTAATAGAACTAAGAATATGTTTAAGAGTGATCTGGAGGAGCCCAGGAAGGCTTCAGGGAGAAGCAACTTTTGAGTTGTGTATTAAAGCATGGCAAGAATGGGTCAGACAGTCAAAGACAGGAAGGGCAAACAATGTGCAAATGCACAGAACCACAAAAGAACACGACATATTTGCAAAACTGAAAGTAATTCTGTATGGCTAGACCACAGCTTGCACATGGAATATGACGTGAAAAGGAGAGGGAGTAGGGGGTCAGAGCTCATGGGAGACAGTACGTTAAAGTGGTTAAAAGTATAAGACCTAAGACCAGACCTGGATTCAAATCCTGACTCTACCATTTACCTGTTGGCCCTACCGTCTCAAAGCCAGTTTCCTCTTCTGTAAAATAAGATTTTCGGAATAGGAATATCTATCTCATAGAAGTGTTGTGAAGATTAAGAGATGTAATTGCATGTAAAATGCTTAGCAAAGTCTCTAATAGATTAAACAAATGACTTAAGAAGTAGTGAATTATGCCATGAAAAGAATTTTGGAATTTATCTCACAGACAATAGAAGTCAGAAAAGGTTTTTTTTTTTTTTTTTTTTGAGACAGAGTCTCGCTCTGGAGTGCAGTGGCGTGATTCCAGCTCACTGCAACCTCCGCCTCCTGGGTTCAAGCAATTCTCATGCCTCAGCCTCCCAAGTACCTGGGATTACAGGCACATGTCACCGTGCTTAGCTAATTTCTTGTATTTTTATTAGAGACAGGGGTTTCACCATATTGGCCTGGCTGGTCTTGAACTCCTGGCCTCAAGTGATCCACCCATCTTGGCTTACCAAAGTGCTGGGATTACAGGTGTGAGCCACATGTCCAGCCAGAAAATATTTTTTAAGTGGAGAACCATTAAGATTAGATATAGCTTAGAAAATCCACTATAGTAGCACAATGAGGAAAAAATGGACTGAAATGGAGGAGGGCAAGATTAATTAGGAAGCCTCTGAAAATATACAAGGTAGGGGAAAAATGGGAACCTGAACAAAAGGCGGCACTGGAAGTAGGGATGGAGAAGGGACATGGATTTGGGAGTTATTTATAAGGGAGCAAAGAAATGACTGAGTAAAAGGGAAGGAAAGTCAAAGTCTTCCAGGTTTCTCGTGTGAATGACAAGTACCCTGGGGGTGTCATCAACCAAGATTAGAAATATGGGAAGATGAAATGGTTTTTAGGAAAGATAATGATTTTAATTTTAGAACTGTCAAATCTGAGGTGAATCCTTCAAAAAAGTCAAATGATAGTTCCAAAGAGTGACCATGAAATCTGACAAATAAGAGTTATCTTAGCAAGGAGCAGTCTCATGGAAATAATAAAAGCTGAAACAAATAGTAGTGATTGAGGAGTAAATGAGAGGTGAAGCAGTGGAGATAATACAGGTTCTGTTTGGAGGAGACTTGGCAATAAAGGTGAAAAAATAGGATGGATGAGATAGCACTCAGCAATGAAATGTAACAGAATTGATGCAACACAGGTGAATCTCAAAATCATGCCAAGTGAAAGAAGTATAGTCCCTATAATCACCTATAGTCCCAATTACTCAGGAGGCTGAGGCAGGAGAACTGCCTGAGGCCAGGAGTTTAAGACCAGTCTGGGCAACACAGCAAGACCCCATCTCTAAAAAAATTAAAAAACATTAGCCAGGCATGGTGTGTGCACCTGTAGTCCCAGCTACTCGAGAGGCTGGGGTGGGAGGACTACTTGAGCTCATGAGTTCAAGACCAGTCTAGGCAATACAGCCAGACCTCATCTCTTAAAAAAACAAACAAAAACATTTATATGAAATTCTAGAACACAAAACAAATCTATAGTGACAAAAAGTAGATCAATGTGGGGGAAGAGACTACAAAGGGACATGAGAGAACTTTTTGGGAGGATCAATATAATGACTGGGGTGACAGATACTGGGGGTTGTACATTTGTCAACATCCGCTGAATTGTAAACTTAAAATAGGTACATTTTACTGTATATAAATTATATCTCAAAAAAGTTCATTGAAAGTAAGGACACTCGACAGAAGGAGGTACATATAAAGATTTTCTTAAAAAGAAAGATGTAAGATGTAACTTGGATATATATATATATTTTGAGACAGTCTCGCTCTGTCGCCCAGGCTGGAGTGCAGTGGCGCGGCATGATCTCGGCTCACTGCAAGCTCCGCCTCACGGGTTCACACTTCTCCTGCCTCAGCCTCTGGAGTAGCTGGGACTATAGGCGCCCGCCACCATACCCGGCTAATTTTTTTTGTATTTTTAGTAGAGAAGGGGTTTCACCCTGTTAGCCAGGATGGTCTCAATCTCCTGACCTCGTGATCCGCCAGCCTCGGCCTCCCAAAGTGCTGAGATTACAGGCATGAGCCACCACGCCTGGCCGGATATTTTCCTTTTCTTAGGGGAAGCAGTTCATGTAGGGAGGCTGGAGCTCCAAGGAACAACTAATGGACTAAGAACTTAAAGCAGATGGGCTCTAGCGCAGTGGCTCCCAAATGTCAGTCCTTCTTAGACTGACCTTTCACAGCAGCCTATGAAAGCTGGTTCTATGGGTGAGACATTCACCAACAATACTCTCCAGTCCTCTCTAATCTTCTGTTCTTAACTAGTCAATCCCCTACCATGGATTAATCCAACCATCCATTTTCTCATGAGTGTGGTCAACAAATATCCTGGTAAGTACTGATTGGTTTAATTACTGATATATAATTACAGCCTTGGTTGGCCTTTAAATTTTATTTATTTATTTTTTGAGACAGAGTTTCGTGCTGTTGCCCAGGATGGAGTGCAGCTGGAGTGCAATCTCAGCTCACTGCAACCTCTACTGCCCAGGTTCAAGCAATTCTCATGCCTCAGCCTCCCGAATAGCTGAGATTACAGGCACGCACCACCACACCCAGCTAATTTTTTGTATTTTTTTAGTAGAGACGGGGTTTCACTATGTTGGCCAGGCTAGTCTCGAACTTCTGGCCTCACGTGATCTTCCTGCCTTGGCCTCCCAAAGTGCTGGGATTACTGGCCTCAACTACGATTTTAATATGGCCCAGCAATCCTTTTACTCTTCCCTGTCTTCTCATAACAACTTTTCCAAATATTTCCCATTCTCAATTTTACTGTTGCATTCACCTACCCTCGGCAGATGACTTTACAATCACTAGGAAAAATCTGGGGAAATGTGGGACATCTCTCCAGGTTTACCGCCAAACCCACCTATCTTTACTCGTCATTACTTCCTTTGCTCCTGTCTACTCTTAGCATACTAAAAAAGGACATTCCCAAGCTGGTCCATACCTCTCCAGTCTCATCCCTTACCGTCCCCCACCATCTTATATACATCCCACACCTCAGCAGTCAGACAAAACCTCAAAGTTTCCTTTACCCACAATATTATTTTTACATCTTGAACCCTTTGCACATGTTGTCCCGTCTTCCTGGAATACCTTTCTGCTCCCTTTTCCAGACATCACCTCTTCCAAGAAGCTTCCCTAATGCTTTAGTCTAAGTTATACATACTCACAGGAATCTGTTTTTACTGCTATTATAGAAGTATCACCCCAGGTTCTTATTATCTATATGTTCCCTGCACTACACAGTATACTACTTGAATAGGAATTGGATTTTCTGTGTCTGTAACCCTGGGCATCTAGCATAATACCTGCTATATAATGGGTACTCAATATGATGCTGAATGAATTTTACTTTTCAAAACCAACTCCTTCATGTGTACCATGCCTTACCTCTTCTATAACTTTTCCATCACTATCCTAACCTCTCCTTTTATTTCTTTCAGCTTTTTTTTTTTTCGGGACGGAGTCTCGTTCTGTCGCCCAGGCTGGAGTGCAGTGGTGCAATCTCGGCTCACTGTAACCTCCACCTCCCGGGTTCAAGTGATTCTCATGCCTCAGCTTCCCAAGTAGCTGGGATTACAGGCGTCCACCACCACGCCTGGCTAATTTTTGTATTTTTAGTAGAGATGGGGTTTCACCATGTTGGGCAGGCTGGTCTTGAACTCCTGCCCTCAAGCGATCCACCTGTCTCAGCCTCCCAAAGTGCTGGGATTACAGGCCACTGCGCCCAACTCTTTCAACATTTTTCTATACACTAGTTTCATCTCCGTTTATATTTTCAAGACTTTTCCACATCCTAAAAAAGACACAATCCTTTTCTTTAATGCTATCTTCTGCTGACACTAATCAAACTTCTTGAGAAAGCAGCATACTATTGTTTTCTCCACTCATCATCTCCCTTTCATTCTTTTTATTTTATTTTTGAGACAGAGTCTCGCTCTATCGCCCAGGTTGGAGCGCAGTATCACAATCTCAGCTCACTGCAACTTCCAAATCCTGGGTTCAATCAATTCTGATGCCTCAGCCTCCCGAGTAGCTGGAACTACAGGTGCGTGCCGCCACACCTGGCTAGTATTTGTATTTTTGGTAGAGTCGGGGTTTTGCCATGCTGGCCAGACTGGTCTCGAACTCCTGGCTTCAAGTGATCTGCCTGCCTTGGCCTCCCAAAGTGCTGGGATTACAGGCGTGAGCCACCTCGCCAGGCCTCATTCTTTAACTCACTGAATTCTGGCTTCTGCCAGCACCACTTTACTGAAGCTGCTTATTATTCAAAGGCTGTTAATAATTTCTTAGGAACTAAACATACAAAAATGTCATTTCCATGATCTATGTAGTCTTCAGCAATGCCAGCTATGATATCTGAATAAAAAACAATAAAACAGCCAGGTGCAGTGGCTCTCACCTATAGTCCCAGGTACTCAGTAGGCTGAGGCAGGAGAATTGCCTGAGGCCAGGAGTTTAAGACCAGTCTGGGCAACACAGCAAGACCCCATCTCTAAAAAAATTAAAAAACATTAACCAGGCATGGTGTGTGCACCTGTAGTCCCAGCTACTCGAGAGGCTGGGGTGGGAGGACTACTTGAACTCATGAGTTCAAGACCAGTCTAGGCAATATAGCCAGACCTCATCTCTTAAAAAAAAAACCGAAAAAAATCCAACAATAAAACAGAAAGTACCTCAATGTTTGTTGCATTCAGCTTCTCCTCCATTACTTGTTTGAGGATGATGAGTGAAGACTTGATGGCTTCTTTCAAAGTCATAGACTTGAAACAAAGAAGGCAAGAAGATGCCTATTAATTATGCACAATCCGTCCTTCCTTCAAAGATTTTCCCTTTATCTCACTGAAAAAAGTATTTAGCAAGTATGTCAAACATCTTACTTAGTATGGTGCATTACAAGTATCTCCAGAACTCAAGTAAATGGCAAATAAGTAGAATACATTTTTTCAGGAAAAAAAACCCCCAAACCTTATTGTGAGCCACAATAAAGTCACCAACCAAAGTAATCTTTGAAGAAGGGGAAAGGGATAGACTAGTCTTGTGTACATTTGAATTCCTCTTTTAATTTAGAAGATAATATTATTGGTAATATCCAATGAACAATAATGCCCAAATGATCTAAGAGGTAGCCCAATGGTTTAGAAAATTCAAATTTACCCTGTTTTGTACCTAATTTCTTCCACATGTAAAAGCAATACCATTAGGAGCTAATGTGAGCAGGCATCCCTGTATGAACCACCTGAATAAGTAGAGCAGCCTTCAATCACACCAATGAGTTACCCAAAACCAAATCTTCCCATCTCACAAAGAAAATACCAAATGCCCACTTGCTTCAAGAGCCAATTGTAAAGTGCTAAGTAAAGCTGTGAATATAGAGGATAAACATATTGTGGTACATCCATACCATGGTATATTACTCAGCCATCAAACGGAAATACTGGAACAACATGAATGGATCTCAAAAACAGTGTGTTAAACAAAACAGATACAAACTGACTAACTGTTTAATTCCATTTATAACAAAGCACAACAGACAAAACTAATGGAGAGTGGTAAACATGGTGGTAAACATGGTTGCAAGGGAGGGAAAGAGATTGACTGGAATGTGGATGAGCATTTTTCTGGTGGTGATGAAAGTGTTATTTATCTTGTTTTGCAATTGTCAAAACAGAACTGAACTCTTAAGGTTTGCACATTTTATTATATGTAAATTATACCATGATAAAAAAATAGTAAGAGTTGTGAGAATACTTAATTACCTTGTGGTAAACTTCTTGCAAGGAGCTCTGGGCACCCTCTGAAGCAGAGCCAATTGCTCGAGCATCACACTGTACAAAGGTCCCAGATGGGTCCATATGAAACCTGCAAAACCCCCAAAATGAGGACTAAAATGCTCAGGAGTGGTGGCACTTTATGTAACAAACGTCTCACTAAAACAAAGTATAAATGCTTGGCCCTGCAGCCAGGAAACACCACTGAAATATTGAGGCACAGATCTAAAAGATGTTCTATGTCTGGAGAAACCAGACATTTTAAAAACTGTTTAAGAAAATTAGTACCTTCCTTAGGGATTTAGAAGTATAGTATGTATAAATATGGTACTTGTTTATGCCTATCTTAGAAATATTTGAGGATGAGGATCAGATCAACATTCCAGAGCAAAGTTCTAAAACATACCCTGACTATAGTAACAAGTTACTTCTAATTCCTTCCAGAATTAGCACTGGTTCCAATAGGGGAATTCTTCATGGAATCCCCAAATTTGTGCAAACGGTATAGAATCACTAAACTTTAGTATTAGAAGCCATATATATGTATATACATACACACACACACACTCTACAATAGCCCTTTTTACAATAATCTTTTTTTAATGTATTTTTTAAAGAGATGGGGTCTGGCTCTGTTATCCAGGCTGGAGTGCAGTGGCATGATCATAGCTCACTACAGCCTGGATAACAACTCCCAGGCTCAAGAGATCCTCCTGCCTTAGCCTTCAAGTAGCTGGGACTACAGGTGTGTGCTAATACCTGGCTAACAGTCTACAATAATCTTCTCAGTCTCCACCCCAAATTAAAATAATTCCCTGCAAAAGCATGGGGGAAAATTACAAAATGGTACTTACAGCTGGGGTCCTTTCTCATCAACTCCTCCAAATAATAATGCTACTCCAAAGGGACGAGACTAGAACCAAAAAATAAGAGATATTAAGATAAATGGCTATAAAGTAAGGAGGTGAGAGGGGCTGGGAATGTTATGTTCACAGGACAAATGTCCTAAGTCCCATAGAACAATAAGAAAACTCGACAGAAGTATCACACTCACCATGGCACCTGGATCTGCATCTTCTTCTCCAAACTGCAAAGCCAGATTGGACACAGCTTGGGTCACACTCTCCACTGTCATTGTCTCATTGTAGGTGAACCAGTGGTTCTAGAAGAAGAGCAAAGCATGGTACAACCTTCTAATAAGGACATTAAAGCAGCCCACCATCTCACTACGCACATCCCTTTAAACTGGGATTGAAAACTGAAGGCTCAAATGTGGTTTTCTTAATTAACATTAACCCTGAGTACTTGGGAGTACATGAGAGGAAGAGAAATAGCTCTGGAAATAAACATATCACAAGGACTCTACGCAACGACGGACAAGAGAATTACTGCCTTGAAAAAGAGGGTTATGCCTCAAAGCACCAAGTTTACTCTTTCAAAAACTAAAAGTGCCTCTTTCCCTCAAAGACTCTAGCTTATTCTGTTGATGTTCAAATGACTTATTCTTACATAAGTACAGACAGCAAACTTGCAAATAAGTACAAAAAATTTTACCATGTGATGTATTTTTCTTACTAGCCTATCTTCAAGCAGCAGCTACAAAGTTTAAAAAAAAAAAAAACAGTATCCCTGACCAGTATTTGTCAGTTGGTACAAGTTATTACTCACCAAAGGCGGGCTGTTATTTACAAGCCTGGCAGCAAAGGCAGCTGAGGGGAGAATATCCTTTAACTACGTCCACCTCCTGCCATGATGCTCCCACACAAAGTCAATTAGGAAACAATGCATGCTTTATATATAGGCAAAGCCAAAAAAAAAAGGAAGACACTGTCAGCACTACTGACCAGAGCCTCTTTAAAACTGCAATGATTGGACAGCTAAACTCCAAGCCCCAGGAAGTTCTAACTGGGAATTCTACCCAAAATTACTCCCAAGAGCCACATCTAATATTGACACAGGTACCTGCAGTATAGCCCAGGCAGCTAGATAATCACTAAACAAGGAACTCAAGCATCCTGGTAAAAAGGAGATAATGCCAATTTTACCTGTGTCTCCACTCTGGCTTTATCAATTAAAGTCTTAGCATCAGCAATTAGCCCACTCATGGCACAACCTGCAATGTAAAAGCGACAGTGACCCAGTGGCCAAATCCTTGTAAAACTCTTTCATCCACTCAGGAAATCCTGAAATTCTGGATTGGAACCACGGCAGCCATTCAGCTATCCCATGGCATTTTATACCCAAAAGATTAGATAGGAAATGATCTGCACTGAACCCAAGTATTAATGATATTAGAAACAAAAAACCATCCACAATGACACAGAAGTCCAGACGATAAAAATAAGCCCAGAGAAAAGCAGCTAACCAAACATGAATTTCCACATATTACATCCCTAAGCATCCCTTTAGCACTCTTTGTAGACGATGATACATTTTCAAACGAAGCAAATACTAATGCCCCAACCTGGGAAACAAGGAAAAGAAAATCACCTCACTATGGACTACAGTGGAGGACTCTCGAATAAATCAAAAGCCTTTTGCCTCTCTGTCCCAAACACAAAGCAACTAGTTATATCAGAGAGAGTTTGCCTGATGGCCCAAGCTGTCACGATTATGGCTATAACTGTTATTGTACATGCCATGGCTCAAATCTAAATCTCCAGCCTAAGTTTCTCTCCCAAGTTTCAGACATATAAAGCCAAATAACTTCCTTAATATATCTACTTGGACATATCACACACTCATTTCCCTTCCAGACCCCGTCTTCTTCCTTGGCCCTCACAATCAATCAGATCACAAGTTCTGTCAATTTCTATCTTCCTCTCCATTCTCTGGCTACTGTGTTGGTTAAAACCTTCACCATCTCTTTGTTTGGACTATTACAAATTTTTCAACTGGCCTCCGTGCCTCCAGTTTCAGCCCTCTTTAGTCTATCTTTAATATCATTATCAGAATGGCCTTTCTAAAATTATAATGGGATCCTATTACCTCATTGCTTAAAACCTTTCCCATCCTTGCAAAAGGATTACATTGAAGCCCTTCAGTGTGGTAAAAAAGGAATTCCGCTCTCTGACCGACTCTGCTGCTGCAGTTCATGGCCCAGGCCTACAAAACTGCTTGTGACATGGTATTTTATATTTTACACCACGATGGCTTCAGTCATTTCTATTCCCCCTGACTAGAATGCTCTCCCTTGCTATACCCAGACACTTGTTTGCCTTGTGTACACTTCCTTATCTTTCAGAATTAAACTCAGCTCAAAATCACTTTCATGGAATCCTTTTCTGAAAGCCCCACTACCGCTGACTCCAGGCAAAACTAATTATTTCTTCCCTTGTACTCCTACTAAGAACACACTAGTCTTTCTTAATACTTTTGTCACTTAATTGCATTGACTTACTTACATGTCCACCACCACAATTAGACTGTATGCTCCTGTAAAACAAGGACTATGTCTTATTCCTTTCTATATCCTGGTATCTAGCATAAGGTCTGGCACATTGTAGGCTCTCAATTTGTTGAACACAGTGACACTGAGCTACCTTCAAAAGACCAAGTGACTTGAGTTAAAGAAGACACAATGTTCCAATCTTAAAAGATAAAATTTCAGTTTCTATATCTATGAAAGACATAATATCAAGCTCCCAGAGTCACCATGGCATTTGGTTCTGATGCCTTCAAGCAATTAATTATTTTGCCAATGCTTCATTAATTAGATGACTAGACAGGTTAAGAAAATTTGGATAGCCAAATAAAATGCCATTCTATAAATAAGTAGAATTACTCACCCTGTAATACTATTATACAATGATGTCAGAAGCCAAGGCAGGGGAATTAAAGACCAAAAAAGTGGGCAGAGGCAACAAGGAATACAAAGATAATCTGAAAACAAAGGAGGAAGACTGATCTAGGCAAGTCTATATTATTCTTATAACTTGTAGTCACTTCAAAGATCTCAACCTTTGCATATTTCAACAACCATCACATTTACCAAGTCTAAATTTGAGGGGAAAGGAACTTATGGGAGTAGGTTAAACATAAATGAGTCCTGCAACAGCCTCCTACTCCTACATTTACGCATTCTGGCCTACTGCCTGGAAAATAATAGCTAACAAGGGGATAACGTGTTCATTTCATAAACCTTCCTTGGAACATCATAGAGGACTAATTAACCCAGACCAGATCCTACAGAACAGCTTTCCTCCACTCCTTACCTATGTGAGCATCAATCTCTACAATTTTCTCAATGCTGCTGGGCTCCATCAGTGGGGAAGTAATTCTCTTCTCCACAGCTAGGCACACACCCTCTGATGTCTGGATCCCAATGGCTGTAGAACCAAGCTAAAGAGAAACATGTTATGATTACCATATATAGGTCAAATAACTGTCTTACATACTCACCAGATAGCTCTCTGTAAATCTTCACATGATAGAAACTTCAACTGGCCACATCTTATAGGCAGAGAGAAGGAGCACCCTAACATACTGTAAGTAATTAATATACTATTCCTGTCAATAGCAAGAACATTGATTTACAGAATTTTGTGATTCTAAAAAGTTCTTTTTTCTCCCTTAAATTTTTTTAAAATTTTTAATGTTTTCTTTATAATTTACCCATGTAATTCCCAGAACCCCAAAAGAGTAAGTTCAACAAAGTCTTTCAAACACTGGAAAAATCCACTCTCTAATGCCAATATTTGGAGGACGGAGGATTCAAAAGTTCTAAACATAGTGGGCAAGAAAGTAATAAAACTCTTAATGTCTTCTCTGGACCTGGCCTCTTTTCACCTCTGCCATCTACCTTGGTCTGTCCCAAGAGGTGATGATATTCCCCAACCTACCTGACCTCCAAAAAAGTAATAAAGGAAGGTAGGGAGGGACGAAAAGAACCACCACCATCATCACCACCAACAACGTAAAACTATTAATTATTTAAGGTCGCTAGAAGTCCACAATATACCTGGAATTCATCTCTATCTCTACGTAACTCCCAGTCATCTACTCCTCTATGCCCATTTCCTGCAAAATGAGGATGACAATAATAATAAGAAGGGTAAACACATTATATATTATAAAATGCTTAAAATGGTGCCTGCCAAATATGAACAAATGTTATTCATATTCCATGCCTAGATACTTCAATAGCCTCTCTCATCTTTAATCTCTCTCAATGTATCTCTAATGTTATAACCTGACTGATCTAATAAAATGCTATTATCATTATATTTCTTCTCTCAAGAATTAACATCACCCTATACTGCCTATAATATATCCAAATAAACTTCCAGAGCCTTCATATCCTGATGCCACTTTTCCCTTCCAACTTCACTACTCGTTATTCTCCAACAAAATCCCTCAGGTATAGCCCAGCCCACTGGCTCAAGCCACGTTATCTCCTACCCTTGCACCCCTCTGCTCATGCTGTCTCCCCTGGAATACATTCTTCCTTCCCCCAATCCAAATTCCACTCATCAAAGCCTTCCATGACTATGCTTTCTGCTTTGAATTCCATTATATTTAGTTATTTCTACAAAGTAATCACTGCCAAGTGTGAGCACTGCAAAGAGTTCCAAAGAATCCCACGAATCTTTATGTATAACTTGCTTAACATGTCTGCAGACTGAATGATCATTTCACACGCATATATATTATTTTTCAAATGTGTTGAGTTGTGACTTTATTTAGAAGTGTTATTAAATGTACACCAGCTTTTTGTCATGTATTTTCTTAATCAGTGGATACCTGCATAACTACAGGAGATGAACTGTCAAAAAATTTTATGTAAAAAAATGAGTACTCAGGTTGGGCATGGTGGCTCATGCCTGTAATCCCAGCACTTTGGGAGGCTGAGGTGGGCAGATTGCATGAGTCCAGGAGTTCAAGACCAGCCTGGGCAACATGGTGAAACCCTGTTTCTATAAAAAATACAATAATTAGCCAGGCTTGGTGGCGTATGCCTGTACTCCCAGCTACGCGGAAGGCTGAAACGGTAGGACTGCTTGAGCCCGGGAGGCAGAGGTTGTAGTGAGCCAAGATCACGCCATTGCATTCCAGCCTGGACAACAGAGTGAGACCCCATCTCAAAAAATAAATAAATAAAAATGAATGCTCATATTTCTAGTTAAAGGTGCAGACTAAAGACATAACATTAGTTCCACGCCTTCCTTAAGTCTATTGATGTAAGATTAAAGGACTTCTAAAAAGGCATAAATCCACTATAACAGAGAGTGGGAGAAGACACAGCAACAAAACTTTGAAGCTAAAAAGAAGATAGGTTAGTGATACCTGGGTAATCCAAATCCTAAACCAGCCGTAAAGAAAGTAAAGAAACAACCTGATTTTTATCACAGGACCTCAAAAAAGGAAATGGTGGCAACAAGGACCTCTGGAAATGGAAATGAACAAGGAGCTAAAAATTGCAAGGTGGTTCAATGTTTAAGAAACAGATTCCCGGATCCCCTCCCCTATGCTGTAAAGCTAGACGACTGCACCTCCCCCACTCCCGTGGAAGACTCCAGGCTTATTCTCTGGAGACCGTAAAATAGAGCGTCTTTGGATTGGGGACACCAAGCACAGTCTAAGGCAGGAATAATGTACTGAAAACGGGATAAATATGTAAAAATTTCCAAACCAAATGTTAAGAACCTCAGCCTTCTTTCCCTACTCAGCTCTCAGAAGCCAGCAGCCAGAAATACCCTCCCGGAATGAAATGAGAAGAGGCAGTTTTCTCCTGAGCAATGTTTTTCAAACTTTTTGACCAAAAGCCACAGTAAGGAATACATTTGATTTCATAACTAAAACCCACAAATAAATATAAATACATAACAGAAACAAAATTTCAGGAAAAAAACCACTCATCACTACTATGGGCAAGGCATTTTGATATCTACTGCTCTGTTTCACTTAAAAAAGAAATGTGGGCCAGGAGTGGTGGCTCATGCCTATAATCACAACACTTTGGGAGGCTGAGGCAGGAAGATCACTTGAGCCCAGGAGTTTGAGACCAGCCTGGGCAACATGGCAAAACTTTACCTCCACAAAAAATAAAAAAAAATAACTGGGTGTGGTGGCATGTGCCTGTAGCTGGGGGCTGAGGTGGGAGGATCACTTGAGCCTGGGAGGTTGAGGCTGCAGTGAGCTGTGATCGTACCACTGCACTCCAGTCTAGGTGACAGAGTGACATTCTGTCTCAAAAGAAATGCTCCTCATGACCACTAAATTTATTTTATTATCTCCTAATAGGTCTAGACCTGCAGTTTGAAAAACATAGCTCTAAACAATCTGACCAGTTCAAAAGGAAAAAAAAATATTTTAGACAGGGTCTCACTCTGTTGCCCACGATGGAGTGCAGTGGCACAATCACGTCTCATGGAGCCCCAACCTCCCAGGCTCACGAGATCTTCCCACCTAAGCCTGCAAAATAGCTAAGACTACAGGTGTACACTACTACACTCAACTAATTTTTTAAATTTTTTGTGAAGACAAAGTCTCACTATGTTGCTCAGGCTGGTCTTGAACTTCTAGACTCAAGCAGTCCTCCTGCCTCAGCGTCCCAAAGTGCTAGGATTACAGGTGTGAGCCTTGCCCAGCCTAATTTTTTAAATTTTTTCTAGACACGGGCTATGTTGCCCAGGCTAGTCTTGAACTCCTAGGCTCAAGTGATTCTCCTCCCTCAGCCTCCCAAAGTACTGAGATTATAGGGATGAGCAACAATGTCCACAAGGAAAAAAATTTTCAAGAAAAATTAGAAAATTGTTGAAGAAAAACAAGACATTTCATCCATAAAACAAGAACGGGATGCTAATAAGAAGAAAAGAAACAAAAGAAGTTGAAAATTAAAAATTATTTCTGGCCAAACACGGTGGCTCATGCCTATAATCCCAGCAATTTGGGAGGGTGAGGCGGGCAGATCACCTGAGGTCAGGAGCTCAAGACTAGCCTGACCAACATGGACAAACCCCGTCTCTACTAAAAATGCAAAATTAGCCAGCGTGGTGGCGCATGCCTGTAATCCCAGCTACTCAGGAGGCTGAGGCAGGAGAATCGCTTGAACACGGGAGGCGGAGGTTGCAGTGAGCCGAGATCACGCCATTGCACTCCAGCCTGGGCAACAAGAGCAAAACTCCACCTCAAAATAAATAAATAAATAAATAGTTTCTACAATACTACTGGAAAATGGGTTCTACCAAATTGAGCAAATAAATCAAAAAAGATGACATGGGGCCTTACACAAGAGGGAGTTAAAGGGAATGCCTAGAATGATCTCACAGAAAATGAAGTCCACAGGTACACAGGAGGCCCAGAGAACAACCAGTCCAGACTGGAGCAGATTAGAAGGCTCCAAGATTTCATTAAGAATCCTTAATAGGGCACTGTGGCTCATACCTGTAATTCCAACACTTTGGGAGGCCTAGGTGGGCGGATCACTTGAGCTCAGGAGCTCGAGACCAGCCTGTGCAACACAGCGAAACCCCGTCTCTACAAAAAATACAAAAACTTAGGCCAGGCGCGGTGGCTCACATCTGTAATCCCAGCACTCTGGGAGGCAGAGGCAGGTGGATCACAGGGTCAGGAGTTCGAGACCAGCCTGACCGATATGGTGAAACACCATCTCTACTAAAAATACAAAAATTAGGTGTGGTGGCACGCGCCTGTAATCCCAGCTATTCAGGAGGCTGAGGCAGGAGAATTGCTTGAACCTGGGAGGCAGAGGTTGCAGTGGGCTGAGATAGCGCCACTGCACTCCAGCCTGGGTGAGAGAGTGAGACTCCGTCTCAAAAAAAAAAAAAAAAAAAAAAAAAACAAGCCGCGCATGGTTGTGCATAGCTGTAGTCCCGGCTACTTTGGGGGCTGAGGCGGGAGGATCACTTGAGCCTGGTAGGTTGAGGCTGCAGTGACCTGAGATGCGCCACTGCATTCTAGCCTGGGTGACAGAGCAAGACTCTGTCTCAAAAAAAAAAAAAAAAAGGAATCCTTAATAGGACACTTAATTTGCCTGAATGTTTTGAGAGGATACATGTAACCTGGAGAGACTTTGGAATGCATTATTGATCATCCTAAATTAAGCAAATATTTTTAAAAAGAGAATTATTAACTCCAAGAAAAACAATGTTGTGCAGAAACAGAAAAATAATTATAAAATGCAAAATGGCTCAGCTGTGAAAAGCATTTAGTTATACTAATGTAACTATTGACTAATGATCTTACAAAATTATGATATTCATGATATATATGGAGAGGGTCACCCTATCCCCACCTCAGAAGACAATTGTGTGTGGTGGGGAGTAGGGGTGTGGGGTTAGGGCAGAAATCTTCATCTTTCATAATGAAAAGTCCATGGATAATGCCTAATAAAAAAAAACCATACATCTGTGTTATAGAGATATGGAGGTACAGTCCTAGAACATTACCAGCTGAAACAATTTAAAGTGTTGCCTCTGAAAAGCTGAACCTAGATGATGCAGGCCTCAAGAATTGCTATTTTTGTTACAAGGTTTATAGAACTACTTTGCCTTCTAACTCTGAAACTACATGCATGTATACCTTAAAAATCAAACAAATATATAATCAGAAACCATTGCCAGAAAACTTAATTTAGCACTTAGTTGTTCTCTAATTGTTTTATGTATAGTATACTGATCTTGAATCCCTAACTGAACAGAGTAGGACAGAATTCATATATACTTTTTATCTAGAAGAGTGATTCTCAATTGGGGGCCCTTTTGTCCCCACCAGACATTTGGCAAAGTCTGGAGACATTTTTGATGGTCACAACTGAAAGAGTGCTACTGGCACCTAATGGGTAGTACCCAGGAATTGATAAACATGCTAAAATGTACAAGATGGCCCTCCACAACAAAGAATTATCCAGTCCACGCCAGGTGTGGTGGCTCACACCTGTAAATCCCAACACTTTGAGAGGCTGAGGCAGGAGGATCACTTGAGCCCAGGAGTTTGAGACCAACTTGGGCAACATAGCAAGACCACATCTCTACCAAAAAAAAAAAAAAAAAAAAATTAGCCAGGCATGGTGCACACATCTGTACCCTAGCTGCTAGGGAGGTTAAGGTGGGAGGAAAGCTTGAGCCCAGGAGTTAGAAGCTGCAGTGAGCTAAGATGGTGTCACTGTACTCCAGCATGGGTGACAGAGTGAGACCCTGTCTCTAAAAAACCACTAAAACAAATCTCTTATTTAGTCCCTAAGGTGACTTTACCAACAAGAACACAAAGGTGGGCTGTGCGTGGTGGCTCACGCCTGTAATCCCAGCACTTTGGGAGGCTGAGATGGGCGAATCATTTGAGGTCAGGGGTTCGAGACCAGCCTGGTGGTACTGGGAGGCTGAGGCAGGAAAATCACTTGAACCCGAGGGGCGGAGGTTGCAGTAAGCTGAGATCACGCCACTGAACTCCAGCCTGGGCAACTGAGAGAGACTCCATCTCAAAAAAAAAAAAAAAGAAAGAAAAAGAAAGAATACAAAGGTGGTCAGATACATGATTTGCTAAAGAAAACAAAACAGAAAAAGTAATACAGGTGCTAATTCTGGACTTCTGTACCTCTCTTTATAGCTAAGAGGATCAAAAGCACAAATATGTCCCTCCACCCCCACTGAGAAAAAGCTATTTAGATAATTATGAAGCAGTTAACTGCTCAAAAAGTTTTAAAATAGATATTAGGAATAGGATTGAAACTGTTATAAAAATGGTTAACAGTGGTTGCTTAAAGGGATATAAGAACATTTTCTAAAGGAATGGTTAAACCACATTTACTCCAAGTGTTCTGCCAGCAAAATGTTAGGTAGCCATGAAATTTCAGGACCTATGCTACTTGCTACTATACCTTGATAGCCTCAATGGCATATTCCACTTGAAATAATCTTCCTTCGGGAGAAAAAGTATTCACGCCCCTATAATTTAAAAAAAAATTATTAATTATACTCATAAAAACTAGCCATGTAGACACTGAATTCAAGTTCCTTGACAACTAGCTCAGATAGCTACAGAATACGCACATTGTCATTATTCTCTACTTCGCCCACAACAATCTGTAGCATTTTTTTGTACATTAACAGTTTCTCAAGGCAATGGAACCTATATATAGAACACTTCTGCCTCACTCCCAGAAAGTCTTCCCAAATTGATGAAATGAGAGCAAATGACTTTTCTGCCTCAATCCTGAATCAACTTGGATCCATTCTGAATAGACTTACCAGTTCCTTTGGTAAGTTCATGCCTCAAAACTATCAGCCAATTTCCAAGAAAATGTGCATTTTTCCTTATCCTCTTCCCATAACATGCATATGACGTTAATACTTGGGGTTATCACTCTTCTTTCCATTCTCAATGCCCTCATTACCTTTCACCTAACGTTTGTAATAGTCTCCTAACAGGTATTGACTCGTGGAGCAAGTAGGAAGAGTTTTCCCCCTAATTCAGACAATCTCTATAAAACACAGTTATTACTTTTTTTTTTTTTTTTTTGAGACAGAGTCTCGCTCTGTCGCTCAGGCGGGTGCGATCTCAGCTCACTGTAACCTCCGCCTCCTGGGTTCAAGCAGTTATCCTGCCTCAGCCTCCCCAGCAGCTAAGACTACAGGTGCATGCCACCACGCCCGGCTAATTTTTGTATTTTTAGTAGAGATGGGGTTTCACCATATTGGCCAGGCTGGTCTTGAACTCCTGACCTCGTGATCCACCCGCCTCGGCCTCCCAAAATGCTGGGATTACAGGCATGAACCACTGTGCCTGGGCCTAATTATTACTTTTTACTAAAAGTTAGTCACAGGTACATTTCTCTACTTATTTGTATGAATTACTATTGTTATCTTAACAGACTGAGATCCATGTAGTTCCTAATTCTAACCTAGTTCATTCACTCAATATTTATATAACTTACATGTCAGACTGCTTTCCTCTCTAAACACTTCCCCTTAACACTTAACACTTTCCACCTTTCCTTGCTCAAGTGTGCTGGAAATCCCTACGGAGAAGAGGCACCAATCATGGTCTCAGCTATAAAAGCTTTGAGCACACAATGGACACAAAAAATATGTGAACAAATGAATGAGATGGTTGCAATCCGTGGTTTATGGAGTCCAGACTTTACAACAGGTAACATGTCATATAGTAGTGCTTTTGGCCTGGCGTGGTGGCTCACGCCTGTAATCCCAGCACGTTGGGAGGATGAGGCAGGCGGATCACCTGAGGTCAGGAGTTCGAGACCAGGCTGGCCAACAAGGTGAAACCCCGTCTCTACTAAAAACACATAAATTAGCTGGGCGTGGTGGCAGGTGCCTGTAATCCCAGCTACTTGAGAGGCTAAGGCATGAGAATCACTTGAACCCAGGAGGCGGAGGTTGCAGTGAGCCGAGATGGTGCCACTACACTCCAGCCTGGGAGAGTGCTAAGCACAAGTTACTTCCAAATCTCTACTACCAGTTTCACCTCTTTCCTAACTAATTTAAATGTTTGCTGAACATTTCCACTTGCATATCCTATTAGCACTTAACACTTAACGTTTTCCAGTTTGAAATATTATCTCTTTAAATCCAGCCACCTTGCAAAATTGACTTCATCTCCTGCCATTCCAATTTCAGTTTTAATTTAAAACATCTCAAATCTTCCAGTGTTCCCAACATACGAAGTTCTAAATGATCTGACTCATTCCTCCCCATCTTTTCCCATATCCAACTATATGCTAAGTCATACCAATTCATATCAATTCCTCCTCCACAGTAACACATCACTCTTCCTTCTCAATGCCCTCATTACCTTTCACCTAACTATTGTTAATAGCCTAACACTAACAGGTATTGACTCACTTTCCCCTAATTCAGACAATTAATCTCTGTAAAACACAATTATTATTTAACAGCACACAGTTGCCTACAGAAATAGGACCCAAACTCCTTAGCCTCGTATTAAAAACCATTCAATATCTAGCAGCATCCTGTTTTTCCCATTATCTCCTGCTGTTCCCATACACGTATCATATGTGCCAGTCAGACTGGACTTTTCCCAAAATGTATTGTGCTTTTCCATTGCCCCTCCTTCATTTATCCCATATTCTCCAACCCACAACTATTGATCTCACTGTCTTTATTAAATTCCTACTCTTTCAAGAAACCTAGTTTAAATGTCAGCTCCTTTGTGAAGTTTTCCATGATCGTCTCATATTGAATGCAATCCCTCATCAAAACTTCCATGGTATTGATTTGAATTTCTCTAATGGCATTAATATATTTCTGACTCACACTATAGTTACTTCTGTAAACAATTCTTTTTTTTTTTTGGAGACAAGGTCAGCGCCACCACACCCGGCTGATATTTTTTAATGTTTAGTAGAGATGAGGTCTCACTATGTTGCCCAGGCTGGTCTCCAACTCCTGAGCTCAGGCAATCCTGCCTCGGCCTTCCAAAGTGCTGGAATTACAGGCATGAGCCACTGTACCTGTAAACAATTCTTTAAGAGTCTCAGGCCGAGCGAGGTGGCTCTCGCCTGTAATCCCAGCACTTTGGGAGGCCAAGGCAGGTGGACCACGAGGTCAGGAGTTCAAGACCAGCCTGGCCAAGATGAGGAAACCCTGTCTCTACTAAAAACACAAAAATTAGCCGGGCGTGGTGGCACCGCCTGTAATCCCAGCTACTCAGGACGCTGAGTCAGAGAATTGCTTAAACCCAGGCGGCAGGCCAGGCGCGGTGGCTCACTCCTGTAATCCCAGCACTTTGGGAGGCCAAGGCAGGTGGATCACGAGGTCAAAAGATCGAGACCATCCTGGCCAACATGGTGAAACCCTGTCTCTACTAAAAATACAAAAATTAGCTGGGAGTGGTGGCGCGCGCCTGTAGTCCCAGCTACTCGGGAGGCTGAGGCAGGAGAATCGCTTGAACCCAGGAGGCGGAGGTTGCAGTGAGCCGAGATCATGCCACTGCACTGCAGCCTGGCGACAGAGCGAGACTCCGTCTCAAAAACAAACAAAACCCAGGAGGGGGAGGTTGCAGTGAGCCAAGATCACGTCACTGCACTCCAGCCTGGGCCACAGAGCGAGACTGTCTCAAAAGAGTCTCCTATATGCGAGCAAGGAGCTTGATTTTGTCCATTGCTGTAGCACCAGCACCTAGAACAGTGCCTTGTTCACAGCAAGCACTCAAGCACATTAACTAAGAGAATAAAAAGGGATGTATTTTAGGCCGTCTTGGGAAGACAGAAAAATAAGTAACAAAGCAGTCAATACATATGTTAAGTAAATGGCCACAAAATTTAATAAATGCCTTCTGATAAGCATAACAATTTCTATCATACACACCCTAACTCAAAATTATGTCACCCGAAGATGATTCTCTTCAATGTTCTGGAAGTTAAATATCGACCAACAAAGTCACTTTATAGGACAGTGGGGAAATATGTCAAAACTTCACACACATCTTCTACGAGTCAGTAAAAAAGATGAAAAAGTGGTAACTGCAGGTGGTAAAACTTCGACAGGATCAGCATATACTTGACAGGAAATGCAGCATCTCATACCACTCAGTACAAAGAAAATGTCTGCCTTCCCTGACTTTAAAAAAGAGTAGCTATGTAAAAACTTAACTGACGAAAACAGAAACTGAAAGTAAAAATGTCTACAGCATATATATGTACAACTTAATATTGTGAACATTTTCATACCACAAAAGTTTTTTAAAACTTGCTTTAAACTTTTAAAAAGTCAGAAAAAATTTTGGTCAATTGGAATCGGCATGATGAGAAATCTCTTGAAAACCATTCTAAATTCCAGTTCCTATAAAATCAGACTCCAGACAATATATCCAGCCAAAGCTACGACTGCCTTCGCGCTTCTGAAGAAACTATACACCGCAGCATGCCCTACTACAAACCAGTTGCTTTTTCTTCCAGGAAGCACGTTTAACTTTTTGTTTGTTTGTTCAAGGCAGTCATACTAGGCACGAAAAGATGAACGGAGCAAAGAGTGACCCTTGGCCTTCTCCGGGTTCAAGGTAGGAGTTCCGGCTCCTCACGCCTTCTTTACCAAGCACCAGCCGGAGCTTCTCGCTTCCGCACCGAGTTAGGACCCAGGGGTGACTCAGCGGTAGGACAAGTGCCGCCGATGTGGTCTAGCTTGGGGAAGGACGGCGGGCGCCTGAGGAGGGCATAACATCCCCAGGTCCGGCCAGTCTCGGGTTCCTGGGGAGCCCCATGACACGGCAGAACCCAGGCCGCGCGGCCAGGTCCCGGGCCTGCCCACCCATAATTCCCACCCGACGTCCCCCAGCTGCACGGACCTGTCGTACTCAGACCGGGTAAGAAACATGGCGAGGGTAGGAGGAGGCAGCGGCTACGCGGGGATTCTGAGGACCAACACGACTCCACCGGCACCCAACTCACCGGCAGCCAACTCACCCACACGGCCGCAGTACTAAGGACCAACTGCGCGTGCGACCGCGACCTCTTTAGCCCGCCCTCCTGTGCCTGCTTCCTATTGGCTGGTAGTAGTTCCCGCCTAGGTGATTGGGCCAACGCGCTTCCTCACGAGGGCTTGGTTGGTCCGGAGGAGGAGGAGGACCAGGGAGGTACTTCCGCCTTAAATCGCGGGTGGTTGCTAGGGACGATAGGCACCCAAGGCGTGTAGTGAGTTCGCCTTGTAGAGAAGATGTGAGCCCGCCCCAAGACTGGCAATTGGAAAGGCTTGCATGCAGAGCTGGGTTGTCTGAACCCTGACATAATAGGTCCCTCGCCGGCTCCCGTAATCCCAGCTAGAGGACTTTGGTCCCGTTTCCGGCAAGGCCACCACCTGACTTCTCTTCGCAGGATTCCCTCTCTTAGGGTTCCTCCACGGTGTTCTCCATGCCCGGTCGAGGGCTCCAGGACTTTGGGCGGTAATGAGTCGGCTACAGTGGGTCTGAGCCGGCGCCGCGGACGAGTCCCTTCGTTTCAGCCAGTTTGGCTCGTTTATTGAGAAAAGTGGGGGGCGAGGGGTTAGTATGTAAGAAAGTCTTAAAGTTTCCACATGGTTAAGGTAATTTTATCAACTCTTTCTTGCACCCCTCCCCCTAGTACAGGTTTCAGACCTAAATAACCTAGAGTTCAGGATCCAGACTTCAAAATATTCACTGCTTTTTCTGTTGTTTGTGAAAAATAAGTGTTTTCTTTGAGCCCAGATCGTGCTATTGCACTCCAGCCTGGGCAACAGCCAAACCCTATCCGAAAAAAAAAAAAAAAAAAAAAGCGCTTTCTTTTTCGACGCTTCTTGCTTCCCTTCAATAAGTTGCTTGAGGAGCAACTTTGCAGCTTCGTAATAACACTGTAATTCAAGTATTTGTTCAAGAAAGGCAAGTAAGAAGTCTTGGCACGGGGGTGGGGAATATAGGGAAATGTTGGTCAAATGATACAAAGTTTCAGTCAGAGAAGGTGGATGAGTTCTATAGTTAATAATCATATATTGTGTACTTGAAATTGTGAAGAGGGTACACCTTAAATGTTCTCACCACAGGAAAGTATGTGAGATGATGGATTATGTTGATTAGCTTCATTTAATTATTTGCAGTGTGTGTGTGTATATATATGTATATCAAAACGTCACGTTGTATACCATAAACATGAACAATTTCTATTTGTCACTTACACCTTAAAGCTGGAGTCGGGGGAAAGAAATCATTTATCAGGCAGTATATGCTGGAAAGGGAAATGCCAGCATCTCATTTCCAGTTGTTAATGTGATACCACTAGTCAAGTCCTTAACCTCTCAAGGCCTGTATCTCTCCAGTAAAGTTCATTCTTGGTCCTAGATTAGGTTTGTAAGTCACCAAGGCATTTCAAAGGTGCAGGAAATGTAAAAATAAGCCTTTTGAGTATTAACCAAGATTAGTTTTCCCCACCCTTTATTTTCTGACTTCCTTCATGGATTCAGTAGGAGTTTAGTTTGGTCATCCCTGGCCAATCAGATGTTTAGCACTAATAAAACTGAGGAAGAACTCCAAGTAGCAATCCTCTGGGATCTGTTAGATTTCTGAGAAAAGAATGGTAATTTTTAGCTTTCTTGTCAGCTTTCTGACAAGCTTTTTTTTTTTTTCACCTTATCAGTTATTTTCTATGGAAAAGTCTTGGTCGTAAATTCACTACAGCTGCTCTTTAGAAGTTCTTTTATGGCCAGGCACAGGGGCTCACGCCTGTAATCCCAGTACTTTGGGAGGCCGAGGTGGGTGGATCACGAGGTCAGGAGTTCAAGACCAGCCTGGCCAAGATGGTGAAACCCTGTCTCTACTAAAAATACAAAAATTAGCTGGGCGTGATGTTGGGTGCCTGTGATCCCAGCTACTCGGAAGGCTGAGGCAGAGAGTTGCTTGAACCTGGGAGGCAGAGGTTGCGGTGAGCCAAGATCTCACCACTGCACTCCAGCCTGAGCAACAGAGTGAGACTCCATCTCAAAAAAAAACCAAAAAAAACGGAGTTATTTTACTACGTAGGTACTTTAGCATAATATTTCCTGAGCACCCAGGGTTCCATGGTGCTCTGCAGACCCTATCAATGTCAGAGACAGTAGTGAATTGCTTACGAAATGTTCTTGAATGTAGAATCTCCTCTGGGTAAATGTGTTTGTGCTATATATAACATAAATGAAGGGGAGCTGCAGGTAATTGTGGATAGGAAGGAAAATCTTTTCTCCCAAGAGAGTGCATTGTAACAATCTAGCAGCTAGCATAATGTGTCTTTGAAAGAAATAAAATGAGAAATTAGCTATTTAAAAGTAATTGAAGTTAAAATGTGTGTACGTACAAAGGAATATTGTTCACCCTTTAAAAAGGAATGAAATTCTGATACATGCTACAACTTGGATTAGACTTGAAGACCTTATGCTAGGCGAAATCTCAAGACACAGAAAGACAAATATTGTATGATTCTACTTATGTTCGGTACCTAGAATAGTCAAATTCATAGAAACAGAAAGTAGAATAGTGATTATCTAGGGCTGGAGGAAAAGGGGAATGAGGAGTTAATGGGTTTAATGGGTACACCATTTCAGTTTGGGATGATAATGAAGTTCTGGAGATGGATTGTAGTGATGGTTGCACAACAGTGTGAATGTATTTAATGTCACTGAATTGTACACTTAAAAATGGTTAAAATGGTAAGTTTTATGTTAGGATATTTTACCACAACAGAAATAATTTTTTAAGTTAAAGGGGGGAAAAAGGAAAATAATGGAAATGTGAGTTCTTTGAGGGTCAGTACTCTCTTGTTCAGCCTAGCACCTGGCATATGCTCTAGATACATTTGTTTAGTAAATAAGTATTTATTTTTTTAACTTTTATTTTAAGTCCAGGGTGTATGTGCAGGATGTGCAGGTTTGTTATATAGGTAAACGTGTGCCATGGGGATCTGCTGTACACACCATTTCGTCACCCAGGTATCAAGCCTAGTATCCACCAGTCATTTCTCCTGATCCCCTCCCTCCTGCCACCCTCCGCCCTCCAGTAGGCCCCAGTATGTGTTGTTCCCCTCCGTGTGTCCATGTGTTCTCATCATTGAGCTCTCACTTGTAAGTGAGAACATGTGGTATTTGGTTTCTGTTCCTACATTAGTTTGCTAAGGATAATGGCCTCCAGATAAGGATTGATTGATTGATTGATTGCTATAGGCATACTAGTTCCATAGACATTAATATATGTGTGACTTGGAGAAGTAGAGTAAGTAGAAAATTCAGAATTTCAAATAGCCACTTTAAAATGTTTTTAAGTACTGTATTTCTTTAAATTTTTTAAATAAAATAGACAAAAGTTTGGTTGGCTACACCTTTTTAGGTGAAATATACTGAGAGATGCGGACTCTTCCTCATTGGAGAAATGTAAGTTATTTAGACATTAATAAAAGTTCTGCGTTCACCCATAGAGTGAGAGTTCTCAAATATTTTGGTACTATTTTGCACATTTTTGCAAAGAAAGGAAGATCATCCTTAATTGAAAGCTGCCATGATTATTTTACAGATGAAACAAACTGTATTGCAGTAAAGATACTTTTTCAACTATAGATTGGAAGCTGTGTCATTCTACTGGAAGTAAATGAAGTAGTTTGGTAAAGTTAATAGCCCGATAAATGTTGAAAATACTCACATTTGTTAGCAAACATCATATATGAGTACTTTGTGTCAGACATTCCTGGGTGAGGCAGAAAATATGTGGAGAATTTAAAAAGTGATTCCAAATAAATTTAGGTCCCTTTGCTCTTTCTAAATATTACATTCCCCAAATCCATTTATCCACATTTATCTCTAGTAACTACAATTTGTTTATGTAAAAAGACATTTTAGATTTGGCTGCTTCCCTGTGTGTCATTTTTTACTTCAATCACTTTGTAGAGTATTTTTAAATAACAAAGGTTTTTAACTCAAGGATATAGAGAGGTTTAGCTAGCTTTGATTCTTGCAAACCCCTGAAGAAATAGAAAATGAACAGTTCTGGCCAGTGACTTAGCATGGCAAGAGTACTAATGCAGGCCCATTGCTGCATAATCTGGGACTACTCTAATGGGAAACTTTGGCTTATAGACGCCCCCATCAGCCTAGCTGAAATTTTCTTAGAACTGCGCTGCAGTCTGAGACCCTGCCTGTGCAATCCTTTCTTTTCTCTCTCCTTCATAGGTGCCAGACTTATATCACAGTCTGGAGCATCTCCCACCTTCTCCTGCTCTCATCCCTTTTATCCTTCATAGATGTTTCTGCCAATTGATCTCTTACATGTTTTTATGGGCTAAATTGTGTCTTGCCCCAAATTCAGAAGTTAAAGCCTTAACCCCCAGTATCTCAGAATGTGACTGGAGCTAGGACCTTTAAGGAAGTGCTCAAGTTCAATGAGGCTGTTAGGGTGGGCCCTAATCCAGTCCTGACTGATGGTTTTATAAGAAGAGGGAATTTGGATACACAGACACCAGGGGCAGGTGCACACAAGAGAAACGGCCACGTGAAGACACAACAAGAAGGTGGCCATCTGCAAACCAAGGAGAGAGGTTCAGAAGAAGCCAGACCTTCTGACACGTTGATCTTGGACTACTAGCCTCCAGAAGTGTGAGGAAATACATTTCTATTGTTTAAGCCACTCAGTCTGTGGTATTTTGTTATGGCAGCCCTAGGAAACTAATACACATGTCAAATCTCATTTTGGCCTTTGCCTCTCAGAGGACCCAAACTAACACAGATGGCGCTAGGGGAGATCAGGAAGACATAAGATGGGGTTTCAGGACTGACTCACTTACTACTTGTTGGGCAAAGAGGATGCCATCCTGCACAGTATAGGAGCTTGGGTAGTTCCTAGCACAAGGTGGTGACCCAGTTGCTAAAGATTTTCATCAATGTTGACCTGGGAAAATATCCCAGTGAACTTAAAGACCTTGCAGATACAATTTCAGGCATTTGAAATATATGGGGGAACAATGCCTACAAGGACAGTGGAGATGCTTAGATACTGCTAAGTTATAGCAATACTCTGAAAAGGGATGAGAAAACAAAGCTTACACTTGGTTAATGGCCAAATGTGAAAGACAGAGGGTCTCTTTAGTAGCCTACAAAGAGTCATTTATTTTCTGCAATGGAAAAGCTAACATGGATGAGTGACAGACTTCAGACATGATAGAGTCACATATTCCAGACACATTGAAATGTGCAGCCAAACAGGTCAGGGTTCTTATTGGGAAAGCCAGAGACTGAAACAAAGGATGGGACATCTGGGTGGACATCCATATGGATGTTTGCTCTGCAGACCTCTGTGTACTTTCAAAACTTGCAGAAGTGGTCTGCCTCTCTATATTAAGAGTGAGTAATTCCCCCAAACTGAAAGATACTGCAGAGCTACTCTCCGACCAAGAAGCACAGGAGTTGCCCCAAATTCCTCTCCTAGCCCCTCCAGGCCAATAGCTAGAGGTAAATACTAGCATAACCCAGCTAGGAAGATGCTGGGCCTGACAAAGGAGGAAAAACAATAAGAATAAATTCGCGTATGCAGACAAGCCGGGGAGCACTCAGGGATTGGATTTTGAGGTTGCTTGATCAAGGGAACTGAAATATAAAACAGTAATCAAGATTCATTGACTTGGGGGCACTTCTTGAGACACAGAATTTAACACCCTAGCAAAGACTCAGACATAAAGTCACTTTTGGGAAATTCTTAGAAATCTGGAACAAGTGATGACCAATGCTGAGCAAAGTAAAAATGAGTTACCCTAGCATATGGTAGAAGAATGAATTTAAAAATAATTTAAAATAATTTAAAAATTCATTCTTCTACCATATGGGGGAAGTGAGTGTTTTCAATTGATGTATTATGTGAGAGCAGAAGACCCTTTAGAGGATTATGGTCCACAGAAGGGTCAAGAAGATGCACCATTCACCAAGGCCATCAGAAGTCCTCTGTTAAGAGGAATAGCAGCATCACCAAATAGTTTTCTGCAGTCCTGGGCTGACAATTGGAGAAGCAGTCACTGAGTTGGGCTTATTAATAACTATGAGAATTATATCACCCCACCTCCCAAGTAATAGAGGCCAGATGGTGGTGCTTAGTCATCAGAATCCAGAAGTCCAATTACCAGTAAGAGCAGCAAGATCTGGGAAGAGTAGCAAAGTAGAAATGTCTGAATTTTTCTGATGTATGGTAGGGGCCATTCCCTACTTTAGTCATATATTTCTGTAGACTCTGTTGTATTGTAGCTGTCAGACATGGAAAGATGTAGTTTGGAGTTTGTGATGATTAATTTTTTATCAACTTCACTATAGGGTACCCAGATATTTGATCAAATATTCTAGGCTTGTCTGTGAGGGTGTTTCTGGTTAAGGTTAACATTTGAATTGGTAGACTGAGCAAAACAGATTGCCCTCCCAAATGTGAGTGAGCCTCATCTAATCAATTGAAGACCTGAATAGAATAAAAAAGCTAAGAGGGAACTCCTCCTACCTGACTACTTGAGCTGGGACATTGGTCTTTTCTGGCCTTTGGACTGGGACTGGAACATCAGCTCTTCTTGGGTGTCAAGCCTACCAACTTTCAGACTTTAATTGGGCAGAAGCCAATGGTCTGGCCCTTTCACAGGGGGTCTGGAAGGCAAAGGACTGGAAAATCAAAGACAAGGAGGTCTGGGATAGAGTTACGTGAATGAATATATGGAAGTAGTCATGAGGTGTGAAGTTTTTATCTCATGTATCTACAAGAGAAGAGGCACTAAACAATCAAGAAGGCAAAATGAGTCAGTTGACATTACTAGGCTTAATCATTGGCCACCTAGGAACCAGCATCATGGGCACTTTTATGGGCTAAATTGCTGTCTTTGTCTGTTCAGATACTGCTTATTAGACATACCTGAGACTGGGTAATTTATAAAGGAAAGAGGTTTAATGGACTCAGTTCCACATGGCTGGGGAGGCCTCACAACCATGGCGGAAGTCAAAGGAGAAGCAAAAGCACATCTTACATGGCAGCAGGCAAGAGTGCATGTGCAGGGGAACTCCCCTTTATAAAACCAGACCTTGTGAGACTTATTCACTATCACAAGACTTACTATCATGGGAAAGATCCACCCCCATGAGTCAGTTATCTCCCACAGGGTCCCTCCTGTGACATGTGGGAATTATGGGAGCAAAATTCAAGATGAGATTTGGGTGGGTTCAGAGCCAAACCATATCATTCTGCCCCAGCCCCTCCCAAATTTTATGTCCTCACATTTCAAAACCAATCATGCCTTCCCAACAGTCCCCCAAAGTCTTAACTTATTTCAGCATTCACTCAGAAGTCCACAGTCCAAAGTCTCATCTGAGACAAGGCAAGTCCCTTCCCCCTATAAGCCTGTAAAATCAAAAGCAAGTTAGTTACTTCCTAGATACAATGGGAGTACAGGCATTGGGTAAATACACCAATTCCAAATGGGAGAAATTAGCCAAAACAAAGAAGCTACAGACCCCATGCAAGTCAGAAATCCAGCAGGGCAGCCAAATCTTAGAGCTCCAAAATGATCTCCTTTGACTCCTTGTCTCACATCCAGGTCATGATGATGCAAAAGGTAGGCTCCCACAGCCTTGGGCAGCTCTGCCCCTGTGGCTTTGCAGGGTACAGCCCTGCTCCTGGCTGCTTTCCTGGACTGGCGTTGAGTGTCTGCGACTTTCCTGGGCACACAGTGCAAGCTGTCGGTGGACCTACCATTCTGGGGTCTGGAGGATGTTGGCCTTCTCACAGCTCCACTAGGCAGTGCCCCGCTGGGGACCCTGTGGGGCTCTGACCCCACATTTCCTTTCTGCACTACTCTAGCAGAGGTTCTCCATGAGGGCCCTGCTCCTGCAGCAAACTTCTGCCTGAATATCCAGGTATTTCCATACATCTCTGAAATCTAGGCAGAGGTTCCTAAACCACAATTCCTGACTTCTGTGCACCTGCAGGCTCAACACCACGTGGAAGCTGCCGAGGCTTGGGGCTTGCACCCTCTGAAGCAATGGCCTGAGCTCTATGTTGGCCCCTTTTAGCCCCAGATGGGACACAGGGTACCAAGTCCCAAGACTGCACAAAGCAGCAAGGCCCTGGACCCCGCCCATGAAACCATTTTTCTCTCCTAGACCTCCAGGCCTGTGATGAGAGGGGCTGAGGTGAAGACCTCTGACATTCCCTGAAGACATTTTCCCCATTGTCTTGGTGATTAACATTTGGCCCTTCATTACTTATGCAAATTTCTGCAGCTGGATTGGATTTCTCCTCAGAAAATGTGTTTTTCTTTTCTATTGCATCATCAGGCTGTACCTTTTCTGAATTTTCATGCTCTGTTTCCTCTTGAAGCCTCTTCCACTTAGGAATTTCTTCTGGCAGATACCTAAATCATCTCTCTCAAGTTCAAAGTTCCACAGATCTCTTGGGCAGGGGCAAAATACCACCAGTCTGTTTGCATAGCAAGAGTGAACTTTACTTCAGTTCCCAACAAGTTTCCCATCTCCATCTGAGACCACCTCAGCCTGGACTTTGTTGTCCATATCATTATCAACATTTTGGTCAAAGCCATTCTACAAGTCTCTAGGAAGTTCCAAACTTTCCCACATTTTCCTATCTTCTTCTGAGCCCTCCAAACCATTCTACCCTCTGCCGTTTCCCAGTTCCAAAGTCGCCTCCACATTTTTGGGTATTTTTACAGCAACACCCCACTCTACCAGTACCAATTTACTGTATTAGTCTGTTCTCATGCTGCTAATAAAGACATACCCGAGGCTGGGCGCAGTGGCTCACACCTGTAATCCCAGCACTTTGGGAGGCCGAGGTGGGTGGGTCACGAGGTCAGGAGTTCGAGACCAGCCTGGCCAAGATGGTGAAACCCCACCTCTACTAAAATTACAAAAATTAGCTGGTTGTGGTGGCAGGTGCCTGTAATCCCAGCTACTCGGGAGGCTGAGGCAGAGAATTGCTTGAACCCAGTAGGCAGAGGTTGCAGTGAGCCAAGAACACACCACTGCATTCCAGCGTTGGTGACACAGCAAGATTCTATCTCAAAAAAAAAAAAAAAAAAAAAAAAAGACATACCTGAGACTGGGTAATTTATAAAGGAAAGAGGTTTAATGGATTCACAGTTCCACATGACTGGAGAGGCCTCACAATCATGGCAGAAGGCAAAGGAGAAGCAAAAGCACATCTTAATACATGGCAGCAAGCAAGAGGGCATATGCAGGGAAACCCCCCTTTATAAAAGCATCAGACCTTGTGAGACTTATTCACTATCATGGGAAAGACTCGCCCCCATGATTCAATTACCTCCCACCAACTCCTTCCCACCACACACGGGAATTACGGGAGCTACAATTGAAGATGAGATTTGGGTGGGGACACAACCAAATCATATCAATTGCCCCCTACTCAATTCATACATTGAAGACCTAACCTCCAGTAGCTCAGATTGACCTTATTTGGAAACAGGATTGTTGCACATGTAATTAGTAAAGATGAGTTTATACTGGAGTAGGGTAGACCTGTAATTCACTCTGACTAGTGTTCTTATAAGCAGATGGCCACGTGAAGACAGATACACAGTGTGAACACCATGTGAAAATAAAGGCAGAGATCAGGGTGACAACAGAAGCTAAGAGAGAGGCATGGAACAGATTCTCCTTCATAGCTCTCAGAGGGAACCAACCTTGCTGACACCATGATCTCAGACATCTAGCCTCAGAACTATGAGACAATGCATTTCTATTGTTTAAGCCACCACGTTTGTGGTACTTATGTTATGGCAGCGCTAGGAAACTAATACCATCACATAAATGGAGTGGCCACAGTGGCAGGGATAGAGGCTATGTATGGGCTCCAACTTTCCAAGGCTGATCTAGCTACTGATGATCTTTACTGTCAGCATCAAAGACTAATGCAGAGTCCCCAATATTGGCACTATTGAGACCAACTGGCCACTTGGTGACAAGTTGACAATACTAGGTCTCTTCTACTTCTGGGGGTTTCAATAGTTCATTCTCACAGTGATGGATGTCTAATCTGGGTATGGGTTTTCTTTTCCTGCCCACAAGTCCTCAGCCAGGGTTTAAAATATGGAGTTTAAAATACGGGTTTAAAGTATGGGGGTTTACAGAATGAGTGCCTGATCCACAAGCATAAAATTTTTTGTAACATAGCATCCAACCAGGGGACTTGCTTCATGGTAAAAGAGGAGCGGGAGTGGGCCTGTGGTCATGACATCCACTGATCATGCCATCATACCATACCATCCAGAAAAATCTGGCACTTTAAAGGGCTGGAATGAGGTTTTTTGTTTGTTTGTTTTTGTTTTTGTTTTTTTTCCTGAGGCAGCTCACTTTGTCGCCCAGGCTGGAGTGCAGTGGTGCCATCTCAGCTCACTGCAGCCTTGATCTCTCAGGCTCAAGCCATCTTTCCACTTCAGCCTCATGAGTAGCTGGGACTATGGGCATGTGCCACCACACCCAGCTAATTTTTAAAAAAATTTGTAGAGACAAGGCCGGGCAGGGTGGCTCATGCCTATAATCCCAGCACTGTGGGAGGCCGAGGTGGGTGGATCACGAGGTCAGGAGATTGAGACCATCCTGGCTAACACGGTGAAACCTTGTCTCTACTAAAAATACAAAAAATTAGCTGGGCGTGGTGGCAGGCGCCTGTAGTCCCGGCTACTCGGGAGGCTGAGGCAGGAGAATGGGTTGAATCCAGGAGGCGGAGCTTGCAGCAAGCTGAGATGGCGCCACTGCACTCCAGCCTGGGCGACAGAGCAAGCGACAAGAGTGAGACCCCATCTCAAAAAAAAATTTTTTTGTAGAGACAAGCCCTCACCATGTTGGGCAGGCTGGTCTTTAACTCCTTGGCTCAAGTGATGCTCCTGCCTCAGCCTCCCAAAATGTTGAGATTACAGGCATGAACCATCACAACCAGCCTGGAGTGACTTTCTAAAGGCACGGGTGACGTTACACTCAGAGGCAACACTCTGAAAGAATTGGATGCTATCATTCTGGATTTGTTATATACATTAAATCAGAGGCCTTTGTAATTCTGTCATAGTTTGTTTTCTGTTGCTGTAGCAGAAAACCACAGACTAGGTAGTTTACAAAGAAAAGAAATTTATTTCTTACCGTTCTAGAAACCAGGAGGTCAAAGAATATGGTGCTGCCATCTGGCGAGGTCGTTCTTGTTGTGTCATAACATGACAGCATCGCATGGTGAGAGGGCAGGAGCATGTGTGTCAGCTCAGGTCTCTCTACCTCTTCTTTTAAAGCTACCAGTCCCATTATGGGGGCCTCACCTTGATAACTTTATCTGATTCTAATTACCTCCCAAAAGCCTTACTTCCAGATGCCATCAACATATGAATTTAGAAATTAAGTTTTGTTTTGTTTCAAGACAGAGTCTCGTTCTGTTGCCCAGGCTGGAGTGCAGTGGCGCGATCTCCGCTCACTGCAAGCTCCGCCTCCCAGGTTCACGCGATTCTCCTGCCTCGGCCTCCTGAGTAGCTGGGACTACAGGCGCCCGCCACCACGTCCGGCTAATTTTTTGTATTTTTAGTAGAGACTGAGTTTCACTGTGTTAGCCAGGATGGTCTCGATCTCCTGACCTCGTGATCTGCCCACCTCGGCCTCCCAAAGTGCTGGGATTACAGGCGTGAGCCACCGCACCTGACCGAAATTAAGTTTTTAATACATGAAATTTGGAGGACACATTCAAACCACAGCAGGCCCTAATAGGAAAAATACTTGGGTCCACTAACCAAGGAGTAGATGTGGGAATAGCCCCACTTCTCTTCACTATCAATGACCCAGTAGAAGATTTTGTGCTTCCCATACTCACAAATGTGGGATCTGTAGGGCTGGAGGTCCTAGTCCCCAAAGAGGTTATGCTCCTATTAGGGATCACAGCAAGGGTCCCATCGAACTACAAGCTATGGCTGCTGCTGGGCATTTTAGACTCCTTATGACCAGATATCAGGAGGCAAAAAGAGGAGTCACCATCATGACAGGAGTAATTGACCCTGATCAGTAAGAGGAGATAGTGCTGCTTTTTACAGAGCTGATGTGATTCCACTTGGGCATCTCCTGATACCTTCTTGCTCCATGTGGCTGAATGAATACATGCAGCAAATCTGGCCTGAGAAGGGTATGGTTAACAGGAGCCCAGACCACCATATAAACCACCAAGACCTGCTAAGGTGATAACGGACGGTGAGGGGAATTTGGTGTAGATAGTGGAGGAGAGAGAGGATCAGTAACAACTGTGGCCCCCAGACAAGTTGCTATAGTTTGTCACACTAACCTTCGTCATCAAGTTTTCCTTTAGCAAGAAAGGCCCATGGGAACCATAGAAAAATTTCTTCCCAAACCTGTGTGAAAAAGTAGATCTGTCGGGCTCAAAGAGTGGGCTGTAGTGGTTATGAAAGTGGGCCTCTCAGATTTCCTGCTATGGGAGAATAGTTCATTGATGACCCCGACTGCTGACCTTCTGGATCAACCAATGTGTTTGCAGCTGAGGCCATGCTTCTTAGGAACTATTTTTAGCCAGTGACTAAGCATGGTGGGGTACTAATACAGGCTCATTGGGACTTCTCTAATGAGTCACTTTGGTTCAAAGCTCAGAGGGAAATTTAGAGAAAGAAGCAGCAAATTTAATGCAAAGAAAACAAAGGAAAGGAAATAAACATTAGAAATCAATGAAATAGAATGCAGGTATCCGAGAGAGAAAATCAACAAAACCAAAACTTATCTTCTAAAACAGAAATGAAAATTCATCAACTCTTACCAAGGGTGATCAAGAAAATGTGAAAGAAAACACATTACCAATATCAGCAATTAAAAAGGGGGACATCATTATAGGTCCTGTAGACATTAAGAAATACAGGAGGATACTATAAACAACTTTCTACCGTTAGAGTTGACAATTAAGATGAAATGGAAAATCTTAGTGAAAAACAAAATTTACCAAGACCAAAACCAGAATAAATAGAAAATTTTATATTTTAGAAGAATTGAATTCATAATTCAAACCTTCCTACAAAGAAAACTCCAGATGGCTTCACTGGTGAATTCTTTCCAAGATATATTCTGCTTTTAGAAAGGCATAAACGACATATTCATACTTTCTAATGCTTGTATATTACATGCTCTATTCGTGGCTTAACTTCCCCCTGCTTCCGTGCATCATTCATTGAACACCTACTATGTTTCAGGGCATGATGCTAAGTGTTATAAATACAAAGATGAATGAAGAGTTTTTTGGTGGGGGAGGGACTTTGAGGTTGATGGAAGAAGAAGATATATATAATGTAAATGTAGCGAATTCTGTGCTAATGATGATATGTATAAAGTACTATGAGAGATTGTGATGAATCCAGGGAAGAGAAGGCTTCCCAGGCATGAGGGGTGAAAAAATATGGCATGTGGTATAGGCATAAAAATGACTAGAAAATAAAAGACATCCCTTCTCAGTCTTCCTTACTGAATCTTCTCCTCATATTCCCTTAATTTTTTTGATTACTCAAGTCCTGTCCTTGGTTTCTGTTTTTCACTCTCCCCAAGCAGTTTTATCTACTCTCACATTTGCCCCTTTCATATACAAGTTAGTCATTCCAAAATCTGTGTTTCCAGCCTCTACCTCTCTATTGAGCTCCAGGCCCAAATGTCCAAATACCTACAGAACTCACCTACGCAAGAATTTTGCCCTCACACTATGCCATCTCCTGCGTCACCAAATTCCCTCCCTTAAAAAAAATCCTTCTCTTGATTGCATGTGTCTCTCCAGCTACTACACCATTTCTCGGCTCCTCTTTGTGTAGTGAAACTTCTCACTTTCTTTGTTTCTTTGTTAAAAGTGAGGTTTTTATCCCCATTACTTTTTTGAGACTGTGCTTATCAAGGTCACCAATAACCTTCATGTTGCCTAATTCAGTTCTTAACCTACTTGACTAAATGGCAGCATCTGACTAGTTGATCATTTTCTCTTTCTTGAAGGACTGTCCTTCCCTGGCCTCCACCCTATACTGATTTTCTTCTCACTTCAGTGGCCACTCCTCTGTCTCTTCATTGGATCCTCTTTCTTTTCTCAACCTTTAATTATTGGGGATTCTAGTGTTCCATCCCCAGACTTCTACTAATTTTTTTCTTATACTCATTTCTTAGAAAATCTTAACCAACTCTGTCATTTTAAATATCATCTATATGTTAGTGATTCCAAAACATGTATATCTGCAACCTCTCCCCTGAACTCCAGACTCATATCTCCACTGGCTACTCCACTTGGATGTCTAACAGTATTCCAAACTAAATGTGTCCAAACCAAGTCTTTGATTCCTTGCTGCCCAAACCTTCAGCCTTCTCCATATCAGTAAATAGTTCTACCATTCGCCCTGTTGCTCAGGCCAGAAATCATCATGGACTCCTCTGTTTCTAATACGCTCTTTGATCCACTAGCACATCCATCATCCTACCTTCAAAATATATTCCAAATCTGATTGACTAGTTCTTACCACCTTGATCACTGTTACTCTCATCCAAACCACTATCATCTCTCACCTAGATCCCTTCCTCCTAACTGGCTATCCTACTTCCACTCTCCCCCAACTATATTCTGAATGATCCTTTTACAGTGTAAGTTAGGATATGCCACTCCCCTGTTCAGAACTCTCCAGTGATTCATGTCACACTTAAAATAAAATCTAAAATTCTTTCTACAGTCTGCAAGGCCCTAATGATCTGGCCTCTTGCTACATTCTGACCTTATGTCCTTCCACTCTCCCCTTCCTTTTTTTGTACTTCAGCCATACTAGCTTCATTGTTGTTTCTCAAACATATGCCAAGCACATTGCTGCCTCTGGACCTTTATACTTGTTTACTTTAGAAATACTCGTTCCACAAATATGCTTATGGCCCATTTCCTCACACCATTCAGGTCTCTGTTCAAATGTTACCTCCTCAGGGGGACCACCCTATCTAAAATAACTCTTTGATTTGCTGTGCTTTTAGTCTACTCTATTTTTTCCCTAGCTTATAACCCTACAGGAGTTATATCATGTACACATCTGTTTATTGAATATTATCTGCCTCCCATATTAGAATGTAATTTCCATAAAGGCAAGGAATTTATCCATTTTGTTCAGTCACCAAGTCCTATCTATTCTACCTCTTTAAAATATCTTCTAGCTGAGCATTGTATAATCCCAACACTTTGGGAGGCTGAGGTGGAGGATCACTTGAGCCCAGGAGTTTGAGACCAGCCTGGGCAACATAGACCCTGTCTCTACAAAAAAATAAAATAAATTTTTAAAAAATCTTCAGTTCATCTTCTTTCCATTCCTACTACCTCTGTCTTAATTCAGTTGCCATCATCACTTGCTTGGACTATTACAGTATTCTTCTACTTGATTTTGTACCTTTGTTTTCTTCTATCCAGGCCATTCTCCCACACTACTACAAATCTGATAGCACTATAGTTGATATCTGTTCATGCCTCTCCCCTACCTAAAACCCTTTGTAAGGGATACCCTCTTTGCATATTGGATAAAGTCAGTCCCTTAACACAGCATCCAAGGCAATTTCTAGCCACTTATTCTGCTACCTCCTTGCCTTTCCTCTCTAGCAGTCCAAAATGCTTATATCTCATGTGTTTCTTGCCTCTGTCCTTGGAACATGCTGGTTCTTTTCTCTTAAATGTCCTTTCCTGACTCTCACAAAGATAAATATTACCTCCTCTGGCCATGCTTCTATTGCATTTATTATACTGTGCTTGATTTTTTTTAATACTTACATGAATGTCCCATTCATGTGACACTGTGAGCTTCTTAAAGGGAGAAAATTGTGTCTTATTTAGGGCACAGCTCCTGTCACAGAGTCAGGGACAGATGGAGATGGGAGTAAGGCACAGGAAGTGTTCAAAGTAGAAGGAACTTTATGTATGAACACTCTAAAGCATGAAGGAACTTGCTTCATCTTTAGGAAAGAGAGGAAGCGAGTGTGACTGGAGACCGGTGAATAAGGGGCAGAGTAACAGGAGAGCAAACTAGAAAGACTATGGGAACTAGATCATGCAAGGCCTTGGCCATGCTAAGGATCTTGAACATTATCCCAAGAGAAATGGGAACCCTCTGAAAGATTTTAAGTAGAAGAATGACAAAATAAGATTTGCATTAAAAAGTCAGGATGGCTATGTAAATAATGGATTGAAAGGATACAAGAATGAATACAGAGACGAGATAGACACTATTTCAATAGTCCAGGCAAAGGGTGATCGTGGGTTGAATTAGAGTGGTAGCATTGGGGATGGTGAGAAGTAAATAGATTCAAAATATATCTTGGAAGTAGAATGAATAGGGCTTAGTAACAAAGTGAGGGGGTGAAGGAGATAGATTTGCACAACTGAATGGCTGGTGGAATCATTTACTGAGATGCAGATTTGTCAGAGTAAGGGTCAAAAGAGAAACAATTAAGTTTTGAGAGGTTAAGTTTGAGACGCCTGGGTGTGAGGCATGTAGAGGAATAACACAGTTGAATATAGGGGTGTAGATTTCAGAAGAGAGGTCTGGACTGGAAAAATAATTGGGAGTCATGAGCATACAGGTTTTATGTAAAACCTTAAGAGTCAATGAGAGAACCTAGAGCAATTGTAGCATGAAAAGAGAAGAGGGCAGGCTTATGGGGAATTGAATATAAATTCATTGGATTAGAGGTAATGAGAACATGAAACTCAGAGGGCACAGGGACCTTGAAGTTGCCCAGGAAAATGGTAGAAGTTGAGGGTACAGGAAGGCTGTGAGTGAGGTGCTTGCAGGTCTTCAGAGAATGAGGGAAAATGACCAACAATTTGGAAGATAATTGCACTAGGAAGGGAGAAAAGATGAATAGATAGATGACACAAACCTCTAAAAGACAGAAAGATTTTCCAAGAGGTAGAAGGAGCAATGGGGATAGACAACCTAAATTTCCCCCTTAAGTATATTTTCTGTTTAGATAATGAGGATCTTCAAGAGTATCTTTGGATGTTGCAGGTTAAATAGATTCAAAGAAATTCTGTCTGTGCTGTTCCAGACCAAGCCAGTCCCCTGGGTCTTATTCAAGGCAGGAAATCTGGTAGAGTGAGGCCAAAGCAGCGGGAACCTGGTGCAGATAAGAGTGAGAAATAACAGGCTATACTGCATTCAAGTGAGAGGTGGTGAGGGATTGAGCCAATGCAGGAGCAGAGGGGATAAACAGGGAGAGCTTGAGGAAATACCTCTGACATATCTGGAGACTGAGCTCAATTACATGGCTACTGATTCAATCATTCATTCCTACGTAAGGAAATCCCTGTAAAAACTCTGAACACCAAGGCTCAGAGGAGCTTCCTGGTAGGTGAACACATCAGGGTACTGGAAAGTGACGCATCCTGTCACTGTAGGGGAAAGGGGAAGGATAATCTGAAATCAGAAGCTTCCCAGATTTTGCTTTATGTGTCTCATTTGACTGGCTCTGTTTTGTATACTTCATAATAAAACTATAATCACAAGTATAGCACTTTCCTGAGTTCTGTGAATCATTTTTGGGAATTATTGAACCTGAGGGCATTGTGGGAACCTCTGAAATTTTAGTCAGTTGGTCAGAAGTTTGGGATCCCTGAACTGTGGCTGGCATCTGAAATAAAGCCAGTCTTTCTGGGGTCTGTGACCTTAAAAAAACCTGTGAAGTCTGACACTAACTCCAGGTGGTTAGCATCAGAATTGTATTGCAGTTGTAATTGGTTCTGAATAAAAGGTAAGAGAAAATCCTATTCAAACTGACTTTAAAAACTAAACGGAATTTATTGGTGCACATTACTGAAAAATCCAAAGTATAAGACTTCAGGGCATGGCTTGATATAGCAGCTCATATAGCATTACCAGGACCTGGTTTTTCTGTATCAGGTTTTCTGTTCTGCTTCCTTGAGATTGGCTTCATTCTCAGCAAACTCTCTCCAGTGCAGGATGGCTGCCAGTAGTTTCTGAGGCTATGTGCTTGTGGATTTACATCCAGTTGAGAAGAGAGGGAGAGAGAGGATCTTGATGACTCAAACAGATGTCCGATAATTGAGTATGATTGGCCTAAATTGGGTCATGTGACCATCCCTGAACAAACTACCATGCCCAGGACTATTGCCATAAGCCATCTAGAGCCTATCCCTAAAACCAGAAGTAAGGTCAGTCTTACCCAAATCATTTTGCCAAAAATGGCTTGCCTTAAGCAAAATCTGGGTACTGTTGTTAGGAAAATGGGGAAATGAATATTGGGGATACAATTAGTCATGTCCACTACAGTGTTAAATTGATATTTATTTAATTGACTCTTCATTTAAAATATTAACTGCATTTTGGAAAGCACCTCCAAATCCCTTTAGTTCTTAATTCTGCACTTAAAGAGTTTTCTATCTGAACTCTAGTTGGTTTAAGTATTCTGTGAGATTCTCTTTGCAACCTAGGGATTTGTTAGTGCAATTCAGTAAAATAGAAATACTGCTTGCCAGATTATGTTAAAAACTCACCTTCTCTAGATGTAATTTATGTCCAATTTAATTATTCAGAGAATAAACCCTAAGAAATAAGTTAGGTTGACAGAGTAAGGTGATTCTGATAAAAAAAAAAAAAGGTTGACAGAGTAAGACGATTCTGCAAAAGAACATTTCTTTGCCCTCAGCTCTGCAAGACCACTTGGAACTACCAAAGTAGATATCACAAAGCTTATACACCAAAGCTCCTGGACTTTATTAATGGGAAACATTCTCAGATCTTCATTTAGAGCCAATTTGCTATGATTCTAGATATAGTTCTAACAGATTAAGTTATCTGGTGTAGTGAACCTATGTTGTTCACAATTCTTTTTTTTGGGTAATACTATTTTGATTTTCCTCTGGGTAAACTAGCTCTCTCACTTTCGGTTTTGTGGGTTTTGTAGGGCTGATACCACCCATAAGGTTGAGGAATTGTACATGACCAAGATCCAGTCAGTCCCTTGTCCACAGTAATTGATGCTGAAATGGGCAAGTGGCCCAATTTGGGCTATTGCGAGCCCTACCCAGAACTTTGCCTGCAACTCTGATGGGGTTGCTAGATTGTTAAGATGTAAGCCCAGATCCATATGGGATACCCTGAGGGAAGATCCTGCTGGAAAATTATGCCAATGTAGAGGAAAGAAGAGCAGAAAGATAGAAATAGATTCGGCTGGGCGAGGTGGCTCATGCCTATAATCCCAGCACTTTGGGAGGCCGAGGCAGGTAGACTGCTTGAGCCCAGGAGTTCGAGACCAGCCTGAGAAACATGGAAAAACCCTGTCTCTATACAAACAATACAAAAATTAGCCAGATGTGGTGGCTCATACCTGTGGTCCTAGGGAGGCTGAGGTGGGAGGATCACCTGAGCCCAGGTCGATGCTGCAGTTAGCCACGATCGCCTGTCACTCCACTCCAGTCTGGGTGACCAGAGTGAGACTCTGTCTCAAAAAAAAAAAAAAAATCGTGGCACAGTGGCTTACACCTGTAATCCCAGCACTTTGGGAAGCCGAGGCAGGTGGATCATGAGGTCAGGAGTTCGAGACCAGCCTGGCCGAGATGGTGAAACCCCATCTCTACTAAAAATTCAAAAATTAGCCAGGCATGGTGGCGTGCGCCTGTAATCTTAGCTACTCAGGACACTGGGGCACTCTAATCACTTGAATCTGGGAGGTGAAGGTTGCAGTGAGCCGAGATTGTGCCACTGCACTCTAGCCTGGGTGACAGAGCAAGACTCTGTCTAAAAGAAAAAAAAAAAGAGAGAGAGAGAAACAGAGACAACTGAGCAGAGAGAGAGAGAGCGAGAAAGAGCAAACTCAATTCTGATGTTATACTTTGAGCCCCTGGAACCAGTCATGACTAAAAAATTATTGGACTTTTCAGTTACAGGAGGTAATAAATAACATTTATAGTTTAAACATTTTTGAGTTGGGTGTATGTACTGAAAGAATTTTAACGAATTCATCTGGTTTTCTGGCTCGAGCAGATTAGATTAGAAGTAATAACAAGAAGGATTTTGCTTGAAGGCATGTAAATAAGCAGCAATTTCACTTTTTTTTTTTTTTTTTGAGCCAGTCTCTGTCTGTTGCCCAGGTTGTAATGCAGTGTCTTCATCACAGCTCACAGCAGCCTTGACTTCCTGGGCTTAAGCGATTCTCCTACCTCAGCCTCCTGAGCAGTGATTTTTTAAGTGTTATAAATCCTGAACACTTAATGAAATAAAATACAGTATTTTGGTATCTGGTGCTGACACCAAAAGAAGGCAAAATAAAACTACAAAATCTTTCTTTCTGTTTCATTAAACAGTTTGGGACCCTAATTATTATATCATATCTTATAGTTCAATATCTTACAATACAGGAAAATGTTTGATGATCCTAATGACATTCTTTATTTTTATAACTGCCTTCAATGTTCTTTCACACATAAAACCTTTTTTTTTTTTTTTGAGGTGGAATCTCACTTTGTCACCCAGGCTGGAGTGCACTGGCATGATCTCGGCTCACTGCAACCTCCGCCTCTCAGGTTCAAGCGATTCTCCTGCTTCAGCCTCCCGAGTAGCTGGGACTACAGGCATGTGCCACCACACCTGGCTAATTTTTGTATTTTTAGAAGAGATGGGGTTTCACCATGTTAGCCAGGCTGGTCTCGAACTCCTGACCTCAGGCAGTCCACCCGCCTTGGCCTCTCAAAGTGCTAGGATTACAGGCATGAACCACTGCACCTGGCCGATAAAACCATTTTTGATTTCTCTTTCAGTGAGTAGTTACTATACTGAAGCAAAATTATATTATTAACGTTTCCGTCTTAATTTTTTTCAATTTTTTTTGTTTGTTTTGGTTGTTTGTTTTTGAGACTGTCACCTAGGCTAAAGTGCCTAGTTTGTAGTTTTAGTGGAGATGTGGTTTTTGCCATGTTGGCCAGGCTGGTCTTGAACTCCTGGCCTGAAGAGATTCACCTTGGCCTTCCAAAGTGCTGGGAGGGATTACAGGTGTGAGCCACTGTGCCTGGCCCAGCCTTTTTCCTAAGAAAAAAAAGAAAAAATAAGTGTAGCAGAGGATGGAAGCGGTACGGAGTTACTGAGACTGGGTGGTAAAAAGGGAGTGGGAGGGCTTGTGGTGAGGATGTCAGTGATGGGGGTAGGGATTGGGCAGAAGGAAGGAGGGTTTGAAGAGAGAATGAAGAAGAGTAAATAAATTTGCTGACCAGTGTGTAAAATAATGGTATAACACCAACAAAAATACCTGAATTTCAGTGCTTAAAAATAGCACAGTATACTGGAACATCGTAATACAGAAAACAATAATGCAATGACGACTTCCTCTTCCTTCACCTTCAGTCAGAGTAGCCTCTAAATCTTGTTAATCCAATTTTAGAGACATATCATCCCACCTAGAGATTCTGCTTTCTGAAATATTCTTGGTGCCGACCTTGGAAGGCTCTGGTTCTGTTTCAAGAAGGAAAGCCATTTGCTTTTATCACCTTACATACTGCTGTCAGACTAATATTTCTGAAGCACAGCTCTAATCAGGTAGTCACTAATATTTATTGAGTGTTTGCTATATTTCAGGCACCAGGCTCTACATACATTATCATATTTAACCTTCACAACAGCCATTTTAAAATAGATACTATCATTAGCTCCATTCTGTAGATTAGAAAAAAAACTTTAGAGGAATCAAATCTCCTGAAAAGGAAACACTGCTCCTAAGTGGCAGAACCAGGTTAGGAATCCAGCTCTGTTTGGCTCTGGAGCATGGATTCCTCACTACTATTCTTATTTTATCTCTTCTGCTCAAAACCTAAAAGTAAATAAAGTCTAGGGGCTTATCATTCAAGGCCATTACCCCCAACTGCCATTCCAATTATATTTTCTTTCTTTCTTTTTTTTTGAGAAGGAGTCTCGCTGTGTTGCCCAGGCTGGAGTGCAGTGGCGCGATCTTGGCTCACCACTGCAACCTCCACCTCCTGGGTTCAAGCAATTCTCCTGCCTTAGCCTCCTGAGTAGCTGGGATTACAGGTGTGTGCCACCATGCCTGGCTAATTTTTTTGTATTTTTAGTAGAGACAGGGTTTCACCATGTTGGTCAGGCTGGTCTCAAACTCCTGACGTCATGATTCGCCTGCCTCGGCCTCCCAAAGTGCTGGGATTAAAGGCGTGAGCCACTGCACCTGGCCCGATTTTATTTTCTACTGCTACACTTTCATACATCTGATTTTCAGGGCAAATAGAAGTATTTTCTGATCATCAATACACTGCAGTATTTCACACTACCATGCCTTTGTTTACAAAATGCTTTCGCTGTCTCACTGGTTCTAAAAAATAATAGAAATCTTTAAATCCTTGTTTCATACAATAGTCATGATTTTCCTTATAATAAGAGCCATTGGATTTTACTGTGATACAGATATTTTTTCTTCTTCTGAAGCATATATGAAGATTAAGTGGTTTTTGAAATCTATTAGGCCTTTACAAATTATTTGTAAGTCCAAATCCTAGAGAATTAGGATTCTAGATAACAGAAGTCATTTTCAAAAGTCCAAGAACTCTTTAGTGTCTCCCAAGATTATCTAATAAACAACAACAACAAAACCAATAGGACACAAATTTGGGAAGTGGTAAATCTCATTTTGTAGTTGGAAGTGCCTATATTCCTAACAGGCAGAATATTCAATAATTAAAATATCTGCTATGGAATAATTTTGTAGATTAAAAAAGGCACGAGTAATGTTACCTTGAGTATACAGTTAGTTTGGCTACAGTATGGTTTGAGCTTTTCAAAAAGCAGTAGCTCTTCAGAAAGTACAAAAGAAGAGAATATTGTCTAACTCATTTTAGGGGGCTATCATTACCTTGATAACAAAACCAAACAAAGATAGTTCAAAGAAAGAAAACTATAAATCAATAGCCCTCATGGATATAGATGTAAAAATCCTCAACAGATATTGGAGAGTCCAATTCAGCAATACATAATATATAACACAAATATATAAATACATATATATAACACAAATATATAAAGTACATATATATAACACAAATATATAAAGTACATATATATATATGTGCAAACATATATACAGAATAACACACCATGACAAAAATGCAAGGCTGGCTCAATATTCAAAAATCAGCTGGGCATGGTGTTGGTGCACGTTTGTAGTCTCAGCTACTCAGAAGGTTGAAGCTGGAGGATCAAATCCAGCCTGGGCAACATAGTGAGACCTCCATCTCTACAAAAAAAAAAAATCAGTAGACTCACAAAAATGTAATCAGAAATATAATCTTTGACAAAGGAGCAAGGGCAATTCAATGGAGAAAGAATGGGCTTTTCAACAAATAGTGTTGGAACAACTGGACATCCACATGCAAAAAAATGTTTCTAGCCACAATCTTTACATCCTTCACAAAAATTAACTCAAAATGGATTATAGACATAAATGTAAAATGCAAAGCTATAAAACTCCTAGTAGATAACATAGGAGAAAATTTAGATGGCCTTCGGTTTGCTGATTACTTTTAAAATTTTCATTTATTTTACTTATTTTTGTTAGAGATACATGCCTCACTGTGTTGCCCAGGCTGCAGTCCAGTTTAGGCTCACTGCAGCCTCAAACTCCTGGGCTCAAGTGATCCTCCCACCTCAGCCTCCCAAGTAGGTGGGACTACAGGCATGCCATCACCCCCAGCTAATTTTTTTGTTTTTTGTAGAAACGGGAATATCACTATGGTGTCCAGGTTGGTCTTGAACTCCTCCTGGCCTTAAGTGATCCTCCTGCCTTAGCCTCCCAAAGCACTGGGATTACAGGGATGAGCCACTGTGCCTGGCCTGATGATGACTTTTTAGGTACAATACCAAAGGCATAACCAGTAAAAGAAAAAAATGATGTTGGATTTTATTAAAATTTAAAACTTCTGTTATGCAAAAGATGCTGCCAAGAGAATGAGAAGACAAGCCACAGACTGGGAGAAAATATGTGCAAAAGACTTATCTGATAAAGGAGTATTATTCAAATATAAGAGGAACTCTTAAAATTAAACAATAACAAAATGAACAAACTGATTAAAAAATGGGAAAATGATCCAAACAGACACTTGACCAAAGAAGATGGCGAATAGTATATGAAAAAATGTTCAACATATGTCATCAGGGAATTGCAAATTTAAACAATGTGATACCAATACACACTATTATAATGGCAAAAACCCAAAATATTGACAACATTTAATGCTGGTGGGGATGTGGAGCAATGAGAACTCTTATTCATTGTTAGTGGAGAAAAAAGAAATGGTACAGCCACTTGGAAAATAGTTTGATGGTTTCTTACAAAACTAAACATATTCTTATCATACAATCCAGCAAAATCACCCCTTGGTATTTACCCAAATATGCTGAAAGCTTATGTCCACACAAAACCTGCACATGGATGTTTATAGCAGCTTTATTCATAATTGCCAAAATTTAGAAGCAACCAAGATGTCCTACAGCAGATGAATGGACAAATAAACTGTGGTACATCCAGACAATGGGATATTATTCAGCACTAAAAATAAATGAACTATCAAGCTATAAAAAGACACAGAGCAACATTAAAGGTATATTATTAAGTGAAAGAAGCAAATCTGAAAAGGCTGCCTAGTGTATGATTCCCACTTTATGGCATTCTGAATAAAGCAAAACTATGGAGGCAGTAAAAAGATTGTAAGTTGCCAGGGAATTGGGGAAGGGAGGGATGAATAGGTAGAACACAGAAGATCTTTAGGGTAGTGAAACTCTTCTGTGTGATACTGTAAGGGTGGACACATATCATTTATTATGCATTTGTCAAAATACAGAATATACAACACAAAGAGTAAACTCTGGCTGGGCACAGTGGCTCATGCCTATAATTCCAGCACTTTGGGGGACTGAGGCAGGAGGATTGCTTGAGCCCATGAGTACAAAACCAGCCTGAGCAATATTAGTGAGACCTTGTCTCTCCAAAAAATTAAAATATTAGCCGAGTGTGATGGTGCTCAGTCCCAGCTACTTAGGAGGCTGAGGTGGGAGGGTTGCTTTGGCCCAGGAGGTCAAGGCTGTAGTGAGCTGAGATTGTGCCACTGTACTCCAGCCTGAGTGACAAAGCAAGACCCTGTCTCAAAAAAAAAAAAAAATGCTGTAAACACTAATGTAAAGTATGAACTTTGGTTGATAATGATGTGTCACTGTTGGTTCATCGATTGTAACAAATAAATATATTACATTGGTGTGGGACATTGATATGGGAGATGCTGGGCAGGGGAGGAGGAGGTATACTCTCTGTACTTTCTACCCAATTTTGATGTGAACTTAACACTGCTCTCAAAATAAAATATATTAATTTAATTATACACGTAATTTTTTTCTTTAAAAAAATCCATTTAGGCCAGGCGTGGTGGCTCATGCCTGTAATCCCAGCACTTTGGGAGGCCGGGGTGGGTGGATCACCTGAGATCAGGATTCAAGATCAGTCTGACCAACATGGTGAAACCCCATCTCTACTAAATACAAAAAAATTAGCTGGGTGTGATGGCGCATGCTTGTAATGCCAACTACTTGGGAGTCTGAGGCAGGAGAATCGATTGAACCAGGAGGCGGAGGTTGCAGTGAGCTGAGATTGTGCCATTGCACTGCAGCCTGGGCAACAAGCGTGAAATGCCATCTCAAAAAAAAAAAAAAACAATTTAATTTGCCATACTAAAAGTCTAAATAAGAAAGTGTAGCAGTCTTCCTGCTCCTTAGCTCAGCTAAGTCGGAGTTCTTGCCTCACAACCAGGAAGAATTAGGCACACGGACACCAGAGAGTGAGTGGAGTAGAATTTATTAAGCAAGAACTCTCAGTGGAGAGGGGACACAGTGGGATGGTTCCCCTACCTGAAGGTGGGAAGTCCCCTGTGTGGCTGGGTCTGGGGCCTTTTATGAACTTAGAATGGGGAGTGCATGCTGATTGGTTTGTGAGTATGCAAAAAAGGTTAAAGTGAAGACACCACTCTAAAGTAGGTATAACAATGTAAAAAACCAATTAGGAAAGGGTAGGTATATGTAAAATAGGTGAAGAGTGGGGACCAATCAGAGGAAAGCACACCAAATGGGAAGAAAAGTTCTCAATCCGGTTGGAGGATTGAACTTGTAGCCTGGCTTCCAGGCTTTCAACTGCCTTTGGCTTGGAGGTGGGGTTGTACTGGGGACCTGCCCCAATTTGCCTAGGCATTTGGCTGCCTCCTGTCACTATCATTTCGCCCCTCTGAAGAGGGGCCATTAGATATCATCGCCATTAGAATAGGGATGAAGTCCAAGGCCGGGCGTGGTGGCTCATACCTGTAATCCCAGCACATCGGGAGGCTGAGGCGGGCAGATCACAAGGTCAGGACAAGACCATCCTGGCTAACACGGTGAAACCCCATCTCTACTAAAAAATACAAAAAAAAAGCCGGGCTTGGTGGCGGGGGCCTGTAGTCCCAGCTACTCGGGAGGCTGAGGCAGGAGAATGGCATGAACCCGGGAGGTGGAGCTTGCAGTGAGCCGAGATCGAGCCACTGCACTCCAGCCTGGGCGACAGAGCGAGACTCTGTCTCAAAAAAAAAAAAAAAAAAAGAATACGGATGAAGACCAATCTTAACTGCTTCCTGCTGACAGGGGGTGCTGTTTTGCGAAAACGGCAGTCAGATCTCCCTCAGAGGTCTAAGGGTCCCCAGTAAAAGGGAGCAATTGTCCAAGCAATTGTCTCCGGTTACATGATCATTTGGAGTTTGATGGCCTCTAGGCAAGAATAAACAATTTGGTTTATTAGAAGACATGTATCAAATGAAACAAGGGGGTAAGGACAGCTCAAAAATCCCAGGGCTGCCAATACACTCAGATAGCTGGTGGCCATAGTTATGCCTGCTAAGATTTGGGTGCATGTTGGCTTTGGTTAGCTCCCTTGTTCTGATTTTCCCAAACAAAGAAACCTCCAGGTTATGAGCACCCCATTTACTTCTATCACCTGGCAGGATTTGCAGGAGAATTGCCCAGAATTAGAATATTGATCCAGATTTTTACATTACCCATCCCTTCTCTTTCTTCTGAGCTGCAGTGGGAGATCACTGGTTGGTTCACAGGAACAAGCAGGATTAGTCTAAAATGTGGGCAAAAACTTAAAAACAACTAATGAGATTAGAATTTAATGGCAAGTGTATGATAAGTTTGAAACATAATTTTTCTTTCTCCAGTCCTTATTTTTGTTAAAGACAAATCATGATAGGACTGAGTTGTTTGCAAAATAAACTTTAGTCTTATACTTGTCTCTTATACTGATTATTATCTATACTTATATTGATTATTTGCATAAAGTATAGCAAGAATAATTATTTTTCACATAGGCTTTTTTTTAAAAAAAAATTTTTTTTTTTGAGGCAGAGTCTCGCTCCGTCACCAGGCTGGAGTGCAGTGGCGCAATCTTGGCTCACTGCAACCTCCGCTTCCTGGGTTCAAGTGATTCTCCTGCCTCAGCCTCCCAAGTATCTGGGATTACAGGCGCCTGCCACCACGCCCAGCTAATTTTTGTATTTTTAGTAGAGATGGGGTTTCACCATGTTGGCCAGGGTGGTCTCAAACTCCTAATCTCAGGTGATCCACCTGCCTCAGCCTCCCAAAGTGCTGGGATTACAGGCGTGAGCCACCATGCCTGGCCCACATAGGCTTTTAAACTTGGCTTTGATGGAACTCTGTTCCACAAGGAAGCTCAGATAAGACCTTTTAAAGCCAAGTCCAGCCATGGGTTTATACCCTCATATACCTATGAGTTGGGTAAATTCCTCTCTTCTTGAGATCTCAAGATAACATGGGACTCCTGTGCCTGTTAGAAAGTGACCTTCTTTACTCAACACAGGTTAGGAACCCTGTACAGGGACAGTGTAGAGAAAGCATGTGACCAGTTTTCCCAGGGGGGTTTTATTGGCTCTGCAAGTCAAGCTTGATTCCCTAAAGGAAAGCACATCATTCCAGTCAAAGCCTTGGTGAAACAACTAGTTTCTCCAATTGTGTCCTGTTGCAAAAGAAAATGTTTCTTATTGCACTGACGCAAATTAATTACTATATTGCTGTAAGTTAAGAATACTCACAAATAGTTTCCAAATTATAGAGAAACCAGGCAGGGAGAAACAAATATGCTTCAAATTTTGTTCACAGGAGTATAATTTACTCAATTATTAAAGGCTGTAAATGTCTCAAAATAAAAGTTTCCTTGATTCTGAAAAACAAAACAAGGATCAGCAATGTCTTAAGCAAAAAGTTATAAAAAGATTACTTCAGTTTTCTGTTAGTTCAGTCAATTCAGTGAACCCTTATTCTGCTTGATATTCATGAACATTTTGGCTCTTCATGAGTCCTGTATGTTTTCCTCTATTCCAATGTTGCAATCTCCAAAGTTATCAGAAACCTGTATTTCAGACCACCTGTCAAAGTCCTATAGCTGATTATAAACCATCTTTTGAAAAGAATCAAAGCAAGACAACAATTGTCTGTGAATGACAAAATGTCCTCAGGGTAGTTAGGATCAAAAACACAATTGACAAAGAAATTTGGTTATTTCTGTGGTTGACAATAACTTAACATAGTAACCTTAATTATGATTGCTAGCACATACTCAGACATTAGAATTTTAGAAATCCCTTGCAATTCTGGAACATATGTTAACATTATTCACTAAAATATAACCTGAAGAGAATTAAACATTATTTTGGCAATGCTACATAAATAAACATGTCAAATAACCCTGTTTACCTAACTCTTTTGGATGCCCCAGGGGCCCTCTGTGGCACCCAAAAGTTAGGGTTGGAAAAGACAACCTTGAAACTGAAGTTTGATCTGGGGAAGGCTGTCAAATATGTTAAAGGTTTAAAACACCTGATATTATGAAATAGAATTCCGGATTACCATAAGTCATTTATTTAGCCAAAATGATGACTCAAAAAGTTTAAACAAGGCAAAAACCTTTACTCATTAAGAGGGAAGATTTAGTTTTCCAAACAATCTGTCCTTAATACTACATAAAAATCCTGTTCAAAGGAGAGAAAGCTAAATTTCACCTTTGCATTAGTCTATTATTAATGTCAACCCCAATTTTTTTAATGAAACCTTATAGATAATTCTATCCAATCTTAACCAGTTTGACCATGAGGTGAGATTCTTATAAGACTTTCATAACTCTTTATAAATTTTGTTAAAGAGTAGATCAATGCCTTAAGAAAATCTTGTGCTTTTATTCCAATGCTCAATTTGTGGAAAAACCCTATAATACCTTTTTGAAGTTAGTCAATATGTTCACACACACGATTTCTTTTGAAAGATTAATTTTTACAAACTTTCCACCACTTGTTTAAGCCTTTAGCTTTATCTTATCTAGTTTTTTAATCTTATCTAATTTAAAACAATCCTTTACCTCTCTAAACTAGGCAAAAATTTACATTCCCATGCCTTCTTATAATCTTTTACCAAAAACACATTTTATCTTCCTTACACACCTTGCATGTAAATCTATTTTCAGTAGTCTCAATTACATGTTGTAATGGCAACTCTTAGCAATTGATATAGAAAAAGCATTTGATGAAATTCAACATCCATCCATGGATAAAAAAAAACTCTCAGCGAACAAGTAACACAGAGAAACTTCTTCAACCTGATAAAGGACTTCGACAGAAAATCTAGAGCTAACATTGTACTAAATGGTGAAAGGCTGAATACCTTTCCCCTCAGATGAGAAACAAGGCAAGTATGCCAACTCTCACCACTCCTATTCAACATTGTACTGGAAAGTTCTAGCCAAGGCAATAAGGCAAGGAAAATAAATAAAAGGCATACAGTTTGTAAAGAAAGAAATAAAACTGTTTCTATTTGCAGATGACATAGTAGTGTACATAGAAAATCCCAAGGAATCACACACACACACAAACCTCGTAGAACTAAAATAGGAATGTATAAAGGTCACAGGATAAAGGATTTTTTTTTTGAGACAGAGTTTCACTCTTGTTGCCCAGGCTGGAGTGCAATGGTGCAATCTCAGCTAACTGCAACTTCTGCCTCCTGGGTTCAAGTGATTCTCCTGTCTCAACCTCCTGAATAGCTGTGATTATAGGTGCCTGTCACTACACCCGGCTAATTTTTGGTATTTTTAGTAGAGACATTGTTTCACCATGTTGGCCAGGCTGGTCTCGAACTCCTGATTTCAGGTGATCCACCCGCCTCGGCCTCCCAAAGTGCTGGGATTACAGGCATAAGCCATCATGCCTGGCCTAGGATAAACGATTAAAAGAAAAAAAGTCATTTTTCTATATACTAGCAATTGTCAACTGAAAACTTCAATTTAAAACAATATCATGGCTGGGCATGGTGGCCCACACCTGTAATCCCAGCACTTTGGGAAGCCAGAGTGGGTGGATCACTTGAGGTCAGGAGTTCAAGACCAGCCTGGCCAACATGGTGAAACCCTGTCTCTACTAAACATATAAAAATTAGCTGAGCATGGTGGTGGGCACCTGTAATCCCAGCTACTTGGGAGGCTGAGGCAGGAGAATAGCTTGAATCCAGGAAGTGGAGGTTTCAGTGAGCCAAGATCGCACCCCTGCACTCCAGCCTGGGCAATAGAGCAAGACTCCATATCAAAAAACAAACAAATGAACAAAAAATCATTTATAATGGCTCCCCCAAAATTAAATGTGAGGGGACTCGAAAAAGTGAAATCAAAATATAAAAATTAAAAATATAAACTTTATTTATCAACACAAGCTCCATCAAGTTCAAGATACTTTTGTAAATGATAATATTAATATCAGCCATTGAGTCCATTCCTAAAGAACTGAGGGTCCTGGGAATTTAACCATGTCAATGCAATATTTTTTTACAGCATTAACTGAAGAAAAATAGATGCCCTTTAAAGATTTTTTAAGACTGAGAAACAAAAAAGAAGTCAGAAGGAGCCAAACCAGGACTGGAAGGTAGATGCGTACTGATTTCCCATGGAAACTCTTGCAAAATTGCCTTTGTTTGATCAGAGGAATGAGCAGGAGCATTGTTGTGGTAGAGAACAACTCCGTTGAAGTTCTCCTGGGCGTTTTTCCGCTAAAGCTTTGACTTTCTCAAAGCACTCTCATAAGAAGCAGATGTTATCAAGGCAGGAGGATCGCTTGAGCCCAGGAGTTCAAGACCAGCCTGGGCAACATGGCAAGACTCTGTCTCTACAAAAAAAATTAAAAAAAAATTAGTCGGGTGTGATGGTGCACACCTGTGTTCCCAGCTACTTAGGGACTGAGATGGGAGGATCGCTTGAGCCTGGGAGGCAGAGGTTGCAGTGAGCTGAGATTGTGCCACTACACTTCAGCCCAGATGACAAAATGAGACCCTGTCTCAAAAAAAAAAAAAAAAAAAAAAAAAACTTATCATTCTTTGGCCCTCCAGAAAGTCAACAAGCAAAATGCCCTGTCCATCCCAAAACACTGTTGCCATGACCTTTGCTCTTGACCAGTTCATTTTGCTTTGATTGAACCCCTTCCACCTCTCGGTGGCCATTGCTTTGATTGTGCTTTGTCTTCAGGATCATAGTGGTAAAACCATGTTTCATTGTCTGTTACAATTCGTTGAAAAAAACGCTTCAAGATCTTGATTCTACTTTTTAAAAATTTCCATTATAAGCTCTGCTCTTATCTGCAGATAACAACAGTTTTGGCACCCATTGAGTGGAAAGTTTGTTCAACTTTAATTTTTCAGTCAGAATTGTCTAAACTGAACCAGTTAAGACATTTATGGTGCTGGCTATTGCTTGTGCTCTTTAGTCATTGGTCCTCTTCAATTAGGGCACAAACAAGATTTATTTTTTCCTTGCAAACTGATGTGGATGTCCTGCTGCTGTGGGCTTCATCTTCAACATCTTCTCATTCATTTTTAAAACAAGTTATCCATTTGTAAACTGCTGATTTTTTTAGGGCATTGTTCCCATAAGCTTTTCATAAAGGATTCATGATTTTATCATTCTCTCACCCCAGCTTCGCCATTAATTTAATTTTTGTTCTTGCTTCAATTTTAGCAGAATTCATGTTTCTCTGATAGGGGCTCTTTTCAAACTGATGTCTTATCCTTCTTAGTGTCTCAAACTAGCTCCTGTTAAGATAGGTTATAACAAGTTAGTATGAGTTTATTTTGGTGCAAAAAAGTTTTGAGGCCAGGTGCGTTGGCTTACACCTGTAATCCCAACACTTTGTGAAGCTGAGGCAGGAGGATCGCTTGAACCCAGGAGGTCCAGGCTGCAGTGAGCTGTGATTGCGCCAGTGCACTCCAGCCTGGGCGACAAAACAAGACCCTCTCTCAAAAGTAATAATAATAATAATAAATTAATCAAAATTTTTTTGAAATCCATGCACAGTATTTTCATAATGCACATTGTCTGTGAACTTTTTTAAGACCCCTGTACTTATGTATAAATTTATCAAAACATGTATATGATCAATATGCTTCAAACTGAAGAATGCTGATAAAAGAAATTAAAGACCTAAATAAATCGAGAGGTATATTGTGTTCATGCATTGGAAGGCTGAACATAGTAATGATGTCAATTTTGCCTAAATTGATCTACAGATTTAATGCAACTCCAATCAAAATCCGAGCAGAATTTTTAAATTTTTTAAGTTGATACATAATAGATGTTCATATTTTCAGGGTACATGTGATATTTTGATACAGTCATATAATGTGTAATGATCAAATCACAGTAATTGAGATATCTATTGCCTTAAACATTTATCTTTTCTTCATGCTGGGAACATTCAAATTCTTCTCTAGATATTTTGAAATATGTAACAGGATTGTTTATTACAGTCACCTTACTGATTTATAGAACACTAGGTATTAATTCTTCTACCTGACTGTATTTTTTGTATCTTTTACTCCACCTCTCTTCATTCCTCCTTCCCTTTCCACTTCCTGGCCTCTGGTAACTACCAGTCTACTCTTTTTTTTTTTTTGAGAGATGGAGTATTGTGGTGTTGCCCAGGATGGAATGCAATGGCATGATGTCAGCTCACTTCAACCTCTGCCTCCTGGGTTCAAGCAATTCTCATGCCTCAGCCTCCCAAGTAGCTGGGATTAAATGCATATACCACCATGCCCGGCTACTTTTTGTATTTTTAGTAGAGACAGGGTTTCACCATGTTACCCAGGCTGTTTGAGCTCCTAGCCTCAAGTGATCCGCCTGCCTTGGCCTCCCAAAGTGCTGGGATTACAGGCGTGAGTCACCGCCTGGCCTACCAGACTACTCTTTACCTTCACGAGATCCATGAAGCTTCTCCAAAAACTGTTTGGTAGTTTTTTGTTGTTGTTGTTTTTTCTTTTTTTAGCTCCCATATATGAGTGAGAACAGCCAGCAGAATTTTTTTGTGTGGACAAGCTGATCCTAAAATTTATTTTGAAAGGCAAAGGAACTAGAATAGCTGAAACAATTTTGAAGAACAAAATGGAGAAATCTTATTCTATTTTAACATTCATGATGAAATTAGTGTTCAATACAGTGTGGTATTGGCAAAGGTACAAACAGCTAGGTTAATGGAACAGCATAGAGTCCAGAATTATATTTACACTAATATGGCCAGTTGATTTTTTTTTCACAAAAGTGCAAAAGCAATTCAATGGCAAAAGAATAGTCTTCAAAAAATGGTGTGGGACAATTGGACATTCGTATGTAAAACCTTTTCTATTTGTTATTATTTTTCGAGACGGAATCTCTCTCCGTCACCCAGGCTGGAGTGCACTGGTGTGATCTCGGCTCACTGCAACCTCTGCTCCCCAGATTCAAGCGATTCTCCTGCCTCAGCCTCCCGAGTAGCTGGGACTACAAGCATGTGCCACCACGCCCAGCTAATTTTTGTAATTTTAGGAGAGAGGTTTCACCATGCTGGCCAGGCTGGTTTCGAACAGCTGACCTCTAGCGATCTGCCCAGCTTGGCATTGCAAAGTGCTGGGTTTACAGGCATGAGCCACCAACCCTGGCCATAAAACCTTTTTAAAAAAACCCTGACCTAGGCCGGGTGCCATGGTTAACGCTTGTAATCCTAGCACTTCGGGAGGCCAAGGCAGTCGGATTACCTAAAACCAGGAGGTTGAGACCATACTGGCCAGCATGGTGAAACTTCGTCTATACTAAAAATACAAAAATTAGCCGGGTGTGTTGGCGGGCACTTGTAATCCCCACTACTTGAGGAGGCTGAGACAGAATAATCCCGAGCCCGGGAAGCAGAGTTTGCAATGAGCCAAAATCGCCATTGCATTCTAGCCTGGGGGACAGAGCAAGACTGTCAAAAACAAAAACAGAAAAAACACCCTGACCTAGTCACAGCTACTCAGGAAGCTGAGGCAGAAGAAGCAATTGAGTCGAGGAGTCAAAGTCCATTGAGTCCATGAGTTCAAGTCCAACCTGAGCAACATAGAAAGACCTCCCATCTCTTAAAAAAAAACAGAGAAAAACCTTGACCTGAATCTCATACCTTATACAAAAAAATTACTCAAGCTGTCTAAATATAAAGCATAAAACTATAAACATTTAGAAATCAATTTTTGTTATTGTTTTTGATACAGACTCTCACTCTGTCTCCAGGCTGGAGTGTAGTGGTGCTGTGTCCGGAATTTTTTCTTTCTGGTGGGCTCTTGGTCTCGCTGACTTAAATAATGAAGCCATGGACTCTCACGGTGAGTGTTACAGTTCTTAAAGATAGTGTATCCGGAGTCTGTTCCTTCTAATATTCAGATGTCTCCAGAGTTTCTTCCTTCTGGCGGGTTCCTGGTCTCACTGACTTCAGGAGTGAAGAGGCAGACCTTGACAATGAGTGTTACAACTCTTAAAGGTGGCATGTGCAGAGCTGTTTGTTCCTCCCTGGTGGCATCCTGGTCTCACTGACTTCGCAGCCCCACGTGGTGAGGGTTACAGCTCATAAGTTAGCCTGGACACAAAACCCTAGCAGCAGCCAGCTTTATTTTACCAGCTCTGGTGGATAGCTTTTATTCCCTTATTTGGCCCCCACCCACATCCTGCTGATTGATCCATTTTACAGAGTGCTGATTGGTCCATTTTACAGAGCACCGATTGGTCCATTTTACAGAGTGCCGATTGGTACATTTTTACAGAGTGCTGATTGGTGCGTTTACAATCCTTTAGCTAGACACAAGAGTTCTCCAAGTCCCCAACCGACCCAGAAGCCCAGCTGGCTTCACCTCTCAGCGCGATCTTGGCTCGCTGCAACCTCCGCCTCCTGGGTTCAAGCGATTCTCCTGCCTCAGCCTCTTGAGTAGCTGGGACTACAGGCGCTTGCCACCTTGCCCAGCTGATTTTTGTATTTTTAGTAGAGAGGGGGTTTCACCATGTTGGCCAGGATGGTCTCGATTTCTTGACCTCATGATCCGCCCACCTCGGCCTCCCAAAGGCAAAGAGTTTTTTAGACAGGATGCCAAAAGCATGATCTGTCAACATAAAAATTGGTAAATTAGAGTTCACCAAATGACGGTGTTAGGAGAATTAATAGACACTATAGACTGGGAGGAAATATTTGCAAATCACATATCCAACAAAGGACTTGCATCCAGAATATATAAAGAATTCTCAAAATTCAATAGTAAGAAACAAACAATCCACATTAAAAATAGGCTAAAGATTTGAACAGACACTTCACCAAAGAAAATATATGAGTGAGAATTAGCTAGGTGTGGTGGCACATGCATGTAATCCCAGCTACTCAGGCGTCTGAGGCACGAGAATTGCTAGAACCTGTGAGGTGGAGGTTGCAGTGAGCCAAGATTGCAGTACTGCACTCCAGCCTGGGCGACAGGGCGAGACTCTGTTTCCAAAAAATAAGATAAAATAAACTGTGTGTGTGTGTGTGTGTGTGTGTGAGAGAGAGAGAGAGAGAGAGAGAGAGATAGACAAATAAGCACAGTAAAAGATGTTTAACATTATCAGCCACTGGGGAAATGCATATTAAAACCACAATGAGTTATCATGACATACCTTTTAGCATGGCTAAAAACAAAGCAAAACTAAACTAATACCAAGTTATGGAGAAGATGCAAAACAATGGAGTACGTTGTTGGTGAAAAACAATGCAATGCAAAATGCTACAGCCACTCTGGAAAAAAGTTTGGTACTTTCATATAAAGTTAAACGTACATTTACACATAACCTAGAAATTCCATTTCTGGGTATTTACCCTAGAAATAAAAAACACATCCACACAAAAACCTATATAAGAATGTTTACAGCAGTTCTACTCATTAGAGTCAAAAAAAAAAAAAAAAAAAAAAAAGGAAACAACCCAAATGTACTTCTGCGGGTGAATGGATAAGCAAACTGTGATGGATCATATTTCCTATGAGGGAGTACTACTCAGCAACAAAAAGGAGCAAACTACAAGCAACAGTATGGATGAATCTCAGAAATATTATGCTGAGTGAGAGAAGCCAGACACAAAAGACTACATACTGTAAATTCCATTTATCTGAAATTCTAGAAAAAACAACTGATTTATAATGACTGAAAGCAGATCAAGTGGTTGCCTACAGATTGATTGCAAAAGGGCAGGAAGGGGCTCTTGCGAATGCTTGATATGTTCTGTATCTTGGTCGTGGTGGTGATTATATGGGTGTATACATTTGTCAAAGCTCAAAGTTGAAAATGTATACATCTTATGACTGAGGTGGCTCACTTTTAGGTATAGAGCAATGTTTATCAAGCTGCTGGTAGAGTCCTGCTATTAGTGAATCATCAAATTAATTCCAGTGTGTCTACCTAGAGAGGTATTTATCCTGGAACTAATGAAGCTGAAGCTTCAGCCTCCCACCCTTACAAAACATCTTCCAAGTCCTGGTTACTAATTTTGTATTCAAAATTGTGTACGTTTTCTTTTTTCTTTTTCTTTTTTTTTTTTTTTTAGACAGAGTCTCCCTCTGACTCACAGGCTGGAGTGCAGTGCACGGTCTCAGCTCACTGCAACCTCTGCCTCCTGGGTACAAGCAATTCTCCTGCCTTCAGAGTAGCTGGGATTACAGGTGCTCACCACCATACCCGACTGATTTTTTAGACAGGGTTGCACCACATTGGCCAGCCTGGTCTTGAACTCCTGGCCTCAAGCAATCCACCTGCCTCGGCCTCCCAAAATGCTGGGATTACAGGCGTGAGACACTGCGCCTGGGCAAAATTTTGTACTCTTTTTAAAGGGGGCCCTCAAATTGTATTAACTTTAGGCTCCACAAAACCTGGATCTGCCTCCAGGTGACCAGAATTTTTTTTTAATGAAATGGAATAGAAAATATGAGGGTGTTTTGCAAAACTTTTGTTCCAGTTTATATAGTGGGTCAGGTTGTAAAATTTTATTTCTTACCAGGGTTTGTGGTTTAGCGCACATGTGTGCACACACAAACACACACACAAAGTTGGAAATTCAGTGCTGTGTAGAAATCTATGTACATGTGCACAAGGAGGTCTGTACAAATTTAGTGCAGCGCTGTTTGTAAGAGAGAATCTTTGGAAACAACCTAAATGCCCATCAATATGAGAATAAATAGACTGCAGTATGCGTATGTATGTAATAGAATTCTATATAGCTAAAAGGAATGAACTAAAGCTACAGGCATCAGGCTAGATGACTCTCACAAACACAACATTAAGTAAAAAAGTGAGTTGAAGAAGGTTACCTAAAGCATGATACCATTTAGATAAAGTTTAAAGCAATTTGAAAAACAATACTACATCTGATGGGTTTCTAGGTATTGCTCCTATAGTTATATACATAGAAAAAGTAGTAAACCATGCATGAGACTGATAAAAAAACAAATTCAGAATTGGATAATGGATATTTCTGGGGAGGAAGGAGGGAGGGAGTGACATGAGGTGATATACAGGTTTTCAATTTTATGCATTTTTTTCTTTTTTAAAGAATGGATTTAAAGAAAATAATGGATTTGAGACAAAAAAGAGTTAAAGATTAACAAGGCTGGTTGGTGTGTAAGTGGATTTTTGTTGTGTTATTCTGATTCTTTTTTGATTGTGTTGTATTCTGTATGTATATTGTTGAAGACATTGGTAATGTGTATGTTTTTGTGTTTGTGTAGTGTGGCATTCACATATATCACACTATTTAATTTTTATGACAGCTTCGTGAAGTGAGTGGAACATAAATTATTATCCCTATTCCATAGAACAGGAACCTAAGACGGCAGAACAATTTTTAAACTGTGGACTGGGGACTGGGCTAAGCTGTTCCTTGCTTAGTCTAGATTTGCATGGAAATCCACTGGAGAAGTTTCCTTCAAGTCCATGTGGCCTGATCCAGCCCGAGCTGCCTTCCTCACGTCTCTCTCTAAATCCCAAGGCTCTGGGAAGGCACTTACTCAATAGGGAAGCGACTTGTATAGATAATAGCCAAATGTTTGTTCAAAAGGCATTCATTCTGATGTGCTGGGGGGAGCGGTTGGGGGGGCGGACCTGCAGGAATGACTTGGATGAGACGGATACATATTTACAAGCCAGTGCACAGGAATTTGTCCTTGGACAAATCACTTAACCTTTTACTACTTATATTTATGCTCTCGTAAACCAAGTGTGGAATATTCTCAACTGCTCACCCCTGCCAAATGCTTTTCAAAAGTTAGAGACCAAGTTACAGTTAAAAAAATGCAACGACTTCAACCCAACCAGTCCCTTCCCTTCCCTTCTTCCCTTCCCTTCCCGTTCTTTTTCTTTCTTTTTTTTTCCTCTCTCTCTCTCCCCACTTCTGTCTGCCTTTTTTCTTTTTCTTTTTTTCTTTTTTTTGACACAGTCTTGCTCTGTTGTCCAGGCTGGAGTGCAGTGGTGCAATCTCGGCTCACTGCAACCTCCGCCTCCCGGGTTCAAGTAATTCTCGTGCCTTACCCTTCGGAGTAGCTAGGAGTACAGGCACGTGCCACCACGCCCTGCTAATTTTTGTATTTTTAATAGAGACAGGGTTTCACCATGTTGGCCAGGCTGGTCTCGAACTCCTGGCTTCAAGTGATACACCCGCCTCCGCCTCCCAAAGTGCTGGGATTACAGGCTTGAGCCACCGCGCCTAGCCAGACGTCAACTTTTCAGTACGTTTCAATATATTCTTTGCGCCTCATTCCTCAAAGACCTTTTTTCACTCTCATTTAAATGGTAATGACCATTTTAAAGGAGATTAAGTTTCTACTTGTTAAAGATTAATAACTTTTTTTTTGGAGACAGAGTCTTGGACTGTCGCCAGGGCTGGAGTGCAATGGCGCGATCTCGGCTCACTGCAACTTCCACCTCCCGGGTTCAAGCAATTCTCCTGCCTCAGCCTCCTGAGTAGCTGGGATTACAGGCGCACATCACCACACCCGGCTAATTTTTTGTATTTTTAGTAGAGACGGGGTTTCACTATGTTGGCCAGACTGGTCTCGAACTCCTGACCTCGTGATCTTCTGGCCTCGGCCTCCCAAAGTGCTGGGATTGCAGGCGTGAGCCACCAAGCCTGGCCAATAACTTTTAAATCACTAACATACAAATGTCTTTTGTTGTTTTAAAAAAAAATCAAAACAATACCTAGCTAGACAGGATAAAAAATCAGCAGCTTATATTCTATCGCCCTTTTGTCGGTACTGGCGGTATGTTAATCGTGAGGCTTAGAACCTTGTTTCACAGCCCTGATCGTGCCTTTTGAGAATCTTTTACGTTCTGGATATTCTGGTATGGAAGAGGAGAAAAACCGGCGCTGGGCAGTTTGCAATCCAGGAAAATAGGGAAGGATAAACCTGAAGCCTGTGCGTCCAGGTGCGCCTGGCTAGGGTTTCCGACGGCCGCGGTGTCTCGGTGGGGACCGGTCCCGGAGGCTTCGGCGAGGAGGACCCGGAGTCCCCCCCGCCCCGCGGCGGAACTAACCACGGAGGCCTCTGGTCCCTTTAAGGTGCCCGGCGAGCGGAGAAAGGGAGCAGAGGGGGCGGGAGGAGGGTTCGGGAGCGCACGCCACGTGACCCGGCGGCCAAGTTCGCTGCGAGTTTGACAGAAGTTTGAATCCGAGTCGGGGGCTTTCTGCTGCCGGCGGGGCACCGCGGCGGCCGCAGCCTCTGAGAGCACGAACAGCAGCGCCCCCGCGTCCCAGCCAGCCAGCCAGCCAGACTGGACTCCGGCCCACCGACGGCCGCTCGCGCTCCGGCCCCGCTCGCCTGCTCTGCCCCGGACCTGCAGCTCCCCGCTCCCCCGCCGTGTCCGCCGCCTCCCGGCCAGAGAGCCAAGCCACCACGCCGCGCCCAGCGCTCGCCGCGCCAGCATGTCCTCGACCGAGAGCGCCGGCCGCACGGCGGACAAGTCGCCGCGCCAGCAGGTAGTCCCTGCGCGCCCAGGACTCTCACCCGCCCCTCTCCACCTAGATGTCGGGCTGCACACTTATCCCACCCCTGGACCGCGTGTGAGTGGGGCAAGGGGACCAGCGCCTTCCCAGGGTTCCCCACCGCCCTGACCCCCCGGCCGGCTGTGTCTCCGCAGGTGGACCGCCTACTCGTGGGGCTGCGCTGGCGGCGGCTGGAGGAGCCGCTGGGCTTCATCAAAGTTCTCCAGTGGGTGAGTCGCTGCCCCGGCCCCGGGCTATTTCGGGAGCCTGGGCTGTGACGCTGACCTGAAGCAATGGAGCCAGGGTGGGGGCTGGGGAGGTGCTGCGGCCGGGCCACGGCGGAAGGGTGGGGGGCGGCGACAGGTGGGCGGGGGAGGGGCGGGCTGGGGCTGCTTCTCCGGACTTAGTGGCAGGAGGGTGAAGAGCGAGGCATGCGGAGTCCCGGATTCGGTCCTTCTATGTGCAAGGAGCCTTTGCCCAGGGCGCTCACATTTCACCCGGGCGAGAGGACCCGGGTGTAACCTTTCCAGAACTCTGATCCTGCACATACCACTCCTTGGTGACGGGAGGGGGGAGAAGGACGACGGGGACGAGGTCCGCTCTTCACCAAGAGGGAAGCCGCAGAGGGCAAAGGAGGGAAGGAAGCAGGCGATGGAAACCGTCCTGCCCCCAAACCCACCAGGGCCTGGATGATCCTGCAAGTACTGGGCTCAGGGGACAGGCTCTCGGCTCGCCGTTCCCTTTTGAGGTCACTGGAGTAATCCGAGTTCCTGTAAATGAGTGAGGGAGTGGATGAATGAATGAACGGAGCTTGTGGTTCTATGATTAAATAAAAGAAAAAAATAAGAATAAAAATCACGGCATGGCTAAAATGTGGCATGTAGAATAAAATGGAACACTGATCTGAGAAGCTGGGGCCCTGGGATCCAGACCTAGACTGGCCTTTTCCAGCTATGTCACCTTGGGCAATTCATTTCTCTGGACTTCAATTTCCAACACTAGTTAGATGTTGATCAGAACCTTCCTAGGGTCTCCTTATGCTCTAAATAGTTTGGTGTGCCAGAATATGGCCCTAGGTTAGACTTACTTTGTGACCTTGAAAAAGTCACTTGCTCAGGTCCTCAGTTTCCCCTGTTACAGTCTAGTGGAAATACTATCTTGCTTCACTAGGCCAGTGCCTAAGGCCTCCTGGGTATAAATTAGGAATGTGGACAGGTGCAGTCAATTTCTCAAATCATAAAGACTTGTAGGGGGCATTTAGTGCACTATTGCAGAAGAGATTTTAAATTAGACAATCCACATACCAAATGGTGTGTGAATAACTTAATTAATGTGCTCTCAGTACAGAATTCAGCTAGGGAATAAGTTACCATTAATACTGAGGAGGATTGAGTTCTACAGGGCTTTGGAGACAAGAATTAGCACTGTGACACCAGTTCTTAAATCATGGTTTGGATGAGAATAATCAAATCTGGAACCCAGGGGCAAAAGTGCATTTGGGATTATCGGGCCAGCCTGGGAGCTCCCAAGTGCAAACTCTGGGACCTGGTGGGGACTCTCCACCTTTCTTACTGCCTCAAGAGTGGTTAGACCAATTGCTGATTGAGCTCTTTTGCCTTTGGCCCCTTCCCTGTTCTGATCCACCACTCAAGTGCCAGAGGGAGCCATATAAAAATGATATTAAGGCTCTGAGTGACTGGCATCCAGAACTGGAAGAGCCATTATAAGCAATTTTACCATTAAATTAGACAAATGGATCCAACAGAATTTGAGACAGACTGTCAAAGGATAAGGGAAACAATGAGGTTATTAGACCATGGACTCCTCTCCCTTGGAGGGATTCTGAAAAGCTTCCTTCTTCAATCCTGCCATCCTTCCCTCCACGCAGCACTCCAAATACCCACAACATTTCTGTAAAGGCTGTACAAAGCAATGCCCAGGGAAATGATGCAGTCTTGGGGTCAGCACTAATGACCTAGGAATTAAGATCTGATAGACTTTTATGATCTTCAAGTACTTAGAAAGGGGGTTGTGCAAAACAGAGACCCTTTTCTCTCAGAATGCTAAAACCTGGGCCCTGGGCTAGACTCTGAATTCAGATTTCATTCACAGGGTAGCATCACAAAGAAACGTGCTTTGCTTTTATTGCCATCCCAGGTAGCCTGAATTCAGGGCGCCAGTTTCACTTGCTTTGAAGCTCTGCAGATGAGGTAACATAAAAAGTAAACAGGCATTAGCACCAGAAATGACAGTGGAAATGTCATTTGAGTTTTTCACTCATTTCCTGTTTGGAGGGATCAAATGCTCCTGATTGGAGAAGGAAAAAAGAAAACACAAAGCTTGCAGTTATTGTAATGGTAATTGAGAACTTTTGTTGTCATTATTACCAAAAAGCAAAGATTTTACTGGAATCTTTGTGAAAAGAAAGTAATGTTATTCTTTTATTTGTCAGGAGCTTATCTTAGAGTTTTTTTTTTTTTAATTGAGAAATCAACTAATCTCACCTCAATTCCAATTCTGGAGTCTCACTAAGTCTATACTAAGCTAGCAAAAATAACCTGGACATAGACCAATTATTGGAGAACTAGTTTTTTTTTAAAAAAGAAAAGGACATCAAATCATAGGAGTTCAAGATAAAAAAGAAAAGAAAAGAAGTATCTTAAAAAAAATTTTCTTTTTAAGAAAAAGACACACTTTGGGAGGCTGAGGTGGGAGGATTGCTTGAGCCCAGGAGTTTGACACAAGCCTGGGCAATAAGGGGAGGTCGCGTCTCTATTAAAAAATAAAATTAGTTGGGTGTGATGACACATGCTTGTGGTCCCAGCTCCTTGGGAGGCTGAGGCTGGAGGATCATTGAGCCCAGGAGGTCGAGGCTGCAATGAGCTGCGCACTCCAGCCTGAGTGACAGAACTAGACCTTGTCTCAAAAAAAAAAAAAAAAAAAAAAAAAGGAAAATAAAACAAAAGAAAAAGGAAGATAGAGACAGATTTTTGAGGTCAGATAGGCTTCGGTTTAAATTGAGTCCCCTCTGCTTTCTTGCTTTCTAGCTCTGGAACCTTGAGTGAGTAAATATCAAATCTTTTTTTTTTTTCAGACAGGCTCTAAGATAGAGACTGGCTCTATCGCTGAGGCTGGAGTGCAGTGGTACGAACACATCTCACTGCAGCCTAAATTTCCAAGCTCAGGCAATCCTCCCACCTCAGCCTTTCAAGTATCTGGGACCAAAGGCACATGCCACCATGCCTAGCTAAGTTGTAAAAAATTTTTGTAAAAATCGGGTCTTGCTATGCTGCCCCAGCTGGCTTTGAGTTCCTGGGCTCAGGTGATATTCCCACCTCAGCCTCCAAAAGTGCTGAGATTACAGGCATGAGCCTGTTACCTCGCCTAAACAAAACAAAAAACAATGAGATAAGCGTGGGAGTAGGACCTGGGGAGAGAATTTGTCTTCCTTGTGCTCTGAGCTAACTGGTGATGTTAGTGTCCTCAGGACTGTCACAGGATTATCACCAGCGAGCATGTCAGTGCCAAAGGGGAGCCTCATCCTTAAACTGGAAAGGTTTAAGGTTGCAAAAGAGATGCAGAAGCAAGAGGAGGCGGAGGGCAGAAAATGACCGTCGCTGTCCCAGCAATGGAGGTCCAAGAGGAGAAAGGCTGGTTGGCACCAGAATGCTAGAACTCCCCCTTGTCTCAGGTCCTCTACCTCTCCTTGGCTGCTCTTTATAACCAGTTTGCTCATCTCAGAGCCTTGTGCTTGGTGACAGGGGTGATTTTAGTTCTTTCCTTCTCTTCTCTGTGTCTCAGTCACTTGGCAAAGTTAGGGAAGAAAGCAAATCTGGAGTGGAAAGATGGAGGGTTAGGAGACATGGAGGGGGTTGGGAGAAAGTGTCTTTCTGAGCTTCTGCACCCCAAGGCACAGAGCTACTCCTTCCCTCCTTGTAATCCTCAATGCACATGGTAGAGATCTCTTCTTTAGCCTCAATAACTCTGGGATGCAGTGTTTGTTTTTATTATTTTTTGTTTGTTTGTTTTGCTATGACGCTCCTTTCTTGATGTGAATTCTCAAGAGCAGGAGATAGGTGTTATTCGTCTTCATATCTCCAGCACCTGGCACAAGGTAGATGCTCAATCAGTGTTGAGTTAATGAGCAAATGAAATGGAAAGAGCACTGGACAGGGAATCAGGAGATGTGAATTCTAAGCCTGGCTCTCACATTAACTAAATGTGACTTTGGGAAAGTGACTTAATCTTTTGGGGCTTCACAGTCCCCCTCTGTGACATGAGATGATTGGGTGTGAGAATCTTTGAGGTCCCTTTTGTTCTGCTGTTCTGTGAACCTGTGATTCCCCTCAGATGTTCTCATTTTGCTCTGGTACCATCCGACTGTATAGTGTTCAGATTTAAACATATATTTTGGTAAATAAAAAATCATCGTGTAAGATCCCTGACTTGAAAAGAATCAGAATACAATAAATACTAAAGTTATTGTGGGTGTATTTTGCCCTCTGAGGAATCCGAAAGCATGATTCAGGATTGTCAGAACCTCAGGACCGTCGTTTAGACACAGCAGAACTTTTGGTAATAATGGAAAAGTTTTAGAATCGGTGCTCTCTAAGATAGTACCTGCTAGTCACATGAGGCTATTGGGCACTTGAAATGTGCCTAGCGTGACTGAACTGAATTTTTTTTTTTTTAGTAGAGACGGCATTTTGCCATGTTGGCCAGGCTGGTCTCGAACCCCTGACCTCAAGTGATTTGCCCGCCTTGGCCTCCTAAAGTGCTGGGATTACAGGCATGAGCCACCACACCCGGCCTGAACTTTTTTGTTGTTGTTTGATCCAGTCTCACTCTGTCATCCAGGCTGGAGTGCAGTGGCGTGATCATAGCTCATTGCAGCCTTGAACCCCTGGGCTCAAGTGATCCACACACTTCAGCAGCTGGGACTACAGGCATGTACCACCATGCCCGACTACTTTTTTTTTTTGGTAGAGATGGAGTCTTGCTATGATACCCAGGCTGGTCTTGAACTCCTGGCCTCAAGTGATCCTCCCACCTTGCTTCCCAAAGTGTTGGGATTACAGGTCTGAGACACTGCACCCGGCTTGAATTTTTTATTTAATTTAATTCTGATTAACTTAAACTTAAATAATCAAGCTTGGCTAGGGGCTACTGTTTTGGATAGTGCAGCTCTAGAGTATGAGCCCCATGAGGACAGAGATTTTGTTATTCTTTTTCTTTTTTTGAGATAGGGTCTCGCTCTGTCACCCAGGCTGGTGTCCAGTGGTGTGATCATGTAGCTTTGACCTCCTGGGCTCAAGAGATCTTCCCACATCAGCCCCCAGAGTAGCTGGGACCACAGATGTGCATCACCACACCTGGCTAATTTTTCTTGGCTAAATAAAAAGTTGGCTAGTCTCAAACTCCTGGGCTCAAGTGATCCTCCCACCTCAGCCTCCCAGAGTGCTGGGATTACAGGCATGAACCACCATGCTTGGCCTTTTTTCTCTTTTGTTCACTACTAGATAATAGTGCCTGGAACCATGCATAGTAGGCACTGTACATGCTAGGCATAGTACATGCTCTTAAATTTTATCTTTCTGTAGATGCTCAGGAGTGCCTTTCAGGAGAGTGCTGGTGAAGAGAAGGCTCCATAACTGACCGTTCACTGCCCCCAAGTTTTGAGTACCTACTTTCTTTTTCTTTACTTTTTTTTTTTTTTTTTTTTTTTGAGATGGGGGTCTTGTTCTGTTGCCCAGCCTGGAGTGCAGTGGCATGATCATAGCTCACTGCAGCCTTGAACTCCTGGGCTCAAGTGATTCCTCCCCATCAGCCTCCTGAGTAACTGGGACTATTAGCAGGCACCACCATGCCCAGCTAATTTTTTGTTTGTAGTTTCTGTAGGGGAGGGTCTTGCTATGTTGCCTATATGTTGCTAGTCTCAAATTCCTGGGCTCAAGCCATTCTCCTGCTTGGCCTCCCAAACTGCTGGGATTACAGCTGTGAGCCACCATGCCCGGCCCCTGCTTTCTTAAGGAACCTATAAGGAGCCATTCACTGACTAACTGCCAACGGGTAAAAATATTTCCAACTGTGCTGCCCTTCCCAGAATGTGACACCCTAATCACATCCAGTTCTGGGCACCAGAAGCTAAGAGGAATAAAGAAACTTCTAAGAGGAATCAGATGGCCACAGAACTGACAAAAGATTAGCGAATTCCTATGAGGAAGAGTTAGAGAAGTTCCACTATTACAATGGTGAGGCCACTTTGAGTAAGTAAAGGGTAATGATGCAGAGGCTTCGAGTGACTCTTCTCTACCTCTGTGAAGAAGGCGGGCAGACAGGGCTCTACTGCAGTCTTCATCATTTAATTCAGGAGAGGAGGGTATTTAGGCATTGGAGGGAGGTTTTACTGTCTTCTTTCCCAGATATCTTTAAACATGGAGACAATTCTCATTTGTCTGGAATAAACCTCCTGAAAACAGAGAGGTGCCCATTATTTGGAGAGAGGCCAATGGCTCCAGCATGGAGATCTGCAAGGCCAGGCGCTGCAAGCCGGGGGCAGTGGCACTGGACACCTCGCAGGGGCAAAGCACAGCTGTTGGCAAGCCCAGTCAAGAGTACACTGACAGTGTTACTCTCAGAGAGTGAGAGAGTTCCAGGGCTGGAAAGGGCCTCTAGATTATCTACTCCAAACCCCTCCATTTAAGATGAGGAAACAGGCTGGGCTCATGCCTATAATCCCAGCACTTTGGGAGGTTGAGGCGGGCGGATCACAAGGTCAGGAGACCGAGACCATCCTGGCTAACACGGTGAAAACCCGTCTCTACTAAAAAAAATACAAAAAATTAGCTGGGCATGGTGGTGGGCGCCTATAGTCCCAGCTACTCAACAGGCTGAGGCAGGAGAATGGTGTGAACGCAGGAGGTGCAGCTTGCAGTGAGCCAAGATTGCGCCACTACACTCCAGCCTGGGCGACAGAGCAAGACTCCATCTAAAAAAAAAAAAAAAGATGAGGAAACAGACTCAGAGAGCAGAGTGACTTATCAGAGCTCACCTGGCTAATTAGTGACAGGACCAGGTCTGGAACCTAGGTTTCCATACTCCTAGTTCAGGTCTCCTTTCACTCCATAATGCTAACAAGCATTGGCAAAATAAAGTGCATATAGCTTCTATTCTAGACTCTGGATGCAGGGCTGACATACAGATCAGCTGTCTTCCAAGTGCTTAATGTCCAAGACACTGAGTCTCGAAGAAAGATACAGAGAGTGAACAATTAAGAGAATAAGCTCATTGCTTAATAAGAACATGACATTGTGTACAAGTCAAAGGTAAGTGCACAGGAAATCCAATCTGAGCAGATGATGTGGAGGATAAGACATTTCAATTTCTCACCTCCTTTTCTTTTTTCTTTTCTTTTCTTTTCTTTTTTTTTTTTTTTTTGGCGGTGGGCGGGAGAGGGACAAGGTCTCATTCTGTTGCCAGGCTGGAGTGCAGTGGCACGATCTCGGCTCACTGCAACCTCCGCCTCCCGGGTTCAAGTGATTCTCCTGCCTCAGCCTCCCAAGTAGCTGAGATTACAGGCATGCGACACTCTACCGCCAGGCTGATTTTTGTATTTTTAGTAGATATGGGGTTTCACCATGTTGGCCAGGTTGGTCTCAAACTCCTGACCTCAAATGATCCACCCGCCTCAGCCTCCCAAAGTGCTGGGATTACAGGTGTGAGCCACCGCACCTGGCCTCTCACCTCCTTTTCTAACCAAAGTGTGTTTCCCAGAAAGAAATCTGAAAATCATAGGATGAGGAAATTTTATTTCACTTGAGAGAGAAGGTGTAGTAAAATGTGAGGAAAGGTGGAGAAGAAAACAATTCGAGTGACCTGAGACACCTCTGGATCTTAACACTGAGAAATGGCAGCATCAACAGATGACAAAGGGAAATACCAGTGGGGAAACAGTGGAGACTGATAAGGCAAGTGGAGGGTACTTTTCTCTGGGCTTGAGCCAAGATTGTCACATTGGCCCAGCCAGCACTATTGCTAGAAGGCCATGTGCCTTTTGGGGAAGAGGAATTAGGCTGTCAGTACTATGGGACAGTAGTATGGCCCATCTGGGGTGGCTTGGTAGAAGCTGGCCCCTCCAGCTATACCTCCACCAAGGCAGGAAGCCACTGGAAGTTAGCAACTAGGAAACAAGATTAGATGACTAGTTCAAAGGAGAAATGAAAAGCGTTCTAGGCATGTCTGATCTAGGTTGATGCAGGGGAATCTTTTTGAGTGTGTCTCTCCCTTGGGAAGGAAATTCAAGTCTATCTGTAAGCTAGAAGTTTCCTAAAGCCTGAATTGCAGAGGTTTTGTGTTAGTCATCTTAAGGAGGCTACCTGTGGTCCCCAAGTCATGCCCAATGGAGAGATCTGGCAACTGTCCATTTCCTGCCTCTTCATCTCCCTTGCAGACACCACTCAGTCAACCTTGTATTCATTTGGCTATTTGGTCCAGCAGCCTGAGGCTGGAAGATAAATGGAAGCCATGGGTTTCTACCTAGGAAGAACTTGATTAAAGGGGATCCTCACTCTCCCCCACTCCCGCACTTAATGTCTGCACCTGCGGGGAGTCACGGTTAGTTCTCGACTTTGGCCAGTTGAGGCCTTCTGACTCTCAAAGAGGCTTCACTCTCTCTCAGCTCTTTGCTATTTTCGCCTTCGGGTCCTGTGGCTCCTACAGCGGGGAGACAGGAGCAATGGTTCGCTGCAACAACGAAGCCAAGGACGTGAGCTCCATCATCGTTGCATTTGGCTATCCCTTCAGGTGAGCAAGAATTGGTTCCAACCCAGCACATCATCTCTCACTTGACTGGCAGGACCTGCTTGGTCTCTTCCTCCTCCAGAAACCTAAAAACCATTCATTGCGTGCCACTCCAGATTCAAATAGAATGACAAAACTTAGATCCTTTCTGCTTTTTAGCAATTTCAGACACATTGACCAGAGCAAAACGTAAGGGAAATACAGATTGATCACTGTTATAATAATGTTCCAGTCCATGGACAACCCATGGCAGGTCACACCAGCTCATACAGAAAGAGCCAATGCAGTTTGGGATGGAGGCTTACAGGAACCTGGACAAGCTGGACAGGTCTCTCTGACCCTCAGTAGCCTCCTCTCTGCCTTGAAGGTAGGGAAGCTTATTAGTACTTACATCCTAAAGAGTTGATGTGGGATCCTCAGCCAGTACGACCAGGATACAAGTGGGCACACCTTGACAGGGAGGTAGAAGTGATCTCTTTTCTGGGTATTTGAGAGCTTAGGAAGTAGGGAGCCCAGGTGTTCAGGGGAAAATGGGGATGAGGCTCACCTTTTCAGAAATTTCTAGTATCAGCACCCAAGTTATATTAACTGTCTCATATATAATAGGCTGTGTTTTTCTCTTTAATTTGTCCACTGTCTCATTGGAAAGCCCAATAAAGCCTGAGAATGGGTGATTCCAACCTTATCTTGGCCACTCTGGGCCTGCACTTTCCAGAGGCAGAATGAAGCTGATCTGCCTAGTGGTTTGGCTACCAGAAAGAGAAGAACTACATATATTGCAGTTGTGACCTAAAGGGCCCTGGAGACACTTGGGAATACATGGTCACCATGTCTGGGCAGGGTAGATGAGTGGGGTGGGTTGGGGAGCAGCTGAGGGGAAGGTAGAGTTTTACTGGAAATTTCGGGGGAGTTCCCATCTTAACTGCAAGGTTCCTTCCAGAAACTTGCCTCCTTACATGACCCCTTTCTTGGCTCTGTAAGAGTCCCCTGCTGAGAACTAGCACAGGACTACTTCTGGGCCAGGGAGAGAGAGGATTGCCTGAGCTCAGGATGGCCTCCCCTGCCACCTGCAGGTTGCACCGGATCCAATATGAGATGCCCCTCTGCGATGAAGAGTCCAGCTCCAAGACCATGCACCTCATGGGGGACTTCTCTGCACCCGCCGAGTTCTTCGTGACCCTTGGCATCTTTTCCTTCTTCTATACCATGGCTGCCCTAGTTATCTACCTGCGCTTCCACAACCTCTACACAGAGAACAAACGCTTCCCGCTGGTGGTGAGTCAGCACAGGCCAGAAGGAATGGGGTGGAGAAACAGATGTTTGTGAGGGGGTTGAGGTCAGAACTGGAGCAGAGGACAAGCATGGCGGCTTCCACCCCCATGGTGGAACCTCTGCCTCCATCAACCTCCCGTTGCTTGCTCCTGTTCACAGGAGGCACAATAGCACCATACACAAGCAGGCTCTGGAGTTAGACTGCCTGGGTTCAGATCCCAGCATGGCCCCTTACTTGCTGTGTGATCTCGGACAAGTTAAATAACCTCTCTAAATCGCAGTTTCCTTAACTATAAAATGGGGATAAAATAATACCTGCTTCATAGTTTTGTGTGTGTATGTGAAAAAATGAGAATGCATGTATCTAGTACATAGTTAGTCTCAATAAGCATTAGCGATTATTAATATTATTCCTCTTTACTCTCTTCCTATCCCAGGCATGCAAGGCGGAAGGGGTGCCTTAAGGGACCCCATTTGCGTCCTGCAGTCTGCCACTTGTATCTGAGCAATGGTGATCAAAGAAAAAGCTGGGAGGGAAGAGTGGGGAATTTAGGCTCCACTTGGGATGAGTGGGTTTTGGGGTGAGGCTGACCAACGATGCCTTGGTACACTGTTGCCAGATCTTAGATCTGAGGGCATTAGCAGGGCTAGCCTGAGTGGCAGGACTCCTTTGGGGGCAGTGAACAGATGCCTCAGGACCACCTGGGTTCTAGGTGTTGGGTAGGATGGGAAGAGGCAACTGTCCTGGCACCCTGGGATTGCCAGTATCATGGCAAGTGGAAAAGAAGCAAGGGAATCATGGGGCCTTTCTGAGTGTATTTCCCATCCCTCTGCTCCTCCCAGGACTTCTGTGTGACTGTCTCCTTCACCTTCTTCTGGCTGGTAGCTGCAGCTGCCTGGGGCAAGGGCCTGACCGATGTCAAGGGGGCCACACGACCATCCAGCTTGACAGCAGCCATGTCAGTGTGCCATGGAGAGGAAGCAGTGTGCAGTGCCGGGGCCACGCCCTCTATGGGCCTGGCCAACATCTCCGTGGTGAGACCTGTGGCCACTGCAGGAAGCAGCACCAGCCCTGCTGCCCAGGCCTGTCCCAGCTAGCAGGTCCTGAAAGGAAAGAGAGGGTGTCCCAGAGCTGGTGTCCCCTGCACCTGGAGCTGGTGCCCTCACTGCGCTTCATGCTGGCTGCTGGCTCCTGGCTGACCCTGAGAGGACATTTTGGGATGAGGGGAACCCAAAAGCCACTTAGCCTTCTGTTCCTTCCTCCTTCTGCACTCTGCCTCCAATTCCCTTCTCATTTCCCCACCTCTAGGCACGCTCTCTGTGATGTCTCCCCTCCTCCTGCCTGTTCTACACAATGTGTGTGAACACATAAAGGGGAGCCTGGGGCTGTGGCTGAGCTTGAAGCTGCGAGCAGACCCAGCATGAGTGGGAAGGGGCTTACTGTCACTCAGCCCTCCAGCCTGGAAAGGGGCTTTGGAGCAGTAGTGGGTCTGCTGGATGCATATGGATTTGGCCATCCCAGTTGTTAGAATGTTGAAATATGTCCATATCCATTGGTAAAGAGCTGAGGTCTTGAGCTTCTCAAATGCTGCCCGTCATCCCAGCCACCTCAGCCCTGCTCTGAAAATGACTTGTTCCCACATCTGAAATGTTTAATGGCTGGCACACCAGGAACACACGTCTGGAACTTGCTGGAACCCTGCTTATGGTTCCCCCCCAAAAAAATTTTATTGTAGAAATGTTCACAGGTACAACAAAGTTGAAAGAATTTTACAGTGAATACCCATGCACTCACCACCTAGACTGTGCCATTAACTTTTTACTAGACTTGCTTTATCACATATTTATTCACTTCTTCATCCATCAATCCGTCTTGTTTTTAGTGCATTTCAAAGATAATTTGGGACATCAGTACACTTCCCTCTAAGTACTTCCTGCTGTGAGGTTTTTAAAATATGTTGAATAACTATTTGAACATAGCCCTGGCTAGGTGCCTGATCACAGGGAAGGAGCACCTTGGACAGCTCCTGCCACACCTACCTGGCGGAAGGTGCTCCGAACAGGGCCTCACGCGTGCTGTGGGAGGCGCCCCAGGGCTGACTTTTGCTTGGCTCCTTGCTATGCTTTGCACGATGCTCCTCTAAAGGGTCAGATTCTGCTAGTGACCAAGCTACAGCTTGGGTGCATGGTGTGGACAGAATTAGACACTTTCACCTGGGATTCCCCTAAACAGTTGATGGTCCTGAGCCCTGCCTCTATACCGAGCTCTCTGTCTTAGTCTTTCTAGTCCTCTGTGCTTCTTCCCTGCACAAGCCCCAACCCCAACTGCAATAGGAACTCCCCCTCCCTGTTCCCACAATGACCCCCTGACTATTCTCACAAATTCCCCTGATGTCTTTGCAGCTCTTTGGCTTTATCAACTTCTTCCTGTGGGCCGGGAACTGTTGGTTTGTGTTCAAGGAGACCCCGTGGCATGGACAGGGCCAGGGCCAGGACCAGGACCAGGACCAGGACCAGGGCCAGGGTCCCAGCCAGGAGAGTGCAGCTGAGCAGGGAGCAGTGGAGAAGCAGTAAGCAGCCCCCCACCTGGCTATTCCCGAACTGGACAGCACCTCTTCAACCACCTCCGGCTTCCAGGACCTTTCTCTTCCTCCTCCTCCAATTCCCCTCCCCCATCATTCTGGTCTTTGAGCTTTGAGACGATGGGCAGGCATCAGCTGTTGGAAACCTGGGCAGCCCTCTCAGTGGCTTCCTATCCTCCTTCTTGCTGGAGCCATGAATGGCAGGAGCTCAGTGCTTCTTGTGCAGTGCCTGGACCCAGGTATCTTACTTGGGGTCTTACTTGTACCCTTACAGTCTCTGAGAACCAGCCTCTGCTGCAGGTGAGGGTTGGGGGCAGGAAACCAGTGCTCTGAGACTGGTTCCTAGCAGCCACCTTTCTGTCAACCTGTCCGGCTTCAACAATATTAGGGGGAAGGGAAATCAGCTAGTAGCCTTCCCCTCTGGTCCCTTGTGTGGAGGCCCCAATAGTGGTTTGGCGACCCCTCCTCAGTGGCTGTCATCTAGTCCCTGCGTCTGATCTCCAGTCATCCCATGACTCAGTGTGCCTTCCACTGTCTTCTCTGGCCTCTGCCTGCCCACAGAATCCACCATGTGTGAACCAGAGAGGTCCACCAGCCTAGAAAACAGCCCTTCAGAGGGTCCTGATGAGGCCTTCCTGGACTCAGCTGGGAGCAAGATAAATTGCAACTGAGTTGCAGCTTCAAGAAAGTAAAGCCAGTAAGCTTGCTGGCAGAATCAATTTCTTCTATCCCCTCAATCCTCCCACCCACCAGGCTGGGGCACTTTCCACCAACACTCTAAACTCTACTTTAGAAACGCCCTATCTTCCTCCCTGTCCTCCTTCTTGGTCTCACACTTGGGACTCAAAAATGTGGAGTCAGGACCTGCCTCCTAATCCCCTTACTTCTCTGTCCATCTCCCTTCCCCAGCATCGTGCATCTGAGGCATTTGAGATCCTTTTTGAAGTCTGTCCAGGCCTTCCTTTTATTCCTGTGGGGCCAGACAGGGGCTTAGGAAGGGCCAAAGGACCATCATGAGGCTAAGTTGCCCCAGAGCCCCAGGATGGATGGGCCCATTTTTTCCTTATTCCCTGCTCAGTTTTTTCCCCTGCTCCTTCTCTAGTCCTTCTTTCATATTTCTCCTTCTCATCTTGAAAACAGGATGTTCCCTCTTCCCTTGCTGTCCCATTTCTCCCCTGTGTCCTTATTTCTCCCAGTCTCTATCCCCTCTCAAGTCCAGGGCAGGCCGATGCTATTGGTGCTTCTTCACTTTGGGACCCAGTTCCATATTTGTCTTTAGTGTATATCCTCTTCCTGATACCTCCTTCAGTCCCTCTCTGGGCCCCAAGGCTGAGAATCAGTGTTAACTGGGTAAGGATCATTTGCTTCCTACCCAGCTCAATCTGCCCTGGCCATAGGGCTTCCCAGGGAAGGAAGAAGAGGGAAGAATCCGACCACTTTCCAATCCAGTGCCAATTGGCCCACTAAGCATCCTAAAGGTGAATGTGCCCTGTGCCAATCTCTCCTCAGGACTGAGTCAACCCCCTTCAACCTCCTCACCTCTCTAAACACCATCCATAGTAACATGTGCATTACTGGGGTACCTAGGAGTCAGGACTTTTGACTTCAGGCCAGTCATTTCCTCCCGATGGGGAAAGGGTGAGATTTACATCCCCAAATGCTTGAGTCCCTCAGTGAAAGAATTAGTTTTTGTTTGTTTGTTTAAGATTTTGGGGAAGAGATTTGAGGAGGAAAGAAAGGAGATGGGGTGAGAGGGTTTTTAAGTCTGAAACTCTCTGTCATGAGCTGTCCCCATGGTTACTCAAGGACAAGGGGGGACAGTTTTGCCTACAGCTCCAGAGACACAGAGAACAAAGGGGTGACCTTCATTTTTCTTCAAGCCGGCCTCTGTGGGGGTCTGTGAGCAGCTTCTACTGGATCTTTGTTTGGATTCTGTGTCTGTATTTATAATTTATTTGAAATGTGCTGGGTAGTGTTCTCATTTGGGGGCTGAAGTTAGCAACTGGGCCTTCAGCTAGGGAAAGCAGTTGCGGGCAGGGGGTGGGGGGAGATTATATTCACTCCTGCCAAGGACTCCCAGCCCAGGACTCTCTTTAGAGCAAGGAAGCCTCGTTCTCTTTCTTCTCAAGAGGCTCTCTTGTTCTCCATCAGGAGAGCCTTGATTTAGGCTACGGCCTCACTCTCTATGGCCACCCTAAGAGGAAAGGCTACTTCACCTCATTACCTCCAGAGGGCTGGGCAGGGCCAAGTGCCTCATAGGACTCATGTTCTCTCCAACCAGGGCTGGCATCACTGCTTTGCAAAGTGGGGCCTGAGGTAGAAGAAGGTGTCTGGTTTCTCCAGCTGCTGTAGGAGGCTAATGGGCAGGGTACTTGCCCTTTGTCCCACTAGACTCTAACCCAGCACCAGGGTGCCCACCTAGGACCTTTCCTGGACATGAGTTTCCTTCACTATCATAGTCATGAGCCTCCTACTTCTGGGATTGCAGATCAGGGGTGGGGGGAGAATGTTGCATGTTGTTTTCTGGTGCTTGTTATTATATATTTGAATAAACAGTGCTGCAAGTACTTGCCATGAAGGATCTGAGACTGGAGTCCTTCCGGGGATTTATTTTTTCTTCCTCTCCCTTGCTTTAAGTTCTTGAACCAATATCAGGACTTTCACCAAGATATCATTCTACTGCTTTCCACTGTGCACCCCAAGCAACAAAGTCAGACTCTGTTGCTTGGGGTGCAGAGAGGAGAGCAGTTATTCCTAGCAGGCTCTGGTCTAGTGACATCTCCTCTTTTGGTGGCACCCAATTAGACCAAAGTAACTGGGACTCATTAGCAATTCTGGAGCAAACTCAAAAGGTGAGAGATAGTGGCTTCCACAAAGCTGTTTCCATTTGTTCTCCTACCATCTGTGACCCAAACAGGCTTCCTGTCAGGAGTTGAGGGCCATATGCTTCACTTTCTTAACTATCAGCTTCTTGTTGAACAAACTTGCACCTCTATCCCTCTTCAGAGAGTCACACACTACATTTACATCCCCTAGAAAAATACCTTGGGTACAATTGAACATTTAATTTTTACCTGATTCCTGGATGCCCTAGGGATCATCTGTGGGTCTCAGGTTGAGATTCCCTGCCCTCAGAGATTATTCTTGAAGTACTTACACCTTCCCTGGATGAAAAGGAGAAGAAAATCTGAGGTCTTGCTCCCCAACTTGTTTTCCCCTTAGCTAAAGGGTCAAGCGTCGGGGGTGAGGTGTGAGAGGTTGAGGAGGAAAAAGGATTAGTATTACTTTTTTAATGCGATGGCGGCGGGGGGGGGGCGGGAAATGGAGTAGGCAGACTTTTGTCTGATTGTGTGAGGGTGGGAAGAAATGTTATCAGCTGAGAAGATGAAAGAAATGGATGATTAAGGTACTTTCCAGACCTTAGCAAGGAAGATGACAGCTCTGATGAGAAATCTCCCTATGCCGAGGCTTCAGAAGCAGCCCTTCCAGCAGAGAAAGTATTCATTAGAAAAAGAAGGCAAAGTGATGGATGGAGTCAGGGTCCAGCCAGGGTTTGGGAAGAGGCTGTACAGGGTATCGATCGCAGTTCTCAAGAGAAGAGAGACAGATCAGCAGAGATGCTGCAAACACCAGCTGCCTCGGGGCCACCCCAGTTCTGGGGCTGGCTCTGGCTCGGAGACAGCCTTCTGTCATCCTGTCATCATGACAGGTGATCTTGGTCAGCTTGGCCAGGTCCTCTCAAATCCAGACAACGCCACGCCAACCCTCTGCTCTGCATCAGGGCAGCGTGGGTTTCCCACAGAGGAGGCACGACACGGGAGCCGAGGCCCTCCCCCACACCACCCCTGTGTCCTTCAGCACCTCCTACAGACTCCCTCCCCTTGCCCTTCTGATTCACAGCGCCCACCTCCCTGCACCTACCCTATTCGATCTACAGGGGAGCGGAGTCGCTTCGTGGCCGCCAGCCCGGGAAGGGGCGCCAGCCAGCTGGCGGACGCACGGCTTAGAGGGGCGTCTGGGCAGAGAGGTTTGGGGCTGGGGAGAGATGCAGTGAGCTTGGGAGAGTGGACTGGTAGCACAAATAATGTGTGCATAAGGGTTAGAAGAGGAGGTCCTGGAGCTTTGGTCTTCTCTTTTCCCCCTGCAATTGTGCATTTCGGAGGGACTCTTGCTGCAAGCTCGGTAGGCAATAGCATCCGCTCCAAGACTACACTTCCCAGAAGGCTGTGAGTGGGTGGGGGGGGGGGGGGCGCGGGGAACAGGCAACCTGTGTTGCGCTTGCGCAAAGACTGCGCTGGAAAGGCAGGTGGGGAGGAGGGGAGGCGTGCCCGCGACGGGGCGAGGGGGAGGGGGCCGCGCGGCGGCGGCGCCAGGGCGGGCGCGCGTCCGCGGCGGTGATGGCGGTGCGTGAACGCGCGGCGGCAGCAATGGCCGCTCTGGAGCGGCGGGTGCCGAGTCTCGATGACTTCGCGGGACAGAGCTGGAGCTCGTGGGTGGAGCGGGCCGACCTGCCCGCGGCTGACGGTGAGTAAAGCCACCCTAAAGTCCGGGGACCCCATCACTATCTCCCCTCCCCCCTTCCGGGCCCCCGCCAGCTGAGGGGAGCCGCCGACTGGAGCCGCCGTCCGGCTCCCCGGCCCCCCAAACAAAGGACCCGCCGGGTCCTAGTGCCCGCCCGCTCCGTCACCTTCGCGCCTCCGGGTCCTAGCGCCTGCTCACCGCTCGCAGCCCACCCTGCCAACCTCTGCCTCTGCCAGTCGCTAATACCTGCCCCCATATAGGCTTGCCTTTATCTTTCTCCTTGCCTGCTGCCCCTCAGCTCGCGACCCTCCTGCACCTGCCTCCAGCTTTCCCTGTCCGCAACAGTCCTCCACGTGTTTCCCACGCACCCCACTTCTGTGCCCCCTTCCTCACCCCCCTTGTTCCTTCGCCTTTTGCCCCACACCTCCTGCTCCTTTTCGGCATTTGCCTGCAGCTGCAGTGCTTTTAGACCCCCGCCCTCTCCGCGTTAGTTCGTCCGTCCATCCATCTATCCTCCCTCCCTCCATCCTTCGGTCCATCCATCCATGCCTCCAACCCACTGTCCTTTCCCAGGCCTCTTGCCCTGCCTCTTGGCTCTCTGCTCTTACTCTCACCTTCTCTAGGCCCCTGAGTGCCTTAGTGAGCGGGCCTACAGCCCCTTCTTCTGATCTTTGTCTTCTGGGCCCCAGGGAGCACCTGGCCTCGTGGCCTTTCGGGGTGACAGCAGGCATCACGCCCCTGAAGAAGTTTGCAAGTGAGAAGAGGTGGAGGAGGAGACTGCACGGAGGGGTCTCTAATGACACTTGTTCTCCTCTGAGACATCCGACTCCCAGTTTCGTTCTATCCATCATTCCCCGCACTTGCATTTAACGGACTTAGAGTGGGAGCTGCCCCTTGTCTCTTGCGTGCCTAACCCACGACCCCTCATAATCTGGATATTATATAAGATTGTCAACAATCTTCTCATCCTAGAAAGGAGCATATCTGTTAATGGGCATCAGAGAGCAGACCTAAGTGGGAGCCCAGGCCACCCTGGGGCTGCCCCATGCTGGGTGGGCAAAGATGGGGCCATTGTCAGGGTCTGGGTGCATTGAGAACCGGAAATGGAGTCAGACGGGTTTGGTGACTCAGAATTGATTTTTTTTTTCCCAAGGGACAGGGAGGGGGCGTAGAGGAGGGAGGGGGGAGGAGAGAGGTAGGGGGATGGGGAAAAAGCTGCTTTGCACAGCTAAGATGTTTTTGTCATTAACCCAGAAACTGAGGTACAAGGGCAACCCCTGCCCAAAGGCCCTCTAAGAAGGGGAGGGACTTGCATAGCTGACCAAGGAGACTTTGAAGATGCTCAAGGACCAAAGACAGCAGTTTCTCTGCTCTGTGACCATCCTATCAGTGCAGGACCTGAGAAGCTGGGTGTAACTTTGACAATGCTATGGTAACCCAGGTGGAGCAAAATTGAGTTCATGGGGGTGGGGACCTGGGAGAGTATCTATTTGGGATGCCACATAGTAGCAGAAAGGACCCATCGAGAAATCTCAAGAAGAGACTCAGGGACTTATAGAAACATTGGTTAAGGACGGTTTCCCCTTTAAATGGGGAAGCAGGCCCAGAAAAGAGATGATACTTACCCACAATCACCCAACTAGTTAGCAGTGGAACCCTAAACTGCACCTTGAAGTGAAGGGTCCCATAAGAAAGGTGGATGGATTCTTCTTAGTGGGGCCATCTTAGTCCAGATGCAGCAGGTGAAGGAAGATGGGCATTTGAGAATGGACCCACTGAAAGGTTCCCCAAGTGGTCCTAGCACCAGGAGCTTGTCACGGAGTGTGGGCTTCATACTGTTGAGCTGCAGGCCCTGCTTGGGGCTTCTGGAAAGGGGACAACCTCTGGGTTGTCTTCTGGGAAGAACAGTCTCTGGTAAGGAGAGGCTGGAGACTCTCTAAAACTGGCCCTGACCCTTCTGAGCTGTGTTTCTCCTCTAGGGGCTGAGCTGGAGGAGAGTAGCAAAAACACGAAGAAGTTGGATGCCATGACCCTCATTAAAGAAGGTGGGAGTCGACACACATTAGGGCTGGGACCCAGGGCAGACAGGACCACGCTCCACTTTTCCACCACACTACAGAAGGAGGTGGCTGCTTGAAGCAGCTGTCTGGGGACCCTCATTTTGATAGGTCCGAGTCGGCCGGTTGTTCTGGCTCCTGTGACCTGTCGTTGGAGATCATAATCATAGGTGATTGCCCACTCACCTGAAAGCGTATACCCTTTGGGACTGCTTAGATCGAACTCTGGAAGCTGGAAGCATTCAGCATGGAGCTTGTTATATCAGCGGGGAGGTGAAGTGCCTTCTGAGTGTGGGGTGGGAGTGCTCTCCGATCTTCCAGAGAAACCCTGGGATCTTCAGCCCCAGTGACATGGGCTTCTGTCATTGCAGACATGTCCATCTTCGGGCACTGCCCTGCCCATGATGACTTCTACTTGGTTGTGTGTAACCACTGCAGCCAAGTGGTGAAGCCTCAAGCTTTCCAGAAGCACTGCGGTGAGGGGAGCCCTAGGGAGGAGATAAAGGGACAGGGGAAGGTGGAGCATGGAACTCTGAGGACAGGGTCAGTTGGGAGGTCTCGTAGGGTAATGGAGGGTGGTGTTGAGGATAGGAAGGTTGTGGGGGTGGCTTCAGAGCATTGTGGGGAGTCGGGTTATTGTTTGAACAAAATTCTAGCATCCAGTGGAATTACGGGAGGAGTTAAGACATTCAGGAAGCTGGGTCTTGAATTTTGAGTCCTAAAGGCTCAGATTCAAATGGGAAGGAGGCATGTTTACAATCTAATTTATGGAAACTCAGATTCTCTCATGTGAGTCTATGGACATGGTTAGGTTGGGGAAGGAAGTGGTGATACCACTCACCTTGATTATTCTTTCCACCTCCTGGTGACAGAAAGAAGACATGGGCCCCTCAGCAAGCTTTATGGCCGGGCCCCACCCCCACCTCCAGCCCCTGCCAGCTCTCAGAAATGCCATGTAGTGAATGGGCAGGGCCCAGCTTGTAGGGCCCCAGGTTCCACGAAAACCTCCTCCAGGGAGAAGGGCCAGGGGTCCCGGAGCCGTGGCCACCAGCCTCCTGAGAAGACCCAGAAGGACAACCTCTGGTAAGGAGAGGCTGGAAACTTTCTAAGACTGGCCCTGACCCTGACCCATGGATGGGCTGACATCAATACAGACAGCCCTGGGTCAAGGCATACTCCTCACAGCAGGAGGCAGCCGTCCTGTCTGCAGCTTCCTTCCATATATTCCAGGGAAGATGGGGTCTCCTCTTCCCGTGTTTCACACCCCTGCTGGAGCCCACCCAAATTCCAGGGCTGGGAAAGAGATGGCTCTGGGCTAGAGTCCAGGCCCCAGGCCTCGCCTCCCCTCCCCTCCCTCAGCCAACCCCCTCTCTCTGTGTGTAGCCTTTTCGTGCCTGTGGTGAATCTGGAGAAGATGTCCAGTCTCCCGAAGCCTGATGGACATGGAATCAGGGTGGCCCCACCCTCTGCTTTTCTCAGCCAGCCAGGGGGCCTCACCAAGGACTCCCCTGGAAAACCTCCCATGGCTCCCCCTTCTAAAGAACCTCCTGGCAGAGAGAACATCGAGATCATCCCCAGTGAGGGGTCCAGTCACTGGGCTGAAGGCAGCCCTCCTGAAAAGGAGCCCAGTGGGACCAGGCTGCCCCCTAAAACCCACCGGAAGATGGCTCGTGAGTAGTTGTGGTCTTGGGGGTCCAGAATGTAGAGTGGGGACTCCTTTGGGCTGCTTTGTCCTTGGGCTGGATGAGGAGGAGGTCAGGTTTATGGGCCTGGCCATCACAGGTTGTAGGGTATAGGAGCCCCGTCACCTCTTGACCTGCTTGCTTCCTGGGAAGCTTCTCTCCATCCTGTGTCTCCTGATCAAGGCTGAGGGAGCCCATGCCCAGGAGGTGAAGTTCTTTCTCACTCTTTTCTCACCTAGATCCAGGGCGCCAGCCAGACACATCTCACAGCTGGCTTCTCTGGCCTCCCAGATGCCCATGGCTGCTTTTGTTTCTTGATGTGTGTTGCCCTGCTTTGGGCTTGAAGTCCCAAAAGGCGCACCTGAAATTGGGATAGGGATGGTTCTCACACCCAGCAAGGAGATGTTGATGCCCAGAAGTTTATCTGGAAGGTACAGCCCCAGGCTGAGGGCTGGAGTCTCTTCTGCCTTAGTACCAGTTCTCAGGCCCTTGGCAGGAAGCGGCCAAATCCTCCTGTAAACTCCTGGAAATGGTCTTGAGGTTCATTGGAAGTGCTTTCCCCACAGGGAAGGAGTGCGACCTCAACAGGCAGTGTGGGGTAATAAATCCAGAGACCAAAAAGATCTGTACCCGCCTGTTGACCTGCAAGGTAACCCCCTTCCCACTGCACGGTGAGGGAGGACAGCACAGGGCTTGCCCACTCCTTCCCTGGGCAAAGAGAGGAATGTCGATGTTACTGAAGGTCCAGCTTAAGGGAGGGCAGTTAGGCCCACCCAAGGGAAGGGGAGATGGGTATGCCCCTCCTGGGCAGAAGGTGGGAACAGTGGGAAGGAGGGAGTTTCCAGATTCCCCCATCCCAAAGGAGGGTTTTGGCCCCATGGGGGAATGAAACAAAGACACATGAACACAGCTGCAAATATGCCCACCTCTCTCCCTGCCCCCCAACTTGCCCGGGCCAAAGCACCCTGCCGTCCCTCACCCCTTCTCAGTTCATACCTACTCCCCAGCTCTCCACTCTGCTGTATTCTAGATCCACTCAGTACACCAGCGCCGGGAAGTCCAGGGCCGGGCCAAGGACTTTGACGTGCTGGTGGCAGAGCTGAAGGCCAACTCCCGCAAAGGGGAGTCTCCCAAGGAGAAGAGCCCAGGGCGCAAGGAGCAAGTTCTCGAGCGCCCCTCCCAGGAGCTCCCCTCCTCAGTCCAGGTTGTAGCAGCGGTGGCTGCTCCCAGCAGCACCTTCTCTGTTCGTGCCAAGCAGACCTACCCATACTGTGCACTGCCCAGGTACGTCTAGAATCCAACCCCTACCTCACCTGGGGGTACTTGGCCCCTAAGCCATCAGGGGCCCCTGGAAACAGGCTCAGGGAGTGTCCTGGAAGAGGCACTCCCTCAGCCCTGAGTGTGGGGGTATTCCTGGGGCTCCTGACAGTGGTGTGGAAGCAGGAGACTCCCCTGTTTCCAACCAGGCATACCACAGCACCCCAGCCTCTCGGCAGTGTGCCAGATCCAACACTCAGGATATGAACATTTTCCCAGCTGCCTCCAACAGACCGAAACTTGTCACTGGGGAGCTGAAAGGGTCACACTCCTGGGCAAGGCAGCCCTATGTGTATTCACTCACTGGCCCCTTCGCGTGCAGAGGCTATGCCGGACCCCAGGGAGAGCCTGACTTGCTGAAGGAGACACACATGCATCTCTGCCTGTCACACAAGGGGCAGACACGAAACACAGGCTCAGCTCACAGACAGGCTCACAGGAATATGTGATGCAAGAAGGGGGTTGAGCGAGTTGACTGGGCTGACCAGAGCTGGGTACAGTTTTAACTGTGAAGATTTTCTGGAGGAGGCGGATCTGCAGCAGATTATCCCCTGAGGAGGAAGGGGCTGGGAGGTGAAGGGGCTGGGGAGAGAATCCCTTGGGAGCAGTCTCTCTGTCTCTTACTCTGTGAGCTGTGTCGTTCCCTCCTGTCCTTCCCTTCCCTCTGTCCTCTTCTGATTGCCCTGCAGGGTGTCTGCCCTGGTGCCCTGCTCTTTGAGCTCGGCAGGTTCAAGGATGCCCCTACTCTGACCCCACAACAGTCACATTCCCCTGGCATCCCTTTTGGCCCTTCCAGGTCCCGGGCCTCCTCCGAGAGTGAATTGGATGATGAAGGCCCCTGTGGTGGTGATGGGGACCCAGGCCTGTTCCCCTTCCCCATGCCCCGGGGTGGGACCCAGGCCTCCAGCGAAGAGAGTGAGGAGGAGGGGACATCTGACGACCTCCACCCACCCCCTGACTGCCATTATGCAACCCGGCCCCCACGGCCACAGGCGGTAAGGACCTGGAATAGGGGCCTATGGAGGGGGTGGCCCAGCACTCCTGGCCAACAACATGGGGAGGAGGCCAGATCCTGTGTGCAGATGCTGTCTGTGCACCCCAGACCCTGCCAACCATGCACCTTCCTTCTGCCTTTAGTTCTGCACCTTTGGGAGCCGGCTGGTGAGCCCAGGATGCTATGTGTTTAGCCGCCGGCTGGACCGGTTCTGCTCAGCACTCAGCTCCATGCTGGAACGGCACCTCAGCACACACATGTGGAAGTAAGTCTCTCGGACCCAGAATGGAAGTTCTAGAATGGAAATTCCTAGGTTCCAGACATACTTGGGCTTCAGAAGCCCTGATCTTTCCTGTATACCCATAGGTGTGCCTTGGCTATTTGCCAGCAGGACCCCAGATAGGGAGTAGCATGAAAAGGAGGTGGGAAAACTTGGCAGCCTAGAGTTTGGCTAAGGCAGGGCATGGAAGGGTGGTCTGGGGGTGAATCTAGACTTTCATCCATCACTTCCAGTACCTTTTGGGTAACTAGGGATAGGGGATGCCCAAACCAAGATTTAAAATGAAGTTCCTAGTGGGCTGCCTCCTAGTTAGTAGGTACTAGCTAATTCCTCTCCACAGGCACCCCTGTGTCTTCTTCCTAACCCTCAGTTCCAGCATCTCCCAGCAGATGGCAGCAACTCTGGGGCTCTGCTGACCATTTCTAGGTGGGGCAGAGAGACTGGAGTGTGTCTTGTGTTGGGGGAAGCTGTCTTGTTTCTTGGCAGTCACAGTGGGGCTTTCTTTTTGCTGCAGGAAGATCCCACCGGCAGCTGAACCTCCAGCTCACCTTGTCAACTCCCCGTTATCTGCTCCCCTGAGCCCATCCTCTACAGGCACCTGCCCCCGCCTTCCAGGTCCAACCCTGAGACCTGCCTGCCCAGCCTCCATGCCCCCCACCAAGGACAACCTTGTCCCCAGCTACCCTGCAGGCTCCCCCAGCGTGGCGGCTGCCTGTAGCCAGGCAGAGTGCATGGGCGGGAGCCAGGCTATCACCTCACCACTGCCTGCCAACACGCCATCCCCGTCCTTCAGCAAGCTGCCGCCTTCCAAGGCCAGCAAGTCATCCAAAGGCAAGGACGGGGTGGAGGTGGAGGCCCCTTCTCGAAAGCGGAAGTTATCCCCTGGCCCTACCACTCTTAAACGGACCTGCATCCTGGAGCCCACTGGAAAAGGGAAACCCTCTGGCTGTAGGGGCCTCTCGGCCAAAACTAAAACAGCCCTGAGCATGGGGCTTAATGGGACAATGGGGCCAAGAGTGAAGCGGGCAGGGCCCCTGGACTGTCGTGGCTCCCCTCATCAGCTCCCCACACCAGTCAAGGCTTCTCAGCTGGAGAACCGGGGAGCAGCTGGACACCCAGCCAAGGCCCTGCCAACCAACTGCCTCTCTGAGGAGGAGGTGGCCAAGAAGCGGAAAAACCTGGCCACTTATTGCCGGCCAGTGAAGGCCAAGCACTGTCAGGCTGGTGCCCCTGCTGATGTGGCCTGCTCTGTGCGCCGCAAGAAGCCAGGCCCGGCCCTGGCCTTTGAGGAGAAGTGCTCTACACTGAAGGTACCAGCCAGGCTCCCTGAAGATTGATGAGGGTGGGGCACACAGGGGGTACCTGATACAGAGAAGATGCTACATTGGTGTTTGTGCAGGGAAAGGGAGGAAGGGGAAGTTGAGAGAGTTCCTGGACTGTTTTCTTTAGGAAGAGGTAGGTCAGTTCTTAGCAAAGTGACTCCAGCTTTTTGCCTGGTGAACCTTCCCCTATCCCTAACCCTTTCCCTTGGGCTGAGGAGATGCGGCACCCCTCCACCCCTGCTTTTGCTATAATCAAAGGGCTACTTCTTTCTGAATTGGCTGTGACCCTCATTCCAGGTACTGGAGCTACCTCTGTTCCCTGAAGGAAAGGGAGTTTGAGTCCCTGGGTCACAGCCTAACATGCCGAGCAGCAAGGTGGGTGGGCTGGTCTCACTGGTTTTTCCTCTGGGCATCAGGGCCTTGAAGGGCAGGCACACAACCCCATGTCCACTTATGCACATGTGCCCACCTCCAGGTGTGCAGGTGACAGGCAAGTTCTCCAGGGTTTCCAGTAAAGCCTGCAGCCAGTTTTATTTGCCTCTTCTGGTGGGAGCCCTGGTGTAGTGTGCTATGTGCTCTCCATATGATCTCTGCCAGGAGGGACTTACTGGAGGTGGGACGGGGGTGCTCTCCTGGGTTAGATGTGGGCCTAATCATAAACCCTGTGTGTTCTCCAGCTTCACTACCCAGGCTGCCCCTGGTGAGCTGGCATTCATCTTCCCCCTTGCTCAGTTTTACTCACCAGGCCAGCAGAAGGAAATCAAGCTTTAGCCTCTGTAGTGCACACAGTTCACTGGGTAGGACAGCTGGTAGGCCCCCACCCTGACCCTTTCTCTCGCCTCTTGTCTTCCTGCAGTCAAAAGCCCATTAACGAGAAAGTGCCTGCCCACTGCAACGGAGCCGCCAGCACCTCCTCCCCTCCAGATCCGGGCCCCAGGCTGCTGCCGCTTTTTATAACTTTATATTATTTTTTTTTAAGAAAAAAAGCTCTTTAAAATACCTCAAGACTGTCTCCCTGTTCTGTTGCTGCTATGAAAATATAAAAACAGAAACATAGAAAAGGAAGGAAAAAAAATAACAAAATGAGTGTCCTTACTGTCCCCAGCCCTACCCTGGGAGGCTGAGATGATAGGCAGCCAGACTCCAGCTCCCATAGCTTGCCTGCAAAAGTCTCTTATGCTCATTATTATTATTATTGTCATCTTGTCATTTTCAATAGTGTGAAAAATGTTTGTGTCACTGGGGTAGTCTTTCCAGACAGGATGATGAGGCGTGTGGCTCTGAATGAGTAAGGCTTCCTGAGTCTTGACACCAGAGACGACTATGGTCCCATTGGGAAGAGAAACTCGAGAGGGGGAGCTGCACTTCTGGCTCTTTCTAGGATCCTTGCCCCGAGGGTCTGGGAATTGGCTTGTGACCCTTTTCTGGTCCTTCAGCAACCCTAGGCATCCATCCCTCCCTGAATTATTGCCTGCTTTTCTTCAGCTGTTCCTGCAGCCTCATTTTCTCAGCCACTTAGGGAGCTTGAGCTGGGTTGGTCATTGCTGTTGGGATATTCCTGTTTTCTATTGGACAGCCTTCCTTCCCTGCCTGTGGGTTTGCCTTTAAGGAAGGGGTAGAACCTTTCCCAGGGAGGCCTCCTTGGGTTGAACCACCCCTTTTTTGGAGGCAGGAAGGGAAAAGGCATCATCACTTGCAGAACTGGTGGTGTGGGAGGCCACAGGAGTGTGGGAGGCCTTGGTCCTTCAGGATCACCTGGCTCCTCAGGGCTGAGCAGCTGCTGAGGAGGCGGCAGGGCTGGGAGTGCCCTAGTTTTTCCATTTATCTCGCTGGGGACCACTCCCGTGCAGATGCGAGAGGAGACTTGCATTTCCCTCCTTTGGTCCACCAGGTTCAAGGCACTATATTTTGGCGATGTCCTTTCCTATTCTCCTTGCTCTTAGGCATGGAGGAAGCTTGTTCCCTGAACAAGACAAAATGAGGTGACAGGAGACAGTGCACAGCCAGGGAAATCCAGTACTACTAGAAATCGGCTCCAAACACTTGTTTCACAGTCTTGGTTCAGCGTACCAAGTGTGTGATTTGGGGTTTCACTGAAATCGTTTGCCACAAAAGTAATTTCCACAGGCTGCTTGGGATTTAGGCCCTTGTAGACAGACACACAGATACAAATGAAGGTGGGCTGGGAACTGTTCGGTCCCCTTCTGCCTCCGGGCTCTCGCGGGAGCGGGCCTCTCCGGGGCACTCGCGTTTCCCCCCCAGCCCCCAGAGGGCGCTGTGGGCCACTCCGCCGCACTGCCGGCGGCGTCCCCGGGGAGGAGCCTCTCCTGCAGCCGCCACCGCCTCCGCGATCGCAAACCCGGAAGACGTGTTCGGGCAGCTGGAGTGTACGGGCCCGCGGGCCACGGCCATGCAGCCCCTGGAGGTAGGTCTGGTTCCCGCTCCAGCTGGGGAGCCGAGACTGACCCGCTGGCTGCGGAGAGGCAGTGGGATCTTGGCGCACCTGGTAGCTTTGGGCTTCACCATCTTTCTGACAGCGCTGTCCCGGCCAGGAACCAGTGAGTGTGCGGGGCGGGGTTGCGGAAGGGGGCGGAGTGGAGATGCTGGAGGGGCAGCGCTTGGGAGCCCCGGGAGACTTGGAGGAGGGACCCCAGCAGTAAAGGGGAGACAGAAACAGTGGAGGGATTTTGAGGGCCTGGTGGGGCGGGGCCCCAGGGATCCTGGAATAATGGGGTTTTGGGTGCTGTGGGGGAAGGGCAGACGATTGAACAGACCGAACTACTTCCTCAGAAACAGGTCCCCTGATGGAGGATAGAAGTGAAGGAGGCCGGGCGCGGTGGGTCATGCCTGAAATCCCAGCACTTTGGGAGGCCGACGCGGGTGGATCACTTGAGGTCAGGAGTTCGAGACCAGCCTGGCCAACATGGTGAAACCCCGTCTCTACTAAGAATACAAAAATTAGCCAGGCGTGATGGCGCGCGCCTGTAGTTCCAGCTACTTGGGAGGCTGAGGGAGGAGAATCGCTTGAACCCGGGAGGTGGAGGCTGCAGTGAGCCGAGATTGCACCACTGCACTCCACCCTGTGCGACAGAGCGAGACTCCGTATCAAAAAAAAAACAAAAAACAACAACCAAAAAAAACAAAAAACAAAAAAGGGGCAGAGGACTGGGCTGCCAGCTGAGAGGTGCTGAACGGGGAACCCGGGCCAAACTGTTGTATGTGTGTGGATAAGGAGGCCCTCTTGGTTGCTCACCCTGGGGCTCCTTGGCTGCTCCACTTTGTCCTTAGTTCCTGTGCCCGATTAGGATTGGGGATGGTACTTTTCTCCTGTGGCTAGATTCTTTGGGTTCCACCTAGCTACAGGGGCAGGAACAATGGTACCAAGCCCTCAGCCTGTTCTCTTTGATTCTTAGGTCTTTTCTCCTGGCACCCTGTATTCATGGCCTTGGCGGTGAGTTTAGGCTTCTATCTGATTTGTTTGGGTATTCCTCACCTCATTCTCCCAGGGAAGCACCCAGCTTTCAGAAAGCTCAGCCTTTCTAAGGCTAAGACAGGTGGAGGAAACATCTAGGGCTCATCTTTCCCTGCAGCCTATGGGATTGGGAAACCTGGAGGGCTGGGCCATAGGCAGTTGTCAGATGGTTGAAAAGGGCGGGAGGGCATGGAAGATAATTTCTTTCTCCATTGGGGCCGGAAAGGAGAAGGGGGGAGAGGTGTTATCCGGTCATCTCCCGACTTGTCCCCAAAGTTCAGGAAGAAGTTTAACATTTGCTACTCCACTGGTCAAGAAATGGGAGTCATTGTAGAGGTTGGGATGGGGAGATGTCAACCTGAATGAGGAGACGTGCACTCAAGTGCTGATTCCCAAATGTTCCCAGAAATGTTGAGCTGTGAGGCTGGTGGTCCTGGTTGAACTTATTTAACCCTTACCCTTTGTCCTCTTTGTTAGGATGTATGAGAGCACCTCCTTTTTCTCAGGCCTCCAAGCCAGACATGAGGCTTACTGGCTCTCTCCTATGTTCACAGTTCTGCCTCTGCATGGCTGAAGCCATCCTACTCTTCTCACCTGAACACTCCCTGTTCTTCTTCTGCTCCCGAAAAGCACGGATCCGGCTCCACTGGGCAGGGCAGACCCTAGCCATCCTCTGTGCAGCTCTGGGCCTGGGCTTCATCATCTCCAGCAGGACCCGCAGTGAGCTGCCTCATCTGGTGTCCTGGCACAGCTGGGTGGGAGCCCTGACACTGCTGGCCACTGCTGTCCAGGCACTGTGTGGGCTCTGCCTCCTTTGTCCCCGGGCAGCCAGGGTCTCAAGGGTGGCTCGCCTCAAGCTCTACCATCTGACATGTGGACTGGTGGTCTACCTGATGGCTACAGTAACGGTGCTTCTGGGCATGTACTCAGTATGGTTCCAGGCCCAGATCAAAGGTGCGGCCTGGTACCTGTGCCTGGCACTGCCCGTCTATCCAGCCCTGGTGATCATGCACCAGATTTCCAGATCCTACTTGCCGAGGAAGAAAATGGAAATGTGAGTTCCTGCGAACGCTGAATCTAGGTGGGACGCTTGCCTTGAACATCATGGTTCCTTTGGTGATCTATAAGGGATCTATTTAAGAAGTGGTCAGGTTTTCGCACTTCTTGGCTGGTCCAGGGACTGCAGAAACCAAAGCTGCTATTGTTGAGGAATAATTCAGTGGGTCAAAATGGGGAGATGTACTGGGTATGAGTGGAAGGTGATGGAGAGCCTGATCCTGAAGCCTCTACTTGATGAGAGACAGAGTTTTGGGTGGTGATAGTGATGTGCTGGTGGTCATTTCTTGCTTGTGTGCCTGATGAAAAACTGGGTTCCTGTAAGTTATGAATGGCATCCAGGGATATTTGGGTTACTTTTAAGAAAGCAGTGTGATGTAGTGGAGAGAGCCCATGGGTCTTATTTATGGGATATGGTCCTCTTAGGCTCTGTTGTACAACCTTAGGTACATTCCATATCTTAAGACCACTGTTTCTTCATCTGTGAAATGTTTCTAAACAATCTCTAAGTCCCTTCCTTCTCTAATATACAGCGTCTGTCAGGTCGATGTCTCAGAACACTCTCCCAGCTGTGGACCACGTGGACCACTTAGCAGACTCAGGGGGTAGTTCTTTACTCTCCCTTTACTACCCTGGAGGGACAGCTCTGCCCTTGAGGCCCTTCAGAAATTTGTGCTGATTTGGTCCCTGTGCCAGGGCACAGGGGGTCAGGCACTGTGGAAAGAAGGGACTCAGGTGAGGGTCTTCTGGACTCTAAGACGGTAAAGGCACTAAAGTCACTTTAAAGCTTTTGGAGAAGCAGGAGGGCATTGGCTTAACCAAGCCGAAGGCTGCTGGCTGGGCTGCCTAGCCCAGCTAAGATCTTCCTTCAGCCCACCTCAGGATCCGGGCTTGAGGGCTGCAGGGCCTGCGTGCGCTCCCTCCCCCGAAATCACTTCTCAGGGCAAAGGAGCCCCAGGCATCTCATGCTTTGCCCTTCTTAGGGCTCAGGTTCTTGCCTTAGCACATAGCTTCTGGGAGCTTTTTTGAAGCATTTCATAAGGGCCAAGGAAGTGGGGCAGGGCTTTTCTGATCCAAAGAAAACAAAGTTTCTCTGGTTACCCCTCTTCCCTTGTTATCTAAGCTTTCCTCAGTTGTCATCTCTTCCCAGCTCTTTGGTCCAAGAGGGGGCTGAGTTTGGTGCCAGCTGGCAAATGAGGGCTGGACTCTCTTCCCTCCAGAGACCACCCCGCTCCTTGCTGCAGCTGAAAGTAGTTCCCCAGGCTGCCCTCGGTGGTGAGGACTGGATGCTAGACTGCTGAGCTGTGGTCTGGGCTCAGTTGAGAAGATAGGATCTCCCTAGATCATGGCAAGGCCTGACAACAGCTGAGCCAGGAAAGTGCTGCTGAGGCAAGTCGACATAGCTCACAGGGAACTCTGGGAAGCCTGGGATGTAGGCGCTGGAGCTCCAGTTCCCAGGAGCAGGGGCAGGTGTTCCTAGATGTTAGTGTTGTGGATGTCCTTGGTCTTCTGAAGATTCAGGTCCTCCTCTCCGGGTAGCTTAGAAGTAAGGAGGTTGGTTTGATTCAATAGTATGGGGACAGAATGGGGACAGCAAGGGCAGAAGTGTCCTCTCCACGTAACTCATTATGCCCCTCCTGGGGGAGATTGCATCTCCAGGACAAGCATCTAAAGGAGGCCCCTGCTGTGCAGAGGGGTATTGTTCCTGTCTCTTTCATTGTCCTCCCTCCTCTCAAACTCTCCAGTGTGGTGTGAACTCAGAAGAAACGGTTACTGGGGCTGCATGGAGAATTTCACCTGCGGTGATTTTGATCCAGGGACTGCATCTCCTCTTTCCTCATCACAGCCAGTGCTGAGAGGCTCCTTCTACCTGCCGCAGGGTAGGAGGGCCAGGCAAAGTTCACCAGCTTGCTCTAAGAGCAAGCAGGCAATGCCGTAAAGCCTGAGCCTGCCTGAGGTGCTGCCTCCTCCCAGGTGGTGCGGGGGCTGGTGGGCGGGCGGGCAGGCGTGCTGACAGCCGGCAGTTTGCGTGGGCTGTGCCATCTGATGTCTATTCCCAGCCCTGGGAGGAAGGGGGAGTCATTTATATTCTGCAGGAGGAAGGGGCCCCAGCTGTCGCCTTTCTGACCAGCAGGCCTGGAGGGCAGGGGCACAGAGCAGAGAGGAGGGCACTGGTGGTCTCCTGCTTAGCCTGGTCTGACTGCAGTGTAGGGAATAGGTCACCAGGAGGAGCCCTTCATCCTGGCAGGCCGGATTGTGGAGGGACTTCCCTCCCCCTCTTTTCCATTTCTCCCTCCATCACCACCTGCCCTCACATCCTGGGGCAGCAGCTGGACAGCCATTAGACCTCAGTGCCAGGGCACTCTTCCTCCAGCTGGGATCTCAGTGGCTCCCAGCTGCATGGGCTCCTGCTTGTGTGTTCCCTCCTCCGCCATCCTCTGTTCCCCGCACCTCCCTTATTCTGCTCATGTCTGGGGTATTCACTTGGCTCCTCAGCAAGGAAGCAAACGCCTTGGAGGAGAAGCACATGGTTGCCCTTTTGTCCTTGCTCCCTGGCTAGGGAAAGCTGCTAGTGGTCAGCCTGTTTTGCCTTTTTTTAAAAAAAAAAAAAAAGCCAGGGCAGGGTGCTTAGATTTTAAAAATTTGCGTGTCATTTGCACAAATTTTCATATCAAGCTAAGTCCTGATTCCAAATTTGATTATATTCCAAATTTGATTATATTCCAAATTTGATTATATTCAGATTCAACCTTGAGGACATTAGAAATATAGATGGCTTCTGTATCCAAATCTGAATGGAAATGAGATTACCCTTCTGGGTTCAGATACCCCTCCCAAGCCCCCGTCTTTTCTGTAACCACCCCTCCTCTGAGCCCCATCATGGCTGGGGTTGGTATGGAATGGGAGCAGCTCTGTATCTGGGGAAGTCCTCCAGCCTCACCTTCTTGGCTCTTAAGTGGTAGGCTGTTACCACTTGCCAGCCTGGGCCTCCTCTCTCCCCACCCTTTCACAAGGCAGGCTGCCCTTCCGCACTCACTGGCCCATCCCTTCTTTCTCATCGTCCCACCCTTCCACCCCCGTGCATGGCTGCTGTAGGTCTGGTTTTTTTGGTTTTTGTTTTTTTTAAGACGGAGTCTCACTCTGCCGCCAGGCTGGAGTGCAGTGGCAGAATCTTGGCTCACTGCAACCTCTGCCTCCCAGGTTCAAGCGATTCTCCTGCCTCAGCCTCCCGAGTAGCTGGGACTACAGGCACGTGCCACCATATCCAGCTAATTTTTGTATTTTTAGTAGAGATGGGGTTTCACCATGTTGGCCAGGATCTCTTGACCTCGTGATCTGCCCGCCTCGGCCTCCCAAAGTGCTGTGATTACAGGCGTGAGCCACCGTGCCTAGCCAGGTCTTGTTTTGAAAACCTCACTGTGGGAGATTCAGGCATCCTCCCTAAGCCAGCTGGCCGCTGTGCTAAAGCCTGTTCAGAGTTAATAATAATCATTAGCTGAATGGTGCTGGGGCCTTTCAGCTTCAGATCTCTAAGCACTTGCAGGCTGAGTCAGTCAGCCCTCACCTTCCCCCTCCTTCCTGGGCTGCAGAGTGTAACAGAATGGGAAGGCACTGTGGGAAGGAAGTCAGGAATCTTGCTGCTAGCCACGCCTTGCAGTGACTTCTCGTCTGGGAGTGGGCACTGAGTCCTCTCAGTAAACTAATAAGACTTGCACCTGACAAAGGTCAAGATATGTAGGGAACACAGTGTATGCTAGGCTGAGACCTATGGTGGTGGCAGGGGTGGCTGTTGAGCCTGAACTTCCAGTACTCCTGCCCTTCCTTCTGTTTACCTGGCTTGGCCTACAGGGGGCACCCCTGGTCTTGATGCCTCAAGCCCAGCATTTCTGGGTCCCCTCTGCAAGCTCAGAGAGCAGGGAGGCTTCTGGTAGTGCTCTTGATGCTCCTGTGTCTGGTTGGCACAAAGATCCTGTGTAACATGAAATGAAAGGTGCATCAGCTTGGGGGCTGGGAAACCTGCAGTATGGGTTTACTCCGTCCCTATCACTGGTGTGGCTGTGGGCAAACCACTTATTGCCTGACCTACCTCACAGGGATGTTGTGAGGGTTTGATGAGAGAATGAATGTTAATAGGAATTGGAAAATTCAAAGCATTAAACACATGTAAACAGGTGGTATTATTATGTTCTTGTCCTTCTCTTTCACTGAGCCAGGCTTTGGGCTTTATGCTTCTTAGGCAATAAACAGTTATGGATAATGACAGGGGATCTAAGTCTCAGAGAGTTGTTCTGGCCATCATAAGAAAACATGGACACATTTCTTCCTTCCAGATGCAAGGTCAGCTCTTACCAACTCCTGCCAGAAATGCCACCACGGCCATGACTAGTGAAGTTTGCCGTAAGTGCTGCCTACCTGGTGTTCCCAAATCACAGGGCAGACTGCAGATCTCGGAGTCAGTACAATTCCTCCCTAGGTCCAGCCTGAAGTTCCTGGAGCTGGTCTTCGTAGGGAGCTGCAGGTCACAAGTCTATCTAAATCTCTCCTAATTCTGCCCTTCTGAGGGAAAAGTGGAGCAGACAAGCTAGGAAGGGAGGAGCAACTGGAGCAAACAGCATCGCCACAGACCCTCTGTTTACCGAAGCCACAGAATGAGCAACACCTGCCTCAGGCATTGGAGATGCAGAGCAGGGACCCCTGGCTTCCCAGGGTCCACAGCCTGGTTTCCCTTTCCCCATTTCAGGCTCGTGGAATAGGATCAGTCCCCTCCTCCTCCAAGTGCTTTATTGGCATTCACATACACACACACACACACGCACACACACACACTGAAAGCAGTTCTGTTTAAGTTTTAAATTGGGGAAGAATACTTTCCATTCCATTTGTCTGAGAGCAGCAGCAGTCTGCCTGGAGTGGATGCAAAGAAGCAGGAACAGCAAAACAGCAGTGCAGAGGCTTGAATATTCGTTTTTTATCTTAATTGCTTTTTCTGTCCTGGGATCCAGGAATGAAACACTAGTCAGGCATTGTGTGCAGAGCCTCAGCAGTTCTCACCAGCACTGCACAAAGACGACAAGCTGAAAGGCAGAACTGCCCTGGAGGGTGGTTTGAAGTAGCCCGTCTCCAGCATGGCGCTGGGCTTAACCCCTTCATGTAGGCAGAAATTACCTCCAGTGAGGGGACCTTCCCCCTACCCACCCACTCAGGAGACTCAGCTAGTCACCAGATGCATCACAGAATAACAATCTCAGTTTATAATCCTGCTATTGCTAGGATTTCCCAGATGAGTTTTTAACCTCTGTTGGAAGCAGATTAAGGAACGACTTCAGGCTATTCAGTGGCATCTGAGGAGCCAACTCTGTCTCACTGAGTATACATGAGTGGCCCCCTAGCACCCCTATCTTTAAAGCAGATACCCAGTTATCTCATGGTGCTTTCTAAGGATGCTCAGTTCTGCTCAGGCCCCCCAAAAGCAAACTATGACCAAGTGAGGGAGCAGTGGGAGGTAAGGGAAATGCAGCACAAAGTACAATCCAACTCCAGTACTTGCCAACCTGTATGTGTGCGCACATGCACGCATACACCAGCCTTGGAGGCAATGACTCCTGCCTAATGTATGCCAGTGCCAAAGGGCATCCAGAAGTCCCACTGCAGGGCTCCACGTCCTGGCTCACTGCAGGTTGGTTCTCTCAGGCCATGGTTCCAACCAGGGAGAGTAAACAAGCTGACTAGATTGGAGGCGTCAGGGCAGGTCTAAGTGTCTTCACCATTTTGCATTTTCCACCTAAGAGTGTAGAAGCCTGATGAAGGGGCTTGACTGGCAGCTGCTTTAGCCTTCCTCTCTCAAGCCCCAGGAGAGGAAGCATTCAGCACAGGCTGACTGTGACTAGACCAGAAAAGCCAACCGTCCCACTGCAGGGGCCTGAGCCTTTTCTGCTATGTGGGTGGAGAAAGTGAAGCTTCCCCACTGGTTTCCTGGGAGATACAAGATAAGTGGTGCAAGAAGTGCATGCAGAAAGGGAAGGAGTTGAGAGACTGGGGGGAAGAGAGGCCAGGTTAACCAATGCACTGAACTCTTACCTATTCTCAAAGAAAACTGTCATATTAGCCTCCTCCCTCCCCGCAAGTGCTACCTAAGAGGAGCCAGGGTAAGTGCTGCAAGGCATGGCAGACAAAATTGCACATCTTGGCCAGAATCTAAGGAACTTCTTGTGGTTTGGGGGAGGTGGTGAGGATGTGGGTGGTGGGTGGGTGGGGGGTGTTGAAGAGATGCAGCCATGGACTTCCTTGGGCTTGGCACAGGCCAAAACAGAAGAGAGAACTCCAAACTCCAAGTAGTCCTCATCAGACTTGCTCTCCTTATCAGCTTCATCCTGTCAGCCAAATTGTCAGCCATAGAAAAACTGCTTTGCAGATGAAAAACTATATAAATGCAGAGTATGGGAGTGCTCTGACATCAACAGCTGTCATTTCACTGACTGCCAAGGTTGACTTGTCTGATGTGGCTGGTTGTGCAGTAGCTCCACCCCTCGTCACCTTGGTTGTTCCTCCTGAAGTGAAAAACAACTTTCCAAATAGAGGAGGGCTGCCCTTCGGTCAAGACTTTAGGTAAGTATTCAAATTCGCATTCTTTTAATTTTTTTCCTGGTATCATTTCCTCTCCCTCTTTGGAATCTGCCACGACAGCCCCCTTCTAGAATCACCAAGAGAGGAGCCAAAGAATCAGCATGGTTAGAGTTTTAGAGTCCAGTCCAATTTCTGGTAGGCTGAATCTGTACCAAAACGTAGGGACTGCATTTTTCTGTTCCACGCAATGCCTAGGACACACTAAACTGTCAAGGAAGATTAACCTGCCCATTAGGTGAATATACTTTTAGCCTAAGATGGCTACCATTTACAACATGAAAATACTGATAATAAAATTCTGTGAAAGTGAGCTGCTGCCCACCATTTTTTAAAACCCAATCCAAGCATTTTTTCCATGGTATGGTCAGTAGGCTTGATCCAGACTTTTAAGAGAACTCGGCAGGGAGGCAACCCTCTGCCCTAGGGATCCAGGAAGACTTCATTATCTACAAGCCTCAGCGAGCGCCAAGTCATGGGATTTCTAAACTCTAAAGCTTCAGTGACATTTGAGAATCTTAGGGGTCAGCAAAGTATGGTCTGTTGGTCAAACCAGCCCACTGCCTGGTTTTATGTGGCCTGTGAGCTAATAGTAGTTTATATATATATATATATATATATATAACATTTTTTTTTTTTGAGATGGAGTCTTGCTCTGTTGCCCAGGCTGGAGTGCAGTGGCGCTATCTTGGCTAACTGCAAGCTCCACCTCCCGGGTTCACCCCATTCTCCTGCCTCAGCCTCCTGCGTAGCTGGGACTACAGGCGCCCACCACCACACCCGGCTAATTTTTTGTATTTTTAGTGGAGACGGGGTTTCACCGTGTTAGCCAAGATGGTCTCGATCTCCTGACCTTGTGATCCACCTGTCTCGGCCTCCCAAAGTGCTGGGATTACAGGCGTGAGCCACCGCGCCCGGCCTAGTTTATATATTTTTTAATGCTTGGAAAAACTCAAAAGGCATGTTAAAATATGAAATTCAAATTTCAATGTCCATAAGTCAAATCTTTTTTGGACCACAGCCACAGTCATTCATTTTTGTCCTGTCTGTGGCTACACTCAAGCTATAGCAGCACAGCTGAGTTGTAACAGAGACTGTGTGGTCTGCAGAGCCTAAAATATTTACTATCTGGCTCGTTAGGGAAAATGTTTGCTGACCCCGGTCCATCTTAATGCCTAGATGTGTATTTCACCCATGTCCGTACAATAGCACTTAAAGATTTTCTTCCTAGATAGGACACACCCTTCTGAGGTACAGTGAACCCCACCCACAGGCTGAAAAAATAAACCAGTCAGATTGTGCCAGAACAGAGACTCAAGCCAGGTTTAATGATCATTGTCTAGTTTTCAGAGCCCAGAGGCTCCAAGATTTGCCAGCCTAGGTGTACACAAGTGGGAGGAATGGGGTCTTGGACACGGGAGGCCTGCTTGCTTTGTCAGCAGAGCTACGAGGAAGTACAGAGGTAAGAACACACAGAAAACTGGATCCATCTGCTTTGCTCTCCCCAGCTGGGGTGTACCCTCTCCTGGCCCCTTTCTTGGGCCCCATAAATACAAAATAATAATAATAATAATAATTACACAGATTGTAGAGCCCTGTCATCCTCTGTCTCCAGGGACACCTGCTTCCTGGGAGACATGTCTGGTTTATGGGTGTGGGGTAGGGTAAGAGGAGGTGGTGATCTCTCGGCCTTTTCTTATACCCACACCTGGCAGTTTTCAACACAGGGTTCTAGTGCGCTTACATATGCTGATTATTCAATTCTCCAATTAAAAAGCTACCTTTGGGTTCTATCACCTGAAACCACGGGAAGAAACAAATCAAATCTCTTGGTAGGGCAGCCAGGTACATCTACCAGGTGTCTCAAACTCAAGGCCAAACTAGTGGATATAGTCAGGAGACTTAAGAGCCACAGGGCCTTTTCTCATTCCCTAAACTGGGTAGGAATTATGAAGAAAACGGCCCTCCCAGTCCTCAGGAGCTCCATCACGATGCCCCAGAAGGCCTGCTTCATTTAACGCTCACTTTAAAGATCTTCAGAGCCCTAGATGGTGCCAAGCGGGGAGACTGCAGCATGGAGATGAGATTTTCCCAGATTTCCTGATGAGTCTGAGGAGGGAGTCCTAGTTCCTATAGCTCCAGTAACAAAATTCTCAGGAGTCTCTGGAATAAATCAAGACAACTTTTCTCTCCTGAGGACAGTTAACAGGAAGAGCAGCTCACAGCTACTTAGCCCCTTGCCAGTTTCCTTCTGAGTCCTTCAATGACCTAGTTCTATCTTAATTGCTCATATATTGCTCATATATATAGTCTTCACGGGAGGTTTCTGAGGAGTCCAAAGAACCAGGTAGCTCCTTACCACCTCTTCTCCCAAGGCCTTCAACCCATGGTTCTTCTAACTCCAGCCTGGGCAGAAAAGTGATTCAGTGCCATGGAGATGTGGGTGAAGCTTCAGGGAGTTCAGAAATGAAAATACAGGAGTGTGTATTTGAAGAGCCTGGCATGGTCACTGTCTCTCCTAAAGAGGAATACAATTGTGTGCATGAAGTTGTGCACATTGGTGGAGACCATTCTGAGAGTATCATTAATGGGGACTACAGATTCACTGTCCTGGTGGAAGTCAAGGTGCTGGTGTGCATGCATACCTATAAGCATGCATACCTATGAGCATGCAGGTACTTGAGGGAAATGCTGCACCTCTCTCTCAACAAAACTAGGTTACTAATAAAGGATGGACAGCAGTCTTGAGTTCCCAGGACCAGACAAGGGGAAGATGTTGAGTCCCCTTCCCCAATCATAATAGGAAGCTTAATAGTCAGGCCCTCCAAGCCCCTCACCCACAGGTAAATGACACCTCTTAGAATGTAAAAAGAGGTCAGAAATCTAGAGGATCTGGAGAACTTCCAATGGACTAGAAACGTGGGAGAGAAGAGACCCTAAGAAAAACCAACATCAGAGAACATTTTCACCTTCACCCTGCTCATCCCCCGCCAAAGCTCAGAGCAGCCACTCACAGGGCATGCAGTGTAGTCAAAGGGAAAGGTTAAAGGGATCGGTCATCTCCATACTCAAAGTATTCTGCAACCTTGGATGGAATGGAATGTTGAGCTCATTCTTCTTAAGTTCCTCTGGCCTCACAACCACAACTGCAAAGACCTCTCGATGGAGGAATGGGGTGGCAGAACTCCCCTTCTGAAAGTTTAGTACTACTGATTATCTCTGCTTCAGGATTGCCTGGAATCTGTGGAGAGGGCAGAACTTGAAGCTGCACTCCAAATTGCCATTCTGGGGTAGAGACCACCCAATTCCAACCCTTCTGATGTCAAAACCCCATGCTTTGACTTTGCAGCAGAGGTGGTATCTCTGAGAGGAGCAAGGCAACCTTGTCCACACAGAGGAGATATATACTGGATTTTCACTATCGCCAAGCCTACTCTAAGCCAGCTGGGGCCAGGCTTTCTTGGACTCCTCCCTTTACAGAGCAGCATATTAGGGAAAATTCAGAATCCCACCTGAGCTTGATAAGGAGACTGGATGAAGAGATGGCATACATTGAGAATCAGCTAGGTCCAGCTGGATGCTACATAATAGAGGCTGATTTACCTTCATCCTTCTATCGTGAAGTGGGCCCATGTACCACGTCTGTGGCAGGCATCCATAAAAGCTCTGCCTTCAGCAGCCCCCACTCTGGCCTGACACACAGATGCTGGGAATCAAATACTAACCAAGGGTTTCACCAACCAGGGAATTAGCCTATCTGGAATTCACCCCCCATCTACAAGTTTCGTGCTGGCACCTATGCTGTGACATGGACCCTTCAGTTCATGCTATAACCCTCTGTGCCATTGGTCCCAGGACAAGGCACAGATACCACATCCCACATTGCTGTTGTAACTAAAAGGCAGCAGGCCAGGCTCCTGCAAAGATCCATCCACCCAGGGCACATCAGGAAAAAGGAAGGCTTTAATGCAAAGTCTTACAACAGCTTTGGGGAATTGTTACCGATTGAGGTCTCAGCCTTTTCCTGACTCATTTTCCAAAGGTTTTCAACTTCCCCAGCTGTGAAGTTTGACTTGCTAAACAAAGAAGATACTACAGCTTTTCCCCAGTGTGGCTCCTGTGGAAGCTCCCCCAACACACACAACATCACAGGTGTGGGTGGGCAGAGATAGAAAAAATTTTTTTTTCTAAATGTTTTTCTCTTAAGGAGCTAGGGATGACCTCATGAAAGTTTAGGGAATCTGTTCTTCCCCTCACTCCTTCCTCATTCCCATCCAACTCAGACATGCTTCTCTTCCTCTACCACACTGAGAATTGGCAGGGCTTTGGGTACGGGTGTAGCATTTGCCTGAGGATTAATATACCCCCATTTGAAAATCGTGGCAGCCACGCCCTGTTTGGGGTCTTGCTCTCTGTTGTACCTGGGACCAATTCCCTTGAGGTCAGGAGGAATCCATTCCCTTGGGCAGCCAGCCCTCTCTTCCATCCCCTCATATCCTTCAGGGGTGCATTACCTCTCCTGGGGCAGAATCTCCCCACCAACCCATCCTGCTCACACCACAATGGGCGTATCAGAGAAGACCGAGCTGACTGATTCTGGATCCGACATCCTCCGTTGGCCCTTGCCTGTGGCCTCAGGCACTGGCAGGGTGTTGCCTGGCTTGAGCTTGCCGTTTTGACCCTGCCCAGGTCCAGCAGGTTCCAGGAAAGCCACCCGCCGGTCAAAACCATCATCTTTGTCCCCACCAGCCATAGGATCATGGTTGGGTGTGGTACTAAGCATGGAAGAGCTGAGGCTGTCTCCTTGATGGCTGGAAGGCTTCTCTACACCCCGGCACCAGCAGCGGCAAGGGGTGAGGTATAGGTATATGAGGACCAGGACCACACTAAGGATACAGCCCACTAGGGTGGTATAGGCTGTGTTGAGGGTGTCATGGTGTCCGTGCAAGGTGAAATTGTGCACTTTCAATTCCACAGACAGTGTCTCATTGAAAGTCTCTCCCATGGCATAGCAGGTATACACACCACCGTCCTCGACCTGCACCTGCTGGAAAAGAAGACTGCCATCCTTAGACACACTCACTGTGCCATTGGTCACCTCATCTAGCACCCGTTCATTACTTGGTGTCACCCACACCTTGGTCATCCCTTGCTGCTTGGTGTCACACTTGATGATCAAGGTGTCACCCAGGTGGGCCTCCCAGGCACGCTCCTTGTACTCGCCACAGTTGAGGAAACTCAGGTTGAAGACATTGTGCAGCTTCTTGGAGTTCATGCAGTACAGATCCTCTTGAAAGTCCATCACGGAGCTCAGCTGCCGATACTGCCAGTGTGAAAACAGCTGGTAGAGCTCACAGTCGCAGTTCAGGGGGTTGTTATGTAGGTACAGCCCATTCTTGATCCAGGCCGGCAGCTTCTGCAGGTCAGGCAATGGCAAGTTCTTCAGCTTGTTAGAAGAGAGATCCAGGAGCGTTAGTTTGGGTAGCTTGGCTCCTTCCTTGACCAGTTCCAGAGGGAAGCGAGAGATCTGGTTCTGGCTCAAGTAGAGTTTCTGCAGCTGGGCCATGTCATCGAAGGCGCACCGGTCCACCGCCATGATGTGGTTATTGTAGAGCAGCAGCACCTCCAGTACTTGCAGGTCACTGAACAGGAACTCATCCAGTGTACGCAGCTGGTTGGAGGAGAGGTCCAGGTAGCGCAGGTTGGGTACCGGGGAAAAGGCCTCAGAGGAGATGAAGTTCAGGTGGTTGTGGCTCAGCAGCAGGGAGTGCAGTTGGGTCAGGCGCGTGGGGGTCCACTCGGCCCGCAGGCGGCTCAGGTTGTTGTGACTGAGGTCCAGTAGTGCTGTGTAACTGGGCAAGGAATGGGGCACATTGGGCAGCTGCTGCTTGGAGCAGCTGAGGATGTTGCTGGCGCACAAGCAGGCGGCAGGACAGCTAACCACGGCTCGGCCAGCTCTGGCCACCTCAAAAAGCAGCAGGGACAAGGACGGCAGCAGGAGCCAGAGGCCTCTCGGGTCACGGTGGGGGTGCATAGTGTCACTGGAGTGGGCGAGGAAGGCCACAAGGAAGATCTGGGAGGAGGTCACCCGGGCATGTTCTGGTGGGGTACGGAAGGGTCACTTGAGAGAAAGAGGATGGGTTTGTGGTCACCAAGGACTCCAGAGGGAAGGACACCCTCTCCCACTTCCCCTCCCACCCTTACCTCCACCCCCTTTGGGCTAGGAGAGAGAGATGCTGGGTAGTTTCCAGGCACTGTGCAGGCAGTGGGCTGTAAATATCGGCCGAAGAGGAGGTGGCCCGAGGGCCTACTGGGCTGGGGTCACAGGGGTGCAGGCTGCAGGTATGCACAGGATGGCAGGGACTGCTGGGAGTCACAGGGATGGCACGGGCAGGGTTTGGAGGTGGGGTCGGTGTGCCTTTTGGGAGGAGCTGAGGGAAGGTCAACAGGGCACCGGGCTGGGTAGGACGCGTCCGGTCGGGGTTGAGGGTCCCCGGGGCCTGTAGGGGCGGGCTCCCCCCGGGGCCTCCGGTCACTGCACCTGCTCGGCGAGGACGTGTCTCAGCCCATGGCCGGTCTGGGAGCTCCGTCGCGGCCTCTCCCGGCGGCGCCTCACCGGCCGGCCTGTCACTGCGCCCACCTTACGCAGGGGCCCGCGCCCGGCACCGTCGCCTCCCGGGGACTTGCGGGGCCCCGCTCCGCTCACCCTGCCACCGCCTCGACCGCTGAGCCCGCCGGAGCCCACCGACCGCGGTCGCTGCCTCCAGGTCCGCAGGCCTGGCGCGGATCGGTGCGGGGAGCCGGAGGCGCAGCGATCCCAGCGGAGGGAGCGGCGTGGGGGCAGCGAGCACCGCGCGCGCGCCCGTCGCCGCCGCCGGAGCCTCGGGGCGCGTGCGCGCGGCGGGGGCGGGGCGCACGTGCGTGTGTTTGTGTCGGAGCCGGCCGGGCGGACGCGCGCGGGGTCGTTCCCTCAACCAGCGAGCTCCGGACGCTGAGCTAAAGACGAAAATTGGCAGGAAGAGCGGCACTGGCCCCTTAGGCTCCGCTATAACTTCCTCCATCCCCCATTCCCCCATCTCCCAGCACCCTTCTCGCTACACAGACCGGCTCTCAGGAAAAGTCTAACTAAAGTGAATTCGCTGCACCTACTCGGGCAAGAGGCGTCACATGTCTTTTAATTTCGCAAATTGAAGAAATCTGGCTCAGCTCCCGCCTGCCAATGTTGGCGGGAAATTCATTAGTCACATTCTGAGGTTCCCCCTCCCTTCTCTCTGTGGCTGTGGGGTCTCAAAAATTGGGGGAGGGGTTCCCCCCACCCCACCCCCGTCTTGATGCTACTAGTTCATGACCCTTGAGGTACCACTGAAGGGCACAGCTCCTTAGCCTGCAAGCCAGCTGCGCAGGAGTGAGGGGAAAGGGGGTGTTTGGTGAGCCCAGGCCCCAGAACACCCCTTTACAGACACCTCATGCACCTCTCCCCACTCCACCTGCTACACACACACACACACACACACACACACACACACACACACACACGGACTGCATACAAGCCAGGGACAATTTCCATTCCTGGAAACTCCGAAACCCTTCCCAGCCCGGAGGAAGTCATTCAGCCCTTAGGTCTGGCCACTTGCCTTCTTCCTAAACCAGTGCCAGCTCCCCACTCCCCTTATGGAGCAATTGCAACATAGTTTCTCTGTTACCTAATCCTCAAGATGAAGGCCAGTGGTGGAGGTGGAGGGGTTTCTTCTTTAGGGTGGCCCCTGAAACAACAAGAAGCTGTTACTAGTGTATGTTGTTTGGGTTTGGGGGTGAGGAAAGAGAGAGATGCAGGAAGAGCCTAGACCTTATCATTCAAGATGTTAGCTGTTCTTGAGATGGTGGACCATAAGAAATTACCTTTTTATTTGTTCCAGTCTCTTATAACAGCAAGATCAAGACTGAAATTAATGTCTCAGTAGATTAGCTTGCTAAGAGTTTTAAAAAGAATTTATATCTGTCACATGTTTTACCATGAATTTTAGTGAATATATTATCTCTTCAAGGAGTATTAGCGTGTTAATCTTATGCATAGTGTGAAAAGGTCTTTCTGCAAGGTGCAGTGGCTCACACCTGTAATCCCAGCACTTTGGGAGGCTGCGGCAGGAGGATTGCTTGAACCCAGGAGTTCGAGAGCAGCCTGGGCAACATGGTGAGACTCTGTCTCTTAAAAAAAAAAAAGGCATGGTGGCACGCACCTGTGGTGCCCACTACTTGAGAGGCTGAGGTCGGAGGATCACTTGAGCCCTGGAGGTCAAGGCTGCAGTGAGCCATGTTTGTGTCACTGCATTCCAGCCTGGGTGACAGAGCAAGATCCTGTCTCAAAAAAAAAAAAAAAAAAGAAAGAAAGAAAGAAAGAAAGAAAGAAAGAAAGAAAGAAAGAAAGAAAGAAAAAAGAGAAAGATGTTCTGTTCTGTTCATTTCAGGCATCATTGAAAAGATGAGGAGGGTAATCTTTTTGGAGGACAAGGTGTGAAGAATCTTGAAATCACATTGCATCAGTTATCTATTGCTGCATAATCACATTACCCCAAAACTTAGTGACTTCCTACAGCAATATACATTTATTGCCTTTCACAGTGTCTGTTGGTCAGATTCAAGAGCAGTCTGGTGGACAGTTCTGGCTTGGCAGTTTCTCATGCAGTTATGCGTTAGATGGAGCTACAGTCATTAGAAGGCTTCACTGGGGCCATAGAGGCTCACTTAAATTCATGTGGCTGGCTGTTGGCAGGAAACCTCTATTCTTATCCATAAAGGTCTCTCCACAAGACAGCTTGAGTTTCCTCACAACACGGTAGCTGACTTCCCTCAGAGCAAGAGATGCAAGAGACAGCAAGACAGAAGTCACAGTGATCTGGCTCTTTGAAGTGATGGATATCACCTCCACTTTGGTCACATATGCAATTCCTGATTCAATATGGAAGAACTACACAAGGGCACAAATACCAGGAAGAGAGGATCATTGGGACCATCTTGGAGGCTGGCTATCACACACATCATCTCTGAAGTTACATCTATTTTTTAATTTTGAGAATTTTCAAACATACACAAAAGTGAATAGTACAATGAACTCCCATATACCCATCACCCATTTCAATAATTATTAAAGAAATGTCATCATTTTATTTTGTACAAATATTCCTGAGAAACATATGCTCCTCTCACCCCACCCCTCATCTGCATGTTGCATATTTTCTTTTCACCCCAGTGTTGTTCCAGGCTCTCTCCTCTCCCTTTCCTCTTTATTTTTATTTTTTAGACAGAGTTTCGCTGTTGTCACCCAGGCTGCAGTGCCGTGGCATGATCTTGGCTCACTGCAACCTCCGCCTCCTGGGTTCAAGTGGTTCTCCTGCCTCAGCCTCCCAAGTAGCTGGGATTACGGATGCCTGCTACCATGCCCAGCTAATTTTTATATTTTTAGTAATGACAGGGTTTCACCATGTTGGCCAGGCTGGTCTCGAACTCCTGACCTCAGGTAATCTGCCTGCCTCGGCCTCCCAAAGTGCTGGAATTACAGGTGTAAGCCACCATGCCCGGCCTCCCTTTCCTCTTTCTGCTGTGTCCAAGGCGTGGGAGAGAGACAGATAGAAAGAAAAAGGCCCCTTATGATGGATACCAGTTTCAAGAGTGGGTGTCTACAATTTGGAAGGGTCACCACACGATATGTTCTTTAATCAGTCTCTTTTTTCAGCTAATCCATATCCTTTTAAAAGTAATCATTTTGGCTGGGTGCGGTGGCTCACCCCTGTAATTCCAGCCCTTTGGGAGGCTGAGGCAGGCAAATCACATGAAGCAGGAGTTCGAGACCAGCCTGGCCAACATGGCAAAACTCCATCTCTACTAAAAATACAAAAATTAGCTGGGCGTGGTGGTACATGCCTGTAATCCCAGCTACTCGGGTAGCTGAGGCATGAGAATCACTTGAACCTGGGAGGTGGAAGTTGCCGTGAGCTGAGATCATGCCACTGTGCTCCAGCCTGGGTGACAGAGACTCTGTCTCAGAATAAATAAATAAATAAAAATATAAACTAACCATATCCTTTTAAAATGTTAATGTGCAGACAAATCAGCGGGGTATCTTATAATCATGGAGATTCTGAATCACCAGGACTGGGGTGTGGCCTGAGATTCTGCTTTTCCAGCAAACTAACAAGATGATGCCAATGCTTCTTTGAGACCACATTTTAAGTAGCAAGGATCTAGAGTTGTGCTGCCTAATTGGTAGCCAGCAGCATTTGTGGCTACTTAAATTAATTAAAATTAAATATAAATCACTTCTTCAGTTTCCTTAGCCACATTTCAAATGTTTATGGCCATATGTGGCCAGCTACCCTGTTGAACAACGCATTGTCACAGAAAGTTTCATGATGGCACTGGTTTAGATAATTGACTCATAATAACTTTCCCACAGGTGCTCTTTAGACCGGAACAACTATTAATTCACAACAAAAGAAGATCTGGGCAAGATAAATAGCAACAGGTTATTTAGTGAGTATGTATTTCCATTTGCTGGAATGGACCAACTCAATATTCCTAAATGCAATTTGAGAGGTTGTTTGGTTAGCTCAGCACTTGAGCAAAAGCAGCTGGATGTGTCTCCCAGTTTATGAGACTGGATGAATTCCTTTTCTCCACACTACAAGTATTTTTTGCTTTCTTAATAGCTAATACTAGCCATCAGAATCAGAGTGGAGAAGGCTGGTAGCAGTGGCTTATGCCTGTGATCCCAGCACTTTAGCAGGTCAAGGCAGGTGGATCATTTAAGCTCAGGAGTTCAAGACCAGCCTGGGCAACATGGAGAAACCCTGTCTCTACTTAAAATACAAAAATTAACCAGGCATGGTGGCATGCTTCTGTAGTCCCAGCTACTTGGGAGGCTGAAGTGGGAAGATGGCTTGAGCCCAGGAGGCAGAGGTTGCAGTGAGCCAAGATCATGCCACTGCACTCCAGCCTGGACAACAGAGCCAGACCCTGTATCAAAAAAAAAAAAAAAAAAAAAAAAAAAAAGAAAAGAAAAGAAAAAAGACTTAGAGCGGAGAATGCCGAGGGAAGACACCCTATTAAGAAGCTATCTTCTGGCCGGGTACAGTGGCTCACGCCTGTAATCCCAGCACTTTGGGAGGCCAAGGAGGGCAGATCTTTAGGCCAGGAGTTCGAAACCAGCCTGGCCAACATGACGAAACCCCGTCTCCACTAAAAATACAAAAATTAGCCTGGTGTGATGACACACCTGTAATCCCAGCTACCCAGGAGGCTGAGGCATGAGAATTGCTTGAACCTGGGAGGCAGAGGTTTCAGTGAGCCGAAATCATGCCACTACACTCCAGCCTGGGCAACAGAGCAAGACTCTGTCTCCAAAAAAAATTTAAAAATTTAAATATTTTAAGTATTCTTGTATTTTGTGGAGATCCCAATAGTATTACTCATATTAGCAACTTTGTATTTTTTTGGATGTCTCCAAAAAGGGGGGGCCTCTAAAAATTAGGCTATTTGGGGGTGGGTAGCAATAAAGATGAGTCTTTTGTTATGAATTGCTTAAATGGCTAATATTTTAGCCCTCACCACTAGGTTGAGCCCTTTTTTTTTTTTTTTTAGACAAAGTTTTGCTCTGTCTCCAGGCTGGAGTGCAGTGGTGCGATCTCGGCTCACTGCAACCTCCGCCTCCTGGGTTCAAGTGATTCCCCTGCCTCAGCCTCCCGAGTAGCTGGGACTACAGGCACAGGCCACCACGCCCATCTAATTTTTTGTATTTTTAGTACAGATGGAGTTTCACCATGCTGGCCAGTGTTGTCTTGATCTCTTGACCTCCTGGACCTCCCAAAGTGTTGGGATTACAGGCGTGAGCCACCGCGCCTGGCTGGATTGAGCCCTTTCTGTATCTAGCAGTTCACTCACGGTTCCATGTTCGGTTTGTTCCTGAAAGTGCTCACTCTTGAGAACTCCTTTTGCCATCCTCCTGCCCCCACCTCCATAAACCATCAATCATTTCACTGACCTTTTAACCTTTTAAAATGCTCACACATTGATTTACTCAATGTCCAGGAGGCAAATACTCCCTCTGTTTAGACAACCGGCATCGGAGTCCCTTTTTCCAGTCTTTTCTCTTTCCACCTCAACTCTGCACACTTCCTGGAAGCTCCACTTGATCTGCAGAAACCACAAGAATGTACATACCAATTAGGGGCAGCTGAGGGCTCACTGATGTAGGTGGAGGCATGCCATGGACACCTATCCATGTCCCGGGCTCTTCAGGTTTGTCAAACAAATCTGAAGACATCTGCTTAATCTATAGCTCATGCACTACAGTCAGGACTAACCTGCCACCAAAGTGGTGATCATTCTAGATGGCTAAGTCATGAACATTTTCTTGACTTTTAACACTTACATATGGATATCTCAAAACAACTCTGCACTGGGTCATCATCAGATAGATGTGTCTTTGAAGTATGGCTGAACAATAAATTCATGGTTCAAAATGTTATTTTAGCCCTTAGGGATGGAGTTCACCACCACAGTCCACCTACAGCTGACCCAATATCCCAAAGATGGAAGACTATAGTTCCAAGGCCTTGTTACAAATAAGACTACCTTGGAGCTCCTGCCATGGGGGCCTGGATAACCAGGAAGTCCTCCAAAAGGAATCTTATATTTTTTTCATTAAGAAGTTTTGTCATAAGTGTGAAAATATTTTCTTTTCCTGTACATGCAATCCTCTCTTTTGATTTCTAAAGGCTTTATATCTAAAATTAAATCCTAGCTAATGTTGAGACTTCTAAGCTAATTTTCATATATGAATTTTTTTTTTTTTTTTTTGAGACAAAGTCTCACTCTGTCACCCAGGTTGGAGTGCAGTGTTGTGATCACAGCTCACTGCAGCTTTGACCTCCTGGGCTCAGGTGATCTTCCCACCCCCACCTCCCAAAGAATTGGGACTACAGGTATGTGTCACCATGCCCAGCTAATTTTTTAATTTTTTTGTAGAGACAAGGTTTTGCCATGTTGGCCAGGCTGGTCTCAAACTCCTGGGCTCAAATGATCCACCCGCCTCAGCCTCCCAAAGTGCTGGAATTACAGGCATAAGCCACTGCGCCAGGCCCATATATAAATTGTTGACTAGTTTGTCTTATATTTGGAAAGTTAATATTCTAGTTTAGGAAGTCAGCACTTTTATGATTTAGGGAAGGATTATAGTTAGATTCAATGTTTAGCTTATAGTTAAAAGTTTCTTTCCGTGATCTGCAGCCATTTGATTACTATTTGAGTTTACGGATCTGTCTCCTCTAATCATGCTTTCTGAGCCCATAGCTACTCATTTGTCTTTGAAGTTTCTACTCTTCAACCACTTAAGAGTATTCTTAGCAAATTCTCAGAGTAATCACAGTACTAGCTCATCTAGCCCTTACCTATAATGAGAGAACTTTAGACTACCCGCCTGTGCTGGAAGAGGCCATAGCAGTCAAGTTCACAAGCTGGTTCATGGCAGAACTGAGTTAGAAGCCTAGAGAAAGAGTGTAGCTTTGTGGTTAAGGGAGTAGGCTCTGGAGCTAGGCTCCTTGGGATCCTATCCTGGCTCTGCCACCCACTGTGTGACTTGAGCTAGTTACTTAACCTATAAAATGGGGATAATAAGAATACTTGCCTAATGGGGTTGTTGTGAGGATTTACTGAGTTCAGGAATCTAGGAGATACTAGAACACCAAGTAGGCTCTCTATAAATGTGAAGAGGTAGGAGTGGGCTGTCTCCTGCATCCTTGGTCAAGGTTCTTTTCAATGCATCATAACATTTTCAGGGATAGTGCAAGGCAGATAGAACTGAGGAAAAGTTCTATCTGTAGTCTGTGCTGTCCAGAGCCTGCCTTCTGGGGCTCCAGGCCAAGGTTACAGGAGAGCTAAGTACTAAGTGTTGATGAATGGGAATCTAGGATGAGGAAGTCATTGGGAAGCCACAGTAGGGGCTGAAGGAGTGAAGAGGACCCAGGATCAGTAACAGAGCAGTCAGTTCCTGCGAGGGCACACGCCAGACCAGCAGGAAGGGCAAGGTCTGACTCCCCAGAGCAGGCAGCAGTTCCTTAAAAATCACAGGCAAAGGTGCTCCGGCTGTACTTAGTTTGAGTCAGACCATAGCCGGAGTCTAAAGTTCAGCTCTGGGCATCTCATTTACAGTCTGGAGCACAGCCAGAGGTAGTTGATGGAGTGGTACACAGTCTAATAATCATTCATATGCATTCACTCACACACATCTGTTGAGCCCCTAGGGCAGAGCACTGTGTTACATGCCTGTGGTGAGGCTGGGTGAAGCAGGATGCAAATACGCTTTAGAAATAGTTTCTTCTCTCTAGGACTTAGAAGGTAAGATATGTGGATTCTACACAATTTAGCAAATATCTGTCAGTTGCTCATTATGTTAAGGACTCTATGTAGGGTATGTACTTCGTGGCCAATAGAAAGAGAATTGGACTAAGTGCCAAGAAAGCTGGATTCCAGTCTTACCCCGTGTATTAGGCCATTCTTCCCTTGCTATAAAGAAATATCGGAGACTGGATAATTTGTAAAGAAAATGTCCAATTGGCTCACCATTCTGCAGGCTGTACAGGAAGCACAGCAGCATCTGCTTCCGGGAAGGCCTCAGGGAGCGTTTACTCATGGAGCAGGCACTTCCCATGGTGAAAGCAGGGGCAAGGGGCTGGGGGAGGTGCCACACACTTTTAAATGACCAGATCTCATGAGAAGTCATTATCACAAAGATAGCACCAAGCCATGCAGGATCTGCCCCAGTGATCCAACCTCTAGCATTGAGGATTACAATTCAACATGAGATTTGGGTGGGGACAAATATCCAAACTATGTGACTCCTGTCATCATCTGGCTGTGTAACTGTGGACGAGTTACAGTGGGGCTCAGTTTTCTCACATATAAAATGGAAGTTATAATACCTGCACTATTAAAAGTACAAATTCTAGAGCTCCTGAGCAACCGAATCAGAATCTTCATGGGAGGAGCCTGGGAAGTGTTTTGAGCATCAGGACACTTGGGAAACACCACCCCTCAGGGCCATGTTCTCCATGTTTAGGCCTCAAACTGTGTACATCAGAATCTCCAAGGAACTTCAAAAGAGGATTTCAAGGCCCACCCCAGACTTTCCTAGAACTCTGGAGATGGTGCCTGAGAATCTGTATTTAAGGTGACTCTTTTTTTTTTTTTTTTTTTTTTAGACGGAGTCTTGCTCTGTCGCCCAGGCTGGAGTGCAGTGGTGTGGCGGGATCTTGGCTCACTGCAAGCTCTGCCTCCCGGGTTCCACTATTCTGCCTCAGCCTCCCAAGTAGCTGGGACCGCAGGCACCCGCCACCACCCCAGCTAATTTTTTGTATTTTTAGTAGAGACGGGGTTTCACCATGTTAGCCAGGATAGTCTCGATCTCCTCACCTCGTGATCCACCCTCCTCAGCCTCCCAAAGTGCTGGATTACAGGCGTGAGCCACCATGCCCAGCCTAAGGTGATTCTTTATACCGCCAACTTTAAGCACCACTATTACAGAATTTTGGTGAGGATTAAATGAGAACAGATGTGAACACTTTGATAGCTCATATATGAGAGATGACCGAGCAATGGGAGATTTTTACTTTGGGAGGAATTTATCATAACCATTTCTGAAAGTTGAAGCATTGTGCATTAGTCAGAATCTTTGGAACTGCAAAGAAGAATGATACCTAACAGGCTTTAGGAAGAAAGGTTTACTGCAGGACTCCACATGGTAGCTGGTGAGTTGCCTTATTAGCTGTAGTCACTGTGGTCCCAGTGCTTCCAAGACTTGGAGAACTGAACTCGTGTTTTGAAATGGCAGAAAGAGGCCCATAACCAAAAGTCATCCACCTTCTTTCATTTCCATCAGGGAGTTTACTTCCTCAAAAAACAGGCTTTGAATGAGTCAAATTGCCACCACCTAATATTGAGCACTCTTTTGGGGGCAGAATTCTTATCAAGGCCTTTCCTTTGGCCTCCTGTGTCCCCCACCCATACAAGGTTAATTTCAGTATGTGGACTAATCCCCATTCCATCATCTGTGGTAAGAGTAGCAGTTAGTTTTGTTCAAGATACATAACACCTTGGGGATCTGCTTTCTTCAGAAAAGTAAGCAGGAAATATATTAAAAAGAAAGCATTTTGAGGCCTGTTTATCTAGTATAGATTTTCATGAAAAGAGAGAATAAACAAACCATGGTTCTGAAATTTGGTAATACACGTCTCTTTGTGAAACCCATGGATTCCCCACCCGAAGCACATGGGCAAGGCACACACAATTTTATGCACATTTCTTGGGGGCATGGACTTTATAAAGCCTATCCATGGACACCTAGGTTGAGAATCTGTGCTCTTCTGGGCCTTTAAAGGGCAGAAGTATACTACTGGGTGGAAGGGTCAGAGACACAGATTTCCTTTGCATGTACAGAAACATCTTCTGACATTTCAATTGTCCAATAATGAATCTTTCCCATCTTGAGGTAGTGAACTCCCATCACAGGAAGCACCCAAGTAGGAGCTGGATGACGACTTTGCACAGATGTCCATTCATTTATTTATTATTACTATTGTTATTTTTGAGACAGAGTCTCACTCTATCACCCAGTCTGGAGTGCAGTTTCCTATGTGTCTATCTTTGGGGTTTTGTTTGTTTGTTTGAGACAGTCTCACTCTGTTGCCGAGGCTGGAGTGCAGTGGCGCAATCTCAGCTCACTGCAACCTCCACCTCCTGGGTTCAGGCGATTCTCATGCCTCAGCCTCCTGAGTAGCTGGGATTACAGGCACATGCCACCATGCCCAGCTAATTTTTGTATTTTTAGTAGAGATGGGGTTTCCCCATGTTGGCCAGGCTGGTCTGGAACTCCTGGCCTCAGGTAATCCACCTGCCTCAGCTTCCCAAAGCGCTGGGATTACAGGCGTGAGCCACTGCGCCCAGCCTTTCTGTTTATCTTTATGTTCCACTTTTCTACTATACACTCACAGGAGTTATTGCTATATGTGAATGGGAGTGTGTGATAGAATGAATGAACAAATAGGCCAGGCATGGTGGCTCACGCCTGTAATCCCAGCACTTTGGGAGGCCAAGGCAGGTGGATCACTTGAGTCCAGGAGTTGGAGACCAGCCTGGCCAACATGGCAAAACCCTGCCTCTACTAAAAAAAAAAAAAAAAAAAAAAAATAGCCGGGTGTGGTGGCCCACACCTGTAGTACCAGCTAACTGGGAGACTGAGGTACAAGAATCGCTTGAACCCAGGAGGTGGAGGTTACAGTAAGCTGAGATTGCGCCACTGCACTCCAGCCTGGGCAACAAAGCAAGACTCTGTTTCAAACAAACAAAACCCCCAAAGATGGACACATAGGAAACTGTTTCTGTCCTTAAGTGCCGTGATATAGTGAAGGAAACCAAGACACAGATGGCCACAATGAATGGTGACAGGTAATATAAGAGCCCATGTGTAAAGAGCTTAGGAAGACAGAGAAGGGAGCAAGCTTGTGGAGGAGTCCTGCATAGGGCCAGAAGTTGACCAGATGACCACTTCCAACTCTAGTACCACATGCAGCAGTGGGGCCAAGGGGTAGCTGGGGGCATGAGGTGGGCTTTAGCCATGCCACTCCAAACAGATGCATAATCTATGTTTTTTAAAAAATGTACTTGATACACAAATACAGCTTCAGGAGGAGTCTTCCAGCTCCCCCTACCTCCTCCTGCCTTCTGCCTTTCAACCACATGGCAGCTTCTTAGACTGTCCTATATGGGCATTCTAGAAGTGCTACTGATCTAATTTTTTGTTTTGTTTGGTTTTTAGATACAGGGTCTCACTATGTTGCCCAGACCAGACTCACTCAAACTCCTAGGCTCAAGTGATCGTCCCGCTTCAATCTCCTGAGTCTGGGACTATGTAGGCATGCTCTACTACACCAGGTCTATATTTCATGAAGTTATCAAATAATTGGCCCGAGGCCTTCCTAGACATTGTTATTTGAATGGAGCACCATCAGTCTACTGTTTGGGCTGGAAAACCAGGGACTGCTGGTGAGAAGTTGCTGGTGAAGATTAGGAAGGGGGCAGGCGGGAGTGCAGTTGCACATGGAGTGGCTGTCCCAAACTTGGAGTCATCTCCCCATGATTGTTCTAACACCTTTGAGGGTTGAAAGCATTTCCTTCCCTGCAGGTTTTCCTCATTTTCTTTGCCTGCTTCCACAGACAGCACACCCGCCCTTTCTCCCTCCCACCAAGGTCACACTCAGCAGGCTTTGATAAATGTCATCTTTTTTTGAAAGTCGCCTTGGAAAAAGGCAATTTGACTGCAGTGAGGCAGAACAGGGAGGTGAACGCCAGCCGCCCTTTATTGACCACAGCCCAACCCCAAGAACAAAATGAAGAGGAGTGCAGTGCTGCCCTGGGCCCCTGGTGATCCCAGGACCGCCTCTCCCAAGGGCTCTATGCACGGTAGAGAAGCCTACAGCACTGCATCTTGGGGTCTAGGTCTCCTCCTCCCTTTCTGTCCCTCTTCCCAGCCCTTTGTCTTCTGCGGGTAACTAAAGATCCCTGAGAACCTCCATGGCTCTGGGGGCAGGAGCCCTCTCCACTGTGCAAGCAGTGGGCTGCTGATTAGCGCAGGGAATAAATAACAGCAAACTAATTATCTCCCTGATTGCGGCTTGCCTCGCTAACACGGCTGGGCTGGGGTGGTGATGCGGCAGTTGAAACTATTCCAAGCATGCTTCTGGGTTCAGGGAAATTTCCATGTGTTTCCAGCCTGGAGACACTTTCCCTTCCCAGATGCTCTGGAGTTCTAAGTGGAGATGTTCCCACTCCTGCTTCACTTTGGAATTGAGAGACTCACCCCAGACAGAATGTTTGTGTCTGTCCCTAGTGGGTGACGGGAGCTGGCTTCTCAGAGAAGCAGGGGAAGGCTTTCAGGGAGGACAGGGGTTGGCCAAGGGCATGGAGAGATGAATCCTCAGGGACCACATACTCCAGCACTTAGCTTCCTAATTACATCTGCTACTCCAACTCCTTGAACTGAGTGCTTCCTATCAGGCCTTCAAGCAAGAGTAGAAAATACAAAGAGCATTGGAGAGCACTGGTCCGGGACTTTAGTCCTACCGTGACTGCCTCTGTGACTTTGGACATAGTCCTTAATCACTCAGGCCCTTCATTCCCTCTTTATGAAATGAGAGAGTTAGGCATCATGACCTCGGAGCTTTGCCCAGCTCTAGAAAAAGCTCTAGAGTCAGCTTTGTGACTCTAGCTCTGAAACTGGACTGCAGTGTTCTCTTGGAGTCCCAGGCTTGGAAAGCGCCCGACACCTCTTGTGGCCACATCTTCAGGTTTTCCTTTCCCCCATATTATTGCATTGTTTCCCATCTTCCCTCGCACTTTACCTGACTTCTCTACTCTCTTGGTCTTGAAAACTTGTCGTGCCTGGAGGGAGAAGGGTGAAGGACATCCTCTTCAGGAAGATGTTAGTTTCCAGCAGCCTGGGACGTGCTAAATTGCTGAACAAGTAGTTATTAGCCTGTGAAAAGACAAGATGTGGGGGTGTCTTTTCCCGGGAGTGGTAACTGTTGCTAGTCTACTGAGTATAGAGGAAGAATCTACTTGCCTCCTAGGCATTTTGGCCCATCCCCAGACTATGGGCCCTGCCACCACCTGCACGTCAATTGCAGAGTCCACTTGTAGGAAATTGAAGGGCTGTCTTCGTTTGCTGGTGAGACTCATCTCTATAGGCTTGGTAAGCTGTCTTCTGCTGGAGGTCAGATGTTAGACAAACCAGGTATTTTCATCTGATAAAGATAAATCCATGAAAAAGCAAACCTAGGTCACAGGTCCCTTAGGAAAGGGAAAGGGAGAAAAGATAGGGCTAATGTTATACTTGGGCTAAAGAGGAAAATATTGCTTGTGGAAAGATAGGGTAACAGCCTCCCAAAGTACTAAGTTCATGCTACCTGGTCTGATCGGATGGGAAGAGATCTCATGTAAGAATCAGAAGGTCACATTCAACATTATGCTTTGTAACTTCTAAAGGGTAAACTTGGACAATTCATTTACTTTTTGCATTGGTTAGGGTGAGCTGACTTATGTGATGAATAACCCCCAGGTCTCTGACTTACCTCAATGGAAGTTAACGTCTCCCTCGCATAACAGTTTAATGCAGGTGTTCACTTGATGGCCTCCCACCGGATGATTCCGAGACCCAGAACGATCCACCTTGTGGCTCTGATCACTGTTACAGGTTTTGGAATCCTCTATTGGAGGATTCTGTATTCCCTGTTTCCAGTCAGCAGACGGGGTAGAGACAGGAAGCATGCAGGATTGTGTGGAAGGTTTTATGGACCAGCTCTAGAAGTGGCATTAATCATTTCTGCCATATTCCACTGGCCAGAACTCTGTCATATGACCACACCTGACTACAAGGGAGGCTAGGAAATGTAGTCAGGCTATGCACCTAGGAGGTAAAAGGAAACGGTTTCATAAAAAACCAATCAATCAGTCTGTGACACATATTATTTGAAGTTTCTGTTCCTAAACTTATCCATTGGGCAAAGGGCCTCTACTTCATCATCTAAATTAGCGTGAATATAAGTTAGGAAAACAGATTTTGAGAGAGCTTAAAAAATTTATAATGTATATATATACATATATATATATACACACATACACATGCACATAATGTGTTTCTCAGATTAATCTAGAATTAACTTCATAAATACTGTCTCTCTTACTCTATTAGAAACACTATATGCTCTATTATTGAAACAAACATATTTGGGTTATAAGACGAGCGTCTCTAAATGACAGTTGGAGTTCAATTCAGTGTGTGAATAAATACTCTGCAATAAATTAAATCCTTAAAAATTATATAATGTGTCCTTTCTCTCCCCTTTCCTTTGATCTGGATTAAGGATTCAGCCAGCACAGATGGTGTGGTCAGTGTGGCTGGAGCCAAGATTTGGCTGGTTCAACCAGCATGTGTGGTGAGTTTGAGGCAGAGAGGGTGGCCTGTGTGGTTAGGAGATTGATTACAAACAGAGGAACTGAGCACACACATAGTAGGTTAAGGATGATGGGAGCTATATTTCTCATAGTTAGTGACAGGAGTTATGTATGTGGAAAGAGAATAAACCCTGTGGTATTCAATCAGAATTGGGGTAATTAATTTGAACTCATGATTTTAATATATGTAAATGTGTGTGTGTACATATCTAACCTAGTCCCATGTATACAAATGAGGGAACTCATTTATGTGCCCTCTCTGAACGATACTAGAAGCAATGATGCCCCAACGGCAGCGAGCACACCAAGCACCCAGATTTTGGCTTCTAAATGCTATTTTCTACTTAGAAAACAAACAAACAAAACAAACAAACAAAAAAAAACCTCCACCAGGACTGATCAGCCTAGAAATTACTAGATGAGCTGGGAATATCTTGTGCTAGAAAGTGAGGAAGTGCTCAGATAATGACAGAAACACATGGAAAGGATGGGGAATCCAACTTGAAGGGGCATGCACAGGCCAAATCTGAGACAATTTAGGCATCAAAATAAATAATTTTGATATCGGGTTACAACTAAAATACGGTAAAATAGGAATGAATGAATAAATAAATAAATAAATGGGGAGAGAGAGCAGGCTTTACCTTATGTTAGAATGCCAATTGATGTATATAGAAAAAAAGCTGCATTTAGAAAATTGCCATCTAGTAACCATCACAGTAATAAACAGTGTAGGAGAGGCTGGGCATGGTGGCTCATGCCTGTAATCCCAGCACTTTGGGAGGCTGATGTGAGTGGATCTCGAGGTCAGGAGTTCAAGACCAGCCTGGCCAACATGGTGAAACTCCATCTCTACTAAAAATACAAAAATTAGCTGAGTGTTGTGGCGGGTGCCTGTAATCCCAGTTAGTCGGGAGGCTGAGGCAGGAGAATCATTTGAACCTGGGAGGCGGAGTTTGCAGTGAGCTGAGATCGTGCCATTGCACTCCAGCCTGTGCAACAAGAGCGAAACTCTATCTCAAAAAAATAAATAAATAAATAAATAAATAATAAATGATGTAGGCAAGAGTCATCAGTGGATGTTATAACTAGGGGGTGAAAGTCTGATGAGGAACATGATTTTTACACAATCTTAGTGTCTCCCCACAAGTACTTGATTGATGAGTACACAATACTATTAGTTGACTTTACAGTGGAAAAACTTAGCTGACATTATCTTAGCCAAGCGATAAAAGTTAACATCTCCAGGCCAGGCATGGTGGCTCATGTCTGTAATCCCAGCACTTTGGGAGGCTAAGGCGGGCAGATCACCTGAGGTCAGGAGTTCAAGACTAGCCTGGCCAACATAGCGAAACCCTGTCTCTACTAAAAATACAAAAATTAGCCAGGTGTGGTGGTATGGGCCTGTAGTCCTAGCTACTTGGGAGCCTGAGGCAGGAGAATTGCTCGAACCTGGGAGGCGGAGGTTGCAGTGAGCCAAGATCATGCCACTGCACTCCAGCCTGAGCAACAGAGTGAAACCCCATTCCCCCCCACCCCAAAAATAATAAAGTTAACATCCCCAGTAACAGGATAGGACAACTTGACATTGTGTAACTCTTGTTGAGATGAACTGAGAACATGGCCTCACTTCTGCAGTATTCCTGACAAAATGCATAACCAGAAACTACTCATAAGGAAACATCAGCCCAACCCCAATTGAGGGATATTCTACAAAGTTTCCAGGCTGGATTCTTCAAAAATATTAAGTTCAAGACAAGGAAAGATAGGAAATGTTCCAGACTGAAGAAGACTAAAAAGACATGACAACTAAATAGAACACATGATCCTGGATTAATGCCTAGACCTAAAAACAATGTTACTAGAATTATCAGTGAGGCCAGCACAGTGGCTTATACCTGTAATCTCAGTACTTTGGGAGGCTGAGGTGGGTGGATCACTTGAGGCCGGGAGTTTGAGACTAGCCTAGGTAACAGCGAGACTTCATCTCTACAAAAAATACAAAAAAACTAGCCAGTCATGGTGGTGTGCACCTGAAGTGACAGCTACTCAGGGGATTGAGGTGGGAGGATCGTTTGAGCCTGGGAGGTCAAGGCTGTAGTGAGCCATGATCATGTCACTGCATTTCAGCATGGGCAACAGAGTAAGACCCTGTCTCCAAAAGAAAAAAAAAAGGATTAGTGAAATTTGAATGGGGTCTCTGGATTAGCCAGCAGTTCTGTGTCAATGTTACTTTACTGACTGAGATGTTGTATTTTGGTTATGTAGGAGAACGTCCTTGTTTTTGGTAAATACACACTGAAGTGTTAAGGGGTAATAGGGCATCATGTCTATAGTGTACTCGCCAATGGATCAGAAATTACGTATATGTGATGTATACATATGAGAGAAAGAGAGAGAGAACACATACAAAACAAACTGAGGGTCGGGCACTGTGGCTCACGCCTGTAATCCCAGCACTTTGAGAGGCTGAGGCAGGTGGATCACTTGAGTCCAGGAGTTTGAGGCCAGGCTGGGCAACATGGTGAAAACCCACCTCTACAAGAAAAATACAAAGATTAGCTGGGTGTGGTGGTGCATGTCTGTAGTCCCAGCTACTTGGGAGGCTGAGGTGGGAGGATGGCTTCATCCTGGGAGGTGGCGGTTGTAGTGAGCCCAGATCGCACCACTGCACTCCAGCCTGGGTGACAGAGTGAGACCCCATCTCAAAAAACAAAAGCAAAATAAAAAAAAAAAGTTGAGGAACTGGGTGGAAGGGATGCAGGAACAGGGGTTCTTTGTATCTTTCTTGCAACTTTTCTGTTGATTTGAAATAATTTCAAAATAACAAATGAAAGAAACATCCACAGCATACAGAACACCTGTGCCTTTGGACTCCTGCAGGAGAGACACTTATAAGAGTTGGAAGTTAACAAGAGGTCAGAAGCAGCAAAGCATCATAGAAGGTGAACAGGATTTGGAATAAATGACATGGATTCGGTCCTAATTTTGTTACTTATTAGCTGGATGATCTGCAAGAAAGCGTTTCACCTTTCTGAGCCTGACGATAGTAATAATCTCACAAGAGTGCTGTGTGGCTTAAATTATTAAATAATGTATGTGATGGTGCTTATTAAAAACACTATTGCAAATATAAATCATTAGTAGTATCTCCCTTCTCCCAGAAAACTACAACTAATGAATGTAAAACTGTCCCTTCAGTCCCCACATCTCTTTCAGTTCTTCATTCAGCTGCCATTTCAGAGAGATGTAAGAACTTGCTTATAGACTGAGAATGGAAGAGGCCGGCACCTAGGAAGAGGCACAGTTGACGGCGAAGCCACCAGGGATGGCCACAATGCATGCATCTGTGTCCATGTGTGCTCATGTGTGTGCACACACACATCCTGGAAGCCTCGGTTTCAGGCGTCTTCTCTGTGAGCAGAGACCCTGTGGGGATGGATGCATGCTATTATAGATTCATAAACATCTGCTCGTGTGGCCTGGGTAGTCCCTTCTAGAAGGAAAGCCCCTTTGCTTCTGTCACTCCTGACAAAAATACTTGCGTACACAGCATTATGATACATACCATTCTCTAGCAACTTCGGAATCAGGGTCCTAATGCCACACACTGCAGATGAGCTGATAGAGAGCAGTGATGAGAATCAGACCTGCTTGTGCACTTTCCGAAGACTTTCATCCACATTCTCTCACACGAGCCTTAGAGCGACAGCAGCCTGTGAGGCAAACATTGCTCTCTGCATTGCTCATGGATCAGGACTTGCCCATCCTCAGAGCTAATAAATGGCACCAACGGGACATAAAGTCAGGACTTTCACGATGCCCCTCCATCCCATGGACATTTTGACACAGGATATGGTTTGTCACGGCACCTCCCTCACCTCCCTTTCCAGGGCCCTTTTCCTCTGCCTCTGGGTTCTGTTTCCTGTGTCCTTGGCTCCTCAGGGCTCTCCTCTCCTATGTCAGCCACACTGATCTCCACTCCCAGATTTCTGGCCCGTGAAGCACCCTATGCTAGGATTGCCTCTCCAGACTGTCCAACAACTCCTTCCCCTCTGCCCCCACATTCTAGCTGGAGCCACAGGGGTTTGGCATCTTAGCCCCTGTTCTGGAGCCAAGAGAGAAGAAAACAAGGAAGAGGCTACCCAGCCCATGGCCTCGGAAAGCTGGCCCTGGGAACTCACTTGAGTGCCCTCTCTATCTCCAGTCCGGTTGCCATGTCATCTTCTAGCCCAGGCACACGTTCCCTTTCCTCAAAATGCCAGCAGCAAGAGCAGTACTTGGTTTCTTCCAACTCACTCTACCCCTGTGAATCAGGCCTGAGGAAGTTCCAGCAATGCCAAGTTACCATTAGGCTCCTTCTGCTCTAAGCACCTCTTGGATCCAGACAGACAGATGGATCAACATCAGGCACAGCAGAGCCCAGGGGTCTCTGCTCCATGCTTTGGGTAGCAGCTGCTCCTAAACTGACAGGCTCACCCGAGAGGAGCCTACTTCTGGTGGCAGTGGTGTGCCCGATGCGCATTCTGATGGCCCCAGCTGTCTTCACTGTTCCAAGAGTCCTGAGGAAGAGAGTGCACCCTGGGCTTGTGAGGAGTGTTTGTTGGGTTTGCTGAGCATGTTAAATGAGTCAAGGGTGATCCACTAGACCTTAATCAGTGGCTTTCAGAACTTGGAGCCGAAGCCCTGTGGTGGAATGGAACCAACGCTGACTATCTGGAATTTGGGAAACCTCATCTGAAACCTGCCTCTAACCAGCTGGATGTCCCTGAGCAAATCCTTCTGCTCCCTAGGACACAGCTTCCTCATCTGTAACATGAGGAATACGCTGTGCTGCTGTAAGGGCCCTTCTGCCCTTTGTACACCTCTGGATGTATGAGTCTACCAGCTCTTCAGGGCAGGGGCTGGACCTGGGCCTGGGCCTAGAAAGAGCTCACATCTGGAATTCAGGCCTTCTGACCTCTGTGTTCTATTCACCACTGATTCTGGGAATGGAGGCCATGGTGGGAAGTCTGGGGAGCGGCCGGTGCTATGCATAGCCTGGCCTCTGTCCAGTGGGTAGGAAACTGCCCAGGAACCCAGCAGCTAGCTGGACCCAATAGGACTTCCAGTGATTGGTGCTGTTCCCATGGTGGTGCTGGAGGGTGAGGGTGCAGGGCTGGAGAGTGGAGGTAGGATGGAAGGGAGCCCGGCAGTCCCCACACCTCTCCTGGAGAGTGAAGCCTCCACCAGCGGCCTGAGGACATGTGCCCAGGACACCTTGGAGCTACATTAGAACTCAATGTGGGGCTGGGAGTGGTGGCTCACACCTGTAATCCCAGCACTTGGGGAGGCCAAGGCAGGTGGATTCCTTGAGGTCAGGAGTTCGAGACCAGCTTGGCCAACATGGCAAAACCCTATCTCTACTAAAAATATAAAAATTAGCCAGGCATGGTACCAGCTACTTGGGAGGCTGAGGCATGAGAATCGCTTAAATCTGGGAGGTGGAGGTTGCAGTGAGCCATGATTGTGCCACTGCACTCCAGCCTGGGCAACAGAACGAGACCGTCTCAAAACAACAACAACAACAACAACAACCACAACAAAACACACACACACACACACACACACACACACACGCACAAAACAACCACCACCCCCTCCAAAAACCCTCAATGTGGAATAAATGGGAGAAACACAGAGAGAACTAAAATGAAGCCCTCGATAGCAGAATCAGCCAGGCATAGCAGAGCTTAAGGCTTATTAGAGCTTGCTTTCTCCCTCTGTAAAATGAGGAGTGAGGCTCGAGCTATTTTGGAGGTCTTTTCTAGCCTTCACACTTTATAACCCTGTAAGTAAGAATCCAGCTCATTAGGTACTACTGAACTCCCCTCTGACAGCAGTCTTCTCTGCTGTCCTCCTTCTCCCTCCACACGGCAGGTCAGACCGTGTGGAGAGCCTTGCCCCTGCTCAGGTGCTGCCCAGCTAAGCTGCTGCTTGCCCAGGCCCGGGACAGGGAGCGGGAGAAAGACAGAACTATTGTCTCTTCCCTACCTCCTTCCAGTATCCCACACTCCCCAAGGGCCAGAGGATCCCCTGCCATCTCTCCACCCCACAGGAAACCAAACCCGGCAGAGCCCAGGGGCACAGAGAGGTGGGCCCAGGGCCAACAGAAACAGCTGCCTTAAGGTGTCATCTTGCCATGGGGGTGGAGAGGAGCTGCACTTTTGAGGTCCCCTCTGAGACCAGCTAGGTAATTTGAGCCTCTTTCTTGCCCTTCTTAATTCTCTGAGAGAAGGCTCCGAGGGTCCCTTCCAGCCAGGTCAGGGCCAGCCCAGAAGCCATGAGTCCATCTCTCTGGGCTCCAGGATTGAAGGAGTAGAGCTTTTGTGTGTGAACTCCAAGGAGCTCAGCTAGCGTAGCAGCGCTGGAGAGAAGCACAGCCAGAGTGCCAGAGAAGGCAGCCACTAGGCTGCTTTCCCCTAGACAGACGGGGTATTGATCCTGCTTGCACGCCACCCCCCTCTCCCCAACACTCTCCACTTCATGGCGCAGCTAATGGCCTGGAAAAAACTGGCCAGCTGTTCCCCAGCTGTGACATAATGAGCTCAGGGACGATCAATGCCGTTCCGGTCTCTAATTAGGCCAGGGAGCTGGCTGCAGCGAGAGTGCGGCCTGTTTCTTGAGGGCACCACTTCTACTCCAGTCCCCAGCTGCTGTCTGTTGGCAGCCACCTGGGCCCATGCATCTACGTACCAGAGGAGCAGACAGGGCCCTCCAGCGGCCCTTGGGAGGGTCATTTGACCCAGAGCTCCTTTTCCAGCAGCAGAAGTAGCGACTTCATACGCACATTAGGTGGGGAGCCTGGCCTGCACGTGAAGCTCAGGACTCCCTCCAGCTGCGGTAGCACCCCTCTCTCTGCCTGGGTCTGTCACTCATCCAGTGGCCTTCAACTGCAACCCTCCAACTCCCTACCCCTGAAGCCCTGCCCAGGACCCTTCCCACTACTGGTCCTGAATGCTAAGCCCAGGACTGCAAGGAAGAGGCTGGTAGCACAATTGGCTTCTAGCCCAGCCTCCCTCTGCTATTTATACCCTCAGTCCAGGGAGAGATGGATCCGATACTCAGTGTATGCACTGCAGAGGAGGAAGTGAAGATGGAGAGAGAGATGGAAAGCGAAGGGGGAAAGGTGTACACTGAGGCAAAGAAACAGAGAGGTCAAGGAGCAGAGGCCCACGGCCAAGAGGCTCCAGGACTCAGAGAGTTCTGAGAACAGGATGCAGAGAGCAGACGACAGATCAAAGAAGAGAAACCAAATAAGGGAGACAGGAAAAGTGAGAAAATGGGGCCATCAAGGAAGAAAGGAGATGAGATAGAAGAACCAGGACACACCCTGTGCTTGTGGGGGTCAGGCCCCAGGTGCTGGATCAGATGTCTGATCAGGGAAGCGGAGGTGCTGGACACACACTGTCCAGGGGCCTGGTGTGAAATTACAGGAGTTGGGAGAGAGTGCCTCAGAGGCACAGGAGCAGGGCTATGTGGGTGTGAGCAGAGGCTGGTCTGGAGGGACAGGGCTGGGCAGGACAGGCTAGGGATAGGAAGGCCAGGCAGGGATCCCCTCCTAGAACTGTGGCTGTGGGTTCCACTCTCTGTGGGTGGAGGTTCAGGTTCAGGCAGGGAGCTAGAAGCAGGTGTCAGCAATGCGGGGAGGAGAGAAGGGGACTGTTGTGGGGATTTGGGAGTAAGGAGGGCCGGAAGGGAGGGACGTCTAGGCTTCCTGCAGCCTCTACTTCAAGGAAGCTCAACATAGCTCCACGGCCTGGGACAGGGCATTCTTCAGCCAGCTTCCAGCCATCCTGCCATTCACACAATCACACAAATCAGTCAGATGGAGCCCCTGAGAGGGGTCTTCCTGAGATCCAGCTGACCCTGGTCATTCCTTTCTCAGTCTTTTCCCAGTCCTAGGACTGCACCTCTTCATGACTGTGGTTTCCAGAATAATGGCCTGGTTTGTAGAGATCAGAAATGCCCACTGCTGTTTCCTGTATCCCTCCACCCACCCAGACTGAGCCTCTGAAGCTGTCCGGGGCCTGGAGAGAGAAGCCACTCAAGGACAGCAGCTGCTGACTCAGACGCTCAAATTCTCGGGCGGAAAAGGACCTTAGAGAATGCCTAAAATCGTGGCCCAATCCCTCATTGGAAGCTGGGGCTCCGAAAAGCCGGGGCTCCGAAAAGCTGGGAGAGCAGCCCAAAGCGTACTGCCCACTAAATGTGGATGCACGCTGGACCGCCGGTTCAGGCCTCCTTCTGGGACACCAGTCGGCCCATCTCTTCCTCATAAGCTCTTAGGAGTAGGAGGGATTTTATTTAACGAGCCAGGGCCCTCTCGCCTGGTCCTCCCAGCCGACTGTGATGGTGTAAAAAGGTCAGAGTCCACAGGACCACCATAGGACCACGGTCTCCAGGAGGGAGAAGGCAGGTGGCGGTTGGGCGGGGAGAAGCCTGTCACCGGGGACTGCAGTCAACTCTTTGCAGCTCTGTGGCCAACACTGCCCCCTTGTGGTTGCTGGCTGTCAAGGCAGTCTGGGGGCCGGAAATGGAGAGGCTTGGGTCCTCTTTCCCACCCAGGACCTCACCCTCTAGGAACCCCTGCCTCGTGCGATGCTGATTTACATCCTCCAGGGATACCCCTCCAGGGGAGGCCATCCAGGAGACTGAGCTTCCACTTGCCATTCTGCAGTAGGGTCCCCAGGCATGTGGGTGAGGGCTGACCACCTCCCGGGCGCCCAGAAACCCCAGGGGCCACTCACAAGCTATCTCTGGATCCCCAAGGAGTCCCCCAGAGTTCTAGGTCTGGAAGTCTGTCCCTCCCTTCAACCAATGGGCATAAGAGTCGGGGGGTGCTATTTTTAGGTGGGGCAGGAACGCAGGGAGAGGACTTTGGAGGGAAGGAGATGTCTGGGAAAGAGGTCACAGGACCAGTATCATTGTGCTCAGTGGTGTCCAGCCTGGACAGGGAAGAGTCAGGTTCCCTTGGGCTCAGCAGGGGTTGGCTTGGCTGAGGATGAGATGGTTAGGGGCGACTGACCCAGAGACATAGAGCAGGGGTGCCCCCCAGAGTCAGACACCAGGCACTGCTGGGAGTGCTCTGTGGAGCTCTCAGTTGGGAAACCCAGCCCAGTTCTTTTTGTTTTCAGGCCAGGGCCAAAGAAGTAGGCCTTGAACTGGGCGTTCCAGGGTGGAAGGACCAGCCGATAGTCCAGATGCCATGTCCTCTCAGGACAGGCTGGACAGCTTCTTATGATATCATTACTCTATAGGGAGAATTTCCTGGCACTCAAATTACCACTCCACCTTTTCCCCTCCTCTCCGAAGAATGGACATGGTCAGTCATGAGTACCTGGGCCAAAGATCCTCAGAGCCCCACCTAAGAAACATGAGAGTCATTTGATGCTGTATCACTTCATCTGTGACCTCCCCTTTCTCCTGAGTGCACTCTGTCACACATTCACATGCACTATCTCCTTGATGACCTATATGGATTTTTATTTCTCCCTCTGGGCCTGAATGACAAGGAAAATCCCTCGTCTCTGATTCAACCCCTTGCTCTGGAACTTGTGGGTTCAGTAAATACTTATCAAAGGACCCACCAAAAGACAGGAGGCTGGGCCTGGAATCCCAGCATTTTGGGAGGCCAAGGTGGGAGGATTGCTTGAGCCCAGGAGTTTGAGACCAGCCTGGGCAACATGGCGAGACTCCCATCACTATAGGCGGGCAGATCATGAGGTCAGGAGATTGAGACTGTCCTGGCTAACATGGCGAAACCCCGTCTCTACTAAAAAAAAAAAAAAAAAAAAATTAGCCGCGTGTGGTGGTGGGCGCCTGTAGTCCCAGCTACTCGGGAGGCTGAGGCCGGGGAATGGCGTGAACCCAGGAGGTGGGGCTTGCAGTGAGCCAAGATCGTGCCAGTGCACTCCAGCCTGGGCGATAAAGCGAGACTCCGTCTCAAAAATAAAATAATAAGATAAAATAAAATAAAATAAAAATAAAAAATTAGCTGGGTGTGGTGGCACACCTGTGGTCCCAGCTACTCGGGAGGCCGAAGCAGGAGGATCACTTGAGCCTGGGAGGTCGAGACTGCAGTGAGCCATGTCTGCGCCACTGCACACTCCAGCCTGGGTTTCAGAAAGAGACTCTATCTTAAAAAAAAAAAAAAAAGATAGGAGATGGGCACATCTGTGGCCTTATGTTTCCCTGCTCAAGACATTTTGCTATGTTGACTTCTCAGTCTGGCTTCTCAGCCTGGCTTGCAGGGGGCGCAGTCCCATAAATCTACCATAAATCTACCTTTCTATTCTCACTTCTTCCCTACAGCCAGATTATTTTTCAGTCAAATTGGAGAACTCACAGTGCCCTAATATTTCCTAAACTTGCTATTTCCATATTTTTGGTAGGCCTTCTTTTTCCATCTAGACTACTGTCCTCAGCCTCTTTCAGTTACTCACAGTTAAAATCCTACTCCTCCTTTAAGACCCGTGCCACTTCCTTCATGAAGTCTTCCTAGATTTCATGAGGAAGTAAGTTCACTTTTTCCTTTGAATCTCCCCAGCAATTTCACCATCCCTTGACACTTACAGCCTGCATTGTCCCCATCCTAGACATAAGCACCAAGAAGGCAAGTCTGTATTTGTTTAATCTTTGTAACCCTCTTCCTCACTTCCTATACAGAGCTTTGCATATAGTAGTTGCTCAATAAACATGTCTTGAATGGAGTGACATAGAGCCTGCAGTTTGGGCTGCTAGGAGCTGAAGGAGGTGGGAATAGGGTGCTCCCAGGCTTCAGGAGACCATAGGAATGTACTCAAAATGGGGAGACAAGGACAGTACAGAGGTAAGTGGGGTGTCTGGGCCTTCTCAGAACCTTGCTGGGGAGGAGGAGCTGAAGAAAACAGACAGCTGGGAGGTCCTAGGGATATGGTGGGTTGAGGAAGGGCCCCAGGAACCCAAATGTGCGCCATTAATGACAAGCTGAAAAAAGGAGCAGGACTCCGGAGGCTTGGGTTCTGGTTGCACCTCCTTTACCCTCTAGCTGTGTAGCCTAGCCCTGGGCAAGTTCCCTTTCCACTCTAGGCCTGTTCATCTGTAAAATCAGGAGTTAGACACCTGACCTCCTGTGATCCTTTCAGCTTTGCTACTCTGGCCCTATGTCAAGCTTCTGAAGCAGGGTTGTGCTGAGCAGTGGGGATTTGTGTCTGCCTCCCCAGGCTTCAGCACCGGGGATGACCCCACCCAGGTCCTGGACAGTATTTCCCAGAGAAGGGGACAGAGCCCAAAGCCATGGGGAAGGAGGTACGTGGCCTGGGTAAGCTGCGTCCTGGCTTGGAGGATGTGAAAGAAGTTCCAGGGGGAGATAACTCCCCTCCAATTCAGAGCAATTAAAGTGCCAAGTTTTCAGGCCCCAGGGAAGGGTTTTGGGGAACTCCCCTTTCCATAACTGTGCTTCCCTGTCTTCTTCCTTGCCTCATCCCCATAGTATAGATCTGGGGTTTGAACCCCAGTTGCTCAACTGTGTGGCTCTGCAAAAGTCACTTAACCTCTCTAAGCCCCAGTGTCCATATCTGTAAATGGAATCATTGAGACTAACAGAGAAGATTGTGTAAGACTACTCACACGAATACGCCTAGTGCTGTGCCTACTGCCAGAGCTCCCTTCCCGAGTCTGGAAAAGGACTGTTAGGGCAGATGGCCCCCAGGCCACAGGGCAAATGACTAATTCGCTTTGCCCATGCACTGGGTGTAGGGCAGGGCCTGTGGAGGGACAGGCTGATGATGGGAAGGTTGGATGGGAAGAACATGCAGAGGATATTACCCTGATTGCTAGTGAGGAAGGGCCACTCAACCTGTAGACCTATTTATTGTGTTATTAATAAATAGGAGACCCAGGAGCTCTCTGGGACTTTTCTGTGGGGTTCCAGCATTGAGCCCCTGCTGATGGACAGGAGGTGGGCAGCATGGGAAGGGCCCTGGTCCATAGCAGGCCTGGCCTAAACATGCACTGTGGGTGTTCCTGCCACTCTTTTGAGCCTGGTTCATCCGAGGCCCCCAGTTTCTAATCTGGTTGGGAAGGATTTATTTTTGGGTCCCTGTAACCTAGCAATGGGCTCACATGACCAGTGGCAGCTGCAGGCTGAATATACCATTGGATCTCAGCTCCTGGCAGGGGGTGTAGGCCAGACAGTGGGGGAATAAAGAGAATGGAAGGGCTCTCACCTCTGCTTTCCTCTGCCTCCCTCCTCAGCCCCTTGGCCTGGCTCCCAGATGCTGGGCAGGGTGAGGTGAGTGCTTGGAAAGCAGGCATGGCTGGTGCTGGTACAGGGGGGCCCCAGGAAGCCAGGAACTGAGCTGTGGTGTGGAGGTCCCAGCTGTAAGCCTGCTGTCTGGTTGGCAGGGGCGGGGGGGTTGGGTGCCCATGCGGATGGAGGTGGATGCCAAGAGGACACAATGCCAGCAGCTTGGCGGGGGAGGCCTGGCTAGGGAGTAGGCGGCTGACAGGCAGTCTATGTTGTGGGATCTCAGGGACATCCCTGGTCGATGCTGGAATCCCAACGTTCTGCTTCTTCTCTTTGTTCCCTGTTAAATTGTTAATATTCCTGGGAAAGAACACATTAAGTTGCTATCAGTGCAAATGGGTTTATCAACCTCTTTCCTGAGAGCAGATTCTGACACAAGGCAGAGAAGGAGGGTAGTGGGTGCCACTGAGCAGGCAAGGGGCTCTAGGGAGGGGGCAGTGGCAACATAAGAAGTCTTCAATGTTTATTGAAGAAGTGGATGGATGAATGAAAGATAAACTTGATTGGCTTCCAGGTCTCATCCTGGGGCAGAAAAGGGTGGATGGGCAGACACGACCCTGTCACGAGGTGCTGGTGCACAAGGGTTGGGTAAAACTGTACCAGGGAGCAAGTCTAGGATGCAAAGATCAGTCCTCAGCAGCAAGGGCCCTGCCATGATACCAAGGGAAGGGGTGCCACTGTTGGAAACAGGGCCTGGTCCCCGTCCTGTAACAGGATTCCCTTCCTGGGTGTGTGCACAGCATAGTGAGCCATGGATCTCTTATGTGGTTTGGGGGATCACACTCAGTTTCTCCATCTTGGTCTTCTTGCCCCCTCCATTGTGCTAAGCTTTACTAAAAGGAGGGACTGGCAGGTGGGGTTGGGGGTGTGCTGTCAGTAGCTACTCCACACCCTGACTGAGATCATTTAATAAGATACAGCATAAGAAGTGCCTCCCAAAGTGGGCCTTCAAGAACTAGTAGCATTATTATTATTATTATTTATTATTATTATTTTTTGAGACAGAGTCTCACTCTTATTGCCCAGGCTGGAGTGCAATGGTGCGATCTCAGATCACTGCAACCTCCACCTCCTGGGTTCAAGCGATTCTCCTGCCTCAGCCTCCTGAGTAGCTGGGATTACAGGCATGTGTCACCATGCCTAGCTAATTTTTGTATTTTTAGTAGAGACGGGGTTTCGCCATGTTGGCCAGGCTGGTCTTGAACTCCTGATCTCAAATCATCTGCCCGCCTCAGCCTCCCAAAGTGCTGGAATTACAGGCGTGAGCCACTGTGCCCAGCCAGCATGATTATTATTATTATTTATTATTTGCCCACAGGCTAGAATAAGCAGTTCCCCCGCCGACCTCCTGAGCCAAGATGGTTCCAACAGCTGGAACATGCTGCCTCTTTGGTACTGCCTTTCCCAATAGCTCTCTGGGAGGGGCTTCAGGACACGGACGCCTTGCCTGCTGGCCACCACATGAGCTGTGATTACCTGTGCTAGCTCCCTGAAGCTGGAGAGGCAGGCTATGTTTGTTTTGCAGGCTCCCTACCACTATTAGATAAGCTTGGAAGTGAAGAATTTTGCCCATTTTCACAGACAGCCAACTCACAGGCCAAGGTCTTACCACCAACCAATAGAATGGCGCCAAACTGGAACCAAGGTTTTCTGACTCCAGTCTAGCGCTCTTTCTAAAATCCTGTTCCAGTGGGCCCAGGTCTGCTCCAGTTCTTATTGAATCCCTCGGAAGGGGCCATGCCAGTCTGGGCTGGGGCCCTGCAGGAAGAATGTGGGTGCTGAGCAGGGACAGGCTTTACCTAATCCCAGACAATCTGCTTGATGCCAAATTAATCTTGCCAACACAACAGCACAGGGCTTCCTAAAAATCACTTTGCTGTCTACAGGTTTTCAATTTGGTATTTCCATTTGAATTTCTTGTACGCAGGTATGCCTAATTTTGAGGTCTGTTTTAGGCTTTCTGGAAGGCAGTGACTACTTCTATGAAGATAGCTTTTAGGGCTGTAGTCCACAGTCTTGTGTCAGGCCACTGGAGAGGCCACGGAACGAAGGGAGAAGGAGGAGGAAATACTTGGACTTCAAACAGATCTGGGTTCAAATATCAGCTCTTGCACTTATTAGCTGTGTGATTTGGGGAAAGTCACTTCTCCTCCAGCACCCGGTTCCTCACTTATAAAATAGGGCAAGTCATGGCTGCCTCATAGATTGGTGTGGGGATCAAAGAAACTGTATGTAAAGGGCCTGGCACTCATAACAGCTCAAAAAGTGGTGGCTGGTGACAGCGGCACTTGCTGCATCGGCTCTTGGTTTGTCAGTGGCCTCTTTGTTTTTGACCTGGGGCTTGGGGCAGCCAACTTGTCCCAGTGAGGTCCTTGGGTAACTCATTGTTCTTATGGCTCTTTGGGTTGGGTCTGGTAAACAATTCCAGAATTCCCTTTTTCCTTCTTAGAGGCAGAAGGAGTCCCTAGATAGGCAAGTCTCAGGGAAGCAGGCTCTGGAGTAGGGGATCATGCCTGAATTCCCTGTTTAGACTCATGGCTCTGCCATGTGGAGCTATGTGGCTTTGAGCAATCTCTTTATCTCTCTGGGTCTCAGAAACATGGATACCTTGGCCTGTAGGATGTCCTACAGCTTTGCAATGTTAGGATTCTATCCTTGGGTATCAGTCATGTACCCGGGTAAATGATCATTTTCTTCATAGCTAGAGGGAGGCCATGCCCCTTCATTGCGTCTCTGAAGGCCCATCATGCCACAGATGGGCGATGCTCAGTGGCTGATGCTACCTAGCTCTGTCCAGTCCCACAAATCCAGATCAGTGTGAGCATTCCTGAGTCCCTGGCCCCCACTCTGTCTCCTTCAGGAAGCAGTGTTGTGGTGGTTCCCATGGTGGCTCGGGGGGATGTTAGATCCTCCCGCCCCCTCCCTGCCAATCTCCATCAGCCCTCACAGCCCCAGTTCCAATAAACATACAATCTAAGCAAATAATAATAATGTGCTTTTGGGAGGCAAGGGCAGGGTTAAGACAAAGCCTTCAGCTGCCCTTCAAACCTGAGTGCTGCTCCTAAACCTGTCCCCCATACGCATTAGGCAGCTTCCAAAGGGGCCAAACCTTGGACCATCCCCTGGAGCCTCAGCCGCCTCCCTGGCCTAAGCCTTGGGGCCCTGGGTCTGCGCTGACCTGCCTGCATCAGCACCTTGGTTCTGATGTCACACAGAACCATGCATCTCTCCTATCTTCTCTTTGAACTGCTAAGAAATCAAGGCCAAAATGCAACTTGCCCAAGGTCACACGGCTAGTAAGTGCCATAGCCAGGCCTTAAACCTGGATTTTCTGACTCCATGTACTTTTTTTTTTACTTCATCAGGCTGGTCAAGAGGGTCTCCCCTACCTATCATTTCCTGGCCCCACGAAATTTTTGAGACGCAATCCAGCAGCCTGAGAGAAGTGAGAGGAGTTGAGCTCACTGCCAGGCACCTTGCCTGGGGCATTGGTGCCCACCTTTTTGCTCCAGAAGTGACTCTGAGGGGCTGGGTGGGAAGCAGGAGGCCATTAGGACCCAGAGGCTCTCGGAGCACTCTGCTTTGCCGGCTGCCTCTCACCGCTCACTGCAGTGCTTCAGGCTTCAGCAGCCTTGGAGAAGCATCAGCTGAGAGGAGCTATCACATGGGAGCCGGGACTGCTCAGCAAAGGTAGGAGTTGCCGACTAGGCCAGGAATGGGGGCCAGACCCAGAGCCTGGTGGTGAGTGCCAAGGTATCCCCACAGAAGGGTGGCTTTCCAAGGACCAGCCCTGCCTACATTCCGGTGAGCAGTTTGATCAGGAGATGGGCTCTCAGGTATCCCAAAGGCGGTATTGGGGTGTGGGCATCTCTGAAGCCCAGAGCTGGGGGGTTGATCATCTCCTGCCGGCAGGAGTACCCACATCCTGCAGACAAACAGCATTCTCCATCTGTCTTGCTCCATGTCATGGACATGGGTCTCCCACATTCTAGGAATGGGCCCTTCAGCATACAGGCTGATGGGCAACTGTGTCCTGGGCGTGGGCAACTCTGCTGAGGAGAGGTGTTGTAGCTCCCTGGAAATCTTCCCTAGCTTAGGAGGGGCACGCTCTTGTCTGAAGGAAGGCCAGGCTCAGGTCTTTGGGATGGAAGCTCTGGATCTGGAAAACAGGTGCATGTGAATCCCAATACCTCTGTGGCCTTGGGCTGGGCACTTATGCACATCTTGCATCCTGTAACTTGACCATGCCCCTGCTAGAGGCCCAGACCTCAGGCCCTAGTGGCAAAGCCTTCTAGGTACTGAAGGTCCTGGAGGTAAGAGGGGTGCTGTTGGAAGTAAGTAGTGGGGGAAGGAAAGCATCTGTTGGGGGAGTAGGCATAATGATATGACCTGGGAGAGGAGTGAGGCTCCCTGGGTTTCACCTATGAAACTGTTACACCACAGCCCTCCCCTCCATAACCCCAGTCCATTAGTGAGGGAGTGCCCATTAGCCAGATACACTGATCTGTCTGTTAAGAGGTAAATTGGAATCCTGGCATTTAGGAGTCACTGTGGAGACACTGGCAAGCTTGAGGGAGCTATGAAAAAGAGCAATGTCCAATGCCTTCTTGCTCAGGGCTCCATCATGGCTTCGTGGCATCCCTCCAGCTCCACGTGGAAACCAGGTCTGCTTCCCTCCGTCTGGGACTCTTGATGTCCATCCAGACATGGTGGGCCTCTCCTCCTTCAGCCACCAGGGAGGGACTCTGAACCACATCCTCTGGGCCTCACTCACAGACAGAAGGGATAGGTAAATCAGAGCATGGAGAGTAAGAAGGAAGGATGCTTCTCCTAGCATTTCTTTCAGGCATTTTTCCTGGTAGACTCTAATGAGAAGCTGATGTCTCACTTTTGTGCCCGCTCTTCAACTTCTCTGCAGACTCTAAGTCTCTGTGGGCATCTTAACTGTGAAATGAGCTTTCTGTGTCCCTAGAGAGAGGCACGTCTCTAGGCAGTTGCCCAAAGTTAGGGCTTCCTCAAGTCCAGGAACCCCGGCTACCCTTTCCACAAGAGAGTCCCTTGGCTGGCACACAGCTGGCTGACTGAGTGTTCTTGGAGTTTGTCCTAGGGGGCAGGGATTCAACTACCAATTTGAGTTTGATTCAATTCACAAAATTGTATTCAGCACCTATTGCATGCATAGCATGTTAGAAGTTGGATTGGTGTAAGGTTTATGGAAACACCAAAAACCAAAGGTGACTGTAAGGCTATAACTGTGGAGGAGAGTGGGGCCCATCTTGCCATGTGATCCTCTTTATTGCAGCCATAGAAATGATGGGTTTTTAAACTGAGCAACCTCAGTGTCTCCTCCCTACTTCTTGTTCTGTGACTGTAGTAAGTCTAGAACCAATGCGGCTCTTGGTCAGGGATCCTCCAAGGGTCAGCTCCAGAGATCAGAGATTTGGGGATCTGGGGAGCAGGAGGTTGGCAGCAGCTCCTTTCCCACAAGAGGGGCACAGTGGCCTTGAAGAGTTCATGAGTGGGTGGAGAAGGGCAGCTTGAAGCAACTTCCGGCTTTGGGAGCAGTGGAGGCTGGATGAGCTGGCCTCCCAGTTTCCTTCCAGACGGGACATTTTGTTTTCACTGCTCCTACTCAACATTCCCAAAGTGGCAGCTCTTTGTGCTGGGAGTAGTGATGTCAAAAGAGCCTAAAGCACAGCTCCCCTTTTCAGATGATAACCCTAGGGCAGCAAGAGACAGTTTTAGAGACAGCTGAAATTCAACAACTATTTACTGGATGCCTATTATAGTCCAGCCGGCACGGAGGGCACCTTCACATATGGCATGGCACAGTGGGCAAGAGTACTGGACCTGGGGCCAGACTGCCCAGGTAGGTGCCCAGCCCTTGCCGCTTACTAGCTGTGCGACCTTGGGTAAGTTACTTAACCTTTCTAGACCTCAGCTTCATCTCTTGCAAAATGGAGATAAAAATATTATCTACTTCATAGGGTTGTGTGAGGAATAAAATGAGTTAATATAGGTAGAGTGCTGAGAACAGGGTCTGGCATGTGGAAAACGCCGTATCAATGCTACTGCTTGTCATTAGTATTATTATTAACAAATCACGCAGGATCCAGAAACACAGTTGTGAAGCAAGTGTTCTTCCTTTCATTTTACAGATGGATTTATGAGGAAACTGAAATTCAGAAGATTCACAGAGTTAGTAATGCCCAGAACTGGGACTAGAAACTAAATTTTGTGCTCCTTCTACTCCCCAGCAGCTCTTGCCATTCTGAGGAGACAAGAAATCAGGAAATTTACATAAGGAACCCTAAAACTGAGGCACTATCCCAGAGATCAGCAGGACCCTGGGAAGGAGAAACAGGATTTAGAATCCCCGGCTAACAGTTCTGGAAAGGGTAGAAGGGTATGGAGAACAAGAATGGCAGAAAGGAGATGGAAAAGGAAGAGGTGAAGGCCATTCCGAAAGCGGAGTGTTGAGTGGGTCAGGCTCCTGCACCTCTCACGTCTCCTGCTTCTTAGCAGTCACCAAGGCAGACCCTGCAGCTACCTCCGGCCAGAAAGGGGATGAGCTTCTGATCCTTCAGCTGCCTGGCCTGGCGCTCTGTACGCAGACAAACCTGCCCAAGAGGCTCCAGTGGGAGGTGCCCCCTACGAAACCAGGAAGCCTGGGCCTGGGCTCGCCATCCCAGGGTCGCTGGACTAGGATGGGGGATGGGCCTGTGACAGGAGGTACCCTGGGTGCCCTCTTTCGGCCCCATGGAGTCCTCACCCATCCCCCAGTCATCAGGGAACTCTTCCACTTTGGGGAGGGTCCCTCAAACCCCAGGTCCCTCTACTGCCAGTGGGGTCCCGGAGGTGGGGCTACGGGATGTTGCTTCGGAATCTGTGGCCCTCTTCTTCATGCTCCTGCTGGACTTGACTGCTGTGGCTGGCAATGCCGCTGTGATGGCCGTGATCGCCAAGACGCCTGCCCTCCGAAAATTTGTCTTCGTCTTCCACCTCTGCCTGGTGGACCTGCTGGCTGCCCTGACCCTCATGCCCCTGGCCATGCTCTCCAGCTCTGCCCTCTTTGACCACGCCCTCTTTGGGGAGGTGGCCTGCCGCCTCTACTTGTTTCTGAGCGTGTGCTTTGTCAGCCTGGCCATCCTCTCGGTGTCAGCCATCAATGTGGAGCGCTACTATTACGTAGTCCACCCCATGCGCTACGAGGTGCGCATGACGCTGGGGCTGGTGGCCTCTGTGCTGGTGGGTGTGTGGGTGAAGGCCTTGGCCATGGCTTCTGTGCCAGTGTTGGGAAGGGTCTCCTGGGAGGAAGGAGCTCCCAGTGTCCCCCCAGGCTGTTCACTCCAGTGGAGCCACAGTGCCTACTGCCAGCTTTTTGTGGTGGTCTTTGCTGTCCTTTACTTTCTGTTGCCCCTGCTCCTCATACTTGTGGTCTACTGCAGCATGTTCCGAGTGGCCCGCGTGGCTGCCATGCAGCACGGGCCGCTGCCCACGTGGATGGAGACACCCCGGCAACGCTCCGAATCTCTCAGCAGCCGCTCCACGATGGTCACCAGCTCGGGGGCCCCCCAGACCACCCCACACCGGACGTTTGGGGGAGGGAAAGCAGCAGTGGTTCTCCTGGCTGTGGGGGGACAGTTCCTGCTCTGTTGGTTGCCCTACTTCTCTTTCCACCTCTATGTTGCCCTGAGTGCTCAGCCCATTTCAACTGGGCAGGTGGAGAGTGTGGTCACCTGGATTGGCTACTTTTGCTTCACTTCCAACCCTTTCTTCTATGGATGTCTCAACCGGCAGATCCGGGGGGAGCTCAGCAAGCAGTTTGTCTGCTTCTTCAAGCCAGCTCCAGAGGAGGAGCTGAGGCTGCCTAGCCGGGAGGGCTCCATTGAGGAGAACTTCCTGCAGTTCCTTCAGGGGACTGGCTGTCCTTCTGAGTCCTGGGTTTCCCGACCCCTACCCAGCCCCAAGCAGGAGCCACCTGCTGTTGACTTTCGAATCCCAGGCCAGATAGCTGAGGAGACCTCTGAGTTCCTGGAGCAGCAACTCACCAGCGACATCATCATGTCAGACAGCTACCTCCGTCCTGCCGCCTCACCCCGGCTGGAGTCATGATGGGCCGCTGGACACTCGGAGGGATATGGGGCTGGGGCCAGTTATGATTGCAAGGACCACCTTGTGGGATCACCTTTTCCCAGCTGGCTAGGGCTGAGGCTGGGGTCTCTGCACACAGCTTTTGCTTAGTGTTTCCTGGGTCAGGAACAGAGCCAACAGGATGAACGTGTGCAAAAGCCTTGGACTTGGCTGTGATCTTTGACTGCTAGGGGAGGGAACCTGGGTATGGTGAGACGGTGACGAGAGAAAAGGGTCACAAAGGTGAGGTGAAACCTCTCAATTGGTGAAATTTCCATGCTTCCAGAAGCAGGGAATTCTCTAAGGGTAGGAGTTGGAGGATACAGGGCAGCAGGCCAGGTTTGGAGTTATTCTAGGGGCCATTTAGGATATTTTATTTTTCAGTGTAATTGTCCAGGGCAGTAATTGCACCCAAGCAAGGTAAGAAAATGACCCATGTTTTCTCATTTCCTTGCTAGGTTTAAAAAGAACTAAATTATAGCCAAGTGTTTCCACTTGAGTTAATAGATCATTTTTCTGGTTTTATACCTGAGATTTCCTTAAAATGAGAGGACCAGTAGGGTGTATTCCTTTACTGAGTTTGGCCAGAAACAAGGCAAAATAGAAATTAGGGTACATGGAGTAGAAGATAGGAAAGCTGACTGCAGCTCTCTCTCTCCCACCCTTCAGGAAAAGCCCTTCTGTTCTATTTTTCTGTCTCTCTCCTGCACACAGGAGATCAAGGGTAGAGCCTGATCTTAGCAGAGACAAGAATAAGGCAGGATGGCTTTCCTCTCTTTTAGGAGGAAGAATTAGAATGACTGGGGGTCAGACGGGCGAGGGTGGAGGTTAGCATTTGAATTGGTAAAGTAGCTGGAAACAGAGAGGCCAGGTAATCAGCCTGATCAATAATACTGCGAATCTTTTCTTTCCAGGACTGGCCTCCCTGATCTCTCTCCTCATGGCAGCGACCCACCTCCAGTCCCCTGGACAATCGGGTACAAGAGACTTAAGGTTGGGCATGGGAAGGGTGGGGTTTCCATGATCCATTAAATGCCTTCCTACTCCCATTCATCGCTCTCAAAATTAGCTTCAGTGACAAAGACTTAAATCTCTCTCCTATCTGCAGCACTGGGTTGGAGAGAGGGCACGGGAGTTGGTCTTGGCTGTTCATTGATTGAGACTGTAGGAACTGTGTTGGTTGGTATTGGTGGTGGTATTTTCAACAAACAGGGAATAACTGCAAACTGGACAGGACACCCATCTGGGACCACCTGTCCATCCTACTTCCCTCAATTGAATCAGGTAACACTAACGGATCAAGGCAGGGCCAGAGGGTGGTGTGGTCTCTATTTGAACAAATTCCTGGCTCACTGAGCATCAAAAGGGGAAATGGGCTGGTGGGAGTGGGATAGTCTCCCATTTAAGCAGCTAATAAATAATTTTTATGATAAAAGGTTATACTGATAACAACATTGACTCCTTTAGTTCAATTCAGTGCATAATAGTTGAACACCCACTAGTCCCTGGGACCCACACAGGGCGTGTGGTCATTGCTTTTAAGGAGTTCATAGTCTAAGTTGATGAGATACCTTATATTTTCACAAAGCACTTTGATTTGATAAAGCACTACAGAATGTGCTTGAGAAATATATTGGAGAATATGTCCATGGCTCTAACTTCTGAGAGTTCAGCCCGTGGCAGCAAGATGCATACCTTGAAGCTTCCTGCAGATTGTGGAAAGCATAGGGGTTGTAAATGAAACTCTCTAATGAAGAAAAAAAATTAAATGAAACTGGGCAAACAGCTTTCCCCCTTTGTTCTAGGAAAATTTCTAGGTTGTCTTCCTACCACTAGATTATTATACCAGTCTAGTGCCTATTACATTGTGGAAGTTCCCTAAAAACATAGTATATATAGGGAGGAGAGTCCTTTGTGATTGAAAAACATGTTCACCTCTCCTCCCTATTAAAATAAATGCATACAGAGGAATCAATCATTCCTAGACAGGGAAAAAACTCTTCTTTCAAACACCACTGATCAGCTATTAGATCCAAGGAATTGCCAGCAGGTGGCAGTGTGAGCCCAATGGAAGGAGGAAAGGCGAGTGTACGTGGTGGGAGGAGGAAGGGGAGGGCATTAAACATTGCCTGGCAGCCATTTTGTTAATTTATTTTGCCTTTTCCTTTGACTTTGCCCTCCAGCCCTTCCTTCACATACATCAAAGAAGAAAGTTTTAAGAGCAAGGGTATCTTTAATTCAGGCTGAAATTTCCTGACACTGTGATCTCACTGGTGTTTATTACAGAGTTTGACATACATGGGTTCATTTGCCATTTATTTTTCCCTGTAGGAGTGGATCATGAAGGAAATAAAAATTTCTCTTTTATTATGCTGAGAACTTTCCCAACAATTTCTGCTATGACCACCTTCCAGGAGTTTTCTAGTCACCAGATGCCTTGGTAAAGTTCAATACGTAATCTTTGGCTCTGAAAGCTGTTCCTGGACAAAATCTGAGCTAACTCACTGAAGAATCAACAGATTGAGGCAACCATCCGGTCAGTTACTTTTTCCTGCATCCTGCTGGTGTTGGGGTAACTCCCAATCCTAGATGAAAACCTTAGACTTTCTGTTGTCAGGTGTCCCCAGGCAATATCCTACGGGGGCATGATAGAAAAGGGTAACTCTGGGGTCAGATAGATGTACTTACTCACTGTGTGAAGTTGGGAAAGCTGCTTAATTTCTCTGAGCCTACTTCCTCACCTGTAAAAATGGGGATCATTATTACCTACCTCACAGGGTTGTTGTGAGGATTAAGAGATGGGATGTGGGAGCACCTAGCCGTATCTGGCAAATAGGTACTCAATAAATACTGGTTTTACTTCCCTTTCCTCTTGCCCTTTTTCCCCAAAAGTATTGATAATGGAAAAGCAGTCCCTTTCATTCTTAACAGTCATTTGGGAATGACTGGGGGACTTTTCAAACCTTGAAGAATTGGCATTGCTAAGAGTTAAGGTGGACGAGGCTTTTTAAGGTGGCTCTAATCCTCTAATTAAATCCTTCTAATTAATGAATCATCACTATATAAACCTCTCTGTTGGGACCTTACTTTCTCAAGTTCAGATTCTATTAGAGAAATAAATTTACAATCACAGGGAAAGGTTTTAGGGACTGAGTTCCCTTCGCTAGAACGTATAGTAATTGTGGGCTTATTTGCCTGAAAAGTTGATTTAGGACTACCTTCACGCAGTATCCAGGGTTATTAGTGAAAGATGCTATCTGCCTGGGACTTTCACAGTGGACTTAAGTTTCAGGTGATACTAGGGCTGAGAGGCAAATTTTACTAGAACCTCTCCTTTTGCATGTTATCGCAACAGGAAATTTTAGTAGGAGATTCACAGGATGCACTGGTTTGTTTCGGGGTGTGGAATTGAAGTTGACTTATCTTGGTTTTAGTTCTAAGACCCTAAGGTAGGAAGATCTGAATTATACTGGAGAGAAGGGCAGCATGGAAATTTTATGGAGGAACTACAGGCTTACCTTTCAGGTTATCGAGTATCTGCTAGCGATTTCAAGTGGCCTTTTGCCAATATAGGAGTTAAGCAAATCTCAAGCCCACAGAAATACGTGAATAGCAAAAGGACCAGGGGACATTTTGAGAGGAGTCAGTGGGCCAGAGACGGCAAAAAGTTATTGCTGAGGTCCTAAGCACAGTCGGTGTTACGATCTCAGATGTGAGACGTGAACGGCGCCCAGGCCGGATAGCTTGTTCCCATTCCATTGATCTGAGATAACCCCAACGGAGGCAGTGTCCCATACTTGGGTAGGGGTCCCGAGTCTCCACAGCCAGAGATCAAAGGAGTTTTCTGGCAGGCGAGAAATTACCAGCAGATATTCCCGCGCGGGATGTAGGCTTTAATTTAGAAATCTCCGCCCCAAAACTGGCATCTTGAACGCGGGAGGGCATTATGAGTTAGAGGCCCCGGTTTTTCTCCATTTATCCAAATCAGGTAGCCGAAAGGTAAATGAGGCTTCAAGTTGGGCGGCGGGCAGCGAACTTGACAGAACCTCGAAACTCTGCAGATCCGCCGCCCAACCCAGCCGCCAGCTCCCCGTGACTTCCGCTTTCGGTCTCAACTCCTCTCCCTGAGGAGAGTGGTTTAAACGGTGAAGGCTGCGGGGCGTCGCCGGAAGTGTCGTAAACGTCGGATATCCGGTTCTTCTGGGCGCTAAGGGAGCTGACGGAGAGGGCCACCGCCCAGCAATAGACGGTGCCTCAGCCTGCCGAGCCGCAGTTTCCGTGGTGTGAGTGAGTCCGGGCCCGTGTCCCCTCTCCCGCCGCCGCCATGGGCTGCACGTTGAGCGCCGAAGACAAGGCGGCAGTGGAGCGAAGCAAGATGATCGACCGCAACTTACGGGAGGACGGGGAAAAAGCGGCCAAAGAAGTGAAGCTGCTGCTACTCGGTGAGGGGCTGGAGGCGGGGACTGAGTGGTGGTCGGGAGAGCCTAGGCGCTTGGAAGGCCTGAACGGGGTCTGGTCGGGCCGACGGAAAGGACCCTAAAGGGATCTGGAGGGCGTGCCGGGCGTGGGGCGGGGTGTTGGGGTTCCTAGCTGAGGCCCCAGAGGGCGTGATGAGGGGGGTGGGGTTTTGGGGTTGCGGGAATTAGGCTGTAGAGGGTGTGACTCCGGGCTAGAATTGCGTTTAGCAGAGAGACTTGGGAGTATGGGCCGGTAGATGTTGAGGGAGTAGGAATATGGGAAAAGCTCATAAAGGAAGAGTTGATACTAGGAAGGTTTTACGTTGGGTTGGAGCGTGTTGGTAACGAGAACGGCATAGAGTATATGTTGGGCTTGTATAATGGTTTGTGAGTTTGGAGCGTCGTGGTTCTTTGGCAGGATAAAGCTAGCAGGCTTGAATGGATGGTACAGAGACTGGAACAGAATGGTCACATAAGGACGTTGACATTTGTTAGTAAGAGAGCCATTTGAACTGTTGGAAGAACCCTGGATTATCCAGGAACATGAAGATAGGTAGGTGAGATAAATGACAAGTTATCAGGTATAAAGGAAAAGAGCTTGGGTGCAGAGGCCATCTCTACTTTTCCACCGTTTCCTATCATTTTTATTTTCAAAGTTTTATAACGTCTTCTTCTGTTTTTACAAAAGGATGGGAAATGGTGTGAGCTGAAGAAATTTAAAGAATGATTTCTTTGAGGTTTGTAGCAGAAGATCTAGTGAACAAGAGATTACACATTGGAGGATGCTGAATAGTTGCTATAGATGATGTGTAGTTGGAATAGTTACCTTAGGATAAGTTACAGAGTTGGACATATTCACTGTAAAGACTATGGTAGACTTCTGGTGGCTGTTTTATCCTTTTTGGCCTCTTCAAAGCAAAACCATTGACTTCAGGAATTACTGTTTATGTTATTTGATAGTCGTTTTAATTGGCTTTTTTTAAACACAGTCGGATGTATTTTACTCAACATGAGTTTCAAAATTTTTGAGAGGCTCAGTAAATCATACAAAGAATACTGGCATTAGCTTACTAATAAATCAAGCCACATTTCTTCATTATTAGTGAAGATTTTCTAGGGTAGTATTTCCATTATTTTCCAATATTTTCTAGGGTAGTATTTCCATTAGAGAAGAATAAGTAGGAGTAGGGGTTTCTACAGAAACCCTTACAAGCAATAGAAATTTACTTTTTAAAACAATTGATTTTTGAGGAAAAGGAGTCACTTTAGGGGAAATGCTAAATTTTCATGGTATAAAGCTCCAGAGAACAGAATGTACACTGTAACCCAAGACTTATTTTGTACATTCTAAGTGCCCCTGTTAGTCTCTTCGTGTGAACATATTTGGTTGGTTGTAGATTGCAGAAGCTCTGGTAATAGCTTTTTTGAATATACTATAAAGGGAAAGTTATGTATTGGAGCTTAAGGTTCCGGTTTGTATACCTGAACTTTCAGAAGATGCGAGTTCAAATTGTAGTTCTAGACTGCGACTGTCTGTATAACAGGTGGATATGCATGGTCCCTGGTACCTAGTAGGTGCTCCTTAAATATTTACTGTTAACCAGCCTGAGCCAGCAAATGTTGAACACTGGTCCTTGGGGCCTTTGAGAAATTTGATATAAACTATAACATTCAGGGCGTTAACTTTTTTTTTTTTTTGAGACGGAGTCTCCCTCTGTTGCCTAGGCTGGAGTGCAGTGGCGCGATCTCGTCTCACTGCAACCTCCACCTCTCGGGTTCACGCCATTCTCCTGCCTCAGCCTCCCAAGTAGCTGGGACTACAGGCGCCCGCCACCACGCCTGGCTAATTTTTTGTATTTTTAGTAGAGACGGGGTTTCACCGTGTTAGCCAGGATGGTCTCAATCTCCTGACCTTGTGATCCACCCGCCTTGGCCTCCCAAAGTGCTGGGATTATAGGCGTGAGGCCACCGTGCCTGGCCAGCATTTTCTTTATTGATCGATTGGTTATGAAAGTAAAGATGTATTCTCATCTTCTGTGAGTGATTTGATTTACACTGACCAACAGAGATACCCTTAGGACATCAGTTTATTGTAATGTAGTTGGAAACTTTGAGACTTTCTTCCAAAATGCAGGATTAGGCAGGCAGAATTTGGATAGGCGGAACTTGTCCAGATGTCTAGAAGAATTTTTGTTCAGGATTTTATCTGTAGTGCATTTAATTAAAAACAAAATTAGACACTTGACTTAGGGAACTTGAAAAGCAGTAAGTAAAAATCAAAGTACTAAACATATTTGCTTTTAATTTTTACCAACTTCATTCTTTTTTAAGTAAGATTTTTAAAATATTCTTGAGCAAGTTAAATCCACAAATTCAAATAGGTTGCAGAAACATATGTTCTTGCTTGAGCCATATCATAACACACATAGGAAATTAAAATTATCTTCTATGCTATTTCTATAAGCAAAATGTACCCAAAACAGTATACAGTTTTCTTTTTCCTGGATAATGTCTCCTTTGCTGTAGATGCAAGTCATTTTTACTTTATCACTATGGAACTTAGTTTAAGTTGAGATCTATCTACTTACCCTGTGTCTCCTGACACATGATATATTTTCTTTCTTATGGGGGTGTAGTTTAACATGGTGATTAATAGCATGGGTCCTGAAGTCAGACTGCTTTAAATCCTAATTCCCATTTACTAGTTATAGCCTTGGGAAAGTTAATTTCTCTTGGCCTCAGTTTTCTTATCTTTAAAATGGAGAAAATAGAGCTACTCCTAGGATTGCTGTGAGGATTAAATATGGTAATAATGTAAAGCAGAACACAGCTTGGCACATAGTACTAGCTCCATGAAGATTAGCTATTCTTATTAAGTCAAAATGAATGTTACAGATTGTAGGTATTATGGAAATTATACCAAATTAAGCAGCTAGTGTGGGCCAGATTATTTACAGACACTTCAGTATTGTAATTCTTCCTTTGATAACCTTTGGTTTGAATTTCATTTAGATGTTCTTGGAAAGGGCTGGGCGTGGTGGCTCCTGGCTGTAATCCCATCACTTTGGGAGGCCGAGGCTGGTGGATCACCTGAGGTCAGGAGTTCGAGACCAGCCTGGCCAACATGGCGAAACCCCATCTCTACTAAAAGTACAAAAATTAGCCGGGCGTGGTGGTGTGCACCTGTAGTCCCAGCTACTTGGGAGGCTGAGGCAGGAGAATCGCTTGAACCCGGGAGGTGGAGGTTGCAGTGAGCAGAGATGACGCCACTGCACTCTAGCCTGGGTGACAAAGTGAGACTCTTTGTCTCAAAAAAAAAAAAAATAAAGTGTTCTTGGGAAGATCTTGGTATATCAAATTAGTGTTTAATTATGACATTCTATTGAAAAAATACCATGCAAAGCTTCCCAACCAATGTTCCAGTGCTTAGGATGGCATATAGGTGTGCTGTTTACAAATTTTTTATAGCATTGAAATTTTAAATCATTTTTATAAGTTCAAACTTTTACAACAGTTGAAATTACATTTGAACATCTTTGGTATGATTTCCTCTTGTATAATTCATGAATTTGGTAATTTGGTTATTTACTATTTAAACAATTAGAGATGGGGGTCTCATTATGTTGCCCAGGCTGGTCTCAAATGCTTGGCCTCATGTGATTCTCCCATCTCAGCCTCCCAAAGTGCTGGGATTACCAGTGTGAGCCACTGTGCCTACCCTACCATGAATTTGGTAATTTGAAAAAATTTTATTTGGTATAAATACTAAATTTATACCAATTTAATATTTAATATCATTTGTAATACTTTGTATTTTTTTCATGCCATAATTTCATAATAAGAAATTTTGTGTGTGCGGGTTTTGTTTTTGTTTTTTTTTGACCCCAGGGCAAGCAAGAAAATTTTTTTTCACCAAGCTCTTTCAGCTCACCCCAATGAGCCTTACAAATATTTTTAATGTGTGCCATCATGTGACAAAGGTTGGGAAGCACTGGTATAATGGATAAGAGCACTGCTTTTGGATTCACACAAAACTGAATTTAAGTTCTACCTCCACTTATTAGCTCTGAGACCCAGAGCAAGTAACTTAACCATAAGAATAATAATTTTTACATATGTAAAGCAGAGATGATGTTTCATAATATGAAATGAGATAATGCATGTAAAATGCTTCACATTAGTGCCTAGCAAATAAAAAATAGTAAGTGGTCACTTCTATTGATGATGATGATCGTGAGAATTACCATTTTAGCTACTTTTTTCAGAGGTTTTTCAGACAGCTGTTTTATTATTTTTCATATTAATATACTATTTTCAAAGATCTTCAAAGAATTTTAATATCCTTTTGTGGTGAAAGGAATTAAATGTTAGTCCTTTTTTTTTACTCATCACTGTACTAATGAAGATACTTAGTTTTGTAAATTATTGAATTATCTGCTCTCTGTATTTCTGTTTCTTGATAGTTTCCTTTAGCAGGTTCTGAGAAAACATAAAAAAAAACTTTGTTCTTTGGGATTTGCTGGTGGTAGTATGGCAAAAAGCCAGTTGCATGCAGAGAACTGGAATCATCTAATTTACTTAAACTCTATATTATACAGTTAATTATATTTAAATTGCTGCATATTATTGGCTGAATATGCTTATTATTGAGAATAAGACTGCCCTTTGGTAAACATGCCATTACATTATATCCTCCTATGGGATTATACCCTTTATTATGTTTGCCATTTGCTTGGGATAAGGTTCATGGCCAGTTACATTTCATGTGAGGATGCATCTGTGTTTCGGGGAAAAAAAGCTTTGTGTTTTATAAGCATGTATCATTCTTTGTGTCTTTTATTTAAATGCATTAGTCACTTTTTTAACATTTCAATAGGTTTTTGGGGAACAGGTTATGTTTGGTTACGTGAATAAGTTTAGTGGCAATTTCTGAGATTTTGGTGCACCCATCACCTGAGCAGTCTACACTGTACCCAATGTAT